>NC_000004.12:24322916-26822916 GCF_000001405.40 Homo sapiens | reverse complement strand
GAAAATCAAGGTGGGGAAGGGTGGGACTGGATCCCTGCTGGAGAGGTAACCAGCAAATGTCTATCATGTCTCTACAAGAGTCTGACATGTTTTAAACTCTATCTAGTCATTCATTTTAGAATGGGAAATATTTATTCAAACTATTTCCTGTTTGTGGCTTAGTGCTTCCCCGCTGTTGCAGATTGACTGTAGCTAATGTACTTGCCTAAATGAAGAAGTATACATTTATTACAGGTCTTCAACCGCATCTCAACGTTAACCATTTAAACGAGCCTGCTGTTATCAAGAGGGGTCGAAACAATCATAGCATTACGTAAAGGGCCCTACATAGTCCACTGGCAGCCTTTTTTCCTCTTGGGCTGTAATAACCCAAAAACAGGATTTTTCAAAAAAATATATATTTCCATGGAACTTTATTTAGGGAAACATATGGGGCTTGGAAATGTCAGCACACTGGGAAGAAAGCAGGAAGTAAAAAGGGTTTCGTGCTCCTGTCTCTCTTATTAATGAAGTGGGTTCAAAGTCGTGTTGGGTTAGCAAGAAAAACAAACAAAATGATTCAGGCCTGCTCTGGGTGACATCTGTCCACTAGGACAGTCACTCACATTTGGCTTGGAAAGCTTTTCAGTAGATGGCACAGGCCAGGAAGGAGATGTTTTCTTTTCATCTCCAGAAGGAAGTTTGCACAAATCCCTTCAGAGCCAGGCTTTTGTGTGATAAATAAATGTGTCTCTGCCAGAGAGAGTAACAAGAAAACCCCAGCGACTGACAGCTTAAGACAGGGGTAAAAAATCACCATGGCTAATGTCATCACAAATGAGGGACAGCTTTCAAGTTTCCGTGATTAGAAATGCTTTGCACAGGCAACAGCGGGGCTTGGCAGATGATGTGACTAAGTGATCTGTTTCCCCATGTGGCGACTGCTGCAGAACAATTCCCCATCTTGTCTTAGATGAGTCAACAGAATTCTGCCAAAGTGTCATAAAATGTCAAGGAAAACATTTCTGCCACCAGGGCTCAGGAGAGCATGCAGGTGGAAGTGGAGAGAGAAGGGCCGTGGAGAAAAGTGGTCCGCCTGGCCACCAGAGGTCTGCCACACATAAAGAACGGGTACCTGCTGACCTGTGTGTGATGAGCAGACAGGGACAGGGACTTCCAGCATGACCACGGTGAGCCCCGCCATGGCTTCTGACTCCCTGGCACAGTTACAGGACAGCCCCACCATTGAACCACTGGGCCAGGACCTGCATTCGCAGGCAAGTGCAGGGAGACCTTTCTCCAGTCTCTCATTCTTGCAGGACTATTTTATCTGCCTAATTTTCCAGGTCCAAGATCTAGGTCCTGTGAGATTTCAAGAGCCCAGAAACATGGCTAAATCCCAAAGGAAAATAATTACTGCCTCAAACACACAAGGAGTACTACAAAACCTGTTAAAATAAATACCTGTTTACATGAATGCCCACAAAGCACAGAATTACACTTATGTGATCAACTGTTGAATTATTTAGAAAAATTTCATTACATTTGAAAACAATGTTAATGGTAGATTTTGTTTTACTTCAAGTGTGCATGATGACTGCAGAGAATCAGAGCCAACTGAAAATTCAATGAGTTGTTCCTTGCCAAATGATTTCAAAGACAAAACTATGATACTCCTTTGAAAAAATCTCAGCCAAAATTCTGTTTCATGGGGAAGGGAGGAGCATTTAAATATCTTTGCTAAGATGTGGGGTGAGACCCTCAAAAGAAAGTGTGGCAAGGACACGAGAAGCTTTCATACAGTCTGGAACTGCTAACTGCTCTTCATGTGCATGCTTGATTGCAAACGTCCTTTCTTCCAGGCGCCATATTGGCACCCATGCATCCCTACACTAAATGCAGTGTAGGGGCCAGAGGGATACAGAAAGCTGAGTCGAGTGAATACCATTCATTTGGTAGCCAGTCAACAGATATTTTTATATGCCCACTGTATTCCAGGTGATGTTCTGGGCACTGAGAAGACAGCTGTGAAAACAAATCCCTGTACTGATGAAGCTTACAGTCTAATGGGGGTAAAGATGATCACCAAATGAGTTAAACATATAATATATTTTATGGAGTAGGTGCTATGGTGAAAAGTAAACAGAGAGAGGGAAATTAGTACCACCATTTTGGAAAGCAGCATGGAGGTTCCTCAAAAAAACTACATATAGAATTAGCATATGATCCAGCAATCCCACTTCTGTGCATATATCCAAAAGAATTGAAATTGGTATGTCAAAGAGATATCTGCACTACCACATTCATTTCAGCATGATTCACAAGAGCCTCAGTGCCCATCAATGGATAAATAGATTTTTAAAATGTGGTATTTATGTACAATGGAATACTATACAGCCTTTAAAAAGAAGGAAACTCTGCCATTCACAACAACATGATGGAACTGGAGGATGTTATGCTTGGTCGAAATAAGTCAGGCACAGAAAGGCTAATACTGTATGATCTCAACTTACATGTGGACTCTAGAAAAGTCAATCTCATAAAAATAGAGTAGAAAGATGCCAAAAGCTAGGGTCCAGGTTGGAGGATAGGGGTGGGCAGGTGGAGAAGGGAAGAGATGGGGAAGAAAAGATGTTGAACAAACAGTACAAAGTTTCAGACTGCAAGAATAAGTTTTAGTGATCTCTTGTACTGCATGGTAACCATAGTGAATAACAATGTATCACATATTTCATAATTGCTAAAAGCATAGATTTTTAATGTTCTCATCCTCCAAAAAGTAAGTTACTAAGATAACGGATATGTCAATTAGCTTGAATGAATCTTTCTACAATGTACACATAGATCAAAGCATCACATTGTACCCCACAATTATATGTAATTATTGTCCATTAAAAAGCAAAGCAGAGAGAAAAATGTTGAAGTTTGCAATTTTAGAGTAGGAATGGGAAGGCCTCACTGAGAAGGGGTTATTTGAGAAAAGGACCGAAATTGGTGAGTAAGAAAGTCATGTTGATATCTGAGGGACGAGCATTCCAGGTCAAGGGAAGGGAAAGCACGGTGGCTCTGAGTCATGAGATATTTGAGTAGCTTGAGGAATAGCAAGAGGCAAGGGCAGTTGTAGATGGGTGACCAGGGCTGAGACTAGTATTTGATAAAGTCAGAAAGGTGTCTGAGAGCCATACTGGGTAGGGCCTCATGAGCCACAGTAAGGAGTTTGAAATTTACTCTGAGTGAGATGGGAAGCCCCTGGAGGCAGAAGTGTGACATGATCTGATTTCAAGGTTAACAAGATTACTGTGGTCACAATGTTGAGCACAGACTAAAGGTGACAAGAGCAGAGGCAGGGAAGCCATAGCTTTTGCCATGATGATGACTGTGGCTGTTGCCATCATCTGGGAGAGAGTCAGTGGCAGCTTGGACCAGGGTATATGTGGTAGAGATGATGAGAAATGACAAGATGCTGGATCCATTTAGACCATCAATTCTTTCTTGTGTCCATGTGGATGCTTCCCTCCTCTCTCCACCATTCCCCTCTCTGTTGAGGGGAAACAGATGCAAAACCACCCCAGAGCTGAAGCAGGACTCCAGGAGCACAGGAACACTGGCAGATGCCCAGCAGTCATTCCCACCAGGGGACGTCCTACCTTCACTACCTTGATAGCTCACACCCCACTGGTGCCCAAACTTCAGGGGCCACTGCCCTGGGAGAGGAAACAGACACCCCAGGTGAAAGCAAGCTGCTCACAAACACAAAAGGGAAAAAGAAAAGGTCAGCTACTCTTTTGTTTTAGGAACCAGTTAGTCGCTGGGGATTTCTTTTGTCTTTGCTTCCAGCGGCTGCCCCAGGAAGTCACTACCTGCCTTTGCCTGTTGAGTGTCGGTCTCCCTGGCATCCACTTCTTTGGGGATACCACAACCATTGTTTCCAGAAGCATAGACAGTGTTTGCACAAATAAGCTAAGCCCTGGGCTTTACCTTGCACCTGACATTAGGAAGGATGCATTTTTCCAGAACAGCTAATTTCCAGATTTTGATAATTATACAGTGGTTATGTCCTTGATTTTAGTACACACACACTGAAGTATTTACGGGTACCTGGGCAACTAAGGTGACCAATTGACTTGGTTTGCCCAAGACTTCTGGGGGTCCTAGATGCAGTACTTTCAATGTTAAAATCAGGAAAGTCCCAGACAAACTGAGAAGAGTTCGTCATTGTAGCCACAACTGACTCTAAAAAGGTTCAGGACAAAAATGTGTGTTTGTGTGTGTAGATATAAAATAAGTGTGGTAAATGTTAACATTTGGGGAATACGAGTAAAGAATCTGTACTCTTCTTGCATCTTTTATATGTCTGAAATTATGTCAAAATTTTACATTGAGGCCAGCCGCGGTGGCTCACATCTGTAATCCCAGCACTTTGGGAGGCCAAGGCAGGCGGACTGTTTGAGCCCAGGAGTTCGAGACCAGCTTGGGCAACATGGTGAGACCTTCCCTTCTCCCTGGCAACTCCCACCCCCATCTCTACAAAAAATACAAAAAATTAGCCAGGCATGGTGGTGCATGCCTGTAGTTTCAGCTATTCAGGAGGCTGAGGAAGGAGAATCATTTGAGCCCAGCAGGACAAGGCTACGGTGAGCACTGATTGTGCCACTGCACTCCAGCCTGGACAACAGAGCAAGACCCTGTCTCAAAAATAAATAAACAAGTAAATAAAAATAAAAATTGAAAGAAAAAATTCCAACACCGTTTGAAGATGTGTTCTCCAAAGCAGCTTTGAACTTGTTTTTTTGTGTTGTGGCAGTACACACAGTGGCCCAGAGTTGGCACTACAAAAAGCAGAGCCCCATTCACATGGCAGGTGCCTGGACTTCAAACCACACCCCCACAGTATCCCAGCTGGAGAACTGGGACTTTGTCTTAGAATACTATTCATATATATATATATATATATATTTTTTTTTTTTTTAAATGGAGTTTCCACTCTTGTTACCCAGGCTGGAGTGCAGTGGCATGATCTTGGCTCACTGCAACCTCTGCCTCCTGGGTTCAAGAGATTCTCCTGTCTCAGCCTTTCAAGTGGCTGGGATTATAGGCACGCACCACCACGCCCGGCTAATTTTTGTATTTTTAGTTGAGACGGGGTTTCACCATGTTGGCCAGGCTGGTCTTGACCTCCTGACCTCAGGTGATCCGCCCACCTCAGCCTCCCAAAGTGCTGGGATTACAAGTGTATGCCACCATGCCCAGCCTAGAATACCATATTTTAGACCCTAAACAAAGTATGAGACCAGTCAGAAAATGAGTGAAATTCAGCTGTTATTGAATCCCTGATTGATTCTGTGCTGGGCACCATGTTGTGCACTTTCCCTCAGCTAAACACTTCCAAACCCCACAGCAACCTGGGGGAGACTGCCTAGCTTCACAGATGCAGGAAAAAAGTGAGTTGTAAAAAAAGTTGAACAGCTCCTCCAAGGGCACGCAACTACCAAGTGGGCAAGGTGGGATCCAAAACCAGCTCTAAATAACTGAAAACAACACTAATGCCTATTAGTGGGGGTTGGTTAAAGGACGTTTGTTGATCCCTTCTGGGGAATATTAAACAGCTGTGTAAAAGTATGAGCTGTTGCTGCCTAAGCTGCCGGCGGGGTGCGGGAGAGGGGGTATCAATGACTGATCATTGAGTCAAGATAGCCAGGCAGCATTCAGTTTGGTTGTGGATTCCATTTAGGCATGTGGGTATGAGTTTAATTTCTACAAGAGTGTATGTGCAAAACTATATGCATACACACACAATTTGTGTTAACAGAAAGGTCAAAGACAAGAGGTCTCTCAAGCTTTAGAGTAAAGAGCATAAGCATCAGCCGGTGAACTTGTTAAAATGCCTGATAGTACATCGCTCTGCTCCTACTAAAGTAGCATAGTGAGGGACCCAGAAGCACGTAGAATCTAGAAGCCCAAAATTCAAGTTATTTTCAGCGGTTTTGTCTCAGAGAGTGGGGATTTTTATTTTTAACTTTAAAAAAATTTCATATGATTGGAATATTTTTGAACAGGCAGGCACCACTTTTATACTACTAAAATGTAGTACACCCAGCTTTTTTTCCATTCTTTAATCTGGAACAGTTCCTCATTCTTTGTCTTTCATGATATTGACATGTATTAGGTTTGTGCAAAAGTAATTGTGGTTTTTGCCATGAAAAGTCATGGTAAAAACTGCAGCTATTTTTGCACCAACTTAATATGTAGAATGCCCCTCATCCTGGGTTTGTTTGATGTTTTCTCATGATTGAATCCAAGTTATTTATTTTTAGCAGGAATCCCACAGAGGTACCTGGTGTTGGTTTATCACATTATCAGGTATATTAACTTTGATCATTTGATTGACGGGATTTCTGCCAGGTTTTTCCACTGTAAATTTACGATTTTCCCCCTTTGGAATTTATATGCATGTTGTGGGGTGATATTTGGGGATTATGCAAATATCCTGTTTTTCATTAAACTCTCCCACTTGTTTTCTTATCCACTGAAAACCTCTGCCAGAATCAGTTATTTTTACAATGGGTTACCCAATGATTGGACTTCTTTTGTGAAAACATTTCACAGTGCAGAATCTTCGTAGGTTTGTGGAGGAGACAGGCAAATCACAGATAATTGCGGTGTAATGTAGCAATTGCTCCATAAAAAAAGTAAAGTGAGGGATGGCAAGCTACAAGCCCCTGGGTAAAATCTAGCCCAAAGCCTGTTTTTATAGGTAAAGTTTTGTTGGAACACAGCCATGCCCATCTTCTCCTTACCTAGTGTCTGTGACTGCCTTTGAACTACAATGGCAGTTGAGAGGTATAACCAAAGGCACGTGATTCACAAAGCCTTATAGGGTTGCTCCCTGGCCCTTAGAAAAAAGTTTCCTGACCCTTGATACAAGGCCTGTGGAGAGAACTCCTCTGAATGGTGCTTCAGTTCTGTGGAACTCACACACAGGGAGCATTCATTCGCTCTGCAGGCCCTCGGGGGGTATTCCAAGGCAGGAGTGTTCCTGAACTAGAACCTAGTCCTATGTAGGCTTTCCCATTTAGGTTAATACGCACACTACAAAGGAGCCATGCCATCTCTTACTTAAAAGAGATTAACTCTGTTTTGTTTAGGTGTAACTATACATTACCGACAAGACAGGAAATTATACCAAGTCAGAATGACTAAATACAATTACTGTAATTAGCCTGACCAAAATCTTTTCATGTCAAGGCACTGACGAGTCCTGTCAGAATGGCCTCTTTTTTTCTAGTACATATTTTGTACAACAAAACTCTGGAGAGGAAGAGCATTTAAACCATTCTCAGAGTGTGTAACATGAACACAGAACCTGTTTTGGCACCAGCCTGGTAAGGGTTATTGGGGAGGTCAAGAGTATCAGTTATTTACATGTGAAATCATGTTTATTTCCAGAATGTGTCTTGTTCACTAAAGTTCCCAACAGGATTAGGCTCAACTGAATGCATTGCTCAGAAAGCTGTGTTTTGTGGTAGTAAGAGGAAGTTCTGGAAAATCAATTAAGAACTCAAGAGTAACTTAATCTTGTTGATTGTTCTCTTCTATGGGGAACACCCATGTAATGCTAGAATGGCCAGCTCCAGGAAAGATCAGCATTTTGGGCCAAGCTTCTGTGATTAAAGGAAAGGAGAGAGTTAAATATATTTCTGGTGAATTTTGGCCACAAAAAGTTGATCTGGATTTTTCTAAAGCCAAAGCCACAATTTCTTATTGGCAAATGCCATCCACAGCAGATTCCTGTTTGACACAGTGTTGGGATGAGAAGGAGAAGATAATTTTAATGAGTGATATAGTTGTTATTAAAAATTATTGCTTTATGCTCTAGGGAAGAATGTGACTTTATTTATTTGGTTTTTTTTTTTTTTGAGACAAGGTCTCACGCTGTCACCCAAGCTGGAGTGCAGTGGTGCAATCATAGCTCACTGCAGCCTCAACTTCCTGGGTCCCGGTGATCCTCCCACCTCAGCCTCCCACATAGCTGGGACAACAGGCGCGTGCCACGACATCCAGATAACTTTCTGAAATTTTGTAGAGACGAGGCTCTTGCCATGTTGCTCAGGCTGGTCTTGAACTCCTGGCCTCAAGTGATCTGCCCACCTCAGGTTCCCAAAGCATTGGGATAATAGGCATGTGCCACCATGCCTGGCTGCATGAAATTCTAAAGCAGATAAAGCTATAAAAACACTGGACAAAATGCTAAAGATTTGGAAGGACATAAAGATGAAGCCCCAGATGATTCCAGAATGGCAGAGGATGGAAAAGGAAAAGTAGATTGATCAGTATAAGACTAAAGCACTGTGCTTCTGCCCAAGGCACTCACAGAAGGCAGATAGAAATTAAGCACAGGCAGCAAAGGACAGCTGGAAAGAAGAGAGGACCTTCCTTTTCTAGTCATCTGTAGCCACGTCTGATCTCAGAGTAGGGCATTGTTATACTTACCTTTAAATAAAGCAAACACCCTTTTACCCAGAAGAGTTGGGGGACAATCAGAATAATAAATATTCTACTTTCTCAAGAGCTCTTGAATTCCTTGCATTTCTTAAGAGTTTCCTAGACATTTTCACATATATCAATTTGTTTATTATCACCGCACACTCTGAAATAGGAATTATTAGCTCCTTTTTACAGATAGGAAAACAGAAAAGTAAAGTGACTTGCATCCTCAATTCAAGCCTCTTGATTTAAAATCAGTGCGTTTTACAGGGCACTACAGGGACCGTGGTCTACCAATGTATCTGTTATTGGATGTGTTGCTGGTTCAAATGGAGAGGCTCAAATGGAGGGGCTGCTTACGAGGTGTGGGCTGGGTACCGAGAACAAACAAAGATCAAGGTGCCCAGAGGCCTGCAAGAGTGGGGAGCAGTTACTACCTCTAAGAGCTGATGGTGCTCTCCACTCTCTGAGTGTTGGAGTGTGAAGTCGGGCTGCTTGGCAGGAGCTGGCATGAGGAGGGAGACAGGCGGTGCCAGTGACAGGCACTGAAGTGGGGAGGAAACACCCCAGCTTACCGTTCTCCCGGCCCTCAGTTCTTCAGCCAGAGCCTCCCACTGGCCATCAGGGAAGCCTGCTGGCATGAGGCCATCCTCATGGGCTGCCTCCCTGGGCAATGGAGTAGAATCCAGGAGAGGCGCGGGGAAGGAGTGAGGCTGTGAAAAGGAAGAGCTGGCACTTTGGCTTCCACAAAACTGGAAAACCCTGAAAAATACCTAACACAAAATTCAGTTAAACATAATTTGTACAGGGTCAGCCCACAGTACCTTATCTGAAGCTCTGTGGGCCAGATGTGTTCTAAAATTCGTAATATTTTGTATTCCAAGAAGAACACCATGGATATAAACTATATATTATGTAGCACACCCCAGCAGGGTCTAAGACAGCACTTTATAAAAAAACGCATTCGCATTTATGTACTGTAAGTGAGCTAAATAATAACTATAAATAACTTCTCATTAATTTAGGTCAGTGATTGCTATTACATGAATTTTGGGGCTAAACTTGCCCCTAAAAATTGGATTTCAGAATTTTTAGGATTTTGGAATTGTGAAGGAGGGATAAGAGATTATTGAACAGTTTTCTATTTTTCAAAAGATATTCAAGTATTCCTCTTTTCTTTTCTTTTTTTTCGTTTGTTTGTTTAAGACAGGGTCTTTCTCTGTCACCCAGGCTGGAGTGCAGTTGTGTGATCTCAGGTCTCTGCAGCGAGCCTCTGCAGTGAGGCTGTTCACTGCAACCTCAACCTCCCGGGCTCAAATGATCCTCCCACCTCAGCCTCCCAAGAAGCTTGAACTACAGACATGAGCCACCACACCTGGCTAATTTTTAAAAAGTTTTTCTAGAGATGAGGCCTAATCATGTTGTCCAGGCTGGTCTCAAACTCCTGGATTCAAGGGATCCTCCCACCTTGGGCCTCCCAAAGTGCTAAGACTACAGATGTGAGCCAACACACCTGGCCTGATATTCTAGGATTTTATGGCATTTTATTGTCATTATTATGAATGCTGGTTGTCCCTGTATAGTCTTTCTTTTACTATCAAATTGTATATATACATATATATACATATATAGACACACACATTCATATATGTATATTTATATATGTATATATGTATTTTTTATATATATATCCTTTTTTGAATACCAGAAAAATGGGTAATTTACCTTATATAGCTTTAAATATTATTAATTAAAAGATAAAAGAGGATGGCAATTTAGTTTGCAAAAAGAGGATTTGTCCTGGAAATGATTCATAGCAGCATTCCTCTAAATAGTAAGCACACTGGTAGTTACAATGTGGCTTTGTTGACTAAAAGCAGAGTTGCACACTCCTTTTCCTGTGTGGCATTGACTGCTATGTTAATAAAGGGTGGGTCCCTGAAAGTGAAGAGAACCTCTCTGGGGCTCCATCCATCTGAAGGGTTGGTGCTCTCCGGAATGCCCAGGTGAGCAGTGTGAGGAATTGTTTCTTGGAATTCCGTGGGGATCGTTCATGGTAATTGCGTTGGCAGGCATTCCTGGTCTCCAAAGCTCTGAAAACTGCAGTTCTCAGAACGACTTAACAGGAAGCCTCACCCACTAACAGAGGAAGCTGAGGAAGGAAGGAAAGATGGCAGTGCTGGGGGAGGGTCCATCTATTAAACAATGAGCAAAGTCATGTGCCTTGGGACCAAGTCTAGGTGGCTAGAGGAAGCACCCCCATTCACATCTTCCTCGCTGCCTCCCAAGGCTCTGCTAGGTCCCTGTGTTCCTGCTGGCCCAGATCATTCCTCATTTCCCAGGTTGATTCAGAAATGTCCTTCCTCAGGACATTTGTGCTCAGGGCTCTGAAGCATTAGAGGCATTTGAACTAGAGCAACTCTATCTTGAATAGGAGCTGGGTAAAATAAGGCTGAGACCTACTGGGCTGCATTCCCAGATGCTTAAGGCATTCGAAGTCACAGGATGAGTTAGGAGGTTGGCACAAGATACAGGTCAAAAAGGCCTTGCTGATAACACAGGTTGCAGTAAAGAAGCCGGCCAAAACCCACCAAAACCAAGATGGCAACAAGAGTGACCTCTGGTTGTCCTCACTGCTACACGCCCACCAGTGCATGACAGTTTACAAATGCCATGGCAATGTCAGGAAGTTACCTCATATGGTCTAAAAATGGGACACATGAATAACCCACTCCTTGTTTAGCATATCATCAAGAATTAACCACAAAAATGGGCAACCAGCAGCCCTCGGGGCTGCTCTGCCTATGGAGTAGCCATTCTTTATTCCTTCACTTTCATATTAAACTTGCTTTCACTTCATAGATTCACCTTGAATGCTTTCTTGCATGAGATCCAAGAACCCTCTCTAGGGGTCTGGATCGGGACCGATTTCTGGTAACACTATCTCTGGACTACTCTTCTCCATGCTCCTCGTCACCTCCAATTCCACTGCTCACTTATATCGTCCTTCATGACCTTCAAAGTCAATGCTCACTTCTTTCACGAGTCAGTAACTGCTGCCTTCTCTCCACTCTGGCACCCACAACACCCAGCACTCCACGACAGGCCCCATTGTGTGATGTCCCCCTCCCTTCGTCCATATCTTCTCATTGTTCAGCTCCTGCTTATGAGTGAGAACATGCAGTGTTTGGTTTTCTGTTCCTGTGTTAGTTTGCAGAGAATGATGGCTTCCAGCTTCATCCATGTCCCTGCAAAGGACAAGAACTCATTCTTTTTTATGGCTGCATAGTATTCCATGATGTATATGTGTAACCTTTTCTTTATCCAGTCTATTGTTGGTGGTCATTTGGGTTGGTTCCAAGTCTTTGCTATTGTAAATAGTGCTGCAATAAACGTATGTGTGCATGTGTCTTTATAGTAGAATGATTTATAATCCTTTGGGTATATACCCAGTAATGGGATTGCTTGGTCAAATGGTATTTCTGGTTTTAGATCTTTGAGGGATTGCCACACTGTCTTCCACAGTGGTGGAATTAATTTACACTACTCACTTACTTCAAAAAAATTAATTCATCAAGAATTTAGTTAAAAACCTACCCCATGTAGTATGGTGCTAGGCTTGGGATTTGAAGATAGAGTTCCTGCATTCTGGAACTTACTGTCTAGTGGGAGAAAATAGGCAGCATCAGAACAGAATGGCTTGATAGCACAGAAGAGGGACGTGCGACCCAGACTTGGTGTGTGCTCATAGGGTGTGGTCAGGGAAGGCTGAATCTTCAAGGACAAGTGGGAGGTGGGCTAATGAATGGTGGGTGAAGGATGCTGTTGGCACGGAGAACAGCATGGCGCAGGGCAAGCAGTTGGAGGGTCAGAATGTGTCCCGAGAACTGCAATGAACTGACTGTGGCTGCTATATGAAGGTCAAGCAAGAATGTGGCAAAGATAGGACCAGAGAAGGGTCAAGCTGGATGGGGAGAAGAGGCCTGATCATACAGGGTCTTGCAAACCTTGCTAAAGAATTAGAGAGTTTAGTCCATGGTGCCTTGTAAGTGGCCTGGATAGATGAGGCACTCAGTTATGTCACAGGTCAAGATACAATTACCTGGTATCTGAGGTTGAGTTCCCACAGAAGCGATTCTGAGACAAAGATTCGAGTGCAAGTAGGTTCATTGGGAGATGATCCGAAGAGCTACTGGGGGAGTGAGGGGAAATGGGTCAGGAAAAAGAAGGCAGCTGATACAGGGTGCATTGATCAGTAGGTTGCTGCTGTGAGCACCTCGGCTCAGATTGCTGGAAAACTGTAAGACATGCTTCAGAGACATCCTACTCAAGGGTGGAGGAGCCATTGTTTGGAGGCTGCTCTCAGGGGCATGTATTCCCCATCACTGTGGCCTGCCCTGTGTGAGGGCAAGAAGGAGTTGCCAGCTGGAGAGAACACACAGGCAGAGAGCGCTGGGTGTCTGAAGAAGCCCTGGCCCCTGGCCATGTACAAGAACAGTGAGTGATAGGGTGCAGTGGGGCTCAGCGTCTGCCACATCTGGTTATTCAGATGGAATAATGTGGAAAAACATTATTGGCTCTTGCTATGAGAGTCAGGACCGTAAAGAGGTGGCATGCTCAAGGGGGTAATGGAAGAGAGTTTGATGAAGGGACGATTCACAGAGGCTTGGGCAGGGGAAGCACCAGGAGCTAATCCTTCTAGGCCCCAAGAGGAGGGAACCCGGCCTTCTCACCGCTCAGGTGTGATAACTCTGAGGCTGGCTCCCCACCATTGCCCAGCGGTCTCAGCTGAGCTGCTCAGCCATACACCTGCTCATCAGTGCACCCTGTATTGGCCACATTTGCTCCTTCCTTTTCTGATCCACTTCCCTACTACCCTAAGTAGTCCTTCTTGGGATCACCTCCCAATTAACCTACTTGGTGGAATAGGGTGAGAGCCAGAGTTGAGGGAAAGAGGGAACATTTTTGAGGGAAGTTGAGGGAAAAAGGGAAAGAGGTTTCCCAACAACCTCTTTCTCCTGCCCAATAGGAGTGTGGTCTTAGGTAGAAAACTGCAGCCCTGCCAAATTACAGCTTGTTGGCAGGAACCGAAGGCAGAAACAGTGTCCCCTCTCTTGTCCAGTCCCTCAGCCATAGGAACTGAAAAACAGAGGCCAAGGAAGCCCTAGCAACATGGTCTGTCCTGAGAGAAGCGTCTGCAGGGCACAGAGCAGGGAGAGAAGTGGAGAGCTCACCTGGAGGGGCAGATGGAGAAGACCCAACATGCCCTTCTCACAGCAGAGTAGCTTTTCACCTACCCTATTCAGACCAGCTTCTACACTGCCAGAAAACTCATCACTTCATGGCAAAGCACAACTTTACCCAACAATGTCTTTTATTTGTGAGCACCTTACCATTTACAATCACTTTTCACTGACCCTGTATTCCTTTTGCCACAAAATAATTGATCAGCTGGGCAGAGCAGGTGCTAATATCCACCCTCTGTTTGAGCCAAGAGTTCAAATCTTATCTTTGGATTCAGAGTCCAGCGTTCTCTTTCTTACATCATGTCTTCCCAAGAAACAGCAAGTCAATGCTGCTCAGCAATGACCACATTATTCATCTTTACTATGACATCTTTGAAATAGCTTAGTTGGTACTTGGAGTCAGTTACCAAAGCCATGATTTCTAGAGGTCCCTCTTAGCTACAAATTTCTTTTTCTTTTTCTTTTTTTTTTTTTTTTTTTGAGACAGAGTCTTGCTCTGTCGCCAGGCTGGAGTGCAGTGGCACGATCTCGGCTCACTGCAACCTCCACCTCCCGGGTTCAAGCTATTCTCCTGCCTCAGCCTCCCGAGTAGCTGGGACTACAGGTGCCTGCCATCACGCCTGGCTAATTTTTTTTGTATTTTAGTAGAGAAGGGGTTTCACCCTGTTCAGGATGGTCTCAATCTCCTGACCTTGTGATCCACCCACCTTGGCCTCCAAAGTGCTGGGATTACAGGCGTGAGCCACCGCGCCCAGCCAGCTTCAAATTTCTTAATATAATAATGATTTGATTTAATGTGTCATCTTAGAGGTGACCTAAAGTGGGAATATCTTAGCTCCATAACTGTGCAGTTCTATGTAAAATCTACTTACGCAGAGGGAGACTCACAGAACTAGAATCATTAGATGCCTACTACGTGCCAGGGAACTTGTGTACGTCATCACTTTGCAGATGGATAGTATCATCTGACTCCACATTCCATATTCTTCTGCTTCAATAAAGGTTGCTAATGGATTATGGCTAAGAAAACCCATGCTTGTTATTTTTAGAAACACAACAAGCATAAATGCACTCAGAGGAATCATTTTTTGGGTCCTCAATGACGGCATGACGATGTCTCTTGCAAAAATGTACCCTTCAGCTTTGCAGTCAGCAGTGGCTGGGAGCCGGGGCTCTGGAGCTAGACTGCCTGGCATCAGCCTCTGGCTTGTGACTTATCACTTTTTCACTAGGTAACCTCGCTTCATTCCATCTCCCGTGCCTCAGTTTCCCTGTCACTAAATTAGAGCTCATAACACTCCTTACCCATAATAGTCATTACCCTTGTAATAAACATTGAAGTTAATGGTGCCTCGCATAGCATAGGTACCTCAGTAAGATCAACTGTAATGATTATGTCTGCATTGTCCTATCAACCTGATATGTTCTGTAAATAAGTATGTCTTCAACCCATGGCCTGGCCTAGAGAATGTAGGGGGTGACCTTAAAAGGCCAAGAATCCAGGACCTAGAGAGAGACCTACGGGGGCTGGGTGCTTTCGTGCCTGGGCAAACTGATAATGCCACATGCAGATGGGAGAGATGAACTCGCCAAGCAAGTGGCACACTGAGGGGTGGGCGGTTCTAGTAGGAAATATATTTTGGTCTGTGGTTCCTCTGAGCCATTTTTGTCTTTGCCAAATGAGCCCCTTGGGAAAATGAAGCAGCTCGATCTATATAAATAACCACCATTTGGGAGAGGAAGTGAGAGATTTCCCTAGAGAGGGCAGGAAAGGGCTGTGGGGCTCAGTGTCAGGCCCAGCACCTGGCCCGTGGGGGACACTCAGAACTATCCAACCAGTGGATGGGTTTCAACGGCTTTCATTGTGAAAGGCCTTCTTCCCTCCTTGGACAGAGGACATTGTCTTGTTGCGGGTGGCGGCTATGGAGGCTCAGGTTCTGTTGGGCTTACCTTGGCTGAGTCAGGTCGGATACCGGTCTCCTCACTTCTAAGTTGAGGATGGGGGACTCTGGATCCCTGCTGCGTCTCCTGAGAGAATGAAGGTTGCCGACACCCCTAACACACTCCGTAGTGATGCTACAGGGGAAAGGACAGGGAGAGCTCTTGCCTTTTCATGGGAGTCAGAGAGTGCCGTGGGAAGGGGGTGTCTTCAATTTATTCACTCACTCACTCTCTCACCAGTGATTGAGTGTTATATTAGTTTCCTAGGACTGTGGTAACAACTAGGCGGCTTAAACCTTCTGACATTTATTCCCTCACGGTTGCAGGACCAGCCTCCCTCTGAGGCTCTAGGAGACGACCCTTCCTTGCCTCTTCCTAGCTTCTGGCATTTACCAGCCATCTTTGGCATTCCTCAGCTTGCAGTTACTAACTTCAATCTTGCCTCTGCCGTCAGACGAGTTTCTTCCCTCTGTGTCTCAGTCTCTGTGTCTTCACATGGCTTCTTGCAAGGACACCAGTCATTGGTTTTAGGGCCTACTCTAATGGAGTATTACCTCACCTTAACTAATTGTGTCTGCAAAGACTCTATTTCCAAATAAGGTCACATTCTAAGGTTCTGTGTGGACATGAATTTGGCAGAGGGCTGGTGGGAGGACACTATTCAACCCAGTACAGGTGACTTCTTCATGCCAGGCACCCTGACAGCTGGCCTGGATGTGAAGATGAGTAAGACCCCACAATCTGACAGTTACTGAGGAGGCAGACACATAGTGAGTCACTGTAATTCCATGAGATTAGCATGAGCTAATATCTGACATTGATTGAACTTTTACTAAGTGCCTGGCACTATTCAGTGTACATTTAAACTCATGATCCTCATAGCAACCCTAGAGGTATGTAGTACTATTATCCCCATTTTACAGATGAGGAGGCTGAGTTCCAGGGAGGATGAGTACTTGCCACAGGTCACAGGCCTGGTCTCCCTGCCTGTGGAAGTCAGGGCAGGCTCTTCTGAGGAAGTGGCACTGGAGTAGAGACTTGGATCAGGAGAAAACAGCAACTATAGGAAGGCTGGAGGGCGGATGGGGTAGGCAAGTGTTCCAGACAGAGGCAAAAGCCATGCCAAGCTTGGCAAGCTTGAGTCAGGCTCAAGTTTAGCAGGCATAGGGAGATGAAGGAGGCACCTGTGGCTGGAGCCAGTGCCAGGCAGCAGAGTGGGGTGAGGTTAGAGAAGCAGGGCCTCTGAGGCCGTGGTGAGGAATCTGGGTCTGATACTTTTTCTTTCCCTTTTTTTTTGAGACCAAGTCTCACTCTGTCATCCAGGCTGGAGGGCAATAGTGCGATCTCGGCTCACTGCAACCTCAACCACCTCCCAGGTTCAACCGATTTTCCTGCACGCCAGCACTCCTGGCTAATTTAATTTTTGTATTTTTAGTAGAGACAGGGTTTCACCATGTTGGCCAGGCTGGTCTCGAACTCCTGACTTCAGATGATCCACCCACCTAAGCCTCCCAAAGTGCTGGGATTACAGGTGTGAGCCACTGTGCCCGGCCTGATTTGTTCTTTACACAAGTCTCTCTGGCTGGGAATGGAGAATGGACAACTGTAGGTAAGGGTGGAGGTGGGGAGCCCAGATGGGGTCTGGGTTATCCCTAGCAGGACTTGCTGATGGATGTGAAGGGTGAAAGGGAACGAGAAAGCACTCACGTTAGGCCTGAGTGACTGAGGACTGAGGATACCCTGAAGAAGATGGGAAGGATGGGGTGGGGCAAGAGGCACGGCCTGAGGAAGGACTAAGTCAAGGACTAAGACTGTTAGGCACCCAGTGGTCCTTGAAGCTGCGGGACTGAATCCGGATGAGGACGCTGTGGCTGAGAATCCTGCTGGTACCCATGGCAGGGGCTGGGGTTCCCAAAGCTGGCTGCCCAGTAGAAACCCCTGGAGAGCATATTCAAAATACAGATTCCTGGGCCTCATCCCAGACTGAAGCTTAACATACGAGGGTCCAGGAATCCGTAGTTTCAACAGACCTAGAATGATGTAGCAACAGCTTACTTTTACTAAGCACTTCCTTTATGGACTTTTTTAATCTCATAAGAATTCTGCGAGCTAGATCCATGTCCCCACCCATGTTGCAGCTGAACACACGAAGGCTCAGGGCAGCTGGGTAATTTGCTCAAAGTCTCACAGCAAGTTCCAGCATCCGTGGGAAGAGGAGCTGAGCCACGTGATCTCAAACCCTAAGCGGATTCCAGGCATCTCCTGAATCTTCACGCTGCTTCCTTTCCATCCGGAGATTTCTTTATTGTCTGGGGCTGACTTCAGAAAAGCCATGTTCCGCTTGCTCCTGAGTCTCGGTTCCAATATCTCAGCTGTCTGCCCATCTCCTCTTTGAGTAAATGTTTAAATCGAATTTAAATTTTCCCTCTTCAACCTTTCTAAATAAAAATAAATCTTGCCTTCTGGACTGTGTCTGCCGCTTCCCGTTTATTGGAGAGCTCCATTTATCGCACACAGCGCTCAAATCACTGACACCTGCGAACAGAGCAGCTCTAGGGAGTCCTGGCAAACCCGGGCCCGCCGCCTCCGCGGCTGCTCCCGCCCGCCGGGCCTGCGCTGCGCCGTCCTGGGCTGCGCCCGGTGGGGTCTGGGCCTGCGGCGTGAGGACCTCTTTCGCTTCTGGGCTCTTTGACCTTTTCATTTAGCCGCGGTCCTACTGGCTCCCTCCAGGTGAAAGGCTAGCGAGGGGCCACGTCCCAGACTGACTTCAGGCCCACGGTCACCATTACCAAGCTTCCAGCTTTTAAATAACACAGACAGGGCAGCGCACGTGTGGCTCACGCCTGTAATCCCAGCACTTTGGGAGGCCGAAGCCAGTGGATCAACTGAGGTCAGCAGTTCAAGACCAACCTGGCCAATGTGGTGAAACCCCGTCTCTACTAAAAACACAAAAATTAGCCGGATGTGGTGGTGGGCGCCTGTGATCCCAGCTACTCGGGAGGCTGAGGCAGGAGGATAGCTAGAACCGGGGAGGCAGAGGTTGCAGTGAGCCAAGATCCCACCGTTGCACTCCTGCCTGGGGGACAGAGCGAGACTCCATCTCAATAAATAAATAAATAAATGATTAAATAAAAATTTAAAAGAAAAACACAGACTCAGCGGCTTTTTTTTTTTGTTTCTGTTTCTGTTTTGTTTTGTTTTCTTTATTTTTAAGGAGTTAGGTCCCTGGATCCTTGAGAGACAAATTGTCTGAGTGAGGAAGGGAGACTGCTGAGTTTGCCTGCCTATTGAATCCCATTTCATTTCCAGAAAATTCCCTCTTTCCTACCTCCATGCCCCCTCCCCCGTCCCCTTCTCTTTGCTGCAGTTTACCAAGATATACCAGCAGTAAAGATTCTTGTTCAGAAGGCCCTGCAAAATCAAAAATGCAAAAGAGACATTTTCCTCTCCTTTCCCCAGCCGTCCTCTCCCCTCCTTGTTCTGCCAGAAACCCCACCAGCTTGCCAGGAGCCACCCAGGAACAGATTTCCTCTCTAATCTGTTGCATCTGTTCACTCACTCCTACTCCCTGTTAATCCCTCCAAATGCACCGTTTGCCACAAATGGGCATGAGACAACTGGCAGCGCGACCTCAGGGCTGATTCATGTGGCTCCAGCCACTCTCATTTGTTCTGTTTCTCTCTGAAATGCAGGGAGGCAGCCACCTCCATTCTGCTCAGCGAAGTGACACTTGAGAACTCTAGTCACAGGGCCAGTTCCAGTCTGTGAAGCCAAGCCTTTGTCATTTATATGTTTGTGCTCATCGATTTTACGCTGATGATTTAGTTATATTTATCTGGGAATGGTTCCGATTCAAGCCATGGGAAAGTCAGGAGACTTGGGTGGTATTTATGGTTCAGTAATTGCCTTGTTGTGGGGCCCTGGCTCAGGAAATAATCCTCCCGGAGCCTGCATTTCTCCATTTTGAAAACAGTGAGAAATCTTCCATGTAACAGCTATTTGTCAGGTGCACTGAAATCTCTTCATAAAAGTATTGGTTTATTTATTTTTTTCTTCCTTTTCCCTTTCAGTTATTCTGTAGTACCCCCAATGCATCCTTGGCACCCAGGAAATCTGCATAGAGAAGTGAGTACTGCACTGTTAGGGATGGCATGCGTTCCCCTCAAATTCATATGTTGAAGCCCTAACCTCCAATGTGATGGTATTAAGAGGTGGAGCCTTTAGGAGAAAATGAAATCATGAGGCTAGAGCCTTCATAAATGGGATTAGCGTCCTTATCAGATGAACCGACACTAGAGCTTCATGCCTCCACCGCATGAGGATACAGTGAGAAGGCAGCTACCTGCAAGCCAGGAAAAGAGGCCTCGCCAGAACCTAATCAGCTGGCACCTTGATCTTGGACTTCCAGTTTTTAGAACTGTGGGGAATAAGTATCTGTTATTTAAGCCACCCAGTCTATGGTATTTTGTTATAGCAGTTTGAGCTAATACATTATCATTCTAATAATTTTTCTCCGTGTTAATATGATCACCTGTAAACATCAATGTGCATCTTTACAGATACATATATAAAGTATATGCCATTATTTCATATATTTTTTTCTGTATCTTGCTTTATTCCTCTAGCACCTAATGGAGCCACTTTTGTTTTTGTTTGTTTGTTTTTGACACAGGGTCTTGCTCTGTTGCCCAGGCTGGAGTGCAGTGGTGAGATCTTGGCTCACTGCAACCTCCGCCTCCCAGGTTCAAGCAACTCTTGTGCCTCAGACTCTCAAGTAGTTGGGATTACAGGCACCTGCCACCACACCCAGCTAATTTTTTGTATTTTTAGTAGAGATGGGGTTTCACCATGTTGCCCAGGCTGGTCTCAAACTCCTGACTTCAAGTTATCTGCCCGCCTCGGCCTCCCAAAGTGCTGGGATTACAAGTGCCAGTCACCATGCTGGGCCAAGGAAATCACTCTTAATTCACCTGGTTCAGGTTCAATTTATACTTTTAAATGGCCACATATAACTCTGGTGCAGTTCTATTATAATTTCTTCAGCTATTCCCATGTAGATGATACTCACTTTGTTTCCTGTTTTTTGTTTTGTTTGTTTGTTTTTTGCCTGTTTACAAGGTAGTATACTTCTGTGTATCTAAGCTTTTTGGTTTTGAAGCTTTTGTTCCTATGGGATGGATTTTCAGGAGTGTGACTTCTGGATAAAGGTGTATATATTTTAATCATAACAAATGTGGCCCAGATTTCTTTCCAAAAAGACTGCATTAATACAGTCTTTCCAATACAGTATAATAATACTGTATTTCCAATCACAAATGTACTAAAGTCCCCACATTCTCTTTAGCAGTAAAGATTATCAATCTCTCTCATTTTTTCACCTGATCAGAGTAAATTCTTGTCTCATTGTAACTTTACTTGGTAGCTCCCTGATTGCACATGAATTTGAACCTCTTTTCACATATGCGTTGGTCACATGGATTTTTTTGTGAATTGCCTTTTCACGTCCAGAAAAGTACCACTTTTCTGTCTTGGTACTTATCCCTGTCTTGTTTGTTTTGAAGGAGAACTACAAACCACTGTTCAATGAAATAAAAGAGGATACAAACAAATGGAAGAACATTCCATGCTCATGGGTAGGAAGAATCAATATTGTGAAAATGGCCATACTGCCCAAGGTGATTTATAGATTCAATACCATCCCCATCAAGCTACCAATGACTTTCTTCACAGAATTGGGAAAGACTACTTCAAAGTTCATATGGAACCAAAAAAGAGCCCGCATCACCAAGTCAATCCTAAGCCAAAAGAACAAAGCTGGAGGCATCATGCTACCTGACTTCAAACTATACTACAAGGCTACAGTAACCACAACAGCATGGTACTGGTACCAAAACAGAGATATAGACCAATGGAACAGAACAGAACCCTCAGAAATAATGCCGCATATCTACAACTATCTGATCTTTGACAAACCTGACAAAAAGAAGAAATGGGGAAAGGATTTCCTATTTAATAAATGGTACTGGGAAAACTGGCTAGCCATATGTAGAAAGCTGAAACTGGATCCCTTCCTTACACCTTACACTAAAATTAATTCAAGATGGATTAAAGACTTACATGTTAGTCCTAAAACCATAAAAACCCTAGAAGAAAACCTAGGCAATGCCATTCAGGACATAGGCATGGGCAAGGGCTTCATGTCTAAAACACCAAAAGCAATGGCAACAAAAGCCAAAATTGACAAATGGGATCTAATTAAACTAAAGAGCTTCTGCACAGCAAAAGAAACTACCATCAGAGTGAATAGGCAACCTACAGAATGGGAGAAATTTTTTGCATTCTACTCATCTGACAAAGGGCTAATATCCAGAATCTACAATGAACTCAAACAAATTTACAAGAGGAAAACAAATGACCCCATCAAAAAGTGGGCGAAGGATATGAACAGACACTTCTCAAAAGAAGATATTTAGGCAGCCAAAAAACACATGAAAAAAATGCTCATCATCACTGGCAAACAGAGAAATGCAAATCAAAACCACAATGAGATACCATCTCACACCAGTTAGAATGAGGATCATTAAAAAGTCAGGAAACAACAGGTGCTGGAGAGGATGTGGAGAAATAGGAACACTTTTACACTGTTGGTGGGACTGTAAACTAGTTCAACCATTGCGGAAGTCAGTGTGGCGATTCCTCAGGGATCTAGAACTAGAAATACCATTTGACCCAGCCATCCCATTACTGGGTATATACCCAAAGGATTATAAATCATGCTGCTATAAAGACACATGCACACGTATGTTTATTGCGGCACTATTCACAATAGCAAAGACTTGGAGCCAACCCAAATGTCCAACAACGATAGACTGGATTAAGAAAATGTAGCACATATGTACCATGGAATACTATGCAGCCATAAAAAATGATGAGTTCATGTCCTTTGTAGGGATATGGATGAAACTGGAAACCGTCATTCTCAGCAAACTATCGCAAGGACAAAAAACCAAACACTGCATGTTCTCACTCATAGGTGGGAATTGAACAATGAGAACACATGGACACAGGAAGGAGAACATCACACACCAGGGACTGTTGTGGGGTGGGGAGACGGGGAGGGATAGCATTAGGAGATATACCTAATGCTAAATGACGAGTCAATGGGTGCAGCACACCAACATGGCACATGTTTACATATGTAACAAACCTGCACATTGTGCACATGTACCCTAAAACTTAAAGTATGATAATAATAAAATTTAAAAAAAGAAATGTAAATGTCCAACAGGCAATTAAATCTATACACAGTTTTTTAAAAAAAAGAATTCTCTGTATATTATAGCTATTCACCCTCTATCTGATCTCTGAGTTGACAGTCTTCCCCTGCTCCCCAAGCTAGTGTTTACCTATTGCCTTAGCATCTTATTCCGGTTGGGCTCCTACAATAAAACATTTTAGAGTGGGTAATGTATAAACAACAGGAATTTATTGCTCACAATTCTGGAGGCTGGAAAGTGCAAAACTAAGATGCCAGCAGTTTTGGTGTTTGGTGAGGGCCTATTCCTCATAGATGACACCTTCTGTGTCCTCACATGGCAGAAGTGATGAACAAGCTCCCTCAAGCCTCTTTTATAAAGGCACTAATCCCATTCATGAGGGCAGAGCTCTTATAACCTGATCACCTCCCAAAGGCCTCACCTCTTAATACTATCACCTTGAGGATTAGGTTTTGACATATTAATTTTGGGGGGACACTTAAAATTCAGATCGTAGGACTTAGCTTCTGGTATCTTTTCCAAACAAAAGTTTTTCATATTTATCTGGTCAAATATGTGTATCTGTCCTTTTATAGCTTCTGAGTTTCCAACCTTAATTAAAAAGCTCTCACCCACCTTAGTTTTTTGTTTGTTTGTTTGTTTTTTTCCTCTTTGAGACAGGGTCTTGCTTCATCACCCAGGCTGGAGTACAGTGGCTTGATCACTGCAACCTCAACCTCCCAGGCTCAAATGATCCTCCCATCTCAGCCTCTTCAGTAGCTGGGACTATAGGCCCCAATACCACACCCAGTTAATTTTATTTTATTTTTTGTAGAGATGGGGTATCTCTTTATGTTCTCCAGGCTGGAAAGGTCCATTTTAACTTTCTTCTGACTGGATAATCATTCTAGCATCTCTACTTAATACCTAATTCCTCCTCATGGGATTAAAAATATCATTTTTCCTCTTTATTTTTATTTCATTTTAGATTCAGGGGTTATATGTGCATGTTTGTTAGCTGGCATATTGCATACTAGTAGGAATTGGGCTTCTAGTGTATCCCTTACCTAAATAGTGAACATTGTACCAGATAAGTTTTTTTTCAACCCTCATCCCCCCTTCTACCCTCTCCCATTTTTGAATCCCCAGTGTCTATTATTTCCATCTTTGTGTTTATATGAATCCATTGTTTAGCTCCCACTTATAAGTGAGAATGTGCAGTATTTGGTTTTCTTTTTCTGAGTTAGTTCACTTAGGATAATGGCCTTCAGCTCCATCCATGTTGCTGCAAAAGACATGATTTCATTTTTTATGGCTATCTAGTATTCCATGGTATATATTTCTTTATCCCATCAACTGTTGATGGACACTTAGGTTGGTTCCATGACTTGAATAGTGCTGCAATGAACATATGAATGCGGGTGACTTTTTTATAATGTGTTTTCTTTTCCTTAGTCTCACTGCTAGTGAGACTGCTGGGTTGAACTGGTAGTTCTGTTTTTAGTTCTTTGAGAAATCTCCATACCATTTTCCATAGGGATTGAACTAATTTACATTCCCATCATCAGTGTATAAGCATTCCCTTTTCTCCACATCCATACCAACATCTGTTGCTTTTGACTTTTTAATAATAGCCATTCTGACTGGTGTAAGATGGTATCTGATTGTGGTCTTAATTTGCATTTCTCTGATAATTAGTGATGAGCATTTTTTCATGTGTTTGTTGACTGCTTGTATTTCTTCTTTTGAGAAATGTCTGCTCCTGTAGACATGGCTAGGATTGCCATTTTTAATGGGGTTGTTTGTCTTTTTCTTGTTGAGTTGTTTGAGTTCCTTGTAGATTCTGGATATTAGTCCTTTGTCAGAGGCATAATTTGCAAATACTTTTCCCATTCTATAGGTTGTCTGTTTACTCTGCTGATTATTTATTTTGTTATGCAAAAGCATTTTAGTTCAATTAAGTCCCATTTGACTATTTTTATTTTTGTTGCATTTGCTTTTAAGGTCTTCAGCATAAATTCTTTGCCTAGGCCAATGTCCAGAAGAGTTTTCCCTAAGTTTTCTTCTAGGATTTTTATAGTTTCAGGTCTTATACTTAAGTCTTTAATATACCTTGAGTTAATTTTTATATATGGTGAGAGATAGGGATCCAGGTTCATTCTTCTGCATATGTCGAGCTAGTTTTCCCAGCACCACTCATTGACTGGGATGTCCTTTCTCTGTTGTTTATTTTTGTTGACTTTGTTAAGGATCAGTTACATGTAGGTATGTGGCTTTATTTCTGGGTTCTCTGTCCTATTCCATTAACCTATGTGTCTAATTTTGTAGCAGCACCATGCTGTTTCAGTTACTATAGTTTGGTAGCATAATTTGAAGTCAGGCAGTGTGATGCCTCTAAATTTGTTCTTTTTGCTTAGGATTACTTTGGCTATTCGGGCTCTTTTTTGGTTCCCTATGAACTTTAGGATTGTTTTCTTCTAATTCTGTTAAAAATGATGTTGGTAATTTAATAGGGATCGCATTGAATCTGTAGATTGCCTTGGGCAGTATAGTCATTTTAATGATATAAATTATTCCAATCCATGAGCATGGGATGTTTTTCCACTTGTTTATATCATCTACAATTTCTTTCATCAGTGTTTTGTAGTTGTCCTTGTAGAGATCTTTTACTTCTTTGGTTAAATGTATTCCTATTTTATTCTTTTGTGGCCACTGCGGGGATTGAGTTCTTTTTTTTGGATTGAGTTATTGATTTGGTTCTCAGCTTGAATATTATTGATATATAGAAATGCTGCTGATTTCCATATGTTGATTTTTTATCCTGAAACATTACTGAAGTTGATTATCAAGTGTAGGAATCTTTCAGAGGAGCCTTTAGAGTTTTCTAGGTATACAATCATGTCATCGGTGAACAGAGATAATTTCACTTGTTCTTTTCCAATTTGGATGCCTTTTATTTCTTTCTCTTGCCTGATTGCTCTATGACTTCCAAAAATAATTTTTTAAAAATAGCTTTTTTGAGGTATAATTTATATACCATAAAATTTAACTTTTGTTAAGTGATTTTAGTAAGAAGTTGATAGTTTTACAACCATCATTGCAATTCAATTTTAGAACATTTCTATAACCTCCAAAAGTTTACCTGTTTACCTTCCAGCCTAGGTAATCTCAGATATGCTTTCTGTGTCTGTAAATTTGCCTTTTCTAGACATGAAAAATCATTTTCATCCTATTTGAAACATAAATATATTATTACATCTGTTCAGGATTCTCTATTTTCTTTTTAAATGTTTACTTTTATTTTCATTATTTTTGAGGCAGTCTTGCTCTGTTGCCCAGGCTGGAGTGCAGTGGTGTAGTCATCACTCACTGCAGCCTTGGTCTCCTAGGCTCAGGTGATCATCCTGCCTCAGCCTCCCAAAGTGCTGACATTACAGGCATGAACCACCACTCCTGGGTAGGATTCTCTATTTTTTCCCATTGAGTCTTTTGTCTATCCTTCAACTTAATAGAAATATGAGCAAAGAACATAAAGAGTTTTTGGGAAAAAAAATACACATTATTCTTAAAAGATACCCTCACTCCTGATAAGAAGTACAGATGAAAACTATGCTAAGATGTCATTTTTCACCTCTTATATCAGCAGCAATCCAAAAGTTTAGTGACATACTGTGTTGACGAGTTTTGGGTGAACACACTCTCACATTGCTGGTAAGAGCATAAGCCCTGGGCAATTTGGCCAAATTTCAAATGCATATTCCCAGCAGTTCTACTTTTGGAAGCTTATTCTATATATATTTTTTCATTAAGAAGAAAAAGTACATATTTTGGAACATTGCTTTTCGTAACAAAATGTTAGAAACCATGTCCTAGGGGACTCGTCAAATTATAGTATATTCATATGATGGAGACATGAGGCTGCTGTATAATAAAGGACAAGAAAGCTCTTTTTGTACTACAAATACCTTAGAGGCATATTAAGCAGAAGCAAGATTCAATGTGTACAGTATTAACATTTGTGTAAAAAACAATGGAGAAAAGATTTTTGTACTCATATCTGCTTGTCTATGTATAAAGAAATTCTGGAGGGATACATATGGTGGGGGGTAAGATGGAACTGGGCAGATGTGGGACAAAGACAGAAGAAAAATATTCACTGTATGTTTCTGTAACTTAATTTTAATTTTATATTAAAAATTTACCTATTTTCTCTTAGCTATCTTAGGCATTGACTTTTCCACATAACTTCCAAGATAATTTTATTCAGTTTTCACCTTCCCAACACTATTGGCATTAGAAGAGTAATCACATCAAACTTATATCTGAATTTTGAGAGGATCAAGTTTTAAATGACAGTCATCCCTCTGTGCCCAGGACTTCCTCAGGTACTCAGACTTTCCTAGAGAAGAGCCATCATGGTGGAGGAGAATAAACAGCACCAATCATCCTGTAATCATTGATTCAATTCATTCAAACATTTTTTGAGCACCTGCTATGAGCCAGGGGATACGATGGTGAACAAAACAGGCAAAAAGGTCCCTCACAGAGCTTACGTTAGAGTGAAGGCAGATAGACAGTAAGTGAGTAAATAAGTTAAATCATGGTGCATTAAATGGTGATCAATATAAGGAAAAAATGAATCAGGGAATTGTAATAGTAGCTACCACAAGTTGGAGTAGGGGGATGCCATTTTAAATAAGGTGATCAGGAAAGGGCTCCCTGGAAAGTGACATTTAAGCCAAGAGAAGGTGAGGGAGCAGAGCCTTTGTAGAGCTGGGAGGTGCATTCCAGGACGAGGAAATCTGGTCAAGGGCAAGCCTGCCTGTGTGAGGGTAGCAAGAAGTCCAGTGTGGCTGAGCTGGAACGAGTAAGGTGAGTCCAGATAAGTGAGGCCTTGGGGACCAGCATATGGAGTTTGGCATTTTCCTGAGGTGGAAGCCACTGGAAGTTTCTGAACAGAGGCATGGCATGATCTGACTTACGGATTGAAAGGATCACTCTGGCTGGTAGCTGGAGAACAGCCTAAAGTGGCAAAGGCAGAAGCCAGGAGACCGGTCAGGAGCCCAACACAGTAATCTTGACAAGAGATGGTGGATGATGGCAACTTGGGCCAGGTTCACACCAGGGAACATTCTGGATATATTTGGAATGCAAAGCCAAGACAATTTTCTGACTGATTGGCTGATTTTTTATTTTTGCAGTTATATTTAATTAATCTGCTGTTTTTTTCTTTTACTACTGAATTACAGAACTTTAAAAAAATTTTCTATGGCCTAGAATTATTTAAGTAGCATTTTAACTATCTGTTTGTAAAAGTTAAAACTCAGCTATGACACCATCTGGTATTACTGTCTGTTT
The DNA here is from genome assembly GCF_000001405.40 of Homo sapiens. NCBI lineage: Eukaryota > Metazoa > Chordata > Mammalia > Primates > Hominidae > Homo > Homo sapiens. The sequence goes on along the minus strand of NC_000004.12, from coordinate 26,794,652 downwards.
CAATGTTAGTTTTAAAGTCACCTTTTCCATATTCTCTATGGCAATTAATGTTTTTTAAAAAATTTCCCAGTTCTTTTCTGATTAATTTTGATATTTTGTATATTGTTTAAAAGATCATACTTTTTTGTTTTCACTTTGTATCGATTTATGACTTTTAATTTCTTCTGTAACATGGTTGTACCTCCTTTTTTATTTTTAAACTTACATGTTTTTACCCTCTTTTACCCTTGATGAAGTTCATTTAATCTATTTATCTTTTCAAATAGTTTATTTTCATTTATTCTTTCATTATTTTTATTGGTTTATATTTCAGTAATGTTTGATTTTGTCTTACTAATTTCACCTTATAATTTCTCCTGGCTTATTTTCTTACTTTTAAAAAATTTAATTTCAAGTTTGAAAGAATTAATGAAATAAACCTGAAAATATAAATAACAGCAATTCTTGGCTAAAATAAGAATTTTTTTCTTTAAAAGTAAATTGGGATTAGTAGGATAGAACAGATATCAATATTTCTTTTTGCTCCTATAATATGCATCTTCCTTGTTTTTGGCAACTGAACATCAATCTCCTTTTGGGAACATGTTCTCCTTCATCCTCAGTCTACGTGATCCCACCTCCAAGCTCCAAGTACAGGCCTGTAACTCAAGACTAGCTAATCAGGGTTCTGTATCTGTCTGGGATCAGCCAATGGTCACATGACCCAAGATGGACCAATCAAATCTCTTCCCAGCATTTGCTAGAACTATTGGAAAGATGGTCCCTCTGTTCTTCAGAGGTTTCAAGTACTAAGAAGTAAGTTGATCCGGAACTGTCAGAGGCTATCTTTGTTGCCATTAGAACCAGTCTGAGAATGAAGTCTGAGAATAAAGTCAACATAGAACAGGAGAGAAAGAGATGGATTCTATTTTTTTTTTTTTTTTTTTTTTTGAGACGAAGTCCCACTCTGTCTCCCAGGCTGGAGTGCAGTGGTGCGATCTCTGCTCACTGCAACCTCCACTTCCTGGTTTCAAGCGATTCCCCCACCTCAGCCTCCTGAGTAGCTGGGATTACAGGCACTCGTCACCATGCCCAGCTAATTTTTGTACTATTAGTAGAGACGGAGTTTCCATGTTGGCCAGGCTGGTCTCGAACTCCTGACATCAAGTGATCTGCCCGCCTTGGCCTTCCAAAGTGCTGAGATTACAGGCATGAGCCACTGTGCCCAGCCAGAGATGGATTCTTAATGACATCAACTGTACCATTGGTTGTCATGTCTGGAGCTGATTTGATCCCTTTGAACATTCTAGTTATGTGGGCAAATAAACTCCCACTTTTGTTCAGTGAGTTTGAATTTGGTTTGTATCACACACCGTAGGATGAATTTTGACTGACACAGACCACCTGGTGCCATTTTCCATGAGAAGCGGGTCTCCTGGCCGAGAAGGACTAGTCACCCCAGACATTTCAGGTCGTACCTCTCTGGCTTTCCCAGGTGCATCCCTCACTGTTCCTGACTTCCTCCTTCTTGGAAGTGCCCATCCCTTGGCCTCTTCAGCACTGCAACTTCCACATTACTTGGTCCTCCAAGTCTTCTGGTTGTCTGTTAGATGTTGGTATTTATTTAAGAATATCAGGGGGGAAAAAGTAACTTTTAATTAAAAGCTGGATGCAGTTTGAACTTTTGACTTGGGAGAAAGGCAGAATTGCTTAATTTTTTGGTTACAGAACCACATCCTTAATAGGCCCATTTTCCTGGAAAAACAGGAAGGCTGCAAAGAGCCCAGCCTGGCCAGGGTAGAGGAAGGAGGACAGGAAGGAGCTGTGCTCAGGAGCAGAGGCCTGGAAGGCCTGGCTGGAACCCAGCTTCTCAGACTAGTGTATGCATAGCCTTTGCAGTACTGCAGGGAAATAGGACAAATACAGTATGTTTCTTCTGGGGGATCCATTGTACTCAAGGACTTGGAGAGAATAGAGTACTTATAAATTAAAACAGATTATTGTTCAGAATAAAAGGAAAAATTCAAGTGCATCTTTAAGACTTCAAAGAAATCGTATGCTTACGCAGGTTGCTTCAGCCAATGCATCCCAGATGTTCTGGTGATATACAATTAAGATATACTTTTCCCACCTTAAGGCCTTTTCCTGACCCCATATTCGCCTCCAGCTGGGCCTGTTTCATCAGATTCCTTTATAGCAAAACTCACTCAAAAAGTGGTGTCTAAATTTGCCATTGCCATTTCTTCTCATCCTATTCTTTCTTGAATCCACCCAATCAGTCTTTTGCTCCAATTTCACTTCTGTTAAGTCCCTAGTAGTTTCCACGTTGCCAAATCTAATGCTGTTATCTGCCCTCAGCTCACTGTTCAGCAGCAGAAACTGACAGAATGTATAAACCTCTTCTTTTTTTTAATAATAAGTATGGTTTATTCATATACTGGAATATTATACAACAATGGAAATGAACTAATTACGTTACACACAACAACCAGGATAAAAAAAAAAAGAGTTTATTCTTAGCATAGAAAAAAAAATGCATAAACCTCTTCTGGAATACTCTTCATTGACTTCCAGGACATTACATTCTGCTAGGTCTTGTCTCACAGTGGTCACCTCTTTTCAGCCTCCTTTGCTGGTTCTTCTGAATTCCCAGACCACCTAGTATGAGGGTCCCCTCTGATGGCTGCTCTGTCCATCCACATGCTCTGATCTGTGATCTTAGCCAGTCTCACAGCTTTAAATATCATCTATAGGCTGACAACTTCCAAATTGATAGCCCCAGCTTGGACCTTTCCCCTGATCCAACTGCATACCTGACATCCCCACTTGGATGTCTAATATGCATCTCAGACTTAATACACTCAAAAAGGAAACTCATCTTCCCTCAGTAAAACTGCTCCTGTCCCAGTTCACTAAATGGCAGCTCTATCTTATCTATTGTTAGGCTTCAAGCCATGAGTCTTTATTGATTCTTCTTTTGCTCTTATACCCTACAATCAGTCAGAAAATTGTCTCGGCTTTATGTTCCAAATATATCCAGAATTTTCCCTGGTGCCACCCTGGCCCAAGTTGCCGTCATCCATCATCTCTTGCCAAGATTACTGTGTTGGGCTCCCAACTGGTCTCCTGGCTTCTGCCTTTGCCATTTCAGGCTGTTGTCCAGCTACCAGGCAGAGTGATCCTTTCAATCCATAAATCAGATCATGCCATGCCTCTGCTCGGAACCCTTTAGTGGCTTCCACTTCAGGGAAAAGCCAGCTGGTCCTCAAGGCCTCACTGAGCTGGACTCTCCTTGCTCATTCACAGGTCAGCTCTGTGAGGGACCTTTTTGTCTATTTTGTTCACCATTGTATCCCCTGGCTCATAGCAAGTGCTCAAAAAATGTTTGAATGAATCGAATCAATGACTGCAGGATGAATGGTGCTGTTTATTCTCCTCCACCATGGTGGCTCTTCTCTAGAAAAGTCTGAGATTCTCTGTGGGAAGCAGCCAAGGGCCATGCAGGGTTTGGAGCAGGGAAGAGACTGGTGACAAAGAGTTTTAGAGCAGTTGTTCTGGGGATAGTGTGGAGAATGGATTTGGGAGTGCACAGAGAGGATGCAGAGAAAACTAGGAGCAGGTTGACCAGTAGGAGGTCACTGTAGTTGTCAAGAAAAGAGCTAAAGATGACCTTGGAGTTTAAGGGACACCCGACATTTGGAACAGGCTCTACCCCACAGGCAGACTCAGTTACCATAAATAAATGTCAGTATCACCTTATCATTTCCCATATAAGCAAATTATTTTAATAATTATTTGAATAGAAAAGTGAAAATATTTTTGCATAAAACTCCATTTGGCTGAAAAAAATGTTTAAGTTGTCTGTCTCATTCAGACTATATCTCTTTGAGGAAAGTGACAGATTTTTGTTTTTCTTCAAGAAACATAGGAAAGTACTAATAAATGGCTCAACATATTTTTCTGTAATGCCATCTCTTGCCTCCAGAATGCAAACTTTACAGCTGTACAGTAAAATTTAATATTATCTTGGTGATAATCTAAGAAATAAAACTCTGTGGCCAACTGCCTTTGCAACCCCTAAACATAATTTTGTCTCTCTTTCTCTCAATATCTATCTATTTATGCATCCATCCATCCATCACGGTAATATCAATCATGGTTATAGCTCATCAGGTATGTTCCAGACACTATTCTAGTTCCAGTCACATATGTGACTTCATTTAATTCTTATAACAACCTATGAGGCAGGTTGACTGCTGTAAAAAACTCACCCTAACTTCTCAGTATCTTAACACAATAAAATTTATTTTTACTCAAGTAACAGTTCAGTGGAGGTGTTTGGAAGGCAGCCTTCCACATGGTGATTGAGAGGCCAAGGCTCCTCTTATCTGATGGCACCATCATCCCGCAGGGCCTCAGAGTCCTCTGAAGTAACCTCAGCCAGCAGATAGAATAAGAGAGAGTACGGAGGACCACCCAGAAAGTTTTGTTTATTATAAATTTAGAAGGTACAGGTGCAGTTTTGTTACATGGATATATTGCCTAGTGGAGTCTGGGTGTTTAGTGTAGCCATCACCTGAATAGTTTACATTGTACTCATTAAGAAATTTCTCATTCCTCACCCTCCTTCCACCCTCTCACCCTTCCAAGTCTCCAGTGTCTACTATTTCACGCTGTATGTCTGTACATTATTCAGCTCCCTCTTTTAAATGAGAACATGCAATATTTAAATTTTTGATTCTGGGTTATTTCACTTAAGACAATGGCCTCTAATTCCACCCATGTTTTTGCAAAAGACATGGTTTCATTATTTTTTATGGCTGCATAGTATTCCATGGTATGTATACTCCACATTTTCTTTGTCCAGCCATCCATTGATGAACACTTTGACTCATGACTTTCCTATGGTGCATAGTTCTGTGATAAACAAATTTTTTTGGTAAAATGATTTCTTTTGCCTTGGGTAGATACCCAGTAGTGAGATTACTGGATCAAATGGTAGATCTATTTTTCATTCCTTGAGACGTCTCCATACTGTTTTCCATGAGGTTATATTAATTTACATTCTCATCAACAGTGTTTAAGCATTTCCATTTCTCTGCATCCTCACCAACATTTGCTATATTTGACTTTTTAATAATAGCCATTCTGACTGGTGTAAGATGATATCTCACTGTGGTTTTCATTTGCCTTTCCCTTATGATTAGTGATGAACATTTTCAAATGCTTCTTGGCCATTTGTTTTGTCTTCTTTTGAAAAATGTCTGTTCATGTCCTTTGCCCAACCCAGAAAATTTTTATGGGCCAGATCTGGAAGTGACACATCATCCTCTGCCCACATTCTATTGGCTAGATAATTTAATCACACAGCAAGTCTAACTGCAAGGGAGGCTGGGCTAGAAAGAGCAGTCTGGCTGCCTGGCCAGGAATTGGTTTTAATTGGCACTTACCAATCTCTGCCAAAGGCCAAGTACTCAATTACACATGGGAACACCAAGGTATAGAAGTTTAAGAAACTTGCTCAAAGTTAAATTAGCAATAAATGATGGAGCTAAGATTCAAACCCAAGTTATTAGTCTTCAAACTGTGGGTTCCTTACATTACAACTATGTTGAAGATACACTAAGGTCAATTTGAGGTGACAACTACCCATCCACATAAATGAAAAAAGGGAAAAAAAGGTAACAATGACTTCCAGCAACTCCAGGGTGCTCCCATTTACTTGCTTACTCTCAATCTGCTGTTTCCCCTGAAATGTTCAGCCAAGAAGGCCAGTAGCTCAGCGACTCCCACCCTAAGTGCTTGAGAATTTGAGAGGCAGCTTCAGGGATCCTCCAACTGCAAATACTTGTCTCTAGAGCATGTTGTCCTCTTAACAGGAAGCCGACTTGATAGGTAGGTAGGGTCATGGGGTGGGAGTAGGCTAATTGGAAGGAGGGAAGGGGCTGGTGGCACAAAGGTTTTCAAAGTGGTCCTTCTTGACACATTTAATTTCTGTCTAGGGGGCTATGTTCAGAATGTCACAGCAGATTGCTTATTGTAGGTTCTCTCATGGGGCCAGGGCAGCAGAAAGAGGCCTAATGACTTTGCTTTCTCTCTCTTCTCTGTTATCCACTGGTGGTGTGGCTTTGAACAAATCACTGAATCATGCTCTGTGGGCAAAATGAGGAGTTTAGGTGTCACAACATAGAGAGAGGATCTTAGAACCAAGAGTATCTGATTAAAACTATGTGCCCTCTTTGCACAAAATGCACATACCCACCTAATTTTGCAGTTTACAAACTTCCTGATGAGTATCCGGGAACCTCCCATTAAGAAGAGGTGGATTCTAGGCACTTTTCAGCTCTAATGCTCTTGCTTTCCAAAAGCAAAACAGAACCGCTCCCCTTGACTCTGCTGCCTCCTATGGAAGGAAACCTTCCAGGCACCCTCTTGGTTCCTGTGTCAGCCCCCCTGTGTGGTTTGCTTGGTGGTAAAGCACAGCCCCTCCCCTGAACCCAGGGCCCCTGGGATCCCATAGTCACCTGGAACCATGCCGTGAAAATCAGCTGGCAGCCGGCCTTCTCTGCAGAGGCTTGTGAAAGGGTGAGTCACAGCAGATCGCTCCTCTGATTCACAGGTAGCATTTATTTGACAAAGGAGGTTTAAGGGGACTTGCTTCCCTTTGTATCATCTAATCTTTAAAAATCACTTGCTTCTTAACTGTCAGCCGAGAGTTTCTGTAGGCAGCAGTCTTTCAGCTGCTCCCTGGGGAGGGAGGAGAGTGCTGGCTGCCAGAGTCCTGCAGCTGTCCTGGGCACAGGAAGTCCACAGCTTCTTGTAAAAGGTAAGGGGAACTATAAATACTGTAAGAAGCCAGGAGCTTCCAAGTTCAAAGGAAGTCCGGATGTTGTCAAGGTCAGGCTTAGAGGAAAGGGGGTCCAGAGGGAACGTTCCTACTTCCTTCTGAACCTTCAGTAACCTCCATGAATCTCCAGGGAAAAGCCAAATCTCGTGACTTGACATGAAAAGCATGTCAAGTCCTCTACACTCAGGCTTCAATCTGCCTTTCCAGCCCCACAAACTTGTGGCTCTGGGAGCCCCCTCAGTGACACCAGATGCAACTCTAGCTTTTCCAGGCACACACTCTCATAGTGCTGCCCTTTCGTCAGAGACCGCCCTTTTCCTCTTTTCCATCCATCTCCATCCGGTCCTTTCTTCAGGCCTGGCTGTAATCCCATGTCCACCTGGAAACTTTTCTAGATCATTATTCATATTAATAAACCTAGTTTTAGACAGGCGCTGTGGCTCACGCCTGTAATCCCAGCATTTTGGGAGGCTGAGGTGGGTGGATTGCCCGAGCTCAGGAGTTTGAGACCACCCTGGGCAACATGGTGAAACCCCGTCTCTATTAAAATACAAAAAATTAGCCAGATTTGGAGGCACGTGCCTGTAGTCCCAGCTACTTGGGAAGCTGAGGCATGAGAATGCTTGAGCTCAGTATGCAGGGGTTGCAGTGAGCCAAGATTGCACCACTGCACACCAGCTTGGGCTACAGAGTAAGATTCCATCTCAAAAAAAAAAAAAAAAAAACTAGTTCCTCTTTATTATGTGTCTACCACATGCCAGGTGCTTCACAAGCCTTGTCACATTCAATTTTCTCAACAAGCTTGCAAGGCAAGTATTATCACTCCTATTTTATAAGTGAGGCGATTGTGTTTGAAAGGGTTAATTAAATCTCCTGAGGTCATGTAGCTAGTAAATGGCAGAAGAGCAACTCTTGTCTAATTGACTTCAAAGATACTGTGTAATGCTGCTGCACTCATGCACCCACCCACCCATTCATCAACCGGCCATTCGGCCCCATCTGGCTGCCATCCTTCCATCCTTCCACCCACCCATCCATCCATCCATCCATCCATCCATCCATCCATCCATCCAGGCATCCACCCACCCACCCACCCACCTATCCACCCACCTGTTCATGCTACCATCCTTTCAACTGGCTATCTATCCATTTACTTGCCCATCCCCAAAAACCTACATGCAGCAAGACAGCTCTCTCCCACCTTCAAAGTCCTGTGACACTGTGTTTGCAGCACCACCCCCCGATGTTGGCCCAGTGAAATACTTCTCCTTTTCTAGTTTAGGCACTGCCTCAGCCTCTCGAGTAGCTGGGACTACAGGCACTGGCCACCATGCCTGGCTAATTTTTTGTATTTTTAGTAGAGATGGGGTTTCACCGTGTTGGCCAGGATGGTCTCGATCTCCTGACCTCGTGATCCACCTGCCTCGGCCTTCCAAAGGGCCGGGATTACAGGTGTGAGCCACCGTGCCCGGCTGGTACTACTTCTTTAACTAGACTGGAAGCTCTAAGAACTGGGATCTGGTGTCCCTCACAAAGCCTAGCCCAGCACTTTGGCGACATTGAATACTCACTGACAACTGGCTAATGACTGAGCACTCACCCTGCTTTTATGGGCAGCCACGTCCCAGGAGCAAGAGGCAAGGTGGCTAGGCTTAAACGAGGCCATTCAAGAAATGTCAGCAGATGAAGGGTCTTTTGCCAAAGTCCTGAGCCAGTGCCTCCTGGAACCCAAAGAAACCCTAATTTCAAACTCTTTCAAAACCTTTTGACAGGGACACACTGCTGTCAAGAAAATCCTGTAATGAGCATGGAGCTTTAGCCTTGAGATTGTAATCACAGGAAATGTAGTGTTCAGTTTCCTAAGAAACCATTATTCTTTTTCTTTCCATTCTGCCTGCCTACCCCTGTGTATTACAATGGAAGCCTCTGGTGAGTGGAATACAAATCCAAAATACTCTTCAATAGCAGCCAAAGTGGTATTTCTAAAAAGTTCCTAAAGACCCCAGTGCTATGTGGCACAAAGAAAAGGAATGATAAAAGCAGCAGTTGTCTGAAACTGAATCTGTTCCTGTTCACATATATGAACAGACAAGCAGTTGTATTTACAGTCATCTCTACACACACACACACAGTGTACGTCTGTGTGTGCATGCAATGCCGTGGTCCCCACCCAAACACCTGCCCATCCAGATTGAGTTCTTTTTCTAGTCCTGCTCACACTTTGTGCATTATTTTTGCCACACTGTACTATGATCTTTTGTTTACCTGAATACTTCCTCCACTAGACAGAGAACTTCTTGAGAGGAATAACTATGTCATCATCATCGTCATCATTGTCATTGTAGTAATAGTTAACTTGTGTCACTGCTAACTATTGACATGGTTATCTTTTCTATGTACATTGTTGGACTTCATCCTGCCAAAACAACGCTGTGCTCTTACAGTTCTTGGGTGCCATTTTGTTCTCTGAAGTCCTTTGCATATTTCAGCAAGGTCTATCTTACTTTTATTTAATTTTTTAAAAGTTTAATTTTAAAAAGAAAAAGAAGCAACTATTTGGGAGAAATGTTAGGCTATCCCTACTTTTTCCCTTTATTGAATTTGTCATCCTAGAGACACTTTTGAATTGGATTGTAAAAACTACCAATGCCATGTCAAAATAATAGCTAGAGTGGGTAGGGAGATAAAAAGACCTAGATCTGAAATGGCTTCTAACATTTCAAATGGCTATGTGATTTTGGGCCAGTCCCTGCACCACTCTGAGCCTCAGTTTTAACTCATGTGAAGCAGTTTCTTTTGGTGGATATTGGGAGAACTAGGGAGGACCTAGGCCCAATGCTTAGCATGGCGTGTGGCACCAATAATAAGCAATAATAAATTGTGGTTATTGTTACCATTATTTTCATGGTCAACATTCACCCTTTGATACTGGAGAGTAACATAAGCTGGGATTTAGTATGAATGTATATCATGGCAGTTTTTAATTATCTAAAAATTATTAGCCAATGCTCCCCAAGGCAGAGAACTACTTTTCTTCTCATAAATTCAGAAAGTGCTTAGTATCAGAACATGAACCTGCTCTCCAAGAGATATAAGGATACTCAAGCATGTTGTCACTGGAGGCCTTAGGAGCTTTGTAGGCGGAGGAAAGCAGAAGTAGACAGTCTTGGAAATGTCTCTTTGGTATGTCAACAGTGAGAAGAAACTGTGAGAAGATTTGGGAATGTCCATAACAAAGGTTTCTGATGGGCAATTGGGTGGATTGCCCAGTGTTTCACCAGCCCAGCATACACTGGTAGCCTGAAGAAGCAAGGTGAGGATGAGGCTAGCCATAGCCTAAGATCTGAGGTTGGGCTCCAGGGCTCCTGCCAAGTGCCTTGGGTAGTCACAAGATGGCTATTGGCCTGAGAGATAAGAGGCTGACACAATAATTTTTAATCTCTCACTGCCTTCTCAATACTGGACTTATGGAACAAAGAGATGGTAGTAAAGACCCAGTCTCCAAGATTCTTTACTAGGAGACTCAATTGGAAGAAGCCCAGGGGTATCTCCTGGGATTCTGGGTAACCCTTGCTCTAATGCTGTCAGTCACCATAGCCTTTGTCTTAGCCTGCACAGTTTCTCTACCCCTACCTTAGTGTGAACAAGTTCATTCAGGTTGTTTTGTATGCCTGGGAAGGATGAAGAAGTTTTTATTGAGGGTGAAAAACTGGAAAGGCAATTTGAAGCCAAAGCCATTGAGTGGCCAAAAATCTCAACAAGATTAGTACACAGGGCTTCCAGGAGGATGGAGGATAAGTTCAACTCTGACCTGGTTCCCTGGTGACCAACAAAGAAACTTGAAGGGGGAGTTCTGGAGATGGCAACCACCAGAGGCACCTCTGGACCATTCCCAATGTTTTGAATTTAGAGAACATACTTGGATGCTCCTCATAATTTGGTGGCCTAAGATGCATGGTGGCCTAAGATGCATGGTGGCCTAAGATGCATGGTTGCCAGGCATTGTAGGGGAATTATGAGCAGCACATGTTTCTCCAAATGCAAAACCATGAAGAGCATTTCTTCTCAACTGATTCATCCCCACCCGCATCCTCCTGTCTTATATCTCCCCCATCTAGCTATTATTTTGACACTGTATTGCCAATCTTTACACTTCAGTTCAAAAAGCATACCCCCTTTATTTCTCAGAGATGACAAGTTCTTTTGCATAAAAGTGGATAAATAGGATTGGCTAATATTTCTACCAAATATCTTTTTTTTAAAAAATGTGCTTTTTATCTTGGAATAAGACATTCCAAATTGTTCTGATTATTCTGTTCAAAATGTTTGAACACTCAAAACGTTTTTCAGGAGACCTTCAATCTGAAACCAAACATTTTTCCCTCATTCATTTCAATAGGTGTTTCTCTAACATATGGCAAGTCATTGTCAGTGATGAGCATTTAGAATTAATCACTCCTTATGCCTTTAATTAAATCTTCAAGTTGGAAACTATGAGATACTTTATTCCAAATACCCAGAGAAAACATGAGCAGCCTTCATTTCTTGTTGTAACAATGCCAGTTTTCCATAATCTGACCTTCACGTGACACCAGTGGACCAGAACCTTTCTTCAAAGCACTGTATGTATTTTTATAACCTAGATGCTCAAGATGACGACAGAGGATTATCTTCGATTATTAAAGATGTTGGAACATTCTTTATTACAGATGGAAAAAATAGCCCCGCGGTTAGTTATGATCCATGCTTGAAGCTGATTTGAGTTGTCTTTTGTTGTCACAAGGTGTGGACTCCAACTGTGGATTGTACAGGATTATAAGTACCTATGTTCTTTAGGAACAATATTTCAAAGCAGATTAGATACATGACTCACACATTCTGCAGTCGTATTTTGCAGTAAATTGAGAGTCATGTTTGATCATAAAAAATTCAAATATACTTACAAAGAGAAAACAATCTGTATTCTCTTTCCTGAGCAAGCTGGTTTTTTTTTTTCTCAAGGAAAACTTTTGGATATATTGCTTTTGGGATATATAGTATGCTCTGTTTTCTTATTCCACACTCTTTTGTTTGTTTTATTAAAAAAAAAGTCAATGTTTTTAATCCATACATCCTTTTCTTCTAGAATATGAATAAATAAATGATTAGTCACTAGAAACACTGGCATAGCCACAAGATGCCAATGTCAAAAGCAATCTAGTTTGACAGTAAAGCTTTTGGTTTAAGCTTTGTCTCTCAAGCACAGAAAGTACAATGCTAAATTTAAGAGAAAGATGCAAAACTACATATAATTAAGAGTCTAATTCCAGTTTTGACGTTTGGCTGCTGACAACTTTCAAGCCCCGTGACTGCCCTTTCCATTTGGTTCCACATCTGGACAAGCTGATAAGAAAACCCCAGTGCACCAGTGAGAAGTTCAAACCATGCAGTGTTCAGTCTGTGTGCAGGAGCCCTCCACTCAGCCCCACACTCTAACTGCGATAAAAACCCCAAGCTAGTCTCCTTTCCCTGCTTTCTCAAGCCATTTATGGACTTCCTTGGAATCCTACTCTGCTCTTTCTAGAAAGCCTCATTATGCAAGAAACCTTTCCATACCCTCTTAAGATGTATGTGTGACATCATCAGTTTTGACATCTGAACCAAATTTTGGGTTGGGGGGAGTCCATCCTGCCTCTGCGGGGTGATAAAAACAGTAGAGTGTGATTTCATTAAAACATCTTAAATATAGATACATATCAACCATTACATATGTGAGCAGGAAGAAAAGCCACAAAGAAATACACCAAAACATTCACAGTGATTATCTGGGCAGTAGGATATGTGTGCTTGCTTTCCTCTTCATGTTTCTCTGTATTTTCTAAAATTTCTGCTATAAAGGTATATTTTTTTTATAAGCAGATATCAATGTAACATGGAAGTGAGTAAAAAATGTTCTGCCTTAAGAGAAAATAATTAAAATGCTCAAATCATTTTTATTAGTTTTTAAACATTTGCCTAATCCTGAATTACAAATACAAAAAAAAAAAAATCAACCTTGATGATCTATTCTTCCTCTCTCTTAAAAAGAAAACAAAGGAAACCTAAGTAGAAGTTAAGTTTCACTTTTTAGTAAAGTTGTAATCTAATCTTTGAAACTATTTGGATGTAAGTCAGCATGGGAAAACATATTTCTGCTAAAAATACCATTATCCTCAGGACTTAAAGGCTGAACCAAACTCATTTAAACCTAGAACCACTTAAAATGTTAATTAAAAAGGTATTAACATCAGCATCCTGCATGTGGCCAATCTTGCAGATTTTTACCCTAGGAACAGTAGGTCCTGTTCTGTAAATTTCCTTTTAGATAGATTGGGGTGGCGAAAAGAGAGAAACTACATAGGCCAGACACACACGACCTCCCAGTGGAAGAGGTTTTATTTCCCCCGTCTTAGAGGTGAGAGAACTGACATCCAAGGTCACATCACTAGGAAGTTGCAGAGAACCAGGTAACCTGACTTGAGAGCCTCACTTTGTTACCCAGCCCCCCTTACCTCTAGAGAACCCCAATTCAACCTGATTTAAAGGGGCTCAACAAATAATGGTTTGATAAAAGCAATGGCCCTCAAACTTGGACTTGCACCAGAATCACCTAGAGAGCTGGTGAGACACAGAATTCTGTATCCCAGCACCAGAGATTCTGCTTCAGTAGGTCTGGGATGGTGTCTGACAATTATTTCTAACAGGTTCCCAGGTGATGCTGATGCTGCTTCCCAGGGACCACACTGAAAATAGTAAGTGAGAGCAAGAACCTCAACTCTGGACTTTCCAAGGCACATAGTTCAAGACCTGGATCCTAGAGGCCCTAAGTATTTATGTAATTTATTTGATGCTTAAGGCTGCCGGAGGGCCTGTGTAGCCACTGAGCCTTGCCATCTCATAGATGGCAAATCTCCACACATCAGGAACTTCCCTCCAGAGGTGCCAGGCTTCCTCCATTGTCCTCAATTGGCTAGTCAGCTACCCCTTAGGTGAAGTTTTACTAGGCCAATGACTCACTTCAGGGCCAGGAAATGTCTTCTCTCATTTCAGCCCTAAAAAGCCTACATAGAAATAGTACTCTCAAGGGAGGTGTTACAAGGCTGGGGCAAGTGAAGACAGGAACTTAAGTCTACTCAGACCAGTTGCAGGAGACCAGAAGCCTGTCGCAAGGGCTGAAACAGATTGCACTGTGGGTAGCTGGCTACTTGCTAGCTGGGACACTGGTCTTGGGCAGTTTGTTGAGCCACCTCATCTGGGAAATGAAGTTTTTCCTTGGCTGTCCTTTGGGAAGCAATGAGGATTAATTATCATCTGATGCTGTTAGTAGGGAGGAGAAACCTGCTCAATCTCTGAGCCACATTGCCTCTTTCAGTTCCCAGAGTAGCTTTCCCTAAATGGTTGGAAACTGTAAGGAAATTAAAGAGTCTCAAGAATCTGGGTGAAAAGTGTTATTCCGCAGGGTAAAAAGGTTATGTTCTGACGACCAGTTTTATCTGGCATGTGGTAAGATGCCTTGTTAACTAGTGCTTAGGAAAATGTCATTGAATAAGCCCCAAATAAATGTGGGACGATCCTAATTTAGAAACAGATTTTAAGAATCCTCTACTTGGCTGCCTTTATGTTGAATATCCTAAGGTCTCAGTTTTTCCCTTCTCTTTCTGTTCTTTCCTGTCAAAGCTAGACAAAGTGAATTAGTTTGCTCTTCTGTAGAGGTTAACTTTTGGCCCAGTGGAATTCTGGGTAAGTGTTTCGCCATCTCAGAAATGGCCAGCTAAGGCTGTTGAGGATTCCTTAGCCCTGGCATGTCCAGAGGGAAGCCCTTACCTAGCTACACCAGCAAGATTTCCCACTCTGCCACAGGCCAGGGGATGAGTCAAAACTTTGGGATACAGCCAAACCCAGTGTGGACCTGCCACCACACTCGACAAGTCCCACACAACCTGCTGATGACAGTTGCTTGGGTCTTGCCAAGGGAAAAATATGTAAATTATAAGCTGGAGTGAGAATAGTTCATGTTCAGTCCTGCCAAGCTATCAGACCACATATTGTGTGTCATGAATGGATCTGTGATGAAAAACAAATCAAGTTCCATCATGCCATATCTCTTAGGCACTTATCCCCAGGGCCCTTCTTATTCTGCTGGCTTAAGCTCCTCTGTGTTATGGCCTGAGATTTTGCAGTTTTGACTTAGTCCAAAACCCAAGTAAGCACACAGCAGACCAAGCAAGTGCCCCAGTTGCTGCTGGGAAGCCTGGAGACAGGAACCCAGGGAAAAGAAAGAGAAGGACCCGGGGAAAGAAAGGTAGACAGATGGTGAAGGCACAGGCAATGAGAAAAAAGTATGTGTTTGCAAGAACTCTTGCCTTGGGGCTGCAAGCAGCAGCCTGATCCCAACTGTCTGGCACACCTAGGTGGGTCTGCCCAGCACCAGGTGTGAAGTAACCTGGGGAGCCTTGTAAGAGCCTGCAGCACCTCCACCCCTTCTCCCGGAGTTCCTTTTTTGCTCTCAGGTGGAGTTAGAAGGCCAGGACTGTGCCTTAGAGAAGCTTTCCTTGATTAGATGCTATTTGTATTTATTGACATTGTTGAAGGAGGCTTCCGGTAGTTTCATTTAACTCCAGAAACTTTTAGGAGCAGCAGAAACTACCATTCGAGAACTTGTTAGAAATGAAGAATCTCAGGCCCCAAACTAGATCTACTGAATCAGCATGTGAAGATGAGAAGCTCCCAGTATTCTTAGGAACATGAAGGACTAACCGTACTGTTTTAAGACCTAGCTCCCAAACATGGCTATACTTTGGATCACTTGGGGAGTTTTAACATATGCTATGCTCCATCCCCAGAGATTCGGATTTGATTTAATTGATAGGGGTTGTGGCTTGGGTATCAGGAATTAAAAATTATTCCAAGGGATATCAGTATGCCATAAAATTTGAGAATTATAGCCTAAAATACCTTTAGATTTTTCTCTAGACCAGTGTTTCTTAAATTGTAATGGAGATTGAAATAACCTGGAGATCTTATAAAAATTCAGAATCTCATTCAGTAGGACTGGAGCAACTGAGATTCTTCAGTTCTAATGGGGTTTCTGGTAATGCCAATGATGCTGGTCCAAGGGCTAGATTTTGAGAAGCAAGACTGTAAGGCATATGAGAGTGACCATCTGAAGGAAAAGCAGTGAAATAAACTCAGAAAGGACCCAGGCGGCAGGGTAATATGGAAAAAAGACCTAAAGATTCATAGTTGAGCAGACCTCGGTTCTGGTTCTTCCCCTACCACCTGTGGAATCTTGAATAAATTATATAATCTTTCCTTTCCTTTTTCCTTTCCTTCTTCCCTTCCCCCTTCCCTTCCCCCTTCCCTCCCCTTCTCTTTCCTTTCTTTCTTTTTTTTGAGATGGAGTCTCACTCTGTTGTCCAGGCTGGAGTGCAGTGGCACGATCTTGGCTCACTGCAAGCTCTGCCTCCCAGATTCACGCCATTCTCCTGCCTCAGCCTCCCGAGTAGCTGGGACTACAGGCTCCCGCCACCATGCCTGGCTAATTTTTTCTATTTTTTAGTAGAGACGGGGTTTCACTGTGTTAGCCAGGATGGTCTCAAACTCCTGACCTTGTGATCCATCCACCTCGGCCTCCCAAAGTGCTGGGATTACAGGCATGAGCCACTGTGTCCGGCCTCTTTCCTTTCCTTCTCTCTCTCTCCCTCCACACCCCACCATGTCTCCCTCCCCTCCCTTCCCCTCCCCTTCTTTTTTTCTTACAGGGCCCTGCTCTGTTGCCCAGGTTGAGACGCAACTGCATCCTCAGCCTCATGGGTTCAAGCAATCCCCCCACCTCAGCCTCCTCAGTAGCTTGGACCACTGGCATGTACCGCCACGCCCTGTTAATTTTTTATAGAGACAGCGTCTTATTATGTTTCCCAGGCTAGTCTTGAACTCCTGGGCTCCAACAATCCTCACACCTTGGCCTTCCAAAGTTCTGGGATTACAGGCATGAGCCACCATGTCCAGACAAAAAATCTTTCTGATTATCAGTGTCCTCAATTTAAAAATGGGGGTAAGAGGCCAAGAGCATTGGTTCAGACCTGTAATCCCAGCACTTTGGGAGGCCGAGCCTGGTGGATCACTTGACGCCAGGAGTTAGAGACCAGCCTGGCCAACACTGCAAAACCCTGTCTCTATTAAAAAGTACAAAAATTAGCCAGTTGTGGTGGTACACGCCTGTAATCCCAGCAATCCCAGCTACTCTGGAGGCTGAAGCATAAGAATCGCTTGAATCCAGGAGGCGGAGGTTACAGTGAGCCAAGATTATGCCACTGCACTCCAGCCTGAGGGACAGAGAGAGACTCTGTCTAAACAAACAAAACCAAACAAACAGGCAGAGTGCGGTGGCTCACGCCTGTAACCTCAGCACTTTGGGAGGCCAAGGTGGGCAGATCACCTCAGGTCAGGAGTTCGAGACCAACCTGACCAATATGATGAAACCCCATCTCCACTAAAAATACAAACATTAGTGGGGCATGGTGGCGGGCACCTGTAATCCCAGCTACTCAGGAGGCTGAGACAGGAGAATCGCTTGAACCCAGGAGGCAGAGGTTGCAGTGAGCCAAGATTGCACCATTGCACTCCATCCTGGGCAACAAGAGTGAAACTCCGTAAAAAAAAAAAAAAAAAAAGAAGAGAGAGAGATGCCTAATAGAGCTATGTAAAGATATAAAGTGGCCTGTCCCAGCGTTTCCTGTAGAATAACACCAAAACAAGGAAATAAAATAAATTCTGCAACTATAGTTCTACAAGCTATAATTCAACAAAACGTTCTTGAAATAAAAAAATTTGAAATTACATATTGAAAGAGCACACGATGAACTTCAAAATGTGAACACAAAACAACAAACAGAAAGATATATATTAGTTATTACTTGGCTTAATGAAAAGGAAAAAAATCCTTACAAAATCTAGGCAAAAACTGCAAGTGATTTATAAGGGAAAGAAAATTAGATGACCATCTAATTTTAAGCCAGAGAAAAACAGAATAACATATTTAAGATACACAAGGAAAGAAAATGTGAGCCAAGCATTTTACATGTAACTAAACTTACTTTCAAGAAAAAGAGTACATACAAGCTCTTATCAACATATAAACTTAAGAGATTATTTTCTCCCATGAGCCCTTCTTGAGGTATCTAAATAGAAAACAAGCTTCAGACAACCAAAATGACTAGGATGACATTGACACAAGTACAGATGGTGGGTATTCAATATAATTACTTGTAGAACTAAGACTAAGGGGTTAAATGGACTAGGATATAGTCTGCTCTGGCTATATGCTCTGACAATGTAGACATAGTGCAAAATTGGGAAAAACATATAATACAGACATTTACAAACTCTTCTGTTGGGGTGAGTTTTGTTATCTTAAGACTATTATATGTGAATTGTTGGATAAAGCAAATGAATGATTATAGATATTTTATCCCATCACCTCTTGTATTCTTGAAAACTATTATTAGTATGCAGAAAAAAATTATATATATATGAAAGCTTAAGTAAAAATACAAAGTCTGTATTTGAATTTGAAATTACCTCTGAGCACCTGAAAAGGCCTAATAACAATGACCAACCTACTAGCAATGATTAGACCTAACGATCAGATTGTGGCCTTAAAATATTGTTTACTACTAAAAGATACCATGACTTCTTTGAGAATTGACTAATTTCAGGTTTTGGGTAGAAAGTGTATAAGATAAACTTGGAACATCTTGTCATACCTGATGGCAAGTAAGCTTTCAATGATGACTAGAGTCATGACAAAAAAAACTTTACTCCTTGAAGTGGCTGTCACTGACTGAAGATGGGAAACCTTGAAC
Organism: Homo sapiens; assembly: GCF_000001405.40. NCBI lineage: Eukaryota > Metazoa > Chordata > Mammalia > Primates > Hominidae > Homo > Homo sapiens. Next base: position 26,775,944 of record NC_000004.12, on the reverse strand, counting down.
CTCAATAAGGATAAAAACTGCATGGGAATGAAACCCATAACATATCACATTTAACTACATAAGTTCACAATGATATTAAAAAAAAACTGACCACCTTTGAAGAATAATAAGATACCAACTCATTGCCTTGAAAACTGACAAATAAAGGGAAAGCCCTTTATTTGTCAGGATCAAGCAAATCCTGGCTTTCCTGTATGAATTTGTCTTAGTCCATGTTGTTCTGCTATAACAGGATACCTGAGACTGGGTAATTTATAAAGAACAGAAAGTTATAGTTCTGGAGGCTGGGAAATCCAATATCAAGGTGTTGGCATTTGGAGAGGACCTTTTTGCTGTGTCATCTGATGGTGGAAGGGCAAAGAGTAGCCACCCTGAAAGCCCTTTTAGTAAGGCACACATGAAGCTGGAGCCCTCATAGCCTAATCATCTCTTAAAGTCCCCACCTCCCATACCATTATATTGGCAATTAAATTTCTTTGTTTCTTTCTTTTGAGACAGAGTCTCGCTCTGTTGCCCAGGCTGGAGTGTGGTAACACAATCACAGCTCACTGCAGTCTCCACTTCCTGGACTCAAGTGATCTTCCCACTTTAGCCTCCTGAGTAGCTAGGACCATAGGCGTGTGCCACTATATCTGGTTAATTTTTAAAAATGTTTTGTAGAGACAGGGTCTCACTATGTTGCCCAGGCTGGTCTCAAACTCCTGGGCTCAAGTGTTTCTCCAGCCTTAGCCTTCCAAAGTGCTGGGATTACAGGTGTAAGCCACTGCATCTGGCCTGGCAATTAAATTTCAACATGAGTTTTGGAGGGTACAAGCTTTCAAATCATAGCAGTACTGCCCTAAATTATTAAAATGCAATTTACCAGTTCTCAATACTAACATACGAAAAGAGAAAACTTATATGGTTATTCTCAATGGATACAGAAAAGTCATTTTTACAAAATTCAACCTTAGTTCCTAATAAAAAAACTCTCAGCAAACTTGGAATAGAAAGGAAATTCCTTAACCTTACAAAAGGCTGAAGCCTGCTGCTCATATGTAATGGAGACAGAATAAGTGCTTTCCTTCTTAGATTAAGAACTTGTGAGGGATATCACTCTTACAATGTCTACTCAATGTTTTCTTGGAACTTTTAGCAATGCAAACAGACAAGAAAAAAATAAAAGATATTGATATGGGAAAGGAAGCAGTAAAACTGCCTTTATCAGCAGACAATATTATCGTTTATGTAGAAAATATTAGATAATCTACAAAAAAATCTACTAGAACTAATAAGTAAGTTTATCAAGGTTTCTGGTTATAAGATCAATATACAAAAATCAATTGTATTTCTATATAGTATAACAATCCAAAATTGAAATTAAACAACAGCACTTATAATAGCATCAAAAATATGAAACCCAGGGAAAATTCTGACAAGAGATGTTCAAGACCAGTACGCTGACAACAAATGCAGAGATATACCATGACAACATTGCTAAGTGAAATGGAAAAAGATTTAAATAGAGAGATATACCATGTTCATGGATTGGAAGATTCAGTATTATTAAACGGATTAGACTTTATTGTGGAGATTGACAAACTGCTTCTATAATCACGTGTCAAAAACTGAACTAAGAGAGTGCTGATCTGCCAGGAATCAGCATAGCTGATTAAGGCAAAAAACTAAAATGAAAATAAGAGTCAAGCCTTTAGTCACTTGCTGTACTATGATGGTATAAGCAATGTGCCACCTCCCTTTATTTTCCCTGTAAAACAGCTCTGGTTGAGGATCAGGTGGATCAGTGCAGCTGTGGGGAATGGTCTCAATGCCAAAGGAGCCCTGCCCCCCAAAAGGCTCCTGGTGTATTATGGACCTGGGGACCAGGAGGTGAGAGAAGGGAAGGGGTAGGAGAAAAAAAGTACTGAGTATTGGGTTAATGCGGAGAAAAGCATCAAGTGTCCCCTATTTCTACCTAGATAAGGAGATCTTAGCAGAGGCACCTGAGGAAGGCCTCTGCAGAAAGCCCCTGTGCAAGGCTTCTAATAAAGAGGCCTCCAGGCAACACGTTACCCAACTTCAAACTATGCTACAAGACTACAGTAACCAAAACTGCATAGTACTGGTACAAGAACAGACACATAGACCAATGGAACAGAACAGAGAACTCAGAAATAAGACCACACACCTACAAACCATCTGATCTTTGACAATCCTGACAAAAACGAGGAATGGGGAAAAGATTCCCTATTTAATAAATGGTGCTGGGAAAACTGGCTAGCCATATGCAGAAAATTGAAACTGAACTCCTTCCTTATACCTATATAAAAATTAACTCAAGATGGATTAAAGACCTAAATGTAAAACCCAAAACTATAAAAACCCTAGAAGAAAATCTAGGCAATACCATTCAGGACGTAGGCATGGGCAAAGATTTCATGACAAAAATGTCAAAAGCAATTGCAACAAAAGCAACAATTGACAAATAGGATCTAATTAAACTAAAAGCCTTCTGCACAGCAAAATAAACTATTATTAAAGTGAACAGACATCCTACAGATTGGGAGAACATTTTTGCAATCTATCCATCTGACAAAGGTCTAATATCCAGAATCTACAAGAAACATAACAAATTTACAGGAAAACAAATAAACAAACCCATTAAAAAGTGGGCAAAGGACATGAACAGATACTCCTCAAAAGAAGACATACATGTGGCAAACAAACATATGAAATAAAGCTCAATATTACTGATCATTAGAGAAATGCAAATCAAAACCACAATGAGATACTATCTCATGCCAGTCAGAATGGTGACTATTAAAACGTCAAAAGCAACTGATGCTGGTGAGGTTGTGGAGAAATAGGAATGCTTTTACACTGTTGATGGCAGTGTAAATTAGTTCAACCACTGTGGAAGATAGTGTGGTGATTCCTCAAAGACCCAGAGACAGAGATAACATTTGACCTAGCAATCCCATTACTGGGTATATACCCAAAGGAATATATATCTTTCTGTAATAAAGATACATTCATGCATATGTTCATTGCAGCACTATTTACAATAGCAAAGACACGGAATGAAACTAAATGTCCATCAATGATAGACTGGATAAAGAAAATGTGGCACATATACGCCATGGAAAGTATGCAGCCATAAAAAGGAATGAGATCATGTCCTTTGAAGGGACATGAATGGAGTTGGAAGCCATTATTCTCAGCAAACTAAAGAAGGAACAAAAAACCAAACACCGCATGTTCTAATAAGTGGGAGCTGAACAATGAAAACACATGGACACACAGCAGGGAGCAACACACACTGGGGTCTGTTGGGGGTGTGGGATGAGGGAGGGAGAGCATCAGGAAGAACAGCTAATGAATGCTGGGCTTAAAACCTAGGTGATGGGATGATCTGTGCAGCAAACCACCATGGCAGACGTTTACCTATGTAACAAACATCACATCCTGCACATGTACCCCTGAACTTAAAAGTTGAAGGAAAAAAAAGATGGCTCCCCCCCACCCAGAAAAAATAAAGAGGACTCCAAATGGAGGTACTTAGGTGAGGAATGCAGGCATGTGTAAGAGCATGGTCAGCCAGATGGGCCTGAGTCTGTGACTGCAAGACCCTTCAGGGACTGCAATGCTCTGGCTGTGCACCAAGTCTGGTGAGGGGGTAGTCAGCTTCCTCCCTTGAGACCTGCGAGGTAAAGCCTTTGTAATTGCCTATAGTAGGATCTGAAAAATCACATGTAGACTTTGGCCAGGAGCCGGACTCCTTAATAAAGAGATGCAGAGAATCCACAATAGCCATAATTACTCAAAAAAAAAAAAAAAAAAGTTGGAGGGCTAAAACTACCTTATGTCAAATTCACAGGCATGAAGTTGTCCATAGTATTTCCTGCAGTTATATTATCTCTCTCATTTCTGATATTGGTAATATTTATCTTTTCTCTTTTTTTCCCTAATCAGTCTGGATAGAGGTTTACTAATTATACTGACTGCATTGAAGAACCAAAGTTTTGTTTTAATGACACTACTGTTTTTGTTTTCTATTTCATTGATTTCTGTTCTGATCTTTATTATTTCCTTATTCTACTTATTTTGGGGTTTAATTTTTTCACTTTTTTCTAGTTTGAAAAATGTGATAAGAACACTTAACATGAGACATACCCTTTGAACAAAATTTTAAGTGTATAATACAGTATTGTTGACTATAGCACAATGTTGTGAAGCAGATCTCTTGAACTTATTTATCTTGCATAACTGAAGCTTTATACTATTGAAAAACGACTCTTCATTTCACCCTCCCCCATCCCCTGGCAACAGCCACTCTGCTTCTGAATTTGACTATTTAGATACCATATATAAGTGGAATCATGCAGTATTTGTCTTTCTGTGACTGGCTTATTTCACATAGTATAATGTCATCAAGGTTTTCTCATGTCATAGATGGCAGGATTTTCTTCTTTTTTAAGGCTGAATAATATTCCATTGTATGTATATACCACCTTTCTTTATTCACTCATTTAGGTTGTTTCCATATCTTGACTATTAGGAATAATGTTGCAGTGAACATGTGTTCAAATCTCCTTGAGATCCTGATTTCAATTCTTTTGGATAAATATCCAGAAGTGAGATTGCTGGATTGTATGGTAGTTCTATTTTAACTTTTTGAGGAACCTCCATACTGTTTTCCAAGCAGCTGCACCATTTTACATTCCCACTAACAGTGTACAAGTGTTCCAATTTCTCAACATCGTTGTGAACAGTAATCTTTTTTTTTTTTATAATAGACACCTTGACAAGTAGAAGGTGACATCTCATTGTGGTTTTAATCTGCATTTCCCTGATGATTAGTGATATTGAGTGTCTTTTCATATGTCTGTTGACCATTTGTATGTCTTTTAGTTTTTTAATAGAAACCAAGATCACTGATGTGAGATCTTCCCCTTTTCTATAATAATATTGGTATTTATAGTACAAATTTCCTAGTAAATACTGCTTTGACTGAATTTCAAAAATTTTGTTGTTTTATTTCCATTTTCATTCAGTTCAAAATACTTTCAAGCTTCCCTTTTGATTTATTCCTTGACCTATGGGTTATTTAGCAATCTGTTAGTATCCTCAATAGTTCAAGATTTTTCCAGATATTTTTGTTATCAATTTCTAATATTACTCATTGCAATCACAGCACATACTTTATATGGCTTGAATCCTTGTAAAATTGTTGAGACCTGTCTGTTTTTTGGCCCAAAATATATTTTATACTCATAGAAGTTCTGTCTGCACTTGAGATTAATGTATAGTTTGCTGTTGTTGGGTGGGGTGTTCTATAAATGCAGTTAGACATAGTTGGTTAATAATGTTGTTCTTCTGTTATCTAAAATTAGTCAGATTTCAACACCCCTTTATCAATTATTGGTGGAATAGGTAGAAAAATCTAGAAGAAATAAGAACTATAGATTTTTCTACTTACTCATTCCACCAATAATTGATAAAGTTTGTTGAAATCTGATTAATTGTAGACTTGTCTGTTTTTCCTTGCAATTCTATCAGTTTTGCTCCATATATTTAGAAACTCTGTTATGTGCATAAATGTTTAGCACTATGCCTTCTTGATGAATTCACCTTTAACATGATAATGCTTGCTGCTTTGAAATCTCTCTAGTTTACTTTTGATTAGTGGTAGCATGATCTTTTCTCACCCTTTTACTTTTAACCTAATTGTGCCTTTATATTAAAATGGGTTTCTTGAAGGCAGTATATAGGTAGGTCTCATCTTTTTTAATCCAGTCTGACAATCTCTGCCTTTTAATTGAAATTTTTGTATTTAGATTTTTTATTTAATGTGATTATTGATATGGTTGAGTTTTAATCTACCATGTTGTTTTTTTTTTCTATTTTTCTCCATCTGTTTTTTGTTTCCTTTTTATTCCTTTTACACCATCTTTTGAAAACATATTTTATGATTCCATTCTATCTCCTTTATTAGTTGTAACTCTTTGTTCTTTTATTTTAGTGGTTGTTTGAAGATTTAAAAAATATACGTATTTAACTTATCACAGTCTACCTTCAAGTGATATCATTTCATGTATATATAGAATAAGAACCTTATGGCTGGACTTGGTGTCTCATGCCTGTAATCCCAGCACTTCTGGAGGCTGAGGAGGGTGGATTGCTTGAGCTCAGAAGTTCGAGACCAGCCTGGGCAACATGGTGAAACACAGTCTCTGCAAAAAAAATACAAAAATTAGCCAGGTATAGTGGCAGACACCTGTAGTCCCAACTACTCCCTGGGAGGCTGAGGTGGGCGGATTGCTTGAGTTCAGGAGGTTGAAGCTGCAGTGAGCTGAGTTCACACCACTACACTCCAGGCTGGGTGTGAGAGCAAGCCCCTGTCTCAAAAAAAAAAAAGAACCTTAAACTATATATTTACATTTTCTAATCCTACTTGCTGTTGTGCTATTGTCATACATTTTACTTGTACTTCTATATAAATCTCATGATTTATTATTATTGCTTTACACTGTTTATTTTTAAAATAGATTTAAATAATAAGAAAAAGCCTTTCTATTTACCCACATGGTTATTATTTCTAGTGCTCTTCATTCTTTTATGTAAACACACATTTCCTTTTAGAGCCATTTTTCTTCTGCTTGAAGGACTTCATTTACCATTTCTTTCGAGGCATGTCTGCTGGCAAAGATTTCTTTCAGCTCTTGTAGGTGTGAGAAAAAATCTTTATTTCATATTCATTTTTGAAAGATGTTTTCACTGGATAAAGAATTCTAGATTGACAACATTTTTCTTCCAGTGCTTTAAAGACATCGGTCTACTGCCTTCTAGCTTGTAATATGTTGTCATCCTTAATCTTGTTCCTCTCTACAGGACAGGACTTCTTGGGCTGCTTTTAAGATTTTCTCTTCATAACTAGTTTTAGCTAAATTTATTATCATGTGTCTTCTTGTAACTTTCTTCATGTTTCTTCTGCTTGGGGCTTGTTGATCTTCTTGGACAGGAGAGTTTTAATTTTCATCAAATTTAGAATATTTTTGCCATTATTTTTTGAGATATCCTCCCCTGCTTCCTTTGGAGATTTCAATTACAAGTATATTAGGTTGTTTAAAGGTGACATACAGATAATTGACTATCTTTTTATTATTTTATTTTTAGTTTTTAATCTCTGTATTTCATTTTGGATAGTTTCTATTGCAATATTTTCATGATTCACTAATCTTTTCTTCTAAATTGTCTAATCTGCTGTTAAAATAAGCAGTTCCTTTTCATCTTAGACACTATTTTTTAAATCTAGAAGCTTTTTAATATCTTCCATGTCTCTACTTAACATGGCCAATTTTCCTCTGGCTTCTTTAACAAATAGGACAAAGTTATAAAAAGTAATGTTCTTGCTTATACATTCTATCATCTGTGTCATTTACAGTCCCTTTTGATTTATTAATTTTGTTCCTATCATGAGTCTAATTTTCCTGCTTCTTTGCATGTCTGGTAATTTTTTATCAAATGCCAAGTATTGTACATTTTACTTTGTTTGAATGCTGGATATATTTGTATTCTTATAGTCTTGAGGTGTGCTGATATGGGGTTAAGTAACTTGGCAGTCATTTAATCCTCCTGAGCCTTGCTTTTAAGCTTTGCTAGGTTGGACTAGAACAGCATCTAGTTTAGGATTAATATTCCTTCCTGAGGCAAAACCCTTTTGAGTATTCTACCCATGAATGCTGGTAGGAATAGCCACTCTTCCTGGCCTGTGTGAGCTCAAGAGATTACTCCCTTTAATCCTTCTGAGTAATTCTTTTTCAGCCTTGGATAGGTTCCTCATGTGCATGTTCTGAGGAAAGCTCCCAGCTGAAAAGTTGAGGGGATCTTTTGCAGATCCTTAGAGTTCCCTCTCTGTGCATCTCTCTCCTCTCTGGTACTCTGTCTTGTGAACTCCTGTCTTGGCCTCCTGGAACTCCTAATCCCATCTCTTCAACTCAGCAAGAAATCCAGGTTCCTCCTGGGTTCCTCCTTTTTATGTTGCATCATGGAAACTTTCCACAGGCAGCAAGTTAGGGCAACTGTAAGGGTCACTGTCCTTAGTGCTTGATGTCCCATATCTTGAGAACTATTATTTTGTATAGTCTAGATTTTGAGTTGTTTCAGATGAAGGGTAAATGGGTAAATTTGATTCTGGTTACTCCATTGTCTTAATCAGTGCAAGCTGCTATAACAAAATTTAGCAGCAGGGTGGCTTAAACTACAGAAATTTATTTTTCACAGTCTGGAGGCTGGGAAGTCCAAGATGAATGTGCTGGCAAGGTGAAATTTATTCTGAGACCTCTAGTCTTGCCTTATAGTGCCACCATCTTGTTATGTGCTCACATGACCTCCTCTTTGTGTGTGAGAAGAGTGAGAGGGGAGAGAGCTACGTTCCATCATGGTGGCTCTACCCTGATGACTTGATTACCTCTCAAAGGCCCTGCTTTCTATACCATCACATTGGAGGTTAGGGCTTCAACATATGACTTCTGGGAGTGGGGCATAAACACTCAGTCCATCTCGGACAGAAATGGAAATTTATTCAAGTGGTGTTTTGAGGAAGACTATCTCTGTAAGATATTAATAGTTTGTGTATATGCAATGCTGAGAAACTGTGGGATAAATGGAGTTATTCAGGTTGTTTATTGCAGGAATTCTCAGAGTATATAATGGACTAATGTGCAGTATAAATCTCCATGAGGAAAATACAGCACAAAACATTTCATTTATTTATTTTTTATTAATCAGTTGACTGAAATAGAGTCTCACTCTGTCACCCAGGCTGGGGTACAGTGGCATGATCATGACTCATTACAGCCTTGAACTCCTGGGCTCAAGCAACCCTCCTGCCTCAGCCTCTCAAAGTGTTAGGATTACAGATGTGAGCCTCCATGCCTGGTCTCGCAGATTTATTGCTCATGAAACCCTAAAAATGGCAGAGCACTTCTGATGTGTCTTATTGTTCTGAGCTTGCTATTTTATGCATCACTACATACCTATTAATTGTATGTCCCTTGATGATAAGAATAGATTTCTTCTTCTTCGTAAAGTGTTTAGTATTAAATATTCTATATGCATTATCTCATTTAACCTTTAGAGTAACCAGACCTATTTGGTACTGATTTACATTTTGTAGATGAAGAAATCAAGGCTTAAAGGTTAAGTAATATTACCAAAGTCACACAGTTAGTAAATAGTGGAGCTGGGATTCAAGTGCATGCCTGGTAAAATCTAAACAAAAAATATGGGTATATTGTGAAAATATTTGTTTGCAACAGTAGTGACTATTCCTTCTGTCTCCAGTCCAGGTGTTACTAATATGCATAGTTCTCCACAAAGCATGGGTGTAGAAACTCTCCCCTCCTCTTTCAACTACCTCCCTCACATGGCATAGGTGTCTGGTGGTTACTTAGGAGTGGAGAAAGACCTGAGAATCTGGAAGGTGTCCTCACACAGTGGTTGCGTATTTATATTGGTAAGAGAAGTCTGGAAGGTCAACCAAGGTATTGTTCCTATTCTCTAGCTGAGGCCACTCAACTTGTCTTAGGGCTGAAACGCTGGGTTGGCCTTCTGTTGAGGAGAGTATAGTTCCTGTTCCTCATACAGTGCTCCATTACAACATTTCTGTATTTGGCCACCAGCCTGGCATTATTCAGACCTCTGACAGAGTTGGGGAGCACTCTCAGGGTGAAGTTCTATTTGCCATCCTCAGACTCAAATCTTTCTTTCCAGACATGTATTCAGTTCTTTCCTCTTTCTTTAGGCTCTCACACATGAAATACTCATTCATCTACTTTTCTCCTATGCTAGGGGAGGAAATCCATCAATGTAAAAAATAGTATGCCTCTCTCCATATCTCTGTCTTTCACAAACACTCTCCCCACCTCCCCACCATGGGTCAGTCCATCACCCAAGTCTTGGCAGTGTATCGTGCATGTGTTATGGGTGCAAATTAAGTTGTGTATCGAAAAGAATTTGTTGCTTTATATTTCAAAAAAACCTTGCAGTGATTCCATTTATAAAGGAGGAATTATTTTGTCTGAAGATAATCCCTCCCCATGCCCGAAGTAAGTAGAAACAACAAATAGGCAGAAGTCAGAAGAGAAGAGAGGAGAACCAAATTCACTAGATTAGAAAAAATAGGTGAGTCACCAAACTAGTGTAGTGATAGAGCAGAGACTACCACAACTCCTGCTGTCTAAGAAGCAGCTGACTTTGATTAGACCATATCAGGCTTCCTGAGGCAGTAGGTGCCCCTCCCCAGAGACAAATGATCTAGACCACAGCAGTAAAGTTTATTGCTCAGTCACCTCTGAGGAGACGGTTCACCTACACATCCCCGTTTATTCCACTCCTTATCAGAACTTACTCTCTAGGCATCAATTACCTAAATACTTTCTTCCCTTTATCTGACCTAATTTGCTCCCCACTTCTCTCATCCCCAAATTCCCCTCCTTAATAAACCATCCCCCCCTACCTCTTTGGAATTCCCAGCCCCCAATATGAGTTCATTAAAATCCTGGGTTTTTCAATCTCTTTTCTGGAGATCTATTCACAGTCTCACTTAACTAAAAGCAGGCTATATCTTGGGGACATGGTTTCTCTGAAACCCTTTCAAACTTTTTTTCTCTCCTCCCCGAAAGTGCTTCAGCACCAACCTTACTCCTCAATGCCAATTTTAGAGTGTTATTCCTCCTTCCTTCTTGCAAACCCCCTCTGCTCCTTTGAGGCTCATGCCATCTGGTTCTACTACTCTTCCGCCTCCATCCTGCTGTCGCCTACTAGTAGTCTCTGGGTCTTTCCTCCTCATTCTCAGGGAAGTGAGCTTGCAACTCAGTTTTCTTCTTTATTCCTACCCTACTCCTATTGTCCTTTGTGGCTTCAACATGTACTCTCATGATTCATCTAACATCATGGATTCTTGGTTTTTTGACTTCCTCATATTTTCAATGATATTTTCTTCTACCCTATTTCAGCTATCCATATGCCTTACATTTTTACATCAATAAAAATGGCATCATCTCCAAAATTTCAAATGCAAATATCACATTCTGACTACCAATATTAACCTTCCACGTTATGTGCCTTCAAAATTACCATTCTCTCAGAAGCACTTTTACTTTTTTGTTGTAACCTTTAATCCATTTACCCCTCTTTATCCATATCCATCACCAAACCCTCCTTACCTTTTATTTCTCTTCTTTTCTAGGTTATATTCCATGACCCATCATTATAGGTTCTTCCTTGCAACCTCAACTTCTTTGTTCTGTTGAATGAGATTTGGAGTCCAATAAACTGCACTCTTCTTTCTGCCTGAGTTCAGCAGTACTTGAGAGAGAAAATTAAAATCTAGGCTGATGAAAGCAGATGAAGATGATATATCATCTTTCTTACTGCTAAAGTTAATCCCAAGGAATGTGACTTAGTTTTATAGCAAGGACTTTTAAAAACTGAGTTAGTCATGGGCTCCTCAGCTTTTAAAAACTGAGTTAGACACAGGCTCCTGAACAACTACAGCCATCTCCTTCCCCACCCCCAATTCCATACCATGGGATCTGGACTCTGTAAAGCTCAGGGAATAGAGGAGCAGTGCAGAACTGTTCACTGTGGGCAGCTAGATTCTGTGAAAAAGATGAGAGAAGGAGGTTGGCTTTAAATGCTCACTGTCATATCCCGACTTCATCAATAATATAATTCATTCTTCTCCAGGGGAGGAGGGAGTGAGGGTCAGCAATCAGCCAAAATATTACATTGATAAATATCTTAAAATACTTGTTAAACTTATTCAAAAAAGAAGTACATTTCATTTAAAATTAGGTGAGCTGTAACACTTTTATACTTGATTGCAAATTCTAGTCAGCAAATAAGAAATGAAAAACAACAGGCATACATATTTGAAAGAAGCAAAATTGCCTATTTATAGATAACATACTGTACATCACCTAGGGGTGCTGCAAAAAAGGATAGTAGAAGTAGTAAGTTCAGCAAAGTCTCAGGACACAAGGTCAGTTACACCAGCGAGCTCCTTCCACACAGAAGAAAACATTAGGACTTGGTGATAGACTTCCCCTAACACCCCTCTTCCTCTATCACACTTGCCCAACTTTCTGTGGTCTTTTCCCTGTCAGCACCAGAACAGAAGTTTGTATTCAAGATACTTTTATGTATTTTATCTTACTTGTGTAGACCCAGAAAATCTGAGACAGGTCTCAGTTAATTTAGAAAGTTTATTTTGTCAAGGTTGAGGACGTGTGCCCGTGACACAGCCTCAGGAAGTCCTGACGACATGTGCCCAAGGTTGTTGGGATGCAGCTTGGTTTTATACATTTTAGGGAGGCATGCGCCATCAATCAAGTACATTTAAGAAAGACATTGGTTTGGTCCAGAAAGGCGGGACAACTCAAGGCGGGGAGGCTTCAAGGCTATAGGTAAATTTAAACATTTCCTAGTTGACGGTTGAGTTTGTCTAAAAACCTGGGATCAATAGAATGTTTGGGTTGTGGAGACCAAAGTTTTATCATGCAGATGAAGCTTTTAGCTAGTGGGCTTCAGGGAGAACAGGCTGTAAAATGTTTCTCATCAGACTTAAAGTCTGTGTTGATTTTAATGCTGGAGAGGTATAGTGAGGCATGTCTGACTCCCACTTCCCTTTATAGCCTGAACCAGTCTTTCAGGTTAAATTTTAAGAGCCCTGGCTGAGGAGGAAGTCCATTTAGATGGTTGGGAGGTCTTAGAATTTTATTTTTGGTTTACATTCGATCATTATCAAAACCACACAAGAGAAATTAAGACAGGCAGAATCACCTATTTTATAAAAAGGGTTATTAAAACAATGTGAATTTGTTATTTTCATACGTTACAGTTAATACAGTAAACTTAATTTAGCTGCGAGGAGACAGATTATCTCTTATTGCTGTCACAAACTATGACCCACATAGGAGCTCAGAACAATACAACATTATTATCTTACAGTTCTGGAGGTCAAAAGTCCTACAATCAAGGTGTCGGTAGGGATGCATTCCTTCTGGAGGGTCATGGGAGACTCCATTTCCTTCCAGCTTCTAGAAGCTGCCTGTATTCCTGGCTCATGGCCCTTTCCTCCAGTTTTAAAGCCAGCTGTGTGACACCTTCAAATCCCTCTGTGACTCATACCCTCCTGTTTCTCTGTTTCACTTTCAATTATAAGAACACTTGTCATTACATTGGGCCCACCTGATAATCCAGGATAATCTTCCCATCTCAAAATTGTTAATAACATCAGCAAGTCCCTTTTGCCGGTAAGGTAACATATACAGTTTTCAGGAATTAGAACATGAATATCTTTGAGGAACCATTATTTTTCCTATCACAGGAAGGATGGCGCCATTACTTTAAGAAAGAGGTGCTAAGATTCTATTTTCATAGGGGGTACTGTCTCTTACCACATTTGATACTGAAAAAGCAATCACACAAATACCTGTATACATTGAAGGTCCAGCAGAGTACCTTGCTCAGAGTAAGTATTCAATGTTTGTTGAGTAAGTATATGTACACTACATATCTAAGAAAAAAGTTTTAAGGATAAAGAATAGTTGAATAAGTAATTAAAAACCATTTTCTAATTAATATGACAAAGGCATTGATAATACCTGAAGCCAGCTGTTTAAGTTAAAAGGATAATTTTAAGAAGCCATGTGAATGATCAGCAACATAAAACTTAATCTATCTTCTCTGTATGTCAGTATTGCTCCCTACCTCCTTCTGAATCTGTCTCACTTTCCCCTACTGTTTTATTTATTTATTTATTTTGAGACAGATTCTCACTCTGTCACTCAGGCCAAAGTGCGGTGGTGCAACCTCGGCTCACTGCAACCTTCATCTCCCAGGTTCAAGTGATTCTCCTGCCTCAGCCTCCCAAGTAGCTGGGATTACAGGCATGTGCCACCATACCCAGCTAATTTTTCTTTTTTTTGTACTTTTAGTAGAGACGGGGTTTCACCATGTTGGCCAGACTGGTCTCAAACTCCTGATCTCAAGTGATCCGCCCACCTCAGCCTCCCAAAGTGCTGAGATTACAGGCGTGAGCCACCGTGCCCATCCTCCCCTACTGTTTTATAGCTAAATTGGCCAAACTATTGTTTATAAATATTGAAAAATATTTGTTAAACTTATTCAAGAAATAAGTACATTTCCTTTAAAATTAGGTGAGCTGCAACACTTCTGTATTCAATTGCAAGTTCTAGTCAGTGCATAAGAAAAGAAAAAAAAGCATACCTATTTGAAAGAAACAAAATTTTATTTATTTATGGATGACATACTGTATATATGGAAAATCCCAGGGAGGCTATAAAAAAGGATAGTAGAAGTAGTAAGCTTAGCAAGGTCTCAGGATACAAGGTCAATATAAAATATCAATTGTATTTTACATTTTAATAACAAAAGATTGGAAATTGAAATAAAATACCATTGTTTAAATACAATAGCATCAAAAAATGTGAAAGAAGTAGGGATAATTTTAACAAAATATGTGCAAGAACTGTACATTGAAAACTACAAAATATTACTGAGTAAAATTAAAGCAGATCTAAATAAATGGAGAGATATGCCATGTTTATGGATTGGAGGACTCAACATTGTTAATGATATCAATTATTTCCAGGCTGATCTATTAAGCCAATGCTATCTCAATAAAAATTAACGCAGACTTTTTACTTCTTTTGGTGCAGATTAAAAAGTTCTTTAGAAATGCGAAGAAGCTAGAATGGCCAAATAGTTTTAACATACGTGAATAAAGTTAGAGGACTTACACTACCTGATTTCAAGATTTACTATAAAACTACAAAAATCAAGAGAGTGCAATATTGAAATTAGGTTAGACAAAAATTCATGAACAGAATAGAGGGTCCAGAAACCAGCCCATACACATAATCAGTTAATTTTATACAAAGGTACTGATGTGAAAGGGAAAAGACAGTCTCTTCAGCAAATGATTTATATCCACGTGCAAAAACAAAACCTCAACCCTTAACTTGCACCATACACAAAAATTAACTTGGAAAAAAAGCGATCATAAACCTAAATGTATGAGTTAATCTTTAAAGTTTCTAGAAGAAAACATAGGGAAAAAAATATTTGTGACTTTGACTTAAGCAAAGATTTCTTGGAGAGGAAGCAAAAAATATAAACCATAAAAGAAAAAATAGATAAATTGGATCTCAACAAAATTAAAACTTTTTCTCTTTAAAAGACAGTTAAGAATATTAACTATCTCATAGTTAAGAAAATTAAATATCCTATAGGCTGGGAGAAAATTTTGCAAACCATATGCTACATCCAGAATAAAGACTCCTTACAACTTTCTTTGTTTTGATACAAGGTCTCCCTCTGTCATCCAGGCTGGAATGCAGTGGCGGGATCACAGCTCACTGCAGCCTTAACCCCCAGCCTCAAGCGATCCTCCCACTTCAGCATCCCCACCACTCCCACCAGTAGCTGAAACTACAGGTGTGCACCACCATGCCTGGCTAATTTTTTTTGTATTTTTTGTAGGGATGTGGTTTTACCATGTTGCCCAAGCTGGTGTTGAACTCCTGGGCTCAAGCCATCTTCCTGCCTTGGCCTCCCAAAGTGCTGGGATTATAGGTGTGAGCCACCACACCTAGCCTATAACTTAGTAAGATCATTGATTTAAAATGGACAAAAGATTTGAACAGATACTTTACAAAAGAATATGTATAAATGGCAAATAAGTATGAAAATATGCTCAATATCATTAGGAAAATACAAATTATAACCACTTATTAGAATGACTAATATGACAACACCAAGTGTTGGTAGTAAGGATTGGGAAACACTGGAACTCATATACTGTTGGTGGCAACGTAAAACAGTAGAACCACTTCAGAAGAGTTTGGAGGCCTCCTTCTAAGTTAAACACGTGCTTACACATAACCCAGAAATCCTACTCCTAAGGTATTTACCCCAGATAAATGAAGATATATGTCCACATGAAGGCTTGTGCACAAATGTTTATAGTAGCTGTATCCATAATACACCCAAACTGAAAACAACATGAATGTACATTAACAATGGTAAATAAAAAAATTGTGAAATACTCATACAATGAAATCCTAGGCAGTAGTAAAAAGGAATGAACTACTATCACATAATATGGATGAATCTCAAAACATGCTAAGCAAAAGAAGCCAGACACAAAAAAGTACATATGGATGATTCCATTTACGTGAAACTCTAGAAAAGATGAATCTAATCTTTAGGGACAGAAGCAGATGAGTGGTTGGAGTGAATGCGTGTATGGGGGATTGGATGGGGAGGGGCACAAAAGGAACTATTTTGGGAGATGGAAATGTTCTATATCTTGATGTGGTGGTGGTGACATGGGTATATACATTTGTTAAGACTTATAGAACTGTACACTTAAAATGCATTTTATTTTACATAAAATATACATATAACTTTATTGTACATAAATTATACTTAATAAAGTTAACTTAAATGAAAAAAAAGAGTGACTGAACCATTTCATTTTTTCCTCTGAAAATATTCTTTCCTTTTGGACTTCCAAAGGCAACTCCGCAAATTCCTTTATCAGTAAATGAGTGAATTAGAATAGATGATGTCATTCGTTCATTCAATAAATATTTACTAAAGTCTATTATGGGGCAAACACAATGCTAGATTCTAGAGATATATGGCTGAAAAGGAATCCAATTTTGTCCTCAAGGAGTCACAGTCTAGTGGGAGTGAAAGACAAGCTAACTTGATTATAATACATCTTATGTATATGTAGGGGTTAAGGATTCTTAAGAGAAGCAGTCTTCCCTGATGATGCAATACCTGAGGTGGGTTTTGATGTACAAGTAAGAGTTAGGTAAAGAGGGAAGAGAAGGCATTCTAAGCAGAGGAAGCTGTAAGGGCAAAGGGCCAAAGGCAAAATATGTACCTTGTATTAGGTACTTCGAGTAGTTCAGTAGGTCTGAAATATACAATTTATCCTTGTAAGGTCATGGTTGTGTCTTGATTAGAAGAAGTTAAAATATACTACTCTAGTTTGAGCAGTGTGTAGACAGGGGTTCTATACCAAATAATGATACCCCTTATTATTGTGCATCACCTAAAAGGAAAATAACTGCCATCAGTTAGGATCCTTTCTGTTGCAAAGAAAATCCTTTGGGTCTTGTAAAAAAAATAGTCCAGAGGTAGACTGGTGCAGCACGATCTGGGGATCAACAAGGCCAAAAGAGCAGCTTTTCCTTCTCTCCATTCCTAGACTGCAGCAGCTACACAACCTACATTCTTTCATTTTCATATCCAGCTTCCCTGAAAGATTAAACCAAAGCTTCCTAATTAAGTTTCACTAGCTCTCATTGGTCTCGATTTTGCACTGGTCCTGAAGCAATCCCCATGGCCAGAGGAACAGTACATGGTGACTACTTGGCTAGGACCCAGAGGTCCTGGGGATGCAAGTCAGCCTCACCTGATGCACATGGGGAAGGGGTAGATCACTAAAGAAAAATCAGAGCATTTGTGGAAGAAGGAAGACTAGATACAAAGGAGAAATTATGTTTTATAGAAAACAGATCCCAACAATTTCTGAGTAGGTCAAGGGATACAGACATACATGGACAAATTTCTGCTTGCATCTTCCACATTTAGGACAGACAAGTAAATGAAAACTGCCTTGAGAATAAAGTGACAAAATCAGAACACATATCCAAAAAGCTATCACTTAATACTATAAGCATCATATGAGTGATGAACAGTTTTATAAGAACAAGGAGAAGGGCATAATTAATTTAATTTATAGGCTCCATGGTATCTTCACAACAGAGAAAAATTTTGGGGGAAGGCCTTGAGAAATGGAGAAGATTTTGGTGGAGACAAAAATAAACAGCCATATCTGGTTGAGAATCAGCATGGAATCTGGAGAGGCTGAAGTACAGGATAATGGATCATTGTGGGAACATAGGAATGAAAAGACCAAGCGATGAAGAATTTTTCCTGTTATGCTACAGAGCCCAGCTTTTATCCTTTAAGCAATGAGAAGTTGTTGAGTTTTTCAAGCATAGAAATGGCACAATCAAATCTGCATTCAGAGAACTACAGGACTAGACTAGACTAGACTAGACACTTCTTAATGCAAGAAGGAAGGAGATAAATCTGGGGGGAGAGAAAAAGCTAAATTCTGAAGTAGAAGGCTGAGACAACTCAAGCTTAATGGTCTCTATTTTCCCTGCAAAATAGGAGAAGAGAGCACATGCTGAGTATGGGGTGTTGTGAAGTTAAGACAAGCTGGAAATTTCTATTAGCCAGAACACTGCCTTACCAGAGCATTCTCAACAAAACCATTATTCAATAAACTCTTCTATACTATAAAGTCATAACATATCACATTAGTGGGTGAAATGACACCCTGAAGAACCAAATACAATTTGCCTATTAGGCTACATCAATGCCAATGTATCACTGTTTACTCCAATCTTTGTAATCACTGGCAGAGCAGATGTGAAGGGGGTGTCAGGGGTTGGAAGGAGATGGCACAGGAGGATGCAAGAGGAAGAAAGCCAAATGAAGGAGCCTAAGGAGGCGTGGTTAAAGATGGAGCGGACAGGTCCGGTGTGGTCACTCACGCCTGTAATCCCAGCACTTTGGAAGGCTGAGGCGGGTGGATCACTTGAGGTCAGGAGTTTGAGACCTGGTTGGCCAACGTAGTGAAAACCTGTCTCTACTAAAAATACAAAAACTTAGCCAGGTGTTATGGCGCATGCCTGTAGTCCCAGCTATTTGGGAGGCTGAGGCAGGAGAATCACTTGAACCCAGGAGGTGGAGGTTGCAGTGAGCTGAGATCGCATCACTGCACTCCAGCCTGGGTGACAGAGCCAGACTGCGTCAAAAAAAAAAAAAATAGCATGGGTAAGGCAGCCCGATGACCCTCAGTGCAGTGTTTTAACAAGCAGCCAAGAGCACAGCTTGGCAGAGAGGGGTCTGCGGAAGCAGCAAAGTGGGTGGTTGTCAACCAGGTCTGGCTTTGGGATTCAGATTCAGATCTACTGCCTAGAGCCACCTGTTTCAAATGAAAGGATCTGCTATGGCATGGTCCATTCATCTTTACAGACATAGTCTTAAACTATCAGGTTAAATGATAGAAATGCTAATGAAGTTGTGCATTCTTCATATATCATCTTCTACCACTTGACCTTAAAATGTCACATACAAACTAAGTACCAACAATATCCTTCATTTGCTTGGTGCTTTGCAGTTTAAAAAATTACTTTCAAATATAGTATTTTCTCATTTGGTCCTACAGGTCCTTACCTACCTGCAAGGTAAATGGAGAAGATACAATAAGTTCCTACCATTTGTTGCCAGTCCCTCAACCCCAGTTACAGATAAGAAAGCTTACATTATCTAGGGATTTACAGGAGGACCAAAATTCCCCCATCTGAGGACCAGAATTCTCCAATCTAGTGTACTAGACTATTACGTTGCCTCTTTTAAAAAAGCTAATGCATATTCTCCTAAAGAAAAAAGCCAAAGATGGGCATATCTGTATGCATGTGAACGAGATCATTTAAAACTCACTCTCTTCCTAATATTTAGCCATTTTCTCAGAGTAGATAATAGTCATGGGTGTGTGCTTGTCCTGTCAATTAATGTGCATTTGCAAACAAAGAATGACAAAGCATAGGATTATAACTGCATCACCTTCAAAAGCAATAAAATGGGGTTTATTAAGAATCAATCATGGAATAAATTATTATTCAGCTCTTAGTAAATCAACAAGCATTTTTCCTAATACATACTGCCAAAATAAAAGACTCATAAAATACATTTGGGTAAAACTGAATAAAATTCTAGGCAATCAATAAGCGTATCAATCTACTGATTTACAGTTTTAGTGAAGTGATCAGCATCTTAAATTTGAAACTAAAATCAAAGGACAATAGTTTTTGGACTTTTTACCCCACATACTATTATTCCATATTACAGAAATGGTAGGTCTTTAGGAAGTAATACAAAATAAGACCCTTCACTTATAATAAAGCCCAAAATAAGGCTGATGCCTTGCATAATGTCTGCAGTTTAGAATGAATGCCTACTACCTACTTTTAATCTCTCTCAGCTGCTCTGCCCTAGAAGTAAATCTTGTTAAACCAAGCTTCAGCAAAAGTGAATGGGGTTTTGACTCCTCATTCTCTTGGGTGTCTTCCTTGTATAGTTACAAAGTAACAGAAGCTGGCAACAAGCATCGGCAATGTCAAGTCTTCTAAGCAAGAGAAGGAAGGTTGAGAAGTGAAAAGGGATCACCTATAATTTTCTGACTTTCAGAGAGTCAAGCATAAAATATTGTCAAATGGAGACAATTGTATTCGACCTTCCCCAGTAGAGATGTTTAAAGAGAGAAATAAAATGGAGAGAAATGTAGAAAATCCCTGGGGTGTAAAAAGTTGCTTAAAACACCATTTAAGCAACTTTTGAATTCCTACTTAAAAACATTATCTTTTTCAAGTGTTCTCACACCCTACCCCACCCCTGGCTCTTAGTGAGGAGCAATTTATGAGACAAAACAATACATTATCTAGAGATAAATTTATAAACTGACATAAAAGAATTATCCAAGAAGCTACATTACCTCTTGAAGTTTATTACAGTATCTTTAGTTCTTATTGCATATATTATTACATGCCATTGACAAGTCAGGATTATATATATATTATAATATTATATATATAATGCTCAATTTAGCAGAAGTTGTGTTTATTGCTTCTCTCTTGAAAATCAGCAGCATGCGATGCAATATTTGGTGCAGAGTTATTGTTTCAAAAAGTGAGAAACTACTTAGGTTTAACTGAAGAGGGAACATGATCTTTATTGGCTTATATGCAAAGTTTCATTTTGGTTTTATGCAGAGTTTGCATAGTTCATGATTTGTTTCTAATGAAAAACTAGATGTGTTGCCAGTGACTGTGAAGAAGATCAGGTGACAGTAGCAAACAGAAAAATCTGAAGAAGAGGCATAACTTTTAAAGTAGAAAGGTCAGCAAGAACTGCCTGAAACAAAAAATAAAAAGAATTATTAATAGCAAAGCGAAGTCTATGAAATAAGGTAAACATAATTACAATGTAATTTTGACACTAAGCTCCTTCTTTGGATTTGTCCTAAATCTTAATACTAAAGCTACAACTTTCCTTCTCTTTTCAGAATATCTTAATGTTAGTACATGTGCAAAATGCTGAAATGTGCTGTAGAAAATAACCTGGATGTTAGCCTCAGTCTTCTTCAAATATACAAGGTAGCATGAGTTTATAACAGGTTTAACATTTCAACTTGCTTCTATAAATAAGCATACATTATGAATCCTAGTCCTGTTATTCTAGTGTAAGTAGTAACTGACTGCAGGAAATCATTTTGAGATGGAACTAATGTTTATTCAGTTACAAGATGCATAAACATCCTCTTCCCTTTAAACAAAAATGCAGGCAGCTATTTTAAGGAAAAATTTATATTTCTGTGAAAGATAACAAATAGAATAATACAGTAAACACTATTTAATTGAACCATATTTCAGGTATAAATTATACCACTGAAAAGAAATCAGCTTTAAATAATTAACTCACAATTTAAAATAACCAAAAAAGCCCATGTATCTTCACTATATCATCCAAATACATGCTCTTTAATTCTCTCAAGTGGTTTTTCTTCTGTGAAAATAATGCATGGACATGAACGATAAAAAAATGCAACATAAACCCCAATTGTTTCCATTAAAATTACCAGGTATCTGGTTTCCCATATGGTTATAATGGTTTCCTATAATAATCTTGTTTATTACTCCTTCATAAGAAGACTTTTCTCAAGTAATTAAAGAAATTTGAATCCTTAAGTATTATTAGCTCAGAACTTAACAGGTTTTACCCGAGTTAAAAAACCTGGCTACAAGTAACGCGTGTCCTATGCAACAGACACTAAAATGACAGCCTGGCAATCTCTCAGAAACTATTTCCATCCCATCTGAGTGAAACTTATCCTTACTTCAGCTGCAGCCAGTGATGTCACCTCCATCAGGTTCACTGCTCGGAAAGCAAACACGGCAGCTGCCAGCACTGGAAAAGAATGCACACTACTTCAACTGCTGGCCTACTCATCAGCCCGGCACGGTTACTGCTATGCTATGCCCAAAATCCACTGCACGGAAACTCAGAACTAGTGCTTTACACAACGGACCACACCCCCGCATTCTGAATTAAGGTCTTGTGATGAATGGAAATTGTCTGCTCTAGAGGACAGTGCCTGATGGCCAGACAAACTGAATACCACAGTTTTGAGAAAAAGGAAAATTCAGTGTTCTTAAAAAAAAGCCATTTTATAAGTTATTTCTTTCAGACCTACAACTTAAACCACTTTAAAATGGCATGAAGATCTAATGAGTTTTTTTTGTTTTTGTTTTTGTTTTTTGGTAGAGATGGTGTCTTACTATGTTGCCTAGGCTGGTCTTGAATTCCTGTGCTCAAGTGATTGTCCTGCCTCACCCTCCCAAAGTGCTGGGATTACATGGGTGAGCCACTACGCCTGGCCTAATGACTGTCTTACTGATTAAGGTTTATTTTGGTGCAGGTATTTCTTACTAATATAGTAGACAGACTTCTGAAACGTTATACAGAGGCTGAATTTTTAAACAGATTATGTTTCATATGTAACAAGGAGGTGTCCTGATAGAAACATGGCTTTAAAGCCTTTTCTTAAAAAATATTTTTATAATTTTTTGTTATATTTTTATACACAGCACTGACTTTCTTAGAGTGTCACAAATGGATATATCTGTAGGGAGGGCTGCTGTGGGATTGATCCTGACATTTAATATAATGTTGGCTACAGGAAAAAAGAAGTGAAACTTCAAAAAAATCCAAACATTACAGGACAACTTAAAGGTCAATAATATACATTAAGTAGAAAACAACACTGGAGGCCAAGCATGGTGGTGCACACCTGTAGTCCCAGCTAACTGGGAAGCTGAGGCAGGAGAAGTGTCTTGAGCTCAGGAGTTTGACAGCCTGGGCAACATGGCAAAAACCCGTCTCTTAAAAAAAATTAAAAACAGCATTTGGATTATTTTTTCCATTAAACATACGCACATGGAAAAAGAGTAATGCTAACATGCAAAACTTATATAACCTACCATAAAACTCCATGTGAGGGAGTGAGTCATAAACAACAGAAGGACCCATTTGAAAGGCAGGTGACCCTGATAAGGAGATGGTACTGCTTGGAGCTAACTCTTGACTTATCTCCTTTTCTCTCCATCACCAGTGATGGTAGTGGATTCTCTACCCAACAAGTCATTGAAGTTTAGGAAATTAATGGTAAGAAATATTCAAAATACTGGGCACAGTGACTCATGCCTGCAATCTCAGTGCTTTGGGAGGCTGAGACAGGAGGATTGTGTGAGCCCAGGAGTTGAAGAACAGACTGGAAAGCAAAGCAAGACCCTGGTCTCTACAAAAAATTTAAAAAATAAGCCAGCCACTGTGGTGCATTCCTGTAGTCCCAGCTACTCAGGAGGCTGACGCAGAGGATTGCTTGAGCCCAGGAGTTCAAGGCTGCAGTGAGCTATGATTGTGCCACTGTGCTCTAGCCTGGGTAACACAGCAAGACCTCGTCTCAAAAAAAAAAAAAAAAAAAGAAAGAAATATTCCAAATTATTTGGAAGACTGGTTCCTAGGTATACTGCATACCTAATGCAAACACATATATTTTTTAAAATACATTTTTACAAAGAGAATAAGTCATTCTCATACCAATTCTGTGAGTTAAATACTATTAATAGCCCATTTTACTAATATAGAGAGTGAGGCATAGTAAGTGGGGTGACACGTTCAGAGGCACCCAGGTAGAAAATAGTAAAGCCAATACTCAACCTTGGCTCTGGAGTTGTGCATCTAACCACTATGTGAAGATACTATTGAGACTGAAAGTAAGCAGCAACTACTCATCTCTGACATGAAAATCTGTGTGCTTTCCTAAAAATCATTGGCTCTGCTGTCTATCAGAATGGCTTTCCAGAGATGGCATGAAGGATGCTGCTACAGTGGTCCTGGTCATTGTGCCTAAGGAACAGAAGTCAGCAGCCAGGTCTCTTAATTTCCCCAGATAAAGGCCAAGTGCAACCAGTAACTGGGAAGCACAGGCACTTTTCTAGGGGACTAGAGATTTTGGACAGTCGGGCAAAAAAGCATTAGAACTCGTCAGAGAGAAAAATTCTGGAGAAAAAGATGAGAATGGTAAAATTTTAAAAGTCAAGTCAGCTGGAGTTAGTGAATATGTAACAGTAGATACAAGAGATCTGCAACAAAGGATTTACTCCTTAACTGAAATGAAGAAAACATGAATACTTTAAAGTCACTGAGTTTCATGTTTACAAGAATATCAAAGAAAACTATTTCTGTAGACCAACAATTTTTTACCACTTCCTAATATCTGGAATCATATTTTATATAGTGCAGGCATTTTAGCAGTTAAAGAGTATGATTACTACTTCCTTTTTTGTATATAATTGAACATAGTTGCTGAAAGCTTGACAGTCTGGCCAAATTTTCTGCTCCAGCAGGAAAGAGTTTTACACAGTGGGAAACTGTTTCTCCAAAGGTAGATAAGAAGGGGAAAAAAAGAGCAGTTCACTAATTGACCTCAGCATCCAAAATGCTTATGTGCTCATAACCTTTATTTATCTTGGTGTCACATCACAGAAGTTCCTTTCCATCTGCCTCATGTTTGGTTTGCCCAGCCCTTCCACAGAACAGGTTTGTTTGCCAGGGAGGAAAGGTCTACACTTTGGGATATTTTCAACTGAAATTATGCTTCATATGAAATATAGAGGCTCTAATATTTTCTTTTGGTCTTATTACTTTAATTCTAAGCAATTCTATCGAGAACATTAAGATAACTTTGCTTTAAACTGTTCTTCAAAAGGCTCTAATTAATTCACAATTAAAGCCAGTGACATTTATGAAAATATTTCTCAAGACTACATAGTAACCCACTTGATCAGAAAAAGGTGATTCCAAAATACTCATACCAAAAGTATACGAAATAATCAAAACTAATTTGTATACATTTACATGAAATTATCTACCCTGTGATTCTTTATCTGAATTCCATGGTAGGGGAGCTTCCTTCAGTCTAGTTCCATTTCTAGATGTTCCAGAATTCTTCCCTGTAGATTTTTTTAAAGCACTCAGGGAAAATGGGTGGAAGCAATAATGCAGACTACATTTCTACCTATTCTTCAGTAACGTTTTTATTAATTATTGAGCTCATAGAAGAGTGCCTGGCTTACAGCAAATACAGTATTCAACATACATTTATTTCTCTTTTCCTTCAGTTTGCTAAGGGATGATAAGGCACAGAATGAGAGAATTTAAATTGAAAGAGGGCTTGGAGGTTTTCTAATTCAACATTTCTTTCAAGGTATGAAACCTCTTGACCCTTCACATAACAGTTAAAGAACCCATTCTACTTTTTGAAAGTCCTAATTATTAGAAAATATTTTCTTAGACTGAGCCCTCCTTTTAAACATGCTTTAATGTCTCTTTAAAATGATACAGAAAGCTATACACAGTAATCTTCAAATTTTCTGGCACACTCAGAGGACAGACATTTGGTTAAAAGTCTACAATTCTCTCACTTGAGAAATGACAGTAGAAAACAAGGCTACTTAGCTTGGAAAATAGAAGACTTTGGGGAGAGGCGAAAATGTGAGAGTAGAGAAAACATGATAATTACTTTGGTTTAATAGGGGTACATGTAATGAGCCATATTATCCAGAAATGAAATGGGCCACGAGGTAAGGCAGGGATTGCCCAATACTGAAGTGTCCCAGCAGAGGATAAGAAAGGCTTGTGAACAATGTTTAGAAAAAGTTATACTCAACACCCTTGAGGATTCCTTCTCTTGCTAGATTATATATGTTACTGCCATTCAGCCAAAAGAAATGAGGGCAGACCATTATTTCCTAAATCATATTTGTATAGGTTTTTAAAAAAATTGAGACAGAACACTAGAAGTTGCTAAAAACATTAATCAGTGGTATCTCTGATTATACCAGGGTAATTGCCACCCAGGGACATATGCTACCCAGTAACTATAACTATAGACTTCTCAGCATTCAA
Organism: Homo sapiens; assembly: GCF_000001405.40. Classification (NCBI taxonomy): domain Eukaryota; kingdom Metazoa; phylum Chordata; class Mammalia; order Primates; family Hominidae; genus Homo; species Homo sapiens. The sequence goes on along the minus strand of NC_000004.12, from coordinate 26,749,757 downwards.
GAATATGTTAAGGCTGGGCCTGGAGGCTCACACCTGTAATCCCAGCACTCTGGGAGGCCGAGGCGGGTGGATCACTTGAGGTCAGGAGTTTCAGACCAACCTGGCCAACATGGTAAAACCCCGTCTCTACTAAAAATACAAAAATTACCTGAGTGTGGTGGCAGGCGCCTGTAATCTCAGCTATTCGGGAGGCTGAGGAAGGAGACTCTCTTTAACCCAGGAGGTGGAGGTTGTAGTGAGCCAAGATCATGCCACTGTACCCCAGGTTGGGCCACAGAGTAAGAGTGTCTCAAAAAAAAAAAAAAAAAACAACCCGAATATGTTAATATGATACCTAGAGAATCTTCCTATCATATTCTTCTTCAACTAAGCTTTATTTCCACAGCAGCCCAGAGAGGTGATTTTATAATGCTATCAATTTAAGGTATGGAAACATTCTGCCAACTTTTCTGATCCCTATCTATTGTGAAAACTTTGTAATTATTATTTGAATTTCCTGGTAATCTCACTAATAAAGTAATTGAGTCTATTGTGCACAAGAGAAGCAAAATAATATAATTAATAAGAAATATATGCCTTCTTTGTAATCATATAATTGCCTTGGGCATACATCTGTTGTAAGAACTGCTTAATTATTAAATAAAAGATAAATTTGTGGCTTTGAAAAAAAGATGAAATAGTTTTTGGCCTGAGAGAATAAAAGGGGAAACTCAGCCACCAGGGAGGAAGTCAGAGACTGTTAGCAAAAAGGAAAAGGTTTTAACTTCATTTATAAATAGACACAGAAGAGCTGAGGTTTCAGCCATGTAGGGAGGCTTAGCCTCAGTTTGGATCTTAGGTGTTGAGATGGGGCATAGAACAGACTGCTAAGGTAGCCAGGGGAGTCCAGAGTAGAAGGGAAGTATATCTACACTCTGCTGCACAGACCTCATAGGTGTTGGGAGATAGTGAGACCTAGCTGGACTAAAAGGGGAGAGGGAAAGGGAAGGGAAAATGAACTTTCCTGGGAGCTGGGAAGAAAGACTAGAAGTAGGCTGGTATTGTGCAGTTACATAAAAGTATCAAGACTGCAGTTTTTGTTCGTACTTATCGTCAAAGCCAGATATATCTATTAATTGTTCATGAATTAGAAGTGACAAATAAATTCCAGTTACGGATGGTGAATGTTAGGAAGAAAAGGGGACTTATTATAGAAACAGCATGTGTTCTACAAACAAGCATTTACTCTTACCAGCAAGAATTTCCAGAGAGTTGTATCCTAGGATTCTATCCCATAAAAGCAAGAGCTGATCTGTAGCTAAGTATCCAGAGAAAGCTCGAACCATCCACTTAAATGATATGCGAAGTCTATAAGCAAGGAAAAATAAAAATTAATGTACCACTGAAATTTTTTCTCATGAAAATGCAATATCAGAAGAACCCAACCAATTCTATTCAAGAGTCTTAGAAATCACCTGGGCATTTAAAACTTAAGTACTTTCTTGAAAGCTGCAAGAGTGCAGTGGTGAGAAACCATAAGTCCTCAAATTAGTGGTCTTAAAGTATTAAGAGGAAGAATTACACATGCTGGGTCCTCCTTTACTCTAGAGGTCAGCTTTTATAAAACCCATTTCTACATTCTGTTTTTCAGAGTGTATACTACTTAGCTATCAATGAGCTGACCTTCTGACAGTCTTAACAATTCCAGGCAATCTATAATAATTTGAATTTTTATTCAAAATACTTGAAAGATTGTTCAATGCCTGCATATTTTCTCAATTTAATAAATTATTTTCTACATTTCAGTCAAATGGCTATATAGGATGAATAAAATAAAATAACAAGTATGAGTATAAGGACAAAAATAGTTTTAAAGCTATGAGACATTAGAAATAGATTTCTGATTTCAAACACTTCATTTTAGTTAGGAGGTTATAGAACTCTGAAAGATCAGCCAGAAAATTCAATTAAATTCCATTTTGCTAAAACAATTCTAAGATGTATGAGATCTTACTACTTACAAGTAGGTTATGTTACAATAACAATTTATCTCTGAAATCAGGAAATGAACTCTTTGGCTCTGGTGCCTTAAGGGATCAACCAGTTCTTCATATTTCTGTATTATCTATTAGCATCTAATATCACTTGACTGTCCCTGACAGGTACTAGCTAAACTGTTTGCTGGAATTATCATATTTTGTCAATAAACATCTGTGCTATTCTCTTAAAAGACAGAAAAGGACCCAGAGGTTGCCTTGGTTGGTGTCATTGTATTAATTATCTTAAGACTGAAAAAGATCCTCAAGTTTCAGAAATTCCTCAATACTGCATAACTATTGTTCTAATATAACAAAGTACATGTAGGCACTAGTATTGACTAAGCTTTTTGGGTGGTTTTAGAATATCTCTTTATATATACAAAAGAAACTTTGGGCCACTGGATATTTTAATAACTTACAAAATACATTTGAATTTAAAGTCAAAATTATTAACTTCAGCTTGCTTCATTTTACTCAAATTCTCATAGTGTCATATTTGAGGAATAGTGCCACACATCCCCACCCACCAATATAGAAATAACATAGCATAGCTTTTTAGAAATAAAGCTTATTGTGCTATAATTTATGTATAGTCATCCTCCTACGGTTTCACTTTCTGTGGTTTCAGTTACCCATAGCCAACTGTGGTCACCAACAGTCCAAAAATATTAAATGAAAAATTCCAGAAATAATCCATAACTTTTAAATTGTGTGCTGTTTTGAGTAGCCTGGTGAAAGCTCGCACGGTCCCACTCCAGATATGAATCATCCCTTTGTCAGGTGTATCTATGCTGTACGTGCTACCCACATGTTAGTCACTTAGAAGCCACATTGGTTATCAGGTTGACTGTCCTGGTATCACAGCGCCTGTGTTCAAGTGACCCTTTTTTTTTTAACTTAATAATGGCCCCAAAGAGTAAGAGTAGTGATGCTTGCATATTGTTATAATTGTTCTATTTTATTATTAGTTATTGTAAATCTCTTGCTGTGCCTAATTATAAATTGAACTTTATCATAGTTATTCATATATAGGGAAAAACATCATGGTGTATATACAGGGCTCAGTACTATCCACAGTTTCAGGCACCCACTGGGGGTCTTGGAATATATCTCCCACAGATAAGGGGAAACTACAGTATAGCAGAAATTACCCTTATTAGTGTACAGTTCAATATGTTTTGTATGAAGAACCAGATGGAAATTATAGAACTGAAAAATACAATAACCGAAAAACCACACAAAAACATCTCACTAGATGGGATCCAATAGTAAAATGAGAATGATGGAGGAAAGAGCCAGAGAATTTGACTATAGATCAGTAGAAAATGTCCAATCTACACAATACAGAAAAAGGATTAAGAAAAAGTGAAGGGCTGTGTGTGGTGATGGCTGTAATCCCAGTGCTTTCGGAGGCTGAGACAGGAAGGAATACTTGAAGCCAGGAGTTTGAGACCAGCCTGAGCAACAAAGCAAGAACCTATCTCTATGGAAAAAAAAAAAAAAAAAATAGACCTGCAAGGACCTGTGAGAAAATAACAAACCTTATTTTTCTTCATCTTCTTTTTTTCTTTTATATCAAAAGTTTGAACATTTGTGCCACTGGATTGCCAGAAGAAAAGAAGAATGAGTATGGTGCAGAAAAAAATATTTAAAGTAATAATGGGTCAAAACTGCCAAATTTGGCAAAAGACATAAACTTATAAATTCAAGCTTAGCAAACACCCAAGAGGATAAATCCAAAGAAATCTATGCCTAGATATATCATAATCAAAGTGGTGAGAACTGAAAACAAAAATCTTGACAGTAGCCACAGAAAAATAAGGATTGATATCACTTCTTCCTGGAGTGCTTGGTAGAATTTGCCAGTGAAGCCATCTAGGCCTGAAGTTTATTTGAAGGTAGAATGTGATTAATTAAAGAAGTATATTGGCTGGGTGCGGTGGCTCACACCTGTAATCCCAGGACTTTGGGAGGCCAAGGCAGGCAGATTGCCTGAGGTCAGGAGTCCGAGACCAGTCTGGCCAACATGGTGAAACCCCGTCTCTACTAAAAATACAAAAAAAAAATTAGCTGCGCATGGTGGCGTGCACCTGTAATCCCAGCTACTTGGGAGGCTGAGGCAGGGGAATTGCCTGAACCAGGGAGGTGAGGTTGCAGTGAGCCAAGATCGCATCACTGCACTCCAGCCTGGGTGACAGAGTGAGACTCCATCTCAAAAAAAAAAAAAAAAAAAAAAAAAAAAGAAGTATATTGTAAACCTCATGGCACCTATCAAAAACATACTTTAAAAGTATAAAAATCTAATAGTGGAGATAAAATGGAATAAAAAATGTTCAATTCAAAAGTAGGCAGAGAATGAGAAAAAAGGAATAAAGAGAACATGGAATAACTAAAAAAATTTAGTAATATAGTTGATTCCAATTCAATAATATCAATTTTATTAACTATAAATGGTATAAACACACCGATTAAGAAACAGACTGCCACATAGGAAGACCCAACTTTCGATAAGAAATCCACTTAAAAAAAGATATTGATAATCAATATGTTAAGTAAAAGAATAGAAAAGAATGTATCATGCAATTATAATCAAAAGAAAGCTGGAATGGCTATATTAATATCAGACATAGTAGATTTATTACTAGGAATAAAACAGGACATTATATAATAATAAAGTGATCAATTCTCCTAAAAACAAAGCATCCAAATACGTGAAGAAAAAGACAAAGCACTAAAGGAAGACATAGACAAAATCCACAATTATAATTAGAGCTGATCACATTTCTCTTTCAATAATTAATAGAAAAAGTAGACAGAAAATTAGTAAGTGTATACAAGGTTTGAACATCATTATTAACAAACTTGATTCCTTGACATTTATATGACATTCTGCCCGATACTTGCAGAATACAAATTTTTTTCAGGTGCACATGGACCAAGACAGATCATGTTCTGGATCAAAAAACAAACTTCAACACATTTAAAACAACTGAAATCATGTGAAGCATGCTGTTTAACTGCAACAGAATTAAAACAGAAATAAATGCCAGAAAGATAGCTTTCCAAATATTTAGAAATTAAACAACGTACTTTTACATAACCCATATTCAAAGAGGAAACCACAGGATAAATTATGAAACATTTCTAATTAAATAAAAATGAAAATATAACATATCAAAATTTGTTAGGTGGAGGTAAATAAGTAATTTGAGGGAAATCTGTAACATTAATGCTTATATTAGAAAAAAAGAAAGTCCCAAATCAATGATCTAACTTCTACCTTAAACAAGCAGAAAGACAAGAGCAAAATAAATCTAATGCAAGCAAAAAGAAGAAAATAATAAATATAAGAGTAAAAATAAATAAAATTAAAGTAGAAAAACAACAGAGAAAAAGAATCAATGGTACAAAAAACTGATTCTTTCAAAGATGAATAAAATTGATAAACCTGCAGCCAGAATAATCAAGAAAAAATGGGAGATAATACAATTACTAATCTCAGGAATGACAAAGATGATGTCACTACTAACCCTATAAATATTAAAAAGGCTAAGCATAGAGAATATTATGAATAACTTTCTGTTTATAAATATGATAACCTAGTAAAAGACATAAACTACTGAAGCTTATTCAAAAAGAAATAGATAACCCAAGTAGTCCTATATCTATTAAAGAAATTAAATTCAAAATTAAAAAACCTTCCAAAAGCTTCAGTTTTTAAAAAAATGATTTCTACCTTGACAATTAGAATTTTTACACTTTTCCTATATAGGAATTTTAATGTTTATCATGTCATTGAAATAAATTTATTTCTTTTAATGAGTAAAGTATACAAACAGGCTAGAAAAAATATTTGTTTCTAGTAATGAACTAAATGTCTTCATCCTAGTAAAGAAAACCCTACTTATACTCCAATGTTCATTTCACAATAGCAAAAAGAAGTCAATTTACTACAAGAATAAAAGTCTTATGCTCAATATAAAATATTTCTGAATCATGAATAGAATTTTGTTTTTTAATGGCTATAAAGGAAAGGGTATCCACTCAGTATTATCAATGGATGATATGAGGTATTATTTTATAAAGGCCATCTCTAAGATGTCTGAAATTCAATGGTACTTTATAAAAAGGAGATTATATATCTACCTATCTCTATCTCCATCTTGATTGTTATCTCCATCTTTATAATCAGTCAATCTTGAAACAACTCTGCAAGGTACTAATTCTCTTGATTTTTAAGATAAACAAACTGAATTATCTTAACGTAAAGAAATTGAGGCTTTGATAAATTAAAAAACTTCACCAGGATTACAAAGCTTAACAGAAATGGAATTTGAATCTGGATTAAATTTCCACCCACTGAGCTATCTATTTGCTATGGATTCAAGAGTGGAGAAGACAAATGCTATACTATTCTATCTCCCACTAACTTCTTTTGTGGCCTCAAGGAGTTAATACTTTTTTCAAATATGCCCTCCTTAACAGGAGAAAATAGCTGCACAGAGAAGACAGGAAGAAAACACTGATAAACCATTTGGAAAGTTCTCTTGCTTTAGACATTTTTTTTTAAAAGAGAGAGATAGAACCAATAATCTTGAAGTCCAGAGATACTATACATATTCACTTATAACTCATGCTGAGACCAATGAACAAAACTCAAATTTTAGAAAGGAGAAATCACAGTGTACAACCATTGATAGGTACCTGATTTGCTTTCCTTTAAGAAAAGACAGCCAACTTTAACTTTTATAGTTTTCATAGGTTATTCTCTGATAAATGTGGCCTATATTGAATTAAGTTTAGTATGATCATGTTTCTCAGGTAGTATTTGTTTCCACAAATGTTTGCTTCAGTTTTGGCTGACACCTTTCGTTATGAATAGAAATTGGTTCATTTTGGTGATTCTTGTACCAGACACAAAAATCCTAGTAAATAAGACTTTATTAGGATTTTGGTAATTCTTTCAAGAATTTTTGGAACAATGTTATTACAATTTACTAATTGATAATTATAGTTTTATTAGGAAAACTGTTAGCTTAATGTCTCTGAAAAATTACGTATTTGCAAGTGCTCTGCAATGAGGAAAAAAGAGCTTTCTGTGAAACTATCTATTCTTCAATTAGGAGAGAAAAGTACTCACGGTTGAGCCCCAATTTCTCGTAGATGATAAAAGAGTTGGGGAAGATAAGTTTGAAGAAGAGTTTCAAACAGCAGACAGAGTGACACAATACCCTGGATACAATAATGAATCATAAGAGAAATAGATATTTTAATATTTAAAAATTAACTATGCCAACAAATTATTCAAATGGAAAATGAGAAACTATCAACATAAATTTTCTTTATACTGTTTAAGAGTCAAAAACATGAAATGTATTAAAGAATCTCTAACATTGTGTTTAGAGATAAACTTTATCCTCTTTATATATACTCACACATACAGATGTGCTAAAGAGCCTCCCTTTTTACACAATATGCTCCCCACATAAACCAGTATATAATATTTGGAGAGTCCAAGGAAAATATCACCTTACAGAAAACTTGCTACTTTGCAAGCCACTATGATTACTTAGCCCCAGCAAAATTAGTTTTTATCTGAATGCATTCCAGTTTCCAGTTATTTCCCTAGTGCTATATAGCCACCTTCACTCTCCCTCCATATGTCCCTTCCCCTCCAGCCTCACTCACTAGGGAAAATACTGCCTGCTTTTCTCACTCTTTCTTTGAAATCTACCCCCAGGAAAAGACTAGCAGCTAGCTGCTTTAAATTTGCTTCAGAAGTTATTGAACAAGAATGTTTGATTACTTAGTATACACATATTTTTTAAAACTAAAATCTACTGTTTTTAAAAGGGCATTATTTGTAAAGTACAAAACCAATTTAAGCAGATAGTTTTTCAAGTACATTTATTATTTGACAACTCTGAATAAAGTCTTTCCTGCAGCTTAGCATTCCTCAGAGTTTATCTTTGTAAGGAAGTTTTAATCCTCTTTTTGTGTTTCTAAAGAAAAAAAGACTGTCATGGTTCCAAATAGTTCAGTCTAGCTGCAAGCCAAAAAAGGTGGTGACTGCCCGTAAGTTTTTACTCCTCTGAATAAAAAAAAAAAAAAGGACAGAGGCAGGCCTGGCTCAATCAATTCGCTGAAAAAGAATACCCAGGGCCACCAGCATAGAGATAGACAAGAAATACCCAGAGTTGCCCAGTGCCAGGCTTCAGTGCTCTGCACAGGGAGAACACCATGGGTGTGTGCTATGCAGCCAGTTTTTTTAAACTCTGAAGCATAAAATGGCATAGAATATGAGCATAGAAATATGATACTTAGAACTGAATATCAGAAAAGAATTATTAATCTTTTTTTTTTTTTTTTTTTTTTTTGAGACAGAGTCTCGCTCTGTCGCCCAGGCCGGACTGCGGACTGTAGTGGCGCAATCTCGGCTCACTGCAAGCTCCGCTTCCCGGGTTCACGCCATTCTCCTGCCTCAGCCTCCCGAGTAGCTGGGACTACAGGCGCCCGCCACCGCGCCAGGCTAATTTTTTGTATTTTTAGTAGAGACGGGGTTTCACCTTGTTAGCCAGGATGGTCTCGATCTCCTGACCTCATGATCCACCCGCCTCGGCCTCCCAAAGTGCTGGGATTACAGGCGTGAGCCACCACGCCCGGCCAGAAAAGAATTATTAATCTTAATTATTGGTCATATTTCTGATTATTCCAGATTAAATATTAAAGTAAGATAAGAACAAAATCAAGTTCTCTTAGAGATAAGAAACCCAGGATAACTGGTGTTGCTTCATTTGTTTATCTGTAACATCCTGGAATTCTGTGATTTGCCAACTTTCACTAGCGATGTATGAAAGCAAAACTGGAGATGGAGGAAGGTGAAATAGGAATATATAGGCTTAGAATGGGGGGATAAAGAACAGCTATTTAATTTCATAGCAATAATACAGTTGCCTCTTTGGGGAAATTTAGTAGCCCTGACATATATTCCAATTGAATGTTTCACCTGGAGTAGCAGTCATGTTACCCACAGCAGGTCCAAAGGGGGAAAAAAAGCATAACTGAAATAAAATAAATACTGCTCTTAGTCAGGTTTATGGGAAGGGAAAAAAAAGATATGATAAAGGAACAGCCAAAAGAGAACAGATTAAAATGTTCAACTCCTAAATATATGCTTTTCCTTGATTCTTATATTGTAGGCCAAAGGATCATTTTATTGAATACAAAGAAAATATGTACTATTATAACTGATAATTAGCCAAATATGAAATTGGCAAACAAGTGACAAATCAATACTTGATTTTCACTAACAAAGAAGAATGATGATTATAATTATAACAACAACGGCCATTTATTTACTGAACACCTGCGAGGAGCCAAGCACTAACTACACTGAGTGCTTTGTAGACTTTTCTACAGCACTAGAGATAATATATTATTTACTTCATTTCATAGATAAGAAATGAGAAAAGAAGGTAGGCATCTTTGCTAAGAATAATAATACAGACATTCTAATTTTTTTAATATGTAAAAGAAAAAAATCATTTAAATGTAGTTGACAAGAGACTTTTTCTGTTTAAATTATTACCAAAATATTTAAATATCAATTTCATCTTCTCTGTCATTTTTGCAATAAAAACACATTGCTTGACATCACAAATTAAAATTTGTTGCGTTAGAATTTGAGTAGAAGACTTTTTCTTAACAGAAAGAAAGAATAGATTACAATCCAACCTAATTTGATCAAGTTTTTCTTATGAACTTACAGAAGGATGAGAAGAGATGGAATGGAGTCTGAAGAAAAAACGCACATACATCTCACGGAATATCTGATACAATTTGGAAGGTTCATGGTATAGAAAACAAAGTGGTGCAACTGAAAGAAAAAAATTAATTTATAATACTGCAGAACTACTGAAATGTTAAGATAAATTTATAAAATATGTCATAATAAATCACTATTTTATAGTAATCATATACACCACCAGACAAGTTTAAAATCATACTACTTTTTTTCATTTTGAGAGGGGAATATATGCATATGTAAAGTTCAAACAGCCATTAAATATTATACAGAAAGGAATATATTACAAACTATTATAATCCCAATTTAACAGATGCCTAAGAATGATATTATGGAATTATACAGAAATATGAAAAGTTCCAAGTAACTTATAAAAACTACATAAGTCAAATCTCTCCTTTTTTTAATTGAAGTAATAAGAAAATAACAACCAGGCAGCTTATTTTTACTTTCTCTCACAAAAGATTCAGGCCACATTTCAAAATTTTTAATTTTGGAAGTCAGGTAAGTAAAACAGATGATTTATGACTTTTAGAATCATGGTCTTCAATTAATTCAATTTGAAAATAAAGATTTTGAGTAATAGCTGTATACTACTGGTCTTTATCGCTATATCCCCATATATATTCATCAACTGAAAACAATCCTTAGGCAGAAAGGATTTATTTCTCTAATGAATGTAGAATTGACTGCCCCCAGTTTGTAGCAATTAAGCACAGCTGGGTCAACTCAACCAGACATTCCACAGTTGAATGTCAGAAAGTCCTAATCTTGGATTGGCGACCTACCTGAGCATGTGATTATTCTACACTGACAAAGGTGGTCATGCTTTCCATCTTTTCAAGCCTTAAGTATTTTAGGCAGCATAGAGACAAATTTATAATGCAGATAGATACAACTGCATTACCTAAATATTAATTTTAATAAAAAATGCCTTACAGGGTAATTTCAAACAATATGTATTGGACAAGTAAGAATTTCTGGGGCTCTATAATCTGTTGGTAATGCTCTGAGGGCAATAAGCACTAAGTAAGCAAGGAAGTCAGTGGGCCAGTTGTGCTCTCTTCTTTTTGACAAAGTAAAAGGAAAAATAGTAAAATATTTTAAATTCTTTCAAACACAAAAGTTCAATTTTCTGGGATAAACAGCAATGCACAGTATTACTGATAAATAAGTCATTAAAAATTAGCATTGCAAGTGAGAATTTTTATTTTTTCTGAAGGGCAAAAGAGAAATCACTTTTGGGGGTAAATATCTAAATTCATATAAAAATACATACTTGTATATATATAGAAAAATGTATTACAATATGTATTATAAATAAAATTTAAAAAAGACAGGTATGTCTATTTCAAGACTAATTTTTAAAACTTATTTTACTATTAAATAAATTGCTACTTATAAAAACAGCCCAAATTAGGATATTTCATATATTTACAAATAGTAACTCATGCTCTAATTACAATAACAACCTAAGAAACAACAGTGTGGTACAAATATATGGTATTATTATAAATCTAAGACTAAGGTTTGGAACTTCTTTATTTTTAAAAAATGATGCATATTTTTTCCTCCAATTCTTAGATATTGATATGTGAAAACTTATAACCTGAATCTGAAGATGGTATGGATTCAGTAATTATTAATGAAAATTTCCAGTGAAGAAATGAAAAGAGAATTTTAAAATAAGCATGTTTCTACGAATACATAAAATATAAAAGAAATTTACAATTAGTTTTTATTCAAGATACCACAGTTGTTTATGTTGAATTCCTTTATATAGCTATGAAATGGAAAAGCTTTAGTCCATTATAGATTATATGTAAAAAAGATTCTACATGACTTAATTTTTAATTTTAAGCATCCTTTCCTATTTGGTTCTTCCATAAAAATAAATTTAGCTAATTATCTTTTAAACCAATGAAAGACTATACTGTAGGAATTTATGACACCATAATATACTATACACCTACAATAAAACTTCATTAATCTGCATAAATAGAAGAGCAGAAGGTATTTTAAATTAGAGAAGAGTTCTGAGTAAATTTTAAAATAAATTACTATCTTTTGGTTTCCTTTTTAATGACAGCCTATCATTAAAGATCTGTATCAATGTTTAAAAGAGATAAGTATTATAATTTTAAAGAAATATAGTAACTAAAACTGAAATGGCAAAGTACTAACTAGAGTTCCTTAGGGATGATTTGTGATTATTTTTGTACACTGGTTCTAAATAAGTGGTTGCTGGTAAAGTTTTTGTGGATGTTTAAAATAGTTTTCTAAAATAGTATAAATAAATTCCATATCAAACATTTTGCATCATTGTTAGCAAATGCTTTCCCCTTGGGTGTATAAACTGTAGCCTATTTAAATGACCATAAATGTGAATAGGCAGAGGCTGAGTCAATGATATATTTTAAACACCAGAAGATCTTGCTAGAAGATTTAAACTTTGATGACATCAAGTATCCTCCAAATCATTCAAGTACAACTTCCAAAAACGATTTACTTGAAAAATTTTTGCAGTTGGAACTATTAAAGTAGAAAGATAAAAAGTGAACATTTTTATTATTAGATGTAAAAATTTATATTATTAATCTTTTTTGGTTTTCTATTTTAAATTCTTCACATATATAAGATAAATACGCTGTAAGGTCTCTATAACATTATGTATTATGTTATGAAATTTTGGTTGCCCAAGAGAATAAAGCTGAGTACCCTATAATTCAAGCCTGTGACTAACACCAAGTATAGCATAAAGTCCCTAGGTACTTTGACTCGTTTTCATTGAACGATAGTTTTATATTATGTCATTCACCACGACCATCTGATGTTGAACACTGATGTTTACAAAGAAAAGTGTTTATTGCAGATTCTTGGTACAAAGGCAAAACATTAATGTATTTCTGTTCATTCTAAAGGTAGGGGATAGAAATAAAGGGGACAACAATCTTTAATAAGTTTATATGTAACACTTGAAAACTTAAAAATTAAGTGGCATTAAAGTGTAGAGAGTTCTTCCTTTTGCTAATCTTCATAAGCTTCTTGCATTCCTCATTTAATGACACATGAGGCCTCAGAGACACTCAGAGCTCTCAAGCCTGCATATGCATCACCCACGTGTATCTCAGGTGACTGAATGCTCTGATGTAATTGTGGCTGTGCATATAAGTAGCCTGGAGAAATCATGAGCTCAAACTCAGTACTGTTCCTTCCTTAGCATTCTTTCTGACCTATTATTTTCAAAAAACTCTTAAGAGAATTACCTTAGGAATTTAAGCCATCTGATTTTACACCTATTAGAGCTAAATATTAATATGTATCTCTAGTTTCCATTGGACTAAAAAATGGTAAACCACAGGACCATTTTCACAGTATGTTCTATTTTTTTATTATACTTTAAGTTTTAGGGTACATGTGCACATTGTGCAGGTTAGTTACATACGTATACATGTGCCATGCTGGTGCGCTGCACCCACTAACTTGTCATCTAGCATTAGGTATATCTCCCAATGCTATCCCTCCCCCCTCCCCCAACCCCACAACAGTCCCCAGAGTGTGATGTTCCCCTTCCTGTGTCCATGTGATCTCATTGTTCAATTCCCACCTATGAATGAGAATATGCGGTGTTTGGTTTTTTGTTCTTGCGATAGTTTACTGAGAATGATGATTTCCAATTTCATCCATGTCCCTACAAAGGACATGAACTCATCATTTTTTATGGCTGCATAGTATTCCATGGTGTATATGTGCCACATTTTCTTAATCCAGTCTATCATTGTTAGACATGGGTTGGTTCCAAGTCTTTGCTATTGTGAATAATGCCACAATAAACATACATGTGCATGTGTCTTTATAGCAGCATGATTTATAGTCCTTTGGGTATATACCCAGTAATGGGATGGCTGGGTCAAATGGTATTTCTAGTTCTAGATCCCTGAGGAATCGCCACACTGACTTCCACAATGGTTGAACTAGTTTACAGTCCCACCAACAGTGTAAAAGTGTTCCTATTTCTCCACATCCTCTCCAGCACCTATTGTTTCCTGACTTTTTAATGATTGCCATTCTAACTGGTGTGAGATGGTATCTCATTGTGGTTTTGATTTGCATTTCTCTGATGGCCAGCAGCCTCCCAAAATGCTGAGATTACAAGCGTGAGCCACCACGCCTGGACTATTAAACTCAACATTTTAAAACGTTCATAATAACTTGTGGGTGATTAGAAATAAAGTGGTGTTCTTTTTGTTCAATTTTCTAATGTGTAATAAAAATAATAATTAAAAAAAATGAAGCCCCTATGGGGAACTAGCATGCATTTCACTTTATTTTTTCCTTTATTGTTTTACTATAGTAAAACAATTATATCTGTCAGTCATTATTTTTTAAATTGACAGATAACATTGTATGTTTTGTGTACATTATGATGTTTTTAAAGCCCAACTTACCATACATTGAAAATCCATGAAAAGGGATAACACCTAAAAAAAAAAAGGTATTTCTTTTCAATAAGTAGTAGGCCTACTGATTATTAGGTAAGCTTTAAAAGATTAAAACTGACAATAAAAAGGTTTTCTATTTTTGCTTCAACTCTGTTCATAAATGTCAGAAAGACTTAGTGATAGTAAACAATAAAGAGATATTTTTAATACCTTCAGAAAAGTAAACTAGAGGCTTTAAAACATATATCCAGTTAACATTCTATTAATATTGAGAAATCAAAGCTTTGAATATATATATGTGTATATATACGTGTATATATGTGTACATACATATACACATACACACATATGTGTATACAAATATACACACACATGTGTATACATATATACATATATACATGTGTATACATATATACATGTGTATACATATATACATATATACATGTGTGTACACATATACATATATACATGTGTATACACATATACATATGTGTATACATATATACATATACATATGTGTATACATATATACATATACATATGTGTATACATATATACACACATATATGTGTATGTACACATGTGTGTATATATACACACACATACGTATACATATACACACACAAAACAACAGGACAAAAACATAACGAGACAGATCACAGAATTAAGTTTAAGAACTAATTATAATGGTCTCAGAAAGTCAATAGATTATGTCCCTCCTGAAACAACTTCACTGTGTATATTAGAATCGAATATGCTAAAAGATAAGTGAGCTTTTCAAGGCACTTCTTGAAAACATTTGCTTTACAGAAAACACTATGGGTGTTAAGTAAACTAACTGAAAATTAATCATGGGATATGGCTTTAGAAGAAATATTGGCAGAAATACGATACAAATTCAGTATAATCTTTGGCAATAATTACACACAAGTAAAGTACACATCCTTTTCAAATAAATACTCAAAGCCTAACTTGGTGTGCTAAACATCGTCTCACATTCCAAGTAAAAAATTTGAATTTGTACAGTTTAGTTCAAAACAGAAGTTTTGTAATATATACCACCATATAGCTAACACTACTAAATCAGGTTGCAAACACAGCACAGAAGAAAGCTGCTAAGTTACATTTTTGAAAAATAATATAGAAATGCTTTATTCAGACATGTTCACAGGCAAAAATTTTGTGCTTGTGGTCATATAGAGTGAGTTCTAATAAATGATAGTTCAGCCTCAGTTTAAAACATGTCCAGCGATAGCAGAAGCATTAATTCCCAATGCAACTCATTACAATTTTGAATGGGTTTAATTTGGAAGGAGCTATTTTCTCATAGTGAGCCAAACTCTGGCTCCCTGAAATTTCTACTTAGTATTCTTAGTTCTGACTACAAAGGTCACACAGAACAAATCTAATTTATCTTCTATGTGAAAATGTTCAGAAATATTTGAAGACACTGCTCTCTCTCCTGCTCTATCACCATCAGGATTTCTTGCTCCAAGACTTCATGAATTTCTTCAAATTTTCCTGAGATGAGGTGGTCTTGAAAAGCTTCCATATTTTATTTTATTCTAACCAGTTACAGTTCACTGCAGTCCTTAAAGTGAGCTGACTAAAATCTCTAATCATTTTCCCTCCCTACACACCCAACAGCTAAGACAGTGTTCTTGGACAGTTGTTCCCGGACTTCACGAAAGGGTTATATTTTTATCCCTATTACATTTCTTCTTTGGTGAACCACTCCAGTTAGAGATAATAATCCTGAATTCTATTCTGTTATCTAATGCATTCTCTAGTTCTCCTGATTCTACAAAACTGAAAAATTTGATAAGTATACCATGTCCTCATCAAAAGCAATATAAAAATGCTGAACATGACGGGGTGAAGACTAGAATTATCAGTAGAAACTCCTTTCATATTGATGTCAATGCATTAATCAGCAACCTGTTGCGATAAGGGCATGGACTGGATGTCAGACAGACTTGGTTGGGTTCATCCGGTTCTATCACTAAAGAGTGTGTGTGTGTGTGTGTGTGTGTCTTTGCATATGTCTCTTAACTTCTCTAAGCTTTAGCTTCCTCATCTGTAAATCAGAGATAACGCTAGAACTCACATAATATGATTAAATGAGATAACAGTTGTGGCTCAGCCATTAATAAATAGCTTAGGGCCTATACTATTTATTTAAATAGCTTAGGCTATTATTTGTTAATAAGCAAATGTTAATTGTTGATGTTATCATTTACAAGTTAGTTCATACTTCTTTGTTGTTTCTAGAAGCAATTTTATCAAAAATAGTATGAGAAAAGCCAAATTATTCTGAGCTGGTATGCCAGGCCAACCATCTTCAGAATTTTGTGCAGCACTGCTTTAAGCTCACAAGTGAAAATTCTGAGGATTGACATTTTCTCTAGTCTTCTAGCACACAGATTCATGTTCTCCAACTTCTGCTGAATTTTATGTTGTGTATCAATTTTCTTATTCCTCTCTATATGATTAGCCACCCCATTCTTTCAAAATTTCCTCCCTTTTCAAGTGTTTAACACTGAATTGTAGACTTCACTTTCTCCTCACTACGAGGCTGATGCCATTGACATGAACTCCTTCCTTTGGCTGTTCTTCATATTTCATGTTTTCTCACTTACAGCCCAGAGGAGGATGTATCCTTTTTCTTTTTCACCCAACATCTTCACCTGTGCTCTAAATCGTGTTTCCTTGACTTTCAGAGTGACTGGCAAGCAGCAGTCAGGTTTGCAGCTTGTTTATGTGTGGCCTGTGAGCTAAGAATGGCTTTTACATATTTTAAAGGATTATTTCAAAAACAACAAAGAATAATATGGGACATGGACTGTTTGTGGCCAGCAAAATGTGAAATATTTACCATCTGGCTGGTTAAAGGAAAAGTCTGCCAAACCCTGCTTCGGACTCCTGCCCCATCAACCATCCCTTCCCCCTTGCTGCACATGCATCATTCCACACACATGTGCTGTGTCCCTGCGATGTGCCAGACACTGTTCTAAGAACTGTAGCTGCCATTTGATTAGGGACAAAACAATCATAATAAAAATAAGCGAATACATGTCAGATAGTAATAAGGGCTATGAAGAAAAATAATGGAGGGAAGGAGGACAAGGCCAGGCTAGGGCGGAGGAGGACTTACTGATAAAGAGCCCTTAAGCTGTGGAGGTGAGAATCATCTGACAAGGGTGACCTGGAAGCCCTAGCTTCATGTGATGATTGTCATAAACAGGGTTACCTTTACTGAGGGCAACTGGTCTTCAGCCGGATAGTGGTGGGATCTGCTCTTTACTCCTCTAACGAAGCAGAGTAGAAGCAAGGGGTGGGTGTATCTTATCAAAGTAATCATATCTTTAGTCTTTCATATTTCACTGCATCCTTTCAGCCAAGGATGTTACGAATATTCTTACACATAATAATAAGAAGAAATAAGAAAGAAGAAGAAAAAATAGGAAGGAAGGAAGAAGTAGTCAATTTTTTTTCCCGGACCCTACTTTCCCATCAAACAAATCTCTAATCTCGCTCATTTTCTCAAAGCCAGGCTTAATTTTTTTTAAACTGTATTGACTTCCTTTACTTCCTTATTATGTATCCTCAAAATCTCGCAAATGGTTTCCCATCCCTACGGACGTAACTTCTGATTGCCAAATCCAGGGGTTTCCCTTCTTTGTATGCTGTACTTAATGGCCTCACAGTCAAACTTGAGTCTACCACGGCATTGATGACACGACGCAGATCGGGCTTCTTGTCCCACAGAAACTTTTGCTGCTCAGTTTTTTGTGAGTGTTTGTTTTGTTTCTGGCAGTTCTCTCTTCTGCGCACTCCTTCAATATAGCTCTGAGACTCTGTATACTTGTTTTCTCTTTCGCTCTACCAGTATTCTCATTATTAATCCATAATACCAACCTTAAAAGCCCAGTATCCTCAGGCTCCTTCTGGTCTCTATTTTTGTAAATGACTCACCACCTCCCTAGTCATTCAGGGAAGAAACTTTTGAGTCATTTTTGCTCTCTTGTTCTCCCTTAGCCCTTATACCTAAATGTGATTATGTACCTCTCCTGTCTCTTTTGGATAAGGACCACTTAACTCTTCAGTCTTCATTCCTTCTCTGTACCCCACAAGCACTGCTCTAATCCCTCCAAATTGATCGCCACCCCTTCAGCCTCTGGGTGCAAGACAAGGGCTATAGGCAATGTTCTCCTCTACCTCTGGCCCTGTCCCTGCCCTACTCCTTCATAATTTTAAACAATAATCTTCCTAGAAAGATCTCCCTGATAGCCTTGATCCCTCCCCCTAAGCAATTCATTAATCGGTCCTCTTCTTTCAGTTGATTTGCCCTCATTGATTGAGGTACTACTCCTACACACTGTGCAATTCTGACTCCAGCACTTTCTACCTGTGTACGCTTACGTATGTTACTTAACCTGCTTCCTCATCCAAAGCTGCTTTTAGACTAAGGCACAGGGGCTTGAGCTGAGGGCTCTGTGACCCTCCTCCGGCTGTACTCCTTATCCAGAGCCAATGTTTCTCCTTCCAGACCACATCCAAGGTACCCAAGACTCTGAAATTCTGAGCCCAAAGGCTCCTAAGACAGCTTCCAGAGCCTGCATGTTCTCTTTGGTGGGGAAGAGAAGAGAAGGTATACACCTCCTGATATACCTGTATACCTCAGGACAGAGAGGTGGCCAAAGGCTGGCTATTTGTGGAAACTGTGAACAGAGGCTGGACCTGCAGGCTTCTGTCCATGAAGCCTGTCCAAGGTGTGAAGTGGAGCCGTAAATGAGAAGTGGGTGGGGATACCACAGGCTAGGGAAGGATGAAGAGTCTGATAATTCTGAATTCAAACCTGGCCTTCCAGATTGTTATCAAAGTATACGTGTCAAGGAAAGAAAATAGAGTAGACTTTATCAGTTTATGAGTCTAATTTATAACTTTTATATATTTTGACTTATGGTAGGTGGGCCTCTATTCGTACTTCTGCTCTGGGCCCTGCAAAGGTTGGAGAGAAACTTGCCTTCAACAATCAAGTGGGAACAATACCAATGAGGTGGTGAGGATTAAATATTATAATATATGCAATATGATTAGCACAATATTTGATACAAAGGCAGTACTTAAGAATTGTATTCCTTTCCCTATCTTACTGTCTTTTAATAATTTTTTATTTTTTTCTCTCCCAGTAGAATAAATCCTTTGAGCATGGGAACTGCTTTTTATTTATGTATCTCTATATCCAGAGACCAAGCACAGTGCCCAGAATATAACAGGTACTCATTAAATGCTTGCAGAATGAATATATGCATCTGTAGGGAGTCTACCTCTATCATTTTTTAACCTTTTATTTCCTTCCATACTGCCATGATCAGAATTCTGTCCCTAATAAACTCTTACCTATGGTTCTGTAAGAGCCTCCTAATTGGTATCCTTTCCTCCAAACTCTCAGTTCTCTAACCAGTTTTTGACATTAGAGAGCTCAAGTTATCTTTCAAAAATATTAATGAGACCATGAAAAAGTTCTCTACATCCACTGAGGACTTTCCACTATTTATCCATCTACCAAATATTTGCTGAGCTCCTACTCATCTAATTAACAAATATTTAAAAACCTACTCTGTAGCCTCTGGAGATATTAAAATAAATATGACATTGTCCCTGTATTTATAGAGCTCACACTCTAGCCTTATAATATAGGCTAAGTGTATACACAGTAAAATTCAAGACCTTTGATCTGGCCTTAAACATTCATGATTATGTCCTGCAACCTGAGCTACATCTGCCTCCCCCTTGGCATACTATCCTAACTCCATACTCTCCGTAGTATAGTCACACTAGATTATTTATCATCACCAGTATCCCTACAGTTTGATAGCTCTGAACTTGATAATTCTTTATTCTATTTAGCCATCAAAACCTTACTAAGGTCAGCTATAACCTCAGACAAACATTTCCTGATCTCTTAATCATAATTAAATGCTCATTCTTCTGCATTCTCATGGTACTTAGTTCATATTTCCAACACTATGATTTCACTCTGTTTTGTGTTATAATTAGCTGTTTAACAGGTTGTTCCTGAGGATAGGAAATATATTTTATTCATCTGAGTATACAACTCATGGTGCCACGTACATAGTTGATGATATACATCTTTGCAGAATGAAGAGATGAGTAAATCATAGGTACAGAAGCAGCAAGAGAAGTATTGGTCTCTAGTTAGGAGATCAAAGTTCAATTGTGGGCTTAACACAAACCAGCTGGGTAACCTTAGGAACGTCATCAAACCTGCTGAGCTTCAGTAACCTGCCTGACACACAAGGGGACTATGATTGCCTCTGATGTATTATCTAACTCTAAAATTAGATGTTAACAATTAAGTCTAGAGGAAATGCGAAAAAAATTGTGAGACTTGAAGAAAACAGTACCTATAAAGATTTTCCAACAGTAAGACTCTTTTCTTTTTTTCTTTTTTTGAGACGGAGTCTCGCTCTGTCGCCGAGGCTGAAGTGCAGTGACGCGATTTCGGCTCACTTCAAGCTCCGCCTCCCGGGTTCAGGCCATTCTCCTGCCTCAGCCTTCTGAGTAGCTGGGACTACAGGCGCCCGCCATCACGCCCGGCTAATTTTTTTTGTATTTTTAGTAGAGACGGGGTTTCACCATATTAGCCAGGATGGTCTCGATCTCCTGACCTCGTGATCCGCCCGCCTCAACCTCCCAAAGTGCTGGGATTACAGGCGTGAGCCACCACGCCCGGCCAATAGTAAGGCTCTTTAACAACTTAAAGGCCCTTTGCATTCTAGAAACTAAAAAAATTAAAAACCAGATTAGAAGGTCAATATTCCCAATGACACTATAGCCACCAGCTTCATTTCCAGGGACCATCTGGAAGGAGAGCTCAAAAAACATTTCTTTTTCAAGTCTTTCTCTATATTCTTTGGTTGAGTCTCTTTTTCTTCCGCCCATCTTTTTTTTACCTTCCTACTGCCTCTGCTGTTTCATGTTATTTCCTTTACTAATTATAAACTTTTAAAAAATAATTACAAAGTTTGTCTTTTCTAACTTTTCTTCAATAAACATGTTGACATGTGAAAGAAAAACTCAGAGAGAAAAATAAGTTAATAAATAGTAGGCATATTTTGATGCCTTATAAAAGTGTAAGTACATATTATATCTTTCTAAATACTAAATCTCAAAGCAGATTGCTATTATATAAAAACCTGACAGCCTTACTTAAAAAACACTTTTGCCTTCCTCTTTTAAGCCACTGCACTGCAGAAACATTTCAACAAGTGGCTAAGGTAGTCAGAAATGAAGACATTATTAATATTTTCATCTTATAAAAATACTTATTCAGGATCTGCTAAGTGTAAGAATACCCTAGTCAGGACAAGGCACTTTTAATAAGAAAGCTTACAATAAATTAATTAGTGAACTATGAAGCAGCAAAAAGGGATGCAAGTATTAAGATGAGTCATGTTTAACCACTTTTACTACATTTCCCCCAAGTTCTGAAATCTATAGCTTCTCTTTAAGTAGCTAGGATACAAGCTGTTTGAAGAAAGAACTGTATTTCATACTGTGTATTATCTTCAGCATCCAGCACAGTGTCTTCCACAAGTGAGATGCCCAGTAAATGTTAATGATGGAAATTTGAGCATTTATAAATATAATCAAGGCTTATAAATAAAATACTAAAATATAAAATTCATTTATAAATAAGTAAGATATAGAACAGAAGGCTTTTGATAACTCAATGTTGAAAGAACAAATGACCAAAGAAGTCATATAGACATGAATTTGAATCCTGTGTGACTCTGGGCAAGTTACGAACCCTTGCTGAAACCATATTTTCATTTCTGAAAATGGAGATAAACAAGATCAACTTCATTGGGTTGCACTACAAAGCACAACGGAGTTAATTTATTTAAAGTGTGCCAGTGTGGTGTTCAGTCCATAGCAGATGCTCAATAACCCATACCTATTTTATGCTCTCAGAAGGCAAAGTGCCACATTAACATATCAGCTTAAACCTAAGAAAATCTTTTTTTGTCAGTATCAGATAAAGGCACACTCAGCTTAGCCAAGATTAGTCTGGGCTTAAGGCTCCAAAAAAAGGCTACACAGTCCGCTTTGTTGAAGGACGAGTCAGATTCTGGTAAACAAAATCTGGAGGCATAAGAAGCAGTGAAGAATCCATTAACACTGTAGGGTGCATACTACCTAGAACATTTCTTTGATCTTAGAGGTTGTCATGTTCTTGGCTAGTTTTTCAAAATCCTTCCCTTTGCCTCTCATCACTTCAGCCTTTCAAGGGTCAAGTTTCATTCACCTGACTACCACCCAAGAGCATGTTTCCAGCAGGCGTCAGGATGCTTGGGGCACATCTCATAGCTGGCCTCAGAGTTCTTCTACAAGTCTGCTATAAGTAATTATTTTCAGATTCTAGCCTTTCCTTATGCATCTGAAGAAAGTCTAAAATATTAACTGCCTATTCCACTCAATGTGAATAATTTTATAAAGTGATGATTTATGGGCCTTTGACAAAGCTCAGAATGGCAAACATCGTTAACTAAAATAAATCTTGAACTAGATGAGATATAAATAGTAAATATGACTCAGAAAATACCCCAAATATTAACATGCTTTGCACTTATTAAATATTCTCTTCATTTCCTCATTGTCTCTATTAATACTTAGCATTTATCATTGTACCGTAACTCGCCTATCTGATTCACTTCAACTTCACTCCAGCTGAAAGCATATTATTACTTAGTACAGTTTATTTAATTCATTTGTTGAAGTAATCAATTCCTCTGTTTATTCTCATTCCATATGTAGCCTACAGGTCAGTAAGAATAGAGATTGGGACAATGATTAAATTGTTTTCTAGTTATTTCCATTATCTTTCTGAATTAGAATGTCACATTATGGTTTTGTTACTCTATTTCAGTAGTTAAAATTTCACAAAACATAGGAACATAACCACATTTAAATATCAATCTGAAAATCTTACTTTAAAATTTTAGTGAGGTTTTCACTGAAGTCTAAAGTTATACCTCAAATGAATTTTAGAATATGAGATAGTTTAAATTTATTTAATTAATATGGATGACAAACTACATTGCTATTTATTAATTTGACACTTGCAAGAAGATTTAAAATGATGTACTTTGATTATTTTTCTTCTAAGAGCCTTATCTAATCTTTGTTGTAAGGGGCTGTCCAGTGTACTGTAGGACGTTTATCAGCATCCCTCTCCCCTGGCTGACAACCAAAAATGTCTTCAGACATTGCCAAATGTTTCCTGATGTGTGTGTGTGTGTGTGTGTGTGTGTGTGTGTGTGTGTGTGTGTGTGTGTGTTGGGAGAATTGCCACTGGTTGAGAATTACTGCTCTAGAGTACTGAAACTCCCCTACCCAATATTCACTGACAATTGTTTTCTTCTGTCATGTAAGAAACAAATGGTATTAACAAATTTATGATGGTTGTTTATCACTTGTAATTAAGTCAGTCAGATACATGTGTATTTTTGCTACAAGTCTGGTTTCCTTGCTTCTATTCTTATTCCTCTGTATTCTATGTTCATTTTCTTATTTATTCCCTCACTTATTCAATAATGTTTACTGAGCACAGACTTTATGCCATGCATGATTCTAGGTGCTAGATATGTTGATCACCAAAACTATTAAGGTCCTTGTTCTCTTGGAGCTTACATTCTAGTGACACTTTTATTCTACACAGTAGACAGGATGATCGTTTAGAAGTATTAATCAGGGTTGGGCATGGTGGTTCATGCTTGTAATCCCAGAAATTTAGGAGGCTGAGGTGGGCGGATTGCTTGAGACCAGGTGTTCAAGACTAGCCTGGCAACATGGTAAAATCCTGTCTATATGAAAAATACAAAAAAATCAGCCCAGCATGGTGGTGTGCACCTGTAGTTCCAGCTACTTGGGAGGCTGAGGTGGGAGGATCACTTAAGCCCAGGAGGTCGAGGCTGCAGTAGTTCATTATCGGCCCACTGCATTCCAGCCTGGACGACAGAGCAAGACTTTGTCTTGGGGGGAGAAAAAAAGAAAAAAAGAAAAAGCATTAGTCAGGAATTGGAGGAGAGATGTCACTGAGAAGAGTGGAGTAGGAAACTCCCAAACTCCATTCCTCCATTAAAGCAATGGTTAAGCTGGCAGGAACTGTTAGAATCAACTTTTTTGAACTCTGGAATTTAATAAAAACTTACAACCACCAGGGGAATATTTAATGAAGAAAGAATTTTAGTAAGAGAGCATATGGCATTTTAATTTGCCCACCTACCATACCCTACTCCCCAACTTGGCAGCAGCCATGAAGACCATGGCTCACATTCCTGATGCAGATTGCTGGTACCAGGGGGATCTTGTATCAAAATATTGTGGTTGTGTGTTTTGACCTATATAGTAGCTAACTGCGGGACTGGCTCAGGAGATTGCCTTCATTTTATTTGCCTCATCTCTGGGCTTTTTCAGGACTGACATGGCCTGCCAAGAGGCATTTGTCAAAAGCATTTAAAGGAAAATATATACTAGCTGCAGCCACCTAGGAGAAGGAATAAAAGATGGGAGTGGTGGTATACAGATTGAAAAGCCTGGGAAGAAAGAGGCTGGGGTAGGAGCTACTTGGGGCATGAGGGCTTTGGAAAGCATCTGTGTATACAGGGGAATCTAAAACTTACCCAAGAAGACCTTAGGCTCCCACTTCTGACTGCCTTTGAGGCTCTGTGCAAGCAGGAAGTGAAGGCTAACATACAGTTGTAAACAGCCTGGCTAAGCCTTGAAGGAGTGCCCCAATACCCAGCCAATCTGCAAAGACTGAAAGAGGGGTTTTTATTTTTGGTTCTAGATATTTAAGAAAATCTCTGTCAAATCACTAGCTGACTGTTACTCTACTAAAATAAAGACTTCAGTGAGCATATAAGATGAAAAATATCTTTATAAAAATATCTGTATAAAATATCTTTATAAAAATATTTAGAAAAGTCACTAAACAACACCTAGAACCCACAACAAGCAACAACAATGAATTCTTGGGGAGGGGGACAGAAAGACTCCCATTTCCAGTGATACCACAGTATAATATTCAAATTATTCCATTTTCAACAATAAAACAATTACTAGGCATGTGAAGAAATAAAAAAGTATAACCCATTCACAGGAAAAAAAATAATAAAAAATCCCTGAGGAAGCACAGACATTGGACTTACTAGACAAGACTTTAAGTCAACTATCTCCCTAACTGACCTAGCTCCATCTACCTTTTCTAACTCACCTTGTATCAGTCAATGCTTTGCTCACTATTGCCAGTCACACTGGCCATCTTGGTGAGCTTCAGACTATCAAGCTTATTCCTGCCTTCAGACATGCTGTGTACTCTCTTCTGGAACGTTCTCCCATTTCATTGCATAGCATACTCCATATAGTCTGTCTCTGTTCATATTCCACCTCCTCAGAGGCACCTTTCCTGACTACTTGATCTAAAATGGCTATGCCCATCCCAACTTCCTACAATTTCTGCTCCCTTTCATTGTTAAGTTCATCATTCTTTGAAATTACTTTCATTCATTCATCCTTTGTTGATTGACTGATGATTGACTGATTTTATGTTCCCCTTACTAGAAGGTAAGCTCCTTGGCAGCAGGTACTTTGTTTGTATCATTTACTGTGGATCACCCTCCTACAACAGTGACCTAGGCTAAATAAATATTTATCAAATGAATAAAGACAATTTATATGTGTTGAATAACAACAAAAAATATAAAAAGCTTATAAAATTCTTCTGAGAAGTCTCCCTTAGTTCAGAAATTTTGCTCACTAGCTGTTTGGGGAATCTACTAGAGGAAATCTGTCCATTGGTGATTCTTCAAATGAAGTGAGAGAACAAAATGTCTGATGCCACCATAGCCTGTCATTTCCCTCCCAGGGAAGGTAATCACAGGCATGTTGGGGGTAGTGGTGAGAAAACCTCTGCCACCCTGTAAGCACTGGCCTGGTCAGGGAATGAGAGTGTGTCAGTGAGCTGCAGGCTAACCTCTATGTGTGGTCCCCTGAGACCAAGAAAGCCACAACAGTTTTGGTGGTAGTAGTGACAGAGGTGTCAAGATTTCAAAGTAATAATATCTTTGGCAGAGGTTCAAAACAGGGTGGGTAATATAAAAATGCTGCTAAGTATTGCCTTGAGTTAAAAAAAAAAGCGGGGGAGAGTAGATTGACTGGTCTTTGTCTCTTCTTGTTCTGAAACTTCAGAATCATTGCCCAGAGAAAAGTGTCCTCCTTGATTCTGGCAAGTTCTAAAACAACCTGAGAGGAGAAATGATTCTGTAGAACTAAATTTATGAACAGCTGTGGGCTTATCTCATTAAGGATTAAACAGTTTTCATTCTGGATGAAAATCTTTCTAGAACCTATCACATACATCCTCTACCTTTTTATTACATTAACTACTTTCCTTTCTTCCCAAATTCACTATAATGAGCTCAGCAACATCTTCTGAGGCAGTAGGGCATCCTGATAAGAATGTTGCTTCTGAAGCCAGACAGCTTGGATTCAAAGCTTGGCTTTGTCACTCACCTGTTGGGCAGGTTAACACTCTATGCCTCAGTTTCTTTATCTGTAAATAGGGATAATATTAGTACCTTCCTCATAGGTTCTTGTAAGGACTAAATGAATTAATATATGTCATATACTTAACACATTGCCTGGGATATAGTACTGCTTGGAAAATGTTTGCTGCTGCTGCTATAACTATACTGTTACAATTATTACTATAGCGAGATTTTTTTTGGTGTCTTGAGCTCATTATAAAGATGCTAAATTATAATATGCTGCAACTTAGTGATACCTTCTTAAAGGGCACAGTGTTACTAGCTTTTACATAAAATGGCCCCAGACTGATTTGCTGGAGTGGTCTAATACGCTGTTTTATAGCTCCTGTATTTTCCTTTGTGAAGTCTCCTTTTTACTTCTCACTGTTGTTGCTATTTTTTCATATCTATATCAGCCTTTTCCATGCTTCTATTTTTGTAGGAGGCATAAAAAAGAGTTAACCAATTTGTTAGACATGTGTGTTAAGTAAAAGCTAATATATTCTAAACTAAGTTGAAAAAACACTTCTATGGATGGAGAGAAGAACTTGAGTCCATGGACAACTCTTTTGGCTATTCAGAGGTATTTTGTTATTGTTTCTTGCTTCTTAGATAAAATATAAAAAGTTACTATAAAAGTAAGTTTCTGGGATAATAGATGTAACAATGGTAATATATAAAGTTAAAATTAACAAACCTCTAATTGAGTTCAAATAAATACTCATTACAGTCCTATTACATGCTAGATACTGAGGCAACAAAAATGAATGATATGGCTCTGAACTACAAGAAGCTTGCAATTAAGAGGAGGAGATAAAGTATAAACAAACAATATCAAGATAACATAGCTAGAGATACCAAAGAGTTTAGACCAGGTACTATGGGAGTCTAGAGGAAGGGCCCTTAGCCTAACCTGGGGATTCAGGGAAAGCTTCCTGAAAGAGGATCATGCCTAAACTGAGCTTGATGACAGCCAGGTGAAGAAAGGTTAGATGGGCTATTCTAAGCATGGAAACATGAGAAGTGATGAGACAGGAAGCAGCATAGTGCTTTCGTGAGAGTATGTAGCTGTGGGTATAAATAATAAATAGTTTGATATTGCTATAATTAAAAATGAGATGGGAAATAGTGGAAAATGAAGCTAGGAGGTAGACTATAGGGATCAGACTCAAGAGGTCCTCATATGTCATGCTGAGAAGCTTGAATATCACTTGTTAAGAGATGGGAAGCCATTAAGAACACTTTGAGAAAAATGGCAATTTGCAGATTTTCACTTTAGATGTATAACTCAAATGAGCAGTGTAAAAGACAGCAAAACTAGAAAAGACTGTGGGAAGAGGGACCAGTTAGATGGTTGTTGCAATTAACAAGCTAGAGATAGTAAGAACTGAAAGGAGACAAGGCAGCGGGGATGGTGTGGAAGAGAGGGTTCCAGACGTATTTGGAAGATAAAATTGGAAGGTCCTCGCGACTTATTAGATGAGTTGGGGACAAGGTGGAGAGAAATCTAGGATGGCCTTGAGTTACTAGGAAGATGACAATTCAATTAACTGAGAGAGAAATAGGTGGGTTTTTGTTTTTTGTTTTTTAATTTAGTTTCTTCTTTTTTCTTTTGGGGGTGGGCATAAGAAGATAAAACAGTGAGTTCAGGCTGGGACATATTAAGCTTTAGGTAGTTATGGGAGAGGTACGAACTGGATATATTTTAGAGTAATTAACAATAGATAGAATCATAAAAGCAAATGGCAGCCCCTAGATAAAAGTAAGAAAAGAGAAGAGCAGCAGAACAAGAGTGAGATATTAAAAGAGGGACAGAGGTAGATGGCCCATGAAACTGAGATTCCATATTGAGAGACACAGGGAGAGAACAGCGCCATGAAAGCCAAAGCCACGTATGAGTTTTAGATATAGTGATCAGTAAAGTTAAACACACTCATAACAGCTACATCTTCTGAGCACTCACTACATGTCAGGCACTTTGTGGTTTTATATACCATATCTCATGTAATCTATTATCCACATGGTACAGATGATGAACCTGAAGTTCAGAGAAGTCATGTAACTTACTTAAGGTCATAGGATAAGCTGGAAGAATTGGGATCTGAACCCAAGTCTGCTGGATTACAAAACCCATGTTCTTAACTCTGCTGGAGTAAAAGAACTTCTTCAGGATGCAACTTAATATTATCATAAGGACTGCTATATATTGCTTTTCCAAGAAGCATATCTTAAAACCTGTCTAGTTATCTCAAAAGAATATTTAATGTCTAATGAGGTCATTATATATTTGATCACTTTATAACATCAAAATAGGTGATTTCAGTGATACCTTTTAATAATATTTTTGTTTCATAAATACTACATTGGTCAAATTATGAGAACAATAAGGTGCAATACAAGATAATCCACTCAATTGAGTAAAGCCCAGCTCCAAAAAACCCAAAAGGAAGGTCTGCATTGGATTAGCTAGTGTTCTTCACAGGAAAATGAAGTGCCTTGGACTTAGATCTAAGCATACTCAGCTTTCTCACAGGTTTACTGTTGGTCCCAGGGAGAATCAGAGAGAGTATGCATAATTTAGCACAAACCTACCACAAATGTGGAGGATTTCATTAAATTATACATTCTATGGAAGGTTTATTTTAGATAATAAATGATTATCCATTAAAGAGAATAAGAAAGTCACATTTTGATTATAAAAGTTGTAATTTTTTCACTTCCCACTAGAGGAAGCAATAGCATTACTCTTACCATTTGGTGGGTAAAAGACAGCATATTCTTCCAGTCCTAGTTTTCCTATAAGAGAAAACCATAGAGGATTTCAATATGATTAAGTAAATAAATCTTTAAAAATCAACTTATTTTGTGAATGTACTAACAACGGAATTTTAAAAACTACTATAAACTGATATGTCATTTCATGATATGAAATTAACTTAAAAATGTACCAGCCAATCTTTTGGTATTAGCAAACCCTTTCATCAATTAAAGTAACACGAACATAAGTACAACAGAAGCGACACAAAACAACCAAAAGAACAAACGCTTTCAAGTTCCTTAGGCACTTAAGAAGAGAAGTATCTATTTATTATGCATAAAATTGTTTTGCTAATTACAAATAAGTCTAATCTATTCATTAAAGCAAGTCTTAAGCTTTGTAATACTGTGTGTACACTTTTATGGAATGTGCTGAAAGTTAAAAATTAAATGACTAGCTGTATGGTGGTCATATTTTCTGAATACCAAAACAGTTCACATGATTTCAGAATGGGGCTGAATATTTGAAATCAGAGTTGTCCCAGAAAAGTAAAGTATATTCACAATAGTCAAATATTTAAGAGAGTTTTAAAAAGTATCTTTCCTTTAAAACTCTTAAAAGTTCTCAGTTTTTTCCACCTTCCACTGAATATCTTTAAATAGCTTTTACTTTGACAGTTTTTCTAACACTTTTGAGTTTATTGAAAAGTCACTTGTATTTTTATACTGGGCTAAGAGTAATATTTTTAGTTAAAAAAAGTTCTTTTTATTCTTGTTAGGGGTGGTGACAGAGACGAAATGAAGAATAAGAAGTGTGAGCAGTTCAGGTTAGGGTGGAAACAAAAAGGATTGATCTTGTGAGCAAGAAGAGAATGGAATAATGAATAGGTAGGTAGGTAAGTAGATAAAATTGATTACTGGGCTAGATGCTGAGAGGCAAACATATATATGTTCTCTCAACCATGTGGTTTATAGTCCAGACTAAACCATGAAACATTAGGGTATATTTGCTAACTTTTCTAGCACAGACTTTAAGTGTTTAGAAGTTCAGAGGAGAGAGAAATAGATGATGGGTTGGTGGACATGGTGAGGTACTGGCTAGTTCTTCAAGGACCTATGATTTTTAAGGTTGGAAAGTGGGAAGCCTTCCACATGCAGGGACTATAGGGAGGCTAGAACGAATATGGGGTATTGTGGAATAATCAGGGAAGCAAAGTTAGTTAGGTTAGGACAGTATCAACTGGTCAAAGGCCTTAAAATCCTGGCTGAGTTTAGAGGTGAGCTCAGTAGATAATTCAGTTTACAATCAGTTTTTCAGCAGAAGACTTAAAGAAACAAACAAAAGGTTTCCATAAATTCAATTTAGAAGCAATGGACCTAAGAAAACCTTATGTTAGGGGTAGCTGAAATCCAGCACAAGGTTATGTGGCCTCTCCTAGGGTAGGAGGTGGAGCAATCAGGCAGATAGTTCAGACATAAGAGATACAGGAGAAAGTTTCTTTCTTCATGGAAATGGCAGAATGACCATACACAATGAAGTCTGAGCTTTCAGTGTTGGGTGTTCACCATTTAATAAAAAGGAAAAGTTGGGAAGGGCATTCAGCTGAAGTTAATTGTATCTTCAGATGATGGCAGGATATTGATATTTTATAAGCAGCTGGTGATAAAGAGGAGAAAAATAACTAAACTAGACATTGGAGAGCTAAAAGCATATAAATTGTATCAAAGTTTTGTGTGTGGTGGAGCGTTTTGAGAGAAGTATAGATTGTTAAAAAAAGTAGAAAAAGCAAATCTGTGTTATAAACTTAGAAAGAAAAAGAAAAGTCAACAGATATGACATAAAAACAACAATAAAGGGTAGAGCACACAGGGAAGACAGAGAAAGTAACTTGAAATGCTGCTTCTGGGAACCACTTTCCCGTGATTTGTGATAAATTACTTGGGCACTGATTTGAGGTATGAAAGGATAATTACGGTCATCTGAGAGAAATCTTAAGTAATTTATAATAATTTGGCAACACCACTATCTCCAAAAATAAAACAAATATTCTTGGCATGATTATGTAAGTCTTAATACTTCCTTAAAATTATTAAAAATTTACCTCTTATGTATGATTTTGGTGGCGAGGCACTGTTGAATGCAAAGTGACTCAACACAGATGTATCCCGGGAAAAACAAAGTAATACCTGAATATAACATTGGAAAAAAAATAGCAATTAAGCACTATTATAAAACCAGGTAATTCATTATTTCCTACTCAGGAGGCATCCTTCAAGTTCAAGTACCGTGCCTTGCGGTGGGAAGAATGCCCTTTATCGGTATACCTTTGGTAAGCATTACAGTGGGATGCCAAATTCTTCCAAAGAGTTCTCACCATTTGCTACCTCAACTTTGAAGAGCAGAAAATGCAAACTGCTAACTAACAGTTGACTCTTCTCTTGTGTTTTCTATCTGGACAAGAGAAGCACCTGGGGGAAATTTAACAGATGAAAAATGTATGGAGAAGACCCTGAGTAACTATTGTGACATAGAGCAATTTGGGAAGTGCAGGAAATGAACTTGACTCATACTGGGATGCATCACGCAGTTAGGCATGTCAGGGTGGGAGGGAAGGCAACTCGTGGTACTTAGAAAGGACAGCAGCAGCAGTAGAACAAGTGGTTGCCTAATAAAGGGTAGAAGCTAGCTGTCCTGACCAGTAGGGTAGAGTATGTCAACTCTATGTGGAGATGAAAATAGGCACAGTAGAAAGTCAGGATCAAGGATGTCCATTAGGAGGTACTAGATTGAGGACACCAGCCTGGAATTTGGGAGCAGCAGTCCAAGACCCAGTAAGGCCATTAGTGACAGGAAATCTGGGTCTCAGTATTAGAAGACCTGGGATTCTAAAAATATTACCAAGAAAAGAACTCAAGATGACTGAAAAGGCAGAACAGGTGCACAGAGTCAGGCTGAACTAGCAGCAAGAGTGAAGGGAGAGGAAAAATCCTTGTGTCCAAGACACAAGAAAGGGGATACAGCTTTGGAAAAAAGGATAGGTAATGGAGATTGGGAATCAGTCAGGTTCACTGGTGGAATGCATATCAACCACTGCCACTGCTTTGTTTTCATTATATTTTAAATGACTACATAAGTGGTACATGTTAATGACAAATTTAGAAATACAGAGTATTGGCTGGGCATGGTAGCTCATGCCTATGATCCCAGCACTTTGGGAGGCCAAGGCAGGAGGATCACTTGAGCCCAGGAGTTCAAAACCAGCCTGATCAACATGGTGAAACCTCATCTCTGTTTAAAAAAAAAAGATTAATTTTAAAAATAAAGAAATACAGATGATAAACAAAAGGGGAAACAGCCATAATCCCATCAGTCTTAATAATTTGAGGTATATCCTTTCAGACTGCTTTTTAACATACTCATACATATAATTTTTTCAAACCAAACAGGATTATATGTAGTTTCTTTTCACTATTGTAAGATAAATATTTCTTACACATTTTTATGTTGCAGAATATTCCACTGTATGAAAGAACAATAATTTATTTAACCTGTACTGTTGTTGAACATTTAATTATTTCCACTTTTCCCCAACTACAAACAACACTAGAGTGAATTTACTTATGACTAAATATGTACGCCTTTAGTTATTTAAATTCCAAAA
The DNA here is from genome assembly GCF_000001405.40 of Homo sapiens. Taxonomy (NCBI): domain Eukaryota; kingdom Metazoa; phylum Chordata; class Mammalia; order Primates; family Hominidae; genus Homo; species Homo sapiens. Next base: position 26,716,457 of record NC_000004.12, on the reverse strand, counting down.
ACTGGACCACCTGTCTGGTCAATTGCTTTGGGCATTTTTAATTGAACGATGCCTCTCCCACATTTTCTTTATTTACTTCTACCTGACTCCTGTAAGCTGTAAGATTTACCTACACGTATTCAACCTGCCATGCCTTTTACTTACTTTTATCCCCCCTGTTCCATTCTGGATGACTTCCTCAGATTATTTTTTAGTCAGTTCACTAATTCTCTTCTTCTGCCCCTACTATGCACCAGGCACTGTTCCTTGTGTTTGGAATACATAAAAGGAAACAAACAAAACACCTCTTTTATGGAGTTTAATTATGATGGAGCAGAATGTGTGTAACAAATAGCAAATATGATAGATAATTACATTATATAGTGTATTAGGTAGCAAGTGCTATGGAAACAAGATAAAGGGGAACAGAGAAAGAGTGGGTGACACTTTAAAGAGGCTGTTCAGTGTAGGCTTCCTTGAGAAGGTGATATCTAATCAAAGATTGAAAGGAGTTGAGAAACTTAGCATGCGGATATATGTGCAAAAGCATTCCAGGAGACTTGTTAGGAGACTATTGACAGTGGCTTTCACTAAGATGGCAGCAGTGTGTGGCAGATGTATGACACACCACCCAGAGATCCTCCTCTAGGAATGAAGGACTAACTATAGCAGCTGGTAGTGCTGTAGCAAATAGCCCTCAGCAGCCAGCTCTTTTCATGGACTACCTCTGCTGGAGAGAGCTATTTTGCTCAAATATCAAGGTCACACCCTTTTCCTGAAATGGCCTATATCTGATGAAGAGGATGCAAGGGAAAAAGGTCTGAAATGCTTGTCCCCAGCTCAGGATGGGTCTGACAGTTTATTCCATCTTTAGAACTCTCTGCAGCATTGGCTGAGGGTTTCATTTAAACTGTATTGCAGCTAGAATTGTCCTTATGCTCAATCCTGCTTCATTAACTGCACTTATACATGTGTTGATTCCAAGAGCACTCGCTAATAATCCTTTGGTATCCTCGTCTCCATCTAAATTGGCTTCCCTGGGAACCCATCTTACAATACAGTGAAAGTGGGGAAAAGTCAGATTCTAAATACACTGTGACGGCAGGGCCAACGGGAGTTACTGATAGATTGAGATGATATTTTGGAGAAAGACAGCAGTCAAGGAGAGTAACATGTGGAAGTTGAAGGTAGAAGGATGTTTGATCTCAGCGAGTGGAACACCTTTAACTGAGACAGGGAAAGTGGCAGGCAGAACAGTTTGGGGAGTGAGATCATGGGTTCATTTTTCAACATGCTAAATTTGAGATGTCTGCAAGACATCTAAATGGAAAAATTGAAGAGGTAATTGGAGATACTTGTATGGAGTATAGAAGAAAAGTTTAAACTGAAGATACAAATTTGAGAGTTATCAACATATAGATGGTAGTGAAAGCCACAAAATAGGTGAGCTTGGTGGAATCATCAAGTGAGTGAGTGTAACTAGAGAAAAGAAGACCAAGAACTGAGACTTGAGGCATTCTAGGATATTGGAGAAAAGAGAAGGAACCAGCCTAGACAACTGAGTAGTGAGTAACCATCAAAGGTGGATTTACCATGATGCTCTGTGAGTGCTGCAAGTTGCTGGGAGACGCAGAGTGTCCTAGGCAAGGAAAGTAAGTCAGTGTGTAATCAGAAAGCATTTCTATGTATGCATTTCTAGAAACTGTTTCTAGAAAAGGTAAACTGTTTAATAAGATCTCAGAAGAAAAACACCTGAATCTCTATAGTTCTAATAATCTGTTACAAATTTTTCCTCATTCAAAACAAAAATATGTGTTCTTATCTGGTTTTGTATTTATAATATGATATTCTTTTTCTTAAAGAAGGCCTTCCAAATTTTATAAGCTTTAGGTCCGCAAAATGCTGAATTTGCCACTGGTGACTAGAAAAGTAAGAGGAAAACTAAAAAGAATGTGGTGTCTTGAAACCCAAGTGAAGAAACAGCAAAAATGAATCAAATGCTGTTGAGAGATTAGTTAAAAGGAGGATGGATAATTGGTCATTGGGTTTAGTTCTTGATGACCTTGACGAGAGTAGTTTCAGTTCAAGTGGTAGGAGCACCATACACAATGTTTGGTACCTGCTTCTTAAAACAACATGGCACATGTATACATATGTAACTAACCTGCACGTTGTGCACATGTACCCTAAAACTTAAAGTATAATAAAAAAAAAGAAAAAACAAACAAACAATGCATTAAAGAGATCTTTTCATATCAGTATATACAGAGCTGCCTCATTCTTTTTAATTTTTTTGGTAGAGACAGGGTCTAATTATGTTGCCCAGGCTGGTCTTGAACTCTTGAGCTCAAGTAATCCTCCTGCCTCAGCCTTCCAAAGTGCTGGGATTACAGGCGTGAGCCACTGTGCTTGACCCGCTGCATTCATTTTTAAAGGGCTGTATCATGTTTCACTGAATATGTACTCCATGATTCATTTAATGGGTTACTCCCCAATATATGAACATTCATTTTCAACTTTATGCTGTTTCTGACAATACCAAAACAATTAGCCTTTTACTGTATCATTTTACACATATGAGTGTCTCTGTGGAACAAATACATAGGAATAGAATTGCCCAGTCAGAGAGTATACACATTGAAAAATGTGATGGCTATTTGGCTGTATATTTATATCCCTTGTGTTCTTTTTCCAGCATTTCTATATGTTTACAGTCTAAAAGGGAGCTGTGTGAACAAGCCCAATACCTTATGTTGCCTAACTCTATTTTCTATTACATAGTCTAAATCATTATTACTCATATTTAAAAGAGTAAGGGATTTTAATATTTTATTCAGTAAAGAGGCAGTTAACTGAATCATCTTATTAGTTCTACTGGCTTTCAGTCCAATCCCTTGAATTTTTAAATAACTATAGTTAACAATAATGTTGTGTCCTTTCTGTTATTTATTATTTTATTTTTCTTATTCCATTGTTGAGAAATTCCAAAATGATATGTTCTTTCCTTCCTTTAGTGGGAACATCTCTAGTATTTCACTAATGAGTAACATTAACTTACATTAATATTGCAAATGTTGGTTTCAGATAAATACTATTATGTCAAGAAAATATATTAATACTTGATTTCTAGTGTATAAAAAGTATAAAAATGAATATTAAGTTGCAAAACAATGTGAATATACTTAACAGTGCTAAACTGTACCCTTAGAAATGGTTAAGTGGTCAATTTTATGTTGTGATTTGTTTTACTACAACTGAATACTTTTTAAAAATCGATATTATCAAATATGGTCTCAAATAAATTTTTGGCGTCTATTAAGATAATCATGTGAATTTTTTTTGACCTATTAATATAATAAATATTTTCCAATAATTAAGAAAAACCATTAGGCTCTAAAAATTCTAAATTTATAAATATTAATCTCTTCTCCTGCCAAACTTTCACATACCACTGTGGTAGGTAGCATAATGGCCCCCGAAGATGTCCACATCCTAATCCCTGAAATTTGTGTGCTACCAGTTTGGATATGGTTTTTTCCTGTGAAAACTCCTGTTGAAATATGATTCCCAATGTGGTAGTGTTGGGAGATGGGCCTAGTGGGAGGTGTCTGGGTCATGTGGGCAGATCCTTTATGAATAGATTAATGTATCTCTGTGGGACAGGACTAGCTGCCATGAAAGCAGGTTGCTCCTTCTCATGTTTGGTCTCTTTGTATATACCTGCTTACCCTTCCATTTTGTGCCATGAGTTGAAGCAGCATAAGACCTTCACTAGATAGGCTGTTCAATCTTAGACTTTCCAGCCACCAGAATCATGAGCCAAATAAGCCTCTTTTCTTTATAAATTACCTAGCCTCAGGTATTCTGGTATAGTCACACAAAATGTGACTTATGTGACAAATGGGATTATGCAGATGTGATTAAATAGAAGATTTTTAAATGGGGAGATTATTTAGGATTGTCTGGCTGGGCCCAATGTAACCAAGGATTCTTATACATGAAAGAGAGAAGCAGCAGGGTCAAAGTCAGAAAGAGATGTGATGATGCTCTCTGCTGGCTTTGAAGACAGAGGAAGGGGACACAAGCCAAGGAATACACTAGGTTCTATAAAGGGCACTCTAGGTTCTATAAATGGCAAGAAAAACCCAGATTCTCCTCTGGAGCATCCACAAGTAACACAGCCCTGCCAATGCCTTGATTCAAGCCCAATGAAACCAATTTCAAACTCAACTAAATTTATGGCAGCAATAATAAACTAATAGAACCAATCAACAAATACAACAATAAACATATATAATTAGGGTAAAATAATACAACAAGAAAATATACTTACAAACAACTTTCTACTATTGCCTAGAGGAAAAACAATTCCTAAAGAAACATTTGTATTAACTTTCCCTTAGTTTAGCAGACTCGTAGAAGCACAGTAATTTTAGAAGAAGCTCTATGATTAAATATATCTCCCTAGAGTCCCTGTTGCCCTAGAGAAGACAAGCTATCTGAGACTGCTCTAAGGAGAATATTGGCGATTGTAAGGTGATAATGCCAGAAGTGGTATGTTAGACAGTACGTACTGGTGTGCAATCCTGTGATACAAGCAAAGAGCTGCCAACTCTTATTCTAACCTGAGTTGTTTTAACTTCTGAGATTCTAATTTTTGTATCTGTATGGAAATGACAGTTCAATTGTAAATCTGCTAGAAAATGGTATGATTATATGAAGATGACAATTTCAATCAAATTAACTAGAAAATCTAACCTGGATTAATTACCAATTAAGTAAAAATTAAACTTCATCAGGATGAAGCTACACATGATAGTAATTTACTTCATTTAGAAGAGTTATAAGAAACTGAATGTGTAAGTCTGAACTATGCTAATACGGCAGAATTATACCTAAAATGTCTACATATAGCCACAAAAGATTTAGTTTGTCCTAAAGCTTTCTCTTACTTCTAGAAAATATATTTATGGTAAATGTTTCTGAGAAATAAATTATTTTTATAATAAAAAGCACATAAGAAATGACATATAAATTGGGCAATCACTTTAACGTAAAACTATTATAAAATTTTTTTCATTTGTGATACTCTTACATTTTTATCCAAATTTAGAAAATTTCAAATGATAAATTTTCAAGAATCACTTTTTAAAACACTCTGCCCTCACCTGTCAAAAACAAGCAATGGGGAAAGGATTCCCTATTTAATAAATGGTGCTGGGAAAACTGGCTAGCCATATGTAGAAAGCTGAAACTGGATCCCTTCCTTACACCTTATGCAAAAATTAATTCAAGATGGATTAAAGACTTAAATGTGAGACCTAAAACCGTAAAAACCCTAGAAGAAAACCTAGGCAATACCATGACATAGACATGGGCAAGGACTTCATGTCTAAAACGCCAAAAGCAATGGCAACAAAAGCCAAAACTGACAAATGGGATCTAATTAAACTAAAGAGCTTCTGCACAGCAAAAGAAACCACCATCAGAGTGAACAGGCAACCTACAGAATGGGAGAAAATTTTTGCAACCTACTCATCTGACAAAGGGCTAACATCCAGAATCTACAAAGAACTCAAACAAACTTACAAGAAAAAACAAACAACCCCATCAAAACGTGGGCGAAGGATATGAACAGACACTTCTCAAAAGAAGACATTTAGGCAGCCAAAACACACATGAAAAAATGCTCATCATCACTGCCATCAGAAAAATGCAAATCAAAACCACAATGAGATACCATCTCACACCAGTTAGAATGAGGATCATTAAAAAGTCAGGAAACAACAGGTGCTGGAGAGGATGTGGAGATAGGAACAGTTTTACACTGTTGGTGGGACTGTAAACTAGTTCAACCATTGTGGAAGTCGGTGTGGTGATTCCTCAGGGATCTAGAACTAGAAATACCATTTGACCCAGCCATCCCATTACTGGGTATATACCCAAAGGATTATAAATCATGCTGCTATAAAGACACATGCACACGTATGTTTATTGAGGCATTATACACAATAGCAAAGACTTGGAACCAACCCAAATGTCCAACAATGATAGACCGGATTAAGAAAATGTGGCACATACACACCATGGAATACTATGCAGCCATAAAAAATGATGAGTTCATGTCCTTTGTAGGGACATGGATGAAGCTAGAAACCATCATTCTCAGCAAACTATCACAAGGACAAAAAACCAAACACCGCATGTTCTCACTCATAGGTGGGAATTGAACAATGAGAACACATGGACACAGGAAGGGGAACATCACACACTGGGGACTGTTGTGGGGTTGGGGGAGAGGGGAGGGATAGCATTAGGAGATATACCTAATGCTAAATGACGAGTTAATGGGTGCAGCACACCAACATGGCACATGTATACATATGTAACAAACCTGCACATTGTGCACATGTGCCCTAAAACTTAAAGTATAATAAAAAATAAAAAAAAACACTCTGCCCTGATACAAATTTTCAAAAAATAAAGGGCAATGTGGCTTACTAGCTTTGAAAATAGACACCCCTGGCTTGGGGTCCTGATAGCTGTATGGGCTTGGGATCTAAGCCTCTGCTTCTTCATCTATAAAAGGCGAATAAAACTACCTCCTAGGGTTGTTGTAAGAATCATCTATAAAGTGGATTCTGGGAAGATGGTGCAGTAGGAAGCACCAAGAATCTGTTTCCCCACCTAGACAAAAATTGCACTGGCAGCTACTGTCTGCTGTAATTATTTTAGAACTCTGGAGTCTACTGAAGTCTTGCAACTTTTAGGAGAAAGCTTGGATGGTAAATTTCAGTTAATTTTGATCAATGTCAGCTTCTAGCATAGCCGCATATATGCATCACCCACCCCAATCCCCTCAACAGGCAGGAATGCATGAGTCCCAGGAACAGCTTACAAGCAGCTTAAAGGACCCAGAAAGGGAAAAAAGCACCCCATCCTCCAAATGTCTGGTATCTGTACTCTGATTGCTTCTTCTGACCAGAGAGGTGCAAACAAAGAAGTAAGGGTGAAGATCGGAGGAAGGAAACACTGTTGTTGAACTTCCCTTGATTGTTGCAAGCCCCTTCCCCTCTGGCTGAAGTAACTTTCAGAAGATTTAAAGGAACAATGCTCTCCCTCCTCTTCATTTTCTCTTTTATTCCCTTTGGGAGCCAGATGTTAAAGACTAGGTCATTCAAAAACAACTGTGTATAAGGGGGAAATTAGAAAGTGACCACATGCGCTCAATGAAAAGTGAAGGCTAAGAAAAGTCCCAAGATGTTAGATTTATACCTCAGGCTGATCCTGGGCAGAAGGAGAACAAACAACATTCAAAAAAACTAAAACTAAAACAATAACAACAACAACAAAAACGCTGGGAAGAAAAAGAATCTGATTTCCAGAGATTCCCCATTATTAGATTTATATGTCCCTTTTTCAACAACAACAACAAGATCACAAATAATACAAAGAACTTGAAACATATGGCCCATTTAAAGGGCCAAAAAAAAAAAAATTGACAACTGTCCTTGAAAAAGACCTGATGGCAGATTTGCTATAGAAAGACTTTAAAACAACTGTCCATAGATTCTCAAAAAACTAAATAAATGTGGAGAAAATCAAGAAAAAATATATGAACAAAACAGAAACATCAATAAAGAGATAGCAAACCAAAAAAGAAACCAAAAGGAAATTATGGAGCTGGAAGGTATAATACTAAAATAAAAACTCAGTAGAGGGATTCAAAGGCAGATTTGAGCAGGTAGAAGAAAGAATCAGCAAACTTGAAGATAGGGAAATGGAAATAATTGAGGCTGTGAAACAGAAAGGAAAAAAAATTGAAGTTAACAGAGCCATAGGAACTTATGGGACACCATCAAGCCAACCGATATGCAAGGTAGGAGTCTCAGAAAGATGAGAGAAATTGAGGAAGGGGTAGAGAGAATATTTGAAGAAATAATGGCTGAAAATTTCCCAAATTTGATGAAAGACATTAATATAAACATCCAAGAAACTCAATAAACTCCATGTAAGATGAATTCAAAGAGTCCCACACTAGGACACATTATAATCAAACTGTTGAAGGTCAAAGGCAAAGAGAGAACTTTGAAAGCTGCAAGACAGTAATGACTCATTAAATATAAAGGATCCTCTATACAATTATTAGCAGATTTCTCATCAGAAACTTGAGGACCACAAGCAATGGGCTGACATATTCAATGTGGTAAAAGAAAAAAGCCATTAATCAAGAATGCCATATCCAGCAAACTGTCCTTCAAAAGTGAGAGAGATATTCAGACTTTTTCACATAAATGAATGCTGAGACCTGACCTTCAAGAAATGCTCACAGGAGTCCTACAGAGTAAAATGAAAAGATACAAGACAGTAACTAGACTCTGAGTGAAGAAAGATCTTTAAAAAACACACATGGGCAGTTATAAAAATAATACTATTGTAACAAAGGTTTGTAACTCCATTTTTTGCTTTCTGTATGATTTAAGAAACTCGTACATTTGAAAAGTCATTATTTAAAAATCAGTATTATTGTAACTTTGGATTGCAACTCCACATTTTGTTTTCTACATAATTTCTGGGTTTGTGTACGCACTGTACACAGATGTAACATTCTGATATCATCAAGTGAAAGGGGTGAGGATAGAGCCGTAAAGTAATACAAATTTTGTATGTTACTAAAGTTAAATTGGTATTAATTTAAACTAGAGTGTTACAATTTTAGGTTGTTAAATATAATCCTCACGGGAAGCACAAAGAAAATAGCTGTGGAATATACACAAAAGAGAAGAGAAAATGAGAAAGAAATGTAAACATTTCACTACACACACACACAAAAACCCCAACTAAACCCAAAAGAAGACAGCAATACAGAAAATGAGAGGCATAAAAGCTATAAGACACATAGAAAACAAATAGAAAAATGAGAGAAATATCTCCTCATCAGCAATTACTTTAAATGTAAATGCATTCAACTCTCCAATCAAAAGACAGGTTGGCAGAATAAATTTAAAAAGACAAAACTACATGTGATCTATAAGAGATTCATTTTAGATCTAAAGACATAAATATATTAAAAGTTAAAGGACAGAAAAAGACCCTCCATGCAAATAGTAACCAAAAGAGAGCAAGGTGACTGTACTTATATCACACAAAATAGACTTTAAATAAAAGAGGTTATGGGAGACAGAAAGACATTATATATTAACAAAAGTTTCAATACAGCAAGAAGATACAACAGCTATAAACATTTATGTACCTACAACAGACTTGAAAATGTATGAAGCAAAAACTAACAAAAAATGAAAGGAGATATAGACAATTCTAGTGTAACAGTGGACTTCAATATCCTATTCTCAATGATGGATAGAACCACTAGACAGGAAATAAGGAAATGAAGTATTTACATGATAAACCAACTAGAGTATTTACATGATAAACCAACTAGATCTAACAATATACTGAACACTTTACCCAAGAACTACAGCATACACATTCCATGTAAATGCACATGGGACATTTTCCAGATAGATCATATATTAGGTCACTAATTAAGTTTCAATAGATTTTTAAAAAACAGAGATGATACAAAGTAGCTTCTCTGACCACAGAGATGGAGGTAGAAATCAGTCACAGAAGGAAAACTGGAAAATTTACAAATCTATGGAAATTAAACAACACAGTCTTAAACAGCCAATGGATTAAAGAAGAAATTATAAGAGAAATTAGAAATACTTAGAGACAAATGGCAAAACCATGACATATCAAAACTTACGGGATTCAGTGAGAGTGATGTTAAGTGGCAAATTTATAGCTATAGAGGCTTAGATTAAAAAACAAGAAAGGTTTCAAATCAACAGCCAACTTTGCAACTTCAGGAACTGGAAAAAATGGGCAAACTAGGCTAGAAGCTAGCAGAAGAAAGAAAATAAAATAATAAAAAGTAGAGCAGAGATAAATGAAATGGAGAATAGGAAAACAATAGAGATAATAACTGAAACCAAAGTTGGCTTTTCAAAAAGTTCAACAAAATTAACAAACCTTGAGCTAGAAGGACTAAGAAAAAAGAGAGAAGACTCAAATTATTAAAATAAGAAATGAAACTGCGAATATTACCACTGACTCTAAAGAAATAAAAAGGATTATAAGAGAGTACTATGACCAATTGTACACCAACAAATTGGATAACCTGGATAAAATGAACAAATTTCTAGAAACACAAAGTCAACCAAGACTAAATCACAAAGAAATAGAAAATCTGAACAGACCTGTAACTAGTAAAAATATTCATCAATAATCAAAACTCTGACAAAGAAAAGCCTTGGTCCTGATGGCTTCACTGGTTAATTCTACTAAACATTTAAAGAAGAGCTAACACCAATGTTTCTCAAACTTTTCAAAAAATTGATCTGGGCATGGTGATGTGCAACTATAGTCCCAGATACTCAGAGAGTTGAGGCAAGAGAATTGCTTGAGGCCAGGAGTCCAAGGGTACAGTGCATGTGCTATGATCAAGCCTGTGAACAGTCACTGTACTCCAGCCTGGGCAACATAGGGAGATCCTGTCTTTCAAACAAACAAACAAACAAAACAAAACAAAACAAAAACTTTCCCACACAATTAAAAAATAGAAAACACTTCTTAATTCATTCTGTGAGGCCAGTATTACCTTGATACCAACACCAAAGACCCTACGAGAAACCCCAAATAGCCAAAACAATGTTGAAAAAAGAAGAACATATCTGGAAGATTCCTATTTCTTCCAGATTTAAAAACTTCCTAGAAAGCTATAATAATCAAAACAGTGTGCTATTGGCATAAAGACAGATGTACAGACAAACAGAATAGAACAGAACTAGAAATAAAACCTTGAATATACGGTCAAATGATTTACAACAAGGGTTTGTGCTTGTCCTTTCTCCCATTACCATTCAATGGGAGAAAGTGCAGTCTTCCAACAAATGGTGCTAGGAAAACTGGATATCTATATGCAAAAGAATGAAGCTGGGCCTTTATCTAACACCATATCCAAAAATTAAGTCAAAATGGATTAAAGACCTGAATGCAAGTTCTAAAACTATAAAACTCATAGAAGAAAACATAGTGCAAAATCTTCACAACATTGGATTTGGTGATCTCTTGGATACAATACCAAAGGCACAGATGATAACAACAAAAATTAGGCAAACTGGACTTCATGAAAATTTTAAAATTTTGTGCATCAAAAGACACTATCAACAGAGTAAAAAGTCAACTCACAAATGGGAGAAAATATTTACAAATCACATTTTCAGTAAGACATTAATAACCAGAATATTTACAGATCTCTTAAGACTCAACAATAACAACAACAACAACAAAAAAAAACAAGTTGATCCAAAAATGGCCAAAGGACTTCAATAGACATTTTTTTCCTGAGTAGATATATAAATGGTTAATGAGCACAAGAAAAGATGCTCAATATCATTAATCATTAGGGAAATGCAAATGAAAACTATAATAAGATAACATCATTTCATACCCATTAGGATGGCTACTATCAAAAAAAGAGAAAGTAACATGTTGGCGATGATGTGGAGTAACTGGAAACTTTGTACACTATTGTTGGAATATAAAATGGTATAGTCACTGTGGAAAACAGTATGACACTTCCTCAAAAAGTTGAAATAAAATTCATTTCTTATAATATTATATTTCTATTCTGAAGCCATCACTAAGTTCTGCACTACTCCCAGAATTTATTTTCCCTTTATCTATATTTGCATAGAATTTATATATATTTCTATTGGGGGATTTATCAAATTATAACTATGAATTTGTCTTTCTCTTCATTTTTCACTAAGTTGTGAGCTTAATAAATATCTTCTTTTGCTAGCACCTAACACAGTGCCTATATCAGAACATACACCAAATAATCTAACTAGATACATGAACAAAGAATATCTGACACATTTGGACCTTTTTAACTCCATTCAATAGCGTTAAAATATCTATAACTATGTCACACTTCAGTATCTCAGGACTACTACTAAGTATATGCCAGATAAACCAAGCATATGATGGAAGATTCGTCATACAACAGAAAGAGTAAATCTCCATGTCTTCCCTTTTACTATATATGAATTCTTTCCTATGAATATCTTATATACTTTGGACAATATGTTAACTTACGTAGTTTGTGAAAATTCCACTCAGTATTGAAGTCTGAAAATGGTACTGTCAAACTACTCAGTTTACTTCCATTAAATAAGAGTTGTCTTCTGTTTGAATACATTTTGAAACTGACATAATTTAAAACTTACAACACTTAAAAATGGGTACTTTAAGAATTTCATGCAAAATAAAAACTAACTTAACACTGGAATACTAAAGGATTGGCTTATTACTAAAAACATTATTTCTATAATATTCAGCATTGTTGCCTGTAAAATTTAGGAACATTAACATGAGGTACTCAGGAACAAGTGCCTGCGTATCCTTGTAACATAGGCCCAGATTTTCTTTTTTCTTTTTTTTTTTTTTTTGAGACGGAGTCTCACTCTTTTGCCCAGGCCGAATTGCAGTGGCACGATCTTGGCTCACTGCAAACTCCACCTCCCTGGTTCACGCCATTCTCCTGCCTCAGCCTCCCGAGTAGCTGGGACTACAGGCGCCCGCCACCACGCCCAGCTAATTTTTTTTTTTTTTGTATTTTTAGTAGAGATGGGGTTTCACCATGTTAGCCAGGATGGTCTCGATCTCCTGACCTCGTGATCCACCCGCCTTGGCCTCCCAAAGTGCTGGGATTACAGGCATGAGCCACCGTGCCCGGACATAGGCCCAGATTTTCTTTAAAGAAGGATTACTGGATATTTTCTCATCTGTATGTAAACACAGCAATGCCACATGACATCTAATTTTGCAGTGTAGTCACAAAATCCAATAAATCGGCTATGACCAAGAACATGGCCAGGAATATTAAATTTGCTATACATTGACAATTTTCCTATACAGCAACTGTGTTGCTAGGCAGCTCTGCTAAAGGAATGCCTGTAATTAATGACAAGAACAGGCTTTCTTCTGTCTTATTACACACATGCACACACACACACATGCACACACACAATTTTTTCTGAAAGGAAAAAACAGAACTCAATTTCTGAAAACAGAATATTTACAATGCATACAATTACATACGTTTTTATTAGTTAAAATAAATTTCTAATAATTCAGACTAATTGTAAAATGAATAATTAAAAAGTATCACCATGAAAGTGTTTTCTTAGTAATTATCCATATAAGGAAAATTTATTTTTACATAATTCCCAAAGAGAGATGCTTAGATGTTGTAATTATCCATCTATTTATGTTATGGGGATAGAGATCCACATTAAAGCTTATTTAGACAGATGAAAGGATAAAGAAAATGTAGTATATACAATACAATGGAATATTATTCAGTCATTATAGAGAAGAAAATGAGTTACATGAGGCCACATGATCCTGGAGGACATTATATGAAATGAAATAAGGCAGTCACAGAAGAACAAATATTACATGATTCTACTACATGAGGTATCTAAAACAGTCAAACATATAGCAGCAGTTGAATGGTGACTGCTGGGCCCGGGGGCAGGGGGAATATGGAGCTGCTATTCAATTGGTATAATGTTTCTGTCATGGGAGATGACTGAATTCTAAAGATCTGCTGTACAGCACTGTGCCTATAGTTAATACTACTATACTGTACACTTAAAAAGGTATTAAGAGGATAGACCTTGTGATAAGTGTTCTTACTACAGCATTTAAAACAGGCTTATTTAGTCATTTCCAAAGTACTAAAAGCAGGAGAAGTCATGAGACCTATGACTGAAAAAATTATGTAAAATCTAAAAACAATACAATTTGGACTAAAATATTAATAGAAATGGAAAATAAAGGTTAAAGCATACTCCTATAGTACTTACTGTTTGTGATACTGACTTAGCACCTAATGCTTTATATAAACACTTTAAAACAATTTCAGAATATTTTGTATGTTTGTGTCCTGCCCCCTTAACTAGAATGTAAGCCCATCAAAGGTGGTATCGTTTACACATAGTATAAGAATCAGTATTTTTTTTCTATCAGAGTCACTGGCATTCATCAACACTCTCAGATGTCCCCACCAACACAGGTTTCATCAGAGGTAGATCAATAAATATTTACTGATGCTCATTCTGCTTTTTCTCAAAATATGCATCCACTTATTAGTTCAGTTACTTATAAGTTTTCTTAGAAGTTTTCTTGCATGTAAGTCACTTACATGTGGAAAAGATAAAAATGAATGCTCCCTTAAGGGTTAGTTCTGGCATTATTTGGAGAACTTGTTACTGCTCTCATTTAAAACAGATGCCCTCACTGACTCTGTTTACCAAATGAGGCAGATTTATTACCTGTCAAGCCCCTTTTTACCACCACCAAAGAGGCTTTGTAGTTGTAACTTAAAAATGGCAATCCTCTTATCTCTGGTGACCAAATGGGACAAACTTCTCAAATGTATACTCTCTCTACCCACACACTGAAGTAGAATAGTCACAGATTACTATGAGTCATGCCATTATTGGCCTTTGGCTGATATTATAATTTATGTGTTCATATGTTTGGTGTCACAACAGTTTCATGTTCTGGATCAAAATGGCATAAGAAGGACCAAAAACTTTTAGTGAGTTAGTTAAATTTTTGCCAAGTGGTAGATATTTAGTTTATGTGGGTTTTTTTTATGTCTTTGTGTGACATTAACTAATCTGTTTATGAGTCAGTTCATAAAAAAGGATTCATTACAACTATACTAAAATCTAAGGAAATCTAGAGCCCGATAAAATGATGGTAAAATATCAATTAGCCTACAAATTACTAACATTAAGCTTTTAGATAAAAGAAGAAAGCTTCCTTCTCAATAATGAAAAAGATAACCCCATCAATGAAAACAAGTACACGATGTTAAGGAAAATTTTTACTCAGTATCTACAGTATACTAGGCATTGGAATTAACAATAAGGACCAAAATACTTAAGAATTTACCCGGGAGAGACAATTATAAAATAATCAAATAAACTGTGATAAGCACTATAAACAAAAAGTATGGAAAGTACTACACAGTACTTCAAAAGCACATATTAGATAGCCATCACTTTGTGTGTGTTTGTGCAGATGAGTGACGGGTTGGTCAGGGAAGGTGTATCTGAGTAAATGATTATTTCTTTAAGCATGGTTTCCTTTGGCTCTCTGAATATATTTATAATGGCTGCTTTGAAGTTTTTGTCTGTTAAGTCCAAAATTGAGAAATGAAGTAAAAATAGGAGTTGACTAGGTGAAGAGGGGAGGGTAACAGTCTTGCTTATAAAAGGAATTGCAGATCTTATAGGACTGAGGTAGAAAGGAGTATAGTGAACTTATGAAGTTAAAGATCAGGGTGGCTGGAATATAGAATGCCAGAGTGTCAGGGAGAGAAGTGAACAATCCACCCGGAGAGGTGGGCCAGGTAATGCAGGGTCATGTAGACTCTTGTGAAAAATGTGGGTCTTTTGGTTTTAATCAAACAAGTGACATGAATTGATTAGTGTTTTTAAAAGACCACTCTGACTTTACTGTAGAACATGGATTAAAAGCAGGGGTGGCCAGCATTCAGCAAGAGAGAAAAATAGGAAGGCCAATTTACTTTTTAGTAGCAGTAAAGAAATGTAATAAAATACCCATAGATTAAAGACAATATAACTATTCTTTCTTTAGGACAAAACCAATAGAATTTTCCTGCATAACAAATTATGAAACTTTCAACAGATAAAATCCCACTAACTAATAACTCTTGAGATAAAAGAATTTTAAAATCCACATTTAAAAAGAATAAACAATCTGTAATCAATACTTTTATGGAAAAATCTAATTGTTCCTTTTATGGCAAATCATACAAACTTTTTTTTTGTACCTCTGATATCTACATAAAGACAGTTTAGTCTAAACTCTCAGCTTAATGACAATAATATGAAGGCCCATGAAGTTCTGGTGAATTGCCTAAGGCCACAAAGATATTTGAAGACAGAACTACTGAAACGTGAGTTAAATAAAAGAAAAAAAATGCCATTCAATATTTATTTCAGCACTTTTGAGATAGTTTCATCACCTTTGGCTTTTGACAGTTTGACTATGATATGTCTGGGTATGGATATCTGTGGTTATCCTACTTTCAGTTTGTTGAGTTTCTTGGATGAGTTTCTTGGATGTGTAGATTAATGTTTTTCATCAAATTTGAGACATTTTCAGCCATTCTTTCTTCAAATACTTCTGCTCCTTTCTCTCTCTCCTCTCCATCTGATAGTCCTATTATAAATTTGTTGGTGAGCATGTTGTCCTAAACTTCCCTGAGGCTCTGTTTGTTATTTTCTTTGTTCTTTGAATGACATAATTTCTTTTTTTTTCTTTTTCTTACCCCTTTTAATTTCTTTTTTATTATTATTATACTTTAAGTTCTAGGGTACATGTGCACAACATGCAGGCTTGTTACATATGTATACATGTGCCATGTTGGTTTGCTGCACCCATTAACTTGCCATTTACATTAGGTATATCTCCTAATGCTTTCCCTCCCCCTTCCCCCCACCCCAAAACAGGCCCCAGTGCGTGAAGTTCCCCTTCCTGTGTCCAAGTGTTCTCATTGTTCAATTACCACCTAAGAGTGAGAACATGTGGTGTTTGGTTTTTTGTTCTTGTGCTACTTTGCTGAGAACGATGGTTTCCAGCTTCATTCATGTCTCTACAAAGGACATGAACTCATCATTTTTTATGGCTGCATAGTATTCCATGGTGTATATGTGCCACATTTTCTTAATCCAGTCTACAATTGTTGGACATTTGGGTTGGTTGCAAGTCTTTGCTATTGTGAATAGTGCCGCAATAAACATATGTGTGCATGTCCCTTTATAGTAGCATGATTTATAATCCTTTGGGTATATACCCAGTAATGGGACGGCTGGGTCAAATGGTATTTCTAGTTCTAGATCCTTGAGGAATCGCCACACTATCTTCCACAATGGTTGAACTAGTTTACAGTCCCACCAACAGTGTAAAAGTGTTCCTATTTCTCCACATCCTCTCCAGCACCTGTTGTTTCCTGACTTTTTAATGATCATCATTCTAACTGGTGTGGGATGGTATCTCATTGTGGTTTTGATTTGCATTTCTCTGATGGCCAGTGATGATGAGCATTTTTTCATGTGCCTGTTGGCTGCATAAATGTCTTCTTTTGAGAAGTGTCTGTTCATATCCTCCACCCACTTTTTGATGGGGTTGTTTGTTTTTTCTTGTAAGTTTGTTTGAGTTCTTTGTAGATTCTGGATGTTAGCCCTTTGTCAGATGAGTAGATTGCAAAAACTTTCTCCCATTCTGTAGGTTGCCTGTTCACTCTGATGGTAGTTTCTTTTGCTGTGCAGAAGCTCCTTCATTTAATTAGATAACATTTGTCAATTTTGGCTTTTGTTGCCATTGCTTTTGGCGTTTTAGACATGAAGTCCTTGCCCATGCCTATGTCCTGAATGGTATTGTCTAGGTTTTCTTCTAGGGATTTTATGGTTTTAGGTCTCACATTTAAGTCTTTAATCCATGTTGAATTAATTTTTGTATAAGGTGTAAGGAAGGGATCCAGTTTCAGCTTTCTACATATGGCTAGCCAGTTTTCCCAGCACCATTTATTAAATAGGGAATCCTTTCCCCATTTCTTCTTTTTGTCAGGTTGGTCAAAGATCAGATGGTTGTAAATGTGTAGTATTATTTCTGAGGGCTCTGTTCTGTTCCATTGGTCTATATCTCTGTTTTGGTAGCAGTACCATGCTGTTTTGGTTACTGTAGCCTTGTAGTGTAGTTTGAAGTCAGGTAGTGTGATGCCTCCAGCTTTGTTCTTTTGGCTTAGTATTGTCTTGGCGATGTGGGCTCATTTTTGGTTCCATATGAACTTTAAAGTAGTTTTTTCCAATTCTGTGAAGAAAGTCAGTGGTAGCTTGATGGGGGTGGCACTGAATCTATAAATTACCTTGGGCAGTATGGCCATTTTCACGATTTTGATTCTTCCTATCCATGAGCATGGAATGTTCTTGCATTTGTTTATATCCTCTTTTATTTTGTTCAGCAGTGGTTTGTAGTTCTCCTTGAAGAGGTCCTTCACGTCCCTTGTAAGTTGGATTCCTAGGTATTTTATTCTCTTTGAAGCAATTGTGAATGGGAGTTCACTCATGATTTTGGTCTCTGTTTGTCTGCTATTGATGAATAAGAATGCTTGTGATTTTTGCACATTGATTTTGTATCCTGAGACTTTGCTGAAGTTGCTTATCAGCTTAAGGAGATTTTGGGCTGAGACGATGGGGTTTTCTAAATATACAATCATGTCATCTGCAAACAGGGGCAATTTGACTTCCTCTTTTCCTAATTGAATACCCTTTATTTCCTTCTCCTGCCTGATTGCCCTGGCCAGAACTTCCAACACTATGTTGAATAGGAGTGGTGAGAGAGGGCATCCCTGTCTTGTGCCAGTTTTCAAAGGGAATGCCTCCAGTTTTTGCCCATTCAATATGATATTGGCTGTGGGTTTGTCATAGATAGCGCTTATTATTTTGAGATACGTCCCATCAATACCTAATTTATTGAGAGTTTTTAGCATGAAGTGTTGTTGAATTTTGTCAAAGGCCTTTCCTGCATCTATTGAGATAATCATGTGGTTTTTGTCTTTGGTTCTGTTTATATGCTGGATTTGGTTTATTGATTTGCATATGTTGAACCAGTCTTGCATCCCAGGGATGAAGCCCACTTGATCAAGGTGGATAAACTTTTTGATGTGCTGCTGGATTCGGTTTGCAGTATTTTATTGAGGATTTTTGCATCAATGTTGATCAGGGATATTGGTCCAAAATTCTCTTTTTTTGTTGTGTCTCTGCCAGGCTTTGGTATCAGGATGATGCTGGCCTCATAAAATGAGTTAGGGAGGATTCCCTCTTTTTCTATTGATTGGAATAGTTTCAGAAGGAATGGTACCAGCTCCTCCTTGTACCTCTGGTAGAATTCGGCTATGAATCCCCCTGGTCCTGGACTTCTTTTGGTTGGTAGGCCATTACTTATTGCCTCAATTCCAGAGCCTGTTATTGTTCCATTCAGAGATTCAACTTCTTCCTGGTTGAATCTCTCCTTGGGAGGGTGTTTGTGTCCAGGAATTTATCCATTTCTTCTAGATTTTCTAGTTTGTTTGCATAGAGGTGTTTATAGTATTCTCTGATGGTAGTTTGTATTTCTGTGGGATCGGTGGTGACATCCCCTTTATCATTTTTATTGTGTCTATTTGATTCTTCTCTCTTTTCTTCTTTATTAGTCTTGCTAGTACTCTATGAATTTTGTTGATCTTTTCAAAAAACCAGCTCCTGGATTCATTGATTTCTGAAGGGTTTTTTGTGTCTCTATCTCCTTCAGTTCTTCTCTGATCTTAGTTATTTCTTGTCTTCTGCTAGCTTTTGAATGTGTTTGCTGTTGCTTCTCTAGTTCTTTTAATTGTGATGTTAGGGTGTCAATTTTAGATCTTTCCTGCTTTGTCTTGTGGGCATTTAGTGCTATAAATTTCCCTCTACACACTGCTTTAAATGTGTCCCAGAGATTCTGGTATGTTGTGTCTTTGTTCTCATTGGTTTCAAAGAACATCTTTATTTCTGCCTTCATTTCGTTATGTACCCAGTAGTCACTCAGGACCAGGTTGTTCAGTTTCCATGTAGTTGAGCTGTTCTGAGTGAGTTTCTTAACCCTGAGTTCTAGTTTGATTGCACTGTGGTCTGAGAGACAGTTTGTTATAATTTCTGTTCTTTTACGTTTGCTGAGGAGTGCTTTACTTCCAACTATGTGGTCAATTTTGGAATAAGTGTGATGTGGTGCTGAGAAGAATGTATATTCTGTTGAGTTGGGGTGGAGAGTTCTGCAGATGTCTGTTAGGTCTGCTTGATGCAGAGCTGAGTTCAATTCCTGGATATCCTTGCTAACTTTCTGTCTGGTTGATCTGTCTAATGTTGACAGTGGGGTGTTAAAGTCTCCCATTATTATCGTGAGGGAGTCTAAGTCTCTTTGTAGATCTCTAAGGACTTGCTTTATGAATCTGGGTGTCCTGTATCGGGTGCATATATATTTAAGACAGTTAGCTCTTCTTGTTGAATTGATCCCTTTACCATTATGTAATGGCCTTCTTTGTCTCTTTTGATCTTTGTTCGTTTAAAGTCTGTTTTATCAGAGACTAGGATTGCAACCCCTGCCTTTTTTTGTTGTCCATTTGCTTGGTAGATCTTCCTCCATCCCTTTATTTTGAGCCTATGTGTGCCTCTGCACATGAGATGGGTCTCCTGAATACAGCACACTGATGGGTCTTGACTCTTTACCCAATGTGCTAGTCTGTGTCTTTTAATTGGAGCATTTAGCCCATTGACATTTAAGGTTAATATTGTTATGTGTGAATTTGATCCTGTCATTATGACGTTAGCTGGTTATTTTGTTCGCTAGTTGATGCAGTTTCTTCCTAGTATCGCTGGTCTTTACAATTTGTCATGTTTTTATAGTGGCTGGTACCGCTTGTTCCTTTCCATGTTTAGTGCTTCCTTCAGGAGCTCTTGTAGGGCAGGCCTGGTGGTGACAAAATCTCTCAGCATTTGCTTGTATGTAAAGGATTTTATTTCTCCTTCATTTACAAAGCTTTGTTTGTCTGGATATGAAATTCTGGGTTGAAAATTCTTTTCTTTAAGAATGTTGAATATTGGCCCCCACTCCCTTCTGGCTTGTAGAGTTTCTGCCGAGAGATCCGCTGTTAGGCTGATGGGATTCCCTTTGTGGGTAACCCAACCTTTCTCTCTGGCTGCCCTTAAGATTTTTTCCTTCACTTCAACTTGATGAGTCCGACAATTATGTGTCTTGGGGTTGCTCTTCTCGAGGTGTATCTTTGTGGCATTCTCTGTATTTCCTTAATTTGAATGTTGGCCTGCCTTGCTAGGTTGGGGAATTTCTCCTGGATAATATCCTGCAGGGTGTTTTCCATCTTGGATCCATTCTCCCCATCACTTTCAGGTACACCAATCAGACACAGATTTGGTCTTTTCACACAGTCCCATATTTCTTGGAGGCTTTGTTGACATTTCTTTTTATTCTTTTTTCTCTAAACTTCTCTTCTCGCTTCATTTCACTCATTTCATCTTCAATCACTGATACCCTTTCTTCCAGTTGATCGAATTGGCTACTGAAGCTTGTGCATTTGTCACGTAGTTCTCATGCCATGGTTTTCAGCTCCATCAGGTCACTTACGTACTTCTCTACAGTGGTTATTCTAGTTAGCCACTCGTCTAATCTTTTTCAAGGCATTAGCTCAGAGCAGTTTGGTCATCTGAAGCCTTCTTCTCTCAACTCGTCAAAGTCATTCTCCATCCAGCTTTTTTCCGTTGCTGGTGAGGAGCTGCATTCCTTTAGAAGGGGAGTGGTGCTCTGACTTTTAGAAATTTCAGCTTTTCTGCTCTGTTTTTTCCCCATCTTTGTGGTTTTATCTACCTTTGGTCTTTGATGATGGTGACGTATAGATGGGATTTTGGTGTGGATGTCCTTTCTGTTTGTTAGTTTTACTTCTAACAGTCAGGACCCTCAGCTGCAGGTCTGTTGGAGTTTGCTGGAAGTCCACTCCAGACCCTGTTTGCCTGGGTATCAGCAGCGGAGGCTGCAGAACAGCGAATATAGCTGAAGAGCAAATGTTGCTGCCTGATCATTCCTCTGGAAGCTTCATCTCAGAGGGGTACCTGGCCATGTGAAGTGTCAGTCTGCCCCTACTGGGGGATGACTCCCAGTTAGGCTACTCAGGGGTCAGGGACCCACTTGAGGAGGCCGTCTGTCTGTTCTCAGATCTCAAACTCCATGCTGGGAGAACCACTGCTCTTCAAGCTGTCGAACAGGGACGTTTAAGTCTGCAGAGGTTTCTGCTGCCTTTTGTTCGGCTATGCCCGGCCCCCAGAGGTGAAATCTACAGAGGCAGGCAGGCCTCCTTGAGCTGAGGTGCGCTCCACCCAGTTCGAGCTTCCTAGTCACTTTGTTTACCTACTCAAGCCTCAGCAATGTCGGTCGCCCCTCCCCCAGCCTTGCTGCTGACTTGCAGTTCAATCTCAGACTGCTGTGCTAGCAATGAGTGAGGCTCTGTGGGCGTAGGACCCTCGAGCCAGGGGTGGGATATAATGTCCTGGTGTGCCGTTTGCTAAGACCTTTGGAAAAGTGCAGTATTAGGGTGGGAGTGACCCGATTTTCCAGGTGCCGTCTGTCACCCCTTCTCTTGGCTAGAAAAGGGAATTCCCTGACCCCTTGTGCTTCCCGGGTGAGGCAATGCCTCACCCTGCTTCGGCTCACACTCGGTGGGCTGCACCCACTGTCCTGCCTCCACTGTTCGACGAGCCCCAGTGAGGTGAACCCGGTACCTCAGTTGGAAATGCAGAAATCACCCATCTTCTGCATCGCTCACTCTGGGAGCTGTAGACTGGAGCTGTTCCTATTCGGCCATCTTGGAACTGCTGAATGACAATTTCTTATGATGTCTTCCAAGTTCACTGATTCTTCTCTGCTTTTTCAAATATACTTTTGAGTCCTTCCAGTAAAATTTTCATTTCAATTATTGTACTTTTCAACGCCAGAATTTCGGTCTGGTACTTTAAAAATGTAATTTCTATCTCTTTAAAACCTTCTGTATTAGAGGAGACATTGTCATCACACCTTACTTTACCTTTTTTTTTTTTTTAGACCGGGTCTCACCTGTTGCCTAGGCTGGAGTGTAATGGCATAACCACAGCTCACTGCAGCCTTGACCTCCTGGGCAAAAGTGATCCTCGCATCTCAGCCTCCTGAGTAGCTGGGACAACAGGTGCATGCCACTACACCCAGCTAATTTTTTTTCTATTTTGTAGAGACAGGGTTTTGCCATGTTGCCTGGGCTGGTCCCAAATTCCTGGGCTCAAGCGATTGTCCTGCCTCAGCTTCCCAAAATGCTATGATTACAGGTGTGAGCCACTGCATCTGGCCTTACTTTACTTTTTTAAGCATGGCTTCCTTTAGTTCTTTGAATATATTTATAATGGCTGCTTTGAAGTTTTATTTGGTTAAGTACAACATCTAAGCCATCTTACAAGCAGCTGGGGCTCATGATTGTTATTTGCTTATTTGTTTAGTGACTTGGTTGAAATATTTCATTTAAGTCTGTTTCTCCCAAAGTGTGAAGCCTCTGATGTACTTCAGAGTATGCCGCCTTGAGCATACACACAATCATCCTTCAATGACACTGGCTTTAGCAGGGTTTTTTTTTTTTTTTTTAAGACAGTCTTGCTCTGTCACCCAGGCTGGAGTGCAGTGGTGCAATCTTGGCTCACTGCAACCTCTACCTCCTGGGTTCAAGCAATCCTCCTGCCTCAGCCTCCTGAGTAGCTGGGACTACAGGCATGCACCACCAAGCCCGGCTAACTTAGCAGGTTCTTTGTCTCTTCCCCTGATCTCTGTGTTAAGCTTTCTGTCTTTCTCGATATCACAGCCAGATATTAGGTTCCTCTAATTGCCAGCTGATTATTCTACTGTTTTCAACAATGTCCTCATGCATAAATTGTACCACAGTCTGATTCAATTAAACGTATGGTCCTTTGTGAGGTCATTTTTGTGGCCAGTCTTTGAGGTTTGTCCTATCCCATCAGGACTCCTCCTAGTTATCTCTGTCTCTGGCTTTCTCTGGTAAACCAGCTGCTATGCTTTTAGCTTGTTACTCTTAAGTGTTTGCTATTAAAATCTTCATTGTTCAGAGACCCATTAGGTTGGAACTTTCCTATACTCCATATAAAGTTAGTTCTTTGAGGAGAGCTTCAGAGTTACTGTTGTTAAAGCTGTCTCCCATTCTGGCCAAAATCTCTGAGTCATTTGCCCTGGAGCCGGATTGTGGACAGTGGCCTACTTCTCTTGGAGTGACACTTCTGCTTTGTGAGAAAGACACTGGTGAGGGTGGTAGCCTCTGGTCTTCTCAGCTTGCCTTTCCCATGTGGAACCTCTGTCCCCTCTATAAACAAAATGAGGTGAAAGCCGTTGAGGCCCTAGTATTTTTGGCCTGCTGAGTGGAGTCAGAGCTTTTGGGCCAGATCTCTGCCCTATGGGAAGGAATCTGACAACTTCCTGATGGTACTCTCTAGAATTTAGCATCTGCAATGGAGGTGAGGGAGATAAGAAATACTGGCCATCTGCCCCTCCTGTGGAGATATTGTAACCGTCAACTAGAAGCTGGAGGGAAATGGAGCCCCATCTTCCTGGCCACACATGGCTGAATTGAAGCTTCTGTCATGCTAATCTGGGGGTGAGGGGAGGCAAAAAGCAGGTCATGACTCAAGGGCCACAAATTATTTTTACCGAGATTTAGTAGCTTTTCTCAAATAAATGTTTTCTTCTTTGATGACTTTTTATGTAACCTTAGGATAATTACCAGAGACTTTAAATACTTTTAAAAAAATAGTTTTCACTAGTTACAGTTTCCTGCTGAGGATGGTTCTGTGGAGCTTCTCTCAGACAACCATTTAAGAACTGATAATTTCCACTCTGTATTTCTGAAGTACAGAGGTTATTGGCAAACTAGTATTATTGTATAAATGAAGAATTAATTTTATTTATATAGGCATACCTTGGAGATATTGCAGGTTCAGTTCCAGACCACCACAATAAAGTGAATATCGTAATAAAGCAAATCACACAAATTTTCTGGTTTCTCAGTATGTATAAAAGCTATGTTTATACTACACTATAGTCTATTAAGTACACTAGCATATGCCCAAAAATATACATGCCATAAATTAAAAATACTTTCTTGCTAAAAAAAAAATGCTAATAACCATCTGAATCTTCAGCAGGCTGTAATCTTGTTGGTGGAGGGTCTTGCTTCAATGTGTATGGCTGCTAACTGATCCAGGGTGGTGGCTGCTGAACATTGGGGCAGCTGTGGCAGTTTCTTAAAATAAGACAACAATAAATTTGCTGCATTGATAGACTCTTCCTTTCACAAAATATTTGTTTGTTGGCACTTTACCCACAGAACTTTCAAAATTGGAGTCAATTCGCTTGAACCCTGCTATTGTTTTACTAAGTTTATGTAATAGTGTAAACACTTTGTTGTCATTTCAACAATGTGTATAGTAGCTTCACCAAGAGTAGAGTCCATCTCAAGAAATGACTTTCTTTGTTTATCCTCAAGAAGCAACTCTTCATTCATGTAAGTTTTATGATGAGATTGAAGCAATTCAGTCACATATTGAGGCTCTACTTCTAATTCCAATTATCTTGCTTTTCCCACCACAGTGACCGTTACTTCCTCCACTGAAGTCTTGAACCCCTCAAGGTTACCCATGAAGGTTAGAATCAACTTCTTCCAAACTCCTTTTCATGTTGATATTTTGACCTCCTCTCATGAATCACAAATGTTCTTAATGGCATTTAGATTGGTGAATCCTTTCCAGAAGCTTTCAATTTACTTTTCCCAGATCCATCAGAGGAATCACTATCTATGACACTATATAGCCTTACAAAATGTATTTCTTAAATAAGATTGAAAGTCAAAATGACTCCCTTATCCATGGGCTGCAGAATGGATGTCGTGTTACTAGGTATGAAAACAACATTTATCTCCTTGTACATCTGCATCAGAGATTTTGGGTGAATATGTGCATTGTGAATGAGCAGTAATATTTTGAAATGAATGTTTTTTTCTGAATAGTAGGCTTCAACAGTATGTTTACAATATTAGGTAGACCATGCTGTTAACAGATGTGCTGTCATCTAGGCTTTCTTGTTCCATTTATAGAGCACAGGCAGAGTAGATTAAGCATATTTCTTAAGGGCCCAAGGATTTTTGAAATGGAACGAGCACTGGCTTCAACCTAAAGATACCAGCTGCATTCGCCCCTAACAACAGAGTCAGCATATCCTTTGAAGCTTTGAAGACAAACATTGACTTCTCCTCTCTAGCTATGAAAGTTCTAGATGGCATTTTCTTCCAATGGAAAGCTGTTTCATCTACACTGAAAAATCTGTTGTTTAGTGTAGCCACCTTTAACAATGATCTTTGCTAGACAGGGACAATTTGCTGTAGCTGCTACATCAACACTTGCTGCTTCACCTTGCATTTTTTAAGTTATGGAGATGGCATTTTTCCTTCAACCACATAAACCAACCTTTGCTAGCTTTCAATTATTCTTCTCCAGCTTCCTCTCCTCTCTCAGCCTTGATAAAATTGAAGAGATTTAGGGCCTTGCTCTGGATTAGGCTTTGGTTTAGGGGAATGTCATGGCTAGTTTGATCTTCTATTCAGACTACTAAAATTTTCTCCATATCAGCAACAAGGCTGTTCTCCTTTCTTATCACTCACGTGTTCACTAGAGTAACACTTTTAATTTCCTTCAAAAACTTTTCGTTTGCATTTACAACTTGGCTGTTTGGTGCAAGAGGCCTAGCTTTTGGCTTATCTTGGCTTTGGGCATGCCGTCCTCACTAGGCATAATCATTTCTAGCTTTTGATTTAAAGCCAGAGACATGTAACTTCCATTCACTTCAACATTTCAAGGCCACCACAGGGTTATTATTGGCCTAATTTCTATATTGTTGTGTCTCAGTGTATAGAAAGGACTGAGGAAAGGGAGAGAAATGGGTAATGGCCAGTTGGTAGAACAATCAGAACACATGCATTTATCAATTAAGTTTGCCATCTTAAGGGTGCAGTTTGTGGCATTCCAAAATAATTACAGTAGTAACATCAAAGATCACTAATCACAGATTACTAAATCAGATATAATAATAAAGTTTGAAATATTGTTAAGAATTACCAAAATGTGACACAGAAATATGAAACAAGCTCATGCTGTTGAAAAAAATGGTGCTGATAGACTTGCTCAATGCAGGGTTGCCACAAACCTTCAATTTGTAAAAATAACATATCTGTGAAGCACAATAAAGCACAATAAAGTGAGATACACCTGTATATTCAAAAATTTACTGAGTACTAAGAATTAGGTACAGGGCTACATATTAGCTACATAAACTTTTAGAAGAAGATTTTTGTATTCTCCAACTTTTAATTAATAACTAACTTTATATTAAAATGGAATTTTAAGTCCACTACTTAAAAAAACAAAAAATTTTAATTATGCATTTGAAATCACAGGAATCTCTTAAAATTGTTTCTGGGGTTATTTAAAATTTTAACTTTATAAATAAGTCTTATAAAGTCTTTATACTTTAGCTCTTGGAACATATGATAAACCTTCTTGAAGATGCTTATTTAAGTTTATATTCTCTCTTAAACACATATACACCACAATACCATTTTCAAACAAAAACCTGCTCATACAAACAGCAGGGACCAATTTACATTTAATCAAGCAGAAATTGCTGTGTAGAATCTAGGTATTTCCTTTATGACATTTGTATTGACATTCATTCAAAATCAAATTATTAATATGTACATATCTTTTTAAAAAAGAACATCATGTAAGCAATTCTATATAAATTACATATTTTCTATTTATGATAAATGATTTTATTCTAGATGTGAAAAAGTAAGAATCCAAGCATCCACAATATCTGCAAATGAAATGATCAAAGGATAATCACGACACTCCAAATTGATTTTGAAACATTATTTTTTCAATATCTTTAATTTTAAAAGTATAATGCAAAATGCTTTCTCCAAACATCTTGGAATGGCTTAAATAAGAATTTGACATCTGATTTAAGCATCTATGCCAATAACAAAGATAGAAAACTTACCTGCCAATAATACCTCCTTGATGTACCATATATGACAAAAAGAAACAATTGGGAACTCTTATTCTCCTATCTAATTTCACAGTAAAAACAAAAGGTAATCTTATCCCAAACTTAGAACATTTCATCCGACAAGCATGCCATGGATTACAAAAAGATTTAGTCAACAGCAGAGATATCTCCTAAAGTATCATGATATAGAGAACCTAAAACAAGAACACTATGTATTTTTATTTTTAAACTTACCTGATATAAATAATCTTCAAATACAAAATAATAATCATCATTGCTTGCTGTCAACTTCACATCCTATAATTAAAAGTAGACAGTACTGAAAAGAACTCAAACAGATCTGTCTGTAGTACTAAAGCATACACATGTATTTAGAAGCACTACTGCAATAAATTTATTACTTTATGATTATAAACTTCTCAATTAAATTTTATCATTGCTATGTATTTACTGAACTAATATATGTGACACATTATTTGAACTCGAATTCCTCATACTTTTTAAGGTCCCATTAGTAATTCTTTAATATTTATTTCAATTTTATCTCCTTTTAATCTAATATTTAGATGGCTTAAAGCTAAAAAAGAAAAGCGGATGCAATCATAACATCCAGAAGCAACCATAACGATCTGGCCCCAAATTACTGTTCCAATCTCACTGTTCAAGTCCAAATTCTTGCCATTCCCACAAAAGACCAAATATCTTCCATGCCTTTGTGATTATTCACTTGCAAGTCACCACTTGTTACTGAGAGAGCAAGAATGTTGATTTTCTGTATTATGAGTTTAAGGGCCAGTTCACTGACTTCCCCTGGATAGCATATTAGTTTCCTTCTTTAAATATATTCCTATTCTCACTTTCTGACTTGAGTCTACCTTAATGATTTCTATGAGCCTCCCTATGACACTTTAGCCACTTTGAGCTCCAACATCTTAAATGTTTTTTGTATACGTAGTACCACCACAGTGCTTAGCACCTAAATACCCAATACATATTTGATGAGTGAGTAAAAATAAATATGATAAAATTATTAATAGAAATTAATTATATTTTCCTGTGATATAATTCATAAGTATATAGGTACCCCTCCAATAACAAGCAAACAAATGAACAAAAGTCTAGAAAAATGAACTAAAGCATTTGTGTTTCCCCCAGGATTGCCTCTGAATATTATGTCCAGAGTTGGAAACTGCTGCTTGTGTGCTTCAGTGTAAAGAACATAAAATTCCAACAGATTTAACTAAGATTTGAAATCCAGTTCCACTACTTTTAGCTGTATGACTTTGGTCAGTAACTCTGAGGCTAGATCTCCATATCCATAAATGAGGATACCACTGCCTCCTTCAGAAAGGATGGGTAAATGCCTAGCACAGTATCAGATAAAGAGTAAACATCCAGAAAGCTTTTTTAAAAAAATTCACCAAAAGCCCTTTTACTTATAATAGTGTTCATCTATTTATAAGTAAATATAGATCCCAAACCTTACATGTATCCAAAATCTCCAGATGTAACTATACCATGCTTTTAGACCCAATATATAATCAATTCAACAAGTACTGATTGATTGGTTGGGATGAAGGATACAAAAATCAAAACTTCAAAAAACAAACAAACAAACAAAAAAGAAGACAAATAATAAATGTTTACCATCGAGCAGTCTACAATCTCACTGGCAAGATAGTAAAAACATGGGAAAATCACAAAGAAATGTTACAAAAATCCATGGTCAAATAGCTCTAACAGTCTATAAAATTCAACCAGGCTGTTGAGCAAAGTAGCAATCAGGGGAGGATGGAAAGAGTCATAGATGACTCTGGGGTTAGCGAATGTGTGCTAACTCTGAAAAAACCATAATGACACAGATTAAGGAGAAAGAAACAGTCCAGCCTTTTATGTCAGAAGACAACCCAGACAAAGGTAGAGATCATGCATTCTCAACAGGGGGATACTATTGCCTCTGTGGGCATGAAAACTGGTTCCTGGAGGTCAACAAATTTTACATATTACAATGGTATGTGGCCGACCAGAGCTCATCCCTACCCATCCAAATCTTATTTTTTGTTATTTACTTTTTCTTATTAGAGAGAAGTTAATTAATCTTTCTCTCCAGGAGCGTGATAATGAAGAAAGGTTGAAAAACACTAGTATAAATTATCAGATTATAGTAAATGGTTGAAAACTATAGAAAGTATGGATACAAGGCAAGTTTGTTAAAAAAAAAAACAAAACACAAAACCATTTAATAAATTAGCTTAGGGAGGGTTCAATGATGTTCTGTACTCACAACATCATTGGCTCAGAACATCTATGACTTTCCATCCTCCCCGATTGCTACTTTGCTCAACAGCCTGGTTGAATTTTGTAGACTGTTTGAGCTATTTGACCATGGATTTTGTAACATTGCCTTGTTCCATTCATTCCTTTAACCTTTAAAAGAATTCCACCTTGTTTTCAGTTAAATTTAAAATAAGTTTTTGCTATAGGGAGCTGTAATAACAGGGATTTTTTTTTTTAAATGATCATTCCCTTAACGGCTGACTTCAATAATGTTTGGAGTGATTGGCAGAGCCCAACTAAGTCAAAAATAACCAGAGACAGATATCTTCCTAAAAACATTCACGTTGCGCACAGCTTAGATGCCATTAAAACTTTCATCCAATTCCTCAGGCACAAATTACTTCCTTCTTGGAACAAATTTTCTTTACTGACTCAAACTGAAATTTGTTTTGGTGACAAAGAGAACTCTCATCCTAGCACTCCTTACTTTTTTTTAGCTTTTTCACGTGTGAGTTTCCTCTCATTTGACTAGAAAAGAGGCTAATGGTCTTACAGGCCAAAAGATCTCTTACATTTTTGATAAAATAATCCACTGAGCATAATAATTTGACCTCAAACTTAATAGTAGTACCTGTGATCCAAATCTAGTGAAAAACCTCTGTGAAATACAAGACTTTCCATCAAAGGACTGTATCCTCTAAACTCTCATTTCCACTTACTGTAGAGCTTAGTGGTTAAGAATACAGTTCTGAAGTCAGATTGGCTAGGTCTAAATCTTGGCTTCACTACTTCACATGTTAATTTAAACAAATTTCTTTCTTTATCTCAATTTCCATAACTACTTTCTGCTTTGTTATCACACATGTGTCACTATGTTGCTGGTAAGTAAGGAAATGATGTTAGTATAACATGGAAATTGTATTGGTTCAGATGCAATTTTTCTTAAGCAAGAGGAGCTGGAGCAGAGGGAGGAGAATTATAACCAACAGCAGGAAAAAAAATGTCTTCAGCTCAGCTGCTGCTGCACAGGCATGAGACTTTACAGTTGCTTTTTAAGAACATTAAAAACAGGCATTGGCACTGGGGCTTCCTCTTGAGAGAGGCACGCTCCCAGCCCAGCACATTTCTTCACTGCTGTTCTCTTGTGCACACCTTAACAGTAGCCCCAGTGGCCCAGAGCACCACTTCCACTTGCATTATTTTAGCATTTCTGTTTTATTATTTTTATACATTTTTAATAGCTCCTACCAGAGTAGCCTGCCTGAGCTGTCTGATTCTTCTCCCAGGCCACCAATGATTGCTTTTGTTAGTACTCTGATTACAAAGTTGCAAAAATTTTGAGTGGGTCTACCCCAACCCTGTTTTGCCCATAAGCTCTGTTATTTTCAAAGCGTGGTTTTACAGAATGCAAGTTTTTCCGCAGAAAAACAATACATTTATAATGCATAGCCTAAATGTTGGTATCTGCTACTCTTAGGTAGTTGTATGCACTAAATAGTAATCTATGTAAAGGGTTTGGAATACTATATGGCACAGTAAGCAGTCATTTGTTAGTAATAGTTATTATTACCCCTGGCCATGTTCTACTCAGACACATTTTCAGGTCCTCAATATGTAATCTTCTTTTTCCCATTTCTGAGACCTATAATAATATGCCTTTCTCTCTTATATTTCAAATCTAAATTTTAAATCTAAGACTTTTAAACTGCCTAATATTAATTCAGAATTATTCATATCCTATATTACACATAAAGTGTTAGCTACACCAGACCAATCTGGTTCAACTTCTATGTAACACAGTTATGAGCTGTTTTTCAGTTGCCATGGACCTCCAGGTTGAAGGTCACGTAACCTGAGCATGGCCAGATGAACCAAGCACGCAACCACAGGTGGAACCTATGTGACAGGACTAAAGAGTGGGGTCTGAATTAAGAAGTGGACACCACATGGCAGTATCCAGGATTCAATCAGATCAAGCCCTGGCATCACCCCATGGCAGGATCCAGTCCGATCAAACCTTTCTAGCTACAAAAACCCAGTGCTTTGGTGCTTGGCTTTCTATTGTGTACTGGAAAATGGACCCTGTTTGGCTCAGTGATGAAAGCGTTAACTCAGCTCTCAACTTGATTATCAGATGCTTGGAGGCAAAAACTCAATGTGTCTCTACCTTAAAACCTGAGATATACTTAGCCATATGTCTAGAAACTAAAAGAAATTAAAAATTAAAAATGACTTCAATATAAAGAAAATAAACAAGTGGGCCCTAAAGAATCATAAGATAAAAATATTATAATCCGGTTTTGCTTTTCAGTTGCCTTTTTACTTGGTTTGTGTAGAAAGCTTGAATTTAGAGATATAAGAAATGCTTATCTTAATCAAAAAATAGGAGGACTAGGAAAGAATCATGAAGACAGCTTCAAAGGGAAAGAAGATAACAGAGAATGCAAACTGCAAATTTTGAACACCAACTTTAACTTTATATGTATAAATCTAATCACTTAAAATTATTTTTCAAGGTTAATATATATCATACATAGCACAGGCTCTGCATACTGAAGAATCTCAATTCTAAATTATATTAATGAAAAGGAAAAACTAAGCTGACTTTTACTTACTTTATAGATTAGACTGTCCACCAAAAGGTCATGTTGTATCACATTGGTCTTAAGCTGCTCATAATACAAGACATCCTAAATTTAAAAGTAAAACAAAAAAATTAAAGGTCAATCACATTTATAAAGTCAGCCTTAAACTCAAATAATAATAGTATTCTAAACACTAAGAAGGGCAGGAACTCAGTGTTAGGCACTACTATAACCCTCATGCCTGACTAATAGTAGATGTTCAACAAATATACTTACTTCTATCACTTAGGATAACATCTGGCACCTGGTGAGTATTCCGTCAATATTTGCTAAGTTAACTATAATTTAACTTTAATAGCAAATACAGTATTTATTAAGTACTTACAGGTGCCAGGCACTATTTTACCCACTTTACAAGAGTTAACTCATTTAATCCCAAACCAACAAAATGAATTAGGTCAGTGATTATTATTCCCATTTATGCTTGAGAAACTGAAGCCAAGAGAGAAAAGTAACTTGCTATCCAAGGCCATAAAGCTAGTAACATTTAACCTCAAGAAACCTGGCCCCACAACCTATACAAAAAACTCAGAAGGATTACTTTATACTGCCTTTCTAATATCTAAATTATTACAAAATAAAAAGTTTAAGCATAACAAAGAACTCCTGGTAGTAAAAGCAATCATATAGGATATAAAGTCAGCTTTTAATATTAGAATATGGTCCCATATGCTTGAACTCAGGAGTTTGAGGTTACAGTGAGTTATGATTGAGCCACTGCTCTCCAGCCTGGGCAACAGACTGAGACCCAGTCTCTAAAATAAATAAATAAATAAATACAAGAATATGGCCACATAATACTATAAAATCTGATTAACTGCACAACGATGAGATTAGGCTAATGTAATAGAGAATAAGAAGTGGAAAAGAGGGAAAATGGAAAGTGGAGAGAATAAGGGAGGAAAGGAAGAAGGGGGAGGAGGGACTAGAGACAGTAATCAAGTTAAGCATCAGGTTCATAGTTGGTCAGGGCATTAAGGATGAAGGTAGGGATCAACTGGGTAATAGTTATGCTAACAAGAGATGCAAATAGTGTCTCGTTGCTTTAGCTGACATGTGTATTGCTCCAAATCCCTCCTTTCACCTCTCAGGCACTTTAGCCCTAGCCTCCTCTCAAACCCAAAGGCAATTTAGGACAGCGGATCTGTATGACTCCTCCTGACCTCACAGAAGAGTTGTGGGATAGGGTCGTCTGAGACAAGGAGGAATATTTACTGCATGTAGCTGCCTGGCCAGGATAAAATCTGACTCTGTGTTTCCTGAAATATGATTTCTTCATTGCAAAAGATGTTTAATACATAGTTCTTTGGCTTGAGTCAAAGTGCTCTTTGCCTAATGATGATCAGGGCATTTACTGGCTATTTTTAGTCATTTAAATTTTAATTAAAAAGCCTTAATTGGTCCTTATTGATGTTTTCATTTTTTAACTAAAGCAAAATTATTTTACTATTTTATTTATATTCCATTGTATCTACCGAATCTATCTCTCTGGCTAGAATGCAGGCTCCTTAATGGTAGAAACAGCACCTAATTCAAATATCAATTCCTGCCAGTTGTCATAAGTAGAGTAATGCAAAAGCTACGTTTAGGGGTTTGCCTCTATTTAAAAATAAGTTTAAAATTACAAACTAATATATGACCATTAAAACAAGTGAAACAATCTAGAGTAAAATAAAGAAAAAGTTAAACATCCTTTTTCCTTCCATTCAACTGTCCCAAAATAATTAATATTATTTGTATTTGGTATTGTATTTGTGGTGTTATTTGTAATTTGTATTCTTCCATGCTTATACCTATCTCCATGCTTATATGACTATGTAATCATAGTTGGGCGTTTGTGTTGTTGTTTTTCAATATGAAATGGAATCATATCATAGTCATTATTCAGCTTCTCTAACCTAATGCCATATCATGGTTTTCCTTCTTGTTAAACAATACACATTTAACTCATTCTTTTTAATAGTTACATACATTTTAATATTTTTAAAGCTGTGGTATAGATTTGTCACAATTTGTTTAATCATATCCCTATAGATGGATACTCAGGTTGTTTGTCCCTACAAATAATGTTGTAATAAATATCCTTAGGCACTATGTTTTTATATCTACAGAATAAATTGGCAAAGGC
The DNA here is from genome assembly GCF_000001405.40 of Homo sapiens. Taxonomy (NCBI): domain Eukaryota; kingdom Metazoa; phylum Chordata; class Mammalia; order Primates; family Hominidae; genus Homo; species Homo sapiens. The sequence continues at coordinate 26,681,591 of NC_000004.12, read as the reverse complement.
AGGATTATAGACTGAAGGCTGTATATATATATATTTTTTTTGAGACGGCGTCTCACTCTGTCGCCCAGGCTGGAGTGCAGTGGCACGATCTCGGTGCACTGCAACCTCTGCCTCCTGGGTTCACGCCATTCTCCTGCTCCAGCCTCCCGAGTAGCTGGGACTACAGGTGCCCAGCACCATACCCGCCTGATTTTTTTTTTTGTTTTTTGTATTTTTATTAGAGACAGGGTTTCACCGTGTTAGCCAGGATGATCTCCATCTCCTGAACCTGGTGATCTGCCCGCCTCAGCCTCCCAAAGTGCTGGGATTACAGGTGTGAGCCACCACGCCCGGCCAAGGCTCTATGTATCTTAAACTGGGCCACAAATTGCCTGACTAATCTCAGAAAAAAAATCAATTCAAATTCCCACCAGCAACACGAGAGCACATTTTATCTATGTACTCACCTCTTTTAAACATTCTCATGCATGAGAAACATCTCATTTTTGTATTAATTTGCACTTTCCCAACTCAATATAGTTGAAGAATCTTTCATATATTTATTGGCCATTTGAATTTCCATTTCAATGATTTGTCATTCATAACATATACCTATTTTTCTATTAGATTATCTTTCTTGGATTGAAAACAGAGTTGAAGCCATTAGGGAATAGGTGACTTGTGGATGAGACAGTTCAGGGAAAATGAATAGAATAAGATCAAAATGGAATTCTGAGAAATACATGCACTTAAGAGCCAGCAGAGAAATCCAAATGGAGACTAAATAAAGAAAAACGAGAGAAAGAAGAGCTAAGAAAACAGGGTGAACTAAAGTTAAGACCAAGAATATTTCAAGGATCAAATAGGCACTGGTATCAATACTGTAGGTATAAGAACTAAAATATGTCCACTATTCCTTGGTGACTTTAATTAGGGTAGTTGTAGTTATGTAGTGGGGGTGGGTGTATGTCAGACTACAATCAACTGAGTAATTAATGAGATCAAGTGATTAACTCAGCATTACTTAACTCATATTAATACAATCAAGTAATTAATAAAATTAAGTCTAGCACAGAATTTTGTTTCACAGGTGTAGCTGTGAAAGGAAGGAAAGGGAGAGAGAGATGGCTAGGAAAGACATGAGGTTTAAGATTTACTTTTATTCCTAAGATAGAAAAGACTTGAGAATGTACAGTGCTATGAGAAGGAGTGAGTAGAGAGGAAGGAAAAGGCAGAAAAAAAGATTTTTTTTAAAAGTAGATGGAACATGTACAAACATAGGGTAAAGAGAAAGTATGTTAAGGTGTTTAAAATACAGGATTTTTAAAAGTGTTTAACCAGAAGAGCTGAGATATCAGATGTATTAGTCCATTATCATGCTGCTATGAAGAAATACCTAAGACTGGGTAATTTGTAAAGGAAAGAGGTTTAATTGGTTCACACTTCCACATGGCCGTGGAAGCCTCAGAAAACTTACAATCATGGTGGAAGGCACCTCTTCACAGGGCCACAGGGGAGAGAATGAGTGCCCAGCAAAGGGGGAAGCCCCTTATAAAACCATCAGATCTCAGGAGAACTAACTCACTATCACGAGAACAAAATGGAGGAAACCACACCCATGATTCAATTATGTCCACCTGGTCCCATCCATGACATGTGGGGATTATGAGAACTATAATTCAAGATGAGATTTGGATGGGGACACAACCAAATGATATCATTCTACCCTGGCCCCTCCCAAATCTCGTGTCCTCACAATTAAAAACACAATCATGCCCTTCCAACAGTCCTCCAAAGTTTCAACTCATTCCAGCATTAACTACGCTGATGCAAGAGGTAGACTCCCATGGCCTTGGCCAGCTCTGCCCCTGTGGCTTTACCGAGTACAGCCCCACTCACAGCTGCTTTCACAGGCTGGCATTGGGTGTCTGCAGCTTTTCCAGGCACACAGTGCAAGCTGTTAGTGAATCTACCATTCTGGGGTCTGGAGGATGGTGGCTCTCTTCTCACAGCTCCAGTAGGCAGTGCCCCAGTGGGGACTCTGTGTGGGGGCTCCAACCCACATTTCCCTTCTGTACTGCCCTACCAGAGGTTCTCCATGAGGGCTCCATCCCTGCAGCACACTTCTGCCTGGATATCCAGGCATTTTCATATATCCTTTGAAATTCAGATGGAGGTTCCCAAACCCCAATTCTTGACTTCTGTGTACCTGCTAGACCACCACCACATGGAAGCTGCCAAGTCTTGGAGCTTGCACCCTCTGAAGCAGTGGCCTGACCTGTATCTTGGCCCCTTTTAGTCATGGCTGGAGCTGAAGCATGGGACACAGGGCACCATGTCCTGAGGCTGCACAGAGCAGGGGGGCCCGGGGCTTGGCTCAGGAAACCATTTTTCCCTCCTAAGCCTCTGAGCCTGTGATGGGAGGGGCTGCTGTCAAGGTCTCTGACATGCCCTGGAGGCATTTTCCCCATGGTCTTGGCAATTAGCATTTGGCTCCTCATTACTTATGCAAATTTCTGCAGCCAGCTTGAATTTCTACCCAGAAAATGGGTGTTTCTTTTCTACCACATTGTCAGGCTGCAAATTTTCCAAACTTTTATGCTCTGTCACCTCTTCAATGCTTTGCTGCTTAGAAATTTCTTCCACCAGATACTTACCCTAAATTAACTCTCTCAAGTGCAAAGTGTGAAATGAAAATAAATCTTGGGGTCCCCAAATCACTAAGCTAAAGGGAAAAGTCAAGCTAGGGACTGGGTCATGCAAAACTGCCTCCCCTTTTGTTTCCTAAAAAAGATGATTATAGGACGAAAAGCTACATACCTCCCCCATATTTTACCCACAAGGAAATTCCTAGTGAGCTCAAAGATCTTTACTGTAAGGTGTTTCTGTTAAAATTTCACTACCACAATGTAAGCTGATAGCTTATTTTTACAGGTGCAGTCACCTCCCTGCCCACCAGACAAATGCATATCTGATTGTTTCCCTGTCCCATTTTTTTCTATGTTATCTCATATAAAAATGCAGATTCTCCACATTTTTCCTCACTCCATTTGTCTATGTCATCTGAGGTTGAAAAAAAAAAAAGCAGTTTCGCTGAGCCAGGCAAAGGCATGAATAACTATTTTTCCCTGCCCACCTCTTACATAAAAATTGTGTACTTCTCAATACCTCGCTCTTTCCCCTTTAAATTTGGAGCCCTCAAAATCATCTTTGGAGAAGGCATAGACCTGTTTCCAGGATGCACATCCTTAACTTTGGCAAACAAACCTCCTAAAATAATTGAGACTTGTCTTGTCATTTTTCTCGACTGACGAAAGTTACACAGATCTCTAGGGCAGGGACAAAATGCTGCCAGTCTCTTTGCTAAAGCATAACAAGAATCCCCTTTATTCCAGTTCCCAACAAGTTCCTCATCTCCATCTGAGACCATCTCAGCCTGGACTTCATTGTCCATATCACTATCAACATTTTGGTCAACGCCATTCAACAAGTCTCTAGGAAGTTCCAAACTTTCCCACATTTTCCTGTCTTCTTCTGAGCCCTCCAAACTATTCCAACTTCTGCCTGTTAACTAGTTCCAAAGTCGCTTCCACATTTTCAGATATCTATAGCAGCACCCCACTCTCTGCAGTACCAATTTACTATATGAGTCCATTCTCATGCTGTTATGAAGAAATACCCAAGACTGGATAATTTATAAAGGAAAGAGGTTTAATTGACTCACGGTTCCACATGGCTGAGGAGGCCTCAGGAAATTTACAATCATAGCAGAAGGCACCTCTTCACAGGGCAGCAGGGGAGAGAATGAGTGCCCAGTAAAGGGGGAAACCCCTTATAAAACCAAACCATCAGATCTCGTGAGAACTCACTCACTATCATGAGAACAGGATGGGAGAAACTGCTCCCATGATTTAATTATCTCCACCTAGTCCCTCCCATGACACATGGGAATTATAAGTACAATTCAAGATTTGGGTGGGGACACAGCCAAACCATATCACCAGATTTCAGTGTTTAAAAAAGCAGGGTATTGGGAGGCCGAGGCAGGCGGATCATGAGGTCAGGAGATCAAGACCATCCTGGCTAACATGGTGTAACCCTGTCTCTACTGAAAAATACAAAAAAAAATTAGCCGGTGTAGTGGCGGGCACCTGTAGTCCCAGCTAATCGGGAGGCTGAGGCAGGAGAATGGCGTGAACCTGGGAGGCGGAGCTTGCAGTAAGCCAAGATCGCACCACTGCACTCCAGCCTAGACGACAGAGTGAGACTTCGTCTCAAAAAAAAAAAAAGGATTTATAGGGAACAAGGCTGAAGTCAGAAAGATAAGGTAGAAGGTTTTGTTTTTTTTTAATCCAGGCAAGAAATGATGGTATTTTGAAATGAGAGTGGTAGTGAAACATGTTTAGGAGTTAAATCAAGAAGGAATTATTGAGTAGTATAATTATCGAGTAATACAATATGATATTCAGGAGCTAGGGATGACACCAGGTTTCTGGCTACGGTTCCTTGATGGACAGTGGTACTGAAAAAGGAATTTAGGAAGAGTGTTGACATCTTGAATTTGAGGTGCTTGTGAGATACACGAGTGCTTAGGTTCACTAAGCAGCTGCATTTAAAGTTTAGAAAAGAGAGATCTGAGAAGAAGGCATATAGATTTGAGGTAACTGGTAACTGAGGCTTTGGGAGTTTGTAATATTTGCTAAGGAATGTATGAAGAAGAGACAGACCCTCAAGAATCCTAACTGATAAGACAAAGAAGACCCTCCACAAATGAAGAATGCCAGAAAGAGCACTGTGTCACAAAAGCAAAGGAATATGTCAATAAAGGAATAGTCAATGAGGTTAAACACTGACAACAGGTATAAGAGGTAGACATTTCTTTTTTTTTTTTTTTTTGAGACAGTCTTGCCCTGCTGCCCAGGCTGGAGTGCAGTGGCGCGATCTCTGCTCACTGCAAGCTCTGCCTCCCGGGTTCACGACATTTTCTTGCCTCAGCCTCCCAAGTAGCTGGGATTACAGGCATGCACTACCATGCCTGGCTAATTTTTTGTATTTTTAGTAGAGTCAGGGTTTCTCCACGTTGGCCAGGCTGGTCTCAAACTCACAAAATCAGGTGATTCACCTGGCTCAGCCTTCCAAAATGCTGGGATTACAGGCCTGAGCCACTGTGCCCAGCCTGACATTTCTTCCATTTAAGTAAAAGTAGTTGAGGAAAGGACCAGGTACTGATGCAATTAAGTTTACAAGTTTGGCAGGAAGAATTTGAATGAATTTCTAATGATGACTTCTGTTTTCTCTAAGTATCAGGAGGTTAAGTATTTTGCTAAGACTGAAGAGAAGGGACTGAAGAGAGTGAAGGTCAGAAACAGGCACCGTGAAGACTAAGTGAGCTGACCACAAAAATCTAGGCAGATCAGGCATTGTTAAGAGCCAATGTAAGGTTGTAAGAACCTTCCTAAGAAATTATTAAAGAAAATCTTAAATGTTAATATTAGTCTTGGCTATTGTTATCAGTAAGCAAGTACCTAGAGCAAAAGTAGAAGAACATTTTCTGTCTTTAATTTAGCAAACTGAAATTTAAAAATTTTTAAAATATGAACAATGTTTACTAAATATGGATATTTTGACACATACCTAGAAATGCGTAGAAAAGGAAATATACAAAAGCAATCTTCTTAAACCTATCATAGATTTTCTTTAAAAAATGAAAGTTAGATAATATTCTATTCAAAGTATGAAAAGAATTAACTACTAGGAACCACAAGTATTATATCCAAAGTCTTTGTATTGAAATAGATTTTAAAGAATAGCTTTATGTTTGTGAAATGTAGAATCTTCCATTTATGTCTAACTCCTCAACTATGACTACAATTATATGTGCAGCTTATTTTATGTGATTGAAAAGCGATTCAACAAAAAATTCTAATAAGGTATTCCTAATAAGAAGTAGTATTCTTTTTCCTTCTCTCTTTCTCTCTAAAGTACCACCTACAACAATTATTTTGGAACTGCTATAGTTCATTGGGGTCACACTTTTATAGCTGAAATTAACTGTAAATGATAAAAGATGCTTTAATAAAAAAATCAGGGTTGCTTTCCTGAAAATATTAATTTCTATTTACAGATATTGAATAGACTTGTCACTTTGCAATTAGAAAACTCAGATGGCTATTAGCTCCAAAATTCAAGGGTAAAAATCACCTTAAAAATTTTTTTCTTTTTACAAGAAAACACCTACAAGTAGTAAAAATGATTTTTGAACACTGTAAAAAATGATTACCTGGGATTATTATTTTATTATTACGTGGGGTTATTAGGATGATACTTCTGGAAATATTCTAAATTTGTTTTAGAAATCGCAGTGATTCTTCTGCGAAGAGATAGAATTTGTTAATACAATTTCTATACAGTTAAGTTGGCAGTGCATCTACAAAGTTAGATCAGGACAAGAGTTGTATCTTCTTCTACAAGAATTGATACACTCACCAAAAAAAGGCCCAATATATACTCAAAACTATTTTATAAACTATTTTCTCTAAAGTGTCACAATAAAAAGTCAGCAATATCATTTGTCTAAAACTGCTCTGAAATAAATTGCAAGCTTTATTGTTTCACAAAGGAAGCAAGTGATTTTTGACAGAACTGTTCAGAGGGAGATTTAAAACACAGTATACACACATGCACGTATACATAGTTTGCAAGGGTTAGAGGTATAGTTTTTATAACAATATTAATAATATTTGATTTTCTTTAAAAACATCATTATTAATTATAATTAATTTATAACATGATTAAATGTAATATGTAACTCTTATGATTACTTTTATTAATGGTGATCATTTATGTTCCAGGCACTATGTTAAAAGTACATGTACGTTATTTCATTTAATTCTGACGATTATGTGATATAAATATTATTACCTATATTTAAGTGTGGGTTAACTGAGGTTTGAAGAAATTTAAGTACTTGCTCAATGATATATTTCTAGTAAGCTGGGTGAGCTAGAAGTTGAAATCAGGTCTGTATGATTCCAAAACCCATGTTTTTAAACACCAGGCTAGAAAACTATTAGTGTGCTATTCATTAAAATTTTTTAAATGGATAACTTCTATGATTAATGGGCTTAAGCAAAAAACAAACAAAAAAATCCCCACTAAGAATATTTCAAGAATCAATGTCTTACATAGTTTTGCTTTATTTAATCTATTACCCATCTGCTGGTGATCTCTTTTCATATTCATATTTCCTAAAATAAAATGTTCTTACATATAGAAAAATAACATTCCCACTTAATCTGTCAATTTCTAGAACCATAAAAATAGTGCATATTTCAAAAGTACCTATAGGGACAAAGAATCCATTTACTTAACCTGAGTTGCCTTTCTTTATTTCTCCGTAGTCTAACATCCGTATTCAACCACACATCTTCACAGATCTAAATTGTCAGTCTCCACTTCTCAAAATTTTACTTACTGTTTTGTTGTATATGTAAGGTCACACCATTTCATTAATTATTAATAACAAAAACTTCAATATTAAGCAGACAATATTAAATTATATGTTAAATCTTATTTTAGAACCTAAAACTATAGTGATTTTGAAAATTTAAAAAGGGGGTTAATAATAGATTAAGAAACAAAAGTTTTTTCAATTTTGAATAACTGGTCTTTGAAAAATAAATACCCCAAAGCTAAAATCTGACCCACCCTTTTTTTCTTCTTACCTCAGGTTGGCTGGAAATATTCAAAATGAGAGCCCACAATTCAGCTCTCAGTGCCGTGGGACTTCCTTGTCTGATGTACTGTTGAGCAGCAGCACTATCTTGTTCTGCTAGAACTATCAAAAGTATATGAAAATCTCCTTTGAAAACTCAGAATGTAAGAAACATCACTGAAATCTTCAATTATAAATCTTTTGGGAAGCTGATATTCAGTCTTTCTATCTAACATAATTACACCGTATCTTTACCTTTTAAAATTTATTCTCTGGATTTCAATACAGCCCTATTTGCAGCCCTCCCAGTTGCAAGCCTTAAGCTCTTCCACCTCCTACCCAGTGTGGATAAGGAGGGACTTAATGTAAGGACTTTGAGATCACTTTGCTTTAACTATAGCTCCATGGATCTGAAACTAGTATTGTGTGTGTGTGTGTGTGTGTGTGTGTGTATATATATATATATATATATATGAAATAATTTTTAGATTCCATTATCAAGTTAATTCATAGCTACGGAAACCCCAAATTTCTTATGCATATTCTACTACATCATGAATGTTCTAATATTTGGAAATGTATGGTACATGAAGTTTCATGCCTAAGAATTACAATATATAAGAATGTTAGCTATCTATTCTATTAAATGACTTCTTAGTTATTTGCCAAAATCAACAGAAAACAGGGATTTTCAAAGACGTAGAAACAAAGATCTCATAACCTTGCAAGAAGGCTCAAATTATTCTTAAAAAGCCAAGTTCACACAATCAATATGTTATCTTTTGCTTTCATTTTAATTTTTATTTTCTTTAATAAAGATGTCAGCTATTCAGTCTGGAAATAAAGGTCCAAAAAAACAAAATGAAGCAAAACCAAAAAAAGACATATCAAAACAACTGCTAATGTTTATCTAACCAGTATTGTTTTCTTATATTTTCTTCTTAAAAAAAATCTTATATTAAATGAAAATGACATGAGCAGAAGAAACAAAGGAATCATGAAATAAAAAAGAGATGAAGCATATTCTTTAATTTGAAATTGCTCTTAATAAAAGTGTCAAATCATACAAATAAATTCTAAATAAATACAATTTTTAAAAATTGAAGTAGGGATTTGGTACATGACAATATAATTGCCATAGAAGGTTCATTCTGACACAAAGACCAATCTGTACTTCATATCTCAAAGACAAAAAAGGATTTATAAAAACAAGGAAAAGAATCTTCAAAAGATAGGGAAAAACTATTCCCCAGAATACTAAAAGCCACTTTGGTTATTAAGCCACACCACTGTGAATGGTCACTGGGAACCATTACAGTTATATTTTCTCCTGATGCGGGAGCATATTCCCATTAACTCTAATGAGAGGTGTGTGGGTGCATCAAAGACAGAACCTGCCTCTTTGATTTTAAAATGAAATTCTACTGCCGAATGGATTAAGCTAACATCCCTGAGGAATATGTGTCTGCATTTCCTTTTTAGTGAACCAGCTGTGTACTTCTTTCTCTGACATTTATTGACAAAGCCAAAATGATGCATTTTCCCTACTTATAAAGATTCTCATTATGTAATCTACATGGTTAAATATTACCCCTCTTTAGGTTTTTCACTTTTCAGAGATTAAATTTCACCTGGAGGTTATCTGAGGCAGACATTTAGCTGGGACTGTCTCACTTTTCAGAAATAATAACATTTATAATTAAAAGCTTACCTTTTTGCCCAATACGTACATGTTCATTTTCAAAAAGTTCTAAAAATTAAAAAAAAATTAAAATTATTAGACATGAGTATGAGCAATCACATTTAGAACAACATTAGATACATTTTTCTGGTATTGATACATTTAATGATTTTTAAAGCCAGATGGCTCTACAGAAAACTAAAGAATATCTCATATGTAAAAAAGTTTTTTCTACATTTTTTAAAATTAAAACAGAGTTATGAGCATTTAATCAAACAAAAAAATTGATGAATGAATTTTCCCTTTGTTAAAACATCTCATAATAAAGCCAAACAATTTTTTGTTTAAAATTAAAACAGTTATGAGCATTTAATCAAACAAAACATTGATGAATGAATTTTCCCTTTGTTAAAACATCTTCTCATAATACAAAAATGTTCCTATTCATTCATCTTTAATTTTTTCCTTAAAGAAAAACAAAACTTATTGACAGCTTCATTTACAAAACCCTACTTCCACTCCAATCTACCATTGGCTATCTAATAAAAGCATATCTAATAAAAGCCTTACTGCTATATAGGAAAAATCTCGCTCTACAAATGCCATTTTAAAAGATTCTATGATGAGATTTTTTTAAGTAGAAATCATAATGGAAAAAGATTCATGAACTAGACTATATTACATTTTTAAAAAAAAACTTCTGTTCATCAAAAGCACTGTTAAGAGAGCGAAAATGTAAGTAACACAGTGGAAGAATATATTTGCTGTACATATATCTGGCAAAAGACTCCTATTCAGAATATATAAAGAACTCCTGGTAGACAAAGACAGATGACTCTCAGACACGAACAGGCAAAAGACTTAAATAGAGGCTCTTCACAAAAGGAGTGACCTGAAGGACCAATAAACATATGAAAAGCTGCTCAACCACATTGGTCTTCAGGGAAATGCAATTAAAACCACTATGAAATACACAACCACCACAATAGCTAAAATGAAAAGACTGACAATTCTAAATGTAAAAGATGTGGAGCAAATGAATTTCTCATACAAAGCTAGTGGGAGTAGAACTTGGTACAAACACTGTGGAAAAGTGTCCAGCAATAGCTACTAACACTGAACATATGTGCATATCCTATGATAATTAGCAATCCACTCTCAGTTATAAACCCTAATGCATACATATGTGCACCAAGAGACATGTACAAGAATATTCACAGCACCACCATTGATAATAACCAAAAATGTAATCAATACCATCAGCAGGATACTAGATAGTGGCATATTCATACAATAGATTACAATACAGCAATGAGAATGAATGATTTATAATTCTCTACAACACCTTGAATATTATAAAGAAAAGCAAAAGAAGCCAAACACAAAAGAGTATATACTATATGATTTCATTTCTATAAAGTACAAAAATAAGCAAAACTAATCTATGATGTCAGAAGGCAGAATAGTTTTTACCCATGAGAGTGACAGAATCTGAATGTGTGCCTAAGGGGGCTTCTGAGATGCTGGTAATATTCTGTTTCTCGGTCTAGCTGGAGGTTACGCAAGTGTGTTCACTTTGTAAAAATTCACTGATCTGTATATACGTGATTTGTATACTATCCAGTATGTATGTTGTACTTCTATAAAAGTTATTTAAAAATTAGCAGTCATTTTTCTATTACCTGCAGTACTTGAAAACTCTAGTTTTGAAATATAAAATTGCAACACTAAAGAAAAATCAGAAGAATTCTCTTAATCAAAGAAAGATTAATGTATGTGTGGTACATTTTCAGTATTAGATAATTTTTTAGTTTTAAAAAATAATCCATAAAGCTGTTTTTTCACTAGAGTATTTGAGCCAGAATGCCTTATTCTTTTAGTTTATTGTAGTCCTAATATTTCTGAAGTAATTAGTTGAACAGATTATACAATGACTAAGGAAAGTGTCTGGGATCCGTAACATAAATCATTTATATATATAAAATGATTATATATAAAAATATATATAGTCTACATATATATGTATATAGTAACAATACAGTTTCATTTTAATCAGCTATGATTTCTGAGACTTAGTGACCAAAGCAGACAATGCTTCAGTGAACACTATAATAGCATGAAACAGCAGATGTAATACTGCAGCATACTATAGTGGGGCGAAGTTCAGTAAACTTTCAGAAAATAACAAACAGTATATTACAGGCACTGGAGACAGTTTTCACATAGAACCCCATAACTGGTTCTTCTCAGTTATCTTGATAAGCACATCACAAAACTGCCCATAACAACTCGATTCTTTTCATCCTCCTTGACTAAGGATTAAGTTAAAATTTCTCTTAAGATTAAAATTATAATCCTTTATGTTCATTTCAATCAATGTAGTTTATACAGTTCAAGATTTTCTTCTCATAATATGCCAAGAAATGTTTTATATTCATAATTTTCACTGAATGAATAAAGAATAGTTGAATAATCAAGTAAAAATAAGTTGCCAGCCAATTCTCATTTTCTAATAAAAGCAGAGGATATTACTATATGATAACAGTGCTTTATTACCCAAAGTAGTATGAAATAACAATAATCAAACAGACTTCTTTAAAAAATTTAACTATTCAATTATGTGAAATACAATAATTTTGCTTTTTAAATGCTATTTTCTGTCCTAAGAATAAGAAGCCTAAAAAGTCAGAACCAAAATCTCCAACTTACACTCTAATTCTGTGTTTTTCAGAGTGCCCTGAGGACCATTATGTTAACAGATGCACCTATATTAATAGATCTTGCTCAGGAAAAAAACTTCTGTTAAAATGATCTTGGAAGATGCAAAGCTAAAATAATTTAGTTAAGACTTCTCATAGTCTTTATAAGATAGTAACATACACTGTGTATCTTAAGAAGGTATACAATACAGCCCTTCTCAAACCCTATTTGACAACAAGATTCTCTTTTTCACAGGGCATCTTATGAGTGCTCCTGAGTATAACACTTCAGGAAATACTGCACTAACTGAGTATGATTTTTTCTTTTAGAAAGAAAATGTCTATTTAGTAGAACCCTCATCTAATAAGATTCATTATTACGTACACTCAGACAATAATATCAGACATATGACCTCCTTTATCATGAAGGCTTATGAAAGAATGCTGAGCTTGCTCACTCTGTTAACATCAGTCTTATAAATGGTTTCCATAGTAAATGTGTGTGTGTGTGTGTGTGTGTGTGTGTGTGTGTATGTATTTAAAATAAATGCAATGCATGTTCATGAGAGTTTGTAGAAGTAATGGCTATGACTTTTTTTATTATTGTTAAATAAGGATTCTATAGTATAATTGTAAGGACTTTTTCTCCTGACTTTTATATAAAAGCTCATAAGTAAGAAGTGCATTTCAAATATAATAATTGAATAGCAGTAATGATAAAACATAGGTAACAGAGGTTTTAAAGATGCGTAAGAACACAATTCCCTTAAGCCACGCTTAAACTTAATTCTGAATATAAAAAACTTGCCTCTAGCCAAACACAAGTATTAGCAACATTTTCAAACATTAGCATTACATTTCCAACTTAATTGAAGTGAAAGACACAGACTAAAATATAAAATAAGAGGTCATTGGCCTCCTTCAAGCAGGCTTAGTATTCTATGCTCCAACTGCCCTTTAAATGTAATAACAGCAAATACCACACTGTATCTTATCTGTCACTTACCACTATTTTTTCCCCTAAAAGCAGAGATTATGTCTTATGTCTATGTATTCTATGTATATCTCTGCATTCACCAGTCCCTGGCCCTCAGCAGGGTCTCAAAACACATTTGTTATATTATGAATGAATCAAAGAAGGAAAATCTGCACTGTAGTTTAAAAATACAGTATATTAAGTCTTCTAAAGCATAGATACTATGAGATTTAGAATAATTTTAAATAACTCAAAGATTATTTCAAAAGTAAAAAATAAAAATATAACTCAAGGCTGTGTTACTACTTCCTTTCCTTTTCTTATATGACTATCATTTGCCATTAATAAAAGTATAAGATATTTTATTTTATAAGATATTTTATATCTTCTTATAAAATAAGAAAAAGCTGTCAAAGGTGGCAGGAGGGAGGCAGCACAGGGTAGCAGACTTTGGAGACAGATTGCTTAGTTTTGAATCCTGGCTCTACCACTTACTAGTTTTGTGACCTGGAGCAAGTTACTTAACATCTCCACATCCTCTACTTTAATATGGAGATAATAATCCTACATCACATTATATAAGAAAATTAAAACCATACTGCAATACCACTATACTCTGCCAGATTGACTAAGACAAAGATGAAATACACCAAGCATTAGTGAGGACATACAACAAAACTACGACTCTCACACATTGTTGGTGGAAGTGTAAACTGGTACTAACACTTTTGAAAACTCACTGGCAGTTATTTACTAAAAATGAACATATACAAATATGAATATGAGTGAATGAATGAATGAATATTTCTAGGACCTAGAAAATGCACTCCCAGGTATATACTCCACAGCAGAATATAGATACGTTCACCAAAAAACACATACTAGAATGATCATAGTAGCCTTATCTGTACTATCCTCAAACTTGCAACTTCCCAAATATTTATCAACCGTAGAATAGATAAATAAATGTGTGGTATATGCATCCAGTGGAACACCAGAAAGCAAATGATCTATAAACACATATAACAACATGGCCAAATGTCACAAATATAATTTGAACAAAAGAAGTCAAACATCACAGAGACACACTGTATGCTTCTATTCATATGAAGTTCAAGAATTTGAAAAACTAATCTGTGCTGCCAGAAATCAGAATAGTAATCTTTGTAATGGGGATTACAGATTGAAAGAGGGTAGGAGGAGGGCTTCTGTTTAGTGTTCTGGGTATTTTAATAGGTGTATTCAATTTGTAAAAATTCATTAAGCTGTCCTCTTATTATAGATGTATTCTTTTATATGCATTATACATTAATAAAGTATTTAAAAATGAAAATTGATACCATATAAAGTTGCTGAGAGGTTAAAATGAGACAATATAGATGCAACATATAGTATGTGCCCAATGGTTATTTCTGATTACATAGTAATAATAATAGTAATAATTATGTAATATTGCTATTATAATAGTGGTAAGAGCCAACTTATTTATTTTATAGAGGAAGAAACAAGTCCAAAGATGCATAGTGACTTGTGCAAGTTACACAGTTAGCCAGTGGCAGAGGAAAGACTAGAATAGTCTCCTAACCCCTATCTAGTATTATTTCCACTACAATACGGGGCTCCCATACTTCAAGTAAATTTGTACTTCATTTTTATTATAGCTAAATACCAGTGTAGTATTTAATAAAAAGTATATTGAATTTATGCACAAAAAGGGAAAAGTTAGGAAAACTGCTTGGATTATTAAGGTTTAAAACACACTATTTTTAAAGCCTAAGTTGACTCAAGGTAGACGTCAGTGTTCACTTAACTTGGTGATACAAAAGTAAAAACAGATGCTGATGGCCAGGAAAGGATGTTGCCAGTAAAGATTCTGACAACAAAAATGACTTATATATGTCTAATGACTTTTCAAAATCATTTTAAAGACTTTCAAATAAAAAGACAAAATTTAGTTGAAGTCTAATAATTACAACATACAGGATTCTATTCAATAAATAACAGTAACCAAGGAGAGGCAAAAGCATGCTTAGTTTTCAGATATAAAAAAATTGCTAGATTAACTTGGAAATAGCAATATAAACCTTAGGCTCACTCTCATTTATCATTAATTATATGCCGTTGGAAAAATACTAACCAGGAGGCACTTGTGTAGAATCATCTATACCCAGTTGTCCTATATTTAAGCCAAGTTCCACAAAGCATTCTTTCTGAAAAATAACATACGTAGAATTAACATAGATCTCAGACTTTGCTGCACATTGTTAAAAGATCACCTTTGCCTTAACATTAGCTTGAATAAAAATCACAGTGTGAAATGAGGCTTTGCTTTATTCAAATACCTAAAAAAGAAAAGGACATATTAAACATCTAAATAATAAGGCATTAGTCCAAAATTAAGGAATAGAATAACCAGTGATTACTATATAATATTTATTATTTTCATATAAAATAATCATGAATAGAAAAGATATAAGCATTTAGGAAATATAAATATATAATGGGAAAGACACAAACATATAATGTTTATCCAAATGGAGAGCCATTAGCAATATTTTTCTTTCTCCTAATTTTTCCTACCTAATAAAAGTTTTACTTCTTGCCTTTTGACCAATGAGTGCTGCCATTGTTTAAAAGAACTGTTTTCCAAAAACAGTTCTTGATTTTGCCTTTTTAGGTAACAGACTACTCAGTAAGGTAAGGAATGATAATTATCCTTTCAGTAAAAAACTAACTTTAAACCTTTCCTGAAACACACACACACACATACAAACACTCAGTATGCATATCACTTACCAATTTTATCTTCTAAAATCATTGTCTAAAATTACCATTATGATCCTGTATTTGTGCTTTCTATGTTACTGTACTTCACTCAGATCTTAATCAACTAAACACTGCAAATATCCAAAACAACTTAAATTAATTTTTAAGTACAATTGGACCATCAAGTGCTCTGCTAAAATAAGGATAAATCAGATTTATTCTCCAGACTTCCTCTACTTATCTAGTAATGTCTAAGAAAAATAATAATGTTTGTCTGGTATTTTTTAAATATATAAAAACCTCACATTATTCACATTTTTATGCCCAAAGTAATTAAATATTTCTATTAATATTTTCCTCAGCATTTTGTTAACTATTCTAATTGCTAAACCCATACTTCCTTGTCCTTTAAAAGATGGAATTAGTTTTAATCCTTACTAATTATCTATTATTACTTAAGTTAGTGATTTATTAATGTCCTTTACAAGACAGTTATTCAGCCTAACATACACATATACACATTTCATTTTGTATAGATTTTAAATAACTACTACTATATTTCAATTTTTAATCTTTATCTACCCTTTAAAAAGTACTGCATCTTGTCCATGACTAAGATCTACCGCAGACCCCTGGACTGGCCTGCTAGCCCATGTTCTGATGTTAATGACATCGAAGGCACCCCTTCCAAGGAAATCTCAACTGCACGTCCCCTACTATGCCCCAGTTCAGCAGGAAGCAGTTAGAGCGATCGTCGGCCAACCTCCCCAACAGCACTCGGGTTTTCCTGTTGAGAGTGAGGACTGAGAGCCAGGACTAGCTGGATTTCCTAGGCCAACCAAGAATTCCTAAGCCTAGCTGGGAAGGTGAATGCACCCACCTTTAAACACGGGGTTTGTAACTCAGCTCACACTCGACCAACCAGGTAGTAAAGAGGGCTCACTAAAATACAACTTAGGCTAAAAGCAGGAGGTAAAGAAATAGTCAAATCATATATCGCCTGAGAGCACAGGGGGAGGGACAATGATCGGGATATAAACCCAGGCATTCGAGCTGGGAGTGGGCAATCCCCTTTGCGTCCCCTCCCATTGTGTGGGAGCTCTGTTTTCACTCTATTAAATCTTGCAACTGCAAAAAAAAAAAAAAAAGTACTGCATCTTATGTTACCAATTTCTAATGACTGAAGAGGTAAAAATGTGTTATTCTTCCATTTTCAACCATTGTTTTCCATTTATTTTAAGGCACTCTTCTGTAATTGAAATCATTTGTATTTTTCTTTTTAAAAATAACCTTAATCTTCATACTGCAAAAGGGACTTATACCCAACAAATGCTTTAATATTAGGTTCTATAATTAAAATGGAGAGTTTTACTTAGGCTAGGACATGTTAAAAAGCATGAACAGAACTCTGGACATCAATTTCCTACTTCATTGCTCTGGACTATTTTTAACTCAATGTCAGCAGACATGGACCCTAATCTCAGATTTCCTTCAAAACTCACCCCAGGTATGACATCTTCAGAGAAGCCTCCCTTGACATTCCAGGCTGATATAAACAACTTTTTATGCACATATATTATCCTTTATCAACCTCTACCCAAGCACACAATCACATCATATTGAAACTGTATTTTTACTGCCCACCTCTCCACTAGCCTGCAGCTCTTGGAAGACAAGCACTGTCTCTTACACACATTTGCACTCTGCTTTACTACTTGGCACAGGGCCTGACATAACAAAAGGGTTCAATAAATATTGAACCACACTACTTAGCTCTAGTCCTAACTAGCTGTCTCCACATAACCAAATTAGTAAATAGGAATTTATCACAACTACACTTTAGAGTTAATACATCTCAGTTATAAGGAATTTCTGTTTAATATGTATGAGTCTACTTAACCTTGTAATTAGGTTTAAGGGCTATCCATTACAGGATCACAGGACTCACTGAGCCTCACCAAGTTCAATACTCGCACAGACAGACCAGGGTCACAGATAAACCAAGTATCCTGGAGTCAGAATCATTATATTGCCAGGCTGCATGATATAGGCAAGGCAGGGACAACTACCCATAATGACTGAGGAATAAAAGGACTAACTATACTCTTAATCATATAGCTACAATTTCTTGAAAATTAGCTACAAGCTTTTGGTTCTCCAATAGCTAAGAATGCATTCGCATCAGTTTAGGGTCTCTTCAGACAGACAGAATACATAGTAGTCTCATTCACACATAAGCTGAAACTTTGTCTAAATTATCCTTTCCCTGCTTTTTTACCTAGCAAACTCCTTCAAGTTGGCTGGTTTCAGAGTGTCATCACCTAATATTCATATGAAATTGCCTCTACATGCAGCAGTTTCAGATATCATCTATTGATTTTATATGGAAAATGAGGATTTTAGCTCATGCACATTCTTTCCGTCCTTCAGTCATCATTAATTCTTAATTAAATCCATATTAAAAGTTTGCATTATTGTGACTATGTAAATGTTTCACTGGTGAGGCATGTGGTACTTATCAATGTTTTCATTCTTATACTTTTTTCCACACTGTTTATAATTAAACTGATTTTTCACTTATACAATTTTCTCTAATCATTTACGTCTTTTTCTTAAACCCATAACAACTCTGAAAAGACCCTCCTTAATATAATTTTGCATGTGGTCAAGCCTGTGAGATCATCTGTACTTTTGGTGTTTTTCTTGCAGGCATCCATCCTGGAACCTTCCAACCTCCTGCTCCAATCTAGGATTGTTGTGTTTCAGTCCAGTTGTACAGCCTTTGTCCTGGAACTTCTCTTTACTATCATTTCTGGGAAACTCTCCTTCTCTTTGGTTGGGATCCTGTTTTCTGGGTCCCATGTTTTGCTTCTTGTTTATGACCTTGTTTGAAGCGCTTCTACCAAGAGCTCCCTAAATAAGAGTAAATATTTTAGATCAGTACATCAGAAAATGTTTACTCCTCCTTAACATTTGATTGATTGTTGGTTACATATAGAATTCCAGGCTTGAAATCACTCAGGTTTTTAAAGACATTACTTCAAAATCTTCTGGCTTCCAGTGTTGCTGCTGAGAGTAAGATGCCACACTGATTCCTGACACTGTATATACTCTGCTTTTCTTTTATAAAAAAATTTCAGTTTTCTCGTTTTCAAGTGCCTTGGTGGGGATCTTCTTTCATTCACGGCACTGGGTACTTGGTAAGCCTTTTCACTGGACAGCCACATCTTGCTTAAATTCTTATAAACTTAATTACATTCCCTCTGTTTCCCTTTTCTGGAACTCCTTTTGGTCAGATGTTAATCTTTGTAGATTGATCTTGTAATTTAAGAAATCTTTTCCCTCCTGTTTTTCATTTCTTTGGCTTTTTGCTTCATCTTCTGATAAAGATTTCCTCAGCTTTGTTTTCAACTCATCTATTGATATGTATTTTTTGGCATACTATATTCTTAATCCCAAAACCTCCTTTTCATTCTCAAGTGTTTTCTTGCATTAATGAAATTCTGTTCTTGTTTTGAGTAATATCTTATCGTTCTGAGAATATTAATGGTTTCATTAAAGTCTCCTTCTGGGAATAAATGGTTAACATGTCCATTTGAAGATGACATTGGGTTTACCTTCTCCCATCACTATTGCCCTAAAAGTGTACTGAATCACAAAAAAAAATTCTAAGAGAAATGTCCCCACTATATTGCTAAGCAATGTTATTTACTGAAAACATACGATCCTTGACTGGTAAACGACATCTGAAATGGAAAACTGTGAGTAGAGTATAAAAACTGACTGGAAAACACAGGCCTTAGCCACCTGTGTGGTATCTCTTGAGAGGACTTGGAAGCTATGCTTATGTGCATTACAAGAAATGATTCCTATTGTGTATGAGACTTCCCTATGTTGTGCCTATGTGACTTGTCATTTTCAGTTGCATACCTTCCTTGTGAGGGTTGGGAAGTAGCATTTGGATGGCTGTAAGGACTCTCCGTGATGATGTACCTGCTAATGGCATGCTAGTATACTGTCATGCTGTTTTCCATTCTGTTTCATTCACAAATTTAAGTGAACCTGGGGCCAGGTTATCGTCTATTGCATCCTGTGAGTGTCAATGTAAATCAGAACCTGAAATGCCTATTAGTGGTCATTCCCTAATTTGGCTATTTGGGTTTTGTTATTGTTGTTGTTGTTTGGTTTTGCTTTAGTTTGGTCTCTGCCTCTCATACTGGAAGAATTCAAAAGTCTGGGGTTTCTAGGTTGGTCGTTCCGATTTAGAAATGAGGTAATAAAGAACTGACTGGAAGCTCTGTCGGCAAGGGTCAGGCATAGAATGCAGTAGGCTTCACTGTGAGGCAATTTTATAGCCAGCCAACCTCTTTTTTGTAAGGGTTCCCTGAATCCTTGTTAGTCTTTTCTCTGGCATTCTAGAGTTGGTTGAGGGTAAGGAAAAAGAAGGTGGAGGGTGGGGAAAGTAGGGTAGTGGTGTTAAGAATGAGAGTATTAATCTCACCATTCAGCAGACTTTCACTTAATTGCTGTTTTCAATAGCTCATTCCTGTCCTGCTCTATGTCTGAGGCCTCCGAGTGCAGTCTTTCTGCATCTGGATCTCTAGTGAATACACCTCTGGTCTTCTGTGGGGGAGGAGGAGTCATCTGAGTAGGCATGGTGATGGGAATCTGGGGGACTAACTTCTCCTGATCCAGACTTTCACACAATCTACATTTTCAGCCCTATGGCTCACTATGGTTTCCTCTGACATGTGGTACCTCCATTTCTTGAACATTTCTAAGGCTCTATGGAGAAAATCATATTGCTTCTTGCATCAGTCAGTGTCTAGTCAGGAAATAGGTCATACCAGAAATGTGAACAGGGAAAAACAGAAGAAGCAAATGCAGAAAGCAACTATGACTTCTAGGCTAAAGGAAAGTAAACAAAGAAGAAACTAAGAACTTAGAAAAGGGTCCCCTGGCCCTGAATGCTGAGATTCATACCTCTGTAGAGGGGCAGTGTAGCTGCCACACAAAGGCAGACCAGGGGTAGTGGAAAAACTTGTCAAGGGGCAGCTTAGACCTGGACTATTGAGGACTACTGAGGTGAGTGTTATTGAACCTCCTGCATCCCAATCTGCTGACTCCTACATACAGGAACTAGAAATGGAAGCCCCTGCCTCCTGCTATGGCCTTGCAGTGTCCCTCTAGAACCTTCTGTTGACAAACCCTAACATCAGGCCTGCTGGCAAAGGGGAAACGTTTATAGGGTCCGGCTCCAGCATGATAAAGCAGAGCAAAAAGGAGAATTTGGAGCTGAAAGATAATAAACTGATGACTGGCAAAAAATATAATGCCATAAATATACTTTAATCTCATTCACACTTTCTATCTTCTAGAGACATTTAGGTTTGATCTTCTCCCCTGTTTAAGTCATTTATCATCAGTGCTCTATCTTAATACATTAATGCCCAGAGTTATAAGTGGCTTCCTAGTTTCACCAAAGACAGTATTTATATTTCTACGCTCCTTATTGTTTTAGGGTGACTTTGAAAGAAGGAGTGATAATTTCTTAATTCCACCATCAGGAAATCTCCCTACTTTTCATTTTAAAATGAGCTTCCTCACAAAAATATTACGGTCTCCAGAGCAAAGCCAGTCTCTAATTAATTCTTATGTTCTCCATCTCCCTAAGTGCCTCATCTTGTTACAAGCTCCATAAAAGTTTGTGAAATTAAATAAAATGTACTTTTTTAAAAATAATCTTATAAAACTCACAATTTGTCTCAATCAGTTTTATAACCATCCAGCAGACAACTCAATCCCAACAAGCTGTCTCATAAATCTATGCTGCTTATTAAAATACAAAATAAGCAAAAGCATTTATATGTCAATGTGAACTCATTTTTAGTTCTATTAGCAAAACAACTTGCTCTCTCTATATACATATTTGCAATAAAAGAATCAACGTCACTTTATTAATTTGTTTAATGAGTAGATTACCCTATTGCTTTACATACATGCTGTATTAAAACATTTTTCTAATGGTTATCTTCTAAATGATGTTTATTTTTAAGTTTCTATACTTACCAATTCAGGGATGTCTTTTACTTTCAGTGGAACTTGAATTAAACCCAAATGAGTCCTGAAACTAAGAGAATCACCGTTTTCATAATTTGGGTTGCGAAGATTAATTAATACCTTTAAAAACAAATCCAACAAAATTGGTTAGTTTCTTTCCAGGATGTTTACACTTATAAAATTAGCAGGGATATTCTTAGTGTATCACCACAAAATTAATTACTATTTGGGTGATGCACATACTTTAATTACATTCTAAAATAGTATAAAAGTATATTGAAATGTTAATATATAATGCCATAAATATACTTTAATTAGGATGGTTTTATATTCCAATGAATGATCTACAATACAAAACTCTACCAAGTTAAGAATTTACTTAAAAATAAAAACTTTTTGGTGGTTAGAAAAAATAAAAATTGCTTGATTATAACACTTTACCAGAGAAGGTGATAAGAAAAAAATCTTGCTTGATTGTAATATTTATCAGGAAAAATTTTAGAATCAATTCTAACACATTTAAAAACAAATTGACAATATTTGTAGAAAGATGATGAAGTAAGATTGCAAGGCATCTCTCTCACCACTCCTATTCAACATAATATTGGAAGTTCTGGCCAGGGCAATCAGGCAAGAGAAAGAAATAAAGGGTATTCAAATAGGAAGAGTGGAAGTCAAATTGTCTGTTTGCAGATTACATGATTGTATATTTAGAAAACCCCACCGTCTCAGCCCAAAATCTCCTTAGGCTGATAAGCAACTATAGCAAAGTTTCAGGATACAAAATCAATGTTCAAAAATCACAAGCATTCCTATACACCAATAACAGACAAACAGAGAGCCAAATCATAAATGAATTCCCATTCACAATTGCCACGAAGGAATAAAATACCTAGCAATACAATTTACAAGGGATGTGAAGAACCTCTTCAAGGAGAACTACAAACCACTGCTCAACGAAATAAGAGAGGACACAAACAAATGGAAAAACATTCCATGCTCATGGATGGGAAGAATCAATATTGTGAAAATGGCCATACTGCCCAAAGTAATTTATAGATTCAATGCTATCCCCAAAGCTACCACTGACTTTCTTCACAGAATCGGAAAAAACTACTTTAAACTTCATATGGAACCAAAAAAGAGCCCGCATAGTCAAGACAATCCTAAGCAAAAAGAACAAAGCTGGAGGCATCACACTTCCTAACTTCAAACTATACTACAAGGCTATAGTAACCAAAACAGACTGGTACTGGTATAAAAACAGATATATAGGCCAATGGAACAGAACAGAGGCCACCAAAACAACACCACACATCTACAACCATCTGATCTTTGACAAACCTGATACAAGCAAGCAATGGGGAAAAGATTGCCTATTTAATAAATGGTGCTGGGAAAACTGGCTAGCCATATGCAGAAAACTTAAACTGGATGCCTTCCTTACACCTTATACAAAAATAAACTCAATATGCATTAAAGACTTAAACATAAGACCTAAAACTATAGGAATCCTAGAAGAAAATCTAAGCAATACCATTCAGGACACAGGCATGGGCAAAGACTTCGTGTCTTAAAACACCAAAAGCAATGGCAACAAAAGCCAAAATTGACAAATGGGATCTAATTAAACTAAAGAGCTTCTGCACAGCAAAAGAAACTATCATCAGAGTGAACAGGCAACCTACAGAATGGGAGAAAAATTTTGCAATCTATCCATCTGACAAAGGGCTAATATCCAGAACCTACAAAGAACTTAAACACATTTACAAGAAAAATACAAATAACCCCATCAAAAAGTGGCCAAAGGATATGAACAGACACTTCTCAAAAGAAGACATTTATGCAGCCAAGAAACATATAAAAAATGCTCATCATTACTGCTAATTAGAGAAATGCAAATCAAAACCACAATGAGAAACCATCTCACACCAGTTAGAATGGTGAACATTAAAAAGTCAGGAAACAACAGATGCTGGAGAGGATGTGGAGAAATAGGAATGCTTTTACACTGTTGGTGGGAGTGTAAACTAGTTCAACCATTGTGGAAGACAGTGTGGCGATTCCTCAAGGATCTAGAACTAGAAATACCATTTGACCCAGCCATCCCATTACTGGGTATATACCCAAAGGATTATAAATCATTCTACTATAAAGACACATGCACATGTATGTTTACTGAGGCACCATTCACAATAGCAAAGACTTGGAACCAACCCAAATGCCCATAAATCATAGACTGGATAAAGAAAATGTGGCACATATACACCATGGAATACTACATAGCCATAAAAAAGGATGAGTTCATGTCCTTTGCAGGGACATGGATGAAGTTGGAAACCATCACTCTCAGCAAACTATCACAAGAACAGAAAACCAAACACTGTATGTTCTCACTCATAAGTGAGAGTTGAACAATGAAAACACATGGACACAGGGAGGAAAACATCACACACCGGGGCCTGTCAGGGGGTCAGAGGCAAGGGGAGGGACAGCATTAGGAGAAATACCTAATGCAGGTGACAGGTTGATGGGTGCAGCAAACCACCATGGCACATGTATACCTATGTAACAAAACTGCACATTCTGCACATGTACCCCAGAACTTAAAGTAAAATAAAAATAAATAAATAAATGAAGAAGAAGAAGAAGAAGAAGAACAAGAAGAGGAAGAAGAAAGAGAGAAGGAGAAGGAGAAGGAGAAGGAGAAGGAGAAGGAGAAGGAGAAGAAGAAGAAGAAGAAGAAGAAGAAGAAGAAAGATTGCAGGGCATCTCCTCTAAACCAAACTCACAAGGAAAAAAAAAATTTGAAAAGCAGAGCTTAAAAAAGGTCATTTATATAATTTTCAAAAATAAGTGTCTGGGCGCAGCAGCTCATGCCTGTAATCCCAGCACTTTGGGAGGCCGAGGCAGGCAGAGTGCCTGAGCTCAAGAGTTCACAACCAGCCTGGGCAACATCGTGAGACTCCATTGCTACTAAAATACAAAAAATTAGCTGGGTGTGGTGGTGTGCTCCTGTAGTTCCAGCTACTCGGGAGGCTGAGGCAGGAGAATTGCTTTAACCCGGGAGGGGGAGGTTACAGTGAGCCAAGATTGTGCCACTGCACTCCAGCCTGGATGGCAGAGCAACACTCCATCTCAAAAAAAAAAAAAGCAGATAAAAGCCAACTTAGATACTGACATACCATTTAATGTAGGAATCTTACTTCTGTAAGTATAAACATAGAATATGATTCTAAGGAAAATAAATATGTTTGCTAGGATCATAAAGAAATAATGTTAGTGAAGTACAGCTTACATTGGAAAAATATGAAACAAATAACTCATTAGAAGGAATTATTTAAATAAAGAATGGTTAATTCATATAATAAAATACAGTATAATATGCCTCAATTAATATGGGTAATGACATGAAAAATGTTCATAATATATTGTTATTTTAAAAGTATAGTAGTTATTGCTGTGCAATAACATTGTGTGTTATTTTATTTCAAATTTTATTCTCACATATAGTAAGAATAAAAGAGTAGTTATTGCTGTAGAATAACATTGTGCATTATTTCAAATTTTATTCTTACATATGCTTTTTTATTTTTCTAATAACATGCATTTTTCAAGACAGAATAATAATAATTTTTAAAAATATTTTTAAGTAAAACTCTAGAGAGAAAAAAAAACTATTAGGAATCTAGTGGAGGGGGTGGAGCCAAGATGGCCAAATAGGAACAGCTCCAGTCTACAGCTCCCAGCGTGAGCGACGCAGAAGACGAACGATTTCTGCATTTCCAACTGAGGTGCCAGGTTCATCTCACTGGGGATTGTCGGAAAGTGGGTGCAGGACAGTGGGTGCAGCGCACTGAGCATGAGCTGAAGCAGGGCGAGGCATTGCCTCACGCAGGAAGTGCAAGGGGTCAGGGAATTCCCTTTCCTAGCCAAGGAAAAGGGTGACAGATGGCACCAGGAAAATCAGGTCACTCCCACCCTAATACTGCGTTTTTCCAATGATCTTAGCAAACGGCACACCAGGATATTGTATCCCGTGCCTGGCTCGGAGGGTCCTATGCCCACAGAGCCTCACTCATTGCTAGCACAGCAGTCTGAGATCAAACTGCAAGGTGGCAGCAAGGCTGGGAGAGGGGCGCGTGCCATTGCCAACG
Organism: Homo sapiens; assembly: GCF_000001405.40. Taxonomy (NCBI): domain Eukaryota; kingdom Metazoa; phylum Chordata; class Mammalia; order Primates; family Hominidae; genus Homo; species Homo sapiens. Next base: position 26,655,559 of record NC_000004.12, on the reverse strand, counting down.
CTTGACTAGGTAAACAAAGCAGCCAGGAAGCTCGAACTGGGTGGAGCCCACCACAGCTCAAGGAGGCCTGCTTGCCTCTCTAGACTCCACCTCTGCGGGCAGGGCATCGCCAAACAAAAGGCAGCAGAAACCTCTGCAGACTTAAATGTCCCTGTCTGACAGCTTTGAAGAGAGTAGTGGTTCTCCCAGCACGCAGCTTGAGATCTGAGAACGGATAGACTGCCTCCTCAAGTGGGTCCCTGACCTCCGAGTAGCTTAACTGGGAGGCACGCCCCAGTAGGGGCAGACTGACACCTCACATGGCCGGGTACTCCTCTGAGACAAAACTTCCAGAGGAACGATCAGGCAGCAACCTTTGCTGTTCACCAATATCTACTGTTCCGCAGCTGCCGCTGCTGACACCCAGGCAAATAGGGTCTGGTGTGGACCTCCAGCAAACTCCAACAGACCTGCAGCTGAGGGTCCTGATGTTAGAAGGAAAACTAACAAACAAAAAGGACATCCACACCAAAACCCCATCTGTACGTCACCATCATCAAAGACCAAAGGTAGATAAAACCACAAACATGGGGAAAAAACAGAGCAGAAAAATTGAAAATTCTAAAAATCGAGTGCCTTTCCCCCTCCAAAGGAATGCAGCTCCTCACCAGCAATGGAAAAAAGCTGGATGGAGAATGAATTTGATGAATTGAGAGAAGAAGCCTTCAGAAGATCAAACTACTCCGAGCTAAAGGAGGAAGTTCGAACCCATCAAAGAAGTTAAAAACCTTGAAAAAAGATTAGACAAATGACTAACTAGAATAACCAATGCAGAGAAGTCCTTAAAGGACCTGATGGAGCTGAAAACCAAGGCACGAGAACTACGTGACGAATGCACAAGCCTCAGTAGCTGATTCAATCAACTGGAAGAAAGGGTATCAGCAATGGAAGATCAAATGAATGAAATTAAGTGAGAAGAGAAATTTAGAGAAAAAAGAATGAAAAGAAATGTCAACAAAGCCTCCAAGAAATATGGGACTATGTGAAAAGACCAAATCTGTGTCTGACTGGTGTACCTGAAAGTGATGGGGAGAATGGAACCAAGTTGGAAAACACTCTGCAGGATATTATCCAGGAGAACTTCCTCAATCTAGCAAGGCAGGCCAACATTCAAATGCAGGAAATACAGAGAACGCCAGAAAGATACTCCTCGAGAAGAGCAACTCCAAGACCCATAATTGTCAGATTCACCAAAGTTGAAATGAAGGAAAATATGTTAAGGGCAGCCAGAGAGAAAGGTTGGGTTACCCACAAAGGGAAGCCCATCAGACTAACAGCAGATCTCTCAGCAGCAACTCTACAAGCCAGAAGAGAGTGGGGGCCAATATTCAACATTCTTAAAGAAAAGAATTTTCAACCCAGAATTTCATATCCAGACAAACTAAGCTTTGTAAGTGAAGGAGAAATAAAATCCTTTACATACAAGCAAATGCTGAGAGATTTTGTCACCACCAGGCCTGCCCTAAAAGAGCTCCTGAAGGAAGCACTAAACATGGAAAGGAATAACCGGTACCAGCCACTGCAAAAACGTGGCAAATTGTAAAGACCATCAAGGCTAGGAAGAAACTGCATCAACTAATGAGCAAAATAACCAGCTAACATCACAATGACAGGATCAAATCCACACATAACAATATTAACCTTAAATGTCAATGGGCTAAATTCCCCAATTAAAAGACACAGACTGGCACATTGGAGAAAGAGTAAAGACCCATCAGTGTGCTGTATTCAGGAGACTCATCTCACATGCAGAGACACACATAGGCTCAAAATAAAGGGATGGAGGAAGATCTACCAAGCAAATGGGAAACAAAAAAAGGCAGGGGTTGCAATCCTAGTCTCTGATAAAACAGACTTTAAACAAACAAAGATCAAAAGAGACAAAGAAGGCCATTACATAATGGTAAAGGGATCAATTCAACAAGACAAGCTAACTATCCTAAATATATATGCACCCAATACAGGAGCAACCAGATTCATAAAGCAAGTCCTGAGACACCTAAAAAGAGACTTAGACTCCCACACAATAATAATGGGAGACTTTAACACCCCACTGTCAACATTAGACAGATCAACCAGACAGAACGTTAACAAGGATATCCAGGAATTGAACTGAACTCAGCTCTGCACCAAGCGGACCTAATAGACATCTACAGAACTCTCCACCCCAAGTCAACAGAATATACATTCTTCTCAGCACCACATCGCACTTATTTCAAAATTGATCACATAGTTGGAAGCAAAGCACTCCTCAGCAAATGTAAAAGAACAGAAATCATAACAAACTGTCTCTCAGACCACAGTGCAATCAAACTAGAAGTCAGGATTAAGAAACTCACTCAGAACAGCTCAACTACATGGAAACTGAACAACCTGCTCCTGAGTGACTACTGGGTACATAACGAAATGAAGGCAGAAATAAAGATGTTCTTTGAAACCAATGAGAAAAAAGGCACAACATACCAGAATCTCTGGAACACATTCAAAGCAGTATGTAGAAGGAAATTTATGGAACTAAATGCCCACAAGAGAAAGCAGGAAAGATCTAAAATTGACACCCTAACATCACAATTAAAAGAACTAGAGAAGCAAGAGCAAACACATTCAAAAGCTAGCCGAAGGCAAGAAATAACTAAGATCAGAGAAGAACTGAAGGAGATAGAGACACAAAAAACCCTTCAAAAAACCAATGAATCCAGGAGTTGGTTTTTTGAAAAGATCAACAAAATTGATAGACCGCTAGCAAGACTAATAAAGAAGAAAAGAGAGAAGAATCAAATAGACACAATAAAAAATGATAAAGGGGATATGACCACTGATCCCACAGAAATACAAACTACCATCAGAGAATACTATAAACACCTCTACACAAATAAACTAGAAAAATCTAGAAGAAATGGATAAATTCCTTGACACATACACCCTCCCAAGACTAAACCAGGAAGAAGTTGAATCTCTGAATAGACCAATAACAGGCTCTGGCCGGGTGCGGTGGCTCACGCCTGTAATCCCAGCTCTCAGGGAGGCAAGAGGTGGGAGGATAGCTTGAGCCCAGGAGTTCGAGACCTGCCTGGGAAATACAGTGAGACCCCGTTCTCCACAAAAAGGAAAAACAAAAAAATAACAGGCTCTGAAATTGAGGCAATAATTAATAGCTTACCAACCAAAAAAAAGTCCAGGACCAGATGGATTCACAGCCAAATTCTACCAGAGGTACAAAGAGGAGCTGGTACCATTCTTTCTGAAACTATTCCAATCATTAGAAAAAGAGGGAATCCTCCCTAACTCATTTTATAAGGCCAGTATCATCCTGATACCAAAGCCTGGCAGAGACACAACAAAAAAAGAGAATTTTGGACCAATATCCCTGATCAACATCAATGCAAACATCCTCAAGAAAATACTGGCAAACCGAATCCAGCAGCACATCAAAAAGCTTATCCACCATGATCTAGTGGGCTTCATCCCTGGGATGCAAGGCTGGTTAAACACATGCAAATCAATAAATGTAATCCAGCATATAAACAGAACCAATGACAAAAACCACAGGATTATCCCAATAGATGCAGAAAAGGCGTTGGACAAAATTCAACAACACTTCATGCTAAAAACTCTCAATAAATTACGTATTGATGGGACATATCTCAAAATAATAAGAGCTATCTATGACAAACCCACAGCCAATATCATACTGAATGGACAAAAACTGGAAGAATTCCCTTTGAAAACTGGCACAAGAGAGGGATGCCCTCTCTCACCACTCCTATTCAACATAGCGTTGAAAGTTCTGGCCATGGCAATCAGGCAGGAGAAGGAAATAAAGGGTATTCAATTAGGAAAAGAGGAAGTCAAATTGTCCCTGTTTGCAGATGTCATGATTGTATATCTAGAAAACCCCATCGTCTCAGCCCAAAATCTCCTTAAGCTGATAAGCAACTTCAGCAAAGGCTCAGGATACAAAATCAATGTGCAAAAATCACAAACATTCTTATACACCAATAACAGATAAACAGCCAAATCATGAGTGAACTCCCATTTACAATTGCTACAAAGAGAATAAAATACCTAGGAATCCAACTTACAAGGGATGTGAAGGACCTCTTGAAGGAGAACTACAAACCACTGCTCAATGAAATAAAAGAGGATACAAACAAATGGGAGAACATTCCATGCTCATGGGTAGGAAGAATCAATATCGTGAAAATGGCCATACTGCCCAAAGTAATTTATAGATTCAATGCCATCCCCATCAAGCTACCACTGACTTTCTTCACAGAATTGGAAAATACTACCATAAAGTTTGCATGGAACCAAAAAAGAGCCCGCAGTGCCAAGACAATACTAAGCCAAAAGAACAAAGCCGAAGGCATCACGCTACCTGACTTCAAACTATACTACAAGGCTACAGTAACCAAAACAGCATGGTACTCGTACCAAAACAGAGATATAGACCAATGGAACAGAACAGAGCCCTCAGAAATAATGCCACATATCTACAACTATCTGATCTTTGACAAACCTGAGAAAAACCAGCAATGGGGAAAGGATTCCCTATTTAATAAATGGTGCTGGGAAAACTGGCTAACCATATGTAGAGAGCTGAAACTGGATCCCTTCCTTACACCTTATATAAAAATTAATTCAAGATGGATTATAAAGACTTAAATGTGAGACCTAAAACCATAAAAACCCTAGAAGAAAACCTAGGTAATACCATTCAGGACATAGGCATGGGCAAGGACTTCATGTCTAAAACGCCAAAAGCAATGGCAACAAAAGCCAAAATTGACAAATGGGATCTAATTAAACAAAAGAGCTTCTGCACAGCAAAAGAAACTACCATCAGAGTGAACAGGCAACCTACAGAATGGGAGAAAATTTTTGCAATCTACTCATCTGACAAAGGGCTAATATCCAGAATCTACAATGAACTCAAATAAATTTACAAGAAAAAAACAATCAACCCCATCAACAAGTGGGCGAAGGATATGAACAGACACTTCTCCAAAGAAGACATTTATACAGCCAAAAGACACGTGAAAAAATGCTCATCATCACTGGCCATCAGAGAAATGCAAATCAAAACCACAATGAGATACCATCTCACACCAGTTAGAATGAGGATCATTAAAAAGTCAGGAAACAACAGGTGCTGGAGAGGATGAGGAGAAATAGGAACACTTTTACACTGTTGGTGGGACTGTAAACTAGTTCAACCATTGTGGAAGTCAGTGTGGCGATTCCTCAGGGATCTAGAACTAGAAATACCATTTGACCCAGCCATTCCATTACGGGGTATATACTCAAAGGATTATAAATCATGCTGCTATAAAGACACATGCACACGTATGTTTTCTGCGGCACTATTCACAATAGCAAAGACTTGGAACCAACCCAAATGTCCAACAATGGTAGTCTGGATTAAGAAAATGTGGCACATATACACCATGGAATACTATGCAGCCATAAAAAATGATGAGTTCATGTCCTTTGTAGGGATGCGGATGAAGCTGGAAACCATCATTCTCAGCAAACTATCGCAAGGACAAAAAACCAAACACCGCATGTTCTCACTCATAGGTGGGAATTGAACAATGAGAATGCATGGACACAGGAAGGAGAATATCACACACTGGGGCCTGTTGTGGGGTTGGGGGAGAGGGGAGGGATAGCATTAGGAGATATACCTAATGTTAAATGACGAGTTAATGGGTGCAGCACACCTACATGGCACATGTATACATATGTAACAAACCTGCACGTTGTGCACATGTACCCTAAAACTTAAAGTATAATAAAAAAAAAAAAAGTTAGAACGTTGAGATATTATGCCACAACATGGATGAAACTTGAAAACAGTAGGCTAAGTAAAAGAAACCAGTCATTGGTTATACAATAAACATATGTGGTATAATTTCATTTCTATGAAATGTCTAGCACAGGCAAATTCATAGAGACAAAAAGTAGATTAGTGGTTGCCTAGGGCTGCATGGGGAAGAGAATGAAGGGTGACTACAAATGGGCATAAGGTTTCTTTTTTGGGTAATAAAAATGTTCTAAAAATGTGGTGATGTTGCACAATTCTGTAAATATACTGAAAACCACTTGAGTTGTATATTTTAAATGGCTGAAATTTATGCTGTAAAAATTCTAGCTCAATAAAGCTGTCAAAAATGCTGGGGGTATTGGGAAAAAAAAGAATCTAGTGGAGGAGATTATGATGACAGAAACGCTATCATATTTGAGGAAGACATTAATGAACTGATAGCTAACAGCTGATAAAATATATGCTATAATACCAAAAAAGTTTCCTAAAATTGCAAACACTATATTGACACTATAAATATAAATAGTATTTGTTTAAAAAAAATTAGCAAAGAATCTACAATTTTAGCCTAATTACCTAACAGCACAATTTTAGCCTAATTACATAAATAAGGAATCATACTACAAGGGAAACTGACAAACATAAAAGACAGGAAAAGGAGAAAAAACTGTAAATACATGAGTAACAGAAAAATAAAAATATTAGAAATGTAGAAACTGTAATTAAGGAAATAATTATTTAAAATATTCGTAATTTTAAAAAGATCTCAGCATGAGTAATAAAAGATCAATTAAGGAACTGTCCTCAAAGAAACAATGTTACGAGCTATTAAGGAGAAAACATAATAAGAATAAGAATAAGAATATAAAAATTACATAAAGTTTCAGCTTTTAAGTGCTAGAAAAGGGAAGAGTTTGGGAGAAACTTTTAGTAAGCTAAGAGAAATAAAGCCATCATCATAAAGGCAGTTTTTTACTAACCTGTCTCTTCAACATTCAAAGTAAACTGTTTACAATTCCAAAAGTTCTGAAATAATTTCTAACCAAGTTTTACTTTAGCAAATGTAAAGAGATAAAATGTGAAACCTTCATTCATTGATTCATTTATTCATTCATTCAGTAAATATTTATTGAGCAGATTGTGCTAAGCACTGTTCTACTTGGGGACAGTGCAGTCAAAGACAGGATTAACTTACAGCTGACCTGTGGTAGTGTTATGCTAATCTCCAGAAATACCTGGAAGTCTGGTAGTGACCCTTGGCCAAGATGCAGTGACATGTACTAACTAGTCAGTTGTAATATGCTATTTTTATGACCAAAACTAACCTGGAGGCATTCCACAACTGTTTATTTACATTGTTTATTGAAAATGTAGATTGGTGGTTTGCATCTGATATAACCAGTTGGGTAGAAACGACCCCTCAAAAAACTTGTGTCTTGGCTCTCTAGGCCAAGATATCTCACATGTATCTTGATGGTTTATAACTGAAAATCTAAACACATCCTGTGTAACTGAGAAAGGGCCCTGAGAGCTCTGTCAGAAGTGTGGATCTCTTTGTGTTTGCAGGTTCATTCTTTCTCTTGCTGAAAGAAAGCCACATGTGGGTGTACCCTGAGAAGTCTTGTGAGTGTTGTCAATTATTTGACCCTGTGTGACTGCTGAAGCAGGGAACAAAACAGAATTGAAAAGCTCTTGCCCCTGTGGAGCTTCCTTTGTAATGGAAAAAGGCAAGCAATAAGCAAAATAAATCAATAGTATGTTACATACGTCATGATAGATGCTGTGGAGGAAAACAAAGCTGGAAAGGGTATAAGGAGTTCCAAGCAGAAGAGCCAGTGAAACCTTTACTAAGAAGGTGATATTTAAGCAAAGACACAAGTAGTGAGGGAACATGCAGGTAGACATTTAGGGAAAAATCATTGCCAGCAGATAAAACAAAGAGCAAAGACACTCAGCTGGGAGGAAGCCAGGGGTAAGCAAGGAGGCTAAAGTAGCTGGAGTAAGACCAATCAGAAGGACAGTAACCAGAGATGAACTCAGACAGGTAATGGGATATCAAATCAAATGGGCTTTTATTTAATAAGTAGAATAAGATGGGAAGCCACTGGATAGCAGAAGAGTGGCTTATTCTGAATTGCATTTAAAGGCCTTCCTCCGGAAGCTGTGCTAAGAACAGATTCTAGGTGGGAAAAGGTAGAAGTAGGAAGACCAGTTGGGAAGCTTGGATATAGCAGTGGTGGTGACAAAAACTGGCTGTATTCTGGATATATTTCAAAGATAAATATAATAGGATTACATGTGAAGTCCAAGAGAAAGAGTGAAATCAAACGTATGAATTAAAATAATGAATTCCAAGTGTCTACTGAAGGGTTCCACTTGAATATTTGATATGTCTCTGTAACTTAACTCAGCTTATCACCTTCACTAACAGCCCTGTTCCTCCTCCTGTATCCTCTATCTCATGTCAAGTAACTTCTAGCCAATTACACAACCTAGATACTTGAAGGTGATCATTATCTTTTCTTTTTCTCATAGACCCCGTATCTGATCAGTTCCCAAATCATCCTTAAAATCTCTTTCAAATCCATCAAATTGTTTCCATTTCCAGTGTTGTTGTCTTAGTTCAGACACTCATCATGTCTTCTGGACTACTAGAACAGGGAATGGAATAAAAAAGAAAAAGATTTCCTGAGTATGTATATGTGCCAGGCAGCAGGCTATGTGATGTACAGTCACTATTCTTTTTCATTATTTTACTTTTTTTAAATTATACTTTAAGTTCTAGGGTACATGTGCAGGTTTGTTACATATGTATACATGTGCCCGTGTTGGTTTGCTGCACTCATTAACTTATCATTTACATTAGGTATTTCTCCTAATGCTATCCCTCCCCCATTCCCCCACCTCAGTGTGTGATGTTTCCCACCCTGTGTCCAAGTGTTCTCATTATTCAATTCCCACCTATGAGTGAGAACATGCAGTGTTTGGTTTTCTGTTCTTGCGATAGTTTGCTCAGAATGATGGTTTCCCACTTCATCCATGTTGCTATAAAGGACATGAACTCACCCTTTTTAATGGCTGCATAGTATGTGCCACATTTTTTTAATCCAGTCTATTATTGATGGACATTTAGGTTGGTTCCAAGTCTTTGCTATTGTGAATAGTACCGCAATAAACATATCTGTGCATGTATCTTTATAGTGGCATGATTTACAATTCTTTGGGTATATACCCAGTAATGGGATCACTGAGGCAAATGGTATTTCTAGTTCTAGATCCTTGAGGAATCACCACACTGTCTACCACAGTGGTTGAACTAGTTTACACTACCAATAGTGTAAAAGCGTTCCAATTTCTCCACATCCTCTCCAGCACCTGTTGTTTCCTGACTTTTTAGTGATCACCATTCTAACTGGTGTGAGATGGTATCTCATTGTGGTTTTGATTTGCATTTCTCTGATGGCCAGTGATGGTGAGCATTTTTTCATGTGTCTGTTGGCTGCATAAATGTCTTCTTTTGAAAAGTGTCTGTTCACATCCTTTGCCCACTTTTTTTTTTTTTTTTTTTTTTGAGACGGAGTCTCGCTCTGTCGCCCAGGCTGGAGTGCAGTGGCGGGATCTCGGCTCACTGCAAGCTCCGCCTCCCGGGGTCACGCCATTCTCCTGCCTCAGCCTCCCAAGTAGCTGGGACTACAGGCGCCCGCCACTACGCCCGGCTAATTTTTTGTATTTTTAGTAGAGACGGGGTTTCACCGTTTTAGCCGGGATGGTCTCGATCTCCTGACCTCGTGATCCGCCCGCCTCGGCCTCCCAAAGTGCTGGGATTACAGGCGTGAGCCACCGCGCCCGGCCCTTTGCCCACTTTTTGATGGGGTTGTTTTTTTCTTGTAAATGTGTTTAAGTTCTTTGTAGATTCTGGATATTAACCCTATGTCACATGGGTAGATTGCAAAAATTTTCTCCCATTCTGTAGGTTGCCTGTTCACTCTGATGGTAGTTTCTTTTGCTGTGCAGAAGCTCTTTCATATAATTAGTTCCCATTTGTCAATTTTGGCTTTTGTTGCCATTGCTTTTGGTGTTTTAGACGTGAAGTCCTTGCCCATGCCTATGTCCTGAATGGTATTGCCTAGGTTTTCTTCTAGGGATTTTATGGTTTTAGGTCTCACATTTAAGTCTTTAATCAATCTTGAATTAACTTTTGTATAAGGTGTAAGGAAGGGATCCAGTTTCAGCTTTCTACATATGGATAGCTAGTTTTCCCAGCACCATTTATTAAATAGGGAATCCTTTCCCCATTTCTTGTTTTTGTCAGGTTTGTCAAAGTTCAGATGGCTGTAGATGTGTGGTGTTATCTCTGAGGCTGCTGTTCTGTTCCATTGGTCTACATCTCTGTTTTGGTACCAGTACCATGCTCTTTTGGTTACTGTAGCCTTGTAGTACAGTTTGAAGTCAGGTAGCGTGATGCCTCCAGCTTTGTTCTTTTTGTTTAGGATTGTCTTGGCACTGCGGGCTCTTTTTTGGTTCCATATGAACTTTAAAGTAGTTTTTTCCAATTCTGTGAAGAAAGTCAGTGGTAGCTTGATGGGGATGGCATTGAATCTATAAATTACTTTGGGCAGTATGGCCATTTTCACGATTTTGATTCTTCCTATCCATGAGCATGGAATGTTCTTCCATTTGTTTGTGCCTCACTTTGGGCAGTATGGCCATTTTCACGATTTTGATTCTTCCTATCCATGAGCATGGAATGTTCTTCCATTTGTTTGTGTCCTCTTTTATTTCATTGAACAGTGGTTTGTAGTTCTCCTTCAAGAGGTCCTTCACATCCCTTGTAAGTTGGATTCCTAGGTATTTTATTCTCTTTGTAGCAATTGTAAATGGGAGTTCACTCATAATTTGGCTCTCTGTTTGCCTGTTATTGGTGTATAAGAATGTTTGTGATTTTTGCACATTGATTTTGTATCCTGAGACTTTGCTGAAGTTGCTTATCAGCCTAAGGAGATTTGCAGCTGAGATGATGGGATCTTCTAAATATACAATCATGTCATCTGCAAACAGGGACAGTTTGACTTCCTCTTTTCCTAATTGAAAACCTTTATTTCTTTCTCTTGCCTGATTGCCATGGCCAGAACTTCCAACACTATGTTGAATAGGAGTGGTAAGAGAAGGTATCCCTCTCTTGTGCCAGTTTTCAAAGGGAATGCTTCCAGTTTTTGCCCATTCAGTATGATACTGGCTGTGGGTTTGTCATAAATAGCTCTTATTATTTTGAGATACGTTCCATCAATACCTAGTTTATTGAGAGTTTTTAGCATGTAGGCTGTTGAATTTTGTCGAAGGCCTTTTCTGCATCTATTGAGATAATCATGTGATTTTTGTCTTTGGTTCTGTTTATGTGATGGATTATGTTTATTGATTTGCATACATTGAACCAGCCTTGCATCCCAGGGATGAAACCGACTTGATCTTGGTGGATAAGCTTTTTGATATGCTGCTGGATTTGGTTTGCCAATCTTTTATTGAGAATTTTCACATCAATGTTCATCGGGGTATTGGTCTAAAATTTTCTTTTTTTGCTGTGTCTCTGCCAGGCTTTGGTATCCGGATGATGCTGGTGTCATAAAATGAGTTAAGGAGGATTCCCTCTTTTTCTATTGATTGGAATAGTTTCAGAAGGAATGGTACCAGCTCCTCTTTGTACCTCTGGTAGAATTCGGCTGTGAATCCATCTCGTCATAGACTTCTTTTGGTTGGGAGGCTATTAATTATTGCCTCAATTTCAGAGCCTGTTATTGGCCTATTCAGTGATTCAACTTCCTGGTTTGGTCTTGGGAGGGCGTATGTGTCGAGGAATTTATCCATTTCTTCCAGATTTTCTAGTTTATTTGTGCAGAGGTGTTTATAGTATTCTCTGATGGTAGTTTGTATTTCTGTGGAATCGGTGGTGATATTCCCTTTAGCATTTTTTATTGCATCTATTTGATTCTTCTCTCTTTTCTTCTTTATTAGTTTTGCTAGCATTCTACCAATTTTGTTGATCTTTTCAAAAAACCAACTCCTGGATTCACTGATTTTTTGAAGGGTTTTTTGTGTTTCTATCTCCTTCAGTTCTGCTCTGATCTTAGTTATTTCTTGCCTTCTGCTAGCTTTTGAATGTGTTTGCTCTTGCTTCTCTAGTTCTTTTAATTGTGATGTTAGGGTGTCAATTTTAGATCTTTCCTGCTTTCTCTTGTGGGCATTTAGTGCTATAAATTTCCCCCTACGCACTGCTTTAAATGTGTCCCAGAGATTCTGGTATGTTTCTCTTTGTTCTCATTGGTTTCAAAGAGCATCTTTATTTCTGCCTTCATTTCGTTATGTACCCAGTAGTCATTCAGGAGCAAGTTGTTCAGTTTCCATGTAGTTGTGCGGTTTTGAGTAAGTTTCTTAATCCTGAGTTCTAATTTGATTGCACTGTGGTCTGAGAGACAGTTTGTTGTGATTTCTGTTCTTTTACATTTGCTGAGGAGTGCTTTACTTCCAACTATGTGATCAATTTTGAAATAAGTGCGATGTGGTGCTGAGAAGAATGTATATTCTGTTGATTTGGGGTGGAGGGTTCTGTAGATGTCTATTAGATCAGCTTGGGGCAGAGCTGAGATCAAGTCCTGGATATCCTTGTTAACCTTCTGTCTCATTGATCTGTCTAATATTGACAGTGGGGTGTTAAAGTCTCCCATTATTGTGTGGGAGTCTAAGTCTCTTTTTAGGTGTCTCAGGACTTGCTTTTTGAATCTGGGTGCTTCTATATTGGGTGCAAATATATTTAGGATAATTAGCTCTTCTTGTTGAATTGATCCCTTACCATTATGTAATGGCCTTCTTTGTCTCTTTTGATCTTTGTTTGTTTAAAGTCTGTTTTATCAGAGACTAGGATTGTAACTCCTGCTCTTTTTGTGCTTTCCATTTGCTTGGCAGATCTTCCTCCATCCCTTTATTTTGAGCCTATGTTTGTCTCTGCATGTGAGATGAGTCTCCTGAATACAGCACACTGATAGGTCTTGACTCTTTATCCAATTTGCCAGTCTGTGTCTTTTAATTGGGGAATTTAGCCCATTGACATTTAAGGTTAATATTGTTATGTGTGGATTTGATCCTGTCATTATGATGTTAGCTGGTTATTTTGCTCATTAGTTGATGCAGTTTCTTCTTAGCATCGATGGTCTTTACAATTTGGCATGTTTTTGCAGTGGCTGGTACCAGTTGTTCCTTTCCATGTTTAGTGCTTCCCTCAGGAGCTCTTTTAGGGCAGGCCTGGTGGTGACAAAATTTCTCAGTATTTGCTTGTCTGTAAAGGATTTTATTTCTCCTTCACTTACGAAGCTTAGTTTGGCTGGATATGAAATTCTGGGTTGAAAATTCTTTTCTTTAAGAATGTTGAATATTGGCCCCCAGTCTCTTCTGGCTTGTAGGGTTTTTGCTGAGAGATCTGCTGTTAGTCTGATGGGCTTCCCTTTGTGGGTAACCCAACCTTTCTCTCTGGCTGCCCTTAACATGTTTTCCTTCATTTCAACCTTGGTGAATCTGACAGTTATGTGCCTTGGGGTTGCTCTTCTCGAGGAGTGTCTTTGTGGTGTTTTCTGTATTTCCTGAATTTGAATGTTGGCCTGCCTTGCTAGTTAGGGAAGTTCTCCTGGATAATATCCTGAAGAGTGTTTTCCAGCTTGGTTCCATTCTCCTTGTCACTTTCAGGTATACCAATCAAATGTAGATTTGGTCTTTTCACATAGTCCCATATTTCTTGGAGGCATTGTTGGTTTCTTTTTACTCTTTTTTTCTGTAAACTTCTCTTTTCACTTCATTTCATTCATTTGATCTTCAATCACTGATACCCTTTCTTCCAGTTGATCGAATCGGCTACTGAAGCTTGTACATGCATCACATAGTTCTCGTGCCATGGTTTTCAGCTCCATCAGGTCATTCAAGGTCTTCTCTATGCTGTTTATTCTAGTTAGCCATTCGTCTAATCTTTTTTCAAGGTTTTTAGCTTCCTTGTGATGGGTTCGAACATCCTTCTTTAGCTCAGAGACGTGTGTTATTACCGACTTTCTGAAGCCTACTTCTGTCAGCTCGTCAAAGTCATTCTCCGTCCTGCTTTGTTCCACTGCTGGCAAGGAGCTGCGATCCTTTGGAGGAGAAGGGGCACTCTGGTTTTTAGAATTTTCAGCTTTTCTGCTCTGGTTTCTCCCCATGTTTGTGGTTTTATCTACCTTTGGTCTTTGATGATGGTGACCTACAGATGGGGTTTTGGTGTGGATGTCCTTTTTGTTGATGTTGATGCTATTCCTTTCTGTTTGTTAGTTTTCCTTCTAACAGTCAGGTCCCTCAGCTGCAGGTCTGTTGGAGTTTGCTGGAGGTCCACTCCAGATGCTGTTTGCCTGGGTTTCACCAGCGGAGGCTGCAGAACAGCAAATATTGCAGAAGAGCAAATATTGCTGCCTGATGCTTCCTCTGAAAGCTTTGTCTCAGAGGGGCACTGGCCTGTATGAGGTGTCAGTCAGCCCCTACTGGGAGATGTCTCCAAGTTAGGCTACACGGGGGTCAGGGACCCACTTGAGGAGGCAGTCTGTCTGTTCTCAGAGCTCAAACACTGTGCTGGGAGAACCACTGCTCTCTTCGGAGCTGACAGACAGGGATGTTTTAAGTCTGCAGAAGTTGTCTGCTGCCTTTTGTTCAGCTATGCCCTGCCCCCAGAGATGGAGTCTACAGAGGCAGGCAGGCCTCGTTGAGCTGTGGTGGGCTCCACCCAGTTCGAGCTTCCCGCCACTTTGTTTACCTACTCAAGCCTCAACTATGGCGGATGCCCCTCCCCCAGCCAGGCTTGCCACCTCATAGTTTGATCTCGGACTAGAAGTGAGCAAGGGTCTGTGGGCATGGGACCTGCTGAGCCAGGCATGGGATATAACCTCCTGGTGTGCCGTTTGCTAAGACTGTTGGAAAATCGCAGTGTTTAGTTGGCAGTGTTCTGATTTTCCTGGTACAGTCTGTTATGGCTTCCCTTGGGTCAGAAAGGGAAATCCCCCAACCCCTTGCCCTTCCCAGGTGAGGCAATGCCCCTCCCTGCTTCGGCTCACCCTCCGTGGGCTGCACCCACTTTCTGACCTGTCCCAATGAGGTGAACCAGGTGCCTCAGTTAGAAATGCAGAAATCACCCGTCTTCTGTGTTGATCACGCTGGGAGCTGCAGACTGGGCCTGTTCGTATTCGGCCATCTTGGAACCCACTTCCTACAGTTACTATTTTTTAATCAAAATTATCCTAACTGATTTACTCAATGCTAATCTTTCCATATTCCAATATATTTTCCAAGGGTAATTTTCAAACACAGATCTGATCATGTCATTCTACTGCTTCAGTGACTCTGGGGCTTTTTACATGCTAATCCCTCTGCCTTGATATATTTTTACATCATCATTTATTCACATTATTCATTCATTAATATATGTGTATTTATCCAATAGAACCTACCTCAAGAAAATCCTTAGGTGCATAAACAGGTCTGAAAAGGCTTAAATCTAGAATAAGATAGATTATAAACAAAATTTCAGCTAATAATATATGAAGGCTTATTAAATAAATGTTAATCATTCTTTCACATGTTATCATACAGATAGATTAATTCAAACATTTCTTGAGAATGCATACACTGCATTAAGTACAGAGAACATTAAAATGAAAAGACAATTTCTGCCCTTAACATCCTAGATGACATATTCTGGAAGAAATTAAGAGCATCCTATTCACAAATTGTAATTATTTGTAACTGAATTGGCCAAACAATGTCAATGTAACATAAAGGTACTATATGAGAATTCTCAATGTACTTAAAATACAAACAATGCATTCTTAGTGAATTCCTCTAGTTGTATTAAACTATTCCCCCTTTTGAACTCAAATAACTATATATAATAACTCTATTATGGTATTTATCTCTTACCTAGTCCCCTACATGTATTTTTAGCAGTGGTAAAGGAAGGGGAGGAGGAAGGGTTATGTACATGTCTGTCTATACAATTATAGGCATCTATCATAGTAAATGAAATATAGTTGTTATTCATTTTATATTTACAAAATTGACTAGATTTTAAATATTAAAATGAACAAAAATAAATTCTTTAAAACATTTTAAAGTCTTCAAACGTATTTTTCACTATTTATCCTATTTTTAACAACCCAATATAATTAAGCTTGCACAATATTTACCTTAATTAAAAGACAAGAATCTCAAAAATCCACTGGATAATTTATAATTTTATAAAAATGTTTTTAAAGGCTGCTTTAAAAAAGGATAAATAAGGCCAGGCGCAGTGGCTCACACCTGTAATCCCAGCACTTTGGGAGGCTCTGGTGGGAGGATGGGAGGATTACTTGAGGCCAGGAGTTCAACAGAGAGAGCCAGGGCAACATAGCAAAACCCCATCTCTACAAAAAATAAAAAAATTAGCCAGGCATGGTGGTGTGTGCCTGTAGTCTTAGCTACTCAGGAGGCTGAGGTGAAAGGACCCTCTGAGCCCAGGAGCTTGAGGTTAAAGTGAGCTGTGATCATGCTACTGTACTCCAGCACAGGTAACAGAGCAAGAACCTGTCTCTAAAAACACAAACAAACAAAAAGCTGCTCCTGATGTCTGTATTTATTAGTTGCATGTGGTGTCTGGGAGTTTGAGTAGGTCAGTCTAATTCTGGTTTTCCAGATGATAGAAAATTAATGAGAAGGAAAATTGCAATCTTCCCAAAAGAATTGTTAATTATGTTATTTTGGATCCACAGTTAAGAAGGCAATTATTTTTCCACTACTACATTCAGAAAAAATTGTTCACATACCTGGTTCATCAGTTCCCATTTCATTCCATTTATTAAGAAGTTCTTTCTGTTCTCCAACTGGCCTCTGGAAAAGGTAATTTTGAAACTGGTTTCATTTCATTTTTTGAAGTCTAGCAATACAACTAAAAACAAGAATCAATAACTTATTTAAAAGCTAAATAAATGACCATAACAGTATAATTTCATTAAACATGTTGAATTTGGGGGGTAACTGCATTTAAATTATTATTTAACTATTATGTTATATCTAGTCTCAATGGCTTAGTTAGAACATGGTGCTAATGAGTCCAATAAAAGAAGGTAAGTGATCTGTACTGGCCAGTAAATTTCACAAAGAAAAACTGCTCCTCAGCCACATACTACTTCTCTTACCCCCATCCAGCAGTCTCAGAAAAGCATCACAAGGGGGACTGGCCAAGAGAGTGTGACTAAGAGTCAGTAGCATCATCTTCCTATAAGAAAGGCAGTATATTATACAATACTACATATTTAGACAGTTTTTAATATAAATGTATCCCTTTTTAAACACCATCCTTCTGGTGCCTTCAGTAATTTTTCCTTGGATATTATCCAAAGTATACCTACTACATCCTGTCCAACAACAGGGAATAAATAGCAGGTAGGGAGAATGAAGTAAAGGGAAACTGACTCTCTCCTACTTGTGAGCAGCTACAAAGAAAACAGAACATCCCTCAAGTGTTTTTTCTTTTCTTTCTCATCTTTTCTCCTCAATGCCCAGAGTAACATAAATGTTGAGTATTAGATCTAAATAGAATTCCAGTTCTACAGAGAGATGACAAATTATCCTTTTCGTTTCCTACGTTAATACCGAAAGATGGTACCGTATTACCTATTACAAGATCACAGTATGCCTGAACTCTATCTGTGATTCAAGGAATATGACTGTTGTGCTAATTAGCCAAAAGGTAAGGAGACTAAAGGTAATTAAAATCTTTAAAGCATATTCCTAATCTTTACAGCCAAATGTCTAACTCATCTGTACTACAGATTCATATTTCAATTTATTTGCAAAGATACAGGTTTGTTATAATAATTATTATAGCACACAAAATAGAAATCCATATAGAATATACCCACATAATTGGCCTTTTACAGATTTTTGTTTCAAACCAAGGTGATATACTAGTAAAAATACATAAATAGGCCGGGCACAGTGGCTCACATCTGTAATCCCAGCACTTTGGGAGGCCAAGGTGGGCGGATCATGATGTCAGGAGATCGAGACCCTCCTGACTAACACAGTGAAACCCCGTCTCTATCAAAAATACAAAAAAATTAGCCAGACCTGGTGGCGGGTGCCTGTAGTCCCAGCTACTTGGAGGCTGAGGCAGGAGAATTGCTTGAACCCAGGAGGCGGAGGTTGCAGTGAGCCAAGATCGCGCCACTGCACTCCAGCCTGGGTGACAGAGCAAGACTCTGTCTCTAAATAAATAAATAAATAAATGTGCCTAACAGTTATATAACTTCATGATACTTTCTGTATTTGATTCACAATGAAATACTTAAACAGAAAAATGTTTAAAAGTACCTTTCGTGCCAGTGGGATACTCAGTTCAGTGCACATACTATTTAAACTCTTCAAAATTCTTTTTTCCCAACTTCCCTGAAACATAAAAAACAATCAATTATCTTTTCCAGTAACAATACTAAAACTAATAAAAAAATTAAAGATATTACAAATTATATAGAAATGGTAAGGCTGGTTGAGATTGGTTATCCTTATTTATTAGTCCACTCAACAAATACTGACTATTGCCTACTATATGCCAGATACTATCCTTTGTGCTATGAATTAAGCAGTGAATAACAGAAAGCCTCAGTCCTCAAATAACTGATATTTTAGTTGAGGATGGGAATGAGGACAGATTTTTTAAAATGTCAAGAAGTCATATGGTAATAAACATTATATGGAAAATATCAGATAAAAAGATAAGTTAAATTTAAGTATTTTATAAATGTTTAATACTTAGGAATCTCATTAATGATCTAGTAAAAGGTAAAAATGTACAGAAATTATTACATTGTAATTTTTCCAAAAATGAAATTTTACCCCTAAATACATCAGCATGCATATTCTTAGAATAAGGACATTTTCCAACATATCACAATATCATTATCATACCTAAGAAAATTAATATTTCATGATGTCATACTTAGTCCATATATACTCAAATTTTCCAGTTGTCTCCAAAATATCTTTTATAGTTTTTTAAAATCTGGGATCCATTCAAAATTCATGCATTACATTTCATTGGTTGTTATGTCTCTGTCTTTCAGAGCAGTTTAATCCAGAATCTCTCTATTCTTCTTTTTTTTTTTTTTTTTATGATACTGACTTTCTTGAAAGGTCCAGGCCAGTTATCTCTTAGAATGTGTCACAATCTAGATTTGTCTCACTATTTTTCATAGTATTGATTACCTTCTTCATTATCTCTTCTATTTCTTATAACATGGAAATTAAGTTTTAATAGTCCTAGGTTTGATCATCCATAAATACCATATTTTAATATAATATTCTTTTCAATGACAAGCTAAAATGCCATATGATGTTTTTTGTCTTTTTACTAAATGTGCCTACAGACCACTTCTGGCTCACTGAAACCAAAATAAAACAATACCAAAGTCCCAAAATTCAGACCTAATAAGGAAAGAAGGGGAGAATGGTATATTACTCATAAAGAACAATTAATAATCAATAATCAATTAATGAAAGTGGAATAATAACAACAGTTCCCTTATATGGCTGTTACAAAGATTAAAGATGTTAATACATGTAAACTGACTCAAACAGTGGCATAATATGATAATTATCATTCAATAAGTGATGGCTTTTACTACAGCTATCATTATTCATAGCTTCTTCAACACACACATTCAAATACATTAGTCTTTATCTGAAATTTGCTCTCCAAGCTCAACTCCCACCTCCAACATTCTTATTCTTGTCTAAATAAATCTTATTCACCTTTTAGGTATCAGCTTAAATATCCCTTCCTCCATTAAAACTTTTCTCACCTGGTCCCCAACCAAGATAGCATTAGGTGACTTTGCTTATGGGCTTTCATAACACCCTGTCCTCCACCTATCATGGTACAAATCACACTATGTCTAGCACATAATAGATGCTCAATAATTAAACATATTTCTACTCTAAGTAATGTTGCAAGTATTTTAAAAAATTTTAATGCAATGGCCCAAGCAGTGACTGAACAGAAAAAATTCTTCTGAAGAATAAATATCGAGCTATGTGAAATGTATAAAGTTCAGTTTACTACATTTATAGAAATAGATTTTCAAGAATAAAAGCATACTCAATACATTACATGAAATAGCTCCCAAATTAACTCTATTTATTGGCTTATTTTAATTCTCTCCTTAACTATAAATAATTCTCTTAGATCCCAGACTTATTTGGTACCTCTTATTTGGGTACATTGTTAATGAGCAAACATTAATTATAATGATACAACCTACCTTCCACATTCATTATCTTTACACCCACCTTATTTAGATAAATCTCATTCACCTTTCTGATGTCAGATTAAGTATCATTTCCTCTAACAAGCCTTCTGTTACCTGCTGCCTCCCACCCCAAATGGTGGAGAAAACAGGTAAGAAAAAGCTTATTAAAAAATACTTCTAATTAAATGATCACAATAAAATAAAATTTGCATACATATTAAAAATCCAATCCCTGGATTTTTATTTATCCTATTATAAGGAACCAAATTGCTAGTTATTAAATTATGGTTACAAATATTCTCATTTTCAATCACTCATGCAAACAGCTCTAGAATTGATAAAAAGGCATTAACTCTCAGACATAAAAACAAAATTAAAGTTATTAAATACAATAGACATGAATGTGCAGCTCATAATATACAGAGTTGGCACGTGAACAACATAGGCTTGAACTGTATGGGTTTACTTATATTTAAATTTTTTCCAATAAATATACTGGAAAAAATTCTGGAGATCAGCAACAATTTCAAAAAACCTCACAGACAAACCATATAGCCTAGACATATTGAAAATTTTAAGAAAAAGTTGGGTTTGTTCTGAATGCATAAAATATATGTAGATACTAGTAGTCTATTTTATCATTTCCTACCGTAAAGTATACACAAAACTATTATAAAAAGTTAAGTTTTATTAAAAACGTATATATACTTTCAGACTATACATGGTACCATTTGAAGTTGAGAGAAATATGAACAAACATAAAGACGCAGTATTAAATCACAACTGCATAAAATTAACTGTAGCACATACTATATTACTGTAACAATTTTGTAGCCACCTCCTCTTGCTATTGAATTCACAGTGAATTCAAGTGCTGTGAGTATCTGCTTGAAACCCTGGGTGATGCTAATCATCTCCATGTGAGCAGTTCCACAGGCCTGTAAATTGTGTATTGCAGTAAAAAGTGATCTCTCGCAGTCTCACATTTTTTTATTGTGTTGAGCACAATATTGCCCCTGAATAATGCCATGGGACCCATACAAAAAGCCACTAGTGATGCTAGAAATGCTCCCAAGAAGAAAAGTCATGACATTGCAAGAAAACATTGAATTGCTTGATATGTACGGAAGATTGAGGTCTGCAGCTGCAGTTGTCCATCACTTCAAGAGAAATGAATCCAGCATAAGGACCATTGTAAAAAAAGAAAAGGAAATTCATGAAGCCATGGCTGTAGCTACACCACCAGAGGTGAAAATCTTGCATTTTTTTTTTTTTTGCAAAATACTCTTTTATCTATCTAGCATTGAAAATACAGCTTTTATGTGGGTACAGGGTTACTAAAGGCATACCCATAGACTCCAAATATGATTTGAGAAAAAGTGAAGTCATTACATGACAATTTAAAGCAAAAGAAAGGTAAAGGATCTAAAGCTGGAGGATTTAATCCCAGCCAAGGATGGTTTGACATTTTCAAAATCAGTTTGGCTTAAAAATGTCAAGATAACAAAAGAAGTAGCTTCTGCTGACCAAGAGGCAGAAGATGAGTTCCCGATGCCATTAAAATCATTGAGGAAAAAGGATATCTGGCTGAACGGGTTTTTAATGCAGAAGAGAGTGCCTTATTCTAAGGGGGAAAAATTGCCACATAGGACTTTCATTAGTAAGTAAGAGAAGCAAGTACCAGGATTTAAGGCAAGAAGAAATAGGCTAATTCTACCATTTTTTGTAAATGCAGTTGGATTTAGGAACAGGACTGCCGTTATCTGTAAAGCTGCTAACCCCTGAGCCTTGAAGGGAAAAGATAAACACCAATTGCCAGGCTTTTGGTTTTAAAACAAGAAGGCCTGGACAACAAGAACCCTTTTTCTGGATTGGTTCAGTTTATGCTTTTTCCCTGATGTCAGGAAGTACCTTGTCAGTAAAGGACTGTTTTTAAAGCTGTTTTGATATTGGACAATGCCCTTCACCTCGCAGAACACCACGAGTTCAACACAGAAGATATCAAATTGGTCTACTTACCCTCAAACACAACGTCTCTAATTCAGCCTCTTGGTCTGGGTCATAGGGACCTTTAAGGCTCATTATATACAGCATCCTATGGAAAAGATTTGCCAATGCTATGGAAGAGAAACCCAATACAGAGATCATCATGAAAGTCTGGAAGACTTATACCATTGAAGACGCCATTGTTGTTATGGAAAAAGTTGTGAAAGCCATCAGGCCCAAAGCAGTAAATTCCTGCTAGAGAAAACTGTTTCCAGATGTTGTACAGACTTCACAGGATTTACAAGAGAGTCAATCAAGGAAATAATGAAAGAGATTGTAGATATGACCAAAAAAGGTTGGGAGTGAAGGGTTGCAAGATACAGATTTTAGAGAAATTCAACAGCTAATAGACACCACACCAGAGGAAGTTAATTAAAAACAACTTGATGGAGATGACTGCTTCCAGACCACTGTCAGATAATGAGGAAGAACACGTAGAAGAAGTGGTGCCAAAAAACAAATTGACATTAGACAATCTGGCAGAAGAGTTCTGATTATTCAAGACTGCTTTTGACTTCAGTGTCCATATCATAGAAGGGTCCATTTTGCAACATGGACCCTTGAAACTAAAGCAAACAGTGAAAGAGGACTGGAACCATATAGAAATATTTTTAGAAAAATGAAAAAGTAAAAATGTCAGGTGGGAGTTACAATGTATTTCTGTAAAACTGCACCAAGTGTGCCTGCCTCTCCTGTATCCCTTCCACCTCCTCTACCTCTTTTGCCTCTGCCAGGCAAGACAGCAAGACCAACCCTTCCTCTTCCTCCTCCTCCTCAGCCTACTCAATGTGAAGATGATTTATGATCATTTAGATGAAGATATTTATGATGATCTACTCCCACTTAATAAATAATAAGTATATTTTTCTTACTTATGATTTTCTTCATATTTTCCTTTCTCTAGTATTCCTTATTATAAGAATATAGTATATAATATATATAACATATAAAATATGTGTTAATCCACTTAATGTTATCAGTGAGGTTTCTGGTCAACAGTAGGCTATTAGTAGTTAAGTTTTGGGGGAGTCAAAAGTTATATGTGAATTTTTGACTGCATGAAGGGTCAGCACCCCTAAACCCCACATTGTTTAAGGGTCAGCTGTACTGTACAAATTTTCAAGACTGCAATACACAATTTTAAAACAGCATAAAACTTACTAAAAATTCAAACATGAAGGCCATTCAAAATAGAAAGATAACTTTTGGAATGACACCTAGACAAGATGTTGAATATTTGTTAAATTATCCTTTAAATAATTATTTTGGCAAAAACAGCTCATTCAGGTATTTTCTGTAAAGTGATGAATCACAGTTCTCCAAATATAGATATCCCATTGTATCAAGAATTTCAATTTACCAACTCTAAATTTAACATTAGATGTAATATATAGAGAAAACAGTCAAGAGAAAAAGTTACACAGAAAAGAAATTAGACATCATAAGAAAGTATTCTCAATGGAAAGAGTTGATGAAACACAACTATGTGATTTACATGTGTTTATGATGTTATTTTACTAACCTATAAGATGTGTGTCATTACTATCATTTTACAAATGAGGAAACTTAAAAAGTAACACATGAAAGCACAATGAGAAAGACTGTTAAGAATGTAAGAAGTGCTGATTAAAACTTATTTGATTACCATTTTTTTCTGAGCTACACAATTAAAGCAGGAACTTAGAAATGACCCGGAACAGAGAAATACTATGACTAAACATTGAGGAAAGAAAAGAGTATGTCCAATTCAGAAAAGTGGGGTTTTTTAATAACTAGAACAGGGGAAAATGAGGTATATTATCTGAGTTTTTAAATGATGAAAATACATTGATTTAGCAAATATTTATTAGCCACCTATTAAATACATGCCACTAAAGATGAATAAAACAGCATTCCTGTCACTAAGCAACACATCACTTTTTTGGTGGAAGTCAGGAGGATAAGACAGATATACAAATAATATGGGACAGAGATAGTTTGCAAAAAGTTCATAAGATCTGTATCAGTCCATATGTCATAAACTACAGAAAAAACATGAAAGAATGAGCAAACAGAAAAGCTAGATATGGCTAAACTTGAACATTGTCAATTGAACATATACCACTTCCTTGAAAATCCTAAACATAAGGAAAGAAAAGTGACCCCAGTTGCTGGCCATGTCTATCCTCTGTCCCATATCTATAACACTATGTCAAGGTGGAGAGGTCTTTTCCAAGGTATCTCTTGCAAGAACTTCAGTCAGATGGTAAGTGAAGTCATTTCCATTGAAATCTTGGATGGTCAAAGGAGTCAGTTCCACAGTTATCAGAAACAGGAATAGAATTTCCTGACAATGAGGGGAAATCCAAGATGAAGAAGCAAGCAGCTGCTTTCAAGCTTGGCCATCCTTTAGGTTTCCTCAAGAACTCTAATCTTAATTAAGTGGTATCCATTCATTCCTTTATTCACTCGCTGACTCACTGACTAATATATTAATATACTGAATGCTGTCTATGTGCCAAGCACAAAACGAGGACCAGTGAGTAAATGTAGTAAGGAGCAGATGATCATTTAATATTAAAAAAGACACTTTGCAACAAGTAGAAATATTTACCTCAAATATAACTTAACTCAGTGAAATTATGAGCTCCTTGTTTCCAGAAGTCCTGGAGCAAAAGGAGATGAGAAGTGAACACTTGCCAGAGTTTGGAATGGATAAACTTGAGGTCCACTCTAGCTCCAGTTTTATAGACACAATTTTTCTCAGGTCCTATTCATGGAGGTGGATAATTAGGCCCTAAGTCTTAGAAGAAATGCCAAAAAAAAAATCATGATTATGCCTGTGCTATTATATAATAATTTCAATGTACATTTAGCACCCCAAAATAAATAAATAGATGGTTTCTACCCAAAAGACTTACAAAATAAATTCAAAGCTTTCATGTTATTCAAAAGGAAAGTGAATGGTTTTTAACATTTAAAATGTTCAGATAGGAAGACATCTACCTTTTACCCAAACCTATATCCTCTCTAAATGAAATTATTGTTGCCTTCAAGTAAATTTCCCTAATAATTGGAATCTATGGTATTGACTCAAAGGATTTCAGGAGTTTCATAAATAAAGCAATTTCTAAGTATGAGAAGCAAAAAATTTATAAAAGATTCATGATCATACTAATTTTTTTAAATTAGTATAGCATTACTACTTTTTAATAACAATGAAGGTAAATAAAATGACTTTTAAACCATATATTAAACAAATAGCACGTAAAAAAAACAATGAAATTATAAAATCAGAAAACTATTTTCTTCACTGTGACAAAAAAACTAATTATAACCCAGCTATCTAACAGAAAAACATTTTAGTAATTCTTCTCTGATAATAAAAATAATACATCAAACAAAAACAACCAATATTAATATATTTTCTTTCATTTTTCTATGCATGTATATGTGTGTAATTGAGACATAAAAACATATATATTTTGGATTAAAGTGAAATTATGTTGTTTTATATTTTGCTTTCTCCATATAAGATTATAATGTATGCCTTTTCCTATTCATTATAATTCTTCAAAAATGGACATTTTTGATGCCTATGTAACATTGTTTCTTTTGGAAACAGCATGTCATATTTAAGCAAGCTCTACTGTTATTCATTTAGATTCTTTTAAATTTTTTACTATTATTACGAACATAAGTTTCTGTGTTTCTGATTCTTTATACAAGGTTCTAGAAGTGGAATTACTAAGTCAAAGGGTCTGAATATTTTCTAGGAATGTTCTCTATTTTTTGTTTATGCTATTCATTCATAATTTTTTTAAAATATCTATTATCTACCACGGGCTGGGGACTGTGCCAGATGTTGGAGATACAGTGGTGAAAAGAGAGACTCAGGTCCTACTTCACAGACACTAAAGAATCTAAGTGATGATAGAAACAACCCAAGTATTATAGTAGAGAAGTATAGGGGGCCTCTCCTGTGGAGGATGGATGAGACCGGAAAAGTACCTGAGTATCTGAGATCTGGGAGTCAGAGAGCCATCCTAAACAATCTATCATCTCACTTGATAACATAAATGATGTGCAGAAGCTAGCCAGAAATATATGGGATGAGAGGAGGCAGTTTCAAGTATACCCAGAAACATATGGGATGAGAGGAGGCAGTTTCAAATAGACGCAGTGGCATAAGCAAAAGTTCTCCTATTGCAACAAGTGGAAGAGGTCAAGTATGATTAGAGAGAGAGAAAGTATGTGCATGGCAGGTTGGGGAAGAACGGTGTGAGAAGGCAAGAGATGAGACTGGAACTAAAGAGGTCAAGATCATTTCTAGCTTTGTAAGCCATAATAAAGAATTTGATGGGGATGGCATTGAATCTATAAATTACCTTGGGCAGTATGGCCATTTTCATGATATTGATTCTTCCTACCCATGAGCATGGAATGTTCTTCCATTTGTTTGTATCCTCTTTTATTTCATTGAGCAGTGGTTTGTAGTTCTCCTTGAAGAGGTCCTTCACATCCCTTGTAAGTTGGATTCCTAGGTATTTTATTCTCTTTGAAGCAATTGTGAATGGGAGTTCACTCATGATTTGGCTCTCTGTTTGTCTGTTATTGGTGTATAAGAATGCTTGTGATTTTTGTACGTTGATTTTGTATCCTGAGATTTTGCTGAAGTTGCTTATCAGCTTAAGGAGATTTTGGGCTGAGACAGTGGGGTTTTCTAGATATACAATTATGTCATCTGCAAACAAGGACAATTTGACTTCCTCTTTTCCTAATTGAATACCCTTTATTTCCTTCTCCTGCCTAATTGCCCTGGCCAGAACTTCCAACACTATGTTGAATAGAAGTGGTGAGAGAGGGCATCCCTGTCTTGTGCCATCAAGCTACCAATGACTTTCTTCACAGAACTGGAAAAAACTACTTTAAAGTTCACATGGAAACAAAAAAGAGCCTGCATCGCCAAGTCAATCCTAAGCCAAAAGAACAAAGCTGGAGGCATCATGCTACCTGACTTCAAACTATACTTCAAGGCTACAGTAATCAAAACAGCATGGTACTGGTACCAAAACAGAGATCTAGATCGATGGAACAGAACAGGGCCCTCAGAAATAATGCCACATATCTACAACTATCTGATCTTTGACAAACCTGAGAAAAACAAGCAATGGGGAAAGGATTCCCTATTTAATAAATGATGCTGGGAAAACTGGCTAGCCATATGTAGAGAGCTGAAACTGGATCCCTTCCTTACACCTTATACAAAAATTAATTCAAGATGGATTAAAGACTTAAACGTTAGACCTAAAACCATAAAAACCCTAGAAGAAAACCTAGGCATTACCATTCAGGACATAGGCATGGGCAAAGACTTCAGGTCTAAAACACCAAAAGCAATGGCAACAAAAGCCAAAATTGACAAATGGGATCTAATTAAACTAAAGAGCTTCTGCACAGCAAAAGAAACTACCATCAGAGTGAACAGGCAACCTACAAAATGGGAGAAAATTTTCACAACCTACTCATCTGACAAAGAGCTAATATCCAGAATCTACAATGAACTCAAACAAATTTACGAGAAAAAAACAACCCCATCAAAAAGTGGGCGAAGGACATGAACAGACACTTCTCAAAAGAAGACATTTATGCAGCCAAAAAACACATGAAAAAATGCTCACCATCACTGGCCATCAGAGAAATGCAAATCAAAACCACAATGAGATACCATCTCACACCAGTTAGAATGGCAATCATTAAAAAGTCAGGAGACAACAGATGCTGGAGAGGATGTGGAGAAATAGGAACACTTTTACACTGTTGGTGGGACTGTAAACTAGTTCAACCATTGTGGAAGTCAGTGTGGCGATTCCTCAGGGTTCTAGAACTAGAAATACCATTTGACCCAGCCATCCCATTACTGGGTATATACCCAAAGGATTATAAATCATGCTGCTATAAAGACACATGCACACATATGTTTATTGCGCCACTATTCACAATAGCAAAGACTTAGAACCAACCCAAATGTCCAACAATGATAGACTGGATTAAGAAAATGTGGCACATATACACCATGGAATACTATGCAGCCATAAAAAATGATGAGTTCATGTCCTTTGTAGGGACATGGATGAAATTGGAAATCATCATTCTCAGTAAACTATCGCAAGGACAAAAAACCAAACACCGCATGTTCTCACTCATAGGTGGGAATTGAACAATGAGAACACATGGACACAGGAAGGGGAACATCACACCCTGGGGACTGTTGTGGGGTGGGCGGAGGGGGGAGGGATAGTATTAGGAGATATACCTAATGCTAAATGACGAGTTAATGGGTGCAGCACACCAGCATGGCACATGTATACATATGTAACTAACCTGCACATTGTGCACATGTACCCTGAAACTTAAAGTATAATAATAATAAAATAAAAAAATAAAAAATAAAATAAATAAAAATAAAAATAAAAAATAAAATAAATAAAAATAAAAATAAAAAAAAGAATTTGAGCTCTATCCTCAAGGTATTGGAAATTTTAGGAAAAGGAGTGACAGTATAGAAGGCAAAAAGACCATTAGGAAGAGGGTGAGAACTGAAGTAATGCAAAATTAACAAAATTATCATTTTTGCCAAGGTTACTGGATTGACAGAGAACAGAATAAATTCAACCACATAGTACATCTTGAGTTTGCCTGAGCATTTCTGAGCTAGATAAACAGACTGAACATCAGGTAATGTAAATTCTGGAGCCAGGCTGACCAGGTTCAAATCTCAGCTCTACCACTTTCTCATTTTGTAAAGTGAGAACTAAGACCACATTAGTAACCCACCTCATAGGGTTATCATGAACATTAAATGAGTGAGTACATGTATAGCACTAGAATATTACCTAGGATACAATTAGGGATCTATATGCTTATTAGTATTGTTTCACAAGAAAACTCATGCACTTATATTTATCACACTGTATGTCTTCAAATACAGCTTTCACTGAAGGGCGTAGCAAAGTATTTCCCAAGGTATTTTACATGGAAATAGGGTTTCATGATCAGTAAGCTTGAACAACACTGGATTAAATAAAATTAAACAGGTTTCTTTCCTGCAGAACTTCTCCAAACCTTTAACATGCCACAATAATTTGTGCACAACAAAATTAAAAAATATTAAAACTCAAAGTAGAAAATGAATATCCATGAGTCCATACTGATGTAAATAAATAATTGAATACATAAATAAATGGGGAAGGAGAGAAACTCTTTCATGCAGAGGAATTCCAAATAATTTATGTAGATACCCCTCCCTCAAAGAGGTGGAACATAATTCTCAACTCCTTAAGTATGGTCTATATGTAGTGACTTCCTTCCAAAGAGTACAGTATGGAAAGAGGGAAAAAGAGTAACATTACAGTGGAGAAGGCTCACAAATACTACCTCAGTCAGATGATCAGGGTTAACACCTACAGCGATAAATCATGCTAATAGTATGTACCCTGATATGATGTGATAAATGTAAATGGCACTTTACATCTGTGATCTTCCTCCAAAAAACCCACAATCCCAGCCTAATCATGAGAAAACATCAGATAAATTCCAAGAGAGGGATATTCTACAAAATATCTGAACAGTACTTCTCAAAACTGCGAAAGTCATCAAAAACAAGGAAAGTCTGAGAAACTGTCATAGCCAAGAGAGTCTAAAGAGACATGACAACCAAATGTAATGTAGTGTCCTGGATGAGATCCTGGGTCAGAACAAGGACATTAGGTTACAACTAAGGAAGTGTGAATAAACTACGGACTTAAGTTCATAATAATGTATCAACCAATATGGCTCATTAATTATAACAAATGTACCATACTAATGTTAAGATGCTAATAATAAGGGAAACTGCGTATGAGATCTATGAGAACTCTCTGTGCTAACTTCGCAAAACTCTTCTAAAATACGAAGTCCAGTAAAAATAGTAAAATAAATTGTGAGTCATCAAGAGGAAAGCAGTGTTCCTCAATTTGCAAACTTCCTTGTCCAAGGAACCATTTTTTGTGGAGCATCTCTCAAGGTTAGTATTTAGCAGAAAACATTCTGGGAAATGCTGATACAGAATAAGAAGCTTCATAACCTCATGAGCCCAGAAAATTAAGTACCAGTGTAGCTTGCCAGAAACTGCAGGAAGCTGATTTATAACCCAACTCTGAAGACATGATCAAGAGCTAAGTGAAGTTAAAGTAATTCATAAAACTTTAACTGAAAAAAAAAAATGAATTGAATTTTTCCAGGGTACAATTCAAAATATTTTCTACCCGTGTTTTACTGAATACAAAGTGAAAAGAAACACTAACTGGATTTTTAAAGCTTCTTTTTCATTAAAAAGGGCAAAGAATAACCTGGTGGGAAACCACTTGTATACTACTCCTTCCCAGTGCGTGGACGAAACTTCCTAGTCACTTCCCGCTAGTCACACAGCACTTTTTACTTTGTATTACATCTAGTGTCCAAGTCTTATTTCAATTACTAAACCTTGCAATTACTTGAAGGCAGAATCTGTATCTAATTTATTTCTGAATTTCTGCAGCATAGAATCTTCTACTGAGTAGGTATTCAGTAAATATCCTTAAAATAAATAGTGTAATAATTGGGAAAATAGATGGCTAACTCCTTTACTATCAATCCAACATAAAGTTACTAAGCTCCTGCTACATAAAGGCCAGTGTACTAGATGCAGCAGTTATGTAAAAATGTTTTTAAACTGTTACTTCTTTCAAGAGGCATATAATAAATGTCAGAAAGATGTATACAGAAATTACTATAATAGGCCGGGCATAGTGGCTCACGCCTGTAATCCCAGCACTTTGGGAGGCTGAGGTTGCAGTGAGCTGAGATCATACCACTGCACTCCAGCCTGGGTGATAAAGCAAGACTCAGTCTCAAAAAATAAAAATAAAAAAAAAGCAATTACTATAATAAATTGCAATTTGTGCTAAGGGCCATAAAACAACAGGGAGCTATTCAACAGAGTTCAAGAGAGAGATCCCTTTCAACAGGGGTAATCAATAATAACATCAGAGAAGAGATGCCATCTGAGCTGACCCTCACAAAATAGATAGGACTTTTGTAACACAAAACAGGCAGAAAGGGCTTTCCAGGACAGGAAAACAAGTGTTAATGATGCAAGAGGGAAAGGCAAAATGATTCACTTGGACAGGCACATAGGACAGTTATAAGACAGCAGAGACTGACAAAGTGGAAGGGGAAGGCTGAGGACAGACAGTAAAAATTCTTAAATGCTGGGCTCTGGAATCGGAACTTCATTTTTTAGGCAACTGGGAATAATCATTGAAAGTTTGTTAAAAGGCAGTGAGCTATAAGGGTTCGTCTGCTTATAATTAAAGTTAATAGTATTGAGAGTACATAAGGAGATTGGGAGAGATAGACTGAAAGTTGGGAGGTATAAAAATAAGATAAGGATGTGAATTAAAGCACAATGTCTAAAATAAAGTAAACAATAAAAGGCAACATTATCAGCATTATCACCATCATCATCATTATTGTGACTACTATGGTAACAGCCTTGGTAATGAAAAGAAAGAGGAAATTATAAGACTATGGGAAGAAATAATATATAGCACTTGATCACTAGTAACAAAAACAGGAAGTTCAGGAAGAGATGGTCATTTTAAAAAGAACACAAACAGTTTTAGACATGTTAAGTTTGATCTCACAGAAAAAAGATGTGCAGCACACAGTTGATCTTAGAGGATTGGAGCAAAAAGAGATGTGGCAACAAAAAAGAAGGAAGCTGTGGAAGCTTGAATGAGATAACCTGAATATTCTTTATAAAATATAAGTGAGAAATGCTTAAAATGAGTGAGACAGAGGTTGAATTAGGGGCCACACAAGCATGAAAAAGTTTTAGAACAACCTAAATGGAAGACAGACAATGAATAACAAATATAATATTGGCAGACAGCAAAAAGAATCCACTGGAAGTTAAACAAATGAATTGAGACTAGATAATGGTTAACACAGAAATTACATGATTTTCTCTTGAAGTAGTCAAAAGTTTGGGAGAAGAGAGAAAGTAAACAGTAAAAGTAGCCTTAGACTAAGGAGTAGAATGGCAGACAGAACAGAAGTCTGTTGGGGAAGAGATTATGAAACGTAAGGAAGAACATGATGCAATACAAGTCATGTGATCCAAACTAGGTAGCTTTCATGGAAAGAAGAGAGAATTGCCCCCCAAAATAGGGAGCTAAACAACTAAGTGTCTCAAAAAGAACAAATATAGAAAGACAGATAGATACTTACTGATAGGGGAGGTAATCAGTATGGCCATGGTTAAAGAATCAATTAGCTCAGCAAACCTTATCAAGAGTGTTCTGTGGGCTGGGTACTATGCTAGATGCTGACGATAAAAAGCACAATCCCTGCTATTGAAGAATGAATAATTTAGTGCGGGGATAGGCAAACCTTGTATGAAAGGGAAGATAGTAAATATTTTAGGCTTTGCAGTCCATGGGTCTCTATTGCAACCACTTTAGGCTGTCACTGTTGTGCAAAAGCAGCAACAACCAATATGCAAATGAATGAACGTGACTATTTTCCAATAAAACATATCTTAGTGATTCATATAGTTTTCATGTGTCACAAGATTATCCTTATTTTGATTTTTCAACCACTTAAAAATGTAAAAAAAGTAAAAATAAAATTCCTAGTTTGCCAGCCCTATAAAAATAGGTGGCAGGTTGGATTTGGCCCAGGGGCTGTAGTTTGCAGATCCGTGATATACATGGGAAAGTCCAGAAAGAAAAGAGAGGAGTATCATACGTGTACCTATCACTCACATATATTCTCAGCAGCTAGCAGTAAGCTCTAAGAGTCGACTTATTATTTACCTCTCTATCTCTTCTTTTCAGTCATGATTTAAAAAAAAAAATTTATGTTTTGTTTCTTACACCTAGTATGTTAAAACTGATACTTTCTCTATACTGTTTAGAAATTTTCAATTTCACTAAAAAATATTCAGGCCCAACCTTCTTAGTTTTATTTTACTGAGTTTAAATCTTTATTATTATTATTATTATACTTTAAGTTTTAGGGTACATGTGTACAACGTGCAGGTTTGTTACATATGTATACATGTGCCATGTTGGTGAGCTGCACCCATTAACTCGTCATTTAGCATCAGGTATATCTCCTAATGCTATCCCTCCCCTCTCCCCCCACCCCACAACAGTCCCTGGTGTGTGACGTTCCCCTTCCTGTGTCCATCTGTTCTCATTGTTCAATTCCCACCTATCAGTGAGAACATGCGGTGTTTGGTTTTTTTGTCCTTGCAATAGTTTGCTGAGAATGATGGTTTCCAGTTTCATCCATGTCCCTACAAAGGACATGAACTCATCATTTTTTATGGCTGCATAGTATTCCATGGTGTATATGTGCCACAATTTCTTAATCCAGTCTATCGTTGTTGGACAATTGGGTTGGTTCCAAATCTTTATAACAAAAAAAAACCCACAATTCTTTCATATATGTATTATTTATTATGCTTTATGACAAATTGATAAATAAACATTAACTGATTTCCAGCCCTAAAAGATACCACCTAGAGATAGAAATATATACTTCCTCAAATATCTCCAAGGTTTTTATTTATATTGCTTCTTTTCACCATCTAATTTTTTGATGATTTTTTTAAATAAAAATAAAAGTCGAAAAAAGTGCCTAATTTCCACTGTTGTGGAATGTGATGACTCTGCAGAAAATTTTCAAGAGCAGAAGAACCATGATGATAACTGTGGAAGCTGAGTGATGGGTTCATGGGAGTTCTTTGAGGTACCTTTGAAATATTCCATACCAAAAAAGGTTTTAAAAATCCATCTCTGAGGCTATGCTGAAGAATGAAGGTCGACTGACTGTGGTGCTCATTACGTGCCTCAGCAGTGGCAGTCACAGAGTCCTACTCAACCAGCACTGTGAGGAAGGCTTACGGACAGGACTGGACTGAGGGGAGGTGAGTGAGGCTGTGCTGAGATGAAGGACAGTTAAAAGAGCTAGGGGCATGTGCTAGAACTTCTTGAGCTTCCATTTTAACAACTATTCATAGTTTTTATACTTAAATTATTTTATTTTGTCATTTTATTCTTAGTTTTTTGCCAACCCATTTTGATAGCAGGTTTATCAGAGTTCTACAATAGCATACAATTAATAGGTGACAGCCTACTGCGAGAACAAATATATTTTAAATACACTTTCAATAACACTGGCTTCAAAGGCCAAAATTTTAAGGAAAGAGGGTGTCAGTTCATTCACATTTCATTCCTTTAATATCACAGGCCATGAAGAATAGATTGCCACATTACACTTGTACCATATTTTAAATTGCAGGCCAGTATAGTAGATGATTTTTCCCCTTCTACCCCATTTTTTCCAGGGTTGCCATAGTTAAATAGGTATGATCCTTGGTTACTGAATATAAAATGGGAGAATATACAAATACTATTAACATAAATTTAGTGGTTCTTACCCAGTATTTCATAATTAATAATACATACTCCTGACATCAGTAATGATCTTTTGCTCTGTATTACATAACTTGGCATGAAAAAATAAAATGAAATTGAACAATAGCCAACCTGTGCTTTCCTCATGTATACCAAAGGTTCTTTAAGATGTTCAGGAGGTGCAGCAGGATGACTAGGTAAAGGAAACCTAGGAGCAAAAAGAGGCAGCTAAATATCACACATTATTCTCTTGGTTAGATATTACTTACCTCTGTAGTCCATGTTATAAACTGTTTTCCCAGTAACATTTCATTTTATATTCAAAATGTACTGTTTTTATTAAGAAAATAGATTGATGTAGTCAACAAATACTTGGGCCATTCTAGGTACTAAGTATAAGGTGGTGATTGAGATAACATTCTCTGTTCTCATGGACGTAACATTCTCGTGAAGAAAGCCAATAATCACAAACACATACAAATAAAATAATATCAGATTGCAGTAAGTGCCGTGAGAAAATGAAAGCAGGGTAATAAGACACAATAAATTTGGAGGTCAGTGAAGTCCTCTTGGGGATTTTATATTTAAACCAAGACATGAGTGTGAAGGAGCCAACCATGCAAAGATCTGGGGGAAGAATATTCCAGGCAAAGGGATGGCAAGCACAAGAATTCTGAGGAGGTAATGCTTGAAATGTTTAAGGATCAGAAAAAGTCAGGGCCACTGGAACATAATGACTGAAGTGCAGAGTGGTATGAAATCACAGATAGAAAAGGCAGTAGGAAGACATGATGGTTCAATGTTTATTTGGAGATTCCAATCCATTTCACAACAATATATAACTCCTCTTGAAATTAGTCATCAGACTTGTACCTACAGCAAAACAGTCATGTTCCAATAATCAGGAACCATAGACTGAATTCTCAATAAATTCCTGGTCCAAAGTGGGACAAAAACATGTAAAAGGTTAATAATTTTCAAAACCACTTGCATCTGTCCTGGAGCCTACATGTAAAAGGCTAAACTGTCCATAGAAACATTGCTGGAATAGAGAAAGGCAACCTATCCAACCTAATCTATAAGACAGCTTCACAAATTGATTATTTCTGGCAAATTATTTTTCTACTAAAATCTACATTTCATGTATCTTTCGCATTCACAAATGAAAAAAAATTTAAGTCTCTAGATACCTTGATATTTCTTGTCTTATATGTAAGACAGTTTAAAAACTATCTCACATTGTCCAATATACCATTTGCTTCCACTTTTAATGGTAATTATGTAAAATTTAATAAAGCTTAGAAATTTAGGATTAAGGCCAAACGTGGTGGCTTATGCCTGCAATCCCAGCACTTTGGGAGGCCGAGGTGGGTGGATCACGAGGTCAGGAGCTCGAGACCATCCTGGCTAACATGGTGAAACCCCGTCTCTACTAAAAATACAAAAAAATTAGCCAGCCGTGGTGGCACATGCCTATAGTCCCAGCTACTGGGGAGGCTGAGGCAGGAGAATGGCGTGAACCTGGGAGGCAGAGCTTGCAGTGAGCCGAGATTGCACAACTGCACTCCAGCCTGGGCAACAGAGCAAGATTCCGTCTCAAAAAAAAAAAAAAAGAAATTTAGGATTAAAATTTGAGAGACTTTACTGATGATCTTAATAGTTATTTAATGATCAAAGAAACATATCCAAAATACAGGTAACAAGAGGAGACAACTTGAAAGTCATTCATATTAAGACCAAAATCAAGTTAGATATTTATTTTTTCAGAAATATTTAATGACAACCTACTCAATATAAAAGAGATACAGAAGTGAACAAAACTAGCTAAAATACCTGCCCTCATGGAGCTTACATTTAGTAATATGCAGAGATAAGAGTTGCCAGATAGGAAAAATGCACAGAAACTTATACAGCACACTTGACTCTATTTTTTCTTGTCCCCCAAGTCTCCCTAAATAACCTAAGATGTTCTACCCACTGACAGTAAACTATTTTAGGCAACCATTATTCCTTGCCTACATTTATCCAGCAGGTTCCTAAGCGCTTCCAGACTGTTTTCAACCTATTCACCAATTTGCCTGGATGTTGGCCAGAAGTGATGTCTTCCTTATTCACCAGTAATTGTAACTCCAGCATTGAGCAAAATGCCTGGTACACAGTAGATAACCAATATATTGCTGAATGAATAAAATGCAAATTTGATCATGTTACTATTTTACTTACAATTTTTAAATGGCACCCAAATGCTTTTAGGATCCAGTCTACAAAGTCTTAAGAGGCACAATCCTGTTTATAAATCTAGAATCGTCCTTAGCCATGATCCCTTCACCTGCTACCATTCAGCCATACAAACTTTTGTACCATGTTTGCACCACACTCTTTTCCATTTCTAAATCTCTGAGCCTGCTATTCCCTTCTGCCTGAAGTGCTTTTCTTCTCTACTCTTTCCCCTGAGAAACTCTAGCTTAGCTTTCTGATCTCAGCCTGGATATTGCTTCCTTTGGTAAGCCACCATGACATCCCCAAATCTAAGTTAAATGCCGGCCTTACGTGTTCCTTGTATTTCCCTAATCATTGCACTTATTTTACTGTACTGTAATTGCCTCTTTAAAGTCTGTATGCCCAACTGGGATGTAAGTTCCAGGAGGCAAAGACTGTCTAGCCTGTTCATTAACAACAGCACCTGGCTCTGTGCACAATAGCAAACATACAGTAGCATTTCAAACTAAGAGGGCAAAGAAGAACTGTATGTTTAGGACGTTTCAGAGGTACCCAGGTCTACTGCTTGAGCACTCTCCCAGCGAAAGCCATGAATGTGTACGAAGACTTACCCAAATCTGTGGTCTAGTGTAAGGTATCCATTATCTAACATCCTTCCATTTTAGACCCACTACTGTTTGACACTTGTAACTCTCTAAGGTATGGTAGACATTTGCATATATCTACTATAACAGCAAACTATGCTATATGTTTTTATAACATGCACATATAGAATAAGATTGTTAAGGTTTATTTACTTCTTTATGTTCCTTGAGGGAAAAAGAATAGGTCATCTAATTTCTTATAAACTGCTCTGTACAAAGTACAATGAAGACTAACACACAGAAATAAATTGATCTATTTTCATTTTGCATGTAAAGATTGTCTTAAATACAGTAAGGCTAAGACTAATAATTGCACTGTCTCCTCAACTCAACAAATATTTGTCATGTGTTAGCATTGGTAGGTGGCTCAATAACTATTTGCTGACTCAATGTCATTTATTTGATGCTATAGGAAATATGAAAGAAATGTAAGACACAATTTTTGTTCCAGAACATTTTTAATCCAGTCAAGAGATAAGACATATACCTATGTGAGACATAGTAAAATGTATGGGCTTTGGAATTATATAGCTGGAGGTTAAGGCCTAGCACTGCCATTTGCTAGCTATATGATCTTCAACAAGTTACTTAAGTTTCTGCCATGGTTTGAATGTTTGTCCTTTCCAAAACTCATGTTAAAATTTGCAATTGTAACAGTATTAAGAGGTGGGATCTTTCAGAAGTGATTAGGCCATAAGAGCTTCACCTACGTGGGTGGGATTGGTGCCATTATAAAAGGGTGGGTTAAACCCCCTCTTGCCCTCTCACCTTCTGCCATGGGATAATGCAGCAAGAAGGCTCTCACCAGATGCTGGCACCTTGATATTGGACTTCCCAGCCTCCAGAACTGTGAGCCAATAAATTTCTGTCCATTATAAATTACCCAATCTCAGGTATTCTGTTATAGCATCACCAGACAAACTAAAACATGGTTTAAGCCTCAGTTTTCTCTTCTGTAAAATGGTGATCATAATAAATTTTACTTCATAGGGTTGTAATGAAGATTATATGGAATAAGCCAATGCATATAAAGTGTTGGCATAAAATAAGCATTCAATCACTGTAAATTATCATTAATACTAAATAGCTATTAACACAATAATATATAACTAATTGTTTTAAATGAATGGAAAAGATAATTAAAGTATGCAATCTGAAATGGAGAGTGCTAACCTACACTAGTTTAAAATTTCATGTAAATAAAAAAATACAGAAAATTTTCTAGTGTATTTGTTAAATAAGAAACTGACTAAAATCTTTGTAATGCTTACTAAAACAAGTAAAACGAAGTGTGCTGTTTTCAGTCTGTATAGTCTGTATAGCTCATGTGTTCTATACCTCTATTAGGCATAAGGATGTGTATTTTTTATCTCCCATTGTTTAATATTACCTAATGAATATTCATACTTTCCTTTTTGCTTTCCTTATTCATCCATCTAATGGTTGCTGCCAATGAAAAATGCAACAGAATACGCTAAGTCTTCTTTATTCTTTTGACTTATGTTAGGGGAAATGTTTCTTCCCCACCCTTGATGTGCACTTCCATATGAAAAGAGTTCCATTACTGTAACATTCTTGGACTCTCTCTAAGGCTTAACTCAATACACCACAGAAGAGGTTTAATGCCTTATTCAACTTTTAAATTTGAGAAGAATAAACTGAACATACTGCCCCTGATCCAATGCTATTTGACTGGAAGGTTAAATCCATTTAATTCTGGAGTTCAGCTGAAAGACTAATTTTGCTCTCATACTAAGCTATGTCCTCCTATCTAGTCTTTATCGGTAATGAAAGTGTAATTTTGATCTCCCATCTGCTTTTTTGTTTTATCTTGTTTCTTAATTTGTTCAGAACCCAAATGAGGAATAAAAATAATATCACTGGACTGCTTAAAAAAAAATCCCAACGAGTTATTCAGAAAATATATACTTAAAGTTCTATTGTACAGAATGCCAACAATATGATAATGAATAAAACATAGTCCCTCCCCTATCAAGTAAAAGGTCAGTAGGTCACACAGAACAATTTTCAGGAATATCAGTAATATTGCCTCAGATTGAGAATCCAGTGTTTGGAATTATACACAACAGGCACCTTTAGTACATATTGTAAATTTAAAACCTTACTTGTCATGATAAATATCTATTCCTTTGGTGACTGCCAAAGGTACTGTCACAGTACTGCTAAAGGTATGGTCACAGTCAACTTCAATTATTAGATAGCACTTATATCTAACATTATTTAAGAATTCAAATCCAACTGGGAAGATGGATTTGAGCAAAGCAAAGAAGCAAATGCTAATTCTTTAAAAATTGTATCTAAAGCACATGTGCATAGGGGTTCATCTGAGTCTCTTTATTTTAGAAACAATTCTGGTAAGCTGCATTATGTCATTTCCCAGTTAACAAACTGGAAAGGTCAACTTGAAAATGGGAATGTTAAACACTAGAGAATGCTACAGACATAAATACAGTGATAGCAGTAAAGGAAAAAAAAAAAAAGCAGACGTGCAATTAGACTTGGGAACTCTGTTAGACTATGAACTCCATGAGGGCAGAAATTGTTTATTGTTCTATACTATATGCTCAGTGCTTAGTACGGTGCTGCCACATGGTAGGTATTCAATAAGTAATTGACAAGTAACAGAATGTTGGAGAAACTACAAAAGCTAACATTCTGGGTCTACATTTTTTTTAAATGGCAAACAGTTCTATACACCTTAATAGACCCTGATGTTAAATCTAAATAAACAGAAACATGGATATTCTTAATAATGACAACAATTTTGCCAAAGAACAAAAAAGATAATCATGATTAGAATGGATAGTTTATAAAGACATAAAAAAGTGTAATACCCAAAATGAGAACAATAAAAAGAATATTAGTAAGCTTCAGTTATCTGAAATATTAACTTCAGAGAAACATCTTATTCCCTAATTACACTAGATAAATGAATTGTTAATATAAAATAATGGGTGGGGCCAGGCACAGTATCGCATACCTCTAATCCCAGCACTTTGGGGGGCCAATGCAGGTGCATCACTTGAGGTCAGGAGTTCGAGACTAGACTGGCCAACATGGTGAAACCCTATCTCTACTAAAAATACAAAAATTAGCCAGGTGTTGTGGCAGGGGCCTGTAATCCCAGCAACTTGGGAGCCTGAGGCACAAGAATCACTTGAACCTGGGAGGCGGAGGTTTCAGTTAAGCCAAGATCATTGCACTGCACTCCAGCCTGGGCAACAGAGTGAGACTCCATCTCAAAAAGAAAATAAAAAAATTCAATAGTGGGTGGTAAAAAACAAAAACAAAAACACCTATTTCTTATTATTTGTCAGGCAAGACGGTAGTAATTTTTAATTGTATCAACTTACTTGAAATGCTGTATAAATATTAATGATAAATAATAATACAACAAGTATATATAACAATACTGGTTTTATTACTCACAAAGTAAATATAGCTAAACAAAATACTATTGTAAAATAGGTGGGAAAACTCACACACTCAGTTCACTATAAACAGCATTCTGAAGTTTCTTCTCCCAACCTGTTTTTTAAAAAAAGAATAAAATATATGAACATACTAGTTTTTAAGTAAACATACATTACAATTAAATTTATCTCAATAAAACTTTGGCATCATATTAATTTGTGAAAGAATTTTGTCAACTGCCAATCCCTATGTAAAGCGTTATTAAAGATTATTTCCTATACACTTACCATATCCCTTGTCTAACACTGAGTAGCAAAGTCATCAACATGATATTTTAAAATAATATCATTATTGCACCATTTTACCAAGTTGGGAGGAACATTTCCTTTTTCACTATCAAAGTGCTCAATGAATGTCAAAATCTTCAGATGTTGTACTACTAAAGCTATAAGGAATGTGCCAAGGGAACGGCAAAAAACAGCCACCTGAAGATAGATGACAAGTATCTAGTTATAATTCACACGTCAGCAAAGTCCTGGACGACAGAGGCAGATTATTGTGAGTTACCAATAGTCAGACAAGTTAGCTCAGCTGCTAACTATCTGGGTCAACCATTTAACATCTCAGTTCCCATATACAGATGTTGGACTAGGGAACCTCTCTCTCCTCTTGCTCTATGAAAAGTTAGAATTTTCTTTTTATTTTCTGTGAAAGCATACAAGGAAAAAAGTCACAACTGAAAAGTAAAATGAAAAATTACTTAACTAAGGAGATACTTAACACCTTATGGATGTATTTATCCATCAGAATATTACCAGTAAGGTAAACAGTATTTAAAACCAACTAATGCAAAGGAGTCTTTCTCACAGAGTTCTTGAATTTTTGCACCATTTTGTTAAAATGTCTAATAGTTCTAATTCTCCCTAAATA
This sequence comes from Homo sapiens, assembly GCF_000001405.40. Taxonomy (NCBI): domain Eukaryota; kingdom Metazoa; phylum Chordata; class Mammalia; order Primates; family Hominidae; genus Homo; species Homo sapiens. The sequence continues at coordinate 26,613,591 of NC_000004.12, read as the reverse complement.
GAAACCTATTTGGCCATAGTTTTCACAATTTTGAATGAGTAATTGGAAGGCTGGGGATAAAATATTATTTATTTTGCCTTACAAGAGTATCCAAGAGAGAGAATACAGTCATGGGTTCTTAGTTTCTGTTTCTGACTGGGCCAGTAAAGCCCTTTCCTCATCTCTCTTTTCTGCTTATCACTAGAGACAGAAACCAAAAACCATGGCTTCAGGCTGCTAAAAGCCTAAAACAAAACAAAACAGAACGACAACAAAGTAAGGTGGTTGTACAAGCTTGAGGGCTTAAAGAATTAGGAATAAATAAAACATTTTCTTATTTTGCCTTAAGTTATTAGGAAAAACTTACAAACCTGATATTTTAAAGAATTCCTTAATATCTTCTTTCAGTGATTCAAGTTTAATCTCAGGTCTCTGAAGACTGGCCTAAGAATAATAATAATAATAAAAAAGAAAGATAAGGAAGGAAAAGATATCCAAAGTAAATCATTTGGGTTGATATTTAGAACAAAGGAAATGTTTAAAAAGGAGTGTTCAAAAATGTATACTACTTGAAAAATCCTCTTTGAAGATAGAGCTTAGAACTATCTAGAATAGCTTATAAGAAAGAAGACTTTCTCACTAACTCTTAAAGGATCTGTGATAGTATACTAAAGTCTACTAAAACTATACAAACTTGGAGATTATGAGTCCTTATCATCTTTATCTAGGGTCTCAAGTTGGAAAAATACTCAGATTTTATAAATTCATTGCCTTGATATTATATTAAATATATATGGCACCTGTATCTAATGACTAAAAAACCAGTTGCATCCATGCAAATGGATCTTTGCACAGTGTCTTCCTCTTTGGATTGCTTCTCAATGTAAATGCATTGTGTATATTTGTAGAAAATACATAAAACTACTAGTTCATAAATGTGTGTTATTAGTGTTTTATCTTCAAGTGCATGTTTCCTATTCTACTGGTTTTTCACACTGTAATTTTTACCAAAAATATAATTTTTCCTACTTGTAATGGCTTTGATTACTCTCAAAGTGTTGATGTTCCATCACCTAGCTCTGTCAAATTCTAGCAGCATACCTCTTCAGAAGGAATTTCTATTAGAGGATCTCAAATAGAGTATTTCAAACCTAAGAAATCAAAAACTGGTCTTATCCTCCACTTACTGTCTTGTTCCTTCTCTTACATTTTTTAAATCTTCATCAATAAAATTACCATTTACCAGATCTTCCAAGTTAGAAACTTCAAATTTATTCTCAATTCCACACTAACTCTTCCGTGATTCAATCCCTTTCTGGGAGATGGCACTGGTGGCAGTGAGATTTTTTAAAAAACCTCCTTGATTTCCACATAAAAACAGACCAAGCAACTAGATAGCAAAGCCAAATCCTTTGGAAAATATTCACAACAAAACTAGATGATAAGCTGTCCCCCAGAAATACAAGCAGCTGAGGATAAACCAACTGCCACAAGACCTCTAAGACATCAACATCTGTACAGGAAGAAGCAGAAGAAAGCAACTGACTATCTGATGTAGTGAAAACAAAAGAACCCAAAGTAGTCAACAAACATACATTTGAACACATGATGAGCCAACTTTAGAGCAGAAGTTAAAACAGGGAACGGTTTTGCCTAATTCAAATATAGCCAGGTGATATCTGAAGAGACTGGAGCAATCTAGTACCTATAAATTCTTAAAACTGACAAATCAACGCTCCCTTTCCAAAGTCTGGAAATGTTGATAGAGTAATAAAAAAGAAGAATGATAGGGAACTAACTCATTACCTTAAACACTGGTAAATAATGAAAAAGGCATTTATGCTGCCTTTCCTATTGGCACTATACCACTGGATATCCACACAGTAAATGAGGGGAAATGATTCTTTGCAAAATAATTCTAGCTAATAACTAAAACAGATATGATACAATTAGAATATCACAACTTTGCAATCCCCAATGAATTACTAATTCTAGGCATTGAGCAAAAACAGCTGCTCACATTGCAAAAGAGATAATCAGACATTATGTGGTTTTCAATGAAAGAACACTCTACTGCTATTGTCAGGCCAAAGGGATAATACCTGAGTCTGATGAAGCTTCTGGGTCCACCTGTCAACTTATAAGACATACAAAGGGCAGAGGAACATGTTGAGCTATACCATGAGTTTACAACAAGAAAGGTCTCCAGGCTATGGGAAATTCTAAAGTCAAATAGCCTAGTTCTTCAGCTGATAAACTGTAAGGAAAAAGAAAGGAAGGAGAGAAAACCTATAGCTTAAAAAAAAGACAAAGACATTTTAAAAATAGGCAGGACTAAGTTATAGTATCTAGAGACATATATTTGATTAATAAAATTATCAAGGAATGCAGAAAATATAAAAATACTCAATGTCACTAATCACTAAAGAAATGCAAATCAAAACTGCAATGAGATACCATTTCACACCAGTCAGAATGGCTTCAATTAAAAAGTCAAAAAATAACATGCCAGGGAGGCTGTAGAGAAAAGGGAACGTTTATACACTGCTGGTGGGAATGTAAATTAGTTCAGCCATTGGGGAAAGCAGTTTGAAGATTTCTCAAAGAACTTAAAACAGAACTACCATTTGACCCAGCAATCCCAATTACTGGTATATATCCAAAGGAATATAAATCATTCTACCGTAAAGACATACGCATGCCTATGTTCATTGCAGCACTATTCACAATAGCAAAGAAATGGAATCAACCTAAATGCCCATCAACAGTAGACTGGATAAAGAAAATGTGGTACATATACACCATGGAATACTACACAGCCATAAAAAACAACGAGATCACGTCTAGCAACATGGATTAAGCTGGAGACCATTATCCTAAGTGAACTAACAGCAGGGACAGAAAAACGAAACCCACATGTTCCCACTTATAAGTGGAAACTGAACATTGAGTACACATGGACACAAAGAAGGGAACAATAGACACCAGGGCCTACTTGATGGTAGAGGGTGGGAGGAGGATGAGGAATGGAACTACCTATTGGGTATTATGCACACTATCTGGGTGACGAAATAATCTGTACACCAAACCCCCGTGACAAACAATTTACCTATATAACAAACCTGCACATATGCCCCTGAAACTAAAAGTTAAGAATAATAAAATATCTAACAGAACAGCTAAAAAAAAAAAAAAAAAGAAATGCAGAAAAGTGATTACCATAAATATCATGTTATCAGAAACGGAGGGGTTTGTGATTGGGATGGGGCAAATGGAGAGGTTTCCAGTGTGGCTGGCAAAGTTTCACTTATAGGGTGGTCATTACAAAGTCCTTCACCCCATAACAATACATTATAGATTTGTATCTATAACATAAATATAAATTTATATACTTATGGGTTAAAAAGTTTCAAAAAAGACAGGAAAAAATGTCCTCCCAATCTATACTTTCTCTCCATTTTAAAGTCCCACATTTAGTCTAAGACAAGTCTTTCTCATTTGAATTACTGCAACCACCTCTAAATTGGGCTTCTTGCCACCTTACTTAAATTGTGACCACTTCCACCTGGCACTCTCAAAACTCCCTTACTCTATTTTTTCTTCTTACTTAGCATTTCTCACCTTCTATTATACTATATGATTAATTTATTTACTATGTTTATTGGTATATCATCTATCTCATTACATTGCAAGCGGTAAGCTCCATTAGAGCAGACATTTCTGCCTTTTTTTTACTATCCGTATCCCAAGTGCCTAGAACCTAAGTTGTTTTCACACAGTAGGTGCTCAATAAATGATTATCGAATGAATGAACCAATTTTTCCCTTTTCCAATCTATCTTCCAGCATTTCTTCCTAAAACATAAGTCTTTCCCAGCTGTGGCACTTCACAGCTTACACAAGAAGTCTACATTTTTTAACAGGGCATACTTGGTCCTTCACAATGTAGACCCAACTTATCTCTACAAATTCATCTCCTGCTGTTGCTCCACCAAGTTAACAACATCCTCTTCTCACACCTCCTCCCCACACACCCTAGCCACAGTGAACTATATTCACTGATTTCCCAACTGTCAGTCCTTTAAGGGCTGTTCATATTTCCTCAGATGGAAGTGCTCTCTCACTACCTTAGCAAACACCTGCTAGCTTCCAAGACATCCTTCAAATATCACCTCCTTTCCCTAGGCCAGGCAGCAAGGATAGAACATTATGTTCCTCTGTTTCAGCAATTATCAGATTACAATGTAATTTTCAGCTCACCTATTTATCTTTCTGACTAGACTATAAATTCAAAGGCAAGGAATGGGTCTTTATTTTTGCATCCCAAGTATCACCCTGGCATTAATTATTGCTTGACAAAATTATATTGCCCAAACCACATTCTATTTTTTTAAATTTTATTATTATTATACTTTAAGTTTTAGGGTACATGTGCACAATGTGCAGGTTTGTTACATATGTATACATGTGCCATGTTGGTGTGCTGCACCCATTAACTCATCATTTAGCATTAGGTATATCTCCTAATGCTACCCCTCCCCCCTCCCCCCTCCCCCCACCCCACAACAGTCTCCAGAGTGTGATGTTTCCCTTCCTGTGTCCATGTGTTCTCATTGTTCAATTCCCACCTATGAGTGAGAACATGCGGTGTTTGGTTTTTTGTCCTTGCGATAGTTTGCTGAGAATGGTTTCCACAAGTCTTTGCTATTGTGAATAGTGCCACAATAAACATACGTGTGCATGTGTCTTTATAGCAGCATGATTCTATTTTTACCCAATTTCCTCCCCCCCAAAACAAGGAACTTGATAAAAAATATATTTAAGTGAAGAGACTGTTTTCCAATCTGTTACTCCTAGAAAAGATTTTTAAAAGCTGCAAAAACCCTGCTAATTATTCAAATGTACTAAATCAAAAGTAAATAAGCTGTCTTATACTAGCCTGCATTTGAAAATGATTCGGAGAGAAGACAATTTAAAGAATTTTTTAAAAACTGGTTATTTTTTCTAAACACTTTCAGTACTTTAAGGTTGCTATACCTCCTAGATATACTTTGCACCCAAACTAATTATAAAAATCTTCAAGTTTTTGAGGATCAAAAGCAGGACAGTGACAACATGGTAAGGCACAGTGGTTCCCAAACATGATTTAGCAACAGAACCTATTTTGCAAATGAAATCGAAACCCTATTAGGAATCCTATATAAAACACATTGAAAATGATATTACCAAACAATAAGAACAATGAGCCTTTTCTTGTTTGCTAATGTTGTGATTAACATTAAAAAGGTACAGCTTTATTCTGATATAGCCTCAATATCCAATTTCTGTATTTTGTTTTAGTGGCTTAGCATAGAGAAAAATCCCAATCAAAGACATGTTTGCATTTTTAATAGATTTCCTGGTCATCTCAGCACACTCCCAAATTAAAATGATGTAGGAAATTGAAAGAAGCAGACTTGGAAATTTTTATTTTGAGATAAATCCTAAAATTTATCACAAATGCAAAAACCAGACAAAGAGCTTCCAATACTGCTAAAATTCTGCATAACATGGTTTTACTACTACATGATGTGGTATGACAAGTTCACTTGCCTTACATCTCAGCAGTATACCATCACTAGGGGCCTGTGTTGAACAGAAGCACTTGTGCTTTGCCTGCCCAATCAACCCCAAACACAGCATACCCACTGCATTAAGGTTCATCACTTGAACAACATTCCACAAGCACACATGTGCAAGCCCAGATATTTTAAAGGACCGGTGTAGAATTATATCTTTATCATCAAGCATGCATTTGTAAGAAGTGTCCCAAACACACGACAAAAGATAAGAGAAACAGGTTCTATTCTGGGATCACCCAGAAACAAGTTAATCTGGAAGCACAGTAGTGGATTATGTGCTAAACACTTGATATTTAGTGCATCTGAAAGAGTGTTGTTTCTTAGTGTAATTTTTTAATTAAATATTTTTAAGTGAATATGGCTTATCAGAATCCTTAGGTATAATAGAACACAGTTTGAAAACCACTTGGGACTAAATGAGAGTGGGATTTGGCATCAAAAGATCTGGAATCACCTCTCAGCCTAATTTACTAGCTTGTTCAAGTCACTTAACCTCTCTGTATGGCAGTTTTCTTCTTTATTTAGTAGGAAAAATAATACCTTAACTGAGTTATTATGAGTCTCAAATAGAAAATTTTTCAGTTATTTTTAGGCTGTGAAGTCCAATATAAATTAAAGTTGCTGTGCAATAAAATATAATATGTCCCAGATGGCAATGGACTAAATATTTGTAAAAGACTGTCAGGGAGGTGGGTGAGGGGGGCTAGAAGTAGCGGCTTTTCAAATATCTATGACAAAAGTTAAGTCTTCTTTAAACAAAATGCCTCTCACTCACTTTAAGAGCTAGTGAAGACTATGCTCAAAAATATAATCTAGTGAGAGAGGGTACAGTACATTTGTGGTATGGTCCTGCATACATCCTTCATCCATTTAGTTATGCTGATTCTGACATCCTCCACCCTTCTGCACTCCTAGAAACACATGACCAAACCTCTCCCCTTCCCACACATACACAAATCCAGTTTCTTTCAATTCCTACCAGAATAGTCTTAGTCCAAAGTACTGGCCACTAGCAATCTTAAATTTCTAATCTTGATGAACAAAGGGAACTGGAGAAGCAAAGCAGCTAAAATAGTAGCTGGGCCAAAGAAGCTGCGAAGTAAGCTGAGGCTAAATCTCCATTAAGTACAAATGAGGGCATAGGAAGTTCTACAGAAAGGGATCCAAGGATCCTTTAATTCCCTCTAAAGAGACCTCATCTTTCCTGCTTTTCACTATGCTATCATGCTAATCCTGAACTTCATCATTCTATGCCCCATGGAACTGTAGGGTTAGAAGTGATTACAGAATTCTTCTATGTTGACTAACCATTTAATGCTTGATTATCCTCTCCAAATGATTTTCTGGCTTCGAAACTCTAAATTTAAAACTCTACCTTTCTAACTTAGAAACTGTCTACATCCCTACCTTACTCAATTCCATCTCTGAACTATTCTACTGGAAAATTCTTACTATGAGATTAATTCTCCTTAAGATTCACCATCACTACTCCCCTCCCCTCCACCACTCCATCCTGGGGTCACAGAAATAAGCTTAATGTCTCTTCTGTGAGAGAGCTTCCTATGTGAAGATAGCTTCCTATTTGAAGATAGCTATTGGGTCTTCTCTGAAGGCTTCTCCTTTAAAGTCCACAATATATTCCTGGGTTCTTCAAGTTCTCTTCATATAACAGAGCCTTCTTACCACCCTGGCCATTCCTCTCTGAGCAAGGTCCAGTCCAACTTGTTCTCCACTGTTGTAGTTTCTTAACTGGCCTCTCTATTTCACTCATTCCACTAGACCACTGATATTCAAACTTTTCAGTCGCAGGACCCTCACTCTTAAAAATTACTGATGAGGAGACAGGTATAGTGGCATATACCATACCTGTGATCCCAGCTACTGGGGAGGCTGAAGCCAGAGGGTCACTGGAATCCAGGACTTTGAGACCAACCTGGGCAACACAGTGAGACTACATCTCAAAAAAATTATTGAGAACCCAAGAATGCTTTTGTTTATGTGGATGACATCTATTGATACTTGCATTGGAAATTAAAACAAAAACAATTAAAATATTTGTTTATTAGAATGGTAGTTCTTCAAAAAACAAATAACCCCATCAAAAAGTGTGCAAAGGATATGAACAGATACTTCTCAAAAGAAGACATTTATGCAGCCAAAAAACACATGAAAAAAATGCTCATCATCACTGGCCATCAGAGAAATGCAAATCAAAACCACAATGAGATACCATCTCACACCAGTTAGAATGGCGATCATTAAAAAGTCAGGAAACAACAGGTGCTGGAGAGTTTGTGGAGAAATAGGAACACTTTTACACTGTTGGTGGGACTGTAAACTAGTTCAACCATTGTGGAAGTCAGTGTGGCGATTCCTCAGGGATCTAGAACTAGAAATACCATTTGACCCAGCCATTCCATTACGGGGTATATACTCAAAGGATTATAAATCATGCTGCTATAAAGACACATGCACACGTATGTTTTCTGCGGCACTATTCACAATAGCAAAGACTTGGAACCAACCCAAATGTCCAACAATGGTAGACTGGATAAAGAAAATGTGGCACATATACACCATGGAATACTATGCAGCCATAAAAAATGATGAGTCCATGTCCTTTGTAGGGACATGGATGAAATTGGAAATCATCATTCTCAGTAAACTATCACAAGGACAAAAAACCAAACACCGCATGTTCTCACTCATAGATGGGAATTGAACAATGAGAACACATGGACACAGGAAGGGGAACATCACACTCCGGGGACTGTTGTGGGGTGGGGGGAGGGGGGAGGGATAGCATTAGGAGATATACCTAATGCTAAATGACGAGTTAATGGGTGCAGCACACCAGCATGGCACATATCTACATATGTAACTAACCTGCACATTGTGCACGTGTACCCTAAAACTTAAAGTATAATAATAATAAAAAAATAAAAATAAAAAAAGAATGGTAGTTCTTCAAAATATTAAACATAGAGTTCATATGATTCAGTAATTATTCCACTTTTGAGTACATAGCCAAAGAAATGAAAACAGACACTCAGATATTTGCACACTAATGTTCATAGTAGCATTTTTATTATTATTATTATTATTATTTGAGATGGATTCTCGCTCTGTCGCCCAGGCTGAAGTGCAGTGGCGCGATGATCTCTGCTCACTGCAAGCTCCGCCTCCCGGGTTCACGCCATTCTCCTGCCTCAGCCTCCCGAGTAGCTAGGACTACAGGCACCCGCCACCATGCCCGGCTAATTTTTTTTTAATGTATTTTTAGTAGACACAGGGTTTCACTGTGTTAGCCAGGATGGTCTCGATCTCCCAACCTCGTGATCCGCCCACCTTGGCCTCCCAAAGTAAAGTGCTGGGATTACAGGCGTGAGCCACCATGCCCGGCCCATAGTAGCATTATTAACAATAGCCAAAGGTGGAAATAATCCAAATGTCTATAGATGGATAAATGGATAAACAAAAATCATATGTACATATATGTTAGTACAATGGAATATTATTCAGCTCTTAAAAAGAAAATTCTGGCCGGGCGCGATGGCTCACGCCTGTAATCCCAGCACTTCGGGAGGCCGAGGCGGGCGGATCACAAGGTCAAGAGATGGAGACCATCCTGGCTAACACAGCGAAACCCCATCTCTACTAAAAATTCAAAAAATTAGCCGGGCGTGGTGGCAAGTGCCTGTAGTCCCAGTACTCGGGAGGCTGAGGCAGGAGAATGGCGTGAACCCGACAGGCAGAGCTGGCAGTGAGCCGAGACCGCGCCACTGCACTCCAGCCTGGGTAACAGAGCGACACTCCGTCTCAAAAAAAAAAAAAAAAAAAAAAAGAAAAAGAAAATTCTGACACATGTTACAACATGGATGAACGTTCATGATATCAGGCTAAGTAAAATAAATCTGTCCAAAAAAACAGATACCATATGATTCCACTTATGTGAGGTGCCTAAAGTGGTTAAATTCATAGAGACAGACCATAGAATGGTGGTTACTACAGGTTGAAGAGGGGGAGAATGCAGAGTTATTATTTATGGGTACAGAGTTTCAGCTTGGAATCATGAAAAAGTTTTGAAGATGGATGGTGAGGATGGCTGCACAACAATGTGTATGTACTTAATGACAATGAACTGTATACTTACTGATTAAAATGGTCATTTTTATGTTATGTATATTTTACCACAAAAATTTGTTCACTTTATTTTAATATAACAGTAAAAAACTCATTGTATAGTAACTTATTTTTGTTTAAAGTAATTGTATTTTCAAAAATAAAGAGAAAAGAGGCACTGTTTTACATTTTTGCAAATCTCTTTTGATGTCTGCCTTAAAAGAAGACAGCTAGATTTTTTCACCTGCCATAGTTTTAAGTCTGTGGTACTGTGTTGTTTTGGTTGTTGTCCATGAAAAAAATCCACCCTCATACATATATGTAACTGGAAAAAGGAAGAGTATTTTAATATTCTTTTTCAGATAAATGGGGATATTCTCCTTTGATAGTATACCAAAATTTTTAAGCAGTAGTTTCCTAAAGATTAGTTTTGATGTAGAATCTGACCATCAATAAACTTTCCATACTTTATAACATAAAAATGCATTGATCAGCCTTGCACTGTGACTTAATTTTTTACGTATCATACATAATTTTGTAACATTATACACTGATCTTTTCAAATATATTGGTTAACTAAGTTATAAAGTGAAAACATATCATTAAATAAAAGTAATGTTCATTAATATCACCACCAATATCATCAGAGAAGTCTGTAAGTATTGCGATTCCATCAAGTTCACAGTGGCAGAGACAAGTTTTGCAAAACTAATTTTTATTTAAAGCTTAAATTTTATCGTTGGCAACATAAAATGGCTTTCTTTGAAATGAGAGGCTCACTTTGCCATTTTTGAGAAAATACATCCCAATGACCCAAGTATAAATAACAATAATTTTTTGTCAGTCACTCTTCCAAATGTTTGATTTAAAAAAAGAAAAAAGCATTTGAGCTCATACCTCCAATAATCACATACCTGCTTTTCTTCTAGATAACCATCTTATTTCTGTATGCAGAAGTGCCTTATGTGCACTTTCCATTCATCCAACAGAATATTAAAAAGATGTGTATTCAAGGGATGAGATGTAATACAATTAATAATTATTTACTGTTTCTTCAAAGACACTCAAGTAAAACTGGTTCTTTTTTTTTTTTCACTGTCAGTGTGTGGTGGAAAATAATACAATAGAGCTGGCTGGGCGTGGTGGCTCACGCCTGTAATCCCAGCACTTTGGGAGGCCAAGGAGGGTGGATCACAATGTCAGGAGATTGAGACCATCCTGGCTAACACGGTGAAACCCCGTCTCTACTAAATATACAAAAAATTAGTTGGGCATGGTGGCGGGCGCTTGTAGTCCCAGCTACTCAGGAGGCTAAGGCAGGAGACTGGCATGAACCCGGAGGCGGCGCTTGCAGTGAGCTGAGATCGTGCCACTGCACTCCAGCCTGGGTGACAGAGCAAGTCTCCGTCTCAAAAAAAAAAAAAAAAAAAAAAAAGAATACAATAGGGTTTGGTATCAGTTTCTTGATATGGTTTAAGTCACCAGCAGTTCTAACACATCACCATTGCTTTTGTGCCATTAGTATAAATGTCTGCACAATAAATAAAGCCCCCCAAAGAAGTCTTAGTATTATTATAAAAGCTTTGACCTGAAAGGATCTTAGAGACCACCAGAGGCCTACAAACCATACTTTGAGAACCACTGCATTAGACTATAAGCTTCTTGAGAAAAATGTTCTTTCATCTCTGTATCCCAAGATCTAGCACAAGAGCTATCACATGGTAAGTACTTCTAATTAATGTATTTGTCCCTTCTTTTATGCATGAAAGATTTCAACCTACAAACTACAAAACCCCATGAGAAACACACGAAGAATAAGACATTGTCCTTGTTCTCTGGGACTTGTTTTTATTGTCCAGTAAGCAAGATAGCCAATTTTAAAACACACCAAAAAGCCATTATAAGAAAGAAAAGATGTCACAACAGAGGTACCTCCTATAGAAAAAGAAACAATTCTAATTAAAGAAACTGGAAAACGGGAGCAAAGCAATAGAGGCTGAGTGAACAGACTGAGCAAAGGCATGAAAATGGTTTTGTACAATGTTAGTTTATGGAACAGCAAAAGATCCAATAGAATGTAAGAATCAAAAAGAGTAGAAGGTGAAGCTAAAGCACTCACTCCAATTCCTATCTAACCTGCTCATCTGTGTCAGATTAATGTTCCTAAAAACCAACTCCATGCCTTCACCCTCCTCAGAATATTTCATTCAAGTATTTACATCCCTCTAAAACTCTAGTTCTACTCAACCTAGATAAGCTTATTTCTCTAGAAATACCCTATAAGAGAGACCCTCTGCTTAGCCTTCTTACTGTTCCTACATTGGGAACTCACTCCCATCTTGTCACCTTGAGTGCTATCCAAGACTTCCCCAATCTCTAGCCATTTCCTCTCAGTATATTTATACCTTATTCATTTGCATTCTTCTTTCAATATACTCAGTAACTGGCACATAGGAAGTGTTCAATAAATACAATGGAATACTATTCAGCCCTTAAAAAGGAAGAAAATTCCAACACACACTACAACATGAATGAACTTTGAAGCCATCAAGCTAAGTGAAATAAATCTTTAAAAAGACAGATACTGTATGTTTCCATTTGTATGAGGTACCTAAAGTAGTTAAATTCATAGAGACAGACCGTAGAACAGTGGTTACTACAGGTTGGTGGGAGTGGGGGAGAAGGAGAGTTATTGCTTATATATGTCTCTCTCTATGTATATATGTATATATATATATAGACATACACAATATATATAAAATATATAAACAAAAAGCTAAAACAGAAGTGATATTTTAAAAGGATATGTCCTTTCTCACATCAATCCCCGAAATATCCTTATCATGAGCTTAATTGTTTTGTACTTTTCTAATTTCTCTCAAGAGCCCAACCTACCACAGATGAGAGGCTCAATTAAAATATGTTGAATTACTACTATCTTTATTTCTTCCTAATACTTATGGTTCTTTCTAAAACTGTAGACTGGACTTGTTTCTGTAATCCTAGTCATCCCAGTGGACACACATTGTAGCCAGGAATAAGCTCTAGTTTCAGATGGAAAGTTCTGGCTCTGCAAAAGCTGACCATGCCTTATACTCAATCTGCACTGTATAATTTCAGCCCTGCTCTGGTTTCTCTCACCTGAGGATGGATCCCTCACTGGTTTTCTTTTGCTGACATCCCCAAGCTGACCCCCTTCTCTTCCAGCACTGGCTGTCTTGTCCCCTATTCATCCGCATCTCTATTCTTAGCCTCCTTTCGTGGTATACTCTATGCCTGAAAGTATTCACTTCACATTTAGTAACCAATTTTCCACCTTTTATTTCAACTTGGTCTTACCTAATTCAACCCTACATGACCTTCTATAAACAATGCAGTTTTCTCTAAAAGCTGAAATAAAACATGAAGAGATGTACTTAAACCAAGCAAACCCACATTTTAGTACTTCTCTTATCCCTTACATATGTATTTTCTATGGAGACAGGAACTTTCTTATTTTATAATCCTGTACACCATTATTCATTTCTTTACTGTGTTTAACTTTTCAGGATTAAAGGACAAACAGCAGCCAAAATAAATATGGGTAAGTATCACAGCACTCCATGGTTCACACCAAATGTAATCAGGGTTCTTGACTTAGGACAACAACCTATTAGTTGCATTATTCCTTCTCTCTTCAAAGCCTATCTTCTTTCAGCTTCCTTCCTTTTGCAATTCTATTATTTATAATGACAATCTGAGCAACAAAACATATTAAACACTTAATGGAATGAAAATAACATTTGGGGTATTACACAACATCCATTTGAAATACAAATAATGCATGATAACATAAAATAACATTGCTGATCTGATGCTAATCACCCCATCATCTAGAAGATGAGTGAGCAAATTCTTTTTTTTTTTTTTTTTTTTTTTTTGGAGAGACAGAGTATTGCTTTGTCGCCCAGGATGGAGTGCAGTGGCGCGATCTCAGCTCACTGCAACCTCTGCCTCCTGGGTTCAAGCAATTCTCCTGCCTCAGCCTCCTCAGTAGCTGGGACTACAGATGCACGCCACCATACCCAGCTAATTTCTTTTGTACTCTAGTAGAGACATGGCTTCACTGTGTTGCCCAGGCTGGTCTCAAACTCCTGAGCTCAGGCAACCCGCCCGCCTTGGCCTCCCAAAGTGCTAGGATTACAGGCGTGAGCCACTGCACTTGGCCAGCAAATTCAATTTTAAGATGCAGGTTGACTTCATAAAGTAACTCAGAAAACGAAAAACATAGCCCTTTTCTAGAGAACACAAAATTCCACACTCTCTTTAACAAACTTCAACACATAAAGGGATATATTAAAATACAGTCAACGTTTAAGAGAAGAGCTAATGGTGGGGGGTGGGGAAATCTAAAAATCACTTATATTTGGCTGTGAAATATTCTGTGTGATTTTATATTTCCAACTAAGTTGGGCCAACACTGCTCTAGCACTTTCTGGATATACCCAAACAGATAAAACGAAGGCAGTACAGAAGATGCTGGTGGCAGGAAAATGCCCTCTTGATTAAATTTTAAAAGGCTTGTAACAAACCACCAGTTGTTTAAAAGTATATTATTAAAGCAGATTGTAAAGTTGCCTTTAAAGAGTTATTTCTATTAAATGTCAGTGCTAATGGATATAAACTAAGGCAAAGTTGGTATCACAGATTCTCTTACAAGTCCAAGATTATTTTTAAAGATACATAATCATATTCTTTTAAAGTATGAATCTATAATATTATAGATCTGTCTAATAAATCTACATTGATTTTACAAATATACATATATATAATATAGATGTTATTTTATCTTAAGAACCAGCCAAATACTTTTTTGAGTTTCTTGTGTAATCATCGCCAGACTCCTGCTTTATCCTTCTTTCTATTCTTGCCCAACTTTCTATTTTGTCTATTTTCTAACTTTCTAATTTTCTATTTTTTCTATTTTTTCTTTCTATTCTATTTCTTTCTATCCTTGCCCAACTTTCTATTACTTCAAGGATTCACCTCCTGATGTTATATGTACAGATTCATAATCCTTTTTTGAAATCCTGAAACCTGAAAAGCTTTGCAAACCAAGTTTTTTCAAAACTGAATTAGTGGCAAAATCTTTCCTGACTTGAACTCATGTGATACTAAATTGACAGAAGTATATTTAGGGCCGGGCGCGGTGGCTCACGCCTGTAATCCCAGCACTTTGGGCGGCCGAGGCGGGCGGATCACGAGGTAAGGAGGTAGAGACCATCCTGGCTAACATGGTGAAACCCCGTCTCTACTAAAAATACAAAAAATTAGCTGGGCGTGGTGGCGGGCGCCTGTAGTCCCAGCTGCTCAGGAGGCTGAGACAGGAGAATGGCGTGAAACCGGGAGGCGGAGCTTGCAGTGAGCCAAGGTCGTGCCTCTGCACTCCAGTCTGGGCGACAGAGCAAGACTCCGTCTCAAGAAAAAAAAAAGAAGAATATTTAGTCATTTATCATACATAGTGTAAAAATTCATGCATTTTGCTGCAGAAATATTAATGTATACAATTACAAGGTACTGCCGGATCCTGATAGGGATATTAAATAACATAAAATATGCATGAATTACCTTTCTATAATTTAAAAAATAATATGAATTCCTTAATATCTGGTCCTTAGATTTTGCACAAGGGAATGTATGGACTGTATATACTTATTTGTAATACTATCATCTCTTCATGAGAGCAAAAACGATTAAAATATGGTTAAGAATGAATAATATTGACTAAATATTAATGCTGCAATATGATAAATAGCAATGTCTTATGAAATGTAAAATATATACAGATTTAAAATGCATGGCAAAATAACACACAAAGAAAGGGGTGAGTACATTGTTCTAAGTTCTAGCATTATATTACAGGAAAATAGTGAAAGTAATAATTTATATAAAACTATAATTAATCAAGAATAAGTGCTGTAACTCTAGTGTAGCTACCTAAAGAACAGTACAACAAGCTAATGAAGAGGAAAACATAATAAAGAATTTGAATAACCCAAAAGAATGCAAAAATGAGAGAAAACAGAATATGAAGTATATCAAATAAGAAACAAACATTAATGTGAGTTATAAAACCATATAGATGTGAGTTATAAAACCATATAGATCAGTACATTCATTAAATGTAAATAGACTATACAATTAAAAGACTATTTAAAAAAATACAAAGGCCAGGCGCAGTGGCTCACGCCTGCAATCCCAGCACTTTGGGAGGCTGAGGCGGGAGGATCACCTGAGATCAGGAGTTCCAGACTGCCTGGCCAACATGGTGAAACCCCGTCTCTACTTAAAAAAAAAAAAAAAAAAAAGACTCTAGCTGTCAGTCTGGATTTTTAAGAAAACTATATGACGTCTTTACAAGATATACATTAAATACAGTCACAAAGAAGGTGAAAATAAAAGGATAGAAAAAGCCATACCATGCAACTGCTAACCAAAAGAAACCTAATGCAGCTATAATAACACCATACAAAATGGACTTTAAGGCAAGAGCCTCACTAGAGATAAAGAGAGATACTTCAGAACGATTAAGAGGTTAAACCAACAGGAAAATATCATAAGATCAATCTGTATATAACCACTAAAAATAGCCTTTAAATACATAAGCAAAAATCTGAAAGAATTAAAAAGAGAAATAGACTAATACATAATCATGGTGGGAGATTTTAACATATTTATTTTAATAGCTGATGGAACAAACAAAAAAATCCAATAAGATTATAGAAGAGCTGAACAGCATAATTTCCAACTTGGCCTCAGTGACACATATAGGTAATCTAATCCAACAATGGCAATATAAACATTCTTTATGAGGTCACACGGAACATTCAGCAAAACTGAGTATATTCTGGGCTATAAAGCAAGCCTTAGCAAATCAAGCAAATCAGCAAAGCAAGCTTCAGCCTAGAAATCAATAACAAAAATATCTTTTAAAGTATCTCAATTGCTTGGAAATTAAGCAATATACTTCAAAATAGCCCTTGAGTTAAATATTAGAAAAATTGTAGAAGATATTAGAAAACATTTTAAACAAAAGGATAATAAAAATATGTCTCATTAGGACTGTGGAATGCAGTCAAAGCAGTGCTCAGAAGAAAAATTATAACCTTGCATGCATGTTTTATAAAAGAGGAAAGACTTCAAGTGTATGGCACAAGCTTCCATTTTAAGAAACTAGAAAAAGAACAGCAAATCAATCTCAAAAAAAAAAAAAACAGGAGGAAAGTAATAATAAAGAACTGATCTGAAATTAAGAGAAAATTAGTAAACCCCAAAACTGGTTCATTGATGAGACTAATAAAATTAATAAGCCCCTAGCAAAATTGTTCAAACACACTCTCTCTCACACACACACACACACACACACACACACACACGAGTTACCATTATCAGAAATGGTAACAGATTTTTTCAGACATTAACAAGAAATAGAGGTTTACTATAAACAACTTTAGGCCAATAATTTATACAATTTAAATAAAAACAAATTCCTTGAAAAATGCAACCTATCAGAACAGACAACAGAAGCATAGAAAATCCAAATACTTCTATATCTATCAAAATGCAATCTGTATGGGCCGAGCACGGTGGCTCATGCCTGTACTCCCAGCACTATGGGAGGCCGAGGCAGATGGATCATATGAGGCCAGGAGTTTGAGACCAGCCTGGCCAACATGGCAAAACCCCATATCTACTAAAAATACAAAAATTAGCCAGGCATGGTAGCACGCACCTGTAATCCCAGCTACTCTAGAGGCTGAGGCAGGAGAATCGCTTGAATCCAGGAGAGAGAGGTTGCAGAGAGCTAAGATCATGCCACCACACTCCAGCCCGGGCGACAAAGTGACACTCTCTCTCAAAAAAAATTTTTTTTAATTAAAAATAAATAAATCTGTATTAAAAATCTTGCTAACACAATACTGAAGTACAACAAAGTTGGAGAATTCACACCACCAACTTCAAGACTTATAAAGGTATGCAATCAAGCCAGTGTGGTATTGGTGAAAGAATGGACAAATAGATCAACAGAACAGAATAGAGACCTAGAAATAGATCCACATAAACATCACCAACTCATTTTTGACAAATGAGTAAAGGCAATACAAGGATGAAAGACAGTCTTTTCAGGAAATGGTACTGGAACATCCACATGCAAAGGAGGGGGGAGGAAGAGAAAGAGAGGGTGGGTGGTGGGAGTGGGGGGACAAGAGATGGAATCTAGAAACACACCTTAGACCTTTCACAAAAATTAACTCCAAATGAAGCATAGACCTAAATGTAACACATAGAAATATAAGACATCTAGAAGACAACATAGGAGAAAATCTAGATGACCTTAGGGTTTAGCTATTAATTTCTAGACACAATACCAAATGCACAATCCATAAAAGAAAACAATTGATCAATCAGACTTCATTAAAATTAAAAATTTCTGCTCTTAGAAAGATATTGAAGAAAATAAAAAGACTAGCCACAGATTGGAAGAAAATATTTGCAAAACAATTCTACCCAAGTATACAAAAAATTCTTAAAACTCAACAATAAGAAAACAACCCAATTAAAAAATGGGCAAAAGATCTGAAAAGACACCTGACTAAAGAAGACACACAGATGGCAAATAAACATAAAAGGATACTTAATATCATATGTCATTAGGGAATTGCAAATTAAAATAATAAGATATCACAACACACATTAAGATGGCTAAAATCCAAAACAGTGATAGCACCAAATGCTGGGGAGGATGTGGAGCAACCAGCACTCTCATTTCTTGCTGGTGGGAATGCAAAATGGCACAGCCTCATTGGAAGACAGGTTGTCAGTTTCTGATGGTTAACCACTCTCTTACCACGCAATCTATCAATTTCACTCTTTGGTATTTACCTAACATGGCTGAAGATTTATGTCCACAGAAAAACCTACACATGAAGGTTTATACCAGGTTTTCGTTGTTGTTGTTTTTGAGACGGAGTCTCACTCTTTCGCCAGGCTGGAGTGCAGTTGTAGCGGGATTTTTTAGGGAATCAGAGAGACCGAGGGGTTGAGGAGGATATTTATTATTTAGGTGCACCGGCTCAGTCGGATTAACATCCAAAGAACTGAGCCCTGAACAAAGAGTTAAGTTACGTTAGCATTTCATGGGGTAGGGGGAGATCTGTGCAGGGAGAAGCATATAACAGAAGCAAGAAATAAAGACAGTTATTCAATTAATTGAGACATGCATTACATCATTTCTTACTTTTCAAGGAAAAACATGTTTTACGGCTTGAGTTTATCTGTCTAATGACCTTGCAGCTGCACAGCTAGAGAAACAGGGTCTTTACAATGCCTGAGAAAGGGAGAGATAAGGCTCACTAGTCACAGAAAAACAGGCAGTTAATTTTTTTTTTAAATTATACTTTAAGTGCCATTTTGGTATGCTGCACCCATTAACTCGTCATTTAACATTAGGTATATCTCCTAATGCTATCCCTCCCCTCTCCACCAACCCCACAACAGGCCTCCGTGTGTGATGTTCCCCTTCCTGTGTCCATGTGTTCTCATTGTTCAATTCCCACCTATGAGTGAGAACATGCAGTGTTTGGTTTTTTGTCCATGCGATAGTTTGCTGAAAATGATGGTTTCCAGCTTCATCCATGTCCCTACAAAGGACATGAACTCATCATTTTTTATGGCTGCATAGTATTCCATGGTGTATATGTGCCACATTTTCTTTATCCAGTCTACCATTGTTGGACATTTGGGTTGGTTCCAAGTCTTTGCTATTGTGAATAGTGCCGCGATAAACATACGTGTGCATGTGTCTTTATAGCAGCATGATTTATAATCCTTTGGGTATATACCCAGTAATGGGATGGCTGGGTCAAATGGTATTTCTAGTTCTAGATCCCTGAGGAATCGCCACACTGACTTCCACAATGGTTGAACTAGTTTACCATCCCACCAACAGTGTAAAAGTGTTCCTATTTCTCCACAACCTCTCCAGCACCTGTTGTTTCCTGACTTTTTAATGATCGCCATTCTAACTGGTGTGAGATGGTATCTCATTGTGGTTTTGATTTGCATTTCTCTGATGGCCAGTGATGATGAGCATTATTTCACGTGTCTTTTGGCTGTATAAATGTCTTCTTTTGGGAAGTGTCTGTTCATATCCTTTGCCCACTTGTTGATGGGGTTGATTGTTTTTTTCTTGTAAATTTGTTTGAGTTCATTGTAGATTCTGGATATTAGCCCTTTGTCAGATGAGTAGATTGCAAAAATTTTCTCCCATTCTGTAGGTTGCCTGTTCACTCTGACGGTAGTTTCTTTTGCTGTGCAGAAGCTCTTTAGTTTAATTAGATCACATTTGTCAATTTTGGCTTTTGTTGCCATTGCTTTTGGTGTTTTAGACATGAAGTCCTTGCCCATGCCTATGTCCTGAATGGTATTGCCTAGGTTTTCTTCTAGGGTTTTTATGCTTTTAGGTCTAACATTTAAATCTTTAATCCATCTTGAATTAATTTTAGTATAAGGTGTAAGGAAGGGATCCAGTTTCAGCTTTCTACATATGGCTAGCCAGTTTTCCCAGCACCATTTATTAAATAGGGAATCCTTTCCCCATTGCTTGTTTTTCTCAGGTTTGTCAAAGATCAGATAGTTGTAGATATGTGGCATTATTTCTGAGGCCTCTGTTCTGTTCCATTGGTCTATATCTCTGTTTTGGTACCAGTACCATGCTGGTTTGGTTACTGTAGCCTTGTAGTATAGTTTGAAGTCACGTAGTGTGATGCCTTCAGCTTTGTTCTTTTGGCTTAGGATTGACTTGGCAATGCAGGATCTTTTTTGGTTCCATATGAACTTTAAAGTAGCTTTTTCCAATTCTGTGAAGAAAGTCATTGGTAGCTTGATGGGGATGGCATTGAATCTATAAATTACCTTGGGCAGTATGGCCATTTTCATGATATTGATTCTTCCCACCCATGAGCATGGAATGTTCTTCCATCTGTTTGTATCCTCTTTTATTTCATTGAGCAGTGGTTTGTAGTTCTCCTTGAAGAGGTCCTTCACATCCCTTGTAAGTTGGATTCCTAGGTATTTTATTCTCTTTGAAGCAATTGTGAATGGGAGTTCACTCATGATTTGGCTCTCTGTTTGTCTGTTATTGGTGTATAAGAATGCTTGTGATTTTTGTACATTGATTTTGTATCCTGAGACTTTGCTGAAGTTGCTTATCAGCTTAAGGAGATTTTGGGCTGAGACGATGGGGTTTTCTAGATATACAATCATGTCATCTGCAAACAGGGACAATTTGATTTCCTCTTTTCCTAATTGAATACCCTTTATTTCTTTAACCTGCCTGATTGCCCTGGCCAGAACTTCCAACACTATGTTGAATAGGAGTGGTGAGAGAGGGCATCCTGTCTTGTGCCAGTTTTCAAAGGGAATGCTTCCAGTTTTTGCCCATTCAGTATGATATTGGCTGTGGGTTTGTCGTAAACAGCTCTTATTATTTTTGAGATATGTCCCATCAATACCTAATTTATTGAGAGTTTTTAGCATGAAGGGCTGTTGAATTTTGTCAAAGGCCTTTTCTGCATCTATTAAGATAATCATGTGGTTTTTGTCATTGATTCTGTTTATATGCTGGATTACAATTATTGATTTGCATATGTTGAACCAGCCTTGCATCCCAGGGATGAAGCCCACTTATCATGGTGGATAAGCTTTTTGATGTGCTGCTGGATTCGGTTTGCCAGTATTTTATTGAGGATTTTTGCATTGATGTTCATCAGGGATATTGGTCTAAAATTCTCTTTTTTTGTTGTGTCTCTGCCAGGCTTTGGTATCAGGATGATGCTGGCCTCATAAAATGAGTTAGGGAGGATTCCCTCTTTTTCTATTGATTGGAATAGTTTCAGAAGGAATGGTACCAGCTCCTCCTTGTACCTCTGGTAGAATCTGGCTGTGAATCCGTCTGGTCCTGGACTATTTTTGGTTGGTAAGCTATTTATTATTGCCTCAATTTCAGAGCCTGTTATTGGCCTATTCAGAGATTCAACTTCTTCTTGGTTTAGTCTTGGGAGAGTGTATGTGTCGAGGAATTTATCCATTTCTTCCAGATTTTCTAGTTTATTTGCGTAGATGTGTTTATAGTATTCTCTGATGGTAGTTTGTATTTCTGTGGGATCAGTGGTGATATCCCCTTTATCATTTTTTATTGTGTCTATTTGATTCTTCTCTCTTTTCTTCTTTATTAGCCTTGCTAGTGGTCTATCAATTTTGTTGTTCTTTTCAAAAAACCAGTTCCTGGATTCATTGATTTTTTGAAGGGTTTTTTTGTGTCTCTGTTTCCTTCAGTTCAGGCAGTTAATTTTTAAAGGACTCCAGCTCTTTCTCTTTCTCAAGGGGAATTGGGTTTCTTACATATAACTGAGTTTCTGCTTACACATTCTTTAATTTTTTTTAATTCCTGTTCCACAGTGGTGCGATCTCAGCTCCCTATAGCAGTTTTATTCATAAGTGCTAAAATTTGTATGCAACCAAGATGTCTATCAACAGGTGAATGCATAAACAAACTGTGGTACATCTATACAATAAAATATTACTAAACAGAAAAAAAAATCAGCTATCAAGCCACAAAAAGACAGAGAGGAACATTAAATGAATATTGCTAAGTGAAAGACACCAGTAAAATAACTACATACCACATAATTCCAACTATATGACATTCTTAAAAGCAAAACTATAGAGACAGTAAAAAGTGGTTGCCGGAGTCTCAGGGGGAAGGGAGGAATGAGCAGGTAAGCCACAGGGGATTTTTAGAATACTGAAACTATTCTGTATGATACTGGAATTGTGAATACATAAATACAGGACACCATGTATTTGTCAAAACCCACAGTAGCCATGTACATGGGTGAACACCTGGAATTCCAGCTACTTAGGAGACTGAGTCAGGAGGATCCCTTGAGCCCAGGAGCTTGAGACCAGCCTAGCGAGACAAACATAGCAAGACACTGACTCACAAAAAAAAAAAAAAAAAAAAAAAAAAAAAAACAGACCTGCAAGACAAAGAGTGAACCTTAATGTAAACCATGAACTTTAGTTAATAATAACGTATCAATATTAGTTCAACTGAAACAAATGTACCACACTAATGCAAGATGTTAATAATAGATGAAAATTGTGCAAAGGAGAGGGATAAATGGAAACTACTTTCTGATCAATTTTTCTGTAAATCTAAAGTCTATTAATTTAAAAATATTCTCAAATAGAAAACTGCAGACACAGGCTTCATTGAAGAATTCTTCCAAACATTTAAAAAATAACAAATCTCATAACACTCTTATGGCAAATAAAATTTTAAAAGGGAGGCAGCACTTCCCTACTCATTTTATGAGGCCAGCATAACCTTGATATAAAACGTGACAAAGATGGTTACAAGGAAGGAAAATTACATACCAATCATTCTCACGACATTATAGCAATATTTATACCCTAATTCTTGGAGTTCTGTTAGCTCCACTGTAGAAAGCCACTATAAAAGAATGTCACCCCCAGCCAAATAAGAAAAACAGTACAATATTCAAAAATCATACATTCTGAACCCATCAGTAAACTGAAGCTATAAGACAACCAAGTGAATTAAATTCCAAGTAGTAACAAGCTCCTTCAAGGACAAATGAGATTCTAAACTACTTCACCTTTGGCAGAGCACAGGAGGAAAAGGAAGCTACCATACAAGACAGTAAGAAATGAACTAAAATGTTAACTATCATAGACAAGATGTAGGCTAGTGTGTCGGTTTGGAATAATTTTGGAACCCAAAATGCAAGGGGAATTCACACACATTTGCATAGTCTTTTCCATAGGTCTATGCCAGGTGCCCATACAAAAGACTGAGAGCAGAAATCTACAAAGAGCACTCTGGTGGCACAGGTGTGCAAAACGAGATAGGCTGCCACTGCAGGACAAGCATAAAACTGCTACCTTGGCCAAACTCTCCTCTCATCTGAAGCAAAGGACTAAAAACACTGGGGAAGGTTCAGAAACCCTCCCATTCTGAAGACAAGGCAGTAATTCACTGCTTTTGGGGGTGGGATAGATACAAAAACCCTCAACCTCATAGGAAAATAAGAAAACTCTCTTGGGCCCAGGATCCTACAACAATACAAAGCAGAGGTAAATTAGCACTAGGGCAGGGCAGGTATGGGTCTTTCACTCAATACCACAGACACAAGGCAGAACTGGGCTGCCAAAGGGAT
This sequence comes from Homo sapiens, assembly GCF_000001405.40. Classification (NCBI taxonomy): domain Eukaryota; kingdom Metazoa; phylum Chordata; class Mammalia; order Primates; family Hominidae; genus Homo; species Homo sapiens. The sequence continues at coordinate 26,589,588 of NC_000004.12, read as the reverse complement.
AAGGGGATGGAACATGCCAAAGCTGGGAAAGCTCCACATCCAAGGATAAAGCACATGGACTGAGTCAGAAAAACAGATGACTCCTGCACCTACTGTGAGCCCAGGACTGAATAACAAACAACAGACTTCTGCTGGGGACAAGAGCACAAAGAGAGATCTCCCCCTGAGGAACAGGCAAGGAGACAGAAGAAAGTCAAGGATGTAGTAGAAACAATGAGAAAAACTCTGTAGTACCCTAAGATCTATGCCAAGCACAAAGTAACAGCAGTCTACTACTGGGTTTTGTTGTTGTTGTTGTTGTTGTTTGTGTTTTTGAGATGGAGTCTCGCTCTGTCCCCTAGGTTGAAGGGCAGTGGCACGATCTTGGCTCGCTGCAACCTCCACCTCCCGGGTTCAAGCAATTCTCCTGCCTCAGCTTCCCGAGTAGTTGGGATTACAGGAATGCACCACCACACCTGGCTAATTTTTGTATTTTTAGTAGAGACAGGGTTTCACCATGTTGGCGAGGCTGGTCTCAAACTCCTGGCCTTAAGTGATTTGCCCACCTCAGCCTCCTAACTACCTCTAGTTTCAAAGGAATCTGAAGCCTGTGATATACTGAAGGTAATGACAACAATAACAAAACCCAAACCCAGCTTGATCCTTGTCTATATTGACTGAAGCCCCTACACTCAGTAAGGATATAGAATACTGAAACAAAATTGCCTACTAGACCTAATTGACAATTATGGAACAGAAACAGCAGAATAAGCATGCTTTTCAAGTACATATGAAACAAACAAGATAAAACATATTCTGGATCATAAAAGTAAGTAAACAGCTAAAATCATACATATTTTATTCTTGACCATAAGAGAATTAAACTAGAAATCAATCAGAGAAAGATAGTGGTAAACAACACATTTATAAATAACCCATGGGTTATTAGAACCCATAAAATCACAAGAGAATTTTTTTAAATTTTAATTGGGTGAAAATGGCAATAGACTATATCCTAATTTATAGACACAGATAAACCAGTACATAGAAAGAAATTTAGAGCATTTAATTAGAAGAGAATAAAGGTCTCAAATCAAAAATTTAAATTTCACCTAAATAGCTTTAAAAATGCAAATTAAATCCAAAGCAAGCAGAAAAAAATAATAAAGGAAAAAAATCAGAGCGATTGAAAACAGAAAAACAATCAAACCAAGAGCTACTTCTTTGAAAGTATTGATATAATTGATAAATCTCTAGCCAGATTAATTAGGGAAAAAGAACACATGGCCAGGTGCGGTGGCTTATGCCTTTAATCCCAGCCCTTTAGGAGGCCAAGGCGGGCGGATCACGAGGTCAGGAGATCGAGACCATCCTGGCTAACACGGTGAAATCCTGTCTCTACTAAAAATACAAAAAATCATCTGGGCGTGGTGGCAGGCGCCTGTAGTCCCAGCTACTCAGGAGGCTGAGGTAGAAGAATGGCGTGAACCCGGGAGGCGGAGCTTGCAGTGAGCCGAGATCATGCCACTGCACTCCAGCCTGGGCGACAAAGCGAGATTTCACCTCAAAAAAAAAAAAAAAAAAAGAACACATATGACAGTATAAGGAAGGAAGGAGGGGCTATCACTACAAATCCTACAGACACTAAAAGGAATATAAGGGGATCATATAAACAATTTTATACCAGTAAATTCGTTAAAATAAATTAAGTGCGGCAACTTCTTGAAACATAAAAACTACAAAAGCTTACAGAAGAAGAAATAGATAACCTGAATGGCCTGCATATATTTTTAATTGAATTTTTTTAATTAAAAATGTGTCCATAAAGAAAACTCTAGGCACCAGTGACTTTGCTGGGAACTCTACCAAATATTTAAGGAGCAAATAATATTAATTCTACATAAATTCTTCCAGAAAATAAGGAACACTTCCCAACTTATTTTATAAGATCATCATTAACTGGTATCGAAAGCAGACAAAGTGTTACAAGAAAAAAAAAAACTACAAAGAAATATCTTTTTTTTTTTTTTTTTGAGACAAGGTCTGGCTCTATCACCCAGGCTGAAGTGCAGTGGTGCGATCTCTGCTCACTGCAACCTCTGCTACCCAGGTTCAAGCCATCCTCCCACCTCAACCTCTCAAGTAGCTGGGACTACAGGTGCGCACTGCCACACTGGCTAATTTTTGTATTTTTTGTGGAGATAGGGTTTTGCCATGTTGCCCAGGCTGGTCTCAAACTCGTGAGCTCAAGCGATCTGCCCACCTTGGCCTCCCAAAGTGCTAGGATTACAGGCATGAGCCATCGCGCCTGGCCACAAACCAGTATCTTTCATAAATACAGTTACAAAATCTTCAGCAAAATGTTAGCAAATTGAGTCAAGAAATATATAAAAAGAATAATGCATCATAACCAAGTGGAATTTATCTCAGGAATACAAAATTGGTGCAACATTCAAAGCCAATCAGTATTATTCATCATATCAACATGAGCAGGAAAAATAATATGAACATATCTACAGATATAAAAAAGTACTTAACAAAGTTCAACATCCATTCATGATAAAACTCTCAGAAAACTAGGGATAGAATAGAGCTTCCTCAACCTGCAAAAAAGCATCTGCAAAACATTGCACTGGAGGCATTATCCAGTACAGTAAGTCAAGAAAAAGAAATAAAAGGCACACGGATTGGAAAGGAAGAAGTAAAACTGTCTTTAGTTCATTATGATACATGTACCTGGAAAATCTTAAGTAATCTACAGAAAAGGTACTATAACCAATATATAAGTTTAGCAAGTTCTCAGAATACATGGTAAATAGATTAATATCAATTGCATTTCTGTATGTTAAAAATAAAAAATTAAAACTTAAGTCACCATTTATAATAGCGTCAAAAACCACAAAATACTTAAGGGGAAAATCTCAACAAAGAGTATGCAATATTTGTGTGCTGAAACTACAAAACACTGACAAGAGAAAATAAAAACAACATAAATAAATGAAAAGATAAACTGTGTCCATGGGCCAGAAAATTTAATATTGCTAAAAATCTCGATTCTCCCCAAATTGATCTACAGATTCAACATAATCCCAATCCAATTTTCAACAATTTTTGTAGTAATTTATAAGAGGATTCTAAAATTTATATAGCAAAGCAAAGGACCTAGAATAGCCAAAATAATTTTGGGAAAAAAAGGAACAAATTTGGAGGACTTTGATCTCAAGGCTTACTATAAAGTTACAAAAAGCAAGACAGTGTGGTATTGTATGATGAACAAATAGATCAATGGAACAAAATAGAGAGCCAGAAATTTTGTGTGTGTGTGTGTAATTGATTTTCGACAAAGGTGCCAAGGAAATTAGCAGAGAAAGGATAGGTTTTTCAGCAAATCAGTAATGGAAATACTGGATATCCATATGCAAAAAAAAAAAAAAAAAAGCTTACCTTGCACCATATACAATAATTAACTCAAATGGATCACAAAATGGATCACACTTCTACATTTAGGATCACAGACCTAAATGTAGAAGCTAAAACTATAAAACTTCTAGAACAAACAAACATAGTAGAAACTTTTTTAAGACCTTGAGTTAGGCAAACACTTTTAGGTAGGGAACAAAAAGCACAAATCATAAAACAATTGATAAAAATTTATGTCACCAAAATTAAGCATTTTTCTCTTTCAAAGACCCAGTTGAGAAAATGAAAAGATAATCCACAGACTGGGCAGGGTGTGGTGGCTCACGTCTGTAATCCCAGCACTTTGGGAGCCTGAGGCAGGCAGATCACTTGAGATCAGGAGTTCAAGACCAGCCTGGCCAACATGGTGAAACCCCATCTCTACTGGAAACATAAAAAATTAGCTGGGCATGGTGGTGGATGCCTGTAATCCCAGCTATTCAGGAGGCGAAGGCGGGAGGATCACTTGAACCTGGGAGGCAGAGGTTGTAGTGAGCCGAGATCACACCACTGCACTCCAGCCAGGGTGACAGAGGAAGACTCCGTCTCAAAAAAAAAAGATAATCCACAGACTGGGAGAAAATATTTGCAAGACGCACATCTGATAAAGACTTACATCATATAGAAAGAATCCTTACAACTCAACAATAAGAAGACAACACTATTTTTTTTTTAATGGGCAGAAGATTTGAAGACTACCTCACCAAAAAAGATATAAGCACATAAGAAAATGCTTAATATCATTAGTCATTAGGGAAATGCAATAAAAGCTACAATAAGATACTATTACACTTCTACTAGAGAAGTATAATTAATTAATAAAAATAAATAAAAGACTGGCAGCATCAAGCGCTATCAAGGACGCAAAACAATTGGAACTCTCAGAATTGCTTGTGGGAATGGAAAATGATACAGCCACTTTGGAAAAGTGTGACAGTTTCTCATAGAATGAAACATTACACTTACCATACAAGTCAGCAATTCCAATCCTAGGTATTTATCCAAGAAAAAAAGAAACAAATATCCAAGCAAAATCGTATACTAGAATGTATATATCAGCTTTACTTATAATCTCTAAAACCAGAAAGCAACCCAATGCCCTTCACACAATGATGAATAAACAAGCCATTGTACATTCAAACACTGAAATATTACTCAGCAATAAAAAGGAACAGAACTACTGAAATATCAACAAAATGGATGAATCTCAAAAGCACTGTGTTAATGCCAGAAAGCAGGCACAAAATGTACAAACTGTATGATTTCATTTATATGAGTCACAAAAAGGCAAGGATCTCAATCAATCTGTGCATCCTCAGTGCCTAGCATGTTATAAAATATCCAATAAATGCTAGGTGGTGGACGGATAGACGAGGAATAATTGCAGGGAGGGTAAACTGCAAGAAAGTGATACATTGACGAGAAAGCAGAAAGGTACTTGGGGGCCCAAGTCCACCCACAGGACGGAAAAAGTGAGGGAAGGCATGGTCCAAGCTACCTTCAGTGAGTCCAGCAGCTTAAAAAATTAGACCCTGTAAATGACTACAGGAATAGATAAATGAGTAAGCGTTTCTCTGGTCTGAAAAAAAGGTGTGATGCGCCCCACCCTTCTTTAAAAATCTATTAACCACGCCTGGGGCTGAGGCAGCACAGCTTGCACCGGACAGGGAGGTGGGGTTTTTTTGTTTTGTTTTGTTTTTGTTTTTGTTTTTGTTTTTGTTTTTGTCTGTTTGTTTTTTGAGCACCAGAGCGGAGCTGGAGAGGTCAGAGGCGAGCTCTGGCTTGGGTGAGGAGGGTGAAGAAGAGACATCGCCGCGGCCCCGCCCGTCTGCATCCCTTCCCACTCGGCCTCACTTACCCAGGCCTGCCGTTCCAGCTGAGAGTACAAATTGGAGCCCTTGAGCTTTTGGACTATCTGGGCAATAATGAGAGAGAGGTCCGACTCCTCCTGCAACATTTCCCCTGCCCTAGCCCGCCAAGCCGCGGGGACAGGCCGCCGGCGCGGAGCGAACGGGCTACCGGGTCCCACTCAGGGCCAGTGACACTTCTCCGGGACCTTATTACACTGGGACTCCTCCAGCGGGCGTTACCAGGCAACTGCCGAGCCTTGTGTCCGTCCCTCTCTGGTCCCCTCAGCGCCTGAAGGCCACAGCATCTGCGTTCCGCCGGCGGAAAAAGACCGGGGCGGGGAGGACGCTTTTCACACCGTTGTTCCTGCCTTGTCTATGGTTGAAAGGCAAGAAAGCTCATTCTTTCAGAGCCACAGCGCCTCTGATGCACAAGGGGGACACGGAGAATTGTGCGTTTTACTATATAAAGGATCATTCTCTTCCACCTCTCAATTTCTGCAGAAACAGGACTGTGGCACGCAATGATACTGCGAATTACAACCACGAATTGTTAGGCTCTGACACTACCTGCGTAAACGTGTTACAGTTTCCGCCTCTGTAAAATAACACCCAGTTTGCAGGATGTTGTGATGATTAGCTGAGGTAAAAATCGTGAAGGTGCCTAGCACTGTACCATAGCACTCCATTTTACTTCATTTTCTCTCGTTTCTATTCTCTAGAGTCTTATACCAGGAATAAGTAGACAATCTCGTCTCATCTAACAACTACAAATTAACCAACAGGCATTATTTGTAGGTTTTCTGCAAAGCATTAGCAATTCAAGGATGAATAAGACATTGTCCAAGTCTTCCAGGAATTTACCGTCTAGATTCATCCTCTTCCGTATATTCATTCATTCAAGCATTTATTCATAATTCATTCAGCTTTCAACTTATTGAACATTTACATAAAAGGAACTGTGTGGGCACAAAGGTTTAATAAAATATGGTTCTTGCCTTCAAGGAAATGCACAAAAGATTTTTAGCAGAACTAAAAGTAACTGACTTAAATTATTGAATGACATCCCCAAAGGCCAACGGCACCTCCCTTCCCCCCCCAAAAAAGGCCTAGTGAAAAATACATTAGAATAACCTCACAAAAATAATCAAAATTGAGTTCAAATGTGTATATGCATATTTTAAGCAAAGCAGAAGTAGGATTTTAAGAAAACAAACCAAGATTGCTGCAAAAGCTACTCTAGACTAACTAGAAACAAAGAGATCTCATTCAATCAAATGTAGATTCTAATTCAATAGGACTCTGGTGAGAACTGGTAAACCGCATTTCTGACAAGTCCAAGAAATTATGATGCCGATGGTCCAAAGACTACATTCTGAATAGCAAAGGACTAAAGCAGGAAATAATATGAATTCAAAGGGACTGGACCCGGGCCTCTATGCACAGCACTCTGACATTTATAACACCACCATCCAGAATACTGGGATGATAAGTACAAATTCTAAATAATTTGGTAAAGTTGGTTTATCAAACCAAGTTTAGAAAGAGGCAGCCAGGAAAGAAACAAAGCACTTAAAGGCAATTAATGACAGACTCTCTAAAGTGCAGTTTCTCTACAAAACATTCTCTCACAACTCAGAATTTCTCAAAGCTGCAGATAAGTAGATATTGTCAACTCTTTATAGTCCTTCCATCTCAACTGTCCACCCATCCATGAATTCCCACCACAAACCTCACTTTGAACAGAGAGAAAGAAGAGGCAGAGAGAGGAGAGAGAGCACTACCATAACAGTCCCTTTGAGATTGAAAGAAGTGGAGTGATTAGCTGCCAAAGAGATAAAGATGCTTCAGCTGAAAAGATTAGTAGAGCGTTGAAGGGAAGGATGAAGCTGTAGAGCAGAAGAAAAGGCATAGATAGTGCCTGGAGTCAGAAAACATTCTGGCTTCCTTCCTAGTATGTACCCTGGGAATTGCATGAGTCTCTTTCCCTATCAGTTTCATTTTCTTCTCTGTATCAAGAGTGTAAAATATCCAACTAAGGAGACAGTATGAGGAACAAATGTACCAAGTATTAGACTATTAATATATATTAATAAATTAAATATTGAAACTGTGATAATTAAATAAAAATAATGCCCAGTACTATTGACAAGGGAATGGAAAGTAACTAAATAAACATAGCAACATATGTGAAAGTGCCCAGAACTATTCCTTGCACAGATGGAGACTTAAATAATTTTGTTAAAGAAGAGAACAATTATAAGCTTAAAGCAACAATTACGAAGTTTGGCTCTAATTCGGAAAGCATGTCCAAGCAAAAAAAAAAAAAGTCCCTTAATCCTAATATCTTTAAATTGTTTTTTACATACATAGAAGCAGATGTGTCGGAGTATAATTTAATTACAGAATGGTCTTTGTTCTCTATTTCCAATTCGATTTAGCAAAACTTTTCAGAACACCTGCTCTAGGCAAGAAATGGCAAGGAATACAAAGATAAGTAAGAAATGGTCCTTTCTTTCAAGAAATTTCAGTCCCAAAGGAATTATGTGGCTGCTATACAAAGAGTTATAATGATAGATAGACCACTTCAGTCTCCCACCTGTGTGTCTGGAAATTTTATTACTGTAAAGTCATTGTCTCACAAGAAACTGAAGGTACAGATTACCATCTCCATCCCACAAGGCGGAATTTGGCCTTGAAAATCTGGTGGCACATATACACCATGGAATACTACGCAGCCATAAAAAAGAATGAGTTCATGGCCTTTGCAGGCCATGAAGCTGGAAACCATCATTCTAAGCAAACTAACACAGGAACAGAAAACCAAACACCCCATGTTCTCACTCATAAGTGGGAGTCGAGCCATGAGAACACATGGACACAGGGAGGGGAACATCACACACCAGGGCCTGTTAGGGGATGGGGGGCAAGGGAAGGGAGAGCGTTAGGACAAATACCTAATGCATGCGGGGCTTAAAACCTAGATGACAGGTTGATGGGTGCAGCAAACCACCATGGTACATGTATACCTATGTAACGAACCTGCACGTTCTGCACATGTATCCCAGAACTTAGAGTATAGTAAATAAATTTTTTAAAAAAGAAAATCCTTACTGTACCCAAGGTGGGTAGAGAACAGGAAAATCCTCTATTTCTGACATTTCAGAGTGACTAACAGATGAATAGCAAGAGGGGGTGCAATTTTATCTGAATAGTTAAAACTATACAAAGAGAGACAAAATTAAAACAGATGCAGAGGGAAATCTCCTCAAAATTCTCTGAAATTTAGGACAGAGGTACTTCTGGGCCAACATGTATAGGGCTCTGGGCCCAACCCTGCCTTTCTCAGACCTGCTTGGTTTGATCTATTCTTCATATAATGCTGTGTCAGATTTTACTGGGGAGGGGCAGAGGATGCATTTGAAAACCACTGACTAGTGGTATCACATGGCAAGGTTGTGGAACGCATTAAAAACAACCTGCCAGCCTAACTCAAAATTGAAACACCCTTCAAGGGTACACTGAAACATATCTTTACTTTATTCACATGAGGGTGGCTTGTATAAACTGTACCATCTGCAGTGAAAAATACTTTCCACTGTTGTTTTAGAAAGAGACTGCTTTTAACATGCCATGTCTGCAGAATAAATTCAACTGTTTGTTGACAGGAATTTACTTAGAATAAACAAAAATCATGATGTGTGTTGTGTGTATCACACATGTCACAGGCCTCACTGTCTTTGGGAACAAACGAGGTCATATTGATGTCAATTACCTGTCACTGGATAGTTAGCCCCATTTGTTGGCACAAGACCCCAGGCCCCTCTTCAGAGTCTCTTCACATTCCAGGAGTCCTCAGGAAGTAATACATGTATGCTTAAAAAGAAACTGGCTCATTGTCTTCTACTCTGCCTGCCTCGGGATGTCTGATGCCCTCAAGCCACTGTCCAGGGTGCTTTTCTGGGTGCTACAAAAGCACCAAAGGTGCTTAAACCCCAAGGTTCACAAAGACCTTTATGGGGGAAAAAAAAAGCCCCTTCTGCTTCTGATTGCCACCTCTCATTACAATGGCAGTCATACCTCTTTTCTGAATCCAGGCTGAGTATCAGACTATGCTCTCCTCCTCCACTTTCCCGTCTTTCATTCCTGTGGTCCCAGACAATTTATGTGAATGGGGAGGACTGGGCTACTGGCTCCAGGAGTAATCTCAGGGACCGTGTTGACTCTATGCAAAAGGGAAAACTTACAGGAGAAAACCTAACTGTGGTTTAAATAATAAGATCTTTATTATTACCAACAAGTCTGGAGGAGAGTCCCAAGGTTGGTTCAGTGTCTCAGAAACATCAAGTTTCTAAGCTCTTTCCATCTTTTCCATTCTACCATGCTTAGCGTATTGACTTTCCCTCCCTGGCTTATCGCCGCAGTCTCGAGATGGCTGCTGCAATTCCAAATATCTTGTCCTACCGCTGTCTTGAAAGGCAGGAAAGAAGATGAAGTTGGAAGCCATCATTTTCAGCAAACTAACACAGGAACAGAAAACCAAACACCGTATGTTCTTACTCATAAGCGGGAGTTGAACAATGAGAACACATGGACACAGCTAGGGGAACAACACACACTGGGGCCTGTTGGGGGTTGGGGGTTAGGGGAGGGAGAGCATTAGGACAAATACCTAATGCATGCGGGGCTTAAAACGTAGATGATGGATTGATAGGTGCAGCAAACCACAATGGCACATGTATACCTATGCAACAAACCTGAACATTCTGCACAGGTATCCCGGAACTTAAAGTAAAATTTAAAAAAAAAAAGGCAGGAAAGAAGGGAGAAAAATTTTAAAAGTTCTCAATGTATACATTTCTGTTTGAGTAAAGAATATTTTTCCAAGAAGCTCCGAAGAAGACTTCCCCATAAATCTTACTGCCTGAAGCTTTGTCACATGATCACCGCTAGTTACAAGAGAGTCTGGCAAGAGATGATCTGGTGTTTCGTCCTCAATTCTTGGAGAGAGATGAAGGAGTAGAAGAATGTATGGTTTCTTCTGCCGTGATGTCCAAAATGACTTCTATGTGAGAGTGGTACTGGGATATGAACCCCTGTGAATGATATTTGGGCCACAAATAGACTACTTAAGAGTTAGACAATATCCAGATTACTGACCATTCACACAGAGTTGGTTGTGTGTGGTTTAGACTGAGAATCTAAATTATAGTACTTATCTAGGTGGCATTTGCTTAGTATCGTGGTGACATTTTGAAAGGTAAACACAAATAAGGCTAACCCATTGCAAAATGAGGCCTATGAGTAGCAGATTACATGACAGGAGCAGAATATTTGCAAATGTCATTGTAAAAAAGACAAAAATTGATGACTTGTGAAGAAAGCAGCTTGCTCATAAATTGCTTTCAACTAAGGCCTCCCTATATCTGTTAGCCACTCTACTGGAATTTGAGATTATTCCCTCTGTTGAGTTGTACAAAAGAAATGAACATCAGAAATAGTCTATTCTCTAATACAATCTGTACAACTTGGGGCAAAAGAGGTTTACTGATAAAAAATGATGTTCTAGTTTTTCTAGGCACTTCCTCTAGGTTTCAGCTAACAGTAGAGCAGGATTCACTTGGCCTATTTTCTCCTCAATTCTCTGATCACTACTCTCTTCTCACCTCCTCCAAACTACACCTAACACATACATAATTGCACGTGCTCTCTCTCTCTCTCTCTCTCTTACATTTCTACTCCAGAATGTTTCCTTTTTCATGGTTCTTTCTTATTTTGGGCTTTCCTCCATTGCCACCTGGGAAACTTACATGCCTTTCACCATCTTTTTTTATCTTTCTTGTTCTTCCAGTTCTCTTGAAGGCCTAGCAATATCTACAAGACAAGCATATGTTATGAGAATAGGACGGCTGCAATATTGGTCCTTGAGATCAAATTGAAGATTGCAGTTGGACCTGTCTCCATCCATTATGGAAGTTAGCAAGTTGTCCATATGGACACAGATGGGGAATTAGGATCAAGTTATAGGCCTGGAAATGTCAGAGGCCCAGTAATTTGGGAGCAGAGCCAAATGTGCAGGCACAGCAAGGAGCTCTACTGCATAACTGGCGGGCCCACTGTAAGATGCCGTGCACAAGAAAGGGGACTAGGGCAGGGACCAAAAGCCTGTTACCAAGACTTAATCCTGAAACAAACTCCGTGTAGTGGACAGAGCAAGACCATGGACCCTGGAACAAAGTGGGTGTCTTAGCAAGGAGAATCCTTTTAAACAGGACACTGAATTAAGTGTTTGACACAAAGGAGAAGAGAGAAGAAAAAAGACAAAGACTGCACTAAGACAATAGTTCTTAGCTCAAAATTTCCTTGAATGCTCTTGTTTTATCTAAAAAATTTATGAAACTATGTATGTATTCCAAAATATGCATGTGTTTATTATAATATAAAAAGGTTTTAACAATGCGACATCCAGAAAATGAATGCACCATTTTTATCCTTGATTTTCAGTACACTCCGGGCATACAGCTGTAGGCTCCCATGCAGTCTCTCATAAGTCCTAGTGACACTGAATCCAGTGGCCCACAGCCATTCCCTTCTTGTTAACATGCCCTGTTGTGTCTTCCTTCCCTTCCCTGTCTCACTTCCCCACTCCCCTACCAGTGTTTCCTAGAATTACCTCTACCTATTAGACTCTTTGTACTCAAATTCTTATTTTAGCATCTGCTTCTGGGGGAACCCAACCTGTCTAGTACCTAATATGTTGCCTGGAAGGTAACAAGTACTGAAGATGTGCTGGTTGAAGAAAAGAAAACCCATTTCCAATTTTCCCCAGGAGGGGACTGTTTGGCTGGGTTCTTGCAACTTTAAGCATGACTTTCCAGACCAGCAGAGTCCTCCAAGCCTTGCACTGGAAACAAAAAATGACAAGAGAGGTGTATCACTCAAAGTTCCCAAGAGGAGTCCAACAAATAGGAGAATACACACACACACAGACACACACACACGCACACACACACACACACACGAGAGAGAAGAGAGATTTTAAGGATTTGGCTCATGTGACTGGGGAGGCTAGCAAGTCCAAAGTCTATAAAGCAGAGCAGCAAGCTGAATGTTCAGTTAAAAAAAAGTTGATATTGCAGTCTTGAATCTGAAATCCATAGGACAGACCAGCAGGCTGAAAACTCAGGCAGATTTTCTATGTTCCAGCTTTAAGGAAGAATTCCTTCTTCTCTAGAAAACCTCAGTTTTTGCTGTTAAGGCCCTCAACTGATTGGATGAGTCCCACCCACATTATGGAGGGTTGTTTTACTTGAAGTCAACTGACTGTAAATGTTTTTCACATCTACAAAAATACCTTTATAGCAACACCTAGATTACTGTTTGACCAAACAACTGGGCGCCATAGCCTAGCCAATTTGACACACAATTTTAACCATCCCAACAGATACAACAGGTTCATGACATAGCCCTTTACCTGGTCATACCTGGCCCTTGTCCTGGTCATACCTTCATCCCAGAGTCTTATTTTACTGTGGCCCCTCTCTTCATCTCCCTGACATCTGCTAGTGGCTCTGTGGCTCTCTGCCCTGCTGTGTTGTTCTTCTGTCCGTGAATTCTCTGCTGAATTGGACTCCACTCTTGGGGACTGACTTCTTGAGCGGGGTCCAAAGTCCCTTCCAGAATGCCCCCCCCGCAGGAATTTCAATCCAGTGATTTGTTGTGTAGAGCCTCAAACAAAGTGTGAGATTCTTTCCAGATTCCCCAAACAAAATGAAGTTTAGTTCATGGAACTACACATAAAATATATGTCAAATAGCACTTTTGTTAACGAAAAGGAAAGGTGGCAAAATCAAACTGCAGCCCCTGGGGAGAAGGGGAATGACAGCTGTGATTTATCACTAGCATTTTTGTCAGAGCATTTTTTAATGCCGTTACTTACTGTCAAAGCATACTAGAAACACTTTGAAAGCGCACCACTGACACATTACATCAGATAAATAAATGTTTCCATCTCAACTGACTCATTCGCTGGAACAACTTCACTTGACAATACAAATAAAGAAAGAGGACAGGAAATGTGGATGCTTAAAAAGTACATTTTTTGGTTTTCAGGGTGAGTGAAGATGTAACATTTTTTATAAATTTTAAGAATTATTTTTATATTCCTGAAACAAGAGCCATCAAAATTAGAACAAACTTGGGAAGTCAAAAATTTCATCTCCTTTTGACAAGAGTGAAATGTATTCTTTCCAAGGGTAAAATTAAGAGAATTGCTTCGAGTCACACAACAAGATGGAGGCAGAGTTCCAAGTTCAAAGCCAAATTTTCTGACAGTTTGTCCTGTGATTTTCTACTATCTTGGTGTGGGTGACTTGTTACTGTGTCTTTTCTTTTCTTTTCTTAATTTTTCTTTTTTCTGCTCCCTGCACAGATCCACAGAAAGAAACTAATGTATCTCATTTAACCCTTGTAACACCTCACAAGGTAGGGGTTATTTTCTCTAATTTTAACAGACTAGATAATGAACACCTGAAAGGTAGATAACTTGTCAAAAGTCACAATAAAGTCCAGAATAACAGCTGGGATTTGCATGCAACTTGTTCACATTTCTTCTCTGGGACAAATCAGAGTAATTTTTGCCTCACAAATGTTCAGGTTTCACTTTTCTCTAACAAGCCCAACTGGTGATGAAATTGACAATTCCAGAAGTTTTCAGAACTCCTCCTTTCTAACAGTGACTATATTTAAATTCGATAACTTCTATTGACTGAAAAGCTTATAAAGTATAAAAGAGGAGAATATTTCCCTTTTTCCATTGTGCATTCTTCACATCTCTGGGAAAACTTCCTCTGGACATCTAATATCTTCCTCTACATTATTAATTTCTAGATATTAGAAGAATAATAAGATTTTATTACATCTTAGAGATGCAATCTTAAAATGTCAGAAACATGATTAATAAAGAGAAAAGAATGTGGGGCTTTGCAGCTTGATAATACTATTTTGAGCTATTCTTTTTGAAAATATATAATATTTTCTCTAATAAATGGATAGACCTAAGGGTCGGTTTTGCTATTTCTCACTTCAAAGATAATAATAAAATTTAGAGAATTGTTAGTTTTGTAACAGAGAGCAATTATTTCTTCAAGCTATTTCTTGATTTAAATAAGCCTTATTAGACTTTGAAGTACCTTTGCATTTATCCAAGAGACTATTGTTTCCTTGGAAGGATAGTTATGAGTCCAACTTTTTTCTTTAGTAACTAAATGACCTTGTCAGAGACACTGGGATATTGTTATGTTCAAAACAATTATTTGGAAGAATCTGATTTAGATGTAAACGGGATACATTTTCTAGGCTCTGCAAAGAATGGAGATGATACAAGCAGAAGGGTATAGTGATCATGAGTTTGGAGCTTATGGTCAGGTAGACACAGGTTAGATACTGCTACGGTATAGATGCTTATCCCCTCCAAACCTCATGCTGAAATTTGATCCCCAGTGTTGGAGGTGGAGCCTAAATGGAGAGCTGTCTGGGTCTTGGGGCTGATCCCTCATGAGGAGATTAATACCCTCCCTTGGGGGTGAGTGAGTTCTCTCTTTATTGGTTCTCATGAAAGCTGGTTGTTGCTTCCTCTGTTGCCATGTGCTCTCTGCACATACCACCTCCCCTTCATGAGGTCTTCACCAAATGCAGATGCCCAATCTTGGACTTTCTAGCCATTGAAATTGTGAGTCAAATAAAACTGGTTTTTTTTTTGAGGTGGAGTTTCATCATGTCCTCCAGGCTGGAGTGCAATGGCGTGATCTCGGCTCACTGCAACCTCTGCCTCCCAGGTTCAAGTGATTCTCCCCACTCAGCCTCCCAAGTAGCTGGGATTACAGGAACTTGCCATCATGCCCAGCTAATTTTTGTATTTTTGTAGAGACAGAGTTTCACCATGTTGGCCAGGCTGGTCTCAAACTCCTGACTTCAGGTGATCCGCCTGCCTCGGCCTCCCAAAGTTTTGGGATTACAGGTGTGAGCCACTGTGCCTGGCCTAACTTTTTTTTTCTTTTTTTAATAAATTACCCAGCCTCAGGTATTCTTTTATAGCAATGCAAAACAGACAGAGACAGATACCCAAGATCTTACCAGTTGTATGATCCTGGGTATTTTTCTAAGGCTCTTTACACCTCAGTTTTCTCATATATAAGATGTGGATAATAATGCTTCCTGCCTTATAAGGTTATTACCAGAATTAAATAAAACACTGAGTGTCAAGTGCTTAGAAGCATGCCTGGTCCCTGGTAGGCCTCAGCGAATGTTTAAACCAGTGCTTCTCAAACTTTGGTGAGTGTTAGAATCATCTAGAGAACTTGATAAAAATATGAAGACTAGGGGCCTAGTCTATTTCAATGAGGTTGAGACTTTGTACTCTATTAGATTTCTAAGTGGATACAGTGTCAATATCTATTTGATACTGATACATATCAAAGATTGAGAACTGCTGGTTTAAACAGCGACAAAAAACACTTGTTCATCTTTTAAATATTCCAGGTATTTTGTTTAATGCCAAGAACACAAAGAAGAATGTATCAGTTAGGGCTCAGTTACAAAAAACAAAAACCACCCTAGCTTTCTTAAACAGAAAGAAATTTGATCCAGACCATTAAACACAAGGTAGTTGGAAAGTCTTGGGAGCTAGTTATAGACTTCCTTTCCAAAAATAGCTCTCAGAATCACACTGCCAAGGTGGCCCACCAAGGCAGCTGCTATCTTCACCATGATCAGGGGGAGGAGGAGTCAGAAGACAGCCATCAAGAACTGTTGAGTTTGAGGATACACTGCCTTAGCTGCCACCTACTGATCAAGAGGCTACCTCAACCACCGCAACTCTCTCAATACCCTCTGAACTGGGAACTGGATACTGCCATGCTGCTGCAGAAAAACACAGCACCTCCACGACTGTGCTTGTTCCGGCAACACATGCAACAGCTGAAGATGGCCCCTGCCTCACTTCCACCTTTGAAATCTTACATGAGGTCATCTAATTGGGGGATTTAATTTACATTTGCAGACTGGAAGAAAACAATTTTTTTAATTTTATAAATTTTTAATATTTATTATTTGCACATGATAATCATATTTGTGGGGTACAGTGTGATTTTTCAATACATGTATGCATTGCAAATTGATACAACACAGGTAGCTAGCACGTTCATCACCTCAAAGTTTTATCATTTCTTTGTAGTGATAACTTTTAAGATCTTCTTTTTTAGCTGTTTTGAAATATACAATGCAAATGCCCATTAATCAACAAGTGGATAAAGAAACTGTGGTATACATGTATGATGGAATACTACTCAGCCATAAAAAAGAATGAATTAATGGCATTTGCAGCAACCTGGGTGGGATTGGAGACTACTATTCTAAGTGGAGTAACTCAGGAATGGAAAACCAAGCATCATATGTCCTCACTCATAAGTGGGAGCTAAGCTGTGAGGATGCAAAAGCATAAAAATGATGCAATGGACTTTGGGGACTCAGGGAGAAAGGTGGAAAGGGGATAAGGGATAAAAGACTATTTTGGATTCAGCGTATACTGCTTAGGAGACGGGTGCCCCAAAATCTCACAAATTATCATTAAAGAACTTACTTATGTAACCAAATACCACCTGTTCCCCAAAAACCTATGGAAATAAAATTTAAAAAAAAGAAATATACACAATGCATTGTTACTTGCTATAGTCACCTTACTATGCAATAGAAATCCAGAACTCTTTCTTACTATGTATCTTTCCCCATCTCTTGACCCCCTCCCCGCCTTGGCCTCTGGTAACCACTATTCTACTCTCTAATTCTGCGAGGTCAACTTTCTTTAGATTCCACCTTTGCATGAAATCATGTGGTATTTGTCTTTCTGCGCCTGGCTTATTCCCCTTAACATTATGTCCTCCAGGTACATCCATGTTGCCACAAGTGACAGGATTTCATTCTTTTTTATAGCTGAAGAATATTCCCTTGTGTGTATATATACCAAATTTTTTATTCATTCATCTACTGACAGACAATTAGGTTGATTCCATTTCTTGGCTGTTGTGAATAGTCATGCAGTAAACACGGCAGTGCAGATATCTGAAAGAGAACATTGTAAGCTCTCTGGCAGTACAGAACCAGGCGCGGGAAGGAGGTTGGAAGGGATTCTGAGTGTCAGTCTACCATATTCACCATAGATGATTGTATTAGTCTGCAAGGGCTGCCATAACAAAGTATCACAGCCTGGGTGGCTTCAGCAATGGAAATTTATTTCTCATAGTTCTGGAGGCTAGAAGTCTAAGACCGTGATGCTATCAGGATTAGTTTCTCCTCAATCCTCTCTCCTTGCCTACAGACAGCTGCCTTCTTAATGTATCCTCACGTGACCTTTTACCTGTGGGCATGAGCACTCCAGGTATCTCTTCTTATAAGGACACCATTCCTATTGGATTAGGGTCCCACTTTTATGAACTCATTTAACTTTAATTACTTCTTTAAAGGCCCTGTTTCCCAATAGTCATATTGGGGGTTGGGGCTTCAATGTATGAATCTTTGGAGGAGAGAATTCAGTCCATAACAATGAGTAAGACAGACCTCTGCACTGGAAGAATTTGCCCCAGGAGAACAGGTTATAAAAACACATAGACACAGTTGCAGGTGCTAAATGTCACAAATGAAGTATCTAGACATTATGGTGAAAACAGCACAAGATGTAGGTGAACCTTTGGTGATGAGTTATATTTTTCTGTACAGAGCTTATAAGTAGAACTCCTTACCCTTATTAGTTCTTATTTTCCATTCTAGATGTAGGGTTCTAATGCAAACTCTAGTGTTTAATAGTGAGGAAAAGAGATGGTACAAGACGTACCTGTAGGTGGTTGCTGAAATTCTACACAAACTTCCACTCCTTTGACTTCAAGAGTAACCTAGTTGTGGAAGGAAGGCAAGAGAGCTTTTCTCACTAGCACCCTGTTTATTAATTGAAAAATACATAATAAAGGGTAACGGTATTGAACATTCAATGAGAAATACATGTATATCTCCTTTAGGCCTTATCTCAGAATTATCTAGACTTTACAGCTACTATGGTCTGATTATTTGTGTCTTGTTAAAATTCAAACATTGAAATCTAATCACCAAGATATTGGTATTAAAAGATGGGGCCTTTGGGAGATGATTAGGTTATGAGGGCTCTGCCTTCAAGAATGAGATTAATACTCTTATAAAAGAGGCCCCAGAGAGACACTGTCCTTTATATCATGTGAGGATGCAGCTGGAAGTTCCCATCTACGAATCAGAAAGTCGCCAGAAACCAAATCTGCTGGCACCTTGATCTTGGACTTCAGAGCCTCCAGAACCGTGAAAAATAAATTTCTGTTGTTTATAAATTATCCAGTCTAAGGTATTTTTGTTATAGCAGTTTTCACTGAGTAAGCCAACAGCTGAGGAAACTAAGTGACTTACCATGGATCACATGGAAGAAAATGGGAGAACTTGGATTTGAATCAGGGCCATCTATTTCCAATGACTCATTTCTTGTGCCAGAAATTCTTATCCTCTGTCCTTCTGACTTGTCCAGGATTCTAACTCTTAAAGATCATTGCAGGAAGCATCCCAATCCTGCAGTTAAAACCTTTGTACCAATAGCTGACTTTTTTTCCCTCTACTTTATTTCTACTTTTTAATCTTTTTGCTGTCCTTTGAATATTTACCTGTAAAATCATTTGGTGCTAATTTTATTTTTTACATCCTTTCATGCACTGGCTCTGCTTATTTTATTCAGTCTTCTTTTTTCCAATGTCTCTGTTTGTCTTATACTTAATAGGACTTTCTTTCCATGTAACCCTTGATGGCAACTTTGAACTTAGTGTTCTAGAGGAAAGAGATCTAATTAAGGCTATGTGCTTTAGACACTCAAATATTCACTTAACACATATTTTTTTGGATTAAATATGGATTAAATATGGATTAACACATATTTTTCACGTGCCATGCTCTGTCCTAGACACTGGGGATTCAGCAGCAAACAGGATGGCCAAAGAACCTGATCTTATTATGCTTATACCCCGTGGAGGAAATGGACTGTAAACACATAACTGAATTTTTTTTAAGGTGACCAGTTTAGATAACCATGGTTGTTTTGAAGAAAATGAAACCTGATGATGGAGTAAAGTCTGATATGTGGGTTGAGTGGTCAGGGGTTGTCTCTGAGGTGATGACATTCAACAAGGCTGGGCCAAGCTACATTAAATTATTTTCATCATCCAAATAGTACGTACATAAAGGTAGTTACTGCTTGTGTGAACAAATAAAAAACAAAGAAAACAAAGCCCCAGGTTCTAGTGATGAAAGGTTAAGTAGCTATGAGCAGACCGATGAATAAATGTGGACAAAACCAGACCTTTCTCATTTGGTACAATCTCCTGCTTTAGTAGGTTTTTTTCTCCTGTTTTCAGGGCACCGGGGATTTCTTTGCAAATCTCCCAGACAGATGAGTGTGAATCCTTAAAACTAAAAGTGATGGGTGGGCTGGGCGTGGTGGCTCACGCCTGTACTCCCAGCACTTTGGGAGGCCGAGGAGGGCGGATCAGAAGATCAGGAGGTCGAGACCATCCTGGCTAACACGGTGAAACCCTGTCTCTACTAAAAATACAAAAAATTAGCCGGGCGTGGTGGCAGGCCCCTGTAGTCCCAGCTACTCAGGAGGCTGAGGCAGGAGAATGGCGTGAACCCAGGAGGCGGAGCTTGCAGTGAGCAGAGATCACGCCACTGCACTCCAGCCTGGGAGACAGAGCGAGACTCCGTCTCAAAAAAAATAAATAAATAAAAGTGATGTGTGAATATTCCCTCCTAATAGTAATCAGTAGAGCTCAAGGCTTAGTGTTCTAGAGACCCTGCCATTATACTGAAATTTTAAAATTGTTATCGTAATGAGCATTTACATATATAATACATCTCATTATGCTGACAGTATGCTAGCTTCTGATTAAAAGTTGCAGCTAGATTGCTTCAGCCCTTTCTTTTACATGATATTTTCCCTTCAACTAATTTTTGATTATATGAGTTGTGCTATTTCATATCTAACTAAGCTATGTTCATTTATTAAGCCAGTAATCATCAAAATCTGTGGCTTAAATTTTCAATTGTAGTCTGTGTAGAAATAAATTGTTATTTGATGATAATACAGATTTTACTGGGTTCATGACTAGAAATCTAGATTATAAAAAATTCAGGCAGTCATATGATATTTACAAATAGCTATATGTTTGCCATTATGTGGCTAAAATACCCAGACAATTGACTGTTTGGTTTGGTTTTTTGGTTTTGGTTTTGTTTTTATTCAATTTTCCTCCAGATGATTCAGAGTAGATGCATCCAAGGAAATCTTTGAATTTTAAGTGCTCAATTTTCATGGCATATTACAAACTTCTACAATCAGCATGAGTCATCAGCTTTTCTCAGAAAGAATGGTTACTCTAAAGACTAGGATCTTGGTTTCTCAGTCAGTATTATTAGGAATTCTTTGATCTTAATCTTGCGTGTAACCTTTGCTCCTTAAAATGAGCTTCTGAATTTTAAACACAAAATGAAAATACTGAGGAAAACATTAAACAAATAGATGATTAAGACTTTAATGGCTTTATCATTCAGCTAAGTGTTTTCCTTCCTCATGAGGCCAAGCAAAACAAAAAACAGCTGAAAGGAAAAATCAAACACATCATCTAAGATTGTTTCCTGTGATCTCATGAAGATTGGGAAAGAACTGCTAAGTCTCCTGTTCTCTTCCGGAATGAATTTATTCTGACGAAATCATGCTAGTCAATATTCCCTAGGTTTGAAGTATATGGAATAAATGTCTTTCCGGAGCCACCAAAGGCTTCTGAGCTGATAGAATGGTGTCTTGTGATATGGCAGACAGAGACCTGGACTTGGATTAAGGGAATCAGGCTCTCATGTCAGCTCTGCTGCAAATTAGGGGTATAACCCTTTGGGTCTGTGTCTCATTTGAAAATATGATGTGGCTAGACAAGATGATCTTTCAAGATCTTCCATCAAAAATCTATGACGGGCTGGGCGCAGTGGCTCATGCCTGTAATCCCAGCACTTTGAGAGGATCACTGGAGCCCAGGAATTTGACACCAGCTTGGGCACAATGGCAAAACTACATCTCTACAAAAAATACAAAAAAAAAAAAAAATTAGCTGAGTGTGGTAGCACAGCTGTACCCCCAGCTACTCAGGAGGCTGAGGTGAGAGGATCACTTGAGCCCAGGAGGTCAAGGGCTGCAGTGAGCCATGATTCTGCCACTGTACTCCAGCTTGGGTGACAGAGCAAGACTCTATCTCAATAAAATAAACTCTATGATGCTGTAAAGCTAACAAGAAGTCCAGCAGCTCAACAATACCATATTGTAAGAAAGGAGATATTTGCTAATGTGATGGAAGAATCCATTATTAAAAAGCATCAGTTGACTTTTCTAGTATTCTTCTATCTATTAAGTGTCATAAATATGAGATAATTACAATATAAAAGATTAATGTGGGGCTGGGCACAGTGGTTCATGCCTGGAATCCCAGAACTTTGGGAGGCCGAGTCGGGTGGATCAGGAGGTCAAGAGTTTGAGACCAACCTGGCCAACATGGTGAAACCCTGTCTCTAAGAATACAAAAATTGGCTGTGCATGGCGGCACATGCCTGTAATCCCAGCTACTCAGGAGGCTGAGGCAGGAGAATTGCTTGAATCTGGGAGGCAGAGGTTGCAGTGAGCCGAGATCACACTTGTGCACTCTAGCCTGGGCGACAGAGCAAGACTCTGTCTCGGGAAGAAAAAAAAAAAAATTAATGCAAGTAATAATGAAATACCGATTAACCTAGGGACAGAAGGTAATGATTATACAGATGAAAATAACAAATTGATAGGCATTGGAGTAGTAACATCTCCTACTGCTCAGACGTAGTTCTGTTACCTTTATGGAGCAACAACAAAAAAACTACACTATGCTCTGCCTGTAGGTCTAAATAACAACATATCTCAAGAGACTTTCTTGGTCAGCTAAACATTTAGTCCTCCGATTTTCAGTTTCCTTATTAAAGCATTTGGATCTTGCGGATCTGACTAATCAGAATGATTTAGAATTTCTTGTTCTCGATTTCTTATCTATAAAATAAGGGGTTTCACCACAATAACGGTAAGATTCCCAAAATCTCTAAAATTCTGAGATTTTATATTTTTGAATGGTTTGAAAATCTGGACTCAAAATTAAATTCAACCAATCTAAGGAGTGTATGCTATCAGCTATGCAGAGCTGGAAAGAGAAATACCTTGCCAGTAAGCAAAATGGCTTCCTAAATGTGAAATTATTTCAGGGATCTAAAATAAGACACTTCCGAGTGTTATGTTTTCCCTTCCCTCCAGAAAAATCTCTCCTACTGCCTTACTTATAGAATTAGAGATTCATCTGTTTAACTTATCTTCTGATAAAATACAAATGCCTCTGGAAAGGTCACACATTTAACATTATCAGCCATTCTTTCCTTTGTTGAATGATTTTTTTTTTATTTGACCCTGTCTTCTTACAAAAAGGATTTGAAGCTGCTTATTAGGAATGAGTTAAGCAAATGCATTTCTGAGATCAGATGTGATGAAAGCCCACAGGAGCCAGGGAAGAATGTAGGAAGAAGGACGCCACCAGCGAGAAAAGCTCTATGTAAATTTCAAAGGGCTATAAAAGTATTAGAGATCATTACCAATAACAGGGCAAGACTGGATGCTTAAAGATAAACCTGGCCTATTTCCCAGTAACTTCAACAGGTCAGATTACTCTTCCTTCTTCTTATGGGGCTTAATGTTCCTTGTCTAATTCTTTGGACATCTTATTAAGCAGAAATCTATTCATAATTTGCTCTTTACCTTCCTCATGTTGTTTTCTTATTTCCTGAATGGAACAAAATTCTATTAGTCACAGTTCTGCCTCAAACCATATTTACACAGTCTCATGATCTTCCCCATTTCCTGGAAATGCAAAGATCCTTTCTCTGTCTTTGCATAAATAGGTATCTATTAAGCTCAGGAAGGAAAAAATGACTTTAATTTTAAATGGCTCCCTCAACACTGCCAGAGCTTATAGTAGCCCAATGGGGATAGTTCCAGAGTAATCAGCAAAGAAAAGTAAAAGTCTATTTTTCAAAGATAAAGTTTTAGCCACACATAAAAGCTGCCAGAAGTTTTTTAATGGGACTATAAAGATTACACATGGTTTAAGTCACAAGGACAACATAAACTTAAGAAAGAAAGGAAAAGGCAGTTTTGAACCAAGAGAATTGTTCTGAAAACATCCCACCTTACTGGAAGATGCCAGCCCAAGAAGAAAATCTACCATGGGGACAGAGAGCCAAGAGAGAGAAGCAGGCTTCTTGGTGTAGGAAGCTGGCCTTTTGGAGTAGCCTTTTTGGCCCTGCTAGTAGAACCTAATCTTTTATTTACTTATTTATTTATTTTAGACAGGGTCTCACTCTGTCACCCAGGCTGGAGGGCAGTGATGAGATCACAGCTCACTGTAGCCTCAATCTTCTGGGCTCAAGTGGTCCTCCCACCTCAGCTTCCCAAGTAGCTGAGAATATAGGCATGTGCCATCATGCCTAGCTAATTTCTAATGTTTTTGTAGATACAGAGTCTCACTATGTTGCCCAGGCTGGTCTCAAATTCCTGGGCTCAAGTGATTCTCCCACCTGGGCCTCCCAAACTGCTGGGATTATAAGCATGAGCCACCCACTCAGCCTATAACCTAATCTTGAACACATAATTAAACTATTCTATTAAGAAACTTTTAAACCACTACGTAACTACTGACCTGAATTAGCAGTCTTTAAAACAGGACTGTGGGATCAGGATTAGAAGTTCTATTTATATGCATTTATCTTAAAAAAATGAAATTAGCCTTCATTATTGTATTAGTCTGTTCTCATGCTGCTAATAAAGACATACCCAAGACTGGGTAATTTATAAAGAAAAGAGATTTAATGGACTCACAGTTCCACATGGCTGGGAGGCCTCACAATCATGGCAGAAGGTGAATGAGGAGCAAAGTCAAATCTTATATGGTAGCAGGCAAGAAAGAGTGTGTGCAGGGGAACTCCCCTTTATAAAACCATCAGATCTTGTGAGACTTATTCACTATCATGAGAACAGCATGGGAAAGACCCACCCCCATGATTCAGTTACCTCTCACCAGGTCCCTCCCACGACACATGGGAATTATGGGGGCTACAATTCAAGATAAGATTTGGGTGGGGACAATTGTTATTTACTAGAAGCATGGTCCACACTCAGTCACCTATTCTCTAGCCATGTTGCCCACTCAGCATGGGAGGTGTACTGGTGGAAGAATCCCATGAGGAGCTGACAGTGGTAGCCACATGTACTTCACTTTCAGCAGTTTGAGGCACGTGGGCTTCAGCCAGGGGAAGTAGATTTACAGAGGTATGCTCAAATTTCAGTTAAATCAACCTTCCCAAGTGGAACAACAACAAAAAAAAGATGTTGCAGAGAAATCATAGACCAACTCTATCACGTTAATAATGCAAGGATGCACACAAAATGGCAAATCTGTTATTTTGTGACTACCTAGTACAAGCCCTTTATCAGTCACATGACAATTTGTAAAAGAAATGTTGTAGAGAAATATATGACTAGAAGTTGGCCAAAATTTCTCAAAAATATTAATGTCTATCTGAAATATAGGTTTATATCCACTCTCACAAATGATAATCTTCTTTGTAAATGTATCTTGTGTGTGAGATATTAGTTATTGATAGTCTAGAAGCATCACAATTTGCAAGACCCTTAAAGGCTAAGCAGGCAAAAATTATGGGGAGACAGCAGAGTAGGAACCAACAGAATCTATCTTCCTACCTAGACAATAATTACACTGGCAGAATCAGTGCAATATAACTATTTTGGAACTCTGGAGTCTATTGAAGGCTTGCAAATTCCAGGTGAAGGTTAGAACAGTAAATTGCAGTCAATTTCAGCTCTTAGCTCAGCAGCAGCAATCCTACAGGGTGAAGTGAAAGGACACTGGACAGTAACTTGAATCAGTATAAAGATAAAAGATCCCAAGAAAGGTAAATACATGTGCAGTTATGAAAGGAAGTATTATTGTAACTTTTGTTTGTAATTCCACATATTGTTTTCTACATCATTTAGGAGGTGGCCAATGAAGTAAAAAAAAAATTGGTTTATGTTTTAGGGCTTACAATGTAAAAAGATAATGTCATGACATCAATAACTAAAAGAGATGGGAATAGAGTTGTTAAGGAGCAGAGTGTTTTTATGTTATTGAAGTTAAGATGGTATACATTCTAATTAGAGCATTATAACTTGCAGATATTAAATATAATCCCCAAAGAAATGACAAAGAAAATAGATATAGAATGTAAAAAAATGAAATGAGAAGGGAATTAAAACATTTCACTACAAAAATATACAACCAAACACAAAAAAAGATAGTACCACAGAAAATGAGGGAAAAAGAAAAGCTATAAGGCACATATAAAACAAACAGGAAAATGACAGAAGTAGTCCCTTCTTATCAGTAATTACTTCAAATGTGAATGGATAAAATTCTCCAATCAAGAGATAGATTGGCTAAATGGATTTTTGAAAGATCCAAATATATGCCATCTACAGGAGACTCACTTTAGATACAAAGAAAGAAATACATTGAAAATGAAAGGATAGAAAAAGATATTTCATGTAAATAGTAACCAAAAGAGGGTAAGTGTGGCTATACTTACGTAAGACAAAATAGACTTCAGATCAAAAAAATTTATAAGAGGCAAAGAAGAGCATTATATGTTAGTAAAAGGTTCAATATAGTAAGAAGATGAAGCAACTATAAACATTTATGTACCTAATAACAAATTATCAAAATATATGAGCAAAAATGAACAGAATTGAAGGGAGAAATAGACAGTTTTACAATAATAGTTGAAGATGTTAATAGCTTTCTGTCCATAGTGGACAGAACTGAAGAGAGAAATAGACAGTTTTATAATAATAGTTGAGGAAGTTAATAGCTTACTGTCAATAACGGACAGAGCAACTAGACAGAAGATAAGTAAAGAAATAGAGAACTGAACACATAATAAACCCACTAGATCTAACAGACATATACAGAACACTAACCAACAACCGCAGAATACACGTTCTTCACAAGTGCACATAAGACATTTTTCAGGATACAGCATATATTAGTTTTAATAAATTTTAAATGATAGGTATCTAAAAAGTATGTTTTCCAACTATAAGTGAATGAAATTAGAAATGAGTAACAGAAGAAAAATTGGAAAACTTATATTATTCAAAATTAAACATCATACTTTTTTTGAGTTTAGGTCTCACTCTGTCACCCAGCTGGAGTACAGTGCAGTGGCTTAATCATAGCTCACTGCAGCCTTGAAATCCTGGGCTCAAGCAATCCTTCCACCTCAGCCTCCTGAGTATTTAGGACCACAGGCACCCACCACCATGCCTGGTTATTTTTTTTTTCTTTTGTAGAGATGGAGTCTTGCTATGTTGCCCAGGCTGGTCTCAAACTCCTGGCCGCAAGCAATCCTCCCAAAGGGCTGGAATTACAGGCATGAACCACTGCCCTGGCCAACAACACACTCAAACAACCTATGGATTAAAGAGGAAATCACAAGGGTGATTTAGTGATGAATGAAAACAAAAATATGGCATACCAAAACTATGGGACACAGAAAAAGTAGTGCTAAGGAGGAAATGTATAGCTATAAACACTAATATTAAAAAGCAGAACTCAAATCAACAGCCTAACTTTACCATTTAAGGAACTAGAAAAAAGTTAAACCCAAAGCTAGAAGGAAGGAAATAAGAGTCAAGTGGAGAGAAATGAAATAGAGAGAGAAAAACAATGGAGAAAATCAATAAAATCAAAGATAGGTTGTTTGAATAGATCAACAAAGTTGACAAATCTTTAGCTAGGTTGACCAAGAGAAAAAAAGAGAGACTCAAATTACTAAAATCAGAATGAAACTGGGGACTTTACTACTAATTCTACAGAAATAAAAAGGATTACATGAACAACTGTATTATAACAAATTGAATAACCGAGATAAAATGGACAAATTCCTAGAAACACAAACCTACCAAGACCTAATCACAAAGAAATAGAAATCTGAACAGATCTATAATTAGTAAGGAGGTTAAATCAGTAATGAAAAAAATCTCCCAACAAAGAAAGCCCAGGACCTGATGGCTTTACTGGTGAGTTCTATTAAACATTTAAAGAAGAGCTAACACAGATTCTTCTCAAACTTTTTCTTAAAATTAAAGAAATGGAAACACTTCTTAATTCGTCCTATGAGGGCAGTAATACCTTGATATCAAAGTCAGACAAAGATACTACAAGAAAACTACAGACCAATATTTCTTATGAACATTGATGCAAAAATTCTTAACAGAATACCTGAAAATGGAACCCAGCAACATATTAAAAGGAATATATACCATGTCCAAGTGGAATGAGAAGATTGTTCAACATATGAAAATTGATAAATGTAATACACCATATTACTAAAATGAAGAGGGGAAAACCCAAATGATTATCTCAATTGATGCAGAAAAAGAATTTGACAAAATTCAACATTCTTTCATGACAAAAACCCCCAACAAACTAGAAATAGAAGGAAATTACCTCAACATAATCAAAGTAATATATGAAAAATGTACAGTGAACATAATACTCAAAAGTGAAAGACCAGAAGCTTTTCCTCTAAGATCAGACCTAAGACAGGGACATCTGCCTTCATCACTTCTATTAAATACAGTACTGAAAGTTCTAGCCAGAGCAATTAGGCAAGAAAAAGAAATAAAAAGCATCTATATTGACACTTCCTTTAAAATGGAGGGGGTGTGTGTGTGGATGGGGGTGTGTGTGTGTGTGTGTGTGTATCTCTGATTTCATATTGACCATTCTTCCATTAGATAAAGGAATAATATTTTTTCAGCCCGTTCTCCTCCTTTGAACATTGTATGAAAAGAAAGTAAAAGTTACCAAAGCAAATTCAAGAAATTGAGAAGAAACAGAATTGTTCTTCCTCAAAGAAGAAAATTAAATCATCTTTGAGAACAATTTGGGTCGTCTGAACTCTCTGGAAGCATTTGTATAAGACTGGATTTGCCTGTTCCAATATTTGGTAGAACTAGCTATTAAAATCATTTTGACCTGGTGGTAGTTCTTCAGTTTCCCCTTCTCCATTTTCTCCTCTTCCTTCTTTTTTAGGAGTGGTAGAATAGAGTTTTATATAATTATAGATTCAGCATCTTTAATGATTATAGGTCCCTTTGGTTTTCTATTTCTTCCTGACTCAGTTACGTGAAATTATATTTTCCTTGGAAATTGTTCACTTTATATAAATGTTCAAATTTATTTGTATAAAGTCCATATGATTCTTTTTATTATTTTGATATCTGCTTTATCTTAGTTTATCTTCCCTGTTTCATCTTAATATATTTATTTGTACTGTCTCCTTTTTAATTTTTAAAAAATTTCCCCCAAATATATCCATTGTATTAAACAAAATATTTGATTTGGTTGATTTTCTCTCTTGTATTTAACAGGAAGAGAAACTTATTTCCAAAAAAAAAAAAAAGCATCCAAATTGGAAAGGAAGAAGTTAAACTATCTCCATTCACAGATAATATAATTTTATAGGTAGAAAACTTTAAAGATTCCACAAAAATTTGTTAGAATAAACAAAACCAGCAAAGTACCTGGATACAAAGACAACATACAAAATTAGTTGCATTTCTATACACTAACAATGAACAACCCAGAAAAGAAGTTATGAAAACCATTCCATTAATAATAGCATCAAAAAATAAAATACTTAGGAATTGACTTATCCAAGGAGGTAAAAGATTTCTACAAAGGAAACTACAAAACATTGCTGAAAGAAATTAGAAAAGACATAAATAAATGGAAATATATTCACAGATTGGAAGACAATTTGTTAAGATGTCAATACTATCCAAGTGATCTACCAGTATGATGCACTCCCTATCAGAATTTCGATGCTGTCTTTTGAAGAAATAGAAAAGTTCATCCTAAAATTCATAGGGAATCTCCAAAGACCACAAATAGCTAAAACAATCTTGAAAAGGAAGAGCAATGCTGGCGGACTCACACTTCCCGGTTTCAAAACTTACTACAAAGCTATAATAACCAAACAGTGTGGCACTGGCATAAAGACAGACATATAGACCAATGGAAGAGATAGCCCAGAAATAAACCCTCCCGTACATGATCAAATAATATTCGGACAAGTGTGGCAAGGCCATTCAGTGGAGAAAGGACAATCTTTTCGACAAATGATGCTGGGATATCTGGATATCTACTTGCAAAAAGTGAAGTTGGACTCTTACCTAACACTATATACAAAAATTAACTAAAAATGAATTGAAGTCTAAAAGTAATATATAAAACTGTAAAACTCTTAGAAGAAAGCATAGGACTTCATGAAATTGGATTTGGCAATGATTTCTTGGGTAAGGTACCAAAGGCATAGGAAATTTTTTAAAAAACAGAAAATTGGACTTCATCAAAGTTTAAAAATATTACATGTCAAAAGACATTATCAGGTAAAAAGGCAACTCACAGAATGGGAGAAAATATTTGCAAATAATATATCTGCTAAGGCATTAATATACAGACTATACAGAGAACTCCTAAAACTCAACAACAAGAAATTTAAAAACACAATTCAAAAACGGGCAAAGGACTTGAGTAAACATTTCTCCAAAGAAGACATACGAATGACCAATAAGCACATAAAAAGATACTTGACATGACCAATAATTAGAGAAATGCAAATCAAAACTACAAAGAGACACCACCTCACACCCATTAGGACAGCTACTATCCCCCCCGCCAAAAAAAACCACACACACACACACACACACACACACACACACAATAATAAGTGTTGGTGAGAATGTACAGAAATTGGAAGCCCAGTGTGCTATTGGTGGGAATGCAAAATGGTAGAGCTGTTGTAAAAAACAGTATGGTTGTCTCTCAAAAGATTAAAATAGAATTACCATATGATTCATCAATTCAACTTATGGGTACATACCCAAAATAATTGAAAGCAGAGTATCAAAGAGATACTTGTAAACCCATGTTCCTGACAGCATTATTCACAGTAGCTAAAACATGGAAGCATCTCAAGTGTTCATTCACAGATGAATGTGTACATAAAATATGGTACCTACATACAATAAAATATTACTTAATTTTAAAAGTGAAGGGAATTCTGACATATGTTACACATGAGTGAAACTTGAAGCATTATGCTAAGCAAAATAAGCCAATCACAAATGAAAAATACTGTATGGTTCCACCTATATGAGGTATTTAAGGTAGTCAAAATCACAGGGACAGAAAGTAAAATGGCAGTTGCCAGAGGCTAGGGGAGGGAAGAATGGGGAGTTATTGTTTGATAGATATAGAGTTTGATTTTCACAAGGTGAAAAGTGTTCTGGAGATGGATGCCTGTGGTGATGGTTGCACAACAATATGAATGTACTTAATACTGCTGAACCATACACTTAAAAATGGTTAAAATGAGAAATTTTGTATGTGTTGTGTCACAATAAAAAACCAACAAGGCAAAACATTAACGACCCCAACCACTTTTCAGAAGTATTTAAAATCATGTGATATCAATCTAGTACTTTATAACTACATTTCACAAAATTGAATGATAAATATTTAGAATGGCCATATGAGATGTCTTAAAACTGAAACCAAGCAAGCCACACAGCACTGGAAGTAACACTCATTTTTCCCATGGTGGTGAAAACTGCTGAAACAATGCGCTGAAAATAATACTGTTACAAACAAATAGATATTCATCTGTCATAAAATATTGTTGGAAGACGTACAAAAAAAAAAAACACTGCTATAAAATGGACCAAATTAGAATTGGCACAAGCTAAATGGTTTGGGAGGTTTATTATTCTGTTGGGGGAAAACACAGATGTTGCCAGCATGCTTTACCTGACAGTTTGTAGCATTCTGTTTCAGTAATGAACATAGGAAGGACTAATTTTGTGTGTGTGAACCTCTAAGGAAAGCTGTCCAGTAGAATTCAATAGTGAATTCAGTAGAAAATGACTTTTATTTAAAAAGGGGAAAAAACATGCCACACTAACACATCTGTGTTACCTGTGTGATATGGTTTGGCAGCGTGCCCACACAAATCTCATCTTTAATTGTGGCTCCTTTAATTCCCACATGTTGTGGGAGGGACCTGTGGGAGATAATTGAATCATGGGGGTGGCTTCCCCTTTTGCTTCCCTCAGATTCCCTCTTGTCTGCCGCCATGGAAGATGTGTCTTTCACTTTCCACCATGATTGTGAGGCCTCCTCAGCCATGCGAAACTGTGAGTCCATTGAGCCTCTTTTTCTTTGTAAATTAACCGGTCTTGGATATGTCTTTATCAGCAGTGCGAAAATGTACTAATACACTGTGTTAGTGTAACTCCTGATAGGGCAAGAGTTTGATGGGAATAAATGAACACATTTGAGGAAAGTTTACAAAGATAAATTCCTTTAGTGGAATTTATATAAATATGCTTTAGTGAGATGAGGTATGACAATAAAATACTTGGGAACCTGTGGTGAACTAAATTATTGGTCTCAGTTCTTTATTTTTCTGCTATAAAATTCCATTCCCTTGACATAGACTCATGGTGGGTGGAGTGTTCTTACCACCCTTGACTTTGGGCTTAGTGTGGACTCATTTTGGCCAATGGGATATTAGAGGCTGTTGCATGAGCAGAGGCTTGAAATATGCTTGCCAATTTGGCTTGGCTCTGCTCACTTCTGCAGCTGTCATGAGAAGAATATTCCCTGGTTGCTGGTAACCATTAGCCTGATCTCTGCAATATGATGAGTGCAGCAGGCCTGCCACCTGGCATCAATCCCAATCACCCACAGCTGGAAGCAGAGTTGCCCCAGACCTGTGAGCAAGAAATCATGCTTATGCCAGAGACAACTGAGATCCTGTTTGTCACCATTGAAGCAACAGTAGGTTAACTCAGTACCCCACATACAATGTGGTTATCTCAAGGTAAGATTAATGTCAAACATAAATATCTTCTTCATTTTTCCTTTATGAAAAACATAAATACTACAAATTTGCTAACCTTTTCTGTGATGACAAGTAAATGCCACTGGAATGCAACCTCGCTGGTTATTTTTAAGATAAGTAGGGTGAGGGGCAAGATGGCCAAATGGGAACAGCTCTGGTCTGCAGCTCCCAGCGAGATCAATGCAGAAGGCAGGTGATTTCTGCATTTCCAACTGTGGTACCCAGCTCATCTCATTGGGAATTGTTAGACAGTGGGTACAGCCCATGGAGGGCGAGCCAAAGCAGGGTGGGATGTCACCTCACCCGGGAAGTGCAAGGGATTGGGGAACTCTCCTCCCTAGCCAAGGGAAGCTGTGAGGGACTGTGCCATGAGGAATAGTGCATTCCAGCCCAGATACTATGCTTTTCCCATGGTCTTCACAATCCGCAGACCAGGAAATTCCCTAGGCTGCCTATGCCACCAGGACCCTGGGTTTCAAGCACAAAACTGGGCAGCCATTTGGGCAGACACTGAGCTAGCTTCAGGAGTTTCTTTTCATACCCCAGTGGCACCTGGAATGCCAGCAAGACAGAACCGTTTACTCCCCTGGAAAGGTGGCTGAAGCCAGGGAGCCAAGTTGTCTAGCTCAGTGGATGTCACCCCCACAGAGCCCAGCAAGCTAAGATCAACTGGCTTGAAATTCTCGCTGCCAGATGGTAGTCTGAAGTCGACCTGGGACTCTCGAGCTTGGTGGGGGGAGGGCCATCCACCATTACTGAGGTTTGAGTAGGCGGTTTTACCCTCACAGTGTAAACGAAGCCACGGGAAAGTTTGAACTGAGCAGAGCCCACAACAGCTCAGCAAAGCCACTATATCAAGACTGCCTTTCTAGATTCCTCCTCTCTGGGCAGGTCATCTCTGAAAGAAAGGCAGAAGCCCCAGTAGAGGAATTCTAGAAAAAACTCCCATCTCCCTGGGACTGGGACAGAGCACCTGGGGGAAGGGGTGGCTGTGGGTGCAGCTTCAGCAGAATTAAACATTCCTGCCTGCTGGCTCTGAAGAGAGCAGCAGATCTCCCTGCACAGTGCTCAAGCTCGGCTAAGGGACAGACTGCCTCCTCAAGTGGGTCCCTAACCCCCGTGGCTCCTGACTGGGAGAGACTCCCCAACAGGGGTGGACAGACACCTCATACAGGAGAGCTCCAGCTGGCATCTGGTGGGTTCCCCTCTGGGACAAAGCTTCCAGAGGAAAGAACAGGCAGCAATCTTTGCTGTTCTGCAGCCTCTGCTGGTAATAACCAGGAAAAGAGGGTCTGGAGTGGAACCCCAGCACACTCCAGCAGACCTGCAGCAGAGGGGCCTGACTGTTAAAAGGAAAACTAACAAACAGAAAGGAAGAGCATCAACATCAATAAAAAGGATGTCCATACAAAAACCCCATCCAATGGTCACCAACATCGAAGACCAAAGGTAGATAAATCCATGAAGATGAGGAAAAACCAGTACAAAAAGGCTGAAAATTCCGAAAACCAGAATGCCTCTTCTCCTCAAAAGGATCACAACTCCTCACCAGCAAAGGAACAAAACTGGAAGGAGAATGAGCTTAACAAATTCACAGAAGTAAGCTTCAGAAGGTGGGTAATGACAAACTCCTCCAAGCTAAAGGAGCATGTTCTAATCCAATGCAAGGAAGCTAAGAACCTTCAAAAAAGCTTAGAGAAATTGCTAACTAGAATGGCCAGTTTAGAGAAGAACATAAATGACCTGATGGAGCTGAAAAACACAGCATGAAAACTTGGTGAAGCATACACAAGTATCAATAGCAAAATTGATCAAGCAGAAGAAAGGATGTCAGAGATTGAAGATCAACTTAATGAAATAAATTGTGAAGACAAGATTAGAGAAAAAAGAATGAAAAGGAATGAACAAAGCCTCCAAGAAATATGGGACTTATGTGAAAAGACCAAACCTACATTTGACTTGTGTACCTGAAAGTGATGGGGAGAATGGAACCAAGATGGCAAACATCTTTCAGGATATTATCCGGAGAACTTCCCCAGCCTAGCAAGAAGGGCCAACATTCAAATTCAGGAAATACAGAGAACATCACAAAGATACTCCTTGAGAAGAGCAATCCGAAGACACATAATTGTCAGATTTACCAAGGTTGAAATGAAGGAAAAAATGTTAAGGGCAGCCAGAGAGAAAGGTCGGCTTACCCACAAAGGGAAGCCCATCAGACTAACAGCAGATCTTTCTGGAGAAACCCTACAAGCCAGAAGAGAGTGGAGGCTAATATTCAACATTCTTAAAGGAAAGAATTTTCAACCCAGAATTTAATATCCAGCCAAACTAAGCTTCATAAGTGAAGGAAAAATAAAATCCTTTATAGACAAGCAAATGCTGAGGGATTTTGTCACCACCAGGCCTGCCTTACAAGAGCTCCTGAAGGAAGCACTAAATATGGAAAGAAAAAACTGGTACCAGCCACTGCAAAAACACACCAAATTGTAAAGATCATCAACACTATGAAGAAACTGCATCAATTACCAGGCAAAATAACCAGCTAGCATCATAATGACAACATCAAATTCACACATTACAATATTAACCTTAAGTGTAAATGGGCTAAATGTCTCAATTAAAAGACACAGACTGGCATATTGGATAGAGTCAAGACCCATCAGTATGCTGTATTCAGGAGACCCATCTCATGGGCAAAGACACACACAGGCTCAAAATAAAGGGATGGAGGAATATTTACCAAGCAAAAACAAAGGAAAAAAAAGCAGGGGTTGCAATCCTAGTCTCTGATAAAACAGACTTTAAACTAACAAAGATCAAAAATGACAAAGAAAGGCATTACATAATGGTAAAGGGATCAATGCAACAAGAAGAGCTAACTATCGTAAATATATATGCACCCAAATCAGGAGCACCCAGATTCATAAAGCAAGTTCTTAGACACCTGCAAAGAGACTTAGACTCCCACACAATAACATTGGGAGACTTTAACACCCCACTCTAAATATTAGACAGATCAATGAGACAGGAAATTAACAAGGATATTCAGGACTTGAATTCAGCTCTGGACCAAGCAGACATAATAGACATCTACAGAACTCTCCACCCCAAGTCAACAGAATGTACATTCTTCTCAGCACCACATCACACTTATTCTAAAATTGGCCACATAATTGGAAGTAAAACACTCCTCAGCAATGCAAAAGAAGAGAAATCATAACAAACAGTCTCTCAGACCACAGTGCAATCAAATTAGAACTCAGGATTAAGAAACTCACTCAAAACCGCACAACTACATGGAAACTGAACAACCTGCTCCTGAGTGACTACTGGGTAAATAATGAAATGAAGGCAGAAATAAATACGTTCTTTGAAACCAATAAGAACAAAGACACAATGTACTAGAATCTCTTGGACACAGCTAAAGCAGTGTTTAGAGGGAAATTTATAGCACTAAATGCCCACAGGAGAAAGCGGCAAAGATCTAAAATCGACACCCTAACATCACAATGAACAGAACTAGAGAAGCAAGAGCAAACAAATTCAAAAGCTAGCAGAAGACAAGAAATAACTAAGATCAGAACAGAACTGAAGGAGATAGAGATACAAAAAACCCTTCAAAAACTCAATGAATCCAGGACGTGGATTTTTGAAAAGATTAACAAAATGGATAGACCACTAGCCTGACTAATAAAGAAGAAAAGAGAAAAGAATCAAATAGACACAATAAAAAATGACAAAAGGGATATCACCTCTGATCCCACAGAAATACAAACAACCATCAGATAATACTATAAACACCTCTACACAAATAAACTAGAAAATCTAGAAGAAATGGATAAATTCCTGGACACATGCACCCTCCCAAGACTAAACCAGGAAGAAGTCGAATCCCTGAATAGACCAATAACAAGTTCTGAAATTGAGGCAGTAATTAATAGCCTACCAACCAAAAAAGTTCAGGACCAGATGGACTCACAGGCGAATTCTACCAGAGATAAAAAGAGAAGCCGGTACTATTCCTTCTGAAACTATTCCAAACAATAGAAAAAGAGGGACTCCAGCATCATCCTGATACAAACACCTGGCAGAGACACAACATAAAAAGAAAATTTCAGGCCAATATTCCTCATGAACATCGATGTGAAAATCCTCAACAAAATACTGCCAAATTGAATCCAGCAACACATCAAGTCAGCTTCATCCAGGGGAAGCAAAGCTGGTTCAACGCTGCAAATCAATAAACTTAATCCATCACGGAAACAGAACCAATGACAAAAACCACATGATTATCTCAATAGATGAAGAAAAGGCCTTTGATAAAATTCAACACCCCTTCATGCTAAAAACTCTCAATAAACCAAGTATTGATGGAACATATCTCAAAATAATAAGAGCTATTTATGAGAAACCCACAGCCAATATCATACTTAATGGGGAAAAGCTGGAAGCATTCTCTTTGAAAACCAGCATAAGACAAGAATGTGTCTCTCACCACCCCTATTCAACATAGTATTGGAAGTTCTGGCCAGGAAAATCAAACAAGAGAAAGAAATAAAGGGTATTCAAATAGGAAGAGAGGAAGTCAAATTGTCTCTGTCTGCAGATGACATAATTGTATATTTAGAAAACCCCATCGTCTCAACCCAAAATCTCCTTAAGCTAATAAGCAACTTCAGCAAATTCTCAGGATACAAAATCAATGTGCAAAAATCACAAGCATTCCCATACACCAATAATAGACAAGAAGAGAGCCAAATCATGAGTGAACTCCCATTCACAATTGCTACTAAGAGAATAAAATACCTAGGAATACAACTTACAAGGGATATGAAGGACCTCTTCAAGGAGAACCACAAACCACTGCTCAAGGAAATAAGAGAGGACACAAACAAATGGAAAAACATTCCATGCTCATGGATAGGAAGAATCAATATTGTAAAAATGGCCACACTGCCCAAAGTAATTTATAGGCTCAATGCTATCCCCATCAAGCTACCATTGGCTTTCTTCACAGAATTAGAAAAAACTACTTTAAATTTCATATGGAACAAAAAAAGA
The DNA here is from genome assembly GCF_000001405.40 of Homo sapiens. Taxonomy (NCBI): domain Eukaryota; kingdom Metazoa; phylum Chordata; class Mammalia; order Primates; family Hominidae; genus Homo; species Homo sapiens. The sequence goes on along the minus strand of NC_000004.12, from coordinate 26,552,041 downwards.
GCCTGTATATCCAAGACAATCCTAAGCCAAAAGAACAAAGCTGGAGGCATCATGCTACCTGACTTTAAACTATACTACAAGGCTACAGTAACCAAAACAGCATGGTTCTGGTACCAAAACATATATATAGACCAATGGAACAGAACAGAGGACTCAGAAATAATGCCACACATCTACAGCCATCTGATCTTTGATAAACCTGACAAAAACTGGCAATGGGGAAAGGATTCCCTATTTAATAAATGATGTTGGGAAAACTGGCTAGCGATATGCAGAAAACTGAAACTGGACCCCTTCTTTACACCTTATACAAAAATAAACTCAATATGGATTAAAGACTTAAACATAAGACATAAAACCATAAAAACCCTAGAAGAAAACATAGGCAATACCATTCTGGACATAGGCATGGGCAAAGACTTCATTACTAAGACACCAAAAGCAATGACAACAAATGCAAAAACTGACAAATGGGATAAAATTAAACTAAAGAGCTTCTGCACAGCAAAAGAAACTATCATCAGAGTGAACAGGCAACCTACAGAATGATAGAAGATTTTTGCAATCTGTCCATTTGACAAAGGACTAATATCCAGAATCTACAAGGAACTTAAACAAATTTACAAGAAAAAAACAACCCCATCAAAAAGTGGGTGAAAGATATGAACAGATACTTCTCAAAAGAAGACATTTATGTGGCCAACAAACATATGAAAAAAAGCTCATCATTGCTGGTCATTAGAGAAATGTAAATCAAAACCACAATGAGATATCATCTCATGCCAGTTAGAATGGCGATCATTAAAAAGTCAGGAAGCAACAGATGCTGGAGAGGATGTGGAGAAATAGGAATGCTTTTACACTGTTGGTGGGAATGTAAATTAGTTCAACCATTGTGGAAGACAGTGTGGCAATTCCTCAAGGATCTCCAACTAGAAATACCATTTGACCCAGCAATCCCATTACTGGGTATATACCCAAAAGATTATAAATCATTTTACTATAAAGACACTTGCACATGTATGTTTATTGCAGCACTATTCACAATAGCAAAGACTTGGAACCAATCCAAATGCCCAACAATGATAGACTGGATAAAGAAAATGTGGCACATATACACCATGGAATACTATGCAGCCATAAAAAAGAATGAGTTCATGGCCTTTGCAGGGACATGGATGAAGCTGGAAACCATCATTCTCAGCAAACTAACACAGGAACAGAAAACCAGACACCACATGTTCTCACTCATAAGTGGGAGCTGAACAATCAGAACACATGGACACAGGGAGGGGAACATTGCACACTGGGGCCTGTCGGGGGTAGGGGGGTGGGGCTAGAGGAAGGATAGCATTAGGAGAAATACCTAATGTAGATGACGGGTTGATAGGTGCAGCAAACCACCATGTCACGTGTATACCTATGTAACAAACCTTCATGTTCTGCACTTGTATCCCAGAACTTGGAGTATAATAATAATAAAAAATAAGTAAATACATTTAATTGATCCCTTCAATATAAAGATGAATTTTAACAATGAGCTTAAAATTTATTGTTTTTAAAATGTATATTTAGAAATATAAATTAAAAGTAATGGCAAAAACCACAATTACTTTTGCACCAAACTAATATTTATTTTATGGAGGAATCATTTTTGAATCGATGTTGGAATTTTTCCACAATTATTTCATGACGCTGCTCCCAACAATTTATATTTCTCACCTGCAAACACAGCCACATCTACACACTTGAAAATTTCAGAAACTGAATTTTCTACTGCTTAAAAATTCTCAATTGAGTTTATGATCAGTATTTTTTACTGAGCAAATTATCACTCAATAAAGAAGACTTTTTTTCTAAACAAAAAATTTCAGTAGGTTTTAAACTCATTTGTTAAAAATGTGGATATGAAACACCTTGCACTTAGTAAGAACAAATAATTGACATCAGGGAAGATGGAAATTTCCTCTGAATTTCAGTAACAACTCTTGCATAATTGGTAGGTGTAAGTGAAAAATGAGTGTCGTGATTTGGTAAGCAAAGCAAATAATATACTACTTCTAGTTGGATCTACATAGCTTTGTGAGGTATCTTTTTCAGCTGTGACAGACATAAAATCAAGTATCAAATAAGCTGAAATTAGAACGGACTTTTGATTTGCCATAATAGATAACATTAAATTGAGATTTTCAAAAATAGTGAAGCATATACTGTCACTTTGCTGCTACTAAAATTATAAATATTACTATTACTAATATAAAATAATAGCAATAAATAATATTTTGAGTACAAAAGTTTCATAAATATCATAAATAAAGCTATTTGAAATATTTACTTTTATGTTATCCTTTAAGAATATCCATATTTTTGCACAATTTCATAATGCATATAATAATGGTACGTGCAAGCAATTTATAAATAAGTGAACATACTTGTATCCAGAATAAACCCTCAAAAAGACATTACTGATAGGAACGGCACAATCAAAAAAGTTTCAAGACCAGTCACCTAAAAATATGCCTATTTTTCTTATATCCAGGGGTTCACACCTCTGCCCTTCCTATTCAACATCTTTAGTTTCCCTTGATGCCTTCTTTGTTGCTATTCAAGCATGTGCACCTCCATCCTGTCTTGAAATCAAACACACAAGGGCATCCTTGCTCAATCCTGTAACCTCCTCTAGCTGAGATTCCTCTTTTATGTCACCAAATTTCTTGACCAAGTGGTCATCAAAACAGTAATGCCTGTTTTGCTTGAATAATTGCACTCCACTGCTTTTTGTCCTCACTGCCATTCTCAATATACACAAGCAAGCTCAGACCCTGTCCTTATGACCCTACAATATGATATCAGGCATCTGAAACTGATAGTTTGGATGTTGCCACAGATCTTAATGCCAAATCCAAAAGTATTTTTTTGGTCCTCCTTGTCCCCAAACAAATGTATTACCCCTTTAAGTTACTTTTAAAAAGAATATTCAAAAAAAATCACTTAGTCTCATTTTGCATTACTGAGGGAAATTTAGTTTCTTACCAAATATAGCTGAAAATTTCCAGATGAGTTGATGGCAGTTACCTCTCTCAAGATGATTATGCCAGACTGTTCCTTTGCGTACCTCTTGCCATCTTGACACTCTTTCTGAAGTATAGACACAGCCCCTTTCCTCAATCACCATGACTCTAATAACACAAGTTTATTGTAAGGAATTATCACATAGGGCAAGAAAAATTAAACATAATATCAGTCATAAGGAGGAGGTAATGCTCTCTAACTCATTCCATGAGGCCAGCATTATCCTGATACCAAAATCTGGCAGAGACACAACCAAAAAGAAAACTTCAGGCCAATATCCTTGATGAACACAGATGCAAAAATCCTTAACAAAATACTAGTCAACCAAATCCAGCAGCACATCAAAAAGCTAATCCATCACAAGCAAGTAGGCTTTATCCCTGGGAGCAAGGTTGTTTCAACATATGCAAATCAATAAATGTGATTCATCACATAAACGGACTAAAAACAAAAACCACATGATTATGATTACCTCAACAGATACAGAAAGGGCTTTCAATAAAATTCAACATCTCTTTATTCTAAAAACCCCCAGCAAACTAAGCATTGGAAGAACATATCTCAAAATAATAAGAGCCATCTATGACAAACCCACAGCCAACATCATATTGAATGGGCAAAAGCTGGAAGCATTCCTCTTGAAAACCAGAACAAGACAAGGATGCCCTTGTCCACCACTCCTATTCAACATAGTACTGGAAGTCCTGGCCAGAGCAATCAGGCAAGATAAAGAAATAAAAGACATACAAATAAGAGGAGAGGAAGTCAAACTATCCTTGTTTGCAGATGATATAATTCTATACCTACAAAACCCCATAGTCTCTGCTCAAAAACTCTTTCATCTGATAAACAACTTCAGAAAAGTTTCAGTATACAAAATCAATGTACAAATATTGGTAGCATTCCTATACATCAGCAACATCCAAGCTAAGAGCCAAATCAAGAATGCAATCTCATTCATAATAGCCACAAAAAGAATAAAATACCTAGGAATACAGCTAACCAGAAAGGTAAAAGATCTCTACAATGAGAATTACAAAATACTGCTCAAAGAAATCAGAGAAATAGAAAAATATCTCATGCTTACAGATAGGAAGAATCAATATTGTTTAAATGGCCATACTGCCCATCACAATGTACAGATTCAATGCTATTTCTATCAAACTACCAATGACATTCTTCACAAAATTAGAGAAAAGTGTTTAAAAATTCATGTGGAACCAGACACTTTTCAAAAGATGTACATGCAGTCAATAAGCATATGAAAAAATGTTCAACATCACTATTAGAGAAATGCAAATCAAAACTGCAAGACACCATCTCACACAAGTCAGAATGGCTATTATTAAAAAGTGAAAAAATAGCAGATGCTGGCGACCTTGCAGAAAAAACGGAATGTATATACACTCACTGCTGGGGGGAATGTAATTTGGTTCAGCCACTGTGGAAAGCAGTTTGGTAATTTCTCAACGAACTCAAAGTAGAATCACTATTCAATCCAGCAATCCCATCATTGAGTATATACCCAGAAGAATATAGATAATTCTACCATAAAGACACATGCACATGTATGCCCACTGCAGCACTATTCACAATAGTGAAGACATGGGATCAACCTAAATGCCCAACAATGGTAGACTGGATGAAGAAAATGTGGTACATATAGACCATGGAATACTATGCAGCCATAAAAAAGAATGAGACAATGTCCTTTGCAGCATTACAGATGCAGCTAGAGTCATTATCATAAGTGAACTAAAGCAGGAACAGAAAACCAAGTACTGCATGTTATCACTTATAAGTGGGAGCTAAACATTGAGTACATAGGAACACAAAGAAGGGAACAATGAACACTGAGGCCTACTTGATGGTGGAGGTAGAGAGAAGGAGGAGGATAAAAAACTACCTATTGGGAATGAAATTAAAGCAGAAGTCAAGAAGTTCTTTGGAACCAATGAGAACAAAGAGACAACATTCCAGAATCTCTGGAGTGCAGCTAAGGCAGTGTTAATAAGGAAATTTATAGCACTAAATGCCCACATCAAAAAATTACAAATGTCTCAAATTGACACCCTAACATCAGAACTAAAAGACTTAGAGAACCAAGAGCAAACAAACCCCAAAGCTAGCAGAAGACAAGAAATAACCAAGATCAGAGTGGAACAGAAGGAGAAAGAGACATGAAAAACCCTTCAAAAAATTAATGAATCCAGGAGGAGGTTTTTTGAAAAAAATAATAAAATAGACTGCTAGCTAGATTAACAAAGAAGAAAAGAGAGAAGAATCAAATAAACACAATAAAAAATGATAAAGGGGATTATCACCACTGTCCCCACAGAAATACTAACAACCATCAGAGAATTCTATTAACACCTCTATGCACAAAAACTAGAAAATCTAGAAGAAATGGATAAATTCTTGGACACACACACTCTCCCAAGACTGACTGAGCAAGATATTGAATCACTGAATAAACCAATAACAAGTTCCAAAATTGATGCAGTAATAAATAGCCTACCAACCAAAAAAAGCACAAGACCAGATGGATTTGCAGCTGAATTCTACCAGAGGTACAAAAAGGAGCTGGTATCATTTATTTTAAAACTGTTCCAAACAATTGAAAAGGTGGGACTTCTCCCTAACTCATTTTATGAGGTCAGCATCATCCTGATACCAAAACCTGGCAGAGAAACAGCAAAAAAAGAAAACTTCAGGTCAATGTCCCTGATGAACATCAATGCAAAAATCCTCGATAAAACACTGGCAATCCAAATCCAGCAGCACATCAGAAAGTTTATCCACCACGATCAAGTTGGCTTCATCCCTGGGATGCAAGGCTGGTTCAACATATGCAAATTAATTACCTAAACAGAACTAAAGACAAAAACCACATTATTATCTCAATAGACACAGAAAAGGCCTTTGATAAAATTCAATACCCCTTCATGTTAAAAAGTCTCAATAAACTCGATATTGATGGAACGTACCTCAAAATAATAAGAGTCATTTATGACAAACCCACAGACAATAACATACTCAATAGGCAAAATCTAGAAGCATTCCCCTGGAAAACTGGCACAAGTCAAGGATGCCCTGTCTCACCACTTCTATTCAACATAGTATTGGAAATTCTGGCCAGGGCAGTCAGGCAAGAAAAAGAAATAAAGCATATTCAAATAGGAAGAGAGGAAGTCAAACTGTCTCTGTTTGCAGACAACGTGATCCTATATCTAGAAAACCCCATCATCTCAGCCCCAAAGCATCATAAGATGATAAGCAACTTCAGCAGTCTCAGGACATAAAACCAATGTGCAAAAATCACAAGCATTCCTATACAATAATAGACAATCAGAAAGCCAAATCATGAATTAACTCCCATTCAGAATTGCTACAAAGAGAATACAATACCTAGGAATACAGCTAACAAGGGAAGTGAAGGACCTCTTCAAGGAGAACTACAAAACACTACTCAAGGAAATTAGAGAGGACACAAACAAATGGAAAAACATTCCATGCTCATGGATAGGAAGAATCAATATTGTGAAAACGGCCATACTGCCCAAAGTAATTTATAGATTCAATGCTATTCCCATTAAACTGCCATTAGCATTCTTCACAGAATTAGATAAAAAACTACTTTAAAATTCATATGGAACAAATAAAGAGCCCATATATCCAAGACAATCCTAAGCAAAAAGAACAAAACGGGAGGCATCACACCACCAGATTTCAAACTATACTCCAAGGCTACAGTAACCAAAACAGTATGGTACCAGTACAAAAACAGACACATAGACCAACATGGAACAGAATAGAGATTGCAGAAATAAGGTAGCACATCTACAGCCATCTGATCTTCTACAAACCTGACAAAAACAAGTAATGGGGAAAGGATTCCTTATTTAATAAATAGTGCTGGGATATGCATATGCAGAAAATCGAAACTGGACCCCTTCCTCACACCTTATACAAAAATTAACTCAAGATGGATTAAAGACTTAAATGTAAATCCCAAAACTATAAAAACCCTAGAAGAAAATTTGGGCAATACCATTGAGGACACAGGCACAGGTAAAAAATTTATGACAAAAATATCAAAAGCAATTCAACAAAAGCAAAAATTGACAAATGGGATCTAATTAAACTAAAGAGTTTTCTGCTCAGCAAAAGAAACTATCCTCAGAGTGAACAGACATCCTACAGAATGGGAGAAAATTTTTGCAATCTATCCGTTCGACAAAGGTCTAATATCCAGAATCTACAAGGATTGTAGATTAAACAAATTTGAAAAAAAAAAAAAAAACTACCTCATTAAAAAGTGGGCAAAAACCATGAACAGACACTTCTCAAAAGAAGACATTTATGTGGCCAAAAAACATGTGGAAAAAAGCTCAACATCACTGATCATTAGAGAAATGCAAATTAAAAATGCAATGATATACTATCTCATGCCAGTCAGAATGGCAATTATTAAAAAGTCAAGAAGAAACAGATGCTGGTGCAGCTGTAGAGGAAGAGAAATGCTTTTATACTGTTGGTTGGAATGTAAATTAGTTCAGCCATTATGGAAGACAGTGTGGTGATTCCTCAAAGATCTAGAAGCAGAAATAGCATTTGACCCAGCAATCCCATTACTAGGTATATATCCAAAAGAATATAAATCATTCTAGTATAAAGGTACATATACATGTATGTTCATTGCAGCACTGCTCACAATAGCAAAGACATGAAATCAACCCAAATGCCCATCAATGATAGACTGGATAAAGAAAACGTGGTACATACACACCATGGAATACTATGCAATCATAAAAAGGAATGAAATCATGTCCTTTGCAGGGACGTTGATGGAACCGGAAGCCATTATCCTCAGCAAACTAATGCAGGAACAGAAAACCAAACACCACATATTCTCACTTATAAGTGGGAGCTGAACAATGAGAACACATGGACACAGGGAGGGGAACAACATACACTGGGGCCTGTCAGGGTGGTGGAGGGAGGGACAGCATCAGGATAAATAGCTAATGCATGTGGGGCTTAATAACTGCATGATGGGTTGATAGGTGCAGCAAACCACTGGGGCACACATTTACCCATGTAACAAATCTGCACATTCTGCACATGTATCCTGGAACTTAAAGTTAAATGAAATTTTAAAAACAAAACAAAAAAACACTACGTAATGGGTGCCGTGCTTATTACCTGGGTGGTGAAATAATCTGTACACCAAACCCCCATGACATGCAATTTACCTATATAACAAACCTGTACAACCCTAAAGTTCACTGGCTGTGTCCTTTCATGGTGGGCAAGCATAGAAGTGGGACAAGAGGGGGAATTCTATATTGGCTGTCTACCACCTGAGCCCTAGGCTAGCCATCATGTTGCAGACAGCCCACTCCTCCATCAGGTTAAAGACTCCTTTCTAATATTCTCCCAAGTTCCAGTGCCTCATCTCTAGCCCCATGCAAAGGAACCTCAACTTCCAAAAGTCTCAGACAATCTCTGCCCCCCACAAAGAAGACCATGCTTTTACTTCATATAAAACAGTTTAGTTCAATAGCTCTCAATCCTGACTACACATTAGAGTCACCTGGGGAGCTTTTACAAAATTCCAGTGATTGAGCTGCAATCACTGATTCGCACTGATTGAGAGCCTGATTCGCATGTTCTGAATTGGGGCCAGCTTATGGCTTATATTTGAAAAGCTGTCCACGTGGTTTAATGTGCAGTGTAGTAAAGCAGTCCCAGTTTCCTTGCTCATTGTTTTATGTTTTCTGCTCTAGCATAAGACTGTATTCTTTTACATAGCTAAAGACATAATCATTCCTGTCACCCACCAAAAGAGAATCACAATTTATGACCTTTAACAAAACAAATAACAAGTAGAAGCTTCAACATTATTCATTTTCCTTAAAGGCTGCAAAGACCCTACAGATTAAATCTGTAGGCTGGGCTCAAGGCCAAGTGCTTAAGTTTGTTCTATGTGGGGAATTTTTCCTAACCCATAGAGAGACCAGTCCCTATATGGGTCTGAGATCATGGTAGTGGGTTGAATCTCAACTCTCTTTCCTAGAACAAACCTGGGGAGAGATGATTTTTCAAATTTTTATTCTTTCCTGATTCACTGCAGCAAACACTGCCATCTCTTCGTTTCATTGAAACTTTATCCTAACTTGGCCAGAACGATGCTCAATCAATCAAATCTCCCTCCTCATCTCTATTCTCTTGCCCAATTTCATTTGGGCCCTCCCCCAGGCTCAGCAATTGGCTCTCAGCTTTACCTCCTCTCCACACTTCCTCAAATAGGAAACTCATGGTGAGATCTTTAGCAATTTCATCGACCCTTTATTCTAAAAATTATGCTCAGTGCTGAGAACATGATGGAGAGTTTATATCAACATGGCCTTGACCTCAAAGGGCTTACACTCTAGTGGGAGGGGCAAATGTATTCATGAAAGGCAACTGTTACAAACACAGATTGCCTTAAAAAAAGAGGGTGGGGGACAGATTTCTGTCAGAACATATAACAAAGGGACATGTCTATTTGGGGAGATTAAGGAAGCTCTGAGTTGGGATCTGGAGGATGAGTAGGTGAAACTGGCAGGTGGAATGGCTTTGGGCCTCCCCAGTTGGTTGGTGAACTCCTTGAAGAGAGGCATTGGGTCCAGAACTTTTGTTGTACCCAACCTTCAGCGTCAAGCTTCAGAAGCTCAGCAATTATCTACTGATGTAAGATTTTCCAAGTAACAAAACATTTCTGAGGTGACTATCTGTTGTTCTTGCCCATCTAGCACATCTCCTCTAGGTAGAGGAACAGATCCTCCCCTCCAATCAAAAGATACCCCTCACCCCAATCCCTCAGCCATTTTCCTGTGGAAGAGCATTGTCTCCCATGCCCTGAGCTACGGAGAATTGTTCCAGAATAGGAAAGTGACCAGGCGGGGCCCAGCACAGCTTTTCTCTGGATTTCTCCACTTGGAGTTGAAGGGACAAGGAGATAAAATATATGAAACTGAAGCAGCTGGTGGCCCACCCCCTTCCCTATCACATGGAGAAATCTCATCTTTTTTTTTTTTTTTTTTTTTTTTTTGAGACAGAGTCTTGCTGAGCTGGAGTGCAATGGCGCAATCTCGGCTCACTGCAACTTCTGCCTCCTGGGTTCCAGCAATTCTCCCGCCTCAACCTCCCAAGTAACTGAGATTACAGGTGCAGGCCACCACACTCAGCTAATTTTTGTAGTTTTAGTAGAGACGGGGTTTCACCATGTTGGCCAGGCTGGTCTCCAACTCCTGACCTCAGGTGATCCACCCACCTAGGCCTCCCAAAGTGCTGGGATTACAGGCGTGAGCCACCATGCCCGGTAGAGAACTCTCATCTTTAACAAGTGAGAATAACAAAGAGAGATTAGAAAATATGTCATAAAGATGAAGTAGGGTTCTGAAACATTGGGGCCCAGTTCCAATTCCAGGTGCCCCTGGAGCTTCCATGATTCCTACAAGACTTGCTTTAATGTTGAGAGCTACCCCAGTTGTAGGATTCATAGTTCTCTTAATTTCAGGCAATTTGAGGTGAGTTGAGATTCTACCTTTTACAACTGACAGAATCCTGATTAACTTGGCTCAACTATTCATAAACAGATTTTTTTTCTTACTTTTTTAAAATTTGATTTTATTTTACTTTAAGTTCTGGGATACATGTGCAGAATGTGCAGGTTTGTTAGATAGGTATACATGTGCCATGGTGATTTGCTGCACCTATCAACACATCATCTAGGTTTTCAGCCCTGCATGCATTAGGTATTTGTCCTAATGCTCTTTCTCCCCTTGTCCCCCACCCCGACAGGCCCTGGTGTGTGATATTCCCCTCCCTGTGTCCATGTGTTCTCATTGTTCAACTCCCACTTATGAGAGAGAACATGTGATGTTTGGTTTTCTGTTCCTGTGTTAGTTTGCTGAGGGTGATGGTTTCCAGCTTCATCCATGTCACTGCAAAGGATATGAACTCATTCTTTTTATGGTTGCATAGTATTCCATGGTGTATATGTGCCACATTTTCTTTATCCAGTCTATCATTGATGGCCATTTGGGTAGGTTCCAAGTCACAAACAAGTTTGTGAGTGGTCTAATTTGTCTTTAATTAATAACGAAATGAAGGTCTGTGATTTATTATAAGCAAAATTAACAAAGGATATGGCATTGGAGCTATAGAGATGAAAAAGAAGTGGGTACTGTTGTTATGACACAATCAATAGGGGGAACACCCGAGCAGTAGTTACAAAACAGTATGACAACGACAATGACAAAATTACATACAGGATACAGTAATCTACTATGCCATTATAATTCCAATTTCATCTTGTCATTTATATGTTATGGAGAACTAGTATTTAAATCATGTTTGTCCTCTCACTATTGTAAGTGTGCAAGTGGAAGATATATTTTAAAATGCAATGAAGCTTAAAAAAAATAAAACTGACAATTGACGTTTTTTGTTCAACTGTATGCCCATTGTGATGATTAATTATAGGTATCAACTTGCCTGGATTAAGGAGTACACAAATAGCTGATAAAGCATGATTTCTGAGTGTGTCTGTGAGGGTGTTTCTGGAAGAGACTGGCATTTGAATCAGCGGACTGAGTAAGGAAGATCTGCCCTCACCTACTGGAAGTGGGCATCATCCAGTTGGCTGATACCCCAGCTGGAATAAAAAGGCAGAGGAGAGGTGAATTCTCTCCTTCTCTTTTAGAGCTGATACACATGAGAACTCCAGGTTCTCTGATCTTTGGACTGGACTCTGGTATTTGCACCAGTGGCCCCCTGGGGTTCTCAGGCCTTTGGCTTTGGACTGAGATTTACACCATCAGTTTCCCTGGTTCTGAGGCTTTCAGACTTGGAATGAGCCACACTCCCAGCTTCCCCATTCTCCGTCTTGCAGATGACCTATCATGGGATGTCTCAGCCTCAGTGACCATGAGAGCCAATTCCTCTAGTAAATTTTCTCTCATATATATCAGGTCATGCATTGCTTAATGAGGGAGATACATCCTACAAAATGTGTAGGCAATTCCATTGTTTTGAAAACATCACAGAGTGTGCTTACATAAACCTGGATGGGATAGCCTCCTATACTCCTAGGCTATATGGTATAGCCATTGCTCCTAGGCTACAAACCTGTATGGCATGTCACAGTACTGAATATTACAGTACTAAATACAGTACTGTAGGCCATTGTAACATGATGGTAAGTATTTGTGTATCTAAACATAGCTCAACATTAAAAAGGTGCAGTAAAAATATGATATAAAAAGACTTAAAAATGATACACCTGTATAGAGCAGCTTTATTATAATCTTAAGGAACCACTGTTGTATATGCAGTCCACATTGACCGAAACATCATTACGTGGTATACAGTGTATATATATGCGTATATATACTATGTATATATATATAGTATTGGTTCTGTCTCTTTGGAGAATATTATCTAATACAACAATTTACAATTTCGAATCAAGCAGCCAATCACCATACCTTTTTCTTTGTTATAGAGTAAGAAATTATTTTAGAACAGGAAGGTTCAGGAAACATATTTGGCACAGACTGAATTTTTCTGCCACCCCAAAATATTCATAAGTTGAGACCTAATTCCCAATGTGATGGTATTAGAAGGTGGGACCCATCCTTCCCCCTTGGAATAGACTTGATCTTGGACTTCTGAGCCTTCAGGACTGTGAGAAACAAATTTCTATTGTTCATAAGCTGCCCAGTTTGTGGTGTTTTTGTTATAGCAGCTTGAATGGACTAAGATAACATGGTTAGGGCAGGAAGTTGAGTAAACACATTGTTTCAACCCTTCCGCTCCTTTACCATGAATACATTAGTTTTTCTGCTTTCTTCACGCATTCTCAACCCTTGCAACCATTTTCCTTGGCTCCTTCAGGGGTTGAATCAAATCCTCTCTAAAACAGAATGAACTAGGACCCAAAGCTCTAATTCAAGACAAGATGAGCATCTTCCCTTTGCTTGTGATTCCCCTAGGGATATGTTCAGTGCCGGGCTGGGTGTGCTAGATGGCACTGAGACAGACCAGGGGGTTACTGAGAAGTGCACTCAGCCTCTTGTAGCCTGTGTGGTCTGGGGCAATTAACCAGTGTCTGTGACTCTCAATTTGCTTATCAGTTAAATGGGGATGATAATATTACCTTCTCACAGGATTCCATAGTGCCTGTTGAGTAAGTGGCCAGTGATTGCCAGCTTCCCTCTTCCTATGGTACTGGGTCCAGCATGGGTTGCACACTAGCATGCATGTCATGCCTCCATCTGTACTGGGCACAGGGAAGTCTGTCACAGCCCGTGACATGGCCATTTATATCCTCCCACCAAATTATCTCATTTTTTCCTTTTGAAGTTTGTTTTTACTTTTGATGGTTCATTTTCTCTTTGGTAAAGGTGACTTTGAATTACATTTACTTTCCCCAATGTGTTAACAACAAGGCTCGGTGGAGTAATCAACAAGCAATATAAACAAGTTTGAAAATGTTTTCATCCACATAATAAGAATGAAATCATTTTGACCTCTATATCACAGGGCACCAATCAGCATGATTTTCCAGGGTGACTTTCAACCACCTGTCAGTCTACTTGTAGCTCATCTTCCTGATTTAATGAGGAAAATCATTATCAGATTTTTATTAATTGCCTGAAGCAGTGCTAAGGAAGAGAGACATGGAAACAGAGATAAACAGAGATGGAGATAGAGACCGAGAGAGATCCTGCAAGACCTGATCTTGCTTACAGAGAGACACTGGGAATACATACTCTTGAATAGGTCTTATAGCAATAAAAAAAAAATCACCCAAATGAGTACCTGGCCAATAAAGTATTACATCAAAAACAGGAAAGGAGCTCAATCAAGGAAACTGAATTCAAGGATAATGTAAGCTGGGCACAGTGGCTCATGCCTGTACTCCTAGCACTTTGGGAGGTCAAGGTGGAAGGATTGCTTGAGGCCAGGAGTTTGAGACCAGCCAGGGCAACATAAGGAGACTCCATCTCTACAAAATAATAATAATAATAATAATTTTTAAAACTAGCTGGGCATGGTGGCATCTATCTGTAGTCCTAGCTACCCTTAAGCCCAGGAGTTTGAGGTTGTAGTGAGCTCTAAATGGCACCACTGCACCCTAGCCTGGGCAACAGAGTGAGATCCTGTCTCAACAATAACAAAAAGATAATATATTTAATCACCTTTTAGGGTGGGAGCCAAGTTTGAGTATATTATCTCCAAGATACTACTTTAAGCCAGATCTTATCTTAAACACAGGGGATATAAGACTGAAAACAGAAATTCCCTGCCTTCATAGAGCCAAACACAGAGAAAAATATAATAACCCTATGAATGCATATATTACATGAGGTGGTCATTGATCATTACGAAGAAAATAAAGCCAGGTGATAGAATAAGCATGGGAATGGGGGGATTATATTATTTTGAAACTAATAGTTGAGAAGACCTTTTCATGAAGTAATATTTGAGCAGAGATCTGAATGGAGTGAGATATCTGGCCATGCAAGATATCTGTAAGAACACTTCTTAGGAACAAGGAGCAGCAAGGGCAAACTCCTGAGGCAGGAGAGGCTTGACATATTTGCAAAATTGTAAGGGAGCCAGCGTGGCTACATCATGGGGGTCGGGGGTAGAAGGATTAGGAGACAAAGAGAGATGGCGGGGTAGCTGGGTGCCTAGGGCCTGGTAGGACATGGAATGGCTTTGGATCCTGTTTCGAGCGAGATGAGAAGCCACTAGAGAGTAATGGCAGAAAGACCATTTAGGAGGCTTTTGCAATGATACTGTTGAGAGGCAATGGAGGCTTAGATGATGTGGAAGGTGGCAGAGGTGGAGGGAATGATCAGACTGTGGGTAATTTTGAAGGAAGAGCTGACAAAATCTACTGATAGATTAGATATGGAGTATGGAGAAAGCAAAGGGTCAAGAATGATTCAAATCGTTTTGGCCTGAGCAACTAAAAAAATGAGTTAACAGTTATGGAGACAAAGAGGAACAAGTTCGAGGTTGGGGTTAGGGTAGGGTGAAGAATCAAGAGTTTGGTTTCAACATATCAGGCAGGGCCAGGATCGGGGTAAAGCCAGTGAGGTACTCGCTTTAGACACAAAATACAAGAGACCACCGAAAACTCAGTAACTGATATAAGTAATATTTGAATGTAATATTTTTAAAAATCAAAGTTAATGTAAAAAAATTGATGTTGCACAAACTATGAAAATTTAAAATAAAGAAAGACTGGTTGGTTTGTTTTATGACCGTCTATTATTGCACAACAGGAACAGTCATTTCTATCACCCTGAGCTTCCTGGGCCATGAGGCCATGAGATCTCACTCTTTTGTGAGAATTGACAGTGGAATGCCTATTGGCTAGGCAATACAAGGCTTTACATATAGCCTTTATTTTATTTTTCTAATGTAGAGCTTTATTTCCTTTTTCCACTTTGTTTCAAATACTTGAGGAAATTTGGATAAGGGAATATAGCAGCTCACATGCCTTCTTTTGTCTCAGGCTCCAATGTGGCTCAGAAGGGCACTGCATCCAAGCAGGATTGTTGAATTTGGATATCGAGTGTGGAGTGCAGGAGAAAAGTTGGAATAGGAGAGAGAAGGCAGGACTGTGGGCACATAAATGTGGTATTTAAGACCTGGTTGAGATCAGATGGAGGCAACGCATGAGGATAGAGGAGATAAGAGGTCTGAAAAGAAAACCCTGGGGAGGAACATGAAGACTAAGGAGAAACCAGCAGATATGATGAAGGAGCAGCCAGGAGAGAAAACCCGAGAGAGTGATGTCACAGAACTCAAGAGACAAGAGCATTTTAAGAAAGGAGTATAAAACTAGAGTTGACCTTTGAACCACATGGGCATGAGGGACGCCACCACCCTGCACAGTAGAAAATCCTCATATAACCTTCGACTCCCCCCAAAATTAATTACTAATAGCCTACTGTAGATCGGAAGTCTTACTGATAACATAAACAGTAATTAACTCATATTTTGTATATGTATTATATACTGCATTGTTACAATAAAGTAAGCTAGAGGAAAGAAAATGTTATGAAGAAAATCATAAGGAAGAGAAAATATATTTACTCTATTAAGTGGGAGTAGATCACTTGAAGGTCTTCATCCTCATACTCTTCATGTTAAGAAGGCTGGGGAGGAGGAGGAAGAGTACAGCTTGGTCCTGCTGTCTCAGGGGTGGCAGAGGCAGAAGAGAATTTGAGTATAAGTGGACTCATGCAGTTCAAACCCATTGTTCAAGGGTCAACTGTATACAGAGATACTATCTTTTGATCTTTAAGATTGGTAAAGATCTTTAAAAGTTTTAATAAGCTTGCAGTGTGTTGAATGGTGGGCTCCCACAGAGACATGTCCACGTCCTAATCCCCAGAATATGTGAATGTTACCTTATAAGAATCTTGAGGCCAGGCGTGTAATCTCAGCACTTTGGGAGGCTGAGGCACAAGGATCACTTGAAACTAGGGGTTTAAGACCAGCCTAGGCAGCATAGCGAGATCCTGTCTTTATGAAAACTTCAAAAATTAGCCAAGCCTGTTGGCTGAGGTGGAAGGATCCCTTGAGCCGCAGAGTCTGAGGCTGCAGTGGGCCCTCAGTCCAATGACCAGTGTCCTTGTTAGATTGTGCAGAGGGAGATTACACAGGAGAGGGTACAGCCATGTGAAGACAGAGACAGAGATCGGAGTGACACGGCCGCAAGCCCAGGAAGCCCAGGAATGATGACGGCTGCCAGGAGCTGGAAGAGGCAAAGAAAGATTCCCCCTAGAATATCCAGTGTGAGTGCAGCCCTGCTCACACCTTAGTTTTGGATTTCTGGCCTCCAGAACTGTGAAAGAATCACTTTCTATTGTTTTAGGCCACCAATTTGTGGTAACTTGTTACAGCAGTTATAGCAAACTAATATACAATTCTATGATGAGGGTGTAGGGAAACCAATTCTCTCACACACAACCACAGGGTGCTAAATTGGAGGGCAACCTCATAGAGGGCAATGTGGCAATAATAATCAAAATTTCACACGATACATCATTTGAACCAGCAGTTCCGATTTCAGGAATTTATGCAGTTCTACTCAACATGCCTGTAAAAATAAAAATATGTATGTGCAAGATTATTCACTGAAGCATTGTTTATAACAAAAAACTGGAAACAATCTAAACATGCTAACCTTTATGTTAAATGAGCTTGATTCTATAGGGTGCCATAAAAACAACGCTATTTTTCCTCTCATTGTGGAGCAGCTCTTTTCTGTCCTGGATAAAACTGTAAGCTACTCTCATAATTTTTTCTCCAGATGTTTACAGTAATAAAAAGGCCTTTGGTAATTTTAATTACAAGATTGATCTTATTGTACTAGCCCAAATATCTAGCCCAGAGTAATATTAAAATTGTCATATTCTTATTCTAATTAAGCTCTCTCCTCCTCACAACCTCACTGGAAATCTGCCTTGTGGGAGGGGGCATGGCTAGCTGCTGCTTCTTGTCTCTGCTAGTTCCTCTCCTCCAGGCTCCACACAGAGTCTACCTCTGACTTCTCCACGATTGGCGGGCTAGGGTGGGTGTGGTGGGGAGATCTAAGGAGCAACAAAGGCTTTAGCTGTTTGTCACAGATGGAATCTGACAATGGTAGGTGTCAGAGTGTATTAATCAGATCCACACTAATGTAATAACAATAACCCCAAATTAGAGTGACTTCGCAGTGAAAGTTTATTCTCATCCTTGTCACAGGCAACATGCATCAGCCTTTGAGTGGGAAAGAGGACACAGGACTCGGCTACACTCATTCAAAACCCCAGCCTGTGGTGTCTTCATTTTCTAGGACCTCTTCCTGCTCTACTGTTGGTGGGGAAAGAGAAAAGGCATGGAGGATCCTGTAGGATGATCTACTTTAAGGCCAGGCCAGGTGGGAAGGTGTCTCTCATCTTACTTCTGCCCATCCCCCATTGGCTGTAACTCAGTTACATAGGCCCACCGAACTGCAAGGGCAGCTGGGAAATGTGGTCTTTGTGCCTGGGAGTTGGAATGCATAGCGTTGTCTCCACTGTATGGAGATTCCCAAAGCTGATTCTTTCTCTTGTTAGGGTGCTGTCAGGAATTCCCCAAATATGTCCCCTGTGATTGCAGCTTCCTTAATGTGGAGAATTCCCCACTCTGGCTGGCTACTTATAATTCCTCCAAAGCCTGTAGGCATCTGACCATCCACTCCTTCTGTTGGGGTCACATTACGCTTCCAGAGAGTTGAGTGGAGTTCAGGCTGACCCCAAGCTGAATTCTCCTAATTTATCTCCCAGGAGGCATCCCTGCTCCCATCAGTGAGGTACAGCTTGCTGCCAGTATGGGCCTTTCTACTTGAACCACATCTGGCTACTTCATCCAACCACCTGCCTGCAGAATTTTTCAGAAGTGGAACAAGTATTAAATCCCTGTGTTTCTTTTACTCCATAGGGTACATGCCAAGCTCTCACATTTGGCTTGAGGTGGGAAGGCAGCCCTCTCCTCCCCATCATCATGGAAGGAAGACAGATGCAAAGCATATGTGATTCTCTCTAAAGATCTTCAACCTCGACTCTGCAAATCATTCACTGTGATGTCACATAACAAGTTTTTTGAAGTATCTTTTGTAAGTCTTGCATAGATGGTCCAGCACCTCATGTTGAAATGTGGAGATTCTGGACACGTTGCTTTACTTAAGGTGTTTTGCAAAGTTTTTTTGTATTTTTAAAAAATGTAGTCCAATATGTCATTCTTTTGAAGGAGTTAAAAAAATTCTTATTTTAGGCTGGGCGCAGTGGCTCATGCCTGTAATTCTAGCACTTTGGGAGGTTGAGGCAGGTGGATCACTTGAGGTCAGGAGTTCAAGACCAGCCTGGCCAACATGGTGAAACCCCCGTCTCTACTAAAAATACAAAAATTGGCCAGTGTGAGCCGGGCGCGGCGGCTCACGCCTGTAATCCCAGCACTTTGGGAAGCCGAGGCGGGCGGATCACAAGATCAGGAGATTGAGACCATCCTGGCTAACACAGTGAAATCCCGTCGCTACTAAAAACAAAAAATTAGCCGGGCATGGTGGCACGTGCCTGTAGTCCCAGCTACTGGGGAGGCTGAGGCAGGAGAATGGCGTGAACCCAGGAGGCGGAGCTTGCAGTGAGCCGAGATCGCGCCACTACACTCCAGCCTGGGCGACAGAGGGAGACTCCGTCTCAAAAAAAAAAAAACCAAACGAACAAACAAAAACAAATTAGCCGGGTGTGGTGGCAGGCTCCTGTAATCCCAGCTACTTGGGAGGCTGAGGCAAGAGAATTGTTTGAACCCAAGAGGTGGAGGTTGCAGTGAGCCGAGATCACACCACTGCAATCCAACCTGGGTGAAAGAGTGAGACTCCTTCTCAAAAAACAAACAAACAAAAATTCTTATTTTACTCCTGGTCTGAGAAACTTGGACTCTCCTTCCAGTTATCCCATTCCTAACTGGGCAGCTGTGGGCAGGTTACATAACAAGTTTGAGCCTCAGTTTCTTTATCAGTAAAATGAAGTAAGACTATGCAATTCATAGAGTTATTGTGGGAGTTCAATGGAACATTACTTACGAAAGCACCTGGCATAGCACCATGCACAGACAGTTTAAAACGTTCCGCGAGAAAGGTCTGCCTTCATTTCTATTCTAGAACAGAGATGTTCTACCTGTTTCCAAACTGCAAATGAATAAATAAAGTAACAGTTTTAAATTTATGTTTGCAATTAACAAATGACTTTAAAGAGTAGCTTGAACAAGAGGATGAATTTGCTAGAAATCTAGCCCAGTCTTTCCCTTTCATGTTCTGTGTTGGATGCTTTTACTGTGTAGGCAGCATATCGCTTATTTAAGGTAAACTAAGAGCCAGGAACAAAAGTGAGATTTAGATTTTACTTCCTTTCAGCCACTCCCAAATCCAGTCCTGTATAAACATAACCAAAATGTAAATGTTGCCTACGGCTTTCTGGGAAGATCCTTTCTGAATATAAAGTACCCTGGGTAGACTGATCATTCTGAAATAAAACAAAGAAAATATACCCAGCTTGCAGCAGGCAATTGTCTTCCTTGTCATTGTTTGGATAATACTTTGCCCTGACATAACCAGGAAGCCCTGTCAAGTCTGCATACGTGAGGACAGTGAAACGGATGGTCCTGATATGCTAAGCCAAACCTTGGCATATGCAGTTAACACAACAAAAATCCCAAGCCAAGTCTGAATGGTGACTGGAACCTACTGAGTGGTTTCTCTCACGCTGTTTTCCATACAAAGCATGTCCTTTTGCTGGGAAACTGGATGTGTTTGAAAAATGGGCAGCTCAGATAATTTCAGGAGTCAGGGATGGAAATTTTAGCTGTTTCAGATTCCAGTGGATTTGATCAGCTCCTGTCCTGTGTCAGGGTCCTGAAGTTCTGAACTAATTGAGAAATGAGACAAAAGGGCCAGGTGCAGTGGCTCACGCCTGTAATCCCAAAACTTTGGGAGGCGGAGGCGGGCGGATCACTTGAAGTCAGGAGTTTGAGACCAACCTGACCATATTGTGAAACCCCATCTCTACTAAAAATACAAAAATTAGCTGGGCATGGTGGCAGGTTTACAGAATCCCAGCTACTCCGGAGACTGAGGCAGGAGAATCACTTGAGCCCAGGAGGCAGAGGTTGCAGTGAGCCGAGATAACACCACTGCCCTCCAGCCTGGGTGACAGACAAAGACTCCGTCTCAAAAAATAAAATAAAATAAAATAAAATAATGAGACAAAGGAGACAGGCAGATTGAGCCCAAGTATCGCCTTTATTGCTGATAAATACTAGCAACTGATGAGCATGGTGGCTCACGCCTGTACTCCCAGCATTTTGGGAGGCCCAGGAGGGCAGATCGCCTGAGCCCAGGAATTCAAGACCAGTCTAGGCTGCATGGCAAGACCACCCCTGTCTCTACAAAAAAATTTTAAAAATTAGCCAGGCATGGTGGTACATGCCTGTAGTTCCAGCTACTTGGGAGGCTGAGGTGGGAGAATCATCTGAGCCTGAGAAGTTGAGGCTGCAGTGAGCTGTGATCATGCCTGGGTCACAGTGTGAAACCCTGTCTCAAAAAAAAAAAATGACTTGCAACATGTCTGCAGGTAGGTGGATTTCCTAATTCTGAACCACAGAATTACATACACCTCCTCAGCCCTAGATGTCCTGGGACCATCACCTGCCTCCCCACTTAAGGGAGAAAGCCAATAAAATGAAGGTGTGGAGAAGCAGAGGGAGTTGTTGATGAAAGTGGCTCTCAGCAGGAAGGGGAGCTGAAAAGGGGATGGAGTAGAAAGATAACCTTCCCCAGAGTCTGGCCATCTCCAGCTGGACTCCTCACTGAAGTTATGCTGTCAAGCCATCCCTCTGAAGTCAAGCTGCTTCTCTCTGAAGTCCAACCACAGTCTCCCATGTCCTACTGCCTCTCCTCTTCTCCTCTCTTCTCTCTGCTGGCAGAGCCTGGGGTTTTTATGGGCACAGGATGGGGTGGGGCAGGCCATGGATAGTTTTGGAAAAGGCAACATTCGGCGGGGAAACAGGAATGTTATGTTCTCACTTTAGGGTGTGGTTCCAGGCTTGAGGGTAGGGCCCTCGCCAGGGACCTGCCCTCGTCTGCCCAGAACTTCCCTGCCCCCTGTCCCTACGAATGACAATAGCACTTCCCTAATGGGGTTATTGTAAAGGTTTAAGGAGAAAATGTGCACAAAATACTTGACATAGTGCTTACCCTATAGAAAGTGTGAAATAAATTTTAGCACAAATCATATGCAGTGGATCTTTATTATTTGCAGATTTCTTATTTATGAATTTACTTACTCCCTAAAATTTATTTGTAACCCCAAAATAGTATTCACGGTGCTTTTGAAGTCATCCGTGGACATGCACAGAGTGGCAAAATATTGGTGTCACTCCATGTGCATGTTCACAGCTGAGGTGGAACAAAGCAACCCTCTGCCTTCTAGTTTCAGCTCTCGTACTGATATGAACAGGAGGCAGGGAAATACTGGGTAAAAGAGAGTGGTTTCCCGGCAAAGGCCCCACCCTCAAGCCTGGAACCACAGCTCTAAATGAGAACAGTTATCCCTGTTTTCCTGCCCAAGTGTTACTTTTTTGGCCTGCTACACTCCCCAATCCTGTACCCATATAAACCCCAGACCTCAGCTGGCAGAGAGACAAGCAGCTGAACATTGAGAGGAGAAGCAGCAACTGAGCATCAGAGACTATGGATAGATGCTGCTTAATTTCAGACGGCCCGGCTTTGGAGAGGAGCCCGACTGCAGACAGCCTGGCTTAGGGAAAGATCACCTTCTTCCTGCACCATCCCCTTTCCTGCTCCCCTTCTGCTGAGAGCCACTTCTACTGCTTAATAAAATCCTCCACATTCATAATCTTTGAAACCACTCATGTGACCTGATTCTTCCTGGATGCAGGACAAGAATTTGGGATGCGCTGGGTGCAGGAATACAAAAAGGCTGTCACACTGACTCTTCACTGAGCTGTTTAACACTTAAGCTGTCTACGGACAGCAAAGCTAAAAGAGCATTAATTGTAACACACCCCTAAATGCTGCTGTGGGGCAGAGCCCGAAAGTGCTCACCCTGGTTCCTGCACCCACTCAACTGTCTGCTCCCCTTCCCACAAGGGGCCAGATAAACAAGCTACACATCTATTGCCAGTCCTGCAACAGAGTCAAGGGAACTCTCCCGTCTCAATACTGTAGACAATAGTCCTTTTCATGATCTGTTTAACACCGCATTATTCCACATTTTTGTGCGTGTTTTTTGTTGCTAATTTTGCTGTTTACCGTGTCCCCCATGCATAGTGCTGAAATCTTCCTCGGCACAAGAAGGCTGTGATATGCATTGCAGAGAAAAAACATGTGTTAGCTAAGTTTCATTCAGGCGTGAGTTCTACTGCTGTTGACTGTGAGTTGAATGTTAATGGATCAACAATATATATTACATAAGGCATCTTTAAACACAAATACACATAAAACAAGGTTATATATTGATCAACTGATGAAACTGTTGTGACCAGAGGCCTGCAGGAACCTAATCTTGTAGTTCTCCTAAAAATAGCAGTTCAGGATTTGCTAATTCAGTGTTCGTGGGAAGTTGACAGAACACAACTATGGTGAATAATGAGAATCAACTGAAATAATAGTAATAATAATATAACAATAGTTATTTGGTATTACTAATGATATAGCAATCAGAACAATTATTATTGTTGTTGTTATTAAGGCAGGACAATTTGATTAGGGACATTGGCTTCCAGGCCCCAGGTCTTGTGATATAAAAGTTAAAACTGCCTCTGGGTAAGAGTTGCAGCCACACCTGAAGGTGTGGATAAAGATGGAGGCATCGCCACAGGCTTCCAGGGCCCTATTTGGTCATTATGCCTTATGCTGTCCTTTCTCAGATACAAGTGATCCAGCAAGCTTTTATTTCAGACTGTCAAAATGTCTATTGCAAGGTGTAGTTAACCTGCTTTGATGGAAGTCAGTGAGAAGTATATTTTTTTTTCGTAAATTGTGGGGCTGCCAATGGGAAATGTTAACATGATGAAAGGGTTGAAAGAAACGCCTCTAGGAGAAAAGACCAACAAAATTGGTGTTATTTTCCTCAAGAAAATAGGAAGAAACATCAAAATGGCTATTTTGTCCTTCCAATAAGTGAACGGACTGTCTCTCTTTGGTTGAGCTATTGGTATAGCAAAGATTATTACCGGAGTTGAGATTTCTAGAAGAGTCCATGAATTCCAAGTTAATATTGAGTCAATTACATTACTTTTCTTTAAATGGCTATCTTATTTCTATTGACAGTAAGAACAACACATGTTCATGTCTTTTATTTTAAAAATATAGAAAAGAGTAAAGAAAAAAGTTAAGCTTGCCTGTCAACCCATCACTCAGAGATGACAACTGCTATTTTTAGGAGAACTACAAGGTTAGTTTCCTGCAGGCCTCTGGTCACAACAATTTAATCAATTGATCAATATATAACCTTGTTTTATGTGTGTTTGTGTTTAAAGATGACTTAGGTAATATATATTATCGATCCATTATGGATTGTTGATCCAATATTTTGATGAATTGTTTTCTGGAATTTTTTATTTATATATTTCCTCTTATGGGGGAACTTGAGACAAATCCTCAAATTGCATCTGATACCTTTGGCATGATAATCTAATACTGGTTTCTTCTCACAGAAACAGGTGAGCAAGGTATGCCAGCCAAAGTCACTGCCTCTTTTTCTTTAATGAAGGAAAACTAGTGTCAGCCACAAATCTCTAGTTGAGAGTTCTTGTTTAGCAAGCCTGTTTATTTGTTCTTCTGAGGGGTATGTGTCTCCTTAAATTAGGGAGGAATGTATTTCTTTTCATCCGAATGGGAGAAAGGAAGTTTTAAGTAGATTTCTGCACTGGTGCACAGTTGCTGTCCTGGGACAGAATTCTCTCTCCACTTGTTGGAGGCAACTTGACCATTGTAGGGAGAAGGGACCCTGTCTCTCATTTCCAATCCAAACCAAGAATATCAGCACCATACTGTGGGATAATGAGATAACTCTTAAAAAATAGTTTCCCGTCTTCAGTCAGGGAATGAAACGATGCAGGGAACATAATCACAAGAGTGAATACTTGTGTAGCATTTACTGTGTGCTGGGTACTGCCCTAAGAACTGTAGGCATTGACTCATTGAAACCTATTAACAAACAAAAGAGATCAAAAGCCTTATTCCCATTTAACAGATGAAGTAAACAGAGGCATGGAAGGTTTAAGGCACAAGGAAATTGCCCAGTCTCACAAAGCTAGCACGTGGTGGGGCAGAGCTTTGCACCGAGGTAGTCTGGCTTCAGAGTCCAGGTACATAAACATTAGGTAAGCAGGCTCTCAAACAGCATCTAAATATATATATATATATGTGTGTGTGTATATATATATATATATATACGTATATATATGTGTGTGTATATATATATATACGTATATATATATGTGTGTGTATATATATATATATATGTATATATATATGTATATATATATGTATATATATGTGTATATATATATATATATGTATATATATATGTATATATATATGTATATATATGTGTATATATATATATGTATATATATATGTGTATATATATATATGTATATATATATGTGTATATATATATATTATTTTTTTTTTTTAAGAAGGAATTTCGCTCTTGTTGCCCAGGCTGTAGTGCAATGGTGTGATCTCGGCTCACTGCAACCTCTGCCTCCTGGGTTCAAGTGATTCTCCTGCCTCAGCCTCCCGATTAGCTGGGATTACAGGCATGCACCACCACGCCTGGGTAATTTTTTGCATTTTTAGTAGAGACGGGGTTTCTCCATGTTGGTCAGACTGATCTCGAATTCCTGACTTCAGGTGATCCACCGGCCTCGGCCTCCCAAAGTGCTGAGATTACAGGCGTGAGCCGCTGCATCTGGCCGCATCTAAATATTATCTGGGCATTGCATTTATAGAGAATGAAGAGTTTGAGAAACCCAGGTATATAAGGTATATGAAACTCTTGTTTAAGTCTTGAAGATTGATTACCTGAAAAGTAAAGGATGAGAAGAGGCACAGGGAACAAGGCAAGGTGGAAAGAATTCAAGCACAGGCATTAGAGGGACCTGGGTGTGAATCTCAGTGCTGCCACCTCTAAGCTGCCTTACTTTGGAAACAGCACTTCACATGTCTAAGCCTCAGTTTGTTCATCTGCCAAATGAGCATAGCAATGCCTGTCTTGGAGGGTTGCTGGCAGGATGAAACACGACATCGATGGCTGTGCCCTGTGCTTTGCCTTCTTGTCCTTTGGCCCCCAGGTAACCATGTGCAGCCATTGTGTCCACTTGCCCTCCACTCACCCATGTTTTAGTCACTTCTTAGTCATCACCTTTTAGTTTTCCCCGAAGAATACACTTGCACAGAAGCATTTGTAAGTAATATAGACTATACTGAGGATTGTGTAGAAGAGATGAGGAGGAACTTTACCTATCCCCCACCACAGCAACGACTTAGTGTTTCTTTCCCTAACTCCCCTTCTCTGCTAACCTGCTACAGAAGGGGATGGAGTGCGTGGGCAGTTTAAACTTAAAATCTATTTCTTTTTCTTTCTCTCCCTTAACTTTCCCCCAACTCTACACACTTTCAGCTTTCAGACTCCTCCTTCTCCCTCCAAGATCTTTCACCCCAAGCAACTCCATCAAACCATATTGCTTTGGCGCTAAGCCTGCTCTGAATTCTACACTCATATATGCATATTTGACACACTACTTAGCAAACAAAGGGTTCTCTAGTTATTTTATCAGGGCCCATTATCTTGGTTACTATTGCTGCATTAAAAAAACACACACACACACACAAAATGTAGGGGCTCCACATAACAAGAAGCCTTTATTGTCTT
This sequence comes from Homo sapiens, assembly GCF_000001405.40. Lineage (NCBI taxonomy): Eukaryota > Metazoa > Chordata > Mammalia > Primates > Hominidae > Homo > Homo sapiens. The sequence continues at coordinate 26,525,414 of NC_000004.12, read as the reverse complement.
TCTCACAGTCCTTTGGGTGGGCTGGGGCTCAGCCTGGTGGTTCCTTGGTTGCACATGGGGTAAGCTGGTGTTACAGTCATTGGGAAGCTGGAATGTCTGAGATGGCTGACTCGCATGGCTGGCAGTTGGAGTTGGTTCTCTGCTGAAAGCTGAACTGGAGCAACTTAGTTCTCCATGTGGTCTCTCCAATTGATTGGGCTTTTCATAGCATGGCAACTGGGTTCCATGAAGGAGCATTCCAAGCACTTGAAAACAGAACTTGCTACTCTCTTAAGGCCCAGGTTTGAAAGTTCTACAGTAAAAAGTTTCCACCACTTTGTATTGGTCAAAGCAAAGACCAGCTTAAATTTAAGAGGAAGAGGGGCAAAGTATTTGTACGATCTTCAATCCACCACACCCATCATCTTGAAAAAGGGGCTCATGCCTGTAATCCTAGCTACCCAGAAGGCTGAGGCAGGAGGATTGCTTGAACCCAGGAGTTTGAGACCAGCCTAGGCAAAAGCAAGATCCCATCTCTAAAGAAAAGAAAAGGGTTATAAATAACAAAATTATTTTTCTGTTACCCATCAAAGTACTTAGCATATAAATGCAATAATGAGATTTTCTGACTTTTACTGTTTTGTGGGTTGAAACATGAACATTGAAAGGTTTACAGTGATGGGAAGGCAAAGAATGGAAAGTTCAGATTAAAAATAGACCTTAATTTTCATATCTGCATACAAGTGCCCTCTTTGGATAAATTTTAAATCACAAACCCCAAAACAATGAAGATCATGTTTTTCAGACAGCGCTTCTTTATCTGCTCCCCATCCATGGCCTATTTCTCATCTCTTCGCTCACCCTGGAGTGAGCCAGAGCAGGGATGCACCCAAGTCTGCACCGCCCGCTGGCTCGGTGCCCCCAGCATCACACTCATCAGCTCATCTCTGTACCAAGACCCTGATTTCCTCTTCTTCTTTTCTTCATTTTCTTTGCAGATTCAGCTTATTATTAGCTGAAGGATACATTTAAATCTGACAGGGAATCAAAAGCAATATATTTTGTGTTGCCAGTGAAGAGCAATTGTCAGACCCTAGCTAGCCACAAGAAGCAAATCCGAACATTCTCCAGTAGCTGTAATGAAAAGGAATAAAGAGGATTCTTTTTAACTGCCCTGCATCTGCACCCACTTTAGCAATAAAACATTCAGCAATAACCTTGTAAACAGAGCTGAGGGAGCTGGGGGGAGCTGGGAATCTACTTTGTGACCTAAATCATTCCTCTTTCTAATTAAAAGAATCTCATAAGTCTAGACATGGATTAACTTAAGTTCCTCTAAAAGACAGAAAGTAATTTAGACAATAAAAATAATTAAACTTTCCAAATATGTAAGAGCAATTCTTGAGAGACTGGGGAAAACAAAAGCTTCTTCCTTTGCAATATAAATAATCTTTTGGAGTAGATCAGAGCTGAGTTTTAGGCAATTTTGAGAGGACTGAAATCCCTTCATTTTGGACTCAAATTTATGATCCCTGATGACCTTCCAAGTGGATTTTATGCCATTGACTTTGGCCTTGTATCTGCAGATTTTAAAAGGGGCAAACGACACCAGAGGGTGATCAGTCACACTGTGCATGGTTTGCTTGATGGAAGGAGGATTGACCTTTCAAGTAGTCATATCTATGGATCGGTTCCTTTGTGATTTCTTCTATTGCTTTTATGCTCAGAAAGTCCTTCCTCATCCCAGGATTGATTCAATATTCACCCACATCTTCTTCCAGTCCATTTAGGGTTCCCTTTTGTACAGCTAATTCTTTAACTCTTCAATGGCTAGAATATATTTTAAAGTATTGTAATTAACATGCATTACGTTTTTGGTGGGCTAACAACTTTGATACATCCTTCGTGTGTGTGTGTGTGTGTGTGTGTGTGTGTGTGTCAAAGGGGATGTCCTCACCTTATCGGTTTGTACTTAACTCCACAGTAGAGGCCAGAAACTGGATGTTGCAGCTGCCTTTGCATAGAGGGCACAGGCCTGTGACCAAGGTTCCACCAATCAGATAATTCCATGTGAAATTTTATTTTAGAAACCAGTGATGAACAGAAGCAAGGACCTCCAGAAATCCATTCTGTGGAGAGTGGTGGCACAGGCCTCCAGATTTCAGACACAATCATAGCAGTAGTTCTGTGGCACCACCCTTTGCCTGGCTACAAGAGTGAGTGGAGGCTGGTATCTAGAAGGGAAGCTTTAGTGTTTCCACTACCGCTGGCCTGTTCTATAATTTGGGCTTTGTCCCTTCCTGCATAATCCTTGGACCCAATTCCTGTCCTTCTCAGAGAGTTTCAGGGCTACCCTGTCCTTTAATAATTTAATCATTTCCTTTTCCAGTTACACTAGCTAGGGAGGTTTCTGTTGTCCGCAACTAAGAACACTGACTGATTCAGGCACGCATGAGATAAGAACTTATGTTTTTCCAAATAGCTAATCAATTGCCCCTACATGGCTCATTGAAAAATAATAATAATAATAATGTATTTTTCCCACAACTAACTTGAAATGCCATCTTATTCTCTTAAATACACAGGGGTCAGTTTCTGTGCTCTTGGTTGTGTTTGATTGATCAACAGTCAGTTAAATTGTCTGGAAAAGGAAGGAGGGCAGACGACTACAAACCTTGTTCTGAGCTGCGACAGTGAATCTCTGCTTTCTGATTCCAACCACAGATAATTGTGTTCTTGCCTTGACTGCTATTCATATCGTTTAAAGTAATGTGATTTTTACATTCTGAGTCATCACTCTAATTTTTTTCTTTAAACAAAGCCAACTGTGGAGATGTCTAATCCTCTCCATACCTGTGCCAAGAAAACATCTTGATTATAGTCAGAGAATTCTATTATTTAGCAATTTGAGGCTAGCAAATAAAAATTTAGGTGATGAATAGAGTTTTTCTATTTCATTGTATAGAACCGGTGGTGTAGACAGCTCTCTCTCTCTTCCTTATAGGAAGGGTGGAAATTAAGGAACAAGTATATTTAACCAGTAACCCTATGATGAAGGGGATAATGGTCCGAGTTGACTTCCAGCAAGAGGTTCCTTGCTCCTGGCTGCCCCAGTCTCTTCTTTAACCAGGTGTTCTTTAACCATGTAAACTCGCTCTAGCAAGCCTCAAGCTCAAGAGGTAGGAAAAAGGGTCTTAATTTGTGCATCATAAGAACCAGGTTCAAATCCCAGTTCTACCACTCACTGGCTGTGAAGCCTCAGGCAGCAGGCTCCGTATATGAAACAAGAGCCACATCAAGGTCTTGAGGGGTACGTTAGTGTCCTAGATGCTGCCGTAACAAATGACCACATCTGGGTGGCTTGAAACAATAGAAATGTGTTCTATCGCAGTTCTGGAGGCTAAGAATCTGAAATCAAGGTGTTGGCAGGATTGGTTTCCTCTGAAGGTTCCGAGGGAGAATGTATTCCATGCCTCTCTCCTTAGCTTCTAGTGGTAGCCGGCAATTCTTGTCATTCTCTGACTTCCAGGTGTATCACTCCAGTCTCTGCTGCACCTTCACATCACCTTCCTCTCTGTGTCTCTGTGTCTTCTCCAGTACTCATGAGAACATCAGTCATTGGATGTAGGGTGCACCCTAAATCCAGCATGATCTTGTCTCAAGATTCTGAATTACATCTGTAAAGACTCTATTTCTAAATAAAGTCACAGTCTGAGGTTCTGAATGGACATAAATTTTGGAGGGACACTATTCAATCTATTACAATGAGCAAGAACAAATCTAAGACTAGAGCCTGGCTGAAGTCAGTGCCTTATCCCTCTATTCTCATCTGGATGCCTGCAAGACAAAACAAGCTATGGGTCAGACCAGAGAGTTAAATCAGGTGAGCAAGAAATCCAGCTTATCACAGAGGAATAAGGCAAGAGGGAGATGTGGGGAGGTCTGCAAGACCAAGAGAGGGGCAGGGATACTTGGAGAAGTATGAATGTAACCAAACAAGCAAGAGAGTTCGAGCAGAGGAGAGAGTTTGCTGCGCTAGCTACCTGCAACTGTCCTCCCACTTCCATGAGAATTATTCTTGAATCAACTGGATCAGGTCCCAGCCTCTTTGGCTCCATAGAAGCCAAGTCTCTCACTCCCATGCAGCCTCTGAGTTGATGCTGACCAGACAGTCAGTTCACACCCACCAGCAGCTGGAGTCTGGATACGAGGCACAGGTATCTGTTGTGCCTGGGAAAGCTCTGACTCACCAGGCCAGCTCTGGTCCAGAAGCCCTCTCTGTGTTTGCTCCATTCTCAAGTCCCTTCCGCATTACCTCCTTGATTTTTACTATGGTTCCCCACTTGGAACTAAACCCTGGCACATCTGCAGAGCTAGCCTCTCTTGTCTCTGTTACTCCATCACTGGATTTTCCAGACAATAATGATATAGTTAAGACAAGTAACTCTAGTAAGTCACATCTCAGTGACTTAACAACAACAACAAGTTTATCTCTAACACACACAAACTCCGACACTGGTCAGATGACATTATATGGCAGTGTGCTTTCAGCGGTGACTCAGGCTCCAAGCTCCTCCCATCATATGATTCCATCACCTTTGGAGATCTTTGCCATGTAGATGGAGAACAAAACAGCATGGAGAATGGCAACATGCATTAGGGTTCTCCGGAGAAACAGAACAAATAGGATGTGTGTGTAGAGAAAGAGAAAGAGATGTATTTTAAGGAGTTGAGTCATGTGATTACAGAGGCTGGCAAGTCCAAAATCTGCAGGATGGGCCAGCAGGCTGGAGTCCAAGGAAGAGCCAACGCTGCAATACAAGTCCGAAGACTATTTGCTCGCACAATTCTTGCTTGTGGGAAGCCAGTCTTTTGTTTCAACCAGGCCTTTGATGGATGAGGCCCACCCACATTATAGAAGGTAATCTATCTGCTTTACTTAAAATCGGTCCCTTGATTTTAAGGTTAATCTCATCCAAAAGCACCCTCATGGAAACATCCATAATAATATTTGGCCACCTTTCTGGGTGCCATGGCACAGGCAAGTTGACACATAAAATTAATTGTCACACATGGTATACTTTATTGTCAGTCCTGGAATTGGCAGATATTACTTCTGACTACATTCCACTGGCTAAAACTCATCACAAGGCCATGGTCTGTCCACAAGCAAGCTAAGGTGTATAATCTTCACATGTGTTTAGGAAGAGGAAATTAGGCTGCTGAACACCTACCTAGTGAGTTTTCAACACAAAGAATCCCGATCTGGGAAGGAAACACCCCAGAAAAGTTGGAACTGAGTGAGGAGGATGCCCAACAAATCGCCAAAGAGAGCAGAGGGTGGCAGACGTAGGGGGAGCTGGGAACTCAGAGCAGAGGGCAAACCAAGGTCACACTGAACAAACCTGTTAGCAGGAATTTAATTTTTAAAATTCAGTAGAATTAAAATAATTTCAAGTTTTGACCAACAGCCTACATGGTATATTATTTTCGGATGACACAGCTGTGAAAATCACCACAATAGAAAATATATTACTATGTTTTAGGATTTGTTTTTCCCAAATTCTTAGAGCATGGGAAGTCCCTTTTGAGAACCAACTTTGAAACAGGTATCCTTCCTCATCATGGAGTTAAGAGAACATCAAAAGCAATGGTTTCTGGGTAGTAAGAATACGATGGTTAGAAAATGTAGGAAATTGAGTCACAAATTACCACTATTGCCTAGTGCTCGTTATTTAAGAAGAGAATAATATAATGAAAAGAGCACATGCCTTGTAATGAGTCAAATAGAGCTTAGAAGCATGGTTCCACCCCATCACACATCAGGCAAGTTAGCTAATATTTCTGAATCTTATTTATTATCTTTTTGAAATGGAGATTAAAAAACAAACTTGGCTGGGCACGGTGGCTCATGCTTGTAATCCCAGCACTTTGGGAGGCTGAGGTGGGCGGATCACCTGAGGTCGGGAGTTCGAGACCAGCCTGACCAACATGGAGAAACCCCGTCTCTACTAAAAATATAAGATTAGCCAGGTGTGGTGATGCATGCCTGTAATCCCAGCTACTCGGGAGGTTGAGGCAGGAGAATCGCTTGAACCTGGGAGGCGGAAGTTGCAGTGAGCCGAGATTGTGCCATTGCACTCCAGGCTTGGCAATAAGACTGAAACTCCATCTCAAAAAAAAAAAAAAGTACCCACAAGCAGAGTGTGTGATGTATGGTAAGTGCTCAGACTTGAAGTTACCTAGGACAGCACCAGTTAGAATGAGCCAAGCCGTCTATCAAATGCTCAGCATGTCTTATTTCATTGAACCATCACAACAGCATTATGAGACTGATACCATTACTGTTGTCATTTTCCAGATGAGAGAAACAAGCTCAAGAAAGATTTCATGACTTGCCCAAAATCACACAGCTAATAAGTGTTATGACTGGGATTTTTACCCAGGCAGTCTGATTCCAGAGCTTGTGCTTTCAACTGCATGGTACCTATAATGTGTAAGGTAGAGCAAACATATATTGCAATGCTGGTTTGGATACACAAATATAATATTGTTGGAACAGAACAGGGAATCCAGAAGTGGAATAAAGACAGGTTTAGGAAATATGATAAAGGCGGTATTTCAGCTTAGAAGAAAAAGGATGAACTTGCTATTGAATACATTTTCTTGGGAGTAATTAGCTACTAGTTAGAAAATTAAAATTTAGTTCCTACTTTACATCATATAAAGAAAAGTAGCCAGTTGCAGTGGCTCACGCCTGTAATCACAGCACTTTGGGAGGCCGAAGTGGGTGGATCATTTGAGGTCAGGAGTTTGAGACCAGCCTGGCCAACATGGTAAATATTAAAAATACAAAAAATTACCCGGGCGTGGTGGAGGGCACCTGTAATCCCAGCTACTAGGGAGGCTGAGGTGGGAGAATCACTTGAACCCGGGAGGTGGAGGTTGCGGTGAGCCAAGATCATGCCACTGCACTCCAGCCTGGGTGACAGAGTGAGACTCTGTCTCAAAAAAAAAAAAAAGAAAAGAAAAGAAAGAGAAGTAAAGTAAACTAAAAAGTATTTAAAATTTATTGGAGAAAAGTCAATTATTGATTGGAGAAGATTTTCCTAATCATGAACGGAAATCAAGAAGATCTCTGTATAAGGAAAAACTAACAAACCCGACTACATAAACGTGGAGGGGAATCTTCTGTTTGGTCAATTAGAGCTAAATGAGTTACCACAGTATATATAACAATATAAAGAATTTCTACAAAATCAATAAGAAAAATTCAAACAAACTGATCAAAATATGGTCAAATGCTATGTTAAGACAATTCACAGAAAAAAATATTTTTGGCTGATAAATAGTAAAAGGAGCAAACTCTTCATAATAGTAAAAAGAAAGGATTTAAAATAGCAACAAGATTCCCTTTTCCACCTGTTGTCTGGAAAAAATCTTTAAAAAATGGACTACCTCTAGTGTTGGCAAACAGGTTGAGAAACAGGCACTTTTTCTTTTCTTTTTTTTGAGGCGAAGTTTCACTCTGGTTGCCCAGGCTGGAGTGCAGTGGCACAATCTCGGCTCACTTCAACCTCTGCCTCCTGGGTTCAAGCGATTCTCCTGCCTCAGCCTCCCAAGTAGCTGGAATTACAGGCGTCTGCCACCATGCCCGGCCGATTTTTTTGTATTTTTAGTAGAGATGGGATTTCACCACGTTGGCCAAGCTGGTCTCGAACTCCTGACCTCAGGTGATCCACTGGCCTCGGCCTCCCAAATTGATGGGATTAAAGGCATGAGCCACCGCACCCGGTCAAAACAGGCACTTTTCTACACTTTCAGTAGTATAAACTGATATAGCCTTTTTGAGCATTATTTGACTATCAATCAAAAAATATGTGTATTTGTAACCTATGACCCAGAAATGCCACTTTTGGAAACTGAACCTTCAGAAATACTAATGCCAGTGTGTAAAGATATGTGTATGAGGATACTTATTGCTGTATTGCTTATAATCATAGAAAATAGTCACAATTTAAGTAACCATCATTGGAAAATGGATAAATAAATAATGGTATAACTGACTATAAAACTATTATGCAGCCTTTGGAAAGAATGAGGCCCTGGAGAAGGGCCTTCTTTTTACTGGATGTGAAGCTTGAGGAGTGGCCACAGGAGAAGAGTGAAGATGGAGTTGTTGCAAAAGAATGCAGAGTTTATACAAAGTTATCATGTCCGAATCTGGATCCGGCTGGGAGTGAAAAGTGTTTATCACAAGCTTTTAAGTAAAAACAAACTATTGCAGAACAATATAAAAATAGTCCCAATGACGACCGTAAGGTAGTAAAAATTGAGTAAGGGTGGAGGAAATATTTTCTTTATACATATATACTGTTTTATTATTTTCAAAAAGTGTGTTTGAAATGCTTTTAAAATTATCTAGATTTCAAAAAGTGTGTTTGAAATGCTTTTAAAATTATCTAGAAATATTCCATTGTAATTTGTTAACAGTGGTTATTTCTGGAGAATTGGGCCAAGAAGGGTGGGTTAATGGAAGGTAGGATTCTGTTTTTAATTTTGTGTTCTTTATTGTTTGAAATAATTTGTGGTAAGTATGTATTAATTTTATGATAGCAAAAGCACGGAGAAAAAAATACAAAACAAAAAGCAAAAGAAATAGACAGAAAATATCATCTCTAAGGTCAGTAGCTTTTACTGTTTTTTCTTTAATCTCTGTCTCTCCAAATAGAGAGGATGGCTGAGAGTATATAAAAGCTGAACCTACTCCGATCAACCAGGCTTGATGGCATTTATTCTAAGGTACTCAGGGAATGGGAAGATGTTACTGCAAAGCCATTAACTATTATTTTTCAGTTCTTTGGAAGAATAAAGGAAGCCCTCAAAAAATGAGAAAAGGTCACCATTCTACTGAAAATGAAAAAAAAAGGAGGGGTGACCTTGGTTCTTAGAGGCTGGACATTTTTTACTCTGTTTTTAATCACTGGAAAGATATCAGAGAGATCCTTAAACAAGTAAAAATGCAAGTGCTAGGAGAAACATGAAGTCCTTGGGGGAGGGGAAGGGGTGATATCATAATGAGATGTGCCCTTAGTCTTTCTTTCTTTTTTTCAATAGGCTGGGAAATAGGTGGGGTTTGGTTACATGAATAAGTTATTTAGTGGTAATTTCTGAGATTTTGTTGTTCCCATCACCTGAGCAGTGCACATTGTACCCAATGTCTAGTCTTTCATCCCTGTCTTATCACACTCAGACAGGTGGAGGTGCTGGCCTTTTGAAGGTGGCTCTCAGCAGAGTCAAACACCCCATTCCTGGAGTCTGGTGAGCTGGGCCACATCCTCTCTGCTGCTTTTGAGAATGTGGGGGATGATTAGGGCTCAGTGGTAGAAACCCAGTTCGTCTGGCAAAAGCCAGAAAGGAAATGTCTTGGCTTTCTCTACTGAAACCCCAGCCGGATCCAGATTCTGACATGATAAACTTTGCAAAAGCTCTGCATTCTTTTGCAACAACTCCATCTTCACTCTTCTCCTGTGGCCCCTCCTCAAGCTTCACATCCAGTAAAAAGAAGGCCCTTCTCCAGGTCCATGTCAAGATGAACTGTGATCGGCTCTGATGGGAAGTGGTCACTGAATGATTTTCACTGGTAGTGTATTACTCTAATATCCACTTCTGTAACCAGTGGTCGACTCAACTTCACAAGGACCTCACGTCTCAAGAGTAGAGAAATTGACGCTAATAAATATTGAGATGGTACCAGAAACAGGGGGGATGGATGCAATAAGTGTATACAATAAGTATATACAATAAGTGTAATAGACACAATAAGTGTTTACTACAATCACATTGGACAAATTGCCAAAAATACCTGAGTCTCAGTTTTCTCATCTGTATAATGGGGGTAAAATGCCTATCTCATGGAATTACTGAGAAGGTTACAGTAATGTAAATGAGATCACTATAATTCAGAAGGCACTACCCAAGTAGAAGATATTAATATCACTATTGACCTTGAATGATAGGAAGCAAAATCCAAATAAACAAAGGAAAAGATAGAAAGACAAGGAAATGAATCCAGAAAAAAACCTATGTCATTCCAAAAGAAATGAACATGGCAGTGGAAATAAATTAACCTGGGCCACAACTTTAAAATTGAAGGGATAAAAAGACAAAACTATGGAGGCAGTAAAACCATCAGTGGTTGCCGGGGGTTATAGAGGGAGTGAGGGATGAATAGGTGGAGCACAGAGGGTTTGCATGGCAGTGAAAACAGTGGTGGAAATGTCATTTCACATTTGTCTGAACCCATAGAATATACAACACCAAGAGTCAACTCTAAGGTGAACTATGGACTTTGGGTGATAATGATGTGTGAAGTAGGTTCACCAGTTATAACAAACATACCACTTTGGTGGGGGAATGCTGATAATGGGGGAATAGATGAAGGGTTAGAATGACAATTTGCTGAGGAACTATTCCTGACATTGACATAGGAAATGTCTATCTGGAACCAGGAACCAGGGAAGTCTCAGTATGGTAAGAATGAGGGGAGCACTCAGTCTTGGCAGCCATAGATTGTAAACAGCAGTAGCAGCAAACAGCAGCAGGAACAGCAGGAACTCAAAATGACCTCTAAAGACAGACGTTAGTGTTACTCTGTAGGCAAGAAGATGCTGAACTCTCTTCTCCAACTGTAAATAAAGGCTTACGCAGCCTGCCTCTGTTCCCTGGTTCCCCGAATGGCCTTGGGTTGGCTCTACGTACATTTGGAACGATAAAGGCATTAAGGTTTGTTTTATGAAAAGCAAACATTTGTCCAACATTTACCTTATTAAGGGCTGCGTGGACACGGCCATTAGATAATACTTATTTCTCCAGAGGCAATCAACCTTTTTCACTCCAGTGATAGAATGGAGCTTCCATTAGGAGTAGCAGCTTGGAAGACCAACTTCTGATTTAAATCCCACCTCCGCCAAGACCTTGGCAAGTGCTCCAAAACCATCTCTGGGCTTCATTTTCCTCATCTATACAATGGCGGTAATGCATATATTCACTTTATAGGTATGGTATGAGAATTAAATGAATTAACACCTGGAAACTCTAAAGGGCAAGCGAAAATATTAGCTAAGATCATTATTACTACAACTAATCAATATCATTTCAACTAGGGGAAATTGCCCATCTAAAATCAGGATTGCAATGAGACTAAACTGGGCTTTTCTATTGCATTATTTTCTACACTGAAAAGTTTCCTGAGATTAAGAAAAGGAAAATTAGAAAAATTACTCTTTATTAAGGCCCATAAGGACCAGGACTGTGCCTTTCCTAGTTATTCCTTCGTTCTTACCACACAGAATAGTGGCAGACACATATTAGCTGTTCAGTGAGCTGTGTGTCAAGCAATTCTACTTGCATTGCTTCATTTAATTGTTACAATACTGGAAGGTAGCTGTTATAGCCATTTTACACATAACCCAAATAAGACAAAGACACCTTAAAAGAAACACGAATCACAATACGAAAAAATGCTCAATATCACTAATCATCAGGGAAATGCAAATCAAAACCACAATCAGGTATCACCTCATCCCAGTCTGAAAAGCTACTATCAAAAAGACAAAAAATAGCAAATACCAGTGAGGATGCAGAGACAGGGAGACTCTTATACACTGTTTGTGATAATGTACATTAGAATAACCTCTATGGGAAATAGTATGAAGGTTTCTCAAAAAGCTAAAAATAGAACTACCATACAATCCAACAATCCCACTACTGGAGATGTACCCAAACGAAAGGAAATCAGCATACAGAAGCCATCTGGACCCCATATTTATGGCAGCACTATTCACAACAATGAAGAAATGGAATCAACCTAAGTGTCTATCAACAGATGATTAAAGAAAATGTGGTGTATATATAAACAAGGGAATACTATTCAGCCATAAAAAAGAAATCCTGTCATTCATGGCAACATGAATGGAACTAGAAGACATTATGTTAAGTGAAACATGTCAGGTACAGAAAGATAAGTACTGCATATTCTCACTCATATGTGGGAACTAACAAAATGAGCTCCTAGAAGTAGAGAGTACAATTATGATTATTAGAGACTGGAAAGGGAAAGATGGACAGGAGGATGGGGAGAAGTTGGTTACAGGATACAAAATAACAGCTAGATAGGAGGAATAAGTACTAGCGTTCTGTAGCACTGCAGCATGATTATAGTTAACAATAATTTATTATATATGTCCAAAAAGCTAAAAGAGAAGATTTTGAATGCTCCCAAAACAAAGAGATAATAAATGCCTGAGGTGATGGATATTCTAATTGCTCTGACTTGATCATTAAGCATTGTATGCATGTATCGAAATATCACTCTGTACCCTATAAATATGTAAAATTATTATATGTAGATAAATATATATATATATATATATATATAAACTTTTTTAAAAAAGAACAAGAACAAATTAGACCCCATGGCACTTAACACAACATAAATCTTTATGGAAGATTGTATTGGGGTGGGAGCAGGATGAGAAGGTTGAGTAGATGATGGGAAAGAAGGAACTACCTTGCAGAACCCACCTAGACCCTCTTTCCACAACTCAAGATTCCACTCATCAAGGAGCTGCCCAACTCATCTCTCCTCCCTCTTCATATCGCCAAACTTTCTCAGCCACCTAAAATTCTGTCTCTCTCTCTCTCCTCTCCACTCCCAAGTCTTTTTCCCCTGTGGGAGTCAAATATCTTCCTTCTTTGCGCTGCTCCCAGCCAGTGACAGTGTGATGGGGCTACCAGAGCCCAGCCATTCCTGTCCACAAGGCTGCTTTTGGTCTGGGTACAGCCTTTGGTCTGGGTGCCCCAACAGCCTAGCAGACTTCCTCAGAGCTGCACTGTAGCCTGAAGCTCTTCTTGTCCAGCCTTCCTTCCTTCTCACTCTTTCTTCACAGATACCAAACCTCCCTCCTGCTCCTCCTGTTCCCTCTTCCTTTTATCCTACAGATACTTCCCCCAATAAATCTTTTTTCTTCTAATTCCGTCTTGGCCTCTGCTTCTTGAAAGATCAAAAATGATACATCTTCTAAGGCCCAGCTTCATGATCCCATGTCTTTGTATTTTTCAAGGAAAGGAGGCTCCCCCTTGCTCCTGTCTGCCTCATCACCTCCACTTACATTTTTCCTAAATAGTGTAATCCAGCCTCTCTTCGTTTATTTAATTCTCCTTTTCACCTCTCTCACCCTGATGAAACCCAGCCAAAATCCAATAAATGATCAAGCAGGCAAAGAATCCTTGCTCATTGCAAGTGTGTTCTATTGTTGCATGTGTGTGTATGTGCGTGTGTGTTTAGAAAACTGCAAGTATTCATAATGTCATATCTTTTCTTCTTTCTCTGTCACATGAAGATAAGGGACCTAAGATTCCAAAGGGTCAAATAACTTGGCCAAGGTCACACACTAAGCACATGATGCAGTCACTTTCAATTCCAGGTCTGGCTGACCAAAAAGCCCATGCTATTTTAACAAAACCATGCACACACTGTGAATGCAAGTGTGTTTGCTGGGACATCAATTGGTGTTTAGGATTCAGATGCATCTAGAGGAGTAGTGGGGAGAATCAGACCACGACCTTATTTGCATAAAGAACTGAGGATTCTCCTGGGAGAAAACGTGTCCCATACTAGAGTCAAGTGCACAGGTATGATCCAAATGTAGCTGGATTAGCATCGGGGAAAAGTTTGAGCCCATGGTTCCATAGTCACTTTCACAATCTGACCTTTGACCTAGCCTTTAAGGACTCATGCCTGAGTCCTAGGAAGAATGATTTATAATAACAAGCCACTTTTCCATATATTAACAATTACGAAAATTGTTCAGTGTTATCACAACTAGTTTTAATAAAGCAGAAGAAAACCATCCCAAGCGCAGAAACAGCGTGGATAATACTAATCACGAATACAAGTTCCTCTCAGTCTAGCCAGAAGCAAGAGCAGGCTGGATAGTCTGAGGAGCCAGTGCCTTCAAGTGAGGGAAATTGCCAATAAGACAGGAGCTGGAGGAGGGCAAAGAGGATAATGAAGTAAATATTCCAGAGAGCAGCTGCCCACATCTCCTGTGGTGCCAAAAATACTGAGGATATGCTCAGAATATTCAATGCCCTATAAAATGTTCTCCATGTGGCCAGGCATGGTGGCTCACACCTGTAATCCCAACACTGAGAGCCTGAGGCAGGAGAATCACTTAAGCCCAGGAGTTCAAGAACAGCCTGGACAACATAGGGAGACCTTGTCTCTACAAAAAAAAAAAAAAAAAAAATTAGCTGGATGCGGTGGCTCACACCTGCAGTCCCAGCTACTTGGGAAGCTGACATGGGAGGTTCACTTGAGCCCAGGAAGTCTAGTCTACAGTGAGCGGAGCCACACCACTGCACTCCAGCCTGGGCAACAGAGCAAGACCATGTCTCAAAAAAAAAAAAAAAAAAAAAAGGTGTTCTCCATGATCTACAAGCAACAAAGAACATTCTATGTCAGTGATTTCCTCCCCTTTTTTGTTTTGTTTTTCTCATTTAAAATGGAGGTGGTGCTTCCTAGCTTTTGACAGCCTTGTCTTTGAATTCAATCCCCAGCTTGGCACAGTCCTGACATGTGGACTGTGTTTAGTAAATGAATGAGAGCTAGTCTATTTAATGTAAACGCAGCCCATGATACTCTAAACAATTTGGAAATTAAAGGAAAGAAGATAACACCCATACCCCTTTCCCCAAGCTCCTAAGCTAAAGGAAAGTGTAACATTTTTTCAGTCGGTCTGAAAACCTGTGCATATGCTTTTGTTATTTCCTGGCTAGGGTCATCCTCCAGATTCCATGTTGATTGGTAAGAACAGCAGCCAGTTGGCATCACGGAAGTAGGCACAACTCCAGACAGAGGCATGAGCCATTTCCTTGGTCCTCAGTTTATAGAGGTCATTCAGAACGGCTGGGGATTTAGAGCATACTGTACATTCTGTGGCCTCCATTCCTCTCACTCCACCCTCTCACAATAGAATTTTTGCATGGTAGCCCCATCAGATTCACCAACCCCAGAAATACTCTCATCCCACCCCTAGTCCTCCTTCTTCACTGCTCTCTCTAATCTGCAAGCCCCAGGGGAAAGGTGCTGAGGCCCAGCTCTGGGAGAAAGGGAGCTTCCTGTGTGCCTACTGCCCGGTTAAGGCAAGAGAGACTGTGACATGGACTCTCTGAGCTGTAAGCCTGGAAGCAATTTGCTTCCTGAAATGAGAAAATTCCAGCAGGCCAGTCTGGGAGGATCAGTCCAGCCAGAGGGGAGGAGGGGACAGAGGGCATCAGTGAGGTGGTTTTCCCTGAAATACCACCTCCAGTAGGAAGCGCCACAGGCCCCAGGCCACAAGTCCCTCCCAGCTTTACCCGGACTGAGGGCTTGGGTGGGCTTCGCTGACGGATCGCACCACTGCTGAGCTGGTCAAAGGCCTGTTAGAAAGACGTGGATCTGCATTGTGTCAAGATTCCACAGAGAGAAAGACAAAAAGAGCCTTTTCTTCTTATCCCTTGCATTTGGGAAGTTTGTCAAGAATGAAGCAACTCAAATAACATCACGAAGTGTGGCTGCAAGGTCTAGCATAACCACATTTCATTGACAGAGCTGTGTTTAAAATCACAGATAAAAGGAAGAGCATGAGGCTTGAAATATTACACACAGATTATTCTAAGAGGCAGTGTGCCTCTTCCAAAGTTGGTGGGGGGCAAGAAAAGTGTCTAGCCTGGTTCTCTGTACACACAACAGCATGCCAGTCTGGATGAAAGGAGCCAGTGGTACCACGTTCATCATGGTGAAATGAGAAGATCATCAGTAGAAGCGTATGAGGAAAGAAGGGAAGAGAGCGGATCACCCTGACGCATTACTAAGAGTCGGAGTGTAAGTGAGCAAAGCAGTGCTAGGACATAGACAAACAGGGTTAGGTGCCCTCTATTTTTTCTTTCAGGGCCTCTGTCCCTAAGTCCCTCCAGATGGCCAACTCCCTACTGGTTGTTCTACTTCCTATACCCCAGTCTATACTCGGATGGCCTTGAATGTGGTTTATTCTAAGTAGAATGTGTAAGAGCCCAATATATTCTCAGTCCCTACCATCTGCTGTTTGTTTGTTTGTTTGTTTTGAGACAGAGTTTCACTCTTGTTGCCAGGCTGGAGTGCAATAGAGCAATCTTGCCTCACCGCTACCTCCGCCTCCTGAGTTCAAACGATTCTCCTGCCTCAGCCTCCTGAGTAGCTAGGATTACAGGCATGCACCACTGGGCCCAGCTAACTTTTTGTATTCTTAGTAGAAGCAGGGTTTCTCCATGATGGTTAGGCTGGTCTTGAACTCCTGACCTCAGGTGATCCACCTGCCTCGGCCCCCCAAAGTGCTGGGATTACAGGCGTGAGCCACCTCGCCCGGCCAGTCCCTACCATTTGTTTTTTAATATGGTGGAAAGACGGAATCTGGTGCTGTGGAAGAGAGGCCATTCTGAAGCCAGGAGGGAAAGACCTGGAGGGGGCGTGCCTCGCAGTGCCCCGCAACACATACAATGATTGATAGCTGTCTTCTTGGCTCTGGATGTCAGGGAAGCACTTGGCACTCTGAAGGGTGCAGGGAGGGGAGTTAGATGATGGGAAGCCTGGGAAAGGGATCCTATCTCAAGAGAGAAAAAAGAGAAGAGGGTTTTTTAAATAGGATCCATAGTATCAAGGTTAGCATGCTTCATATGGCCTTGCTGGAAAACAGTTTGGCAACTCCTTAAAAAGTTAAGCATACGCTTATCATGAGACCCAGAAATTCTACTCTTTGGAATATCCTAGAGAAATGAAGACTTAGCTTCTTACAAAAACCTGTACAAGGTTGTTCACAGAAGCTCTAATTCATACTTGCTCACAACTGGAAACAGCCCAAATTGTCTTCTATAGGTGAATGGATAAAGGCACCGTGGTACATCACCCAAAGGAATACAGCTCAGCAATAAAAAAGAAACTATTGACACACGCAACAAGGGTGGATCTCAAATGAATTATGCTGAGTGAAAGAAGCCGTTCTCAAAAGGCCACATACTGTTTGCTTCCATATAAGACATTCTTGAAAGACAAAGAGGTAGTGATGAAAGGCTGGCCACAGTGGCTCATGCTTGTAATCCCAGTGCTTTAGGAGGCTGAGGCAGGAGGATTACTTGAGGCTAGAAGTTTGAGACCAGCCCAGGCCCAAACATAGAAAGACCCCACCTCTACAAAAATTAAAATAAAAAACATTAGCTGAGCATGGTGGTGTGCCTGTAGTTCTAGCTACTTGGGATGCTGAGGAAGGAGGGTCACTTGAGCCCAGAGGTTCGAGGCTGCAGTGAGCTGTGATTATAGCTGGGTGATCCACTCCAGCCTGGGTGACAGAATGGGGCCCTGTCTCCATAAATAAATAAATAAATAAATAATAAATAAAGATATTGATGGAGGACAGACAGATGGTTGCAGGGGTTGGGGTAAGAGAGAGTGTGACTCTAAAGGGTAACATTAGGAAGTTTTTGTGATGATGGAACAGTTCTGTATCCTGATTGTGGAGGTGATCACATGAATCTATGTGTGTGTTAAAATTCATAGAACTCTACGAACACACTTCCCAAAGTCTATTTTCCTGTATGATGATTTGAAACATTATTTTAAAATTTTGACTACAACTCAAGAAGGAGTGCTTGATATGGTTTATGGAGACCCGGATACCATTTCTTACCAGATATGGTTTTGACTAAGTTTACCCACCCACCCACTCATCCATCCATCCATCCACCCATCCTTCCATCCATCATCCATCCCTCCATCCTTCTCCCATGCATCCATGCATCCATCCCTCCCTCTTCCATTGATTTATCCATCCATCCATCCATCCATCCCTCCATCCTTCTTCCATCCATCCATTCACCTCTCCATGCATTCATACTAGGCAGGCGTTAAGGATGCACAGACAAAACTTGAGGCTTCTGCTCACAAAGAACTCATGCAATAGGGGAGACCAAGACATATACACACGACTTGAGCATAGTTTGATAGAGGTTTATACGTGGTGGGATGGAGGCTTCTACAAGGAGACCCCATTCCGATGGGGAAGGTCAAGAATGTCTTTGCCCTCAGAGCATCTGTTTCCTCAATTGAAAGTTTGGAGGAAATAGTTTTTATTGCCCTCACCTATTCTGGAGGCTTTTTGGGGGAATCAAGTTCATGAGGAAGGTCTGTGACCTAGAGAGCATGGTTGGTTACATAGGTTTATGATGATTCCAAATCAGAAGCTGTGTGGTCGCTCAGAACAAATAGGTGTCTTTAAGAACAATGACTTTGTAGGCAATGTTACAGGGGGAAGAGGAGGACGAATGTCTCTCCATCTCCCCAGGCTGAGGCCATTATTAAAATTATTTCTATAAATTTGCTTTAAAAGTTTTTTTGAATGAAAACAGAATTTACTTCTATTCAGGCTTTCCCCTGCTGTGCTAACAATTTGGTTTCTATAAAATTGGCTGCAAGTGAAAATAAAAACGGCCTATGGTAGAAGTTATAAACTAAAATCAGATGTGATCTTTTTCTACCATTTATCTTAAAAGATCTCTCAGACTTTCATTTTTGTTTCCCTGTGGAAAATAGAGCTAGAACCGACAGGTAGGAGTTATTTTGGCTTATACATGGAAAAATCTTCTAAAAATTAACAATGAAGAATAATAATGACCTTTAAGCACTTATCGTATGTCAGGCACTGGGTTGAACATTTTATAATCATTATCTCATTTAATCTTAACAACAACCCTAGATACTAACAACAACAGTAGATACTGTTACTACTTCCATATTACAAAAAAAGGACTCTAAGGCTCAGAGTGGTATTTATGCAAGTCATGTAGAATGTCAATGTTAGTGCCAGAATTCCAGTCTAGGTGTGTAACTTACACGGACAGGAGACAGACGGAGAGAAAATATTTGTAACATAGCTAATAAATGTTTGGTCAGAATATAATACTGCAGTCATAAATCAAAAATGAAAAGAAAATGCTCAGAAAAATGAGTATAAGAAATGAGCAAGTAATTCACCAAATAAAAAATACAAATGATCAATAAAATACAAAAAGATGCTCAACCTCACTAGTAACCAAAGAATGCAAACTAAAATCATGAGATATCATTTTTTATCCATCAGTTTGGAGAAAAGTTGAAAAGATTGATAAAAGTCATGGTTTAACATGCAAAAATTGTGAGTTTTATGCATTGTTAGAGATAATACAAGTCAGCACCACCATTTTTAACAAAAGTTTGGTACATTTACATTTTTTTAAATGCACATATTCAATGTCCCAGCAATTCCAGTGTTTTGGTGTTTCTTCTGGAGAAACACCTGCTTAAGTACTGGAGAAAGGTGTACAAAAGTGTTCACTGTGGCTTTGTGAGATCAAAGAGCTATTAGGTTGATGTAAAAGCAATTGTGGTTTTCGCCATTACTTCCATTAAAAGTAATGGCAAAACCTGCAATTGCTTTTGCACCAACTTGATAAAAACAACTTAAAGTCATCTAGTAAGAAAATGATAATAGTGTGGGGCATCTATCTTATGGAATACTACACAGTAGCTTAAAAGGATATGGAAGACCTATATAGGCTGAAAACCTCTAAAATGATTCTTAAGTGAAAAAATGAAAGTTGCAGGGGGAAGAAAGATGTAATGCAATATCATTTGTGTAAACTCCTCATTAACACACAACCATAGCAAGTAATGTCTGTGGATACAAAATTAGGTATTTAATGTATAGAAAAAGAATATAAAATGAAGTGGTAACAATGGTTACTTCTAGGAAGGCATCTGGAAATAATTGGTCAAAGGAAATTTAGACATCAATTCTAAGGTTTGAATTTTCACTAGAGAAGATGTAGTCCTCTGTTGCTTATAACTAACAATGAATACTTTTTTTTTTTTTTTTATTGAGACAGAGTCTTACTCTGTCGCCCAGGCTGGAGTGGCAGTGGCGCGATCTTGGCTCACTGCAACCTCTGCCTCAGAGGTTCTTCTTCAAGTGATTCTCCTGCCTCAGCCTCCCAAGTAGATGGCAGGCACCTGCCACCAAGCCCAGCTAATTTTTTTAATTTAGTAGAGACAGGGTTTCGTCATGTTGGCCAGGCTGGTTTCAAACTCCTGACCTTAGGTAATCCGCCCCCCGCTGCCCCGGCCCCCTGCCCCTCTCATGCCGCCCCGCCTCAATCCACCCCCTGCCCAACCCAAGCCTCCCAAAGTGCTGAGATTACAGGACTTGAGCCACCACGCCCAGCCAATACTTTTTTAAAAAGAGAAAGAAACAATGTGTGGCTGACTCCAGAGCCTAAGTATGTTGTTATATTGATTCTTAACCTATGGTTTATGGTTAGGTTTTAACAAGTTCATGAACTTCTAAAATTGTGCACACATTGAATGTATGTTGGGGTACAAATATCTTTTCTTATATTCACAATATTGGATTCCAAAGGAAATCTGTCTTAGTCAACTTGGGTTGCTACAACAAAATACCACAGACTGGATGGCTTATAAACAACAAACATTGATTTCTCACAGTTCTGGAGACCAGGAAGTCCAAGATCAAGGTGCTGGCTGACTCGGGTCTGGTGAGGGCTGCTTCCTGGTTCATAGATGACCGCCATCTTGCTGTGTCCTCATGTAGCAGAAGTGGTAAGAAAGCTCTATGGGGTCTCTTTTATAAGGGAGCTAATCCCATCCAAGAGCACTCCAGCCTCATGACCTAATCATCTCCCAAAGGCCCCACCAGCAAATACCATCACCTTGGGGGTTAGGATTTAACATATGAATAATGGACAACATAAACGTTCAGTCTATAGCAAGATCCAAGACCCCAAAAAAGTCAAGGACAATTTTGGTGGCAAATGTTCCTGTTCTGTTGTGGTCTTAGGAAAGCTACTCAGCCTCTCTGGAAAATGAGGATCACAATAGTACTTACCTCATGGAGTCGGGGTGAGGATTAAGTGCATCAATGTGTATAAAGCATGCAAAATGGAAGTCAATAAATATTAGTTATTAGTATTCCTTTTGTTGTTGCTGCTGTTTTAAATAGCTTGGAAAGATCATGCCACTCAAGAGACTTGAATTTTTGAAATGGTTATATCATAAGTAAAATAGAGGGGTAATTCTATCCAGTTTGAAAATCCTACAATTCCAGACTCTTACATCTTCTTCCATATATAAAAATGATAAAATGACATCAATCCTCCCATCTGCTCATTCTTTTACCCCACAAACATTTAGCACATGCTTACAATGCACTAACTATTGCAGAAATAAATGGAGATACAAGTACAGCAAATGTGGTTGACAGTGCACTGCTCTTAAGGAGGGCAGGGCCCATCGTGGTGACAGACCGACCCTGCAGGCACAATGACATCACTGCGTAGTAGGCCCTGAGACTCTGTGCTTGGGGCTGTAACTATTCTGTGATCTGTAAATGCCTGTCGAAGATAAGTTACTTTCAAATCCAAGCTTTTATTACTGACAAGAGTAGAAATAATGTTTTCCTGACATTTCTCCTTTAATTGACTGGTTCATGAAAGGGTTGAAATCAAGTGTTCCATTCTGGCTCTCCCTTCCCAGTAATCAGGCCAGATAAGCATTATGGTGTTTAAACATTTCAAGGCACTTGTGTTTCCAATTGCTTTCACTTTTAAACCAGTTAATGGATTCGGTAGCTGTTACAATCCCAAAATAGCAAGTGGACTTGTGGGTGGATCAGATGCCACTGGGCACAACTCTAAATGGTTCCCGTAAAAGCCACGAAGCTTGTTCCCCACGCCTCTGAGGAATGTGATCCTCAGGGTTTTAGCGACCCAGTGGTGCCCAGCAGCCTCCTCCTGACATGATGGGAACATAATAACAGTGGTATGGAAGGGCACTGGGCTGGCTGAGCTGGGACATAGACCTCCCACCACCCCAGGAAGACTCATCCGTCTCTTTGCATCCTCTGATATTCCTGGGGGCTTTTGTCTGTTAATTTCCAGGGGAAAAGGGGGTTTGGATGGGGCAGTGCAGCAGGATAGCAGAGAGATGGAGGGCCACATTGGGCCTTGGACTAGATTTGAGGTCTGAAGTTGATGGGACTGTTTTCACAGGCGGCTTTCTAGGGTCTAACACAGTGGGGCTCCTTTGGTGCTCAGTCCCCACTGCTGCACACTGGTACGGGAGGATGAGCCACTACAGGATAGTGTCCTTTCGTGCGAATACATGAAAGATACAGAGACAGTGTCCTTTCCATGGTCCATGGCATTCTCACGATGAGATTCCAGTGGTTCAAGGTAGAACTTTTCCGCAGTGGGATCCAGGGCAGGGGATAAAGTCAGGGGTGGCATGAGGTAGCAATAGCTAAGAGGGTGACTTGCAGGTGTACATGAGGCCTGCCTTGAGGACTCCCACAAATAAGTGGAGGATGCCTCATGGTGGGGCAGCAAGCTGTGTGAGAAATAGAACAGCAGAATAGAACATCTGACGGAGGGTTTGTGCCCGAAAAATGGTGCTTTTTTCCCTCATCTCTCTAGAACTCAGACAGAACTTTCCCTCACATGCACCACCTCACGGGTTCCTAACGCAACCCTGTGAGGTTAATATTATGATCTGCACTTTGTGGAGGAGGAACTGGAAACGCAGAGGGATGAAGGTCAATGGTGGACCCTAACTGAGATCAGGGCAGTGAAGATGGCCCAATAAAGTGGCACACTGGAGCTCCATATGCTCACTGCGTAGCAGTGCCTCTTGGCTTTCTTCTCTGAGTGGTCCTGGAGAGCCTAAGAAAGAGTGAGAAAATTCTAAGCTAATTCTATATTGGCTTTGTGTTGACTCCCACGTTAAGAGAACCTCCAAATACCTCCCCCAGGGCCTGCCATACATTATGAAATTTTATTCAGAGATTCATGTACTTGAATCTTAAAGACTCATAAGCCTCCTCCTCAATTGTACTGAAGACCAGACCGGAGTGGGAACCAGTTTTTGGCCTCCATTCCCAACCGACTCTGGAGACTGTTACAGTGAGACTTTGTGCTATTGGAGTTGGCATCAAGCCTACTTGTGTCTGAGTGCTGATTCTGCTATTATAATCTCTTTGAGACTCATTTTCCTTATGTGCAAGTAGGAATTATAATACCTACTTTCTAGCAGTTTGGTGAGGAATACTGACCAACACTTACACTGAGGAGTTACTGTAGTGACATGCAAAGCACAGCTCCTGTCTTCATGGAGCTTCCATCTAGTGTGCAGACAGGTGACCCAACAATCACACAAATTGTGATGAATACTGAGTGTCAACTTGACTGGACGAAGGATATAAAGTATTGATCCTGTGTGTGTCTGTGATGATGTTGCCAAAGGAGATTAACATTTGAGTCAGTGGGCTGGGAAAGGGAGACCCATGCTTAATCTAGGTGGGCACCATCTAATCAGCTGCCAGTGTGGCTAGAATATAAACAGGCAGAAAAATGTGAAAAGATTAGACTGGCCTAGCCTCCCAGCCTACATCTTTCTCCCATGCTGGATGCTTCCTGCCTTCGAACATCGGACTCCAAGTTCTTCAGTTTTGGAACTTGGACTGGCTCTCCTTGCTCCTCAGCCTGCAGACGGCCTATTGTGGGACCTTGTGATCATGTGAGTTAATATTTAATAAACTCCCATATATAGATGTATATATATTCCATTAGTTCTGTCCCTCTAGAGAACCCTGACTAATACACAAATACACAAATCAATATTACAAACCACAGTAAGGACTGCTAAAGAAAAGACCAGGGACCTGTGTGGGCAGCCAATGGGGAAACTTGTTTTAGTCTAAGTCCAAAGACAGATTTCCCTGAGGAAGGGCATTGGTGGGTGGGAATTCATGAGGGTAGGACAGTCCAGACAGACAGAAAACATGTGTGATGACTCCAGGTGAGAGGAAGGGAGTGCGCTAAGAGCATGGCACGGGGGAGAAGCAAGTCTATAGCACACACAGAAAGGAGATGGGGTGAGGAAGAGTGTAAGGTGAGGCCACAGAGGGAGGCAGGGGCCGTCCAGGTCGTTGAGGGACTCACCAGAAAGGTCTGCAAAGTCAAGTAGGGAATGACATTCTGGCTGCTATTTTTAAAACACCACACAGGCTACTGCATGGAGGAGGGACTGGAGGAGTCATAGGGAAAGCGGGGACCTCCAGCAATTCCCCCTGGGAGAGGTGAGGATCACGTGCACTAGGGCAACAGCAGGAGAGATAGACAAAAGTGGAAAAATGAGGCAGAAATTTGTCTTCAACCCATGAAAGGACAAGACCACTTGATTAAGTCCCAGTGAGTGGAATTCGTGGTAAGGGCTGTGGAGGTTGAGAGAAAAAACCCAGCAATGAGGGCTGTAAACTGGAGGAGGCTGCTGGGAGGTGGATTGGAGTTGGGCCCTAAATAATAGTAGACTCTGGGCCGGGTGCAGTGACTCACGCCTGTAATCCCAGCACTTTGGGAGACCAAAGCGGGTGAATCACTTGAGGTAAGGGGTTTGAAACCAGCCTGGCTAATATGACGCAACCCCATCTCTACTAAAAATACAAAAATTAGCCGGGAGTGGTGGCACGTGCCTGCAGTCCCGGCTACTCAGGAGACTGGGCCAGGAGAATTGCTTGAACGCAGGAGGCAGAGGCTGTAGTGAGCTGAGATTGCATCACTGCACTCCAGCCTGGGTGACAGAGAGAGGTGATATTTCAAAACAAATAAGAATAGTAGACTCTGGGCTAGGTGCAATGACTCATACCTGTAATCCCAGCACTTTGGGAGGCCGAGGTGAAAGGATCACTTGAGGCCTGGAGTCCGAAACCAGCCTGGGCAACATGGTAAGATCTCATCTCTACAAAAATAAAAATAAAGTTAAAAAGGAATAGTCGACTCTGATGAGGTGGTAAGGAATCAGACAGGCACACTGAGCCGGGGAAATATCACCATGTCCCAACCAATGTTGGAAATATCACCAGCGTTGATGCGAAAGCTACCGTGATGTATCCAGACTATATTAATAGCTGTGGAGTAGTGTGAGAAAAAAAGACTAGAAACTAAAATATGCAGACTCTCATTTACAGTGTTTCTGTTCAAATTAGGCTGAGAGAGGCAGAAAATCAATAACAGCATTGGCTTTTTGAAATAAAATCAATTTTTCTTCCTTACATTAATGAAGTTTAAAGGTAAGCAGTTTAGGTCTAGCTAATATACCAATTCTAAGATTGCCAGGGCCGGGTGCAGTGGCTCACGCCCGTAATCCCAGCACTTTGGGAGGCTGAGGCAGGTGGATCACTTGAGATCAGGAGTTCAAGACTAGCCTGGCCAACATGGTGAAACCCCGTCTCTACTAAAAATACAAAAAAATGAGCCAGGCATGGTGGTGTGTGCCTGTAATCCCAGCTACTCAGGAGGCTGAGGCACGAGAATCACTTGAACCCAGGGGGTTAAGGTTGCAGTGAGCCGAGGTCACGCCACTGCACTCCAGCCTGGGTGACAAAGTGAGACCCTGTCTCAATAAATAAATAAATAAATAAATAAATAAGATTGTCAGGAATCCAGGCTCCTCAAGTGTCTTGTTTCATTCCATCCAACACAGGCACCCATCTCATGGTACAAGATAGTATCTCCAGCTCCAGCGGTCACATCTTCATTCTAGCCAGAGGAAAGATGAAAAGGAAAGAAAAGGGCATGCTCCCTCTTTGTAAAGATGCTTTCCAGAAGCTACATGTTCATTTCTGCCTACCTAAGTTCTGAGTGGTCAGAACTTAGTCACATGGCCCTATCTAGCTGCAAAGGAGGCAGGAAAATATTATTATTAATGCTAGGCAGTTGTGTACCCAATTAAAAATGGGACACCCTATTACTAAGTAAAAAGAGAAGGGAAGGAGTTTCTGCCACACACATACATTGCAGTTTATGACAGTGATTTGCAAATTAAACATCATTCTCAGTTCTTCAGAGCTCGTATCAGGTGATGAGAAAAACATTAAGACCGCAATAACTGCCCTGTCTGGAATGATCTTCTCCAAGACTGTCCTGAGACTCTTTCCCTCAGAAAGGCCTTCTTGATGACCCATCACTCTCCATCCCTAAACCCACTTTGTTTCCCTTCACAGCCCTTTACACTCTCTGGCATAAAACTCTATTCAGTTATTTGTTTATTGTGTGTCCCTCATAGAATGAGAGCTCGGTAAAGGAAGGGAATTTGTTTTGTTTGCCACGGTGAACAGCATCTGCCCCAGTTCCTGCTACAGAGCAGATGTTCAATAAATATTTGTTGATGGTATAAAGAAATGGGCAAAGCACAGAATTCCTAAAAGATGCTCTGGCTTATCTTAGATTTTGGTAAAGAAGAAATGCAACTAGTAAACAAAGGCGGGAAATAGTGAGCATCTCTGAACATAAAAGACCTGCATATTGCCCTTGCACGGTGGCTCACACCTGTAATCCCAGCACTTTGGGAGGCCAAGGTGGGCAGATCACATGAGGTCAGGAGTTCAAGACCAGTCTGGCCAAGATGGCGAAACCCTGTCTCTACTAAAAATACCAAAAAAAAAAAAAATTAGCTGAGCATGGTGGCGCACGCCTGTAGTTCCAGCTACTCTGGAGGCTGAGGCAGGAGAATCGCTTGAACTCAGGAGGCAGAGGTTGCGGTAAGCCGAGATTGCGCCACTGCACTCCAGCCTGGTGACAGCAAGACTCTGTCTCAAAAAACAAAACAAAACAAAAAAAAATTAGCCAGGCGTGATGGTGGGCACCTGTAATTCCAGCTACTCGGGAGGCTGAGGCAGGACAATTGCTTGAACCTAGGAGGTGGAGGTTGCAGTGAGCAGAGATCCCGCCACTGCACTCTAGCCTGGGTGACAGAGCAGGACTCTGTCTCAAAAAGGACCTGCGCAAATTAAAGCAATCATGAGTACCTTTTTCAATTATTAACAAAATAAAAATGTTAAATTTGGATTTAAGTGTTAAAATGTCCAGTGCTGACAAGAGTATAATAAACTAGAAAGGTGCAGTGGCTCATGCCTCTAATCCCAGCTATTGGGGAGGCTCAGGCAGGAGGATCACTTGAGGCCAGGAGTCTGAGACCAACCTGGGCAACCTAGCAAAACTCTGTCTCCAAAAATATTTTTTAAAAGTGGCCAGGCGCATGCCTGTAATTCTAGCTACTCAGGAGGCTCAGCCAGGAGGAGAACTTGAGGCCAGAAGTTTAAGGCTACAGTGAGCTATGAATGCACCACTGCCTTCCAGCTTGGGGAACAGAGGGAGCCCTCATCTCTAAAAAAAATGAAATAAAATGGGCCAGACTTAGTGGCTGTAATCCCAGCACTTTGGGAGGCCGAAACAGATGGATCACTTGAGGTCAGGAGTTCGAGACCAGCCTGGCCAACATGGTGAAACCCCATCTCTACTAAAAGTACAAAAATTAGCCAGGCATGGTGGCAGCTGCCTGTAGTCTCAGCTACTCAGGAGGCTGAGGCAGGAGAATCTCTTGAACCTGGGAGGTGGAGGTTGCAGTGAACTGAGATCGCCCCACTGCACTCCAGCACTTCAGCTTGGGTGACAGGGTGAGACTCCATCTCAAAAAAAAAAAAAAAAAAAAAGGAAATAAGCCAGTACTATTAAGTAGCAGCCTTATAAAATAGTATGATTTTTTTGGAAAGCAGTTGCCCAGGCCTGCCAGGTAACCAGCTCCAGGGGATCATGCACCTTGCGTGGACAACTTTATGAGGTTACATTTGCATTGCATTCAGTGTGAATGCTGTAATTGGGCTGATGGCAGCCCTGAAGTTACCAATGTACATCAAATGTCACAAAAATATGTGTGTATGTGTTCCCTTTTGAAAACAAAAAGCTAACAATAAAACCTAAATATTGACCGGGCGCACTGGCTCATGCCTGTAATCCCAGCACTTAGGGAGACCAAGGCGGATGGATCATGAGGTCAGGAGTTCGAGACCATCCTGGCCAACATGGTGAAACCCCGTCTCTACTAAAAATACAAAAATTAGCTGGGCGTGGTGGCATGCACCTGTAGTCCCAGCTACTCAGGAGGCTGAAGCAGGAGAATCGCTTGAACCTGGGAGGCAGAAATTGCAGTGAGCCGAGATGGTGCCACTGCACTCCAGCCTGGGCGACATAGTGAGACCCCGTTTCAAAAAAAAAAAAAACCATGATCATGGAGTAATGTTAAGTGAAGAAAAGACATATGCAAAATAAATATACAAAATATGATGGATGTATATAAAACATTTTTTAAATTCTCCGGATGATAGGGTTATAGATGTTTTTACTTTCTTATCTAAATTTTTTTAAAAAATACATTTTTCCATTATGCTGCAAAAACCATAGTTCTCATTTTGAGAGAAAAAATTTATCTTAAAATTACATTTTCAAAAAAATTGGTAAGTAGAATAATTACGGTATATAGAGTATTATTCCAGTTCTCTCTTTTTTTAAGAATGTATTTAGAGGAAAAGTCTGAATGGATAATCACCAAACCATTAACAAAGGTTATCTTGAGACAGTGGTATCAGAGTTGGTTTTAATGTTCCTATCAATATATTTTTTGCTTGTTATTATCATTTATTGAGCCCCTATGACATGCAAAGTGCTCTCCTGGGTGCTTCACACACACACACATTGTGAGAAGAAAGGTCCCAGCTGCTCTGAGGTGTGCGTTCTCGCTGCAAATCCATTTTACAGTTGAGGAAATGGAGACTCAGAGAGGCAAAACTGCTTGCCCAAAGCCCAGCTCCAGTTTGCTAAGTGACATCTCCAAGTAGACACAGTACTGGCTTTCCTCTGTTCAAGGAGAAGGGATCTATTCAACAGCAAAGGTCCACTATGCTTTTTCCAAGGAGGGCAGCCGTGGGGGAAGAACTTGAAAGGGTGGTTGCAAGCTGCCTTCTGTGGGCACCAGGGGTGCGCGAGAGCCTCAGTGCATTAACTTTTCCCAGAGCAACCAAGCTTGGCCAGCGTGCAGTGAGGAAGAGAAGTCCCAGTCAGCCAGTTCCAGAAGGCTGAGAAGGCTAGAAGGAGGAAAACAGAAAAACCCTAGCAAGTGGCACTCTGAGTGAGTTTGGGAATAGAGTGAGGAATGAGGAATTCAGGGAATGACAATCTGAGCAGCAGAGTGTACGGAGAAACTGCAGAGAGGCGAGAGAATTTTAAGAAATGTCAGGCTGCCATATGAATTGAGTCTCCCATAACATGAAATTGCCTGTTCACTACCTCTGAGTGTCTGAGTTTCTCTGAAAGTGGCACCACATTAAGAATGAATCATGTAGGGCCCCAAAATATATTTGTGTTATATTTATACCTATTTTTCTTTATTATTTATTTATTTATTTATTTGAGATGGAGTTTCACTCTTGTTGCCCTGGCTGGAGTGCAATGGCGTGATCTTGGCTCACTGCAACCTCCACCTCCCTGGTGCAAGTGATTCTTCTGCCTCAGCCTCCCGAGTAGCTGAGATTACAGGCATGTGCCACCACACCTGACTAATTTTGTATTTTTAGTAGGGACAGGGTTTCTCCATGTTGGTCAGGCGGGTCTCGAACCCCCAACCTCAGGTGATCCACCCGCCTCAGCCTCCCAAAGTGCCGGGATTACAGGTGTGAGCCACTGCACCCAGCCATTATTTTTCTTTATTTTTAAAAAATTTGCAATTAGCATGTGATTAATATCATCGTGAGGGGGAAAGTACATATAAATCCTTTAGGTGTTTTAGAACAACTGTTTCTTAACATGGAGAATAGCTTGGAGAACAGTTAATAATTTTATCATCCAGGAACCCATGGAGATTGCTCATGTCTTTTCCTTCCAGGGCAGGGTTTGACATAGAAGAGAGTCCCCAATACTGAAAGAGTTTTGTGGACTGCAGGAGGCATGTAGGCTTATGCCCTGTGTGTCTGTGTGTGTCTCAGAGAGAGGGGAGGCATTTATGCCATTCCAATTCAATTTAGTCCATTTGCATCAATTCACCTGGAACTGTGCCTAATCACAGGTTAGGTCTCCAAGGTGAGAAGGCATTTCCACTTTGCCCAGCTACTCATCTTCTGTGTCCCACAGAGGACAGCCATTTTATGAGGACAGAAATTCCATCCACTTGGCTCACAAAATCCCTAGCACCAAATACAGCACCTGGCACTTATGATGCACTCGCTATAATGTATGTTGAGGAATGAAACAAGGGCTGACACTCTGGAAGTGCATCAACTTTTCCCTTGAAAGTGCATTGGAATCTTTCACTGCAATTCTCTTTTGTTAGCTGAACTCTTAGGTCATATGGTGTATTAGTCTGTTTTCATGCGCTAATAAAGATATACCCAAGACTGGGTAATTTATAAAGAAAAGAAGTTTAATGGACTCACAGTTCCACATGGCTGGGGAGACCTCACAATCATGGTGGAAGGCGAATGAGGGGCAAAGTCACATCTTACATGGCGGCAGGCAAGAGAGAGCATGCGCAAGGGAACTCCCCTTTATAAAAACATTAGCTCTCATGAGACTTATACACTATCACAAGAACAGCAAGGGAAAGACCCAGTCTCATGATTCAATTACCTCCCATCCAGTCCCTCCCACCACAAGTGGGAATTTTGGGAGCTACAATTCAAGATGAGATTTGGGTGGGGACACAGACAAAGCATATCACATGGGCTCACAAATTCAAAGTAAAAAATCCAGAGATGGCCAGAAAAGGAATCAGTGGAATAGAATTATCAATTGGTGTAATAAGCAATGAAATATTGGCTCCTCTAATTTTTACTGTTTATTCGTTCATATTTACAAAGCACATACTATATGCCAGATATTGTGGTAGGGTATTGAAGATATTAATACAAGCCCTTAATATGGCCATGAAAATGAGATAAATAGAGCATCCCTAGAATTAATCTTACCCATTAATAATAACAAATAGTATCCAGCACGATGTTCCAGGCATTGTTCTGAGTTGTCTCCATGTATTGTTTTATTTATAGTAGCATTATTTTATCTCTATTTTACAGATGAGCAAGCTGAGACTCAAAAAGGTTAAGTAATTTCTTTGTTCATGCTTCCCAGCCAGCCAGGGGTGAAGATCAGGCTTCAATTTCTGCCTTCTGATAGCTCCCCTCACCCTCTTAATGGTTCCCAGGGAGTTTCCCCACAAGTGATCCTGAGATCACAGGTCTCCAAATCCCCAGGGATGCTGGATAAAAATGCAGATTTCCAGGCTCGGGGCTGAGGATCAGAATCTCCAGGAGGAAAGTCTGGAAATCACCATTTTTAAACCACTAACCCAGGTAATTCAGCTGTGCAGTAAAGTTTGTACAAAATAGCACTCAAATATGCTGCCATCCCCCCAACCATGAGTTGACAAAATCACTAGCATCCACCACATCTCCCACTCTCACTTCCTGCCAACCAATGAGCAGGAGGAAGAAACAGAATAGGAAAAAGGGAAAGGGAAGGGAAGGGAAGGGAAAGGAGAAACTTGTCCCAAATTGGACTCCATTTTGGTTCAGGGCAGGTCAATGCCCAGCCCTCTGCTCTTCTGGTTCTTGGACTTACAGAACCACTGTCCCCCCAGCTTTTGAAGCAGGTGCTGATGGGCCTGACAAGCCTCAGCAGGAGGCACCCTGAATGGCTGGTGATGTCTGCCCAGCTGGAGCAGTTGAAGCAGCAGCCAAAACCCTGGATGCTCATCCCTTCCCACATCAGAACACAGCTGCTCTGGGTCATCGCCCAGTGAGCAGGGTCCATCATCTGTAGACAGGGAAGATTCAGACAAAAGGACTCATAGCAGGAAGGAGGAAGAGAGACGAGAGCCCTGGCTCCAAACAGGCTACATGATGCTAGAATAGGGAAGGAAAGCTCCATGCCATGGGAAGTGGCGTGAGGATGGGGTCTGCAGGGTCCTCGAGGGGAAATCCACCACTGGTTCTCACCAGCAAAGCATATGGCCACTGTGAGTCCCAGCCTTCTCATTTGTAAAACGAAAATAGCCATTATCGTAGGAAGGCTATGAATACTGCTGCCTGTGATTTATTGAACATTTTTTGTATGTCAGACACTCTATTGAGTCAATCGTTCAATCTTCATAACAAATATCTATTAAATCATTCTGATCCCCATTTGACAGATGGAAATGAGTCTTAGGTTAAGAAACTTGCTCAGGCTGGGCGCAGTGGCTCACACCTGTAATCCCAGCCCTTTGGGAGGCCAAGGCGATTGGATAACTTGAGGTCAGCAACTTGAGACCAGCCGGGCCAATTTGGTGAAACCCGTCTCTACTAAAAATGCAAAAATTAGCTGGTTCTGGTGGTGCATACCTGTAATTCCAGCTACTTGGGAGGCTGAGGCACGACAATTGCTTGCGATTGGGAGGTGGAGTTTGCAGTGACCCTAGCTCATGCCACTGCACTCCAGCCTGGGCAACAGAGCAAGACTTCGTCTCAGAAAAAAAAAAAAAAAGAAAGAAAGAAGAAAGAAGGAAGGAAGGAAGGAAGGATGGATGGAAGGAAGGAAGGAAAAGAAAGAAAGAAAGAAAGAGAGAAAGAAAGAAAGAAAGAGAAAAAGAAAGGAGGGATGGAGGGAAGAAAGGAAAGAAAGAGAGAGAGAAAGAAAGGAGGAAGGGAGGGAAGAAAGGAAAGGAAGGAAGGAAGGAAAAGAAAGAAAGAAAGAAAGAGAGAAAGAAAGAAAGAGAAAAAGAAAGGAGGGAGGGAGGGAAGAAAGGAAAGAAAGAGAGAGAGAAAGAAAGGAGGAAGGGAGGGAAGAAAGGAAAGGAAGGAAGGAAGGAAGGAAGGAAGGAAGGAAGGAAGGAAGGAAGGAAGGAAAAGAAAGAAAGAAAGAGAGAAAGAAAGAAAAAGAAAGGAGGGAGGGAGGGAAGAAAGGAAAGAAAGAGAGAGAGAAAGAAAGGAGGAAGGGAGGGAAGAAAGGAAAGGAAGGAAGGAAGGAAGGGAAAGAAAGAAAGAAAGAAAGAGAGAAAGAAAGAAAGAGAAAAAGAAAGGAGGGAGGGAGGGAAGAAAGGAAAGAAAGAGAGAGAGAAAGAAAGGAGGAAGGGAGGGAAGAAAGGAAAGGAAAGGAAGGAAGGAAGGAAGGAAGGAAGGAAGGAAGGAAGGAAGGAAGGAAGGAAGGAAGGAAACTAATTTGCCCAGTATTTCCTAGCAGGTAACCAGTGAAGCCAGGATTTGATCCCAAGTCTGTCTGATGCCAAAGCCTGTCCTCCCAATAACATCCACAGCTTCTCCAGTGTCCCTTCCCCTTCTTGTTTCTGTGACTAAATGCCCCAAACCATGTGGTCTTCATGGTTTCAAAGAAAAGAGGCACCACTGTCTTTCCAGCCCCACACTGACAGTAAAAATGCGTTAGTTCCTCTGTGTCTGGCAGAGACTCAGCAAGATGTAGCATGCAGCTCTGCCAGTGGAAGCATTGTCAGTACACAAGGAGCCCCACGGGTATCTAGCAAATGGACCAAGTCTCAGCACAGCCAAGCAGGGCGTCAGAAACGCAGGTTTCACAGCCATTGTCGTCTGCTTTCCAAAGGGTCTGAACTGAGGACATAATCTGTGCAATGGAGGTTGAAGGGCTTTCCAGCACCACAGAGCTTCATGGAACACCCAGGACCCTGAGATGGCCCCCCTCTCTGATCTCACGTCCTGCTGTTTGCCTCTCACTCACTCCTACTTCTATCTATTTGTACCTCAATGGGGCCACACTCATTCCCACCTCAGGGCCTTTGCACTTGCTGTTACCTCTGCTAAAAGTGCTCCTCCTTTTGCCTGGGAGAAGCTGTCTTGGGATCTTCACAAGACTTTGTCCTTCTTGTGGTTCAGTCTCAGATCACAGTCCCCTCCTTAAGAGACCTCTCCTGACTACCCCTTCTAAATCAGCAGCCCCAGGCCAGGTGCAGTGGCTCACGCCTGTAATGCCAACACTGGGAGGCCAAGGCAGGAGGATTGCTTGAGCTCAGGAGCTTGAGACCAGCCTGGGCAACATAGCGAGACCTCCTCTCTTCTAAAACTAAAAAAATCAGCTGGGCTTAGTGGTGTGTGCCTGTAGTCCCAGCTACTCAGGAGGCTAAGGTAGGAGGATTGCTTGAGCCAGGGAGCAAGGCTGCAGTGAGCCATGATCGCGCCACTCCACTGCAGCCTGGGGAACAGAGCAAGACCCTGTCCCCGCCCCCCAAAAAATCAGCCCCTAATCTGTTTGTATACATCACATCTCCCTGCTTTACTCCCTTTGTAGTACTTACTACCTGAAATAATTCTGCTCATTATTTGCTGACATGCTAGAAAAGTGCCTGGCAAATGATTGACTCTCAATGAAGATGTGCTGAATGCAAGGCTTCATGAATGAAGAGGAAATCTCACTAACGTCTTTTGTAATAAGGACCCAGGTACCTATGTTCAAAAGTGCCTCAATCCTAGTTAACAAGGGCAGAGACCACGAGAAACAACACTGTGTTTAGTAGCAACTTAACAACCAGCCAGCAGTTCTGTCCACACACACACCACCGGGCATGGTTCCAAAGCTAAAAAGGCACTAATTGCTTTTCTATAAGGAGGTAGAACACAGTCCCTCCGTGTTCTTTAGGCCTGATGGTCTGCATTATCGGATCTGTTACCGTGTTAATTGTTCCTGTCTCACACAGCCGGTTTGGGCTTTCTTCTGCATATGTCTGGGATGGTGACGGGTTCCTATATAGAGGAGTACTGGGGAAGCCTCTGTGTGTGTGTGTGTGTCCGTGCATATGTACACATGTGTGTAAAAAGCAGCCACACGCTGAGAATGGTTAACGGGTAGCCAGGCTGTCTGTACTCAGGGCCCTAAGACTGGCCCAGGAAAGGGCCGGGGGAGGTGGGGCGGGGTGAAGGTGGAGCGGGCTTGGCTTGTGCTCACTGCCTTTTCCACAACAGGAGTACAAATGCTGGAGTGAGTGAGGTGAACTCAAGTCGCCTTTAGGAATGGCTGAAAAAGCCCACACCTGGAAATCACTCCCTCCCTGCTCCTCCACGGCAGGTTGCATCTGCGAGACGCTTCGGTCATTAGAGGAATGAGCCGGGAGTGAGCAATTCACCAGCTCTCCAGCACTTGGTGGAAAGCAGCAGGCAAGGATGGATGTGGTTGACAGCCTTCTTGTGAATGGAAGCAACATCACTCCTCCCTGTGAACTCGGGCTCGAAAATGAGACGCTTTTCTGCTTGGATCAGCCCCGTCCTTCCAAAGGTAAGTGTCGGAAGCTGTTATTTTAATTCAGGAAACTATTGAGTTGTGGGAGAAATCAGCAAAGGCAAGGCTGATAAAAAATATATATAACCAAGTCATTGTGAGACAAGGCTAGATAAAGTCATATGTTCAGAAGTTTGGAGAAGA
Source organism: Homo sapiens (assembly GCF_000001405.40). Classification (NCBI taxonomy): domain Eukaryota; kingdom Metazoa; phylum Chordata; class Mammalia; order Primates; family Hominidae; genus Homo; species Homo sapiens. The sequence continues at coordinate 26,490,008 of NC_000004.12, read as the reverse complement.
GATTAAAAAGCAGAATAGAGTCAAATATTCTTATTGTCCCCCATGGGGGAGTTGGGCATTCATGAATAGGACTTGGGGGAACAAAAGCAGGGGAGGAAAAGCTGAGTGAAGCAAGAGGGACTACAAGTGTCAAAGCCTGAACTTACAAGCACAGCAGAAAAGGTGTTGTCACCATGCAGCTGTTTTCTTTTCTTGGGGGGAAACCCAGCATGAAGTGATTAAAGTGAAATAATGCTTAGCAGCCAGGAAAGAAAGTGATCACTGTTCACTTGAGGAGCTTTGTTCTTAAGAAAAAGTGGTTCCCTGAGTGATCCTTTAACAAACCAACCTTCTAAAAAGAAAATAATTCAGTCTCTGCTTTCCTCAATTTGTTTCCGCAAAATGTTGCCAGGACAGGAATCGTGGGTCCAGTGATGTACACCCCGGTGGGGGGAAAATCGGCAGGAATTCACCCTTGGCTTCGGTTTTAGCATTCTGCTGTCATCACCTCCATCCCTCCGTCTTGCTCCTGTTTCTCTCTGCAGAGTGGCAGCCAGCGGTGCAGATTCTCTTGTACTCCTTGATATTCCTGCTCAGCGTGCTGGGAAACACGCTGGTCATCACCGTGCTGATTCGGAACAAGCGGATGCGGACGGTCACCAACATCTTCCTCCTCTCCCTGGCTGTCAGCGACCTCATGCTCTGTCTCTTCTGCATGCCGTTCAACCTCATCCCCAATCTGCTCAAGGATTTCATCTTCGGGAGCGCCGTTTGCAAGACCACCACCTACTTCATGGGTAAGTTGCTGCTGGTGACTCTTTCTGGAGCTTGCCCCAGACCCCACTCAGCCCCAGACCTTCCCAAACCTCTGACAATCACAGCAAAGGAGCCCTGCTGAGGGCTGAATCACAGAACATCAGGCTGTGCATGGCTGTGTGCACGGACATTGGTGCTGGCTTGACAGTCATCCTTATACGTTCCCCACAAGTCGGTCCCCATCATCCATGTTGGAGGTCAGTTTCTAAGAGTGAAATAAATTGATAGGAAAACACAGGGGCAGTTGATTTTGCTTGCTTCTATTTGAAGGGAAGAGGGACTTGCTTGCTTCTGTTTGAAGTCAGAAGTGACTTTAAGCTGCTCTATCCCTTTCTGGAAGCTGTTGACTGTGTCCTGATCTATACACAACTTGAGTCCTGGCTTCTAGGGAGGGTGAGGATGATGGAGGAGGGTTCTTTGCAGTTGTTTCTTTTGTTTTCTTAGGGAACAGGGGCTATTTGAAAACCAGTTCTATCGCAGTTTCAGATTCTCTTCTCAGGATTCACTTCCCAGCCTGTTCTCCCCAAAGCTGGGGCCATCTCTGGCAGAAAGAGAGAGAGAGAGAGGTCTCTGCCCCTAGATGAGGAGTTGAATTTGCTCCTGGGGGCTATGGGGTCGCTAAGCTGACCCTGATTGGCTGAGATATATAGCTCTTTGCCTATGCCAAACAAAAATGATGATAATGAAAATCATAAGAGCTAAATTTTTTTAGCGCTTTTATGCACCCCATGTGGTACTAAGTGCTTTGCCTTCCATGATCTTACCTTATCTCCCAACCACTCTATGAAGTAAATGCAATGATTCTTCCTTGTCTCCCTAAGGAGGAAACAGAGGCACAGAGAGGTCCATAATGTGCCTAGAACCACACAGATGGTAAGCAACAGAGCTGAGATTTGAGTCCAGATTTGTAGCCACACAATGGTGAGCATGATACCTCAGTTTGCCAACTGCTGTGGTTCTCTTAAAGTTGAACAAAAAAACACATTTCTTGGTCCCCTCTGGGTGCCAGATTGCCTAGTCCCTTGCCCTTTCTGAGAATTAGTTGGGAGAAGGGCAGAGATGGGAAATAAGAAGGGAGTTATTTTTTGTTCTGACCCAAGCCTTGCAGAATATGCAGAACTGAGTTAGGCTAGGGCAGTCTTCAATGACCAGAAAGCCTTATAAGTCCTCATTTTTCCCAGTTGAGGAAGTGGGATTCCACACTGACAAAATGATGGTGAATTACTGACCCTCGTGCCACCAAAAACCAAGAATGTGTCAATCCATGTCCAAGTCCTCTGAAAAAAAAAAAAAAGACAAAACTTACAAAGGAAAAAGATCGTTGTTAAATAATGAAGCAATAATAATAACTAGCACTGTAGACATCCGAGGCCCATCCATATATATCTTATGGTAATACTATTTGGGAACCTTAACCAGAGAATGTGAACCGAGATTTTAAATGAGTGTTTTCATGGTGGCAAAACATTGTGAGTGCCACAGAGTTGTTCAGTTTGAAATGAGGTTAATTTTATGTTATGTAAATTTCAACTGCATAAAAAATATTTTATTGGGCAAAAGAAAAGCAACATCATTCTGAAAGTATTTGCAATACCATAATAATTTTGTTGGATTTTTAATTCCAATAATTTAGGCTCTTCTCTTAATTTTGCAGTCTCCTCAATACTAATAATTAACATTCATTAGCTCCTAATTTGTAGCAAAAAGAAAAAGAATGCTTGCCTGCCAGTGAGTTTATAGTTATTGATGATCCATTATGCAGAACTGAGTCTTAGAGATTTTTGGGCCGTACTCTTCACTCTAAATGTCATCAACTCTTTAGAGTAAAATCCAGTAAAACACAGCAAATCCTATCCCCAGAACATGAGTTTTTAGTTAATGGTTTGGGGGTCATAGACTTTTTTAAGACTCTAAGGAAAGCTAGAGCTAGGCTCCCTAGAAAAATGACATTTTTGGATATAGTTTCAGAGAATTAGTTTATATCCATAAGAATAAGGAGAATCTAAGGACCCCAGTTTCAGGACCTCTGCTCCCAAATTTATATTAATTCTGAGGTTTAAGAAATCTTGGTAAGAGATATTCAGAAGAATTGACAGAATTTATAGCAGAAGGACTCTACAGGGAATTTTAAGGGAATAATAGGACATTTTAATAAGTATGCATATACAAATACAAAAATAATGGAAGTTAAGCTTTTTGGGCAATGCCGAAGCACATGATTTTGTTCATTTTTTATTTTAATTTTTTTTCCATAGGCCATCTAAGACCAAGAAGTACATGATTTATTTTATTTTATTTTTGAGATGGAGTGCCGCTCTGTCGCCCAGGCTGGGGTGCAGTGGTGCGATCTTGGCTCACTACAACCTTGGCCTCCCAGATTCCAGCGATTCTTCTGCCTCAGCCTTCCAAGTACCTGGGATTACAGGCACGTGCAGCCATGCCTGGTTAATTTTTGTATTTGTAGTAGAGATGGGGTTTCACCATGTTGGCCAGGCTGGTCTCAAGCTCCTGACCTCAAGTGATCTGCCTGCCTCGGACTCCCAAAGCGTTGGTATTACAGGCATCAGCCACTGCACCCAGCCAAGAAATACATGATTTTAAATGAGGTGCATTTAATATCTTCCTCACTGTAATGGTGATGCTTGCTCATTCTACAAAATACAGAAAAACAAAAACAATAAGACAAGAGACTTTAGTCCCCAACCCAGAGAAACCTTTAGTTACTGTATGGGGCATTTTCCCTCGTCTTTTTTACTACTTATTTTTTCAACAAGCTGCATTTTGAAATATAGATTGTTTCACTATTAAGAACAGTATGTACTCAAAATTTTTAGAAAAAACCTTCATGCCTCCGGCTCACATCACAGTGACCTTTCAGGGTCACAGAGCCCTTGAGAATCTCGGGTTTTAAAAATCATTTTAACTATGCAGACGATACTCAAAATTACAGCTTTTCTTCAGATTTTAGAGAAACCTCTTCTGTGGGGGCAAGAATGAATTTCATCCCCTTGGTTATTAATTAATGAGCACCTTGAGCCTAAGCAGGTGTTAGGTGATAATCAAAGCTCAATAAACTTATTAAAAATTGGCAATGAGATATATTTACAAAGCCATTTCTTTAACTGCCTTAAACCCTTTCTGGAACAAAGCTGAGAATAAATCATCTTTTAAAAATATACATACACAATATTTCTTTACCTTCCAAGCGTTTTCCTTTGATATCAAACCTGTGCAGATCAGATATATTCAAGCTAATGTGCAAATAAACTTTGGATTTCAGAGTCAACATAACCGGCTTCTTTGTTCCTTTCCCAGGCACCTCTGTGAGTGTATCTACCTTTAATCTGGTAGCCATATCTCTAGAGAGATATGGTGCGATTTGCAAACCCTTACAGTCCCGGGTCTGGCAGACAAAATCCCATGCTTTGAAGGTGATTGCTGCTACCTGGTGCCTTTCCTTTACCATCATGACTCCGTACCCCATTTATAGCAACTTGGTGCCTTTTACCAAAAATAACAACCAGACCGCGAATATGTGCCGCTTTCTACTGCCAAATGATGTTATGCAGCAGTCCTGGTAAGGTTGCATTGTTTATTTTTAAAAATACAGCTTGATGTAATTTTGCAATATCATGAAAAACTGAGATGCCTTGCCCAGAGTGGTTGGGGGATCAGTTTCCTGGAGACGTTTTGAGAAGGTCTTTCTAGCCTCGTTCTAGGATAATCACGATAGCAAACACTTAGCTGGCGAGCTCTGTTTTAAATGCCATGCATATATTCATTCAATCAATCCTCTGAAAACACTCTAAGATAGGTATTATTATTATTGTGTCCGTTTTGCTGTTGAGGAAACTGAGACTTGGAAAGGTTAAGTTTCCCAATTCACAAACTTAAGGAAGAGGCAGAGGCTCTGTGCTTAATCATTATGCAGTATGCTTCTAAATGCTGTAGTGGAGGGTTAGGCTGATTAATTGTAGAGCTATGATTTTCTTTCTTTTTCTTTCTTTTTTTTTTTTTTTGAGACGGAATTTTGCTCTTGTTGCCCAGGCTGGAGTGCAATGGTGTGACCTCGGCTCACCACAACCTCGACCTCCCGGGTTCAAGCAATTCTCCTGCCTCAGCCTCCTGAGTAGCTGGGATTACAGGCATGCACCACCATGCCCGGCTAATTTTTTTGCATTTTTATTAGAGGTGGGGTTTCTCCATGTTGGTCAGGCTGGTTTCGAACTCCTGACCTCAGGTTATCCACCCGCCTCGACCTCCCAAAGTACTGGGATTACAGGCATGAGCCACCGCGCCCGGCCTTCTTTTATTTAATAAAATCTTTACTTTAAAATAGAGATTGGGTCTCACTATATTGCCTAGGCTGGTCTTGAATTCTTAGGCTCAAGTGATCCTCCCGCCTTGGCCTCCCAAAGTGCTGGAATTACAGGCATGAGCCACTGCAGCTGGCAATGATTTTCTAAAGAATTAAGACAGAGCAGGGAATGAGTCCCAAATCCCACATGGTTTTTCTTAGAGCTGCAGCAGCTCCGGTACTTACCCAGAGCATTTTACCAGAAATAAAAACGCAAGTTTCTAATACTGGTTCCTTTGCTTACTAACTGCACACCTTAGGCAAATTCACATAAGCTCTCTGAACGTCAGGTTCCTTATCTCTATAAGGAGTTAACAATGTGGATATTTTAAAAATCTACCTCATTGGGTGGCTGTAAGATACCAAGGAGAGTATGTTCATAAAAATGTCATTATAAAAAAGGCTACACAAATTGCAGGGTATTATATTTACCAATTGCAGGGATGTTTTAGAAGCAGGGAACTAGACATTGAGTAACAGCCCCAAACTGAGATCATCTCTGCTTTTTTTGCTTTCCTCCTTTCATTTCAACCAAGTAGCACACACACAAAGGAATTACGTTGCAAATGAGAGGAATATTTCCAAGGCTTGAAAAGGAATCTTATCAAAACATGTCAAATTGAAGTGAGAAATGGCCCAGCCACCATGAGCCTCTGACAATTTTATGGCCTAATCGTGTAACCTCACACATGCCAGACTGCAGAAGTGATTTAGGGGCCAGACTCATAAAGAAGGAGGCTGTGATTCTTCAGTAATCAAAGATGTTTAGAAAAAGCATAGCTCTACCCAACCAGGCACTAGAATGATGATGCCACTATGCTAGCCTCACAGGGTCATGGAGAATGGACGCCCACGTAAATGTTTGAGCTGCTTATGGGTTGGAAACAGCCAGAATGGCATGTTTTGTAAGACCCAGAAGGTTTTCCATTGTCCCCACCTAAGCATTTGATTACTCTGTTGTTTGGCAAATGGTATACCGTGATGCTTAAAAGCATAGCTTCTAGGTTCTGGAATCATATTTTGGGGGTTCAAATTCCACCTCTGCTACCAGCTGTGTGACTTTGGACAAATTATTTAATCTCTTTAAGTCTCAGTTTCCTCCTCTCTGCTGTAGGTATTAAGACAATAGCACCTACCTCAATGGTTATTATGAGAGTTAAATGTAGTGATGTATGTAAAATGCTTAGCCTATATGTAGCACATAGAAATCCTCGATGTATGTAAGTAATTTTTAAGGGTTTTTAAAACAGCTTTATTGAAATGCTATTCACATACTCTTATTTTTTAAAGCTTACATTCTTTTTCATACATAGACTTCTTTCAAGCACAGAATTACGCCAAACTTTTCCAATTAAACTAGTCCTTCATCAGAGACTTCATCTAAAAAAAGAAAAGAAGTAAACAACTTATAATGACTGAATCTCCAGACATGAAGTTGCCAAGGATATTAAATACTAGTAATTAATGTGTTTGCTCAGGCCAGTAAAAATAAACATAAACCCTATTCATTCCTTCCCATTTGAGTTTGAAGGTCTAAAGTTGCTGGTTATTGGATTTCTTTTGATTTCATTAGGCACACATTCCTGTTACTCATCCTCTTTCTTATTCCTGGAATTGTGATGATGGTGGCATATGGATTAATCTCTTTGGAACTCTACCAGGGAATAAAATTTGAGGCTAGCCAGAAGAAGTCTGCTAAAGGTAACTATCTTGTAGCTGTGTGTTTATGCCAAATGAGCACAAAAGCTTGTTTTCTATCATTTAAATAGATATACCCAGAGTGTACGTAAAGTTTGTTGGAAAAGCTTTTAAGTATTCTTATGAGATTCTGTGTCAAGAAGCACAGTCACGGGCCCAGTATTTCATTTTCTTATCTGTAAAATGGGGAAATCATTCCTTTCAAAAGCATTCTGAGTGGAATAAAGTAACCCACATATAACCCAATAACAAGCCAAGGCCTTTTCTGTGCCAGCTGTTCTGTAGTGCTGTATTCAAACAGACCCCTTTCCATAACCAGAGCTACTTGTAATTCCAGCCTGTTTTGTGTCTCTCCAAAGGTACTGGAGGGGATTTGATTCCTAACCCACAGCCGGCTTTTTGTTGTCTCCTCCTCATCCTCTCTCCTTTTTATTTTCACCCTGCAGTGGCCACAAAGCCTCATTCCTTCTCCATTCATTACAATCCACTGTCCATGAAAATTGACCTTGACACCCTTGTTGACATAGCTTTTCCCTTCTCACTCCATGCCCTAACTCAGCTGTCTACTACACAGATAACTGAGTCTCTCTAGCTTCTTTGGTTTTCATGGGATTTTTTCTTCTTATCCAGATTCCTCATCATAAAAGCAATCTGGAATCTTACCCAGCAAGCAGGAACCTTCCCTCTGGGGAGCTAATGAAGGAAAGGAGAAGAGTGTGAATATTCATTCTTTAATAATTTTTTTCTTGTAACCTACATCCATAAGATGTTGTTTTTATTATATATTTTATTCATTTTAAGCAGCATTTCATTGAAGGGAAGAACTAGTATAGATCAATGCTTACCCATATCAGTGTAAGGCCAGGTTGTCTGCCATTTCTCAGTTCCTGTTTGGTTTGGACTTCTTGATGGAGGGGAGTGGGGGCTCCATGCCTTCTACCGGGCATGACCCATCCCCAGCAATGAGTGATGTCTCTTGCCCACCCAGAAAGGAAACCTAGCACCACCAGCAGCGGCAAATATGAGGACAGCGATGGGTGTTACCTGCAAAAGACCAGGCCCCCGAGGAAGCTGGAGCTCCGGCAGCTGTCCACCGGCAGCAGCAGCAGGGCCAACCGCATCCGGAGTAACAGCTCCGCAGCCAACCTGATGGCCAAGAAAAGGGTGATCCGCATGCTCATCGTCATCGTGGTCCTCTTCTTCCTGTGCTGGATGCCCATCTTCAGCGCCAACGCCTGGCGGGCCTACGACACCGCCTCCGCAGAGCGCCGCCTCTCAGGAACCCCCATTTCCTTCATCCTCCTCCTGTCCTACACCTCCTCCTGCGTCAACCCCATCATCTACTGCTTCATGAACAAACGCTTCCGCCTCGGCTTCATGGCCACCTTCCCCTGCTGCCCCAATCCTGGTCCCCCAGGGGCGAGGGGAGAGGTGGGGGAGGAGGAGGAAGGCGGGACCACAGGAGCCTCTCTGTCCAGGTTCTCGTACAGCCATATGAGTGCCTCGGTGCCACCCCAGTGAGATGTCCCCTGACCCTCCACCGCAGAAGGAAGGCAGGGAGGAGGCAGAGAAGAAAGAACGGAAGAAGAGATCAGGAAGAGAAGGAGCAGAGCTGATGGAGAAGGAAGGCTCCATCTCCAGTGGGAACTCTTCAAGGTCTGCTTTTCATCCTTCATCTGGATTCCAGAGCACTGCTCCAGTGGGGCCATGATTGGTTTCTAGGCAGTTCAAAGCAGGATATGTTAAGTAACACTCACCATCAGAAAATCCTCAGCAGGCCAGGGACGGGAGTCCAGCAGGGCTCATACTGCAAATGGAGTTGCCAGCACATGTTCAAAACGGAGATGTGGGGCCTACTGAGCTTTCAAACCTTCTAGAACATCCAAGGTGGGCTCTCACTCCTCCTGTGACACATTTCCATGCTCTGCTTTTTCTGCTCATGCAGAATTGTGGCGGTTGCTCTGCCTGCAGGGAGCCCATCACCCTATCATGTATCCGCTGTAGCCTTCCACCTCATTGTGACCACAAAGGGAACAGGAAGCAAACCCTCTCTGGCCATTTTGTCCTGGGTACGACAGCAGCCTGATTTCTTCATCTTCAGGTTGGCCAAGAACATTCGGAGTCATAAGCTAGTTGTCATCAGAATAGCATAAGCAATGTCTGAAAGATGGAAGTTTGAACTTAATACTTACTTCTTTTCTTTTCTTTTTTTTTTTTTTTTTTTTTTTTTTTTTGAGACTGGGTCTGGCTCTGTCACCCAGGCTGAAATGCAGTGGTGCCATCTCAGCTTATTGCAAACTCTGCCTCCTGGGCTCAGGTGATCCTCCCACCTCAGCCTCCATAGTAGCTGGGATTACAGGCATGTGCTACCATCTGGCTAGCTGTTTGTTTGTTTGTAGTTTGTTTTGTAAAGATGGGGTTTCACTATGTTGCCCAGGCTGGTCTCAAACTCCTGGGCTCAAGTGATCCTCCCACCTTGGCCTCCCAAAGTGCTGGGATTATAGGCAAGACCCACCACACCCAGCCTTGAATTTAGCATTTCTAAAGAGAAAAGAGTACAAGGCAAATAGCTGGATGGAATGCTATCTTACTTTAAGGAATGTTAAGTGGCAGAAGGTGCATGGGAATATTTTTTCTATTTTAATGATATATATTACTTAATTTCTCCTTTATATGGTGATATTAAACCTCATGACTTCTTTGCCTCAACTCAATTTCTCATATTCATCTATATTTCTGTCTTCCCAGAAAAGATCTCCGGGAACAAAGGAGCATTGTAAGTTACATCTACCTGGCCAAAGGTAGAAACACGTATAATCAGGCCCAGAATTAAAACCGGCATACTTGGACTCAGTTAACAAATAGCTTTTGAATGTCAAAGCTGTCCATGCCTTTAAATGCAATCTATATGCTTGCTAATAATTTGCTAATTTTATGTATACGTGTAAACAAAACATAAATTATGTTCTTTACATATAAATATACTCTTTGGTGTTCTTTAGAAAAAAGAATAGTTATTTTTTTTTATAGGAATAGTTATAGGAATTCAGCTAGTATTATAATTTTACATTCCTTCATGACAAAGTTTCATGCGAACTTCATTTATTAGCAGAATTAGTGTTGAAATATCTCTCCTCTAATTTAGAAATCTCAAATAAGATACAAGCTGTACATTCAGACACCAGGAAGTGCAGTTCTAGAATAGTGTGTATCAGTTCAGTCTACCAAGACTTCTTTCTCACTTTTTTTAGAGCAACACTGTCCTGTCTGCTTACACACATTAACGTGAACATATTTGACAAAAGCAAGTTTGCCTGCTAGTGTGGGAAGCAAACAGGAAACAAACAAACAAACAAAACCACCGTTCATAGTTTCATGCCTCTAGGCATCAGGGAAGTGAGCTTTGCTTTTTCTTGTTTCCATGGGGTTATGGCCATCCATTGATCCAGGCCTGATGTTCTGTGTGGCACACAAGGATTTCAATTCTCCAAAAAATTCAATGTGGAAAGGGGAAAAGGAAAGAGAGTGACAAGAAGTGATGATGAATAGCATAACAGATATGTAATGGGACAAGATGTGAGTGTCACATTTTTGGAGGGGGGGATTGTCACCTGCTAACAGAAGAAATTATTGAGTGTGTGACTAGTGCAGGGGACATTTCAAGCCAGATTGTTCCTCAGACTGCAATCTAATTTTACTATCTGTCACTAGCCACCTCAGTCAAAGATTTCAAGGTAAAAAATTCAACTGACTCAAACACGCACTGCTAAAATGGTGACAATAAAGGGTGTGAGAAATGAAAATCTCTCCAATATTTGAGTAAGCCCTACATTATCTACAATTTTCCTGCCAGAAGAATAAGTCCTTCTTTCTAGCAGTGTTAGCATATAAATGAAGATAAATTAGGCCCCCCATTATTGGGAAGCTCTGGAAGTTCCAAAGGCCTGTTAACCTAAAAATAGCTGCTAAATTCTAACTTCAGGTCAGCAATGAATAGCTTTTAGGATGACCACATGTCATGCACTAAAATACATCCTGTATTTTATCTGGCAACCCTACTTTAAAATATTTTTAAAGCACATAAAAAAAGTTACAAAATTTTTAAAAGCACATAAAAATAAAAACAATTTCCCAGATACAGAGTGGTAAAATGCCTCTATTCACTAAATTTATTGGAAAGTCTTTCATGTATGGAAGCTTGTTTTAAAAAGAATTTTAAAAGGCATTAACTTCTAGAATCTTTGTCCTTAAGACGGTCTGATTTTACTTTTTTTAAAAATTGACATAATTCTATTTTGTCAGTACTTTGTTAACTGCCTTTATATCATGCTAAAGTAGAATGCTAATTTGAGTTTGAAATACGGTGGCTAATAGAGCTAAGAAAACACATTCATCATCATTCTCTGGTATTTTCTAGTGTCTTCTGGTAGCTCCCACTCATCCCCAGAGTAGCCAGGTAGAACTTGAACCCTGGGATGGAGACTTGGTATCTTTGCTCTTCAATTAAGCTGCGTGTCTCAGTGGCTTCCTGTACCCCAGTTCCTGTGGAAATCTCATATCATAAGCGTGTAGTAGTGACGAAGCATGTGTGTATTTCTGTGGCTTGTTTACACACGTCTGTGTATGCTTAACCGGCGTTCTCACCATTCAAATCAAATGTAACCTTCATGAGGCTGACAACAACTGTCGAACCTCCACTGTATTTCCTTCCAGTGTTTTGCCCCGTACTCCGCACTTTGTGTGTTCAATAAACGCTGTTACTGACTTCCACTGTGCACCTGCGCTTCCGGCGCCCTCTCTTTCTGTCCACAGCTGTGATTCCCAACAAGGAAAGGCACATTCTTGCGGAGGTGGAGGGGCATGGCAGCAGAATTTCTAGAAGACTTTTTCCAACTCTGGTGTATCCCCATCCAAGATTCTAGGTGTGAACATTTGCTGCCTCCCCTTTTCTTTCCTCCTTGATGTGTGTGTGGGGAGAGGGTGAATGTAATCAAAGTGATGCCGGTGGGCTGGAGGAAGTCCCCAAATGCCGGTGGGGCCTGGAACCCAGTTTGTGTCAAGGCTGTTGACACCATCACAAGAATGAATTCAAGGACAAGTCAGAAAATAGTGAAAGTATTTATTGCAAAGGGAAAAGTACACACTCAAGAAAAGGGGGGCTGGGCGCAGTGGCTCACGCCTGTAATCCCAGCACTTTGGGAGGCCGAGGCAGGTGGATCATGAGGTCAGGAGATCGAGACCATCTTGGCTAACACGGTGAAACCCCGTCTCTACTCAAAATACAAAAAATTAGCCGGGCGCGGTGGCGGGCGCCTGTAATCCCAGCTACTCGGGAGGCTGAGGCAGGAGAATGGCATGAACCCGGGAGGCAGAGTTTGCAGTGAGCCAAGATAGCGCCACTGCAATCTGGCCTGGGCGAAAGAGCGAGACTCTGTCTCAAAAAAAAAGAAAAGAAAAGGGGGGTGTGGGTATACTCAAGAGAGAGACACACAGTGGAGTTTGGGGCTGCTACATCTACTCTATGGGTTTCTTTCTTTCCTTTTTCTTTTTCTTCTTTTTTTTTTTTTTTTTTTTTTTTTGACATGTAGTTTCATTCTCGTAGCCCAGGCTGGAGTGCAATGGTGCTATCTTGGCTCACTGCAACCTCCGCCTCCTGGGGTCAAGCGGTTCTCCTGCCTCAGCCTCCCAAGTAGCTGGAACTACAGGCATCCGCCACCACACCCAGCTAATTTTTGTATTTTTAGTTGAGACGGGGTTTCACCATGTTGGCCAGGCTGGTCTCGAACTCCTGACCTCAGGTGATCTGCCCTCCTCAGCCTCCCAAAGTGCTGAGATTACAGGTGTGAGCCACCGCACCTGGCCAAGGGGTGGAATATTCATGAAGATTCCTGGAAAAAAGGTGGCAATCTCTCACAGCTGTGATGCCACCCATTTTTACACCAAATATGGGTGGTCTCAGAACGGTCATGGCACTGGTGGGTGTGTGTTTAGTATGTTAATGAGTGAATAATGAGGTCCCAGGTGAAATCTAGTCAGATCCAGCACCATGTTGGATGCAGGCAGTCTTAGCCAGCTTGGTCCACACCCCGGTTTTCAGGATCTTATCAGCCTGTAGCCTCTATGGCTGTTTCAACAGTTTCCTTTTGCTAGTCATGGGAAACTGCTGCCTGGAATTTTCTATCCTCCTAAGACAACCCTGTATTATTCCTGTCTCAGAAGATGTCACCAATGGGAGGGTGTTGCACCTGTGAATGATGTGAAGCCACCGATAGAAGAGGGCTGGGAGCCTGTGGTCTATGGTATCCCTCAGCTTGGTGACTCCTGCCCTCATTCCCTTTAAGGAGAACAGTCAAAAACCATCACCACGTGTCTAATCCATACCAAAGTATCCAGTTCACTCCTTAGCAGTGATAAGTGTTATCAAAGCCACGTGGCTCCCTTGGCCCTGCCCTCCCATCCATCTGCTCTCTCACAGGGCCTCTCTGGGGACCTCTGGGAGACTTTCTGGGCCACCTGAACCCATGTTACATCTGCCGACTCCCCGTGGCTGGCTCTCAGCTCCAAGCATGGCACTCCCCTCCCTCTGCCTCTTTGAATTGGATGTTTCTGACTTCTCTGGCTTCCTGGCCCCGCTCAAGTATAACACAGCCTCCTGGTTTCCTAAACCTGATCCCACAAGCCCAGGGCCAGCCCCACAATTCCAAGACGCACGTCAGGTCTTGGAAACCCAGCCCGGGTGGAATTTCAGATCCTCCTTCTTGCCTAAGAAGAGAAGTCAGACAATTACACATTATTCAGCACTTAGCATTGTTCACAGAACATAACATGTGCTCAATAAACATTTCAGGGAATAAGTAGATGAGTGAATGAATGAATACACTTGAATGGCATTGTTCCTTGATGCCAGTTCTTTCCTGGTGTCTTTGGGGAGGGCATGCCTTCCCAACCAAGAGGGCTTTTGTGCAGAGGGTGCAGTAGTGCCTGATAAAGGAGGCAGTTGATTCTGCAATTGCATTCTCTTTCCAATCGTCCTCGCTGTATGTAATGCCTGGTAAATTTTGCTTTTGAGTTCACTGACCATAAAAGCCACTTCTACAAGTAAAGCGGATATACTCTGGACTGGAAATTCTAAAGTCTATATCCCAATCTCAGCAGCTATCACTAACTTACAGTGTGGCTCCAAGCAAGTCGGGCCCTCCCTGGGTATCAATTTCCTCTTGTACATAATGAGGGATGACGGGTTGTGGCTCTGATACTGCGTGACTCACTGGGTCAGAATATGCCACCCTTGGTTGGGTGCAGTAGCTCATGCCTGTAATCTCAGCACTTTGGGAGGCCGAGGCGGGAGGCTCACCTGAGGCAGAGAGTTCGAGAACAGTCTGGGCAACAGAACAAGATCCCATCTCTATGAAAAAATACAAAAATTAGCCGGGCATGTGGCATGCACCTGTAGTCCCAGTTACTTGAGAAACTGAGGTGGGAAGATTGCTTGAGCCTAGGAGGTTGATGCAGCAGTGAGCGAAGATCATGCCACTGTACTCCAGCCTGGATGACAGAGCGAGACCTCATCAAAAAAAAAAAAAAAAAAGAAGAAGAAGAAGAATGTGCTACTCTTTTACTATTCCACACCCTCCCTTAATTACGTTCGCTTCCCATTGACTTTGCAATCAGAGGAGCTCCTTGACACCCAGGCACAGAACCAAGGCTTCCAGGATGAATAAAGAGAAGGGGCCTCAACAGGAGTTTCCAGGCTCCCGGTCCCTTCTAGGTCACAGCTTCCCAGAGCGACCAGTGAAAGGCTCATCTCTGGAACACCAGCTTCATTCTAATTAAGATGTAGGCATAAAAATATGCTCCAGACCAGGCGTGGTGGCTTACGCCTGTAATCCCAGCATTTTGGGAGGCCGAGGTGGGCAGATCATCTGAGGTCAGGAGTTCGAGACCAGCCTGACCAACATGGAGAAACCCTGTCTCTACTAAAAATACAAAATTAGCCTGGCTTGGTGGCACATGCCTGTAATACCAGCTACTCAGGAAGGCTGAGGCAGGAGAATAGCTTGAATCCGGGAGGCAGAGGTTGCAGTGAGCCGAGATCATGCCATTGCACTCCAGCCTGGGCAACAAGAGCGAAACTCCGTCTCAAAAAAAAAAAAAAAATCCACTCTAAAACCAAATGTGGTCTAGGATTGACAGGGGTACCAACATCTATTAAAGCCTGCTTTATATAGGCACTGTGAAAGTCACAAGTGGCAGCAGGTGACAATGAACAGTGGCAGGAGGGAGGAATGAATGACTGTTACATGTGGTGTCTTATTTAATTCTCCAAACAACATGTGTGGGGCATCATTTTCCACATTTCACAGGTGAAGGTATTGAGGCTCTGAGGGGTGGTAACATGTCCAGGGTCAGACAGCTAGTGAATGACAGAGGCAGGGGTGAGCCCCGTCCTCATTCCACCAGGCTGCTGTGGGATTAGCTGGCATCCACCAGCTAAGTAACCAAGAGCTGTCTATTTAGCTTCCTGTAAGGCTTTATAGTTCTGAGGCCACGTGCTGTAGCGGCCCTAAGGAAAAGAAATCCCTGGACTTGTTCTCTTTTCTTCCCTCCCCATGTGGACATTTGGGTCTCTCTCTGAGCTCCCTGGATGCGGAGGATTTGAAAGCTGAATTTTGCACTTGTGTCCTGGATGCTTCCATCTCTACGTTTATTATTAATTTTTTTTAAAAAATTGAAAATTAAAAAAAGGATATCACTCTGTCACCCAGCCTGGAGTGCAATGGCATGATCTTGGCTCACTATAACCTTGAACTCCTGGGTTCAAGCAATCCTCCCATCTCAGCCTCCTCAGTAGCACTACAAGTGTGCGCCACCATGCCCCGCTAATTTTTAAATTATTTGTAGAGACGGGGTCTCGTGATGTTGCTGAGGCCCATCTTGAACTCCTGGTCCCAAGCGATCCTCCTGCCTTGGCCTCCCAATGCACTGGGATCACAGGCATGAACCACCGCACCCAGGCCCCTGTGCTTATCTTTAGAAGGAAGATAATATACTTCGCCATCTCGTGGAAGCCAAGTGATAGTAACAGTAAATGAACTTTCAGCAAATTATCAGCATTATTAAGGTAGATCTGTTTTCTCAGAATCATTAGAAAGGAGACAAATACAGTCCAACTGACCCACCAGCCTGCAATAAAAAGCTTCCTGGTTTTCCCCTTCACCTGTTACTTTTTGAGCAAGTCTGCCCTTCCCTAGTGAAACGTGCAAGTTACTGTTACCCACAGGGCATAGCTGGGACATTCAATGTCCCCCACAACTTCAAACTCACCATATCTAAAATGGAGCTAGTTGTCATATCCCATATCACTTCTCTTCCTGATTCTCTCTAACTATGAATGGTACCCCAGCCTCCCAGGTTCATAGACTCAAAATCTAGCTCATCTTTTGCAAGGCGGTGAAGACAAGGAAGGGGTGAAGAACCTTGTCTTTGGAGTCAGAAAGACTGGAATTCATTTCCTAGGCTCGGCTATGTAGGGAATAGCAGGCAAATGGCTCAGCCCCCAAGTCTTAGATTCTTCATCCATAGTACTCACCTTACAGGGTTTTTAAATTTTTATTTTATTGTGTTTCCAACTTTTATTTTAGATTCAGGAGGTACAGATGCAGGTTTGTTACCTGGGTATATTGCACGTTGCTGAGGTTTAGGGTATGAATGATCCCATCATCCAGGTACTGAGCATAGTACCTAATGGTCAGTTTTTCCACCTTCGTCCCCTTCTCTCCCTCCCCCTTCCAGTAGTCCCCGGTGACTAGTGTTGCCATCTTTATGTCCACTAGTACACAGTGTTTAGCTCCCACTTATAAGTGAGAACATGCATTACCTGGTGATCTGTTTCTGCATTGATTTGCTTAGGATAATGGCCTCTAGCTGCATCTAAGTTGCTGCAAAGGATATGATTTCATTCCTTTTTATGGCTGCATAATATTCCATGATGTATATATGCCACATTTTCTTCATCCAATCCACCACTGATGGGCACCTAGGTTGATTCCTTGTCTTTGCTATTGTGAATAGTGCTACAATGAACATGTGAGTGCATGTCTTTTTGGCAGAACAATTTATTTTCTTTTGGATGTATACCCAGTAATGAGATTGTTGGGTTGAATGGTAGTTCTGTTTTAAGTTCTTTGAGAAATCTTCAAACTGCTTTCCACAGTAGCTGAACTGTTTACATTCCCACTGACAGTGTATAAACATTCCTTATAGGGTTTTTGTGATAATTAAGTGATATTAAATCATATTAAAAGATTTTAATGATATTAAATTTAAAAGGGATACTGAAGGGGTTCTAGACTCAGGTTGTGGCTATAGACAGAGAAAGACAAGTTGTCCAACATTCCAAAGAGTGGGACAAGATGCGAGCCCATGATTTGCTAAGAGATCATGAAATTTGTCCTTCAACACGTACCCCTTCACTTTTCTCCTGGCCCTACAAATATAAAGGGGAGAAAGAGAGAGAATTTCTTTGACAAGTGTTGTCAACTGAATGGGCAGGGAATTCTGTGCCATTTTCCTTTTCCTTCACCATGAAACCACACCTTTCAAACCTTGCATCTAGAAACATTTGCAAAGGGTGGTGTTTTTGTCATAGGGAAAATTGACCCTTCCTCTCATGGGATCTCAATTTGGGAACATAGTTCCAAGGGAACTTGCGTCTCCTGGATTCAGGGTTTGTTTCTGGTGTCTAGTGTTGTGAAGTGTTAAGAAAGAGCCTGACTGGAGCGAGGTTTCCAAGGATAGAGAGTGTCTTAGTTAGTTAGGGTTTCTATAACAAAAATATAGACTCGGTGGCTTAAACATTAGAAATTTATTCCTCACAGTTCTGAAGACTGGGACTTCCAAGATCAAGCTGCCAGCCAATTCAGTCCCTGGCGAGGCCCCTCTTCCTGGCTTGCAAAAGGATAGCTTCTTGCTGTGTCTTCACATGGTGGAGACAGGAATCATCTCTCTAGTGTCTCTTCTTATAAGGGCACTGGTCCCATTCATGGGACTCCACCCTCATGACTCAATTACCTTTGAAAGGCCTCCAGAGACCATGAAATTGTGGATTAGGGTTTCAACATATGAATTTGGGAGGGGACACAAGCATTCAGTTCACAGAAGAGAGGCAAAGAGGGATGGCTCCATTGATCCAGGAGACATCATAGGAAGTAGCCAGGCCTGGTCACCCTGGGGCAGAAGGAAGCCACATGGGCTATTCTGCTAGAGCAGGAGCTGACCAGGGAATGCGTCTTCACACCAGAACATGATGCAGTATTGGAGGTCTTCACAGAATGTGTGTGCATGGGAGAGTGGTCTCTGGAAAGCCACAAAGTTGCCCCAAAAGAGAAGGGCTCAGCATTTGCCAAAGGTCCTTTGACCATTGAAGAATTACAAATGACACCACTTTTGCCCCTTTACCACTGACCTCTCCTTCCATCCTCAAGAGGAAGAAATAGAACAAGGAAGAGAGAGAGAGAGAGAGAGAGAGAGAGAGAGAGAAAAGACTACTAGCTTCTTCTCATTGCAGATGCCTTGCCTGGACTTGTCTGATTTAGAGGAAAAGAGAGAGGCTTCAAACTGAATGTGAGATGAAAGTTTGGATTTGTATCATACTAAATACCTGAAGATGAAGTTGTCCTGATGAAATAGGCAGGAAAGATTTGGGGAAAGCTATCGGTTGGGCAGAGATATCATGTCAGGGGCAGAATATCTAACAGAGAGGGAATGAAGACAGAGGTAGAAGAAAAACAAAGCTGTTTCTTGATTGTTCCACACCTTTCAATAAACTAATTACATGTGAAGAGTGTCTGACAAACAGTAGGTGCTTAATGAGTGATAGCCATTGTAAATGATGTCTAAGTCACTAATTTCAGTTATTAACCTGGTCCAGCTGGTCTTTTTTATTTTTATTGAGAGCACTGTAAATCAGAATTAACTTTGTTACTTATAACCCAAAATGTCACAGTTGCTGACCAGTTGGCCTCTCCCCCTCCCAATTCTCTCTCTCCTCCACTTGACCCCACCCTCTGGTAACAGACTGGCCTTACCAATATGAGGTTTGGATCATTTTTCTCCCTGCCCAGTGGCTCCCCAGTGCTTAGTGGTTCGATTTCCTTAGCCTGGCATCCAGGTCCCCAGCAAGCAAGAGTCAATCTCCCTTCCCTATCAGTCAATTTCCTCTTCTTTTCAGAACAGAATTATTTGCTGTTCCCAAGCACTTCCTTGCATGCATGCCTCCCTCAATTTGGGGCACTCTCCTCTCTTTAGCACTTCCTGATAAAATCTTATTCTTCACAGCTCTGCTCACCTGTTAACTTCCCCATAAAACCTCCAAAATTCTCTATCAGAAAAGATGTCTGTTTTTTCTGAGCTCTCATAATGCTGTCTTTGTATATTTCTTGTCACCTAACAACAGCTCAGTCCCCCCACCCTACTCCTTATTTCTTGCTCATGAACTCCATAATGGTACAGTACAGGTATTGACAGTTGCTATGGTTTGAATGTGTTCCCCAAAAAGCATGTGTTGAAAACTTAATCCTCAATGCTGCAGTGTTGGTAGGTGGGGCCTAATGGGAGTGCTTGGGTCATGGGACCACTGCCCTCACAAATGGATTAGTGCCATTATTTCAGGAGTGGGCTCCTTATAAAAGGACAAGTTTGGCCCCCTCTTGCTCGCTCTCTCTCTCACCCTCTCTTTGCCCTTCCGACATGTTATAACTCAGCAAGAAGGCCCTTACCAGATGCAGGCCCCTCGGTATTAGACTTCCCAGTCTCCAAAATTGTGAGCCAATACATTTTTGTTTATTATAAATTACCTAGTCTCAGGTATGCTGTTATAGCAGTACAAAACAGACTGAGACAATGGCATTATGTTTAGAGAAAAAGAGCCTACGTCCAGGAGATAAATCATGATAAATCTGTGCCAGACATGATAATCTTATTCCCTTTTGCTAGTTATTGGTTGAGAGGTAGGTTTGTGTCCCAGTCTGGCCAGGGATGCTTAACAACTTGCTCTCTAATTGAAAAAGAAAAAAAAAATTCTAATTTATAGCTAGTTTGCTGATTTCTATTGTATAAATACTATCACAGACAATTTCAAGTCACCAGCATGGCCTCATTGAACAGGGAGCTGGGAGAGACGTGCTGTAGCCCATTATTTTATAGTATTTCCACCACGCAGATGCAAGAAACATAAATAACAAGAGCATAGATGATAGCTACCTGTAGTAAAATAATTAAAAAAGTGATGCTGATATACTTTGGATATTTGTCCTGGCCCAAATCTCATACTGAAATGTAACCCTCGATGCCGGAAGTGGGGCCTGGTGGAAGGCGATTGGCTCATGGGTGAGGATTTCTCATAAATGGTTTAGCGCCATCCCCGTGGTGCTATCCTCATAATAGTGAGTGAATCCTCACAATATCTGGTCATTTAAAAGTGTGAGGCACCTACTTCTCCTCTCTCCCTCTTGCTCCTGCTTTTGCCTGTACAGCCCGCAGAACTGTGAACCAATTAAAATTCTTTTCCTTATAAATTACCCAGTCTCAGATATTCCTTTATAGAAAAGCAAGAGTGGCCTAATATGGATGCATTTTGAGTATCAACTACCAAGTTTTCTGGAAAGTTAACAACTGGCCCTTACAAGCCAATACAAGCCAACCCTAAAACACCACTGGCTCTAGCCAATGAAATGTAAGAACTCTGCTTGAGGTTTCTGGGTTTATTCATCAGTGTTTGTTGCCTTGTGCTTCAATAACAAGCAACCCCCAAATCTAGCACAGAACATCGTACATGAAGGTGTCATGATGGCCTCGTGCACACCCATGCACAGAGAGACAATCGTGTGAACAGGCAGCAAGAGAGCGGCCAACTGCAAGCCAAGGAGAGGGCCCTTACCAGAAACCAACCCTGCTGACACCTTGATCTTGGATTTCCAGCCTCCAGAACTGTGAGATAATACATTTCTGTTGTTTAAGCCACCCACAAATATGCCTCTGCTCCCTGAAGGATGCAGGGTTCAAAAGTCCACTCATTCCAAAGGCCCAGAACCAGCCCAAGATGGTCAGAGAAGATGGAACCTTACTAATGCCCCTTACATGGCACTAGCAGGAACCACTGAAAACTTGAGCCAAGTCCTCACATCTGTTCTTTGACCTCTTCTTCATCAACTGCTTCTGTCTTTCTCTCCTGTTCTCTAATTTCAATGACTTTCCTCAAGCACAGAGGCAGCAGCTGCAACAAGAGTACAGCCAGTTGAGGCAAATATACAAGGTGGGCAAGAGAGAACACAAATGGCTAAGGGACTTTTAGCCCAGCTGAAAAATTCTCCAGGGGTGGAGCAAACAGATCCCAAGACCTAATTCTGCAGGTGTTTTCTTGGGCACCTTCCAGGTGTAAGGTTGCCAGATAAAATACAAAACGCCATTTCAATTTGAATTTCAGATAAATGGTGAATAATGTCTTAGTATAAGCATGTCTTGGGCAATGTTGTATTTTTATTTGTGTACTCGGGCAACCCTAACCAGGGGCTGTCAATGGGGTGGGTGTAAGGCAGCAGAGAAGAAAGACCGAGAGATGAGAAATTACATATGAATGAGGGCTGCACTACAGCTGCGCATGCAAAGGACACGACCGGGGTGGTCACATAAAAGGCACTGCGCCCATCTGGAAGGAAAGAAAGGAGTGCCTCTGACCAATGAGTCTCTGTCACCTTCCCAGACTTCTGGCCCTCATTTGGAGCCAAGTCCAAGAATCCTAGCTATGGCGTTTTCCTATGGCTGCTGTAGCAAATGACCACAAACTTAGTGGCTTAAACAGATTCGTGATCTTGTAGTTCAGAAGTCTGAAATGGGTTCCAGTGGGCTAACCTCAGGATGCCAGTAGGACTGCATTTCTTCTAGGAATTCTAGGGGAGCATCCATTTCTTACCTCTCTCAGTTTCCTGAGGCTTCCTTCAGGATCCTTGACTTGTGACCTCTTCTTTCATCTTCAAGGCCAGCATCAGCACAGCATCTTCAAATCTCTCTCTCTCCCTCCCCCTCCCTTCCCATTCCTCTCCCTCCTCCCCTTCTCTCTCTCCTCCTTCTCCTCTACACCTTCTCCTCCTCTTCCCGCTTTCTTCTTCTTCTTCTTCCTCTTTCTTCTTCTTCTTCCTCTTCCTCTTCTCCTTCTCCTTCCCCTTCCCCTCCTTCTCCTTCCTCTTCCCCTCCTTCTTCTTCTTCCCCTCCTCCTCCTCTTCCTCCTCCTCCTTCTTCTTCTTCTTCTTCCTTCTCCTTCTTCTTCTTTTTCTTTTTCTTCTTCTTCTTCTCCTCCTCCTTCTCCTTCTCCTCCTCCTTCTCCTTCTTTCCTTCCTTCCTTCCCTTCTTCCTTCCTTCCTTCCTATTCTTCTTTTCTCTCTCTCTGTGCTTCCACCTACCCATCTCCCTCTCTGACTCTGACTCTCCTGCCTCCCTTCTATAAGGACCTTTGTGATCGGCGACATTAGCCTTCCTGGAGAATGGTAACAGTGGCAGGTTCCAGGGATTAGGGTGTGGTTATCTTTGGCAGGGGGGTGCATTATTCTATCTTCCAACATTGTTTCTCTCCTGTGACATTTTCGACCTGTCAAAGCTACTGTTACGAAAAAACAGTTTGACCAGGGTCCATGGCTCCTAGATATATACAAAGACAGTGCCAGCAAATCCAGGTTCTGAGTTTGGTGAGTATTATTAACCTCATTTTATAGTTGAGACTTCAAGAGATCAAGAAGCCTGCCCAGAGTCACATCCCTGGTGAGGGCAGAGCAAGAATTTACACCTTTGGAACACACGTATTCATTGTCCCCAGCCCCAGAAGAGGGTCAAGTGAGCAAGGCTCAGGACTGGGACTCACCAAAGGCTATACCCTTGCAGGGATCTGAGTCCCCTCTAAGGAACTGGGCAGGTACCTAGGTCTGGACTCTTCTGGCAAATTCTTTGAAGTGCAAGAAGTGCTGCCAAACAGGAAACAATTTACTGTGGAGTGGGCACATGGGAAGCCTGAGTGAATGGGGCCGACAGGCTCGAGTGATGATGCAGCCTCCACCTGTGCCTATAGGTGGAAAGTACGATCCTCAGCCTCACACCCGCAGACACACGGTTTGGCATTTGCCATTCTTAACTCCCAGATGCACCCTGCCCAATGAAAATGAAGGTCTTTATAATTAGATAAATAGCACTACTTCCCCAGACCAAAGCAATATTGCAAGGACTCCCTGGTAAAAGTTACAAAAGAAAACTAGCATTCTCAAACATGAATGTGCAGAGAGATCATGGGAAGGGTTTATTTGAAATTCAGATGCTGGGCCTCATCCCTAGGGCCTGGTGTGGGGCTGAGGAATATGCATGATTAGCAAGCTTCCAGCTGACGTGGATGCGGGTGGTTCAGGGGTGCACTTTCAGAATTCCTGTTCTGGAACTTCCTCAGCAGTTTTTTGTTTGCCTGTTTTTTGTTTTTTGTTTTGTTTTTGAGACAGAGTCTTGCTCTGTCGCCCACGCTGGAGTGCAGTGGCACGATCTCAGCTCATGGCAGCCTCTGCCTCCTGGGTTCAAGCGATTCTCCTGCCTCAGCCTCCCAAGTAGCTGGGATTACAGGCGTGCACCACCATGCCTGACTAATTTTTGTATTTTTAATAGAGACGGGGTTTCACCATGTTGGCCAGGCTAGTCTCGAACTCCTGGCTTCAGGTCATCCACCCGCCTCAGCCTCCCAAAGTGCTGGGATTACAGGCATGAGCCACTGCACCCCGCCTCTTCAGCAGGTTTGACTCCCTGTTTCCCAAGAGGAGGATTTATGGGGCTGTGGATCTCACTACCACTCCCTGCCTATGAGCCACTGGAGGGGCCCCCGAGTCACAGGCTGGGACTGACCCAGGACTGCAGTGGTCCAAGGGCAGGGAAGGAGTATCAGCCTTCCTATTCCATAAACATTATGGGACAGATGAGGAATGCTGGCATTGCCCGGGAGACAGGTGACATGGATTTGGGGGGACACAAGGTGTATGATGTCACCCACATTCTCAGCACCAGCCTCTGACTCTCCTCTCAGGCTGGACTCAAGAGGCCCATGGCCAAACCACCGAGACCTGCTTAGTAATGGCGGGGTGGCTGGGGAGAGCAAACCACAAGCTGAGGCCCTATCCTTGCTAATTTAGAGAGTGTTCCCGTGGTGAAAAGGGGACAGGTAGCATTACAGGGAGGACTCCAGAGCCAGACTAGCAAGTTCACTCCCAGATTCTTACCCTTGCTGGCTGTGAGCCCTTCGACAAGTTAATAACCTCTCTGTGTCTCCATTTGATTGTCTGTGAAGTTGGGGGAGGAGAGCAGTGTCTATTTCAAAGGGAATTGCAGAGAATGAATGGCGTCATCTTTTCAAAAAGGACTTACCATACCAACGGTGCTCAAAAATGTTAGCTAACGGGCCAGGCACAGTGGCTCACGAGTCCCTACTAAAAATACAAAAATCGGCCAGGCGTGGTGGCACGCACCTGTAATCCCAGCTACTCAGGAGGCTGAGATAGGAGAATTACTTGAACCCAGGAGGCAGAGGTTGCAGTGAGCCAAGATCGCTCCACTGCACTCCAGCCTGGGCGACAGCGCGAGATTCTGTCTCAAAAAAAAAATAAATAAGTTAGCTAACTAAAATTACTAGTCAATGAGACAAGACATGGTTGGATGGTTGGAATTGTCAATTTTGCTTCTGGCAAGCCCATGAAGAGGAACGCGGCACAGAGGAGATGCTCAATAAATATTTCTTGAATTTTGCAGAGAGTGTTGTTAGAGTTTTGCAGTGCATGGATTTGCACCTGCGCCCCGCTGGTCTGTGTGCTCGTAAAACTTCCTTGCATGTTCTTCCTGTCTCCCCGCTTAGGTCCAAAGCTGGAAGAGCTGGTTCACTGACTTTTGATCTTCTCCATGGTCCTCAGCCCAGGGTTTGCCCAGGGTGAGTCCCAATGTCACGGACCAGCCCCTAGACATCACTTGAACAAAAGCCAGATAGAGGTAGATCCCATAAGACAGTTACATCATTTCCCCTAAACCTTCCTCTCCTTCTTTGAAAGTGGGCTTCCAGGGTTTCCTTCCCTATAAAAGTGGAAACTCAGTGTTGCTGATTCCTCACTCGGAGACTCCTTCGCTACCCTAAATACTCTACCGGTAAACACATGGGGCCCTCCCCTCCTTTCTTACTCAGTCCCCAAAGGGCACCAGGCTGGATCTGCTGTTGGAGAAGAAGGGAGGTGACGGGAAGCCTGTTTCTGCTTCTCACAGGCATTGAGCAGGGCAGGTATCCAGGCCGCCCACGTCTCTCCCACTGAGTGAATTTGCACAACGTGAGCTGGGTCCTGCCGATTCACTGGGGGCGAGGACTGCTCTTGCCCGCTGTAATCGGGAGCCAGCACCACCCGGGGAAGCAGAAAGCCACTGCCATGCCTCACAGCCCTTTAGGGTTCCCATTCCTCCTGTTTACCTAAGTGGGTGCCTATGAACCCAGCTGCCTGCAAATTGCAAGATCAAAGCCAAAGGTGAGAGGCACTGCGCATGTGCGCTGCAGGGCAAACAGGAAAATATGTTTAGGTTTTGCTGTTGTCAGTTTTGATCTGTCAATTTCTGATTTTTAGCTTGGCAGTAACAAAATACACTTATTAACTATGAAAATAACCTTTCTATTGAATTTCCTGCAGGGAAAGGAAAATCTCATTAAGGTGAGTCTGAAACTCTAGCTCCCAGGTCCCTGAACCCTTGTTTGTTTAAGGGGATTTTTGAAAAATTCCAGTACACTGAGCGACAGCTAGGTTTTCTATGGGGGTGGGGGGTGGCCCTCAGTATTCAAACGAAGAATATAAAGGTCCAGAGAGGGAAAGGGAATCTGAACCGTTTTAGGCCAAGGAAGTAGAGTAAGTGGGACCTGGTGTCCTAGAGTTCAAAGTGAGTAGTGGAAATAGAGGAGCATTTAGGAGAGAGGAGTTATTTGCAGAATAAAATTATAGTGCATTGACAGGGTGGTGGGGGCAACATGATGTAAAGACCCTCGACCTTAGTTAAGGTTCAATGTCCTAATTCTGTGAGGACCCAAGGAAACTAAAAGGGATGAATGCAATGCAAGATACATTGTGAGATTGGTAAAGGTGGCCTTTGATATGCAGGCTGCCTGTGGAAGATTCAATTATTGCTCAGCAAACATCACCACTAGTACCTCCATGGGAAGCATACACTTCCCTCTCCCAGCTATATTGGGATTCACTGTGTGACTTGCTTTGGCCAAAAGAATGGGGGTCCGAAGTGACAGTGGGCAAGTTTTAAGCCTAGGACTGAAGAGACATGAGTGGAAACACTCAGTATGAA
Source organism: Homo sapiens (assembly GCF_000001405.40). Lineage (NCBI taxonomy): Eukaryota > Metazoa > Chordata > Mammalia > Primates > Hominidae > Homo > Homo sapiens. The sequence continues at coordinate 26,463,760 of NC_000004.12, read as the reverse complement.
GCTGGTCCAAGAAGGACAAGAGAGACCCAGGGCCAGATCAGGTTCTTATCTGCAGCTTGGAGCCAAGCCTAAAACAGATGAGGCTTGAACCCAAGTTGACCAATGGCCACATGAGGGAAAAATAAATGCTCAATGTGTGTCACTGAGTCTGGATGTTTTTGTTACACAGCATTACTGTAGTGGTAGCTGACTGATACACTGTCCTTTATTTCCTACCACCTCTCTCTACATGTCTCCCTATCTTTCTCGTCTGCCTTCTCCCTACCAAAACTTTTCAACCTAAAAGTCTGGGGTTGAGCTTTCACTTCTTAGACTGAATTTCAGTTACAGACTTTCTCCTCCCAAACGTATGTGTTTTTCAAGTCTTGTCTCTTTGCAAAAAGAAAGACTTTGCTATTAGGATTTGAGAAATCAGCAGTCTCATGAGAACGACATTTACAAGCTGAGGACATTTTCTAGGGTATCCTGGTTTCGTACTCCTAGCAGCCTAGAGTGAGGCAGACCCCAGCATAGAGCTCATTTTTCAGGAAGGCTCAAAATCCTGCAAGAAGGGCTTAGCAAAAGCCATGCATCTGTTTCATTCTATCATTTGCTCAGGGAAAGTTGAAGCCTGTTGGCAATTCTAGCTGGGCTTATGAGGACTTCTCTTCCTCTTCACCCCTCCCTCAAAGTTTGGCCAGATCCGCAGTCCAAATGGCAGTATGTGTTCAAGAAGATGATTAATGTGAGCAGAAGGTTCCAGGAAATCTCTCAGGGCCCTTCTGTTTATTAAATATAAAAACTCATGTTTAAATATAATGTCAAAGGTATGACACACACCAACACGATCCAAGACAGACTGTTGGCTTTAACATTCAATAACTAGAGGTTCTTCAAGTTTTGACTTCTGAGCTTAAAGTCTCTTAAAGATTTTCCAGGAAGGCTCAAACTACTCAAGGAAGAAGTCAGCAGAGGCCAGCGAAGTCCATACATTTGTTTCCATCATCTGTACTTAATGGCAGAAGCTGTGGCTTTTGGGTTGGGGGACAGTGTCTAATTGAGTCAATGTCATGCACTGTATCAGGAAGCCATTCCCTGACAGCCTGGCCTGAGCTAGAGAACACAACTGCATTCTCCCATAGCACCCCAACTTCTCATGTCTATTCATTCATTCCTGTAGGACATAGTTCTTGAGAACCTACTATATACCAGACCCAGCTCCAGGAACTGGAAATGCATGGGTTACAAGACAATGCCCAGGTCTCCTGGTTTAGATTCTAGAGGTGGAGAGACAGACAGCACACAAATAAACACACAGGTGGTTTGATCACAAGGACTATGAAGAAAATGTAACAGTGTGGTGTGGTACACTTGAATGGAAGAGGGTGTGCCACAGGTAGGCAGGGTGGGTAGGGAATAACAGTGACAGAAGTTTCTATGCTGCTTACGCTTTGACACACACCATTCTAAGAACTTCATGTATATTAACTCACTTAATCCTCACAGCGACCCTACGGAGTAGAAGCTGTTACTGCCCCTTTTACAGGTGAGAAAAGTGATACCTAGAGAAGTGAAGTAACCTGCCCTGCTTCACACAGCTGAAAAGCAGAAGAGCTGGAAGGCAGGCCCAGGTATTGGCACCACGAGTCACGCTGTCACCCGCTACCCCACACACTGCCTCACAGAGCAGGTGAGGTTGGAGTGCAGGAATGGGCCAGCCTCATAAAGAGCTGGGGAAGAATATTCTAGACAAAACAGAAAGCGAGGAAATCATTGCAGTCCTTTAGGCAAGAGATGAGGGAGACAAGGACCAGACGGCAGCAATGGACACGGTGATAAGTGGAAGGTTTCAGATCTGTTTTCGCTCTGTGGTGGCATTTCTTATTTAAATACCCACGTTTCCTGATAAGCTGGTAGCTCCACAAGGGCCAATGCCTCATCTATTCTGCTCATCTTATGTCCCCAGTGCCTGCTATAGCATTTAGTTCATAGATTTTTTTTTATAGAGATGGCGTCTTGCTACATTGGCCAGGTTGATGCTTGAACTCTTGGCCTCAAGCAATCTTCCTACCTTGGCCTCCCAAAGTGTTGGGATTACAGGCATGAGCCGCCCCCCTACACAACCTACAGATTTTTAAATAATTCGGTATAGAGTAAGTAATTAGATAAGTAAGTAATTAATGAGCATTAGGCCAGCCTGACGTTGGTTCGAATCCCAAATCCTTCACCTCCTTCACCTGTTTACTGTTCAACTCAGGCAAATTACTTAAGCTCTCTGATCCTCTTTTGATTGTATCTATGATGGGGATAATAAGGCAATCACAGGGTTGAGTGTGGAGAGGATTAAATGAGATAGCTTTTGTAAAGGGTTAATAGCAAGGCAGTCACAAGACAGATGCCTACAGAAATGTTGACATCCAACATTCTTTCCCTACTACATAGAAAACCAGAGTCATTTCAGTGACATGAATCGTTGTAGAATCGAGAGCTGAAAGGGAATCAAAGCCCCTATTACTCAGTATGGTCCAAGGACCAGCCCCATCATGTTAGAAATAAAGAAACTCAGAGGCCCGGTGCAGTGGCTCACACTTGTCATCCCAGCACTTCGGGAGGCCGAGGCAGGCAGATCACAGGAGGCCAGGAGTTCGAGACCAGCCTGGGCAACGTGGCAAAACCCCATCTCTACTAAAAATACAAAAATTAACTGGGTGTGGTGGTGTGTGCCTGTAATCCCAGCTACTCAGGAGGCTGAGGCAGGAGAATCACTTGAATCTGGGAGGTGGAGGTGGAGGTTACAGTGAGCCAAGATAGTGACACTGCTCTCCAGCCTGGGCAACAGAGCAACACCCTGTCTTGAAGGGAAAAAAATAAATTAAAAAAAAGAAATAAAGAAAGTCAAGCTCCACCCCAGACCACTAAAGCAGAACTTCTGGGGGAAAGGCCTGGTTATCTGTATATGTAGTCAGCACCACCACCTTTCCCAAGGGATTTTTTTTTTTTTTTGAGATGGAGTCTCCCTCTGTCACCCAGGCTGCAGTGCAGTGGCACGATCTTGGCTCACTGCAACCTCAGCCTCCAGGGTTCAAGCCATTCTCCTGCTTCAGCCTCCCAAGTAGCTGGTACTACAGGCATGCACTACCACACCCAGCTAATTTTTGTATTTTTAGTAGAGACAGGGTTTCACCATGTTGGCCAGGCTGGTCTCCAACTCCTGTCCTCATGATCCACCCACCTTGGCCTCCCAAAGTGCTGGGATTACAGGCGTGAGCCATTGTGTCCGCCCTCCCCCAGGGGATTCTTATCAAGGAGAAAGTTGGAGTAGGTTGAGCCTGCTGCAGTCGAGGGTCTCGTGTCCTTCGTACTGTCCTGAACACTCACTTGAACCCCAACCCTCTCCCCGCCTGGGGCTTGGTGCCTGGGCCTCCACACTTTGCTGCCAATCCATCTGCTGTTCTTCAGACACCTGCCACTCCAAGCTGGGCTTCCAGTGAATTGAAAGCTGCCCCATCAGACGCCCACGCTGGACTAATCGGCTGGGGCTAGGAGGTTCCAGTAGCATCACGCACAAGGGGAACCTGAGCCTGGTTGGCTTGGCCACCAGCATCACAGCATCCTGGGAGAGGTGCCTTTGGTCCTTGGCAATCCTCCTGGACCACCTGCTGCACCTGAAAAACACAGCAGAACAGGATTCTGACTGTGGAAGGCATCCCCCTGTCTGAATTATCCACCCCATAAGCAAGCCCTAGAGACAGAAGAACAAGAGGACACATTCTTCCAAGCCTCTGAAACATTATCCAGACCTGTCCGTGCCGATTCATCAACTCTGAGCTCAAGGAATCATAAAAGTTTGTTTTTTCATATCTAAGAGATGATCCAACCTTCTGGAAACTAAACTTTCTTCTCTTAGTTCATGCAGAAGTCATTTTAGTGAGCCACAGGATCTGCTTTTCATTCTTGATGACTATACCCATATGGGATTGTTGGGAGAGCCAATAAAGAACGTTTTTAAAAACCTCTCTGTAACAACTTCGCTTTGCACCTCAATACACCTGCTTCGAAAGGTCATTTAGAGACCATTTGTATTGGGATGACAAATGAAGTGATTGTACTAAAATGTAACTTTCATAATGGCAACAATCCTGTGTGCTACAACCGCCCCTCCTGGCACAAAGTGGGCCTTCAGTATAGATTTCTTAATAAATGCCATGAAGTATAGAAGTGCAAGCGGACTTTACAAAGATGCTCATTACAAAGATCATAATTGGTGGCCACGTTTCAGTTCGTTTTTGTCGAAAGCTGTTTACCTTTAAGCCTATGCTATGCTCAGGCTGACTTGTGTGCTCTGTTACATCAAACTACCGAAAAGCCATTTCCCAGACCAAGTTCAAACTTACTGCCATCTACTGGCTAACACTTAAAATTAGCCTTACCGGCATATGTTTAAATTTTAACTACCTGCGTAAAACGGAAAACATTTGCAGAAAATTGTGGAAACATAATCTACCGTAAAGACTTGAGGCCAGGCGGAGTGGCTCACGCCTGTAATCCCAGCATTTTGGGAGGCCGAGGCGGGCGGATCACCTGAGGTCAGGAGTTCAAGACCAGCACGGCCAACATGGTGAAACCTCGTCTCTATTTAAAAAAAAAAAAAAATTACCTGGGAGTGGTGGTGCATGCCTGTAATCTCAGCTACTCAGGAGGCTGAGGCAGGAGAATCACTTGAACTTGGGAGGCAGAGGTTGCAGTGAGCTGAGATCGCACCACTGCACTCCAGTCTAGACAACAGAGTGAGACTTCATGTCAAAAAAGAAAAAAAAAAGACTTGACAGTAGTATTCCATTTTCAAAAGAATGAACGGAAACTACTGTTTTTGCATTAATAGTGTTTTAAAAGGTTACATTTGATGTATATATATATATAATTTAACCTCTAAAATATATATGTCCCCCCAGAGCATTCCTGCAAAAAAAAAAAAAAAAAAAAAAAAAAAAAAAAGCTTAGTTTATAAACTAGAGCTCAATGAAATTTCTAACCAGTAAATTCTGTGACAGCCTCCTTTGATAGATGTGCTGTTTCTGCTGGGTTTGATGCTACTCCTTCATAGACTGTGAGTCTGGGAAGAAGCAAACTGAGGTTGAAAGATGGAGAAGGTCTCCTGAAGATGGTCAGGCCTGGAATGTGGAGATTCAGAAAATCCTGGCACTCAAGAGCATACTGCCCACTCAAAAGCATACGCCAGAAGTCCCCCTACCCCACTCCCCACCAAAAAAACTGGTGTGTATGTGTGTGTATGTGTGTGTGCGCGTGCACACACACGCATGCTTCCTGTGCTTTTTAAATATCTGCAACTGACATGTGGGGAACTTGCAAAGGAGAACAACAGCTGCCTTCACACTGCCCCCTACCCCACACTGCGTATTTAAAGGAAAGTCTGGCCCAACTTTCCTCTGAGTGCAGCAGAAGGAAAACACACACAGACCGCAGCAGAGAAAACCACACAGACATATAAGCAAACAGACAGCTTCAATTTCAAAGATTCTTGCAAGACCCAGTGTGGCTCAGGAATGGCCATCAAGAAGCTGATGGTTCTGGAATGGGCCCTGATGTTTATACACTCAACGCCTGGCTGCTGGTTTTTTTAGACTGACCGGAGTGGCCACTGCCTCACAGAATCACTAAAAGCTCACTCTGCCAGGGGCAGGCAGGCAGACTCTGTTGTAGTCCAGGAAGTGTCCTCTTTCCTTGAAAGTAGATTTAAACTTTCTGAGAATTAATGTTTGTCCCTAGGAACAGGTCTGTGTGCATATGTGTGCATGTACGTATGTGTGTATGTATGTGTGTTTAATGGTTGCCCCTTGGACAACTTCTCACCAGTAGGGAAGACAAACCCCTCATCCCCTCAACCCAACTGACCTGCTGGGAAGTCCCCATGGAACTTATTTATTCTATAAATTCATCCAGTAAATATATTTGGGGCCTTTACAGACACTATTCTTAGCTCTGGGAATACAGTGGTGGAGACAGATGTTTCCATCCTCCTGGGTCTTGCCGTCTGGTGGGTGAGAAAGACAATAAACAAGGACACGAATGCAGGAGCTGCAAGCGCTACATGGAAAATAAAGCAGGGAATGAGAGAAGAGTGAATGAGCTAGGGCGCTGGAGGAGAGAGAATTCTTAGGCTGGCCGTCTTTGAGAGGTGACACCTGAGTGAAGTGAGGAAGTCCACCATGAGGAGATCTGGGAAGAGCAATTCAAGCAAAAGGAAAAGTGGGCATGAAGGCTTGGGGGTGAGGGCCCCTTGGCATTTTCGAGGAACCAGAGAAAAGTGCTTCTTCATATGTGATCTCAATGTATCTTTGCAAAGATCCTAAGAAGTACTGCTATGATCCTCATGTTAAAGATGAAGAAATGAGGCTCAGAGAGGTTAGGTAACCTGTCCAAGGTCATCCAGCTGGCAAATGGCAGAACCAGCAAAGATCCCAGGCAGTGTGGCTGTGGAGTCCAGGCTGTTAAAGAATTTGCCTGGATATAGTAAGAAACCAGCGTTACCTATTACCTGCAAGAGTTGGGTGGGAGGGACTGAGTAGGAGGTGGAGGGTGGATCCCAGGACCAAACCAGTCTTTGTGGATGAAGGGTGGAGTTTCCTTCCAACTGTGTGGCTTATAGAAAATAATCTTTCAGAAGAGCATGTGCTATCTGATGAGAAAGGAAAATGACGGCCTACAGTGTGTCTACACGGGTCCCCAGTGAAGTGTGTGTGTGTTTCCTTGGATGATGGAGACAGTCATATTGAGTACATCACTTTAAATTCCTCCCCACTGAAGACACATGTGCGCTCATTATCCAGCCCCTCTGTAGAGTTTTGCAGCCCACAGGGCATCCCCTCCCCATATCCCTGCCTCCCTCGAGCTGGTGACAACGTGGCAGCATAGGTCAAGGAGGCTGTTTCTAGAGATTCTAGAGAGTGAAGAGATGTCATTCTGACATCTTTTGCAAAATGGAAAATGTGAGGGAGTTAGCCCCCGATGAATCCCTCAGCCAATGGAGGACAAATCTAGTGAGTAAATGCCACCCCCTTTCATTCCTCCAGGAGGCAATTCTAGCTGCATACACATGTCTCCCAAGGTGGTCCCCTGTGGAGTCAAACTCAGTGGCCCACAGTAGTGATCAGCTGGATAATGCACCTTTATGTGGCCTCTCTCTCTCCTTTTTTTTTTTTTAACACTATTCCCAGTCTCCCACTACTGTTTCTTGGGAGCATGCCCAAAATAAACTGCCTGCTAGCTGTTGTCTCAGGCTCTGCTTTTTGAGGGAAGCAAGGCTAAGACCATTGGGACCAGAAGGGTTCTAAAAAGCAGATTCTGTCCAGGCGTGGTAGCTCATGCCTGTAATCCCAGCACTTTGGGAGGCCAAGGTGGGTGGATCACCTGAGGTCAGGGGTTCGAGACCAGCCTGGCCAACATGGTAAAACCCCATCTCTACGAAAAATACAAAAATTAGCTGGGCGCAGTGGTGTGTGCCTATAATCCCAGCTACTCGGGAGGCTGAGGCAGGAGAATCGCTTGAACCCAGGAAGCAGAGGTTGTGGTGAGCCGAGATTGCTCCATTGCACTCCAGCCTGGGCGACAAGAGCAAAACTCCGTCCCCCCCAAAAAATAAAAAAAAAAAATTAAAATAAAAATAAAAGGCAGATGCTGTGGATGAGATTATGGAACCTCGGTGACAGGTTGATTTCCCCAGATTTCCTTTACCCTGGAAGAGGTTGCGATTTGCTTTTCTGGAATTGACGTCTATATCAGATATAAGTTTGCTTTCACTGCCAACAGTATCCTTGCTGGCACCACCACCCAGGACATGGGAACCTGCCTATGATTGCTTCAGATCAAGAGATCTATTTGTGGCCAAGAGGCATGGCAGTGGGTACCCAAACATGGGATCCACTGGCCCTACCATAAACCTGCATCACCTGGAAGCAGCTGCTGTAATAGAATGATGGCACGGACTGGTAGTGGTTGAGCTAAAATGACAGTTTAAGCACCCGCCCTATGGGGCTGGGGAGCTGTCCTTCAGGATGTGGCATGAGCTCTGAGTCAAAGACCACAACATGCAACTGTATTCCCAAGAGCTAGAATACTCAGGTCCAGGATCCAAAGGATGGAAGTAGGATTTTCCCCTCTCCCCATCACTCCCAGACACCTAATTGCAGAATTTTGATTTCTGTTTCCCAAACTTGAAGCTTTGCCCAGTGCCTTAAAAGGCTCAGTTAGAGACTAGGGAATCAAGAGAACCCACCATTTAAATCCTTTTGGAAATATGACAGATCCAGGGCTGGCAAAATAGGAGAGAAATAAGAAAGAGAAAAAGAGAGAGAGTGAATGAGATGGATGTTTCTTCTGGAGGTGTCTGTGAGGGTGGTGGGTACTGGCCATACAGGTGGAAATCAGCATCCAGAGACCCAGAAGAAGTGGCCACAGCCATGCACAAGGGTCACACACACACACTAACCTCAAAGCCCAGGGCAAAGCTGAAGCATATAGGAGCTGCTTGAGAAGGAACCTTGAACATGAAGATGCCGGTCTAACACAAATCAGCAGGGGAAGGGTGCCCAGGGCCCAGCCCTCCTGCCCCCTAGTTTTTAGGTAGCCATCCAGGTGAGGCCACTAAGGTTTGACTGAAGGCAGGTATCTCCAAGGTACGGGGCATCCAACAGGAGTCCTTGACCATAACTGACAGGTCCTCTAGCAAGAGACTGTGACAGGGTGGGATCGCAGGGTGGTCAGCCTAGATCTCCCTTTCACACAAGGCTACAATGTAGGCCTTTGATACTACACCCAAATAAGGATATAAGCCATCATTGTTTTTAAACTGGGTGTGATGAAAGTGTTGATTTGTAAAAAGTAAACATTTAAAATATACATAGTTTTTGAGAACCCTGTTTTGGCATTCCTTCACTTAAAAAAAATAGATTTATTGAGGAATCATTCACAATTGAGGTATCATTTAGGTACAATTAAATTGTTTTAGGTGCATAATTCTATGCATTTGACAAACACATATAGTTGTATAACCATGGCCATATTGAAGATATAGAGTATTTCCCTCACTGCAAAAAGTTCCCTGGAGCCTCTTTATACTAAATCCTCTCTTCTCCACTGTCCCTGAAAACCATTGCTCTGATGTCTGTCCCTCAACTTTTGCCTTTCCTGGGTCATATGATGGACTCAGAGTTCATGGCCTTTTGTGTGTGGCTTCTTTCACTTAGCACAGTGCACTTGAGATAAGTGTGACTATTGCATGTCTCAGTAGTTTATTCTTCTAACTGTTGAGTTGCACTACATTGTAGATGCATTACCACAAATCTGGTGGCTTAAAACAACAGAAATTTATTCTCTCACAGTTCTGGAGACCAGAAGGTGGAAGTCCAGGTGCCAGCTCCAGGAAGAAGTCCAGGGCTGTGCTCTCTCCAGAGGTCCTAGAGGGGATTTCAGTTTCCTGTCTCTTCCAGCTTCTGGTGGCTCCAGGGGCCCTTGGCTTGTGGCTGCACCACTCCAGTCTCTGCCTCTGTCGTCATATGGCCTTCTCCTCTTCTCCCCTTGTGGGCCTCTTACAAGGACACTTGTCATTGGATTTGGGGCCCACTCAGACAATCCAAGATGGCCTCATCTCAAAAGCCTTAATTACATCTGCAAAGACCCCTTTTCCAAAAAAGGTCACATTTACAGCTTCCAGGAATTAGCACGCAGATATAACTTTGGGAAGAGCCGTCACTCCACCCACCACACATGGATAAGCCACAGTTTGTTTATTCTTTTGCCAGTTGATGGGCATCTGGGTTATTTCCAGTTTGGGGACATTATAAATACAGCTGCTCTAAACATCCACTGTTCTTTGCAGGAACCCATATTTTCATTTCTCTTGGCTGTGGGATTAGGAAGCATTCCTTCACTCTGTAACATATAAGGAAGGTGCTGCAAAAAAATGGAAGTGCATTAGTTGGGTGTGGTGGCGCGTGCCTGTAATCCCAGCTACTTGGGAGGCTGAGGTACACGTATTGCTTGAACCAGGGAGGTGGAGCTTGCAGTGGGCCAAGATTGCACCACTGCACTCCAGCCTGGGCAACAGCGAGACTCTGTCTCAAAAAAAAAAAAAAAAAAAAAAAACAAAAGGAAGTGGCCCATCTCTCTCTGCCTATCCCAAGTGGCCTTGCCCTGGGGCTTTGGTTCCACAGCTCATAGCACACTTCTTCCCTACCCTGGCTGCAGGCATGTTCAGGTCCAGTCACCTGCCCTGCTGCCCCTGCTCCTGCCCACACACCCCTGCACATCCACAGTCCAGCACCGTCCGTTTACACAAATGGGCTTCTACAGAGGAGGAGCTGGAGCAGGGAATGGAGACAATCTCATTTCCTGGGCCTGCTTCCTCGTGTGCCAGGGTTCAGGCTCAGATGTGGCAGGTTCTCTTTGTCACAAGCCCTGACTCACGAGACCTCGGTGGCCTCGGGAAGCAACAGGTATAGGGGTATCATGCTGCTGTGTGGGCCTCTGGCAGCCCCCCTGTGACCACAGCCAGGCTGACCCAGACAGACTAATGGGAGATTTAAAAAAAAGTCAAGGCACACTGCTGAGATGCAATTTTATAATCAGCCTGTAACTTGATTATCTCAAAAATAAATGAACAATCAATACCGCTAATCTCAGCGTATTCCCCTGCTGAGACAGGAAACTTGAGCCTGGCTTGTGTTTGGCTACCCATGTCCCTCTTCTGGTTCAAAGGAGTCTTCTGTTTAATGTCAACATTTGCTTTTGTACCTTTTTATGTATTTTCATTACTTGCTTCTGCTTGTCCTTGCTTTGCGTGAGAAAAACCCAGTGCGGGGGCCCTTCTAGTCTAGCTGGTTCCGCATTTGTGAGATCCTGCACACCTGTGTGACCCTCAAACTCTGACTTGTCTCACGCTGATTAGGACACATCCAGGGGAGGAAGGAGTCAGTGAGCTTGTTTAGAAACATGGCTTGCTGATGGCCACACCTGTTCCCCAGGGAAAGCTGCCTCCTAATGGGCAGGTGAGAAGGCTGGTGAGGGGAGGAGGGGCAATAAGCCCTGATGCATCCTCCATTCCGGTTCCATTATTGACTCAGGGCTCTTTAAATTCTACGTCCTTGACTTTCTGGCTCCATCACCAGCAGTAACTCAGCCTGTCTGTGCTGTGTATCGTGGAAGGCTCCACTTCATCCTTTTCCCCCCAGGATTCATTCCCTCTACTAAAAATCCCCCTCGTTAGCCTTCTGTGGCTTGAAATGCCTCGGTGTTTTGCAGGGATTCAAATTCCTAGCACAATCTCCCTTGAGCAGAGCGTCTGTTTCTACAGCAAAGGCAGAGAGATCTATCTTAACTTCCTCCCAGCTCAACTTTTATATTCTCGGCTACCCCAGGAGCTTCCTGAATTTTATGCAGCTTAATTCATGATGATAAACATGGGTTCTGGGAGGCTGAGAACAGGGAGCATTCACCCTTCTTACTAGAGAATACAGATGGCTGCTCAGACATGGGTGAAGGCCCCTCACCTCCTCCACCAAGGGATAAGTCTCAGTAGGGTGAAAATTCAGCCACCTTCCTTCCCATGTGCAGGTCTGCCTTCCACCCCAAAACACAGCTGAGTTTCCACATTGCCCAGATCAAACCTAGAATTAGCTGAGGGTCAACTTCATGCCAGGCACTTTTCATATTCAGTTTTTTTATGTTTATCAGCAACCTCAATAAGGCAGATAACATTACCCCATTTTACAGGAGGAAACTTAAGGTTAGAGAAATATAATAAAGTGAGCTGTCCAAAAACCACAGAGCTGGGAGTGAGGAAGCTTGAATCTGATAAAGTTCAAAGATATGTGCCTCTCAGGTTCATGTTCCTTTCCCATACCATGCTCCAACGGCCCCTACAATTCCCCAGCTCTCACATCATTGACATCGTCCCCTTAGTCACATCATTTAGCTTCTCTGTGCCTCAGTTTCCTCATCTATGAAATGGGTATAAGAAGTCCTGCTCTCCGGAGTTGCTGTAAGTTTTAGAAATGCAATCAGGCAGGTAAAGTATTTAGCACACTTTCTGGCACCTTAGGTGTTTAGCAAGTAGTGATGATGATTATTTTCTAGTAGCAGCATTGAAGCTTTTGATAGCAGTCATAGATCATAGAAACTTCCAGCCAGAAGTCACCTTTGAGCCCATCTATCACAATCTTCCCCTTTACAGAAGAAACAGAGGCCAGAGTGTCTAGCTGACCTTCCTAAGCTCAGAAGGTGAGGGGCTGAAATGCAGGCCTGACTTGGGAAAAATAAAACAAACAAAAAAACTGTTTACGCCTGTCCCCTGAGCTGCCTAGCTGTATTCTGGGTCGTTTGGTCTTTTTTTCTTTTTTTTTTTTTCTTTTGGTGTATGGGCTGGTGGGCTGGGAGGTGAGTGCAGGAAGATACAAATCACAATTGAAAAAAAAGTGGCAAAGGAAAGGTAGTTACAGGCTAACACCCCTAGACTGCTGGTTCTCAAAGTGGGGTCTCTGAATTCGCATCAGCTCACCTGAAACTTCTTAAACAGTTTCTTGGGCTCTAATCCAGATATCCTGAATGAGAAACGCTGGGGAAGGGTAATCTGAGTTTTAACCCTCAGGTGATTCTGTTGCAGGGTCATGTTTGAGAACCGTCACCTAAGGCCAAGGAAGGAAAATAACTGGTGTCTGTGCATAGTCTCCATCTCACACACCAGGCATCACTGCTCATAATGCCCTTTAGTTAACCGCAGATGCAGCCTCTGAATCCTTGTTTTTAAGTTCTGGGATACATGTACAGAGCGTGCAGGTTTGTTACATAGGTATACATGTGCCATGGTGGTTTCCTCCACCTATCAACCCATCATCTAGGTTTTAAGCCCTGCATGCATTAGGTATTTGTCCTAATGTTCTCCCTCCCCTTGCCTCTGACCCTCCGACAGGCCCCATTGTGTGATGTTCCCCTCCCTGTGTCCATGTGTTTTCATTTTTCAACTCCCACTTACAAGTGAGAACACGCGATGTTTGGTTTTCTGTTCCTGTGTTAGTTTGCTGAGAATGGTCCTTCTTGACACACAGCACTCCTGACAACCATCACCACTACGGGCCACAGGGAGGCAATGGAGATAGTCATGTGTTAATCCACACAGAGAAAGAGTCACCTCCCTGGACTCAATTATCCATTCCGGGAGCAACTCCTGACATTTCTGCAGTCATGTTCAAGCCCAGAGCCTGGTACAGATCTGGGCCTGTTCCAAGAACTTGGTTTTCTTAACTGTGCCCTGTCTCCTTGAGTACTGGGCTTCCCTTGCAAAAGCAGGAGCAAAACTAAAACAAACATGGAATGGAGAGCAGCTCAACTGGGCGAGGCTGGGTTTGATCAGCAGCCGGGCTGTGGACCAGCTCAGAGGCCCTAGGTGAGTCTCAAGCCTCACCTGTAGCTCCCCCGTAACAATGAAAACCTGTGAGGTGTAAGGAGAGCAACAAAGGCTTTTGGAATCAAATTTTGGTTTCTATCCCAGTTCTGTCGCTTTTGAACTGTGGAATCTAAGGTAAATTACTTAAGGCATCATTTTCTAACCTGTAAAATAGAAATAATAACACCTGCTTCTCTGAGCGGTTTGGAAGATTAAATAAGATGATATATGTAAAGCCCCTGACTCAGTACCTAGTTTACGGGACAAGAATGATACATTTACTCCAGGAGGAACCCTCTGTCTTTTGTCCTCCACATCTCAATCAGTATCTTGAGTCAGTGAGTGGAAAAAAAAAATCAGCTAAAGTGGAATATTCATAAAACAGGAAATAGTATAAGTTTTAACTTAAACATATACATATTAATGATCTTTGATATAGGGCTAAGGCCTTTTCTTTGACAATGTGCCCAGTAATTTACATTCTCCATGATTTTTCTTGCAAAAATCTCATCCCAAATCTGTGACTTCTGGTTTGGGTTTATTATTATTATTTTTTATTTCAATAGCTTTTGGGGTACAAGTAGTTTTTGGTTACATGGATGAAGTGTGTAATGGTGAAGTTTGAGATTAGTGTACTCATCAGCTGAGTAGTATATATTGTACCCAATATGTAGTTTTTTTAGCCCTCACCCTCTTCCTAGCCTCCCTGCTTCTGTCTCCAATGTCCATTTTTCCACTCTGTCTACCTTTGCGTACCCATAGCTTAGCTCCCACTTATAAGTCAGAACATAGTTTTCCATTCCTGAGTTATTTTACTTAGAATAATGGCCTCCATCTCCACCCAAGTTGCTGCAAAATACATTATTTTATTCTTTTTTATGGCTGAGTAGTAGTCCATGGTGTATATACACCACATTATCCATTCATTGGGTGGTGGGCACTTAGATTGGTTCCTTATCAACTGTGAATTGTGATGCAATAAACGTATGTGTGCAGGTGTCTTTTGAATATAATGACTTCTTTAAACATATGTGTGCAGGTGTCTTTTGAATATAATGATTTGGTAGATACCCAGTAGTGGGATTCCTGGATCAAATGGTAGATCTACTTTTCGTTTTTAAAGAAACCTCCATACTGTTTTCCATAGAGGCTGTACTGATTTACATTCCCACCAGCAGTGGATAAGTGTTCCCTTTTCACCACATGCACACCAACATCTATTTTTTTTTATTTTTTATTTTTTAATAATGGCCATTCTGGCTGGGGTAAGCTGGTATCTCACTGTGGTTTTAGTGTGCATTTCCCTGATTTTGATGTTGAATATTTTCACATTTGTTGGCCATCTGTATTATCTTCTTTTGAGAAACGTCTACTCATGTCATTTGCCCACTTTTTGATGAGACTTTTTTTTTGTTCATTTGAGTTCCTTGAAGACTCTGGATATTAGTCCTTTGTCAGATGCATAGTTTGTGACAATTTTCTCCCATTCTGTGGGTTGTCTGTTTACCCTGTTGAGTATTTATTTATTTTGCTATGCAGAAGCTTTTTAGTTTAATTAGGTCCCATTTATTTATTTTTGTCTTTGTTGCATTTGCTTTTAGGGTCCTAGGTTTTCTTTTAGACTTTTTATGGTTTGGGGTCTTAGATTTAAGTTTTTTTATCCATCTTGAGTTGATTTTTGTATATGGTGACAGACAGGGATCCAGTTTCATTCTTCTACATGTAGCTATCCAGTTTTCCCAGCACCATTTATTGAATAGGGTGTCCTTTCCCTAGTTTATGTTTTTGTATGTTTTGTTGAAGATCAGTTGAAGTATTTTGCCTTACTTCTGGGTTCTCTATTCTGTTCCATTGGTCTGTGTATCTACTTTTATACTAATTAGCCTTATAGTAAAAATTGAAGTCAGATAATGTGATGCCTCCAGATTTGTGCTTTTGCTTAGGATTGCTTTGGCTATTTGGGCTCTTTTTTGGTTCCATATAAATTTTAGGATTTTTTTTTCTAATTCTGTGAAAAATGATGTTGGTATTTTGATAGAAATTTCATTGAATCTGTAAATGCTTTGGGCAGTATGGTCATTTTCATGATATTGATTCTTCCTATCCATGAGCATGGGATGTGTTTCCATTTGTTTGTGTCTCCATTTGTTTGTGTCATCTATGGTTTCTTTTCCAGCAGTGTTTTGTAGTTCTCCTTGTAGACAGCTCACCTTCTTGGTTAAGTATATTCCTAGGGTGTTTTTTGCTTTTGGTTTTCAGCTACTGTAAAAGGGATTGACTTCTCCATTTGATTCTCAGCTTGGTCATCATTAGTGTATAGCAGTGCTACTGATTTGTGCACATTGATCTTGTAACCTGAGACTTTACTGAATTTGTTTATCAAATCTAGGAATCTTTTGGAGGAATCTTGGAATCTTGTGGTTTTCTAGGTATATGACCATATCATCAGAAAACAGAGATAGGGCTGGGCATGGTGGCTCATGCCTGTAATCCCAGCAACACATTTTGGGAGGCCGAGGTGGGCAGATCACTTAAGGTCAGGAGTTGGAGACCAGCCCGACCAGCATAGCAAAACCCTGTCTCTACTAAAAATACAAAATTGAGGCAGGAGAATCGCCTGAACCTGGGAGGCGGGGGTTGCAGTGAGCCAGATCCTACCACTGCACTCCAGCCTAGATGACACAGCAAGACTCTGAGACAGAGAGAGAGAGACGAGAGAGACGAGAGAGAGAGAGAGAGAGAGAGAGAGAGAGAGAGCGAGAGAAAGGAAGGCAGGCAGGCAGGCAGGCAGGTAGGCCGACCAGAGATAATTTGACTTCCTCTTTTCCAACTTGGATGCCCTTTATTTTTTTCTCTTGACTGATTGCTCTGGCTAGAACTTCCAGTACTACTTCGAATAGAAATGTTGAAAGGGAGCAACCCTGTCTTGTTCTATTTCTTAGGGGGAATGCTTTTAATTTTTTCCCATTCAGTATGAAATTGGCTGTGGGTTTGTCATACATGGCTTTAATTATTTTCAGGTATGTTCCTTCTCTGCCTAGTTTGTTGAGGGTTTTTATCATAAAGGGATGCTGGATTTTATCAAATGCTTTTTCTGTGTACCTATTGGGTTTTGTTTTTAATTCTGTTTATGTGATGTAACACATTTATTGAGTTACATATCTTAAATCATTCCTGCATTCCTGGGGTGAAGTCCACTTGATCATGGCATATTATCTTTTTGATGTGCTGTTAGATTCAGTATTCTAATATCTTTTTTTTAAGATTTTTTTTTTGCATCTATGTTAATCAGGGTTATAGGTCTGTAGTTTTCTTTTTTTGTTATGTCCTTTCCTGGTTTTGGTATCAGGATGATACTGCCCTCATAGAATAAGGTAGGGAGGATTCTCTTTTTCTCAAGCTTTTGGAATAGTTTCAGGAGAATTGTTACCCATTCTTCTTTGAATGTGTGGTAGAATTCAGCTGTGAATCCATCTGGTCCTGGGCTTTTTTATTGTTGTTGGCACTTTTTAATTTACTGATTCAATCTCACTGCTTATTATTGGTCTGTTCAGTATTTCTGTTACTTCCAGATTCAATCTAGGTGGGTTGTATGTTTCCAGGAATTTCTCCACTTTTTCTAGATGTTTTTAGTTTGTGTGCATAGAGGTGTTCGCAGTAGTTTTGAATCATCTTTTGTATTTCTGTGGTGTTAGTTGTAATGTTTCCTTGACATTTGAATTGTATTTGAATCTTCTCTCTTTTCTTGGTTAATCTAGCTAATGGTCTATTGATTTTTTTTCAAAGAACCAACTTTTTGTTTTATTGATCTTCTTTTTTGTTGTTGTTTCAATTTCATGTAGTTCTGCTCTGATATTTGTTATTCCTTTTCTTCTGCTAGCTTTGGGTTTGTTCTCATTTCTCTGGGCCCTTGAGGCGTGACACTAGATTGTCAATTTGTGATCTTTCAGACTTTTTGATGTAGGCATTTAGTGCTATAAACTTTCCTCCTAGCACTGCTTTTGCTGTATCCCAGAGGTTTTGAGAATTTATGTTACTATTATCATTTACTTTGAATAATTTTTTAATTTCCATCTTGATTTGTTAACCCAGAAATCATTCCTAAGTAGACTAATTCCCATGTATTTGTATAGTTTTGAGGATTCCTTTTGGGGTTGATTTCTAATTTTATTCCACTGTGGTCTGATACTTGATATGATTTCTATTTAAAATTTATTGAGACTTGTTTTGTGGCATATCATATGGTCTATCTTAGAGAATGTTCCATTTGCTGATGAGAAGAATGTATATTCTGCAGTTCTTGGGTAGAATGTTCTGTAAATATCTGTTAGGTCCATTGTTTTAGAGTGTAGTTTAGGTTCAGTGTTTCTTTGTTGACTTTCTGACTCGATGATCTGCCTACTGCTGTCAGTGGAGAGTTGAAGTCTCCCACTATTAATGTGTTGCTGTCTATATATATATATATATATACATATTTTTTTTTTTTTTTTTTTGAGACGGAGTTTCGGAGTTTCGGAGTTTCGCTCTTGTTGCCCAGGCTAGAGTGCAATGACTCGATGTCGGCTCACTGCAACCTCTGCCTCCCAGGTTCAAGTGATTCTCCTGCTTCAGCCTCTTGAGCAGCTGGGATTACAGGCATGCACCACTACGCGTGGCTCATTTTGTATTTTTTGTAGAGACAGGGTTTCTCCATGCTGGTTAGGCTGGTCTCAAACTCCCAACCTTAGGTTATCTGCCCGCCTCAGCCTCCCAAAGTGGTGGGATTACAGGTGTGAGCCACCATGCCTGGCTGTTTTCTTAGGTCTAGTAATAATTGTTTTATAAATCTGGGAGCTCCAGAGTTAGGTGCATATATATTTAGGATTGTAATATATTCTTGTTGGGTTGACTCTTTTATCATTATATAATGACCTTTGTCATTTTTTACTTTTTTTGCCTTAAAGTCAGATATTAGGTAAGATATAAAAAGTTACTTTTGCTCACCTTTAGTTTCCATTTGCCTGGAATATCTTTTTTCACCCCTTTACCTTGAGTCTATCATATACCTTAGATATTAGATGAGCCTCTTGAACACAGCAGATATTTGCTTTGTGATTTTTTTTTTTTTACCCGTTCTGCCAATCTGTATTTTTTAAGTGGAGCATTTAGACCATTTACATTCAGTGTTAATACTGAGATGTGAGATGCCATTCCAGTCATCATGTTGTTACCTAGATACTTTGTTTTCTTCATTATGTTATTGTTTTATAGGCCTTGTGAGTTTCATGCTTTCAAGAGGTTCTATTCTGGTGCATATCAACCTTTTGTTTCAAGATTTAGAACTCTGTTTAACATTTCTTGTAGGGCTGGCCTGGTAGTGACAAATTCCCTCAGCATTTGCTTGTCTGAAGATCATTTCTGCTTCACGTATGAAATTTAGTTTTTCTGGAGACAAAATTCTTGGCTGCTGATTATTCTGTTTAAGAGGCTAAAAACAGGACCTTAATCCCTTCTGGCATGTAAGGTTTGTGCTGAGAAGTCTGCTAGCAGTCTGAGAGGTTCTCCTCTATAGGTTATGTGATACTCTTGTCTCACTGCTCAGAATTCTTTCCTTCACATTGACTTTAGACAGTCTGGTGACTATATGCTTTGATGATGTCCTCTGCAATGAATCTCAGGTTTGGGTTTATTTAAAATGTAGTTAAGAAGTTCAGAGAAGGGTGGGGTGGGGAGGGCATGAACACACAGCTGCCAACAGAGATTAAGTGAAGGTGACAAGGATTCTCTCCTTGACCAAACTCTAGCCAGGCTCCTCTCAAACCCTTTGTCCACTAGATCTCAACCTTGGCCTATAAAGATTTGCAGAAACACTAACACAGTTTCTAACAGCTCAAGATGACATCCCTAGGATGACCATAGCCTCCCTTAAAGTGCCTGCCTGAGAAAACTCAAGGCTTCCAAACGAACTTAGTTTATGCTAGTCAACACCCAAAAATAGGGCCCCCATCTCTCAGTCTCTGTCCAGTGCCAGCTGGCAAGCCCAGATGGGTTTCTCATGGACCAATTCTCTCCCAAACCCTCCATACTTTTTGAAAAAAATATGGGAGCCAAAATGAAAAAGGGAGAGCTAAAAGGAAGATTAAAGGAAAACTCTCTCAATATGGGAAAAAAAGAGCAAAGAGATGGAAAACAGATAAAAAAAGATAAGACAAAGAATTAATACAGAGTGGTAGGGTCATCTGGTAGAAATTCTAGAAAGAAAAGACAGAGACAATGAAAGGGAAGAAACTTTCAAAGAAATAACACTAGAAAACTCCACTGAAGTTCACAAGTATCCATTTTGAAAGAGCCCAGTGGAATGTTGAGCACCTGTGTGTGAAAAAAAAAAAAAAGTACAACAGCACATACATATCAGTGTGAAATTTTAGCAACCAAGTATTTTTTTTTTAATCCCAAAATCTTCTAGAGAGTAAAAAAGCAAATAGAACCAAATAAGTACACTGTAAGGGAACAGATATAAAGGAAAAAGCCCACAGAAAAAATGGCAGTAAAGCAGAGGTCTCTGGAAGGAGGATTTTTAAGAAAAAAAAAAATTAATGGTTATTTGATATGTCCAAGTATTTAGAAAATAACTGATAGGAATTTAACCAAGTATAAGCTCCATGAGGGCAGATATTTTGTAATTTGTTCAGTGCTGATCTCTGGTGCCAGAAACAGTGCCTGGTGGATATTGGAAACTTAGAATTAATGAATCTGATGGACCACTCAAAAACAAAGAGAGACTAGGTGTATTGAAAACTGAGTAGGGGAAGAGATGAACTAATTAATTCCAAGAAAAACAAACAGTTGTACAAAAAAGAAACATAGTATACATATTATTGTATACTGTCAAGAACGAACCGCAAAACATAAGCATAATGTAAGCACTCGCCAATAATTTAAGTGAAAACTATCTTATACCTACAAGTATATTTGGAGGAAAGGAAGAGAGGAATAGCAACAAGGTATAGGCAAGCAAAATCTTCATCTATCATAGCAGTAAGATGACAGGTTTTTTACAATCCCATATTCTTGGGATTTTTACAGTCCCAAGAATCTCTTCAATCCCAATGTTTCTATTGTCTCTGTGTTGGATCTCTGATCTTGGGTAGTTTGCTGTCACTTCTAGATGCTTCTGTCACTGCCGTGTTCCAGGGTGTGTTGTTCTTTATCAAGCTTCTGAGTTAAAGCAGGGATCTGGATTGTCAAGGTAGATTGGCCATACCATCCCGGAAAGAGTCATCCATTTGGCAAATATTTATTGAGTACCTAACATGTGCTACAGGCACTGTGCTAGGGTCTGGGGACACAGTGAAGAACAAAGTCCACAGTCTCAAGGAACTTTCATGCTGGTAGGAGGAGGCAGAAATAAACAAGCGGCCAAGTGATTACACAAAATATCAGGTGATGATAAGTGCTGTGAAGAAAAAGCAGGTCAAGGGTAAAGAAAGCGATGGGAATGGAAATATAATTTTGCACATCTATGTAAATAACCTTCAGGAAGGACAGATCAAAGAGTGTTCCAGGCATAAGGTACACCAAGTACAAAGGTCTTGAGGTGAGAGCAAGGTGAGAGAGTTTAAAGAGTTCAAGAAAGTCAGTGTGTTGGGAGTACAGTGAACCCAGGGAGGGGGGCAAAAGAGGAAGACTGAGAAGTAGGAAGGCCTAGAGGTAAGAGGCATGAGGATGATCTTGGTGAGCAAGACAGAAAATCTGTGGAGGCCTTTATGCAGCAGAGGGACATATTTTCAGAGAATCGGTCTGAATAGATTAAGATGGGAAGAGATGAAGCTGCAGGGGCGGTTTTGGACCAGTGCCAGTTAGCAAGCCCAGATGGGTTTCTCATGGACCAATTCTCCCATCTTAGCATCTAATCAGACCAATTCTCTGAAAATTCTTAGAAAGATATTGTAATAAGCAATGTGAGAGACCATGGTGGCTTGGCCCACCGTGGTAGTGATGGAGGTCATGAGAAGTGGCTGGAGTCCGAGTATGTTTTGAAGGACTCAATGACTGGATGTGGGATGTGAAAGAGAGAACCAAATCACAGCTACCTTCATAGTTCTCCTCCGAGCAATTGGAAGAATGAGGCATTATTTACCCAAGGTGGAAGCCTGGCTGGGTACGGTGGATTAGGTGAAGGCAAGGGGAAGGAAATAATGAGTTCGTTTTAGATAGAAGTTTGGAACGCCTATAGCCTTCAGATGTCAAATAAGCAGCTATATCTACATTTCTGGAGTTCAAGTGAGAAGTCTGGGCAGAAACTATGAATTCTGGAGTCATTTCCATATAGCTGGTGTTTCAATGTGAGACGGGGGAGAGGTCACCATGGGAGGAGCACAGGTGGGGAGCACCATCGCTTTGGTGATTTTCTTATTAGGTTAAAGGAAGTGGGTAGGACTTCCCAGTAACTGGAAGGATAGATGGTCCATTTCCCTAATTCATTTTAGATAATTTCCATCAGTATGGAAATGGGGTGGGATTTGTAATACTTTTAGAGAAGATAATCACATAGCATCATTTTGTGTTAACCGAATTCAGGGGATGGGACTTTGTTTTGGAACTCTCCAAGATGCAGAGGTTGGGAAGGTGAGAAGGAACCAGCAAGGCGGACTGAGAAAGAGCAGCCTGAAAGCTTGGTGTCCAGGAAGCCATGTGAAGAGTTTCAAACATGAGAGAGTGATCAGCTGCCTCCAGTGAGTTAAAGCCTAGGATGTGCAATATTTCAGGCAACACTATAATGAAGTGATCTGCACCTAGTTAACAAAATGTGAGTTTGCAATTTTTTTACATCTCAGAAAACAAAGTATTTCATATGCCCTAACATGCTACTTTCAATCTTTGAAAATATCTCCATGTCTATTACAAATGTTAAAACGAACACAAAAAACAAAAGCAAAGCCCCAGGTTTGCCTGGGCTCTTGTGCCTACAAAGTCGTCTTTCTCTCCACTTGTCCACAATGAGTCAAACTCCAGTAACTGTGTCCGAAGCTCTGCTCTTTGCA
Organism: Homo sapiens; assembly: GCF_000001405.40. Lineage (NCBI taxonomy): Eukaryota > Metazoa > Chordata > Mammalia > Primates > Hominidae > Homo > Homo sapiens. The sequence goes on along the minus strand of NC_000004.12, from coordinate 26,441,302 downwards.
CACACTTGGCCGGTGTTCAAATCACATGACAGAAAATGTTAAGCATCACATTCCAAAAAGAGACTCCTTGGTTTTGTTGAAACATTTTCAGAGCAGGTTTGCAGTGTGTGGTGGTAGTGGGGATGCACATTCACACACACGTGTGTTCCAAATCTCATTAGTGACGGGAGTGCACATCTCAATTGTCTTCTGACAACCCGTCTTTGGGACCTCCACATTTCTGGGACCTCTCCCTCTACTTTGCTTCTCTCTGCTCACCTTGTATCCACAATCCCCTCCCTAGAAGGCACCTGTGTCTTTGTTGGTGTCATTTAGATCTCAAATCACAGTGTGGAAAAGAAAGCACGGCCCTTCCAGAGCCAGGCCACAGGAAGGTTTCTCTACAGATACGCCTGGCCAGTTTGAGTGAGGAGACACAGCTCTGAGGATTGTCTCTGTCTGTGAATCTCAGCACAGATACCTCTTATTAGGTTTTTGTGATAATTTAGCCTCTCTGAATTTGCAGAACTGCTCTCATGAGTAGGGGAGCTCGCCAATTAAAACTGAGGTGTTTCTTTTCCCCCAAACCAAAGGTTTTTTAAACTCAGGAGTTGCCCAACAACTGTATGCGAACTTCTACATACAGCAACTTCGCCTTGGATGTCAAAAGGCTCTGAGGTTTATGCACACGGTTAGGTAATGCAAGCCTCTGTATCGTGACTACAGTTGCATATGAACATTTTAGCTTTTAGACGGGCCACATTATCACATTATCTGACTATCCCATTTGTAATTTGGTATATGGGCCTTCTCAAGTATAAGGAGAAATTTTAACTCTGTTTAAAAAAACAAGGCAGCAAATTCTAAAATGACTGTTAACAGTTATTTGGAAAACAGTAACAATCACTAAAAATAATTACTTTTATGGAGCAAAGCCACTCTTTCACTTCTTGTCAATCACTCTCACTTCTGTCTGTGGACACACTAAGCTCCTGCCACCCGAAGCGGGGTCTTTTGACCAGCAGCATCGGTGTCACGTGGGAGCATGCTGGAAAATGCAGAATCTCGGGAGTCACACTGAAGACCTGAGAGTGACTTGGTATCTCACGCCCTCCCCCGGGGCTCACCTCTTCTCCATACACCCCTCCCTTGGTGATCTCATCAGGATGATGGCTTTAAATATCATGTCCAAGTGACTGACTCCCAAATGTTCCCATCCAGCACAGACATCGCCCCGAACTCCAGACATGGAGATCCAACTGCCTACTTGTCCTTTCAACTTGAAGTCTAACAGGGATCTCAAAATGGGCATAGCGAAAACTCTTGATTTCCTCTCTCAACCCCCAGCTCGCTCCTCCTTCCACCTACCTCCCGCTTCAGACTTCCCTGCTACTCATCTAGTTGCATTCTGTGGTAGACAGAGGTCACTCCTGAACCAAACCAAGAGTGACAGTGAGGCTGTTTCCTCAGCCCATCTGCAAGTTCCCTTGCCTTTCGTCAGCCTGGCTCTTCCGTCCCGCCTCCAACTTGTCTGACTCTACTCTAAGGTGGGGTTCTCTATCAGGAAACTCCTTGGAGACCCTTTAAGTAGCGCCTTCTTGGTATATAGGAATCCCAGAGTCACAGTCGGCTGTGTCAGTGTCTGGTGGGATTTCCTTGTCTCTTACTCCTCTCTCGATCCCTACAGTTCACAGGGGTCATTCTACCCTGATGAATAGTATACCCAGGGGCTGGTTACCTCAAGGTGGCTGAAACAGACCCAGAGAAAGACAGCTGGGCTAAGCTTAAGTTACTTAACCAGCTTCACCTTACTGTGATATGTGCACGGCACCCCCACTGCAATAAACAGTGACATCAGAGGCAGCAGTTTTATGCTCCACATCACATATCAGTACATTTAGAACATAATTCTCACCCTGGATGCTGCTAAGGTCCTTTGATGGTCAGATTCTATCTATCTCTGAGCCCTCTGATAGGTAAACATGCATCCATACTGTTTCTTGCCTCTCTCCACTAGAAGGAAAGCTCCACGTTGCAGGCCTTTATTTATTGCCACATCCACAGTTTCTGGCTGTGGAGGAGCTAAATTAACTAATAGAGCAAACAGTTATTAATACTTTCTCAAAGACAGAGGCTAATGGCCAGGCGTGGTGGCTCACGCCTGTAATCTCAGCACTTTGGGAGACTGAGGTGGGCAAAGTGCTTGAGCCCAGGAGTTCAAGACCAGCCTGGGCAACACGGAGAAACTCTATCTCTACAAAAGATACAGAACAATTAGTCAGGTATGGTGAGGCACACCTGTGGTCCCAGCTATTCAGGTGGGTGAGGTGGGAGGATCACTTGGGCCCAGGAGGTTGAGCCTGCAGTGAACCATGTTTGTGCCAGATGTGCACTCTAGCCTGGGCAAGAGAGCAAGACCCTGTCTCAAACAAACAAAGAAAAGGCTGAGTGCAGTGGCTCATGCCTGTAGTCATGGCACTTTGGGAGGCCAAGGCAGGCGAATCACTTGAGGTCAGGAGTTCGAGACCAGCCTGGCCAACATGGCAAAACCCTATCTCTACTAAAAAAAATACAAAAATTAGCCAGGCGTGGTGGCACATACCTGTAATCCCCCAGCTCTCGGGACGCTGAGGCAGGAGAATCACTTGAACCCAGGGGACAGAGGTTGCAGTGAGCCGTGATTAAGCTACTACACTCCTGCCTGGGTGACAGAGTGAGACTGTGTCTCAAAAATAACAACAACAAAAAGGCAGAGGCCAAGAATCAGCAAATGTCAATGGAAGGAAAGACAGTGGAGTCTCAGAAGGAACTGGCGCTGGGAATGCTCCCACTTCTTGCGGAGTGTCTGCTTCATTCTTCTCTTTGCAAACCAGTTCGCTTTGATCCTCTGTTCCATGGCAAAACAAGGCTGATGGGAGCTTGCACGTTTGTTCTCTGCCCAGTGGCCAGCGGAGTCTGCCAGAAGTCCCTCAGCAACCCTGAGTTTATTAGTCATAGTGGGAATAAAAGCAGCGAAGCCTGCCCATGGAAGGGACATTTCTAGAGAAGACTGCAAGCTAGAGATGGGCAGGGCTTTGTGCTTCAGGACCTGGGCATCCTTTCCAAAAGCTTCCCAGTGTATTATTAGCTAACTGGAATTTGAGGAGTAAGAAATATTTCATGTAAAGCCCTTAGCAAATAGAAGATAGTTCATTATTGAACCTATTGCTTGTAGTCCTCTAGAATGGCTGCCTGGCATCACTTCTCCCATTCTAGCAACCTCCAGGCCTCTCACCAGAGAAACTAAAGAGCCTCTGGAGGTTCCTTTTAACTGATGCTTCAAAGTGTACAGGCAAGTGACCCAGGCTCGCATGACCAGTTATTCTCACCTGCAAAGTGGAATCCTGATCAGGTATTTAAAGATAGAAAAGAGGGAATGCATTCCAGTCCCCTAGATAAGCCACTCCTATGATAAAAGATGTCCAACCTGCAGGACAGAACTAAGATGGAAAATATTTTGAAGTGTCCAATAATGGCTATCACAGTGAAGGTCTACATTTTTAAACCTTTGAAGTATTAAATGCAAAACAACCATATCACTGTTTTCTTGAAAGAACAAGCAAAAATCAGGCCTGAGCACTGAGCTCCCGTTGCTCCTAGAAGAACCAAGACAAAATGATCTCTAAACCTTAGGACAGCCAAAGCAGATCCTTGGGCGTTGAAGCTAAACTAGGGCTGGATAGGCAGGACAGAAACACAGCTAGGAGCTTTTTGTGTCCTCTCCTAACTATGCATAATTTCCCCCCACTTAAATGAAACAAATTAGCAATGGAGAGCTGCAGAATCAGCCACCAGATGATAATCAACGGCAGAATGGTGTTTATGATTTGAGCATAAATCTCTGCCACGATTTCATACTCTGGTCCTTGGAGTTTGGGTCTTCCTAAAGTCAATGTGAGGTCCAGAAACATGAGGTCTAACCTGACGTTAGAAATGACTACTGGCTCTATTTATAGATGAAGATCCATTACCTTTAAGATGAAAAAAACGCTTTAAGACAGGGGTGTCTTATCTTTAGGCTTCCCTGGACCACACTGGAAGAACTGTCTTGGGCCATACACAAAATACATTAATGCTAATGATAGCTCAAAAAAAAATTTAAAAATCGCAAAAAAAATCTCACGTTTTAAGAAAGTTGGCAAATTTGCATTGGGCCACATTCAAAGCCATCCTGGACCGCGGGTTGGACAAGCTTGCTTTAAGGGGTCCATGATCACTCTCCCTAGCTTTGTGTAATCTAGCGCATATTCAAGTGTAAGACTTGGCCAGGGGAACTAAGAATGTTAGCAAAGAGGTCATATTTTTTCCCCAGACTTTTCCTTGTATCATCTAAATATAAATATCTGACCACCACAATAAGAACTCAGTCATGAAGGTTTAACGAGCAGAAGAAAACCAGAAGCCCTGATTTTTGAGTTGTGTGATGAGGAAGAATAAAGGGAAGGACAGCCTTGCAGGGAGGAAAAAGTTCTAGAAGAGAAGAAAAGCTGCCAGAGCCAGCTCCAGGCCACTGCAGGAATAACCTAGTCACACTCCTTACCCCTTTATATGATGATGGTGGGAGTGTTTCTAGATAGTTGAAATGTAAGTAATTATGAGCATCCTGACTCTGCCCAGCACCAGTAGACATTATCAAACAGGTAAAGAAGCAAGAAATTGACTGACCTACATGCTCACCTGCACTGAATGACAGGACAGTGGACTGGAAGGAGATGAAAAGCTAGAAATGGTAGATATACCTACACCTCATACTTACCTTTTTAAAAAATTTCCATAGAACATCAGAATTTAAAGTGCCTCCCTCAAAGCAAAACATCATGGAAATTCTAATAGTTATAAAATAACCTATTTGCATTTAGTATGCTTCTTACAAGAAACTAGTTACAACCTTTTCATTGTTCTGTATTAAAGAGTATTTACCTGCATTTTCTATAAACCAAGATTAGTCCTGAGTTCCATATAGGTGAACATTACAGGTGCACCTAACTCTGTTGAATGCCTATGTGCCAGGCATATGGACAGCCTTACTCTGAACACAAAGAACCATGGGCATAACCGTTCAGTCTTACAGGTCCTGACAGGGCTTGAGGCTTACAGCTCGACCTCTTTGATGAAATGGTCTTATTTGTACTTTATATACAACAGCTTCATCTGTCTTCCTTAAATGTTTTCTAGCACCAAACTTTCTGTTAGGGTTTCCTTTTTAGTGTATCTTTCTAGTTTGTTGTTGCTGTTGTTATTTTAGAGGTGGAAACTTCCTTCTGTGCTGACTCACTAGATTTGGAAACTAAATTGGCTTGCACATCATCATAACTGGTGGCCATCTAGGGGTTCAATGACCCAAAAAAACCAATATATTTAATTTTTTTAATAAGATTAAAGTGACCATGCAGTACTTATAGCAAGGAGTACAAGATTATTCTAAATTCTAAATCGAGTGACTCACTATCACTCTCAACCTCTGGAGGCCTCACAATTCAAACCCCAACTAAATGTTCGTTTCTAACTTAACAATGAGTATTTATAGCCAGATGTCTTTTGCAAAATCCTCATAACTTAGATTCGTTCTTTGGGTAGGTCAATAACAACTGAACTTGCTATGATTTAAAAATTATGGGCCGGGCACGGTGGCTCACGCCTGTAATCCCAGCACTTTGGGAGACAGAGGCAGGCACATTACCTGAGGTCAGGAGTTCAAGACTAGCCTGGTCAACATGGTGAAACCCTGTCTCTACTAAAAATACAAAAATTAGCCAGGCGCAGTGGCGCATGCCTGTAATCCCACCTACTGGGGAGGTTGAGGGAGAAGAATCACTTGAACTCGGGAGGCAGAGGTTGTGGTGAGCCAGGACTGTGCCACTGCACTCCAGCTCAGGGGCGACAGAGCAAGACCCCGTCTCAAAAAAAAAAACTTATGTAACTTCCCCATTTAACTTTGTTTCATATTAAAGAATACTATCCCCACTTCTAGGACCCACCCCCACCCCTCAAAGGCAAACGATTATGTGTTCCTTCCTATAGCAGACAAAATGACCATCTTATATTGGAAAAGTAAGTTATTGCTAAGTAATATTCTCAAATTTTGTTGCAATCAGCTTTAAATGATTCTGATTTGAGAGATATGACCCTTGAGTGACAAAGCCCATTTCACCATTTACACAGGGAAAAAAAATCTCTTTAAAGCACTATATAGTTAAAAACATTGACAAGGAAATTAAATTAGTAGAGCTATCACTTTGATGTGATGTACATGGTAAGATTGTAAATACACCAACTATAATATAGAATTTAATTTTATCTTTATGAAGTATTCTGAAATAAAAGACGATAATACATGCATCAGGCACATTCGACAGAAGACTTTTACAATGGTTTACATTTCCTTTTTATTTATTCCTTGAAACTGCTCGTATTGCAAGTTTTTCACGGATGAAATATGGAACTGAGCAGATTCTTTTTTTCTACAAAATTATGGTATAAACTTGCTCAATTTTCTATCTTATTGCTAATAAACCTTACAGGCGCACAGTTTGTAAAATAAACCCCTTAAGGACTGAATGCGTAGAGCATGCTGCAAGGTACAAGAAATAAGCTAAAAATGAGCATATAAACCTACATCTGGACCAACACAGTACTGAATGCTGGCAAACATTTATCACAACACAGGGGAAAATTAACAAAAGGAGATACAGTTCAGTCCTGAAAGGGTTAAACAGAAACCCTAATATATTATTGTTTCTAACCATCCATCCCACATTACAGTGCTTGAAAACAAAGTCATAAGTCTGGCACAGAAAATTACACACATTTGTTCAGTACTTATCAGAAACACAGCTGCTTTTGCAATCAAAGTAACTTGGTTACTAACTGAACAGCATTTTGTTTCAAAAGGAACCTCCTCCCCAGTGGATTTTCTGGTTAGCATGACTAGTTAGGTTAGTTCTCAAAAATGGCATTGGAAGTTTTTTGTGAAAGCACAGATGGTACCAGTTTCATTAAAAACAATAAAACAAAACAAAACAAAAAAACTAACCAGTTATGATTGCAGATAAGTCTGTGCAGTAAGAGTGACAAACATTTCACGATTAAGTCATGTATAAACATGCCTTTAATTGCCACAGTTTAAAGAAAGTGAGCAGCAAATTTAGATAGTATACTAGTGTTCAACGCTGAAATCACTCAAAATATAAAGGGCATTTTTAAGGCTTTTAGCTTGCCTTCCCAATCTATGTGATAAATTAAATGGAACAAATAAAAACATATTGGATCAGAGACTCAGCTTCTATGTGTATGTTTAGAAACTGCATAGTCATGAGAGCATAAGATACATTTCTAAAACAGAATTTTTTAAAAATTCAAACATACTATAACTGAAGCACTCACCATTCTAATAAGAGAGTCTTTCTGAGGGTAAATGACCAGCATGTCTAATAATGCCATCACTGGAGGAGGGCACACAGTCTACTATAACCAGAGGACAAGGTTCCTATAAATTACATACTGAAAATGATTCACAAAACCATGAAAGAAAAAATGTAAGCAGCTGACAAAAGAACTACTGATAAACAATAAGCTACAATGGACAAATCATTTCACTCTTTAGTCTGTGGTATGAGAATGGCCAAAAATAGGTGGGGAAAAATGCCTGTATAAGTACATTCTTGGACTTTTCAAAAAAAGAAAAGAAAAGGGTTTACAGTATAATATTTCAATTATCTTACGGAAAGAAACTATCAAAATAAAACATACATGTTTGTTAAAAAAACACAAGTTCATTTTAATAAGGTCATGAACTTGAAAAATTATTTTTGAGCTACAAAAATGGGTAAGGAATAGTTTGTTCTTCAAAAGTATCTCTTTTGTTATTGGTTAATTTAATATGATTCCTTAACTAAATACCAAACCTAGGAAGTGGAGGAAACTTGTGGCCGTTAAAGCAAAGCAGCACTAGGAACATGTCCATGCTCTGAACAAAAGCACTGTGTAATGATTCCTGCCATGACTCCATAGAGAGGAATAACTACTACTCAGAAATAAGTGGTCTGTAAGAAAGAGACAGTGAACAATTACAACAAAGAAAGATAAGGCCACAATGAGTTCTGCCCTTGATCACTGAAACAGATTTAAGGTGTGAGGCAGGATTAGCTTATAAGAGAGAAGTGAGTGATTGGAGCAGATTTGAAGAAAAAAGGCGATATAGAATAAAATGCAGCCTGGGGGTGATTAAAAAGGCTTGCAGTAAGAGAAAACCGCAATAACTGATTTAACCACCTAACGTGCTTTACAAATGACCTTCCCCTTGAAAACTGAGGAAAAGGCGATTTAAAGATGTTAGGAAGAATATTTACAGTGGCATAGTCTGAGCATAGAGTGAGTGATGAAGACAGCAAAGCTGGAAAAAAAATGCTACTAATAATAATTTCTAAAAAGTCTATTAATGGAAACTTTTTCAAAACAGCCCAGGACACCAGAAAGACAATGTTCTGTAGGGAAACACTGTAGGAAGTTACAGTTTTGCATTCATAAGGTACTGTGGCTCCTGTTTTATGGGACAGTAAAAGCTTACCACAATCTAGAGGTAGTTTTTACTCTAAGAGGGATGATTGTATTACTAGACTGTGTTGTATAACATTACACACGTGGTTCCTGTACTAAATGTAGCCCAATGAGTCTGCTGCAATTTCGAAGAAACCAAACAAAGGCATAAACAAAGTTCAGGAATGAAAGCACGGTAAAACCGGCGGGGTTAGCAAGCAAGGCCAACCTACAACCCTGAATGCAACCAAATCTCAACTGAAAAGAAAAGAAACATTTTCTGAGTTAGGAGACATTTGTGGAGATGCTCAGTACTGGAAAAGAGAAAACAAACAAACAAAAAAGGCAGAGAAAAAAATGAAAACATAAGTTACATTTGCATTTTATAATCTTACAACTATCTGTTTCTAAAGTACTGTCTTCCAGCTATTTTAGTTGATCATCTAATAAAAGCATCTTATGTTTTAAGATTACAATGATGTTCTGGCTAGGCTACCCCCTCCAACCCCCCAAAAAAGTAAAGATAATAAAACATGCTTTTGCGGACATTTTCCTCATTCTACCATTAAGGGCACCATCTACCAACTGGTAGCAAATACTTCCCATATTTTTTGTCACTTGCCAACAAGGCAGAAAATACCCTGCTGAATGAAATCACTGGGAACATTCCAAGTTCAAAATAAAATGTTTAACTTACACATAATACAAGTTATGTACAAGATTAGGAGGGGGGAAAAACCTGAACAAATCCTGGAACACACCTATGTATTTACGTCATGGGAAAAGGGGAGAGAACACTTCAAATATCAACAAGTTCTGCGCCATTAACTCATTAATAGCTAAATGGCCACACCAAATTGCATGTGAATGTTAGAACCTCTCAGATAACCACAATAAGTCCATATTTTTTTTTAAAAAAAGGAAAACACAGAAATAACTACCAACAGTGTCTGAGAAGAGAGACTAAGTTAACATACATTGCATGTATTGCAGGCAAGGCAGAGGCATTTTTTTAAAGCTTTTGCACAGACTTCATATAATCTTAAAAAAAATATGCAGGCCTTTGCAAGATTTGACTTGCTGAAATCCAAACAATTTTGACTCATGAAAAGTCATAAGACTTCAGCTGAAAAAAAAGAAAAAAGTTCCAGCCTTAGACCAAAAAAAAAAAACCTGGAAGAGTATGATAGATTAAACAAGGATGGTCAGGCTTGGAACCTGAATGTATTTTAGAGCAAAAGCTCAAAGGTGGGTGGGGAAGAGAACAACCTATTTGGTAACAAGGTGTACTATAATACCGTGATATAAAAAAAGGTATGGTGAAAATGTACCTTTTACTAAAGCTTATACAATATACAAGTTCCTTGGTCCATAAAAACTATGTTAGATTTGTGTCTTCTAGTTTGTTCAACTTGTATTCCAGCCACATTATTTACTTCTTGCCCATTTAAACAAAACCAAACAAAAACCAACCAACCAACCAACAAAACAGCTGAAAAACTTGATTTCCAATATTTATACATTTTGATTTTTTTTTCTTTTTTTTTTTTTTTTTTTTTTTTTTTACTGTGGCTTCTGCATTTCAAATCAGCACTTGCAGGGAGACAACGGGGTTTTTGAATAGTATCACCTGGTATGAAAAGTTTTCCCAAGAAACCACAAACGATTGTTCATTTTTTCTCCTTTTTTGTTAACTTTTTGCCACACTCAAGTCAGTTTAAGTCCTAGCAAAAAGACGGTAGTTAGGATACCACTGTGGCTGTAGATGATGTGACACTGGTTGAATTTGTGCTGGCGTTTGTGTAACTTCCCTCGCTGTTTGTGTTTGATTCGTTAGGGGGCACCTGGCTTGAATTGGCTCGAAGGATTGCTCCTGCTGCACTGCAATGTGGCCGCGGCCCTGGTTCTGGTGTGTAGGTAAAGGTAAGGCTGGTGGAATAAATGATTCCATCATTTCGGACCAAAGTTACTGGAACCTGGACTGGTTGCCGGACCCATCTCCAACCTTCTCGGAATGCAGAAATGTCTGGGACGACACAGAGCATACTCTCTCCACACCTGAGGAGGAAATAGAAATCACTTAAAAACACTTTAAAAAGCAAAGTACATGTTAAAAATGAGACTTAACACAAGGTTGTTTAATACATTACAATCAGTGCCAGGAAAGAATCTCCTGTACCCACACCCCTCACAACCTCTGGATGATGCAAAAAGTTTTATCAAGTACCTGTACATAGTTTCAGCTTCTACATCCCCAAACCACACTCGTAAATTTGGAGTGAAATTCTGTCCTGTAAGTTCAAGCATTGCTACGTCCCCACCGCCATTCAACTGCAATTCACAGAAAATCACAACACTGAGAAAACTTTTCATTTTTCATTAAAGTACACAAATTAGATTCTCATTCAACTTTCATTTGTTTTTTTTAAAAAAGGGCAATTAAAATGTTTTTTATTACAAAGCTAGCTAAAAACATTTCAAGATAACATACAAGTTTATTTACATTTAAATTTTCTGGCAAGTACGCTCCTCCTAATTTTGTTTTTTTTTCTTTAAATCAACAAATGGTGTATATAAAAATCCCCTAATCAGACGATTGGAGAAAAATCAAAACTCCCATGAAATGAAATGATGCCAGGTCACAGCTGAGAGTAGCTGCAAAGAGCTGAAGGCCAACTTGGACTAGGCGTTCTCACCTGAAGGCTCTCTACCACAGGCACAGGAGTGACTGGGGCAAGGACAGGGCCCATTCCCTCATAAAATGTATACTCTGCCTTATCTGTGCTAATGATTGTCCAGGAAGCGCCATCATTTATCATCTCTTTATTTGGTTCTTTTGGACATGGAGTGGCCTAATAAAGAAAGAAGTTTAGAAACTAAGTTTTATACAGTTTGTATTAATAGGATAAGAAAATTTTACCAAGTAACCCTCAGACAAGAGTTAATAAGAAGATAACTCAGTAAAAACTTATAAACTTTCTAAAGTATGGTGCTTTGCCAATCCCTACATAAACACAAACAGAATGCTAATACAGAAACCCCATAGACAGCAGTTTTTCTTATAATACAAACTATTTCAGTGACATATTAAATAATAATACCTTTCAGAACAACCATTATGAGTATACCAATGCAGGTACAATTTCATTAACAGCAGATCAATATCTGTGATGTAAATGGCTGTTTAAAACTCTTCAAGGACTCCTAAGAAAGACAATGGGACTCCTCATGCTTAGGCAACAGCTAGAAGCTTATGCATGTTCCATGGGAGGGAATCAAGATGGGAAGGCAAAGCCCCTACCCCTACCTTAACACACCTAGACCAGGGACTCAGCATGCCCATCAGTGTGTATGGGCATCTCTCTGCAAAGGAGTTTCACATGAAACCATAACTGTCTTATTAAATCATCTGCCCATGTCATAACCTCATGAAAGCCTTCTGAGTAAATGTAAAACATTAGCTTTCAAAGCATGTCATCATTACTATCTTCGGAAACCACGACATAAATCTGATGAGATTTTGAGCCTTCACCCAGAAAAATGCTTTGTCTATACAATGTTTGCACACAATTTCAGAGGATTCAATGAGCACTGAAAATCTATTTTTGGATATCCTGAGGGGCTCTTTGTTCTTCAATTAAGAACCCTGGAACTAGATGTTAACTGTTTTCTCTGAGAACATTTTCATAATTTTGAGTTCTTCCTTGAGGAAGGATTGCTTGCATGTCTGAGGATTGTGTGTTAAGGATGCTCATACCTGAGATAAATATCTGTGTATAGCTTCATGTATTTGTATATAATTAACAGCAAATGAAAATTTCATATTTTTGCAAGCTGCTAACCTCACAGTTTGTACATTTTAGATTTCACCAGTAATTTAAAAACATACCTGAAATTGAATTATTCTTTCTTGAGAAAGGCACAAATACATTCTTTCTGTATCCTTAAGGTAAAATGCACATTTATGGAGTTGTGACACAGGATCATCTGCATCCAATAATGCGGTCTGCTTATCAACTTTCCTAATTATCTATATTTAACAATTAAGAAATAAAAGGTCATCCACACATGGAAAGGATTTTCCTTGTGTAAAACATCAAAAGTACATAGAAGCTATATACTGCATAATAATACATCACAGTTATTTGTCCTATGCCTACATATATAAAAACATTCACAAACAAAAAGACTAGGAATAAAAAACACTTTTAGATTGCAAGCATGTCAGAATGTAGAAACTGTTACCCTCTTCCCTGAACATCTAAAAAAAAAAAATCAGGCAGGCAGGCACTTGTTTTCTAGATCAGTGTTTTTCAAACATTAATGTGCACATAAATGAGCTGGGGTTCTTGTGAAAAACACAGGTTCTGATCTAGCAGGACTCTTGTGGGGCCTGATATTCTGCATTTCTAACAAAATCCCAGTTGATGTTAATGCTGCTGGCCTACAGACCATATTTTGAACAGCAAGTTCTAATGATATTTTCCAATAATATGCATAAAATGACAAATACTCCAACATCAAAGGGAAAAATCTCTAGAAGGCTACTGTCAGTGCAAACGTCTTATATCTATTATCCAAAACTTACGTATTTAAAAACATAACAAAATCAAACTCATTTTACAGATTACAAAATGGGCTTAGAAAGGTCAGACAAATTGCTCAAAATTACCAGTTTAGTAGCTGAAGGACCAGAATATGTCCTGATCCCAGGGCTGGCTGCCTGTCCAACTGATCTCTAAAGCTTATAACGCAACTAGTCTACAAAACACATGAATATCTGAAAGATAATACTATCAAACCCTATATGACACTTGACACCTAGAAGGTAATGGCTAAGTAGATGATCATGATGAAGAGCAAAATTTGACACAGAACTTTTACTCTGTTTCCTTTTCTATTGATCACTTCCAACAACATACAAACATAACTATCTCTCATCTCAAAATCAAAAGTAAAGAAAACACTGACTACATGCTCCTGTCCCTCCCTCTCACTACCTGTTTTTCTGCAAACGCCTCTTCCTCACTGTCCAATCTCCTGCAATCTCTCCAACCTTTTATCTCAAAGACGCCACTACAACTGCTTTTCAAAGCCACCAAGGATTTCCAGACAGATGCATCTCACGGCACTTTTCTGTCCTCATTTTACTTCATTTTCTCAGAAGCTCTCAACACATTTTGCTTTCAGGACCACAACTGCTCCAACTGACCTTTAAAATGCCCAGAGCTGAGTTCTCAGCCCTCTTTTCCTCTCTTTATAATCTATACTGTTTAAAAATTTAAAGGTTGACAACTCCCAAATTTATTATCTCCAGACTTCTCTCCTGCATTCAACTTGTATGTACACTTAACTACCTATTCAACATTTCCACTTACGATGTCTAACAGGCACCTCAAGCTTAGCATATCGAAAACAGATTTTTGGATTTCCTCCTAAACTTGATCCTTCCCCAACTCATCTAGGTCAATAAATGGCACTAGCATTCACTCAATCCAAAAACCTTAAGAGTCACCCTTGATGCCTTGCTTTCTCTCACACCCAACCATCCAATCTGCCAGCAAATTCTGTCAGGTCCACTTTCCAACAAATCAGTCACCCCTCACCACCTTAATACTATGATCCTGGGTCTAAGATAGCATCAACTCTTGCCTCAATTATGACAACAATCCAAGCACCTGTCTCTCTGCTTCCACGGCCGCATTGCTATGCTCTCTTCTCCACACAGCAGCCACACATATACTTCTAAACAAAAATAGGCCATCGTGCCCCGTTTAAAATCCTCCAGTGGCCTTCTAACATGCAGAGATAATATGAAGTCCTTACCCTAGATACAGAGAGGGATCCTACAAGGTCTTGCTTAGTGCTAACCTTACAGATTCAGTTCCTGCCACTTGACCTCTCCTCCCTCCGCTCCAGCTCCACTGGTTTCTTTACTAGTCATCATACATCCCCTGCCTTCAGTTCTGTACTTGTTCTGTTTGCCTGAAATGCTCCTCACTCAATTACCGGTTCTTTGACTTCATTCTGGGCTCTCTTCAAATACTGCGACTTCAAAAAGACTTCCCTGACCTCTCTAAGCGCTCCTCCAATTCTCTATCCCTTTATTATCTTGTTTTGTTTTTTCATCACTACATAAATCCTTTACATGGGTATTTGGCTTATCACTCTATCAAAATGTAAACTCAATGACGAGAGGCACTCGACTTTGCATGTCAGAATTCCTGTCATGAAACCCCTGGAAAGATTTATGTATCAGCGTCTTAATAATGGTACTGCAACTTTTTCTAATAAGTTAATTTTTCATTGCAACATTTTTATATAAAGCCATACAGTTTTGAGTGTAAAAACCTCAATTAATGACTTTCAAGCAAGGCAGGCTACTGGTACTTTACAAACAACTGTAAATGAAAACATTGTTTTAAATTTGGGTCTGTCTTCTAAGTGGTTTGTATTATAAACTATTGGTGATCAGAATCATCCTCCTAAGTTGTGCTTCTGCAGTACAAGCATTTAACACCAAAGCAAATGAACATCATCCTTGGAACAGAGGAAATGAATGAGAAGAGAAAAAAAATGAATAAATGCTGATTCAGATTTTTTGCTTGCTTCTGTCTCCTGCTCTGTTTTTCATGCCCTTCATTCCCTAACGTTACCCTTTTTATTATAATTTGTCTCAGCTGCAAAGCTTTACAGATTACTATTACTATACTTCATGTCTTCTAGCTTATTGCATTGACATGGGAAATAAAATCACCTTGTACAATCATGACAGAGGGTAAAAAAAAAAAACAGTAACAAAGAAATGAATCACTGGCTTAGAAAACTGTAGATCAAACCAGCCTCTGCTGAAATGACCCCAGAAAATATAAGCCAGTGGAATATTGCACCAAAAAGATAAATAGGAGGCATGTTTAGGAACATTAATACTAAATGTTCTTCTACTCACCCAACCTCTTCAGTCTGACCTTGAATCAAACTTACTCATAAATCCCCTTCATCTTGAATATAAGTAAATTATATTGTTTGAGAAAAGGAGAGGGAAAATTGGGAGGGTGGTGGCACTATAGAGGACTTTTGTTTTCATTTTACTAACAAAAGTAGTTTTTACAATTTCAAGATCTCCTTTTCTGTGGTTGTTGAGATAGGATCTCATTCTGTTGCCCAGGCTAAAGTCCAGTGGTACGATCACCGCTCATTGCAGCCTTGACCTCCCGAGCTCAAGTGATCCTCCCACTTAAGCTTGAGACTACAGGTGTGCACCACCATGCCTGGCTAATTTTTTTTTTGGGGGGGCGGGGTCAGTGGTAAAGACGGTCTGACCATGTTGCCAGGACTAGTCTCGAACTCCTGAGCTCAAGTGATGCCAGGGCTAGTCACTTCTCCTTCTCCTGCCTTCACCTGTTGAAGTGCTGGGATTGCAGGTGTGAGTCACCATGCGTGGCCGAGTTTCAATGTCTTCTATTGAACAAAAGCCCTAAATCCTATGCCCTGCTCCCAGTTAGAAATACCAATTTTATTTCAGTTTTAATAAATCTATCTTCTTGTGAGAGAGTAAGCTAACAAAAATTACGCTTATATTTCAAAAGAAATAAGAATGTCTTCTGTTTGCAAACTTGGTCCTACATTGGGATATGGCAGGTACCACAAAAAAATGAATACGGTTTATCCGCATTAGTAAAGAAAAGAAATGTAATTTATAGTGCCCTCTACTGAACATCTTCAGATAAACAGCCAAAAAGGAAATTGCCACCAAAATATATTGGAAATCATTTAAGAAAAAATCATTAAGAATGTACTTGTAAAAACTGGCTATTACCTTAAAGCATTTCTGAAATAAGGTAGAGCATAACTGTCAATTATAAACAGCACTGATTACTAACATACCTTTTAAAATTAAAAAGCATAAAACTGAGGTGTGTTTTTCCATTTGAATGTTGTGATTTTCCTGTTTAAGAAATTAATTTTTACTTCACATTATCACTAAAGCAAAAGTAGAGCCATACCAATCTTGGGAGTGCCATGCCAGTAACTGAGCACACAAGTTTGACTGTTTGTCCATAATGGATGTAGCCATCTCGGACTGTGAATTCTTCTCCTTCTGATTCATCATCATCCACTGCAGTAGGTGGAAAAATAAATCAAATTGTCATCTTTTTAAATTTATTTTATGATTAGGCAAATGACAAAACTTAATATATCCATGTATCTCATCAAAAGATTTTAACAATTTCACACTAAAAACATTAAATGCACACTTTTATACTCACAGAGATGAATAAAAAAGGCTCCCCACTGCTGTGAACTGGCATGAAAATTACCTCCTTCTACATGCAAGTATCTGGTACTAACTGTCTGGGATCGTAGTCGATTAAACAGAGCCACCTTTGTTCCTGAGGCAATGCATACTGCAAAGAAAAAACAGCTCTTATTTATGTGATTGGAGCAGAAGGTGGGGAGGGAGCAAAAGAAGGAAATTCTGCTTGGCAGTGTATAATTATTCTTTCTTATCATTTAACAGTTTGACAAATATTTTCACTTTCCAAGACAGTACAGATGATATCAAAAAGTCAAGGTAACTGTTATTAATAATGTCAAGCTAATGATATCAAATGTCCATAAAAATAATTTTAAAGTGAAAGCTACACAGTATGTTTAATGTGGTGCTGATTATTAGAGAAAAACTTACTTTTAAAATAATGTTAGACAGTAGAAATTTAAATGATGACCTATTGAAAGGATGTGTATCTAAACACACTGATAAGAAAATATTTTCCTGGAATATCACTGAATGGAAAAGCAGACTATAAAATACTCTGTATGCTGTGGTTCCATTAGGCAAATGTATATATTTTTAATATGTGTTTGCATCCAATTCCACAGAATACATGCATAGAAAAGGGACCAGAAGGATGTTTGTCAGAGTTGATGGTAAATGCCTCTGCATACTGTGATTTCAGAAAATTCTGCTTTCTTCTAAATAAAGTATTGTATGAAATTTCTTGAAAATAAATCCATGTAAGCAGAAAAACATTCTGAAAGTGAAATATGTTCTCTGCCATCAAGAAACTAATATTCAGTACAAACACAAAGTTAAAGCAGTTACATAAAACTGTGTAATCTGAAATGCAAATAGCCTGAATACAAGACATAATATACCTCCTAGTGCAAGAGAGCACACCACCACCTTTGAAGCAGGTCTTGCTTTTCAGAAAGAAAACAAGAACCAAAGGACAACAAACTTAAATCTGATCACCATTCTACACTAAAGATTCTCTCCTTGACCATACTTTTAAGCAGGCTGCTCTGAGCAATCAACTAGTATTTGTCCTTGAGCCCCGTCATCAGTCTGTTTAGCTCAGTTATATATAGTAAGAATCCTCCTAAACTATCTCCCACTCTGGATCTATGATCACCTTGGCCTGCCTTTAGCAGGAATCCTAAGTCAGGTCAGAAAGAAACCTTCTACCTTTGATGTCTCCTTTTAGAAAGTTTCCATCCATTGACCCTCTCACTCTGCTTCATCCCCAAGTGTCTTTGTTGTATTCTGAAATGGAACTTGGTTCTATTTTCCCCTATTGCAATAGTACTGAATGAAATCTGTCTTTCCAACTAGGCCCACGCTCTATTTCTTTTTGACTCTACCAATTTACAGAAAATACATTAAACTATACCAAATAAATGAAATCAGCAAAATCTAGTACGTGGAAATCTCTAGTGACTAAATGTTTCAACTTACTTAAATAAATTGCAAGAGTTGAGGGGGTGTCCATAGATTATACTCAAGGACATATCACAATATAAACTGTACTAAGTGGTAGATCTGAATTTTGATTCAAGCAATCTGATTTTTAAAATATTTTAGACCATTTTAAATTTGAACACTGATTGGATATGCATCAAACTAAAATAAGGGCAGAAGAAAGTGGGGCTGGAGTACAGGTATAGATGAAGATAAGATTGGTTGAATGTTAAGATCACTGTTGACGTTAGAGAATGAACATAAGAGGTTTCACTGTATGGTGCAACTCTGTCTACTTGAGAGTGTTTGAAATTTTTCCGTAATAAAAACTAAGTGATATTAGTGGACTGAGTGGACTAAAATATAACCAATACAAAACAACAACAATAACAACAACCACAACAAAAACCATGATCTCATAATAAAACAAAATGAAAAGAAAGCAAACAAAACAAAAACCCTAAAACCCCACTGGTCACTTTCAAGGAATGTTATTATTCTGCAAATGAGTAAACAAGCACCTAATCCTGCCTTTTCATTACATATTACAATTGAAGCAAATAGCTGATATGGCAAAGTCCCTCTTTGTAGAAAAAACTCCAGCTAACGAATGCAGAAGTTAGAATTTAAAAAATTAGAATATCACCATTTTGCAGCATTTAATGAAATGGATTTAAACATCATCAATGACTATTAAAACCATTAGGTTAAAGTTTGCTGAGGAACTTTATGGGTGGAATAGACTTACAACAGCTGAACTACTATAATCAATCTCAACATGACCAAAAAAAAAAAAGGGGATAATCAGATATTATGACTTCCAATCCAATGGAAATAAATGTATATCTTACCAATCAGTTCTGAAAGTCTTTATGTCTAACCACCAGTTCATGGAAAGTAAGAGAGACAGAGAAACATATAATCAGCCAAACCCAGAATATGGAATTCCACAACAGGAAAAATGATCCAGTTTCTTCAACAAATAAATGACATAGAAGGAAAACAAAGGTGAGAGAGGGTGAGAAGAAACTATTACAGACTAAAATGTGTGGACCTTATCTGAATCCATGTTTGAACAAACCACTGTAAAACAAAACAAAGCAAAAAAACTATAAAAAGACATTCTGGGTCAATCTGATAAATCTGTACATGAAATAGGATATTAGATGACACTTAAGAGCTGCTGTCAACTGTTACGTATAATGATGTTTCAAAAAAAAGGGCATGTATTAGTCACTATTGCAGAAATTTTGGTTGAAAGGATAGGATGAGATTTACATTAAAATACTCCAGCAATTAGAAGACGAAGAGGTGTTGGTGGTGATGGAGATAATGAAACAGAATTGATAAAACCTGTTGAGGCTGGGTGGCTAATTTCTCCCTTTTATATAAATTTGAAAGTCTCAGCCAGGCATGGTGGCTCACGCCTGCAATCCCAACACTTTGGGAGGTCGAGGTGGGTGGATCACCTGAGGTCAGGAGTTCAAGACCAGCCTGGCCAAATGGCGAAACCTCATCTCTACTAAAAAATACAAAATCAGCCGGGCGTGATGGTGGGCACCTGTAATCCCAGCTACTCAGGAGGCTGAGGCAGGGAGGATTGGTTGAACCCGGGAGGTGGAGGTTGCAGTGAGCTGAGATCCTGCCACTGCACTCCAGCCTGGGCGACAGAGTAAGAGTCCATCTCAAAAAAAAAAAGAAAAGTCTCCATAATAAAAAGTTAAAAAAAGAAAAATGGGTGTGGAGGTTAAATTTATAATTCAAACATACTTGTTTGGTAGTCTAAAAATAGGCTGATGAGACAGCAGTCTCTGCCAGAGCAACCACATTAAAAATTGTGTTTAGATTCTCAGGAAGGCCTGCCAAAGCCCATTTAGTTGGTAGCGTTTTTCAAAGGGGTACTTGTTGACATTGTGGGTAGATCAATTCTTTGTGGAATGGGAACTACCTTGGACACTGCAGGACATTCAATTCAGCACCACAGGCTCAAGACACCCAAAGCCAACATCACCCCCTCCAGTCACTGTAACAACAGAAGGAGAAAATCTCCCATTTCCCCAGAATGTCCCTGGGAGCATTAAGGAACCAACTCTGGTTAAGAACTGCTTCATTAGACCACATACTGTCGATTTACGATTAAAAAAAGAGAGACAATAAAGAGGGCCACAAAAATATTAGTAAAGAATTAATTGGCTATTGAAAAGGCAATTTTTAATTTAAAAAAGAGTCTGTCTTATTAATTCATGGTGGCAGTTGGGGATAAATAAGAAAAGCATACATACAGTCAGCATTTTTCAATGACTGCTTCTTTTTGGAAGGTTTGGAGATGACTTTTATCCGCTTGCTGAGGAACACACCAATGTCATCACTGTTGCCATAGAACATCTTTACAGACAACATGAAGTGCTTTCGCTTGTCTGAGTCAGATATATACAATGTTTTGGCTGTGCAATAGTTCTGTGAAAGAAAAGTAAAGTTTTAACAGCAGCAAAACCTTGTTTGTTTATGTAGTACCTAAAACTCAGAATGGCCATGGTTTAAGTAATAAGTAAAACAATTCCAAGGGATAGCTGATAAAACCAACTCTAAAAATTATCAACTATAAAAATTACTGAAATTGATTTCGGAAAAGTACAAAGTCTTCCTTATAAAGTCTGTAGAACACAAACATTGTCATCTATTGTATCCTCTTTAAAAGACCATTTAAAAAAACAGCCTTTTCTTGTTTTACATAGCTCTACAACTGTATCATGGAATTATCACTCAACGTTACAGCAGTAACTTTTAAAATAAATTTTACAGTTAAAAAAAATCAATGACTTTCTCCAAAAAAAAAATAATAATAAAGCTATCAGAATTCAAGAAATTATGTAAAAGATTTTAGCAGTAGTTCTTCTCAAAATAGTGCATAAAATATTTTTCTTTATATAGCTGAACACTAGAGTAATCACTTATAAGATTGAGGAAAACAATGATAGACAAACTGGATGATTATAAAATATCTTAAACCAGAAAGAGATTATATAAGCATTACTTTAAAGAACTATTTTTAAAATGGTTAACTTTGCCCAAAAGGACGATTCATATGTATCACCAGAAGAACTGAATTTAAAGGTACTAGAGAAAATGCTCAAGGCATTATGTCAGTTTACCAGAATTTAAATTCTGATAACTGAAAAGATAAAGAGATATAGCACTTTACAAACAGCAAAGACCCTTCAAAATGCTACTGCTTATATTATATATAACAATTCTAAAATCTTTCCTATTCTCTTGATCCCTGTGAATCAGGGAGGGGTCTAAATTATTGTCCTTTTCCAGATAAGATAAATGATGCTGAAACACAGCATAAGTATCTAAAGTATCGAATTATATTTTTTAAAGGATCAACATTCCACTTTAAAATTAAGCTAAACAAGTTTCTTCAACTGCCTCTCCTGTATCTTCCTTTTAAAAAGCAGAGCAAATGCTACTCAGGAAACAGTTAATGACTTCTAGGTTTTTATCTTTAAAATTTTATTCACAGACAGCCTCGGTAGCAGACAAAACTACTGCAATAGTTTATTGTATTTCTCATAGCAAAGCTATATAAGAAAATTTAGATGCCATCTTGAACATTATACATTTAACTAAGTTTTTAAAAATCAAAAGTTTGGTAAAAGCTTTGAGAGGTTTTGCTCTGTAGAAGGCAAAAATAAGATAAAGCCAATCATAGTAATAAATAAAAACAGGCCAGGGTGGTGGCTCATGCCTGTAATCTCAGCACTTTGGGAGGCCAAGGTGGACAGACTGCTTAAGTCCAGAAGTTTGAGACCAGCCTGAGCAACATGGTGAAACCCCATCTCTACGAAAAACACAAAAATTATCCAGGCATGGTGGTGCATGCCTGTAGTCCCAGCTACTCAGGAGGCTGAGGTGGGACGGTCGCTTGAGCCCAGGAGGCAGAGGTTGTAATGGGCCGTGATCCCACCACCGCACTCCAGCCTGGGCGGCACGGTGGCACCCTGTCTCAAAATGAATAAAGATAAAGAAACAAAAAACAACAGTACTTTGCAGTCACATCACTCCTTGCACCCAAGATCTCTAACGCACTCAGAGATGGCATCTGTGAGCTGCTATACCCATAGGTCGGCCATACTCTTAAAAGTGACAGACAGCATTGAAGGTCAAATTAAGCCTAAACAATGAAATTCTTCTGCAACATAAGACGAGGTCTATGAAAATGGGTATCAATGTACTAAAGCAGACAGTCATGGGAAGCAAAAATGAAATTTATATCTAAATGAAGGTAATTACATTCTAATGGGAAAGCTTAAAAATGTTGAGATGGCTTTTGAGTGTTAAAATTAAAAGGTAAGATCCATATCAGAAAGAGAAAATACTGAAATCCAGCATAAATAAGACATATTGGCAAACAAGAACGGAAAAAAAGAACCAAGAAGGTTGGATCATAAGACCTACACAAAAAGAACTGCATTTTGTTCGGAAAAAACAAACACACATATATCTCCTTGGAAAGAAAGGAAATATATCCCTAATTACAATGAGTAGTTTGAATCCACAAAAATCATAATCAAGATAATTTTATGGGAACTATTAGTTTTAAAAAACTATAAGGCCACTGACCACAAACTACTCAAATTCCATTAAGAAAAGAAGGAAAAAGTCACTGACTCATAGAAAATAAGCAAATAAAACTAAAATTACATTTGCCTTGCTATTGCAAAAGGTTAAATTAGCTAACGGAATTCTAGAAGAGAAAATGGCATATAATCATCTCTCTAGAAATACTCTTTGAAAACAAGATCTTTAGGCAATAAAAGACATTTCCCTGAAAGAAAGAAGAAATACCAAATCTAATGCTGCAAAGTGATACTGCAGAAATGTTTAAATTATAGAAACAAAATGTTACCAAGAGTATATGATGTTTAAAAATAAGAAAAACACAAGAGTGTTAACTAAGTCATCCTTGTTGCGTAGCTTACCTAGCTGTGACTATAAAAAATGTAAATTTTTTTAACAAATTAAAAACATTACACAAAATCTAAGATCCAACATATTACCTACATACAGCCAAATGTCATGACCATAAATTTAAAGGGCTAGATATACTAGAATTTTGTTGCAGTGAATATTTAAAATAAGTATAAACACCAAAAATTGCAAAATGAATATCCCATATTTCTCAATAACTAATTGTACCACTCAATGAACAGACTATTTCCTTACACGAATGGAGTTTAAGTGAGGCAGACAAGAGCAAAGTGCCTCTCACTGAAGCTCAGAATCCGCTGCTCAGGACATCTTTGCCTACCTTGGTCAAAACCATGTTCTTATACCTTTATGCTCTAAGCACATGATTATATTGTTTTTTTTTCTGCCTGGGATGCCTTCTACTAACTCTCACCAGTCTTGCTTTACATAAACTTCCCTAATAGAATTTTTCCTTAAAATTAAATATTAACATATAATTTTGGCTTACAGACATTGTACTAACCTATTACTAGGTATTTTAAATACTAGTTAAATGCTCAAGCTCTCAGGTATTCTATTCCTCTTCTGCCAGTTTCTAGGCCTTGGGGAAAGGGTATACTAGTGGAAGTTGAAGAAAGATATAATGAAAAACAGCAGAAAGATCTCCATGTTGAGGCAGCCCCTAAAGGTACAAAATTAGGATGTGGCACTACTAAGCCACAATGCTGCGAAAGGCAAGCAGTGATACTACTGGTTGGTTTATTTGGTATCACCTCATTTAAAATTACTGGAAGCTGGAACTGGTTAAAATGAGCAATGAAGTAGGATTAAACAGTTATACACACAGGTAGCTAGAATCCCTGGCTTCTCACTACCTATCTGATCCACTCATTCATAGTACTGAATGTCTACATGTGAAGCCTGGAGACATATAACTCTGAGACTTCCTAGGTAACAAGAAAACAGATGAGACAAGACTTAAGATCTATTAGATCAACCCACCACTTAAATATATTCGTTACTTTAGCTCAGGGATCATAATTTAGAAATAGTTTTAGTGGTTTAAGATGAAACAATCTTTATTGTAATAAGTATTATCCCAAATCTAATTTAAAATACATAGTCAACAAATCTTACTTACAAAAACTATAAAGATATAAATGACATACAAACAGCTAAATTTGAAGGAGGTTGACATTAAGACCTGTAGTACTATCTGTAAAATCACTAAAATTCAATTTGAGAGTACAAATCCCCTAGCTCACCTCCACCAACACTACTCCCAACCCATATACCTAGTGCCAACTACAACATAGCAAACACTAAAATATTCAACAAGGATGTATCAAATAATGAAACAGCTGTTTATGCGCTATTTTAGAAGATGTTTAGTCATTGAGATCAGAACTAACCATTTTCCAAAGTACAGTAGCAAGGAAAAATAAAACCATAGCTAAATTCTAAGTGAATAAAAAACTATCTTTCAATACTAAAAGTATAGATTGGCTGGACACGGTGGCACACACCCGTAATCCCAGCACTTTGGGAGGCTGAGGTGGATGGATTGCTTGAGCTCAGGAGTTCAAGACCAGCCTAGGTAACATGGCGAAACCCCATCTCTACAAAAAAATACAAAAAAGTTAGCTGGACATAGTGACACACACCTATGGTCCCGCTACTTGTGAGGTGGAGGTTGCAGTCAGCCAAGATTGCACTATTGCATTTCTGCATGGGTGACAGAGTAAAAACCCTGTCCCGGGGGAAGAAAAAAAAAGATCTAGATTGACTGCTTTCTAAATTCATACAATATAATCAGTAAAACTAGCTGATAGATTGTTTTCTCTAGAAAATTAATTGAAGAACCCCTGCCACGCACTAAAATTTGAGTAAAGCCAACTGTGGCTGTTCTTGTCTACAGTATCACTCTGCTTCACTCTGATGTCAAGTAAACGTTTATGATCGTTATAACCCAGATAAATGCTTTCCACAATGTATATATCATCGTGTCTAGTATAAAACTAAGATTAAAATAGCAGAGTAAAACATTACTGAACAATGTATTTTTGTTGATAAACCTCTGTCAAACAGAAGATGAGCAATCAGCCTCCTAAATTTATTACTGGCTTCCAATAGAAATCTGATTTATAGTCTGCTAAAACTGCTTGCAAGCTGGGGAAGCTTACTGCATGCCACCTTCCAATGTCAGCAGCGTAAGCTTCATGAGTGACTAGACCAAAGCTATGAGAGGCATGTTTTTTGGTCCTAGTTTATATATTCAAGAAATTGTTACCAATAGTTATTAAAGAAAAAAATCTCCACCACAAAAATGAATATGAAAACTACATTCTGGTACCATGGTGCCCCTTTCTGGTGAACTAGCAGTCTTGATTTACCTTTCCTTCCAAGTTTAGCTGCTGCATTTCTTGGTCACTATTTCCTATCCCAATAAATGCACACGGTTGAGACTCTTGTTCAGAACAACCATCGCGTTCCATTTGTTCTTTTTTTTTCTTCCATCCACTGCCCATAAGATATACACAAGGAGGTGGGCAAAAAAACCTGAAGAATAATAGGGGAAAAAAAAAAACAAGAAGCAAAAATCAATTAGATTCAATAAAGCATTTCCTTTCCTTGAACATTATGAATACAAAATCATATTGAAATGCACCTATTCCCCAATGAAAAATTTTGGTGAAGCCTTTTGTAATGCAAATAATCATGCCCACAGGACAGAAATCGGGACTTCCACAATGACTAAATCTGTTCAGGCAAAATATTGGAGTTATGCATACAGTTAGATTAAATACTTTTTAGAGTACAGAACTTCTCTTTGTATGGCTCAGAGTTCTAAATTACCAGAGTTCAGCAAATCCAGTGTACTCTAACATATTACAAAACACGATAAACCACCACAAAAATCTGTAATTACTAATTAAGGCCTATTCAAAATGACACAATCATTAATGAGTGACATTACTATTATGGATACTGCATTTAACTTAATGTGGTAATTAACCTGGAAAATTGTGTTAGAGCATTGTCCATAGTAGAAACATCCAAAATATTAATAAAACTAAGCAAAAGAGCCAAAAATACATGGATCTCCTGATTATGAGCAGTGCTGTGTTTTATATATCTTTGAATTTTATACACACTTGGAACACCTGGTGCGCTGTAGATATCTGAGAAATATCTCATGCTCAAAGAACAATACACTGTATTCTTTCAACTCACAGAATATGACAGGTTTGTTTTGCTAGTTGTCAAAAACCACCTTCACAAGTTCTTCTGAGAATGATTTTCTTATAATCTTTTATTTAGCAATTAAAAATATTATCTATTGCAAAGCCTAGCTCAAGGCTCATATTTTACATAGTTCAGACCATCAATCCAGTCCTTATATAGGGTGTAAATTCACCTTTGCTCAATTATAATGTTGACTTGTACACACTTTAAAACATCTATGCCATATCTCTCTAGAGGGCCTGAAAACTCGAATTAACTATAGTAGCCACATAAGTAATATAAATGGGTGAACGGCGCGTACAATAAACAGGAATATCCAGGCTGGGCGCGGTGACCCATACCTGTAATCCTAACACTTTGGGAGGCAGAGGCAGGCGGACTGCTTGAGCCCAGGAGTTTGAGACCAGCCTGGGCAACATGGCTAAACCTCATGTCTACAAAAAATACAAAAATTAGTGGGCGTGGTGGCAGGCGCCTATAGTCCCAGCTACTCTGGTGGCTGAGGTGGGAGGACCAACTAAGCCTGGGAGGTCAAGGCTGTGGTGAGCTGTCATAGTGCAGCTGCATTCCAGCTTGGGTTAGAGTGAGACTCTGTCTTAAAAAAAAAAAAATTAGGAATATCCTTTAGTTACCCAAAGAAGTAGTTTCCTTCTCTTCTTTCTTGAAACACACAGCCTCCATTGTCATTCTCACTTCTTGTACTGTTATTAGTACAGAAAATGGCTTACTTTTCTTAATCCTAGTATAAGAAAACCCAGAGCTTAAATGCAATGATAATCAGCCACTAGTGTATATATACCCACTCACACTCACGTGGCTGAACTATGGGCATGCAGGCCTAGTGTTGGTCCCGTCCTCCAATTGTTCAATAGATGACTGAAATCAAATTTTATATGAAATACTGTTTTTTTAAATTTGGCAACTAATTTACACTTATTAACACTCTGTAGGCCAACAACGTGCAGACTAAAAGAAAAAAACTTTATGTGCATATGTGCACACACAAGCAGACACCAGCAGGCTGGATTTGGTGCTCAGGTCTTCCTGAAGGTGGTAGTATCTACTTCTTGTTTGCTTCCCCCTCAGCCTCTACAATATTATCTACTGAACTGACTGAAAATATATTAATGGAACCTACTTTTTGCTCAACCCTAACCAGACTACTTTAGAGGCAATTTACATATGACTTACAAGAAGTAAGCTGGGTTTATTTAATATTCATTAATTCTCCAAATTATTTATTATATCCTGAGTGTGTAACAGATACTGGGGATATAGCAGTAAAAATAAACAAAAAAATTAGACAAAATTCCTCTCCTCATGGAACTTACACTCTAATAGGAGAGAGATAATAAAAACAGATAAATGAGTGAAATAACATGCATATGTACTCCATTAGCTGGTGATAAGTATGGGGAGAAAAAAATAAAGCAGGCAAGGGGTACTTGAAATGGGGACGGCCCAAGGTGGTCAGGAAAAGTTTCCTTAAGAAGGTGACTTTGAGTCACGACCTAAAGCCATGTGGACACCTGGGGCAAGAGCATTTCCACAGAGGAAAGAGCCAGTGCAAAGGTTCTCAGATAGGAAGGACTGTGACCAACAGTGGGGAAACAACCAACAGACCAGAGCGGCTGGAGTACAGAGCAAGAGGGGGATTAACAGGCAGCGAAGCCAGAGGTAGCGGACAAGTAGACCAAGGAGGCCCTACGGATTTAACTGAGGGAGGAGGGAAGTCTCTGTAGTCCTCTCACATTTATCTAATCCAATAGAAAAGAGCAGTTTTCATGCCTGTATACTTACACTGAGGCCAAGGATATAAAGGTCACAGCCAAGTTAGTGGGCCCAGTTCCAGGTCACTCTAAATTTGGAGGGAAGCCTGGATTAGCTGGGCTAGTTTTGGAGTGGGTTCAGTTCAAGTCTACAAAGGGGAGCTTTCTGGCTTCTAATGCTGGGAGCTACCCAATGCTTACTATGGCACAGAGTCAAATACCTAGGTTGGCACACTCTCAGGAGGTTGAGAAGGCATCAATTTTGGAAACACATCTCCTGTTTTTTTTAATTGAACATTGATGTTAAGACTCCTTAGTAAATTGGTGTATCAGCTATAAAACTCAAAAGAGCTGTGTTTTAGTACAGGTTGTGTATTCCTTATCTAAAATGCTTGGGACCAACAGTGTTTTGAATTTTTTTTCCCCAGACCTTGGATTGTTTGCATTTATACTTAGTGGTTGAACATCCCAAATCTAAAATGCTCCAGGCTGGGTGCAGTGACTCATGCCTATAATCCCAGCACTTTGGGAGGCTGAGGCAGGCAGATCACTTGAGGCCAGGAGTTCAAGACCAGACCGGCCAACATAGCAAAACACTGTCTCTACTAAAAGTACAAAAATTAGCCAGGCATGGTGGCGCACGCCTGTAGTCCCAGTTACTCAGGAGGCTGAGGCATGAGAATCGCTTGAACCCAGTAGGTGGGGTTGCAGCGAGCCAAGATAGTGCCACTGTACTCCAGCCTGGATGACAGAGCAAGACTCTTACAGGGTCATGTTGGCACTCGGGGTTTTCAGATTTTGGAGCACTTCGAATTTTTGGATTGGGAATGCGCAACCTATATGCCAAATACAGTAGTCAAATCTCAATGAGTTATCATAAATGGTACTTTTTTTTTTTTTTTTTGAGACGGAGTCTTGCTCTGTCACCCAGGCTGGAGTGCAGTGGCGCGACCTCCACTCACTGAAAGCTCCACCTCCCAGGTTCATGCCATTTTCCTGCCTCAGCCTCCCGAGTAGCTGGGACTACAGGCACCCGCCACCACGCCTGGCTAATTTTTTTTTTTTTTGTATTTTTAGTAGAGATGGGGTTTCACCATGTTAGCCAGGATGGTCTCGATCTCCTGACCTCGTGATCCGCCCGCCTCGGCCTCCCAAAGTGCTGGGATTACAGGCGTGAGCCACCGCGCCTGGCCCATAAATGGTACTTCTTAATTTCACATCTGAAAAATATAAAGAGAGCTAAACTGATAAAAGAATGAGTAGTGCTGGTTTTCTCAAAAGTACTGTGACAAAATGCATGAAATGGTAAAAATCAGGTTGATAAAAAATTCTCTATTCAAAACACTGACCAAGGTTCTATCTTGAAAGTGCTTTCCAATCATGTAATAAATATAAGAAAAATGAAGACTTTTCAATAGTCTGAGTCTTTAAAAAAAAAAAAGTCAACTCTAAATTATTTCAAAAAGCCATGATGGAAGTAGCAAATCCAATATAATCTAAACATTCAAATTATTTCTATATTGCTGATAAAATCATACCTTAAACATCCCAATATCATCATCCCCTAAAATACGGCAAACAAATCAAGTTGTTGCCCATACTTCGTAAAAATCTAGTGATTGAATAAAAGTCAGCATATATACAAAAAAAAAAGGCAAGAATACACGCAAAAGAAACTAAAGGGAGTGGGGTAAAAATAAAAGGCCACCAAATTAACAGAAGAAAACTTAAATACATCTTTATTTATTTATTTATTTATTTAATTTTAAAGACAGAGTCAGACTTTCACTATGTTGCCCAGGCTGGTCTTGAACTCCTGGTCTCAAGGGATCCTCCTGTCTTGGCCTCTCAAAGTGTTGGGATTACAGGCATGAGCCACTGCACCTGGCCTAAAATATATCTTATGTGGTGTATTTTAGGCCAGGTGTGTGAAACTGACTATTTTTTAAAATTTGGGCAGTTGGTCAATATGTATCAAACACTCAGTGAAAAGTCTGAAAAGTGGTTAGCTTACAGAATTTAACTGCTGCTATAAAAAGATATCCTATAAAACACGTTGCCTTTATTTTCTCATCTTCCCTAGCAGCTCTATCAACTATAACAAACAATACTTTCTCTGCCACTTGGTGGCGATATGCACACATTTAAAATTTTACTCCTTTCACAGTTGTCTTTATTTTCAGAGACTGTTTCAACCACTGATTTCCTCAAATCTTGAGATGATGTCTGAAAACTGCCTTACAGATTCAAAGAAGGCTTTTTATCCATTCCAATATATAAAATAAATTAGGTTAAACAGAATCCAAACTCATGATATTTGCATTATCTTGCTACCTTTGCAGAATCATCACTAACCTTTGATGATTATTCAGTTCACAAGGACCATATTTAGGAACTTTTTGCATGCCACAATTGGCCAATTAACACAAATCTCAATATGACTTCAGAATCAGTCTAAATGACTTTACTGTTCATTGTTTTAACAGCATCATTACTGCTACTGCTTAATTACTTCCTTCAAGAAAGCTCTAGATAAAATAATCTTTTAAAAAGTTTATTCTTTAACCTAAGATCTTACTTAATGAGAAATTAATCACTAATATAAATGGGGTACTAGATGTGCCATGCAAATAAATACTAGTTATTAGGCACCATATTTAACATCAAGAACAATTTTAAATTTGGAGATAAAATTTCCTAACCAAGTATTTTTAAGCATCACTCACTGGAGTTATTTTGTATGCCAAAAAGACACAGCCAAGAGGACTGTGATCATGCCCCCAGGTAACCTCACGCCTTACGCCTTTGCAACTCTTCAAAAAGGCCTGAACCAGGATCGGCAAGAAAGAAGACAGATCCTCTTCCCACTGTGCACTCCACCACCAAGTAAGAGCCCAGAACACTTCTCTGAATCCAGGGCAGTTTGACAGACATCCAGAGGGCTAGATTAGCATTAGCAGTCCTTTACTACTAACACCTGTTTTTTAAAAAAATCAAGTAAATTTAATGGGTTTCCCCTTTATCATAAAGTAATGCAGGTCTACTTTGAAATTTTTAACAATACAAATCAGTAAAAATATAGGAAAGTAGTTACTCTGGCCTTTTCATCATTTTTGTTCATTTTTTAGAGGACTTCAAAGCTTAGATTGTTAAAGCTTTCTTTTGACTGGGGTTTTAGACCAGCTAGGCCATGCCCAAATAATACACAGAAATTGAAAATAGGCTGGGTGCGGTGGCTCACGCCCGTAATCCCAGCACTTTGGGAGGCAGAGGCGGGCAGATCACAAGGTCAAGAGTTCGAGACCAGCCTGGCCAACATGGTGAAACCCCGTCTCTACTAAAAATACAAAAATTAGCTGTGCGTGGTGGTGGGTGCCTGTAATCCCAGCTACTTGGGAGGCTGAGGCAGGAGAATCATTTGAACCCAGGAGGCAGAGGTTGCAGTAAGCCAAGATTGCACCACTGCACTCCAGCCTGGGCAACAAGGCGAGACTCTGTCTCAAAAAGAAAAAAGAAAAATAAAAGCTACTACAATAAAAGATATGGTTAAATTTTCCATTTTAACTTGACAAACCACTACAGCTCTCTATATATGTTGGATCTTTTTCTTTTTTAGACGGAGTCTCACTCTGCCGCCCAGGCTGGAGTGCAGTGGCACCTCGGACCTCAGGTGATCCGCCCACCTTGACCTCTCAAAGTGCTGGGATTACAGGCATGAGCCACCATGCCGGGCCGTATTTTTTAACAGTAACTAACAAACAGGAACCTTATCTGGACTTTAACACAATTTTCTAAATAGGTCTTCCCCTTTTGTTATCTCCAACGGGCCTCAGTTATACATCCCGGTATTAAATGACACAGTGACTTTTAAAACTCCTAGTAAAGGTCCTTTTGCATAAAACCTAGCACACAATAGCCAATCAGAAATAAAGAATAAGTGAATTCAATTGTACTAAAATGCATCTTCAAAAATCCAGAGAAAAGAAAAGCAGCTTGCCTAAATTTGAAGCTATATGATAAACACACATCTATTCATAATTCAATTGGGCTAGCCCAATCTCACCTAGGTAATGGAAAAGGGTTAGTCCTAGGCAAAGTTAAGTTTACAAAGTTTAAGTATTTAAAGGATCTTTTCCTCCTCAATCCCTGCTCTAGATAACCAACACTCAAACGCAAATGGAATGGTATGGCAATTAGGGTAGTAAAAAGGGTAAATATTTAAAATTAGGCCCTCAAGAGTTCCAACCCTAGCTCCACAGATTCCTAACTAATGTCAACCTGGACACATTTAAAGTCTCTGATTTTCAGATTCGTTGCCCACAGAATTTGGATCATAACATGACTACTTTACAAAATTGTTACGAGGATTACAACTTTAAAATATTTATAAAGCACTTTGGGAATCATGTCTGGCTCATGATTGGAGCCAATATGAAACTGTTTCTACCTCGGATTCACTATGAGGTGCACAGCTGGCCTTTTAGATTCTTCCTCCATAATGATGGGTGTTAACTTTTTCTGTTTTGCTTAAAAAGCAGAAAACTTGCTATAAACACACACTAAATTTTATTTATGAAAAAAAAAATACTGAATTTCTAATATCAACTTCGTGGGAAAAAAAAAAAGGACCACTAATTTGAGTTGGTACGCTATGTCCCAAACTACAGATACCAACTTCTTCCCATCTTTAACCCTAAATCAGTGTTTAAGTTGTATTAGTAAAGTACGATAAAATAATCAGAAATTTAGTAAGCCTGAATAACAGTACCTGGCAGTATGAATCTTAAATATTGTTTTCACTTGTTCATCTTTGAGGATTAAAACTACCAATTAAATAGCTTTACCTTCTTGGCCAAGCACGGTGTCTCATGCCTGTAATCCTTTGGGAGGCTGAGGCAGGCGGATCACTTGAGCCCAGGAGTTTGAGATCAGCCTGGACGGCATAGTGAAACCCCGTCTCTATAAAAAATACAAAAATTAGCTGGCCATGGTGGTGAGTGCCTGTAGTCCCAGCTACTCAGGTGGCTGAGGTGGGAGGACCACCTGAGCCCAGTAAGTGGAAATCATACCACTGCACTCCAGCCAGGGCAACAGAGACCCTGTCTCAAAAAAAAAAAAAAAAAAAAAAAAAAAAAGAAAGAAAGCTTTACCCCTCTTTTCAGCTCAGATCTAGTCAGCTTCAAGGAACTTCCTAAAAATTCTCTTTTAACATGTAAATTAATTTAATCACATACATATTACATTTCCCTTCTCTTAAGCATAAGCTGAGGTTTCCTTTATGTCACAATCTCTAAGAATTCTACTCATTCCTTTCACAACAATCCCAAAACCTTAGTTTTCATTCCTTTTCTCTTCAGTTGGGTACCTTTCTAGCCAATTAAAAAACCTTTGATCTTTCTCCATAAGCAGGCTTTTTCCATGGAATGCTTAACCAAAAAATGCTGTTTGAAAGACAGACTCAAGAAACTATTCAAAGAAAATTCCAGGAACCAAGTGAAGAAACAACAATGAAAGTCCCCAATTAAACATAAAAAATGCGGAAATTTATAGAATACCACAATAAATAATTTTTTAAAAATCACCTTGTTGTAATTTAATTTTGGTTAATCTACTTTATAGGTAATTTCTGTTGAGTCCACATTCAAGTAGTATGAGAGTATGAACCCAGTTTTGCTGTTTCTTCTTAATAGCAACCCAAACAAGAATAGGATCAAGAGAGAGGGCCAGGAGTTTTCTTTATAATCATTCCATAGCTCAATTAACCTAAGCTCAAGACAGTTTTAGGATCAAGAGCTTATTCAGCCTTTTCCTTTGCAAAACGGTACTTTTGGGGTCACATTTGCGTAAAAAACTACATTTTCCACCAAAAAGAAAGCTTCTTTGTGAATAAGCTAATGTATCACATAAGTATTTCGGGGACATTATGTAGCCCAAAAGAAAAACTGTGGATTATTTCATTTTGTAAGATCAGGGATTTATTAACCAGATGACCTTTATTAAATTACCCTTCTGGCTTGAGTGTATGTAGAAAGTAGAAAAGTTCCACCTTCAAAGCTCGTCTTGGTTTGAAAATAAAATAACAGACACTAGAAATCATAGCTTCTTACTCTAAAGCCTCCTATCAACTATCAGTTCTTACACTTTAGCCCAATTAGTTGCTTTGGCTTATTCAGGCATGTCTGGGCAGGCCCAGGCAAGTCTTAGCTCATAGCTTATGCCCCTTCCTTATTTGGAAATGTTATTGCTTTCTTAAACCTTTTGTAAGCAACTTCCTCTCTTCTTTGTTCTCCCTTGCACTTAACGTATTTAGGAAAGTTTTATGTTAGTAGCAAATCAGGTATCAGTTTAATACTGTGAGGTCCAGCTCCAGCCAATGGATGCAGGACACAGCAGTAAGGATGACCCAAATGCGTAAGGGACAAATATGTCTGCTTTTCCTTTGTTCAAGTGTGCTCTCTCCATTGTTCCATCTGCGAGGGGCACCCTTTCTGCAGAAAGTAAAGACTGCCTTGCTGAGAGGTCCTCTGTCTCCATGCTGACTTTTCTTCACAGCACCAATTATCTATTCCTAACAGTATACCACAATTCACTTTGTTTCTCCCCTTCAGGAGACAAATCCCCTATTTTTTATTTTGTACTAGCAAATGAACCCAGTAATAGAAGCCATCCTCTGACATGTATATTAATACATAATTGGCAAATTCATGTGGTAACTACAATTAACTATCCACCAGAAAAATAATCTTACCTTTTTTCATTTCCATATGACTTCTGTGCAACTTTTGCATGAAGAATAAGTACTGTTTGATCCCCTCGCTCTTTTAAATAATTTCGCATAGCTTCCCTAAAAACAAATACAAATATTACTGTTACAGAGGTGAAATTCTTGATGAAATCTTTCATCATTACTACGCTCTGTAATGAGAGGAATGCTTATAAATATTTTTTAAATAAGCAAATCTTAAAAACAAAAACAATAAAGCAAAGTAAATCCATAAATTAAATTGGAAGATTATACAATGATACAATGAATACTGCTCATTTTCAATTCTATTCCTTGTTCTTTAAAAATAAGAAACTGTCTCTCATTCTTTGGAATTTATGATGTAACTCAAACCACAATTACACCTTCCAGAATAACTAGAATCAACATATACACTGCTAATGTGGCTCTAAAATATTATAAAGTTAATAAAATGCAGTAATTTTGTAGTTTAATAATGTAATTCCCTTCCTCAGTTTCCCTACCCCAGCTATCGGAAGCAATGTTTTTCATTGAATACAAAAGCTGTAACAAATCCTTAGGCCATCCAAATTTATTATTACATGATCCTAAAATGACAATCCTATAAGGACCAAGAAAGGCCTATAGTTCACATACGAATACATAATTATCTCAAGGATATTATTAAATAAATAAAATTTAATAAAGTAATTGAAATCGGTGAAAATCTGAATTTTGAAAAAAATACAATGTTAATTCTTTCAAGTAAAAACAACTCTACATATTTATTGAGCAAATGGTCTATACAAAGTTCAATATCTTAAATGTATTTACATACTCAATTGTTTTGCTAAGCAATATTATATAGTAAAAAGAAAGCAAGCTCTACACAGATGAAACTATAACAATTCTGAATAAGCAGAATCCCAATTCTTGAGATGTCTTACACATCCCAAACTTAAATGTTATTTTCCTGATACTATAAAGACAAATATCAGGTATAAGAGCATAGCTATACAATAGTAATACGTTATTAAATGTGAGGACTTCTAGGTTTACAGCACTTACACACTAAGTAGCCTGGTGCAAATCATTTAACCTCAACCAGCCTCTGATTCCCTAACTGGAAACTGAAGATAATAACACCTCCCTACCACAGGGTGGCTGAGGGGATTAAAGGAGATAACCTAATAACAGCATTTATATTTACCAACTGAAAAAACCTGTTAGCTCCAAGGCAGGGCAGTAATACCAGGATATAAATAGACTGAGAACTAATCCCTACCACTGAAAAGAAACTCAAAGTCCAAATTGTAATTAAATGCAATAATCCAAGTAGAGATATGTACAAAAAGCACCAATAAGGGAACGCCTATGTAAAGACAGGGGTAGATGGTAAAGGACTACATGCTGGGAAAAGTTCTTAGAAGCCCTAATTCTGAGCGAGAAGTAGACACAGGAAGTGGGAGGAGGAAAGCATAAGGCGTTACAGGGCCTGATAATAGTGTGAATAAAGGCATCAATAACTGCACATTCAGGCTAAGGAGTAAGGCAGCCACAACAGTAAAACAAGAGCAGCTTATGTTTCTTGAGTGTTTACTATGTGCCAGGCCTTGAACTAAGCACTTTAACTCCATTATTTTATTTAATCCTCATAATCCAAAAAGATAAGTACTGCTATACAGCTAACACCATTTTGATTGTCATGCCCAAGCTCTTATAGTGAACAGTGGCAGTCAGGAATTCACACAAATTTTGTGAGATTCTAAGGTGAGCCACGGCAGTGAATAAGGTTGACAATGATAGAGTCAAACTATGAAAGGCTTTGAAAATTGGACATTTGTATACTTAAATACTAAGTATAAAAGTTTATGCTATTTCAAATATTACCCCATAACAGGTGATGATAAAAGTGGTAATACGTTTCTGCATAGCAAAAGAAACCATCAATGGAGTAAACAGACAACCTACAGAATGGGAGGAAATACGTGCAAACTGTGCATCTGATAAAGGTCTACTATCCAGCATCTATAAGGAACTTAAATTTACAAGAAAAAAAACAAACAACCCCATTAAAAAGTAGGCAAAGGATATGAACACTTTTCAAAAGTGTTCCAACAAGCATATGAAAAGTGGCCAACAAGCATATGAAAAAAAGCTCAGTATCACTGATCATTAGAGAAATGCAAATCAAAATCACAATGAGACACCATCTCACACTAGTCAGAATGGCTATTACTAAAATAGCAGATGCTGGAGAGGTTGTGGAGAAAAGGGAACATTTATACACTGTTGGTGGTAGCGTAAATTAGTTCAACTGTTGTGGAAAGTAGTATGGCGATTCCTCAAAGAGCTAAAAACAGAACTACCATTCCACCTAGCAATCCCATTACTGGGTATACACCCAGAGGAATATAAATCATTCTACCACAGAGACACATGCACAGGAATGTTCATTGCAGCACTATTTGCAATAGCAATGACATGGAATCAACATAAATGCCCATCAGTGACAGACTGGAAAAAGAAAGTGTGGTACATACACACCACCGAATATTATGCAGCCATTAAAAAAAATGAGAGCATGTCTTTTGTGGGAACATAAATGAAGCTGGGGGCTGTCTTCCTTAGCAAACTAACGCAGGAACAAAAAAACAAATATCGCATGTTCTCACTTACAAGTGGGAACTAAATGATGAGAACTTATGAAGACAAAGAAGGAAATGACAGACACTGAAGTCTACTTGAGGGTGGAGCTTGGGAGGTGGGAGAGGAGCAGAAAAAATAACTATTGGGTACTGGGCGTAATACCTGGGTGATGAAATAATCAACAAACCCCCATGGCATGAGTTTACCTATGTAACAAACCTTCACATGTAACCCTGAACCTAAAATAAAAGTTTTTAAAAAAAATTCTTGGAAAATTATTTGAAGCACTTTTAGGGGAAGTATTGTTATATGGTTATTCATTATGATTAAACCTTTAAGTATAAAAAAAGTGGTAGCGTGTAGTAAAATCTTTAAAGATCCAGAGAAAAACTCAAAACGAAAAAAAAAAAAAATCCATCCCTTTGTGAATTGGGACAAGATCACCAGTCAATTTTCTCTCAAGCCCATTATAGAAAATCAATACTATAGAAACTGAATTTTCAATCTAAACGAAAGGCAATGAGAGATCTCATTAAGGTTTTTTAAAAATACGTAATTAATTTTACTTTTTAGTTATTTCTAGAGAAAGGATTCAAAAGCAGAGAAGACAAGACAAACTTATAAAAAGGCTCTCACACTAAGAAGACGGTAACAGAAGATAGTAGGGGACAGGAAAAATAACTCTATGTATCTTTTGTTTTGGGAGAAGTGGGTATATATTATTACTAGGTTCTGCTGACAAAAGTCAACTCTGAAGTGCCCCTGGGACCTCCAAGTTGAAAGTATTCAGTAGGCTGTTGGAAGTATCTATGCATAGTTCAAGAGAGAGGTCTGGGCTGAAAAGGTGGGGTTCACTAGTATGTAATTGGCAAACAACACCACGGAAGTAAATGGACTCTCCCAGAACAAAAACACATTGACAGGAGAGTCAAGAAGAAAATGTATTAAAGGAAACTGAGAACTGATAAGAGGAAGAACTGAAACCAGCCTCAGGTGCTGCAGAAAGACACAACCTCGAAAGAAGGGAGCAATCAAAGGTGAAATGCCACAGAAGTCAAGGTCACTTTAATTTCAGCAAGAAGTCTAACAGATGCCAGCTGGGGGAAGGACATAAGCAGGAGTCAAGTATGAAAGTCTCTATTTTATTCGTAAAATGAGAGGCCATATGATGTCTAATGGATAAGAAAACAATACTGGAAATACCTTCCAGGGTATGGAAAAGGAAGCTAACTATGGACAAATAAAACAACTGAAGATTGGTATCAAAGGACCAGCTAATGTTGGAATCCAAAATTAATGGTGCCGATTCCCACTAACATTCCAAGGGAGGGAATAGGGAGACCAAACTGCTGGGTACCAGAGATGCAGTCTGGAGAGGGTAACATGATGAGGGATTTGAGGTGTTGCAAAGTCAGGTGACTGAACATAGAGTTCAGGGTGAATCAGAAAACAAAAGCAGGCTGGGCGCAGTGGCACACGGCTGTAATCCCAGTACTTTGGGAGGCTGAGGCAGGCAGATCACCTGAGGTCTGGAGTTTGAGACCAGCCTGACCAACATGGAGAAACCCCCTTTCTACTAAAAATACAGAATTAGCCAGGCATGGTGGCACATGCCTGAAATCCCAGCTACTCGGGAGGCTGAGGCAGGAGAATCACTTGAACACAGGAGGCAGAGGTTGCAGTCAGCCAAGATTGCACCATTGCACTCCAGCCTGGGCAACAAGAGTGAAACTCCCTCTCAAAAAAAAAAAAAAAAAAGAAAGAAAGAAAAAGAAAACAAAAGCAAAGCCAAGAGAAGGCCAATATCCTGACAAAACTGGCACAAAATTTCCCAGCACAAAACTTGAAGAGCTACTATATATTTGAATAGTTTTAAGCCATTAAGTGTATTTCCGGATACTAAATTCTATTTGTATTTGTAGTCTCTATTACATCATTTAGCAGTAACTGCATTGTGTTTGTCAGGTTTCATGTTTATTTTTCTTGTCTTCCCAAATAGACTACAAAGTCTTTAAAGGCAAGATCCATATTTTACATTTCTATCCCTTTCATGACAACTCGGGTAAAACAGGACACAAACTTGGTATTTGATAATATCCGAGGCAGTCACAAATGCTTTCTACAAAGATTTTAATTATAATCATTAAACGAGCTAAAATTAAGCAATCACTCTTCCAGTACTCTTCTAAGCATGTATTAACATAACCAATGACCTTGAGGGTAACACTATTATGTACATTTTAGAAACTGGGTAGAGGTTAAGTAACTTTCCCAAGATGATACTGAAGAGTGAGGATTCAAATCTGCGTAGCCTAGCTTGTGAGGACAAAATCATACCGTTAGTGATTAGGGGTATAGCTTTGGTGTGAAATAGATCCGGGTCTGTTACTAAGGGTCTGTCAATCACTAAGCCTGAGTTTTCTCACCTGTAAGATAAAGGCAGTAATGCCTCATATTGGTGGTGGGGGCAGGGGGACACTTTAAAGTAAGTTAGTCCCACAAACTGACAGAAAGCAAGTGTCAGTAGCCTCGAGCTATTACTATTATTTCCTTAGAAAGAAGACTTCAACCTTCAACAGTACACAAAATGCAGAGGGAGGGAAAATGGGACTTCCACTGAGGCTTTGAGAGCAAACTTGAAAATGACCTAGGAATGAATGATCAGGCATGTTACCCAATGTGCAAAGCACAAATTTTGCAAGTACACCAGGTAAAGTGCACAACTATCCATCTTCCCACTGAAGATTTATTGGAAGCTTACTATATTCTAGGCACTGGGCATTCTACTGGCTTCTACTACTGGATGTAACTGTTCACAGTTCAAAGACCTCACAGTGCTTATGATGAATGCAGGGTGACAGCTCTGGTTTTCCTCGTCTTTTCCTTCATGTTTAGAATACAAATTCCTGAAAAAGTAACTAGAGCCTCAAGGTAATCATGAACAATAGTTGTCCTGTAAAAGTAATTTGCCAAATAGCTTCTTTCAACAGTAAAAATAAATTTCACTTTATTAAACAGAATATTAAAACATTAAAAATTATGTTCTCTGGCAATTAAAGCTTGATCATTGACTTTCTGCATCTTAAGGAGCCATAAAACAAGACGATATACTCTAAAGAAACACAATAAATAGTAAAAAGCCTGTCAAATAATAGCCCATATGCTTTTCATCCAAATAGAGGAAGGCTGTGTCAATAAATAGGATTTCTATCTCAGCACTGCTGACATCCTGGGCAAAATCATTTTCTGCTGTGGAGAGATTGCGCTGTGCATTGTAGGACTATGTAGCAGCATCACTATCTTTTACCCTGCAGGTGCCAGTAGCACCCTTCCTTGAATTATGACAACTAAAAATGTCTCCAGATGGTGCCAAATGTCAAGAAAGAGGATGGAGTGAGATGGTCACATGGAATGAAAACTACTGGGATAAACCCAAAAAATTTCAGTGGTAAGATATCACAATCATCCAGGTTTTTTTTTAATTAAAAAATACCAAAAATTTTATTATTGGAAAAACATATTACAGGTGCTGAAGAATCCTTGACCGTAGAATTACTGTTTTATTATTGAACTGTTTTTTTGAATACTTTAAAACATAAGGTAAATTTTGAAGTCTATTGTTTACTAATTTCATTTAATGATTTCTTACATAAAATTTTCATTCTAAATGAAAACCAATTGGATTACGCCTGTAATCACAGCACTTTGGGAGGCTGAGGTGGGCAAATCAATTGAGGTCAGGAGTTTGAGGCCAGCCTGGCCAACATAGTGAAACCCCATCTCTACAAAAAATACAAAAACTAGCCAGGCATGGTGGCACGCGCCTATAGTCTCAGCTACTCAGGAGGCAGGGAATTGCTTGAACCCAGGAGGCGGAGGTTGCAGTGAGCCAAGATCGCACCATTGCACTCCAGCCTGAGCGACAGACTCCATCTCAAACAAAAAAAACAAAACAAAAAAAGGAGATTTTGTTATCAAAAATAATTTTACTAACATGAAATTATGGAATTATGGCAAATGCCATTCTGGTTCAACATGCTTAATCTGTGATTACCTCTGTCAATTTTTTGACTGTGGTTTGCCTTATAAAATTCAAACTTTTTTTATACAGAAAAAAAAAAAGGAAAGAAAAATACCACAAAGAGAATACTACAGTGAAACATCCATGAATGGTAAGATAAGCTCATGTGCTGTTTCTAATGGATCTACTTTTACTAGTTATGCCAATGGAGGCAATGGGAGTCTGCAAAAAAAGGGAAGAACCTGGTCCCCGCGTAAAGGTAAAAGAGAACTTCAGTTAAGGGAACATAATCAATGTTATTAAATATTACAGAATAGTCAAGAAAAATAAAGATTAGAAACTCTTCATAAATTTGACAATTAGTTCATAAATGGAACGGCTTAATTAGAATCTTCTCAGTGAGCTGGTGGTGAGGCAACACCACTGAAGCAAGCTACAAAATGAAAGGAAGGGAAGAAAGTGCAATGAACGTAAGTCATGCTGATAAGGAAAAGGGGTGGTGGCGGGAATAACTAAGGTTACGGCAGAAAAGTTTGTCTCTTTACAGGATTTTTAAAATTCTGGATATAAAGGGAAGTTTTTAATTCCTAAGTTTGTTAAAACAAAAAAAGCCAAGAAGAAAAGGTAAAGATGCACTGCAAAAAAACCTAGTATCTAGAAACTGAGTACTTTTAAGTAGCTGAAGTATATAACACACAGAATTCTGAAAGACGGGCTGGACGAGGTGGCTCCCGCCTGTAATCCCAGCACTTTGGGAGGCTGAGGCAGGCAGATCACAAGGTCAGGAGTTCAAGACCAGCCTGGCCAACATAGAGAAACCCCATCTCTACTAAAAATACAAAAATTACCCGGGTGTGGTGGCAGACGCCTGTAGTCTGAGCTACTTGGGAGGCTGAGGCAAAAGAAGCACTTGAACGTGGAAGGCAGAAGTTGCAGTGAGCTGAGATTACGTCACTGCACTCCAGCCTGGGCGACAGAGCGAGACTCTGTTTCCAAAAAGAAAAACAGAATTCTGAAAGATGAGATTGGAAAGACAGGGTGGGGTGAGATTGGCTCAAGCCTTAAATGTCATGCTAGTAAAGTGTACATTTAATCCATAGCTTAGTGTTTCTCAAAGTAAATTCCTGGAGGCAAGATCCTCCTTAAAACGGAGTTCTGAGGGCCAAGACATATGGAAAACACTACAAACCACATCTCCCGCTAGGACATTAATTATAGCGGTGAGTTTGCGGTGTCCTTATGGTGCTAATCGCCATTCTTCTGAAAACAGACTTCCTCACTTTCTCACCACACTCTTACACACCTCTGTGATTGGTCCAAGGGGTAAGTGGAGGGAGTGTGGGAGAGAGGGAAGAGGAGAAAACCACCACAAAGATGGGAGGTCCAGTCATCTTTACCTCCAGGCTCACTCTCTGCGCTTCTCAAATTGGACTACTGTCACTTTAAAATCCAAATAATAAAAGTCCAAAATGAACTCTGTCTTCTAATGAAGAAACTTATTTTTGTTGTATCAAGAATTTTCAAAGTAATCACACACACACACACACACACACAATATCACTCGTGAACATTTTAGAGAACTGAAGAGCATATTGAGAAACACAATAGGCCACAGTCATCAAATCACAAAGCAGCCTGTTTTTGTGCCCCCTAGGAGCTAAGCATGCCTTTTACATTTTCAAAGAGTTACAATGCCGGGCAAGGTGGCTCACGCCTGTAATCCCAGCACTTTGGGAGGCCGACGCAGGCGGATCACAAGGTCAGGAGATTGAGACCATCCTGGCTAACACAGTGAAACCCTGTCTCTACTAAAAATACAAAAAATTAGCTGGGCATGGTAGCACACGCCTGTAATCCCAGCTACCTGGGAGGCTGAGGCAGGAGAATCGCTTGAACCTGGGAGGTGGAGGTTGCAGTGAGGCAAGATCGCGCCACTGCACTCCAGCCTGGGCAACAGAGTGAGACTCTGTCTCAAAAAACAAC
Organism: Homo sapiens; assembly: GCF_000001405.40. Classification (NCBI taxonomy): domain Eukaryota; kingdom Metazoa; phylum Chordata; class Mammalia; order Primates; family Hominidae; genus Homo; species Homo sapiens. The sequence goes on along the minus strand of NC_000004.12, from coordinate 26,397,641 downwards.
AACAACAAAAAAAGAGTTACAAAACAGAGACTAATAATATGCAACAGAGATAGTATGTGGCCCTCAAAGCCTAAAATATATACTACTTGACGCTACAGAAAATGCTTGTTGATCCCTGCAGACAATTTTTAAAAGTTTTTAAGGAAAAGTTGCAAAACAGAATTCTAATTAAATCAATTAAGTATATTGCACGGCTGACATTCAATCAAGAATTTTTTTATAAAATTCTTCCTCAAAACTTGACTTATGAACAACTGAGGGTTCAGAAAGCTCAGCTCAACTCTTCTCACATCTACTTGGGGATGCTGCCAAAAGGCATCCTGATTTATACGCACCCCCACAAAACCTTGAAGAACTGCCCTATTTTTGTCAGACTCTGGCAGTCTCGCCTTTTACACTGCCTCAGACACTTCTCAAAGTGAGCTCCACAATACTTACGGTTTACAAAGAAGCGTGTCTCAATCCAAGATGCTTCAGTGAAATCAGATAAAATAAAGTGAAACTAATTCATGGCAGAACTACTCAGAACCTTAAGCAAAATCTTCAAGAGAGGGATATTTGTAGGTTTCATTTTCCAAGCTATTAGACCAGACTAAGATCTCCTTGTTTTTCTTCCAAGGAAGCTTCCTGAGAACTACTGTTTGCCTGAGGACCAGTTTTGAAAATGACAATCTAGGGATACTATCAATAGTCAACAAGGTCCTGGTGCCCTTGTAACACAATAAAACATTGAGGCTGCTGTACTAAGTGTCTACATCTACCAGTGACCAAAGCTAAACAACAGTACAGGTCCTGTTCCTAAGGAAACACCTGCAAACCTCACTTCAATCCTCTCTTTTTATAGCAGAAGTAAAAATGTCCCAAAATTCCACAAAAAGTTTTTTGTAGATAAGTAAGTAAATTGCTTCAAATCCTGTCACACAGCTATGAGACACATTCTTTCAAATTCTGACCAGCTCTTGGTTTTCCCCTCCCCGCCTCCCACTCCCAAATAGGCATAGGCCGTTACATTGAGAGCAATGGGTCATCAACACATCTGTGTTCTATTAGCTTTAAAAGGTTATTGTACAAATAAGCCATTTTGCTACTTAAGGCTTTACCTCTTATGTAGAGAAAAATTTGGGACTAGAAGAATCTGAGAACATAAAATAGTATGAGGTGCTGACAATCAAAGGCAAGTCACCATCTTGGTTCTTCTATTTCTAATCCTGGTTGATGCAAACTTAACTCTTCGAATCCCAGGGATCAGACCGCATAGTCTCTTCCTACTCTACTCCATTCTCTTATTCCCTCAAGATGCCCTATAAACATGTGACTGGTCTAAATAAAGTTGAATCTTATTTGCAACCCTTTTTAATATGAATTATTTACCCATTTATGGACTAATTAGTTGACTAACAGCAAAGTTCATGTATTACTATTCATGTAGCAGATCAACCTTAGGCTTTAATTTGACTATCAATTTAAATTCATTTTACATTTACCTACTTTGCATGGTGTTTGTTACTCATAGGTGTCTTATGATGAAACAAAATACATGACTAGGTTGAAACATGAATATTTTACCTGTCATGCAAAGAAACCTCTGTCTACCTATGCTCACAATTTAAAATGGATGCTCTCCTGTCTCAAAGTGAGGAGATGAATCATAAAGAGAAACAGGCACAGAAAACAGAAACTTTAACCATAATCCAGAGGAGACAAAGAAAATACACTGTTTTAAGAGTTTCTCATTAGGCACTGGTAAAATGCTTCTAAAAATTACATGCTATGGATAGGGAAGAGAAGAGATTCAAAAAGAACAGGGGTTTTCTCAAAGACAATGCAATCCCTAAATTAGTAGACAAATATGAACATATAATCGTCTTAGTCCGTTTGTGAAGCTGGGTAATTTATTTTAGAAAGAGGTTTATTGGGCTCACAGTTCTGCACACTGGAAGACTGGGCATCTGGTGAATGGCTCGGGGTGCTTCCACTAATGGCTAATGGGGAGCTAGCAGGCAGAGATCACAGGGCAACAAAGGAAGGAAGAGAGGGAAGGGAGGTGCCAGACTCACACCTCCCATTAGACCCCACCTTAAATATTCAGGATCAAATTTCAACATGCTACTTAGTGGGTCCAAATATCCAAACCACAGCACCCATGTTAACGTGGACAATAGATATAAAGCTCATTTCTTCTTTTGTTTTTTTGAAGCAGATTCTCACTTTGTCACCCAAGCTGGAGTAAAGTGGCACAATCCGGCTCACTGCAGCCTCAATTTCCTGGGTTAGAGGGATCACCCCACCTTAGCCTTCCATGTAGCTAGGACCACAGGCGGGCAATACCACATCTAGCTAATTCTTTAATTTTTTTTAATTCTCCCTATGCTGCCCAGGCTAGTCTCAAACTCCTGGACTCAAGCAATCCTCCTGCCTTGGCCACCCAAAATGCTGGGATTACAGGCTTGAGCCACCATGCCTGGCCTGGAGCTTAGTTTCTTAACCTTCACCTTAAGGTATTATTACTTACTCTGAGGCAACCTTCAAAGCAAGCCAACAGAATTTCAGAAACTGATTATTTCCATATCTGACCATGGCCACAATGGAGGTACATGTGAGAACAGAGAGGTATGGCAGGGAGGCTAACAGAAGATGGGCTTTGCAAAAAGTGTTAGGCCAAGTGACAGAGAAAAAATATTCTTAGTGAGAGAACACTACAAAATAGTTACAACAATTACAACAAACCTTGAAGAAATGGTAAACTTTTATGAAGAAAACCTCATGACATTAAACGGATTCAAGCAAAAGCATGAGGTAATGGCTACTAGTCTGGAGTGTTGTAGGGGAGAAGGTTAAGATTACGTTCTTTAGAAGTCTTCAGGATTCCAGTCTTACCTTTTGGTTAACAGCAGAGCAGAATCACTTAGTACAACAGAGTATTAAGTCGAATAATATCTCTTTTTTAAAAAAAGCACTTCAGAGCTCAGGCCTACTCTTATCTAAGAAACAGGCACCTCCACTCGACACACTAAGCACTCCTGAAGACCAATGCATAACTGCATTGCAACTAAGATTTTCAGGCTCTAAATGACAAAATGATTTGAGGCTCTAAAAGCCTCAACAGTACAAGAATAATTGTTCTATGCATTATATAACATCTGATTATTCTATTTGGTTTTTTTTTTTTTTGAACTGACAGTCAAGTTATACTTGTGGGCCATATTAAAGGGAGTATTTCAAGAGATTGGGACGTCCTTAAAAGCCAACACTCTATTCCTATCATATACATCCTGAAAGAATGTAATTTTTGTAAAAAGAAAAAAAGTGAATCCAGGCTGGGCGTGGTGGCTCACGCCTGTAATCCCAGCATTTTGGGAGGCCAAGGAGGGCGGATCACGTGGTCAGGAGATCAAGACCATCCTGGCTAACACGGTGAAACCCCGTCTCTACTAAAAATACAAAAAAATTAGCCGGGTGTGGTGGCAGGTACCTGTAGTCCCAGCTACTCCGGAGGCTGAGGCAGGAGAATGGCGCGAACCCGGGAAGCCGAGCTTGCAATGAGCAGAGATCGCGCCACTGCACTCCAGCCTGGGCAACAGAGTGAGACTCCATTCTCAAAAAAAAAAAAAAAAATGAATCCATAGTAACAGTGAATAGTATATATTATTAACGAGCCTTAATCAAAAGTTTAAACTCTGTGTAGGCAGAACTATGTTTAGAACACTACCTAAAAGATGACCTTCACAACAGGATGCTTTTTCAATATTGCTTAATTTGGAAAATGGGAGTAAGAATAGTGTTTCAAAGATTTTTTTTTTTAAGGAATAAAATCTGCCCAATTTTAAACTCTCTGCACCCCAATGGAGAGAAAAAATGTTAAAATATTTCTCATCAAATAAAATAAAAGATACTAAAATTTTCCTAACTTGAATATTCTTTAAAGGAGAAATGGAGGAAAAAAAAACATTTTAAAAAGCATTCTCAAGGCAGGGTGTGGTGGCTCTCGCCTGTAATCCCAGCACTTTGGGAGGCCGAGGCAGGCGGATCACTTGAGCTTAGGAGTTCAAGACTAGCCTGGGCCATATGGGGAAATCCTGTCTCTACAAAAAATATAAAAATTAGCCAGGCATGGTTGTGTGCACCTGTAGTCCCTGCTACTCAGGAGGCTGAGGTGGGAGGCTGGCTTGAACCTGGGAGGCGGAGGTTGCAGTCAGCCAAGATCACACCACTGCGCTATAGCCTGGGTGATAAAGCCAGACTCTGTCTCTCAAAACAAAACAAAAAAAGGCCAGATGGTACCTAAAATTATATTATCAAAGGGGAAAATTTCTGATTTCCAAGTTTGTGCTTAATAAAATAAAATGTTATCACAGATTTGGTCATTGATTTTACATTTCCATTTGCTGTTATACAAATTTTGCTAAATTTGCCTTATTTTAGCTTCAATAATAAACAATATAAATCTGTAGTTTGCTCTCTTTCAGAGATTTAAAAAGAAATAAAACTCACCTGAAGCCAGGCGTGGTGGCTCACACCTGTAATCCCAGCACCTTGGGAAGCCAAGGCAGGCGGATCACTTTAGGTCAGGAGTTCGAGACCAGCCTGGCCAACACGGTGAAACCCCATCTCTTCTAAAAATTAAAAATTAGCTGGGCATGGTGGCAGGCACCTGTACTCTAGCCTGGGTGACAGAGCAAGACTCCGTCTCAAACAAAACAAAACAAAACAAAAAAATAAACAAAACTTACCTTAATTTACCCAAGAAGATACACTAATCCCTTTCAGAATATTTTAGAATATTTTTCAAGTATAAAAGCTTCTAAGTTTTTAACAGCTTTATTGAGATTTAATTGAAATATAGTAAAATACACTTATTTAAAGTGTGCAATGTGACAAGCTTTGGCATGTATATATACACCATCACCAAAATCAAAATAAAGGTATTCACAATTGTGAGTTTCCTTTCTGCCTTTTTGTAATCTTTCCTCCTGCCTCCCCCTATCCCCAGGAAACCACTGATCTAGTTTTTGTCAGTACAGATCAGTTTGCATTTTTTATAATTCTATGTAAGTGGAATCATTCAGTACGTATTCTTTTTTCCTGATATATTTAGAAAATTGAATATAATTATTTTAAGATCCATCTATGTTGTTGCATGTATCAAGTTCATTCCTTTTTTACTGCTTAATAGAAATTCACTGTAGAATACACTACAATTTGTTGATCCACTCACCTGTTGCTGGATATTGGGGTTATGTATGTGTGACTACTACAACTAAAGCTAACATGAACATTTGTGTTCAGGGCTTTGTATTCAGATGTTTTCATTTTCCTTGATTAAATATGTAGGAATGGAATAACTAGGCCATATGGTAGAGGTTTAACATTTTAAGAAAGTGCTAAATTATTTTCTAAAATTATTGTACCACTTTATATACCCACTGCCAGTGTATGAAAAGTACTAGCTGTTCCCATGATGAGTCCTTTAAATTTCAGACATTTTAACAGGTATACAGTATTAATAGTATCTAACTGCTAAAAAGTGTATGTGTCCCCCCAAAATTCCTATGTTGAAACCTAATAGGAGGTGGGGCATCTGGGAGGTGATGAGGTCATGAGGATGGAGCCTTCAAGAATAGGATCAGTGCCCTTGTCCCTCCTGCCATGTGAGGACACATAAAGAAGACAGTCATCTATCAACCAGGAAGCATCTCCCAACAGACATCAAACACACTGGTGTCTTAATCTTAGACTTCCCAGCCTCCAGAATTATGAGACATAAATTTGTGGCTTATAAGCCACCCAGTTAATGGTACACTATTATAGCAAACCAGTGGGACTAACACACTCACTGTAGTCTTAATTTGCACTTCCTTAATGGGTATTTGTCATATTCACACATTCTTTGGATTAGTATCTGTTCAGACCATTTCCACCCTTTAAAAATGGATTGTTTCCTTATTATTTACTTTTCAGAGTCCTTTTCATCTTTGTTTTTTATTTTGATGAAGTAAAATTTATCAATTTCTTCCACAGATTGTGTTTTAGTGTCTAAGAAATGTTAGCCTAATAAACAACATTTTCTCCTATGTTTTCTTCTAAAAGCTGTATACTTTAAAGTTTTACATTTAGGTCTACATTGAGCTATTTTTTTAATATGGTACTATGTATAGACTGTAGTTACTTTGTGTGTGGGGGGTGGGTTGAAGGAGGAATGGATATCCAATTGTTCTACAATCAACTGTTAGAAAGACTACCATTTAAAAAAAAATCTAGCTAAATTGCCTTCGCACCTTGACTGGAAAGTAACTGACCACGTATCTGAAGAACTATTTCTGGCCACTATTCTGTCACAATGGTCTACTTAGCTATCTTTATGCCAATACAATACTTTAAATTACCATAGCTTTATAGTAAGCTTTGAAACCAGGCAGTGTAAGTTCTTTTTTCTTTTTTTCAAGGTTATTTGCATTTCTATATAAATTTTAGAAACAGCTTGTCAACTGTTACAAAAAAGCCTGCTGAGATTTTGACTGTGATTGTGTTGAATCCACAGGATCAATTTGAGAAGAACTGACATTTTAACCATATATATATTTATTTGAGACAGGGTCTCGCTCTGTCATCTAGGCTGGAGTGCAGAGGCACAAACATGGATTACAGCAGCCTTAACCTCCTGGGCTCAGGCAATCCTCCTGCCTCAGCTTCCCAATGTAGCTGGGACCACAGGCACGTGCCAACATGCCCAGCTAATTTTTTTTATTATTTGTAGAGACAAGGTCTCACTTGGTTGCCCAAGCTGGTTTCAAACTCCTAGCCTTAAGTGATCCTCACACCTTGGCCTTTCAATGTACTGGGATTATAGGTGTGAACCATCACACCCAGCCCATTTCAACAATATTAGGTCTTCTACCTGAAGAACATTTAATTAGGACTTCAAGTTCTCCCAGTAATGTTTGGTAGTCTTCAGTGTAGAGTTTTTGCACCTTTTGTCAGACTTTTCCTGATATATATTTTTATACTACTGTGTAAATTGTATTGCTTTCAAATTCCAATTTCCCATTGCTCATCAGTATACAGAAATACAATTTAGTTGTGTATGTTAATCATGTATCCTACTACCTTGCTAAACTCACTTATCAGTTCTAGTAGCAAGATTCCGCAGAATTTTCTATACATATGATCATGATATCTGCAAATAAAGACAGTTTCACTTCTTTCTTTCCCATCAAGACGTCTTTCATTTCTTTTTCTGGCCTTATAGTACCTCAAAATACAATGTTAAATGAAATCTGTGAAAGCAGACATCCTTGTGTTGTTCCTAATGTTAGAGGAAAAACATCCAGTGTTTCACCAATCAGCATGTTGTTAAATGTAGTTTTTTCACAGGCACCCTATGATGAGGAAATTCTCTTTTATTCCAAGTTTGCTGAGAATTTCTATTAAAAATGGATGTCAAAAGCTTTTTCTAAATCCCGAGATAACTATATGATTTTCCTTTTTTGTTCTATTAATATACTGAATTACATGAACTGTTTTCCATTCCTGAGATAAAGCTCACTAGGTCAAGATGTATCATCCCCTCAATATATTGTTGGATTCCATTTGAAAATTTGTTAAGACTTTTTATAACTATGTTCACAAGGGATACTGGACAGTAATTTCATTTTCTTGTAATGTCTTGCCTACTTTTCGCAACAGGGTAATGCTATGCTCACAGAATGAACTGAGAAGTATGTCCTGCTCTCCAATTTTCTGAAAGAGTATGTATGGAATTGAGATAATTTTTTTCTTAAATATACAGTAGAATTCAACAGTGAAGCCATCTGGGCCTGCAGTTTTGTCAGAAGGTTTACAAGTTCAATTTCCTTAAATATAGGACTATTCAAGTTACCTGTTTCTTCTTGAGTAAGCTTTGGTAGTTTGCTAGTTTCAAGAAATTGTGTGCATTTCTTCAAAAGTTGAATATTATTGGCAAAAAGTTAATTATAATATTCACTTATTATCCTTCAAACATCTGTGACTCTATAGTGATGTCACCTTTCTTGTTCTTGATATTGGTAATTTGTACAGAATCGGATTTCTATCTAGTATGATCATCCTTCTGCTTGAAGAATTTTAACACTGTAGCTAAGGCCTATTTGCAATAAATTCTTTCAATTTTTAATATGCCTAAAACGGTATATATCTACTGGGTATAGAATTCTAGGTTGACAAGTATAGGTCCCCCTTGAGCACTTCAAAGCACTTGCTCTGTCTTATCCACAGCAAGGTTTCAGATGAAAAACCTGCTGTCATCCTCTCTTTGTTCCTCTGTGCATAATTTGTCTTTGGTTTTCTGTTGTTTTTTTCTTTATCACTGACTTTAATCAATTTGATTATAAAGTGCTTCTGGGTGGTTTCTGTACTCAGGATTAACTGATTTTTTTTTTAGATGGGGTCTCACTCTGTCACCCAGGCTGGAGTGCAGTGGTGTGATCTCAGCTCACTGCAACCTCCGTCTCCTGGGCTCAAGTGATCCTCCCATCTCAGTCTCCCAAGAAGCTGGGACTACAGGCACGTGCCACAACTCCTGGCTAACTTTTTTTTTCTAACTTTCTGGTACAGACACGGTTTCGCCATGTTGCCCATGCTGATCTTGAACTCCTAAGCTCAAGAGATCTGCCCGCCTCAGCTTCCCAAAGTACTGGGATTACAGGCGTGAACCACAGCACCCAGCTTAGATCTGTGGTTTTACAGTTTTCACTAATTTTCCAGTTAGAACATTTTTGCCATTATTTCTTCATATATTGTTTTATTCATACTCTTCCTACGATGACTAACTACATATATATGAGGTCACCTGACAATAAAACATGGCTCACTAATGCTCACCACTTTTTTCAGACTTTTTCTTTGTGTGCTTCATTTTAGATAGTATCTATTGCTATGTCTTCATGTTTACTAATCTCCTCTTTGTCCATTCTGAAATTAATCCCAAGTGTACTTTTCCACCTTAAATATTAAACTTTTCATCTTTAGAGATTTAATTTGAGAGAGAGAGAGAGAGAGAGAGTGTGTGTGTAATCTTCTATGTCTCTATTTAACCTCTCCTCTAGCTCAGGTTCTACTAATTACAGTCTGTAGGCCAAATCCTACCCACCACCCATTTTACAAATAAAGCTATACTTCACTGTACAGACACTCTAATTGTTTACACATGGTCTATTGCTGCTTTTGTGCTACAACAGAAGTGAGTAGTATGATGGAGGTTATATGGGCAACAAAACCTAAAATATGTACCATCTGACTCTTTAAAGTTTCCCAGCTCTTGATCTTGACATCTTGGACATATAGAACACAAATATAATAACTGTTTTAGGCTGGGCACCGTGGATCACACCTGTAATCCCAGCATTTTGGGAGGCCAAGGAAGCAGGAGGATTGTTTGAAGCCAAGAGTTCAAGATGAGCCTGGGCAACATAGTGAGACCCTGTCTCTACAAAAAAACAAAAAAAAATTTACTGTTTTAATGTTCTTATCTAATAATTCTATTATCTGTGTCATTTCTGGGTTGGTTTTGATTCACTGATTTTTCTTGTTATGGATATTTTCTTGCTCCTTTGTATGACTGGTATATTTTGATTTTGCCTTTCTGAGGGAGTGCTGGATATTTTTCTATTCCTGTATTCTTGAGCTGTGTTCTGGTACACAATTAAGTTTGTTCCCTTCAATCCTTCTTTAAGTTTGCCAGTGAAAACAGAGCATCATGCCTGGACCCAATTTTATATCACTACTGAAACAAAACCCTTCTGAGCACTCTAGCGAATGCCCCATAAATTATGAGATTTTTCCACTCTGGCTACTGTTAACAGGCACAATTCATAGCCCTAAGTGAACTTTAGAAATTGTTTCCTCTGATTTTTTGGGATATTTTTCCCCAATCCCCACCACGGAGTAGTTTTCTTACACACGCATGCTGATCAATATGCAGCTGAAGACTGAAAGGAAACCTCTGTAGATCTCTGGACCTCTTTATACAGTTAATTCCTCTCCACTTTGCAGCCCTGCTAACTGTCTTGCCCTCTGTGGACTCCCAGTTTCTCAGGAATCACTTATCCTTCTATACCTGATGTTCAATACCTGGAAAACGGTTTTTACATATTTTGTCCAGGTTTTTGTCCTTCTACATTTATTAGGCGACATGCATCTGTAAGGAAAAGCTATCCTCTTTGCCCCATTTATTAATTATAAATGACTTTTATTTATATAAATAATATTTATCCTGAGATTAATTATCTCAGTATAGACTTCAAAGCTGTTGTTTTATTATACAGGTTTTAATCCATTACTATCATTATTTACCTTGATAACCAAAGTGTCCCAGATTTCCCCTTCAAACTGTCCTTTGTATCCTTCTGTAGGTCCCCATCGTTCTTTAAGTGTAACAGCTTTTTAAAATAATAGCAATAATTTGGAAATGACCTAAATGGTCATCAATGTGAAATATTAAAAGTGGTATGAAAGCTATGAAAAACCATGGAGCCATTAAGGGGAAATATCAAGGTAGAAGATGTACTGTTAAGTGGCGTGAAAAGGTGTAGAACAATGATAGAGTGTGATCTCAGTTGAGTTTATGAAGAAAAAGGACAGACACATACATACATATACATATATATATATATCTCATTTTCTTGAAAGACACCAAAAATAAACTGCTAAAAACGCAAGGTTTGCACTGACTCTAGGACATGGCCATAGAACTAGGTCTCTTTATTTTACAATTCTGGCTGCTAGAAATTTTAAAAATCATTTTTAAGACCAATACTTTCAACATTCATAATTAAAATGTATATTGTACAACTTATACTCATTAAAAATAGATAAAACGTGTGTTTTCTTAAAATGGGTAAAAACTGTTTTCCTTAAAATTCTTTCCTAAAAGCATTTACTTTCAAATCTTACCTGCAATCAACAAATTGTGATGGGCTAACCATAGCTAGATATAGAAAGCTACCTGCACTGCCGTCCATGTTGTATTCACTACATAAGACTCAAGACTAATTCTAAGAAAGGTTTCATTTTCCCTTTTCAACTATATCCTTTTGTTCCTGTTTTTGGTGAGGGACGGGAGGAGAGATGAGGGAAAGGAAGTTTGAGAATAAGTTTATGCTCTAGACAGTAATATTTGAATGACTTTAAGGGTACCTATTAATATAATATCTAAAACAATAAGATTTATACTTTCATAAAATGTATGTGTAAAAAGCTGACTAATATAATACTCACCTAGTAAGTCGTTTAGGTGGAGGCCGCTCACCAAATTTCCTGGAAAAAAAAAAATAAAGAAAATAAAGTTAAGTAAGCTTTATGATACACTCTACAGAAAGCTTTTCAGGCATCATAAAATCTCTTTTATGACTTATACTTCAATCTCACTGAAGAACATGAAGACAGAAATCCTCTGGTAAGCATCTGTATCCCAAAATTACAAAACACACATTTAAACATGCAAACAACATGCCCTAAGTAAGCCTTACAAATGCACTCTGAACAAGTAACACACTGATTAGATGGGGAGGACAGGTATCTTTTAGAGACGACTTACCAATAAAACAGCTAGCCAAAGACCCTCACAAAGTTTATCATGTGTCAGGCACTATGCTATACATTCGTTATATACCCTATGTAATCATTATAAAATAATTCTATTAGCCTGGTGTTGTGGTGCTTGTCTGTAGTTGCAGCTACTCAGGAGGCTGAAGTGGGACAAGAGACTGAGCCCAAGGGTTCAAGGGTGCAGTGAGTCATGATCGTGCCACTGCACTCCAGCCTGGGTGACACAGCAAGACTCTGTCTCAAAAAAATAAAATAAAAAAATAAATAAATAATATATTAAAAAAAAAGAAAAGAAAAAGAAAAAGAAAATTCTAGTGGGTATACATAGGCTTCATTTTAAAAATGTAAAAAGCAACAAGCCCAATGTCACAAAGTAATTAAGCATTAGGCAGAGATGAGACTTCCCAGATTTTAACTATTTAATTTGCCTATTTTTAAAATGGCCTAACATAGAAGCATTTCAACTGGTTGGGAGAGGGCAAAGAGAAAAGCAAGAGCAAAGGCAAGAAAGCACAATTCAGGCTGGAACTGGAGTACAACATGGCAGTTAAGATAAAGACTCTAGAGTAAGATTGGCTGGGTTCAAATCCATGATTCCATATTTACTTGCTGTGTAACCCTGAAGTTACTTGACTTTCTAGACCTGTTTCCTCATCTGTAAAAAGGACACAGTGACTGTGCTTACCTCAAAGAGTTGTTGAGGGAATTAAACATATTAATTAATATACAGAAAACACATAAGGCTGGGCGCAGTGGCTCACACCTGTAATCCCAGTACTTTGGGAGGCCGAGGCAGGCAGATCACCTGAGGTCAGGAGTTCGAGACCAGCCTGGCCAACATGGTGAAACCCTGCCTCTACTAAAAATACAAAAATTAGCCGGGTGTGGTGGCACGCGCCTGTAATCCCAGCTACTTGGGAGGCTGAGGCAGGAGAATCGCTTGAACCCAGGAGGCAGTGGTTGCAGTGAGCCAAGATCACGCCACTGCACTCCAGCATGAGAGACAGAGCAGGACTCCATCAAAAAGAGGAAAGACGAGAGGAAAGGAAAGGGGGGAGGGGAGGAGAGGGGAGAGGGGAGGAGAGAGGGGAGGGGAGAGGGGAGGGGAGAGGGGAGGGGAGAGGGGAAGAGAGAGGGGAGGGGAGAGGGGAGAGGCAAGAGGCAAGAGGGGAGAGGGGAGAGGCGAGAGGCGGGAGGGGAGAGGCAAGAGGCGGGAGGGGAGAGGTGAGAGGGGAGGGGGAGAGGGGAGAGGCGAGAGGGGAGGGGGAGAGGGGAGAGGAGAGAGGAGGAGAGGGAATAGTGCCTGAAACACAGTAAATACTCAATAATAGCTAGTAATTATTATCGTTTTTAGCTATAAGTAGTTAAGCCAAAATAACTAAAGGAACTAAATACGATTTTAATAGAGATAAATAAGTATATGGAGAATAAACTGTGGTTTCTATGTGATAACCTGTTATTTCCTCTGAAATAGGAAGTGTAAACTTCTGAGACAGTGAAGACACAGCACTTGAAAAAGACCTTGAAGCAAGACTACAATTATAAACAGTTAAGTAACTTGTTCATAAACACAGTTATAGGATATGAAGTCTTATTTGACTTAAAGATTTCTCTACTGTATTTGTAATGTTCCACAAGATTATTAACTTTGATGATAAAAGTCATAGGATCCCATTTAGTTCATTTTGTTCATTTGTCCTAAGATACTGTTTATGAATTGATAATTCACAAGCAATTAAGTATCTGTGACTGGAATATTTTAGTATTTTCATTAAACCTAAAATATTGAAAAATGGCTTTAATTGAAATAGCACAAAAAATGGGCAAATAACCCAAGTTTTTGAAAGAAGATGTATAATTAGTTCTGCTTGATTTTATCCCACATGATATTCAATTTCTAAAATCAAGAAACAAGGCAAGGCATGGTAGCTCATGCCTGTAATCCTAGCACTTTGGGAGCCCAAGGTGGGTGGATTGTTTTGATTGCAGGAATTTGAGACATGGTGAAACCCTGTCTCTACAAAAAGTACAAAAATTAGCCCGGCATGGTGGTGTGAGCCCCTAATCCCAGGTACTCAGGAGGCTGAGGTAAGAGGATCACTTGAGTCCAGGAAGTCGAGGCTGCAGTGAGCTGAGATCGCACCAGTCCACTCTAGCCTGGATGACAGAGCAAGACCCTGTCTCAAAAACAAAGAAAGAAACAAAACACAATGTTTTACTGGTAACATCAGCAAAGTAGCTGAGGAACACAGATTTCAAAACACTGAACTACTGATCAACCCACGAATTCCAGCTATGGAATTAAATGCAAAAATCTGAATCTTTTTCCACAAAACAATTTTTTACACCGATTAAATGTACCACTGTAGCATACGATTACAATAAAACTTCATTAAAGGTTATATATAGAATAGTGTACAAAAGCCAGAAAGTTTAAGATACTCTTTAAAATACTTCTTTAGATATAGATATTTATACATATGTGAATATGCAGTATTATACTTTATAAAGAGAGGCAAAGTGAGGTATGACCAAATTCTACCTAAGGCTTAAAATAGTAAAAATTTTAGAGACACACAGTTAACAAATGAGATAAAGCATTTTAATGATGCTGCCACCCATCATACCAGCTACAAATACTAAATATGTAACCAGCAAGTGCCCTTTGGGATGTATGCAACACAGGCTCTAACACAGGTTTAATTACATGGCTAGTAAGAGATTCATCGCACTCAAAATTCAACTGTAAATTTTGCTCCTTGATGCTCTGAAATTCTGTCAATATTAGATTAACAAGTAAATATTAATTAAAATATCTAAGTCCTTTTTTGGAAATGCCCATTAGATCAAGTCGACAATTACAAAACACGCCTGTGCAACAACACTCCTGCCCCACAGAAAATATGTGCAAAAGAGCTCAATATATTTGCCTGTTGAGTCTGGACAGTATTTTACACAAAATGATACATCCTTCTAGGTGCCATCCTAAGGCTACAAATCTCATAAATGTTACTAAGATCAAATTGCTTCTTCTGTATATAATAAGACATTTCTATTAATTGCATGCAATCCTGATCTTTCTAATGCATATGCAATCACATTCCTATTTATCTCATTAAAGCTAATGGTTACTGTATATATTGGAGTATGGAAAGAATAAGAAAATTAGTTTTCTGGAAAAAACTCAAAAGGAATGAGGCAGGTTGACAATGCATAATTTTAGCTGGGCGCAAGAGCTCACGCCTGTAATCTCAACACTTTGGGAGGCCAAGGTGGGTGGACTGCGTGAGCACAGGAGTTCAAGACCAGCCTGGATAACATAGCAAAACCCCGTCTCTTCTAAAAATACAAAAAATAGCTGGGTGTAGCAGCTGGAGTCTGTAGTCCTAGCTACTTGAAGGCTGAAGTGAGAGGATCACCTGAGCCTGGGAATGGAGGCTGCAGTGAGTTGTGACTGAGCCACTGCACTCCAGCCTGGGCAACAGGATTGAGACCCTATCTCAAACACAACAAAATAAAACAAAAAAAGACAATACATAATTCCGAGGTCACAATCAAACTAAATTCTAATTACTTAATAAATCTCCATAGGGATACACATTAAAAACTGTCAAGTTATGCTAAGGTACTACATGCATCCTGCACTTACCAAAGTCCACTTCCACTACTAATTTGATTAAACAAAATTCATAATGTGGTATTTATTTTATGCAACCAAAATAATCATTTCTCAGCAGAATGACAGCAGTCAGCTATCAATTACTCACAGATTGATTATAATTTAATGAATTATAAATCAATAACTGATTATACTGTCTCTCCATCTTGAAGTAGGGATACTGGGAAAGAAGGTACACATTTTTTATCTTTATTTGCACTCTATTTTAAAAATAAGGTGTCTACTGACATAATCTTGTTGAGAATCAAACCAGAAATAAGTTGGACCAATCATGTATAGGCAATTATTATGTAAAACATTTTTGATAATAGGTATATGGTGTATTTAACAATGGGAAAAAAAATCAATCCTTATGTGTCTAGGGGCCCTTTTAACTCCATGAAATGAGTTAATTCCTCATTGTAACAAAGAATCGCTGCTACTACCCAACTTATCTTTTTGCTAAGTATAGACTGTCAATATCTCACTTGCATGAGTAGGATTCTCAAATTTTCTGCATACTATATAAAATCTAGTTTTAATTAAATGTAATAATCCTGGCATACATTTAAAGGAAAAAAGTTATGATTCTGGGCTTTAATAACAACAACAACAAAAACAAAGCAAAAATGAACCAGGATATAGTTGATTTGTAAAATGCCCTTTCCTTCTTGCTCTATGTTCTGTATACTTTTCCCTCAGGCTGATAGTGGGAAGAAAGAAAACATCTGCTTACCATCACCACCCAGTAAGGCTCATATAATACCATGGCTCAAGAAAATTTACATTCTTCACCATATATATGTCATAAGTAAAATTTAAAACTAGCAAATTCATTTTACTTTAATTTCACTAGCTTTCCTCTTCTAAGAAAACAATGATTTTATATTCAAAGTAAGAACAGCTGGGGAAAATGCTAGTTAGTGTAGGTAAATCTGATTTCATACACCTGGAAGTATGAGATTTTTTTTAAGCTGCAATCTATCGTTAAACATGGTGCTTCCTACCTGTAAATAGTATTGAGGTTCCCACATATCCTCCAATCCATTAGAATTTTCAAGTAAGTAAAAAACCTGCATACACATTAATATATATACTTCTGTTTTGCTCACAGAGGAGGTATTGTTTTCTCCCAAACCACATAATTTGCTTCTATATACTTCCTTAAATAGATAGGTGAATATGACCATAAATGTATTGAGGACAAATGTGATAAAAGTTATCAAAACTACACCATCTTAACACCTTTTCTGGCTAACAGATGCTTCACATAAGAAAACCAACTCAAAAATCACAAAAAGAAGGAAAAAAAAAAACAAGAAAAAACTTTCTTGAATACAGAAAAATATAGTAATTACACTGCTACCAAAAAAAAAAAACCAAAAAGCAAAAATCTAATCTATCTAGAATGCTGTCTAGTAACAGCAGTAGAACTTTGATTCGAAAAACATAGCTGGCTGAAAAAACAAGCTCACAGGGACACCCTACTTGCCCTTGGGTTGTGAAACTAGAAGTAATTTATTTTTCTCTATTTCACAAATCTTCTATTTAACACAGAAAATGAAATAAAATAATGGGATTAAAATTAAATAAGACAAGAAACACGGTGAAGTATGTGCTGGAGAGAAGTTTTAAAAAAGCATCAACAATCCAAACTCATAATTAAACTAAACTTTACACCAATCTGCTGTAAACAGTATATAAATTTTAGGCAGCTCAAAAGTACTGGGATTTCTGAACCATGAAGCAGCAATTGATTGGAGAAAAAATAGGCCACCTGATCCATACCCCCAAGGCAAATATGAACCAGAAGAAGAAAACAAATAGGTGATATACATTATTACTATATTCTATGATAACAAATAGTATGAAAAGTTAAATGATACTAAGAAGCTGCTTAGTAATTTACACACACAAAAAAAATACATAACAGGCTCATTAGTAAGTAAGACTACTTTTGCTCCTTGTGTCCAGATTTGTTCATTCACCAAATAGTATTAAGCACCTCTAGTAGGGGGACAATTATAGGTAGCTGGTATACATCAATGAACAAGACACACAAATCTATCTCCTTATGGACCTAATATGCTATTACAACAAATGAACAACGATGTAGCTTCACAGACGTTCATCTATATAATTTATAAAAACAAAACATTCAGAAACTACTTAAATATTGTACCTATTGAATATGATTGAAGAGGTTAATATTTGAAAATACATTATTAAATAAATATGTAATTTTACTTTTAAAAGTTTACTCATTCTCCACCCACAGGTGCAGAAAATAGCTTAAGTCACACAAGAAGAATAAGACACTATGTCAGCCTTTGTCCTATTTCAATTTCTAGTTTCGAACCTGCTCTTACCTTAAAAACCACATTTAATGGCAATGCTGCTCGAAACTTGGCTAGGTATAACCAGTTGTCCTTGGCCACTAACAAAGGTGATCAAAGCAAGATGTGTTCTGGACAATCTCATCTATTAAACATGTTTTTAATGAAGAAACATCCTATAAGATGTTTCTTTCTTAGGCACTATGGCTCACACCTGTAATTGCAGCACTTTGGGAGGCCAAGTCAGGAGAATCACTTGAAGCCAAGAGTTCAAGACCAGCCTTGGGCAATAAAGCAAGACCCCCATCTCTACAAAAATATTAAAAATTAGGCAGGTGTGGTGGTTGATACGGTTTGGCTCTGTGTTCTTACCCAAATCTCTTGAATTGTAATCCCCATAATCCCCATGTGTCGAGGGAGGAACCTGGTAGCAGGTGATCATGGAGGAGGTTTCCCCCATGCTGTTCTCATGATAGTGAGTGGGTTCTCATGAGATCTGATGATTTCATGTGTTTGACTGTTCCTTCTCCACACATGCTCTTTTTCCTGCAGCTTTGTGAAGAAGGTACTTGTCTCTCCTTTGCCTTCTGTCATGCTTGTAAGTTTCCTGAGGCCTCCCCAGCCATGCAGAACTAAGGCAATTAAACCTCTTTTCTTTATACATTATTCAGTCTCAAGCAGTTCTTTATAGCAGTGTGAGAACAAACTAATACAGTGTTGCACACCTGTGGTCCTAGCTACTTAGGAGGCTGAGGCAGGAGGACTGCTTGAGAGGCGGGAGGATTGCTTGAGCCCAGGAGTACCAGGCTGCAGTGAGCTATGATCCCACCACTGTACTCCAGCCTGGGCAACAGAGTGAGACCTGGTGGCAAAAAAAAACAAAAACAAAAAAACCCACATCCTATGGGGTAGATTTCAAAGACATGCCATGCAACTGGCCACTACAGGTGAAGAAATGTACTTCCTTCTCATTATATTTGCTGTACAGAAACATCTGAAAAGCACCGTTTTCTTATTTTATTTTATTTATTTATTTTATTGAGACGGAGAGTCTCACTCCGTCGCCCATGCTAGAGTGCAGTGGCACAATCTTGGCTCACTGCAACCTCCGCCTCCTGGGTTCAAGCAATTCTCCTGCCTCAGCCTCTCGAGTAGCTGGGATTACAGGCACCCACCATTATGCCCAGCTAATTTTTGTATTTTTGTAGAGATAGGGTTTCACCATATTTGCCAGGCTGGTCTTGAACTCCTGACCTCAGGTGATCCACCTGCCTCGGCCTCCCAAAGTACTGGGATTACAGGCCTGAGCCACCACACTCAGCCTCATTTACTTAATTTTTAAAAGTCCTTTTATTCTACCTTTTTCAATTAAAAAACAAACAAACACCAATGAACTTCTCTTTATAACATTCTGCCAGCAGTTTATGTAAAGAAGCAGGAAGAATGAAAAGATCTAAATGAGGGTAACTAACAGCATCAACTGCAGCCACCCTCAGCATCTGGATTTTTAGGTACCTCCAATATTGTTTCCAGGTTTAGTTAATGTCTTTCCAAATATCCATACCTGGAGAGGGATTCCCCTGGGTTAAATCTCTAACACAAGCCCCACTACCCAGACAGCACAAGTAAGCTGTGAGAATACGGGTCTCCATTAACTTCTCATATGAAAGCCTTAAATGAAGAGTATGGCCTCAAAAAGAATTTTTTTAAATCTATGGCCTCAAAAAAAGAGAGGCAATCAGACTCTGGGGCAAACTACTCCAATTTCATATATCAAGACTGAATGAGACAAACTGACATCAAATGCCTCCTGATATGGTACATTAAGAAGAATACACCATCACTTCTCTCATACTCTATTACTGCCAAAAACACAGAACCAGAATCTAAACATAAGGAACAAGCCAAATTGAGGAACAAACCCCAACTGTGGAACAGTTGACAAAATGAAACAAAAAACTGAGGAACTGGCCCAGATTAAAGGAGACTAAGGACACACAGCAAAAAGTCACCCAGTTAGTAACATCAACTTCGAAAGAGAAATGAGGTCTACATTTCTCATCTCCCCTTCCGCAGTGTATACATAAAACCCACACACCCTACACGTGATTATTAGTGATAATGGGCAGCAGCAAAGATTGTATTTTGCTTTAAAATGCATTATATAATTTGACAAAGAAGTTTTGTTTTGTCTTACCAATTAAGTTTGGCTTAGGTAAACTACAAGACACAAGATAAAATTGCATTCTCTACACATCAACTGATGACCACTCAAGCACCAACTCTAGAATACAAGTGGCTTAAAATAAAAACAGAGAAAGGCAGATAAGTAAAGAATTTACAGAAAAAAATGTCTCAGTAAGCAAATTTCACTAGGGAAACCATTTTAGAAAATATATGCCTGACTCAAACAAAGAATCACATCAAACCTAAGGGTTTTCCACAAAGAGAAATACAATGAAACTTTAAAGAGGTTCCAAGTGTTTATTCAGTTGTTACTAATAACTCCTTCAGACGCCTCACTTCATCTTATGAACTGCCTTTAAAATGGCACACATGCCTTTATGAATTTCAGTCACAGTTCCCTGATGATTTTGTCTGCCTTCTAGTTTGGCCACTGGAAAAAGTAAGATAAATCTTTGGGAGAGGGAAAGCAGTGTTCAAGACCTGAAAAGTGTCACTTGATGAGAGCACACACAAAGTTTATCATACAGGCTAAGTGCATGGACTCAGGAACTAGGTTGCTTAAATTGAAATCCTGGCTTTATTGCAAGCTAGCGGTGTGACCTGGAGCAAGAAATTTACTCAAACTCTCTGTGCTTCAGTTTCTTCAATGGAAAACACAGATAAATGTACTTCTAATCAAAAAGGTTCATATATGTAAAGCACTATAATAGTGTCCAGCACTGAGTAAGCCCACTACTACTCTTTCAAGGCTGGATTACTGAATGATACCTAATCTAATGAATACTGTGAAACCGAAATGGTCCCTTCAAAACAAGTATATATTTATACTGCCTTAAAAATACATACAATCAAATATCGATACAGGATTTTATAAAGAACTCCTAAGCTCAACAACAAAGAAACTTAGTTCATAAATGAGCAAAGGAATAGACATTTCTCTAAGGAAGATACACAAGTGGCCAATAAGCACATGAAAAGATGCTCAACCTCATTAATTAGGGAAATGCAAATCAAAACCATGAGATACCACTTCATACCCATTAGGATGGCTCTGATTTAAAACAAAAAACAACAATAACAATAAAGTAACAAGGGTTGGCAAGGATATGGGGAAAAGTGGAACCTTTCATATATAGCTAGTGAGAATGTAAAATGGTACAGCCACTATGGAAAACAGTATGGTTCCTCAAAATACTAAACACAGAATTGCCATATGATCCATCAGTTCCACTCCTGAGCATATACTCAGAAAAAACAGAAGCTGGAATTAAAAGACAGTTGTACACTAATATTCATAGTACCATTATTCACAATAGCCAAAAGGTGGAAAACAACTCAAATGTACACTGACAATGAACAAATGGATAACAAAAATGTGGTACATACATACATATGATGGGATATGATTCAGCCTGAAAAGGAAATTCTGATATGTTACAACACAACATGAATAAACCTTGAAGACATGCTAAGCGAAATAAGCCAAACACAAAAGGACAAATATTATATGATTCCACTTATATGAGGTCCTAGAGTAGTCAAATTCATGGAGACAGAAAAATTGGTGGCTACCAGGGACCTGGGGGGAAGGGAGAATGGAGAGTTATTGTTAAATGAGCACAGAGTTTCAGTTTGGGAGGATGAAAATTTCTGGAGATGGATGGTGGTGATGGTTAAGTACATTCACAACATCAATGTACTTAATGTCACTGGACTGCAAACTTAAAATTGGTTAAAATGGTTAATTTTACATTATGTATATTTTACCACAAAAAAATATATTTAGTTTGTCCTTAAACTATGGCTTAGAGAGGGATAACTAAGCTCAGCTGTGAAGGGTCCTATGTTAGTGCCAGGTCAGGTGGCTCCAGCTGCCCAGTAACAGAAAAAACAGACAAGTAGTTGTCAAAACTAGCAATAAAAAGGAGATAAAAAGGAACCTGAGGAGTATATGTATGAATATAAATGGTTCCTATTACCATCAAGGTAAGGATACAAAAGGAGAGAGAAGCATAGTGAAGTCTGTTCTAGAATCCACGCCTCCCTAGGAAGGGCGGCCAGAGAGCACGCAGCAAGCATCCCTTTCCCCTGACTTGCTACATGATGGGCTTCGTGCCTGCTTTGTGTGCGTCCCAACAAAGACTGATGGGGACTGAACATCTTCCATGGAAAATCCACAATGTGATTATGGAAAACTGGCTTGTACATAGAAGACGTCACACAGTTTTTTCTTCCTTGCATTTTCTCTCTTATTTCTCACCCTCACTTCAAATTGTTTAAGTAGTGAAATTCTTTTGCCTATTTCACCTAAAACTGAGATGAAGAGGAATGAGGGAGAATGGTAATAATTAACTGTTCTCCTAGATTCTGGTTCCTTTTCCCTTTCACTATTCAACACACATGTAAGTGCCCATTAGGTGTTAGGTACCACACTAGACACTTGGAACAGATAGCAGCAAATAAGAAACACTGTCCCTATCCATATGAAGTACATTACAATAGCAGCTACTGGAGGGCAGGCATTATATTACATACTTTGCATGCGTATCTCACATCATACCCACATTATTCTTTTTTTTTTTTTTTTTTTTTGAGACAGGGTCTCCCTCTGTCGCCCAGGCGGGAGGGCAGTGACATGATCTCGGCTCACTGCAACCTCCACAGGCTGAAGTGATCCTACTCCCCAGTAGCTAGGACCACAGGTGCGAGCCACCATGGCCACCTAATTTTTGTATTTTTTTGCAGAAACAGGGTTTCACCATATTGCCCAGGCTAGTCTCAAACTCCTGAGCTCCGGTGATCCCCCTGCCTCAGCCTCCCAAAGTGCTGGGATTACATGCATGAGCCACCGTGCCCAGCCCTCACATCAATCTTACCAGGTAGTTATTATTATCCTCATCATACAGATGAGGAAACCAGCTTAGAAACTACCTTGCACAAGTTCATATACTGGTAAATTCAGTTCAAAATGTTAACTAGATTATAATGTTCATGATTTTCCACGTACTCTGTTAACTAGATTATAATGTTCATGATTTTCCACGTACTCTGCATTAGGACAGAATTTAATTGCATTTCAATTATGGACACTATGTTGTGAAAAGAGTGCCAGGGGCCGGGCACACTGGCTCACGCCTGTAATCCCAGCACTTTGGGAGGCAGGTGGATCACTAGGTCAAGGGATCAACACCATCCTGGCCAACATGGTGAAACCTTGTCTCTACTAAAAATACAAAAATTAGCTGGGCATGGTGGTGCGCACCTGTAGTCCCAGCTACTCGGGAGGCTGAGGCAGGAGAATTGCTTGAACCCTGGGGGATGGAGGTTGCAGTGAGCCGAAATGGTGCCACTGCACTCCAGCCTGGTGACAGAGCGAGATTCCATCTCGAAAAAAAAAAAAAGAAAAGGGTGACCGGATATGAATTTTTATGACAGAATTGTAAAGTGCACTAACTGACCTAAAACCTTCTATGATATAGCACTGATTTAGTGTGAGTGAGGGAGGCAACAAAAAATCTGAAAGGAAACTTTCTTTCATTACCTTCCCAAACCTTCAGTACTGACTAAATTTTGCAAGGGTAAAGAGTAAATTTTTCCTTGATTACTAGAAGTAAGAAAATGTTTTCTAAAGCTGTAAACATGGCAGAGCATGGTGGCTCACGCCTGTAGTCCTAACACTTTGGAAGGCCGAGGCGAGTGGATCACCTGAGGTCAGGAGTTTGAGACCAGCCTGGCCAACATGATGAAACTCCGTCTCTACTAAAAATACAAAAATTAGCTGGACATGGTGGTGTGCGCCTGTAAGCCGGTGGCGGGCACCTGTAAGCCCAGCTACTCAGTAGGCTGAGGCAGGAGAAACGCTTGAACCCAGGAGGCGGAGGCTGCAGTGAGCCAAGATCGTGCCACTGCACTCCAGCCTGGGTGACAGAGCAAGACTCCATCTCCAAAAAAAAAAAAAAAAAAAAGTAAAAAATAAAGCTGTAAACACAAAATTCAGGAAATCTAAAGACATCTGTTATGGGTGCCACACCTTGACTACATACATACACACATAAAGACACTTGTGTGTGCACATATATGTATGTCATAAATCTGATGCTGAAACAATTTCTCTTGCATTTTTCCTGCACAAGAGCACTATGTTACAATTGCAGTAGGGACTGTGACAGTCTTCTGAATGTACGGCTTACACTATCAATCAGAATTCTGCAAAGAACGCTTTTTTTCTAAATTGAAAAAGAACATGAATCTACATAGAGTTCCATTTAATGAAGAGGTTTTGTGTTCTTTTTTCTGTTGGTAGAAATTACACAGACACAGTACCAGTCCAGCCTCCATCAAACCATGTTTGGCCAATTTCTTAGCAGCCAAGCCTTTGACACACAGTTTGGTATTTTCATGTACTTGAATCCAGCAGTGCATCTTTCCTTTTCAATAACAGAGACCAGAGCATTTATGGAGCCCTTCAGAATAAGGCCTAATGCACAAAGGAAAGACCATCAGTCAGGTTTATAAGGGGTTAAGCTACTTCAGAGAAGCCTGCCCCTAAGGAAAAAATTAAAGATGACAATTGCCACTTTTAAACACATATAAAATAGGACATTGTAGATATTCTACACGAGTTTAAAAATAATGCAATAAACTAAAATAAAATGATGGGAATCAAAATTCCTATGTTCAGAATGGGGGAGAAGAGATTTCCAAAACATTTTATGTAACACCATTACATGAAAAAGGAAATGCCTTTTTTGCTTGAGTGTTAATACAAAGCAATACATTTCTTCTTTTGAATTGTAACTTACATTATAATGATCAAACCTACATTTGTGGTAAAAATGAAAACCACTTTGAAGAAGCGGTCTTAACCACAATACAAAGCTTACTGGCTTTCTGCCAACGTGTATCTGAGCCATTAAGCTGTCACGTTGCCTTCCTGCATTGCTAGGACCAAAAGAGCAGGCCCACCAGCTAGTATCTGCTCACTCAAGCCTCACAGGAGGCCATGAGGCTCTGAAAGGGAAAAAAACAGCACAGGAGCACAAGGCTTGATGGTGCAAGATCTAACTGCAAGCTGCTTTGCCT
Source organism: Homo sapiens (assembly GCF_000001405.40). Taxonomy (NCBI): domain Eukaryota; kingdom Metazoa; phylum Chordata; class Mammalia; order Primates; family Hominidae; genus Homo; species Homo sapiens. The sequence continues at coordinate 26,372,798 of NC_000004.12, read as the reverse complement.
TGGGTAATACTACAAGCTCATTAATGCTTCTACAAACATCTGACAATGTTTGCCTTTGGAAAGGTTTGGAATTGAGACTGGCCAGATCACCAAGCACTGATTAAAGTACACATCATCAGTAACTTATGGAAACACTAGTATAGGAGGGAAAGCCTTGAGAGAGTGAGTCGGGGTGGCAATGCAGAAGACAAGAACAAGGCCCCTAGGAAGTGGACACGATTTTCAGAGTTTTGAGTCATTCATGTTATGTATTTACTTGATACTTTGCTATGCTATGTATGAACTCAAATTGTACAAGCTGCAAAGGTGTTGTGTTACAGTTAATTTACTAGTTAACTGTCTAGTCAATCGCCCTACGTCAAATTGCTTAATTAAGAAACAAGAGACTAGTTTTTCTTTAAAGATGAGCTCCACTGTAGCTATTTAATTCTTAATATTCCTCCTCTCACCAACTTCTGCACAGGCATGTTTCCTAAAGTCATGTGGTGTCTCTACTGTCTACAGCACTAGTATTACTGATCTCCTCCCTCATCTTGCCTTCCACCACAGGCAGTTCACTAACAAATTCCATCAACTGGATTTCCAAATTATCTTCTCTATCTCCATTCTCTAAATCTGTAAGATTAGATGAAGTCTCATTGCCACTTATACCTGTAGCTTCCTCAACTGGCTTCATATAGCAAAGTAAACGAGACAGCAATAGACAAAATACATCTCCTTATGTGTATTCTCATTTAAGTATCATTAACAATCCTGAGAGGCAGCATTATTTCTAATTTAAAAAGGAAAAACGAAGGTCGGAAAGCCACAAGGTGAGGGTTTCCCTCATTCCTGACTCTACAATGATCAACAAAGGTTAAAGATAATGAGCCCCACATATAAAACAAATAAGGAAGCCATATTCTGTTCCATAAACTACTTATATTCTTTGCCTTTCCAAAATAATGACTTTATCCCAATTCACTGATAACATTTATTCTCTTTTCCCAGTAAACAAACCACCTATCATTATTTAATGTTTCAAAGAAATCACTTCTTAACCTGTAATTGATTTCTCAGCAAACCAAAACTGTTGAATCCCAAGGATGAAATACTGTAATATTCCAATTTGAGAATATGAAGCAATAGCATAAGGTGAAATAAACCAGGGAAATCTGTGTTAACAGCTGTAGAGATCACTCAAATTCAGACTCCTAAAGAATTATAACTAAGTAACCTAGCAATGAAGAAAATGTCATACCACTGTATTTGTGCTGAGAAAAAAAAATGCCAACTAGTTTCCACAATAAACTGGAAATGCACACTCAATATTTTAGGCTATAACTTTTAATCCTGGGCAGTATTTTTTCTTAATAGCATACATGCCCATTAGAGAAATATGGCCAAAGTTATAAGCTTGTATTATTCACGTTCAAGATGACTCATGTGTGTACAATATTGAGTTCTCAAATACAAATCTGTATGCAGTAGGTGCTCACTATATGAATAAACTGTAATAGCAAGTCATCTGTTAAAACACATGCAACCAAAACAAAAAGATTATTATGGAATTTTATCTATTAAACTACATTATTATTTAGATCAATTACAATTTAACATGATTAAAGCACAGTTAAATGATGATTTAAAAAAACTGATCTGTAATGTTTAAGTTAATTTCCACGATGGAGAAAAAAATTGTAAGTTGACATTAACTTTTCAATTTTTTTTTTTTTTTTTGAGATGGAGTCTCGCTCTGTCGCCCAGGCTGGAGTGCAGTGGCGCAATCTCGGCTCACTGCCAGCTCTGTCTCCCAGGTTCACACCATTCTCCTGTCTCAGCCTCCAGAGTAGCTGGGACTACAGGCGTCCGCCACCACGCCCGGCTAATTTTTTGTATTTTTAGTGGAGACGGGGTTTAACTGTGTTAGCAAGGATTGTCTCGATCTCCTTATCTCGTGATCTGCCGGCCTCGGTCTCCCAAAGTGCTGGGATTACAGGCGTGAGCCAGTGTACCCAGACCCTAACTTTTCAAATTTTACAATGGAGAGAAAAGGGAACTATTTTACCAAATTCAGGTAGCTAAAACTGATAGAACTATCTTTCCTATGGAGAATGCCCTACAAAGATACAACACTATAGCTTACTGTTATTACTTGCTCCACAAGCAATGTTCTTTAATGAAGCATGGTGCCACTTCAAGGAAGTGATAATCCACATTTTTGAAAGATTCTATAAAGAAGTGGTATCAAGATCTAAATGGGAGTCTCTCAATACACCTTACAAATTCCCTGATGTAGTTTTGTTGAGTCTAAAACTAATTGATTGGAAAATGTGATACACCATGTTCAGATCTCCAGCAATTACACCCAGGCAATTCTTTACTATAGTAACAATAATATACCACTGTGTTTAAGAAAATAATGACATTATTAAACATAATGTTATTAGTTAACAAATTGATTACCTGTGCTTTTAAAATGTTAGGAGCTCAGGATATAAAGAAGAATTTCAGATTGAAAAGAAAACCTTAATTCTAAGTAAAAATTTGAACTTTGGAACAAAAATCAAGTTGAAAGGGAGTCATTCTAACTGTTAATTTTTCCTATTATTTATCAATGTTTTGGTTTGGTTCTAGCATTTCTCCAAAATTAAAACCACTGGTCCAGTTATTATATTTGACAAGGCCTTTATTCTGAAAACTACTACTCATCCTGGATCAGCTCTCTCCTTTTTGGACAATCTCCTAAGATCTAAGATTTATGCTATTCCCAGCATCCTCCTGACTTGATCCTTGTTGGTCAGATAACTTCTCACTTGACCTGCCCAGTTCGCTGACTCAAAAGCAATGTTCACATACTATTCTTTTACAGGCAGAATGTACAGCAAACTCTTTGGTTTGTTCAGGCTGCATGTAAATGAGGAATGGGAGGAGAAGAGAGAGAAAGGGGCTGGTAGGTTGGAAGAGAGAGGGAGGAAAGCAGAGAACACTGGAGTACAAAAGAGCAGTGAAAAAAAAGAGAAAGAAAAGATTGTTTGAGGGAGTGTCACAGCCACCAAGTTGAAGAGAAATAAAAGAGAGCAATGGAGTATCTAGTGACCATAAAAGGGCAACTGTCCACCTCCTAACAAACCAAATCTGGTCAGCCCCAAATATGGAAATGTTTTAGTTGAAATACAGAGCTTTTCTTCTGTGGAATATGAGCATAGATCACAATCAAATAATCTCACACTTGGATATCTACCACTGTGAGAAAAATCTGGTGAATTATTACATAAACTCTTTCCACATTTTGCTTCCTCAAAATCCAGGTTTTTCTACAAAAACAAACAAAGAAAAAATCCCAACACTTTTATAGTTATTCTAGAGCTTCCGTCTCTGTAAAATAGGAATGTTAATTGTTAGCAATCTGCAGAGCTATTGTGAAGACTGGGTAAATCATTTGGTAAGGGAAATCTTGTAAGCGCAATATTGATTCATTGTTAGCATAACACACTCAGATATTCTTGGCCTTCAGATGTACCAATCCCCACCTCACAAGAGTTCAGTGATGACAAATTTCTAGAAATTGAAATCATTTCAAAATAAGATTACCTTCTTATATATCTAGCTATTCTCTCAGTTTGTAAATTAAGAGGTTGGTAAATAAGAGTATGACCTGTTCTGCCATGACAAGATAGATGCATGTCTTAAAAACCTAGTAGTATCAAAAGTTCATTCATTTGGCTAATATTTGCTGAATACCTGTTATGACTATTCACTGTCCCAGGGGATGGAGTTACAGGAGTCAACAAAATAAGCAAAATCTGCTAATGAGGGTAGGGGAAAGAACAGATTTGGAAAGTAGACCAAGGATTGAAAATTGGCTCCCTACAGAGATAGTGACTGTTTATTTCAAATATGAATGCTTTCAGTGTGTTCTGCTTGCACCCAGTCACCCCCCATTTTATAAGCATATTTGTGTCATTTATCTCTGGCCTATCCCTGCCCCAGGGCTAGAATTTCTCACTCAAGTTAGTTTTTCCACAGAAAATTCAACAACAAAGGAGTTTATTTAAAGTTAAATTTCATGCACATTTGATTAATCTAGCTGCTTAGCTGCTGCCACCAACACTTCTACAGGCATTTTTAATCCCCTCACCACCCTTGGGTGCCATCTCTGGCTACTGATCTCAGTTTGGGGCCAACTAAACTAGAATGCAGTTTAGTTTCCTTCTAAAGTACACTCTAGGCGGAGAAATTTACCAAAGAAAAAGAATACACGCTGCTATCATGCATGATGACAACCAAAGGAAAGACACAAAGCTTTGAAGAAACAAATTCCACAGAGAGACAACACAAAACCTCGTGCTTCCAACAGGATAACCAGTATGAGGTGGAAAGCAGTGACAATGAAGTGAGTAAACATAACTTAAGGGGGAAAAAAAGCAATCCTCTTACAATGCCAAAAAGCCAAAACAACGCTATGGAAAAGAGTAGGAAGAGTTGGATAATCTGGGAGAAGACAAGGGGTTAATGTGGAATAGGGGGAATCTGGTGAAACAAAGCAACAGAAAAAAATGAATTCAATTCTTCCATACTCTGAATCCATATGTTTTCATTTACTGCCTCCACCACTAAAGATGTATGCCTGCACACATCTGTACAAAGACAAGCAACCATCATCAGGGTAGTTAACACACTGATTGGGAGAGGTTATTTATCTTCTGTAATTTCAAAACGTGATTTCTGAAGAGCATATCATGCCCAATTCAGAGAACTGAACTATGTACTTTGACTAAATTTCCAAGAACTTGCAGAAAAAGATGAATTATGCATATTATCTTTTGTCCTCCTCTTTTGGCAAATAATTCTTCCATTTTTCAACTCCCAAGTGTAGAAAACTAATGTACAAATTCCACTGCTGTGAAACAATTTACCAGAAGTCTTCATCTTTTCACTGTTTTCTAAGGAGAAAGAAACTATATTTTAGACAATCTTAAAATATACATATGCTGATACCACCCTGCTTTGAAGCCTTATTTATTTTAAAATATTCACCAGAAACTCTGTGATCATCCTCAATAAATCTATAAAGCAAACATCTGCTGTTATGAGGACACTGCAGTAGGCACAGGAACTAATCCAAGAAAAATAAAATTTAAAATGTTACTGAAATCTTCACAAAAACAGAAGCTTTAACATTTGAACATTTAACTGCCTTCAATATTTGTAATGTATTGGATTTATGCTTAATTTTTTGCAACTTTAAATTTTATATTTGCCTTCTGAATTGAAGAAGCACCTATTATACAAACAAGTCCTAACATATAAAAAGTGAAACTGAGAGGTTTTATTTTTTATTTTTTTGAGACAAGAGTCTTGCTCTGTTGCCCAGGCTGGAGTGTAGTGCCATGATCTTGGCTCACTGCAACCTCCGTGTGCTAGATTCCAGTAATTCTCCTGCCTCAGCCTCCCAAGTAGTTGAGATTAACTGCATCTGGTTAATTTTTGGATTTCTAGTGAGATGGGGTTTTCCCATGTTGGCCAGGCTGGTCTTGAACTCCTGACCCCAGGTGGTCTGCCCACCTCGGCTTCCCAAAGTGCTGGGATTACAGGCGTGAGCAACTGCACTTGGCCTGAACTGATAGGTTTTAGCGTGCATCATCATTTTATTTGTATTTTCTTTTTATTTTATTAATTAATTTATTTTTTTGAAACAGAGTCTCACAACTGTCGCCCAGGCTGAAGTGCAGTGGCGCGACCTCAGCTCACTGCAACCTCCACCTCCAAGGTTCAAGAGATTCTCCTGCCTCAGCCTCCCGAGTAGCTGGGATTACAGGCGCCTGCCACCATGCCTGGCTAATTTTTGTATTTTTAGTAGAGATGAGGTTTCACCATATTGGCCAGGCTGGTCTCAAACTGGTGACCTTGTGATCCACCTGCCTCGGACTCCCAAAGTGCTGGGATTACAGGCGTGAAACACGACGCCCGGCCTATTTGTATTTTTTTTTAAACTGCATGAGTCTCTTACATCAATGCAAAGCAAGGGTAAATCCTTCCACAACTAGGATGTATTGTAAATTTCCTATGTATGAACCTTTAAATATTTACCAAGACAGACTGGGGGCGGTGGCTCATGCCTGTAATCCCAGCACTTTGGGAAGCCGAGGCAGGCAGATCACGATTTCAGGAGATTGAGGCCATCCTGGCTAACACGGTGAAACCCCGTCTCTACTAAAAATACAAAAAATTAGGCATGATGGCACGCGCCTGTAGTCCCAGCTACTCAGGAGGCTGGGGCAGAAGAATCACTTGAATCCAGGAGGCGGAGGTTGCAGTAGAGCTGAGATCATGTCACTGTCCTCCAGCCTGGGTGACAGAGCAAGACTTGGTCTCAAAAAAATAAATAAAAATAAATACACATATATATTTACCAGGGCAAACAAACACATACACATCACAAAACAATATAGCAACAAAAAAACAAAACCAAAGTTTTATAGCAAACTAACTGTTCTCTACCATCAGAGATAAACAAAACAAAACAAAACAAAACAAAAAAAAACTACTGATCTGGTAATATTTGTCTTAAATATCTGAAGCTTTTGTGGCTGAGGTCAGCTTGGCAATATGAATTTATTAGACTGAGTTTCATAGTTTTCCAGTTGATAATCACTAGAAATTAGGTCTCTGCAATCCCATACATACACATGCCACTGACACAGAAGTTTTAGAAAGGTATATATTGTGTGATACATTCATAATATTTTCTATTTTGTTCTTTTCTGTTTCATTAGGGGGTAGGGGGTTCACGGGAGGCAGCAACTTGCTAAATTGATTCCAGAGTGTGCTACCACTGGCAGTTTGAAAACCACTGATCTATGAGTTGATAACCATCACAATACATGCCAAGGGGCAAGATACTACATCACTCTACTTAATAAAACAGCCTTGGTTAATGTTACTCAAAAGCCACTGCTGCTATGTTCTTCTACTCTCTATTCCTTAGATACTCTCTAACAACCTTTACTTCAAAAAATAAAAGTAAAAGATGGTAGGAGGACCCTTGAAAGTAATGTAGAGGATATGGCATACCATTAGAAAGCATACTGAAACTTATGCTGGTCACTTCCTCTCAGAAGGCAAAATAATATAAAACTAATACCACTTTTAAAGGATGTCTATGACTAAGGGAAACATACACTTAGTGGAACTAAACAATATCCACATAAATGTGGATATATTTTATTTCAATCTTTTGATAAAACTAAACAGAAGTTTCAAGAAATACATTCTTTTCTATATTCAATGCACTGATATTTTATTTTCTATGCTAATACATGCTTTAATGCTGGTCATAACCCACTGAATTTATTTCTTGACCCACTCATGAATGTGCTGAAGCCTGCAATTTGAAAAACACAGCTTTAGAAAACACACACATCACCCCAGCAGGATAAGATGATCATGGATAAAGTAGCAGACTCCAGTGGCCACCTTCTTTCACTGATGAGAAAAAGCCCAAAAAATTGAAAACATCAGTCAAATAGTGATGGCTTATTTTACTCTAGGAATAGCATAGAAGAGTACAAGACTCAGTCAGGGTAAGAAAAATGTAATAGCGTACCCTCTACAAAAAAAAATCTAATCTGGCATTTAATAATCATCAACACTTAATCTGACACTGGCTTCCTACATGCCCAAACCTGCACTGTGTGTATATATATAATTATCTATATATAAATCATATTATATAATTATATAACAATATGCTTATTTTTCTAATATATAAATTTATGGGTTTCTTCAAGTCACTCTTAGAACTTGTCACAATAATAAGGGAAGGATTAGATTTGAAATGCAGGTGAGGTGACCCCAGGATCTAAGTAAGCTCTTAACCACAAAGTTATAAAGACTTCCAGGCCGGGCACGGTGGCTCACACCTATAATCCCAGCACTTCGGGAGGCCGACATGGGCAGATCAGGAGTTCGAGACCAGCCTGGCCAACATAGCGAAACCCCGTCTCTACTAAAAATACAAAAAATTAGCTGGGCATGGTGGCTCGCGCCTGTAATCCCAGCTACTGGGGAGGCTGAGGCAGGAGAATTGCTTGAACCGGGAGGTAGAGGTTGCAGTGAGCCGAGATCACACAATTGCACTCCAGCCTGAGCAACAGAGCAAGACTCCATTTCAAGAAAAAAAAAAAAAAAAGAAAATGAAAAAGAAAAAAAAAAAAAAGTCTTCCAAATAGAACAGGACTTCCCAATCTAGCTGTACATCAAAAACCTCTGCGGAGTTAAAACAAAACAAATGGATTCTCAAGTGCTACCCCAAAAAGAAATGTTAAAGTTGAGATAGCAAGTATTATAAAGAAACAATTTTGTAAACAACACATTGAACACTATCCTGAAACCATTATGTCCAAGAATATCTTTTTGGAGGGTGGATACTATTCTGTCCCATCAGACATAAAATTCCTGATTGAACTAATTGATTGCCTTGGCTAATAAGCAGATGATTCTATCTTGGAACTTGATTAGATCACTGTTATAGACTAGAGTTTAATATAAAGCAGTTTCATCTTACTTTAACAACTAAATTCCATTAAGAATATAACTGCTAACATACCAAAAGGATTTTAACATTAAGGTAGACTAACTGACAAAAATCATGGACTATACCAGTGTATTTCTATTACACTTATCTACCCATGATTTATTTAAACCTGTCTTCCCAATATTGTTTCTTTTATTACCTAAAAGAGAGTTCTGAATCTGATGTAACATTAATGAATTCAGCATTCTTCACTCACTTCTACTACTCTTTAAAAAGAACATTTAATACCAAACACACAGTATGAAAATCAGGTTTCCAAGATTTCATATAATTAAGAAAATTTTCATTACATCACTCAAAATTTTATAAAAATAAAAACTTAAAAGGTTTTTGATTAAGTAGGTATTACGAAGACTAGAATTACTATACTAGTAACCACAAGTAACAGCAAAACTATATACCACAAACACATGAATAACTGCATACATACATTGTTAAATAAACAATAATCACAATATTAATTTTTTAAATTACTCATCTTTGGCCAGGTGTGGTGGCTCATGCCTGTAATCCCAGCACTTTGGGATGCTGAGGCAGGCAGATCACCTGAGGTCAGGAGTTCGAGACCAGCCTGACAAATATGGTGACAACCCGTCTCTACTAAAAATACAAAAATGAGCAGGGCGTGGTGGCGGGCACCTGTAGTCCCAGCTACTCGGAAGGCTGAGACAGGAGAATTGCTTGAACCCAGGAGGCAGAGGCTGCAGTGAGCCAAGATCGTGCCACTGCACTCCAGCCCGGACAACAGAGCAAGAATCGGTCTCAACAAAAAAATAAATAATAGGCTGGGCACAGTGGCTCACGCCTGTAGTCCCAGCACTTTCGGAGGCCGAAGCAGGTGGATCACGAGGTCAGGAGTTCGAGACCGGCCTGGCCAATATGGTGAAACCCTGTCTCTACTAAAAATACGAAAACTAGCCAGGTATAGTGGTGAGTGCCTATAGTTCCAGCTACTCAGGAAGCTGAGGCAGAAGAATTGGTTGAACCCAGGAAGTGGAGGTTGCACTGAGCCGAGATAGTGCCACTGCACTCCAGCTCAGACGACAGAGCAAGACTCCATCTCAAAAAGAAATAAAAATAAAAAATAAATAAATAACTCATTATCCTTTAAGTGAAAATTCTTTGGAAAAGAAAAAAACTGTACTAAATGGCCCAAATAAAAATTGTTTTGTTTGATCAAATTAGTAACCCAACTGAAGACTTCATCCAACTATTTCCTGTACAGGCTACCATAAAATGACAGTTCTGTAGAGAACTAGTCTATGATGTAAAAGATAATTACAGAGTAATACATGAATAATCCCTAAACTATTTGGTGAATGAAATTACAGCCCATTACTATAAAAACTTAGGGAAAATACTTACAGTATCCTCCACAACCATGTATCATAAAGGAAAAAGAAAATCCATGGGTTTTTGTAACAAAAAATACTACCATAAATCCATAACCACATCTATAATCAAAAGTTATATAACTTAAATATGTAATAACTAAATACAGAATATCTTAAATATGCATTAACTAAATACAGAATCATGAGTGTTCATTCTATCCATGACCTTGGGGTCACTGGGAGATTTCTAAAGCATACCTTTTAATCCACGCCATGGTACTTCAAGAACATGTTAAGGTAAGTCACAGCTTGGAACACTTCGATGCACCTCAAAACACCTCAGCCAGTGTATCTGTATCATTCTCCTTTCGTTTTGAGATCATAATGGTTCCGAAGAACTATAATGCTTCCATTTGAATGATAGTCTCATAATTTCAATGACTTAAAAACAAAAACAAAAAATAAGGCCTTAAGTGTTGGTATGTTAAACTGCTAGTGCACTGTGTTAACTGCTGCCATGACTAAGAAAAACAAAAAAGCTGCTGCTACCCTGTGTAACACTGTCATTTTTAATGTGAACCCTCATATGAATGAGGAATAGAGTGACAGTCCTTGCTTTATCGAGATCTTTCTAGTAAAACCCCACAAATCTCTTTGCCCCAATTGTTTCTTCAATTTTCTTCTCAGGGAATAAAAATTACTTAAAAGACTGGTCTGAAGACTTGCTAGGTGCTAGGTCTGCTTCTCAACGACCACTATTCTATTCTGTGAATGAGGGCCAGAAATCACCTGTACACCTGTCTAAAAGGAAACTGATTAATAGACTAGGCAGAGGATCCTTCAAACAATGCTCTTCCTGATGCCGTTATTAATGAATCCGGTTAATTCCATGGACGTCATTAAACTGAAAACAGCTCCAGTTTCTAAAGATTACTTCTATAGTGGCATTCATAAAAATGAACAGACAGACGGCTAACCATCAAGTTTTACCGCCATTCTCTGATTGACTTGGCAGGTATCTGTTCCTTTCCTCCTAACCCCACCCCAGCTTTCTTACATAAAAACATAAAAAATATTTCATTTTTAGAAATGGTATAGTAAGAAGTGTATGTATCACATTTTAAATCTACTAAGAATTCACACTGCTTTTACCACAAGTGTGGCATCATGTAGCTACAAGAAAGAACACTCAAGCTACACAAAGTAAAACTGATAACTGATCAATAAATATATTCATTTACTGTCATAAAGCAATTTAAATTACTTTAAGATGACTGATAAGGCAAATTTTTAATACACGCAAGCCATAAAAAGAGCTTCCTAGGAAAGACGTAGATGAAAACAGCTTTACACAAGCTGTTCCACTCTAGGCATGTGGAACAGCTTGTGTAAAGAATAAAGATGAAAGTTTCCCAGCTAGGGCTAAAAAGTAAGTGCTAAGGAGAAAATGAAACTATTTCCTGGTTGAAAGAGTAGATGTAACTGATGAAAATCTTTCAATCCACTGTCAGAAAAAATTATGTATTTTTAAGATTTAGATTTACTGTAGATTGTGGGGAATGCAGACTATAAAATGTAGGTCACTCTTCAGAAAGCTGATAATGGCGACAGAATTATATATAGTGAAAGAACTCTACCAGAGTAGGTGGGAAGAAACTAATGAAGAACAGAAACAAGAGACCTGATCCAGTGAAATCTCTGCCTGTAGCCACAACCGTCTTTTCAAACTGATGATTTTAGCCCATTAGTCCATCCCTCTGGCCCCTTCCCATTCCTCCTTAAAACAACCTAATGGCTCTGAATGTGACACACACACACACACACACACGCACACACACTCACTCCTGAAAGGATATCACATTGTTTCCTACACTCTGCTCCTCCAGACAAATGTATCCTTCACAGAACTACAAATCTTTATTTTATCTAGTTGCACTCTATTTTTATCTTCAGTAATGTGTATTAAAAACCCTATGAGGCCGGGAGCGGTGGCTCACGCCTATAATCCCAGCACTTTGGGAGGCCAAGGTGGGTGGATCACCTGAGGTCAGGAGTTTGAGACCAGCCTGGCCAACATGGTGAAACCCTATCTCTACTAAAAATACCAAAAGAAAAAAAAAATAAAAAAAACCCAAACATTAGCTGGTCATAGTGACGCGCACCTGTAGTCCCAGCTACTCAGGAGGCTGAGGCAGGACCTGGGAAGCAGAGGTTGCAGTGAGCTGAGATCACACAACTACACTCCAGCCTGGGTGACAAAGTGAGACTCTGTCTCAAAAAAAAAAAAAAAAGCACCTATGAAACTGTCTAGAAAACATTCCGCTTCCATGCTAGTTACTACAGTCTCCTTCCTTTATGCTGTGAGGTCCCAAGGGTATAACTTTTGTCTTTCATCTCTGTAAACCTATCATCACTTTACCACCAAAGCCCGCAACACAATAGGCACTAGAAACTACTAAATATGTGAAAATGTTACGACTGTACTTCGAATATATGATTGATAAGCTAAATATAGAAAGTTCATGATGGCAGGTATATCTGATATGCCATTAAACACAGTAGGTACACAAATATTTGTTGAATGAATGGAAGAAAATATTTAGGAATGGCTTTTCCAGGCAGGATAGGGAAAAACACACATTCACCGCTAAATGATATTAAGAATCTAAAATGATTTTTGGTATATCCAATTTTCCATTTTAAAATTAACTTATTTGGTGGATTATATTAATATTTTGAGAATTGTATTTACATCAAAATTCACATTTATAATTCAAAACTTTGTATATATTAATACACTAAAAATACACTGTGATGCCAGTATCAAGGAGAGCAAAGGCTCTGAAAGCAGAAAAATTAAATTAACATAAATAAGGCCCACTTTTTTGATGACTAAATTCTGATTATTTTGTTTTGGTTTTGACTACTGAATTTACAACACACAATATTTATGAAATTATGAGATCAAATAACTGCTAGCAAACTACTGCTAAAGCATAAACTTCAGGAAAGTAGTTAGAAACAGATGCCAATAACTAATGTTTTTCTAAACAGCCTCATATAATAATCTGAAACGACAACAATGAAGGTGTTGATCCGCGGGGTGCTCACGGGACGCCGAGGGTCAGCTCCAGCTCGCTTCGCGGCAACCGCGGAGCTCCTGGCACACCCACGCCACGCCCGCCCCGGCCCGCTCGGCCACCATCCCTCCTGTCGGCGGGGTGGGAGAGCACTCGGGAACCTCACGTCCCCCGGGGCTATGCCTGTGCCGACCCCGAGGAGCGCACCGCGCAAGCAGGGAAGGCCTCGAGGCTGCCGGCGCCGGCAGCAGGGGCGTCCCAGCCAGGGGCCTGCAGTTTGCCAAGGGAACCCCCACCCGAGCCCAGAACCGAGGAAGAGGGTCGGACATACTGGACACACAGCCGCTCCATAAAGTAAATACAACAAAATGTTAAAAAAAAAAAAAAAAAAAATGAAGGTGTTATAATGGTCATTGCAATACTGATTATTAGGAAAGGTTTGGGTATTTCTTTCCAACACAGGGGAATGGTTAAATTATGACACACCCATACAATGGAAACGTTCGTTAAATATTACTGAAATAACATGGTAATATGTTAATGACATATGATTACCTAACTACATACAGTATTTTCCTACATATTTTTGTATGTCTATTTATACATTTTAATCAGGACAGAAATTTTAAAATACATTTAATAAATATAAATATGTACGTTCCGTGAGATCAAGAAAAATTTTCAGATGTGTACATTCCTGTACCTCCAGCACTTATGACAGCACCTTGACAAAGGTGTTAAGAGTGGCAGCAAAGCTTAAGAGAAGATTGTCTGGATCTGATTCCTAGATCCTCTACTCACTAGCTATGAGACTTCAGGCAAGTTACTTAACTTCTAGGTGACTTACTTTCTCCTTTTGAAAAACTGGGATAAAAACAGTGGAAGGGGGAAAAGACTTAATACATGTAAGGCACTTAGAACAATATCTGGAACATAATGATGACACAGTGAACTGGGATAATGGGCAGCAGTGAACCCACTGCCTCAAACCTGAATAAATGAATGGACTTTTTTTTTTTTTTAAGAGACAAGATCTTGCTTTGTTACCCAGGCTGTAGTGCAGTGGCACAATTATGGCTCACTGCAGCCTCAACCTCCTGGGCTCAAGTAATCCTCATGCCTCAGCCTCCTGAGTAGCTGGAACTATAGGCATGCACCACGTACCCCACTAACTTTTTTTTTTTTTTTTTTTTTTTGCAGAGATGGGGTCTTGCTATGCTGCCAGGCTGGTCTCAAACCCCTGGCCTCAAGTGATCCTCCTACCTTGGCCTCCCAAACTGCTGGGCTTATAGGCATGAGGCACTGCACCTGGACTGAGTGGACTATTTTTAAAATACAAAAAGAAATGTTAGTAAAGTCACCTGTGTGGGAACTCAAAGACTAGAACATATATTACACCTTCACTGTTTTGGACACTTCAAAGTGCACGTAATTTTGTGCCTATTACACTTCCTTATGGTAATCCAATTACCATATATTAAGAATCTCAGGTCTTCTATTAACTTTATACTAAACCTTTGACCATTATGGTACTTACTACTAGTAGGATACATATTTTATGCTATTTTTCCAATGGTCATGATATATTTGCACAGTACAACGTATGGTCTTCTGTAATCATCCTTTTAACAACCAACACTATTTTGTAACAATGGATCTATATAAGAGTGCAGTGGTTTGTAGAGTTTTATCAAACTCAATTTTATTATATTCATTCTTTATTAACTAGGCAATTCACTCTCTGATCATTAAATACACACACACACACACACACACACACACACACGAATACCCCCTCAAAAACATACAAAAAACACCCGAGCATAAGTAACCCAAGTTACTTATGAGTGGATTTTAAATGTGGTATATGCATAGAATGGAATACTATTCTGCTTTAAAAAGAAACAAAATTCTGACAACGCTACATGGATGAACCTTGAAGACATTATGGTAAGTGAAGTAAGCCAGTCGCAAAAAGACAAACACTACATGATTCCACTTACATGAAGTGCCTAGAGTAGTCAAATTCATAGAGACAAAAAGAATGGTGGTTACCAGGGACCTGGGGGCAATGGGGAGTTATTATTTAATGGGTTAGGAGTTTCAGTTCAGGCAGATGAAAACAGCTGTGGAGATGGATGGTAGTGATAGTTGCATAGCACCGTGAATGTACTTACTACCACTAAACTGTACAATTTAAAATTGTTTAAATGGTAAATTTTATTTATGTATATTTTGCTACAATAAATAAACTGAACACACCTGATGAGATACACAAATAGTGGATAGTAACTTACTTTTTTCCTTATATTTTGACAAATTTTCTAAATATTTCCTTTGTTTTATAAATCGAACCTATTTCTATCTTCGTTAAGTGGCACTACTCATCCTCCCAGACAGCCACAACATTCAACCATTTTCCTTCCCATCCTAAGCCAAGTCTTACAAACTGATTTTAACTCTGTAACACTACTTGAGTTTGATGCCTTTCTTTTATTTCTAATGCCTCGGCCTTCATTAAGTTCTTCCTTACAGCACAGGATCACTGTAACAGTCCTATAGTCAATCACCTATCCTCAAAAGCCTAGCCTTCACAATTATCACTAGCTATTTTCTTGAAATAAAGCTCTAGTTTTAAAACCTTTACAAAGGGCTCCACTGTTTCTTCAAGTTTAAAGTTCTAAGCAAAACATTAAAAAATACTTTTTTGTCTGATCTAACCTACCCTTTTGGGCTCACCTTCACAAGACCCTTCTGCTTCCCATACTCTACACCAGATTCTTTACTCCCTTTTTCCTCACCATCCCCACCAGGCTCTGCTACCTCCATGCTTGTATGCACACTTCTCTATGTGGAATCCTCTTCCTTCCAACTTCGAATGATATCTATTCGATTCTCAGACACTGCTATATGATAAAAGAAACATAAGAACAACTTGGCAGTATCTATCAAAAGTATAACTGCACATATCTTTGCAACTAGCAATTTCACTTCTAAGTGTCTGGTCCTACAAAAATACTCAAACATACAGGACACGAAGATATTCACTGCAGTGTTGTTTCTAAAAGAGAAAAACATCTAGTTGGGCACCAAATGGGAACTGGCTAAATATATTGTTACAACTATATTATGGATATGGAATACTACACAAAATTATGAGGGGGGCAACCCTAAATATACACTGATAAGAAAAGAACTAAAGAAGAATTATAAATTTTAAAAGTAAAGATAAAGAAAACCCAAACTGTATTTATACACTTTTATGTATTTTTAAGTACACAAAGAATTTGTCTGGGAGAATATATTCAAATTTGTAACAGTGGTTATCTCTGGGGAAGGAAACGAAATTTGTGCAACATTTCAAATGGGTTACAAACAGACAGGAAGAAGCTAAACAGATTCACTCTCCTACTTTCTCACTCCCAGTCTATTTGGCCTGATCTAGCTCTGACTCTACTTAGCTACTGATACAAAACTTAAGCTGAATGGCAGTAGCTACACAGAGCCCAAGTGCATGTGCAGCCTGTCTTGGCAGGCTTACCTAGGCCACAAGCTCCCTAGCTAAAAGTACTCACAGCTGCCAGTGACACACTCTGCAGGTCCAGCTCTAGCAGAGGTGAGAAAATAGCCACATTCTTACTGGGACTCTACTCAGGCTTACCTTTCTATTGATGTTCTGTTTTCTTCCAGTTAAAGGAATGTTTACCAACATGGGCACTCGTGGTTTTTGAACAAATTCATCTCTAACAAGAACCACATCCTGAATTGGCAGGAGGGTCAGAGGACAGTCAGTACTCAGGTATTCCTTAACAAAATCTCTTGCCCCCAAATTTCCAGAATTCATCTTCCTCTAACATAGTTAAAAAGTTTAAAACTGAGAGGTGGAAGAAGAAATCCCTTCCTGAAGCTTTCACTGGAATCCCCAGTCTGAATTAACCATCCCCTCTTCTTGTGTACCTCAATGCTCCTTGGGAAATGCCTGTTACATGAGCTATGGTGTTCTTCCTTACAGTTTGTGTGAGTGTACCTGCAGTCCCCAGTGGGGCACAAACTATCAAGGGCCAGACTGTCTTCACTTACGTTTTATATAACTCAAGGTGTTCAAAGTTCTTATCTGTTAATGAGGCTTTTTTGTTGGCAGGAGAGGGGTTAGGGTTTTGATGTTTTAAGAGATGGGGTCTTGCTCTGTTGCCCAGGCTGGAGTGCAGTAGCACAGATCATAGCCCACTGCAGCCCTGAACTCCTGGGGCTCAAGGGATCCTCCTGTGTGGCTGGGACTACAGACATGCACCCCCACACCCATTTTTTTTTTTTTTTTTTTGGTAGAGATGAAGTCTTGCTATGTTGCCCAGGATGGTCTCAAATTCCTGGACACATGCAATCCTACCTTGGCCTTGTGAGATTACAGGTGTGAGCTACCACACTTAGCCTTATAATAGGTTTTTAAGAAATGTCTCCTGAGTAGAATTTAAAATAGTTCAGTGCATGATGTTTGACAAGTTCACAGATGGGATGTATTTAACTTCAGAATAAAAATGTTAGTACACAGCCTATGCAACAAAAAATAAAATATATATATAGTCGGGCCATATGGTACACACCTATAGTCCCAGCTCCTGGGGGATTAGGGGGAGGTGGGCAGTGGCTTAGGTAGGAAGACTGCTTGAGTCTAGGAGGTTGAGGCTGCTGTGAGCCATGATCTCACCACTGCCCTCTACCCTATACAAGAGAAAACAAGACCAAAAAAATACGGCAGGAGACAATATTAAATCAAATAAGAAAAACAAGTTTTAAATCAAGTTTTATTTCAAATTATTTCATTAAATGAGAGCTTTGAGCTGGAAGAGAGAATATAAGCCTGAAAAACCACTACATGTCACAGGCAAAGTAGAAAAGTATAACAATTTTTAATGGTATTTAAATAGAAAACAGTCCATCTCTATTTGTACCCAAAGGAAAAAAGCCTGTATCCCCTTTACATCACAATAATCTAAATACAATTACAGTTTCTGTATATTGTAATTATTTGATCAGTTTCCCACGTAAAATCTCTTTGCCGGCCAGGCATGTGGCTCATGCCTGTAACTGCAGCACTTTGGGAGGCCAAGGCGACCCGATCATTTGAGGTCAGGAGTTCATGACCAGCCTGGCCAACACGGAGAAACCCGGTCTCTACTAAAAATACAAAAATTAGCTGGATGTGGTGGCAGCAGCCTGTAGTCCCAGCTACCTGGGAGGCTGAAGCAGGAGAATCGGTTGAACCCAGGAAGTGGAGGTGGCAATAAGCTGAGATCATACCACTGCACTGCCTGGGTAACAGAGCAAGACTCCGTATCAAAAAAAAAAAAAAAAAAACAGAAATCTTTTTGCCAATAAATAAAAATACAAATTGCTAATTTACTACATTTTTTATGTTTTCCTTGTGATCTATATTTGATGGTGAAACAAAAATCCTGCCTTCTAGTAAATATTTTGTATTTAAATAAAATCAGGATATAAAAGTAACATGAAAACATTAAGCTTGCTGAAAACAGTCCCCGGTGGCTGTATAAATTATCTCATGATCTAAAGAATATGGCCGGGCGGGGTGGCTCAGGCCTGTAATCCCAGCACTTTGGGAGGCCGAGGCGGGTGGATCACGAGGTCAGGAGATCGAGACCATCCTGGCTAACATGGTGAAACCCCGTCTCTACTAAAAAATACAAAAAATTAGCCGGGCATGGTGGCACGCGCCTGTAGTCCCAGCTACTCGGGAGGCTGAGGCAGGAGAATGGCGTGAACCCGGGAGGCAGAGCTTGCAGTGAGCCGAGATCACGCCACTGCACTCCAGCCTGGGCGGACAGAGCGAGACTCTGTCTCCAAAAACAAACAAACAAAAAAACAAAAGAATACTGTGGCAGGGCACAGTAGCTTACAACTGTAATCCCAGCACTTTGGGAGGCCAAGGCAGGCAGATCACCTGAGGTCCAGGAATTCAAGACCAGCCTGACCAACATGGTGAAACCCCATCTCTACTAAAAATACAAAAAAATTAGCCAGGCGTGGTGGTGGGTGCCTGTAATCCCAGCTACTCGGGAGGCTGAGGCAGGAGAATTGCTTGAACCCAGGAGGCAGAGGTTGCAGTGAGCCAAGATCGCACCACTACACACCAGCTTGGGTGTGACAGAGCAAGACTCTGTCAAAAAAAAAAAAAAAAAGAATACTGTGAATTATAAGAACAATTGCAAATAAGATTTATTAGTATATTTGAAGTATAAAAAGGTTGTCTAATATTTTAAATGTATTATCTCACTTATTTACTACCAAACCTATGAGATAGGCATAATAATTACATTTTATAGACACACAAACTGAGGTTAAAGTTGTGAAGTAACTTGCAGGAAGAGACATTTAAGTGGCAGAACCAGAATTCAAAGCCTGGTCTCTCTGATCCCAAAAACAAATACCTGCCTCTGCATGCATTTAACAAATCAAATCAAAACAAAAAGTTTGTTCTGATACAATGTATGTTTCCTTGCTGTGATCTGCTGCATAGGCAGCATAGGGGAATGAGGTTGACATAAATGAAAATCATGTTACTTCATAGACAATTTTTCCTAGCATATTAATGTTTTGAAGCAACTGGAAATAAACCTTTCATGATTAAAGAAAAAAACCTTAGCAACAGGTGAATATTTTAAGAAAAAAGGCTGAAAATATACAAGTGCCTTTCTTTGTTGCAAGTAGTAGCTGATGTAGTAGCTTCAGAAATTGCTACACTTTCCACCGGGTTTTGCTATACTTTCCTTTCCACTGGATTTTTTAGGAATTGTTACACTTTCCACTATTTAACAAAGCTACCGGTACATAAGAAGCTGGAAAACAAAAACAAAGCTTACTAAAACAATGGATTAATGATGAAGGCTACATGCTGGATTAGATTTTAATTTTAATGAAAATGGTCTCTAAGAAGCAATGTCCTCCCAGAACTTACATGGCAGTATAAGAGACTTCTGCAGGCATTAGACAAAACAAGCCCTATGAACCTTCAGTACCCATGGTCCTACCAGAACGCCACGGATAGATTTTGTTTGATTTTGTTTGAGGTTTTTGTTGTTGTTGTTTGAGACAGAGTTTCACTCTGTGGCCCAGGCCGAAGTGCAATGGTGCGATCTGGGCTCACTGCAACCTCCGCCTCCCAGGTTCAAGTGATTCTCCTTCCTAGGTCTCAAGCTCCTGACCTCAGGTGATGCACCCACCTCGGCCTCCCAAAGTGCTGGGAGTACAGGTGTGAGCCACCACGCCCAGCCTTGATTGAATTTTTAATGATGTGAGTGCTATGGTTTGAATGTTTGTGTCCCCCTACAAGAGATATATTGAAATCCTGACCCCTAACGTCACAATATCAGGAGGGAAGCCCTTTGGGAGGTGATTAGGTCATAAAGGCACAGCTCTCATGAATGGGATTAGTGTCCTTATAAAAGAGGCTTGAGAGAGATCCTTCACCCCCTATTCCACCATGTGTAGATACAGCTAGAAGACACCATCTATGAACCACAGCAGGGACCTTCACCAGACACTGAATCTTCTGGCACCTTAGTCTTGGACTGTGAGAAATAAATTCTATTGTTCATAAGCTACCTAGTTTACGGTATTCTGTTACAGTAGCCCAAAAAGACAAAGACAGTAAGGTAAACTCCCACTATATAGAGAAAATAATGCTAAAACTGCTACCATTAGGACAAGGCTGCAGGAGTATACATTAATGCTACTCTGAATTGAAAACAATTTAAATACACAAAGATCAATGTCAGTTCACTGTGATCCCAAAGTAGGTATGAAAGGGAACTCCCCACCATAACCACACACCTCCCCCCGACCCAAAGCAGCTCTTAGCACACACTGTTTCTTAATAGAACATCTAGAAGTTAATAGCCATGGAAAGTGACCCTACTGCATAACCTGTATGAAACTAGCAGTGGGGCCTATTTGGCATGCACATATTTCCAAGTACATAAACGTACTATCAAAACAGAAAGCTCATACAGGAAGATATACATAGTTGTAGAGAAAACAAGTAATATATAGCAGCTATTTTGACAGATACCATTGTCCTGTATTGTTCATAACATAAAAACCATTCTCAAGGCCAGGGACAGTGGCTCAGGCCTGTAATCCCAACACTCTGGGAGGCCAAGGCAGGCGGAAGACTTGAGTTCCTGAGTTCAAGACCAGCCTGGGCAACATGGTGAGACCCTCTCTCTACAAAAAATACAAAAATTAGCCAGGTGTGGTGGCACACACCTGTAGTCCCATCTACTTGGGAAGCTGAGGTGGGAGGATTGCCTGAGCCTGCAAGGCAGAGGTTGCCGTGAGCTGAGCCTGGGCGACAGGGCAAGACCCAGTCACCCACCCCCCACCAAAAAATAAACAAAGCATTCTCAGAAAAATTCTCTCAAGTGATGCCTGGAGACCTAAGTATGTGATCAAAAACTTCTGTGTCTTCTTCCTGTTAGTATGAATATTTGCCTTCAGGACTCCCTAATTCCCTTTTACTATCTCAATATTCTAGGTATCTATGTTCCTCAAGTGTCAGAGATCACGCACTAATGTACACAATGTTTCCACATATACTTTTGAAATCCACAGGATGGGCCTGGGAGTTAGCATAGTAATTAAGCATATTAAGGTAGAGCAAAATAGTCTCAAGTAATTTTTTCAGGTAACCCAAACTTAATGTATATAATATATAATATATAACGTATATAATATAGTGTTCCATTATTGGAATGCTAAGCTTGTGAGTTATTTATATCCAACTGCTCAAGGCTATCACACAAAAAAAATTTTGCAACCTATGGCATAAATGGGTTAAAATCATGTTTCCTACCAAGAATTGGCTAACCTGAGATTTGTTTTAACCTGTCACCATGCAAAATCCAGAAGCCATAAAAGCAAATCATTCATTTATATGTAGCCTCATCTCACAACCTCATACCTAAAACTTGTTTCCCATATTAAATGATGGCAACCCTGTAATTACCATTGCTCAGGCCAAAAACCAGGGAATCATCTTTGAATTCTGTATTTACTTCACATGCCACATCTAATCCAGGCATACTCTGCCTACAGGTCTTTACATTTGCTGTTTCTTCTTGCTAGAATGTTATCTCCCTTATATGCCCTCCATCCTCACCTCTTAATGTCCTTTAATGAACTGTTCACCTATCATATGTCTATAGGTTGTAGGTTTTTTGTCCCGAGCAAGGTTTAAAGTCATAATTTTCAATTCAGTACTTTGGAAAACTTCACTAAATTTAACTACGTATGTTCAGATGTCTCTTTTAAGGTTTATTTTATATAATAGTGTAAGATAAGTAGCCAAATACCATGAGGAAAGACTTGTCCTTCCTGTCATGGCAGAAAGACTGAAATATGACTTGGGGAATCATATGGACATAAACCAAAATGTATTTTTCTGTGTGCAAATTACTGTATAAATAAGCACACAAAAAGCTGTTGAGGATCATAGGGCAGAGTGGGGAAACTAGTATTAGAAAAATTATCTAGTGTGAGAAATTTGCCATAAAGTTGGTAGTACAAACCATTTTTCTAATATACCTTAGCTTATAGTCTTTGCTGGCTTCTTAATGAAATATGAAAATTTGTAAGAAAGTATCTACAGGAAAACATTCTCAACTACAAATTCATTTCACAGTTAAAATTTATTATGTCTTACACGACAGGCACTCTTGTAGGTTCAGAGCTAGAGCACTGAACAAAAAGACAAGGTCTCTGTCTTCATGGAGGGAGCTTCTTGACTTCTTTAATAAAAGCATTTTATGAAATAACAGTGAGAGCATTATCTGCTATGCAAGTAGCTGCTTTAACCGAAATAAAACAAATTTCTGTAGAAAGTGTACTGAAATTCCATCACACAAGACATTCATTCATTCCATCTTACATTAGCAACAGAAGAAATTAAAGGCAGAATGGCACAAAGTACTGCCGATGTAATAGACAGTTACTTTTATAAAACAATACATCATCATGAGACAGAGAGTAACCATGAAAATCTCTTATACCACATGGAGGTCTGCTGTTTATCTCCTGGTAAAGCACTTAGAAGTAAAAGTGTTGTGAAACTTGATGAGTTACTCATTTTCTCTATGCAAAAAGGTCCCCAAATCAATTACTTTTCCTGTGAAGACAAATAGCTGCCTGTAGTATGCTACCTAGTAGACATGTCTGTAAATCAAAACACTTAAGCATGGCATTTAAACAATAGCTTTTCAGCTAAGAAAATCACTTACTTATATCAAAATAAAACGAACTTGGACCCAGTCCTTTGAATGACTCTATCGCAAAGTATTAAAGAAGTGATATTCAAATAAAAAAGATAAAAAGAAGTGATATTTAAACACATTGTTCTCACTAAAAGCTACATGTGAAGATTGGCCAGGCACTGTGGCTCATGCTTGTAATCCCAGCACTTTGGGACGCTGAGGTGGGAGGATCACTTGCGTCCAGAAGTTTGAGGCCAGCCTGGGCAACATAGCGAGACACCATCTCTACAAAAAAATTTTAAAAACATTATCCAGGCATGGTGGCTCATACCTGTAGTGCCAGCTACTCAGGAGGGTGAGGTGGGAGGATGGCTTGAGCCCCCGGGGTCAAGGCTGCAGTGAGCTGTGAGAACGCCACTGCACTCTAGAGCCTGGCAAGTGCGTGCGCGCGCGCACACACACACACACAAACTTGTGATGATAAAATGAGTTCCTGCCATTAACTTTTAAAAACATCTTTAAAACTTTGTTTACAGACCAGGCATGGTAGCTCACGCCTGTAACCTCAACACTTTGGGAGGCCTAGGTAGGAGGATAACTAGAAGCCAGGAGTTTAAGACCAGCCTGAGCAACATAGTGAGACTCTTGTGTCTACAAAAAATTTTAAAAATTCGTGGGCCATGATGTCACATGCCTGTAACTCCTATCTACTTGGGAGACTAGGGCAGAAGGATGGCTTGAACTCAGGAGTTCAAGGCTGCAGTGAGCTATGATCACGCCACTGCGCTCCACTCTGAGTGATAAAGTGAGACCTTGTCTCAAAAACAAAAAAAAACAAAAAACAAAAATCAAAAAACAACCAAACTTTTTGTTGTTGAGGTGAAAAGCTTTGCTTACCTCAACTTTATCAAAATACTTTTTAACATTTCAAATTTATGTACATATTTCAGTATATTGGTACAGTACAATATGATAATCACATATATTGGGGTACATGCTAACTTTCTACTTACTGATAAGAGCAAGCAATCAAAAGTCTAGAGGCAATCAGTTAAAAGAAAAGAAAAAGAAATTGATGTATGTGCCACATAGCTCTTACAGTATATGGATAAAGATCCCAAAGACAAGTAATATCTTTGGCTTCACAGTAATAAACCAAGTCCATCACCTCATTTAGTATTAGAAGGACTGAGCAAAAACATGAAACAATCAAAACACAAACGTCACCCCTCCAGGAGACAAACACAGAATATTTTTTCTGATTAAAATGAAACAGCAGGCCGGGCACGATGATGGCTCAGGCCTGTAATCCCAACACTTTGGGAGACTGAGGCAGGTCAATCATCTGAGGTCAGGAGTTCGAGACCAGCCTGGCCACCGTGGTGAAACCCCATCTCTACTAAAAATACAAAATTAGCCAGGCGTGGTAGCGTGTGCCTGTAATCCCAGCTACTCAGGAGGCTGAGGCAGGAGAATCACTTGAACCTGGGAGGCAGGGGTTGCAGTGAGCTGAGATGGTGCCATTGTACTCCAGCCTGGGCAACAAGAGCCAAACTCCATCTTAAAAAAAAAAAAGAAAAAGAAAAAGAAAAAAAAAAAGGAAACAGCAGATGTAGAAAGACTCTAAAAGAGAATCAAATTGGTAAATGTCCTCTTGGTCACAGAATTACTGAATGTGTGCCACTTTCAGTTACCCCCTTTTAATTCAGGCTTTTCATTAACACATGAGAAGCAGCACAAGGTTACAGAAAAGGCAGCAACAGGAGTTAACAATAAAAGTTTCATCTCTTCCCTCTTCGTGTGTTCCTTCCAATAAGCATCTAAACCTATCGAGCCTATTCCATCTTCAAAGCTCTACCTTAACACCTATGGCTCCACTCCCACTCTCCATGTTCTTAAAAGAACTGCTCTTAAAAGAGTTGCATACTCCCTCACCTTCAACTCCTGAACCACAGTAAGATCTCACCAGTTCTTGCCAGGGTCTCTGAAATCCTAAATCCAATGAACATTTAAACTTACCTCACCCTCACTGCAGCATTTGACACCACTGACCAGTGTACCTCCTTCTAGAACTCTGTCTTCATTGTTGTAATGCTCTACTATTGAGGCTTTTATTCTACCTTGTTTGCTAACAGTTTTCTTCTAATTGCTTCTATACCTCTACCCATTCCTTAAATTTTGGTGCTTGCCAAGTCTGTCTCTGCCTAACTCTATCCAAGAGATATTGCCCACTCCCAAGGTTCTAATTAGCATCTACCAGTCTTCAAGTACACATTTCCGACCCTGACCTCTCTCTCTTGAGCTCCAGGATCGCCACGTATAACTGGCCACTGGATATCTTCATCTAGCTTTCTCACAAGAACCTCAAAGTCGACATGTTCAGAAGCGAAATCTTCTCCCCAAACTAACTCAACTCTTCTACTGTGCCTTTTACCTCAAGGCCATCTCATTTCAACAAATGGTGCCACTGTTCCCCTGGCAACACGTGTAAAGCATCAGAATTTTTTTCCTTCTTGACAAATTTTTATTTTTATTTTTTATTTTTTTTTTGAGATGGAGTCTCGCTCTGTCACCCAGACTGGAGTGCAGTGGCGCAATCTCGGCTCACTGCAACCTCCGCCTCCCGGGTTCAAGTGATTCTCCTGCTTCAGCCTCCCAAGTAGCTGGGACTACAGATGCATGCCACCATGCCCAGCTAATTTTTGTATTTTTAGTAGAGACAGGGTTTCACCACATTGGCCAGGCTGGTCTCAAACTCCTGACCTCAGGTGATCCACCCGCCTCGGCCTTCCAAAGTGCTGGGATTACAGGAGTCCTGAGCCGCAGCGCCCGGCCAATACAGCCTGTTTTTAGAATCCTAATGATAAAGGAGTTAAGAAGATATTACTTAGGCAGATAGTGAGGGTATGGAAGTCCTCAGTAAGGTTTTCCTTTTAATGAAAAGCAGCCCCAAATCATTTTCCTTTCTCACAAAGAGCAGACTGTAAAATCGAGCTACAGACATAGATGTCAGCAGTTGTGCCAATCATGTTCAAGATAGCGGCTCCATCTTCCCTTCTCTTTGTCAGCCATGTGTACAGTAAGGAGTAGATAAGATGGCACCTGCCAAGGGGAAAGTTTACTTGCATAATAAGATTAGGCAGCCAGCCTTCCCCGCTGTAAACGTCATACCTGACCCAACCAATCTGTGAGCCCTATGTAAATCAGATATCCCCTCCTCCAATCTGACTATAAAATCCAGTACATCCGCAGTCGCCAGTCTTTTCCTCTCTGGAAGTCCCCTCTCTCTCACTAGAGAGAAAGCTGTTTTCCTTTCTCTTTCTCTTTCTTTTGCCTATTAAACCTCCACTCCTGAACTCCTCGTGCATGTCCATGTCCTAAATTTTTTGGGAGTGAGATGATGAACCCCCAAGTATTTACTCCAACAATGTGGCCACTTCACTAATACTTGACTATTTTTGAAATTTCACTAGCATAAATATACATGTAGATTCCCAATTTGTGTTTGTGTGTGTGTGTGTGTTTTAATTTCCAATGGGAGAAGAAAAACAGACATTTTAAAAAGAGAAAGATTAGTAACAAGTGAAATCTCCAAAAAAGCTTCATTATAGAGCTTAGAAAAGATGTGATTTTGTCATTTTAAGCCCCAGCATCACTGTATTCTCTGAAAATCTTCCCCATACATAATAGAATCCTATCCTTAATTCTAACAAAAACCTACCAATGCCTCAAAGTACGGGATGGGGTAGTCATCTGACTAAGCAGAAATGAAAATAGCACGTAGATGACAGAGTTAATGAGAGTTAAAAAGCAGAAGTAGCAGCTTGGGAATCCCTGAGAGTACAACTGAGGCAGAAAGGGGACTTGTGATAAGAAAAGTAAAGTACTAGCTACCAGG
The DNA here is from genome assembly GCF_000001405.40 of Homo sapiens. Classification (NCBI taxonomy): domain Eukaryota; kingdom Metazoa; phylum Chordata; class Mammalia; order Primates; family Hominidae; genus Homo; species Homo sapiens. The sequence continues at coordinate 26,345,643 of NC_000004.12, read as the reverse complement.
CGATTCCTCTCATTGGACAGACTACTCTCCCCAGGGATGTAGGAACTATATAAACTTACAATTTTGGATGCTCTCAAGTTCACTAAGTCATATTAATATTTACATCATATTCTGTTACCAGGTGTGATCTTTCAAAAGTATACTGAGTTGGTGTGATTAGGAAATCATCCAACAGAAACACAAACCTCAGTAGGCGCTTTTGGGGACCAATACGAGGAAAGCCATCTGTTTGCTGGAAATAATATTTCTACTTCCCTAGTGACTACAGCTATCTATGACAACTGGGAAATCCCAAGAGAGGAAAATAAATTTTAACTGCCTCAACACTTTAATTATTCATATAAGCTGTCCAAGAAATTAAAGTTAAATGTTACACAAAGAGATCTCTAGCCCCCTAATATTTTTTGGCTAATTATTCCACTGGTAGTCTACATCTGCTCTGCTATAATTTGGTTATGAATCAGAAGTAACTCACTGGAAAACCTTTATATCTCTTATAAAGTGACTATGAATAATAACTACGATTCACAAAAATGGTTATTTTTAATGTGCACAAAAATCCTCATGAAAACATGTCCCACACAAAAGAACAGCTGTTACTGTCAAAGTTTAAGCTCTTTTGTAGGAAGAACGAGACTAAATTTAACAAAATTTTTTAAATGTTTAAAAATAAAGCAGCAGCTCATTTTAAGCAGCACATTCAACCTGTATTTTTTTAAAATCTTCAATATGAACATCTTATGATCAGGAAACATGTTAAGCATTGCCTTTAAGAAGAATGTGAATCTATTATGATGAGATTCATACATATAAACAGTTCAGAGATTTGCAAATATACACTCTAACACCAGAAATACTGACCATAACCCCACATATACAGTGGGCTTTGAGGTGGGGTGGGGAGCAGGATTCCTCATTTGTTTCCATTGTTGCTATTCCACCCTTCCTTTTTTCTCTTCTGCTTTAAAAGTCATTTCTAGGATTATTTTGAGAAATTTATCTTCTAGGTATATTTTGATTAAAAAATTACCACATCTCCCTTATTATTTGTAGGTCAGCTCCAGGTGATGTCTTTCTGAGTAAAACTACTTTTAATAATTATAGTTAGCAGCCGGGCGCGGTGGCTCACGCCTGTAATCCCAGCACTTTGGGAGGCTGAGGCGGGGGGATCACGAGGTCAGGAGATCCAGACCATCCTGGCCAACATGGTGAAACCCCGTCTCTACTAAAAATACAAAAAAATTAGCCGGGCGTGATGGCAGGCGCCTGTAGTCCCAGCTACTCCGGAGGCTGACGCAGGAGAATGGCGTGAACCCGGGAGGCAGAGCTTGCAGTGAGCCGAAATCACGCCACTGCACTCCAGCCTGGGTGACAGAGCCAGACTCTGTCTCAAAAAAATAAAAAATAAAAAATAATTATAGTTAGCTATATGTCTCAATAACATATTAAAACCATATTCCTAGCTAGGTGTGGTGGTTCACACCTGTAATCCCAGCACTTTGGGAGCTGAGGTTGGCGGATCACTTGATGCCAGGAGTTCAAGATCAGCCTGGCCAACATGGCAAAATGCCATCTCTACTAAAAAGAAGTACAGGCTGGGGGCAGTGGCTCAGGCCTGTAATCCCAGCACTTTGGGAGGCCAAGGCAGGTGGATCACTTGAGGCCAGGAATTCAAGACCAGCCTGGCCAACATGGTGAAACCCTCTCCCTACTAAAAATACAAAAATTAGCCGAGTGTGGTGGCGGGCGCCTGTAATCCCACCTAGCTGGGAGGCTGAGGCAGCAGAATCACTTGAGCCCAGGAGGTGGAGGTTGCAGTGAGCCGAGACCACACTATTGCACTCCAGTCTGGGCAAGAAGAGCAAACCTCCGTCACAAAAAAAAAAAAAAAAAAAAAAAAAAAAGAAGAAAGAAAGAAGTACAAAAAAATTAGCCAGGCATGGTGACACACACCTGTAATCCCAGGTACTCAGGAGGCTGAGGCACAAGAATCGTTTGAACCCAGGAGGTGGCAGTTGCAGTGAGCTGAGATCACACCACTGCACTCCAGCCTAGGCAACAGCGCGAGATTCTATCTCAAAAAAAAAACAATAAACAAACAAACAACCTGTATTTTTCTGAAATAAAAGTGGGTACATACACTATGCCTTAAACTATTCATATGTATAAGCTGGAAATATGTAGCTTCAAATAACCCAATATTTATATCTTTAGGCAGTAACTAGAGGTAAAGCATCATCTATAAATGCTATTACACACAGTAGCTACTGTGAGCAAAAATATTTGATGACAGAAACCACGTCTATAACATATCTTACAATTTATCTGCCCACATATCCAAATAATATGTTTAGAGATTCATTACAACAGTCAAGCAAAAATATTCCAAATTCCTTAAAGTCATAAGAAGTAAAGATTACCAGAACAGAAACTCTCAGTTTGTGCCGTCCTAACTCGCCCTGCTGAAAAAACAGTCACCCTTAGGGATTCACAATAACAAACACAGAATTCATTGCAAGTGTGGCTACAATTTACAAGCAGCCTTTCATTGCTCCATAAAGGCTCATCATTGTAGAAACTCATCAGTTTTTAAGCCACATCCACAGCTGCTGTCTTAGAATAACAACAAAATTTGACAGCAGAGACTTTAAAATGACATTTATACAACAGTTTTACATAAAACAAAAGTACTCCAGTATAATAGAAAGAATGGATGACATGTAGAATACCAAAAAACATGAGAATCTTGAGTCATTGCTAATAGCAATACCTGTCATTTATATAATGCTAGAACCATTTTCCTAAGCTCCCTAGCATGTCAGAGATACCATTACACTGAAGAAAAGTGAAGCAGAGATACTACCCAAATTAATTAGTGGTGAACAGAATGTGTTTCATGACTAGCAACCTGTGTTTTTTGCACAAACCCTTCTTCCAAAATTGTATAGTGAAACAGGGAGACAAAAAAAATTCCACATAAACCTATTCCCTGTTCAACTTTACTCTCCTGCCTCAGATCTATAATCTGCCTGGACTGAGAGGCTTGTCTGGTTAGTGAGCACACTCAATCATGTGTTGTCAGATGACTAAGTTAACCACGCATGGGAGAAAGGAATGAGGAGGGGAAATGCTAGTAGGATCACCACATACTAAATTACACTATCGCTAGCAGATGTTCATACTACAAAGCAGCAATGGAACTGAAATCTGGAGATACAGGTTTGAATTCCATTTCTCCCACCAACTAGCAGGTAAACTTGGTTAAGTTTCTGTAAAACAAGATAATACTACCTCCCTCACCAAACGATGGCAAGGTCTAATGCAACTAGAGACCTCCTGGCTACTAAACACCACATTCCCTTTTTTTTTTTTTTTTTTGATAACCCAGGTGTTCAGCATTTGTACTAATGTATATACTCATCTTTTCTGTCTTCCCTCCTTTTGATACAGAGCAGTGGTTCTCAAAATGAGGTTTCTGGACCAGCAGCAATAGAATCATCCGGGAACTTGCTAGAAACGCAAATTCTTGGAGTTCCACTGCAGACCTTTTGTGTCAGAAACTCTGGAGATGGGGTCCAACCATCTGTGCTTCAGCAAGCCCTCCAGGTGACTCTGATGCCTGCTGAATTTTGCAAGCCACTGTGAGAACTCTGCTTTGGGCAGCCTAGTTTTGCACTATGTCCCATCCCTTCTTGGCTATTCTAGGATGTTGGACTAGCCAGCTACACTTTCTTCTCTCTTGTCTCAATTTTTACCTTTCTACTGAAACATTATTGACAACATACAAACGTGCTGGTATTTCTCCTTTGGACCCCACAATCCCTTCTAGTTCCCTGTTTCTTTGCATCCTTTTACAACAGACCTCTGAAGGGTTCTTTCTGTCTCCAATTTCTCTCCCACTCCATTTAGGTTTTTGTCTCCGTCACTTCAACAAAACTTAACAGTTCCCTCCACGCAGCTAAATGTAGTGGTCAGTTTTGTTTGGTTTTGTTTTCGTTTGGTTTTTTTTTGTTTTGTTTTGTTTTGTTTTGAGATGGAGTCTCACTCTGTCACCCAGGGTGGAGTGCAGTGGTGCAATCTCGGCTCACTGCAACCTCCACCTCCAGGTAACAAGTGATTCTTCTGTCTCAGCCTCTCGTGTAGCTCAGATTACAGGAGCATAGCACCATGCCCAGCTAATTTTTGTATTTTTAGTAGAGACAGGGTTTCACTATGTTGACAGGCTGGTCTCGAACTCCTGACCTCAAGTGATCTGCCTGCCTCAGCCTCCCAAAGTGCTGGGAGTACAGGCATGAGCCACCGCAGCCAGCCAGTGGTCAGCTGTCTTTTACCACATGTTATCTGACTGGATCACTCCCTTCTTGTTGAGCCATCTTCTTTATTTGACTTCTAGGATACTACACTCCTGTTTTCCTTCCTACCCCACTGGCACCTCTTTCTCAGTCTCCTTTGTAGTGTTTTCTCATTTCACCACATTTAAACTTTGGAGTGTCCAGAATGTAGCCCCTGGGTTTTAGCATTACGTTGCCACCAACACAGATCTTGATGATTATGGCTTTAACTACTATTAATATGTTGATGACTCCCAAATTTTTATTCCCAGCCTTGACCTCTTTTCTAAACTCCAAACTTTATATCCAGCTGTCTCAAAAGACATTTCCTCTTGGGCGTCTAAAAAGCATTTCAAACTAGCACATCTAAAATGATTTTTTTCCTTTATGACACTTATTTCAAGGCTTTCACATGCTACCTTTCTTTCTTTTTTTTTTTTCTTTTGTTTTTTTTTGAGACGGAGTCTCACTCTGTTGCCAGGCTGGAGTGCAGTGGCGTGATCTCAGCTCACTGCAACCTCCGCCTCCCGGGTTCAAGCGATTCTCCTGCCTCAGCCTCCCAAGCAGCTGGGATTACAGGTGCCCGCCACCACGCCCAGCTAATTTATTATATTTTTAGTAGAGACGGGGTTTCACCATGTTGGCCAAGATGGTCTCAGTCCTCTGACCTCATTATCCACCCACCTCGGCCTCCCAAAGTGCTGGGATTACAGGCATGAGCTACCCCGCCCGGCCCCAATATGCTGCATTTCTTACTATCAGCATCATCTCTACCTTGAATTGTTGCAGAATCCTCTTAACTTTTCTTTAGCTCTGCTCTTGTTCTTAGTAAAGTTGCTTGAGAGATCCTTCTCAAGATCGTGCAGTAGCTACTCATCTCAAAATAAAAACTAAGTTCCTCTTTGTCTAAAACCTTGCACATTTTGGACCACCGTTTTATCCTTGACTTCAGCTCTTACTGTTCTTCCTCTTACTACTCTGCTCCAACCTGGCAGGTGTTATTCCTTTTGTGTGGAATGCTGTTCTCCCACATACCCACAGGAATCTCTTCCTCCCTCCACGTCTTTCTCAGATATCACCTCTGTGAGGCCTTCCTTGACCATCTTGCCTGCTTTTTATTCCACCTTTTATACCCTTTCCCTGTTTTATTTTTCTCAGTTGCATGCATCACCTTCTAACATAATGTTAATTACTTTTAAAATTTTGTCTTTACTACTAGCATATAGTACTGGTAAGTAGTATGTACTCAATAGGTATTTGCTGAATGAATGAATGAAATGTTCTTTTTTTTTTTTAGATGGAGTCTTGCTCTGTCACCCAGGCTGGAGCGCAATGGCGTGGTCTCACCTCACTGCAACCTCCGCATCCCGGGTTCAAGCAATTCTCCTGCCTGAGCCTCCCAAGTAGCTGGTATTACAGGCAACCGCCATCATGCCCGGCTAATTTTTGTATTTTTGTAGACACAGGGTTTCACCATGTTGGCCAGGCTGGTCTTAAACTCCTGACCTCAGGTGATCCGCCCACCTTGGTCTCCCAAAGTACTGGGATTACAGGCATGAGCCACTGCCTGACCAGAAGTGTTCTAATGTAACTTTTTGAATGCTCTTTTTCTCACTGATTTGGAGTGTTACTTTTACACACTGTATGTTACAGAGGTTTTTTTTGTTCGTTTGTTTTTTGAAACAGAGTCTAACTTTGTCACCCAGGCTGGAGGGCAGTGGCACGATCTCAGCTCACTGCAAACTCCGCCTCCCAGATTCAAGTGATTCTCCTGCCTCAGCATCCCGAGTAACTGGGATTACAGGCGGCCACCACCACACCCAGCTAATTTTTGTATTTTTAGTAGAGATGGGGTTTCACCATGTCGGCCAGGCTAGTCTCGAACTCCTGACCGCAAGTGATCAGCTCGCCTTGGCCTCCCAAAGTGCTGGGATTACAGGCATGAACCCCGGACTGTTAACAACGAAATTGAAATCTGGAGATACGGGTTTGAATTCCAATTCTCCTACCAACTCGCAGGTAAACTTGGTTAAGTTTCTGTAAAACAAGGTAATACTACCTCCCTCACCAAACTATGGCAAGGTCTGAACGCAACTAGAGACCTCCTGGGTACTAAACACCACGTTCAAGTAACAGATTATATTTGAAACACACAATATAATTATATTTGAAACACACAATATAAAAATATAAGGCTGGCACAGTGGCTCACACCTGTAATCCCAGCATTTTGGGAGGCCAAGGTGGGCAGACGGCTTGAGACCAGGAGGTCCAGACCAGCCTGGGCAACATGGCAAAACCCCGTCTCTAAAAAAAATACAAAAAATTAGCCAGGCATGGTGGCGCACAGCTGTAGTTCCAACTACTCAGGAGGTTGAGACTGCAGTGAGCTGAGATCGAGACAGAGTGAGATTCTGTCTCCAAACACACACACACACACCCAACTTTGCCAGGCCTCACACCTGTAATCCCAGCACTTTGGGAGGCCGAGGCAGGTGGATCACGAGGTCAGGAGTTCAAGACCAGCCTGGGAAAGATGGTGAAACCCCATCTCTACTAAAAATACAAAAATTAGCCGGGCAGGGTGGCAGGCACCTGTAATCCCAGCTACTCAAGAGGCTGAGGCAGAGAACTGTTTAAACCTGGGAGGCAGAGGTTTCAGGGAGCCAAGATCGTGCCACTGCACTCCAGCTTGGGAGGCAGAGTGAGACTCTATCTCAAAAAAAAAAAAAAAAGTTAGAGCCTACATTATGTAACACACACCAAAACAAACAAAAAAGCCAAACTTCCAGAAGGGTTAAAGAGATACACCGATTTTTAAACTATAAAAGAGCACATGGAAGAAAAATACATGTAAGAGGCCGGGCGCAGTGGCTCACACCCGTAATCCCAGCACTTTGGGAGGCCATGGTGGACAGATCACGAGGTCAAGAGATTGAGACCATCCTGGCCAACATGGTGAAGCCCTGTCTCTACTAAAAATACAAAAATTAGCTGGGCATGGTGGCGCACACCTGTAGTCCCAGCTACTCGGGAGGCTGAGGCAGGAGAATTGCTTGAATCCGGGAGGCAGAGGTTGCAGTGAGCCGAGATTGCGCCACTGCACTCCAGCCTACCAATAGAGCAACACTCCATCTCAAAAAAAAAAAAAAAAAAGAAAGAAAAATACACATAAGAATGTTTCCATAATGTTAGGGTGAGGAAGATGAAAAAAAAACAACAAAAAAACACAAAGCCAAAAGAAAAACTACAAACCTGCCTACCTAAAAATTTTAACTCCTGTATGACAAAAAATAAATAAAAATGAATGACAAATGAAAAACTAGGGAAAAAACCATAGAATTGACAAAAGTAATATGTGGAAAATAAAAGTGCTTATATACAAAATGAGAAAAGACATAAATGAATAGACAGCCTGGGCAACGTGGTGAGTTGCTCTCTCTATCAAAAACTTAAAAATTAGCCAAGCCTGGTGGCACATGCTTGTGGTCTCAGCTACTGGGGAGGGTGAGGGAGGAGGATTGCCTGAGCCGATGAAGTTGAGGCTGCAGTGAGCTATGACTGTAGCACTGCACTCCAGCCTGGGTGACAGAGTGAGACCCTGTCCTTCAAAAAAAAAAAAAAAAAAAAGGATAAAGAATTATAAGTATATATTTCACAAGGAAAATACAAATGGCCAATAACCTCATGGAAAAAACAGTGATTCCACTTAAAGGTATCAAGATATTGGTTACCTTCACACATGCACAGATATGTTTGTGGCAGCAGTATAAAAAAAAAAAAAAGTTGGAAACAACCTCAAAGCAGCCAGTAAGCATGGGGAGCCACACCTGTGGATAGCCAGAGCTACAGAAGAGATACTGTTTAACCACCCAAGCAACAAGAAGAACAATATGCTGCTGAATTGGTATAATTCAATTTATGTAGAGGAAAGGAGGACCAACAGAAGGACAGATGGAAGAACAAGATTAAAAAAGATTATGTACGCATTTACATGCATTCAATAGCCATCTAAAAAATACTATGCATCAAACACTAAACAGGCTGGGTGCGGTGGCTCACGTCTGTAATCCCAGCACTTTGGGAGGCCAAGGCAGGAGGACGACCTGAAGTCAGGAGTTCAAGACCATCCTGGCCAACAGGGTGAAACCCTGTCTTTATTTAAAAAAAAAAAAAAAAAAAAATTAGCTGGGCATGGTGGCTGTCGCCTGTAATCCCAGCTACCCAGGAGGCTGAGGCGGGAGAATCGCTTGAACCCGGGAGACGGAGGATGCAGTGAGCAGAGATCGCCCATGGGCGACAGAGCGACACTCAGTCTCAAAAAACAAACAAACAAACAAAAAACGCTAAACAAAGACCATCAGGGGCAGAAGCAAGGAAGCACTACGCTACCATTTAGGCTTTTTTACAATATATTTATAATTTAGGGAGGTGGTAAAAGTTATTTTTAACTTTGAAAGGATAAATATACCTTAAAATGTTAATGTGTTTTGGTAGAATTACGTTTTTTCCTTTTTATATTTTGTTATTTTTGTTATCAGGAGAAAAAAACTACATATACAGTGTTTTAAAGAGAAAAACCTACCCATATCCTTTAATGTATGTGAAAACATCAAAAGCTTACTTAAATTTCTAAAGAAATTTTTTTTTTTTTTTTGGTAAAGAAACAAGGTCTTGCTCTACCACCCATGCTAGAGTGCAGTGGTTTAATCACAGCTCACTGCAATCTCAAACTCCTGGGCTTAAGTGATCCTCCAGCCTCAGCCTCCCAAGTAGGTAGGACTACAGACACACGCAACACTTGTTTTGTTTTGTTTTGTTTTGTTTTAAGAGATGGGGTCTTCCTATGTTGCCCAGACTGGTCTCCAACTCTTAATCTCCAGCTATCCTTCCTCAGCCTCCAAATCTGCCATCCAGCAATCCTTCCACCTCAGCCTCTGGGATGGCTGGGATTACAAGCCACAGTACCTAGATCTCTAAATAATCTTTCATAGAAATAGTAACCATAACTCTTCCTTTCTCAATGCAAGAAACAGACATGAGCATGTCAAGAAAAGAACTAGAGTTTGGAAGGAAATTTACCCCATTGTAAACATGCATGCATATCTCTGGGAGCTGGGATCTAGCGAACTGTCTTACTCACTTTGCATCGATTTAGCCTACAATTAATATGTATTTGTCTGATGATATTTAGACAGGATTTTAGGGTAACACTGGCAGCAGCATAGCTTTCCAATCTCTTCCCACATAAAAGAGCCATAACTAAGATAGCAAAATCAAAATCTGTGGGCACCATTTACAACAAAATTAGGTGACCAGATCCCCCTACAAACCCCCAAATACTCACATGCAGAACAAACACCAAAACTACAGACTAAAGAAGTAAGCATTGCCGGGCGTGGTGGCTCATGCCTGTAATCCCAGCACTTTGGGAGGCCGAGGCGGGTGGATCACAAGGTCAGAAGTTCGAGACCATCCTGGCTAACACAGTGAAACCCCATCTCTACTGAAAATACAAAAAAAATTAGCCGGGCGTAGGTGGTGCATGCCTGTAGTCCCAGCTACTCAGGAGGCTGAGGCAGGAGAATGGCGTAAAACCCAGGAGGTGGAGGCTGCAGTGAGCCGAGATCGTAGCACTGCACTCCAGCATGGGAGACAGAGCCAGACTCCGGCTCAAAAAAAAAAAAAAAAAAAAGAAGTAAGCATATGTGGGCTGGGGAAGTTGACATGGCTGTGACAATAGTCTATGAGATGAAGCAGCCTGGAGAGTAAGGCAATGGCAGCGAGCAAAAAGAAGAGAACGCAGAATATCTGATAAGAAATAATGGATGCAGGCCGGGCACGGTGGCTCATGCCTGTAATCCCAGCACTTTGGGAGGCCAAGGCGGGTGGATCACGAGGTCAGGAGATCGAGACCATCCTGGCCAACATGGTGAAACCCTGTCTCTACTAAAATACAAAAAATCAGCCGGGCGTGGTGGTACACGCCTGTAGTCCCAGCTACTCAGGAGGCTGAGGCAGGAGAATCACTTGAACCCAGGAGGCGGAGGTTCCAGTGAGCCGAGATCACGCCACTGCACTCCAGCCTGGGTGACAGAGCAAAACTTCATCTCGAAAACAATAATAATAATAATAAGAAAATAAGAAAAACTGATAGTGGGAGGAAATAAGGAAGTTACTGAAGTTAACGTTTACCTGTGGCAGCCAGATGGACAACAGCACTATAACAGATATCAAGTCTATTTTATAGGATGGTATCACAGATACAGGTGGTAAAAAGAACAAGTTGTTTTGGAAAAGGCAAGTTTAATGAGCCTGCAGAACAACCAGTAGGAATTTTTAAAATGCGAATCTAAACATCCACACTAATGACACAGACATAAAGTCAAAGAATACAGCAAGAGGAAGACAAAAACTGCAAATCACAATACTTAAGATTGGAAGAGAAGTAGCAAAGAGAAGATGGAATAATCAAGAAGTGGAGATAGTAGCTTGTTAGTCAAGAATAAAGACATAACATAACAAAACAAAACACAAGATGCAGAAAAATGAAATAGGCTGATGACTGAAATGAGGTTTGGGGGTCTGGTAAAAGGAGGTTATTTACTGATGGCCTGGGGTGAAAATCAGGTTTTAATATGTAAGCATAAGGGAAAATAAAAACAAGACCAAGTCAAGAGATGAATAAAAGGCATGGCAGTAGCTTGAGTTAAGAAAGGAAACGGACGTTAAGCAATCCTTATAGACCAGGCCTAGTCTTGCAGCCCCTTTGCATACACACGTTTGATCCTCAGAAGAATTCTCATGTATGCTCTCCTTTGTACAAAAGGGAAAACTTAAGTTGCAATGCAATTAAGTAACTTGCCCAAGGCCACACAGGATGTATACAGAATTTAAAAACCTAAAAATTGGTCTGTAGGCAAAAAAGGAATATTAGAAAAAAAAAAAGAAAATACAAAGCAGAAAAGTTGGGCCAGGCATGGTGACTCATTCCTGTAATCCCAGCACCTTGGAAGGCCAAGGCAGGCAGATCAACTTGAGGTCAGGAGTTCGAAACCAACCTGGCCAACGTGGTGAAACTCCACCTCTACTAAAAATACAAAAATTAGCTGGGCATTGTGGTGGGCGCCTATAATCCCAGCTACTCGGGAGGCTGAGGCAGAAGAACTGCTTGAACCTGGGAGGCAGAGGTTGCAGTGAGCCAGGATAGCATCACTGCGCTCCAGCCTGGGCGACGGAGCGAGACTCCATCAAAAAAAAAAAAAGAAAAGGCAGAAAAGTTGGATTAACTGATAGAACAACATCCCAGGGATGCCCTGACAAAATTATTTTAAAAATTATGTCCGAGCCATGTACAGTGGCTCACAACTATAATTCCAGCACTTTGGGAGGCCAAGGCAGAAGGATCGCTTGAGCCCAGGTGTTGGAGACCCTGTCTCTACAATAAAAATAAAAATTAGGCAGGCATGGTAGTGCAAGCCTGTAGTCCCAGCTACTTGGCAGGCTGAGGCAGGAGGATCACTTGAGCCTGGGAGGTCGAGGCTACAGTGAGCTGTGATTTTGCCACTGTATTCCAGCCTGGGTGACACAGTAAGATCCTATCCCAAGAAATAAATAAAATTAAGCCAGGCACAATGATGCATGCCTGTAATCTCAGGTACTCAGGAGGATGAGGCAGGAAGAATGCTTGAGCCCAAAATTTCCAAGTCTGCCTGGGTAACAGAGTGAGACGTCCATCTCAAAAAAAAAATTTTTTTTAATTTAAAAAACTTTTTAAAAATGAAATACAAAATTTTTACCTAAAGATACATTACGCTACTTCAGAGAAACTTTGAGCCCAAAGACTAGTCTAATCAAGTGTAACTTTAAAAATAAGTTTATTTCCTGGAAATTCATTTAAAGTAATCTAATAGATAGAGATACCACTTCCCTCACATTGTAGTTGAGGACTGAGTAGATATTCAACAAAGTGTTAGCTCCCTGGCACCTTTAATATTATGTTTGCAAAACTACTGAAATTTTTAAAATAGAATCGAATGTCAGCGTTTCCATTTCTTTAAATTAAGAAATATATCGTTGTTCCTTGGTATCCGCAGGGGATTGCTTGCAGGATCCTCCCATACATCAAAATCCACACATACTCAAGACCGGCAGTCAGCTCTCCATATACACTATTCTTGCATCCCATGAATACTGTATTTTCCATCCAAGTTTGGAGGAAAAAAATCCACATATAAGTGGACCCACTCAGTTCAAATCTGTGTTGTTCAAGGGTCAAAGGTACTCCCAATTGTTAACAGTGATTATTTCCTGGTATAAGACTATAGTGGCTCACTTTACACAATATACTTAAGTAACTTTTGAGGCCAGGCATGGTGGCTCATGCTGGTAATCCCAGTGCTTTGGGAGGCCAAAGTGGGAGGATCACCAGAGACCAGCAGTTTGAAACCAGCCTGGGCATCACAGTGAGAGACTCCGTCTCTACAAAAAATACAAAAATTAGCCAAGACTGGTGGCGAGTGTCTGTAGCCCTAGCTACCTGGGAGGCTGACATGGAAGGATTGAGTCCAGGAGTTTCAGGCTTCAGTGGGATATGATGGCACCACTGCACTCCAGTCTGGGTAGCAAAGCGAGACCCTGTCTCAAGAAGTAAATAAATAACTTCTGAATTTCTTATAACAAACATTACTTTTCCAACAAGAAAAATAATCAAGATGATTATTTTATACAGATGTGAAATCAATTAATTTCTAAGAAAAATTTCCATATCAAGATGGTCATTTCCCTGAAATAACTATGAAAACAAGCTAAAAATTAAATAAATGCCTTTTAAATTACATTAGAATTTAAACAAAAATGTATATGGTAGCTTAGGTGGACAGCTGATTTATTTGTATTTAATTATTTAAGCAACTGACAATTTCCAGGACTTAGGGTACCTAAGAAACTGCTGTTTAAGTAAATGACATGTCAGTAAATCCTGTGTGCAAAGTGTACATATCACATTGAATACATGGGAGGAAGGCCAGGACAAAGAATGGCTTACTTACCAATAATTATGAAATAACCTCTGAAAGGTCTTTTTTTTTTTAACATTACAATAGTGACATGGCAACTCCCATTAATTAGTAATATCCATTTAATCAAATAATGACACTCATTATTATAAGCTGTAAGTAAATTACCATATACTATCACTTCTATCTTGGGAATGCTGAAATTAATTCACTTCCTTGACATGTGGATAAGCATGGATGACAGATACAACAGACTTAATGAATCCCATAGTCAAGAGAATAATATTGCCTTGGCATATACACTAGAAAAAATTCACTACACACATCATCATCATGTTCATAAACCAGATCATCTTTCAGTATAAAATTTCAAGTTGTAGCCTCTCTTCTCTGTATGACAGCCTTCTTTCTTTTCACTCTCCTCTGTCCTTCCATCTTCCCTTCCAGAGGCTGTGGAAACAGCCAGCTGCAATTTATTGCAGGTGGCATAACCAAGAAGCTAGAGAGAAAAGAGGCAGAGACTGGAGTAAGCCAGAGGTAACTGCGTCCAGCCAGTTCTCGAGTAGGAGCAACTGAAGCAGAGTGGATAAGGAGGTGTGCAGTGAGGAGGACAACTATGTTCCTGAAGAGGCCACCTGGTCAGTTAGAAATACAAGACAAAGATCATAAGCAGCACCAAAAACAGGAACACAGCAAACGAGGAAAGAGCAGGCAGGCTCCGAGCTGACCATTTAATGAAGCAACACTGGCCGCCGCACTCTACCCATCAAGGCTTGGGTGCTGAGGGATTTACAGTCTTGCTCTAAGTCTGCACATATGAGAAAAAGGGCTATTTTTTAAAAATGCATGTAACATTAAAAGGCAGCTGAGTGAGATAAATAGAAAGGTATGGGAAAAAAAAAAACATAACGTTGGGTACAGGGGTTCACACTTGTAATCCCAGCACTTTGGAAGGCTGAGGCCGGCAGATCCCTTAAGCCCAGAAGTTTAAGATCAGCCTGGGCAACATGGAAAACTCCGTCTCTACAAAACCCAGCTAGGCATGGTGGCGTGCACCTAGTCCCAACTACTCAGGAAGCTCAAGTGGGATGATTACGAGCTCGGGAGATTGAGGCTGCAGTGAGCCATGACAGCACCACTGCATTCTAGCCTACGTGACAGCAAACCCTGTTTCAAAAACAAAAGACTAACACAGGCCTTCCCCTCCCCCTAAAACAAACCAGGAACTAGCTCAGTCACTGAATGTGTCTCAGCCATTATCTAACCTGTCTGTGTAAATGAATGGGTACTTTTAGAATATATGATTAGTAAGGTCTTCTCTGGCTCTAAAATTTCCTGAATCTAATGGATTTAATAATATATATCACACGTGTCACACAGGATGTAGTTACCTTTCTATGTTATGTAAGTTACCATTAGATGGTATGTTACTTCTCAATAGGAAGAGTACAATACAAATAAGAGCACACAGAATCATAGCCTAGCATCAGTACACACCACGCTTCATCATCGTTCATCAAATCCTCTGAGAAACAAATCCTCACAATATCTTCCTTTAAAGCAATTTACGCAGTCATAACAACAAAAAACAATGCCTAAAATCAAACCATCATGCCTCACTTTAAGCACATTGAGAGATGGGGAAATGTGCTTTGTTCACTTGTGAATTTCATTGAGCTTCCATTCTGCTTCTTTCTACAGGACATATTCTAAAGGCATTACACTTTTCTAATTTTCAACAGTCTAAATGAGTTTTCTATATGATATGTGTTTCATATTCCACTTCAAAAAATATAGGTACAGAAAAGGCAAAAAAGTGAATATAATCCGGGGGTCAGTTTCTACGTGGGTTTCTAGGTAGAAAAACCTATCTATGCTGAATGTCAGCTTTATCAAGACCAAGAGCCACCTAGTGGCAAGTGTTATATATTACCAAATCTGCTCAAGCCATATTCATCCAGCAAATAACATTCTGGCAGATGGTAGGTGCTCCACAATTGTGCAAGGTAAGTAAAATAATTGCTCCTTTTCTTATGAAGCTCACTGACAGATTAAACAATCAATTACAGATAAATTTATATAATTGCAGAACAATGTTAAGTGTAACAGAAGTATGCAAAAATAAGCATCCAGCATTTATTAAAGACCTACAATAAGCACAACACTTTGTTAAAAAGGTTCTCTTGTATCTGTTCACCTTACTCAGAACTTTCCCTTTTCTGATTATTTTATCACCAGGTTTTAATTTCAGGTTTTTTCCTACCCTCCCTTCTGAAGGGGGTGTACCCCACTCCCATCTTACCCTTTAAATTCCACACTTCAGAAAAGGGGTAAGGAGAACCTATTTATTGAGCACCTACTATTACCAGAACCAAGCTAGGCATTTTCTTTTTTTTTTTTTGGAGACAGAGTCTCACTCTGTCGCCCAGGCTGGAGTGCAGTGGCGTGATCTCGGCTCACTGCACGCTCCGCCTCCCGGGTTCATGCCATTCTCCTGCCTCAGCCTCCCAAGTAGCTGTGACTACAGGCGCCTGCCAACACGCCCAGCTAATTTTTTGTATTTTTAGTAGAGACAGGGTTTCACCGTGTTAGCCAGGATGGTCTCGATTTCCTGACCTCGTGATCCGCCCGCCTCGGCCTCCCAAAGTGCTGGGATTACAAGCGTGAGCCACCGCGCCCAGCCGGCCCAGTAGGCATTTTCTATCTCTTATTAATCCTCACATCAATACCATGAGGTATTATTTTCTTCCATTTTTTAGACAAAGGAAAAGACCTAGCTTAAGTGAAATGCTCATAGCCACAAACTTATTTTAGTGACTTACAGTACAATTATTCCCAAGTTCCCTACATCACCCTGCCTCAAAAAGAGCTTCTTGGCCTATTCATTCCTAGGCCCACCACCAAAATCAGATTTTGATTATATTTCTCTTATGGTGTCCACCAATTCCAATCTATTTTACACTGTTTACATCCAGCCCTACCTCATCTTAAAACCCTCAATGCCGCCAGGAACGGTGGCTCATGCCTGTAATCCTAGCACTTTGGGAGTCTGAGGCGGGTGGATCACCTGAGGTCAGGAGTTCGAGACCAGTCTCACCAACATGGAGAAACCCCGTCTCTACTGAAAATACAAAATTAGCTGAAAGTGGTGGCGCATGCCTGTAACCCCAACTACTCGGGAGGCTGAAGCAGGAGAATCATTTGAACCCGGGAGGCATATGTTGCGGTGAGCCAAGATCGCACCATTGCACTCCAGCCTGGGCAACAGAGCAAAACTCCGTCAAAACAAACAAACAAACAAAAACCTCAATACCTTACCCTTGTCCTCTGTATCCCTGATTAATATTCAAATAATCACCTTAGGCCATCCATAATCACACCACATTGGGAGACCAAGGCAGAAGGATCACTTGAGCCCGGGAGCTCTGGACCAGCCTGGAAAACATAGCAAGGCTGTCTGTACAAAAAAAATGTTTTAAATTAGCTGGGGTTGCTGGCGCACACCTGGGTTTGGTGGCACACACCTATAGTCCTAGCAACTGGGGAGGGTGAGGCAGGAGGATCCCTTGAGCCCAGGAGGTTGAGGCTGCAGTGAAGTACGACTTTGCCACTGTATTCCAGGCTGAGCAACAGAGCAATGAGACTGTCTCTAAAAAACACCAACCAGCCAAAAAACCAAATAATCAGGTTAGCACTCAAGGTCTTCCAAGAGGCTCCCAATTACTTTTCCAGCTTAATTTCCCATCACTCCCTATCAACTCTCACCTTTTCTATGAACTCCAAATGAAGATAATCATTTACATCTGTGTTCCCACCAACACTAAATATCGGTTACAGCACTTACCATAATCTCCCTTACACAATAATTACCTGTGTACACTCTACCAAGTCATGAGCTTCACCAAACCATTTCTTAGCCATCTTTATAGGACCAGCACAAAGAGTGTCTTATACCTAATAAGTGTTCAACTGCTTATTTAATAAATATATTGTTATTAAAACAATACTAAAAGGAGAGCCACTAAAGCATGGTTATACTATTAACATTTTCCTTAACACCCCTCCTACATGTCTTAGGACCCCAGTGTTTCTGCTTACTCCAAATGGTGTATGGATTAGGAGCTTTGTACAGATCTAGGTAATTTTTTGCATGAAAAATGTTATCAAATTAAAAAAAAAAAAAGATGTGAAAAAACATGCTGGCAAAATCAGGCACAATCTTTGCAGATCTGCAGTTTTCCAAAAGGGAACATATACCTTTGTTCTATTTATGCAAACCAGTCTAAAGCTAGTTTGTACTGGAGGAAATTAAGCTATGTCCATAATAGACTGTTCACATTATTTTAAAAAAACTACAATATTACATTTATATTTCATAAAGCAATACTGTACTTCTATAACACAATATCATACTTATAAAAAAGTTTTATAGAGTGAAAAACTTTTTTTTTGAGACAGGGTCTTTCTCTGTCACCCAGGCTGGAGTACAGTGGCATGATCACCATTCGTTGCAGCCTCAAACTCCTGGGCTCAGGCCATCCTCCTACCTCAGCCTCCCAAAGTGCTGGGATTACAGGCCTGAGCTACTACTGCGCCCAACATTAAATATTTTTTCTCCTGTTATGTAAACTTTTTATGAGAAACTACTCTTATCACTTACAACTCTGATTATCATCTCATTAACAATGCACAGATAATCATTAGCTCTTAGGCTAAGACTACTGAATACAAAAAAAAAAAAAAAAAAAAAAAACCTCCAGGGTCAACTTGATTCTCTAGTGTATTCTGCTTCACATCAAATAGATGCAGTTTTCATTGCAAGGCTTTTGCAACTCAGAATGCATTAAAAAAATGTGTTTTCTATATTTTATTTTTTGTAAACTTAAAATAGTATAAATATTCCCAAGATTGCCGTAAACTTCACCAATATGACTGAAAAGCTCTCAAACTTACCATTATGCATTGTCTCAACACAACAAAATTACACAAATATCTATACGGATAGGTAATTACTACCACTTACAGTGCCTGTGACGCCTTCCCCAACCTCCTACAGTAAATATGACATGTTCGGAAATACATTACCCTTTTTAGACCATTAGGGTATCATTTAATTCCCTTAAGCAGCAGGTCTAATGAGGCATAAGCAACACCATGATGTTGTGCCAGGCCTAAGAGGCATACAGAACTGTGGGCAGGATAAGAGTCTGAGAGATAGTAGCAGCTAGACATTCAACATTCCTACATTGTTACAGCTGCCCAAGCAGAGAAGAGAGCAGTAAGAAATAGACCCCAAAAAGCTGGGGGTGACTCAATGACAACATTCGTGGTCAAGCAGTAATTTAACAAATATGTCTGCTTAAAATGCCAAAGCACATATTTCAAGGGTTGCGGTCCTCTGCACCAAATACATTGCTGCCTTCCTAAAACATGACCCACAAAACCACAGCTTGCAGTATAAAAAGTCCATCTTGAGCCCTGCTCAAGATGAAAGGTTACCAGAGGAAACTGATTCTTATAGTAATTAAAATATTTGTATAGAACGCTTTACTGTTTACAAGTCACTTACACATACACTGTTTCATTTGACCTTATTTCACAAAATTTACCTTATTTGACAGTCACAATGTGCCTGACAGATAAAATATAATTATCATCCCCTATTTTATAGAGGTAGAACCTGAAGCTTAAAGAAATTATCTGTCAGTAATATGTCCATGAGACCTGAGTCTCCATGTAAATTATCAACTTATTATTTGGTTCTATGGCATGGATTCCCCAAAAAGCAGTCTACAGTGTTCTACGGTTTAATCTAACATACATCCCTAGCCATCTAGTACTGAAAACAGTTAAAAATAATGGAATCTTTTGATAAACACTGACAGCCAATCATATAAAAAACAAAAGTGAAATTTAAACTTGTCAGTTTTATACAAATATAATGTAGTATTTTCTAATAATCAAAAAAAAAAACTTTTGCCTAAGAGCCTTACTATAATGTTCTCAGGGGCTATGAGATTGCTTGTGGCTGAAAATATCAATTCCTCTGGGTACTTCAGCAATTACTCCTTACAGAACCAAAGTCAAATACCTATATATAAATTATACATATATATGAATTAGACACACATATACTGTATACACACAAGCACACACACAATTTTAAAATTGTGCCACATGAACCATGTTGCACCAAGATTTCAAAGCACTGAGTCCTATGTTCAAAAATTCTTTTTGCTGAGTCTCTATCATGTGATAGACAATCTTCTAAGTATAAGAATATAAATGATACCTGCCACCAAGTGACAATATTTGGGTGTGATAATTACAACTTAGTATCATGCTTCCAAGAGAATTATATACAGCATTTAATACTGTATTAAATATACAGTATTTATACAGCCAGGCACCAACTGTAGTCTGGTAGATCTGGTTAGAATATTCCCTTAGTCTTGAGAAATAACCTACTAAGGATCATTACTTTTCATACACAAGAACGCATTAAACTGCTGGGCTCATGCAGAGATGTCAAAATACTTTAATATGACTGAAGCACTGATTATGGAGAGAAAATGGCAAACAACTCAGCTGGAGAAGAGACAGATGAAATAGTTATGGAGGATCCTATGCGCCACAGTAGCTAACATCTTTTGAGCACTTGCTACATGCCAGGAATTCTGCTAAATGCTTTCATACATTATCTCATTTAATCTTCACAACAACTTTCTGAGTTAGGAATAATTATCTTGCAATTGATAAAGAGATTAACTTGTCAATGTTACAGGGGTTTTAACTGGCAGGGGTTTTAAGTGCCAGAGACAGAATTGGAACCCAGTTCAGATTAAACACTAAATGTGAGCTCATAACCCTCCACTCTGTTGCCTCTCTTAATGAACGCTGCTAGGGGGAGCCATTGAAAGGTTTTTAGATTAAGCAGTGATCAGATTTGCTCTTTAGAAAGACTGCTCTGCTACATGTAGAAGCTGGATAAAGGTGGTGACTCTAGAAGCAGAAAGAGGCTGTCAGTACGTCATAGTAAACCAGGTGAGAAATGACAGCATGAACTTCGGCAGTGAGGATAAGGGAAACAAATTCAAGAGATTTTTTAGAAGGAAAAATGATCAGTTCTCAGTAATTAAATGTAAAGGCTGGTGAGAGAGGAATTAGGAATCGTGGCTTTGGGAACCAAACGGAATATGGTATCATCTACCAAGAACAGAGAAGCAACAGGTTTCATTCAGTCAATACGTATCTACAGAGTGCTCCTCAAATGCAAAACACTTTTCTAAGGCCAAGAGTCAAATCTGAAATTATAGTCATGGTTATTAGAATTTATTCTTAAGAGCAAATAACAAAGCACTAAAAAATATAAGGCATATTTAAAATTAATCACTGCTATTAACAGACTTGGCTTAGAGTCCAGTGAAAGCATGTTGTACTACCATTTGTTAAATATTACTACATGCAGGCCAGGCATGGTGGCTCACCCCTGTAATCCCAGTACTTTGGGAGGCCAAGGTGGGCAGATCCCTTGAGGTCAGGAGTTTGAGATCAGCCTGGCCAACATGGCGAAACCCCATGTCTACTAAAAATACAAAATTAGCCAGGTATGATGGTGTACGCTGGTAATCCCAGCTACTCAGGAGGCTAAGGCACGAGGATCGCTTGAACCCAGGAGGTGGAGGTTGCAGTGAGCTAAGATTGTGCCACTGAACTCCAGCCTGGCCACAGAGTGAGACCCTGTCTCAAAAAATAAAATAAAATAAATAAATAGAATATTGCTACATGCAGAAAACAAAAGAGGAAAGGCATCCCATAATTTTATAATGTTATTACATTTGAGTTTGACAGAACTTCAATCTCTTACACCACACACACACACACACACACACACTCACACACGACACATCACCCTGTAATTTGTTTTATTTGTCCCTTTCCCTATAAGTTTATGGGGGGCAGGAATAAAGGTATCTGTTTTATTACCCATATTATAATACATATTTGGGATTTTAAAAAATCCCACTATCGCTACTGTGTCTTGCCAAGAACTTAAAAACCTCCTATTTGACTTCCTATAAAATATGACCTACTTCACATTAGCTTATTTCAGTAACAATTCCTAGACCTTCCCCACAGTTTTCATCCAAGGATGCTCTCTGCGAATCTTAAGGCACAGCAATCCTGTGCAGATGTGGCAAGTTATTATAATTCCCATTTTACTACATAGTTAGGAAACTGGCCCAGGGGAAGTAGAGTAACTTGGAAATAATCACAAAGCCAGATGCCAAAAATAACAACTTTTAGTCAATCCATGAGAAAATACTGCCCCTAGTTGAGATAACATGAAATTTAGTATTAGGAGGAAGCAAAATGCAAAATAATGCTTTAAAGCCAAGTCCTGGGTCTTATTTCTAAAAATGAACAGAAGAATGAGATGTATAATAACTTTCAAACGAAACAATTTTTTCCTAATGCCTTACCCATCAAGGGTGCCAAAGGTTATTTAATGAATTACATCTGGCAAGAATGGCCTGTCAACCAAACCAATTTTGATCTTACCCACTTAAAAAAAACATTGATAGAAATCTGTTGGTATAGGACAACAGATAACTTTTTAACAAACCTAACTGCTTAAAATCTAATGCCTACAAGTGTGTATTAGTACAGATTTGAAAATATTGCAAGTCTCCTGTTTTCTGAAAATATACTCACAGATCCATCAGCAATATGCATGGATAATAAAATTTAAAGCTTTAACAGTTAATACTCAGAATGAAAGTTCTCCAGCCACAACGCATCCAGATTTCGAAATATGCTGCTGTTATAATTTAATTAAAAGCAGTTTTATTTCACCAATCATGTAAGTAAAAGTATTACACGATTTAGAAAGAAAAACGCAACTCAAATGGTAAAAGCGCTTTTATCATGTCTGTGTAATCATTCTTACAGGTACAAGTCAGAGCAAAATACCTTCCATTACTACACAGTATTTACACTTTGCTCCCAGTCAGAGAACCAGTGAGCTCAAGATTTTACCTTCAAAACAATGATTATGTACAAGAACAAGTAAGGGAGACATAAGATTATTGGTAAAACCCACTCAAGCGACCCAGACTGCAGATTTTCACAAAAAAACTTATGTATCAATCATGAAAACATGGTTTTCCATTAATTAAAACTCAAACTACTAATTCTAATCACAGCCAGAAAAAAAAGTATTTTCCAATGCTCCAATACTCGTTAGAGTAGATCTCGTATGTCCCCTATCAACAACACTTCACTATTGTAGAACTTCAGTTTGTAAATGAAATGACACTCCAAATGATTTTATGGGTAACATACCTTCTAAAAGTAGAGATCAACCAGTAGAAAAAAAACAAACTCTTGAAGAATACCTTCAGCATAGTAATCCTGGTAAATATAATAACTCTTATTCCTAGCACCCAGAATAACTCAAGTCATTAGAATACATCACACCACACCCCCCACCCCCATTCACACAACCCCAAGCTTTTAGCATTACCAAAACAATAAGAACTCGAAACACTTCAAGGGTTCTTTAACACTAGGAAGTGTCTTTAAAATAATCTCACTACAGGCTATTACGTGTGTGTGTGTATATATATATATAATATACATATTATACGTATACTTTTTAACTGCATTTGATTAATATCTTCCACAAAGATCTTAGAAGCAGTATTCATCGACCAGAAACTGCACTCTTCGGTGCTGTCCTCATTTCAACCCCAATGATGGGACAGAAGGGTTGTCACGCATCTACAGGGCAGCAAAAAGCACATAACTGTAAACTATCTAATGATTAAGAAAAAATAAAACATTTATATAAAATTCCCAAGCGGAATGCCTCTCCTTTTCCTTATGAGGCAGAAGTTACTGATAAATTCTAAATCCAGATTTCTAGAAAATGCTGAAATTCTCCGCCCCAACACTCACAAGTTTTTAACATGGAAATTCACTCAACTCCTACTCACACGCCAAATGAATATCCATTGTGGCTATCTGAAACTATTCTCAAACACTAACAGAAAAACACATATATACATCTTGAGCCTCCTTCTAACCGTCCTACGATACCCTCCAATCATCCTCAGGCAGCCTAGATTGCAAAGCTTCGACAGACAGCTGCCCTTGGCCTACGCCGTCAGGAACCAGGAGGGGGGCGGGGGCCGGGGGGCGCAAGAACCACCAAGAGACCAGATCTTTTTCCAAGGCTACTGTTTCCAAGCAAAACAACCCACGGCACTAAAAAGACGGCGATGAAAATTGGAGACGCTTTAATCCCGAGAGAAAGGGGTGGCGATAGGGGGGCGGGAGGGTACAAGAAATCCCGAGAAAAAGAGGTGCGGAGGAGAAAACTAAGTATCCCATGCATCTTTCAGACCCACAAAACAACAAACCGTAGAGTCTTGTGTGCACTTAGAAGCAGCAGATGGAGTCCCCGGGGCTGAGACAGTTCAGCAGACGTACACCGTGGGTTGTGGATAAATCAACCGATGACGGGAGAGGAAGGGGGTGCCGAGAGAATAAGCCCGTGGATGGGGGAGACAAAGCCTCGGGGGGTGATCCAGGACCATACAGAAAGGTGAGAGGGGACCCACAGGAGAAAGACAATGGAAGAACAATTAAGGCAGAAATCTGGTGCCCGGGCTGTGGCAGGTCACTGGGCTAACGACAAGAGTGTGGCACAACAAAGGGGCACGGGAGGAAGGACAGCGGAGGGGAGGAGATGGAGAGGGGATGCGGGACGCCACGGGTCGGACAAAGCGCCCAAGGCGGCGAAACAAAGGGCCGGGGGTAGAGAGTCGCAGCGGGTAGCGGTGAAAGACAAAGCGCCCGGGGCCGGGGGCACTAGCGGGGCGAAGCGGCGACAACGGCCGCGAGGAACAAAGATGCACGGGGCCCCCAGGCAGAGCCCGCTGGAGGCGCGCGGGAGGCACGGCGCCCGAGGGCCCCGCGCGCCCTGCCGCACTCACGCCCGCACCCGCCGGCCTCGCCGCCGCCGCCGCCGCCCGCCCTCACGCGCTGGAGCCTGAGCCACGGCAGCGCAGAGCGGCAGCGCACGGCCACACGCCGCCGCCGCCGCGCTCGGCGCACGCGACGCCGCCCCCGCGGGCCCCCGAACGCCAAGCGCGCCGCGGCCCCCGAACCCGCTGCCCGCCGTGAGCTGCCAGACGCCCGCAACTTTCCCGGTTCCCGGCGCTCCGATTCCCTCAGACTTACCCTGTCACAACAGGCGCCATCTTCCACAAACTCTCGCCAAAACTCCAACCCTCGCGAGATTCCCCCCGACGCCTTCCCTGGTCCCTCTCCCCCGCCCCTTCCCTTTTTCCTCACTCCTCGATTCCACCCAGCCCCCGCGCTCCCTTTCCCCTCGCCGCCGCCGCGAAGAGCCAGACGCCTCGCGCCGCCCGCAGAGTAGGGGATCCTGCTCGCTGCCTTCCCTGGAAACCTACCCAGGCGATGGAGCATGCGCAGGCGGCTCCTCCGCGGGCGAGCCCTCCGTGTGGTCCATGGGGAGCGCTCCGGTTATCCGGGTTTTAGGACGCGCTTTGAGGGACGTACGTGGAGACTGAGGAAAACCGGAGGGGATTACTACGGGGACGAGGAATGGAGGGGTCAGGAGGCGGGGCCGAGGAGAAGGGAGGAGGGGTCCTGGGAAAATGGGCTGCGTTTCACAGGCCTAGATGAAACACCTCCTCAATGGGTGTTTTCCAAGCGGCTTCCCGCTCACTCTGGGTTCCCAGCTATTTTCATTCATTCAAACGTTCCCTGGGCGCCTCCTTTATGCTAATCTCGGCGTTTGGTGCAGGAGCGCCAGAGATGTCTGGGGTTCGGGCAAGTGACACGTCGGGGACTGTCTTCATTCATTACACCCCCCCATGCTAATGAGGAGGCCCTTCCAGAGCTCCTCAAGCGGAAAACTTTTGCAGTTGAGCTCTCTCGCCTTAGCGTTCTCCTTGGGTGTGAAATGAGGTCAAGCCAAGGCCTCTAGCAAAGACACCCCTAATGGCCACCTCGCAGACACACGCCAGAGCGCGGAGTAGTTCTCTCCAGAAGGGAAAACTGCCTTGGAATTGAGAGCCACATTCTCCCACCTCCGAGTCTGCCCAGAGGACCCGATCAAAGCTCTTGCCGCTCGCGTGCTGCATGGCCTCTCTAAGACCCCATCGCAGCCACCACCGTGTGTGAGCCCAGGTGTGTGTTGAGACCACTACTGCACAGGGAACCGGGCCACCCGAGGGCCTGGCACAGCCGAGGACGCTGCCGGCTGCCCGAATCGCGCTTCAGGCGGCCTGATCCCGGAAGCCCCCGGGCAAACCTGGCCCCACCGGGCATGGAACAGCAGGGTGAAGGGCCCGAATCCCGCCCCCTCCTCCTACCTGCAGCCCCCCATCTTTCCCCTCCTTTGCTCTTTCCTTTCCTAGAGATTCCCAGATCCAGCACTGCCTCCCGCAGGGAGCCCCAAAACCCGGAGAACTGGAATTCGCCGCCCGAAACCTGTTGAAGGCGCTGCAGGATTGGCGCGGCCCGCGCGAGCGGCACTGCGCATGTACCCAATGCGGGCAGTCCAGTCTCACGCTACACCTCCTTCCCACCGCCTTCCACTACTCGGCTCAGACACAACACGGCCGTGGGAAATTTCCTAAACCTCGCGAGAACGTGCCCCTGTTGCCTAAGCTTTCGCCCCAAATCTCGCGGAGCCAAGGCAGGACAGGTGTTTGCCTAGACCAGCTCCGGGCGCCGTTCGTGCAGCGCGTGCCCGGGAGGCGGGCGGCGGGCGGCGGGCGCGGGCGGGGTGGGAAGGGAGCGGCTTGCCGCGGAGGCGGGGCGGGAAGGCGCGTGGCTGGGAGCACGGGGCGGAGGGCGGCGGGGGAGGAGACCCGCGTCTCGCACACAACACGCACACGCCCTGTGACGCTGGATGGAAGACGAGGGGTGGGGAGCCTCGAACGGAGGAAGGGGAAGCCAGGAGGTTGGAAGTCGCTGCCGGTACGGAGAGTGAGAGGTCAGGCTCTAGGGCAGGAGGAGCCCCAGGCCGATCTCCCGGGGAGGTTTCCTGTCGCCCTCCACAAGCCTGGTACTTTCCTAAAACGTGTTAGACACCGCGCCCCCCGCCTCCGGGAGCTGACAGACAGCCTCCAGAGTCGGGTTTGAGTCATGCCTTGAGTCACCTAGTCTGGCCACTACTTCGCTTACTTTGAAACAAGTTCTGATTCCTTAGCTACTCTACTTTAGCAATTGGTTTCTTTTTTTTTTTTTTTTTTTTTTTTTGAGACGGAGTCTTGCTCTGTCGCCTAGGCTAGAGTGCAGTGGCGCGATCTCGGCTCACTGCAAGCTCCGCCTCCTGGATTCACGCCATTCTCCTGCCGCAGCCTCCTGAGTAGCTGGAACTACAGGCGCCCGCCACCACGCCCGGCTAATTTTTTCTATTTTTTAGTAGACGGAGTTTTACCATGTTAGTCAGGATGGTCTCGATCTCCTGACCTCGTGATCCGCCCGCCTCGGCCTCCCAAAGTGCTGGGATTACACGTGTGAGCCACCGCGCCTGGCAGCAATTGGTTGTTTTCTTTCTAATCTACCCGCTGGCCCTGTGAGCTGGGTAGAAAAATAAATAAATAAATAAATAAACAGCTCTGCGCTCTCGCCTTGTTGCCTTGTATAGATTCTTGCTCCCGTTTAAGGACACGATTTTTAAAATTTCTTGTCAGTCTCTTCTTAGCCTTTTGAAGTAATCTTACAAATCAGTTTCTGTTTTTTCCTCCCACTAATATGGCTTTTTTGCTTTCCGTCACCTTTCCGTATTTTTATTGCAATATTCCATTTTACGTATGGCTGCGGCAGGTGCTATAGTGACTACTGTTTTAAATGCAGCCCTTCCTTTTGGATCATTCATCCAATGAGTTCCTGATTACGTAAATTCTTCAATCAGCCACGTTTCAGATTGGCCCTGATGTGGTTTCTATACCAGCCTTAGCCTGGCATTATCTAGGAACCAGTGTCTTCCTGCTCACGTCACAGCCCCGCAAATGTAGAGTTGAATTGAATTTTGATATTTGGAGGACAGTGAGTTCTCTAATAGGAAACCCTGGTTTTTAAGTTGTTTTCAAGGTTTTAGGGGTGTGTGTGTGTGTGTGTGTGCGTGTGTGTGTGTTTGTGTTTGCCTATTGATTATATACACAAAAAAACAGACTTAAAACCATTTGGTGCAATATCTCAGTGCAAGTCTGGCTTGGAACAGGATAGCTCAGGAGGAGGACAAAGCCCTTGGGGCACATATTCCTTGGAGCTGTCATCCCAAGAAGGTATTTCAGTCATGGCCTAGTCCAGACCACTGATCTAATTTGGAATCATGGCCTTCTGAGAGCCCCAGCGACCTTGGGAAGCCATGGTAACCACAAAGGGAATAACAGCTCCCCCTTTTTGCCCTAAAACATGCTCCATCTGCAGCCCTCCCCCATCTCAGGAAAGGACAACTCCATTCTTCCACTTATGTCAAGAACCTTGGAGTCCTTGCCTCCTTTCTCACACCCAAGATACAATTGGACGGAAAATCCTATTGGCTCCACCTTCAGAATATACTCACATTCCAAATACTGTCACACCTCTTTAGCTACTAGCCTAGTCTAACCCATCTTATTTCCCACCTGGTTTAAGGAAGTTCCCTAACTGGTCCTCCCTTCTTCCGTTCTTGTCTTCCCGCAGTCTGTGCTAATAGAGCATTCTCAGTGGCCCTCTAGAACTCCTCCATGACTTTCCCATTTCACTATGAGGACTTAGACAATCTTGCCTACTGCCAAACCCCCCCTGATCTATCTGCCTTCACCTCCTCCTCTACCTCTCACTCTGTGGGCTCTCACCAGTTGCCTTCCTTACTGTTCCTGGGATGCCCCAAGCACACTTTCAGCTCCAAGCCTTTGCTTTTTCCACTACCTGGAATGCTCTTCCCTCATATACCTTATAGCTCATTCCCTCACTCCTTTCTTGTCTTTGCCTGATGTCACCTCCTCAGGGAGGCCTTCCCTGACACCCTTCCCAAGAGGGACTCCCATACTCCTTATCCCCCTTTCTGCTTGATTTTGTCCATGGCACCTATCATTAACTAACATAACATTTATCATACTTGTGTGTTGTGTTTACTATCTGCCTCCTTCCATTATAATGTAATATTAATAAGGGCAAGGACTTTTGTCTAGTTTGTTCATTATTCAAGCCTTAGCTGCTGGAACAATGCCTGCTGTATTATATTTGTAGAATGAATGGGGTGTCTTCCACTTTAGGGCAGAGTAAAAATGATTCTGAAGACTAAGCCTCCTAGGGTTCAAAACAATATTAGGACTAGACTAGCAGTGAGTACTAGCCTGCCTAGGGAGGAGAAAAAGGCATATGGAGCAACCACCTGTGTTGGTTTTTTGCAAAAAAAAAAAAAAAAAAAAAAAAAAAGTCGTCTGGGTTAGACCAGTAGATGAGGCTGCACTTAAGAGTTTCCTTTACTCTCCATTTTAGAACTTCAGGAAAAAAACAACAAAAACACCACTAGCCGGATATGTGTGTGTGTGTATATATATATATACACAATATGTGTATATATATATATGTGTATATATATATATATCAATATGTGTATATATATATCAATATGTGTATATATATATCAATATGTGTATATATATATTATATATATGAATGTATATATATGAATGTGTATATATATGAATATATACATGAATATATATATGAATATATATATGAATATATATGAATATATATGAATATATATATGAATATGTATATATGAATGTATATATGAATGTATATATGAATGTATATGAATGTATATATGAATGTATATATGAATGTATATATATGAATGTATATATGAATGTATATATATGAATGTATATATGAATGTATATATGAATATGTATATATGAATGTATATATATGAATATGTATATATGAATGTATATATGTGTATATGTATATATGAATGTGTATATATATGAATATATATATATATATATGTTGCGGGAAGTCAGGGACCCTGAACGGAGAGACTGGTTGGAGCCACTGCAGAGGAAGATAAATTGTGAAGATTTCATGGACATTTATCACTTCCCTAATAATACTCTTATAATTTCTTATGCCTGTCTTACTTTAATCTCTTAATCCTGTTATCTTCATAAGCTGAGGATGTACGTCACCTCAGGACCACTGTTGTACAAATTGATTGTAAAACGTGTGTTTGAACAATATGAAATCAGTGCACCTTGAAAAAGAACGGAATAACAACGATTTTAGGGAACAAGGGAAGACAACCATAAGGTCTGACTGCCTGCGGGGTGGGGCAAAAAAAGCCATATTTTTCTTCTTGCAGAGAGCCTATAAATGGACTTGCAAGTAGGAGAGATATTACTAAATTTTTTTCCTAGCAAGGAATATTGATAATCAATACTCTGGGAAAAGAATTGCATTCCTGGGGGGAGGTCTATAAACGGCTGCTCTGGGAGTGTCTGTCTTATGTGGTTGAAATAAGGACTCAAATATGCCCTGGTCCCCTGCAGTACCCTCAGGCTTATTAGGGTGGGGAAAAAATCCTGCCCTGGTAAATTTGAGGTCAGACCAGTTCTCTGCTCTCGAACCCTGTTTTCTGTTGTTTAAGATGTTTATCAAGAGAATACGTGCACAGCTGAACATAAACCCTCATCAGTAATTCTAATTTTGCCCTCTGCCTTGTGATCTTTGCTTTTGTCCTTGCCCTGTTTCCTCAGAAGCATGTGATCTTTGTTCTCCTTTTTGCCGTTTGAAGTATGTGATCTTTGTGAACTACTCCCTGTTCGTACACCCCCTCCCTTTTTGAAATCCTTAATAAAAACTTGCTGGTTTTGCAGCTCAGGTGGACATCACAGACCTACCAATATGTGATGTCACCCCCGGCGGCCCAGTTGTAAAATTCCTCTCTTTGTACTCTTTCTCTTTATTTCTCAGACCAGCCAACACTTAGGGAAAATAGAAAGAACTTACATTGAAATTTCATTACATTGAAATTGGGGGTGGGTTCCCCAGTATATACATACATATATATATATATATATATATATATTTTTTTTTTTTTTTTTTTTTTTTGAGACAGAGACTAGCTCTGTCACCCAGGCTGGTGTGCAGTGGCACGATCTCCGTGCTCTGCAACCTCCCCCTCCTGGGTTCAAGCAGTTCTCCTGCCTCAGCCTCCTGAGTAGCTGGGATTACAAGTGCCCACTACCACACCCGGCTAATTTTTGTATTTTTAGTGGAGACGGGGTTTCACCATGTTGGCCAGGATGTTCTCAAACTCTTGATCTCATGGTCTGCCCACCTCAGCCTCCCAAAATGTTGAGATTACAGGCGTGAGCCACCGCACCTGGCATAGATATCTTCATGAGCTGCTAGTGGGAGTGAAAATGGATATAACATCTATGGAAACTATATTAGTCTGTTCTTGCACTGCTATAAAGAAATACCTAAGACTGGGTAATAAAGAAAAGAGGTTTCATTGGCTCACGGTTCCGCAGACTGTACAGGAAGCATGACAGCATCTGCTTCTGGGGAGGCTTCAGGGAGCTTTTACTCATGGCAGACAGCAAAGCAGGAGCAGGCGACTTAGATGGGAGCAGCAGGACCAAGGCGGGGAAGGGAGGTGCCACATACTTTTAAATGACCGGATCTCACAAGAACTCACTCACTATCACAAGAACAGCACCAAGAAGAAAATCCACCCCCATGATCCAGTCACCTCCCACCAGGCCCCACCTCCAACACTGGGAGTTACAATTTGACCTAAGATTTGGGCGGAGACACAGATCCAAAGCATATCAGAAACCATTTGGCAAAATTTGTCACTACCTGTTCATCCTACAATTCCATTTCTAGAAGTTTATCCTATGAATATGCCCACACATGTAAAATTACCTATATTTTGCAGCATCACTGATGGTGGAAAAAAAAATACTGGTAACAAACATCAAGAGATGTCTTTTTTTTTAAATTATACATAGAATGAAAGAGTATATTTATTAATAAGCAGAGGCTGCTTTTTATGTACTTTTGCGGAAAGATCACAAAGTTTAAAAAACTGCAAAACAGTGATATATATATACTTATTTGCGTATATGTGTCTAAAATGTCTCTGGAAGGACACACTAGAAATTGTAAGAATGACTGCTTTCTTATAAAGGACTCTACAGCTGGATGATATAGGTGAGAGAGTGGCTTTCCTCACAGTCTATCTTGGATCCTTTGAATTTTGTACTATGTATATATATTTCCTATAAATATAAAACATAGAAAGGAGGGAAAAGAAAGAAATGGAATAAATGTGCAAGAAGACAAAAATTTACCAAATAAAATTGTTTCCTTCTACTTTAGTAGAATTATTTTTATTTATTTATTTTTTTGGGGACAAAGTTTCGCTCTTGATGCCCAGGCTGGAGTGCATTGGTGCAATCTTGTCTCACCACAACCTCTGCCTCCCAAGTTCAAGCAATTCTTCTACCTCAACCTCCCGAGTAGCTGGGATTACAGGTACATGCCACCATGCCCTGCTAATT
This sequence comes from Homo sapiens, assembly GCF_000001405.40. Classification (NCBI taxonomy): domain Eukaryota; kingdom Metazoa; phylum Chordata; class Mammalia; order Primates; family Hominidae; genus Homo; species Homo sapiens. Next base: position 26,313,684 of record NC_000004.12, on the reverse strand, counting down.
TTTTTTTTTTTTTAAGAGACGGAGTTTTACTCTGTCACCCAGGCTGGAATGCAGTGGCATGATCTTGGCTCACTGCAAGTTCCGTCTCCTGGGTTCACGCCATTCTTCTGCCTCAGCCTCCTGAGTAGCTGGGACTACAGGCGCCCGCCACCACACCCAGCTAACTTTTTCTATTTTTTTTGGTAGAGACGGGGTTTCACTGTGTTAACCAGAATGGTCTCGATCTCCTGACCTCGTGATCCGCCTGCCTCAGTCTCCCAAAGTGCTGGGATTACAGGTGTGAGCCACCACACCTGGCCTTTTCTTTGTATTTTTAGTAGAGATGGCGTTTCTCCCTTTTGGTCAGGTTGATCTCAAACTCCCAACCTCAGGTGATCCGCCCACCTCGGCCTCCCAAAGTGCTAGGAGTACAGGCATGAGCCACTGCACCAGGCATAGAATTATTTTCTAATAGAAGTTATGGTTCCGGCTTGGTGGCTCATGCTTGTAATTCCAGCACTTTGGGAGGCTAAGACAGGCAGATCACTTGAGCCCAGGAGTTCAAGACCAGCCTGGACAATATAGTGAGACTCTGTCTCAACAAAAAATACAAAAATTAGCTGGGCATGGTGGCATATGCCTGTAATCCCAGCTACTCAGGAGGCTGAGGTGGGAGGATCACTTGAGACCCTGAAGTTGAGGCTGCAATGAGCTGTGATTGCACCACTGCACTCCAGCCTGGGCGAGACAGAGAGAGAACCTGTCATCTGTCATACACACAGAGAAAAAGTTACGTATGTGACCTATCATCTTAGTAGAATTAAAACAGCAGAACTGCCTCGTGGTTCATTCAAACAGCATGTTTAGATTACCTACCACTGCAGGTCAGGCATCATCTTGATATTTTACAAAAATAGACAGCACAAAGAACCCAGCCTCTAAGGACTCCCTGTCTAAAAGAATACACAGACCAGTTGCAGTGGAATTCTATGATAGGAAAGAGATAAAAGAGTTTAACAGCTTGGGGGTACAATGAAGGAAGACCTAACTCTTGCCTCATGGGCCCAGTCCTTGCAGAGATGACTTGGTAGCTGACTTACTGCAGTGGGAGTTCAGAAGACAAGAATAGGAGGAAGCATGACAAGCACAGGAAACAGCACGTTCAGGCTCTGAGGTGTGAAAGAGCATCTGCTATTCAGGGGAACTCCAGGTGGGGGGTTGATGTACATAGAATAGGGAAAGGCATTCTAAGCAGGGTCATAAGAAGGCCCTGGTGGCCGGGCATGGTGGCTCACACCTGTAATCCCAGCACTTTGGGAGGCCGAGGCAGGCGGATCACGAGGTCAGGAGATCGAGACCATCTTGGCTAACACAGTGAAACCCCGTTTCTACTAAAAATACAAAAAATTAGCCAGGCGTGGTGGCGGGTGCCTGCAGTCCCAGCTACTCAGGAGGCTGAGGCAGGAGAATGGCGTGAACCTGGGAGGCAGAGCTTGCAGTGAGCTGAGATCGTGCCACTGCACTCCAGCCTGGGTGACAGAGCGAGACTCTGTCTCAAAAAAAAATAAAATAAAATAAAATAAGAAGGCCCTGGTAGAGCTGTGGTCCTCAGAACTTAGTGGGCATCAAAATCAATTAAGGGCCTGAGTTCCACTCCCTAAGACGCTAAATGAGTAAATTTGGACTGAAGCATTTATAGCAGGTATTTATAACAGGGTGCTCAGAGATTCTGATGCAAATTGTCCATGAACTGAGCTTTAAGATTTTTTTTTTTTAAGACAGGATCTTGCTCTGTTGCTCAGGCTGGAGTGTGGTAGTGCAATCAAAGTTCATTGCAGCTTTGAACTCCTGGGCTCAAGAGATCCTCTCACCTTGGCCTCCCAAAATGCTAGTATTATAGGTGTGAGTCACTGCATGCAGGGAGAATCATTCTTTGATATAGAACTTGAGTATAACCTTTCTCTGGGACTTTCTCACTAAAGGGAGTAATGGCACATAGTTTCTTTTTTAAAAATCAATAAATGAAATATTTAAATAGTAAAAGGGATGAGTTTGGGAGTTCCTAGGTGTGTATCCAAAGGCATGTGAAGCAGCTAGTGGCTCATGAGAGGCGGACATTACAGTTTGCTGTGGTGGTTTAAACACAGTGACACTTTTTTTTTTTTTTGAGACCGAGTCTCTCTCTCTCACCCAGGCTGGGGTGCAGTGTCTCAATCTCGGCTCACTGCAACCTCCACCTCCTGGGTTCAAGCAATTCACCTGCCTCAGCCTCCCAAGTAGCTGGGATTACAGGTGCCTGCCACCATGCCTGGCTAATTTTTTTGTATTTTTAGTAGAGATAGGAATTGATCATGTTAGCCAGGCTGGTTTCCAACTCCTCACCTCAAGTGATCCTCCCACCTCGACCTCCCAAAGTGCTAGGATTACAGGCGTGAGCCACCGCGCCTGGCCCCACAGTGATGCATTTCAACATTGCTAGCTGTGTGATCTTAGACAAGTTTTTTAACTTGTCAGTGCCTCAGTTTCTTCACCTATAAAATGGAGATTGTAGCTTCTAATTCATAGGATCGTCAGAATTCAAAGTATTACTGTTTCAAGTACATAGAACAGTGCTATAACACAATTGTTATAGTAATATTAGTTTTTATCATTACTCAACAAGTCCATAACTTGCATTCATCTCATCAAAATTCTTGCAAAGCATGTCAAAATGGCTGTACTTCAAAAATCAACATCGGTTGGGCACAGTGGCTCATGCCTGTAATCCCAGCACTTGGGGACGCTGAGGCGGGCGGATCACGTGAGGTCAGGAGTTCAAGACAAGCCTGGCCAACATGGGGAAACCCTGTCTCTACTAAAAATATAAAAATTAGCCGGGTGCGTTGGCAGGCGCCTGTAATCCCAGCTACTCGGGAGGCTGAGGCAGGAGACTCACTTGAGCCCGGGAGGCGGAGGTTGCAGTGAGCCAAGATCGTGCCATTGCGCTCCAGCCTGGGTGACAGAGCAAGACTCTCTGTCTCAAAAAAAAAAAAAAAAAAAAGTTAAAACAGGCAAATACAGTCATAATTTTATCTTGATTGGTGTTAATTCATTTTTTTCTCATATCCCCACTCAGAAATGACAATATTATTTTTGTTATTTAATTTCCAAGAGGATCAGATGTACAAAATGTTTGGGAAACCCACTGTAGATAGCTGATAGGAGCTTCTGAGAATACAAAGCAAGGTTTCTTGTTATCAGATTGTGCAGGGGCTCTGGGCCTAAGACAGCCCTGCTGATAGCCCATGTTAGAAACTAGGAGCCGCTCACTCTACAAATGTTTAACTCATGTTTTTTTTGTTCATCTTTATGGTTCTCTTATATTCATAACATTATCCCTGTCATTTTCTACCACGTGTTCATCAAGGTTAATAAAATGTATAGGAAATTGAAAGAGTGCCAAGAAGGATTCCATCAGACTCTGCAATTCCATATAGAAAATAAGCTCGAACTCCAGGATTAAAAGAAATAGAACACTGAAAATGAATCACAGCTTCAGGAGAACTTGAGAAACAAAAATAAATATTCACCGTTTTCTGTCCAATTGTGTTTAATTTTTCACAGGATTTTTTGGCCCTGGCAATTTGAGTTTTTTGCAGGCCTGGGTTAAGTTTTGCTTAGCTTGTTAATATGTGCAGCAGTTCAAGAAGGTAAAGCAAGAAAATGAATGGGCCATTTACTCTAGTGATGTGGAACGTGAATGGAATCAAATGCACATTTGGTGAAAAGAATGTGTACAAATCTAATAATTTGTCAGAAGTTTTTGTAGCTAATGTAATTGGAGGAAAATGTTTCCATGTGTGATTGATAGATTTGTTCTTTTTATAACATGAACAAGTTAAAGCCAGTTAACACTACCTACACAAGAAATGACAACACCATATGAATAATAAAATTCCAGTTATCTATTTATAAGGGAATATACTTAAATTTTTATTTCCTAAACTTTGCCCGTTTGTCATGCATCATATATTGCAGTGGTTTTGGGTTCTGTAATAAGCCAATGTTAAACATCCATAGTTTTAAAAAAGCAGCTGTGGTATGAATGAAAGAACACTGAACTAGCTTCACCACTAGTACTTCTACCACAAACCAAATGCCCAACTTTGAGCAAGTTTATTTTTCCTCACCTGCAAAAGGGGAATATGAAACCTATTGCATAGGGTTGCTTTGATAATTAATTGAGGTATTACATAAAATAACTGGGTACATAGTAGGCACTCAATAAATTTCTTAGGAAATTATTTTACCCATACCCATGTTCAGTTTTGTTATCTGTTAGATGGACTAATAATACTGCCTTAGAGATTTGTTGCATGAATCAAATTAGATAATCGCAGGACACGGTGGCACAGGACACGGTGGCTCAGGCCTATAATCCCAGCTCTTTGGGAGGCCAAGGCAGGAGTATCGCTTATGCCCAGGAGTTTGAGACTAGCCTGGGCAACATAGGACAACCCCATATCTACAAAAAACACAAAAATTAGCCGGGAGTAGTGGCATGTGCCTGTAGTCCCAGCTACTCGAGAGGCTAAGCCCAGGAGGCCAAGGCTGCAAGTGAGCCATGATCGTGCCACTGCACTCCAGCCTGGGTGACAGCACAAGACTCTGTCTCAAAAAAAAAAAAAAAAAATTAGATAATTATGTGGATAATAAATTGAAAGAATCCTAAATAAAATAATGGTATTTAATTTTGGTTGGCATATTTGTTTTTAAAATTTTGACTGTGGTTACACAGGAAATCAATAGAACAGAAAAAAAGATCCCTTTATTTTCTTCTCTGGCCTATGTTACTATTAACCTTGAACACAGATGGCCTTTATCACTCTTTCAAAGAAAGCCTACCAGAAAGGTTTCACTCTTTGCATCTGTATTGCTTGGTGTCAGAGATAGTGTAATGATAAGCATCAACTTGTAGGTATAACTTTTGTGGCTAGCACCCTTGTCCAGACCACACTAAGGACTAAGAAGATCCACTTTGGAACCTGTTTATTTAAGCACTGACAAATAGTAGTATATCAAACAATTCACATCTTGTTAAGTACCTAGCTTTGTGAAAGACAGCTGACTAATAATCCCTTTGAACATCAAAAGCAAAGTTGTACATTGTCTCTTTCAATAGTTGCTGCTGTAATTAGGTTAACAATTTTTATTCTAATTAATTTTTTAAAATGTTATTGTCATTATCTCAACATGTGGGAATTTTTAAAAAGCACATTGTGAAATTACTGCAAGAAAAAAGTCTCTTAAGGTAATTTCTAATCATTCTATTAATAAATATTAAGTACATACTTTGTTTTATACAATAGGTCTGTCTGAAAAGTTTTATCTCAATCTAATAATGATGTATTTCATTTGTAAAATGCATTAGAGAAACTCTTTTTTTTTTTTGAGATGGAGTCTTGCTCTGTCACCCAGGCTGGAGGGCAGTGGCCCGATCTCGGCTCACTGCAAGCTCCGCCTCCCGGGCTCACGCCATTCTCCCGCCTCAGCCTCCCGACTAGCTGGGACTACAGGCGCCCGCCACCACGCCCGGCTAATTTTTTGTATTTTTAGTAGAGACGGGGTTTCACCATGTTAGCCAGGATGGTCTCCATCTCCTGACCTCATGATCCGCCTGCCCAGGCCTCCCACACTGCTAGGATTACAGGCGTGAGCCACCGCTCCAGGCCTAGAGAAACTCTATTTAAAGGAATCTTCAAGACTCCATGTTAGATATTATAACTCGTATTATCCTGTGCTTTTGCTACTTAAATTATTATTTTCATGACTAAATTCTGTCATGATTAGCATCCTATGGAAGGATGGTTAATAAATTATATTAAGGTATTGTTAATATTTCACTAATGGATAAAAACATTTCTCAAGATCTTAACTACAAATAATTTTTCATCTAAGTACTTTGGAAAAATTTAGACATTGATGCATGGTTTGTTTTTTTTCTTCCAGCTTTCCAAACATGTGGCCTAAATTTTACCCTCAGAATAACTTTTGACTTCAGTAAGAGTTATAAACTATCGTCTGGGAGAAGCATTTGGCTCCTACTTTTCTCAAGCCTAAAGTTCTCCAGAAATGTTCTTATGAAATGCAAATCTGATTTTCATCAGCAGTTTTACCTACGTAGCATCATATTTTCCTTCACCAGCAAACACTGAGTATTTTATTTTTAAATAGCATAGCTATATCTGTATTTGCATGATACTTTCCAACTTTCCGAAATAAGCAATGAAACACAGAATCTAGGCAAAAGAAAAAAAGATAATTTAAGAACTGAAAAATAACTTCTGAAAAACAGAGCACATACAGAAGTATTTAGTTTTATGCAATAGAGGGTTTTCAAAAGGTTGTATGCCTGTCTAACATGCAACAGCTTTCTAGTTAAAGGGATGCTGTGATGTATAATTTCCACAGTGACGGTAACTATGAGTCTGCACTGTCTCAAGCCCTCTCACAGACATCAATCATCTCAGTCAGTCCTCAGGACAATGCTGACAGTTGGTAATTTTATTCCTGTTTTTACAGATGTGCCTCGGAGGGTATGATTTACACAAGTCATACTCCTAGAAGTGGGATTTACGATTGTTAGTGAGTTCTTTATTTTTTTGGCTATAACAATTTAAATTATTTTTATTATTATAAACTGATAGAGAATATTTTATGTGAAGTACCCAGAGTATCAAATTATAATTTTAATAAACTATTTAAAGTTACAAAAATGATTTACGAAAGTATAAAATGATGAGAAATGCAACAAGATTTATTTTAAAATATATTTTAAATAGTTAATATATTTAATTTTTAAAAAATCCTACAAACAAGTAACAGTGAGTGGCTGAAAATGGGTGACCAAGACAGGGGCTACTGAATTTTAACCCATTTGAATTTTCTGACACATTTATTAATTAAAAAATAATTCTCAGCCGGGCACAGTGACTCATGCCTGTAATCCCAGCACTTTGGGAGGCTGAAGCGGGTGGATCAGGAGGTTAGGAGATTGAGACTATCCTGGCTAACAGGATGAAACCCCGCCTCTACTAAAAATACAAAAAATTGGCCGGGCATGGTGGCGGACACCTGTAGTCCCAGCTACTCGGGAGGCTGAGGCAGGAGAATGGCATGAACCTGGGAGGTGGAGGTTGCAGTGAGCGGAGATCGCGCCATTGCACTCCAGCCTGGGCATCAGAGTGACTTTGTCTCAAATAATAATAATAATAATAATAATAATAATTCTCCAAATAAATGATAAGAAAACTACAGACCAATACCTCTTATAATATTGACACAAAATCCTCAATAAAATACTGGCAAACGCTCGACAAACTAGAAATGGAAGGGAACTTTCTCAACCTGATAAAAGTCATCCATAGGAAACCTGCAGCCAACATCGTAAGAATGAAACAAGAATTTCCACTCTCACCAATTCTATTCAACATGGTATTGAAGGTTCTAGCCAGGACAATTAGGCAAGATAATGAAGTAAAAGACATCAGATTGGAAAGAAGGAAGTAAAAGTGTCTGTATCTTCAGATGACATGATCTTGTATATTGACATGATCTTAGGCATAGAAAATTTTAAGAACTCGCCCAGGTGCGGTGGCTTACATCTGTAATCCCAGCACTTTGGGAGGCTAGGTGGGTGGATCACCTGAGCTCAGGAGTTCGAGACCAGCCTGGCTAAAATGGTGAAACCCCATCTGTACTAAAAATATTAAAAAAAAAATTAGCCAAGGGCAGTGGCACACGCCTGTAGTCCCAGCTACTTGGGAGGCTGAGGCAGGTGAATCACTTGAACCCAGGAGGCGGAGGTTGCAGTGAGCTGAGATCATGCCATTGCACTCCAGCCTGGGTGACAAGAGTGAAACTCAGTCTCAGAAAAAAAAAAAAAAAAAAAAAAAGAAAAGAAAATTCTAAGAACTCCACTAAAAAATTATTATCTGTACCACTAACACATATATTCAGCCAAGTTGGAGAATACAAGATTAATATAAAAAAATTGTATTCTATATATTTTCAAGGAACCATCTGAAAATTAAACTAAGAAAACAATCCCATTTCCAATAGCATGAGTATTAAATATCCAGAGTATCAAATTAAATAAATAAAGTACTTAGGTATAAATTTTTAAAAAGAAGTGCAAGCTTTATGCTCTGAAATCTACAAAACATTGTTGAAAGAAATGTTAAAGGATCTAAATAAATGGAAAAACATCCCATGTTTATGGATCAAAAGGTATTATTATTAAGATGGCAACACTCACCAAATTATTCCACAGATTCAATGCAATCACTATCAAAATCCCAGTTGGCCACTTTGTAGAAACTGACAAGGACAGCCACAATTTTATGGAACCCACAATAGCCAAACAATCTTGAAAAAGAAGAACAGAGTTGGAGGACTGATATTTCCGCATTTCAAACTTTCTACAGAGCTACAGTAATCAAGACTGTGTGGTGCTGGATAAGGACAGACTTACAGATCAAATGAATAGAACTAAGAGTCCAGAAATAAGCCCTCACATTTAGGTCATTTGATTTTTGACTAGTGTCAAAAGAATTCAGTGGGAAAAGGAACAGTCTTTGCAACAAATGATGCTGGGAAAACTGAATATCTACATGCAAAAGAATGACATTGGGCCTGTAATTCACAACATATTAAAAAATTACCTTAGATCATAGCCCTAAATCTAAAAACCAAAGCTATAAAACTCATAGAAGACAGTATAGGGGTAAATCTTCATAATCTTGGATTAGCAATGATTTCTTAGATATGACACAAAAACCCAAGCAACAAATTAAAAAAATAGATAAATTGGACTTCATCAAAATTTAAAACTTTTGTGCTTCAAAGGACACTATCAAGAAAGTAAAAAAAAAAAAAATACAGAATGGGAGAAAATATTTGTAGATCAAATATATGTGAAATGGGTCTAGTATCGAGAATATATAAAGAATTCTTAAAACTGAATAATAAAAAGACAAATCGTTCAATTAAAAATGGGCAAAAGATCTGAATACATATTTCTCCAAAGATGTGCAAATGACCATTGATCACATGAAAAAATATTCAGTATCATTAGCCATCATGGAAAAAGCAAATCAAAACCACAATGAGATACCATTTCTCACCTGCTAGTGTGGCAATAAGCCAAAAGACAGATAATGACAAATGTTGACAAGGTTGTGGAAAATTGAAACCCTCATACATTGATGGTGAGAATGTAAAATGATGTAACCATTTTAAAAAGCAACCTAACAGTTCTTCAAAGGGTAACGATAGAGTTACTCTATGACCCAACAATTCTACTCTTAGGTGTAAACTTAAGAGAACCGAAAACACGTCCATACAGAAACATAAATGTTCATGGCACCATTATTCATGGAAGCCCCAAAGTGGAAGCAATGCAAATGTCCATCAACTGATGAAGATATAAAATGTGATATATCTAGAAAATAGAATACTATTAGTTTATAAAAAGACATAAAGTATGAAACACACTACAACATGGATGGACCTTGAAAACGTGCTAAATGAAAGCAGCAAATCATGAAAGATCTTGTGGGATTCTAGAATGTCCAGAAAAGGCAAATCTATAGAGACAGCAGATTAATGGCTGTCTAGGGCCCGGCAGTGTGTATGTGGGGATAACTGTGAAAGGATATAGGACTTCATTTGGAGTGATAAAAGTCTTCAAAGTTGATTGTGTTGGTGGCTGCACAACTCTGAATATACTATAAACCACTGAATTTGCACTTTAGGTGAGTGAATTATATGGTATGTGAAGTGCATCTCAATGAAACTGTTAAGCAAAGACAGGAGAGAGAGCAGAAAAAATTAATTTAACTTTATTCAATTACATGCTTTGCTTTTTATATAGTATTTAAAAAAATAGAGACACGGGTCTCAGTATGTTGCCCAGGCTGGTCTCCAACTCCTGGGCTCAAGCAATCCTCCCGCCTTGGCCTCCCAAAGTGCTGGAATTACAGGTATGAGCCACCACGCCCAGCCTAGATGCTTTAAAAATCAAATTAGTATGATTATAAACTTCATATTAATAAGTCATATACTTCTATAAATGTTCAAGTGGGGGCAACTAAATGATAAAATAAACTCTATAGAAAATAAGCAAATAATCATTTCTTTGCTAGTTGACTTACCTTCTAGCTTCATAGTAAGTTCAAGATTATATTTCTTTATATTCTTTTTTTTCTTTCTTTTTTTTTTTTTTTCAGACTGGAGTGCAGTGGCACAATCACAGCTCACTGTAGCCTTGAACTCCTGGGCTCAAGAAATCCTCTGGCCTCAGACTCCTGGGATTACAGATGTAGGCCACTGCACTCGGCTCTGAGATTATTATATATATTTCATAAAGATTATATATATATATATATTTCATATGGATTACATATATATTTCATATGGATTATATATATATATATTTATTCATTTATTATTTATTTATTTATTTATTTATTTATTTATTTATTTTTTGACAGGGTTGCAGTCTGTCACCCAGGCTGGAGTGCAGTGGTGTGATCTCAGCTCACTGCAGCCTCCACCTCCCAGATTCAAGCGTTTCTATTTCCTCAGCCTCCTGAGTAGCTGAGACTACAGGCATGCGTTACCATGCCCAGCAAACTTTTGTATTGTTAGTAGAGACGGGGTATGACTATGTTGGCCAGTCTGGTCTCAAACCCCTGGCCTCAAGTGATCTGCCTACCTCGGTCCCTCAAAGTGCTGGGATTACAGATGTAGGCCACTGCGCCCAGCCAGATTATGTTTCTGACAAGGATAAGATTCCTCAGCCTTTCAGATGTAGAATGATCTTAGTTTAAGATAAAAATAATAGCTGGAATCATTGAGCGCCAACTTAGTCCAAGAGACTTCAAATGGAGATGATCTCATTTGATCCTTCCACACCCCTGAACAGGACTTCTACTTCCCTTTTTATAGCTAAGGAAGCTGTGGCCCAGAAAAATGAAGAAACTTTCCCTAGCTCATACTCACAGTTACAGACATTGCTAGAATGCGAATGCTGGATACTCCTCTGACATTTCTCTATAACCAGCCCTATGCTAGGCCTGCTGGGTCACTTCCTCCCTTATTACCATTGTGAATTAGGACCCCAACGCTGGGGAGACTTGAAGGGTAATAAGCATGCTGATGTTACCTGGAGGACCTAAGATCTAGTACATTACTTGTAGGCCATTCCAGAGAGCTGGAGAAACGGGACTGGGGAGAGGGGAAAGAATGGAGTTGGAAATAGAAATTCCTTGTTTTCAAATGTAGAAGAAAGTATGAAGAAATAGAAAAGAACACCTTAAAGGTTCCTTCCAGCTCTAAAGTTCAGCCAATTTAAGGCTCTATCTTAATGGAGCTGAAGATACCCTACAATTCAGAGAAGTTCCTCTTCTGACTTAGCCTTGTGCTGGGACCCATGATTGAGGTAACTCCTTGACAGCTCCAATGGCTAAGGTTCCATCAGGAAGTGTGTCATCAGACTTTCTCCTTGTTGTTATACTCTTCTAACAATCTGTGCAAATTTTGTCCTTTTATACTTATTTTTAAAAATTATCCTGGCTGGGCTCATTTCTCATGCCTGTAATCTCAGCACTTTGGGAGGCCGAGGCAGGTAGATCATTTGAGGTCAGGAGTTCGAGACCAGCCTGGCCAACATGGCGAAACCCCATCTCTACTAAAATACAAAAAAATAGCTGGGCCTGGTGGCGCACACCTATAATCCCAGCTACTCGGGAGGCTGCAGCAGGAGAATCACTTGAACCCAGGAAGTGGAGGTTGCAGTGAGCCAAGGTTGCGCCACTGCACTCCAGCCTGGGCAACAGAGTGAGACATGGTCTCAAATAAATAAATAAATATAAATTATCCTTAGGCTTCATATTTAGCTTCAGCCTATATCATGCCTACTTCCAGGGATTAGCCCAAATTGCCTCTAAAAATGTGACAAATTGCAAAACTGCTTTTTATTGAAATTTTCTATTATTTTAAAAATGGGCAATACTGCATGTATTTACTGCATGCATGTAAAAAAAATTTAAATTTTTTTCTTTTTTTTTTTTTGAGACAGAGTCTCGCTCTGTCACCCAGGCTGGAGTGCAGTGGCGCCATTTTGGCTCACTGCAAGCTCCGCCTCCCAGGTTCACGCCATTCTCCTGCCTCAGCCTCCCGAGTAGCTGGAACTACAGGCGCCCGCCACCACGCCCGGCTAATTTTTTGTATTTTTAGTAGAGATGGGGTTTCACCGTGTGAGCCAAGATGGTCTCGATCTCCTGACCTCGTGATCCGCCCACCTCAGCCTCCCAAAGTGCTGGGATTACAGGTGTGAGCCACCATGCCCGGCTATCCCTGTTTTTTTATTTGGACCCAGAACAGTTATTAAAGGAATTTAAACAGAGGCCACGTGGTGCAGGAGGATGGGTCAGATCTTAGTTCATAACAACTGGGAATCCTTGGGTATGTTCCTTAACTTCTGGGATCATTTGCAAACCGAGGATAAAAATACTCACCTCATCCATTTGTAGTTAATAATAAGTAACACATGTAACATACATTGCAAAATGCCTGGCACAAAGTAGTCATTGGATCAGCAGTCCCCTCCCTGTTTGGATGTTTTAGGGTGTTCATCTGTAACTTTCTTAAGAAATTAACTGTGAAGAATTCTGTCTAGAACCACAGGTCAGATGAACAGTGTGTCAGTGTAATCTTCTAAATTTGCCATCAGGTAGTTCATTTGTTTCTTTAAAGCCTCTACTCTATCAAATATTTAATACTTATATGACTCAAGCTCTAATGGCTTTATTTATCCTATCCCACTTTCATCTTATTAAATCTTCATCTGTCATCCGTTGATTCAAAAAGAAGAATTTCCTGAACACCCTCTATGAGCCAGGGGCTGTTACTAAGCACTGGAGAGACAGGTCAAGGCCCTTAGGGGACTTGCATTCAAGTATTCGAGTATAGAGACACAGATAATGAAAGAGTAAACAAGTCAGACATTTTAAATAATGATAAAGGTTATGCCAGAAAATTAAACAGGAGTGATCAGTGCTAGAGAGGGAGGGAGGCGGACTTCTATTCAGGTCAGCCGCCCTCTGAATAGTAAATTCCTTTTGCTTAGTAGTACATTCCACCTTCTTAAGCTGCTTTAAGTCTGCATTTCATGAAGGAAGGTTTCAAACAATACAACAACATTTACAATTTTAAGTTTGCCGTTTAGGCTCTAGCACTATGTAGATACGAAGGTCTTTCAGGAGTATAGACTTGGATATTTCTTCCTTCCTTTAGTTAAAGTCTAGATTGGAAAAGAAAAGTGATGAGCATTCAAATTCTGAATGCCAGTTATAAAAGGGCAAAGCCTCCTGCCAACTATTAACATTTATCATCAAGACCACCCACCCCCACCCCTGCCCATACACACACCTCCAGCTCTGCAAGGTGGATGTTTTTATCCCTATTTTAAAGCAGGAAGAAACAAGGCTCCCAAAATTCAAGTGATTTGGCCAAGGACACTCTGGTCAGAAGTGGGCAGATAAGGTGCGATGCCATCTTTCTGCTTCCAAGTCAAGAATCTTTTAATTTATATCTGTTAACCAACAATTTCATGCCATTTCCACTCCTCCAAAAACCTTGCTTCTTCATTAAGAGGTTTGTGTTGAAAACAACAACTGGGCCAGGCGCGGTGGCTCACGCCTGTAATCCCAACACTTTGGGAGGCCGAGGCGGGTGGATCACCTGAGGTGAGGAGACCAGCTTTGCCAACATGGTGAATCTCCGTCTCTACTAAAAATACGAAAACAAAAAAAAAAATTAGTCAGGCGTGGTGGCAGGCATCTGTAATCCCAGCTACTTGGAAGGCTCAGGCAGGAGAATCGCTTGAACCCAGGAGGCAGAGGTTGCAGTGAGCCAGGATCTCGCCATTTCACTCCAGCCTAGGCAACACGAGCGAAACTGTCTCAAAAAAAAAAAAAAAAAAAAAAAAAGCACACAGTCTTAACTATCTTTTCTTAAAATCTGCTCGTTATTTGCCAGGATAAAGCAATTCCTATTTGTGTATTATAAACTTAATACAATTTATATGCCGAAAATCTTTTTCCTTTCTTTCTCCCACATGAGGCATTTTTATGATGATTAAGAGGAAAACAGCCTAAAATGCTATATTAGTTCACAAAATTTCTCAGAATGGTGTATGAAAACTGAAACTGAAACATTACAGAGGTGGTGAAATCTACTTATACTCAATTACTTAAGGGCAGAAAAATATTAGCTACCATATCAGTGGCTACAGATCTACATGATGTGTTAATACTGATATTAAAAATAAGCATGAAATTTGGGTGAATCTTCTAGATAGGGGTGTTCTTCTAAACAGATTTAGAAAAGTTGATGAATTTGTAAACCATTAAAATTAACTGAGGGATAAAATGAGAAACGCATAGGATATCATCATATTAAACTTTCCTAAGAAAGTAAGAATCATTTTGAAATGTGATTGGTTTCCATCTTCTTAGTTGGCTCTGCCCTGACCCCAACTCCTTTATTTTTTTGAGGTAGAAAGTATGTCCTTGCTACATTCCTTTTTTGGAGTTCTTTTATTTCATTCTTTTGGAATCGGAGAGAAACAAGTTGCTGCCCCAGGAAAGCGTGCATTTTCGGAGGTACGAATTCAGCTTTCTCTGACCTACCTTTTTTCTTTGAAGCGTAAATTTTAAATGTGCCTTCAATGGTTAGTTTTAGTTCTTAAATTGATTTCACAGGTTTACTTCTTCATTCAAAAGCACTTCTTCAGAATATTATTTTGTACGTTGATAACTCCTCTGGTCTTCCTGCCTCTAAAATTTGGATTTTCCTGGCTTGATGACATAAGTTTTGGCGTTGGCCTTTGTCCTTTCCACATCCCCCCAACAACCCGCCCTGAATCAGTCTCCACTGTTAATAATACCAAACTAATGTGCTAAAGAACAGGCTTGTCAAGCACACTGCTTTGATCTTGAGTTTATAGGAATTTGTAAGCCAGAATGTTTGCTCCAATTATGGTTATAATGAACAAATACTAGGTTTTAAAAAGATCCTTTTAATACTTCTTCCTCTTCACTTACTGTAAAGAGTTTAGGTTCTCTGGGAGGCACACAACTAATTTAACTTTGCCCATCTCGTGCAGATCCCCCGTGGAGTTTGTAAAACTGCAACCCATAATCTCCTCTTCAAAAAAACACACTGATTATTTGTGCTATGCTAGTTCCAAATATTACAATAGTTTCTGGATTTTTGCCACATTCCTCTCTAGATGGTCATTTGGGAGACTTTGTTTATAATGTGTGTTTTGAATGAAATTTTAAAATTCCAAGACCACAGGATGTGAGACTCAATTGTGAGTTAAACTTAATTTTGCATTTGTTCAAAGAGGTCCTACTTAGGTTACAACAATAGCAAACATTGAATAGAAAATGAGAGAAGGTATTTTTTTTTCCCAAGGATTAGTGTTTGAAAAAAAATATGAGGGAAAGCATGCTATTTTCAAGGATTAGTGAATGTTTTCAAAATGGCCTACGGCATTCAGTTGGTGGTTCAGGTGAATTAAAACATTAATCCGTTTCATGGAAATCAGAAGAAACATTTGTATCAGTGATTGTGCTAATTGTCATTTTAAAATTAGAGACAAAACCCTGAATTTTAAAATAGTACCTCCCTTCCAAAAAAGAAAAGTTAATGGAGATGAACAGTATAATAGCATTTAAAAAAAAATTAAGGCAACATTAGAAAGCTCTCCTGGGACTTTTTCCTACTAATCAATTCTGGGTGGTGGTTTTTTTTTGTTTTTTGTTTTTTTCTCATATTCTTTGTTTATTTTAGAAGCTGCTGCTCATTAAACAACTGGCAGAGATTTTAGGACAAAATGAATTGTTTTTTAAAAATAGATAAAAATTTTCTTTTTTCTTTTTCTTTCTTTTTTTCTTTGATAAATTATAATTTTCTTGCATCTGGTTTCAACTTCAAGTTTTTCAACTTTATAAATGATAGACTAAACCAGGGTGTCTGACCAGCTGTTTTATGCTCTGTCTCTTTAGCCAGTCGCCACTTGGACATATTATTTTACCCTCTGCTACTTATAAAAAAGGTAACAGGTAATGAACACAGAAACACAATAACACGTGGAAGCGAAGGCCAGCATCTTCCATCGACATTCTCAGTCACTGCTGGATTTCTCCTCAAGATGTTTCTGTTTACATTCTCCCTATACATCCCCCCCATACACCGTCTCTCTCTGTCTCTCTCTCTCTCTCTCTCTCTTTCTCTCGTACACACACACACACACACACAAAGTGATTTTTTAAATTTATTTGTTTATCTTTGAGACAGGGTCTCACTCTGTCACCCCGGCTAGAGTGCTGAGTGCTGTGGTGTGCTCACTGCCCACTGCAGCCTTGACCTCCCAGGTTCAAGTGATCCTCCCACCTCAGCCTCCCAAGTAGCTGGGACTACAGGTGTCTGCCACCACGCCTGGATAATTTTTTAAAATTTTCATAGAAACCGGGGCTCGCTGTGTTGCCTAGGCTGGTCTGAAATTGTTGGGCTCAAGCGATCCTCCTGCCTTGGCCTCCTAAAATGGTGGAATTACAGACATGAACTACCGTGCCCAGTCCACAAGTGATTTACATGACACGACCTTTCTGGAATTCTATAAACACAGGATATGCAACACGGGTTAACCACTTGTCTAGGAAAGAAAACAAGCAGAGAGTTGCCCACAGAACACATCTTAACATTTGGGCTTCTATGTATGCCAAGAAAGTGATCATTTTGAGTCTTTGCCTGAATAATACCAGGACCTTGAAAGCGCAATTGCTATTTTAAATGGATGTTGCTTATTAACAGAATACAGAATGAATTATGGCCTCTGAATTAAGCTCTTTTATTGTTGACCTTGCTCTTCAGAGAGGGTGTGGTAGGTAACCAATGACAAGTATGTAGCGTATATTAGGTACAAAGAAAACTATTCTACTTGGTCAAAAATAGAATATAAACATGAATGGAACTTATTAAAATAAAACTATTTGTTATTCATCAAAGTAAAGAATAAGATATTTAATAGTCATATATGCCAACCTCCTTAAAACTTGTATGAAATAGAGCGGCGAATAAATCATTAAATAAATGCCCTAAGTATTGTCCTTCTTTGCTAAACCATTTGATTGACATTGAACCTGATTAATATCACCCTAACTTAAGGACACCATCCACCGTCCATAAAGCCACATTCTGCTGTTGAATGTAGCTTTATGCTCAGCAGCTACATTCAACAGCAGAGTTTTAAGCTCAAGTCTTCTCCCAGCTACCTAATGCTAAAAAAAGAAAAAAAGAGCATTGTTAGAGGTGGGGTAGGTAGGGATGTGACTAACAGCCTTGTGTTCCTGTAATTATAGCGGGAGATTGCTGTGCCAAATATTAGGAACTTTTCTGTTCTACAGAAGAAATTACATCAGGAAGCTCAGCAACTACTGGTAATTACAGAAATTGCCAGTTCAAGGAATCCAATAGTCCCTCTAAACTCCACTTAAGACAGGCCCAAAGGAAAGACATTCAGTGGAGGTAGAGGAAGTGCTTTCTCTCCATTCACATTTATGAACTCATTTGGGCTCATTAATTCAGGTGCTCTTATAGTAGTTCTAAATGGGAGGAATCTGTTTTCTCCATTACTGATATCAAATGAGCATTGCAGGAGTGAAGTGATTTACTGTGGTTATACAATTATATCCTTCCTCTAATTTCACCCCAGGGGTTAACTACAGCATCAAAATCTGAGAGTGGATTCAGCAGAGGGGCTCAGATTGTAGAGGCAGGAAATCCCTAAACATCCTTGAATCATATGATTATTGGACCAGCCCACACTGAGTGGCTGAAGATCCACAATTAACGGCCCTCATCCAAGTCCCAAATCAGCCTTGAGCTTGATGTCCTGATGCCACAGGGCTATGGGGAAGGAGGTGACCTCCAGAAAACCTGCTGCCTTTACAGGACCAATTCTGAGAATTGGGTACAGTTGGGTAGAGTGTGCCTTTGAAATCTCTACCCATTCTTTCCTCTCTTCTACTGCCATTAGTATCTTCCTTCCAGTCACATCTCATCAGGGTTTTGATCCTACACTCCATCACATTAGTGCCCAACTTTCTGCTTCCTAAAAAGCAGACTGCTACTTTTTTAAGAAGCAGAGAGTTGGGCACTAATATGTCCACTACTACTACTACTGCAACAACTACTAGCATTAACTACTTACAATGAGATAAAACAATTCATGCCGTGAATGGAAGGGAAGAAGCATCTTTCTCCCTCACACGTATGTGCATGTGTGGAAGACCCACACACACCCATGCACACACACACACCCACACACACACACACACACACACACTGATGCACCCTTTCTTCCTGGACAACGGCCATATACTTGTCATTTCATTCCACAAAGTCATTCTCATTGGAGGAAATGTAAGCCTAGTGGAGGGGAGAAAAATGTAATGTCTTGTCATTTCCCTGCTGAAATGTTTTCAGTGATTTACGGCTCTTTGTCCCAAAGCCCAAAACCCATTAATCCAGAGGAAATGTCCAGAAGGGATCATTCCTAAGAAGGGCAAAGCCTGGTGAACAGAGTAATACCCTCCAGGGGTTCACGGTTTATCCCTGATTCCTCTTTCCGTCATCAGCCCTATCCAACCCGGTGGCAGGTCTTGTTAGTCCTATTGTTAAACTATGCCCACATGTAATAATTTTTTTTTTTTTTTGAGACGGAGTCTTGCTGTGTCTCCCAGGCTGGAGTGCAATGGCGCGATCTCAGCTCACTGCAACCTTCACCTCCCAGGTGATTCTTGTGCCTCAGCCTCCCGAGTAGCTGGGATTACAGGCACACACCACCATGCCCGGCTAATTTTTTTGTATTTTTAGTAGAGACAGGGTTTCACCATGTTGGCCAGGCTGGTTTTGAACTCCTGGCCTCAAGTGATTCACCCACCTCGACCTCCCAAAATGCTGAGATTACAGGCATGAGCCATTGCACCCAGCCTACATATAAAAATTTTGACCATCTTCCTTCTACGCCCTAGTCCGGGGCACCATCACCTCTTTCTAGGTACCTGTGTTACCTTCCCTGCTTCTCCCGACCTCTACTCCACTCCCGTCCCCTACAATCCACTCTCTACACGACATCTGGAGTACTTTTAAAAATGTAAATCAGATCATCTTACTCCTAAATTTAAAACTTCCCAGCCGGGCGTGATGGCTCATGCCTGTATTCCCAGCACTTTGGGAGGCCAAGGCGGGTGGATCACAAGGTCAGGAGTTCAAGACTAGCCTGGCCAAGATGGTGAAACCCTGTCTCTACTAAAAACTACAAAAATTAGCCAGGCATGGTGGCAGGTGCCTGTAATCCCAGCTACTCGGGAGGCTGAGGCAGGAGAATTGCTTGAACCCGGGTGACAGAGGTTGCAGTGAGCTGAGATGGTGCCACTGCACTCCAATCTGGGCGACAGAGTGAGACTCCATCTCAAAAAAACAAAAACAAAAACAAAAACAAAAACAAAAACAAAAACAAAAACAACTTCCTGGCCGGGTGCCATGGCTCATGCCAGTAATCCCAGCACTTTGGGAGGTTGAGGTGAGCAGATTACCTGAGGTCAGGAGCTCGAGACCAGCTTGGCCAGCATGGTGAAACCCTGTCTCTACCAAAAACACAAAAATTAGCTGAGTGTGGTGGCACATGCCTGTAATCCCAGCTACTGGGGAAGCTGAGGCAGGAGAATTGCTTGAACCTGGGAGGCAGAGGTTGCAGTGAGCAGAGATCGTGCCACTGCACTCCAGCCTTGGTGACAAATCGAGACTCCATCTCAAAAAAAGAAGAAAAAAACACTTCTCATATACATGTCTATTATTTTTGTCATTCCTGAATTGTTTTGCCATCATAATTAGCATTGGAAAATCTTTTAATATAAAAACTCTGTGCTTTTTATTTTTTTATTTCTTATTTTGGAGACATGGTCTCACTCTGTCACCCAGGCTGGAGTACTATGGCACAATCACAGCTCAGTGCAGCCCCGAACTCCTGGGTTCAAGCAAACTTTCTGCCTCAGCCTCCCAAGTAGCTGAGACTTTAGGCATGTGCCACCAGACTTGGCTAATTAAAAAAAATTTTTTGTGAGGACAGGATCTCACTATGTTGCCCAGGCTGCCCTTGAACTCCTGGGCTCAAGCAATCCTCCTGCCTCAGCCTCCCAAAGTGCTGGGATTACAGGTGTGAGCCATCATGCCAAGCTGACTCTGTGCTGTCTTGCAATAAACAAAATAAAAAAAAAAAGGAAGCTGAGGGCACCACCTTCCAGATGCAAGAGATGGGGTGAGTGGTAACACCTAGTAAAGGGGGGAAACCTAGCAAAGCCCTGAGGCCTGCAGCTGAGGAAGAAAAGGGAATGCTAAGAGCCTACTTGGGCCTGAGGAGGAACCTGGGTTATGCAGTAGAAGGACCCCAACTGGCCTAAGAGCCCCTTCAGAGTGTGGCTTCTGCTTACCTTTCCAGCCTACTCTCCCATTCTCACTCCCCTCCCTGTACCTTGTGCTCCAGCTATATCCAAGTGTCCATAGTATACAGATCCAAATATGCTATCTACCCTAATGAACCAGCAGTCCCATTTCTGGGTATAACATCAGAAGGAAACCATATATCAAAGTGATATCTGCATGCCCATGTTCATTGGAGCATTATTCACAATAGCCAAGACATGGAAACAACCTAAGTGTCCACTGATGGATGAATGGATTAAAAAATTGTGATACACATATATATATATAAACACACCATATATATATATATGTATATACCTCACACATACACACACACCACAGTTTTTTAATACATACACAATAGAATGTTATTCTGTTAGGATTTTGGCCAGGCTCAGTGGCTCGCACCTGTAATCCCGGCAATTTGGGAGGCCAAGGCAGGTGGCTCACTTGAGGTCAGGAGTTTGAGACCAGCCTGGCCAACATGGTGAAACCTCGTCTCTACTAAAAATAACAAAAGTTAGCTGAGCCCGATGGTGGGCGGCTGTAATCCCAGCTACTCGGGAGGCTGAGACAGGAGAATCGCTTGAACCCGGGAGGCAGAGGTTGCAGTGAGCCGAGATTGTGCCACTGCATACCAGCCTGGGCAACAGAGCTAGACTCCATCTCATAAAAATATATATATTATTCAGTCATAAAAAAAAAGTGAGGAAATTTTGCCATTTGCAACAACATGGATGCAACTTGAGGCCATTATGCTAAATGAAATAAGTCACACAGAGAAAGGCAAATACTGTGTGATGTCACTTTTATGTAAAATCTATGAAGTTGAACTCATAGAAGCAGAGAATAGAATAGAGGTTGCCAGGGGCTGAGGAGTAGGGAAAATGGAAAGATGTTGGTCAAAATGTACAAACTTTCAGTTATAAGATGAGTAAGTTCTGGAGACTAAATATAAAGCATGGTGGCAATAATTGCCAATACTGTATTGCACACTTGAAATCTGCTAAGACATTAGATCTTAAATATTTTCACCACACATTAAAAAAAGTAAAAGTGTGACGTGAGGGATGTGTTAACTAACTTGATTGTGGTAATCATTTCACAATATGTACATATATCAAATCGTCACATTGTACACGTTAAACTTGTATGGTTTTATTTGTCAAGTATACCTCAATAAAACTGGAAAAAATAAAAATATATGTAAAACCTTAAAAAACAAACTGAAGGGCTGGACGCAGTGACTCACACCTATAATCCCAGACCTTTGGGAGGCCGAGGCAGGTGGATCAACGGAGGTCAGGAGTTCAAGACCAGCCTGGCCAACATGGTGAAACCCTGTCTCTATTAAAATACAAAAATTAACCAGGCATGGCAGCGCATGCCTGTAATCCCAGTTACTCAGGAGGCTGAGGCAGGAGAATCACTTGAACCCAGGAGGCGGAGGTTGCAGTGAGCAGGGACTGTGCCACTGCACTCTGGCCTGGGCGACAGAGCGAGACTCCATCTCAAAAAAAAAAAAAAGTCATTCATACCTGCTTGTCTTGTCACTCATTTCCTTTGCTTAGAAGGACCTTCCCCACCTTTTCTTATTAGTGAGTATTTATTCTACAACTCCCCAGAATAGATTTCCCACATGACAATTTGATGTCTTGATTTTCTGCCCTTGCTCTGAAGCTTGTACAATTGTTAAGACTGTTCTTGGACTCTAAATGACAACTTTGTGATAACATCCTTCAGTACTTTCCCAAATTTTGAAGTTTTCTCTATGCCATGAAAATTAATATTTGTATTTCTGTTGGATGCAAAAAGTTATACTGAACAATATCCTGTTGTGAATAGACCTCAATGATGCAGATGTTAACCCATAACCCAGAAGAGAATCTTAATATACTAGTCATTCCAACAAGTGGCTTCTCCCCCTACTCGCCTCTTTCTCTGGACTCTGGATTGTTCCACAAAGATTAACACTCATTTTCTCTGCTTTTTTTCCATGCACATTAATTTTGTCTTTCTGCAACACTTCTGAAGCAGGTATTATAGAAATATGGGTAATAAACAGAGAGCAAAGCCTTCTAAGTGAATACCTATTTGCTCACAGCCAGTAAACAGCATTCAAGGGGAATGCTTTCTATTTTTTAAAATGAAGGATTATTTACTTTAGCATATCTGCTTTCTTAGAGGAAGACCAGCTGGTTTAAGAAATAAATAAAGGCTATTAATCTTTATGTATTTCATTTACGATTCTCTTCTCGAAGGAGGAGACCCATTAATAGAAACCTTTATAAGTACTGTAATATTAAATAAAAGTGCACTAAGTTATCTACTTTTAGAGGAATATTTAGGGTGTAATTTTCAGCCAACTGGAGAGAACCTAACAAAACTCGAGTGCTTAAAAGAAGGCATGTTATCGCTGAAGTTAAACTTGATTTCTTTTATGGCAGAACTGGACAGCTGCTCACACCTGCCTTAACTTTTCTTTTTTCTTCAGCCTAAAGTTATCTATTCCAGGATTCTATGTCATATGGTATAAAGCTTTGGTTTCAATCAGTCACTAACATAGAAGCTTGGATATATTTGGAATTCCTTTTGGGGGAAAAAATTGGCCAAAGCTTTTGATAGCTTTGCTTCTCACACCCAGGCCAAACTGGGCTGGCTCTCTACTGGGACAAGAATGCATATTGGCATCTCATCCTTAAAGCCACAGAGTCACAGCATATTGGTCCAAAAAGGGTTATTACAGCTCATGCGGTCTAACTTTTTTTACTTTTTTTTTTTTTTTTTTTTAGACAGGGTCTCGTTCTGTGGTGCAATCATAGCTCACTGCAGCCTCAAACTCCTGAGCTCAAGTGAACCTCCTGTCACAGTCTTCCAAGTAGCTAGGACTACAGGCATGTACCACCATGCCCAGCTAAGTTTTTTAAGTCACATGTAGAGATGGGAGGTGGGGTCTCGCTGTTTTGCCTAGGCTGGTTTCGAACTCCTGGCCTCAAGCAACCCTCCCACCATGTCCTCCCAAAGTCCTGGGATTTCAGACATGAGTCACCATGCCCAGCCTAACTTATTTATTTTATATTTTTCTTTAACTTTATATTGGCATTCCTTGCTCTCTTTTAGCAAAGTCCTTAATTAATTGACAATATAGAATATTTATATTACAGGTAGGTACCTGTTACAAGATGCCAAGACAAATTAACAAGATTTAGCAGGTCATTCAAGCACTCTCACAACTCTGATACTTGAGAGACAGTCCACCAGACAGATCAACCTTCAATTCCTGTATATTCTCCAAGTTCTATGCCTTAATTTGGTAAAGACATTAGAGAGAAAGGTACCTGGGCCACCTTTCCTCAGCTTCTTCCTCAAATATATTAACCAACTTACAGGTGAGGTGTGTCCTCTGTTTACATTCAGGGTTAATATGAGTACATCTTTTGCAAGCGTGTGATTGAAGATACTGACCACAATGTTAAGCGGTATTAACTCTACACAACTCCACGTGATAAAGTCCTTCTTGAATTTAGCTTCAGGCAATGATAGCATGCATGCTCACTCTTGTCAGAAAGTGAAATCTCTGCAGCCTATCACGCTTCTCTTTTCACCTCTGCTGCCAGAAAGATCTGAACCAAATTTATTGCCAAGTGTTGTAATATGATCATTTCTGGTGCCTAGAATTATTTACTCCTTTTTCTTTTTCTTTTTTTTTTTTTTTTTTTTTTTGAGACCAAGTCTCACTCTGTCGCTGAGGCTGGAGTGCAGTGGTTTGACCTGCATACCACTCTCAGGTTCAAGTGGTTCTCCCACCTCAGCCTCCCAAGTAGCTGGGATCACAGGCACCTGCCACTGTGCCCAGCTAATTTTTGTATTTTTAGTAGAGATGGGGTTTCACTATGTTGGCCAGGCTGGTCTTGAACTCCTGACCTCTAGTGATCTGTCCACCTCGGCCTCCCAAAGTGCTGGGATTACAGGCATGAGCCACCAGGCCCAGCCCTACTCCTCTTTCTTTCTTAAACATTTTATTTGTAAACTGCTTCAAGTAATTTTGGAAGTATGTAAGTTAAACATAAAAAAATTTAATAAAATAGGTAAAAACAATTGGTAGGAAGTAAGGAATAGTCAATCTTCCTAATGAAACTTTTCTGTGCAAAGGCCTTCATGCCAAGTTTCTCATTTGAAGGATGGTGAAAAGGCCTTATGCTTTGTGCTGGGCTTAATCCCCAGCTATACAACTTACTTGTTAAATAACTGTACAAAAGTGACCTCGCTTCCATTTCCTCATTTTTAAGTGGGGATATTAATGCTGTTGTTCCACTGGGGGGTTGTGACAACCCAATGAGAAAACATGGGGAAATACTTTCTAAACAGTGAGTCACTCTAGAAATGTTGGTTGTTATAACTTCCCTGTCTTGCAGGGCTGAGCCACTCTAGTTTAAAGAATACGTGTTTGTGAGGGCTTTTAAAATAAACTCACAAATAAATTTGCAAGTTCTTTGATACTCCTTTCAAGAAGTGGAGCCTAATTCTTCTCTCCTAGGGTGTGGTCTGTAGTCAGTAACTGAGTTTTAGCGAATTCAATGTGGCAGCAGTGACAATGTGCAACCCGTGAGAATAAGTCATTACATGCATTGTGGCTTCCTCCTTGCTCTTGCTCTTAGATCACTCATTGCAGAAGAAGCCAACTGCCATGCCAGAGGGGCACTCAAACAGCTCTGCAAGGAAGTCCCTGTGATAAGCAACTGAAGACTCTGCCATCGGCCATGAGAGCGCCACCTTGGAAACAGATTCTTCAGCCTTAGTCAAATTTTCAGAAGACTGTATGTCCAGCCAACTTCTTGACTACAATCCCTTTATAGATCCCAAGCTAGAACCTCCCAGCTAAGCCACTCCTGGATTCCTGACCCTGAGAAACTCTGTGAGAGAATAAATGTTTATTCTTGCCTTAAGCTCCTAAATTTGGAGGTAATTTGTTACTCAGTGATATGTAATTAAAAATGTCTGTAGTTATCTACCCATCCTTTTGGAGAGCACTACTGAGGACTAATATCAGACTTTATACTCTTCCCAGATGTTATCATTGAAGGATATTCAAGTACTCAAATATCTTAGGATCATTGAGTGGGAAATCACCTCAGAGTCATGTGCAGTTTCCTCATTTTGCAGATGCAAATGCAGAGAAGCAGAGAGAGTTCAATGAGATGCTCAAAGACATTTAAATAAATGACAAAATTAGGCCTAGACCCTTCCCTGGTCTTCTTCTATTGGAGTTCTTCTTTCTCCTTCTTTCTCTTTCCCTCCCTCCCTCCCTTCCTTCCTTCCATCTTGCCTGCCTGCCTGCGTTCTTCTGTCCTGCCTTCCTGCCTTCCTCCCTCCCTTTCTCGTTTTCTTCTTTCTTTCTCTTTCTTTTCTTCCCTCCTTTCCTTCCTTTCCTTTCTTTTCTTTTCTTCTCTTTTCTTCTCTTCTCTGCTCCTCCCCTCCCCTCCCCTCCCCTCCCCTCCCCTCCCCTCCCCTCCCCTCTCCTCTCCTGTCCTTTCCTTTCCTTTCCTTTCCTTTCCGAGGCAAGGTCTCACTTTGTCAGCCAAGCTGGACTGCAGCAGCATGATTACAACTTACTGTAGCCTCCATCTCCCTGACTCAAGCGATCTTCCCACTCGAGCCTTCTGAGTAACTGGGACTACAGGAGCATGCCACCATGTCTGGCTAATTGTTATTATATTTTTTACTTTTTTTGCTAGAGATGGGGTCTCGCTATGCTGCCCAGGCTGGTCTCAAACTCCTGGCTTCAAGTGATTCTCTTACCTTGGCCTCTTAAAGTGCTGGGATTACAGGCACGAACCACTGTGCCCAATCTTTTCTCTCTTTCTTCTTTTTCCAATGACCTAAAATACTCCTTTATTTTTGAGCACAGATCTCAGAACAGTGACATGGTTTAAAATCAATACTCTCTTTTTACCGTAGCATGCTAGCTCTTTCCTTTGTCTTTTTCACCTGAAAATGTGCCAACCTAAAGCTTTTAGTTTAGGCCAGGTGCGGCGGCTCACGCCTGTAATCCCAGCACTTTGGGAGGCCGAGGTGGGCGGATCACCTGAGGTGAGGAGTTCGAGACCAGCCTGGACAACATGGAGAAACCCCGTCTATATGAAAAATACAAAAATTAGCCAGGCGTGGTGGTGCATCCCCGTGATCCCAGCTACTTGGGAAGCTGAAGCAGGAGAATGGCTTGAACCCAGGAGGCGGAGGCTGCAGTGAACAGAGATAGTGGCCACTGCACTCCAGCCTGGGTGACGGAGGGAGGCTCCGACCAAAAAAAAAAAAAAAAGAGGTTTTACTTTACAACATCATTTTACAAAAGAAAGGGTGCCCCTCAGATAAAGAAATTGCACATAATTAATATATATTGACATGAACACCTGCTGTTTGTAAGATGCTGTATGGAATCAAAAAATTTAAGCCTAAATTCTGGTCCTGAAGTTCCCCCAATCTGGTAAGAATGGGATGTTCTATGTGCAGTCAGAACAATGAATTATAGGATATTGAAGGACAGAGAGATCACATGTGAGATTCAAAGCTTTAAGCCAAGAGCTTAAAGTACATGAATTATTTTGTTTGTCTCTTTTTTTTTTTTTTTTTTTTTTGAGGCAGGGTCTCGGTTTTTCATACAGGCTGGAGTGCAGTGGTGCGACCACAGCTCACGAGAGCCTTGATTTCTTTGGCTCATGTGATCCTTCAGCCTCCTAAGTAGCTGGGACCACAGGTGCTCACCACCACGCATCTGGCTAATTTTTTATTTTTAAAGAGACCTGGTCTCACTGTGTTGCCCTGGCTGCTCTCAAACTCCTGGGCTCAAGCGATCCTTCCGCTTTGGCCACCAAAAATGTTGGGATTACAGGCGCTAGTCATCATGCCCAGCCCACAGTACATGTTCTATAATTACTGTCCCACGTGATATTTAAAGCCAGTCTTCCAAATTAATATGGTAGGATGAAAACATGTTTTAAAGATTTTTAGCCTAAGCTTTCACTCTGCCGCCCAGACTGGAGTGCAGCGGCACGATCATAGCGCACTGCAGCCTTGAATTCCTGGGCTCAAGCAAGTGTACTGAGCAGCTAGGACTACAGGCATACGCCACTAAGCCCGGCTAATTTTTAAAAATAATTTTTTGTAGCGATGGGGTCTCCCTATGTTGCCCAGGCTGGTCTGGACTAAAATTTTGAATACTCTCTCAGTGGGTAATTTCACTCATATATCCAACAATTTGCTGTTAGTCTTTGGGTATACACATAGTAATTTATATTCAGACAGGGATGGCTCGAGAATTTCTGCATAAGATTGAATTAAAAGGATTGCATTCTGGTTGGAAGATGCTTCAGGAAACTTGTCTGGAATGCATTTGATAATGTGCCACTTTTTTTTTTTTTTTTTTTTTTTTAACGTATCAGTATCATTAAGCAGGTAACATGCCATTTTTACATAAGGGTTTTGGTGTGAGGTGTAGAGTTGATGGCAGTCACTATTGATACCAATGTTTTGTCTCCCTTCTCTCACATTCTATTTTTTTCAAACTGTAATATTCATTTATTAAAATTTTGAGGCAGAGAGATCTTGGAGGAGACTCTTTGAAATGACAGTAGGGGTTTTACCAGCACCGGATGTAGATAGTTGTTCTTATACTAGAGGTGGCAGGAATGAAATGGGGTAGAGATAATATGCGTTTATTGTTTGAAGCGGCTGTGTTTTGGGGTAACTTGTTATGCCCTAATAGATAACTGAATGGAGGTGGCAGATGCTACTAGTTCCATAACACTGGGGCCCAGTTATCACCATGGTAAGTGGCGGGGGTGGGGGCGGAGGGGTGGAAGTTTAGAATATTTATCTGAGACTGGGCCTGCTATACAGAAATGCCTTTCCGGAGTCTGGACACTGAGATATATGTTTGAATAAAAAGTTAAGTTTGGCCGGGTGTGGTGGCTCACACCTGTAATCCCAGCACTTTGGGAGGCCGAGGTGGGCGGATCACAAGGTCAGGAGTTCGAGATCAGCCTGGCCAATATGGTGAAACCTCATCTCTACTAAAAATACAAAAATTAACCAGGCGTGGTGGTGGGCACCTGTAGTCCCAGCTACTCAGGAGGCTGAGGCAGGAAAATCACTTGAACCCGGGAGGTGGAGGTTGCAGTGAGCTGAGATTGTGCCACTGCACTCCAGCCTGGGTGACAGAGTAAGACTTCATTTCAAAAGAAAAAAAAAAAGTTAAGTTTAACCTGTTCTGGGGATGGAGGACACACAACAGACTGGTTGTTGTTGTTTTTAATCTCAAACAAAAGACTTTAAAAAGAGTTCAGCCGGGGGCACAGTGACTCACACCTGTAATCACCGCACTTTGGGAGGCTGAGGTGGACGAATTTGAGGTCAGGAGTTGGAGACCAGCCTGGCCGACATGGCGAAGCCCCATCTCCACCAAAAATAGAAAAATTAGCCAGGCGTGGTGGCACATGCCTGTGATCCCAGCTACTCGAGAGACTGAGGTAGGAGAATCGCTTGAATCCAGGAGGTGGAGGTTGCAGTGAGCTGAGATCACGCCACAGCACTCCAGCCTTAGTGACAGAGCGAGACTCAGTCTCAAAAAATAAAATAAAATAAAAATTAAAATAGAGTTCATATGGACCAGAAAAGATGCTTTGCAGACACACTCAACTTGGTAATGTCAGTTTCTTACCAATAATAATTGCAAAACCAAAATTGTTTTCACTAAGTATGAAGTTGGAGGCTGAAGAATCTCAATTATGGGAGAGTTAGTAAGTGGAAGACAACCTTTAAAAATGCAACAAAGAAGCTGTTAAGGAAATACATTAGAGCATGTTCAGATGAAATAGGGTGTAAAGTCAGCAGTCCTGTATTTCCTAGCCTTTATTCTCTTCACAGCTTATTTCTCACTTTTAGATTTTGTAGTCAGGCAGTATAACATATAACAATAAGATAAATACTATTAAGAAGAATTTTGCAACTTGAGAGGTGCTTTCAATAACCACTACCATATTTAATCGTGTATTTTGGATATTGTAAGAAAATGGAAACTTGGGGGTTATTGACCTACCCAATAGCATTTGCCTCCAGCTTAAATCTTTTGGACACCTTCCAAACCATAAAAATCATTGTATTAAATAGGCCAGGCGTGGTGGCTCATGCCTGTAATCCCAGCACTTTGGGAGGCTGAGGCGGATGGATCACGAGGTCAAAAGATCGAGACCATCCTGGCCAACATTGTGAAACTCTGTCTCTACTAAAAGTACGAAATTAGCTAGGCATGGTGACACATGCCTGTAGTCCTAGCTACTCGGGAGGCTGAGGCAGGAGAATCGCTTGAACCTGGGAGGTGGAGGTTGCAGTGAGCTGAGATCATGCTATGGCACTCCAGCCTGTGCGACAGAGCAAGACACCGTCTCAAAAAAAAAAAAAAAGTTTAGTTAAATGTATTCAGCAGGAAAGAAGAGAAAATCAGTAGCCTCAGGCCCCTTTTGCTTTAGAAAATCCTATATCTTTATTTTATTTTATTTTATTTTTTTGAGACAGAGTCTCCTTCTATAGCCCAGGCTGGAGTGCAGGTGCGCCATCTCGGCTCACTTCAACCTCCGCCTCCCGGGTTCAAGTGATTCTTCTGCCTCAGCCTCCAGAGCAGCTAGGATTACAGGCACTTGCCACCACTACCAGCTAATTTTTGTAGTCTTAGTAGAGACGGGGTTTGGCCATCTTGGCCAGGCTGGCCTTGAACTCCTGACCTCAGGTGATCCACCCACCTCGGCCTCCCAAAGTGCTGGGATTACAGGCGTGAGCCACTGCGCCTGGCCCAGAAAATCCTATATCTTTAATTTAAAAATAAGAGGCCGGGAGCGGTGGCTCCTGCCTGTAATCCCAGCACTTTGGGAGGCCGAGGCGGGTGGATTACGAGGTCAGGAGATCGACACCATCCTGGCTAACACGGTGAAACCCTGTCTCTACTAAAAATAAAAAAATTAGCTGGGCGTGGTGGCAGGTGCCTGTAATCCCAGCTACTTGGGAGGCTGAGGCAGGAGAATGGTGTGAACCCGGGAGGAGGAGCTTGCAGTGAGCCGAGATTGTGCCACTGCACTCCAGCCTGGGTGACAAAACGAGACTCCATCCCAAAAAAAAAAAAAAAAAAAAAAAAGAATCTACACTTAAAACACAAAGGGACAGTATTTTCCTGGACTCAACTCTGTATTTCCTTTTATTATTATATAATATAAAGCTATTATGAAATACATGAAGCTCCGCCAGGTGTGGTGGCTCATGCCTGTAATCCCAGCACTTTGGGAGGCCAAGGTGGGTGGATCACCTGAGGTCAGGAGTAACAGACAAGCCTGGCCAACATGGAGAAACCTCGTCTGTATTGAAAATACAAAAATTAGCCAGGAGTGGTGGCATGCGCCTGTAATCTCAGTTACTCAGGAGGCTGAGGCAGGAGAATTGCTTGAACCCGGGAGGTAGAGGTTGCAGTGAGCAGAGATCGCGCCATTGCACTTCAGCCTGGGCAACAACAGTGAAACTCCATCTCAAAAAAAACAAAAAGAAAAAAAAAAGAAATACATGAAGCTCATTTGATTTGTTGTAATTTAAATTTCTTAGATCTTTATTCGAATATGAAATGTGTCATTCAACTGTTATGTGGGTGCACCAGTTTATTTTTTATCAGATAATTTTGTTTTTTAATTTTCATGTTCCCATATTTAATGCTAAACTGGAAATTAAGATTCAAGAATAGTCTCATAATAGCATGCGGATTTTGACATGGTGTTGGCACTTTATCCCAGAAAAAAAATAAATGCACCAGAAATGGACATTTTTTTTTCAAGGATTTATTTTGCTTGGTGACATGATCCTACTATCAATAGCAAAATTCCTTTTTAGATGATTCACAGGCAAGATTTACATTAGCAAAAAAAAAAAAAAAAAAAAGAGAGAGAGAGAGGATTACGAATGAAGGCAATTATTTACATTTTGTAGAATCCCTTGAGAAACTGACTCTCTTCCTAGATAAACACATACATACACAAATACACATAAAGTTTGCATGAAAATCTGTCAGGGGAAGTTGCCCCTGGTCTAGATAATTTGGAAAGAATGAAGCACTTTATTTGAGAGAGCTCTATAATTCAAATAGAATAGGAGTGTTATATTAGAACAAAGGAGTTTTAAGAAATAACTTTGTAAGACTAAAACTAAGAACTGTTAAATTAGCGTAACTCTTCTGTCCAGACATCTTCAAGGAATTAGAACTCCAGTGGCTGTGATTATTTACGTGTAGCTCATTGTAAATGGGGGAAAGGCTTGCTGGACAATTCCACCTTTTTGCTTTGCCTACTCTGAAGATTAATACACAGCTTGCTTTGCTTATATTATTTTTTTCATTGGCTACTAAAAGTGACTGCAAAGAATACACATCTTTTCAAACACCAAACATTTTATAATTACAATAATAAGTCAGAGAGAATTTTAAAGGTCGTATCTTAGAGTGGTGGGCATGGTGGCTCATGCCTATAATCCCAGCACTTTGGGAGGCTGAGGCGAGTGGATCGCCTGAGGTCAAGAGTTCGAGACCAGCCTGGCCAACATAGTGAAACCCCATGTCTACTAAAAATACAAAAAATTAGCTGGGTGTGGTGGTGGGTGCCTGTAATCCCAGCTACTAGGGAGGCTGAGGCAGGAGAATTGCTTGAACCCAGGAGGTGGAGGTTGCAGTGAGCCGAGTTTACGCCATTGCACTCCAGCCTGGGCAACAAGAGCGAAACTCCGCCTCAAAAAAACAAACAAACAAACAAAAAAACTGCAGAGGGATTCTCAAACAGTATCCTAAAATACAACAAATTTAAATAAGATTTTTAGATACTACCCATTAAGCCTGCGGAACTGTGAGTCAATTAAACCTCCTTTCTTCATAAAAATAAATAAAAAATGAGTAAAATGAGATTTTTAGTATAAATTGTTTTTATATGGTAAAATTAAGACAACTCCTTATAATGTCATTCAAACAGGCTGTTTTTGTTTAACACAAATGTTTACAAATTGAACCCAATGGAAAACAGTTAGAGCCTCATCATCTGATTTGTTTCTGTATTTCGTTTTGGTTACTCAATATATAAGAAAATTCTTATTTGGATAGAAATATAGTTGCAAATGGTAGCAGTTTTTAAAGAGTTACCTTTCAATTTCAAAATATTCTTCAAGTAAACAAACATGAAAAAAAAAGTTTTATCCAGAAGTCTGCATAAACTGGATAGCACATGGGAAGTCTCCAATTTATTAAAATGTAGTACATTTTAATGCAGCTGTATTTGCTTTAAATTTTTTTTATGTTGTGGTAAAATATTTATAACATAAAATTTGCCATTTTAACCATGCTTCAGTGTACAATTCAAGGGCATTAAGTGCATTCACAAGGTGCAACCATCACTCTTGTCTATTTCCAGAACTTTTTCATTATTCCAAGCCATTTGCTTTTAATAATAAATTTGTAAATAGTTAAAATTGAAATTTGAATAAAATGTTTGCAAAGCTCCTAAGGCATTTTCATAGAACAGTTTAAAAAGTATGGTCTCCTTAAGTTATCTGAGGCACAGAAAATTAACTGGCTGGAACAAGCACCATTGTCCAGGGAT
This sequence comes from Homo sapiens, assembly GCF_000001405.40. Lineage (NCBI taxonomy): Eukaryota > Metazoa > Chordata > Mammalia > Primates > Hominidae > Homo > Homo sapiens. The sequence goes on along the minus strand of NC_000004.12, from coordinate 26,280,436 downwards.
GGAATGGGGCTCTCTCTCTCTTTTTTTTTTTTTTTTTTTTTGAGATGAAGTGTTGCTCTGTCACCCAGGCTGGAGTGCAATGTTGTCATCTCGGCTCACTGCAACCTCTGCCTCCTGGGTTAAAGCAATTCTCCCGCCTCAGCCTCCTGAGTAGCTGGGATTACAGGCACCTGCCACCATACCTGACTAATTTTCTGTATTTTTAGTAGAGTTGGGGTTTCGCCGTGTTAGCCAGGCTGGTCTGCAACTCCTGACCTCAAGTGATCCATCCACCTCGGCCTCCCAAAGTGCAGGGATTACAGGAGTGAGCTACCGTGCCCGGCCAAGGCTCTCTCTTAAAAGACAATTTTGGTCGGGCACGGTGGCTCATGCCTGTAATCCCAGCACTTTGGGAGGCCAAAGTGGGTGGATTTCTTAAGATCAGGAGTTGCAGATCAGCCTGGGCAATGTGGCAAAACCTGTCTCTGCAAAAATTACAAAAATTAGCCAGTTGTCATGGTATGCACCTGTGGTCCCAGCTACTTGGGAGGCTGAGATGGGAGGATTGGTTGAGCCCAAGAAGTCGAGGCTGCAGTGAGCCTTGTTCGAGACACTGCACTCCAGCCTGGGCGACAAAACAAGACCTTGTTTCAAAAAAAAAAAAAAAAAAAAGACAATTTCAACTTCACTCACAAAAACCTTTTTACCTCCCTCTGCCTGAAATGAGAAGTTTTAATTGTGGCATGCAAAAACCTGCCATCTTCTTAGGAAGTTTTACTGAAATTCGTCACCGCTTGTCTGGACTGGTCTTAGAATCATCCTACATTAAAAGCAAATGTAAGCAACCACGGGAATTTGTGTAAACATTGAAAATATCAAACAGGCCGGGCGTGGTGGCTCACGCCTTTAATCCCAACGCTTTGGGAGGCCGAGGCGGGTGGATCACGAGGTCAAGAGATTGAGACCATCGTGGCCAACATGATGAAAGCCCGTCTCTAAAAATACAAAAATTAGCTGGGCGTGGTGGGGCACGCTTGTAGTCCCAACTACTCGGGGGGCTGAGACAGGAGAATTGCTTGAACCTGGGAGGCGGAGGTTGCAGTGAGCTGAGATTGTGCCACTGCACTCCAGCGTGGTGACAGAGCAAGACTCTGTCTCCAAAAAAAAGAAAATATCAAACAGCAGCCAGTGCAGCAAAACTTGCCCTTTTCTATAAGTGGCTAGGCTCACAGCATCATCCTCTCTTCTGCCCAACTGGATTGAATTTACTGGTATTCATTTGAAACTACCACCTGTAACAGACATTTTCTTCAAACAAATAGTTAACATTTATTGAGTACATACTGTGGGCCAGGCACTGTGCTGGGTGCTTCATGTGTATTATCTTATTTAGTTCTCAACATGATCCTATGAAATAGCTACTGTTATTTTCTCCACTTTAGAAAGGAGGAAATTGTGCAGAGAAAGCTAAGATCATACAGGAGCACAACCACCCTGCTCCCACGGCAGCACCCTTAGCCACCAGGCACTGTGGCCTCCTTAGAACCTTATATATCCATCCCATAGCCAAACTTCCTGATGCCTGCCAGATATCATGTAAGTGGAACTCCCACCAAAAGCTATTTTTAAAACGGACTAATCATTGTTACTTCAAATCTGCTAGAAACTGACAAGAGTTGAGCTTAATTTTCTCCTTGTAAAGCCCCTGTCAGGAAAATTATAAAGACTTGTAAAGGGGCAAAAGAGATTTTTGAGTGTTATTTCAGTAGAGTCCCTGAGTGTCTTAGGAGATAGTCTGGGAATTATCTGCTTCTATAGGAATAGAAACTTTTGATTATCTTGGATTGATTAGTCTATTTCATAATCCTATAGGTGTAGAAGTTAAGTTGTAGAAAACCGATAGCAATGCAGATGTGTCCTGTCCATAGTTATTCAAATGATTCTTGTTTTGAATATGCACATCAATTTTATCTGATAGTAATGCAATTGATTTCTACCCAGTAAATGACCCAAAACACTACATATTTTTTCTATCAGATATCAGCCAATTTTGTACCTATTAGTAAATTCATTGCAACATTCCAGATTGCCTACATATATATCTGTTTTTCAAATTGTCCTTTGAATTGGTTTTAACATTTTTTCTGGATCCCTCATAAATTAATAAATTAAAATCTTTGGCATAGGTTCACTTTATATCTTCATGACAGACGTGACTTTACTTTTTTGAAAATGTTATGTAGCATCCTATCTTTAGATGAAAAATTGAAGATGAATATGAAGTATATGTTATAAAGTAACTGGGAAGCAAAGGCAGCACAGAGAAGGTAAAGGAGCAGAATCAGCGAAGAGTTCCTAATCAGAATGTCAATGCCACGGCATTTGCGTTCATACTACTATATACTGTCCTTGGCACATAATAGGTGCTCAATAAATATTCAGCAAAGGAGCTAGCTTAGAAGGCAAGACACACACACAAACACACACATATACATGAGGAATAAGCAGCAACTTGGAAAAAAGGCATTGATTGACACATGTGAAAATAACTTGTAAAGATTAGATGGACACTGAATCGAATATTTTAAAGCCCGATAGAAACCTATGGGAGAGAGTAATACATTTAAAAACACTAATCATGCTTGCAAAATTCTTCCTCTGGACTTTTGGGGCTAGAGAGGGTCAGGAGAGCATTTCTCTCATGAAAAAATTTGAGCCCATATGAGCATACTAAGTCTCTCCCTCTGACTAACACTTGCCATCTGTTCCTCCATCACTGCCATCTTAGTTTTAAATCCTGCAAAGGAAATGAATAGGCCCCTGCCACTCCTTCGAGATTGTGTGTCCAACACACCATCCACTCACAAATCAGGGCTTTCCTGGGCACCTATAGCTTGGCCGGGTTGGCACTTTCCCTACAAAACTCCCCAGGATAACTCACCAAGGCCATGCATTGAAGAACCCAGCCCTGTGGCGCTCAGGCTTGCAGCCTCGTCCTGGTCCCAAGAGAAGAGAGAGGCTTGTATCTGGTGGGGGTGAGGAGCCAGGTGGAGATTCCTAAATCATAAACTAAGGAATTCCACAAATGCTGAATTTTTCATGAGTGCTAGCATTACAGAGAGGGATCAGAACCAAATTTTTTCAAGTTCAGCTTTTTTGACTTTTGACTTTTTTTTTTTTTTTGAACAAACAGGGTCTTGCTCTGTCGCCCAGGCTGAAATGCAGTGGTGTGATCACAGCTCACTGAAGCCTTGAACTCGTGGGCTCAAGCATCTTCCTGCTTCAGCCTTCTAAGTCTTCATACCAGCATGCCTGGCTAATTTAAATTTTTTTTTTTTTTTTTAGAAATGGGGTCTCACTATGTTGCCCAGGCTGGTCCCCACTCCTGGCCTCAAGCAATCCTCCCACCTCAGCTTCAAAAAGCTCTGGGATTATAGGCGAGCGTGATTCTCCTGCACCCAGCCAGGTTTTTCACTTACAGAAAATTCTATGACTAGTTTATTCCGTGCCAGCAAAGAGAATATCATCTAGCCAGAATAAATACATAAATACATTTAAATCTGATTTCACAGGTTGAAGAAGAAAGGCAGTTTTTGACTCCGCCCTTGCTACAAAGGAAACAGACAGAAAGAAGAATTTCTTCAAAGATACAATTTGAGTTTGCTTATTTAAGGTTGCTTTCTTAACATAGTATGTGCTCAGTTAATATCAGACAGTCACTCCTGTAGCTCTAATGTCATGGTGAAGAAAAGAGAAGGATTTTTTTTCTTTCTCATTTAAATGATTCAAAGTGTTATACATATAGCATTTAATCAGCAAGCCCATGGAAACAGAAGAGTAATCAACAGGGACAGAATTTCACTGTGTTGACAGCAATGGAAGAACAAGCCTGAGGCCCAAGGCCATGTTAGATTTTCCATAGATTGCATTTCAATAGATTTCTGTGGATTGTGTTTTTTTCAAGGAGGCGATTTCATTGGGACATGTAGCATGCAACGTCACAACCACCAAGCCTTGCCCAAGCAAAAACCCAGATCTCATCTAACATCCACAATTTCTGAAGCTTTGTTTTAGTTACCATAGGGAAGTGTTTTTAAAATCAGAGACCTTAAAAGTAGAAACTTAAAATTTACAACAGCTTTATGTATTTATTTTATGTTTTCTTTTTCTTTTTTTTTTTTTTTTGAGATGGAGTCTTGCTCTGTCACCCAAGCTGGATTGCATGCACAATCTTGGCCCACTGCAGCCTCCGCCTCCTGGGTTCAAGTGATTCTCCTGCCTCAGCCTCCCAAGTAGCTGGGACTACAGGCATGTGCCACCATGCTCGGCTAATTTTTGTATTTTTAGTAGAGATGCGGTTTCACCATGTTGGCCAGGCTGGTCTCAAACTCCTGACCTGAAGTGATCCACCCACCTAGGCCTCCCAAAGTGCTGGGATTACAGGCGTGAGCCACCACGCCCAGCCTACAATAGCTTTAAAGCTGTTAGCATGTCACTAAGTATCCTTTTTCAGCCATAAAAACTATGATTTGGGCCGGTTGCGGTGGCTCACGCCTGTAATCCCAGCACTTTGGGAGGCCGAGGTGGGCAGAGAGGTCAAGAGATCCAGACCATCCCGGCCAAGATGGTGAAACCCCGTCTCTACTAAAAATACAAAAAAGTAGCTGGGTGTGGTGGTGCACGCCTGTAGTCCCAGCTACTCGCAAGGCTGAGGCAGGAAAATCGCTTGAACCCAAGAGGCGGAGGTTGCAGTGAGCCGAGATCGCGCTACTGCACTCCAGCCTGGCAACAGTACGAGACTCCGTCTCAAAAAACAAAACAAAACAAAACAAAACAAAAAACCTATGATTTGGAGAGAAGTTGACAGTTGTGTTATGTCAAGATACCTCTTTCCTGGATGGTTTTTCTCCGGCGACTGACTTGACATGTTGCTTAGCCACACCCGAGTCACATAGTCCCCCTGGGTTTTAATTTCTTTTTCCGGTGTTAGTAATACTTGTTCCCTTCCTGCCCCACTGGCCTGTTGGGAGGCATAAGTAGACTCATAGCATGCTAGGTCCTCCCTTTTCATTATCTTCCTAGGAAAACAGTTACCCATAGGAGCCCAGAACCTTGCCTAGAGTCACCCTGCCAGCAAGTGGCAGAGCTGCGATTTGAATCTGGGGCTTATGCATCTGATTCTGCTGAGGATGTCAAATTACCAGGCTTTGGTCTAAGCAGAAGTCAGGGGACAGCAGTGAAAAGAGCACGGTTCCACACCTTGATGCCGTCTCTCACTTTCCCTCTGTGTGACCTTGGGTAAGTTATGCAAATGCTCTGTGCCTCAGTTGCTTCATTTATGAAATAGGGACGATGACATCTCACTAGTCTATTACAAATATTAGTTGACAATGTGGCCATCTCCCTATCCCATGAATGCTATCTTCCTTTATGGCTTCTAATCCCTTCCTCTAGCCCTGGTACTTTAGAAACTTTTTTCCTTTCCTTTCTTTTTTCTTTTCTTTTCTTTTTTTGTTTTTTTGAGACGGTGTCTCGCTCTGTCACCCAGGCTAGGATCATGCAATGGCGTGATCTCAGCTCACTGCAACCTCCGCCTCCTGGGTTCAAGCAATTCTCCTGCTTTAGCCTTCCGAATAGCTGGGATCACAAATGTGCACCACCACCCCTGGCTAATTTTTGTGTTTTCGATAGACGAGGTTTTGCCATGTTGAGCAGGCTGGTCTTGAACTCCTGGTCTCATGTGATCCACCAGCCTCAGCCTCCCGAAGAGCTGGGATTACAGGTGTGAGCCACTGTGCCCAGCCTTCTTCTTCTTTTTTTTTGAGAGACAGGGTCTCGCTCGCTCTATCACCCAGGCTGGAATGCGGTGGCATGACCACAGCTCACTGCCACCTCAAACTTCTGGGCTCAAGGGATCCTCCCATTCAGCCTCCTGAGTAGCTGAGAACATAGGCACATGCCACTGTGCCAGGCTAATTTTTAAAAAAATTTATGTAGAGACAGGGTTTTGCCGTGTTGCCCATGCTGGTCTTGAACTCCTGGGATCACGCAGTCCTCCTGCCTCAGCCTCTTGGACTGCTGTGATTACAAGGGTGAGCCACCGTGTCTGGCCAGAAACATTTTTCTTAATCAAAAATCATACCTTCTCTTATCTTCCTTAGGGTTTCAGAAAGTCTCAAATCCATTCATTATTTAACAAATACTTATCGAGCGCCTACTATGTATGTGGCACTGTTGTGGGTGCTCGGGATGCAGGGTGTGGGTGTGAGCATGGGGCAGATGGCAGAAGATAGGCAGAAAATCAAATGAAGCAGTAAAATATAACACATGTACAAAGTATTTTAGGAGGTGAGAAGTGTTATGGAGAACAATAAAGCAGAGAAGTAGAAAAGCATATATCTGGGGTTGAGGCCACACCTGTGGTTGGGAAAGACTTCTCTGACAAGGTGACATCTGAGCAAAGACCCATAGGCAGCAGGGGAATGGAAGAAGAACAAACTTTTTTTCCTCTACACCAGAGAAGACACAGACACCTCCAGGAGAAGTAAAGCCGGGCCTAATCGGATTCCCAGGAAGATGCAAATGGCGATGACTGTGTCTTGGCTGCGTTCAGCTTCAAAGAAGAAGAGGGAAGAACCGTTGGCATACCAAGCACTGGAAGGGTGGCGGCAAGGGGCACCGGGAATGGCTGTGGTTACCAGTGATGCAAACAGACCTCCCACTTCCCCACTTCTTCCTGAAAGTGGAGGAGGGGAGGGAGGCAGTTGAGTGAAAAGAGCTCCCAGGCCCCGCTGCTAGGTTCTTCTGCAGAAAGATTAGTACCCCTAGGTGCAAGTGGGATACAGAGTGGTTCTTCCCTGAGCCATTGGAATCTGTGCCCTCCTCTTAGATTCCAGAATGGCCTCGGACATAGATACTGCTCTCTGCTGCCAGTTTCCTTCCAGGCAGCTAGAGCTGGAAAGATCTTCATCCTAGCTGCCTGCCAAGGCCGGGAGGCCCGCTCCACGCTCCCTCGGAGGCATCTCGCCCTCTGGGAGGTCGCCAGGCAGACAGCTTTGGAAAACTGGGAGCTTGGAAAAAAGTCATTTGAATTTTATAAAGTGGTAACTACTGTGGGGCTTTATGTAATAAAACCTAAATGCCATTTTCCTCCTAAAGCTCTCGGGTGAGGTAACAGTTCTCTTTAATGTCAGCTCAGGAAGTTTTACCCAAGAAAAAGGAGGTGGAGGGGTGGTGTTTGCCAAATCAGGAAATGTGCCTTAACTGACTAGGAACTTAAAAAAGAGGCTGAGGCAATGAGAGGAAGGGAAGTGGGAGACAGCAAAAGGTAGTCCTGCAAATGAGTAAACTTGGGACACACAGGCCAATTTTTATTTCAAGTCAATTTTGTTGGTTGAAACTTCCTTTTTATGGTCTGTTGTTTTGAAAAACTTGGAGTGAAAGAAAATCTCAAACTTAATACAGTCTTCATGAAAAAAAAGCACCTAAGGTATTAACAGGGATTCCAGCGTCTGTAATGTAAACATTCACCTTAGGCATGGAAACTCTTGCTTGAGAGTTGCAGAGTTCCCTGTTTCACACCACAAATCTAACCACAGCTTTCTGCGCAATGTATGGTTTTAAACAATGAGTACATTATGCAGATCCAATAGGACTTTCCTCCATCCCATCACCCCCTTCCTGGTGTTAGACCTACCTCATGGTTTCAAATATGGTTGGTGCACCCCAAGGACAGAGAAAAGTAAGCCCTATTTTTAAGCAGGTGTTCAAGAACCAGGAAGAATGAATCACTTTGGAAAAAATGAAGACAAAATGCAAGTTCATCTGCAACCAAATCTGTAGTTTTGTTTTTTATTTATTTTTTATTTATTTTATTTATTGTAGAGATAGACAGGGTCTTGCTCTGTCACCCAGGCTGGAGTGAAGTGGCATGATCACAGCTCATTGCAGCCTTGAACTTCTGGTCTCAAGTGATCCTCCCACTTCAGCCTCCCAAGTAGCTGGGACTACAGGCATGTGTCACCACACCTGACTAATTAAAAAAAAATTTTTTTTGTACAGATGGAGTCTCACTACATTGCCCAGGCTGGTCTCCAACTCCCAGCCTAAAGTGATCCTCTTGCCTTGATCTCCCAAATGTTGGGCTTATGGGTGTGAGCCACAATGCCCGGCCTGTAGTGAGTTTTAGAAAATAAAAATGACGTCTTCATTTTTTCTTTCTTGCAAATATCTCAGTTTTATCTAGAAGATCTTTTTCTTTCCTGCATATATCTAGGTTTTATCTAGACCTTTGACTTCTGTCAAAGGTGTGAAATTTAAACCTTTGGAATTTTATCCAAAGCATTTTTGCCCTAAAAGCTTTTTTCCCTATTGATTCTTATACCTAATATTCCCAACCCAGTCCTGGTTAAGGCTGCCCTAGTCAGGAGACATTTTTAAGAGACAAAGCAAGTGACCCAAGGCACTGGCCCTACAGAAATCTGGAAGCTGGTACAAGCATGTATGCACCCATGTGCCTATATACCTGTGCCCACTGTGCACATGTTCAAGCACGCACGTGTCTCTGTATGTGGTTGCTCACACGTGTGCATGCACGTGTGTGTGTGGCAGTGACACTGTGCAGAATGAATGAAAGGACATCATAGTTTGTATGTTGAAGACTCATGGGTCTTTCAAAGTTGATAAATCTGGCTTTCACATAGAAGGCGAGGTCTTAGATGAAGATAAAGGAATTCAGGAAATATCATCCCCAAAATGACACTTTGGTATGCTGATTACTTTGAACTGAGGACACCTGGGACATAGCATATGCAGGCAGAGGCTTTCTCAGAACTCCCTATCTGCCTACTGATGGATCCTCTAAAAAGAACTCAGTTGTCATGAATCCCCTCCTGGGGAATTTCATCAAGCAGAGAAGATTAACTGGGATCACAGGAGAGGAGACTGGAGTTCGACACCATAGCCAGACAGACTTTGCCACAGGCTGTCACCTATTCTTCTGAGGTCCTGTTCATCTTTCCCCCAAATCAATCTCTCCTGAGTTACCTACATCTCCCCTCCCCTCTCCTTTATGAAGAGGGAATATAAGACTCTAGATCCACCAGGTTTTGAGGTACAGTAGTCCCCTCCTTATCTATGGGTGATAAGTCTCAAGCCCTCCAGTGGATGCCTGAAATCAAAGATGGCACCAAACCTTATAGTCTGATGTTTCCTATACATGCATACCTATGATAAAGTTTAATTTATAAATTAGGCTGGGCAAGGTGGCATGCATCTGTAGTTCCAGCTACTTGGGAGGCTGGGCCAGGAGGAGAGCTTGAGCCTGGGAGTTTGAGACCAGCCTGGGAAACATAGTGAGACCCCATCTCTAAAGCAAATTTAAAAAATAAATTAGGCACAGAAAGAGATTTAACAATAATTAATAACAAAATAGAATAATTAGAATAATATACTGTATAAAAGTTGTATGAATATGGTTTTTTTCTCCTCAAAATGTCTTATTGTACTGTACTCACCTATTTTCGAACCATGGTTGACCGTGGGTGACTGAGACAGAGGAAAGCAAAACTGTGGATAAGGGTGGGGGGGAGGCGGATTTTATTCATGTTTCTTTCATGTGACACCCCTGTGCATGTAATAAATTTGTATATCTTGTCTCTTGTCAAGCTGTCTACTGTCAGTTTACATCATAGACTCAATTATCAAACCTTCAGAGGGTAGAGGGAAAGTTCTCCCTCCCCTTCCAAAAAACCCTCCATGCTAACTGGACCTGGGTAGATCAAGGGGGATGAAGTACACCTAGGAAGGACTACATGGATGGTTTTCAAGCTCTAGTGCCTGCGATACTTAATAAAAACTTTTGGAGGTTCCCAACCCCAAAGATTCTGAGTCAGTTGTCCAGGGTGGAGACAGGAGTTGGCATTGTAACCAGTGTACTACCGATTTCTCCTTCCTTCCTTCCTTCCTTCCTCCCTCCTTTCATCTTTCTTTCCTTTTCTTTTCTTTCTTTCTTTCTTTCTTCTTTCTTTCTTTCTTTCTTTCTTTCTTTCTTTCTTTCTTTCTTTCTTTCTTTCTTTCTTTCTTTCTTTCTTTCTTTCTTTCTCTTGCTCTCTCCCTCCCTCCCCTCCCCTCTCCTCCCCTCCCCTCCTCCCCTCCCCTTCCCTTCCCTTTCCTTTCCGACAAAATCTTGCTCTGTTGCCCAGGCTGGAGAGCAGTGGTACGATTTCTTGGCTCACTGCAACCTCTGCCTCCCTGGTCAAGCGATTCTCTTGCCTCAGCCTCCCAAGTAGCTGGAATTACAGGTGACTGCCACCACACCTGGGTAAGCTTTGTATTGTTAGTAGAGGTGAGGTTTTGCCATGTTGCCCGGACTGGTCTTGAACTCCTTACCTCAGGTGATCCGCCTGCCTCAGCCTCCCAAAGTGCTGAGATTACAGGTCTGAGCCGCCGTGCCTGGCCCCATACCAGCAATTTCCCATGGCGAGGAACACCAGTTTACCCTATAAGCCAGATTCTTCCACAATGTTTCATTAACTCTTTCCTAAGTGTGTTGCTTTTTACTGAGGCCTGGGTCCTTTCTAAAAATAAATGCTAGTTTGGCCTCAAAGTAATTTGGGTTGCCAGTTTTGACTCTTTTCTCTGTCATTCTACCCCTCTCCCTCCCCCTTCACTCCCTTCCCTCAAATTATTCTGCCCATACCCGCTCACCGCTTCCTCCTTTTCCTTAGTTTTAGTTCAAGAAGCCATTTAATGAGCTTCCACTAAAGCTTAAAGGGCTGAGGCTGTAAGAATGAATTGAGACAGAGTCCCTGTCTTTGAGCAGGTGAAGTCCGGTGGGGGAGGCAGGTAGATAAAACAGATCATTTCAGCAGGGAGAGCCACACATTAAAATAACCAAGGTGACGCCTGGCGAGGTGGCTCACACCTTTAATCCCAGCACTTTGGGAGGCCGAGGCTGGCCGATCATTTGAGGTCAGGAGATCGAGACCAGCCTGGCCAACATGGTGAAACCCTGTCTCTACTAAAAATACAAAAATTAGTTGGGCATGGTGGTGCATGCCTGTAATATCAGCTACTCGGGAGGCTGAGGCAGGAGAATCACTTGAACCCAGGAGGCAGAGGTTGCAGTGAGCCTAGATCCCGCCACTGTATTCTAGCCTGGACGATGGAGCGAGACCCTGTGTCAAAAAAATAAATAAATAAATAAATAAATAAATAATAAAAAATAAATTAAATAAATAAATAAATAAAATAAAATAATAGCCAAGGAGAGGGCCTGGGCAGCAGCTGCCTGAATGAGTGATGGGCTCAGAGGGAAGGGAATTGGAGAAAGTGCTTTCAACAGCACTGTTTTCCAGCTAGCTGAAGTGGGGCTCAGTGACCAATCTCAGTTCCAATCCCCACCAAACTAAAGCACATGCATTTGCCAGTTGCCAGTGTATCAGGAGAACAGCCAAAGAAGCCGAATATTAGAGAAAAAGAGCAAAATTAATTCAAAGTGTTCATTATGAAATCATAGAGTATTCCAAATATCCAGGGAGTAAACATACATTTATCAAGTTAACATATGAAATTTGTTCTAACAGATTTTCTAAATTTAGATTTTTGTTTTGCCTAATTTCATAGAAAGGGCATCACTCAGTGAATGATGAAGTGGACTTGGGGGATGAATATTCACCTGAACCCCTTCCTCCCGCCTCTGCTGCAGCTGCCCCTCCCCCCTCAGCCAGGCTTGACCTTAGACAAGGCAGTTTCTATTTTTTAGTTTCCAAGTTGTGAGAGAGGAAAAAAAAAAAGGTTTGCTTCCAGCTGTTTGACAATGATGCTGAGAAGATTTATGCACACATTCTGGTGAAATCACCTGAGTTGGCTGAAGGAGCAAATAATGCGTGTGCTTTTATTGAAGAGAAAAGGGAAGCAGAAGATGCACATTTCATTTCACTGTACTCCTGGCTGGCTAATTAGAAAGCAGGTTCATTAAGGGTTGGGCCTGAAGAAAAAGCCCAAAGCCTGAAAAGAGACCAAAGAGAATGACATCATTTCCCCTGTATCTTCCCTAAGGGCATCCTGGTATTGGAGAGAAGGACTCAGGCCCCAGAAATGAAGCAAAAACAGCCCAATTTCCAATACTGATTACTTTGGACCAGAACCGTACACAGAAAAAGAGGACACTTGGTTTTTGTTGTTTGTTTTTTGTTTTTTTTGAAAAAAAATAAAGGAATGAGGCAAACAAAGAACATGGTTTTCTGACTTGGTTGAATATAAAGCAAAGAGGGAAGTTTAAGCTAAATCGTAACATGGGGTGTCCTTTTTCTTCTTCCCTTCATATAGAAATCAAAACAACTTACAGATCCTACACGACTAATTGTTAGGAAATTTAGATTTGCTAAAATTTTTGAAATAGAAGTATTGGTTTAAAAGCTTATACCTTAAAAAAAATCATTTTTATTTTTATAGTAATACTAGATGTAATTGGGCAGATAAATTAAGTTGGAATATCTTTTTTTTTATGACTTCGGCACATAGCTGTTACTCTTATATTGAAATTGTGGGTCGGGTGCCGTGGCTCACGCCTGTAATCCCAACACTTTGGGAGGCTGAGGTGGGCGGATCACCTGAGGTCAGGAGTTCAAGACTAGCCTGGCTAACATGGTGAAACCCCATCTCTACTACAAATACAAAAATTAGCCAGGTGTGGTGGTGCGTGCCTGTAGTCCCAGCTACTCAAGAGGTTGGGGCAGGAGAATTGCTTGAACCTGGGAGGTGGAGGGTGCAGTGAGCCGAGATCGTGCCACTGTACTCCAGCCTGGGTGACAGAGACTCCATCTCAAAAAATAAATAAATAAATAAATTTAAAAATTACATATATATGTATATATGTGTATTTATACACATATATACACACAAATTGTGAAGTTTCCTGCCAGGTGAATACCTCGTTAAATTCATTTCTTTGCCTCCAGCAATAAGATACACTTAAAAATCTATTGTTTTTGCTCTGGTGATGAGAGAATCCTGACTGTTATATGTGACTACAAGTTGCTTTTCTCTTTCAGTTAGTCAAATATACTCAGAGGAACCCAGGAATGATCCTTGGGCAGCATCCATGGCAAATTCCTAAATTGGGAGTCTGTTATTCTGGCTGCTGAATTGCATTTACTCTGGGAGGCTGGACTGTAGTCAAGCCTTGTCCCATCTCCAAGCCCCACCCCCTCCAGACTCTAAGACTCTGGAGCACACACAAGGAAATATGACTTGGAGAAAATCAAGTCCTCTCATATTTTACAGCTTGAATTTTGAAATCCATCAAACTCAACTGAGCCCCAGGAAGAAGAGGCGAAGTCAATACTGGGCTTCTGTGTAACCCCATCTTCTTCTTTACCTTGAAATAAAGAGGAGACAACTTATCAATCATCTGCATCTCTAGAAAGTGCAAGCTTTTAGGCTATCTGTGTTTTGGAAGTTAATGTTATAGAAGAGAAGAAAAGAACCTCTATAGAGCTTTTGCAATAAGGTGACAAGAGACTCAGATTATGGAAGTAAATTTGGAAAGCCTTTTTCATAACTAACACTAATAACTTTTAACACAATTTTGCCTGGGAATTGTGGTGTTTCTAGCACTGAGGTTTTCTTAGCAGATGCCACCAGTAATATCTGCTCTTGAACCCAGCTCTCTCCTAAATGTCATTTATCTATCCATCCATCCACCTAATGGGGCTCAGGACATGCTACCCCCAAATATGGCGCCTTAACATTTGAGAAAACAGCAGGAAGATCACTCACCCTCACCCCTACTCCCCACCTTTCTTTTCTAAAGCACGTCATAAAAACCAAGGAGGAATTTTTCTTTCTCCTGAAGCAGGTCATAACACCCCCATGTAAGAAGTGCCCTCCCTATACCCAGTGGAAAGAACATCCTTATCTTATAAGACAAAAGGCCACAGAGAAGAATCTGAACAAATAGGCCTTGCTAAGTTTCCCCTAGTTTATTACCATTGGATTATACCCTTTGTGCAATCCTATTTCTCCATAACAGTCTACTTATTCATCAAACCTAGCATGTATTAATAAATACACAAGTTTAACCATTTCTTCAGGTCTTCATTTCCTTATGAAGATGCCCGTGTCATGTAAAATATAAATTAAGTAAGCCTGTGTGCTTTTTTCTTATTAATCTGTCCTTTGGATGAGTGAGGAAAATATTTTTTTTCTCCCCTACACATCCAACAAGCCTCTTTTCCAGGATGTAGACTATGTGCTAACCAGTGTTTAGAGCACTGCAGGGAATAGGATGTGGCAGGACAGTCTGCCAGGGAAAAAGAACCTGATACTGTTGGGGCACAGAGAAAGATACCCCAAAGTATGGAATTTAAGGGAAATTGGAAGGCTTTAGAAACTGCCTTGGAACCAAGATCCTTTTTTTTTTTGAGATACAGTCTTGCTCTGTTGCTCAGAGCTGGAGTGAAGTAGTGCGATCGTGAAGCAACCTCTGCCTCCCAGTTTTAGGCAGTTCTCTGCCTCAGCCTCCTGAGTAGCTGGGACTACAGGCATGTGCCACCAGGCCCGGCTAATTTTTGTATTTTTAGTAGAGAAGGGGTTTCACCATGTTGGCCAGGCTGGTCTTGAACTCCTGACCTCGTGATCCACCCACCTCAGCCTCCCAAAGTGCTGGGATTATAAGCGTGAGCCACCGTGCCTGGCCAGAACTTTTTAACTTTCTTTCTTTTGTTTCCTTCCCATCCAGTACAGAGAAGGGCTCTCTCTAGCAGTTCCCTTATCTGATTGAGGAAAACTTCCAAAAGAAATTGAATTGTGTTAAGACTCTCTCCTTAGGAATCTCATCAAATAATCGGGAATGATTAACTACCAGAGATGAAAGGAAATAGAAGTCATCACCATGCCCACATAGACTTTTCATCTATTCTTTTTTTTTTTTCTTTTTTTGAGACTGTCTCACTCTATGGCCCAGGCTGGAGTGCAGTAGCCACTGAAATCTCTTCCTCCTGGGTTCAGGCAATTCTCATGCCTCAGCCTCCCGAGTAGCTGGGATTACAGATGCCCACTACCACGCCTGGCTAATTTTTGTATTTTTAGTAAAGACAGGGTTTCATCATGTTGGTCAGGCTGGTCTCGATCTCCTGACCTCAAATGATCGGCCGGCCTCAGCCTCCCAAAGTGCTGGGATTGTAGGCATGAGCCACCAAGCCCAGCCTCATCCGCTCTTTAGAGGGCAGCTCGGAAAAATTATCTAAGAGACTTTATATGCATGGTAAGACAACCTTTGTTCACAGTGTAGTTCCACCCCTCACCTTCTAGTAACTTTTCCCATTCAGTTTCCAAAGAAAATTATTGACAAACTATTGTCTGCTCTTTGGGCTCATTCAATTCACCTGAAAATAATTTATTACCCCTCAAAATTGCCTATACCCCTATTTTTCTCTTCCCTATGAATAGGGTATAAATACTTCAACCATCTGTCCTTTCTTTGAGTCTCATATTTGCAGGACTCCTGTGTGATGTGCACATTAATAAATGTGTATGCCTTTTCTCCTATTAATCTGTCTATTGTCAGTTTGTTTAGGAGACTTGAACCTTCAAAAGGAGAAGGAAATTTTCTTTGCCTCTACAATAACTTAAGGCAAACCATAAAATGCCTGCTACGGTAGGCAGAGGGTTATGGGAGCACAGTGCAGGGGCACCAACGTCATCTTGAGGGGCCAAGAAAGTGACAACTAAGCTGAGACTCAAAGCAATGAGCAGTTAGCCAGGTCAAGGGCATGGTGCTTTTGGGACGAGTGCCAGTGTTTCAGTGTGGCTAGATGGGGAAGAGAGGAAGACAGCAAGTGTGTGTGAGTGTATGTGCCTATATGGTGAGAAGTAAGGCTGGAAAGATGAACAGGAGGGAATTACATGGCAAGATAAGAAATTGTGAGGGCAACAAAGGACCATTGAAGAATTTGAAAGAAACTCCATTTTAAAGAAAATGGAAGGATCAAATGGACAGTTTACGAAGATCACTATGGCTACAATATGTAGGAGGCAAAGAAGAGAGATAGGGAGGTTAGTCAGAAGGCTGTCATAGTGCTCCAGACTACATATGCTGAATTAAAAAGTATTCATTGATTAATGAATTAATAAGTATTAATAATAATTAATTACTAAGATCTGAATTAATAAGTATTCATTGATTTGAATTAATAAGTATTCATTGATTAATTCAACACATAATTTGTTGAAGCTAATTGGGACCAGGTTGTGAACACAAATGAATCTGTCTGCCAGGCGCCGTGGCTCACGCCTGTAATCCCAGCACTTTGGGAGGTTGAGTTGGGTGGATCACCTGAGTCGAGAGTTCAAGACCAGCCTGCAGCCTGGCCAACATAGTGAAACCCCGTCTCTACTAAAAAAACACAAAGATTAGCAGGACGTGGTGGCACACGTCTGTAGTCCCAGCTACTCAGGAGGCTGAGACAGGAGAATCGCTTAAACCTGGGAGGCAGAGGTTGCAGTGAGCCGAGATCGCACGGCTGCACTCCAACCTGGGGGACAGAGCGAGACTCTATCTCAAAACAAAAACAAAAAAAAAAAAGACTGGGTGCTGTGGCTCACGCCTGTAATCCCAGCACTTTGGGAGACTGAGGTGGGCAGATCACGAGGTCAGGAGTTCGAGACCAGCCCGGCCAATATGGTGAAACCCCGTCTTTACTAAAACTACAAAAATTAGCTGGGCGTGGTGGCACGCACCTGTAGTCCCAGGTACTCAGGAGGCTGAGGCAGGAGAATTGCTCTAATCCGGGAAGTGGAGGTTGCAGTGAGCAGAGATCGGGCCGTTGCATTCCAGCCTGTGTGACAGAGCGAGACTCCTTCTCAAAAACAACAACCAAAAAACATGCACATGTCCTCATAGAGCTTAAAATTTGGTGGAGGAAACAATCATGTAATTGCACAAATAACTGGAAAATAACAATTGTAGCAAGGTGCTGTTGTGGCAGAGACTGCTTTCCCCCAAAATCTGTTGTTTGCTTCTTTGCCCAGGTAGATAGCTGCACTACATTTCCCAGACTCCTTTGCAGTGGGAGACGGTCATGTGACTAAGGCCTAGCCAATGTTCTCTAAGTGGAAGTGATGCACGGGGTGGGGCGGGGGGGCTGGGTGGTTAGAGTAATAAACTGGGAGGAGCCTGGTTGTCTAAGTGTGTGGATGAAAGTGGCTCTGACAACCTGGACGGTAGCTCAGGAGTGTCATGTGAACAGACAATAACACCAAATAGATGAGCAGTTTTATATTCGGGTTTATTTGTTACATCAGCTTAGCTCGCTAAAACTAAGATGTGTTGTAAAAGAGAGCCATAGGGTACAATCAAAGTGCGAACCTAGGGAACTTGACATAATCTGGGGCAGGAAAACTGGGAAGGTTTCATTGTGGAATTCTGGGGTGGTGGTTAACTGGGATCGATAGAAATAGACAGTTCAAGAAATATTCAATAGGTAGACTCTGTGGAGCCAGATGACATGTAGCTGAAACATAAATGAATGGTAACATTCAGGATTCTGCTCTGGGAAGCCTGATGGATTGATTATAGGGCTGGAAGAAGAGCATACTGGAAGACAAGCAAGTTTGGGGAAAAAAATAAGAGCAATTTTGGATGTGTGAGGTTTATGGTGTCTGAGGACCATAAAAGGGATGTCCCAACTGTTGGAATTATGGTTGAAAAGCTCAATAGAGGGGAATTAGGTGGCAGATAGAGTCTTGGGAGTCATTAGCCTCTGAACAATAGTTGAAACAAGGGAAATAGAGCAAATACTCCAAGGAGATTGTGAAATGTCAAAAAAGCAGACATTCAGGGATGGACTCTCCAGGAATCCCAACACAAAGGAAGAATCTAGGAAGAAGAATCTTCAAAGAAGATGTGGGAGTAGTAGTCAGGGTGGTAAGAAGAAAACTGGACAGGAAAGTTATCCTCGAAGCCAAGGGAAAGACATCACACCTCTATTTTGAATTTTTGATTTAAATAACAGAATTAATTTTGCTCTGATAATCTTGCATAATAGGAGAGATTCTGGCGTTTAAAAACTTAGGATAAAAGCCGGGTGTGACGGTGTGTGCCTGAAGCCTGAGCTACTCAGGAGGCTGAGGTGGGAGGATTGCTTGAGCCTAGGGGTTCTAGTCCAGCCTGGGCAATATAGTGAGACTTCATTTCTTAAAACAATTTTAGGCTGTACATGGTGGCTCATGCCTGTAATCCCAGCATTTTGGGAGGCCAAGGTGGGTGGATCATTTGAGTCCAGGGGTTCAAGACCAGCCTGGGCAACATGGCAAAACCCCATCTCCATAAAAAATAAAAAATTAGTGGGGTGTGGTGGTGTGCACCTGTAGCCCCACCTACTTAGGAGGCTGAGGTGGGAGGACCGCTTGAGCCCAGGAGGCCAAGGCTGCAGTGAGCCTTGATTGTGCCACTGCACTCTGGGCTGGAAGACAGAGCAAGATCCTGTCTCAAACACAAAAAGATAAAAATTTTAAAATAAAAAATAAAACTTAAAATAGTCATAAGACATTGCTAGATTAAACAGTCATTTAAAAGTTCTGGTATAAATGGCTGAGAACCTTTTTTATGATGGCAAATCAATTAAACACATGTTTTTGAACTTCTGGCTAAAATTATCCAAACTGCACATAATTTCTGACTCAAAGTATTGTGATATCACATAACTAGTCCTGATAGAGCACTCACTGTCTTACATCACTCTTAGAATAAAGCAGAAGGCAGATGTAATTTCAAAAGTATAATACAATATTCCACTGTAGCAAGAAAAGCATCATCTGGACTCTAAGTTCCTTTTATTGTGGTTTACTTTTTCTTCCCTTCAATTTTGCAACGTTGTCAAAAACTGATTTCATTTGGAATAATTTTAATAACCCAAAGGGGGCCTGACCACTTCCCTCTCTTCTTCCCCTTTATCCGATATTTACTTTTCTCAGTTCTCTTACCTTTGACCAAGGGATATAGCCTTCCTCATTTCTTTTCTACTTCCTAAAGCCCAAATTAGCTTTTTTGGTTGGCATAACATATTTTCTTAAGGAGAATGTAAGAATGCTCCTCTGCCTTTTTTTTTAACCTCTACCTTAAAAAAAAGAATCCATTCATTAATTCATCTCAGCCCTCCAGCTGAGGAGTCTCTTTTCTTCCTATTCCTTCTCATTCTTTCTTTTCCTGTTCACTTTTCTTTTTGGCAATCTCATTTTACTTCTACCTTTAAGTAGTTTTTCTTTACTGTTGCATCTTGTTCTATTTCCTGCAGTTTAGGCCATCACTAATCAGTGCAATATTTTCTTCCATTCCCAAACCGTGTATTTTAATTTCCTCATCTATGAGGTGGGCATGATAATGCCTCTTCCTATGTGTCTCCCTCATTTTCTTCATACCTTTTATATGTAAGATATTGTCTTACATCGTTTAGGGAGTATAACATTGGTCATGTTCTTTGCCCTCAAGCTATTTACCATAAACAAGTAAAAACTTATGGTTTCTTAAAAGTAATTATAGCAAGCAGTATCACATGAACAGCATAGGCAATGAATGATGGTGAGTTCAGAGGAAGGAGGGATTAGGGTAGATTCAGTGAGTTCAGAGGAAGGAGGCTTCATGGAAGAGGAGAGGAGACTTGAGTGGGGCCTTGAGAAAATGCTGATTTGCATTTTCTGGTTAGGCAGAGATGGCAGCTCCAGGGGAATTACAAAGGAGTAAGAGAGTGGCATTTTAATGACAAGTACTTCAAACATACAAAATAATCTGCAACTGCACGGTATTATTATTTCCATTCCCTTATAAGTCATTGCCATCAACAAAGCAACTTCAAAATCTTCCGTTGTCTGGCCATTTTGAAAGGTTAGATTTATCAGAGCCCCTGGGTTACAACAGAATGGACAGGTAACAGTTGCTTTTTTTTTATATTCTCAGTCAACTAAAATTTTTGACTATAGATTCAGCAAGTAAGAGAATTGAAGATCAAGAGCATTAAAAAGTTTATCATGCCTAATTTTGAGTATAACACAGCTGAAAGTGGAACTCTAGCCAAAATCTACAATGAAAGAATAGTTAGTAGTGACCCTTTATTTTTCAGTTTCTACACTTAAGGTTAATTTATTTTATCTCAGCAAGAACTTTTGTCCTGATTAGGGCCATTAGTACATGAAACAAGATATGTATTTGTATTAGACAAGCCACACAAAGTGCCTATCAAACTCACAATTCCCTTCTAAACATACAGGTCCATGCTTTGTTCCACAAGAGCCTTTTTAAAAATGCATACTATGAAAATGTATATTATGAAAAAACTATGCATGGATTTCAAATCTGTTTTGCTCCAAAATTAACTTGTACTAACTTGCTATAATATGTCTGAACAAGATCTAGTTTGAGGCAGTAAGAAGCATAATATATTAGTTTGAAAAGGGCCCCTATCATGACATGAAATTCTGCTAAGATTGAAGCAAGAATAAAGATCAAACTTATGGTAGAAGAATGGTGAAATCACAGATGCTTCATGAAAAGTTTGTGGGGATAATGCCCCAAGTAAATCAGCAGTTTACAAATGAATAACTCATTTCAAGAAGGAATTAAGATAATACTGAAGATGAAATCTGCAGTGGCAGATCCTCCACATAAATTTTCAAGGAAAAAATTCATCTTGTTTGTGCTCTAACTGAAGAGGACCAATGGTTAACAGCAGAGACAATAGCCAACACCATAGACCTCTCAACTGGTTCAACTTACACAATTCTGACTACAAAATTGAGGTTAAGCAAATTTCCACTGTCTGAGTGGCACAACTGGTGCACCTGGATTGACTATAGACAACAGCAGAGCTTTCAGTGGAATTTTAAAAAGTGGGATTGAGATCCCGCAGCATTTCTTTGAAGAATTGCTGTAGGAGTTGAAACATGGCTTTCCCAGTACAATCCTGAAGACAAAGCACAATCAAAGCAATGGCTACCAAGAGATGGAAGTGGTCCAGTCAAAGTAAAAGCAGACTAATCAAGAGCAAAGGTCATGGTGACAGTTTTTTGGGATACTCAAGCCATTTTTTCTTGTTGACTTTTTGGAGGGCCAAGGAATAATAACATCTGCTTATTATGAGAGTGTTTTGAGAAAGTTAGCCAAAGCTTTAATGAAAAAATGCCCAGGAAAGCTTCATCAGAGAGTCCTTCTCCAATACATCATGCTTCTACACATTCCTGTCATCAAATGAAGGAAATTTTGCAAGAGTTTTGAGGGGAAATCACTAGGCATCCACCTTAAAGTCCTGCTTTGACTCCTTCTGACTTTTTTTTGTTTCCTAATCTTAAAAAAATGTTTAGGCCGGGCATGGTGGCTCACGCCTGTAATCCCAGCACTTTGGGAGTCTGAGGGGGGTGGATCACGAGGTCAGGAGGTTGAGACTATCCTGGCCAACATGGTGAAACCCCATCTCTACTGAAATACAAACAATTAGCCGGGTATGGTGGCACACATCTGTAGTCCCAGCTACTCAGGAGGCTGAGACAGGAGAATCGCTTGAACCCAGGAGGCAGAGGTTGCAGTGAGCCAAGATCGCACCACTGCACTCCAGCCCGGCAACAGAGCAAGACTCTGTCTCAAAATAAATAAATAAATAAATAAATAAATAATAAAAAAATGTTTAAAGGGCACAGATATTTTTCAGTTAATAATCTAAAAAAGACTGCATCGATAGGGTTAAATTCCCGAAACCCTCAGTTCTTTAGGAATGGACTAAACGACTAGTATTACACTTACAAAGGTGTCTTGAATTTGATGAAGCTTATGTTGAAAGGTAAAGTTTTTATTTTGTTTTTATCTTTTAATTGCACTTTTCTATGAACTTTTTGAAGTCCCTTTGTATATGATCCTACCATCATGGCCACAGCTAATGAACCCAGAGGTGTTCCCTGCTTCCCCCAGGGGAATGGGGAGTGGAAAAGGCAGCCATCTGTAAACTTTGAGATGGACTGATGAGAGCTCTGCACAATGTACTAGATGCACCAGTACATCTATTCACGCACCCAAACAGATCCTATTTTATTAATGGAGGTTTGATTGTGAGCCCTACAGAAAATACATAGTGGAAAATACAGAGGTGAAGAAGAGAGATTCAGAACAGAGGCAGGAGAGACAGGTAGGAGAAGAGAATAGAAAAAAGTCAATTGGTAGTGAGCAAGTTGAGAGACAGGAAATAAGCAGAGATGCCAAATCATAACCATGGACCACTGTGGAATGACTACAGCTTCTATTGCCATCTGAAGCAAAATGAATGATGCTCTATGAGGCTTGGCTGTGCAGCCACTGAGACCATTTTCTGTGCTTTCTCACTTCCCCTGGTATTCTTACAACACATTTCCCGACTATCTGACATAATGTGAGCCTGTGTCTGCCTCTTTCTGCAGAAATAATCTAACTCACATAGTAATTTACAGATTATGTTCTCATACCGAGCCACCATGTGCAGAAACACACACTTTCATGGGTCATAGCCATAACCTGGTGAAGTTCAACCACTGCTGATATCATCATCAAATCTTGGTTGCCCAGGTTATTTGGGTTACAGATGGCCCCAGGACCATTTTCTCTTCTTTTTGGTTCCTCTGTCTTTAAATATCTCTATGCCAACTAGTATCAAGAAGGCAGGGGATGCAGGGAGAAGATAACTAAGTTAGCTGCTTATTTCTTTTAACATTTTGGTGATGGAAAAGAAGAGACAAATGAGTAGGTGATGTAGCATAGAGGGGCAGCATATGTCTTGGTTTAAGGGCATGACTCCACTTCTCTTTTTTTGAGACAGAGTTTCACTCTTGTTACCCAGGCTGGAGTGCTATGGCACAGTCTTGGCTCACTGCAAGCTCCACCTCCCAGGTTCAAGTGATTCTCCTGCCTCAGCCTCCCGAATAGCTGGGATTACAGGCATGCACCACCACACCCGGCAAATTTTGTATTTTTAATAGAGATGGGGTTTCTCCATGTTGGTCAGGCTTGTCTCAAACTTCCAACTTCCGGTGATCCACCTGCCCTGGCCTCCCAAAGTGCTGGGATTACAGGCATGAGCCGCCGTGCCCGGCGACTCCACCTGTTTATGACTGTTTCTTCGCCAGTAAAATGGGAATAATAGTACTTTATAGGATAGTTCTGAGGATTCAATAACTTGCTAGATATAATAGGCTTGGAGAAGTGCCTGTAACAAAATAATATGTGATAGCAATCATGATTGTTATTATTACCTACCCCATCAGACTAGTGTGGGTATTAAATAGGTTGATGCAAGTAATACATATAGTATAGTACCTGATACATATACTCAACAAATACTAGCAATTACTACAACAACAACGTAACAATGAATACTATGATTCCTGAAGCAGTGTCTCAGTTAATGGACTGATCGTTTTGTATTCCAGTCTACCACATGACTGGGTTGGCACATATGATTGAAAGCTGCAGGTAATTACAGGGTCTCATAAACGCATAGAGTGATGAGAAAAGCATGGAACCATCAACCAGGAGACCAGAGGTTTAGTTCTAAGCTCCAGCACTAATGTGACCTTCGCCTGGTCATCTGATCTTTCTGAGTTTCGCTTCATTGTTAAATGAAGTTCTCAATGTTCTTCCAGCTCATAAATACGGTGATTGTAAGTCTTCATGTGGTTTTAAACTTTGCAAACTCGATTTGTAAGTGTGCATTTAAAATCAAATTAAAATTTGTCCTTACGTCCTTACAACTGATACTGATTTCAATTCTTCTAGCTATGGAAGAAATTTCCTGTTTTATTTCTTAAGACCATTTTTCACAGGTTCTGAAATAAGGGATGATGTAAGTTCAAGTGTAACATTGCTATCTGATCATTCTTATATTATTTTTAATGTAGATTTCTGGAATATTATAAACTAAATGGCTAAAAGTTAAACATTTACAAGGATAGGCACTTTAGTTAGGTATGGACTAGAAATAGTCATTTAAAAATTGTCTCTGACAGTATGTACAATTTGATATCACTATCTCCTATTATCTCCATGGGCTTTATTATGTGAAGAAACCTTATAAAGTTTTCATCAATCCTGTCAGTTGTATCCTGATTTCTCCAGAAACATCATGCTAGTCAAAAATCTTTTTTTTTTTTTTTCCAGAAGCCAGAGATTCTCCTATTCCATTTCTATTTCCAAAGGCAGGGTGGGGCTGTGGCTTGGCAGAGGAGGGTGTGTTTCGATGGGGTTGGCTAGGCAAGGGAAAATAAACACTATAACATGTGGTTGTGATGACAGTTTAGTGTCTAGAGACCATATATCTTTGAGAGTTCTATGTTTATGCATAAAATATCTCCAACTGGTTTAAAACTATTCATGAATCCAGGAGAGAGCTGCTAAGTGAGAAAGGGAGAGGGGAGAGGAAATGAAAAGGAAGGGAAAAATAATGCTTAAGTATGAACCATGGAAATAGAAAACAAGAAGTACCCTTAAAGATCATCTAGTCCAGCTTATTGGTTATTCATAAGGAATACTTGAGGCCCAAAGGGATTCAGTACTTGCCAGAGGTTTCTCCATTTCTCAAAATCCAAGCCAGGACTAGAACTTAGGTGATTTTCTTTTTTCTTTTCTTTTTTTTTTTTTTTTTGAGACGGAGTCTTGCTCTGTTGCCCAGGCTGGAGTGCAGTGGCACGATCTCGGCTCACTGCAAGCTCTGCCTCCCGGGTTCACGCCATTGTCCTGCCTCAGCCTCCCGCGTAGCTGGGACTACAGGCACCTGCCACCACGCCTGGCTAATTTTTTGTATTTTTAGTAGAGACGGGGTTTCACCGTGTTAGCCAGGATGGTCTCGATCTCCCGACCTCGTGATCCGCCCGCCTTGGCCTCCCAAAGTGCTGGGATTACAGGCTTGAGCCACCACGCCCGGCCGAATTTAGGTGATTTCTGAAGCTGGATATTTAATCATTCCTTCAAGCAACGTTATTGGAAAACATCTATGTGCAGGGGTCACATTAGACATTACTTTTTTTTTTTTTTTTTTTTTTTGAGACGGAGTCTCGCTCTGTCGCCCAGGCTGGAGTGCGGTGGCGCGATCTCGGCTCACTGCAAGCTCCGCCTCCTGGGTTCACGCCATTCTCCTGCCTCAGCCTCCCGAGTAGCTGGGACTACAGGCGCCCGCCACCACGCCCGGCTCATTTTTTGTATTTTTAGTAGAGACGGGGTCTCACCGTGTTAGCCAGGATGGTCCCGATCTCCTGACCTCGTGATCCACCCGCCTTGGCCTCCCAAAGTGCTGGGATTACAGGCGTGAGCCACCACGCCCGGCCTAGATGTTACATTCTAGGGCAGGATATGTTATACGTGTAACAGAAGTGTTTATATAGCATGTATAGCATTTATAACATTTTAAAACATGCTATATAGCATGTTTAACATTTTAAACATGTTGGCCAGGTGCGGTGGTTCATGCCTGTAATCCCAGCACTTTGGGAGGCCAAGGCCGGTGGATCACTTCAGATGAGTTCAAGACCAGCTTGGTCTCGACACCAGCCTGAAACCTTGTCTCTGCAAAAAAAAAAAAAAAAAAAAAAAAAAAAAAAAAAAAATAGCTGGGCATGGTGGCATGCACCTGTAGTCCCAGCTCCTCTGGAGGCAAAGGAATGAGAATTGCTTGAA
Organism: Homo sapiens; assembly: GCF_000001405.40. Classification (NCBI taxonomy): domain Eukaryota; kingdom Metazoa; phylum Chordata; class Mammalia; order Primates; family Hominidae; genus Homo; species Homo sapiens. Next base: position 26,254,773 of record NC_000004.12, on the reverse strand, counting down.
CTCAGGAGGCAGAGGCTGCAGTGAGCCGAGATTGCACCACTGCACTCCAGCCTGGGTTACAGGGTGTGACTCTGTCTTAAAAAAATAATTAAAAATAAACATGCTATATAGCATGTTTTTACAGCATATCTAGCATCGATAACATTCACGTAGCATGTATAGCATTTACATAGCATTAAAAAAACTAGTTATGTGGCAAAGATAAAATCAAAGTATTGAGTGCTTTAAAGAAAATAAAGTGGGGTGTTGGACACAGGCTTCTCTGAGAAGTTAGCCAAGGGCCATGAAAGGAAGCAACCATGCAAAGATTGTGGAACAGAACCTTCTAGGAAGAGGACATGGCAAGCCCTGAGACCCTAAAGTTGAGTGGAATACATTTAGAGTATTTGAAGAAAGCAGGCCTGTGAAGCTGCAGCACAGTGAACAAGAGGGATAGTCGTGTACATGGAGGTAGGAGAAGGAGCTCTGGGCTCGACTAAGTAGGGCTGTATAATCCACAGGCAAGAATTGAATTTTATTTTATATGCAGTAGAAGCCATTGGAGAGTTTTCAGCGGGCTGTGACATGATTTGATTGACACATTGGAAAGTGCTAGAGTGGAAGCAGGAGACCAGCTGGGATGCTATTGTCCTTGTTTAGGTGCAGAATGATGTGGACCCAGGATGGTGGCAGTAGAGGGAAGAAGTGGACAGACTGATGCTCAGAGAAGATACAATGGGGCATGTTCCCAAACTTGTTACTCAATGTTCTTATTATTAATAATGTGAAGGAAAAAATGTATGAGTAAAACAAAACTCCAAAACCTTTAAACATGACTATCATCACTTTGCACCAATGTTGTTTTAGGACTTGGAAGTGCTTGACACAGGCTATTTGTAAACGGAGAGAGTGAAATCTCCACCCTCATTACACCCCAATTTTAGTGTAAAAATAATTTATCACAAGAAAACAAAGAAGATACCAGGATTTTCATAAAATACAAAAACAAGTTTCCAGTTTATGATCTGAAGTCAACGTAGATTTAGCTCTATTTTACATACAGTGTATATATTTACATCCACATAGATATTGACATTTCAATGATTTTATCATGACCGGTATGGGGAGGAAAATCAGCAAAATATACTCTCTAAAAATGGGCTGAAAGGTTTTAGAAATATTTTCAGCATTGAGGGTTGAAATAGCAGATTAACCCAGCACTTTGGGAGGCCGAGGCGGGCGGATCACGAGGTCAGGAGATCGAGACCATCCCGGCTACAACGGTGAAACCCCGTCTCTACTAAAAATACAAAAAATTAGCCGGGCGTAGTGGCGGGCGCCTGTAGTCCCAGCTACTCGGGAGGCTGAGCTAGGAGAATGGCGTGAACCCGGAAGGCGGAGCTTGCAGTGAGCCGAGATTGCGCCACTGCACTCCAGCCTGGGCGACAGAGCGAGACTCCGTCTCAAAAAAAAAAAAAAAAAAAAAAGAAATAGCAGATTAAGATATCTGATAAAATGCAGTTAAAGTTTAAGAGTTTTAATTTTGTTTATATTTTTGCATTTTAATTTTGTTTTGTTTGTATTTTTGCCTTAGCACAGACTACTTTGATTATATGAGTAATACCGGGTTACCCGGTTTAGGATATTTTTCCAAATGTGGAAAAGGATTAAGCATGACATAAAACTCATGGAACATGCCAAAAACCTACAGCTCAAATGTCCCTGTAATATCAGTGGCTGTCATTGAATACCCCTAAGATAACCCAGATGCTTTAAATATGTCAAATATAATGCTTATAGCAAACATGTAAGTTTGGTATTATTATAAATCTCTAGTGAAAAAGCAGCTGGGTTTTTTATATAGTAGAGCCAGGTCAGGAAGCAAATCCAGCCTAGTTCCTAGGCCCAGGCTTTCTAATATGCCCATTTTTATGAATCATTTATTCTCTGACATTGGAGTAGAGAAACATTTATAAATGCATTCAACTCGAATCCAAAAGCTGATTTTCTCCAGCAAAAGACTTATTTGGCTGTTTGTGCTGACATTTTCCCATAATGATGAACCTGGTCTGAAAATTCTGTGTTGAATTACCTGCTAAGTTAATGTTTTCCAGACTCGAGCAACGTATGCAACTCTTAAATGTTAAGATTTATTATTGATTTAAGTCAGTTTTCAAAGAATGTGGCTTTTCTTCTCTCTCTCTCTTTGAGTCAGCGGTCTCCCTCTGTCACTTGGGTTGGAATGCAATGACACAATCCTGGCTCTCTGCACCCTTGACCTCTGAGGCTCAGGCGATTCTCCTGCCTCAGCCTTCTGAGAGCTGTGACCACAGGTGCGTGCCACCACACCCAGCAAATTTTTGTAGAGACATGGTTTTGCCATGTTGCCCAAACTGGTCTCGAACTCCTGGGCTCCAGTAATCTGTCCACCTCGGCCTCCCAAAGTGCTGGGACTACATGCATGACCCACTGCACCCAGTCAAAGAATGTGACTTTAAAAAGTCACATAAAACATAAACTAGCATGTGACTTTAAAAAGTCACACAAATCTAGTTATTGGTGGGAGGGCGGTGGATGATGAGAAATTACTTAATGGGTACAAAATGTACATCATTCAGATGATGGATACACTAAAAGCTCAAACTTCATGCCGACATACTATATCCATCCATGCAATAAAATTGCCCTTGTACCCTTAAATTAAAAAAAAAAAACTAGTTAAAACTTGTTATAGTTTTTACATATGCAATGATAGAACCCAAAACAAGTTTAAAAATGACATTCAAACAAAGCTATTAGAACATATTAAAATTTTGGTGTTCACATCATTATAGTCTTTCTGAAAGTCAGTCGATAGCCCCGTTGTGAGAACGTTATTGACTTTTCCATTGCGGCTGAGTCTTTTTTATTCTCCTCCTCTTCTTTTTTTTTTTTTTTTTTTTTTTTTGAGACGGAGTCTCGCTCTGTCACCCAGGCTGGAGGGCAACGGCACAATCTTGGCTCACTGCAACCTCCACCTCCCAGATTCAAGCAATTCTCCTGCCTCAGCCTCCCAAGTAGCTGGGAATACAGGCATCTGCCACCACATCTGGCTAATTTTAGTATTTTTAGTAGAGATGGGGTTTCACCATGTTAGCCAGGATTTTTTTTTTTTTTTTTTTTTGAGAAAGAGTCTTACTCTGTTGCTCATGTGCAGTGGCATGATTTCCGCTCTCATTGCAACCTCCACCTCCCATGTTCAAGCAATTCTCATGCCTTAGCCTCCTGAGGTAGCTGGGATTACAGGAGCACAACACCACACTGGCTAATTTTTGTAATTTTAGTAGACACAGGGTTTCACCATGTTGGCCAGGCTGGTCTTGAACTCCTGGCCTCAAGTGATCCACCTGCCTCGGCCTCCCATGGGGCTGGGATTACAGGTGTGAGCCACTGCACCCTGCCTGGAGTCTTTTTATTTGGCTTTTTGCTACTGTGCTGGTCCAGTTTTGCTACCACTTTTATCTACTTAAAAATCTTCATTCCATGGTGCACATGATGTCATCTGGTGTGAAATTTTGGCAAACTTATTAGGTTTGCCACTACTCTTTGTTTGTTACCCTTTGACTTGGGACAGTTGCAATAATAAACACAACAGCACATAGGGACACCAACATTGGTTGGTAATATTTGGTTAGAAGCTGGTCATGTAGACGATCCAGACAATCCTTACAATCATATTTTAGATATCTCAAAAATGAAAGCACACAATTTTACATTGTAAAGGAAATTTGTAGATCCACAACACTACGTCTACCCTAGGTGTCCTCAAACTCCACTTTAAGAAATGCGTTTACATCATATAGTCCCAGACTCAGGAAGGATAAAGTTTACTTCCACAGAATATAATACTCACATCACACGATGGAATACAAAGCAATTGGCTGAAAGAATGAGGTAGCTCTATTTATACTGACTTGAAAAGATGTCCACAGTGTATTAAGTGACCAAAGCAATACATCAGAATTGAAAACAGGGACCCAAACAGACACTTGCACACCAATGTTCATAGTTATTATTTACAATAACCCAAAGGTAGAAACAACCTAAGTGTCTATCAACACATGAATGGGTAAACCAAATGTAGTATATACAGACAATGAAATATTATTTAAAAAGGAATGGAATGCCAGGTGCGGTGGCTCACATCTGTGTCCCAGCACTTTGGGAAGCCAAGGTGGGTGGATCACCTGAGGTCAGGAGTTTGACACCAGCCTGGCCAACATGGCGAAACCCCATGGTCTACTAAAAATACAAAAATTAGCCGGGCATGGTGGCACACACCTGTAATCCCTGCTACTTGGGAGGCTGAGGCAGGAGAATCACTTGAATCTAGGAGAAGGAGGTTACAGTAAGCCGAGACCACGCTACTGTACTACAGCCTGGGTGACAGAGTGAGACTCCATTTCAAAAAAAAAAAAAAAAAAAAAGGAATGGAGTCTGATCTATGCTACAACATGTATGAGCCTTGAAAACATTAGGCTAAGTGAAATAAGCCAGAGACAAAAGGGCAAATGTTGTATGATTCTACCTTCATGAGGGATTGAGACAAGGCAAACTCATAGGGGCAGAAAGTAGAATAGATATTACTAGAAGTTCGGGGATGGGGAGAATGAGGAAGTATTGCTTAATGGGTACAGAGTTTCTATTTGGAATGATGAAAAAGTTCGGAAGGCCAGGCGCGGTGGCTCACACCTGTAATCCCAGCACTTTGGGAGGCCGTGGCGGGGGGACCACCTGAGGTCAGGAGTTCGAGACCAGGCTGACCAACATGGAGAAACCCCGTCTCTACTAAAAATACAAAAATTAGCCAGGCATGGTGGCAGATGCCTGTAATCCCAGCTACTCGGGAGGCTGAGGCAGGAGAATCGCTTGAACCTGGGAAGCAGAGGTTGTGGTGAGCCAAGATCATGCCATTGCATCCAGCCTGGGCTGGAGCAAAACTCCATCTCAAAAAAAAAAAAAAAGAAAAAAAAAAAGAGAAAGTTCTGAAAATAGTAGTGATGTTTGCACAACAATGTGAGTTGTACACTTAAAAAGTTACTAGGTTGGTGCAGCAAAAGTAATTGTGGTTTTTGCCATTACTTTTTGTGTGTGTGTGACAGAGTCGCACTCTGTCACCCAGGCTGGAGTGCAGTGGCGGGATCTCGGCTCACTGCAATCTCTGCCTCCCAGGTTCAAGAGATTCTCGTGCCCCAGCCTCCCAAGTAGCTGGGATTACAGGCACCCACCACCATGCCCGGCTAATTTTTTGCATTTTTAGTAGAGACAGGGTTTCACCATGTTGGCCAGGCTGGTCTTGAACTTCTGACCTGAAGTGATCTGCCTGCCTCAGCCTCATAAAGTGCTGGGATTACAGGTGTAAGCCACCATACCCGGCTGACCCCATCTCTTAATACTATAATATTGGAGATTAGGTTCTAACATAAACATTTTGAGGGAACACAGACATTCAGACCATAGCATATAAAGTAATAATTTATGGAGCTGTGTGTTTCATAAATTATTTATATACTTTGCTGTATGCACGTTATAATTCAATAAAATGCTTACTTAAGAGACTTCTTAAAAAAGTCATCTGTTTTGGTATTAGACTTTGCCCGCTTTTGCTTTCGAGATGCTATCACTTCTCTTTCTTCTTTTCTATTCATTCAACAAATAGTTATTGTATACCAACTGTATACAAGGCACTGTGCTAGGCAAAAGACTACTACTACACCTGTAGGAAGATGACAATTCATATTTTGAAACCTTGAAAAACTGTCTCTAGGAGTTGATTATCAAGACTTTCTATTAGTCTGTAAGATTCTTTCCTATCAGAGCTTCATATTCCCTCTTTGGCTTCTGCATAAAACTGTTTTGACATAATGGTTACCTCCCAGCTGGTGTTTTTGGCTTTTGCCCAAGAAAATCCTGCTTGCTGATCTCTAGTCTCTTGTTCTCCTCAGCTGTTTCTAATATTTGAACTCTTAATCTGACATCTTGGATATATCAGATTCTTACTGACTCCTCTCTCCCATCACTTCCTTAAAAAATTTATGGAATTAAAAATTCCACAAGTCCCTATTACTAGCCTGTGGAGATTCAGATTTATTCTGCTCTTAGGGAATTATTCACTGTTATATAGTCTAACTATAATTATTGTATCCTAAAGGGATATAGTTTATTTTCCCTTTTTTGTATTAAAATTTGTACTGGCTACAAAATGTTCAAGAGCAAATACTCTTGACTTCAACAACAGGTAAACAAATATCACCACAATTATTCTGCATTATTTGGGAGGTTCTAATACACAATAAGACAAGAAAAGCAAATGAGAACTTCACATATTTAAAAAGGAATTATTTTTATTTATATACAATATGATTGTATGCCTAGAAATTCCAAATGAGTCAGTTAAAAATATGAAACCAAGAGATAATTGGCAGAATGACTGGGTATATTTTATTGATTGATTGATTGATTTTTGAGATGGAATCTTGCTCTGTTACCCAGAGTGGAGGGCAATGGCATGGTCTCGGCTCATTGCAACCTCCACCTCCCAGGTTCAAGCGATTCTCCTGCCTCACCCTCCTGAATAGTTAGGACTACAGGTGTGTGCCACCACACCTGGCTAATTTTTGTATTTTTAGTAGAGACAGGGTTTCACTATGTTGGCCAGGCTGGTCTCAAACTCCAGACCTCATGATGCCCCGCCTCAGCTTCCCAAAGTGCTGGGATTATAGGAGTTAGCCACCATGCCTCGCCTTTATTTATTTATTTTAAAATTTTAGATTCACAGCGTACATGTACAGGTTTGTTACATGAATATATTGTGTGATGCTGAGGATCGGGCTTCTGTTGAATCCATCACCCAAATAGTGATCATAGTACCCAAATAGGTAGTTTCCCAACTATTGCACTCCTTCCTCTCTACTCCTTGGAATTTCCAGTGTCTACTGTTTCTATAAAATAAATATTTTAAAATATCAGTAACTTGTCTTTATATTAGTAATAGTGAATTATACATAGAAATTACAAAGTAAATTCTTTAAAAATAGTATTATGAAGGCTGGGTACGGTGGCTCATGCCTGTAATCCCAGCACTTTGGGAGGCTGAGGCGGGTGGATCACCTGAGGTTGGGAGTTCGAGACCAGCCTGACCAAGGTGGAGAAACCCCGCCTCTACTAAAAATACCAAATTAGCCGGACGCGGTGGCGCATGCCTGTAATCCTAGCTACTCGGGAGGCCGAGGCAGGAGAATCACTTGAACCCAGGAAGCGGAGGTTGTAGTGAGCCAAGATCGTGACATTGCACTTCAGCCTGGGCAACAAGAGCGAAACTCCGTCCCCCTCCACCCAAAAAAAAAAGTATTATGAAAAAATTTAACAAGAAAATATTGGAATCTATATGAAGAAAGCAATACTATTTTATTGAAGAAAATAAAGCCTACCATGAATAAATGGAGACACATACCCAAATCATAGATTGGAAAATTATCATTAAAATAAAATTCTTTATAAGTTAATTTAAAAGTGTTATTAAATCCAGTCAAAATTCTATCAATAATCCAGTAATAAAAAAATGAAAAAAATAAACTTTCAAAAGTGTCAAGAAAATGTTGAACAAGAATAATAAAGGATAATTTGCTGCACCACAAAAAAGTACTATAAAGTGACTGCAATAAAAATAGTATATTAATTGCTTGAGCCTGGGAGATTGAGGCTGCAGTGAGCCATGATTGCACCACTGCATTCCTGCCTGGGTGAGAGGGAGACCCTGTCTCAAAAAAAAAAAAAAAAAAAGCGTATTATGTTCCATAGATAATAGATAATACTTCTATAGTTCTAGAAACTACTCTTCTATGAATGAGAAGCTTATAAATAAGGCACACCTGAGTACAGTAGTGGTGCGCGGCCCCTCAGCAAGATAAGATCTCATTGATTTCAGCTGCCCTGAGCTGTTCCATTTTTTTCCCTCCATTTAGTCAGGGGGTCAGGCAACAGACTTAAAGCAGGCACTAGACTAGGCTATAGAGAGAGAACTGTGCAAAAGAATTTGTTACTGCTTTTAGAGAGTTTTAAGTCCAGTGGGAGAACCTGATAGTTACAGTAGTGAATAATAGCATATTTGCTGGTGGCAGGCTTGCTTCTCCCCAGTTTCATGGATTTATCTGAGCTTACAATCTGACAGGTTATGTTTATAATCCCTTGGTTAATGTCAGTGGCATTTTCCCAAAGAGCCAAGCTGATACAATTCCCAGAAAAGTAAAATTAATATAATTGCAGCTGAAAAATGGAATGTGAATTATATCTTCTTAGGACAGTGACTTTCAAACTTTTTGGTTTTAGGACCCTTACATTCTTAAATGTTATGGGGATCAATATACCAAAGTCAAATTTCTAGTGATGAAAAATCTGAAAATGAAATTTAAAAAGACAATTCTATTTATGACAGCATCAAAAAGAATAAACTACTTCGGAATAAATTTAACAAAAACAGTGCAAGTCCTAAACACCAGAAACTATGAAACATCATTGAAATAAATTAAAGAAGACCTAAATAAATGGAAAGACATCCCATGTTCACAGATTGGAAGACTTACTACAATTAAGATGATAATAGTTCCCAAATTGATCCACAGACTCAAAACAATGCCTATCAAAATGGCTGCTGGTTTCTTTGCAGAAATTGAAAAGCAGATCCTAAAGTTCATGTGGGAATGAAAGGGGCTCAGAATAACTATAACAATCTTTTAAAGAAGAACAAGTTTGGAGACTTACCCTTTCCCATTTCAAAACTTATTACAAAGCTACAGTAATCAAAATTGTGTGGCATAGGCATTAAGACAGACATATAGAGTGAAAGAATTGAATTTAGAGTCCAGAAATAAGCCTAGATATGTACAGTTGATTGATTTTCAACAAGGGTACCAAGATAATTCAAGGAGGAAAGAATAGTCTTTTCAACAAATGATGCTTCAACAACTACATATTCACATATGCAAGGATGAAGTTGGACCCCTACGTCACACAAGAATAAAGAGAAAATTATAGGGCTAACTGCAAGAGCTAAAGCTATAAAACTCATAGAAGAAAACTTGGGAACAACTCTTCATGACTGTGGATTAGGCAATGATTTCTTAAATATAAAGCTAAAATCACAGGCATCAAAAGAAAAAATAAACTGAACTTCATCAAAATCACACTTTTGTACTTCAAAGGAGACTGTCACAAAAGTGAAAAGACAACCCATACAAAAGTACATTAGTGGGCCGGGTGCAGTGTCTCACGCCTGTAATCCCAGCACTTTGGGAGTCTGAGGCAGGTGGACCACAAGGTCAGGAGTTCAAGACCAGCCTGACCAACATGGTGAAACCCCGTCTCCACTAAAAATACAAAACTTAGCTGGATGTGGTGGCACGTGCCTGTAGTCTCAGCTACTTAGGAGGCTGAGGCAGAAGAATTGCTTGAACCCGGGAGGTGGAGGTTGCAGTGAGCTGAGATTGCACCACTGGACTCCAGCCTGTGTGAGCGAGTGAGACTCCAACTCAAAAAAAAAAAAAAAAAAAAAAATACAATAGTGATTGCCAGGGACTGGAGAGAAGAAAGAATGAGGAATGACTGCTAATGGATAGTGTTTCTTTCTTGGAGTAATAAAAAAGTTCTGCAATTAGAGGTGATTGTTGTACAAACTTGAGGATACACTAAAAAAGCCACTGAATTGTATACTTTAAGAAGGTGATTCTTATGGTATGTAAATTTTAGTATTATTTAATATTAATAAAATAAAATATTAATATTAAATAACAATCGGCATTTAAAATATTTATTTTAAACTATTCTTATTAGAAATTAAAATTCATGCCTGTAATCCTAGCACTTTGCGAGGCTGAGGCAGGCAGATCATTTGAAGCCAAGAGTTTGAGATCAGCCTGGCCAACATGTCAAAACCTCGCCTCTACTAAAAATACAAAATTAGCCGGGTGTGTGGGCCTGAAGTGGTGTGTGCCTGTAATCCCAGCTACTCAGGAAGCTGAGGCAGAATTGCCTGAACCTGGGAGGCAGAGGTTGCAGCAAGCTGAGATTGCTCCACTGCACTCCAGCCTGGGCCACAGAGCGAGACTCCATCTTAAAAGAAAGAAAGAAATTAAAATCGATAACACTAAAAATATTGTTTTACAAAATTATAATTTTAAAATATAGTCATATAAAATAACAATAAGAAACCATTTACATTTAGCAGTATATATGCATACACATATATGTATACATATATACACACATATATGTATACACACATATGTATACATATATACACACATATATGTATACACACATATGTATACATATATACACACATATGTATACACACATATGTGCATACATATATACACACACGTGTACACATATGTGCATACATATATATACACACATATGTGTACACATATGTGTATACATATACACACATATGTGTACACATATGTGTATACATATACACACATATATGTGTACACATATGTGTATGTGTACACATATATAGACACATATATGTGTACACATATGTGTATACATATATAGACACATATATGTATACATATATGTGTATACATATATATATACATATATGTGTACACATATATATATACATTTTAAAGTTTCTTTTTCTTCTTTTTTTTTGAGACAGGGTCTCACTCTGTTGCCCAGGCCAAAGTGCAGTGGTGCCACCTCACCTCAGCTCACTGTAACCTCCTCCTCCTGGGCTCAAGTGATCCTCCCACTTCAGCCTCCTTAGTAGCTGGAACTACAGGTAAGCACGATCACACCCGGCTAATGTTTGTATTTTTTTGTAGAGACGAATTTCACCATGTCACCCAGGCTGGTCTTGAACTCCTGGATTCAAGCAACCCACCCACACTGGCCTCCCAAAGTGCTGAGATTAAAGGAGTGATCCACTGTGCCTGGCCAAGGGAGGAGTATATTAATAGCTTTTAAGATAAATATGGATATTCTTTCTTGATATTACACTAAAATCTGACAAGTTATAGTTTCTTGAAGATGAAGATCATGTTTATGTGGAATCTGAAACCATAATGATGAAATTCCATATTCTGCTAAATTTAAATTATTAGCCCACCTTGCACTTTGGATGAATATTTTACCCATGCATGATTTTATAGCATCATGCTTTGTCATTTGGAAAATATTGGTTTACTAAATTATGCAGATCATCCAAATGTTGATCTATTTCAATTCCATACAAAAAACATCTTATTCATTAATATCACAATTATTCTCACTCAAAAGTCCAGAAATACTGAGAAAGTGTCAAACTCACCATAGTGGATACAAGCAATCCACAATTCTACTTTTCTCTTGAAAGCTCAAATTCTATCATTGGCAACAAATACAGTCAGTTGTTTTGTCAGTGACAGACTCACTTCATTTATTTTTTAAGAAAATTTCTGCGAGATACCCATCATCTCTGAATAACAATAGTTTGTCAGTTGATAGAGTGTTCTTTTACTTTTTATCATTATTATTTTTTTGAGACGGAGTTTTTTTGCTCTTGTTGCCCAGGCTGGAGTGCAGTGGCGTGATCTCAGCTCACTGCAACCTCTGCCTCCCGGGTTCAAGCTGTTTTCCTGCCTCAGCCTCCCGAGTAGATGGGATTACAGGCGCCGGCCACCATGCCCGGCTACTTTTTGTATTTTTAGTAGAGACGGGGTTTCTCCATGTTGGTCAGGCTGGTCTCGAACGCCCAACCTTAGGCGATCCACCCACCTGGGCCTCCCAAAGTGCTGGGATTACAGGCATGAGCCACCGCGCTTTTAAAAAGTAGCCAGCTTAGTTCACAATTCTAATAATTGCAAAAGTACTTTTCCTCAAGGCAAACATCATATTTCAGCATGCAGCACACGTGCTTTATGTGTTCTTTCTATTTAATCACACAGAATAGTAAAAAGACATGTATTTAAGTATGGAGGTTTAAGAAAATTAATAATTTTTACCACTTCAATCAAGGAGACTCTTAAATAAAATAAACTTGGACTTTTTTTTTTTTTTTTTTTTTTAACTATGAGTGGGTCTGTTGGTGAAAAATTCCATGATGACTAATGCATTCTATTACTTTGTGCTAAGGTGCCAGCAACTTTATCCACCATTACTTTTGTGCTAACAGGGGCAAATGTCAATGCAACCAAAAGGCCAAACAGCATCTTGGTATGGAGATAGTTATAACCTTCTTACCTCAAAGGGTCTTAGTGGTTCCTGAGGATCTGTGGACCACACTCTCTTTTCTTTTTTTCTTTTCTTTTCTTTTTTTTTTTTTTTGAGACAGAGTCTCGCTCTGTTGTCCAGGCTGGAGTACAGCGGCGCAATCTCCTGTCACTGCAAGTTCCACCTCTCGGGTTCACGCCATTCTCCGCCTCAGCCTCCCGAGTAGCTGGGACTACAGGCGCCCGCCACCATGCCCGGCTAATTTGTTTGTATTTTTAGTAGAGATGGGGTTTCACCATGTTAGCCAGGATGGTCTCGATCTCCTGACCTCGTGATCCGCCCGCCTCGGGCTCCCATAGTGCTGGGATTACAGGGGTGAGCCACCGCTCCCGGCTGGACCACACTCTCAGAACCTCTGCACTGAACTCTAAGGCCATGAGGGCAGCGTGTAGGGACCTTAATGATTTGGTTCACTGCTGTGTCCTAAAGACATGAGAAAAAGGCTGGACAAGAAAGGAGGATCTCAATGGGTATTTGTTGAATGAATATATGAACAAATCCCACAGAGGATCCAACTTTGTGCTCTCTTTGGTTAGACTGTGCGGTATTGAGCACTTCAAGAGCTACTGGTAGCATTAATCAGTGAAACATATGAAGTACTGCTTCAAATTCTCATTGGAAGTACAATTTTTTTAAAAATTCCCCCTTAAGAGGAGTTTAATGATCATACTATTAAGAGAGAAGGTTAGGGCCAGGCTTAGCGGCTCACACCTGTAATCCCAGCACTTTGGGAGGTCTGGGCGGGCAGATCACTTCAGGCCAGGAGTTTGAGACCAGCCTGGCCAACATAGCGAAACCCTGCCTCTACTAAAATAGAAAAAAATAAATGGGTGTGGTGGGGCATGCCTGTAGTCTCAGCTACTTGGGAGGCTGAGGCAGGAGAATGGCATGAACCCGGGAGGCAGAGGTTGCAGTGAGCAGGGATCGCGCCACTGTACTCCAGCCTGGGTGACAGAGGGAGACTCTGTCTCAAAAAACAAACAAACGAAAAACAAAAAAGAAAAAAAAGTGAAAAGAAGACAGGTCAGAAGTTCTGGCTCTGAATGGTCTTTCCTTATGTATAAATCACGTTAAACTGTTCCTCAACCTCTGAGTTTGCCTGGAATTTTCTTCATGCTTGATTCCAAGTCAGTTCATCAAAATAATTTTTCTTCTGCTTAAGTCTCCAATGTCAGCTCTTTTTTTCACACAAAGATTTCACCAGCACTAACTTGGCTAACAGATTCTAGAGTAAAACAGGGCTGCTTAACTTTTATCTGTGTGGTGGAAAGTGCTCAATTTTTTTTTTTTTTTTTTTATTTTTGGAGACAGGGTCTTGCTCTGTCGCCCAGGCTAGAGTGCAATGGTGCGACCTTGGCTCACTGCAACCTCGGATTCCCAGGCTCAAGTGATCCTCCCACCTCAGCCTCCCTGGTAGCTGGGACCACAGGTGCACACCACCATGCCTGGCTAATTTTTTGTAGAAACGGGGGTTTTGGCTTGTTGCTCAGGCTTCAACTTCACAACTCCTCATTTATATACGTGTGATATGTTGTTGCCAATTATAAAGTATGGATTAGTAAAGCCTTGATTTGCTTTCTGCACCCCACTTTGTCCTGGAGATGAGGGCCCATAATAAGGAATGACCCCAGGAATCCTTTCTCAACTTGGAGACCTTTCTCCCTCTTTCTCATCAACTATTGGGGGTCACAGGATATTGCACAAAACGAAGGCAGTTTGAGAGTCCAAAACCTTTTCACATCTTCTGTGTGAAAATTTCAAGAAGAAAATCAGCAGGATAAACATGAAAGGTCTATCTAACATTAAACCTGGAATGCAGTATGGGTTCAACAGATGAATCTGGAATCCAAATGATCATTTTGGTTTTCACCTTCTGAAGACATCAAGGACCCCCTTCCATAGACAAGAGCCCACTAAAACATGCTCTTCCTCATGTTCTTCTTAAATACGTCCTTCCCTACTTCAGCACGGGTATAGCTTGGTTGCTTTTCTCTCCCTCTAATCCTACATCTGGCACTTTGTGGGTGTTTAATAATTATATGTTCAGACGAATTTCTTCTAAATGTCTGTCCCAGATTAATTCATACTGTGTGAATGTTATTGATCTGGAGAGGAGGGTATAGTTTAGAGAATAAAGTATTTGAAAGGAGGAATGAATGACCCAGACGGGGTATCCCAGGGAATGGCAAAAAGTAAAAGTCAAGGTAAGAAAGAAGAGTAACTAACAGAAGTAGAGTTGTTAAATGAAAAACAGGACATCCAGTTAAATTTGCATTTCAGATAAACGGCAAATGATTTTTTAGTAGGCCTCATGCGATGTTGGGGTATAGTTACACTAAAAATATTATTTGTGATTTATCTGAAATTCAGTGTTAATTGGGCATTCTGTATTATTTGTGAAATCTGGCAACTCTAAACAGGGAATGACAGGGAAGTTTTGCTCACACGGAACTTTGCTCTGCCAAGGCTCAGAGGACGGGGTGCTGGGAGTCCTAAGTATTTCGTCACTTAAATTTCTGCTAACAGGATCTTATTTTCTTTATAAAACATCCTTTACAAGAAAAATTTTGCAAAGTGGAAAACTACATTTTACAATTCATTAAAAAATATATTTTGGCTTTGAGTGGAACTGTGATGAAAATAGAGAATGAAACAGCATAACGGAATTCACTGTCATCACTGAAACAAGGGGACTTTGCCATTTCCCCATAAACAAAGTTTAACTCTACCCAGGTCTCTCCTCTCCTCTCCTCTCCCCTCCCCTCCCCTCCCCTCTTCTCTTCTCCTTTTTTTCTTCTCTTCTCTGTTACTTTCCTTCCCTTCCCTCCAGTGCACTATAAAGGATGCATTAACTACACCATGACTGCTCTGAAAATGTATCCTGGGATCCTTGGTTGACATTTGCTTTTAGTACAGGCAGAGGTCACTTGGAGCAAAGTTTACAAGCCTTTTCTTGATTACATTGTGCTTAAAGTGTTAACCCTGTTAGCAGTCACAGCACAGATTTCCTCAATGAGACTCTTGTGCGCCTGACAATGTAACTATTTATTTGCAGAGTCACTACCATTGACATTTGTGCTGCTCAATGCAAAGTGTTACCAGTGCTTTCTTTATGTCACTGTTTCTCTTCAGTAACCAAGAAAAGCAAAACAAAGTACAAATAACTGCTTATTCAGAAAGAAATCTCAGATTGTTCCTTAAACCTGCTCCAGGCAGCGGATACAGACTTTTGAGTGATCTGGAAAATATGAAAAGCACTTGGCTGGGATACAAAACCCGAACTGATCTGTGGTGATGGCAAAAGCAGAAATAGGAGCTCAGTAATAAAAATAAATTTCTATATGGCTGATCATGGTCCGGCTGGCTTGAGGAGGGAGGAGCAGGTCTTGGAAGTTAGGCTATTATCTGAGCAGTCGTTGCTTTGGTGGTGTGTGTGGGGGTTGGGGAATAGGGCTTTGCTTCATAGGCCATCCCTCAATTGTTGTCTGATTGATTGAAAAAGGCAAATGGTGCCGCCCTGTTCCTGCCAAGTGTTTTCTTCTGCGTCTGCTCTCCCTGGGTGCCTGGAGCGTTGATCTCTGTGGCTCTCTCACCTGCTGCTTTGTTCCAACAAAGCTGGCGTCTTACAGCCGCCGCCACTCACTCTTCCAAGCCGTTGTCCTGGCTGTCCTGACTGTGTAAACCCTGCCATCCCCATCTGCCCAGCCACCTGCCTCCTTGTCTCTAGATATCCTCCCGCGACCCCACCACTTCTGGGAAGCTCTCCGGAATTATGACCACCCACTTGTCTCCAACTGCTGGCCCAACCCTCTCCCCAAAGCTGCTCTCAAAACGACTGCATCTCATTTCTGTTGATTGTTTCTATGTCACAGCAGAGGGGAAGGTGCACACACACTGAGTCAGGCTGGGATTCATTTATTGACTTTGTCACTTACCAGCTCTGTGACCTTTGGCCACAACAGTAATGATGATACCCTACAACTATAAAACTCTTGTAGTGTGCCAAGCATGTTTACTACACTTTCCATACTTCCTTCTATTTTATCCCTGCATAGAAGCTATGAGATACATTAATACAATGATTCTCCTTGTTTTACAGACAAGAAAGCTGAGGCTCAAAGAAGTTAAGAACTTGGTTGAGCCAAGCATGGTGGCTCATGCCTGTAATCCCAGCACTTTGGGAGGCTGAGGCAGGCAGATCACTTGAGCCCAGAAGTTCAAGACCAGCCTGGGCAACATGACAAAACTCTGTCTCTACAAAAAATAAAAACATTAGCCAGGCACGGTGGTGCGCGCCTGTGGTCCCAGCTACTCAGGAAGCTGAGATGGGAGGATTACTTGAGGCTGGGAGGTCGATGCTGTAGTGATCTGTGATTGTGTCACTGTATTCCAGCCTGGGCAACAGGGTGAGACCCTGTCTCAAAACAAACAAATGAAACAAACACACACAAAATTTTTGGTCAGGATCAAATAGCTCTTTAATGGCCGGACATGATGGCTCATAACTGTAATTTAATTCCAGTACTTTGGGTGGCTGAGATGGGAGGATCACTTGAGGCCAGGAGTGCAAAATCAGCTTGGTCAACATAGTGAGACCTCATCTCAAAACAAAACAAAAAACAAAACAAACTCAAATAGCTCCTTCATGATAGAGCTAGGATTGGAACTCAAAGTGTCAAGCTGCAAGTCCAAACTCTTATTGGGATCCAAACACCAGGCTAGGTATCTTTATTATTTAATTCTCTCAACAGCCCAATTAAGTGTGTATTGTCCAAATTGTACTGATAGGGAGACCGAGGGTCAAAAAATTGAAGTGATTTTCTCGTGATCATGGCTCTAGTAAGTAGGCAATGCTGGATTCAACCCCCTAAAACCCTGTTTCTTCACTTATCACAAGCATCTTCCAGATAGAAGGCTTATACCTGTAGTGGAAGGAAAAATAGTGTGTTTGCACTGACAAGTTTGCAAGATGATGGAAATGTTGAGTCAAATCCAACTAAACAAACATTTTCCTTCTAATTTTTCTTATTATTTAATCCTAGGACTTCCTAGAGTCTTTAACACCGTGCAAAATATGCACTGTGAGGCTTCGAGAAAGGATTTAATAGGCAGCCTTTTCAAATTTATTCGACCATAATGATTTTTTTTTTTGAGACCCATCTATTAATATTTTTTTTGCAGTAGTGTTTCCCAGGACACAAATTTGAAAAACATTGCACTATATACTTAAGTGACAGCACACACAGATAAGAATACAGATAGAGAAATTGTTGTTGCTGTTGCTATTCAGGAGACCAGGATGGTCTTGATCTCCTGACTTCGTGATCAGGTAGTGATAAGGTTCTCCAGGTGCTTCCCAGAGCTATCGAGTCTGCCAGGGCCAACCAGCTGCTGTTGGTACTCAGGAGCCCGGCACCCAGATGTCATTTGCTTCATGGGTTCATTGAACTGGTGTTTGTTGTTGCTGCTGTTTTGCCTGAGCTCTACGGCTTTCTGGCTTCTTCCTACTGGGTTCTAATGTGGGCTCAAGCATTTCACAAGGGAGTCTGTTGTTAAAATCCAATAAAATCAAACTCAGAGTAGACATCAGAATCAGCACCAGCCTTAGTATAGGCAGGCATTGAGCACTTTAGGGCCATTGTAATAATAGCTACCGGTTAGTCAGTGTTTACAATGTACGGGGCTTAACATGGGTTGTTTCATTTAATCTTCCTGATAATAGAGATACTGTTGCAGAAATCTCCAAAAGGGCCCTTGTGTGGTCCCATCCACATTGAGTTAGGGACTGTCTTGTGTGACTAATACACTATCACATAGGTGATGCTGTGAGATTTCCAAGGTTAGGAATAAAGTCATTGAGCTTCCATCTTGGTCTCTTGAATTGCTTGCTCTGGATGAAGCCAGCTGCCATTTTGCCAAGACACTCAAGCAGTACTGTGGAGAGCCCATGTGGAAAGGAACTAATTTGTCAGCCAATGTGAGTGCCCCACCTTGGAAGTGGTTCCACCAGCCCCAGTCAGGCTTTCAGATGAATGCAGACCCCAGCTAACATCTGACTGCAACTTCATGAGAGACCCTGAATGAAAACTACCCAACCTGAGGCACTCCTGAATTCCTGAACTATAGGGATGACTATTGTTTTAAGCCACTAATTTGTGGAGCGACTTGTTACAAGCAGGAAATAATGACTACAGATACTATTAGTATTCCCCATTTTTCAGATGAGGACATCGAAGCTATAAGAGAGGTTAAATTGCTTATTGAAGGTCACAGGGCCTACTCACTCAAGGTCACAGCCAGAGTTTACGTGGCTGATACAGGATGCCACAAAGGACCTCTTTCCTCAATCCCCAAAATATTGCCCCAGAAGTCTGCAATAGTATCCACAATTCTATTTCTGGGCTCATTTATTCAGTGTGCTGATGTGATAATACAGAAAGTTTTGGAACCTGTCCATATTTTACCTCTCATGAACTTCAGCTCCTTAGAGAGTAAATATCATCTACCTGGTTGTGGATAAAATGATTGAATATATTGAAAGTTCAGGCAGATTCTAGGCACTGGATATTTGGAAGTTCCCTTCCCTTCCAATTCCTTCTTTAGCATTGGGCTTCACTTTGGTGGTGAGGAAAACAGAAGGTTAGCTTAGCCAACAATCTGTCATTCTCACCCTAAAGGGAATTAGCTCATCAGGATCCAGTCCTAACTGGCAGGAGACTGAAGAGGCAGGCTTTTTGCTTGGAGAGCAAAGGACAGGAAAACATAATTTCTGAGTATGGTTTACACTGGGAGCAGGCAAGCCTGGCTGGGTGCCCCAGAGAGCTCTGGAACAGCTAGAGGGCATCATGAGAGCCTGGAGAAGGCAGAAATGGGGCCCAGTAACTGCAATTGGGAGGGAACTTTCTTTCACTGATTTGCCTAAGGCCAGTCATTCCTAAATTGCATCACCAAAGATGATCATGGTATAAAGCATGGTCAAGAATAGCTGCTTTGGCCAGGAGAAGCTAAGAAAAAAAAGTTGTAATTCTGTTAGAAGTGTTTTTGTTTTTGTTTTTAAATGTTAATCCATGTAAAGACATAAGTTCTTGGCCCAGGTATAAATACCTTCAGAGATCCACAAAAAAACAAAGTTACACATCTTATTTAGGTCACATAGCTAAATAGAGGCAGAGTTTGGTCTAGAACTCAAAACCTACGTTGTAATCATTATGTTTGATCAAATCAATTTGTTTTGGCTTGAAAAGCACACACATCCCTTCTTCCAATAAACTTTTTCTCATTAACATTGCCAAAGGTTACTTATTTTGAATTTTTTCAGCACTAATAAGTAGTCTGACATACATATTAGATACTTGATTAAGCAAGGTTTTTTTTTGAACACTTACTATGTGCCAGGTACTCTATCACCTGCTAAGGATTTAGTAATGAGCAAAATGCACAATTCCCCTGTTGTTATGAAGGCTTTATTCAGCAGTGGATAGGGTGGAGTTATAAGATAGTTGAGAAACAGGCCGGGCACAGTGGCTCACACCTGTAATCCCAGCATTTTGGGAGGCCGAGGTGGGCGATCACTTGAGGTCAGGAGTTCGAAACCAGCCTGGCCAACATGGTGAAACCCCGTCTCTACTAAAAATACAAAAATTAGCTGGGCGTGGTGGCATGTGCCTGTAATCCCAGCTACTTAGGAGGCTGAGGCAGGAGAATCGCTTGAACCAGGGAGTAGGAGGTTGCAGTGAGCCTAGATCTCACCACTGCACTCCAGCCTGGGTGACAGAGCGAGACTCTATCTCAAATAAATAAATAAATAAATAAATAAGAAAATAAGATAGTTGAAAAACAAAATTATGTAATTAACTACAAGGTGATAAGGAAAAGTAAACAGGAACGGGGGACAGAGACAGGGTTTGTGGAGTAGACTGGTACAATTTATATAGAGAGTGGCCAGGGAAGTTCTCACTGAAAAGGTAACATTTGAGCAAAGACTTGAACAAGGTAAGAAAATGAGCCTGTGGTTATCTGGGGGAAGAGTATGCCACAAATTTTAGTATTACTACGGAATCATTCTCTGGTTCTTTCAGGCTTATATGTTTATTATTCTCCATCCCCTATTAAATTGTCAGGCGTGTGTATTTCATCTTCTGCTTCCTTTGGGTCTAATAGGACTGCTTTCTGCAGAATGCTATTTGTACCACAGACTTAATAAATGCTTGTTGAATATTTTGGTTAAAGTCATTTTCTCACTATTGCCCTTTTTAGGCAAGAAATGAAGGAAAAAGTACAGTAGTAGTTCAGTACTCTGTCCAATATTCTAAATGACTTAGAATGTACAAACCAACATCTAGCTGTACTATCCAACATTCTGGGTTAACATTCTTTGCCTTCCATAAACATTACATCTAAAAATATTTGCAAAAGTCGTGGCTTCTCCTAAATTCAAAACAGGAAGCCCCTATAGTTTCTAAGCTATGTTTATTCACCTCCAAACCCCAAACTAGAATCCACCATTACTTCTTTGCAATTATGAATTTTTTTTTGTACAATGAGCTCTGACATTTTTTGAAAATGGTTTCCTGCCTAAGCTAGAGACATCCTGTTATTCTTAATGATATTCTATGCCACCTACTATTAAGGTGTCTTGAATTCATAAGAACAGAACCATTCATGGCTAATCACTTGTTCCTCTTTGATTTTTGCAAAAAGAGACACTTCACAGATCTGCTTTCCAATTTCCTTTTGAAAAGGATTCTCAGTTTTTATATCAATGAGATCTTGATCTTGTTTGATATCAGTGCTTTGCATAACGGCATATAGCCTGTGCCTGTTTTATTTGCTCTGATTTTATTTTGAAGAGACAGACTGAAAATGAAAAGGAGTTATAACAATGGTGAAGGTACTAAGGATCCCAATAATAACGACACTGGGAGAAATCAAACAGAAAACTAAAATGAGAAGGTAGTGTCAGCAGCTGAGTAATAAACTAACATGACGCATACGAAGTGGAGACAAGGCAACATCTTAACGAAACTGAAGAGACTGGGGAATCAGGGTATATGATTTTCTGAAGGATAATTGAATTCAGCCCTAAGTGAAGAAGGAAACTTTTTGCAAGGAAACCTGTTACCAAATCAGATGGTAGGTAATAAGACACAGAAAATGTGAAACAGAAGAGCTTGTATGTGGACACCTGTGGGTTGTATAAATGCCTCTAACAATGGATATTAGAATAATGTGGAGATAATCATTTATAGTTTTCCCCCCCAGTATTTTAATTTATAGCTCCATACATTCTCTTATCAAATGTATTCATGAATGATTTATTTATCCTCTGGGGAAATAAAAGTGCAATCAAGTACCAACTATCCCAAATCTTAATCATTTCAGGATGTCAGCTATAGAAAAAAGAGGTTGTGTTTACTGTTTCTGCAGTGCATACAACACTACTTGTACATCTGGAGAAGGAAAAGCAGCTGCTCTCTCTGCATGTGAGACTTTGGTCCAATTATTTATCTTTTTGAACTTTACTTCTTTTAACTGCAACATAGAAATAATATTACAAAACTTAGATGGTGTTTAGGAACATAAATTACAATAGTCAAATTATAGCAGGTTCCCCGCACTCTCTTTACATATAGGGATTTATTTAATTGTAATAAGTCTTATGACACAGGTTTCATGATTTACAAATGAGGGAATGAAGCACAGAGAGATCCAAGCCATTTGCTCCCAGCCACACAACTGTGGAACTGGCTGCAGGGACCACATACTTGAACTCCACTCTGAAATCTTTCTCTAATAATGGAGATAAAGCACATAGTAAGTGCTCAGTAAATGATTATTATTATCGTTGTTGTTGTTATAGAGAAGAGATGTGTTTGTTCTTACACTTAAGAACATTCTGTTACAGATTGCTCCACTAAGACTCCCAAGTGCATTTAGATGGGAGAGAAATTGGAACTAATAAAACAGAAATTTTAAACTTAATTGGCTGGGTGTAGCGGCTCATGTCTGTAACCCTAGGAGGACTTTGGGATGCCGAGGTGGATTGCTTGAGGCCAGGAATTTGAGACCAGCCTGTCTCTACAAAAAGTAATTAAGGGCTGGGAGGAGGGAGAGTATCAGGAAGAATAGTTAATGAATGCTGGGCTTAATACCCAGGTGATGGGATGATCTGTACAGCAAATCACCATGGCACGTGTTTACCTATGTAACAAACCTGCACATGCTGCACATGTGCCCCTGAACTTAAATATATAAGTTGGAAAATAAAAAGATATTAAAATGTCTTCATTTACAAATAAAGCAACTGATTGGGCATGGTGGTTCATGCCTGTAATCCCAGCACTTTGGGAGGCTGAGGAGGTTGGATCATTTGAGATCAGAAGTTTGAGACCAGCCTAACCAACATGGTGAAACCCCGTCTCTACTAAAAATACAAAAAAAAATTGGCCGAGCATGGTGATGCATGCCTGTAGTCCCAGATACTTGGGAGGCTGAGGCAGAAGAATTGCTTGAACTCGGGAGGTGGAGGTTGCAATGAGCCAAGATCGCACCACTGCACTCCAGCCTGGGCGACAGAGTGAGACTCTGTCTAAAAAAATAAATAAATAAATAAAAATAAATAAAAATTAAAATTAAAAAAAAATAAAGCATAAGGTCAGGCGCAGTGGCTCACGCTTATAATCCCAGCATTTTGGGAGGCTGAGGCGAGTGGATCACCTGAGGTCACGAGTTCGAGACCATCCTGGCTAACACGGTGAAACCCCATCTCTACTAAAAATACAAAAAAATAGGCTGGGCGCCGTGGCTCATGCCTGTAATCCCAACACTTTGGGAGGCCGAAACGGGCAGATCACTTGAGGTCAGGCATTCGAGACTAGCCTGGCCAACATGGTGAAACCCCATCTCTACTAAAAATACAAAAAGTAGCTGGGCATGGTGGCGGGTGCCTATAATCCCAGCTACTCTGGAGGCTGAGGCAGGAGAATCGCTTGAACCTGGGAGGCAGAGGTTGCAGTGAGCCGAGATCTTGCCACTGCACTCCAGCCTGGGCAACGAGAGTGAAACTCTGTCTAAAAAAAAAAAAAAAGTGCAATTAAAAAAAGTAAAAAGTTAAAAAAAAAGTATTAGGTACATCTCCTTTTGGATCATATGTTCTAGATTTACAAGTGGGTTGAACTGATTAGTCATCTCAGTCAAAAAACTGCTCCCTTAAATGCAGATAGCAGTTCAAGCTAATCGCCCAGCTAAATCAATTGTTTAATTCCATTTAAAGTAATCAACCTGTCAGCTCCTTGAGGCTCTAGCCTTTCTCCTATGGTTTTATGGCTCTTTTGAGTGTAAGACACAGTTAAAATGTTGAAATTGCTCCTTCGGTGAATAAACAGACTTGGTAAATAGGTCAGATCGCAGAAATGGCTGTTTCTTCTACCTCCACATTTTTATGTTCAGAATCCATCACTTTTGCTGATGTTTATAGAGCCTGCTTATGCGTTTCCTTGTTTGATGTTGTCAGAGAGCCTGGGGGAGGGGTTTATTCTTGCCATTATCTCTGGGTGACGTGCTAAAAATGACAGTCAATTGGAGTACTTTACTCAAAATGTCAAAATATATCAGTGGATATACTTCATCACACTTCATGACAAGGGATCAGAATCCTAAAGCTATGCTTGTCATTTATATTTTGCTATAAATATATTTTGTGGGCTATTTTGATGCTAGGTCGAAAGTGTGGAAAGCTAATGGTTATTTGAAAAAAAATAGAAGAGAACTGAACTGAACTGATTTGTAAGGAAATAAAAATATGCCATTGGTCGCATCAGAAATAAAGATCACTTAATGAAACAAAGAAATCTATATAACACAAGCAACTATGTGTGGGCAGTAGAGGCTGGTGGTTAGAATGGGACTCATTGGAGTTAGTCTTTCAAGGTCCAACCCTGGCTCTGCCACTTATTCACTACGTGTCCATAAACATGTTACTGACCTCCTCATGCCTGTGTCCTCATCTATAAAATGGGGGTTAAAATAGGACCTAACTGCAAGGGTTTTGGTGAAGATGAAAGCAGTTAATATATGTAAAGCACTTGGAACAATGCCTAGCATATTACAGTATCTACTGCATAAGAGTTAGATGTTATCGTTATTATTAGCACTGGTTTGTTTTTATGAGTGTGTAAGTTAAAACCGAAGTTTGCCTGAATTATGGTATCTAGTCATGTAGGAAGGTCAGTCAACCTGGGTGTTTTCAATTTTTGGCTATTATACATAGTGCTGCTATGAACATGTGTCATAATGACTTTTTTTTTTTTTTTAAGATAGGGTCTCACTATATTGCCCAGGCTGGAGTGCAGTGATGCAATCTGGGCTCACCACAGCCTTGACCTCCTGGGCTCCCTTGATCCTCCCACCTCAACCTCCCAAGTAGCTGAGATTATAGGTGCACGCCACCATGCTCAACTATTTTTTGTATTTTTTTGCAGAGGTGGAGTTTCGCCATGTTGCCCAGGCTGGTCTCCAACCCCTGGGCTCAAGCCGTTTTCCCGCCTTGGCCTCCCAAAGTGCTAGGATTACAGGTGTGAGCCACTGCACTTGGCCGATGACTGAATTTTTAATCAATTTTATAGGAGGTGTTGTAGCACAGCTGTCAAACATGTGGCCTCTATAGTCAGACCATCTGAGTTCTAAACCTGGCTCAGTACCTTCCATTTATTATCCTATTTTATCTTGTTGATATTTTTTCATCCTACTATTATCGTCTTATAATAATACCCATAAACATTGGAACTATTATTAATCCACTCTTTATACATGAGAGAAATTGAAGCTTAGATGACACACAGCCAGTAAGTGGCAGAGATGGGATGTAAACCCAGCTCTGGTCTCACTGAAACCTGTGCACTTCACTATTACTTTATTCTGCCTCTCAGTGAGGGGAACGCTTCTATGCATGGAGTAAGAATGGAAAAATTAAAGGGGCAGGTACTTCTGGATGGGAGGGGTCACTGGGGACGGTATGGCCTTTCATGAAATAGCCAAGTCCAGAGCAGCACAGACCAGAGGGTGCTGTGGGGCCACCAACAGGAGGAAGAAAATGCTAAAATGGAGACCAGCTATGGAAATCTTTGCCCATTTCTGAGTTGTGCCAGGGTTCAGCCCCATAGATCATACACACTGATACACTCCAGAGGAATCCTTCCTGTTTCCCTCAGCTATCTTTATTTCTTCACTGCTTCTCAACTCAACTGAGAAGGTGATTGGCCCTTCACAAACATCTGTAGAACTTTCCACCACATTTAGGAAAATCTACCCAAAAGGAAAAAGAAGAGAGGAATGTGTTTATTAAATCTCCTTTAGGCTTCCTGCCTGATTCTCTATCCTGTTGCCTAACTTGGGGTTTTAATTTCTCCTGAGGGAGGCCATGGGTATATAATGATTTGCTTGGCTATAGTCATGGGTACTTTTTAGAAAAACAAAGCCAAGAAGAGCTCTAAGGCTCCTGTGACTTGCACCATCAGCCAATAGTTGTTTTATTAAGTGCTGATTCCCCCTGTGGAGCTGAGTAAATGGAGGTGGGAAAAAAAGTCAGGCCCGAAACAAGGAGCCATTCAGATGTCGTACTCAAAACATAAAGGTAACAGAGAGTTTCTGTACCAAGCTCTGCAGGTCCAAGTTCTGTATGAATGAAAAGGGAATGGTTCTCCATCCATCCAGTCAAACGATTTATAGAGATCCAGCAAGAGGGAAGAGACCCATTACTCATGGCTTCCACTGCTAGCTAGCTCCAGATTATCCCCTACGGGAGAATTCCTTGCATTATGTCCAATTTCATTTCAGTTTTACCTAGAATTTTGTTGACTAGTAACACGTTGTGTTCTTGGGTGGTGTTTTTCCTATCTTGTTTTTTGGAAGATGTTATAGAAACCTGAAAACGAGATGCAAATCAGGAAATACAGGCTTGAATTAAGAACCTTGAAAAATGTAGAATGAAATCGGAATTGGAAGGGAAACTGAGAGTGGTATAAATCATGGCTATCAGAACAAAACATGGCTACCATATTAATGACAGATACATTGCAGCAATAACATCAAGACCGGATACATGCCTTGTGTGTCTATGTGTGGGTGTGAGTGTGAGTGTGCATATGTATGTAATAGCATGCTTGGGTTTGTATTTTAAAAGGAATAACCCAAACACAAAAAGGACAGTCTGCAAAACAGCAACTAGAGAAAATGGCAAAATGGGGAGCAATGGATAAAGTAGCCAAACCAGGTCTGCTGCTGAAATTACAACCAGATTGCCTCTGAAAAGCAAATAAGCTCGAACAAATAAACCCCTGTGGCAGATTCGCTTTCATGAGAGTACCTGTGAGACAATGTCCAGACCTCCCTTCCAGAAGAAAGGTGAAATGGTTAAGGGATGGGTGGGGCGCAGGGCTGAGGCCATGTGTTCCTAGTGACTTGCCGCAGCAGGGAGGTCCTGAGCTGTCCCTGAGGGGCCCTAGACCAATGGCTTGCGCATCACGGTGACGCTGGCACAGAGGCAGGAACTGCCCGTGAAGCCTGGAGACAGGCAGCAGTTCAGAAAGCACAGAAACCAAGGATGTTAAGGAGCATTCACAGGACACTTGGGAATGAGGAGTGAAAAACTCAACCGGAGAAGGACTAGGCTGGCAGGGAGACATGGAGCAAGCGTGCTGACATCTGACATGTGTCAGCGGCACTCGGACGCTCCGCGACTCAAGCAAAGTCTGCTCTTCACTGGTGAATTTCTACATCAAGAGCAGCAGATTCTGAGAGGGAGTTCTCCAAAGGAGGTGGATATATGGTCATGTACCCTGGGCCTACTGCCTCAGATGTTCTGAAACAGCAGCAACTTCAAATGAAAAAGAATAAATGCATGCATTCAGACTCTGCAAAACTCATCTCCACTCAGGCTGTGGAGGGTCTTAATTTAACCTCACTTAGATCTTCATATAGAGTCCCATCTTGGGCCCTTTTCCCTAGACTAGTGGAGTACTAATAAGGATCATAATAATTGCTAATACTTATTGTCACTTATCATGTGCCAAGCTCTTTACATTGTCTTATTAGCTTCTTACAACTGCGCTTTGAAGTAGCCATTATTATTTTCCATTTATTATACATAGATGTTGGGCAACTAGCCGGGTTGCCACAGCCAGGATGAGGCAGAGCTGGGATCTAAACAGCAGGTTTTACTCACTCCAGAGTCCACTTAACCACCTGCCCAAAGGTCTGAGGTTTTGAACTCTCTGTTAGTTAAGAAATTACCCAAGTCTTGGCAATGGCAAAGGATACCGGAAAGGATTCAAATCAAATTACATGGCTGCCAATCATGCTGGATCCAACCCTCAGACGACTCCAGTGAAGCGTTTTGTATCCTTCTAATGTTGCTGTGCAAACATTCTCTCCTCCACTTCCTTGAGACAGAGACAAATGACCAAGGCACAGGTGAATATCCTGGGAGTCATACAAAAGAGCCACTTACAGGGCTTTATTTTATGATCAGTAAAGACTCATCCACTTCTCCCGGCCTTGTGTCTTTGCAGTTCTGTGTCTTTGAAGTGCCTTCCCCATTACCAAGGACTCATCATCAAATAAATTTCAGTGATGTTCAGCCTAGTCTTCTCATTAAACCAGTTTTATTGCATGCATTCTAATTCTGAGAAAATTGATTGGTTATGTGTGGTATCCATGGTAACCCTCACTTTAACAGAATATAAAATTAACCAGACCACTCTGTGCCTCTGACATTCTAGATAAATGAGTTAACCACACACAGAAGCAAGTGAACACATTTTTAAGGCAATTTTGAGAGTTACATGCCTATTGGATCTTAGAAAGGATCAGATTACATTCCGTGTAACCCAACTTGAGTAGATGATCATCACAAAGCCAGATGAGCCTTAATTTCCCCATTTTAGAACTGAGGAAATTGGGTGTTAGCATCTCTAATTCCTTCCCCATCCCCAATTTTCACTGCATGAATCCAGATTTATTTTTTTCCTTGAGACAGGTCCTCATTCTGTCACTCAGGCTCAAGTGCAGTAGTACAATCACAGCTCAATGCAGCCTTGAAATCCTGGGCTCAAGCAATCCTCTCATTTCAGCTTCCCAAGTTATCTGGGACTATATGTGGGAAGCACCATACCTGGCTAATTAATTAATTTTTTTTCTTTTTTGTAGAGACAGGGTCTTGCTATGTTACCCAGGCTTGTCTTAGACTCCTGGCTTCAAATGATCTTCCCTCCTTGGCCTCCCAAAGTGTTGGGATTACAGGCGTAAAACACCATACCCAGTCAGAAATTTTTATTCCTTTCTTTTTTTTTTTTTTTTTGACAGAGTCTCGCTCTGTCACCCAGGCTGGAGTGCAATTGCATGATCTTGGCTCACTGCAACCTCCACCTCCCAGGTTCAAGCAATTCTCCTGCTTCAGCCTCCCGAGTAGCTGAGATTACAGGCAACCACCATCATGCCTGGCTAATTTTTTGTATTTTTAGTAGAGACAAGGTTTCAGCATGTTGGCAAGGCTGGTCTTGAACTCCTGACCTCAGGCGATCTATCCACCTCAGCGTCCCAAAGTGCTGGGATTACAGGCATGAGCCACCATGCCTGGCCTATTCCTTTTTTTTCCCCCTATTTAGTAGCATGGCAGTGGAAAATATCCTGCTTCTATTTTATTAGTGTTTGCCCTTGAATTTTTAAAATTAATAGATCTTTTTTTTTACAATGGCATTAATTTTCCAGAAAAATTGAGCAGAAACTAGAGTTCCCATATATTTCCCCCACCCTACAAGTTTCCCCTATTATTAACATTTTGCACTGATATGTTACATTTGTTACAAGTGATGAGCCCATATTGACGCATTATTATTAACTAAAGTCCATAGTTTACATCATGGTTCGCTCTTTGTGTTGTATATTCTATGGGTTTTGACAAATGCATAATGTCACATATCCACCATTACTGTATCATACAGAATAACTGCACCACCTGAAAATCCTCTGTGCTCTGCCTGTTCATCCGTCTCCCTTTCCCCGGCAAACACTGATATTTTTACTGTCTCCATTATTTTCCCTTTTCCAGAAGGTCATGTAGTTGGAATCACACAGCATGTAGCCTTTTCGGGCTAGCTTATTTCACTTAACTATAAGCAATTAAGTTTTTTATTCATGTCTTTTCATTGCCCTTGATTTTTTAACAAACAGGTTAACCTATATTTGCCTACCAAGTAAAGACTTAATCAGTACAGCCCACTCTGCTTTCCTACCACAAAGCAATGAGTTCTCTTAAATTCTGTTTTCCTTTATACCAGCTACCTCCAACTCTGGTTCTGTTAAAATTTTGGTTCCCGATAGGTATTGAAGTTTTCATTTATATTATACATTTTATATCAGGAAATCTTTTCTTAATATATGAAGTTCAACAAGTCCACTGCCATCAGTCATTTGGATTTTGCTCTATGCCTCCCTGGTTCTTTTCAGTTTTCACTGTTTCATGTATACCACGTCTTTCCTTCCTTAGTCTTTGTTTTGTCTCTAACATTTTTAGAGCTCTCTTTGGGGCTGGGTGAGTAGAGCTAGACCAGATGGGACAGGAATTCCTTTGAGGATGAAGTTCCATTTGGAGCTATAGCCAGGCTTCTAAAGCCAGTATCTTGTGACTGCTTCTGGAAAACTGTTTGTCAATTTACTGAGCGTTGTTTTCGCTGCCCTGACTGGCATACATTTAGCAAACATGTATTAAGCAACTACTGCATGCTAACACCATGCTTCAGTAGAAGCTCATGTTACTTGGATTCTGCCATCAAGAATGTTCTGTTCTGGGCAGGGTGCGGTGGCTCATGCCCATAATCCGAGCACTTTGGGAGGCCTAGGTGGGTGGATCTCTTGAGGTCAGGAGTTCGAGACCAGCCTGGCCAACATGGTGAAACCCTGTCTGTTGCGGGAAGTTCCTCTCTTTTGTACTCTTTCTCTGTATTTCTCAGACCAGCCGACACTTAGGGAAAATAGAAAAGAACCTACGTTGAAATATTGGGAGCTGGTTCCCCCGATACCTGTCTCTACTAAAAATACAATACAAAAAATTAGTTTGGCATGGTGGTGCATACCTGTAGTTCCAGCTACTCAGGAGGCTGAGGCAGGAGAATAGCTTGAACCTGGGAGGCAGAGGTTGCAGTGAGCCGAGATTGTGCCACTGCACTCCAGCCTGGGTGACAGAGCAAGACTCCATCTCAAAAAAAGAATCTTGTGTTCTTACGGAACAGAATGCACAATGGGAGTAAATGGGAGTACAGGGGGAAGGGGAGGGGATGATGGTGATTGGTGTCCAAGATAGATGTTCTGTGTCAGAAAAAAATGGAGATCAATTCAAGACAATTAACCAATATCAATACTAATAATATCAATCATTAACATTTATTGAGAGTGGCAGGCACTCTTCTAAACTCTCTCTATTATCTTAGCTATTAATCTTGTGTTCTCACAACAACTCAATTAGGTGGAGACAATTATTCCCATTTAGAAAATTAAGCACAGAGAAATCAAGTAATTTGCCAAGGTCATAGAGTTCCGTAATTATAGAGCATGGATTCCAACTTGGGCAATCATCTTATTATGATAATGTGATGATCCTTTCTGTGCAAAGCACTGGACTAAACCCTGTGGAAGATCACAGTTTCTCAGCCCGGACTCTCTCCTGGCCTTGGTCTATCCTCTGACTGCCACTCTGTCTATCTCTCTAAGAAAGACTGTGCTTCTGTCACTCACCTCTTTGAAGACTTCTACTGACTATGCCTCCTATAGGGCCAACCTAAATCCTCAGCTGAGAGCACAAAGCCCTTGGTCAGCCAGCCCAGCTATCTTCCAGCACTGGCTCCTCTCTTAGCTCACTCCAGCCTCTCTGAATCTTCACTCTTCTCTGCTTCTGGCTTGCTGTATTAGGACATCTTCTTTTTGGAATGTCTTTCCTCTGTTTAGTTGGAAAACTTCTACTTTTTACTTTTCAAGACCGCTCTCAGGCATAACCTCCTTCAGGCAGATTTTCCCTGAGCCCTCAGGCAAAGTTGGTCGTTCCCATCTCTGAGCACCCATATGCATGATTCATTTTTCTGTTGTAGTCCTTGATAAAGTGGGATGTACATTCCTATCTGTTCATGTGTCTGTGATACACCTCAGTGTCAGGGAGAGTGCCTATCACATGAGTGTCCCTCAGTGCACAACCCACATAAAGCCAGTGAGCCTCATTCCAGTCTCAAAGAGTGCTCCTCAAAGCAGCACATCCACCATCAAACATTAATTAAAGTATAATTCTTTTTTTTTTTTTTTTTGAGACAGTGTCTCGCACTGTTGCCCAGGCTGGAGTGCGATGGCGCAATCTTGGCTCACTGCAACCTCTGCCTCCCGGGTTCACACGATTCTCCTGCCTCAGCCTCCTGAGTAGCTGGGATTACAGGTGCACACCACCACACCCAGCTAATTTTTTGTATTTTTAGTAGAGACGGGGTTTCACTACGTTGGTCAGGCTGGTCTTGAACTTCTGACCTCGTGATCCGCCCGCCTCGGCCTCCCAAAGTGCTGGAATTACAGGCTTGAGCCACCACGCCTGGCCAATTAAAGTATAATTCTTACTCAATCTATTGAGGAAACATCAAAGGATTATATGTTTTATGCACTGTAAAACCGCTTACAAATGCTCCTCCTTTCCTCTGCCCCTTTTGTAGCCTCCATAATGATGGCAGCTTTACATTCATCCATTCATTTATTCATTCACTTGTTTGTTCATCTGTTCTTTTTCTTTCTTTCCTTTTGTTGATACATAATAGGTATATATATATATATATATATATATTTCAGAGTACATAATAGGTATATATATTTTCAGGGTACATATGATAATTTGATACATTTATATAATGTATAAAAATCAAATCAGGATAACTGGAAAACTCATCACCTTAAATATTTATCTTTTTTTTTTTTTTTTTTTTGAGATTGAGTTTCACTCTGTCGCCCAAGCTAGAGTGCAGTGGCGCCATCTTGGCTCACTTCAACCTCCACCTCCCAGGTTCAAGCCATTCTCCTGCCTCAGCCTCCTGAGTAGCTGGGATTATAGGCGGCCGCCACCACGCCCAACTAATTTTTTGTATTTTTAGTACAGACGGATTTTCACCATGTTGGCCAGGCTGGTCTCGAACTCCTGACCTCAGGTGATCCACATGCCTCGGCCTCCCAGAGTGCTGGGATTACAGGCATGAGCCACCGTGCCCGGCCTGAAATGTGCTTTTAAATACCCAACTACCTATCTAGAAGTGAACGATTTTGCTGCAAGGCAAGAACATTTCTGAGATTTTACAACATGTCCTGAGATAGGAGATAGGAGACACACTGGAGTGTCATCAAAACAAGGTTGCAGATCACACACTCTAGGGCCCCTCGTCAAAGTGGAGAGTGACACCCATAAACCGGAGGTGTCTCTAGAAATTGCTACCCATTAGCACCTCTCAGTTCGTCTCCTCACTCCTGCCCTCCCCCCATCCCTCTCACCGCCCTGCCAGTCTCTGGATTGAATTCGTTCAGCGCTGGGCCGCACATTGGGAGTGGGGACACAGCATTGCACTGGCATGAGTCACCGCACCCAGCCTTAAGTATTTATCTTTATGCGAGGAACATTTGAATTATTCTCGTCTAGCTATTTTGAAATGTACAACGGATTATTGTTAACTATGGTCATCCTACCGATCTATTGAACATACTCGTCTACTCAATCAGCAAACACTGAGAACCAACTGGGTGCTCTTTTTAGTATTCTACTCTTTGTAAGTATTGTTTCTTCCAAAATGCTCTCTTTCTCTCCTACTCTCACTTTTCAAATCTCAACATTCTGTCCAGACATCTAGCCCAAGGGTCTCGCCGTCTCTCTCATTCTATACCTATGCTGGTCTTTATTCTGAAGATCATATTCCAAAGATCATTATAGCCTTTCTGCACTCTTGAGTTATCTCTGTTGGTCCCTTAACAGGATTCCCCTGAACAAACAGTAGTCTAGAAATGGACCCAGCAAACTAGAATTCTTCCCCTTTAAGATCTATTTAAGGCCGGGCACGGTGGCTCCTGCCTGTAATCCCAGCACTTTGAGAGGCGGAGGCGGGTGGATCACGAGGTCAGGAGATGGAGACCATCCTGGCTAACACGGTGAAACCCCGTCTCTACTAAAAATACAAAAAATTAGCCGGGCGTGGTGGCGGGCGCCTGTAGTCCCAGCTACTTGGGAGGCTGAGGCAGGAGAATGGCGTGAACCCAGGAGGCGGAGGTTGCAGTGAGCCGAGATCGCGCCACCGCACTCCAGCCTGGGCGACGGAACGAGACTCCGTCTCAAACAAAACAAAACAAAAAACTATTTAAGAAGAAGGGGAAGATTGTGGATATTAATATTTTAATAATATTTGTCCTAGTTATACATTAATGAGTACGTATACACACAAAAATAAGAATCAGGGCAAACATATTCTGAGTTCCAAATGGATGATGCAATCAGTAGATGCTATAGGATTAAGGGCCAAAATATGTGTTTGGGCCCCAGATGAATTTCCTCATAGTGATCTCACCACTGCGGTGCAGTGAAATAAATCCTGGACCTCAGGCCAGGGGAGCGCAGCTCCTGGCTCTGTCCCTTAGCCCTGGGTGGGTCATCTGGAACAAACACCTTAACTCTTCGAGCCTCTGGTTCCTCATCTGTGGAGATAGGGATGATTATACTAGCAGTATTCCTATGAGAAGAGCTTGGAGGCTCTGTGACATAATGGACACTTAGCCCTTCAGAGCTCAGGGAATGATTGTTCAGTCTGAATCCTTCAGTTCTAAATTCTTTATGAGTGGGACCCAGGGAGAGGCAAGCGATGCTGTGACCGGAGTTCAAGACCTGTTTTGCAACAAAGTAACCGAAACCCACCAAACATATAAACTCTGTCCGGGCATGGATTTTTGTCCTTTTTGTTCACTAATATACCCCAAGTGCCTACAATGATGCCTGGCCCATTGTAGGAGCCCAGTAGGTATTTGGTAAATTAAACAAATTTTATGTTGCAGTATAAGATACATTTTGGTGCCTTTGAAACCTAGGTCTCAGACATTGCTAGGGAGAATGACTATTGCAATAGCTTTTTGAGGTGCAATCAGGCAGAAACTATCCAAGTTCAAAATGCACACATACATCTTTGCAGGTACAATATAAATTTCTATGCTCCAGGTAGTCAACTAAATATTACTACAGCTCATCTGCATATTAACTAGCCCTGCCTATTATAGTAGTAGCTATCATTTACTGAGCATGTACATAGTGTAAAGTAGTGGCTCAGAGCACAAACTCTGAAGAAGAGTCCCTTGCTTTAAACCCTGGCTCTGGCTGGGCAGGGTGGCTCACGCCTGTAATCCCAGCACTTCGGGAGGCCAAGGCGGGCTGATCACGAGGTCACCAGATAGAGACCATCCTGGCTAACATAGTGAAACCCCGTCTCTACTAAAAATACAAAAAAAAAAAAAATTAGTTGGGCGTGGTGGTGGGTGCCTGTGGTCCCAGCTACTTGGGAGGCTGAGGCAGGAGAATGGCATGAACCCGGCAGGTGGAGCTTGCAGTGAGCCGAGATTGTGCCACTGCACTCCAGCCTGCGTGACAGAGTGAGACTCCGTCTCAAAAAAAAACAACAACAACAACAAAAAAAACCTGACTCTGCCATATACCAGTTAATGTGACTTGGATTTAGTCATTTTAACCTGTTTCTTTGTCTGCAAAATATGGATGATATCAGCACCCACCTACCTCAGGGGTTTTTAACAGTATTAAAGGGGTTCAGATATGGAAATGCTTATGACAGCCTTTGCTACACAAAGAGTTCACGTTCACTTTTTATTCATAGGGACTTCGGATGCTCGACTCAGTTCTTGTATAGCTGAAGCTTAGAGAAGTTAAATAATGAAGGTTAGAAGCAGCTAGTCAGCTACAGAACTGGAACTTGAACTCTTATCCCTCTACCCCAGTGCCTGGAGGCTTAACCATCCCATTCCTCAGTGACAGGAGATAGCACCAACATATTTTCCTTGATTCACAAAGTATTTCTGTCCTGATCCATGTTTTCCAAGTATTCCGCCCTGATCCTTGTCACAATCACCATGCTTGAGGTTAAGAAAACAACAAACATCATCATCCCCAGGTAACCTTGCCACCCCCAATAAGACTCGTGGCTGGTAGGCTGGTGGGCAGAGCTTCCTCTGGTGACATAACGAAGGGTCCAGAACTGGTTCTCCCTCCATCTGACCCCAAACCTGAATTTCCACCATAAAACAATCCTGCCCTTATTTCCCTTTGACTCATTTTTTTTCTTCTAAATTTACTTCCTCTTACGGTATTGCTTCCCTTTTTGAAAAATGCTTGTAATTCTTTTTGGGACAAGGTGGGTTATAAATACACTCATTAGCTTCCATGCTGGGGACTAGGGGCTGGATAGCCCTGAAGAGGCTCAGGCTGGGGCCTCCACCCTAGGTCTGTGTCTCTTGCAGGAGCTCTGGAGAGAAGGCCTGGTACTGAGAGGCAGGGTAATCAATTTCTCCTCAGTGCTGAGGCCTGTTTCTCGTTAGGGCCCTGGCTCCACGTGGCTCTGTGCCCTCCCTGCCCCACCCCCATACATGCTATTCCAGGCTCTGAGCACCCAGCCACGGCTTATTTTCCTGCCATGATGAGGGTTAAACAGCGAGTGGTTATTGAATGCCTGCTGTGTGCAGAGACCAGGCTGGGGACCACAGTGGCGAGGCCGAGGGGGTATGGCAGGAGAAAAGAAAGGCCCAGCCCTTGGGGATTTGCACGCCTGGCACAGACAGCAACAGCGACAGCCACAGCCACAACAGTAATAACAACAGTGTGGCAAGAGGACCAACTAGGAACCAGTAGAATGGCAGGCTCCAGAGCTGTGACCCTGTCTGACCCATGAGTACGTCCTGGTAGGAATGTTCACACTTTAGTGCTTTGGGGATTAGGTACCCTTCGGGGGGTAGAGGGGATGGGATGTGAGCAGGACCATGCATTTTGCTCCTCAGTGCCCATCAGGGTGTCTCCTGGGGAGTTTCCTCAGGCGGCCACGGTTCTGGAATGGACTTTCACTTCTGTCTTTATAGTCATCTGCTCGGTTCTCTTGGTTACATCACTGAGAATCTGTCTCTGATTATTTCCCCATCAACAACAGAGAGTCTGTGTTTGCACGTACCCACCGGCGACAGCTGGGTGGATAACGGCACCCTGATTGCCTTCGCATAGGGTCTCCCAACCCAGATCCTCACATGAACAAAGACAAAACTGTGGCCCTGGGTTTGCTCAAGGTCACACAATGAGAAACAATGTGAAGTGGGACTTGGATCTTCTTGTTCCCTGTGCGGGGCTCGTGGAAAATCAACATTGCTCCTAGCAAGACGGTCCTGCTGCATTTTAATAAGGTGGAAATGCCCCGGTCTGTTTTGTTTTTCCTCTCTCTTTCCAAAACCTTTGAGCGCAGAGCTTCTTATCCACGAGTGTTTACTGAACACGTCTATGTCTCTGGCACTTGCGAAGCCCTGTAGGAGCTACAGAGATCTAAAGACCTGTTTCGCAGGGACTGTCCAAACCCAGGTCTGACTCTGAAGACAGCCCCAGCTACATAGCAGGTTGGATCTTGGGAGGGAATTTAGAAGTTTTTTTGTCATAGTGGAAGGAATTGGATAAAAATTCCAAATACTCGGTTTGCATTTTTGTTGTTTTTTTCCAACTGGGCAGCATTTCCACCCACTTTGGGTTTTATATTGAGTGCAAACAGCGCTGCCAAGAGGCAATGTTCTACCTTCAAATCAGGAGGCCGCTTCACAGTTCTGAACCCTGGGGTAGCTGCTTCTCATGACCTTCCAAGTTGCTGGGCATTCAGATTCTAGAAACGTAATTGGGCTTTCGGGGTCTGCTTGCATCCTCCTGGCTAAAATAGCTCAGGCCATAAAAATACCAGAATGAGAATACTTGCAGCAACCTCACATCCACATATTCCAAGCAGAGGCCATTAAAACCTCCACATGACACTGGTGCTGCTCTTCAATGCCACAGGAGCACACAGCTGAATGGAAAAGGAAGGGGCATTTTCAGGGTGAGTTCAGCACCCATCAGTATAAGCTTTCATTTATCCTCCTAAAAAATCATCTTGCAGCCTTTCAGAATAATTGATAAAGTTTGAGTCCCTTTTGACATGGTTTTACCAGGCCACATTAAGGCATGGTCTTTACATATTGCCTTTGTCAATGTGAGTAATTAAATCTCTGGTTGGGAGAGACAAGGTTCAGTAACATTTGGTGGTTCTGACCTACCCATTCCACTCTACCTCTGCCAGCCATCTAGTCCAAACCACCTCCATGTTTTGCCTAGAATCTCAAAGAGCACCTTATCTGACTTGTCTACCCTCAGTTTTCCCCTTTCACATCCATTCTCCACAAAGCACATGTGTAATTTTTTTCAAAGACACACCTGGTCATGATCCTCCTTGACTGATTGACTAAGACAGTGTCTTACTCTGTTGCCCAGGCTGGAGTGCAGTGGTGCAGTCATGGCTCACTGTAGCCTCAACTTCCTGGGCTCAGGCAATTCTCTCACCTCAGCCTGCCAAGTAGCCGGGACTGCAGGTGTGCACCACCACACCCAGCTAATTTTTGTATTTATTTTGTAGAGATGGGGTTTTGCCATGTTGCCTAGGTTGCTCGCAAACTCCCAGGCTTAAGTGATCCACCCAGACCTCAGCCTCAGCCTCCCAAAATGCTGGGATTACAAGCATGAGCCACTATGCTCGCCCTCAATCCTCCCCTATTTAAAACCCTCTAGGAGCTCCCCACTGTCTCCAAGTCCAAACATCACCCCAGAGCTTAGGAAGCCCTCAGTGACCTGGCCCAACCCCACCCCTCTGGCTTCACCTTGCCCCATTTCTAGCTTGGTGGAAATCCTCGGATGTTCCATGCTTTCTCTTCAAGGTTTTCAAACCTGCCAGCATCTCTGGAAGCTTTCCCTCTGTCCTTCACTGTGCTTATTCACATTTACCCTTTGGGTCTCAGTTACTATTCCATGAGAAGAGGGAGCAAATCTCTCATTCATTACTTGTAGTGGGTGGAATGGTGGCCCCCTTCCCAAATGATATGTTCTTCTAGTCCCTGGGAATGTGACCTTATTTGCAAAAAGAGTCTTTGCAGGAGTAATTAACTTAAAGATATCCTGATAAAGTCATCTTAGATTATCCAGGTGAGCCTTAAAACCAAGAGAAAGGCAGAGGGAGATTTGAGACACAGAGCAGAAGGCCATGTGATGGTGGCTGCAGAGATTAAAGCCTTGCAGCCATGAGCCAAAAAGCACATGGAGCCACTAGAAGCTAAGAGGCAAGGAACTGAATTTCCCCCGGGGTCTTTGGCGATAGGGAGGGTGGCCCTGATGACACCGTGATTTCAGACTTCTGGTCTCCAGAACTCTGACAGAGTAAATTTCTGTTGTTTTAAGCCACTCAGCTGGTGATAATTTGTTACATCAGCCCTAGAAAGCCAATGCAGTGCCATGCCCCTCACCCCCAATGTGCTGCCCGGCACTGAACAAATTCAATCCAGAGACTGGCAAGGAGGTGAGAGGGATGCGGGAGGCGGGAGTGGGGAGATGAACTGAGAGGTGCTGAAGGTTAGCCATTTCTAGAGGCACCTCCAATTTATGGGTGTCGCTCTCTGCTTTGAGGAGGGTCCCTAGCGTGAGAGTGTGTGATCTGCCACCCTGTTTTCGTGACACTCCAGTGTTTCTCCTATTATCTCAGGACGTGTTGTGAAATCTCAGAAATATTCTTGCGGCAAAATCGTTCACTTCTAGATAGGTAGTTGTGAATTTAAAAAGCACATTTCAGTCGTTTAGCAAATATAGCTTAGCATCTGTAAGAGTCCTTCAAACTTTATATGAGTTGATTTTCTCCCTGAAATTTGTTCCTTTTCCAGTTGTTTTTGTCCCTCTTTGATGTAGTCGTCCCCTTCCCTCCCTCCCTTCCTTCCTTCCCCCCCCTTCCTTCCTCTCTCCCTCCCTCCCTTCTTCCTTCCTTCCTTCCTTCTTTTTTTCTTTCTTTCTCTCTCTCTTTTTCTTTCTTTCTTTCTCTTTTCTCTCTCTTTTTCTCTTTCTTTCTCTCTCTTTTTCCTCCCTCCCTTCCTTTCTTTCTTACTTTCTTTCTTTCTCTCTTTTCTCTCTTTTTCTCTTTCTTTCTCTCTCTTTTTCCTTCCTTCCTTCCTTCCTCCTTCCCTATCCTCCTTCTCTCCCTCCCTCCATCCTTCCTTCCTTGTTTCTCTTTCCTTTCTTTCTTTTTCTTTCTTTCTCTTTCTGTCTTTTTTCTCTCTTTTTCTCTTTCTTTCTCTCTCTCTTCCCTCCCTCCCTCTTTCTTTTCTTTCTTTCTTTCTCTCCTTCCTTCCTTCCCTCCCTCCCTCCCTCCTTCCTTCCCTCCCTCCCTCCCTCCTTCCTTCCGTCCTTCCTCCCTCCCTCCTTCCTTCCTTTTTTCTCTTTTTTCTTTCTTTTTCTCTTTTTTCTCTCTCTTTTTCTTTTTCATTTTCTCTTTCCTCTCTCCCTCCCTCCCTTCCTTCCTTTCTTTCTCTTTTCTCTCTCTCTCTTTTCCCTTCCTTCCTTCTCTTTTTCTTTCTTTCTTTCTCTTTTTTCTCTCTTTTTCTCTTTCTCTCTCTCTTCCCTCTTTCTTTCTCTCTCTCTCCTTCCTTCCTTCCATCCTTCCTCCCTCTCTCCTCCCTCCCTTGTTTCTTCCTTCCTTTTTCTCTTTCTTTTTTCTTTTTCTTTCTCTTTTTTCTTTTTCATTCTCTCTCTGTTTCCTCCCTTCCTTCCTTTCTTTCTTTTTCTCTTTTCTCTCTCTTTTCCCTCCCTCCCTCCCTCCCTTCCTCCTTCCCTCCCTCCCTTCCTCCTTCCCTCCCTCCCTCCTTCCCTCCTTGTTTCTCTTTCTTCTCTTTCATTCTTTCTTTTTCTTTCTCTTTCTCTCTCTTTTTCTCTTTCTTTCTTTCTCTCTCTCTTCCCTCCCTCCCTCCCCTTCTTTCTCTCTCCTTCCTTCCTTCCTCCTTTCTCTTCCTTTTCTTTCTTTCTCTTCCCTCCCTCCCTCCTTCTCTGTCTCCTTGCTTCCTTCCTTTCCTTCCTCCTTTCTCTTTCTTTCTTTCGTCTCTCTTTTCTCCCTTTTCTCTTTCTTTCTCTCCTTCCTTTGCTTTCTTTCTCTCCTTCCTTCCTTTTCTTTCTTTCTTTTCTCTCTCTCTCTCTTTTCTCTCTTTCTCCCTCCCTTCCTTCCTTCCATCCATCCTTCCTAGCAATGAGGTCTCTCTATGTTGCCCAGGCTGGTCTTGAGCTCCTGAGCTTAAGTGATCCTCCCACCTCGGCTTCCCAGAATGCTGGGATTACAGGTTTCTTCAGTTCTTCCATGTTGCTAAGTGATACCTCCATCCACTCCATTGTGCAAACCCAAGACTTGACTTGAGCCACACCCTTATTTTCCCCTTTGCCATCACCCTTATCAGCAAATCCTGTCGAATCTATTTTCAGAACACATTTTGGGGTGGTCTGCCTCTCTCCAGCTCCAAGCATCCACTGAAGTTCAAGCTGCCATCATCTCCCTCCTGGACTTCTACAATGGCCTCTCCCCATAAAGTCACAGCTGTTCTCTTACAACCTAGTCTCCATCCAACAGCCAGAGTCACCTTTCCAGGAATAAATCTGATCTTGGCAGTCTCCTGTGTGAAATCCTTTAGTGGCTTTTCATTGCAGTTAGAAGCAAATCCAAACCCATTTCCATGGCCTCCTGGGCCATGCTGGATCTAGCCCCCGCCTACCTTTCCATTCTCATGGGCAGTCACTCTCTCCCATGACTCCTGTGTGCAGCCTCACTTACCAT
Organism: Homo sapiens; assembly: GCF_000001405.40. NCBI lineage: Eukaryota > Metazoa > Chordata > Mammalia > Primates > Hominidae > Homo > Homo sapiens. The sequence goes on along the minus strand of NC_000004.12, from coordinate 26,213,536 downwards.
CTGCTGTTCTTCTAATCTTCTCATCTCACTGCTGCCTCAGGGCATTTGCATCTACTGTGTCCTCTGTTAGGAATGCTCTTTTATGACTTTCAAATACCTGACCCCTTCTCATTTTCCTAAGCCAGGCTTATTCTTAGAGGAAAAAAAACCCAAACAACAGTTTTTTTCTCTGCCCTTGAATTATAACAATGAACACAGAGGACTTTGGTGTGAAATTTGGGGGATTTTCTTCCCACCAGCAAGCAAGCAATCAATTCTGCAGCAGACACCAGTTGGTTGTTCCCCAGTTCAATTCAATTCTGATGCTAGCCACCTGGGATAGAGGTGTCCTGTCATTTCAGGACCTCTGGAACTTCTGACCTACTGACTTCAAGTTGGGGTTCTCATGACCTCTCCTTTAGGCTTGATTAATTTGTGAGAGTAGTTCACAGAACTCAAGGAAACACTTATATTTACTAGTTTATTATAAAGGACATTTTAAAGGATATAAGCAGCTCGAAGAGGAGACACATAGTACGTGGTCTGGAAGGTCCTGAGTGCAGGAGCTTCCATTCCTGTGGAGTTGAGATGTGTCCCGCTCCTGGTATGGGGATGAGTTCTTGTTCATCTTCCTGCAGCCTCCAGGACTTCAGCTGTCCAGAAGCTCCCATACCCTGTCCTCTTGGGCCTTTTATGGAAACTTCACTGAGTGGACATGAAGGATGGACACTGATGTAGAAATGTGACTGGACAAAAAAGGTATGATCTCATACTGAAAGACCAAGTGAGGAACCCAGCAAAGCCTGTCTGTTTAGATTCTGCTTGGCCTCTCTGTGTAACATTCCTTTCTGCTGCGTATGGGGCAAGACCCCTTCTGAAATGAAGGTCTTCTGACCACAATCAGACAAGGTAGGTCAGAGAATTTCTTTATAGCCAGCTCCAAGGCAGAAAGGCAGGGAAAGATTAAAGTCCTGCCTTGGGGAGAAAAAGCAGTATGTGAAAAAAGAAGGTGGGAATCGCTTGAACCTGGGAGGTGGAAGTTGCAGTGAGCCAAGATTGCACCACTGCACTCCAGCCTGGGTGACAGAGTGAGACTCTGTCTCAAAAAAAAAAAAAAAAAAAAAAGAAAAGAAAAGAAAAAGGCAGGAGAAGATGAGAAAGGGAGAATCTGTTTTCTGAGGCCTGTTTCTGAGGCTTAAAATGCCCCAACATTGTAATAATAGCCTGTAACAAGAGCCATGGAAGTTATGAGCCAGGAACCATGGACAGAAACCTGCATATGTATATAATAAAATAATATCACATCTTCCCTGACCACCCTATGTTAAAAGTAAAATTAGCCACTTTTTCCATCGGTCATATGGGTTATTATAATTTCCATTGTAGCGGGGAGGATCACAAGCTGAAATGAGGTGTGTATTAGTTTGCTAGGGTTGTTGTAACAAAAAGTGCCACAAACTGGGTGACTAGAAGTCTGAGATCAGGGCATCAGCAGAGTTGGCTCCTTCTGAGGGCTCTGAGGGATGCTCTGTTCCCACACTTCCCCTGGCTTCTGTGCTTGCTGGCAATCTTTGGTGATCCTTGGCATCTGGCGCATCACCCCCATCTCTGCCTTCGTCTTCAGGTGGACTTCGCTCTGTGTCCAAATTTTTCCTTTTCGTAAGGACACCAGTCATATTGGATGGTCTACTGTACTCCAGTATGATCTCATCTTAACTAATTACTTCTATAATGACCCTATTTCTAAATAAGATCATATTAAGGGGCATTAGAGGTTCAGACTTCAACATATGGATTTGGAGAGGGACACAATTTAACCTATAACAGGTAGGGTATAATTATTTGATTCTTTGTTTGCTGTCTACCCGAATGGAAGGTGAGTTTCTGGAGGGCAGACATGTTGTCCCTCATGTTCCCACCGCTGTATCCACTGCACTAAGGATGGTGCTTGGTGCGAAGGCTCTCAATAAATCATACTTATGATAAATTGATGATGGTCGTGCAACTTTATGAATATATTAAAAACTACTGAATTTACAGAGGTGAATTATTTACAGAGGTGAATCTATGGTATGTGAAATACATCTCAAATATAAATGAGCAAATAATAAACAATCCCTGTAGAGATACAATGATTATTTATTGTGTAAATATCTATTTTCTCCCCAGAGAAACTCAGTTCCTCTCTAATACTTTCCAATTCCCTGGAGGTTTATGGACGACACAGTACTGTCTTTGGGGCTGTGTGGGCCTTGAGTAGAGTGATAGATCTTTAACATTTTTGAATATCTGATGAGTATTTGTCCCCAGAAAAGTGCTACTAGGCATATGTACAGAAAAGTGCTACTACACATATGTACATTGCACACATACACGTGCATATGGTACTTTCTATATAATTTCAGAGGGTTTACAGACACCTTGAGTAAGGCTATTTCCATGGATCAAAGTAACAATAATCTGGGTTGGAAAATCTCACCAATGACCCTTCTAGCTTTGAAAGTTATGGGAGTCTATACACCTGTGCTCTGCACAGCACAGGGGCTCTGTGGGAAAAATGAAATTACTTTGCTTCTGCTTACAAGAAGCTTATGGACTACTTAAGGAGAAAAATAAATCACAATACAAAACCAAGTGGAGAATGCCTAGTACTTCAGAAAAAGCTTTCATCCAGGCTCTTCGGTTGAAAGTACCCATAACTAGGCTTTTCACTGGCACACCAATAAAAGAGCCAGACACACAGGAGAAAAGAAAGAAAGAAAGAAAGAAAGAAAGAAAGAAAGAAAGAAAGAAAGAAAGAAAGAAGGAAAGAAGGAAAGAAGTAAAGAAGGAAAGAAAGAAGGAAAGAAGGAAAGAAAGAAAGAAAGAAAGGAAAGAAAGAAAGAAAGAAAGAAAAAAGAAAGAAAGCTGGCTTAAGGGTTTGAAAAGTAGTGTAATCAAGAACAAATGAGTTTTGCCATGACAAATTTAATTAAAAGCCTCATTGATATTTGAAATAAAAATGTTTTTAGTTAGCTTCCTTTTGAAAAATGATTAACGTCATATAGCTTCTTTTAAATAATACTAACAATGATTTTTGATGCGATGGGAATGGCTTTAAATTGATGCGATTGCCCTCTGCTGCTCTCTGCACCCAGGTGGGCCCCATTAGACAAGTTGTAAAGGAGCTAGTTTCTACATGTGGATAGACTTCAACCTCTTCTCCCTCCCTCAACTCACACACCAAATAGAAATTCTCCTAACTAGAGGTTTAGTGAAGAGGAGGGGATCCTGTGCGGAAAGGGAAAGAACCGGCAGTTACAATCTTCCTAAATTCAGGGAAGACTATATTCCCACTGTAGAACACTGTCAAACTCTTGGATCTGTGTTGAGAGTTATCTTTTATCCCCTAAAACGATTGTGGTTTTGTATCCCATTAAGGACACATTAGGAATTCTGAATGAAAAGCTGAAGTAGAAGAAGAAAGACTTCCTGGAAGACAGCTAGAAGCAAAATCAATCCAATAGTTGTTTAAAACTCTACAGTGGGTCCTCATATGGTTTTAGGGTGGCAAGATTGTTGGTCTTGAAAGTGTTTTCTTACCCCAGAAATGTTACCAAAAGAGCAAAACTTCCCACCCAAAATGAAAATGATATGAATGGGAAAGGAGGTGAGGGAATGGGAAAAGAAAAAGCAAGGAAGGGAGAGAGGGAAGGAGGAAGGGAGGGAGAGAGGGAAGGAGGAAGGAAGGGGGGAGAGGGAAGGAGGAAGGGAGGGAGAGAGGGAAGGAGGAAGGAAGGGGGGAGAGGGAAGGAGGAAGGGAGGGAGAGAGGGAAGGAGGAAGGGAGGGAGAGAGGGAAGGAGGAAGGGAGGGAGAGAGGGAAGGAGGAAGGGAGGGGGAGACGGAAGGAGGAAGGGAGGGAGAGAGGGAAGGAGGAAGGGAGGGAGAGAGGGAAGGAGGAAGGGAGGGAGAGAGGGAAGGAGGAAGGGAGGGAGACAGGGAAGGAGGAAGGGAGGGAGACAGGGAAGGAGGAAGGAAGGAGATAGGATGTCACTTGATTGTTTGATTGGCTTAAGAGTGTAGATTTTGATTGTTTTTTAAGCTTCATTAATTTAAACACAAAACTTTTTTCCACAACTTGACCCTGGAATGACTAAGTAATTGCTGCATTACTTACTAGGTTTGTATTTCAAATTATCATAAACACAAACCGAAAATCTTGTATTTTAGGCAAACCTGGGTATAATCCTTCACTAAGAAAGCCTTTATTGAGAAAGAAAACCAAAAGTCACCACATCAGCAAAGATCATATTTTGGAAGAAACTGCCGTGTTTTAGAGCCACCCATACCAACTTAATAGAATCAACATTTTAACTTTCAGGCATTTTGCAAGCCAGTTGACATCATGCCGGTAGCTTGAAATAGGCCATGTTGAGAGTATTTTTACTATGGTAAATGCTTTTATATATATATATATATTTTTTTTCTTCTGTAATGCTGGTTATTAAACATTTTCTAGCATACTGTCTTTATATCTGAATATTTACAGTTCTAGCTGCAACAAAACAAAGAAAAAATGAATAAGGAACAAGCACAAATACTTCTGCAGAAGCTACTGAGAATTCAACTGAAAGACTATAATTTAAGCAGTTAACAAATATTGAATATCTACTATCTTATCCCTGCCACCCTAGGTTAGGGCTAAATGGCCAATGAAGTCATATGACAGAGCTCCCAGTCACTGAGTGTCTTGTAATTTGTTTGGGGAGACAGGCTGGGCACACATGGACAATGTATGTAAGAGTACAGAGCAATGTCTATTTACATGGAATATTGTCTTGTGAAGGCTCAGTACAACAAGAGTTCAGAAAAAAAATCACAGGGTGGTCAAAATTAAGCAAGAAAATTGTGCAAATCGTGGTCTGTTAATTCAAAGGAGCAATGGATAAACTGGGTTCATCATAATAGGATATATGGCTTGTGGCAAAGGGATCTTCAGACAATTTAAAAATCCTTTCAGTTTGTCTCCCTCTTACTTAATGTCATTATCACTCTTGAAATATATTATTAGCACAGAAAGACTATTGTTCTTTGTGATAGATGGTGACATCTCTGACTGTGTGGCTATTCATGTGTTCCTGGCCAGCCTATTAATGGATCAGCCTTCTCTTCTGCACTAGAGAGAGTGCAATGCCCTTGGGCCCAGATCTGTAGCTACCATTTCAGGAGGCTGCTTAGGTTTGCATGATCTGCGTTTGAATCCAAACTTCTGCACTTTTTATCAGTGGGAACTTAGGTAAATGACTCAACCACTCTGTGCCTCAAATATCTCATCTGCAAGATGGGAAGATAGTTGTATCTATCTCATTGGGATGTTTTAAGGACTGAAATGGATTACTTCATATAGAGCATTTAGAGTAGCACCAAGCACGTAGTAAACACTATTGTAGCAAACACTGTTGCTATTATTCTGTTGCGCTTGAAGCCCAGTCCTGCCAGATCTTGTGCAAGTCACTCTTGGTCTTGAAACCCTAGTTTCCTCATCTGCAGGACTGAAAGGCTAATTGCTGCCCATCTGGCAGGGCAATTGTGAGGACCATAGGAAACAGTGTCTGTGGAAAGCTCTTGGCAAACTGGAAAGTTCTATACAGGTGTGAGCTGTCAGTGCTGCCACAACAAGTCTCTGCTCAAAATGAGCTTCTCGGTTCCTGGCCTCCTGACGGCTCATGCATTTGGTGTGTTGTTGTGGTTTCCAGAATCCCATTGCTGTGTCCAAGTGCAGAGTCATGACTTGCCTGACTTTTCTGTGATGACATATAAATATACTCAAAGCATCTCCTCTAAAAATGCAATCGTTGTTTGTAATTTACCCCCTCTCCCCAGCAGAGCATCAGCTCCCCAAGGGCAGGCATTGCTTCTCTGTTGTATTCAGGGATGTACCCCAAGTGCCTAAACGAGAGCTTGGCATAGGATAGGAGCTCAACACACGTCTGTGTCCAGAACAAATGCTCATCTTTATCCTTAGCTCACATGTTCTCCAAACTAGAAAAGTGAACTAAGACATCTCCACAGGAATGAATCAGTATAACATAGGCATCCAAAATGAACAATCGATCCATCCATCAGCTAACACCACCGTGTGTGTGTGCAATCCACTTGGCTAGGTGCTTTGCGGGGAAGACTGACGTGGAGAAGAAGGTGTGACCTCTGTTAACCCTATTTTTTTTTTAGAAACACACACACACACAAAAGACACTGTCCAACTTGACATCTCATAAATCTCATTATTATCCCACCCTGGTTCTCCATCCTAAACCCGGCTTGCTCATTGCTGACAACAGCTCCCAGAAGTGGATATAGAAAAACCATGAGGAACTGGTTTACAAAGCACCATCTGCTCACCATTTATTTGCTAAGGTTTTCCATTTCAGAATCAGACGTGAACCACAAAACCCTGTGCCTTACTCCAGGGGCTTAGTAAAACTCTGTCATTTCCATACTAAAAGGAGAGGTGGGAATGGAGAGCACTGCTTGAATCTAAACCTGGAAAAGGGGGAATTGATTTATGGAATTCTGCAGGTGGGCAGCCCTGGAGCAGAAAAGCAGACCTTAGTTACCTGTGCAACTGGAGTTCATGATTTTTCAGAACAGGTATAGAATTTGAGGGGACCTTTACTTAGGCATTTAGTACAATCCTCCTTTAAAAAACTACCAGAATTCAGAAAAAAAAAGACCAAAAAAGTGTTTTCTTGGCTGTATTTCTTGTAGTGACTGCGAAAACCCGTGAAGGAGGAAAACTGGCCAGGATTTTTTTTTTTTTTTTTTTGAGGGTATGAAAGCCTTTCGTTTTTATAGTTTTGAAAATCCTTGGAGTTTAACTTTGAACTTTAACCAAAAAAAATTATATCTTATAAACAATGGCATTTGTTGACTGGATGAAGGACTAGATCAATATTGGTCTTGGCAACCCATTTTGGCTGCTGTTGCCTGCAGAAATATGCTGGTTGTGGTGTTAAAAAATTATGTCAGTTCCTCACCATGTGTCTCTTTTTCTTGGAGTTATGCCTGAGAATTACTTTCCAAAGATACTTCCAGAAGTTAACCTAGAGCCTGGCCTCCACAGCAAAGGAAGTTACACATAAACTCTCGGAAAGCAGAGCACCACAGTGAGCTCCTGGGAGGGGGAGGAATAAATCTGGATCTATGGAGGAAGAAGATGATTTGAAGCAACTGCTAATTTCACAAGGATAGTCACAGTCCCTCTTCTTGCTAAAGTTATCACCAAGACTTGTCACACCAAGGGCGAAAAAACACTAAACAAAAATAAATCAATCTTGGCAAATGAAAACCATTGCTTTGAAAGAAAATAATCATTGTAGCCATGATGGAACTGTGTACATTAGAATGTTCGAAATCTTTTCATTTTGGGGAGAAGTGGGAGGCAGTAGTGGCAGTTGGGATTTTCTAGAAGAGAGGTAGTAAAGCTTTTAGTGTTTTCACGTAGACTACCATATTATCCACTTATTTTAGGTATAAGACTATATGCCACATGTTCATCTATGTGTAATTTATAAAAAAAATACGCATATATCATATTTACTCAACTCAACAGACTGAATGGATTACTTATTCTTTGTAACTTGAGTTTCATTTAGAAGTTTTTTTTTTCTTAAAAAATTTTTTTAGGCTGGGTGTGGCGGCTCATGTCTGTAATCCCAGCATTTTGGGAGGATGAAGTGAGCAGATCACTTGAGGTCAGGAGTTTGAAACCAGCCTGGCCAACATGGTGAAACCCTGTCTCTACTAAAAATACAAAAATTAGCCAGGAGTGGTAGTGCATGCCTATAATCCCAGCTACTCAGGAGGCTGAGGCAGGAGAATTGCTTTAACCTGGGAGGTGGAGGTTACAGTGAGCTGAGACTGTACCGCTGCACTCCAGCCTGGGCAATAGAGTAAGACTCTATCTCCAAAAACAAAACAAAAAAAATTTTTTTTAGATGGTGTCTCTCTATGTTGCCCAGGCTGGTCTGGAATCCCCACCTGCCAAGTAGCTAGGATTACAGGCTCATGCCATGCCGCCCAGCTCCCATTTGAAAGTTTGACAACTGCAGCAATGTAGGACTGTGCGGTGGGGCAAGGAGAGGGCAATAAGAAAAGCTAAAAAGGAATCCCACATAGTCAACCCAGGAGCCTGACTCCAGAATTGCAGCTGCTAATCCAGCCTCATGGGCCCTCCATGGTCTGTGTTGGGTTCTTCTACACTGTGCAGAGGGTGAGGCAATGTCCTATACTCCACACTGGCAGCTGGCAGTGAAAGATGGCACAGGGCCGGAGCTGCTCCCACATCTCTTCTCCTTGCTAAAGATAAGTGCACACCTGCCACTGCTTGAGAAAGACAGCCAAGAGCTGTCACTGCATGCCTGTTCTGAGAACCTGTTGGCTGGCCCTCTTCCTGTGCTCCTGGTGGCCAGCGGGAGCCCTGGGCCCTTAACTGAGCCCCTCCCCCATCCTGCAGTCGTAACTCTGCTCCCAGAGGCAGCTCCTTCCAGCCACGTGGCCCCTGGCGCCGAGGCCAGGACCTTGGCACATCCCTTTGGAAAGGTGGCCAACTCCACACTTGCCAGATTCTCACAGTTTTCTGACCGGTGTCTCCAGTGAAATGAGTGCAGGGGGTGAGACTATATTTAGCCCAACTCAGAAAGAATGCTCCAGGGCACACACTAACAGTAATAAAACAAGGCTACTGTTAACCTTTATTGAGCACTTACTGTCTACCATGCTTTATGCTAAGCACTTTGTATGCTGTATTTTACTGAACCCTCATAACCATTTTACGAGAGCAGTGCTATGTTCATGCTAAGAAAACTGAGGCCAGACATCTCATAGCTGGTGGTGTTGGGATTCCCCTCGTGTGTCCCACTGCTGAGCTGTGTCACTTCCAACTTGGACACAACAGTGAGCTTCACCCAGGTCATCTCATCTCAATGTGCTACCCCTCTGCATGGCCACATCTACCAGGCTACCCACGAGTAGTCCCATCCCCAGCGGATGGCTAGAAGGGCCACCCACGCTCATAAGCACATTGTGTAACTGCACAGATGCTTGGGCTGCATAGACCCGTCCCCAAGGACCAGTAAGGCGCCTTCCTCTGCAAATCATTTCCTGAACTCTGACAGCCTTTACTGAGCAGACTCAGTATGTCCTGTCTTCAAAGGCGACACCTCTTTCATTGGTGTGGGGACAACTTCCTCTGCTAGATTCAGCATTTTTTGAGTGCAAAAACTATGTACTCTATTTCTTTCACATTAAAGAAAAAAAATCACTGACTTCAGCCAGGCATGGTGGCTCACACCTGTAATCCCAGTGTTTTGGGAGGCCAAGGCGGAAGGATCACTTGAGCCCAGGAGTTTAAGACCAGCTTAGGCAACATGGTGAGACCCCCCCATCCCTACAAAAAATACAAAAATTAGTCAGGCATGGTGGCACGCACCTGTGGTCCCAGCTACTCGGGAGGCTGAGGCGGGAGGATAGCTTGAGCCTGGGAGGTTGAAGCTGCAGTGAGCTGTGATCACACCACTACACTCCAGCCCCGTGGGAGAGTGAGACCCTGGTCACTTGATCATCTGGCTTCATTTTAAGGCCCAGTGAGTTTAAACAACATAGCTGAGACCATGCAGCAGGACAGAGGTAGCATCAGGACCAGAACCTCAGGTTCCTAACTGTCAGGCACAATAAATTCTGGTCCGGTTGATCTGATGGATGTACTCAGGTAGAGTGAGGCAATGAAGCAATTACTTAAAGGCCAACCTCCGTGGCCCCATTGCTGCTGATCACCTCCTCACTTTGTTGAGATGAAAGCATGTTGGGGGTATGGTGGGTCTGCTGGCAGCTAATGCCTTTATGTGGTGGACCCCACAGGTAGCAGCAGTGGCCAATCATTCTTTCACTCAACAGAGCCTTTGGTCTGAGCCAGTTCCTGTTTAGGAGTGGAGGACAGAGCCATGAACACAATAGAGAGAAGTCCCTTCTCTCACCGAGCTTACTTGTTAGGGGAGGAAGACAGACAGCACAGAGATAAATAAATTTATGACAGATCATGCTAAAGGCCATGAAGAAGAATAAAGCTGGCAAAGGGACAGAGAGATAGGGGTATGGAGACCCTACTGTATGTGGGGTGGTCAGGGAAGGGCCTGGGGAGAAGGTTGCATTTGAATAAAGATGAGGAAGGTGAGGAAATGAGCCATGTGGGCATGTGGCAAAGACTGTTCCGGAAAGAGAGAGCCATGCCATGTAGATATTGTGCAGATCCTTGTGCAGTGCTTTAATTTTATTCTCACAGTAATGAAAAACTATTAGGTAATTTTGAGCATAGAAATTTGATTTTTGATTTAAAATGATCATTCTGGCTACTATGTAAAGACTAGACTAAGGGGATAAGACTGGACCTCAAACAGATAGACCCTTTTTAGCCAAAATATGCTGGTGACTTGGACTAGATAGGGTTGACCCAGCGGTGGAGGTGAGAAATTATTTTTCTTTTCTTTTCTTTCTTCTCTTTTCTTTTCTTTTTTCCTTCCTTCCTTCCTTCCTTCCTTCCTTCCTTCCTTATTTCCTTCCTTCCTTTCTTCCTTCCTTTCTCTCTTTCTCTCTTTTTCTTTTTTTTTTGACAGTCTGGTTCTGTTGCCCAGGCTGGAGTGCAGTGGTACGGTGGTGTGATCTCAGCTCACTGCAACCTCCACCTCCTGGGTTCAAGCGATTCTCCTGTCTCAGGCTCCCAAATAGCTGGGATTACAGGGGCGTGTCACCATGCCCAGCTAGTTTTTGTATGTTTTTGTAAAGATGGGATTTTGCCATGTTGTCCAGGCTGGTCTTGAACTACTGCCCTCAAGAGATCTGTCCCCTTTGGCCCCCCCAAAGTGCTGGGATTACAGGTATGAGCCACCGTGCCCAGCTGAGAAATTATATTTCTAAAAAGAGACAACCAGATTTGCTGTGGATTGAATGTGGGATTTTTAAAAAGAGAGAATTGATAGTCAAGAATGACTCTGAGGTTTTTAGCCTAAGCAAACAGTGCCAATGAAATCGTCATTTATTGAGATAGGAAAGAGTGAGGATGAAGCTGGGCTGGGGGGAAGGAAAGATCAGGTTTTAGATATGTTGAAATTTGAGTTGTCTATTGGACATGTAAGTGGAGGTGTCAAGTAGGCAGCCTATTGCCACTGTTTGCTTAGGCTAAAAACCCTGGAGTCATTCTTGACTAGCAATTCCCTCTTTTTAAAAATCCCACATTCAATCCACAGCAAATCTGGTTGTCTTTTTTTAGAAATACAATTTGGAACTGGAGATTCCTTTGGAAATGATCATTGTAGGTTGATGACATTTAGAGCTGTGGACCAGATGAGCTCCTCTAGAGAATGAGTGAAGGTAAAGAAGAGGGCTAAAAGTGGAGGCCTGGGATATGCCAACTTTAAAATGAGAGAAGACAAGGAGGAATCAGCAAAGTGCTGAGAAGAAGCAGCCAGAAAAAGGGAAGGACAAGCCAGAGAATGGGAAAGAAAGTTTTTTGGGGAAAAGGGAGAAATCAACCATGTTCGGTGCTGCTGATGGTTGGAGTAAGATGAAGACTGAAAAGTTAGCATTGAATTTTGTAACAGGTAGCTCGTGGGTATCATTGAAATGATGGATGGAGGGCCAGGGCCCTCCCTGCAAATTTCTGATCTGTGTATAAGTCTTGAGTTTCTTGTGTGACTCAGGGGGCAAGAATAAACCAAGAGAAACTTCTGGGATTTGGCAACTCTTGGCTCTTTTGAGTGGAGGGCATGAAGTAGGTGTAACTTGGTTTAGAACGTTAGAAAAATATAGCCTGTTTGCACTGCAGGGTATGACAGAACAGTCTACCTAACTCTCAGTGTAAATGCATTGAGATTTACATCAGTGTACCTTTTGCTTCCAGGGATTGTGAATTGCAGGTCATGTGTGTTGAGGGTGAAAATGAGAGGTAGAGGTAAAAGTGGGAGAACGGTGGGGGTTTTGCAATGAAGCTGTGGAGTGAAAAATGGAAAATGAGGATAAAGTCCACCTGGTCCTTGGAGTCACACTGATACCATCTTGAGGAGGGAAATTGTGGCACCTGTAAAGGGAGGTCCATGACATGTTTTTGACAAAGAGTCACTGTAATAGAGCTAAAGCTCTTTATGCTTGAGTACCACAGAGGGAGTTATGAAATACCGACTCAGCTATGTCACCCAGTTAAGTAAAAGTTACACCATCCTTTTTCCGTCTCCAACATCCTAATTATACCACAAGTTTGGGACCACAATTAAAACCAGGAGGACAGATCCCAGAGGCAAAAACCAGTCAACAAGCCTGAGTCACAAAATTAGAAAAGCATCAAACATTTGGAAAGAAACCCATTTGTGGAGGGGAGCTTTATAGTATGTGCATTATTGGTGACAAAGCGGAACAAATTTCCAAACCTTTTTTGGGAAATTACAGAGTAGAGAGACCCCAAAGATTATCTTAAGAGTAAGAGATGGTGAATGGATACTCATTCATTCATGCATTCATTCATTCAATTTGGTTTTGGAACAGCATCCATATGCCAGGCATGGGGGTATATCAGAGAACAAGGTGGATGTGATCCCTGCACTCACACTATCTACAATCTAGGTAGTGTCAGGTAAACAAGTAATTTACAGCTTGATGTGATAAATAACATGAAAGGGGTGAAATACAGGAACTAGATAGCCAGAGACAAGAAGCACCTAATCACAGTAAGGGGTCAAGGAGGCTCCTGAGATGAAACAATGTCTAATCTGAGACCTGAAGTTGAGGAGATTTGTGGGCACCTATTACACGGGAGGATAGTACAGTGGGCATTGGATCTGATTGCTTGGGTTTTTTTTTCTTTTTTTTTTCAGATAGAAAGTTTCGCTTTGGAGTGCAGTGATGCAGTCACGGCTGACTGCAGCCATAACCTCATGGGCTCAAGTGATCCTCCCACCTCAGCCTCCCAAGTAGCTGGGACCACAGGTATGCACCACCATTCCCAGCTAATTTCTTCTTATTTTTTGTAGACACAGGGTATCCCTATGTTACCTAGGCTGGTCACAAACTCCTGGGCTCAGGTGACCCTTCCACTTCAGGCTCCCAAAGTTCTGAGATAACAGGCATGGGCCACCGTATCTGGCCATGATTGCTTGGGTTTAAATCTGGGCTCTGCCACCAGTTGTGGACCTTGGTGAAGTTAGTCATCTTTCTATACCTCAATAACCTCCTGGATTAATAATACCACTATTTCAAGGAGTTGTTATGATAGAGTAAAATGCCAACAATATCTTCTAAAATTAAAGTTTTGTGTCATAACTGTGACTGTAAAAATAAGGACGAAGGACTTTGCTAACTTCACTCAAAGTCCTATTTTCTCTACAACGATTTAAGTTCCTCATTGGCAAACACACCTCCCACCAGGTCTGCAGACTCTGCCCTTGAGGTGGCGAAGAGAGGCCAGAGGTGAACGTGAGAATGAGAACTGGCAGAACTCAACGTGGAAACGTTGCTGGAGCGAAGATGGCACCGGCCTCCATCATCAACTGCAGGATTGAATCACATGGCACAGCTCCCCAAGAAGCATTTACAGAAGAAACGAGCCATAGCATCACCTCGACTGAACGGTTCTGGCCAGGATTTCTGTGCATGTGTTTTAAGAATTTTAAAAATTGAGAAATAATTCACATACCATAAAATTCACTCTTTAAAAGTGTACAATTCAGTGGTTTTTAGTGCATTTCCAAGTTTGTGCAACCAACATCACTGTCTGATTCCAGGACATTTTCAACACCCCCAAAAAGAAACCACTTGCCAGGTTTTTGAAAGGGGCAAATCTGTGCCAGAGTTGCTGTTGGAGAAATAGTCTCTGTGATAAAGAAACTTAAAATTTCCGCTTCAGATCTGAACGGTAAAGCTCATTTCCAGGGATTTTCTTCCTCTCCCCTCCCCAGCCACTCCAGGCTCAATCTAGACTTTTAGTTTCTACTGACCTCGAAGAATTGCCCCACAGAGGCGTTGTCCTGTGTTCCAACACTGTTTTGTGTTTCTGACATGTGTGTGTATTTTCTCGTCCTCCTGTTAGTGAATACTTGTTATCTCGCAGTTAACTTGTTCTCTTATCAACCTTTTCTTTCCTCACTGTCTCTAATCCCCGCAAGCTCCACCTCCCGGGTTCAAGTGCCTCAGCCTCCCAAGTAGCTGGGACTACAGGCGCACACCACCATGCCCAGCTAATTTTTTGTATTTTAGTAGAGATGGGGTTTCACCATGTTGGCCAGGATGGTCTCGATCTCCTGACCTCATGATCCGCTCCTCTCAGCCTCCCAAAGTGCTGAGATTATAGGCATGAGCCACCGTGTCCGGCCAAGGGCAGGAATTCTTAATCACTTCTCTCAGATGACTTCCCACAGCTGGCTTCCTGCATTTCTCCTTGCTAGGAATTTTATAGGAATGAGGAGTTTAATGGGTGCAGAGTTTTAGTTGGGGAAGAAGAAAAAGTCCCGGAGATTAATGGTGGTGATGGTTGCATCGCAATGTAAATGAATGTACTTCATGCCACAGAACGGTACACTTAAAAATGGTTAAAAGGGTAAATTTTATGTTGTGTATATTTTAGAGCAATAACAAAACAATAATTTTACAGGCTGTGGTTATGATCCTGCAAGCTGTGAGACTTAGCAAAAAGTGAGTTTCTTCTTCTGTGAAACAGGAAGAACCATTCATTCAACAAATACTTCTCAAGCATCCCTTATAAGAAGACAAGATGGTATTATGGTTAAAAACTCAAACTCTAGAGGCTGGTGGCCTGGATTTGAATCTTGATTCTGTGGCTCTCTCACTGTTGGGAAATGGGCAAGCCAAACTTTTCTCTGTGCCTTAGTTTTCTCATCTGGAAAATGGAGATAGTAGTTCCTCTGTCATTAGGATTGTTGTGAGAAATAATTGAGTTAATATATTCAAATAGAACAGGGTCTGGCACAAGATAAATGCTACCTGTTATCATTATTATTATTACTATTTGCTTGAGTTAATGTATAAAATATGTAAACAGTATGCAGCATAAAATAAGTGCTACCTATAATTATTATTGCTATTTTGTGCCAGGCACCATTCTAGAAGGTGGAGATACAGCAATGAACCCTTGACTTCCTGGAGCTTACCATTTAGAGGGGAAAATAGACAATAAATAAGGAAATGTATAGTATGGCAGGTAGTAGTTAATATCTGCCTCATAGTATTTTTTGTTTTTTTGTTTTTTTGTTTTTTTGTTTTTTGAGATGGAGTTTCGCTCTTGTTGCCCAAGCTGGAGTGCAATGGCGCGATCTCAGCTCACCGCAACCTCCGCCTCCCAGGTTCAAGCAATTCTCCGGCCTCAGCCTCCCGAGTAGCTGGGATTACAGGCATGTACCACCACGCCCGGCTAATTTTGTATTTTTAGTAGAGACGGGGTTCCTCCATGTTGAGGCTGGTCTCGAACTCCTGACCTCAGGTGATCCACCCCCCTCGGCCTCCCAAAGTGCTGGGATTACAGGTGTGAAGTGAGCCACTGCGCCCGGCCTGCCTCATAGTATTATAATGAAAATTACACAAAGTAATATATGGAAAGTGGCCGATATAGTCAGAACCTGTCTGAAAATGGGCACTTAATAAATAAATGTTAACTCTCCTTTTCTCTCTGCTCCCCCTTCACTCCCCTCCCTTCCCTTCCCCTCCTCTCCTCTCTCCTCTCCTTTACCTATTCTCTCTTTGGAGAGAAACCAGTCAGAAGACAAGCGGCCAGGGGTGCCCATACACATCAGCAGAGGAGGCTGGAGGAACAGTTCAGGCCAGGGCCTCCAAAAGCTGGCTGCAATTTCTGCGGCAGGTAGTTTCTCTCTTGCCGCTTTAGGGGAAATATGAATCATCCGTTGTTGTTTGGTTTCCATTTCCTGGGAGGCTGCAGGCCCAGGAAATCTGTGGTTTGAGCATCAGTGCCGAGATCAAACGAGATGGCTATTAGCAGCAGAGTGTGTTGCTGGGACCACTGACAAAGTTCTCTTGAGCCAAATGACTCACCTTGAGCTGGCTCCTTGGCCCACTTTCTCCTGATTGCATTCAGCTCAAGAAATGACTTGAATTTCCTGACCCAGTGTGACTCTTCCTTAGCTGTACTGGATGGTAGAGCACATCTGGACCGGGATGGGGCAGAGGTCCAGCCTGTGTTATTATCCCCATTTTACACATGATGGAAAGGTGGTCCTGGGTCCCCAATTCTTCCACTATACAACATGCTGTTTCCCCAAGTGCTGAGTAGATCTTATCATAACCAGTCCTAGGACAACCGAGCACTGGTCACCACAACCTTGCCACTGCTGACCTTGGTTGAAGTCCACTTACTTGATCCAGCTATACTCCATTATAATGAACATTATAATTAAACCTTCAGGACAACCTCTGGAGCTTTTGAAAGGAGAATTAACCAGTTATTACAAAAATAAAAGAGAGAGAGTGAGCGAGAGAAAGATTGATACAGATGGCAGATGATAAGAGAAATACATTCAAGTGTTTCTACATCATTCTTCTTTTGGGTCTCAATTCTCTTTTAAACTATTCCTATGATCCAAGGAAATCCGCTTGAACATTAATTTAAAAGTGAAGGAAGAAGAAGCCTCCATGACAGAGGAGCAATCCAAGCCTCTCCAGCATGGCAGATTTGGCCCAGGATAAAGAAGAATGGTGTCATGATCAGGACACAGTCAGGAAGGGCTGGGGGAGCTCCGGAACAAATGCAGCAAAATGCCGACATCTGTTTTATCTCAACAGTGGGTATGTGGCTGTCTGTTATGTGATTTTGTACTTTTATGTATTTTTGAAATATTTCATACTAAATCAAGAAGTGTGGAATTCGAAGTCAGAAAATCTGAGCTCAAATTTCACCTCCTTGGATAGGCTACTCAGTTTCTGACTGTGCAGATCTATCGAATGTAGATAACAGTAAGCAATTCATAGGTTTGTTATGATTCTCAGGCAAGATAAAACATTTGAAGCATTTTGTAAATTTAGAATCACCCCTAAAAGGAATCCCATACCCACGAGCAGTCACACCTGCTCCTCCTTTCCCCTCAGTCCCAGGCAGCCACTAATATACTTTCTTGTCTCTGCAAATTCACCTCTTCTGGACATTTCATATGAATAGAATCATACGATATCGAGCCTTTGACAACTTGCTTCTTCCATTTAGTATAAGGTTTTTCAAGGTTCATTCATGTTGCAGCAGGTATCAATACTTCATTCCTTTTTCTTACTGAATAATATTCTGCTCTGTGGATACAGAACATTTCATTCATCCATACACCAGCTGATGGACATTTGGGCTCCCTCTACTTTGGGGCTATTATGAATGATGCTGCTATGACCACTCACTTACAAGTTTTGTGTAGATGGATGTTTGCATTTATTTTGGGTATGTACCCAGAGGCTGCTAGATGTTTCAACATTTCAATAGAACCAGAGCTAACAGATTTCTCTCTCTCTCTTTTCTCTCTTCTCTCTCTCTCTGTTTCCTCTTTGTGTGTGTGTATATGTTTGTGTGTGTGCACTCAATTTGAAAATAACGACACTCTAAAAAGTCATGTGGGTCAAAATACAAAACACACGGCCAGGTGCGGTGGCTCACGCCTGTAATCCCAACACCTTGGGAGGCCGAGGCAGGCAGATCACAAGGTCAGGAGTTCAAGACCAGCCTGACCAACATGGTGAAACCTCGTCTCTACTAAAAATATAAAAAATTAGCTGGGTGTAGTGGTGGGCGCCTGTAATCCCAGCTACCCAGGAGGCTAAGGCAGGAGAATCACTTGAACCTGGGAGGCGGAGGTTGCAGTGAGCCAAGATCACACCACTGCACTCCAGCCTGGGCGACCGAGTGAGACTCCGTCTCAAAAAACAAAAACCAAAACAAAAAAAAACATACTCAGAGATCAGTTTTCGAAGTTCGATATAGACCTTAGTTATTTTGTCTGAGAAAGGGGAGAAGTAAAGCAGCTGACCACCATGGATCATTTTAGCTTTAAAACTTATCATTATTATTATTTGAGACAGTATCTTACTCTGTCACCCAGGCTGGAATGCAGTGGTGTGATCATAGCTTTATTCCTTTTTCTTACTGAATAATGTTCTGCTGTACAGAACATTTCATTTATCCATTCACCAGTTGATGGACAACTGGATAGATAAAAGACTGCAGCTTTGAACTTCTGAGCTCAAGTGATCCTCCTGCCTCAGCCTCCCAAGTAGGTAGGACTACAGGCATGCTGCCACCACGCCCAGGTAATTTTTAAACTTTTTGTAAAGACAAGGTCTCGCTATGTTGGCCAGGCTGGTCTTGAACTCTCGGCTTCAAGGGATCCTCCCACCTTGACCTCCCAGTGTTGGGATTACAGACATGAGCCACCATGCCTGGCTCTAGTTTTTATTAATCTCCCAGATAAACACGTATTCATTTATAAATAAACTCACTTTTATTTCCCAAGAGATTTGAGGTGGCTTACAGTATAAACCTGAAAAGACAGCTATGAATCAGTTCAGAAAGAGAGCTCATCACCATACAGGAACCTGGGCAGAGAGGGTTAGTAGGAGTCTCACATTTTATTCTTTGCTCCCTAGCAGGTGCACACATAGATATGGTTAGGAGGGTGTGCAAAACCAGGGCAGCAGAGACTTCAGGACCACTGGTCACAGCCACTCTCTGAGGGAGACATTTTATTTTGCATTTGTATCGTGTGCTCTGAGATGAAAGTTGAGCTTCTTCCTCTGGGAAGCTCATGGTCTAGTGGAGACACACGGGTCCACACAATTAGAACCCAGGGTACAAAATGCAAAGGTAACTGTGCTAGCTCAGAGGAGAGGTGAAGTGTGGTGGTGATAGGTGGGGGCCTACAGGCCCAGAAATCTGTTCTGGGGGGATGGCTGAGCTTTCTGAAGTCATGTGACCTGGTGGTTCCATCACTGATAGGCTGTGTGGCACGGAACAAGTTATTTCATCTTCATGAACCTAGTTTCCTCATCTGACAATGGGCACAAGATTATTAAAGTGCTTAGCACAGTGCCTGGCATGCTGCAAGTGCTCAATAGATATTATCTATGGTTATTATATCAGTGCTCCTTAGTGTTTCTCTTCTGGATTAAATGTGTGTGTGTGCTCATGTGCATGTTTATATCTGGCTGAGACTAGAGCCTTTGGGAGTGTTTCTTACCCGGGGCTCAAATGTACCAGATTCTCAGAGCAAGTTTCATAGTGTCAACTATCCAATGGGAAAGGTCAAGACCCAAGAGCCAGAGAAAGGGGCTGACAGGCCAGTATCCAGCCAAGAAATTAGACATAGATGACATAGGAAACCATGGTTCAGAAGTAAACGGGATGAATGTTCTGGATAAACACCTGTGTGTCTATCAAATGCTATTACCCGTGTCTTTGCAGGTGACACTGGGATAATTGGGTGTAATAATCAGCTAAGGAAGGAATGGATAGAATTAGCCTGAAGGAAGAGAGAGGGAATGTTGCCCTACGTAAAGGAAGCAAGATGTGTGAGGGAGAGAGGCTTGGGAGAACCTGCCATGTTTTGAAGCAATGAGCAGCTTGGTAGGACCAGAGAATGGGAAACTATGCAGGGAGATAGAGGCTGAGAAGGCAATAGGGGCCAGGTATTGCAGGCTCTGGAGGTCAGGCTTAGCAATCTGGTCATCATTCTGAGCATAAGAGGGGGCTATGGAAGGAGCTGGAGAACAGGAAAGGCAGTGTCAGATTTTTGGATTAAAAAGCTCCCTCTGGCTGCCGTGTGAAGCTTGAGCTGTGTGAAGACAATCTGACAGCAGCGATTGCAATTCTGTGGGAGTGGAGAAGGTGCTTATGTTGAGCAAGGGTAATAGTTCCATGATTTATTATACTAGCGATTATGGTGATGCCAGTGTTCTGGAGCAAGTTGAAAGGCAGATTCAGGGCTCAAACCCAGTGGAAAATGTTCAGGAAGGGAAAGTTTTAAAAAGTCTTCAACTAAAAAAAAAATTGACACCGAAACAAAGAAGAAAGGGGAAATTTTCATAAAAAGAACCACCAAAGTCAACTTTGTAAAAGTAAAAATGAGAACGCGTCTCTGTGGATAACCTTTACTTATTCCAAAACTGAGACAAGAGGCACCTTCATTTTCAATATGGAAGCAAGAGCCTCCTTGTTGCTCTGGGCAACCTGTTGCTGTGATCAGCTTGTATGAAACGCTTTGTGAATATTCATCCCTCCACTGATACATGCCTTTTCATTTCCTATTACTACTGTGATAACTTCCCATTAGTTCTGTGGCTTAAAGGAACACAAATTTATTATTTTACAGTTTGGGAGGTCAGAAGGTGACATGGATCTTAATGGAGCTAAAAGTGCCACGTCAGCAGGGCTGCACTTTTTTTTCTGAATGTCCCAGCCTCTAGGGACCTGAATTCCTTGGCTCATGGCTCCTTCTTCCATCTTCAAAGCCAGCAACTGCCTCACTCCAGCCTCTGCTTCTGTCATCATATCCCCTTCTCTGATTCTGGTTCTTCTGTCTCCCTTTTTCACTCATAAGGACCCTTGTAGAATCCAGGATATTCTCCCGATCTCAGGATCTCTAATGTAATCACACCTGCAAAGTCCCTTTGGTGACGTATTTGCAGGTTCTGGTGACTAGGATATGGACATTTTGGAGGGCTGTTATCCTGCCTATTATGGTGATTGTGCTTATTATGGAATGGAAATAATAAGAAATGGGCTTACATGGCAGCGAGGCAATGTGTGGTGATGGTTAAACCTAAACTGGTGGGGCCAGGCTTCCCGGGTTTGCATGCTGTGTCTTCCAACTGCCAGCCCACTGGTCTCTGTTCACTTCCTCATCCAGCAGTGGGATGTTAATCAGACCCACCTCATAGAGTTGAGAACCAATTAAGTGCTAGTATATGTCAATAACTTTGAGTAGTAACTGGCATATAGTAAGTGCTCATTAGATACTGGCCATTTTAATCTAATGAGTGGGTATTGCATAATCCTTTTGTTCTGTGATTGCATTTAATGATTAATAGCAACATCTGTGTTGTGTATATGGGGGAATTTGTGTGTGCAGGACAAATACTTAGATGAGTATCACAATATTATTTTAAGTGAAAAAAGTTAGACACAAAAGAATGTGTGTTATGTCATTCTATTTATAAAGTTAAAGAATGGGGCTGGGCACAGTGGCTCACACCTGTAATCCCAGCACTTTGGGAGGTCGAGGCGGGCAGGTCACTTGGTCAGGAGTTCAAGACCAGCCTGGCCAACATGGTTGAAACCCTGTCTCTACTAAAAACACAAAAAGTAGCCGGGCGTGGTGGCGCAGCCTGTAGTTCCAGCTACTTGGGAGGCTGAGGTAGGAGAATCACTTGAACCTGGGAGGCAGAGGTTGCAGTGAGCTGAGATTGTGCCACAGCACTCCAGCCTGGGCAACAGAGTGAGACTCTGCCTCAAAAAAAAAAAAAAAATTTTAAAGAATGGGACAAACAAATGTATAGTCAGGATAGTGGTTTGTGGAAGAGTTTACATAGCAGGCCTGAGATTGGTATCCCTAGAAAGGCCTGCTTGTAAGGTTGGCCCTTAGCTGGCATCTGGGAACTTGGTTTTCAGAGTATTCTCCATAAATATTTAACTGATAAGCGTGGTTCACTGTGCCTAGGCAGTATGGTTTATACTGAGTATCTGCCTTGAATTTTGCTATGTGGTAGGCAAAGAGTGCCTTTATGACCAGCCAGCCCCCAGTTGAAACCCTGGATACTAAGTCTCTAATGAGCTTCCCTGGTAGACCACATTTTATACATGTAGTCTCCCGTCATTGCTGGGAGAGTTAAGTGGGTCTTGCATGACTCGGCTGGGAGAGGACTCTTGGAGCTGGCTCCTGCTTTCCTCTGGACTTTGCTCCCTGCACTTTTCTCCTTTGCTGATTTTGCTTCTTATCCTTTCACTGTAATAAATTATTGCCATGAGTACAACTATGTTCTGAGTCTCATGAGTCCTCCTGGTGAGTCATTGAACCTGGGGTGGTCTTGGTCACTCCCAATGCAGATGTTACCTGGGATGGGGGTAGATAATAGATTGAAAAAGGACACAAGAAAACCCTCTGTGGAGCTGCAGTTGTTCTCTCTCTTGATTTGGGTAGTAGAGGAGTCTGTATATATATAAAAAAATCAAAAAATCATCCTTGAGTGATACACTTGATACGATCTCTCTCTCCCTCTCTCCCTCTCTCTCTCTCTATCTCTCTCTCTCTCTCTCTCTCTCTCTCTCTATATATATATATATATATATATATATATATTTTTTTTTTTTTTTTTTTTTTTTTTTTTTGAGACAGGGTCTCATTCCGTTGCCCAGGCTGGAATGCAGTGGTGCAGTCATAGCTCACTGCAGCCTTGACCTACTGGGCTCATGTGATCATCCCACCTCAGCCTCCTGAGTCGCTAGAACCACAGGTGTGTGCTGCTATGCCTGGCTATTGTTTTTATGTTGACTTTTAGTAGAGACGAGGTCTCGGTATGTTGCCCAGGCTGGTGCCAAACTCCTGAGCTCAAGTGATCCTCCTGCCTCAGCCTCCCAAAGTGCTGGGATTATAGGCATGAACCACTGTGCCTGGCCACACTATACATTTCAATGTATGTATGTTACTTCTCAAGAAACTGATCTGCAAAACCCCAAACAAAGCTGACATCATTTCTCAGTGCAACAGGCATTGATTGACAGCTTACTCTAGATAAATATTTTTGCTGTTACAGAGAAGGGTCAAACAGCAAAAGAGGGTCCCCTGTATTCAAGGAAATTACACATAGGCTAATGGTCTTCAAACTCGCTGAAGACTGTCCACAAAGTACTTGGGTAAGGATAGTTTTGAGGCCCCTTCTGGAGCCCTCGAAGAGAGGCATGCATGTCCCTGCAGGTTCTCCCTTTCCATAAGTCCTTTTCCTTTCTCTCACTGTATAAAGGGAAGGCAGATGCCCTCACCTATTTCTAATCATATCATGGTACATTACCCATGGTTTGAAAGCCTTCTGGGTACCAAACTCAGGTCAAACTTGAGTTATCATTTTGGGAAACCCTCATGTAATTGTTAATCCAAGTCCCATAAATCTGTCTAGGACCTGCCTTTCCCCCTCTTATGTTTCCCATAGGGACCAGGTTTTGCCTTAGAAGTTGGGTATCTTAGTCCG
This sequence comes from Homo sapiens, assembly GCF_000001405.40. Lineage (NCBI taxonomy): Eukaryota > Metazoa > Chordata > Mammalia > Primates > Hominidae > Homo > Homo sapiens. The sequence continues at coordinate 26,190,294 of NC_000004.12, read as the reverse complement.
TGAAGGGATGTTCTCAATCAAGATCAATTGTAGAATGGAAAGGCAGCACCATCTTCTAAACCAGCACTGCTCTCAAAAGATTTGCTGCTCTCAAGGGAGATTTCCATGAGAACAAAGCAAAGCAGGCAGCAAATGCTACAAGTAGCTGATTTCCATATGCTTGAGAGCAAGTGATTCTTTCTAGCTACTGTATTCAGGTATTGGAACAGTGACTGCATGTAGTAAGTGCTCATTAAATATTGACCATTATTATCTGATGCACAGGTATTGTATAATCCATTTGCTCCTGTGTTTGAATTTTATTATGAATGGCAGCATCTGTCAAGTGTGTATCTGTGTGTGTGTGTTGGGTGTGTTGGGGGAACTTGTGTGTTTAAGAAAAGTCTTCTTCCTAGGACTTGTTATTAGTTGTTAAGGAAAGCACCTGACAACAGCTGAGCCCTACAGGCTAATTAATGATGCTGACTCTTCAATGAACATAGCAATGTTTTCTGGAACTATTAAGATTTCCATGATAAAACCTACAGATAGAAATTTTAGGTTATGTCTTCCAGATTTAATGTCTACTATTCCATGAGATTTTATCAAATCTATACTGTTTTTATCAAATCATACATTTTCTTTCTTTCTTTCTTTTTAGGTGGAGTCTTGCTCTGTTTCCCAGGCTGGAGTGCAGTGGTGCAATCTTGGCTCACTGAAACCTCCACCTCCTGGGTTCAAGCGATTCTCCTGCCTCAGCCTCTCAAGTAGCTGGGATTTCAGGTGTGCGCCACCACATCCGGCTAATTTTTGCATTTTTAGTAGAGACAGGGTTTTACCATGTTGGCCAGGCTTGTCTCAAACTCCTGACCCCAAGTGATCTGCCTGTCTCAGACTCACAAAGTGCTGGGATTACAGGTGTGAGCCACTGTGCCCAGTCAAAATCATACATTTTCTACTTCTTATTTGATACATGTGGCAGGTTGGATCAGTTTTTGCAGTATAGAGATGTAGTTTGTTTTCCATTAAATAACTTTATTAAATAGAAAAGTTTGAGCATGAGGGCTAATAAAATTATTTATGATTTGTTTTTAATATAGAGACAGGGTCTTGCCCTGTTGCCCAGGCAGGAGTACAGTAGCATGATCATAGCTCACTGCAGCCTCAAACTCCTGGCCTCATGTGATCCTTCCACCTTGGCCTCCCAAAGCACTGGGATTACAGATGTGAGCCCTTTGCCCAGCTATTTCTTATTTTTAAACATAATTCTCATTTACTCCCAAGGTCACACACACAGCTTAAGGAAAGACTATCTTGCCTTCTATCACATTTCTGGCTTCATAGATAACATAATTTTAATAACATACTGTATCATTTTATTGCAAATCAAGTTATGAGAAACAGCATTCTTACCCTGTTTAATACTTATAAAATTAATTAAATCAGATCTATATCAATGTAAACTTGATTGCTCTTTAGTAATCTATCTTATATGATGCATGCATAATTTATTCCTCAGTGGTTTTTATAATATTCTTCAAAATGAATATTAAGACACTTACTTAAATTGAACAATAAAGTCACACTTTTAATGACAAGGAATATATCTAATTTGGCTGACTGATTTGAAAATTAGGTTATATGATGAAACATTTTTCATCAGTTGAATAAGCCAAATCAGCAGCTCCAAGATTTTGACAAAATTTTATTTAAGGTCCACAAGGTAAAAGCATTAATGTAGTTCTACTACAAAAGATGTATGGAAATAAAAATTTTTGTTTTCTCAACTTGTTCTGTGACAGATTTAATAATATGCCTCTAAGTGTAAGGATAACTGGTAAAATAATACTTATTTAAAAGTCTTGACCTTTTTAGTATACTTCAGAGAATGAGACATTAAACAACAAATCTGTTCTCAAGTTGAATGATTTCTAATTATTTGCTTTTGACAAAATTGTAGGGAGACCTAACCAAAGCGATAGATCCTTAAGATTTATTAAGATCCTTTTATTAAAAAGAGTTCAAAGAATTGTTTGTCAGTGCTTTAAGAAAATTCTTTCTCTTCTCATCTACTTTTTTACGTGTGTGTGTGTGTATGTGTGTGTGTGTGACAGAGTCTTGCTCTGTCGTCCAGGCTGGAGTGCAGTGGTGCCATCTCAGCTCACTGCAACCTTCACCTCCTGGGTTCAAGGGATTTTCGTGCCTTGGCCTCCCAAGTAGCTGGGATTACAGGCACACACCCTCCTGCCCAGCTAATTTTTTTGTATTTTTATTTTTATTTTATTTTTTGAGACAGAGTCTCGCTCTGTTGCCCAGGCTGGAGTGCAGTGGCATGATCTTGGCTCACTGCAGCCTCCACCTTCTGGGTTCAAGTGATTCTCCTGCCTCAGCCTCCTGAGTAGCTGGGATTACAGGAGTGTGCTACAACACCTGGCTAATTTTTTTTTTGTATTTTTAGTAGAGACAGGGTTTCCCCATGTTGGCCAGGCTGGTCTTGAACTCCTGTCCTCAGGTGATCCACCCACCTCGGCCTCCCAAATTGCTGGGATTATAGGTGTGAGCCACAGTGCCCAGCCCCCATCTACTAATTTATAGGAAGGAAAATTCTCAGTGTTCACATCTATGAAAAAGAAAAACAGGATAGAAATTGTTCTAAACCTCCTCTCTTTCCAGTAGTGTGTAACAGTTATTCATGAATATATGAACTTGTTGGCAGTAAATATCTACATCCATGTAATTGAGATGTATTAAAATTACTTTAAATATTATAATTATATCTCAGAGTTAAAATATATTTATGTTGTTCTGTTCAATTGTGTACTACCAATAACTTGTGATACTTACTTCGAGAAGATGTTTTTCTTTTACATTTAGAGCCTAGTAGTCAGAGGAAAAAAGTTTCACTCACATATATGTTACAGAGTACAATAAGATGGTCAACAAAAGACTTTAACACATAAAAAAAATTAGAATAAAATCCTGAGGGGGAAGAAAAACAGAAATAACAGTTCAAAGAGATACAAGAATAATGTAAGATTTCTGACCGTAAAAGAAAAAGCTTGTTTGTGTTTTTTGTTTTCGTTTTTGTTTTTTCGAGACAGGGTCTCACTCTGTTGCTCAGCCTGGAATGCAGTAGCGCAGTCATGGCTCACCGCAGCCTCCACTTCCCGGGCTCAAGCAATCCTCTCACCTCAGCCTCCTAAGTAGCTGGGACTACAGGTATGCAACACCACACCCAGCTAATTTTTTGTGTGTTTTGTAGAGGTGGGGTTTTGGCATGTTGTCCAGGCTGGTTTTGAACTCCTGGGCTCAAGCAATCTGCCCACCTCAGCCTCCCCAAATGCTGAAATTACAGGCGTGGTCCACTGCGCCAGGCCTTGTTTGTGTATTTTTTAAAATGGGTGATAGTGAGGGGCAAATTGCTGGGGTATTCCGTGGATAATAAAGTCACTTAAAACAGTGATGCAGCTGTTTTATTTTCAAGTATAAGTTGGTATAACACATTGAGAATCTTTTGTAATCATTTAATCTTAAATAGAAATGGTAAATTAAAGTTTAGGTAAATTAGAAATGTATAAAGAAGTATAGTTTTCAGACTTGTTTTTTAGCGAATACTAGAGTGAACATTTTTGAATCCCACTTAGTTTCTGAGAGTGGACCTCAGCAGGTCTGTGAAAGCAAATGGCCAAGCCTTGGCCTGTACATCTCAGCACCTCACTGCTTGGTTTGTCTTAGAGAGGCTGCCCAACCCTGACCTCAGAGGGTCTCGCTCAGGCACTGCAAGAAAGAGAGTGGTTGGGTCCACAGGGCACAGGCAGGCAACATTGCCCTTCAGACTAGTTTGCTCAATTCTATTAAACATGACTCTTTTCTCAAAGTGTATCTACCAAATACCCATGTAGTATTCACTGTGTACCTGGCACTGTTCCAATTGCCTTACAAATATTAACTGACTTAAGCATCATAAAAACCCTATGAGTTAAGTAACAATGTTATCCCAATTTAACAGATGAGGAAACTGAGGCATAGAGAGATTAAGTAACATGCTAAAGGTCACACAGCTAATAAATGGTAGAACCAGGACTTCTTATACATTGGTCTTTTTTTTTTTTTTTTTTTTTTTAAAAAAAAGGGGGGAGCAGAAAGAAGTTACGGTATTCTCTATACTTAAGTGGATGTCTATCAGGCCTATCAGAATTCTTTGTCTTCAACATGCAGTAGTAGTTCCATTCCTGTTTCTTTCTTTCTTTTTCTTTTTGTTTTTTTCTTGAGACAGAATTTCACTCTTGTCGCCTACGCTGGAGTGCAATGGCGCCATCTCAGCTCACTGCAACCTCTGCTTCCTGGGTTCAAGTGATTCTCCTACCTCAGCCTCCTAAGTAGCTGGGATTACAGGCACGTGCCACCACACCCAGCTAATTTTTGTATTTTCAGTAGAGACAGGATTTCACCATGTTGGCCAGGCTGGCCTCAGGTGATCCACCGGCCTCGGCCTTCCAAAGTGCTGGGATTATAGATGTGAGCCACCGTGCCCGGCCCCAGTCCTGTTTCTATATCCAACCTTTGCCTGGCTTACAAATAGACTAGATTTACCTGTGGGGATCCTAGGAATCTAGTACAGAATTGAGATGCACTGGGATTGAATTTCAGTGGCCTGGTTAATGACACTGGCTTTCACAGCCTATGAATCACCATACAAATGCCTTATTCAGAAGCTGAGGTGGAGACCGAGGGACTCTGGATAATTAATATTGCAGGTCACTAGTAAAAGGCCTCAGAAAGCATCAAACCATCCCCAAAATTATTTTTCCTGGCCTTCTCCATACAACCTCGTAATTCCAGTTTCAGATGTTTGGAGTGGGCAAAATGCTCTTACGATTTCCTTTGCAGCAGTGAGGAAAACGCATTACCCTGACCGTGGTGTTGAGGAGAGAAACCATTTTTCTTCCATCTCTTGCCACTGTCTTCCAAATAACTTCCATTAAATTTGCCATTTGACACAGGCAGAGGGTGGCAAAAGAGATAGCAAGAACTTAGAGGGTGAGAAATACCGTAAGAAGTTTGCCACTTTGCAAAAGAAAAACCACTTTAAAAAATACAAGCCCTTCTTGGAAAAAAAAAAAATCCCTCCTTGATGCAAAACAACATAACTATCTTTTCTTTTTTTTTTTTTTTAGACAGAGTCTCACTCTATCCCCTAGGCTGGAGTGCAGTGGCGCAATGTCGGCTCACTCTAACCTCTGCCTTCCAGGGTCAAGTGATTCTCCTGCCTCAGCCTCCCGAGTAGCTAGGATTACAGGTGCCTGATGCCACACCCAGCTAATTTTTGTATTTTTAGTAGAGACGGGGCTTTGCCATGTTGGCCAGGCTGGTCTCGAACTCCTGACCTCAGGTGATCTGCCCATCTTGGCCTCCCAAAGTGCTGGGATTACAGGCATGAGCCACCGCACCCGGCCCAACATAACTATCTTCAAAAAAAGTTCTTCATTTATAGACAGATTGGTATCTATTACTGTGCCTTCCGACAAACTATACTTCTGGGCAACTATGGGACTTTTCCATGCCCTTAATATTACGTAGGATACTTTGGAGCTCTGAGCCAGTCCCCACATCCCGGACTTGGCCTCCCACTCCAATCTGTTATGAGGATTGACAAAGATCATGTCCTTTGACCAAAACTTGACTCAGCCTCCCCTGAGTCCTCTGCTTGACTGGTCCTGAGGTCTTGACCTTGGGCCTTTCTTTCTGTCCTTGTAGAATCCAGTTTGAGCAAGAATCCTACTAAGTCAGTTTAGGAAAGTCCCCCACCCTTGGTATCTGACCACCCTCCGTGATAGCTTATCACCTTGGCCTGCCTTCAGCAAAAATCCTATCAAGACAGGAACTCTCCATCCTTGATGTTTCGTTTTAGTAATTTTTCATCCACTGCCCCCACCCTGCTCCCTGGCTGTCAATCCCTGCTTGCTGTTACAGTCGGAGCTGAGTCCAGTCTCTCTCCCCAGTAGCAAGAACCCATTGCAGTGATCCCTGTACCTATGGCCACGGGCCCCTTGAATAGTCCACCTTGAATAGTCCACCACTTGTCTTTAACAAGTGTTTGGATACATTTTTTTTCTTTCTTTTTTTTTTTTTTTGAGATGAAGTCTCACTTTGTCACCCAGGCTGGAGTGCTGTGGTGCCATCTCAGCTCACTGGAACCTCGGCCTCCCAGGTTCAAGCGATTCTCCTGCCTCAGCCTCAAGAGTAGTTGGGACTGCAGGCACCCACCACCATGCCTGGCTAATTTTTTTTATTTTGTTTTTTTGAGACAGAGTCTTGTTCTGTCGCCCAGGCTGGAGTGCAGTGATGCGATCTCAGCTTACTGCTACCTCCGCCTCCTGGGTTCAAGCGATTCTCCTGCCTCAGCCTCCCAAGTAGCTGAGACTACAGGTGCGTGCCTCCGTGCTTGGCTAATTTTTTGTATTTTTAGTAGAAAAGGGATTTCACCATGTTGGCCAGGCTGGTCTCAAACTCCTGACCTTCAAGTGATCTGCTCGCCTCAGCCTCCCAAAGTGCTGGGATTACAGGCGTGAGCGACCACGCCCGGCTACATTTTTTCTTTAACAGGACAGACCATCTGGGCTATTATCAGTCCTGGTAAGAAGGCTGCTGGGATCAGCCAGGTCCTAGCCCACCACTAACCAGACTTAAATCTGTTAGAAAAATTTCCCAACACCTCCATTTTACTGCGCAAGATTAAATTGTCTTCTAGTTGTCTGAGTTGGGAGCATCAAAAGAACTGAAGTGAAAAACAAACTGGCTTTAGGGGAGCTGCACCAGTGTCAGGCCCTACGAATGGCATGGGAGAGCCCTGTCTGCGAGTAATGGGGCAGGTGGTTATTAACAAGAATGGACGGTTACTAACAAGAACGTGTGCTCTGACTCTTCCCTGTTATCTGCCTTGTAAAAAGGAATTGAGTACGGTCATGTGCCGCATCACAGTTTCTGTGGATGATGGGCCACATATATGAGGGTGGTCCCATCAAATTATAATGGAGCTGAAAACTTCCTATCGCCTAGTGACAATGCAGCCCAGTGTGTTACTCACATGTTTATGAGTAATGCATTGATGAATGGTGATGCTGGTGTACACACACTTTCTGCTCTGCCAGTCCTATAAAAATCTACAGATAAAACATAAACTATGTACAGTATGTAATGCTTGATAATAATAAATTGACTGTGTTACTGGTTTCTGTATTTACTATACTATACTTTTTATTGTTAGGTTAGAGTGTATTCCTTCTACTTACGTGAAAAGTTAACTGTAAAGCAGCCTCAGGCAGGTCCTTCAGGAGGTACCTAGGAGAAGGTATTGTTATCATAGGAGATGACAGTTCTATGCATGTTATTGCCCCAAAGACCTTCCAGTAGGAAGAGATGTGGAGGGAGAAGACAGTGATACTGATGATCCTGGCCCTGTGGAGGCCTATGCTAATGTGTGTGTGTCTTAGCTTTTAACAAAGAAGTTTAAAAAGTAAGCCGGGTGGTGGCTCACACCGGTAATCGCAGTACTTTGGGAGGCTGAGGTGGGAGGATCGTTTGAGCTGAGGAGTTCAAGACCAGTCTGGGTAACATAATGAGACCCCCATCTCTACAAAAAAAAAATTAAAAAATTAGCCAGATGTGGTGGGGCATGCCTGTAGTCCCAGCTACTCAGGAGGCTGGGACAGGAGGGTGGCTTGAACCCAGGAGGTTGAGGCAGCAGTGAGCCGTGATCAGGCCACTGCCCTCCAGCCTGGGTGACAGAGCAAGACTCTGTCTCAGGCAAAAAAAAAAAAAAGTTTAAAAAGTAAAAATAAATGAAAAAGTTTTAAAAAGCTTTTAGAATAAGGATATAAGGAAAATATTTTTGTACAGCTATACAATCTGTTTTAAGCTAAATGTTATTACGAAAGAGTCAAAAATTTTGTTTGTTTGTTTGTTTGTTTTTTTGAGACGGAGTCTTGCTCTTTTGCCCAGGCTGGAGTGCAGTGGCGCGATCTCGGCTCACTGCAAGCTCCGCCTCCCGGGTTCACGCCATTCTCCTGTCTCAGCCTCCCGAGTAACTGGGACTACAGGCGCCCGCCACGGCGCCCGGCTAATTTTTTGTACTTTTAGTAGAGACGGGGTTTCACCGTGTTAACCAGGATGGTCTTGATCTTCTGACCTCATGATCCGGCTGCCTCGGCCTCCCAAAGTGCTGGGATTACAGGCGTGAGCCACCGCACCCAGCCAAGAGTCAAAAAGTTTTAAAAGATCAAAAAGTTTAACATGTAAAAAGTTGCAGTAAGCTAAAGTTAATTGATTATTGAAGAAAACAATTTTAAATAAATGTAGTGTAGCCTAAGTTAGAGTGTTTACAAAGTCTGCAGTAGTGTACAGTAATGTCCTAGGCCTTCACATTCACTCACCACTCACTCACTCACTGACTCACCCAGAGCAACTTCCAGTCCTGTGAGCTCCATTCCCGGTAAGTGCCCTATGCAAGTATACCATTTTTTATCTTTTAGGCCATATTTTTAATGTACTTTTTCTATGTTTAGATACACAAATGCTTCCCATTGTGTTCCAATTACCTACAGTATCCAGTAGAGTCACATGCTATACTGGTTTGTTGCCTAGGAACTGGTTTGTAGCCTATGACTGAGCCATATAGCCTAGGTGGGTGGTAGGTTGTACCATCTAGGTTTGTGTAAGTACACTCTGCGATGTTCACACAAGAATGAAATTGCCTAGTGATGCATTTCTTAGAACATATCCCCATCATTAAGGGACACATGACTATAATAAAAGTTGAGAGACTGAAGGGAAGGGAAAGGGGAGAGGATATTCTTTGTGGCCCAAGGAGGTATGGAGAGGGAGGAAGGCTATCGCATTAGATAGGGCAGAATTTAGGAGTTATGTGTTGCTGGAGTGTTCTGAATGCGGTCTTCTTTAATTTTGTTTTGGAAGATGTAAATCAGAGATTAAAATTTTGTTTTTAAATTTCCTTTGTTTAGACTGTGCTTCTTTGGAGGTGAACTTGTGCTGATACTTGATGGGTCACGCAGACTTACAGTGAGAAACAGCTTCAGGAAAGTCAGAAGAGAAATCCGAGCAATAATTAAAAACACACGGTATTAGTCTGTTCCCAACGCTGCTAATAAAGACATACCTGAGACTGGGTAATTTATAAAGAAAAGAGGTTTAACGGACTCACAGTTCCACGTGGCTGGGGAGGCCTCACAGTCATGGCAGAAGACCAAGGAAGAGCAAAGGGATGTCTTACATGGTGGCAGGCAAAAGAACATGTGCAGAGGAACTGCCCTTTATAGAACTATCAGATCTCGTAGGACTTATTCACTATCTTGAGAACAGCATGGGAAATACTCGCCTCTATGATTCAATTACCTTGCATTCCTGACCCATGTAAATCCCTAGTCTACATTGCCCTGCATAATGGTCTTGTAGCATTTTCTAGTTATTACTGCTATTTGTGAACACATCTATTCTCCTTAACTATTAATAGTATAAACAATTTGAGGGTAGGGCATACTATATTTTATTTTTTAACCCTTAGGACCACAATGCTATAGTTTGAATGTTTGTGTCCCCCCCAGATTCATGCATTGAAATGCTAATCTCCAAGGTATTGGGAGATGAGGCCTTTGGGAGGTGATTAGGTCACAAGGGTGAAACCCTCGTGAATGGTATTAGTGCCCTTATAAAAGAGGCCCCAGGGAGATACCTCACCCCTTTCACCTTGTGAGGACACAGATAGAAGACCCCATCTATGAAGCAGGAAGTGGGCCCTCATCAGACACTGAATCTGCCGACATCTTGATCTTAGACTTTCTGGCCTCTAGAATTATAAGAAATAGATTCTGATGTTTACAAACACTCAGTTTATGGTATTTTGTTATAACAGCCCCAACAAAGAGAAGCCCTCAGGGTCTCCTACTTTCTTTCTTTTTTTTTTTTTTAACCTTTATTTTAGGTTCAAGGGTACATGTGTCGGTTTGTTTTATAGGTAAACTCATGTCACAGGGGTTTGTTATATCAATTATTTCGTCACCCAGGTACTAAGCCTAGTACCCAATAGTTACTTTCCCTGATCCTCCCCCTTCTCCCGCCCTCCACCCTCAAAAAGATCCCAGTGTCTGTTGTCCCCTTCCTTGTGTCCATGTGTTCTCATCATTTAGCTCCCACTTATAAGTCAGAACACGCAGTATTTGGTTTTTTGTTCCTGTGCTAGTTTGCTAAGAAAAATTGACTCCAATTCCATCCACATTCCCACAAAAGATAGGATCTCATTCTTTTTATGGCTGCATCGTATTTCCTGGTGTATATGTACCACATTTGCTTTAACCAGTCTGTAGTTGATGGACATTTAGGTTGATGCCATGTCTTTTCTATTGTGAATAGTGCTGCAATAAACATTTGCATGCATGTGTGTTTATGATATAATGATTTATTAATATAGTCCTTTGGGTATATACCCAGCAATGGTATTGCTGGGTTGAATGCTAGTTCTTGTCTTTAGCCCTTTGAGAAATCACCAAACTGCTTTCCAAAGTGGTTGAACTAATTTACACTCCCACTGACAGTGTGTAACTGTTCCCTTTCCTCCACAACGTTGCCAGCATCTGTTATTTTTTGACTTTTTAGTAATAGCCATTCTGACTGGTATGAGACGGTAACTCATTGTGGTTTTGATTTGCATTTCTCTAATGATCAGTAATACTGAGCATTTTTTCATATGTTTGTTGTCCTACTTTCTAAGATCACACTCATTACATTACATAAGTACTTGCGTGAATGGACTCATTTGCGACAGTTCACTTATTCATATTACTCTAGGAATGCATGGGGGATTCTGGGGCCCACCAGAGCCCCGGACCTCTTCTGTTCCTTGCAGTGGCTATGACAGCTGGGACCACAGTGGGGCTCCATCCGCATTAGTAACTCTTTGGGGAATCTGACATGGTTCTTTCTGGGGGAGCTTTCAAAAAAAAAAAAAACACAGTAATCACCTCACTTCCCACCAAAATGCAGCCAGATCTCAAGCAGAAGATGACAGCTCTCAGATAACACCATGAAACCTTTCAAAACATCTAACACTGGAGGAGAGAGTAAAGGAAAAAGGAGTCTGTCATCAGCTACCAGTGGTTGTGCTTGCTTTTTTGTTACTCTTCACTATCTTCCAACCACTGGGACTGTCTTCTAGGCACCACAGGGTGCACGCTGCATGGGTCCCTGGTGAGTGTTGTGACGTCAATTAGCAGCTGGGTTTCAGGGATGGCTGGAAAGCTCCCCTGCTTCTCCACCCTGCAGGCCGCACGTGAGGCCCAACCACAAGACAGGAACCTTGGCTTCCAAACCCGATCCTCCAAAACGTGGGCTTATATAACTTATTTGTTTATTTTTAAGCCAGCCCTGTCCAAGTGGAGAACATTTAAGATTCCCTTTTAGAAAAAATTTGGAAACCAACATTATTATTAACTAAATCAGCAAGCAACGGTTTTGTAAAAATTCCAAACGGCACAGTTCTGTGGACTTTGAGCATCCCGTTCTCGGTGGAATTACATCGCATGGTGGGTTCTCAAAATTGTTCCCGGGATTTCACTCTCACTCCCCTCCTCTGCCCCATGCAGTCTGGCCTGAGGCTAAGGGGGTCTGGGACTTCTTTTTTTTTTTTTTTTTTTTTTGATACGGGGTCTTGCTCTGTCACCCAGGCTGAAGTGCATTGGTGTGATCTCAGCCCACTGCAATCTCTGCCTACCAGGCTCAAGCAGTCCTCCCACCTCAGCCTCCCAAGAAGCTGGGACCACAGGCGTGCACCATCACACCTGGCTAATTAAAAAAAATTTTTGTACAGACAGGGACTTGCTACTGGCTTCAAGCAATTCACCTTGGCCTCCCAAAGTGCTGGGATTACAGGTGTGAGCCACTATGCCCGGCCTGGGCCTGGGACTTCTGCAGCACTGGAGCCCCCTCCATTTGATAAGGGGCCATGGAGTCCCTGTTCTATAACTGAGTCCAGTGGTTCTCCAGCTAGTTCGGTTGCTGGGGCCTCTGGAAGACACCTGCTCTTCAGAGCATGGTAAAACAGAAAACCTAAGATATATCTTTGGGTCAGATCAGATGCCACTTTATATTAGTTTCTAGACATGGGGAGACCATGTGCCAATGGTCTGATAAAAATGTCTTCAGAGATGTTCATTGCTATATTATTTCTACCTGGAAAAACACTGAAAACAATCTAAATGTTCAGCAAGAGTAGCTAATAAATTGTGGCCATTTTCAATCTATCCATCCAAGTCATAAAGATTCTTTGCAGAGTCTTTAATGATGTGAGGGAAGTGTTTATGATTTGTTAGGTTAAAACAAAAAGTGGAACACAAAGTCACATATGACGTACGAGGCCAATGGTGTTTATTACATGTGCAGAGACTTAGAAAATATACTACAATTTTAGGAGAGGTTATATCCCTGCATGATGGCATTATGGGTTGTTTTTATTGCTTTCTTTTTACTTTTCAGCATTTTCAACTTTTCTAAGATAAGTATATATTACTCTGATCATCAGAAAATAAAATGATTACAAGGTAGCTGACTTTCTTAGTGGTGATGGATTGGGGTTCACATTTTTTCTCTTTCTTTCTTTCTTCCTTCCTTTCTTTCTCCTTTTCTTTTTTTCTTTCCTTCTCTTTCTCTTTCTCTCTTTCTTCTTTTATTGAGACAGGGTCTCCCCTTTGTTGCACAGGCTGGAGTGCAGTGGTGCAATCTTGGCTCACTGCAACCTCCACCTCTCGGGTTCAAGCGATCCTCCCACCTCAGCCTCCCAAATAGCTGGGACTACAGGTGCACAACACTAGGCCCAGCTAATTTTTTGTATTTTTAGTAGAGATGGGGTTTCACCATGTTGCCCAGGCTTGTCTTGAACTCCTGACCTCAAGTGATCTGCCCTCCTTGGCCTCCCAAAGTATTGGGATTACAGGCATGAGCCACTGCGCCCAGCCCACATTTTCTTTAGATACCATTTTCCTTGGTCCTCACTGCTCTTCACCCTCTCATGTCTCCTCCAGTGACGAGCTAGAGCGAAAGGCTTGAATTTAAGATGAGGAGGATGAGATGCTCTCCTATGCACAAAGTCACAGTAATTCTCCCCGGGAGGCTTATGAATATCTAGGAGCTTATGAAGGCTTATGAATATCTAGGAGCGGCACACACCCAGTCCAGATTCCTGTGTGTAAACTCACAGTGTCACAAGTCTAAGAAGGAAAGAAACCAGACTCATGGCAACTTTACATTTACTGAATCATCTCATCTTCAGACAAGAAAAGGTTCTAGCAGGACACTCCTTCCCTCACCCTATGACTGCAGCTTCTGCACCCCTAAAAGAATGTTGACTGAAGTGCAGATAGACATCTTCAAGGTCTGGCAAGGCAGCCTGGTTCAAGCAAGGCAACTGGGCTGCACACGCTGAGCTCTGAAGGTGGTCCAGCCAAGACAGGCCTGGCTTAGGCCTTGGGCCAGCCCATTCCTTCAGTCCTTGTGGGTTTCCTCCTTGTGTTAAACGAATGTAATGTGACTCGAAGCTTCTCTTGGAGCTATGTCCCATGATCTCATCTACCACTGCCTATATACGTGGGGAAGTGCCTGCCTCCAAGCGCTGAAGCATAGTGTTGAAGGGGGACGTCAGCTGGGCTTGAGAAACAAGGCTTTTCTTGAGTGTTTACAGGAGGGGAGCAGTCTTAGTTAGCAAGCACGGTGATAATTAAATTCAATTACATCCAGCAGCTGTTTACTGAGTGATTAGCTACATTCTGAACAAGGCATTCAGGAATCCCCCCAAATTCCTTAGAGCATGCCTCAGTTTCCCCCATTAGCATCCCATCAACCTCCTTACTTTAAGACTTGGATTCTTGTGTGGTGTTGTGAAACCAGCACTGGTTTTAAACTCAGTGAGTCTGGTTGAAAATCCCGTCTCCGCTCTATCACTCACAAGCAAGTTGCTTTGTCTCCATAAGACCCATCTTCCCTGCCTTTGAAATAGGAATAATAGAGCCAGCTTCAGTGGGGTGTTTCTGAGTATAGTTGCTGGATTGAGCAAAGAAAAGTACAGACACCCAGTTAAACTGAAATGTTAGATAAACAAACTTTTTATTTGTTTGTTTAAGTATGTCCCATGTAGTGTTAAGGACATTCTTACACTAAAAAATTATTTGTTGTTTATCTAACATTCCAGTTTAACTGGGTGTCCTGCATTTTATCTGACAACCCTATTTTTGAGGCTAAAATGAAGAGATTTACCCGAAAGCCCTGCCCAGGGGCTCAGTGATTTCACTTTTCTCCACACCTTTCCCTCTTAGGGTGGATCCCAGAAGGTGCGTAACACCTTGCCCCTTGCATATCAGAGGGAATGAAGACTGTGAGCAGGTGGGTGGAGGGAAGGTCAGGATGCTCAGATAGGGAGAGCATTTACCCAATAACAGTAAGAGAGTACAAAACACAGCGCTGGCACACTGCTAAACCTCTGCCTCACGGACACCTTCAAAGACCATGGAGAATAGTGTCCTTTGGTGTGTGTGCTTGAATACGCTGTGTTTGCTGCATGTAGGTCTGTCAGTGGGAGTGACACCACAGGGCCAGAAGGAGCCCTAATGGGGACACCAACCCCAGGGAAACCCCATCTAGGCACGATCATTCCATTGACTTCAGAGGCCACTGTGGTGCACATTTGAAACAGGGACTTTCCTGGAGGTGATTTTTACACAAAAGGGGTAAACGTAACTGGGTGCCCCAGAAACCTCCCTGCAACTTGCGGGAAACCTGCGATGTGATGCGGGTCTGTACTCCTGCTCCTTTCTTTGTTTCTCTGCTCCCTCTTTGTGGCTTCTCCCTGCTGCCTCCCCCAGACTCAAATCCCCCCCCCAGCTCAAGCTCCCCCAGCTTGTAGGGTGGAGGTGGGCAGGTGGCAGGTCTGCTCTCCCGAGTCATGCACATCACAAGCTGCCCAGGAGCCCTCAGAACCTCAGGGTATAATTTCCCTCCTCTGAGCATCCGAATTCCAGGCGGGGAGCTCAGCTGTCGTCGGCTTCAGGAAATTTTTCCACCAGGATTGAAACTGGGGCCAAGAAAGCGTGGCTCTGTAGAAGACATTCTCTTCTGCTATTCAGATGCACTTTCCCTTTAGTTCAGGCATTAGAAAATGGTGCCTTTACTCAGAGTCATAGAGGAAAGTTTTGGATTTCATTACAATGAGAAAACACATGAAGAGGGGCCATCATAGGCTGCATTTCCAAATCTCTGCCATGTCTTTTTCTCATATCCCTTTCCCTTCTCTTGTTTACTAGCTTTCTTTAAGTGAATTCATTTCCCATAATTTTCTAAGAAAAATTTATTTTAAGCAGCAATATTTATGAAATCTACGGTTTGATGTGATCACATATATATGTGTACATATATGTGTGTATATATATACATTTCTCCCTCAATATATGAAAATTAATATAGGCTCTGAAATTTTAAAATGCTCATCTGGGCCGGGCACAGTGGCTCAAGCCTGTAATCCTAGCACTTTGGGAGGCCAAGTTGGGCGGATCACCTGAGGTCAGGAGTTCGAGACCAGCCTTGCCAACATAGTGAAACCCCATCTCTACTAAAAGTATAAAAATTAGTCAGGCATAGTGGTTTGTGCCTGTAGCCTCAGCTACTCAGGAGGCTGAGGCAGGAGAATCTCTTGAACCTGGGAGGCGGAGGTTGCCGTGAGGTGAGATCGCACCACTGCACTGCAGCTTGGGCAACAGAGTAAGACTCCATCTCAAATAAATAAATAAGTAAAAATAAAAATGCTCATCTGTGTATCACTTAAAACTATGTCTCTGAAACACAGCTCTAATGCATAAAGTTATCTGAAGCCAGGGATTCCTGCCTTATCATTCGGTTAACAGTAGCCAGAGCTGAGTGAGAAATTTACGCCGTGTCAGTCACCAGAGGAAGTCCTCCCCGAAGCTCTAGAAATAAGGTATTTGCATTGGCCCCATTTTAGAGATAAGGAAGCAGACTTAGGTAAAGGTCATCTCACTAGTAAGTGGAAGTCAGATTCAAGCCCGAGCTGTCTGAGTTCAGAGTCCACACAATCATCACTTTCTCCCACTTCTTGGGAAAAAACACAGGTGTTGATACCACGGCTTGCCAAGGAAAAAGCAAGCAACCGTCCTGTTGAAGAATGAATTCATTCAGTACTAAATGGTAAGTGCGTCCTTCCTGTAACTTCTAACGCATTGCTTGCAGCTACCAGCTTTCAGAGGAGTTGGATTCCAAAAGTTCATTTAAAAGCAATTTCCCAGTCTCCTTCCTCAGTGCTTCCCTACGGTACTTTGTACACACCTCTCCTATTGCGCTTATCACGTTGTCTCTTAGCTACTCACATATCTCCCTCCTTCACAGGGCTCCGGCTGCCCAAGGGCAGGGACCTTGCTTTATTTATTTTAATATGCTCAGCACCTAGTCCAGTGCCCAGCCCGTGGAGATGCAGAGTATACACATGTTGTATTAAATTACAAGTCATTTGTTTGGAACTCAGCACGCATTTCCCCAAAGAAATGCATTACAAATGGGAGTGGAAGCGTTATGTTTCCAGCCAGCCCACAAAAGTTTATTTAACCCATCTTGTAGCCTACCAAGTTATCTGGAGTCGTGGGTGGGATGAAAGATAGAAATCTTCCCCATCTCCTGGGTGTAAGGTTAGACGTAAATAAAATTTCACATAGGTCAGTGTTGGTTTTCAGCTTTCTCCAAATTGCCCTTTTTTGTCTGTATCTCCCACCTATGAGCATCTTCGTCTCCAAACTTCCTACTCAAAACCTACTGCAAGCCGGGCGCAGTGGCTCATGCCTGTCATCCCAGTACTTTGGGAGGCCGAGGTGGGCAGATCACTTGAGGTCAGGAGTTCGAGACCAGCCTGGCCAACATAGTGAAACCCCATCTCCACTAAAAATACAAAAATTAGCCGGGCATGGTGGCACATGCCTATAGTCCCAGCTATTCGGGAGGCTGAGGCAGGAGAATCGCTCAAACCTGGGAGATGGAGGTTGCAGTGAGCCGAGATCGTACCACTGCACTCCAGCCTGGGCAACAGAGCAAGACTCTGTCTCAAAAAAAGAAAAAAAGAAAGAAAAAATCCCAACATACCCTACTGTAGTCCCTTACCCCAGTTCTTTTCCAAATAACCTACTTGTCCTGCTCACTCAACAAAATTCCCATTTTCTGAGTGTGGCTGAGCTCAGTTGATTTTCAGTAGGAAAACAATCTGACAGTTAATTCTTGCTAACCTGTGAACGACTGCCCCTAATATCCTTTCACTTGCCCCCACCTCCAAAGCCAGGCATATGACTATGTGTAGCACAGTGGTTAGGATTGTGGGATTGAAAGACAGACCTGGATTTGAATCCCAGTTCTACATATAAGTTATGTAGTCTAGGCAGAGTAACATGACTTCTCTCAACCTCAGTTCTCTCACCTGTAAAATGGGAATCATTGTAATTATCTAGAGAGCTAGTGCTTTTATAACACTTCTCAGAGTTATACCATCTATCGGGCACAGTTCTAAGGACTTTAAAAGTCCAGTTTGTCTTCACAGCAACCCCATGAGGTAGATATTAATTATTATAAAGGAGAGTGACATTCCAAAAGAGATTTCTAGTGGTAAGTTAAAATTAATTATAATTTATTCCCCACTTTCCTTATTCCAAAAAGGCTTTTGAGGAAAGAACGCTACATTGATAAAATTTCTGGCAGTGTGGATAGGAAATGACAGTTATTCCCAGGAGGAGACTTTTCAGGGCTGAGACAGAGGGGATTGCTGCTAGATCGCCCGTGGCAGAAAATTTATCCTAAGAGTCTATTCCCTTATGCTGTTCCTGTTTCCACAGCTTTTCCCCTTCCTCTGCCTCTGAATGTCTAGAATCTGCAAGTGGTCCAAATTTTTTTTCTATCCCTTTCTTTCTTTTTTAATTTTTTTCACACAGCCCACGGCAGCTGCAGGGTGGTGGGGGCCAGGCGGATGGCGGCAGCTGTTTGTATGTATGGGACCTCTGTAGTCTTTCTTTGTGACTCAGGGGCTGTCTGTATATATCACGAGCTACCACCTGGCAAGACATTTAGTTCCATCCATGTTGTTGAAATGTTTCCTGGATGATATCATCAATGCACAAGGATGGAAGGAGCTTGACGATGTGGATTTCCAGCCTTCGCTGCCCTCCGGCCTTACACTGAAACAGTCTGGGGCGATTTTAACCTCCAGCTTAGCAGGCAGCCTTGGATTTGCTCTCCAGTATTTCCCACTTACCGGATCCAGAGACCTAAAGCCCATGGCATATACATCAGAACGGACCTAACAGTGTAGTCATGCAAAACCCCGAGCCTGCTGATGACAGGGGCAGGTGGCAGGTCCACTCCTCAGCCCCCTTTTGCTGTGGTGGCCTTGTGATGAAGTCACTGCACTTCTGTGGGCCTCAGTTTCCTCTTCTGTCACACAGCGGGTGGCTGTACTATCTCTACTCCCTCTGAGCTTTACGAATCTTGGATGCTCTAATAAAGGACCCAGACAGATGGCAGTTGATCCTTTCTGATGTCACCCAGGAGTGGACAGTCCTTTGTGACTATCGTAAGCCTGTTCAAATGTGTCCTCTTCCTTAAAATTGAGAATTATTCCTTTATGCTAACTATACATTTCTTGTTTTAATTTGAAATTTGTCTCACTCTGTCACCCAGGCTGGAGTGCACAATCACGGCTCACTGCAGCCTCTAACTCTTGGGGCTCAAAAGATTCTCCTGTCTCAGCCTCTCAAGTAGCTGGGACTATAGGAACATGCTACCATGCTCAACTAATTTGAGACTTTTTTTTATTGTGCAGGACTTCTGAAAATATAGATAAAATTCTACCCCATATTCTCATTACAGTGATACCTTGTATACTGTACAGTGACACCTTGTATACTGTACAGTGACATGTCTATGTTTTAACCTAGGCGATTAGTTTTCAAGGACTTAGTGGTAGTGATATTCTATTTTATATGACATTTATATTTAAGAAATATTTCATGTGAAACTCAAAACAAAAATAGGAAGAGAAATTATACTCATTTTTACAAGTGATGACATTAAGGATGAATAAGTCTAAATATCTTCAACAATATCTCATTACTAAATGGAAGAGGCACAGCGCAAACACAGGTCCTTCGACTCCAAGTCTAATGCTCAAGCCACAAGATCACGTATTAATATAAACCACCACCACCAGCCAAAACAACAGCCACCCCTAGCTGAGTTTCTGCTACATGGCACCTTACTAGGTGCTTTGCGTACAATGCCTTTAATCCTTGAAGCAATTGTGCAAAGGAGGCATTATCATCCTCAGTTTAGAGATGGAAAAATTGAAGTTCAGAAAGATTAAGCATTAAGATTTGTCTGATGGCTGACGTGTACTGAAGGTAAAATTCAAACCCAAGCCTGTTTTTTGATAGTGCTGCCTATTGCTTAAATATGCATTACCTAAAATGAGAGCCAATATCATTTAATCTTATTTCTTAAGGTCGCATAAATTATCATTTCATGAAAATACAGTTAACAAAAATTACTGATTGGTTGAATCACATTCAGCCAACTTACATCTCACTTAACTGCTCTTAAATTTTCCTGTTTGTATCATTCTGCTTCTGAGATATTCTTTTCTGGATTTTCTTTCCATTCCTTTTTTTTTTTTTTAGACAGGGCCTTACTCTGTTGCCCAGGCTGGAGTGCAGTGGCACTGCAAGGCTCACTGCAGCCTTGGCCGGCCTCCCTGGCTCAAGTGATCCTTCCACCCCAGCCTCCCAAGTAGCTGGGACTTCAGGCATGCACCACAATACCCAGCTAATTTTTGTATTTTTTGTAGAGACAGAGTTTTGCCATGTTGCGCAGGCTGGTATCAAATTTCTGGCCTCAAGCAATCCACCCGCCTCGGCCTCCCAAAGCCCTGGGATTATAGGCAGGAGCCACCATGACTGGCCTATTTTCCATTCTTTTGAAAATATATATATTTTTAGAGAAGCCAAGATGGCCGAATAGGAACAGCTCCGGTCTACAGTTCCCAGTGTGAGCGACGCAGAAGACGGGTGATTTCTGCATTTCCATCTGAGGTACCGGGTTCATCTCACTAGGGAGTGCCAGACAGTGGGCACAGGACAGTAGGTGCAGCGCACCGTGCGCCAGCCGAAGCACGGTGAGGCATTGCCTCACTTGGGAAGCGCAAGGGGTCAGGGAGTTCCCTTTCCTGGTCAAGGAAAGGGGTGACAGACGGCACCTGGAAAATCGGGCCACACCCACCCAAATACTGCGCTTTTCTGACGGGCTTAGGAAATGGCACACCAGGAGATTATATCCCGCACATGGCTCAGAGGGTCCTACGCCCACGGAGTCTCGCTGATTGCTAGCACAGCAGTCTGAGATCAAACTGCAAGGCGGCAGCGAGGCTGGGGGAGGGGCGCCCACCATTGCCCAGGCTCGCTTAGGTAAACAAAAAAGCCGGGAAGCTCGAACTGGGTGGAGCCCACCACAGCTCAAGGAGGCCTGCCTGCCTCTGTAGGCTCCACCTCTGGGGGCAGGGCACAGACAAACAAAAAGACAGCAGTAACCTCTGCAGACTTAAATGTCCCTGTCTGACAGCTTTGAGTAGAGCAGTGGTTCTCCCAGCACGCAGCTGGAGATCTGAGAATGGGCAGACTGCCTCCTCAGGTGGGTCTCTGACCCCTGACCCCCGAGCAGCCTAACTGGGAGGCACCCCCCAGTAGGGGCAGACTGACACCTCACACGGCCGGGTACTCCTCTGAGACAAAATTTCCAGAGGAACGATCAGACAGCAGCATTCGTGGATCATGAAAATCCGAGGTTCTGCAGACACCGCTGCTGATACCCAGGCAAATAGGGTCTGGAGTGGACCTCTAGCAAACTCCAACAGACCTGCAGCTGAGGGTCCTGTCTGTTAGAAGGAAAACTAACAAACAGAAAGGACATCCACACCAAAAACCCATCTGTACATCACCATCATCAAAGACCAAAAGTAGATAAAACCACAAAGATGGGGAAAAAACAGAGCAGAAAAACTGGAAACTCTAAAAAGCAGAGCACCTCTCCTTCTCCAAAGGAACGCAGTTCCTCACCAGCAACATAACAAAGCTGGACAGAGAATGACTTTGAGGAGTTGAGAGAAGAAAGCTTCAGACGATCAAACTACTCCGAGCTACAGGAGGAAATTCAAACCAAAGGCAAGGAAGTTGAAAACTTTGAAAAATATTTAGACGAATGTATAACTAGAATAACCAATACAGAGAAGTGCTTAAAGGAGCTGATGGAGCTGAAAGCCAAGGCTTGAGAACTACGTGAAGAATGCAGAAGCCTCAGGAGCCGATGTGATCAACTGGAAGAAAGGGTATCAGCGATGGAAGATGAAATGAATGAAATGAAGTGAGAAGGGAAGTTTAGAGAAAAAAGAATAAAAAGAAACGAACAAAGCCTCCAAGAAATATGGGACTATGTGAAAAGACCAAATCTGCGTCTGATTGGTGTACCTGAAAGTGACGGGGAGAATGGAACCAAGTTGGAAAACACTGCAGGATATTATCCAGGAGAACTTCCCCAATCTAGCAAGGCAGGCCAACATTCAGATTCAGGAAATACAGAGAACACCACAAAGATATTCCTCGAGAAGAGCAACTCCAAGACACATAATTGTCAGATTCACCAAAGTTGAAATGAAGGAAAAAATGTTAAGGGCAGCCAGAGAGAAAGGTCAGGTTACCCACAAAGGGAAGCCCATCAGACGAACAGCAGATCTCTCAGCAGAAACTCTACAAGCCAGAAGAGAGTGGGGGCCAACATTCAACATTCTTAAAGAAAAGAATTTACAACCCAGAATTTCATATCCAGCCAAACTAAGCTTCATAAGTGAAGGAGAAATAAAATACTTTACAGACAAGCAAATGCTGAGAGATTTTGTCACCACCAGGCCTGCCCTACAAGAGCTCCTGAAGGAAGCATTAAACATGGAAAGGCACAACTTGTACCAGCTGCTGCAAAATCATGCCAAAATGTAAAGACCATCGAGACTAGGAAGAAACTGCATCAACTAACGAGCAAAATAACCAGCTAACATCATAATGACAGGATCAAATTCACACATAGCAATATTAACTTTAAATGTAAATGGACTAAATGCTCCAATTAAAAGACACAGACTGGCAAATTGGATAAAGAGTCAAGACCCATCAGTGTGCTGTATTCAGGAAACCCATCTCACATGCAGAGACACACATAGGCTCAAAATAAAAGGATGGAGGAAGATCTACCAAGCAAATGGAAAACAAAAAAAGGCAGGGGTTGCAATCCTAGTCTCTAATAATAAGAGCTATCTATGACAAACCCACAGCCAATATCATACTGAATGGGCAAAAACTGGAAGCATTCCCTTTGAAAACTGGCACAAGACAGGGATGCCCTCTCTCACCACTCCTATTCAACATAGTGTTGGAAGTTCTGGCCAGGGCAATTAGGCAGGAGAAGGAAATAAAGGGTATTCAATTAGGAAAAGAGGAAGTCAAATTGTCCCTGTTTGCAGACGACATGATTGTATATCTAGAAAACCCCATTGTCTCAGCCCAAAATCTCCTTAAGCTGATAAGCAACTTCAGCAAAGTCTCAGGATACAAAATTAATGTACAAAAATCACAAGCATTCTTATACACCAATAACAGACAAACAGAGAGCCAAATCATGAGTGAACTCCCATTCACAATTGCTTCAAAGAGAATAAAATACTTAGGAATCCAACTTACAAGGGACGTGAAGGACCTCTTCAAGGAGAACTACAAACCACTGCTCAATGAAATAAAAGAGGATACAAACAAATGGAAGAACATTCCATGCTCATGGGTAGGAAGAATCAATATCATGAAAATGGCCACACTGCCCAAGGTAATTGATAGGTTCAATGCCATCCCCATCAAGCTACCAATGACTTTCTTCACAGAATTGGAAAAAACTACTTTAAAGTTCATATGGAACCAAAAAAGAGCCTGCATCGCCAAGTCAATCCTAAGCCAAAAGAACAAAGCTGGAGGCATCACGCTACCTGACTTCAAACTATACTACAAGGCTACAGTAACCAAAACAGCATGGTACTGGTACCAAAACAGAGCTATAGATCGATGGAACAGAACAGAGCCCTCAGAAATAATGCCACATATCTACAACTATCTGATCTTTGACAAACCTGAGAAAAACAAGCAATGGGGAAAGAGTCCCTATTTAATAAATGGTGCTGGGAAAACTGGCTACCCATATGTAGAAAGCTGAAATTGGATCTCTTCCTTACACCTTATACAAACATTAATTCAAGATGGATTAAAGACTTAAACGTTAGACCTAAAACCATAAAAACCCTAGAAGAAAACCTAGGCATTACCATTCAGGACATAGGCATGGGCAAGGACTTCATGTCAAAAACACCAAAAGGAATGGCAACGAGCCAAAATTGACAAATGGGATCTAATTAAACTAAAGAGCTTCTGCACAGCAAAAGAAACTACCATCAGAGTGAGCAGGCAACCTACAAAACGGGAGAACATTTTCGCAACCTACTCATCTGACATAGGGCTCATATCCAGAATCTACAATGAACTCAAACAAATTTACAAGAAAAAAACAAACAACCCCATCAAAAAGTGGGCAAAGGATATGAACAGACACTTCTCAAAAGAAGACATTTATGCAGCCAAAAAACACATGAAAAAATGCTCATCATCACTGGCCATCAGAGAAATGCAAATCAAAACCACAATGAGATACCATCTCACACCAGTTAGAATGGCGATCATTAAAAAGTCAGGAAACAACAGGTGCTGGAGAGGATGTGGAGAAATAGGAACACTTTTACACTGTTGGTGGGACTGTAAACTAGTTCAACCATTGTGGAAGTCAGTGTGGCGATTCCTCAGGGATCTAGAACTAGAAATACCATTTGACCCAGCCATCCCATTACTGGGTATATACCCAAAGGACTATAAATCATGCTGCTATAAAGACACATGCACACGTATGTTTACTGTGGCACTATTCACAATAGCAAAGACTTGGAACCAACCCAAATGTCCAACAATGATAGACTGGATTAAGAAAATGTGGCACATATACACCATGGAATACTATGCAGCCATAAAAAATGATGAGTTCATGTCCTTTGTAGGGACATGGATGAAATTGGAAATCATCATTCTCAGTATACTATCGCAAGGACAAAAAAACCAAACACCGCATGTTCTCACTCACAGATGGGAATTGAACAATGAGAACACATGGACACAGGAAGGGGAACATCACACTCTGGGGACTGTTGTGGGGTGGGGGGAGGGGGGAGGGATAGCATTAGGAGACATACCTAATGCTAAATGATGAGTTAATGGGTGCAGCACACCAGCATAGCACATGTATACATATGTAACTAACCTGCACATTGTGCACATGTACCCTAAAACTTAAAGTATAATGATAATAAAAAAAAAAGAAAAAAAATGAAAAAATATATGTTTTTTCTGGACCCCCTTAAAATAGCTTTACTTCATCATTAATGATGGGAATTTAAAGTGAGCATGGTGGTCTTAGAACTTGAACGATGTCCAATAGAAGAAAAGGATTCTAGTTTCCCTCCCCCTTCCCTCATTCAGATTATATATCCTAGAATCATTTTACATTTATTCATAATCCATTTTTCTGGCCATCTTACCTAGGTAACCCTTGCCTATTTTGTATCTGCATAATTCATTCATGGAAATTCTATAACTAACATCTGTAACTTCATCTATGAAATGAGGACAGTGATTCCTGTCCTGTCCATATCTCATAGTTTTGGTGACATTCAACAAAACAGTATATAGGGAAGGCACTTTGAAAGGTATAAAGAACCATCAGCATAGATAATTATAGCATATTTTGCTTTAGAAAAAGCTAAACTGCAGAAATGGAGCCAAATAATCAGGATTGTTTAGTAAGGCTGAGATTGGATGTCCAAATTTCTGTACTATTTATCATATATAAGAGGTAATAATGACATAAAGTAATCTAATTAGTCATTAAATTATTTTAAAAGAGAATTTTTTTGCATAATAAAGAGCAGTGCCCTTTTCATTCCATAGACAAACATAAAGACTAGTTCAATACAGTATAATATTATACTGTAGTTAAATACTATACTAGCTAAATACAGTATAATACTACACTATATGTATTTAACTAGTCCATTGTTTGTCTATGGTATGAAAAGGACATTTGTCTAAGTTATGCATAAAAACTAGTTAAATCCTTTCTGAGCTTCCCCAGGCCTCCCTGGTTTTCTGGCCTCTAGACTTCTGGTGGTCTACAAAACCCCACACCTTCTGGAATTGCTGTGAATTCTGCATTAGGCTTCTGACACAGAACTAGCAGATGGTCCCCCCCATTTTCCAGTAGAAAAACACATTTTTAACTCTTTTTGTGCAGTTCTATGACAACAATGAACTTTTGGAATCCATTGGCTGAGAAAATAATGACAAAAGAACATTAAAAGTTTCAGTAAAACTTTCAAATGGACTTATATTTAATTGATCACAACTGCATCCAAGTACTTTTGGAAAATACACAGGCATGTGTGAAACATTATTCTACCAGCCATGTTGTAGACATGCAGTAGATATTTGTCAAGTGAGTGCCCGAATAAGAAGAGAATAAAAATTGGCAGACAGTGCTTGGGGTACATGGGGACTTGTGACCCTTCTGTCATAACTCCATTCCTTGGCCCCTGCTCTGAGAGCCAGAGCTCAGAGCTCAGAAACCACTTGTATTGTTTCTGAAATACCTAATATACAGCAGGCACTCAATAATAGTGTATAGGTGTACAAGTGTATGTATAAGTGAATAGTATACATACTATTGTAATGTATATGTAATGTATAAGTGAATAAATAGTGTATGTATGTACAAGTGAATAAACGCATGCATGAACATTTCTGTTGTCTTTCAGCTAAATTACAATGTTGAAGACAGCTGGTATGCTGTGGGCCTTTCTCTGTCCCTGAAAATCCCAGCGGTGAGTTTCGAGACAACATCCTGCTTTCAGATGTAAACAACCAACGTGATCAGTATCACCTACCAACAGAAGCATTTTTGGAGGAGCTTATTTAAAAGAAAACATCTAAAAATTTAAATACCTAGAGGGACTATAGATGTTTTTGATTCTAGAAAATTCTTTTTGTTTCTCTGCAAGGGCACATAAAAGAAAGTATGGAGTTAGAAAACTATGAGGAGACATGAAAGGTCCTAAGAAGGAAGCAGTGTTACCGGTCTGGAGGCACGGGGAAAAGCACCTTGTCCTAGGACTGCACAGCTTATCTTTTGCAGCCTAGGCCGGATCATCTGCTGAGTGATCTAAGGCCTTATCAGAAAGAAGGCAGTATAACCAGAACACTACCATGCAGAGATTTCAATGGTAAAGGAGTTGGTTAACTTGTTACCCCTTGAGGTGGCAGTAGCAAAAAGCAATTTACTTATTCATAAGTCACGAACTAAAGCATGTTAAGTATTTTTATGGGCAACATAACATAAATAACTCATTAGAGAATTCACTTACCTCAATGATGCTGGATAGAGCAGTCCAATCATCTCAAAGAGAAACTCAATACAGGTTGTTCTTGGAGGCTCAGTCATGAAATGCCGTAGAAAGAGCCCCTTCCACCCAATCTGGTGGCCACTTTGCCTGGCAACAAAGGAAGTAAAAATGTCAGAATGAAGAGGAAGAGATTCAACATTCTCTCTCTCTAAGGGAAAAAATGCAGACACAAGTCTTTTTTTTTTTTTGTGTGTGGGGTAGAGGATTTGGATGTGCTTTGATTACAAAGGGTATCTGTAAAGACCAACATAAATTAATATTTATTGCTTCTTCTTTTTCCTTGGCTTATCCTGAAATCAGAGGCCTGATTTTTACTAATAGCAGCATGCAAAACAAATCACCAAAGGCAAAAGGAAATAAATGATGTTACAGCTGCTTTAGGCTAATTTGACTTTCTTTCATGTTTAGTGACTGCCTTGATGTTCCTGACCTCAGATGTTATTTCTGATGAGTTAAAATACTTAATACCCCAAATCCTAGGTGAGGCCTTCACCATCATTTGGTCCAGATTCCCAATCTCCTAGCTCTGAAAGTTGAGGTACGGTGATGTCATGTACCATGTCACCAGCCCAATAATCCATAATGTCATACTCCCTACAGTGCCACATCTCCAAGCTTAACCTCTTGAGCAGAGACTCAGCCTTCTGTAACATAAGCCCTGGTGACAACCATCTATAACAGGCCCTTCTTGGTCTCCCTGCCGCTCTTCCTCCAGACACTTGTGAGCCTGATAGCATACTTCATCTGTAGTGGGGGGCCTAGATGGATGTGAACTAGAATACAGTCTAGGTCCACCTCTAGGCTGTGCCTCTTCAGATGGTTTCTGAACTGTGCAGCATGGGATGAGGACATGTGCTCGGAGCCTGACTGCCTAAGACATCGTGGTCTTGCCACCTAATAGCTGTCTGACCTGGGCAAGTTATTTAACCTCTCTATGTCTCAATTTGTTCATCTGTAGAATGGGGATAATATGCCACCTCTTTCCTAGGATTCTTGTGAAGATTAAATAGATCAATACATGTGAAGTGCCTAGAGCTGTGCTGGGCACAGTTCTACAATGATAAGCACTTGGTAAAGTAACATTGAATGCATCAGTGACCAATGAAGAAAAGGGATGAATGAATTAGCAGAGTGGCCTTGGGCACAGCACGTGACCTCTCTGGCCCTTTCTAGCTTCTCTTAAGTAACATTATGGAGATCATGAACTCACTGGCCTTGCCGTAGAGTGAACAGTTTGTCCTGATTTGCTCAGTGCTTTGCTGATATTAGCATGGAAAGTCCCACATCCAGGGAATCCCCTGTCACAGGCAAAGTGAGACGGTCGGCTGTCCTAGGCCTCTGTGACCACCCTGTGTTCCAGGGTACACTAACACCCAACCCCTTGGGCCTTGAGTTTCTCTGTCCTGTGTCCCCCATCCCACTTCACCACTGGGAGTGAATCAGGGCATGCATCACAGACACTATGGATTGTTTATGCCATTTTAGCTTCCCCCATCACCTCCTTGCTTGTTGGCAGAGTCCTGATTTTATCTTTTGTTCACTCACTGAACAGCCATATGCCCAGAAAAGGTGACACTAACTCCAGTTCACCCAGATGGGGCTAGATCTTGATTAATCTAAGCCAAGTATTCTATTCTCCTTACCAGAGACTGGTTAGCAGAGGGAAGTGCTATGCACTGGGATGGTATCACCAGTTGTTAAAGCACTGAGATGTTGTCGTGACGGTCAATAATGGGATGTTGCCCACATGCCCCCTCCTCCCTACCACAGGACGTCTGTGCTGAAGGCTCTTATAATGCAGCCACTAAAGGGTGAACGTCTAGTACCACTGGGGCCTCCTGGACCCCAGCTTCAGGCCTCCTCCTTTGTTGGTGCAGTGCTGTTGCCTTTGTATCTGTTATTTATTTTATAGCTTATCTTGCCTCTGTGTGACCTACTTCTGGCTATAGGTGGCAGCAGTAACAGCTCCATCCACTTTCCTGAGGACAAGGGACCCCATAGCAGTGACTGGGATCTGGGTCAGTGTGTAGCTGCAGTGTTGGTGTTCACAGTGGCAGACCCAGTGGGATCTTTGTTAGGCTGATTCTGTGGTATGATTCTGGGTACAGCCTCTAAGCCTCACAGTGCCCTAGTCTTTCAGGGGCTGCAACCTTTTAATAAATCCCATTTCTGCTTAAATCACTATGTCAGTTTGCTTTTGCCTACACCATATCACCTAAAATCAAGTAGTGTAAAACAATCACCATTTATCTACCATGGGCCATTATTCTGGGCTGGGCTTGGCTGGGGCTGCCTGATGTAGGATGATCTTAGCTGGGATGGCTCATTTCTGCCCCATGTAGCCTGTCACCCTCCAGCAGACGACCCCAAGCTTGATCACATAGTGATTACACACTGGTGGCAGCAACCTGTGGGAGACAGTGAATGTGTATAAGGCCTCTTGAGGCCGAGGCTTGGAACTGTCACGATGTCACTTCTGCCCATTCTATTAATCAGAGCAAGTCACAAACCCAGCCCAGATTTAATGGCTGGAGAAATAACCTCTGCCTCTTGGCAGTATGGGCCAAGAACAGTAACTGGAAACATGTTTTGCCAATTACCATCATCATCCAGAGCTAGTATTTGGTACTCCAGCTGATGTAACATGGTGGGAGACCGGGCAAGAGAAACAGAAAGAGGCCCCTTTCCCCTCAATAGACTGTGGGAGAACCAGGGTGGGATCTGTCTGATAATATCCCTTTGTTTCCTCATTCTGAGAACAAAGGCCTGGTTTGAGGAAGATGCATGTGACAAAGGCAATGAAATGCCATTAGACCCTACTCAGCTTTCTTGGAAGTTGGATGTGATGGTGCCTGATTCACCCACACTCTTTCTCCTTTTACTCTGGAAATCAGTCTTGTTCTAGTTGATAGCTTCTCCATCAACCTCCTTACCAGAGAGAAGAGCAGACCATCTCCCCTACCACGCCGTGGACATGTACAAGAACTAAACTTATGTTGTTTTAAGCCTCTGAGATGTGGGGGTGTTTGTTACTGCATCATTAACTGTCTTATCCTGACAGATACATTATAGAATAAGATACTAGCTCTAGGGGACATTGCATAAAAAAAGAGTTTTGTGGGTAAATAAATCTGGGGACAATGACAAACTACCAGTTGTCCTTTGGTATTTGTCCTCCCCTGATGCATTTTGGTAAAAAACACTTGGAGTTTCAGCCTGACACTTGGGCACCTAATTGGAGACTGCATCTCCTAGATTCCCTTGTATCTGTGTTCATGTGATTGAATTCAGGCCAGTGAAATGAATTGCAGGTGATGTGTGTAACTTCTACATTATCTCCTTAAAGAGAAAGCTTCTTGGCTGGGCACGGTGGCTCACGCCTGTAATCCCAGCACTTTGGGAGGCCGAGGCGGGCAGATCACGAGATCAGGAGATCGAGACCACCCTGGCTAACACGGTGAAACCCCATTTCTACTAAAAATACAAAAAATTAGCCGGGCACGGTGGCGGGCGCCTGTAGTCCTAGCTACTTAGGAGGCTGAGGCAGGAGAATGGCGTGAACTCGGGAAGCGGAGTTTGCAGTCAGCCAAGATCGCGCCACTGCACCCCAGCCTGGGCGATAGAGTGAGACTCCGTCTCAAAAAAAAAAAAAGAGAGAGAGAGAGAGAGAAAGCTTCTTGCCCTGGACTCTCTCTCTTCCAGCTTCCTCTGCCTGAGAAATGGTAACTGCTGGTACCATCTTGAAAGCCATGGGTTGAGATGGAAGAGCCACTTGGCCAGCTTTGGACCATTCATCTCTGTACTGATATATGAAAGATAAGTTCTACCCTCCTTTAGCCACTGTACTTTAGGGTATCTTTGTTATAGTGGCCCAAGGTATGTCCTAATTAATATCACACTATATCTTCCTCTTGGAAATTCATGGAGGTACTATAAACACGCTGAAGGTTCTAAGGTGTCCTGCACAAGGTAAACAGTTCAAATCTTATTGAATGAAGAAATTCTTCTTTTTATGTAAAACTTATTGATATACACACTTTGGGAAATTTTCTCACAGAGATAGTCCTAACACATAGTTGTTCTTTGGGAAGTACTGGGATAGAGACATCTTGGTAGCTGGAGAAGGCTGTGGAGTTATCATTTCTAATCATTGTTAATAAGGGGCATGGCATCATCTATCCCCACCCCAACTCAGCTTCTCCTCCATTCTTCTTGGAAAAGCATCCAGGTGGTGGAAAAACTGGAACTTGTGCAACAAGTCTGGACTCAAATCAAGACTCTTGTGACCTTAGACCTCCTCCTTCACCTTTCCAGGCCTCCATTTCCTCAGATGTAAAATGAGAACACTGATATCTACTTCACAGAGTTGCTTGGATCTTATACATGAAAGTGTCTAGCATATGAGTATCTCCTACCTTCTTCCTGTTTCTTTTTGCCTTCTCCATGTACTTCCCATCAGGGTCTCACAGTCCTTCTAACAAAGTTCATCCTGAGGTCTCTAAACCCTTTCTTCCCAAGTAAAAGTAAAATGATAGATCATTTTAAGGAATGACTATTCCTCATAGTATCTGCATTCTGAAAGGGACTAAATTGAGAGAGAGAGAGAGAGAGAGAGAGAGAGAGAGAGAGAAAGAGAGAGAGGGAGAAAGTCTTCTTAAAAGTCACAAGGAAAATTATTAGCTCCCTTTTGGGCTGCAGGATATTCAGGAAGAGAAGTGGCTTTTAGTTCCTCATCTTTCAAGGATCTGAATGGCTTTAGGCAAGTAGTGAAGAATCAGAACTGCTTGTGGGTTTTCCTGGTAAAGCCAAGGATGACACATGGTTTTACAATTCAAGTTAATTAGAAATAATTCAAAGTCTACACCATTGACAGAATTCTCTTTCATTGCCAGGTCTGCAAATCAAGAGAGAAAGTAGGCAGAAAATTGAGCCAGAAGGACTCATATATTGGAGACTCCATGAGGGTAAATTTGGCGCCTTCTCTTCACTTTTTCTTCCTCTGCAAAAGCCAGCATGGTGCTCTGTGCACAAGGAAGGTTTTAAGCATACTTACTGACTCCCTTTTCCTCATCTGGAGGGTAAAGCTCTTCATAGGGGGCTTTTATTAATCAATAATTTTGTAGTACAAGTAACAGAAACCAACTCTAGCTATCTTGAGGGTAAATGCAATTTATCCGAAGGATACCAGGGAAAAACATCAAATCTGAGGAACTGTAGAATAACCAGGCCTTGAGAAGACTAGAATCAAGACAAACTTGGAGACCTCAGCAACTGAAGTCCATGGGCCATCCACCTAGAACACTGTCCTGATGTGACAGGGAATGTGACTGGTCCATCCTTAGACAGTCTCCACCCTTGATCAAGTGACTATGGCCAAGGTAGCAGGGCTGCTGGGAGCCTACACCAGTGACATAGGAGATAGTGCCTATAGGATGAGTATTTATTATGAACCAAGCAGCCACCCACAGAATCACCCATTGTAGATTTTGTGCATAAAAAATCACTTCAAAACTGGTTTTAAACAACAACCATTTTACTTGCTCATGATTCTCTGGGTCAGCAATTTGGGCTGGGTTCAGCTAGATAGTTCATCTGTTGGTTTCACTTGCAGTCATTCCTAGGTTGTAGCTATCTGGTAGCTCAATTGAGGCTAGATCATCCAAGATTATTTTGCTAACATGTCTGGAAGTTGGCATTTGTTACCAGCTGGAAAAAACCTGTTGTTACCATGTGACTTCTCATTGTCTAGTAGGCTAACCTAAGCTTACATTGTGGTCTCAGGGAAGCAAGAGAGGGCAGACCCCAGTGTGCCTATGCTTATATCACATTTGCCATTGTCCTATTGGTAAAAGTGAGTCATACAACCAAGCCTAAAGTCAAGATGTTGAGAAATAAACCATCCTAATGGGAGAAGAGTTGAAATCACATTACAATAAGGAATGTAGAAAGGGACTGAAAAAGTTTATGGAAAGTTTTGCAATCCAAACAACCTTATACTGGCTTCCATCTATATATATTCCCTAAAGCATAATTAATTTTTAAAAATCTTTTGATTTTTCTTTGAAAGTAAATAAGCTGCTTAATCAAATTTATCTATAGGAAGATTTAGTTTTCCTTTTTATCTTTTTCATTTTTAGTTTTTAGAGACAGAGTCTTGCTTTGTCACCCAGGTTGGAGTGCAGTGGTGTGATCATAGCTCACTGTAACCTCAAACTCCTGGGCTTGAGTGATCCTTCTGCTTCAGCATCCCAATTAGCTGGGACTGCAGATGTGTGTCAACATGCCTGGCTAATGTAAAAAATTCTTTGGAGAGGTGGGGTCTCATTATGAGTTGCCCAGGCTGGTCTTGAACTTCTGGGTTCAAGCAATCCTCCCGTCTTGGCTTCCCAAAGCACTGAGATTACAGTTATGAGCCACCTCACCCTGCTGGATTTAGTTTTTAGTTTTGGGGGTTTTTTTGTTTGTTTGTTTGTTTTTGTTTGTTTGTTTGTTTGTTTTTGACACAGGGTCTCATTTTGTCACTCAGGATGGAGTCACAGTGGTGTGAACCTGGCACACCACAGCCTCAGTCTCCCTGGGCTCAGGTGATCCTTTCACCTCAGCCTCCTGAGTAGCTGAAACCAGAGGCACCTGCCACCACACCTGGCTAATTTATGTATTTTTTTTTTTGTAGAGACAAGGTTTCACCATGTTGCCCAGGCTGGCCTCCAATTCCTGGGCTCAAGCAATCTGCCAGCCTCTGCTGCCCAAAGTGCTGGAATTATAGGCATGAGCCACTGTGCCTGGCCCTGGATTTAGTTTTAATTAGAAATTATAACCTATGCTGGGCATGGTGGCTCATGTCTGTAATCCCAGCACTTTGGGAGGCCGACGTGGATGGATCACCGGAGGTCAGGAGTTCAAGACCAGCCTGGCCAACATAGTGAAACCCCATGTCTACTAAAAATACAAAAATTGGCTGGACATGGGCTCTACTAAAAATACAAAAATTAGCTGGACATGAGTGGTGGGCACCTGTGATCCCAGCTACTCAGAAGGCTGAGGCATGAGAATGTCTTGAACACAGGAGACAGAGGTTGCAGTGAGCTGAGATCGCACCACTGTACTCCAGCCTGGGTTACAGAGTGAGACTCTGTCTCAAAAAAAAAAAAAAAAAAAAAAGAAAGAAAAGAAATTCCAACCTATATAGTTATAGTTTTTGGAGTAAATCCAAAGTATAATAGTAAAAACAAACAAACAAACAAGCCTGGATAAATCCTTAGCCTGCTGCTTGAGACTCAGTCTGACAGGTTTTGAAATGTAATTCTTGCTCAGCTGGTATTCATAAATATCAGATTGTCAACTTGACTTTACACTGCATTAACAATAACAGTAATCATTTATTGAATACTTACTGTGCACTAGGTATTTTTATACAATACCTCTAATTTTTGCAATACTCTGTCAAATATGAGTTATTATTCCCATTTGATGGTTGAGGCACTGCAACCCACAGGTTAAGCTTCCTGCCTCCATTAACAAGTTGTTTATGTCAGACACAGTATTTGAATCTGGCTCTGTCTGACTCTATGGGCACTGTCACTGCCCCTTTCTGCCTCTCAGTGATGTATGTTTCTTTCCAGGAGACCTGGATTACACAGATAAAATGGGAAAGGAACACCTACCATGCTTTCTTCTCAACATGGTCAATTTCGTGATTGGAGAGAAAATTTCAAACTGCCAATAGTGAAATGAAACTTCTCTCCTCTGTACCTTCACTGAACCTGCAGGTTTTCTCTCTCTGACCTTCAACCTTCCACTATGGAAGGAGTTGTATGTTTGACAAACTTTCCTTACTTTAACCCTCTTAAGAGAAAAGGTCACCTGCAATCCCAGCACTTTGGGAGGCTGAGGTGGGCAGATCACTTGAGGTCAGGAGCTTGAGACCAGCCTGGCCAACATGGCAAAACCACACCTCTACTAAAAATACAAAAATTAGCCAGGCGTGGTGGTGCATGCCTGTAGTCCCAGCTACTCGGGAGGCTGAGGCAGGAGAATCGCTTGAACCCAGGAGGTGGAGGTTGCAGCGAGCTGAGATCGTGCCACTGCACTCCAGCCTGGGCAACAGAGCAAGACTCTGTCTGAAAAAAAAAAAAAAAAAAGAGAGAGAGAGAAAACTAAAAAGAGAAAAAGGTGAGCAGCTCAGTGACCCAGAGGGCATGTGCCTGAGGCTGAATCTTAGGTCCCCTGGCTCCCCACCTCAGCCATGAAGGGCTTAAGGGCTGAGAGGCTAAGAAGAAGATGGAAATGGCGCTCAGCTGGTCACTTAGAAAATGTTTTTATATCTGTAAGAGTTAGCTGGAAATGGTCAAAATATGTACTTTTTCTTTCATGATTTCATGTAATAAGTAATGGTTGGGATTAATGCATACAAGTACAGGTATTCACCCCTCCTTTCCAAAAGAGAGTGATCCATATGTTTGCTAGGAGTTGAGTATTTGAAGTTGTTTACATTTTCCTCTTTTAATGATATTCCAAAAAGTAGTTTCCTAGACTGAGCCTGTGGCTTGTTTAACTCTTAATATTCTTTATGTCCAGCCCTGATATGGTTGGGAAGTGTGTCCCCTCCAAATCTCATGTGTTCTCAGTATTGGAGGTGAAGCCTGGTGGGGGGTATTACATCACGGGGTGGATCCCTCATTAATGGCTTCACACCATGCCCTGGGTGATAAGTTAAAGCAAGAGCTGGTTGTTTAAAAGGAGCCTGGCACCTCTTCCCCTTTTTTGCTCCCTCCCTTGCTATGGGACACACTGGCTCACCTTTGCCTTCCTCCATGATTATAAGCTTCCTTAGGCCTTGCCAGAAGTAGATGCTGATACTATGCTTTGTGTGCAACCTGCAGACCCTTGAGCCAAAAGAACAATTATAATTACCCAGTCTTGGATATTCCTTTATAATAACATAAATGGACTAACACAAAACCTGTTTTCAAGCCAACCAATCTTCATTTTAAAACCATGTTCCTGAGAACAGATGTGTGTTCAGGTCTGAATAAGATCAGATAGCACTTCCATCTGGGACCACAGCAGCATGGAAGGGATAGGGAGGTTAGGAGCAAAGGGCAAGAGCAGGCAGAAAAGCAGGTGAGTCCACACGGTGTTTCCCTGGTAAATTCCTACGGGAACGAATATTCATTGAGTACCTATTACATGCCAGACCCTGCACAGACACTTGTCAGAATGATGCCTTTTATACCCTGAATTACCCAGTGAGGTAACCATCATTATCTTATTTATCCTGTTTTACAGATGGAGAAAATGCAGCAACTTGCCCGAAGTCCCAAATCTGGTAAGTGGCAGAGCCAGAGCTTGAACTCAGGTCTCTATCATTCCAAACTTTTTGTTCTTTCTGTTCCCCGTGTTATGATTGCCTCCACCCACAGAGTGGAGGGGAGCTCTTTGTATCTTTGTTTGTCCTCTAAAGGAGAGATGGCAGAAACTCTGGTCAGCAGCTGAGCGGGAGTTCTTAATTGGGGAAGGAGTTAACAATGAATGGGGGAATATCAAGCAAGTTCCAAATACAGATTTGGAGTCCCTAATCCAAAAATCTGAAATCTCAAATGTTCCAAAATCTGAAACTTTTTTTTTTGAGAGGGAGTCTCACTCTGTCACCGGGGCTGGAGTGCAGTGGCACGATCTCAGCTCACTGCAACCTCCGCCTCCTGGGTTCAAGCGATTCTCCTGCCTCAGTCTCACACGATGCACAGGTGGAAAATTCCACACCTGACCTCATGTTATGAGTTGCAGTCAAAACACAGGTGCACAATGGTGAAGATGATGTTAACACTGCAGAAAAACGGCCTAAGTTATAATATGGTAAAAATGTATGATGGGTTTGTTGAAGGACTAGAGCTGTGTGTGCCTTCATAACAGAACAAGAAATCATGTCAGCTTATAAAATCAAAGAGAGACCCCCTAAGACAAAAACCACTGTTACTAAGGCCAGTGACACTGGAGGAAACATTTGAAAAAAGCTATCCACTAGCATGCCTCTTCATCCTTGGAGGACCCACATCCTGGTCCCTCAACTGCTTCCAGTGTTTCTCCTCACCTAAAAAATAGAATACAGTGTACAGTAATCTTTTAATCAAAACACAGCATCACAGGTGGAGACTGAACGCCTGCTGTTATCTCTTGCTGTTGTTTCACAGCTGATGCAGGTATTCTGGGCATGCTACTGTGCTGCTTGGTTACCCTGAACACTCTATTTTTTCACTGCATTAACGGTTTGTCATGTTTTTTACCTTAAAATTCACACTTATGTGTGAATAAATGTAAGAAAACAGTTGCTTCTCAGTAGCATCTACATTCAGAGTCAGGAATGATGGTGATGCCAAATAACCACAGATTGTCCACATGGGTGGCTGAGCTAGGGTCACCTTTGCTTTCTGATGGTTCGATGCACACAAACTTTGTTTCATGCACAAAATTATTTAAGATACTGTGTAAAATTACCTTCAGGCTATGTGTATAAGGTGTATATAAAACATAAAATAATTTCCTGTTTAGACTTGGGTGCCATCCGCATGGTATCTCATTATATATATGCAAATATTCCAAAATCCCAGACACTTTGGATCCCAAGCATTTTGGATAAAGGACACTTAACCTGCACTTCTACCTCTTTTGCCCACTCCCAGAGTGTTCATTAGATGATTGGTCATAAACTGGGGCAGTTCATACTATTTTCTTAACTTTGTAAGTTGCATACATAACATCTGACAGTCTCACAGTGGTTGGCAAATTCATTCCACTCTTTTCAACTTCTCAAGCTCTCTGTCTTCAAGAACTGAACAAGGATTCAATATGGATTAGTGATTAAGAGCTTGGGCTATGGATTCAGAACAACCTGGGTTCAAGTCCTGGATCTGCTCCTTACAAGCTGTGTGAGTTGAAACATCAATTTAAAAATTGAGGTAAGAATTCTTTATACAAGTTATGAGCTCATTGTGAGAATTAATGAAGATAATATGTAGAAAGTACTTAGCATGGTTTATGCACATAGTAAGCACTTATTAAATGCTGCAGATGAACTATCCTGGCTTTACTATGTACCAGTTATGGGATCTCATGCAAGTTTTCCCATCACAAGGGGCTAGGCCATGCTGCTGTAACAACAATCTGAAAGCATCAGTGGCTTACAACAAAGAGGGTCCATTGCGGATTGACTGAAGCTTGGCTTCTCCCATTCTCTCTAGTGTTCAGGGCGTACCTGGAACATTGCCAGTCTACGTGGTGGATGAAAAAGACAGATGGCAAACCACGTGCTGGAAGACATGTGTCAACTCTGTCTACACGTCACTAGCCAACACAAGTCCCATAGCCACTCCTGAATTCAACAGTGCAGGAGTGGATAGTATTCCTCCAGAGTGGGGTATTGAAAGGAAGAAAATTGTAATGTTTTATCATAGTGTATAATTTGCCAGCTATTTATTCTGAGCCCTACCACTCTGTAAACTTTCTGGCACAACGTAGGCACTTTTGAATGAGAATCTTATTATACTGTCAACTGTTCTAGGGGCCCCTTCTGCTCCCAGTTTGCCATAAAGAGGCGTCAGACCCCAAAAGCCCAATTGTGCCTTATTTAGTTCAACATCTGGAGAGGCTCAGCTGTCCCACATATTTGTTCCTAAATCACTGAGTTGCTCACTGAATTGGCTGCCGACCCACCTTTTCCAGACAGGAGAAGAGGAAAAACTTATTTGCGAAGAAAAAGAGAAGGCTCCTCTTGGCCAGGCCAAGGCCTCCTTTGGAGATGGGCCATAACAAACAGAGATTTGTAATGACTAGGATACCCTAAACCGATAGTAAAATGGAAATCCACAGGATCAACCCAGCAGAGGGACTGGGTAGTCGGAAGGCTGTCATCGGCCGGTGGTGTGACCTCAGACAAACTCCTTTGCAGCTCTGTGCCTCAATTTCTTCCTCTGTAAAAGGGAGGTGGTGGTGGTGGGGACAGTGACTCTCTCAAAGAGCAGAGATGAGAGTAAAATATCATATCCATGACCAAGTCACAAACTATAAACACTATTCCACAACAGTTTAACAAAATGGTTAAATCTAACAAAAATAGGACAGGATATGCAATATATCTGACTTTAACAATAATTTGGTAGTAAATATGGAAGGAGTTGAGGGCCCAAAACACAGAACATATTCCCATTTCTTGGAGATCTTCAGCAGATCACAAAAAAGAGAAAGTTAGATTACTTGGGTGTTCAATTTGCTGGCAACCATTTTATGCTATAATTCAGCATTAGTCATGGCTGACTAATTTTTTTCTCTAGAAAATTAGATGGAGCATGTAAACACAAAGGCACAGCACAGCCTCCTGGAAAAAACCCCAAATGCACTGAGTCTTCGGGCAAGACTGAGGGATCAAAGGCCAGGTGGGCTGCCTGCTCTGCTGCTTCGGTGCCATTTGGTATCATTTCCGTATTTCACTCAGTTGGTGTTGCTCAATTTCCACTCCCTCCATCATCAAAAAGTATTTTTAGAGCCTTTCATTACAGGAAATCTTTGGCGTTGTTCTCAGGGCTGCTCATATAGGGGAACATGTTTTCCATTGTCAGTATATCCGTAAATAAAGACTAGCAAATGCATCTTTACATCTTGGAGGGCACATTTACTCTTGTCTGATGCTGCATGGCATACTGAACCATGGGAGAGGACCAGAGCAAAGATGTGATGAGCTTTCTCACTAGTGTAAACATGGCTCAGGGGTTGACCAAATAGGTGGCTTCCTACAAACATTTCCCTCACCCCATGAGACCGGGGTATGTGCTCCTGCTTTGTGTTCTGTGTCCATCACTGTCCTTGGCCCATTGTGTACCCTATGGACTTAATCATGTAAGTGTTTGCCCTGTACTAGCCACTGTTTTAAGTTCTTTCAGTGTGTTAACTCATGAGACTGTTACAACAATCCCTTTTTTTCGGATGGGAAAACTGAGTCACAGAGAGGTTGAGTAGCTTCCGTAAGGCTGCACAGCTAGGGCTACTCTAAGAATTAAGTGAGTTAATGTCTGCAAAGTGCTTTATGCAGCGCCCAACACACTGTAAGTGCTCTACAAGTGTTTGTTAAGTAGATATGCAGAGTGTAGGCAAAGCCATACTACTAAGGGGCTAAACATGGTTGCACCCAGTGGGGGTGAAAAGGCCTGGTTTCCAGCCTACCACTGTGACTCTGCCCTGAAGTGAGATCTTGGCCATGTTGTTTGGCCCCTCTAGGACCTGTGGTTCTCATCTGTAGGATGCATCTGATGATTAGGTAGGCTTTCTCAGGTCAAAGCATTACTGGTTGTGCAACACGTGATAGGGAATGCAAGCATAGGGAATATCACTAGATAATTTACCATGGACATCCAATTTTTGGAACAGCCTTGGGGATGGGGGCCTGTTTGTGAAATGGAAGAGTTTTTCCTACTGAATTCAGAAATTTATCTGATAAAAAGGAGCTCATTTCAGAGACATGTGTTTCTCTAGAACCTTGTAACCAGAGGCAGTGATAACATCAGAGGTATGGTTCAAGAATGTTACAGTGTGCAGGAGTTTTTAAATGCTAACTGCAATCTCACTGGAGAGGCTAAGAAACGTAAATTCTGCCTCTTGGAGTCTTGGGGCATAGCTGACACTGGAGAAGTTTGGTAAAGCTGGCAAACCTGGAGGAAAAGTCGGGAAGAAAGTTGATGGAGGAGAATTGGCCACCAGTGTGGCAAAGACATATGTCTTAGTCTGGTTTGTGTTGCTATAAGAGAACACCAAAAACTGAGTAATCTACAAAGAAAAGAAATTTACTTCTCATGGTTCTGGAGTCTGGAAAGTCCAATAACAAGGTGCTGGCACCTGGAGAGGGCCTTCTTGCTGTGTCATCCCATAGTGAAAGGTGGAAGGGCATAGATCATGAGAAAGAGAGAGAGAGAGAGCTGAGCTCACTTTTGTAACAAACCTACTCCCAAGATAATGACATTAATCTATTCATGTGACCTAATCACCTCTTAAGGATCCCACTTCCTAGTACCACCACATTGGGGATCAAGTTTGCAACACATGAATTTTGGGGAATACATCCGAACAATAGCAGCTTGGATTCCCCACTCACGGATACCTTGAAAGTAACACTGCTTAGTACTATTATCGATGATAGTAACCTTTGCCAAGTCCATCCAGCCCTTCTACCATTATCTCACTTGACCAGAGGCAGGACAGTAATAAATTGCCCTCCACTTGACAAATCACTGAAGAGAGGCTCAGAGAGGTTCAGTGACTTGCTAAACTTTTCACAACATTGAAGTTGGGGAGTTATTTAAACTTGAGATTCTAACTCCCTAATTCAGGTTTCTTCTCAGCCCTCAACAATGTCATGTATGTGACCTTTTCCATTTCCCTTATGACTCTGGAAAAACTGCTTCTCACTTCCTTCTTAAACTGGGCTCTGCTAATATCAGCCCTTCTTGAAGCACTTCATGGCAGGGCCAGTGAGGGAAATGTGGCCCCACTCTTCATGTTTCCATGTTGTGGGGAGACTTCACCACACTCCCAGTAGAGAAATATATGGAAGAAACACTTCTGCTACTTACCACTCTCTTTTTCTTTCTTCCTAGAAAGATAAGTAAATTTCTCAGGGGAAAGGTCTTCCCACAGTGGTCCTGATGGTCTTTTATTGCTCAGTTTCAGAGCATCCTGTTCTCTGGAGGCAGGCATCTTGGCTTCTCTGTAGAAACAGACCTGTGGTTTGGGACTCCAAATCATTTTCTGGAAGATGGTTTATCCCTAGGTCTTCAATCAGAGAAAGGTGTTCAGATGCCCAACAGGGTCTTTGACAGAATCTTCTCCAGTCTCCAGACAAACTGCCAGGAATAGCACTGCTTTTTTGCTATTTCTGGCAGGTCCCTCTGTCTATCTTTCATTTGGATTAGAGTAGACCATGTCCTTTTCCTTTAAACACTTTTTTCTTCTTGCTTCTTCTGATGCCCAATTCTATAAGAGTTGTCTGCCATGTTCACTTGACCTCTCCATCTCAGTCTCCTTGGCAGAATCCTCCTCTCACACTTGCCTTTTACTTTGAAGTCTGTCTTGAATCCCATTTTCTTTTCTGTGTATACATCCTCTCTGTGACCCCACTAGTCCTTTGTTTGAAGTACCTTCTACATGCTTTTCCTACCTAGTTCTTCAACGCTGACCTCTCCGAAACACACCAGACTCATAGCCACCTGCCTGCCTGACATTTCCTCCTGTGAGCCTAATGAACTTT
The DNA here is from genome assembly GCF_000001405.40 of Homo sapiens. Taxonomy (NCBI): domain Eukaryota; kingdom Metazoa; phylum Chordata; class Mammalia; order Primates; family Hominidae; genus Homo; species Homo sapiens. The sequence goes on along the minus strand of NC_000004.12, from coordinate 26,148,286 downwards.
GAATGCTCACTGGAAAAAATCCCAAATTTTAATTTCCTTAAGTAGTTCATCTCACAGTCTCTCCCTCTTGGTAAAAGGCACTACTATCTAGCCAGTTGCTTAAGTGAAAATCTAGGTGTTCTCTTGGATTCCACTCTCTCTCCCTTAAGTTCCACAATCCATCAAGAAGTCCTATAGACTACTTCCAAATCTTCTTCTTCTTTCCATGTCCTCTACCAGTGGTTCGTAAATGTTAGTATACACTAGAATCATCTGAGTGGGCCTGTTAAAACCAACTTGCTGAGCCTCAACTTCAGAGTTTCAGTAAGTTCAAGGTGGGGCCTGAAATGTGCATTTCTAACAAAGTTTGCAGATGTTGATGCGCTGGTCAGGAGCCATACTTTGAGAATCACTGTCCTATACAACATTACCAGCCCTATCAGGCCTTCCATGATCCCTCACCTAAACAAATTACTGCAACAGCCTCCTAATTGGGATCTGTATGTTTACTCTTATTTGATTTCATGGATTTTTATTGTGTTTTCTGACCTCCCAGTACTTTTTAAAAAGTTTTTCTTGGAGAATGGCTTGAACCCAGGAGGCGGAGCTTGCAGTAAGCCGAGATCACGCCACTGCACTCCAGCCTGCGACAGAGCGAGACACTGTCTCAGAAAAAACAGAAAAAAAAAGTTTTTCTTATATTTGGGAAAATTCCTCCTTTGGGAGTTTCACTCTCTGAAATTTGAACCTAGAAAACTCAAATTCCCAGCTTCCTTTGCAACTAGAATGTAAGCTGGTGACCGAGGCTCTGCCACTTGGTATACCTGGGAGAAGTTGATTCGGCAATGGTGAGCAACTTGAAGAAGGAAGATCACTGCAAACTCCTTGTTTTGCGGGGGCAAAAGCAGAGGTAACAGACTTTGAAAGTGACCGAAGTAGAGTTCCACACACAGAAGTGTCAGCAACAGGGCATCAGTAGCAGGGGTATCCTCCTTGTGGTTTTAGGAATTGTCTCTGGACCCTTGACCCAGAGTCCTGTTTTTCAGGGCCTTCAGATCTGTGAGCTTTCCAATGTCCTTTTAAGATAACTGTCTTTCTGCTAAACAAGCCAGAGTCAGCTTTACTGTTTGCAACTAAGAACTCTGAGTGGTACATTTTTTGGAATGCATTTTCTACAATGGAACTCACACACGTGTCTGATTCAATCACGCTTGAGGGCACACAACCTCCTCACCTCGGCTCAGAAAGCCCTCCAGGACCATGCCTTCCCTTCTGCGGCCACCTCATTGGGCAACTCCCTCCTCCTTTCCTACTTTGACGGAGCCGTTGTTCCTTTCCTTAAACATGCCAAGCTCGTGCCACACTCAGGGCCTTTGCACATGCTGTTGCTTCTGCCTGGAGGGTGCTCCCATTGGATCTTCAGGTGCCTGATTGCTCGATTTGTTTTATTTTGTTTTGCTTTTCATTCAGAGCTCAGATTGCTCAATTTAAATGAGCAATCTCTGTAGAGATCTCTTTCCTGACTGACTACACAATCCAACATGGTCAACATATCACAGTAGTTTGCTTTTCTGCAGAGCAGGAATCACTGTTGGATATTTTTCTTATGTGTTAATGTTTATTATGGGCCCCTCATACTCCTCAAAGAAGATAAACCCCATGAGAGCAGGAGTTGTGTTTACAAATATTTTCTCCCAGTCTTGTGCTTGTCTTTCCATATTCTTAATGGTGTCTTGTGAAGCACAAAAATGTTTGAGGAGGTCCTACTGATCAATGTATTCTTTTACAGGTCACACTTGGGGTGTCATAACTATGAAATCTTTGTTTAACTCAAGGTCTTGAAGATTTTCTCCTGTACTGACTTCTAAATGTTTTCTTGTTTTAGTTGTTACATGTAAGTCTATGATCCGATTTGAGTTAAATTTTGTATATAGTGTGAGTCAAGGGTCTAAGTTCATCTTTTTGCATGGGATAGCTGATTGTCCCAGAACCATTTGTTAAAAAGCCTCTCTTTTCCCCAGTAAATTATGTTGGCACTTTTGTTGAAAATCAGTTGACCAAGGCTGGGTGCACTGGCTCATGCCTGTAATCTCAGCACTTTGGGAGGCCGAAGTGGAAGGATTGCTTGAAGGCAGGAGTTCGAGACCATCCTGGGCAACATGGTAAAACCCTACCTCTACAAAAAATGTTTTTAAATTTAAAAAGTAGCCGGGCATGGTTGCATGTGCCTACAGTTCTAGTTACTGAGGAGGCTGAGGTGGGAGGATTACTTGAGCCCAGAAGGTCAAGGCTGTAGTGACCTATGATCATACGATTGCACTCATCCTGGGTGGCAGAGTGAGATCCTGTCTCTAAAAAACAAACAAACAAACAAAAAATTGACCAAAATAAAAGAACTTATTTCTAGACTCTCAAGTCTGTTCCATTGATCTATGTGTCTATTTGATGATTTTCTTTGGTATCATTTGTCTCTTTAATCCTTCTGAAATTTATTTTGACTCATAGTAGAAGTTTAGAGCCCAACTAGAGGTTTTTCTCCTCAAAAGAGCTAATGAAGATCCCAGCATCATTTATTAAATAATCGTCCTTTTCTCCATTGATTTGCCCCATTTATCAATGGTTAAAAGACATTTACCAAAACCTCCTCCGTATTATTCTGACTGGTCCCAGTTCTTCCCACCCAGCATTTTAGAAGTCCCCAGTCCTGTGTTGTTTAACCAAATGACAAAAATTGTCCCTGCCTCTAAAGAGCTTACGTGGGCAATTACAGAAGAGGACATTGATATGTTAGGACAATAAACATAGGACAGATATTTGCACTGGACTCGAAGATTAGTGCATTTGTAGAACAGTAACTGACATGAAGGGATTCTCAGGGGAGTTTCATGTTTACTTTGGGTGGGGCTGTGGACACTTAATCTAAAAGTCACCCAGCCTCTGCTCAGATCACTCCCACCTGTTTGTCTGACACCATCTTAATCTGATGGTGGTTGTGGGGTTTTTAAACACTAAATGGCTATGAAATTCTGCAGAAGACTCCACCCACTCCAACAGAGTTTAAAAGTTCAACATTTTTCTCAATAAAGACACCGAAGGCATAGTTGTAAAATTTCCAGAAGACCTAAGTCTGGGACGAGCAGCTTGTATGACAGGTGATCCAATTAAAGTTCAATTGGTCTTGACAGGCTGGAAAAACTGTTGAAACCAGGAAGATGAAATGAAACTCAGAAAAATGTAAACTACTACATTTTCATTTTGTCTCAAAAAAAAAAAAAAAAAGAAGAAGAAGAAGGCAGGTTGAGGGAGACTTACTAAAAAGAATCTGAAATTTTCAGTTGCCTGAAAACCCAGTATGGTTGATTTGACTTGGACCTGTTCTGTCTGCAAGGCACAGTGACATAAATTCGAGTGAAGACACATATAAAAGAGTGAAGAAATCACAGGGAGGGAAGGGAGACTGGAATCAATTTCACTGGCTCCGGAATCAAAGTCAGGCTTCCCCAGTCTGTCACCCAGGCTATACAATGGAACTGCATTGCATGTGGGACTAGATCAAAGGCAACAACAAAAGAAAACATATTACAAATCTTGAGGTCCAAATTTCCCAAGTCATCAGCTACTGGGGTGTGGGTGGCTAAGCCTAGGAATGAACTTACTCTCTTTTTGCATTTCAGCCATACCTATCCTCTTTCTGGAATTTAGAAGGTTGGAGGATAGAAAGAAATGAAAGAATTTTTAGGCTGGGTGCAGTGACTCACATCTGTAATCCTAGCAGTTTGGGAGGCTGAGGTGGGTGGATCCCCTGAGGTCAGGGGTTTGAGACCAGCCTGGCCAACAAGGCGAAAACCCATCTCTACTAAAAATACAAAAATTAGCTGGGCATGGTGGTGCATGCCTGTAATCCCAGCTACTCGGGGGGCTGAGGCAGGAGAATTGCTTGAACTCAGGAGCAGAGGTTGCAGTGAGCCAAAACTGCACTACTGCACTCCAGCCCAGGCGACAGAGTGAGACTGTGTCTCAAAAAAAAAAAAAAAAAAAAAGAATTTTCTTACTCCCTCTTATGCTCTCTTCCCCTCTATAAAAAAATTGAAACAAATAAATCATTGACAATTTATTTAAATCTTGAGTTGCATTTTGCAACTTGTTTATACCTATTATAGAAGTGATTTTATTAAAAATTCAAATTGCATGAAAACTTTATAGATATCTTGTACACTAAAAAATATTTTTATTCTATATACACTGTTTTGTGGCCTTTTGAAATTTAACACATAATATAAAGTTTATCTTTTCATTAGATATTTTTCTACAATAATGTCTTTTGACTGTTTTTAGCAATGAACTATTTTTTAATGTGAATCTGTTTTTTGTTTGTTTTTTGAGATAGAGTCTTGCTTTGATGCGCAGGCTGGAGTGCAGTGGTACCATCTTGGCTCACTGCAACTTCTTCCTCCAGAGCTCAAGTGATCCTCCTGCCATAGCCCCCAGAGTATCTGAGACTACAGGTGTGTGTCACCATGCCCGGCTAATTTTCCTATTTTTTTGTAGAGACGGGGTTTTGCCATGTTGTCCAGGCTGGCCTTGAACTCCTGGGCTCAAGCCATCCACCTGCCTTGGCCTCCCAAAGTGCTGGAATTACAGGCATAAGCCACCACGTCCAGCCTTAATGTGAAAGCTTAATGGTTATTTATTGCTGTGTAACAAACCACCTCAAACTTAGTGGCTTACAAAAATAACAATCTTTTAGTCACTCATGATTCTGTAATTTCTGTAGGCTCAGCAAAGAAAAACCCATCTCTTTTCCACATGATGCTGGCTGCAGTGGCTCCACTGGAGCTGGAAGAACCACTTCCAAGATGGCTCCACTACAAGTAACACAGGGCCCTGGAAGTCATTCATTGGAGGAACTTTGGCTTTTACGCTTTGCGAGATGAGGGTTTTGAGCACAGGAGTGACGTGATACAACTTACCTGTTAAGAAGATTTCCTTGGCTGCTGTGTTGGGAATAAATTGAAAGAGGGATGAGGTGTATGGCACAGGGGGACTGGTTAGGAAGTGACTGCCATAACTCAGGTGAGAGACAAAGGTGGCTTGGACCACTGAGGGAGCAGAGAGATAATCAGATGGGATTGAATTTGGATTAACATGCATCTATGCTGGCTTCTCCTTATTTAATCATATTATTATGAAATATGAGTTAATTTCAGTGTAAGGTTTGAGGTAGTCATTACATAGTGAAATGCTACGCCTATAATCCCAGCACTTTGGGAGGCCAAGGTAGGTGGATCACCTGAGGTTAAGAGTTTGAGACCAGCCTGGCCAACATGATGAAACCCCATCTCTACTAAATATACAAAAATTAGCCGGGCATGGTGGTGCCTGCCTGTAATCCCAGCTACCTGGGAGGCTGAGGCAGGAGAATCCCTTGAACCTGGAAGGCAGAGGTTGCAGTGAGCTGAGATTGCACTACTGCACTCCAGCTTGGGCAACAGAACGAGACTCTGTCTCTCTCTCTCTCTCACACACACACACACATACACACACACACACTCAAAATAGACAAATGCTTCTTGAATGCCTATTCTTTCTCCTGTGCCTGCACAGTGCAGGAAACTCACTGGATACACAAGAAGTGTCTGTAGGTTGACCCCAACAGTTCACTTAACTTAGGTGACATCTGAGCATCTACAAATGAAGACCTTGGTCATGTCCTCTGATAAGGCATGTGTGATACCTGTGAACACTTTGCAATTTAGATTCCTTCACGATAGAGCCAGCTCTTCCCCATCCAAGAGCCTTCTACTCCCAACTAGAGTGTACCATTTCCTAATGATCCTGTTAAGCCGCCACCTTCCTCTCACCAGCTGCCCAGTGAAGGCCCAACAAATGTGGATTGAGCTCAACTGCATCCCACTGGCCTCCACTCTGGCTGGAATGATGTGGAGTGAGATTCTTTAGATCCAATTCCTGGAGGCCTCTGAGTGGTGGCATATCATCCTGGGCTATGTGTGTCTTTTTTCTTTTCTCTTTTTCTCCCTTCTGGGAGACTCCGTGTTCTGCAGCTGTTACATCAGCCAGCTGCCCAGCTGCCAGATGAACAGAAGATTCAAGTTGGTGACTACTCACATCTGTACTTCTCAAAAGCAAACAGAACAGATGCCCTTAGCAGTGGGGCTCCTGGGCTCAGGGCAGGGGAAATGTACCCTGAAGGGGGAAGTTTCCCTTCTAAGAGCTGACGGAGCCACTTAACCACGGCAAGGAACATCGTGAAACAGAACATTAAACTTTGATGAACTGCAAAGCCTCAGAGGTTTAAGCTGCGAGTCAACAAAGATGTTCTAATCTATATAAACACTCTGCATGCAAATTCCGGCACAGCTTTTTGCCTTATTTGGATGGTGTTTTTGATTGCTTCTTTTGGGGGAAGGGGCTCTGAAGGCAAGAAGAGATTCTGCTAGAAGTAGAGTAGAATGGCAGGAACTGGAGGCTGGGAAGGGAAAGGGGGAGGAGAGGATAAGGAGAGGTTGGTGAATGAACGCAAAATTACAGCTAGACAGGAGAAATGAGCTCTAGTATTCTATAGCTCTGTAGGGTAACTATAGTTAGCAGCAATTTGTTGCACATTTTCAAATAGCCAGAAAAGAAGACTTGAATGTTGCCAACACAAAGAAATGACAAATGCTCGAGGGCATGGAAATGCTAATTATCCTGATCTGATCCTCATACGTTGTATGCATAGATTGAAATGTCACTCTGTATCCCATAAATATGTGCAATTATGTGTCAGTTAAAAAAAATAGATGCTGTGGTTTTCTTATTAACTTGGGGGTAGGAAGTGTTCCTGGGCGTTCCGGGCCTGGCTTGGGTCCTGCCCTGGGGCCTGTGCTGCAGCCTGGCCTTCCTGGGTCCTGCACTTAGAGCTTCTTCCCACCCGCAGGAGTGGGGTAGGAAGTATCTGAGTGCTGGGCTCGTCCCTGGCCTGCCGTTACATTCTTTCTCCTGAAGGCTTTTAGCCCAAGGCCTAGTGCTGGGTTAGAGAGGCCAGAGTTGGAGCAGGAACATCCACGCATGAATAACAACTGCAAGAGCAAATTGATTATTTACTGTGGGCTGGACACACCCTCTGAGGACTTATCCTTTCATTTAATTCTCAGCACAGCCCAGAAAGTAGGTAGGATTATTGGCCTTGTCTTATAGACAAAGGGGCTGAGGCCCAAGATAGTAAAGGGAGTTGCCCTGGGTCACACAAATCCAGGATCTACCCCAGACAGTCTTATTCCAGAGTGTGGATTCTTAACCATCTTAACAACCTGCCTGGCTCTCATTCTTGGAGCAGAAAGAGGAGATGAATTGTTCAGAGATGTTAAGGGAAAAGAAAGCAGAGCTTTTCCTTGCTATGTTAGAATTCTCCTCTGCCATTCTCAAATATTGCAAATATTTTATTTATTTATTTATTTATTTATTTATTTATTTGTGGAAGGGTCAGTGTCCCAGATTGGGCTCGGGCATCCACTTCTCCCTGTGGCTCCAATTCTGCCTCCAGGAGCGGTCCTTGGCCCAGACCTAACTAATCAAAACACTAGGGCGGTGCTGGACCCAGACCTAATTAATCAAAACGCTGGTGACCATCCTGGGATGAAGTCAGGCCAATCAGAGGCAATGTGATTTGGGGGGTGGGGGGGTGGGGCGGCTTTGGCTTGAGCTTCCAGGGCAGTAGTCTTGCTCTTTTGTCACTGACTGTGAGCCAGGGAGGAAGGATGTAGCCCCTGCCCATCGGGAGCCATTTTGTCACCACGAATGGAGATCCAGTCTGAGAATAGAATCAACGCAGGGAGGAGAGCCAAGTTGGGGGAGAGTGACACCAGATCCTGACCTCATCCTTTGGGCATCTGAACCAAGCCATGTACTCTTCAGTTATGTGTGCTCATAAAATGTTATTTTTGCTGATGTCAGTTTGGGGCAGGTTTACTGCTGCTTGTAACCAAAAGAATCCTAGTAGAGACATGAAGCCTTCAGTACATTTGTGGTTTGTGCCACAGCCTGGGCTGTCACTGGGCAATTAAGGAGGCCCCTGTGTCCTCTTCCCAGCATGCAGCAGCCTAGGGGATGCCAATCAAGGCTGTGGTAACAGTATTAGCAAATGCTGTGTGACATTTACGTAGTACTGTTCCAAGTGCTTTTATCCATATGAGTTCACTGAAGTCACCACTATCTCTAATTTTTTAAATGGGAACTGGAGGCCCAGAGAGGTTGGAGAACGTATGCAAGATGACACAGCTCCTAAATTTGGGTGTAGTGGGGCTGGGTTCTAAGGCAGCCATCATCAGGGGTATGCTCTCAGCATTCTGTCCCACCCCTCTCATGACCTACAGCCAGAGAACAGAGGCTCCAGGTGGGTCTGTGGGACACAGGAGCATCTTTGTAGAATATAGAGTCTTCTTAAAAATTTCTTTAATTCTTAAAAATTAAGTACAGAAACATGAGTGAAAATTCAACAGCCTCTGATTAAGGAAATTCTTAACCACTGAGCACAGGCAAAGACGCTCATCTCTTTGGCTTTCAGTCTGACTTACTGATCCACCCATGTCACTGAGAGGAACAGAAAACAGAGGCCCCTGTGGCCCCACTCTGTGCAATGCCAGGCTCCATTTGCCTCTGCCTGTCTCTGCCTCATTTCTCCAGGCTCTGCCTTGCCCAGAACCCAGCAGAGGCCCACTGAGTGCTCCTGGGTAAGGCTCACCTGCTGGGAGGCCTCAGCACAGCCCCAGGGGGGACACAGCTTCACTGAGCTGCAGGCTGTGACTGGCTCTCATTCTGTCTGCATCTCCAGCTGGGAGCCCGCATGCCACTGTGGATGCTAAGTGTTGAATTAAAGAAAGGGGAAGCCTTGAGCTTCTACTTTGTTCCTGGCCCCTTCCCTGCCCCAGTACCCAACCCACTGGTCCCTCGCAGAATCCCAGCTTTTTTTTAGTACCCAATAAATAACGAAGGAGCTCAACAATGGGCTGGGCACTACACTAAGCACTTAACATGAACTTATTCTTCAAGAAAACCTTATAAAGGAGGAATTATTACTTCCACTGCCCAGATGAGGAAACTGAGTCTCCAAGAGGTTCTTAGAGGGCAGTGGCTGGAATGTGTTGGAACCAGAGATTGGGTCTGTGGCCGTGTGCCTGTGAGCTTATGCCTTGGGCAGGGCTGTCTCCCTAACTTCTGGCTGCTGTGATGGGCTCCCGCCTCTCGGAACCTCAGGTGCTGGCAGCTGCCTGGGTTGTCCTGAGCTGGCCCAGCCCTTTGGATGTCCGGGATTGTTGGCTGTTACTCCATTGGCCCACCTCCCTCTTTCCTCTTGAGCGCAGAGCAATCTCAGGTGGTCCTAATTATCCCCAGCTTCTTGCCTAGCACTTCATGGAACCCCTAAGCCTTGCTCTTCTCCAGTCCTGCTACCAAGACAAGCTGAAGTCATATACTGTCTCCCAGGTCAGCAAGATTGGCCCTCAGGCCTCATTCCTTCTTGTTCTTTGGGGCAGGATTGGAGCATGAGGAACAGATGGATAAGAGGCTGCTTCTAAGCTGCTCTCTAGTGTCTATGAAGTGGTTCATGTACTCCACATTGGTCACTAACATGGGACGGCCTCTGCCCTCAGCTTTGGGGCTCATTCTAAACATGCTCTCTGGAAAGACTCAGACTCCAGAGCAGCGACATTTCTCTGGCTGTGTTTGGTGGGGATTACCACTCCCAGCCAACTCTTGATTATCTGTGGGAGAAGGGAAAGGATAGACATCCCCAGGTAACCCTGGAACTTAGTTCCGCCAACATCTCTGAGGCTCTTCTGTTGAGCCTCTTTCCAGAGCAGCTACCAAGAAGTTAAACATGTGGGCTTGGTTTTCGCATCCTCTCCTCTTTTCATCCCTGCTCTGCCTTTTTTTTTTTCTCTAGTGCCAGAGAGGCCCCAGCATCGGACAGGGAGAGGCAGGGGCAGCAGAAGATTGATGTAACCAGGCATCCTGCTGTAAATAACAAAACCCAACTCAGGCTGGCTTCAACAGTGGAAGGTATTTATTTGCATGAGCCAAAATGTCTGGAGGTTGGGATGATATCAGGTAAGGTTTGCTCCAGCAACAAACTGAGGTCACCAAGGCCATGTTTCTCTGTCTGCCTCCCACAGTGTAGGCTTCATTCTGGGGCCTCACACAGTGGTCTCCTGGCAGTTCCAGGGTCTCAACTTATAGCAGCAGATAGCTATGACAGTGCCAGACCTTCTATGGTCTAAGGGAAGATATCATGTCTTCTGGTAGCTTCTAGATATGTTTGAGAAATCACACTCCCTCATTGGTTCAGACTGAGTTGCATGCTCTTCCCCAAGTCAATCACTGTGTCAGGAGGAGGGTTTATCCTTATTAGGTTAAGCTAACTGGGGCCCGTCCCTGAAGGGGGGCAGGGCCAATTCCAGTCAATATGCATTCCTGAGACTAGGGAGGGCTGAATCCCCCAAATGGAAATCAGGGTATTTTGACAGATGGAGGGAGGCAGTTCATCATTTGATGACCCATAGGCCAGGTTGAGAGCATCCAGGTGACAGCTGTGCCTGACAGTGAAATGAGGTACATGTTTTCCAAAGCCATTCTGTTTTCCTCTGTTAGATCCTCAGGAAAACCTGTGTGTCAACTACAGCAGCCAGGCATTATATTCCATGTTTTACAAATGAAGCGAAGAGGCTCGGAGAGGTACGGTGGCCTGCAGCACACCCCCAGCCATACTTGGTAGGACCTGGACTTGACCCCACACTGCTTCTCTCCATAGTACTCTGATGGGCAGCTAGCAGCTGGCAGGGCACAGGGAGGTCACAAAGCAGTGTCATCTGCTGCATCCCTGATGATGGATTTGTTTAGAGCCAAGAAAGAAGTTCAAGGCCTACACACGGACAGTTCAGAAACCAAGGTTACCAGAGGGTAGGGAGTGGGATCAGCAGACTCTACAATGAGAGGGTGGGTCAGGACACACGCATACAACTTTGGGGGACAAGATCTCCCCCAAATCCTGTGAGCTGCAGAACATAAAGCTGGGGTGGGAAAACATCCCAGAGGCTTGTGAAGGAGAGACTTCCAAAGCCTGTGCCTTCTCTGCTGAGCTTGGCTGCTGACCCTCCCAGCCCACAGGCATTCCCTTCACCACCATCCGCCTCTCCCACTGCTCCTGTGGGGAAATTACACCTGGGAACCTAGTGGAGCATCCCAGAAGGCAGGGGCACTTCTTCCACTTTTGTCTTGTCCCCCATTTGTGAAGCTTCTGCTGAATAGACAGGCTTGTTTATTTCCGCAATTTTGTCTAGTTCTACAAGTGACTCTTGAAGATGTTTACGTGGTACAAAGGCAAGTTTTGGGATCAGCAGTACTTGGATTTCAGTTTCAGATCTACCACTTATTGGCTGTGTGACCTTTCTCATCTATGAGACAGGCAAATAATAGTCCCAGCCCCTCAGTGCCATTGGGGAAAAGATAAATAAGGAAGTTAGATATGCTAAGTGCTCAGTGAATAGATTCATATGTGAAAGTGTTTACAGTAGTGCCTGGCACAAAATACCTGGTTTTAAAAAAAAGTTCCCAATGATAATGATGATGATCATGATGTTTCTAAGGGCCTGTTATGATAACTTTTCTTTTCTGTGTAAGTAATCTAAATTGTTGTCAGGCCTGACCACTGCCAGGATGCTGCCAGTGGCAATCCAAGGAGAGGCATGGGGGCAGGGATGGGGGTAGCTGACTGTTTCCATCCAAAGTCTTCCTCCCTCTCCCTCTGTTACTTCCCTGCAGTCTCTTGCTTCTGGGTCATTCAAGGAGGCATTGCCCACCCAATTTCCACGCCATGGCAGGAGATGTGGAGGCTGGGATGAGGGAGTCAACAAGGAAGGGCTCCTGGGGCAGGACTGGACTGCACCCGAGGTTCAGCATTGGGGGTGTGCCCATGGAGCTGGGGATAGATGGGAGAGGAGGGCTGGGGAGCCAAGATCTTGTGACCTGGGAGAGAAGGGATTCTTTCAGCTCCCTGGATTGTGAAGCTGGGTCCATGATATGGTTTCATTGTGTCCCCACCCAAATCTCACCTTGAATTGTAATAATCCCTATGTGTCAAGGGTGGGCCAGGTGGAGACAATTGAATCATGGGGATGGTTTCCCCATACTGTCCTTGTGGTAGCGAATAAGTCTCACGGGATCTGATGGCTTTAAAAATGGGAGTTCTTCTGCATAAGCTCTCTTGTCTGCTGCCACGTAAGACATGACTTTGCTCCTCATTTGCCTTCCACTGTGATTGTGAGGTCTCCCCAGCCATATGTGAGTCAACTAGACCTCTTTCCTTTATAGACATACCTTTTACAGTCTCAGGTATGTCTTTATTGGTAGCGTAAGAACAGACTAATACAGTCCATCTCTGAGCTTCTTCTTCAAGCAGAGCTGCCAGGTATGACCCACCACATGTGGGGTTGACCTCTTCAGCTCCCATTGCTTGGGTGTTCCTATGTCAGAGGCTGTTGCAAACTTCCCAGGCGAGCTGTGAAGTTCAGCGCGTGATGGTCAACAAGTAATGAGCATCCCTTCCTCCTCACAGCTGAATGCAGCTCCTTCTTCCTCAATACCTAGCCAGGCCTTTTAGGTTTCTGCCAAACAGGACAGAGGGAAGTTTATTGGTAGAAGCTCCGAGGAGGCAGGCTGGAAAGAGCCTCAGGCCTAAGGTCAAGCCACTTGGGTTCATATCTCAGCTCTTCTGCTTGCAGGATTTATGACCTTGGGCAATTGCCCAACCCACTGGAGCTCGGTTTCCTCAGCTGTAAAACGAGGATTGCTAATGTTGGCCTCATCTGCCTCACAGGGTTGTTGCGTTTAAATCCCATGTCCACCACTTCCTATCAAAGTAGCCATAAATCATCCTCAGCTTTCTCATCTGTAAAGTGGGGATACACACACTCCTTCAGAGGGTTGTGGTGAGGGTGAAATGAGGGGACGGATGCAAGTTGCTCATCACAATGGGGCTATGAGCATTGGTAAGTTCCAAGGTGTGCTAAGATCTGGAATTAGGGAAGAAGGTGCAGTTTTCTTTAGTAATGGAGAGAGATGTAGACCCTCTTAAATCCAAGTCTCCCTGTGGGGCACATTGAGGATGTTGAGGGGTGAATAGGACCACAGATCCCCAGGGTACAGAATTCAAGAGGCAAGGCAAGCTGTCTAAGGATGTCAAGGAGGAATGCAGTGAGGAAGGAGGCAGACCAAGGCCTACCCTGGGGACTTCAGGAAATGCTGCAAGGTGAGCCCCCGAGCTGCAGAAAGAACTGTGGTACCGAAGACCTGCCACTGCCTCTGCTGGAGTTGCTGTGTCTCAGGGCGAGTTTCCTTTAGATGATGGTCGTTCATGCCATCATGGAGACTTGACGATCTTGAGATCCCAAATGTCAAAGCTCCTGGTGACCAGCTCTTTCAGTTCATGCACCTGCAGCCATTTCCTCACAGCACACCCAGAGTTCCAGGGCCACTGTGTGTGTCAAGTACTTGGGTTTGTAAAAACCAACTCCTTCAACGAGTTACCTGCTCGTTGAAGGAGCTAAGCTCCTCAAAGGGTAGCTTCCATTTCTATCGGAATCTCCTGGGGATCTTTGGTAAAACGCACATTTCTGGACACCATCCTGGAATGAGAATGGGCTAGGGAAGCACTGGGAAGTTGCATTTGCAGGGAGCACCCATGTGGGTCTTCTGGCAGGAAAACCATTGGCCAAAGGAAATAAATGAACATTTTATTAACCACTGAACTCTCCTTACACTTTCTCCATGAGACAGTCCTCCACTCTCAGGGCTGACTTCATGGGTGTGAGACTGGAGCACTTGCACGGGGCCTGTGCTTAGAAGTGTCCCAGCCAGGGTTTAATACTCTGTTGTCGCCATCTTGAAATTCTTAATAGCTTTTGAACAAGAGCTTCCTGCAAATTATGTCTCAGGTCATGTCCTCTAAATAGATGAGAACTGCAGAAAGGATAGACTTGCCCAGGACCACAGGGCTAAGTTGTGAAAAGGCGTTTGGTATCCTGCTGTGTTTGATTCCAAAGCTCTGCTATCCCATGACGTTGAGACCCAAAAAGAATGAACTCTAAATAGGGTTCATTTAAACCCTCTAAATAGTAGTGTTTCAGATTTCAACCATCCTGTCAGGACCCAGGAAATTTCAGGGGGAGGGGAGGACCTCTTCCAGGAACCCTCACACTATACCAGGTAGGTTACTCATAAGGATAATGATGATTTATAAACGTATTCAACTTTAGGGTAGGGAAGCTTCTATGCAGCTCCCTCTGACAGTCCCTGTTGGAGAGCTAGGGTAGAGAAACCCTCTGTTTCCTTCCTTCATCTTTAAAGCTTTGCTATTCAGAGAAAATAAGGCAAAGAAGCAGAGTAGGAGTGGATAGAATCTAGAGTCTGAAGAGGGGGCTCTAAAGCCAGCTCTGTTACCTACTAGATCAGCGGTCCTCCACCTTTTTGACACTAGGGACCACCTGGTAGAAGACAATTTTTCCATAGACTGGGGGCGGGGAGGGGAGGAAGGAAACTGTTCCACCTCAGATCATCAGGCACTAGTTAGATTCTCACAAAGACTTCACAACCTAGATCCCTCATATGTGCAGTTCCCTATAGGGTTCACGCTCCTATCAGAATCTAATACCACTGCTGATCTGATGGGAGGCAGAGCTCAGGTGGTAATGCTTGCTCACCTACTGCTCACCCGCTGTGTGGCCTGGTTTCTAACAGGCCATGGACCATATGGGTCTGCAGCCTGGGGTTAGGGGCCCCCTGTGAATAATAGTAGAGCAATGAGTCCCTTGAACTCTGAGTCTCAGTTTTTTGTTTGTTTGTTTTTTAGTAGAGATGAGGTCTTGCCTGTTGCTCAGGCTGGTCTTGAGCTCCTGAGCTCAAGCAATCTGTCTGCCCTCACCTCAAAGTGCTGGGATTCCAGGCATGAACCATTGCACTTGGCCTTGAGTCTCAGTTTTTTATCTGTAAACTGGGGTGATGGAAACACAACGAATTCCCAAAGTCAAGATGAGGGTCCAATGAGCAGACATACGTGAAAACAGTATGTAAAGGGCTGTCTCAGATGATGGCTATTGCTATGACAGTTGACTGGTGCATGTGCAAGGAAATGGTTTGGCCAGAGAGGACACCTGCCTGGGTCACACCGAGGTTTCACCTCAGGGCAGGCACCTCTGGTGGCCTCAAGGTGGAGCTGAAGCTCAGGTGTGACCTGGTTTGGGAAAGACGTAGGAAGGCTCATGGAACCCAAAGGGAGGTGGCTCTTGGCTTTTCTGCCACAAAGGGAGGCAGAGCTACCAATAACAGTACGAAAACCCACCTATGATGGAGCAGGGCCTTAGGGATTTAGAAGCACAGACACGGGCTTTCTGGTTGTTAGGTAAGGACCCTGCCCCCTCTTGCATCAGGGCTGGGATGTGGGGTGGGGGGGTTGAGAAGTAAAGAGTAACAGAAAAGAGGCCCCAGAGAAAGAAGTTGGTTACACCCCAGTGACAGTGGTTTTGTTTTGTTTTGTTTTTGAAGCAGTTTTTGCTCCAAATCTTTACTTTTAGACTGTAGGGCTAAGTCAGTCCTCTGAGGCTATGGCCAGCGAAGACCCAGGGGTTTCCTGGAAGAAAAGGGTATATGAGTCCTGGGGCAGAGAGAGAGGTACAGTGCAGCGGGAGGGCAGGTGGTCCCAGTGGCTCCCAGCTTCCACAGCCAAGGGTGGGGCCTCCCAGAAGCCTCAAACCCACACTCCTGGGCAGACAGCTCTGGAAGGAGCAGGTGCCATGAGCAGCTCTGGGAGGAGCAGGTGCCATGAGCAGCTCTGGAAGGGAGCTCAGGTGGGCACACCTGGGGGTGGCTGAGCCCACCCTAATTAGGCTCAAGGTCCAAGAGATACAATAATTGTCTGATGCTGGGGGAAGAGGGTTCTTACTGAGTTTCTTAAAGTGGGGCCCAAGGGTCCTTGAGTGCCTGCAGGTGAATCTTGGAGTCCACAGAGTCTCTGTGAGAATATTTAAATTTTGTGTTTTCATATGGATGGTGACCTAAAAAAATAGTTAGTCAGTCTAAGCATAGACTGGGTCATATGAATTAGAGACCTTCAAACTTTTTTTTTTTGGCAGCCACCCACAGAAGGAATCCATCTTACACAGTGGCCCAGTTTCCGTCACTGATGTCCATGCACAAATAGAACTGACAGACAGCCAGTCTAGACCAGTCCAGGTGTACCAGTTGTGAAAATACTATAATACTCCAAACCACTTGAGAAATGGCTCTGAGCCTACGTGTCACCACCCTACCCCGCTAATAGTCTTGGTACTTCCTCGGGGATTGCCTTCAACTACCCCCGAAAGCACCCACCAGTGGTGGTGAGGGGAGAGGTGGGATCTATTGGTTTCCTGTGGCTGCTGTAACAAACAACCACAAATGGGGTGGTTTCAAAAACAGAATTCATTCTCTCCCAGCTTGGGAAGCCGCAAGTCTGAAGTCAGTTTCACTGGGTCAAAACCAAGGAGTCAACAGGGCCACCATTCTGTCTTGATCAAATCTCCCTCTGTCTTTCTCTTAT
Source organism: Homo sapiens (assembly GCF_000001405.40). Classification (NCBI taxonomy): domain Eukaryota; kingdom Metazoa; phylum Chordata; class Mammalia; order Primates; family Hominidae; genus Homo; species Homo sapiens. Next base: position 26,131,683 of record NC_000004.12, on the reverse strand, counting down.
AAGGATACCTGTGATTACATTTAGGGCCCACATGGATAATCCAGGAAAATCTATCCATCTCATTGTCCTTACTTTAATCATATCTGCAAAGACACTTTTTGCTTATAAAGCAACATTTGCAGGTTCCAGGGATTAGGACCTGATATCTTTTGGGGTCACTATTTAGCCTATTTCAGTGGGCTTCCACGGACCTTCCCCAGAAGCAATACTGGCATCTGTTTGGATTGGTTATGTGAGTGTGTGTGTCTGTGTGTGTGTGTGTAAAACAATTTTCTGAATACTTATTCTGACACCACGTAATACTTGATATTTTCTCTTTTCTGTAACATTTTTTAAAAAATTGCTTGTAACAGCTTACTAAATTGATCTCATGATGCAGGGATGTGACTGCATAGGGATGTGACCCAGTTTGAAAAACATGGCAACCACCTTGTAACCTAGTAACCTACTAGTGCCACAGCTTCCGCCGCCTGTGCTGTGTTTTTATCACAATGGCACTCAACCTAAATTATCACAGGCTAATGAGAAAAGAACGCAGGGAGCCTCGATATGTAAATGATGCGTTTCTGATAAGCTGAGGCCAGTTGGCATGTTGCACAAATGAAGACTAGACCGTAGCTTGGATGGCAGAAAAAGATGGGAGAATCAATCCTCACGTGGTACATGATGGCACAGGCATGCTAAGCTTAGAAGATCCCAAGCCATCGTGGCCCATGCCACAGTCACATTCCACGCCGAAATGTAATTTTAGCAGTTTCAAACAGCATCATCTGCCACATTAAATTAACACATTAAATTAATGAGGATTTTGTAGTGTTGCTTGTACTCTATTTGTAAGATTCATTTTTAAAAATCATGTGAGAGCTGTAAACCTAAGGATTTTTAAAAACCTGGTTTATATTTGTACATTTTCAGGTGATGAGATAAAAAGAAACATAATTCACATCAACTCTCACAGAGTGACGGTGGTAAAGGAGTGCACAGAATTTTTTTCTTCTCATAGAAAAAGGAGTAGATCATTGAAGTTTAGGAAACACTGTGGTGTTACGGGGAGAGTAATGGGAGTCGTGAATGTGGAAATACAGAGAGAAAATGAGTGAGAAAGAGAACAGGAAAAGTGGCAGGACTCGGTTGCTGCAGCTTCAGTAGAGGACGTGAAGCTTGAAAAAATAAGGACTGAGACCAGGCAGGGGAGACCTGAGGAGCGGCTGCAGCCGGCATGCTTCTCAAGACGTCCCTGCCCACAGAAGCTGACAAACCCAAGCAGACAAATTTGGAGTTCAAGTAAGAGAATGATTCAAAAATGGACCAAAACTGAGGCCTGTCCTTAATTACTCATAGTGAGAAGATGTAACCACTCCTTGGGGAGGAGGATGGGCAGTGAGCACTCAACTCCTGTGTTGTATCTATCGAGGTGAACTATGTGCTGGCCTAACTTGCCTGTTCAAGAAGGTGCGGGTGTATGTATTTAGGTAGGTACCACCTCTTGATTTGCTTTGATTCTTTAAAAATAATCCCTCTGAGGCTGGGCATGGTGGCTCATGCCTGTAATCCCAGCACTTTGGAGGCCGAGGCAGGAGGATCACTTAAGGAAAGGAGTTTGAGACCAGCCTGGCCAACATGGTGAAACCCTGTCTCTACTAAAAACACAAAAATTAGCTGGGCGTGGTGGTGCACGCCTGTACTCCCAGCTACTAAGAAGGCTGAGGCAGGAGAATCGCTTGGACCTGGGAGGCAGAGGTTGCAGTGAGCTGAGATGGCGCTGCTGCACCCCAGCCTGGGAGACAGAGAGAGACTCCATCTCAAAAAAATAAAAATAAAAATAAATTAATCTCTCTGCCATCAATATTAAAGAAATAAAAAAAAAATTCAGGTGATGTCCACCTCCATCCTAGATAGACCATCTTGAGTCTGCTGTCTGGAGGCTAGATAGGGAACACCCAGGAATGAACAGGCCGGGTTGCCATTATACAGATGCTGGTTGCTGAAAGTCTTCAACTGTAAACTAGGTGGATTTGGAGATTGATAGGTAACCCCGTCTTACAATAGCATCATCATATCTATAATTTAAGAGTTGTAAGGGACAGTAAGTTCATAAAAACTCATTGGTTTTTCAGATGAGAAAAATGAGGTCCCCCAAAGTAAGTTATTAGTTAAGGTTATTTGGCATGCAGGATGGAGCAAAGATGAGAACCCAGGACTCTTGACTTGCAGCTCAGAGCTCTTTCCACTCAACTTTACTCCAATTTTACTTAATGTTCATGCTTTAGAAAATATCCACTATATGAAATAGATGTACAACACCAATGTGTAGTCACTTTGAAGTACTTTTAGGGTCCACATATTTAAGGACATATTTTTGGATACAGATACTCTTAGGCTCCTTTGAAATGATTCACGGCAGGGTAGGATGGAAAAATCACTGGGCTGGGAAACAGAACACCTATTTGAGGTGCTAAGCTGGCCACTTACTGATTATTAATTTACTTCTCTGAGCCTCCATTTTCTTATCTGTAAAATGGGAATGACATCATTTGCCTTGACTCCCTCATTGAACTAATATGAAGATGAAGTGAGACAATGTAAGTGAAAGAATTTGTATTAATAAATTGTTGAGCATTTTCAGACATTGTATTAGTCTACTTTCATCTGCTGATAAAGACATACCCACGACTGGGTAATTTACAATGAAAAAGAAGTTTAATGGACTCATAGTTCCACGTAGCTGGGGAGGCCTTACAATCATGGCAGAAGGTGAAAGGCACATCTTACATGGCGGCAGACAAGAGAGAAAATGAGAGCCAAGCAAAAGGGAGAACCTCTTATAAAACCATCAGATCTTGTGAAACTTATTCACTACCATAAGAACAATATGGGGGAAACCACCCCCATGATTCTATTATCTCTCACCAGATCCCTTTCACAACATGTAGGAATTGTGGGAGCTACAATTCAAGATGAGATTTGGGTGGGGACACAGCCAAACCATATCAGACATCATCTCATAAGATGCCCGTTTAGTCATCAGAATATAGGCTAATTTGGAATAGTGTATATTGTATATCATACTGTATAGTGATTGAGAAGGAGGGGATTGAGCTCAAATCCATTTACAAAGTGTGGGATTTGGGGCATAGCTACTTCATTTCTTCTGTTCCTCTATTTCTTAATGTGTCAAATAGGGATAATCAGAGGGTCTATCTTGCAGGGTTTTTGTGATGGCTATATAATTTAATTCCTGTAAACTACTGCTTGGCACATAGAAAGTGCTCAATAAATGTTTGCCATTATTATTATCTTGCAAACTTGCTGATGGTGATGTCTTTTTCTTTGTTGTAGGTGTTATTCATTGTCACATTTGTGTGTGCTTTAAAAGTCAGCAAACTTTCAGTGCCCCTGGAGGCCATAGGTAGAACCTCCACACCTCTTCTGGGAATCCTTCCATTTTTAGTATGAAGAAATAGGAACAACAGAGCTGCCTTCCAGAGCCAAGTTGGCAACTAAACCCACCTGCTTCCTGCCTTCCCAAGGCCCAGCTGACATCAGTGGGAGCCTCACCTATATGAGGAGGGACTAGTATTTGCCTTGGCCTGGCTGCTGCTGTTATCTGAAAGGCAGCAGGGGCCCCAGGCCATGCCATCTCTTGCAGGGATCCTGGCAGAGCACACAAGTCAAACAGGATCAGGGTGGGGCATAACTTGGCCCAGAGAACCCACTGACACCAGCTCATGAAAGGTGGGAGCAGGGAGTGCCCCAGATGAATCAATGGGTGGCATGTTTCCCTCTGAGCAGCTGCCAAAAATGCCTCTCAGGCATCTGGTTAAGAGGCAGTGAGTACATGGGGTGGCTGGGAGGCCAACCTCTTTAGGGCCACAATGATTTATCTCATGTCTCTGTGTACATATGTTTCCCTCTACTTGGAGTGTCTTACTCTACTTACCTGCTGGGCAAAACCCTATTCCTAGCTCATCTTTCAAGTCCTAGTTCAAGTCTATGGGGAACCTTCCTGGGATCTAATAGGTAGATTTAGGTGTTTTGTTCCCTATACAAACTGTACTTATATATTTACTCCACCCACTTTATGCTGATATACTCCATCTTACATACTTATATACTCCATCCTCTGTACCACATTACAATTGTTTATTGGTATATGGGCAAGACATGCCATCATGCCTGATGCCTACCAAAAGATTTTCCTCCAGCTCTGCCCACAGACCCTGTCAAACTGGTGAGGCTGGGAGAGAGTGCATTTCTACCACATGATCCTGCTACCCAACCATAGCCAAGGAGAGCCAATCTCCATATGGTTGGTGACCTTTGATGTGGACTAGGTCAGATCAGATTCTCACTGTCAGTGATTTGAATTGGGAAAGACTTTAGCAATGAGCAGCAGCAACGGAAGCTGAAAGGTCATGAAATACAGAAAGATCTGATGTAGCAGATGCTGTGATGTGCTGCCCGGATTCCTCTTCAGGAATGATAGATTTCTTCTCTGTGCCACTGGGAGTGCTGCCAACAGACAGCCCTCAGTTGCCAGCTGTCTTCAGGAAGCATCTCTTTTAAAGAAAGTCACCCCACCCAAGATCATGCACCCTTCCCAGGGAAGCCCATATCCAATGACTGGCTGAAATTCTCAGTGCTATCTCAGCTTCAGAGTGACGTGTGTGGTCGGCTGAATCCTTCATCAAGACTAGGGGCACCACACATCCCTGTGTGACTGGGATAGAGTTGTCCTTTAAGGCGTAATGACCTTTTAAGCTCAGTCCATGAAGTTCATGAAGACTCTCCTGTAATGGCAGCTGGCCTTAAATTCTTAGGCTTTTCCACTGTCCATATGGTTCTCTGTGTTCCTACAATAAACTCAACTTATTTGATGTAACTGGAGTAGACTTCTTACCTTTGCATTCAAAAGCACCTAAGTAGATGATCATTTTTGCATTAGGAGGGAATTTGGTTGTTGACCACAACCCACAGAACCAATGCTGGCCGCCTTGAGGGAAATAAATGAATATATTGGGATGATATTAGAGGTTCTCAAAATCAAAGAAAGGCTGCAGAACAAGTTTGGAAAATGAGCAGGGCATTAGTTTGACCTGCCACCAGTATCATAATGACTATAACCTACAGCTAGAGCCAAGTTTCTTACAGCACTTTCAAGAGTCCACGTCCCAGGAAAGCATCTGATTGGCTAAGCCTAGTCATATGCCCACCTGTGCCGTACCAGAAATGGAAAAGGGAAAGAGAGAGGAGTATCTGTCTCTTTTGGCTACTGTAGTGGGAGACAGGCTACCCACCTCAAAATACACAATGGGGGATTCCCCGAAAAGGGGAGTGATGGGCTAGGAGGAAGTTGGGGTTGGGGGCGGGAAGCCAAAAAACAACAGATGTCTTCAGCAGTGTCTGTCTCCTTCCTAGGCTAAAAGCCTCCATAAGAGGCAGGGACTACCAATTTTCATCTTTGTATCCCAAATCCCTAGTGCCTGGCACTAAATAGGTGTTTCTTTAAAAAGTGCAGACTTTTTAAAGTGCTTGATCTTTTCCATTCAAGGAATTGAATACATCTGGAAAGGCTGGTGTTTGCTCCTTCAGGAATGCAAAGATGGATTTTTTTTTTAAAGCAATTCTTAAGGGCTTTAAAATCTAGATGTAAGGTTGGAGCACACAGGCAGTGATACATCTATATCCATACACATTGTGTGTGACAGACACCATAGAGGAGAGGTGTATCCCCATCCGCACACCTGGAGAGAGCATGTGGAGGAGCTGTTATGCTGCCTCTCCAGCTGCATTGTTCTTATGGGTGGAATCCTCAGGCATCCTATAATCCGCCATGAGGGTGCCTGCTGGTAACTAAAGAAGAGGGACGATTTTTTTTTTTTTTTGAAATGGAGTCTTGCTCTATTGCCCAGGCTGGAGTGCACTGGTGCCATCTTGGCTCACTGCAACCTCCACCTCCCAGGTCTAAGCGATTCTCCTGCCTCAGCCTCCTGAGTAGCTGGGATTACAGGCATGCACCACCACACTCAGCTAATTTTTGTATTTTTGGTAGAGATGGGGTTTCACCATGTTGGCCAGGCTAATCTTGAACTCCTGACCTCAAGTGATCCACTCCCCTTGGCCTCCCAAAGTGCTGGGATTACAGGTGTGAGCCATTGCACCTGACCCAAGAGGGCCATTTTTCTCCCTGTTCCAGATATCTTTTTGGCTGCTTTCTCCAAAGGAATTACATGTGAAACCTGCCTTCCAAGAAAGGTTAAACAGCCTTTTACTCAGAGATTACAGGATACATAAAAACATTCCTCAGTCAGTAGTGTAGAAAAATCAACCTTTGCACTCCCAGGCTGGCTCCATCCACTTCCTATAAAAGTATGTGTGGTGGAGAGGGGACTTCACTGCCTACATCACAGGGTGCCCCATGAGGGGCTCCATAGCCTTCAGCAGCTACCCACATGTTGCTCAGAATATAGCCTACATTTCCCAGCCACCCTTGCAGCTAGGTGTGGCCAGATGACTAAGTTCTGGCCAATAGGATGTGAGCAAGAGGGATGACTGCAATTCCTGACTGGTGTCCTTAAAGGGAAGAGATGTGTCTTTCCTCTCCCCTTTTCCCTTCCCCCTTTTTCCCTTCCTACTGGCTGGATTGTGGACATGGTAGTCAGTCATCTCAGACCATGTGCCCGAAGACAACATCTTAGGGGTGGCAGAATAGGATAGAAAGTGTCCGGGCCTCTGACACATTGCTGTTGCCATAGCAGTCCTGAACTACAGTCGTGTGCCACATAAGGACATTCGGTCAATGATGAACTGCATATGGGACGTGGTCCCATAAGATTATGTGAAGCTGAAAAATCAACATCATAGCACGATGCATTACTCACGTGTTTGTGGTAATGCTGATGTAAACAGACCTATTATGCTGCCAGGCATATAAAAATATAACACATACAGATGCGGTAAACGGAACACTTCTACACCACTTGTGGGACTGTAAACTAGTATAATCACTATGGAAAAAAGTGTGGAGATTCCTTAAAGAACTAGAAGTAGAACTGCCATTTGATCCAGCAATTTCACTACTGGGTATCTACCCAGAGGGAAAGAAGTCATTATATGAAAAAGATGCTTGCACACTCATGTTTATAGCAGCACAATTCACAATTGAAAAAACATGGAACCAACCCAACTGCCCATTAATCAACGAGTGGATAAAGAAACTGGTATATATATATATATATATATATATATATATATATATATATATATATGATGGAATACTACTCAGCCATAAAAAGGAATGAGTTAATGGCATTCACAGCGACCTGGATGAGACTGGAGATTATTATTCTAAGTGAAGTAACTCAGGAATGGAAAACCAAGCATTGCATGTTCTCACTCATAAGTGGGAGCTAAGCTATGAGGATGCAAAGGCATAAGAATGACACAATGGACTTTGGGGACTCAGGGGGACAGGGTGGGAAAGGGGTGAGGTATAAAAGACTACAAATAGTGTGCAGGGTATACTGCTCGGCTGATGGGTGTCCCATAATCTCACAAATCGCCACCAAGGAACATATTCCTATAACCAAACATCACCTGTTCCCCAATAACCTATGGAAATAAAAAATCTAGCACATACAATTATGTACAGTACATAAAACATGATAATAATAAATGACTATGTTACTGGTTCATGTATTTACTATACTTTTTATTGTTATTTTAGAATGTATTCCTTCTACTTATTTAAAAAAAAGTTAACTGTAAAACAGCCTCAGGAAGGTACTTCTGGAAGTACAGAAGACTACTGTTATCCTAGGAGATGACAGCTCCATGCCCCTGAAGACCTTCCAGTGGAACAAGATGTGGAGGGTGAAGATAGTGATATTGATGACCCTGACCCTGTGGAGGCACAGGCTAATGTGTGTGTTTGTGTCTTCGTTTTTAACAACAAAGTTTAACAGTTTAAAGAAAGAAATAAAAATGTTAAAAATAGAAAATAGCTTATAGAATAAGGGTATAAAGAAAGAAAATATTTTTGTATAGCTGTACGATGTGTATTTTAAGCTGTGTTATTATGAGTCAAAAAGTTTTTTAAACATTAAAAAGTTTATAAAGTAAAAAATTATATATAGTAAGCTAAGGTTAATATATTGTTGAAGAAAGAAAAAAAATTCTTTATAAATTTAGTGTAGCCTAAGTGTACAGTGTTTATAAAGTCTACAGCATATAGTATAGATGGTAATGTCCTAGGCCTTCGCATCCACTCACCACCTATTCAGACTCACCCAGAACAACTTGCGGTCCTGCAAGCTCCATTTATAGTAAGTGTTCTATACAGATGTACTATTTTTAAAAAATATTTTATACCATATTTTTGCTGTACCTTTCTATGTTTTGGTATGCTTAGATACACAAATGCTTCCCATTGTGCTCTGGTTGCCTGTAGTATTAAGTACAGTCACATGCTGTCCAGGTTTGTATTCTGGGAGCAATAGGCCACACCATATAGCCTAGGTGTGCAGTAGGCTACACCATCTAGGTTTGTACACTAGTATATAAGTACACTCTATGATGTTCTCACAATAACAAACTCCCCTAATGACACATTTCTCAGAACATAAACCCGTTACTAAGCAATGCATAACTGTATTTATGCCCAATCTGTTCCTGAGAGGGGAGTGTGCTTCTTGTTTGTTTATGTTGCTGCCATTTTGAGTTTCTGTTAGAGCAGCTAATTCTAATGAGGAGGGTCGGCCGACTATGGCCAAATCTGGCCCACCATCTGCTTTTGTAAATAAAGTTTTATTGGAACACAATCACACCCATTCCTTTTTGTATTATTTATGGCTGTGTTCTCCCTGCAATGGTAGGTTGCATTAGAGACCATATGGTTCACAGAGTCTACAATGTTCCCTCTCTGGATCTTTGCAGCCAAAGTTTGCCAGTTCCTACTAGATCCTACTCATTCATATGTATATCAAAATATTAGTGGTGTTTACTTCAGGATATGTTACTCCTTCCTTATGTTTCTCTATATTTTCCAACTTTATTCCAATAAATGTGTTTTACATTAATCATCTCCAAAAAATTCCAAGAAATGTTAATTTAAAATGTTTAAGCGTTCCTCCTAACCAGTTCTCATTACTTTGATCACTATATCTTCCTCCAAATATCTCTGCCTCGAATGGGTGAGTTTACTCCAGAGTCTGCCCTATTTGAACCTACAATACCCACATTCTAATTGTCGCTCTCTGGCCTGCCAGAAACATATGAACCACTCACCAGTTTGTGCAGAAATACTGGAATTTGGTATTGTTTGTGGTAGGATGCTTTTGGTTCCTTGTAACCCAAATCAACTTAATGGGAATAATATTTGCTGTTATTATTGGACAGTCCAAAGACAGGACTCACATCAGATATGGCTTGATCTAGGGTGCAAATCAGGACTCTGTTTTTCTCTTGATCACTTCACTTTGCTTATCTCTAATAATCTGTTTTATCCTCATTGGGGTTTATGTGCCCTAAAAATATGGCTGCTGGAAGGCCAGAGCTTGCATCCTTTGGCTAATAATTTATAAATGTGTCCATATATAAAATTTCAGAGATGATTCTGATTAGCCTTGCTTGGGTCAAAGTTTATGCCTGAACCGATCATGTGCATAGGAGAATGTAATCATTTGAATGGCTAGGTGAAGAAGTTCAAGGTCAACAATGGAATGTGTTTCTCCCATGAAAAAGTGGCTTTACTACCTAAAAAGAAAAAAGAGGACACAGGAGATAAATACAAAAAAAAAAAAAAAAAAAAAAGAGAGATACTCACTCCAAGCAACTTGAGGTTCTTGTGTGTAATCTTAATTGCTTCTGGGTGTGTGACGTAACATTTATTTGAAGATTAATGTGCAGTTCCATTTTCTGATTGGATGCTACTTGATTATTGTTAAATTACTGTGTCAAGCTCAACACATCACAATACCTATGTGAACTCAGGATAATTGTTTTTTTTCCATTTTGGTTAAGACTATGATTTACAGAGTAATTACGTCTGGTTGAAAACTGAAGTGTAGGTAACAACTAGTTTCCTCCAAAAAGCAGGCTATAAAGAGGCAGTGTCAGGAAGCAGTGGACAAAGGGTGGAAATAGGAGTTAGATGATGGAGACTTGAGGCTCTGATCTTCTCCTTCTTAGGGGGTCATGAACAACTTATTTAGTCTCTTTGAGACTTGGTTTACTCTTCTCTAAAATGGGGATAAGACTGATCTCATGATTTTTTCTGAAGATTAAATCTTTTCTGCCAGATGCTTCCATTCTAGGGTTTTAATTATTTGGGCACAAACTTGTCTCTGCCTATTTGGTTCTCAAGTTATTGAGAAACCCACGCAGGAGCACTTGAATAGAGATAATTTTTGTTGACAAAGTAAGATTCAGAGGTGAAAAAGCAGGGCAGCCCACTGGCTTCAGATTCTTTCCATTATGAGATTAAATATTTGCTTCTGCCCAGGGAGCTTGATGCATCAGGTGAGTGCTTGGAATCTATCATTTTCTGAAAATTTTGAAAGGACTCCTTGGAGGAAGTCAATCATTTTGCTAAATTGCTGCTTCAGTTACTGCCCACTTTTGAGAATGGTAGATAGTTTTTCCCTCTCCCTCTGCTTCTCCCCCTACCCCTCCCTCTCCCTCTTCCTCTTCTCTTCCTCTCCCTCTGCCTCTCCCTCTCCTTTCCCCCCTTCATCTCTCTCTCCTTCCTTCCTTCCTTATTTTGAAAAATGTATGTCCATTTATCTTGGTTTAATCACATAGGGCTAGATAAGAATAGCTGGGGCATCTCAGGAATTCTAATTTACACTTTTGCTTCTAAACTACAGTACTCTTGCCAGGCTTCATTCTGTCCACGCCTCAATGGTCTCATCTATAAAGCTGGGATATTGCTTATTTTCCAGTGTGCAAAAAAAAAAAAAAAAAAAAAAAAGTTGAGAAAATGGTCTTGAGTAACCTATTAGGTTATGAAGCTGACATATGGCTATTAGGAAACATGAGATGAGCCAGAACTTTGAAACAATATGGTATTGAGCAATATGGTGCCAAGGTTAGGATGAAGGCAAACAGGTCTCAGAAATTTACCAGGATATTTGCTGTTTGGATAGTATGAAAGGCCATGAGAATGTATGCATTTCACTAACAGGCTATGGGCCAAGACAGAGAGGACTAAATTTGTCTCTCAAGAAAAAAATAGAGGTACCGAGAGAACGATTTCAGGTATGGGTGTTCTATAGAAGGCTCTTCTAGACTGTTCAGAACAAAGACTTGCTTGTCCAAGGTGATGGGTGTTTACTGTAGTGGTACTTAGCTATTTAAAAAGCACAGAAAGTCAACATCAGTTGAAAAGCCTGCCCAGCGGAGATCTGGAAGTTTGTTCAGGGCATTACATGATTCCAGGTCTCAGCAACAAGTTTTATTATTGATTTTCTGGTGCCTTTGCTTTTGTTGTTGCTTTTGAGAGACGGAGTCTATGTCTACTACTACTGCTGACTTTCCACTCTCTCTACTTTCTGCTCGACCTCTTGGTCTTGCTCACTTCCAGCTTCTGCCTCAAGGTGTCCATTTACTGGTGTCTCATGTGGCTTCTTAGCATCTTTCAAATTCTAGTTCTTCCAACTACTCTCTTTTGATATGGCTCAAATTCAGACTTTTCTAGAAAGAGAACCTACCTATAAAGTGGATGTCTTTGCCTCAGGTACAAAGCCCTATTCAATCATTTGTAGCCACAATGGTGGGGTCTTATGATCCCAAACATGGTATTTTATCTATAAGCTATGAAGGAAAGGGTTCTTGTAACTCTCAGCCATTTTAAGGCCTCAGGCCACATCTAGGACTTGAATATATTTATGTTCTGCTTTGTATCATGAAAGAATTGAGGCCGTTACACTGATAATGCCACTGTAATATAGAAGGTGACCTATACCCTATGAGAGGTGCTAAAATGTCCTGTGGAAATTCAGAAAGAAAGTTGATTTCAGCTGGTGATTTGGAAAAACATCATGGGTGAACCAAAATAAAATTGAACACGGAAGGATGGGTAGAATGTGGATAGAAAGGAAGGAGGGGGCTAGTGCCTTCTAGGTGGAGAGAACCGTGTAAAGAAAAGCACAGACATGGACAGTTTTGGGGGAATTGGTGACACATCCAGTTAGAGAAGGTCAGAGACTTTCACAGAAAGGGAGGAGGGGGAGCTAATCTGAAAAATGAAATGCCAAGCTAAAGGGTCCATACTTTCTTTATTGGGTTGGCATTGGAAGAGTCATTAAAGATTTCCAATCTACTCAATGAAGGGATTGGAACTGTTCCTAGGAAGAGCCTTCTGACAGCTGGGCATATAATGGATTGGGGAGGAAAACAATGGAAGACAGAGGTTTTTATTGTCACTCTAGGCTGTGTCAGAGAAATGAGACAATGGATGTGAAATACCTGTCAGAAGTAGAAAATAAAAGCTTATGGTTCCTGAGATTTCACTATATGCAGCCTTGTGCTAGGGGCTTTCCTTACAGTATTTTATTTATTTAACCCACAGTGATATTATAAGGTAGGTAAGATTAGTCTTATTTTACTGATTGTGAAACTGAGACCCGGATCAATGCAATACCCTGTTAAAGATCACATGTTTTGTGAATGGTAGAGCTGGACTTTGTACCCAGCTATGGAGGACTCCAAAAGCCAAGCCCCTTTGACTACTCTGGACCACATCCCAAAAGGACTAGCCATTGACCTAATAGAAGGGGAAAGAAAAAGAGTGGTGTCAAAGAAAGCCTCAAGTTTTCAAGAGTGTGTGATGGAGAGTGCAAATAGTTATGTGGACAGAAATGGGGAAGTCAAAAGAATACCTTTTTCTTGGGAGTTGGAAGTTTAGAAGGATATTTTGTGAGATGAGAAAAATTGTGAGCTTATTTTGACCTTCCCTCAAGGTGTAACATATGAATGAAACTAAGCAACAGTAGAAATTAAAGGACATAAAGAGGTCAGAAGACATAGTGTTACAAAAATGACCAATCAATTACTCCATCCATTCTCTTGTATTCAGACTGACGTGAATGACCACTCTGTTCCCCAGGACCTCTGCCACATTGCCCTGCAAGCCCGAGTGATCTTTCATACCTGCCTGCTGGTATTAAACAATGGGCCCAGTCTACCTACCTTCCCTGCCTACAGTCCTGGAGAGGAGGTAGCACCTGTTTTGTACCACATGATCCCACCTGTTTGGCCACAGTTGGCTGGAGAATAACCAAACCACGGATGGACTGATAACCCATACCTCACCTGGTGAATGATTAATGCTGTAGGATGAACTTTTCTTTTAACCAAAGAGATTCTTTAGTTCTTCACACAAATAAACACCTGGCAGATCCGTGTCTCTAATTCTCCAGACCAAGCCTCTGACTACAGCCAGGGTTTCCAGAGCAGGACTGAATCTCTATGAACCCTTTGCATCCCTCTGTCTTCCAGGTCCAGCTCAGTATCTGAAACCTTGTGGGCAGTCAGTAAATATATATGGGTGAATATATATTTGAATCTTAGTGGTGGACATAGCTTTGGCTCAAGCAAGTTTGTAGAAGTAAAAATACAAACAACTATAAACAAATATACATATTTGTGATATATATTTCACAGATATATATGGAGATATATATGGATAATATATCTAAAATGTCACAAATATATATATATACACAAATATGTATATATCCATGCACAAATATATATATATAATTTGTGGTGTATAGTTGTTTGTACTTTTAAATCACTGCCAAATATTTTATTTTATTATATCATAAGCAGTTATGTCCACATCTGTCTCCACTAATAATTATTTTAAGTGCTAATAGTGTTAGGCACTTTCTGAGTGTTTTATGTGTATTGACTTGTTACTTCTTCACAGAAATACCAAGCATTAGTATCTCTCCTTAACTCCATTTTCAGGATGAGTAAACGTACAAGGAAGTTAATTCATTTGTCAAAGGGTTATAAAGTCAATTAAGTGGAGGAACCCAGCTTCTCCCTAGTTTGTCCCCTGAATGCTATATGCTACACTGCCCTTTCAGAATAGACAGTAAAGTCCATGAAGTCAATCTGACTCATCTGTTTGTTTTCTGCTTGTCACTTAGTAGGTGGTCAGCATGTGTGTGCAATATAGAATTTAATTGCCTTTTCTCAAGTTGGCCAACATGTAATACGTCATATTACCTATTGTATAATATGACATGTGGAGGGTCTTGGTTTTGTTAGGTATAGTGATAGTTCAGATAAAATTGAGGGAGATTGTTAGAACTTGGGGTCCCAGGAGGAGGTAAAATGGGATATCTGGGGCCAGAAAAGCCAGGGCAGGATGCTTGGGCTGCAGGAATTTGTGTACTCTGTTTTGTGGTCATGGGAGATGCCCAGAGGGTGGGGAGCGGGGGTAGCCGCATGGGGCAGGAGTACCAAGGACAGGGTTTCCTTAAGAGTTCTTTCCATTTTGAAAGACCACTATGTTCTGTCCAGCAACGTTGATAGCCCTTCACTTAAAAAATCAACTCTCCTGCCTCCGTTAACATTTACTAAGTGTTATAAATTGAGTGGCCAACTTTGTGGGCCAACCTATATGACTTTTCCTCTGAATGGTTGTGGCTTTGAATCTGTGAAAAGTCAGTTTTCTCAGTTAGAGTCGAAGCCATTTTTACCAGAGGCTTTAATCTAGACCTGGGCTTACACAAAGGTTCCCGTGCATCTCAATGAAGAGCAGGTTCTCTGGAATCTATAGAGACTCCAGGGACCCAAGGCACATGAGCATTGGGAACTGCATTGCAGCTTGCCACCCCAGGAGGGGCAGAAGATTCTCCCTAGTGACAGAGAAGGTGGAGTAGCTTTGGTGCCACTTTGGGCTTGTGGCATGGGTGGCAGCAGCCACAGGTGGCAGTGGCATCCACAATGGCAGGAGGTCTGTTGTGCAGTGGCTTTACAGCACCTTGTGTGGGTTGATCAGACCTTTGCAATCTGTTTGGTGCACCTTCATGGGCATAAGAAGCTTTTGCTATAGTTCTTCCTAGGAATCCAGGGCTGCAGAGGAAAAACATGGCATGTCCCGGGGAGCTGAGAGGACAGTCCCATGAGTCCATGCCACATATCTCCAGGGGACTTCCAGAAACTGCTGGGCGGACTTTGAAGATGGAGAAAGTCAAGGTTTCTGCAATAGCAGGTGGGAAAAAAATGATAGAAATAGTGTGTGAACATGCTGCCCTCAGGCCAGTACTCCTTGAGAGATTTGGCTTCCATACAGGTTAAGAACAGGTAAGATTTTCTTTTTCTGGTTTTTCACAGCATACCGGGCATTCCATATAATGAGGACCAGCTGCAGGCAGCAATGATAGAAAGGTCTTCTGACATCATCCCTGCCCGTTAATTGGTTTGACAACCTGTCAGCTCAATGCAGCCTGCGATGCCTCCACATGAGTCACTCTGTTAGCTGCTGTCAACACGGTGGATGTGCATTTTCAGTGCTGATAGCACAAACAGAAAATGTTGGAATGGTCAATTTTATTGAATGAGAACATGAGAAATGGTCAATTTTATTGAATGAGAACATGATGCAAACTTGGAATCTTGAACTAAATGCTAACTTTGGTATGGTTTTATTTTGACAAATTCAATTCATGGTGCCTGTTTATTTTAAATAGGAAGTTAAAGACTATTGTAGAGTTTTTTTTTTTAACATACCACCACTTTTCATCTGTAGAGTGCAGTGAGTACTACTGTATTTCAACTGATGTTAACCTTTGCATAATTTATGTAAATACTATCCTTATTAACAGCATTTACATTACTGACTGACCCAGAGGTAGCTGAAAAACCTCAGAAAAATACTGTTTCGCTCTTCTTTACTGAAGTGCTAAGTTAGTAATAACAGCCATACCCATTCACATGTGCCAGCAAACAGTCAGAGGCAAGGTATGTAATACAGTTCCTTGTGAAATAATATCTCACTTAAAACTTATACTGAATCCCAGCACTTTGGGAGGCCGAGGCGGGTGGATCATGAAGTCAGGAAATCGAGACCATCCTGGCTAACATGGTGAAATCCCTTCTCTACTAAAAATACAAAAAATTAGCTGGACGTGGTGACACGCGCCTGTAGTCCCAGCTTCTCGGGAGGCTGAGGCAGAAGAATGGCGTGAACCCAGGAGGCGGAGCTTGCAGTGAGCTGAGATCGCGCCACTGCACTCCAGCCTGGGCTGCAGAGCGAGACTCCGTCTCAAAAAAAAAAAAACTTATACTGGCCAACCTGCAGAGCTAGTGTGATAGTATTTAGAATAGGACTGACTCAGAGGTAGTTTAAAACCTCACAAAAACATTTTTTAGCTCCTTTATTGGAGAGGCAGTTCAGCGGTAATGACGATAGGCATTTGTTTATGTCAGGAAATATAAAAAGAGGTATGTGGTTTGTACTATCAAATATGTTTTCATATGTACATGATGATGTGCTGGTAAATATTTGACAGCAGGTTCTGTGAAGAAAATGAAAACCTTGATTTATAGTTTGCCGATTTTGATGGTGTAAATACTGCCACAAGCTACCAACAAAATAGTACTGAATGTGGAGTCGGGAAGAGACGTGCAGTAGCAGTAGATGTGGATAGTATTTTCACCATACAGAGGCAATAATATAAGTAACCTAAACAACAAAGATCATAGTGAAATGTAGCAACCTAATTAGAAGTGATGAGTGTTGGGTATTTATTACCTTTGTTTTTAATATAATAGTAAGTTTGTGTATTTTAAATAATGACTGTTTAATAACTGCCTCACAAAATTCCTGAAAATTTAACAATCAGCAGCACTTTTAAGTCAATATGAGGTGACGCTAGCACATCACTATATTTTAGTATGTGTGTACAAATATATTTACATATACACCCATATATATACACATACATAAGTACATACACACATATAATTATATCAACGTATAAAGATACCAGTGGTAGTTTGTGTGGAAAACGTTAACACGTACCATAATAGTTACTAAACTAAAGGTACGTATTTTCTCCTGACAACCATGTTGGGTTGCAATATGGAAATGAAATATACCAAAATTTGCTACATTAGCATACTCATAAGGTCTACAAACATCAGGGACTTTTCATACACACACACATACATATATATATATATATATATGTACATTCTTTTTTTTTTTTTTGAGAGGAGTCTCACTCTTGTTGCCTGGGCTGGAGTACAGTGGTGCGATCTTGGCTCACTGCAAGCTCCATCTCCCGGGTTCAAGCTTCTCCTGCCTCAGCCTCTTGAGTAGCTGGGATTATAGGCACACGCCACCATGCCCGACTAATTTTTGTACTTTTAGTAGAAACGGGGTTTCGCCATGTTGGTCAGGCTGGTCTCGAACTCCTGACCTCAGGTGATCCACCTGCCTCGGCCTCCCAAAGTGCTGGGATTACAGGCATGAGCCAACACGCCAGGCCCACATACATGTTTAATTCTGTGTCATTCAACTTTTATATGCTTCAGATTCTACTATGAAGATGAGTAAATGAATATTGTCCATTATATTTACAATAAAATTTTGGTATTACATTTGGAATACGACACTAAACAACATAAATTTTAGATAAAGGTTTTTGCTGCATTACTTAGAATTCCCCTCAGTACAAATTTCCTAATGAAAAGGTTTAATTTTTCTTGAATGCTTTCACATATTCAAACAAGAAGTCATTTTCTAGTAATTTCTGACATTCTTTGCTTTCTCTAATTTTTAAAAGTTGAACAAAAATTTGACAGGTGTATGAAGGCTTCTAACATTCAGGATGTGGAAAGACCTTTTGGCCTTGTGTGAATTCTCTGATGTTTGGTGAGAGCTGATTTTTCACAGAAGGTTTTCCCACATTCACTACATTTATAGGGTTTGTCTCCCATGTGAGTTCTTTGATGGACAATGAGATTTGACTTCACACAGAAGAATTTTCCACACTCATGACATGCAAAGGATTTCTCTCGTGTGTGTGTTCCCTGATGGACAGTGAAGGCTGACCTGGGGCAGAAGGATTTCCCATGTGCTTTGCATTCATAGGGCTTCTGCCCTGCGTGAGTTCTCTGATGTTCAGTGAGCTTTGACTTCGCACAGAACGTTTTTCCACATTGCTTACAGTCATAGGGCTTTTCTCCTGTGTGTGTTTGCTGATGGTTGGTAAGGTGTGGTTTCTGGCAAAAGGCTTTTCCCCATTCAGTACATTCATAGGGTTTCTCTCCTGTGTGTGTTCTCTGAAGCTGAGTGAAGTTTGACTTCTCCCACAAGGTTTTCCCACATTCACCACATTCGTAGGTTTATTTATCCTCACTCAGTGAGCTTTCCAAAGCTGAGTGAGATGTAACTTCTTGCTGAAATTATTCCCATTTTCATTGTGGTCAGAGGGCTTCCCCCCATGTGTACTATCTGATGTTTAAAGAGAGTTGAGTTTTCCCAAGTTTTGTCACTCAATTTATATTCATGGGGAATCTTTCTTGTGTAAGCTCCCTGACAGATCATGAAAGTTGAACTGTCACAGAAGATTTCCCATATTCATTGCATTCACAAAGATTCTCCCTTATAGGTTGGGCACGGTGGCTCACACTTGTAATCCCAGCACTTTGGGAGGCCAGGTGGGTGGATCACTTGAGGCCAGGAGTTTGAATCCTGCCTGGCCAACAAGGCAAAACCCCATATTTACTAAAAATACAAAACAATTAGCCGGGTGTGAGACCTGTAGTCTCAACTACTCAGGAGGCTGAGGCAAGAGAATCGCTTGAACCTGAGAGGTGGAGGTTGCAGTGAGCGAGATCCCACTGCTACACTCCAGCCTGGGCAACAAGAGCAAAACTCTCTGCAAAAAAAAAAAAAAAAAAAAAAGATTCTCCCTTATAAGAATTATCTGATCTGATGTCCAAATCTAAAATCAATACAGAAGGACTTCTCACAAATACTGCCTCCATATGGCTCCTTTTCCAAATGAGTTCTTTGAGCTTTCAACAGTGAAAGTTCTTCCACATTCATTATATTTAAAGTGTCTCTGCTATCCAAGATTAACTCTTATTTGTAAAAAAAAAAAAAAAAAAAAAAAGGCTGCCTCCTCATAGAAGCCTTGTCCATTTTTATTATACTCAAAAGGTTGGTCAAAAATTATCTGAGTGAGAGCCTGGTGATGATTAATGACATCCCTCTTTTGATCATATTTATACAATTTCTCTCCAATAGGAATTTTCTCAAGCCTAATACCAAGGAGTAATTTCTCACGTACATTAAATGCATCAGGCTTCTTTCTGGAACAGTTCTTTTGATCAATAATTAAACGCAAAGTATCTTTCAAACTCATTTCACACAAGTCACATATTTTATTAGGAAATGTTCTTGAAGAAACAGGGTTTGTACCCAAATTGGAAGTTTTTCTTACTCTATTACCACTTTCTATGCTTACTGTTTTGTTTTTGGTGAACACAAGCTCCCAAAAATACTTGTCTTGGTTTTCCTGGCTGCTCTCTGACAGGTCATCAACTTTCCAGTTCCTTTCTGGGTGGTACTGGCTTGGAAATCCTTCCTCTAATATTCCGGAGCCCCTTGCTCTATCTTGAAGATCACGTCTGGCTTAGTAATGCAACACCTGGCTGAGACCAGATTGCTGTAAGTTTCCAGAATCACATCTCTGGACAGCATCTTCTGAGCAGGATCCAGCAGATACCACTCTTGCTGGGTAAAGTCTATGCATACATCCTTGAATGACACTTGTTCTTGGGATTTGTTCATTTTCTGTGTAGTGGAGGAGAGAGAGGTCTCCATGTGTCACTCTGATATGTGTTGAGCTTAGAAATGACCCTTTTCAATGAGTGAATGTAAACATTTATTTCTTATTAATTTACTACCAATTTAGGTTCTCTCTCTTAAACTTGTTCCAGACCTCTCACCTGCACACACACTTCAATGGCTTCAGGATCCCACCACTCCCTTGTCATGTGCGACCAGAGGCCAGGGATTGTTTCCCATGAGGGACTGGAGGCTGGGGAAGGATGAGCCAGGAAGTTGGGGGAAGCCAGGGATGCACATGCATATCGTAGAGTTTTTTTCCCCAAAGCCCCAAAAGCCAGCCATGCAGAACATGCTGTGAAATTGCAAAGCTTGTTTGGCCAGCTTTAGCCCATCAGCCCTGCCTGGGCTATAGAAGAAGAGAAGAAAGAGATGAGGAGTCCAGTGAAGAGTAAGAAGCTGTTGGGGTACACCATGAGGGTGCTGGGCATTTCTGTGCCCACTATATAGAGATAGGGAAGGGAGCATGTTCCCTTCACCTGGAACCTAGTGAGGAAAGTGTTTGGAGAGCTGCTTGCAGAGATGTGTAAGAGTCTCCTAGAGCTTGGGGCTGGGGGGACAGGGACCAGTTTGAGACTCTCAATGAGAAGAGTTTGAAGGAGGGGGGCTGGGCCAATCACCTTTCTCTGACAGTAGAGTGGAGACAAGTGGTGGTTGTCTGAGCAAGCTGCATGTTGACGATAGTGAACCCCTTGGATGTGACTTCTGGAAGGAAGCCAGCCTAGAGTCATCCTCAAAGGGAGCTGGCTCAACAATCTTCTCATGGGGGAAGAGGGATTCTACCTTGGTAAGAGTTCTTAGTTGCAGATGACAGAACCACTGCCAGTCAGCCTAACTAGAAAGGAATTTATCAGAGGGCATTAGTGACTTAACAAAATATTGGGAATAAGTTCCTAGTCTGCTCCCCTAGGACCAAGTGTCAGAACCTCACCAGAGAGACTGTCCTGAGAAGGCAGCTGATGCCGGCCCTCCACTGACTCCAGGGCTGAGCGGCACCTGGAGACACCCACACCAGCATTATGGAAGCCACACCCACCTATGGACACACCCACCAGCACCGTGGAGGCCATGCCCACCTGCCTGTTTGCTCACGTTTAACTTCAGTGTGAAAGCCTCAACATGGTGCCTCTGATTCATAGAATCTTTGTCACTTGTTCATGCCCTGCACTAAGAGAACTGGAAAATGTTGTGTTTCCGGTTATTCTTTGGGAAGCTGAGTTCATACTGTTTGTGCATGCCAAATTATAAGAGGATGTGCAAAGGACAGTTGCCCACTTATCCTGATGGACAGGTTTTGGCTGCTAGAAGTCAGAGCTGAGTGGAGAGTTCAAAGCGGCCAGCTGAAGGACAGGAATCTAACCCTATGTCAAAAGGGTTAGATGTGGAGGTGCCCAGCAGGAGGTTTTCCAAAGAGACAGCCACAGAGCTACAGGAGAGTAAGAGTCTGCAGGGACATTCGCCATGCCACAGGGCACCAATGCCCTGAGTAGCTTCTCCCTTCAAGTAAGTCGTGTCCTCCATCCCCTCCTCCTGTCCCCCTATGCTGGACCCCAAAGGTCCATAATCAGAAACTAACGAATGGGGTAGGAGATGGAGTAAGAAGTACAGAGAAATTGAAATGTAAGAAGTACAGAGAAATTGAATTGTAAGAAGTACAGAGAAATTGACCCCCTTGCCTACGGTAGGGGTAAATTTCTACTGTGTTGGGGAATGGGTAAGTTTTAACTAGGGGAGGAGCTTGCAGTTTTGATTATTTGGTTATTACACTGGATGGATCTCCTTAATGTTTGAACATGATGTGAAGACCATTTTATTATCTAAGAATGACGGAGAAAGCTATGGGATCTCACTTAAGGTTTCATCCCAGAGTAGGGAAGAAGAGGGCCAAAGAGCACATTGATTGGGCAATGGGAGAATGAATAAGGTGATTCTGTCTGCTTTCTGGCAAGTCTGGTTTATTCAATCAGTTGGTTATAAGAATTATTGTTATAAAGATATATTTATTGTTGCTTCAACTTTAATCGTTTTTTTTAATAATGTCAATTGAGAATACAGGAGGAAGTATATATATATATATAGAGAGAGAGAGAGAGAGAGAGGAAGGTGGACAGGCACAGTGGCTGTATATATATATATATAGAGAGAGAGAGAGAGAGAGAGAGAGACAGAGAGAGAGAGAGAGAGGAAGGTGGACAGGCACAGTGGCTGTATATATATATATATATATAGAGAGAGAGAGAGAGAGAGAGGAAGGTGGACAGGCACAGTGGCTATATATATATATGTGTGTGTGTATATATATATATGTGTGTGTGTATATATATATATATATATATATATATATATAGAGAGAGAGAGAGAGAGAGAGAGAGAGAGAGAGAGGGAGAGAGAGAGAGGAAGGTGGACAGGCACAGTGGCTCATGCCTGTAATCCCAGCACTTTGGGCAGCCGAGGCAGGTGGATCACTTGAGGTCAGGAGTTCGAGACCAGCCTGGCCAACATGGTGAAACCCCATCTCTTCTAAAAATACAGAAATTAGCTGACATGGTGGCCATGCCTATAATCCCAGCTACTTGGAAGGCTAAGGCACAAGAATCATTTCAACCTGGAAAGTGGAGGTTGCAGTGAGCCAAGATCACACCACCGCACTCCAGCCTGGGCAACAGAGCAAGACTTTGTCTCAAAAAAAAAAAAAAAAAAAAAAGAGGAAGGCAAGAGAGACATTCCTAAATTCTTGTTGCTGGTGTTTTTAATCCCTTCTGGCTAGTGAGGAAGAGTAAGAATGAGGGATCAGCCTGGGTGTGGAGCTCACTTTCCAGACAAGGACAGACTTTATAGTGCCACTGTGCCATCCTCTTTATAAGTGTTAGTGTCTTTTATCCCCAGAAGAGCCCCAGGAGGTAGATATAATCACCCCTACTTTGTGGGTAAGGAAACTGAGCTTGGACAGGTTACACACTGTGTGCAAAGCCACATAGCTTTCAACAGTGGAGTGGGGGACTCAATCCCTTAATCTTACTTTACTGCCCAGTTCATTCTTGCTGAGTCTTAGAAGATGTGTCTATCCCAGTCTGGTTCCTTTAAGAGGCCACTCCCCTTACCAGAACATAGCTGGTTTTTATTGAGCACTTGATATTTAAGTCACTGTTCTATGCATTTTATGCTTTTCTCATTTAATACTCCCATAAACCCTATAAGATAGGTAATATTCCTCTCCTCATTTTACAAAATGCAGAGAGTCAGGCAAACTTGCCTGGAAACCATGCAGCTTGTAAGTGGTGGAGTGAGGGTTTATTTTCAGGCAACCTGGCTCTAGCGCAGACTTTGTTTTTTTGGCTTGGAATTCTGTCATTTTTCTCAGTATAGTGCAGACTCCTAACCACCAGGCTTTGACATCATGGAATGCACCAAGGCTGAATTAAAAGGCAAAGGGAACTGCCCACTGATTCTCAGCCTTCCAGGAAGAGAGTGGGAAGTCTTCTCTCTTCTGTCCCTTCTTCTCTTGCCTACCTCTGCAATTTTCTCCCACCTCGTGGGAGGGTTCAAGGAGAATTGTCACTTCCGTCTGAGCCCTGGATGCCATTCCCCATTCTTCCTCTAGGAGTTTGATCCAAATAAACCCTCTCTACCATGTCTTCAAAACCACCTCCTACTCTGATTTAAGAGCTAGTGGCAGAAAATGTCTTAGAGGACAAACTGTCTCCATGGCCCATTTTGCCTGGAGAAAATGTCATCTGGGCAGCCACACTGGATGAGGAGAGACATAAAAATGTAAATGGCTCAACAGAAGAAATAAAAAATAATTTGCTGAGGTTAGCTGTTGGGGAAGAGGAGGGTCTTGACACATTACACGATGAAGCAGGAGCCCAAGGAGGAGAAAGAACCAAAGGGAATCTTCTTTTTCTTTTTTGAGACAGGGTCTCTTTCTGTTGCCCAGCTTGGAGTACAGTGATGTGATCTCAGCTCACTGCAACCTCCGCTTCATAGGTTCAAGTGATTCTCTTGCCTCAGCCTCCCAAATAGCTGGGACTACAGGTGTGCACCATCATACCTGGCTAATTTTTGTATTTTTAGTAGAGATAGGGTTTCACCATGTTTGCCAGGCTGGTCTCGAACTTCTGACCTCAAGTGATTCCCCCACCTTGGCCTCCCAAAGTACTGGGATTACAGTTGTGAGCCCCCACACCTGGACCCAAAGAGAAGCATCTGAGGGCCACGTTGGCCAAGGGACTTTGAAGAAAGAGACTCACATTCAGTGCTGCGGTTTTCTATAACAAGCTACGCTATAATATCCGCTGTTTCCCAACCCTTGCGTGAAGTCTGCTGTGTGTTGTCTTGAACTGGTGGCACTTTGAGAAGCCAAACATTTGAAGTGGTGTCCTGCAGGCAGTACCTTGGGGAGAGGCACTGCTCTTCTGGAGGGTGGAAGCTGAGATGGAGGATAGAGTGGAAGCAGGGCCCTGAGAGGATTTGAGAAAACATGAGTTACCTCTCCTTTCCAAGGCACTTTGGTGTGTTAGGAGGAGTCCTGAATTTGTTAGGGCATGTGGGATGGGCACTTGAGACTATTTTTACCTAATTCACAATCCAACAGTGAACATTATTTGAATTATTTCAATACCAGACTAAACTTGACCTCAGCTACCTGAAGTACTTGGGATTGCCCAGAGTTGAATCTCTCCTTACCCCATGCTCTCAATTCTTTTTTACTACTGACTTTTCAACTCATTCTCAGTCTCTGCCTTCATAAGCCTCTCCCATTTACCACAGAATTTACTTTCTCCTCTGCTGTAACCTTGGCTCCATTTCCTGGCTTCTGTTTTTCTCTCTCCTTTGCAACTCATCAGTTCAAAAAGATTTCCTGGATAAAAAATTTCCCCTAGGTCAGTCAGCTCCTGGAAACCCCCCTTCTGTTTCCTTCTCCACCCTCACTCCTCATTCAGTCTCTCCCAGGTCCATGTGCAAAACTGGGAAGAAACTGGAATTTCTGTAGATGTAAGGGAGAGGGTGCATTGGTCAGAGTCCAGCTGCAGAGAGCAGAATACATTCTAGCCAGTTTAAAGGAGAAAGGGATTAAGGGGTATTCAGTGACTTACCAAATTACTGGGGAGGTTGTTTATAGGACCAGCTAGCAAAGGCATACTACAAAACAGCGACACCAAGGCAGCCACAGAATCTCCCATAAACATGATGCTACTCACAAAATTTGAAAGCTCCTGCAAAAGCTGCGTGCTCTAGAAATACCCCATCCGAGCCACAATCAGGAAGGCAGTAGAAATGGGATACACAGACAACAACATGACCAGGTGATATGCCATGATAAGGAAGTCCCTGCTATTTGGCAGCTTCAGAATTTTGACATATCTGCTACAATCCACACTTGTAAAATAGATGGCTGAGGCCTGGGTACTGAGACTATACTAATTCTGCCGTAGTGGTGTTTGCCTCCAGAAATAACAGAAGCAGAAGTGAGGCATTCATCTCACTAACCATCTCAAAGCTTTCACTAGTGATTCCAATTAGTAGAATCCAAATATCTAGAACTCTATTGCAAGATAGCCTGGAAAATACTGTTTGACTTTCTGACCCTCTGCTGTACAGGCAGACACACAAAAAGGCGGGAAGGGATGTTATGTTTGAATGAATTGTGTTTACTACAGTGGGTTATCTCTGCTCTTCAGTGGCTCTTCTGGATCCCCTTCTCTAAATAGATTTATTGCCCACCTCTTTGGAATGACAGAGGATAGTCCTGTTTGGCTCTGGGAAGGATGACTCATAATCAGGCTATTATTTATCACAGATTGCATCATAGCCTCTTCCAACTTGTTGCCACAAATTTAGTAATGGCTAAGGGTAGATAAATCGCACTCCATGACACTGGACCATTGCACAGATTTGCTTGCAGTCCACACCATAGATGGCATGGCGGCCACCTTGTAGATCTCTTTTTGGGGCAGAGATCAAAATCAGAAAGAATAAAACCCTTCAGACTTTTTTTCTAGGAAAATAAAAGTAACAGGTCAACTTACTTTCAGCACCATGTTTGAATGATCTTCATCTCTCTTGCAGCTGGAAACAGCACACACTATCTTTTCTCATGTTTTTGTTCTTGTTTTTTTGTTTCAATCTTTCCGTGTTCTCCAGTTATGTCCAGTTGGTTCTAGTCATTAGTAGAATCTTCCTGAGCTAGTCCAGTTCCACTGGAAACAGGAAATACTGGAAACCTCACTAGAAAACAGAGTCCACTTCTGGCCTAGTTTTGCCAGAGTTTTGATAAGCCTCCAAAGTTTTGGTTGTTTATTCAGATTGAGCTTCTGAATCTCTTGAGATTCACCCCTTGCAACTGGTAAGCCAACAGCCTGCAGGGAAAAAAAAAATCACACATTTTCTGGCCGATCCTTGGAAAAATGTCTGCCTTTTCTCTGCCAGATTTACCAATTTACATGTGCTCCAAAGCTGAGGCCAACTGGTTGAAACTGGAGAGCTAATTTTTAACAATTGAACAACAGTGAAAATTATTTGAATTATTTCAATACCGGACTAAAGTTTATTTATTCTTACTTAAGGTTAAAGGGAATATGTGGATTATTAAAAATTTTAGGGATTGAGCCCAAAAATACACTTTTCTGCAGGAGCTGGATTTTTTTAAAAGAAAAATATAATTTAAAATTTATAATAAACATCAGGGATTGGATCATAGAGTCAAAGTATTTGTATTTAGAAGGGAACTTGTGGGTTCCAATATTCCCGATAGGTTATCTTCTGTTATCTTGGGTAAGTGGGTGTTACTGCAAATATGATTTGGGTTTTCATCCAATGTTAGAAAATTCTTGGCAAAACACAAGGATGCATTTGTTTAGAGGAAGGTAATAACATTTATTACAAAAAAAACCCATGATATTAAAGTATCTCTTCATAAGGATTTGATGTTGGTTCAAATTGTGAGACTAGTTATATGAAGTTGTGAATGTTATACATTCTTTCTGAGTTTATTTCTTAATCAGTATGTAATTCAACCTTTTCTATTCTCACCAACATGTTGCTTAAAACAGCTGAATTTAAGGATGATAAAGAATATTCCATCAAGCCAATGGAATATTCCTCAAATATTTCTGAGAGTCTTAGGGTGCCTTTCATTAACCCCTATACAAATCCACTTAGCTATCACGTCAAACATCATGTGGAATGCACTTTTCTCTTTAATTTTTGATGGGTACCTTTATTTCTGATGGCTGCTAGTGAACAGTGCTGTCTCGTGATATGCAGCACCTCTCCAATGGTATATTTGTCCTGGTGTGGCCATCAATATACTGCATGCCTTGATGTGTCAAAACTATAAGGTGGTTTGTAGCTAAGTGCAGATAAGACTACCTCATTCTGTGTATTACTTAGGATGTTTGTGGTTGAGAATTAATAGAAAACTCAACCAAATATGGCTCAAACAAGTGGAAATTGTCTGTTGAACAATAAAGTAGGTGTCCAAAGGTAAGAAAGTATATGTATCTGTGAGGATTAGGTTAGGTAGCAAGAAACAGAGACTGAAACTAACAGTGGCTTAAACAAGCTTTGTTTCTCTCTCACATATAGGCCAGAGATAGGAAGGCCAGGGCTTCTATAATAACAGCACTCAATAGAATCTGGAGAAACTTTCGTCTTCTTCTAGACTCCTTCCAGCTCTGCCATTTCCTAAATCAGTGTGGCATTGTCCCCATGGGCTGAATTGGTAACTAGAGCTCCAGCCATTGTATTCATGCTCCCAGCAACTGAAAGAAGAGAAAGATGAAGATGTTCGTGACCCAGCATTCTTGTAATGGAGGTTCCCAGAAGTTGCCACATGACTCTTGTGTTTATATTCCCTCAGCCAAAGCTCAGCACATGGACACACCAAACTGCAGAGAGATGATATCTTTACTCTGGATGGCCAGGTGCTCAGCAAAACCAGCTTAGCAAAACCCCATGGAAAATGGGGAGAACAGTTTTGGGTGGAATTGTTTCTGCCAAAGCACCTTTCAGGTTGTTGACTACCATGGACTTCAACTCTGTTTTCTTGTGAGTCTCTTGGCTTTGCCTACTCAGTGTTCAGTTTTGTTTTAATTTGGTAACAAAACAATTGAAGCAGTTTCAGAACATGCCCGTTGTGACTGTGTGCAGAGAGAAGAGGTGGCTTCCAGACATTCTCCTAAAGGAATGTGAGATAATTTTCTCACAAGACCCTATCAAAGCTGGATGGAGTCTTGCTCACTTTTGAGCCAGTCAATGGCAAAGGGGTAAAGATTACTCCTAGATGGGTCAAGTGCACCCCCTGACTGGGGATGGGGCCCGTTTCCCCAGAGTAAGCTTCCTGGTCAAAAAGGAAGAGTAGATAACTGAACAAAGTTGGGGTTATGTTAGGAAAAACAAAGAGAGAGAATAGATGTTGGGCAGGGGACTCTCTGGTCTGGGCCAGAGAAGGGTGGCACTAAAGCCCACTGTTTCTGGCTCATGGGCACATGCAGCTTCCAGAGAAATGACTCTTAAAGTTTTATTTATTTATTTATTTACAGGGTCTCACTCTGTCACCCAGGCTGGAGTGTGGTGGCCCAAACATGGCTCACTGCAGCCTTGACCTTCCAGGCTCAAGCAATCCTCCCATCTCAGTTTCTTGAGTAGTTGGGACTACAGGCAGGCGCCACCACACCTGGCCAACTCTCTTTTGAAAATTTTTTGTAGAGATGGGGTCTTGGTATATTGCCCAGGCTGGGTCTTTGTGTTATTTATTAATGTAGTTGTTGTTTTCTTTTACATTCCCTTGCCGTCTCAGGACCCAGACATGAATCCTATGGATAGGTCCAGGGATGTCAATAGCAGGCACCACATTCTGCTGACCTCTAAAATAGGGTATTCATAACCTGGTCAAGATCACTGTGCTCAGCTCTCCCTTCCCTTAGTGTGAGTTTCCTGTCATAAATTTCTTCACTCTTTCATGCAAACAGATTCCACAGGGCATAGCAAGATGGAGAGAGCTCCTATCCAAGTTGAAACCTACATTATATATAAAATGGGAATAGTAGTCACTCATCCCAAAAGGTTGTTATGAAACTTAAATATATGGCCTTTGAGTGTAGGTTCTCACTTCTTCACACCATCAAATCCCCAGACAGCAGGATATAAAGCATGGTAGTAAATAACACATAGTTAAATGTTTTGGCATTAGATCAAACAAGATAGCACATGTAGATGCTTAGCATACAGTAGGCATTTTAAAAATGTGAGTTGTTTTCCTGCAGAGGCTCTTGATGTCATTTGTCACACCTATTTCAGGGGAATTTCAATACCTGTGGACTGTGTCCTGAGTTCCTGGTTTATATCTAACATCAAAGCCAAATTAATTTTTAAACTACCACCAAACTCATGTCCCAGGCTGAAACATATAGGAAGATGATTTCTTTAATTTTTTCCTGGGACAGGAACAAATCCAACAGCAAAGAAAGAGTATTCTTTCACTGTCACCCAGTGGAGAGAAGTTCTGTTGAGGTTGCAAACATGAAGAGTTGAGTCCAGTGTGGCGAGCACTAAGCAATATGGAAATCAAACAGCCCTGGGTAAATTGGCTTGACGCTTGCAGTAGTTATCGAAGGAAACATTATTTTAATGAAGAAAGAGGTCATTGTTAGTAAATGCGATTTAACTATAATGAGGTTGTAAAAACTTGCATTTTATTATTGATCCTACAAGAACTATAAGAAAAGAAATCATAGGAATTATAGGTGACTTTCTTTTTATTAGGCAATTATAGTTTTTTCAGACAAAGCATGGATGTTTTCTGAGGTGTTTAAACTTTGTCTAATCATGTAAAAATTATCATAGAGCATTTGCAGTGTTCTTTTTTTTTTCTTTTCTATTTTGAAGGGGAGTTGCCCTGTAGGTGCTTCGTATATTGGCCATAAAGTGTACTCTTAATGGTAAAGCCTCCCTGATGTAAGTTTATATATTTGTTCCCACAAGGCATTGGCATCTGTTAAATCAAATTGTATTAAGTTATTTGCTAGGAGCAATGTGAAAGTCTGCTTCATCCAATAGAGTTGATTTTATTTTTTTTATTCCCCAGGAAGATGACTTCAGTCAGTCATTCCATACCTAGGGTGAGATCGGGGTAATCACTCCCAGGAGTTGGTTAGAAGTTGGACTCCCCTCTCTCCTCAAGCCTTATTCAATGGTGGCTCCTCCCTGGGCCTGGAGCCTAGGCCCAATCTTGGGAAAGAAATTTCTCTGTAGAGTTCACCAGAAACGACGTAAAACTTACAAACCAGATTTTTTCCTTTGGAAAAGTTGCTAGCTTTTTACCAAGTTCTTTTACACATCAAAATAATTTCTCACTTCTGCATTATATTCACTTCTAATTTTGAATTTCTCATTTGCTCCTCCATGAGCATCCGTGGATCATGGTTTTGCAGTGATGAACAGGACCGAGAAGGCCTCTGCCCTCACATGGCTCATGTGTTGAAGAAAGAGACAGACTGAAATTGAGTAAAGAGAAAAGTAAAAAACTATGATAATAGCAGATCATAAAAGTGCTAGAAGAAAGTGAAACAAGATAAGGTGGTAAAGAGTGTTTGAGGGTCACATGAGCTGGAGTGCTCCAAAGGCCTCTCGGAGGAGGTGACGTTTGCTCTGGGACCTGGTTGAAGGTATTCTGTCACTCTCTACCTTAAATCACAGCCATTAATTTTAATCTTCCATTCTAGATTCTAAGTTCCTTAAGGGCACTGTCTTTCTCTAACTGATCTTTGTTTCCTCCAGAGCTCACAGCCTTATGCCTTCTACTTGGGAGGTGTTCAATCAACAGTCGCTAAATGAATGACAATGATCTCATATTGACCCATAAAGCCCTCAGAGCTAAGAATTGTTACCCACATATACAGAGTGGCCAAGTCACTTGATTAATGTAGTAAGTGAGGTACCACCACTCCATCATGCTTTTCTTTCTGGAAGCCCATAGATAGTTCTTTAGAGCAATGTAAATATAATTTTAGGTAGGGGATTTCATGCTTTTTGAAATTATGGAAATACCAGTTTAAAAAATACAGAACACCACTACAAGATCAAAAAGTTGACAATTCTTCACTCTGACTGCTGGGAGATGATGTTTTAGGTAGGATACAGAACAGGAGAATGAAACTATATCTAGGATATAGTTGTCAGTTTTTGAAGCCTCTGAGTGGAGAGCTACTTTAGGTCACAGACATAAAAGGTTTGGAAGTTTACAATTTAATTCTAATTATCTAGGACCTAGAAAAGTCCAACATTTTCCATGAAGTGGTACTGGGAAGTGGGGAAGTAGTATTGTGGAAATTCAGGATGCAAATGAGGAAAACCCTTCAGTTACCATCTGGTTTACACTGATATGACTTCATTGCTCTTTAGTGACATTTACTGGACTTTGTGAGATTCACCTTTTAACCTACATTGGTGTATTAGAGTTCTCCAGAGAAACAGAACCAATGGGATATATATAAATGAGGGAGTTGCTTTTATTACTAGGAATTAGCTCACACAATTATGAGAAGTTCCAAGATCTGCTGTCTGCAAGGTGGAGAGTCAGGAGAGCTGATGGTATAGTTGTAGTGCAAGTCCAAAGCCCTGAGAGGTAGGAGAGCTGATAGTGTAAGTTTCAGTCTGAGTCTGAAGGCCTGAGAACCAGAAGAGCTACTGGTGCAAGTTCCAGTCCAAGTCCCAGAAAAAAGGCTGGAGAACACTGATGTTCCAGCTTGAAGACAGTCAGACAGAGAGCAAATTCTCCTTTATTGAGTCTTTTGTTCTCTTTAGGTCTTCCATTGATTGGATGAGGCTCACCCACATTGTGGAGGTCAATCTGCTTTACTCAATCTATCAATCCAAATGTTACTCTCATCCAGAAACACCCCCACAGACATACTCAGAACAATGTGTAACCAAATAACTGGGCACCCTGTGGCCCAGTCAAATTGACACATAAAGCTAACCATCATAGATGGAAATCTATGGTTCTAAGGGAACCTATCCCAGGAAGATATCCACAGGTAGGGTTTTGCGAACTATTGATCAGAAGATAAACATTTCATTGCAGAAGGAAAATGTATGAAGCTTAGATTACAGCGATGGAATGTATTAAATTTGGGAATCTAGGAAAATTTGCACCAAAGAACAAGACATTGTGGGAGAGCAGAGAAGAGGCTGTTGGATGTTCGCATTATTTTGAGTGCAGCAGTGCAAAGAGCCAAGAACACAATGGGCATTCAGTTAGAAGGAGCATGCCTGGTACTGTCCCCTCGTGTGAATGACATTGTCATGAGAAAAGCCACCTGCAAATGAAGGAAGCTCTCATTAGGAGCGGGCAACAAGGAGTCCAGGAACATCAATTTGGGAAAGGTCTGTTGATGAATTTAGGGAAGGTTTATGTAATGAGCACAGGATCAGATTACAAGAATCTTATAGTGCAAATCCAAATAATTGTACTTGAGGATGAAGATTCAGAAACTTCTTGAACAATGCAGACCTGGTACGGTTCTTGCTGACTCGGTCGCAGGCAGTATAAACTTAATACACATTGCTTCACTTTTTCCACATTGTGTTTTTCCTGTACAGAGGGCACCAGGAACTATTCCTCTCATGACTTTATTAGATCAGCCTGAAGTATCAGCAACTATCCCAAAAGTTATGGGATAGGATAACTTGCTGCTATTACTACCTTTCCTGCTTCTCACTGCTACCCAGGAGAGTCTAGTCCACCAAAAATGGTTACAATCAGGTGATAGGCAACTTCCTGGTACTTACACCCTTGGACAATCCCCTTCCCCTGAGTGTGAGTTGGACTCACTAACTTTTAACAAATAGAATATGGCAAAAGTCATGAGATGTAGTTATGAAAAGATTAGGTTATAAAAAGACTGGCTTCCAGACTCTCTCATTCTCTCTTTTAGATCCCTTGGCATAAGGAAAGCAAGCTTCCCTGTTGTGAGCAGCCCTATGGAGAGGCCCATGTGGCAAGGAGCTGGCATCTCAAGCCAGCAGACAGCAAGAGCCTGAGGCCTGCCGACAGTCACGTGGGTAAGCAAGGAAGTGGACCCTTCCCCAGCTGAGCCTTCAGATGACTGCAGCCTCAGCTGACATCTTGGTTGCAGCTTCAGGAGATACCCTGAGTTGGAAGACTTCAGTTAAGCCTTAACTGGATTCATGACTCACAGAAACTGTGAAATAATAAATGTTGTTTTTAGCCGTTAAGGTGTGGGATAGTTATGCAACAATAGATAACTAATACATATAGAAAGAAGGGGAGATCAACAGAGATACATGAAAGAGAAAGAAAATACTTCAATGAAGACTTCCAACTTGCAGTAAATTATAAAACAGCACATCACTAAACCTACAGAGCTGTGCTTCTGAAAACCACACTCATCACCTGAGACATTTCTTTAAACTCTTTATAAGATGTAAGGGACTTAGTACTCCTAAAAATATTTTTCTGCTTTCTATCACTTTACTGATATTCTCTGTTTAGGGAGAAATTGTTCTTACATATTATTCTTTACTTATTTAGACAATTTCCTGGGTTCTTTGAACATATTTAAAACAATTGATTTGAAGGCTTGGTCTAGTAAGTCCAAAATCTAGGCTTCTGCCGAGACAATTTCTATGACTACTTTTCTTCTCTGTGTGTAGGCCATACTTTTTTGTTTCTTTGCACATCTTGTATTTTTTTGTTGTTGAAACTAGGCATTTTAGATAATATAATGTGGCAACTCTGGAAATCACATTCTCCTCCATCCCCCTGGATTCACATTGTTGTATTGTGATATGGCTTAGCTATGTCCCCACCCAAATCTCACCTTGAATTGTAATAATACCCTTGTGTCAAGGGTAGAGATAATTGAATCACTGGGGGCCATTTTCCCAATACTGTTCTCATGGTAGTGAATAAGTCAAATGAGATCTGATGGTTTTATAAATGGGAGTTCCCCTACACAAGCTCTCTTGCCTGCCACCATGTAAGACGTGCCTTTGCTTCTCCTTTGCCTTCTGCCATGACTGCGAGGCCTCTCCAGCCATGTGGAACTGTGAGTCCATTAAACCTCTTTCCTTTATAAATTATCCAGTCTCGGGTATGTCTTTATTAGCAGAGTGAGAACAGACTAATACATATTGTTTCTCCACTTTGTGACTTCTCTGAATTAATTCTGTCAAGTCTGTATTCCTCATCGTCATTAATTCCTTTATTGTTCTGCCCACCCACCAATATTCATTAGCAAGTCATTAGGAGAACCTCTCAGCTCTAGCTCTAAAATCTGTGCCCTTTCCTCCAGCTGCACTGCTACCACTCCAGCCCAAGACACCTGCTTCTCTCTTCTAGGATTCTCCCCAATGGACTTCTTGCTTCTGCCTTACCCTTCCATCTTCTGTTCTCCCCACAGCATCCAGGATGGTCTTAGGTTATAAAAAGACTGGTTTCTACTTGGTATCCTCCACCAAGGCTAGTACTGTGCTTTGCACATAGTAGATGTTTAATCAATGTCTACTTACACACAGTAAATACACTTCTGTTACTCTTCTGCCTATTCCCCTCCAGTGGCTTCCCTTCCAGAGCCCCTGAGGGCCTGGCTGATGCGGCCCCTCTCTACCTCTCACATCTCCTGTCCTTCCACTCTTTTCCTTACTTCCTGTACTCCAGCTCCCTGGTTTTCCTTCAATTGCTCAGACACACCAGGCTGACTTTCATTTCAGTGTTCTTCAACTTTATCCTTTCTTGCTTGGAACATTCAGCCCAACACCTTCTTGTGATTACCTCCTTTGTATTAGGGACTTCTCAGCTCCACTATCACATGCTCAGAGAGGCCTTCCTTACCATGCTGTCTAATGGAGAGACTCTCTCCAAGTCCATTTCAACCCCATGGTCCTGTCTGATGACAATCACAGCAGCTGTTAGTTTGGAAATTATCTTGTTTGTTTAATTGGTTGTCATAGTGATACTCTACCTTTTTCTTGAGAATATAAACATCACAGGAGCAGGGATCTTAACTGTATTATTTCCCAGCATCTGGACAAGTGCTTAGCACATAGAAAGTAATAAGTGCTCAATAAGGTATTTGTTGCATGAATGAAGGAATAAATGAATGGGCATACATGCTAAAGTAGTAAAGCAAAGTGTGTGGGCTCAGATCCACATTAGGAGGAAGGACTGAAATAGTAATAGTAGCCATAGTAATAACTACTATAAAAATATCAGATATGACTAGTCTCTGGGAGCGATCTTCATTGTCATCTCATTTTCCATGAAAGAAAACTTGGTTTTTTGTCACATCCTCCCTCCACCAAAAAAGAAAAAAAAAAAAAAATCAAATTTTACCAAGTTTTAGTCAGTAACAGTAAATATAGCACTCGGCATGTGCCAGGCTTATTACAAGCCTCTTGCATGCACTAACACATTTAACTCTCACAAGAACTTTATGGGGTAGGTGCTATTATTATCTTTGTTGTACAGATAAGGAAACCAAAGCATGAAGATGTTGGATTAAATCATGCAGAGTTGCATAGCCCAAAGTCACCGAGCCAGAGGTGGGAATGGAGCCGGGGCGGGGGGGAAATGAGGCACTCTGGCTCCTGAACCTGTGTTCTTAGCCACCACACCAAGGGCTGAGCTAGTGAAGACACTGGAGAGAAATGGTGGAGAGTGGTCCATCACACGGAACAAGGCACAGTAGTAGAAATCCCTGCTAACCCTCTTAATTCTTCCTGTGTTGTTTCGTTTCAGCCAATAGCTGCTCTGTTGCCTCATCAGCTCCCCGAAATGGACCCTGTCACTTGATGGGGACGATTGCCTTCTAATCACACTAATCACACTCATCATTCCACTTAGTATGGATGTTCAAAGGATCCTCCCTTAGAACTAGTGGAGGATGATAAATTACTTTTCCCAACACAAATTTGTTTATTCCACTGTCACAAGAATAATGATATTCAAGTATTAGGATTCGGGGTTGTGGTTGTGAGAGATGTAATAACGTTTATCTTTCTAGTTTGGTTTCTTCCTCTAAACAAAAAAGTATCGTAATTCCAATTAAATTTCTCTTCCTTCTCTCCTTCTCACCTTCCTTCCTTCCTTCCTTTCCTTCCTTCCTTCCTTCCTCCTCCTTCTTCTTCCTCTTCTTCTTTTCTCTCTCTCTCTCTCCCCCTCCCTCTCTCTCTTTCTCTTTCTTTAATATGAAATGGGGTCTTACTACATTGCCCAGGATGTCAAACTCCTGAACTCAATAAATCCTCCTGCTTTAGCCTCCTGAATAGCTGGGATTCAGGTATGAGCCACCGTGGTTGGCTTAAATATACTTCTTGACCACAGAAAAACTGTTTACTCTCTGGCTTTGTCCTTAGTTGTATCTGAGAAACAAAGGTATCCCATAAAATAAAGACAAAAGCGTAAATTAGAAAAGGAAGAAGCCAGAGAAATGCAAATTAAAACCACAATGAGATATCATTTTATACCAGTCAGAATAGCTATTAATAAAATGACAAAAAACAACAAATGTTGGCAAAGATGAGAAAAGGGAAGGTTTTATACACTGTTGGTGGGAATTAGTATAACCTCTATGGAAAATAGTATGGAGATTTCTCAAAGGACTAAAAATAGAACTACCATTAAAACCAGCAATCCCACGATTGGGTATCTGCCCAAAGAAACAAAAATCATGACACAAAAAAGACTTGTATGTTTATTGCAACACCATTCACAATAGCAAAGATATGGAATCAACCTAAGTATTCATAAATGGAGGACTGGATAGAGAAAATGTGTTACATACACAGTGGAATACTATTCAGCCAAATAAAAGACTGAAAGCATGTCTTTTGCAGCAAGATGGGTGGAATTGGAGGCCATTATCTTAAGTGAAGCAACTCAGAAACAGAAAGACAAATATTGCATGTCTTCACTTATAAGTGGGGGTTAATAATGTGTACACATGGACATACAGTGTGGACTGACAGACGATGGAGACTTGAAAGGCTGGGGGTGCTGGGGGTGAATGATGAGAAATCACTCAATGGATACAATGTATGTTATTTGGGTGATGGATACATTACAACCTCTGACTTCACCATTATGCAATAGATCCTTGTAACAAAATGACACTTGTACCCCATAAATTTATTTAAAAATTTTTTAAAAGAAACTGGCACAGAAATAATATCCTCTAGTAACCATTAAGTGTGAAAAAAAAATGCTTGAAAATGTTGACCCTTGGGAAGGAGGGATATTGAAGGTCTTGGCATGTGTTCCTGTCTATGAAACACATTAAGTCACAGACATGTCTCCCCCACCCACATAAACTGAGGAACATCTATCTGTTTAGGAAATAAGCTGTCCTAGGTAACCACCACTCCCATCCTACCACCCTTGGCCTTTTGCTTGGTGGCCTGGTTTGTCCCTGGGCATGCCCACAGACCTCTTAGCTCTAGATGTGATGATCAAAGGGAAGGTCTTAGCTCATCAACCGTGGGACCCAGAATGACCTGCTCTGGATAAGCCTGAGCAGCTCAGGAGGGACCTGGCATTTTGTCAAGTATATGGGCTAGAAACTAGAGTATTGCATTTATTTAGGCAAAGGCATTAAGCCGCAAGTATTTCACTTGATAAATTGGGTGATTTAGACCATATTTATACTCTGGATTTCTGGGAAACAATAACAAAGCATAATAATCAAATGTAGAAATTTTTGAGGATGAAATCATTTTTATAGAATGTTAACTTTGGAAAGCCCTTCAAGGTCTTCCAATGCTGTCCATTTACCAAATGGAGGAAGAGCGAGATCTGGAAGTAAACTGACTTGCTGTAGCTAGCTGGTGGCAAACTAAGCCTCAGAAAACCCAATACAGTGCCCCTTGCACCACAAGATGCCACTCATCACAAAAACTTGATTTCACCCAGCGTTCCAGCAGAATCATGTGGACTGAATAATAGCTGGTGCCACACATCAGCCCAAAGACGGTCATTTGTAAAAAGCCAAGCCCATCTAGAGCTTAACTAAAAAGCACAAATGTGGTAATGGAACATTCCTCTTGATCTCATGCTCCCAGTTACCAAATGTCCTATTACTTCTATTTCCTTTTTTAGACACTTGGTTACAAGAGATGTCTGTACCTGTTGTTTCCTCTTGTTTTCACCGTCTATGACTAAGTAAAATTTCCTGGCTAGACATCTCTTTAACCCCCTGTAAATTGGCTTCTTTTTTTCACCACTTTGATAAAGCTGCTTTGGCAAAGGTCATCGACGGTTTTAATTACCAGAGATGATGGCAGATTTCCATACCTTTCCTTTTTTTTTTTCTAGAACTCTCTGCTGCATGTGCTACTGTTGGTCTTTCCTCCACCTTGCAGAGGTCCTCCCTGGCTACCTATGAGGTTGCTTCTTGCTCTCTTCCTATTTCCTTGAACATTTCTTCTCTGTCTCCTTTTGCAGTCACCTCCTAACCACCTAAAATTCTTGTTCACCCCAGACTTGTTCTTGTTTTATTATTTTACTGCTTTCTTGGAGATATTTCAGTCAACCTCAATGTTTTAATCTTCATCTGTTTTGGTTATATGTTGCTACAACAGACCACCTGAAATTTAGTGGTTTCAAACAGTAACAAATTAGTATCTTCACAATCTTTTGGGTTACCTGGGTGAATATTCTTTGTGCAGTATTGGCTAAGGTGCTAACAGGGTTGATTGCTCAAAAATAGCCTCACTCATATAGCTGAAAATTGGTGCTGGCCACTTTACTGAGACAACTGAGGACCTTACTATTCTTTTTCTTTTTTCTTTGTTTTTTGACAGGGTCTCACTTTGTCACCTAGGCTGGAGTGCAGTGGTGTGATCTTGGCTCGCTGCAGCCTCGACCTCTCTGCTCAAGCAATCCTCCCACCTCAGCCTCCTAAGTAGCTGGTGAGACTACAGGTACACGCCACCATGCCTGGCTAATTTTTGTATTTTTTGTAGAGACAGTTTTCCTCATGTTGCCTAGGTTGGTCTTAAACTCCTGGGCTGAAGTTATCTGCCCACCCCAGCCTTCCAAAGTGCTGGGGATTATAGGTATAAGCCACCACAGGCAGCCATTATTCTTCTATATACTACTCTCCTCATGGCTGCTTGAGATTCCTTACAGATGAGGGCTGTGTTCCAAAAGGAAGGAGTCTGTGGAAGCTGCTGGTTCTCATAAGACAGATTTTAAAGTTCCATCTGACACTTCTGCGCTATTGTATTGGTCAACACAAATCACAAGGCCAGCCCAGTGGAAATAATCTACATTTATTGATAGGGAGTGGTATTTGTATGCAAGGAGGGAAGCAATTGATAGTGGACATATTTGGAGATTATCTACTATGTACTCTCATGTGCAAAATTCACTCCTCCCTCAAATTCTCATTCCATATGGAATCAGCTCCAAAAAAAAAAAAAAAGGAATCAGCTCAAAGTTTAGGACAACATCAGTTCAAACAGGCATTAGTGAGGATGAGGCATCCCTGGTCTACTCCTTGAATATAGCTTTTCAGCTGTGGTTTCTTGGATGTGAAGATCCATGAAACAAAAAAATCAGATGAGGCTGGGCGCGGTGGCTCACGTCTGTAATCCCAGCACTTTGGGAAGCCAAGGCAGGCAGATCACTTGAGGTCAGGAGTTTGAAACCAGCCTGACCAACAAAACCCAAAACCCCATCTCTGCTAAAAAGACAAAAAAAAAATTAGCTGGGTGTGATGGCACATGCCTGTAATCCCAGCTACTTGGGAGGCTGAGGCACAAGAATTACTTGAACCCCAGGAGGCAGAGGTTACAGTAAGCCAAGATCACACCACTGCACTCCAGCCTGGGTGAAAGAATGAGACTCTCACAAAAAAAAAAAAAAAAAAAAGTCCCAGTGATCTCAGAAGCTAACATAAAATTGTGGAAAAAAGAGAATAAAGCAACAATGTTTCTGCTCAAAAAAAGATGAAAACAGGAGACACATGGCCCTACTGTTCTTAGCAATTTTGAAACTCAATTAGGCACATATGGCCATTTTCTCTGATTCCAGGGGTAGAGAACATTCCCTAATTAAGAGTTCATTTCTGAACGGTATGGAGATTCCTTAAAGAACTAAAAGTAGAACTACCATTCCATCCAGCAATCCCACTACTGGGTATCTACCCAAAGGAAAAGAAGTCATTATTTGAAAAATACACAGGAAAATGCATGTTTATAGCAGTATAATTCACAATTGCAAAAATACTGAACCAATCTAAATGCCCATCAGCCAACAAGTGGATAAAGAAAATGTGGTATATATACCATGGAACACTACTCAGCCATAAAAAGAGATGAAATAATGGATTTTGCAGCAACTTGGATGGAGCTGGAGGCCATTGTTCTAAGTGAAGTAACTCAGGAATGGAAAACCAAATTCTCACTTACAAGTGGGAGCTAAGTTGTGAGGACGCAAAGGCATAAGAATGATATAAAGAACTTTGGGGACTCCGGGTGAAGGGTGGGAGCGGGGTGAGGGACAAATGACTATGTATTAGGTACAGTGTAAACTGCTTGGATGAAGGGCACACCAAAATCTCAGAATCACCATTAAAAAACTTATCCATGTAACCAAAAGCCATTTGCACCCAAAAACTATTGAGATAAACATTTTTAAAAATTTAAGCAGTAAGTATAATAATAATTTGAAAAGATCTGGAAGTCTTTGATCCACGCGGAATAGCGTATAAACTCTTTTTTTCAGAAAGCTGTTTGTCAGCAAACATCGTTATGTCCCCTTCCAATGTTATCAAGAACCTAAAACATGTAAGATGCACATAGTTTCAAATAAAATCAATAAACAATGAAAAGAAAGCGTTTGTTTCTGCTCCTTGTGAGTGATTTTCCATGGCTGTTAGCTCTTCCCTCTGGAATCTTGACTTCTCCTTCTAAATTGCCCTTCCTCTCCTATAAGAAATGCCCTGTGTTTGTAGCCTGCTTCTTTCATTAGGAAGTCTAGGGTCCTGGGACCTCTTTTTATTTTCCACTATCTTTCCCTTTGAGTTAAAGCGATATAATTCCTTTAAAAAATGTTGTGGGCTTCCTGTGTATCAAATTATAATCCATACCTAAGACAAAAGAATATCTGTAAGTCTCTTTGAGACAGAACCCTCAAGTCAGTGTGTGGTGAGGCAAAACATTTATAATTCTCAGAAGTGCTACTGTCTGATTAGGAGGGTCTAGAAAATCCCTTTAGCTATTTGTCTAATTGGGAGGTCCATGAGGCATCACTTTAAATCTTGCTGATATTTCAACAAAGGTTCTCACAACCATAGCCCTGATCTGTTCTTTACCTGGAAGCTATGTTTTCTTGGATTTGATTTTTGTCCTTTGGTCATTTCTTACTTTGGGAATCATTTGTTTTCCAGATAATCTGTGAATATAAAATTGTTTAAAAAGATTCCCATCAAGCAAGCCTTGCCTTGGAAATATTGCCTCTAAATTCTGCTTGAAAACCAATCAGTTCTTTCTTAAGCTCATCTCACTCCTCCCTACTTAAAAAAAAAGCTGCCATTCTGCTTGGAAATCTTCTTAGCCAGATACACACATTTATAGGTGTTCTTTCTATCTTTCCTGTCACTGTGGGCAACATTTCACCAATTATTCTGCCAATCCATAACCATGTCCCTGTTAAATTAAATTTGGCCTTAAGCGTCCTCCACACTTTGAATCCTATTGCAACCTAACTTAAGAGTATATTCTTGTAACAAATAGCTGAGTCTCAGCCAACCACGGCAGCCAAGCTTTCGTTAATTGCAGGCTGCCAGCTCCCTGTAACGTCCTTGAGAAAAGAAATCACATCCTAAGAGAAGCTATGTTATAGTGATATAAAGCCCATAATCTGGAGGCGTAGTGTCTGCATTGACATCTCATCTCTACTGTTTACTATCTGGATAATTCCAGGAAGGCTACATAGCCATTTGGTGCCTTGTTTCTGCATCCATAACATAGGCATAATACTAACAGGTAAGTACCTTACAGGTGTGTTATGAAGATTAAATGAGTTAATACATCTATTTTAAATAAGCAGTATCTGGTACCTGGAAGGAGGATAGGAAACACAAGTTATTCTTATTAACGATGATGATTTATTCAGTACCTAGTGCTTAATAAATACAGATGCTCCTGATACTAATAGGTAAGTACCTTAAAGGTGTGTTATGAAGATTAAATGAGTTAATATATATATTTTAAATGAACAGTGTCTGGTATCTAGAAGGAGGATAGGAAATGAGCTATTCTTAATGTTAACGATGATTTTATATTCAGCACCTAATGCTTGATAAATACAGATGCTCCTCAACTTACTATGGGGTTTCTTCCTGATAAACCCATCATAAACTGAAAATATCATACACTAAAAATGCATTTAATCCACCTAACCTACTGAAGCTCATAGCTTAGCCTAGCCTGCCTTAAACATGCTCAGAACACTTACAATGGCCTATAGTTGGTCAAGCTCATCTAACACAAAGCCTATTTTATCATAAAGTGTGGGAAAGCTTGGCGATTTATTGAACAGTGTACTGAAAGTGAAAAACAATATTGTATAAGTACTCCCAAGTATAGTTTCTACTGATTATGTATCATTTTGGCACCACCAAAATTAAAATATCAGAAGTGAACCATTGTGAGCCTGGGACTATCTATGGTTGTTGGCTTGAATTCCTTCTTTTTTCTTTTTAACTCTAAAGTGCAACCTTCCATTTTTTCACCAAGTCCCACAATTTTCTGTTTAAGTCACAGATTGTCTTGAACATTTGAATGGTGGGATTTCCACCCCCCACACCTGCTCCACCCACCCCCATTCCCTCTGACCTGGGGACAGCTGAAGAAGTAGATGACATCCAAAGATACACTTCTATTTGCCATCTCTGCACTGGGGAATGTCTCCTTGGCTGACTCAAAGGTTCTTCCCCAGCACCAGCCAAATGGAGATATAATATCAGTCAGTTGCTACTACTTCCTCATCTGCCCACATCCTGAGCAAAACAGGGGAATTCTTCACATACCCAGAGGAGTCCCTAAGGTAAATAGTCAAATTTCAATGCCTAATTGCCAACTATGATTCAAAGATAATGTAGCAATGAAAAAGCATGTGAGTCCCTTGCCATAAAAACAGCTCTTCAGAGGAAGGGAGTGTCCCCTAAGAGCCACAACTAGCCAAGAACCAGAAATAGCGAGTTTGTTTCTTAGCTATGTCTCTAGTTTCCTGTATAAAAATAAAATGAAGTGAATCATGTTTGCTCCCTAATCCCCACCAGCCTGGCTGCGCCAGGTGTCGGGACGTTTTCCTACAGCCCTATTCTGAGAACCTCTTCCTAAGATCTCCTGTGAGAGCCCAAAAGGAGAAGACTGGCTCCTAGAGCTCCTCATGGGAGCGCAGCATCTGAAAGGATGCCATCAGTCTAAATGGCCTGCTCCTTTTTCTTGGTACTTTAGAAAATATGTCTCTTTATACAATGCCAACAAAATGATTTGGTTATTTAAAAAATACAATATAATAAGATTAAAACACTTCCCTACAATGATAACCTATATCAAAACAAAAGCAAACACAAGAAGTAATACGCCTTCTCTTCATCACATAGAATCACAGGGTTTCATACAGATTCAGCCAGGAACAGCCTGAGATTACTTTAATGCAGTGCTTCTCAGTGAGGGTATTATAATAAGTTGAGGCTTTCTGGCTCCTTCTCAGGACCAGTAATGCTCGGCTCCCCTGCCTTCCTATCCCCAGGTATTGCAACAGTCAGATAGACTTCCACAAATTTCCAAACACCATCCCACATCCCCTGTCTCTGGGCACAGTACCACAATCCTTGCTCGCACTTGCCCCATTTGAATATCCTGCACTGAGAAAAGTTAAGCAAGGCCAGGCGCGGTGGCTCATGCCTGTAATCCCAGCACTTTGTGAGGCCGAGGCGGGCAGATCATTTGAGGCCAAGAGTTCGAGACCAGCCTGGCCAACATGGCAAAAACCCCATCTCTACTAAAAATACAGAAAAATTAGCTGGGTGTGGTGGTGCATGCCTGTAATCCCAGCTACTCAGGAGGCTGAGGCATGAGAATCATTTGAGCCTGGGAGGCAGAGGTTGCAGTGAGCTGAGATCACACCACTGTACTCCAGGATGT
Organism: Homo sapiens; assembly: GCF_000001405.40. NCBI lineage: Eukaryota > Metazoa > Chordata > Mammalia > Primates > Hominidae > Homo > Homo sapiens. The sequence goes on along the minus strand of NC_000004.12, from coordinate 26,087,627 downwards.
ACTCCATCCTCGATGACAGAGTGAGACTGTCAACATTTTGTTCTCCATTTTCCAATGAGGAAACTGAGGCCAGAGTAATTAAGCAGTTTTGTCAAAGCTCACATCATCAAGTAATTGAACTGCAATTTCAAAGTCATTCTTATCTCAGTATGTTGTGCTGCCTCTTATAACCCCAGATGGTGCCAGGACAAGCACAGATGTGGGTTTTAATTTAAAACATTTATCGAGAGACTTCATGAAGTCTTAGGAATCACTTAGGAATGCCGTCGTGGTCAAGTGACCAGTTAATGAAGGGGCTCCCCACACTGACGAGGAAACCACCAATGGGTTGAGATAGTCCCAAGTGAAACTGTCCTGCACCGATTATTTCCCTAGCAGCATCCATGGCTAGCAGCATTCCCTAGCAGCATTCCCACGAGGGATCTTAGTGGCCAAGCAATAGTGTTTCTGCATCTCTGGAAAAGTCCACTCTGACTTTCAGCCAGAAAATAATTGTCTATGTTCATAAATTGGCAAAATACATTTCTTGCTACAATAAACAGGACTGCATCTCAGCAGGGGGTGGGGGAGCCTTTGGATAACTCTCCCTAAAGCTCCCTGCATCTTTTTGTATTTTCTGTCATCCCTGCAACTCACATAAACATTGTCCAGACCTCAGAGATATGACATTAGCTGGTTCTTTTTTAGTTGATTAGCTCTTCTGATATATTAGTAGATTATCAAAAGCAGTTTCAGTATGTCATAAAATCTGTTTGGTATTAAGTTGTACATGATGTGTTTTTCTCCATCTAGCTAAATAGTTTCCTTCAAATCTGGACCAGATGAGCACCCTGGGACTTGCATGAGCTCATGTGTGTATCTGCGTGGAATGCAGTACGTTGGGTCCCATTGGATGTGTGAGCATGTGTTTGGCCCCAGTGGAAATATCCTTAGGCACCGATGCCTCAGTTAGGGAAAAGATAAAGGCACAAGCTCAGATAACACATCTGCAAAATGTTAACGTCCTGGTGGTGCTCTCTATTCGAGCCACTTTTCCGGTTCTGTTTGATGGCTAGTTTAGGCAAATTGTGACGAGCATGAAATTGCCTTGATTCAGCAGCCCCTTGGGACGGGCATCTCATCCCTGCTCCCGCTCACTGTGCCTCTTGCTGCCGCAGGCTCACTGAGGCTCCATAGCTGGCTCCTGCTCATTCATTCAACAGGTCTCTTTTGAGCACCTATGATGTGCTAGGCACAGTGGAAAGAGGAGACTAAGAGCAGCCCTTGTTTCTGAGATATGGAGGAGGGTATAGAAATGTGAACCGACAATTGTGTTACAGCAGGATAAATATATCTACTGGAGCAGAAGAAGGGTCCAGACTAGTCCTGGGGAGAAGTGTGGCTCAAGAAAGCCTTCCTGGAAGGTCTACCCAGGAGCAGAGAGTTGAAGAAAACCCAAGAATGAGAGCTGGCGCTGGCCAGCTGTAAATAAGAGAGAGGTACCCCTTCTGGCCAGGAGCAGTCTCCTGCAGGCCATGCAGGTTGGCAGGCCCAGTGTGAGCTGTATTTAGTCTCTCCTCGTCCTCTCAAGTAGTGCCCTTGAGAAGTCAGCAACCTGCACAACCTTCCATGGGATCCTGGGATTATCCATGCCTTTTAGTTTCCTAGGGCTGCTTAACAAATTATCACCTACTGGGTGGCTTAAAACAACAAAACTTTATTCTCTCATAGTTCTGGAGGCCAGAAGTCCAAAATTAAGGTGTTGGCAAGTCCATGCTCCCTCTGCGGGCTCTAGGAGAGAATCCTTCCTTGCCTCTTCCGGCTTCCAGTGATTCCTCTGGGCAATTCTTGGTTTCAGGTTGCACTGCATTGCTCCAATCTCTGCCTCTGTCTTCACAGGACTGTCTGCTCTGTGTCAAATCTCCCTCTGCCTTTCTCTTATAAAGACACATGTCATGGGATTGGGGGCCCACTCAGGTAATCCAGGACGATCTCATCTTGGGATCTTTAAGTTGCTTGCATCTGCAAAACCCTTTCTCCAAATAAGGTCACATTCTCAGGTTCTGGAAGTTAGGACAGGGCATATCTTTTTGTGGGCCACTACTCACCCCAAGAGACCAGGTGAATAAGGAAAAAAGTATTTTCAGACAGGAAGAGCAGAGGATGTAAAGGCAAGGAGGTGTTTGTGGACTTGCTTCGTTCTTCAGTGGCAAGACTGCCTGGGGCTTAGGCTGCCAGAGGTGTGGTGGGGAGCTAAGACTGCCTTGGGAAGCAAGGAGCTGGTCTCAGAGGACCTGGAGTGCCCAGCCAAGAGGCTTGAACCACAGCCCAAAGGCAATAAGCAAGCTTTGCAAAATTTTAATTTTAACCTAGAAAGATCACGTGGGCTGATGGTTAGAGAATGTACTGGAGGCCAGCAAGACAGGAGGTGAAGAAATTCCTTCCAGAGGATGTTGCTCTTCCTCAGGTAAGGAATTTGGTGGCCTGAGCTTTGGAGAAGAGGTTATGATGGTGTGACACTGAGGAGAGGGGACCACACACAGCACTTGGTGGCTGATGTGAGCTGAGTGGGGAGGGAGCACTATTCCGGAGGTGTCCTGGCCCCAGCACTGCCCATCGTCCACCTTCAGGCAGCTATGGATACACTGGCACTGCTCTTCACAGATCAGCCCTTCGCACTTGAGAATTTGAACATGAATTTTCAAGAGCTTTGAAAGCACTTTGACACAAAAGAACATCCCCAAGAACTGGGTTGAACACTGACCTCTCGAAATTCATGTCTTCCTCGAACCCGTGGGTGTGACCTTATTTGAAAGTGAGTCTTTGCAGATGTAATTATGTTAAGGATCTCAAAATGAGGTCATCATGGCTGATCCAGGTGGGCCCTAGGTCCAACAGCAAGTGTCCTTATGTGAGAAACGCAGAGAAGGGACACTTAGGGAGAAGAGGGGGCCGTGCGAAGATGGAGGCAAAGATTGGAGTGACGCAGACACAAGCCAAGGAATGCCAAAGATTGCCTGGAGCCACCAGAGGCTGGAAGAGGTAAGGAGGGATTCTTCAATAAAGCCTCCAGAGGGAGCATAGCCCACACCTTGATTCCAGACTTTTTGGCCTCCAGGGCCATGAGAGAATAATTTCCTGCTGTTTTAAGAAACCAAGTTTGTAGTAATTTGTCATGGCAGCCCTAGGGAACTGCTACAGATTGACAATGAGCATGAAATACTTTGGACTTTAAAATAATAAGAAAAAGGAAAATAGCAAGATGACTAGATAGATGACTAGAAGTATGGGAGTTTCGTACTAGCAGCTATTCTTGTTCTAAGAAAGGGGCCCCTTCAGCCTTCCTGTCACTGTGCCATAAGGGACCAAGCTGTCTTGACCTTTTAAGTGAGTTTGCTAATCTCTCCACCTGTTTTCTTTGCTAATATAGCTGTTCTTTCTGTCATGCTAGTGTGCACCCGGGGAGCTGACAGAAATCATTGGCTCTTGATACTGATCATGCAATAAAAATGGCAAGCTGATTAGTCAGCCAGAAAGGAGAAGCCTTTTTCCCATTAGAGGCATGATCTAATGCTGTAATCACCTAGCCTGCTGACAGCGGCCAAGTGCTTGTGGTCGCAGAGTCCTCAGAACAGGTGAACCCTGTTAAAAAGCACCCTTCTCCATGGTTTCAGCTGTCCTGCAGAACATCTTAAGTCTCAGTCCCTGAAATATAACAATGAGACGGAACTCCTGTGTCCCTGAGTTTATGACAACCTTCCAAGACCATCCTTTTTGTAAAAAATATATATATATGCAAATAAAAGAACTCCAGCTTCCAAACCAGGAGGCTTCAGGAAGCCCAGGGTTCTTCCAAGGAATGTAGACACAGTCTTGGCATTCACTTACCATTTCTCCACCTGGATGTGTGTCCCTGATCCAATGGATTCAGTGCCTCCCTTCACCCCAAGACAATGCTAACATGAGGCTTTCTGGCTCAACTGAAAGCTTGAAAAAATTTCAGTGCAGAGAGGGAAAAATGAAGCTCAGTGTCAGCCATGACCAACCATACCCCAAGTCCTTGGGTCAAATCTCATCCCACCCAATTCCTACTGGTCTTCCTTCACCTTCAGGCTCCCAGCACATTGCCAGGTGTGCTCCTATGCCGTCTTTACCTCCACACCGGGGTTTGCATTGACTGTGTTTCTCTTTCCCTGAATGCCGTGCCCCCACAGCCTCTTCCCTCTGTCTACCAGTGGAAGCCCCAAATCCATTAACATCGGTACAATCCTCACTCTTTTACTTTGGTAGACACAGAGCTTGAGTGTTTCCTTGTCTAGGCTTTCCCATCCCAGAACGGAATTTCCTTTTGCACAAATAAAAGCTCAATTAAGAACGTTTTCTCCACCAGAAAGCGGGGCCCCCACAGACTAATTTGGGTTTCCATTTTTAGCAGCACAAAGAATTGGCAGAAGCTTTGAAATTGCAGTTCTTCCTCAAAGACGCCCAAGAGCCCAGATCCAATTCTGAGGCAGAATCAAAGTTCACCTACTGAATTTCCCTCCTCTTACTTCCATGACAGGGAAAGCTTTCCCCAAGCCCTCAGAGAACTTGATCTTTGTAAAGTAGAAGATGCAATTCTTCTCCCAGTAATCAGCACTGGGTGACTTTGATCAAGAAGGTTAACTGGTCTGAGTGTTGGACTCCCTAGCTATAAAATAGAATTAATAATACCTTTTCGCCATAGGGTTATTGTAAGAATATTTAAAGAAAGAACTTAAGAAAAGTGTCTGGCTTGGTGTGTGGCACACAAAATACGTTCATTACTTCTTCCTTTCATTGTATGATTAAGCAATAGTTTGCTTTGTTGCCTTATACAAGGATTATAATATAGTTCTAAGGATTATCTGAAGTTCAGAAACTGGTTAGCGAAGATACACTGAGCTCTCAACAAAGTCAACATGCACTGCATTATAGAGTGTTCTCTTGGCTCCATATCTGCACATGCCTGTAATTATTTATTTGAGATGAATTCCCAGATATGGAATTCGTGGTCAAGAGGTACATACATTTTTAGGACTGCCGCTATACATTGCCAAATTGCCTGACAGAAAGTCTGTGCCACAGACTTCTTACCTCCCCCACAGAATTGTGTCCGAGAGCCTATTTCTTGAAATCTTGAGTTTTTCCTCAAAATGTATTAGCTTGATGGGAGAAGAGCGGTTGTGGAATTGTTTCTCAAACCTGGAAAACAAGCATCCCACAAACCCAACTCACTTATTTTAAAAATGAAGATCCTAAGACTCAGAGAGATTAAGTGACTTGGCGAATTCATCTAATTAGTAAGACAGCCAAAATCCATACCCCATGTTTCCTAATGCTGGAATTCTTTCCATTATACCACTCCAGAGAGAGAGTGTTAGCCCTGAGGTGAAACCACTCAGGGACTGCTTAATAACAAAGTTCAATTAGACCAGAGGGAAGGCGCTGTAGAGAAAAGTGCTAATGCAGAGAGCTTTAATTAGTGTCTGGCTAATTCATCCTCAGATAAGTACAGTGTAGTGTTTGTGTTAGCACCACCTACTGGTGAAAATTTAGACTTGTACAGGATTCCTTTTATGGAGTTGCAGGTAGAATGGGAAAAATCTCCGGAAGATTTGGACTGCTTTAAACTGTCTTATTCTAGAAAGAAGTCGGTAGAAAAATGAGTAGGTATGGAGTCATTGAGTCATGAACCATAAGGACTTCAACTTCTGTGGTCTCAGAATTGCTGTGAATGAAGTTCCAATTTCCTGCAGCAACAAAGTCAGTTTCCTGTTCTTCCTATCGGCTATGTAGAATGTAAACCTCTTCATTTTTCTATAACCTAATTTCTAGTTTAAGTCTACATTCTTCTAGTGGCAGGAAACTTAATATATAGTGTCTTCCTGGTAAAAATCACTCACTTCAGTGTTTATGCAGTCATGCCGGTTTCAGTCACTCAATTCAAAATTTCATGCCCTTCCCTTCTTCTTGGGGTTGCTGGTAAGATCCTGGAAATATAGGATGGTGTAGGTGTAGAAAACGGGGTTCTGGGGGACTGAGAGAGGGATGGGGTGGTATGGTCCACAGGCATCCTTAGCCTGAAGCAGACCTGGTCTTTGGCCATCAGCACCTATGCGTAGTGGCACCCAGGGGCCATACTTGGAGGCTGCCAAGTCCTCCATTGTTAGAAAGCCCTCCATCTCCACTGTATCTTCTTGTCCCAACCTCAAGCTCTGCTCAGGTCTGCGGCCCTCTTTTGGCCATTTTGTGCCCATTTTGGAGGCAGGAGCAAGGGAAACTTTAGGATGCTCTCTTACATGGGCCTGGCTGTGACAGATCGGGGGCTTTCCTGGGGCCTCCCCACTGCTTTGCTCTGTTGCGCTCTCTTCTCCACTATGGCCAGCATACAACGCAGGGGATGGCAAACTATGCCCTGTAAAGGGCCAGACAGCACGTATTTTAGATGAGTACTCCACTCTGTTACTGTAGCACAAACGCTGCCACAGGCAATAGATAAATGAACGGGCATGGCTGTGTTCCAATAAAACTTCACTTACAAAAGGAAGTGGCATGCTGCATTTGGCCCTCAGGGCCCTTGATGATCTCGGTATGTATCTGTGCTGTTCTCCCCTAACTCCAGGCGTCTCCCGTAGATCAGGGCACACATTCTCAGGTCTTGGCATTACTAAACCTATCTTGATGATTTATCACCCGCTACCCCACTTCAGAAAATCACAAGACGAGGGAGCAGGCAAAGTGCAGGACCCCTCAGGGCTATGTCAGCATCTTCTTCTTCCCTTCTCCTCTTTCCCTAGCTAGAGCAACCATCCTTTCCTCTCTTTCCATTCTCTTGTTTGTAGTATAAACTTTTATGTCGTGCTTACGTGGGGCTTAGCCTTTAGATTTGATCACACTTTTCTATCACAAACCTTGGCTATGGAGGACCCACCCAATCTCTGTAATAAGAGTCAAGAGCCTAAATGATTCAAAGTCAAGAACTTGACATTTGTTCTGTGTTCTTCATAATCCCTCCCTTCCCTGTGAGTAGTGGATACCTGGAGTGACTGGGAATATGGTCCCATGATGTCCTCTAACCCTTGCTAAGTTCTGGGCTTTGACCAAGCCTCAGCCATACTCTGAGGGCAGCTGGATTCAGGTAAGTTTGCTGGTCTGGTATTTGTTCCTCTGTCTTTATCCTATGAGGAAATAAGAAGAGTAAGGTTAACTTGACATTGTTAAAAAAACTGCTCACTCACATGAATAGAAATGAATCCTTTTGGGGCAAAACCATTTAGAACAGAGCGTTTCAAACTGCAAATTGCAACCCTTTAGGGTAGGGGTAGGCAATTTTTTTTCAGTAAGGGCACAAATTGTAAATATTTTAGGTTTTGTGGGCTGTACTCAACACGCAACTCTCAACTCGCAACTGCTCAACTCTGCCACTGTAGTGCGAAAATGATCAAAGACAATGGGTAAACAAGTGAGCGTGTCTGTCCTGTAATTAAACTATTTATGAATACTAAAATGTGAATTTCATATAATTTTCACCAGTCATGAGATATCATTCTCCTTTTGATTTCTTCCAACCACTTAAAAATGTAGAAAATTTTTAATCTTATCTTTTTAACTTTTATCTTATCTTTTTTATTTTATTTTTTGAGACAGAGTCTCAAAAAGTTGTATGGAGTGCAGTGGTGTGATCTCAATTCACTGCAACCTCTGCCTCCTAGGTTCAAGCAACTCCTGCCTCAGCCTGCAGAGTAGCTGGGACTATAGGCATGTGCCACCATGCCCAGCTAATTTTTCTCTTTTTACTAGAGACAAGGTTTCGCCATGTTGGCCAGGCTGGTCTCAAACTCCTGGTTTTAATGCAATCTGCCCACCTTCGCCTCCCAAAGTGCTGGGATTGCAAGTGTGAGCCACCGCGCCTGGCCAAAAATGTAAAAAACATTTTTAGCTTACAAGCCTTACAAAAAGAGGTGGTTAGTTAGATTTAGCCCTGGGCCATAATTTGTTGACCCCTCAATTAAGGGGGTCATGAAATCAGTTAAGTGATACTGGACAAAGAATTTTTTTAAAAAGAAATAAGATAAAGTAGAATGAAGGAGACAAAATATCAGAATATACTGTACACAAAAAAGGTTTTGTAAAATGTTGATTTCAGTTAATACACATTTGTGTGTATTGCACTGTGATGCAAAATGTATTTCTTGCTGTGGAATGTGGCTGGAAAAAGTTTGAAAATCAATTTGGAGAAACATTTCTTTCAGTGTGACATTTTTATTTCCAAAGAGTTATGCCTTTGTTTATTCCACACACCTTAAGATTTGATGTTAGTGTTGCCAGATAAAATATAGGACACTCAGTTAAACTTGAATTTCAGATTAAAAATAAATAAATTTTTAGTATAACTATGTTCCATGCAATGTTTGGGAAATACTCATACTAAAAATTACTCATTTCTTATCTGAAATTCAAATTTGACTGAGTATCCTGTCTGTTTTTCTAAACCAGACAATCCTATGTGGTATATTACAATTGGTTATTATTATTATTGTAATGATCTTAAAACTCAGGTAGGGGCAGCCCAGTTCAGCTGGTAACTTAAGGGAAAATTGACATTTAACAGTTCTTCCTATATGCCAGGTTTTGTGCCCTCTCACAATTGCAGAAGCACTAGCCCTCACTACAGCCCTCTAGGAAAGGTACAGCTTTGTTATCTTCACTTTACAAGTGAGGAAACTGAGGCACAGTCTGACCTCAACAGGGGATTTAACAGTATAAGAGGGATGGTTCCAAGTCCTTGCCACACCACCAGGCTGTTGGGAAAGGCAAGCCCTGTGAAAGGGCCACCAGCTGTTCTTGGTCCTGGTGGTGCAGTCAGGAAGGCGGAGGGGACAGTGGGAGTGGCAATGAGGGTGCATTGTCCATGGAGTATTGAGCCCAGTGTAAAGATGATCGAAGTCATTTTATATTCACTATGCAATGCCAGTGATAACCTGTCCCCTCCCCATCGAGGCTGACTTCCCCACCCGCTTGACATGCCACTATTTGGCATATGATTGGTGCTCAGAAAATGTTACTTTCCTCTTTCTTCCTGCTCTTCTTTTCTCTACCTTGGCAAATGAGTTGCAAACCACTTGCCCATTCTGATTAGTAATGACAGCCTGGACTGCTGGATTGGGAAGGATTCTGGAGTTGAGTCTTTGCTCAGAGTAAATGAGTGCTGTGCTCTGGAGGCTCATCTGCTAGAGAGAGGTAAGAAGTGGGTACATAGATAGATACCACCTGCCACCCTATAGTTAAACGCTTTAACCTACAGAGCACAAGCAAGCATGCTGAGCAACGATTCCCCGCAAGCCCAAAACTCCTTCCCACTTAAGACAAAGTAAGAGAGGAAGAGGAAGAGAGTTTCTATCCATCACATCACCTTGTCCCACCCCCTCTAACACACGCAACTCCTGAGTGACCTGGAGCTAGATGCTGGAACACAGATTGGAGAGGCACAGGCAGGCTGGACAGGCAGGCAGGGCACAGGTTTGCTGGGCACCAAAGGCCAGAGGCAAGTTAATATCTCCCCTCCCACTGCCCTTCGCTGCCTGAAGCTTTTGCACTCGGCTCACCATAGTGTGACCAGGTGCCTCTGTTCACATGCGCCTTTTTGGAAGCTGTGGGGAGGAATGCCCTTCCTTGACTCAGTTATGTGCATGGCTGGAGGCAGGGCTACAAAAATAGACTGAAGGCAAGACTTTCCACTCTTCCATTTCCCCAAAAGTAGTTTCTTCTTGGACACAAACTGCCATCTTCTCTAAATTCCCAAATTGAGTAACCACTTGGAAGGCTTTCTTGTTTTTTTTTTTTTTCTTTTTTTTTTTCAAATGATTTTTCCAGCTGTAATTTTTCTTCAGTATGGAATTTTGCTCTTTCTGCCTTGAACTTCATTATAAATCCAAGTTTAAAATCAGAACTATTATAAATAGCCTTTGTGTACAGCAAGCGTTTGGGCATGCCATGTTTTAACCTTGAAGTAGCCTCCCATTTAGGTGGCTCTATAATTCCTCAGCTTGTCCGTTTATCCTCTGCCCCCCCAAATTGGAGGTAATATTAGAAAGGCCATGTGCGGGCACACCTTCAGATGAAAGGAGTTGATATATTTAAGCGCATGTTTAAGGTCAGAGAGAAGGAATGTTCAAAAGCATAGAAAGGTATTCGGATAGTTTCTTGGATATTTAATACCTTTGGCAACACCTTATTTTCTTGAATTAGGGTCTTGTGGGTCTAGAAATGGCTTCCAAAACTATTTAGTCAATTTCCTCTTGGGGAGCGGTGGTAGAAAGGGGCAATCCTTCCTCTTACAGCTCAGGCCAACTTTCTATTTTGTACAGAGGTGAGGATATTAGTCATGATATGAAGGAGAATCCACGACATTTTGATAATTCTGGCATATGTACATCCGAAAATTGCAAATTTAATTTTTCTTAGCATACCAGAGAGACGAGTCTTCAAGGAAATGGGTCTGACTCTTGAGCTTTGTTTGGTGTTGCTTTGGCCAAATGATTTGGTGAGTCACTTGTTATGGCTTTCCCTCGGGGTTCAGTGTTGTTTTTCACTGTGCCCTTAAAACCAACTTCTAGGCCACTTAGGTGTCTTGACCAGACTTTCTGGGGCCATATTAATTCCAACCTCAGAAATTTTGTTCCTGCTTAGATATCCCCAGGTTTTCTCTCCCCTACATCTATCCTTCTACACAATCCAGATTTCAAGGTCCCTTACAGATCTCAGGTCGGTCAAGCCATCCTTGACTTGTGAAAAACCCTGCGATTTCTCCCATCTTTGAATGCCTTTTGGGATCATCATCAATATCTAATCTTTGCACTTGATCTCTAAGAATCATCTACATTGTTTAAATTTTTCTTAAGGGAAAAGGCTATGTCTTACGCTTTTTCTATATTTTCCAAAACACCTGCCCCATGTTGGGCATGCCCCAATCAATACTGGATTGATAAATGATTGAGAAGTCTTCACTAGGCCTACAGTTCATGCATCTATAAACATGGAGCTTCCCTTTATCTTTGTAGGGTTTGACCAGAATTTGCCCCCAGCCTTACCCGATTACAGGAAAAATAGTGTTCAAAGTAGGAAGCTAGTTCTGTGAATCCACATTTCCTTTGTTGGGCAATGATCTAGCTGCATGTGGCATAACATTTGCTGACACACAGTGTACTCACTCTTTTTTTTTTTTTTGGTCAGAAAAAGACTATTTCCATTCAAGTCACAAGTGGTGAAGGGTGGTGTGGTTTCTCTGTGACCTTAGGCGAGTCATTTCACCACCTTCAGCTGCAGTTTCCTCTTCTACAATTTTCCACCTCTAAGGTTGGCAGTTCTATGGTTTGGGGGCTGCTCAATGCTTCTAAGATCTCATCTAACAGATTTGTTTGCATGACAATGGGAAGGATTCTAAGGTTCAACTTCATTCTCCGCTCTGGATCTAATGTGGATGGATGGGGCCAGCAATGCTAGTAATTATTGGCTGGGACCTTCTCTCTGTATTAACCAGAGCTCCTTATATCATTCTAGCTAGCAGCTCAGAGCCTACCTTGAGGATGGCGGCATTAATCTGTCTGCTTAGGGACATCTAGACATTCTGCTAATCGTTCTTGCTACCACTATGGATATCCCTGATAGTGCAGAATCTTCTGCCTGTGGTTCTGTAAATGGGCCAAGTTAATTCTTCTGTTAGAGCCTTTGGAAAATTCAAGACAGGTACCAGTGACTAATAAAGTGACTAATAAAGGCTATATTAAATGCCCTTTCTCTTTCTTTTTTGTGGTTGATGCAACAACAAGATTGTCTAGTCTTGTTAGCCATAATTTTATAAGTTGTTGGCTTTGGTGATATATTTCTGCTTTATCATTTTAGGTGTCACATCTTGAGGACAGATGTCTTGTGTAAGACATGGGCTGATTTTCACTCGACAAAAATTGGCCCTTGTGTTAGAGGGAGAATAGAGGAAACCACTCTATTATTAGACTTTGAAATGAATGTTTATGGCCCTATAAAGTGACTAGCTAGTCTGCTGTCTGCCATGATTGAAGAGAGATCTAAAGCTAGGTCTAATTAAGAAATATCTATTATCTGATTGCTGTTGTGTTTAATAAGCTATTTAAAACAGAGAAATTATTTTGTGGAATTTAAAAAAGTGAGTTGATTGGATGCATCGGATTTGGACTTCTAAAGGATTTGCAGCATTTTTTCCTAAAAAGGCATTGTTCAGTGGGAAGTGACAGTGGGATTATTGCTCCTTGTTAAGTAAATTCAGCATGTGATTTATGTGCTTATATTTCCATGCACATTCAAGGAACCAATTCTCCTTTGAAATTTCCAAAATAGTGATGCCAAAAGAAAAAAAAAGAAGAAAGCGAGGAAGGAAAATCAGAGTTTCAGAAGAAAGTAAGCTGTTTGGATTAGAACTGAAACCACATGGGGTCCAGAAATCTTGTAATATTCTGCCCATTAAAAGTTCTTCTGCAAATAAATGTGCACATGCAAAAGTGGGGGTCGGAAAGCCATCCATTTGGATTCAGCAGCATGTCAGCCTAATTATACTAGACAATGCTGAGCTCAGTAATTCCACTTTTGATCCATTGCTGTGTGAAGTTCATTATTATCTGTTTCGAATTATTGTTCATTTCAAGAGCCGTACAATGAAAAAGCATGTCAAGACTGTGAAAGAGCCCTTGGCCTTCCCCGAAAGCTTTGTGAAACATTTCTTTGGAAACATTTCTGCTGAGATGGTGCATTGGCCGTGAGTGGGTGTAGGGGATGGGCGTCTGTGCTTCCCCTTTTCACATTTGTTTACCTTAAATACATCTCCATGGAAACAAGACCTGCTTCTGAGTTGACTTGAGGGTTGTCTGTAAGAGGAATGAATAGCAAAATATAGATAGCTAAAATTCTCATATAATCCAAAAAGGATCAGCCAAAGTGAGGGACACTAAGTGTCATTGAGCCCTCTTCAAGACTGATGATTTTAAATAAGGTTTCTCATGTAACGCTGAGAGGTAGACGGTATTGTCTCTGTTTTACAGATGAAGACCTTTAACTTCTAAATGTTTACTCAAATAGGAAGCGACAAACCCAGATTTGAACCCAGAACTGTCTGATTCTGATGCCCACGCTCTTTCTATAAAACCACATTGCCAGTCGTTTCACCCTTTCCTCCCACCTGCCCCAAGCATTTTCCAGAATTGTATAAAAATGGGCTACCCTTGATGTTTCCGTCTTTTGGGTGATTAAGTGCTTGGGAGGGAAAAGGTACTATGAAGAAAGAAAAACAAGCAGTCTGCATCATCTAAATGTGAAATCACCAACAGCAGCATAAACAATTGTCCCCTGTACTTCCGGAATCCCAGGCCAGGCCAGAAAAACCTCAATTTGCTAACAAAGCCTCAAGTAGGAAGGCCTCCATTTACCTAATTGTTGTCTTTGCTGCACTTTGAGGAGAAAACAAGACAGTGGACTGGAAAGAGCCCCAGAGATATGAGTTCAAATCTTGACCCCACCACTTATGACTTGCGGGACCCCCAGCCTCAAATGGGTAACTTCTCTGAGCCTCCAGTGTCAACAGGGTCTCTTGATGAGGCAGGATCTGGCCCAGGGTTTCCTGGTGGCCCATGGCAATAGGCAATACCCTTTACATATTGACTTAAGTCCACAATCTCTGTCTCAGATATATTAAAAATTTAGTTTGCAGACAGAGTCAACAAGGGTTGGGAAAGAACTCACACTGAGGAAATGGTCCTGTGTGGGGAGGTGGGCTCCAAAGCCAGGCCTGAGTGTTCAGGAGGCAGAATGGCCCTGGTACTATAATGTGGCTGGTACTGGATCTCAGCCTTACCCAGAATTTAAACAGGTTTGCCATAAATGCCATTGCACTAGAATTCTGGAACTGGTTGTGGGACCCCCTCACATCGACTGCAACTGATTGTAACATGAAAAGAGCACTTTCCTCTTTTTTTTTTTTTTTTGAGACAGGGTCTCACTCTGTCACCCAGGCTGGAGCTCAATGGCATCATCTTGGCTCACTGAAGCCTCAGCCACCAGGGTCCAATTGGTTTTCCTGCCTCAGCCTCCCAAGTAGCTGGGATTACAGGCGTCTGCCACCACACCTGGCTAATTTTTGTATATTTAGTAGAGACGGGGTTTCACCATGTTGGCCAGGCTGTTCTCGAACTCCTGACCTCATGCGATCTTCCCTCTTTGGCCTCCCAAAGTGCTGGGATTATAGGCATGAGCCACCACACCAGGCCTGCATTTTCCTCTTTATTTCACAGGTGACAAGATATCTAGCTTTGAGGTTCAGCTCTGATGGTACCCAAGAAATGGAGACAGCTGGAACCCTGAGTGACCCCTTCAATAGAACATTGAGGACTTGAAGCCAAAAATCCTAGCTCTGTGATCCATAGCTATAAGTGGACAACCAAGTAGGATCCGTGTTTAGGTGGTCCTGAGTTTTCTCATATGAAGGTATGATCCACTAAATATTGAACTTTCTCTGATCAAGGAAGTAGGGCTTTGGAGCCACTGAAATTTGTGTGGAGATAATAGTGAGAGTAGACCACACACATTGGAGAAGTTACCTTTTAGGTTATTGAAAAGATCAAGAGCAGTGCTGGCACAGAGTAGGACTTCAATAAATGTGAATTACCTTGATGTGTTTGGAGTACAAGCCCAAGTCGGCAAAAAATGTCCTGGATGCTGGACAAAAACCTCCATGGTGGCCCAGATCTCAAGGGGCATTAAGCCAAAGAGATCAGCTATCAGGGCGCAGTGCGAAAGAAACATTGACTCAGGAAGAGGAGACAAGGTGTCAATCTGGAAATTAGCTGGGAGGAGGCAGAACAAGAAAGGCAAGCCACGAGGCCTCCAACTGGAAGGGCAGGAGGAGACCCAGGGGTGCAGAGACTTAGCCAAAATTACACATTTATACAGAGCAAAGAAGGGACCAGAGCCTAATGGCTCTCTTCTCTTCCTTTAACTTACTATTATTATTATTATTATTATTATTAGAGACAGGCTGCAGTGCAGTGGCACGATCTCGGCTCACTGCAACCTCTGTCTCCCAAGTTCAAGCGATTCTCGTGCCTCAGCCTCCCAAGTAGCTGAGATTACAGACACATGCCACCATGCCTGGCTAATTTTTGTATTTTTAGTAGATGGGGTTTCACCATGGTGACCAGGCTGGTCTCGAACTCCTGACCTCAAATGATCTGCCTGCCTCAGCCTCCCAAAGTGCTGGGATTATAGGCATAAGCCACCACACCCAGCCTAACTTTAAACTTTGATACAATTTTAGACTCACAGAAAAGTTACATGAATAATAAAAATAATTCTCATAGGCCTACATACTTTTCACCCAGATTCCCCCAATGTTAACATTTTATCACTTTGCTTTATCCTGTATCTCGATCTATCTCCACATCTGCATCCTCACTAGTATTATATTTTTTCTGAACTGTTTGAGACACAATGTCCCTTTACATATTTCAGTGTGTATTTCCTAAAAATAAGAACATTCTCTGAATGTACAATGACAAAATTCAGGAAATTAACATTGATACAATACCTTTATCTAGTAAACAGGCCTTATTCAGATTTCACCAATTGTCCCAATACTGTCCTTTAAAGAACAGCATTTTGCTTTAAAGCAAAAGATAATCCCACATCATGCATTGCATTCAGTTGTCACGTGTCTGCAGTCTCCTTTAATCTGCAACACTTCCTCAATCTTTGTCTTTCATGATATTGACATTTTTGAAGAATACGGACCAGCTATTTTGTAGAATGTTTTTCAAGTGACATTTGCGTGATGTTTCCTCATGAGTAGATTTAGGTTATGCTATTTTTTTTTTGCAGGAATAACACAAATATGATGTTGTGTTGTTGTGTTTTCCCCAGTGCATCACATCAGGAGGCAAATGCTGTGGATTTTTCTCATCTCTTGTAACACTAACTGATCAGTTAGTTAAGGTGGTATCTGCTAGGTTTTATCATTGGAGGGTTATTAGTTTTGCTTTGTCATTAAGAATCTGGAGGGCGGATACTTTGAGACTATCTAAATAGTCTGTTATTTCTCAAACTTGCCCACTCCTTAGCATCCATTAGTGTTCTTACTTGAATCAATTATCATTAGGACGGTTGCCAAATGGTAGAACCCAGACTCTTGACCTTTCTATTTCAATCAGCAAATAATGTGCATGGCCTTCACATCTTCTGCATAGGCCTCCATGCCTTCGCTCACGGCTTCCTCTCTCTTGAAACATCCTTCTACCCCTTAATATTTGCCAACTTTTTTTTTCAAGACCCTCTGAGGATTCATCTCCAAGGATCGACTTCCTGTTTCACCTCAACCTACAGTGACCATTCTCTTCACCTCCTTTGTACTCCTGCCTTTAACATTTCTCAGTTTCCAAGCATTTCTTGAATGTTGGCTTTTCCTTACCATGTGACTAGGGCTATGTTATCTTTGACAACATATTTTATAAACTCTCTGCAGTTAAGGATGAGTTTTTTAAAATTTCCAAAATTTTGAGGGAGGATATGTGGTCCTAGTGTGTGTGAGCCACCACACAAATTCAACAGCACCCCAAATGCTCACCACTGCCCTCTTCATCAAGACAGGATCATTGATCAGGTGCTTGGACACTGTGGCAAAGTAAAATCACCTTAAACATTTCTAAACCCTCCATTTCTGTATTTAACATGGGCCAATAACATTTCAGTAACCCATATTAGGACAACTCCTTCCTCTTCCTACATCCATCCCACTCTTAGACCCGAGAGAGAGAGAGAAAATGATGGTAATCAGATGAAAAATAAAATCGTTTTCCCCCGATTGCCTCCATTCCATTTGATTTTGACAAGATTCCTCTCTGTGACATAATAACCACCAAAGAAGCCTGAGGCTTCATGGATAAGGAAGTAATAAACAGCATCTTCTAATTGAGAAGGAGTTTGAAGGACATAAAGGGAACATTAAGATTAAGGGAAATAACTCCTGACAGCATAATATTCTGAAGGAATAGGCAGATCTGCATTTGCCCTTTGAATAATTGAGTCTACAGCAATCAAATGGATAAACCAACTTCCACTCCATCTCCCTTGGCAAAAACAGAGCTCTTCATGTGCAATTCCAATATAATAAAAGATTGCCATTTTTGAGGCTGGGTGTGGTGGCTCACACTTGTAATCCCAGCATTTTGGCTAAGGCGGGCGGATCACCTGAGGTCGGGAGTTCGAGACCAGCCTGACCAACATGGAGGAATCCCAGTCTCTACTAAAATACAAAATTAGCCGGGCGTGGTAGTGCATGCCTGTAATCCCAGCTACTCGGAAGGCTGAGGCAGGAGAATTGCTTGAACCCAGGAGGCGGAAGTTGTGGTGAGCCGAGATCATGCCATTGCACTCTAGCCTGGGCAACAAGAGCGAAACTCTGTCTCAAAAAAAAAAAAAAAAAAAAAGATTGTCATTTTTAAAAAGTTTGTCAACTCTCTATTACATGCCGCTCAGGCACCGTGGTCAGTACTGGGAATGAAGAGGTAAATAAAACACAGTTCTTGCCCTCATGGAGCTGATATCCCACTGGGGGAGGCAGGGGTAAGCCCACAGGGGAGAAAAATAAGAAACCTTGAGAACATAGGAGCAAAGTTGAGTACAGGTGGGAGGTGGGGAAGGAAGATATGGTCTCCCAGCAAAGATGCCAGCTAGGCAGAGGTGGGCAGGAGCTCCCCACACTCAAAGGACTGCCTAAGCCCTGGTGTGACTGGGCACAGAAAGGCAGAAAGGGCCTGGATGAGGCTGGACGAGCCAGCAGAAGCCAGACGTGGGCCCTGGGGGCTAAAATCTGAGTCCTAGCATTGATTGAGAAAGCGATTGAGAATGCTTGACAAGGGAAGTGATGGAATGAGATTGCATTTTTAAATGGATCTCTCTATCATAGAATGTGCTGGCGGGGTCAGAGTGGGCTTACTTAGCAGGACTAGTTAGGGGGCTCTTGACTGGGTCTGGGCCGGAGAGGACACTGGCTTGGATGAGACAGTGGAATCTCTTGCTCTTTTCATCTTTGGGGGACCTGCCAACAACCAAACTAATTAAATTCTTGTAGGGTTGAGCGGGCAGCATTCCCATTTATTCAGATGGAAACACTGTTAGAGGGGGCCCTAATCAAGGTATTTCTGCCCCCTACGGGTGGTGAAGAGAAACAGCTTCTTGGAGAGGCAGAGAGTACAAGCCACATGGAGCCCAGGTATGTGGGCTGCTGAAAGATTGTTACGGGACTGAATACTTCCCCTGTCAATGCACAGGAGGCCATTCCTAGCTCCTTCTGCCCCACCACTGATGTTGTTTTCATCCAGCATATCTTAAAAAGGACAGGCCTATAATAGGAAATTAAAGCTGGGTTTTGGCTTAGAACCTATGAACAACCCAGTTCCCTATCCAGCAAAAGTCCCACTGATTGGGAACGGAGGGGAGGGCTGGGTGAATTAGACTGAATTTTCAATTACAGCATGTTTTAAAAAAAAAAAAAAACACAGCATGATGACTTTCAAGGACAAAGGTGAACCAATTAGGAGTAAATGGTTTTCCTTTCTCTAATAGGCTAAGAGGCAGCCACGGTGTTATTACCCACAGGTGTGCTCCCATCGGCCGTGAGGCATATTGCTAATGACAAGAATAAGAAAATATTCATAATAAGGCAGTTATCACCTACTGAGTATTTACCATTAGCAGGCACATTGCCAAGCATTTAGTTTGCATAATCAGATCCAATCCTAACGGACCCTCCAGCATAGGAGTTCTATTATCATACCCATTCTGCAGATGAGAATGCTAAGACTCAAAGAGGGTAAGTAACTCACCCAGCGCCACACAGCCTATAAGTGAGGGGGTCAGAATGGGAATCTGAGATTGTCTGACTTCCAAGCCTATAGTCTACTTCTAACAATGGAGAAGACATCAATGGTTTTGTGTGAATTACTTATTTTGTAAATTAAAGTGAGTTCATGGTCATCCCTCTGTGAATGTCACTCTCAGTTGCAAGTACTGGTGGCTCCAGGGAGTGTGTATGACCCTGGGTGTATCAAAGACATGGGTCCTGCTGGCAAAGGTCATGTGCCTTCTATGTTCAACAGGAGAAAGGCTGAGAACTAATGGCCTGGTGAAGAGATAGCAGACTGATCCCAGGGAAAAGATGTCTGTGTGGGTCTGTCTTAGACCACCCCTCTTGAACTTTCAGCCTCCTTTCCCCTTTACTCCATGTGCTGGTGGCCTTCTTCAAGGTGCCTGCTTCGCATCCCCAGGGCTGTATGGCTCTGTGACTCCCTGGCCTCTGAAATGCCCTGCATGGATCATCTGAATCCTAGGGACAGCCTCCCGCTATGGGGTCCCAGGCAGTGAGGCTTGCTGGGACCCAGGAAGCTCCTCATCTAAAAATAAACTGAGCGGCCCCTAACTTCAGCCCCTCTAATCCAGTCTTCCCAAAAGCAGGCAGAGGAAAGTTTTGAAGGTCAGGCCGACACTCTCGCTCACCTTGAGATGCCTCAGCAGTTCCCCTTACCTTTGGTACATGGTTCAAATGATGCTTCCTGGACCTGCCCTCTTCTTACTTCTCCAGGCCTGGCTCTTTCTCTCACTCTACCCTCACTCTACCCTCCAGCTATATTCAGCTGTTAGCAGTTCTCCAAATGCCCTCGTGTACTCTCGCCTCTCTTGCCTTTGTCTGTGCTGAAGCTGCCACCTGTAATGCAGTTTCTTCCCACTCCCTACTTCCTAAGACTCAGAGCTGGAAGTGGTAGCACATGCCTATAATCCCAGCACTTTGGGAGGCTGAGATGGGTGGATCACCCGAGGTCAGGATTTCAAGACCAGCCTGGCCAACATGCTGAAACCCCGTCTCTACTAAAAATAAAAAAATTAGCAGGGCGTGGTGGTGGGCGCCTGTAATCCCAGCTACTCGGGAGGCTGAGGCAGGAGAATTGCTTGAACTTGGGAGGTGGAGGTTGCATGAAGTCGAGATCGCACCCACTGCATTCCAGCCTGGGTCGAGCAAGACTCTGCCTCAAAAAAAAAAAAAAAACACAAAAAAAAACTCAGCTCTGGGGTTACCTTTTCTGGGACACTTTTCCTGACTTCCCTTGCACCTCTGTCTGCATTCCGGCCTTCTTCTCCCAACTGTGAGCATATTTCTATAATAGACTTTCTCACATTGTGTTACGGTGGGTGCACGTGTGTGTTTTCTGCTTGTTTCCTCTATTCTCAGTGAGCACCAGGTGAATCACATGCACATTGAAACCTGAGAATCGCTGGTCTCTTTGCCCAGGAGGAAAAGGGGATGGGTTGGATACAGAGCTTGCCAGTCTCTGCCAGTTTTGCTGATGTACCCAATCAGAAGCCATGTCTTTGATTGAAAACCTGTGCTTGTCCCTATCACAGCTGCTTCATAGAGGTTAGGGGTATGAGCTCTGAATTTAGACATACGAGTCTCCACCCTGTTACCACCTATTACCTGTGTGGCTTTGGGTGAGTTGCTTGCCTTCTCTGAGCTTCAGTTTCTCATCTGTTGGGTGGAGATCATTAATAATACAATTAAATGAGATAATTAATGTGAAGAAAATCCTTTCTGCACAGTTCTTGGCACAAAACGAATGCTCAGTACATGCCTGTTATTGTTATGGGTGATGTGTATAAGACAAGGCTTTGATTAAGCACAGACGTTTAATCTCAGCAAAGTCTCAATTCAATTACACATATATTAATTTAGTGCCTTTGTCTTTCAGGGTGTTTGCCAGATGCTGCAAAGAGAAAAAGACTCAATTCTTCCTAAAGAGTTCACAAAAGACTTGGGGGAATAACCTGATCAAACGACTCAAATTCATGGAATGGGACCCACTCCATAAAATAAGGACTCTGAAGTTTCAAAGAGTGTTTGAGAGAAAGAAAAAAAAGCTCACATCCCGTTGAGTGATTAGGAAAGGCTTTATGAATTGGTTAGTATTTGAAAGGGCCTTGAAGTGAGGATACAATTTCATGGGTCTTGGGGTAGAGAGGGCACTCATGGCAGAAGAAAGAGCCTGATCCGAGGCACAGAGGTTCTTCAGAAGATGGCAAGTTTCCAGGTGACTTTTCATATAGGCTGGGTTTGGGAGAGCACTGGGACATAGCCTGGAAATATACATTGATGGCAGAATTTGCATTTAATCCAGGAGGTAAATGGGAAGCCATTGGATGCCATTACTTACCCCACTAATGTCAATATATCTCATGCTTCGAAAGTGCAGTTATATGGGTGGGAAAGATGGCAGATGAGCCCTCTAGTGCTTTTCTGACCACCCGTAGTAGATGCTATTGGTGCCCCACCCAGGTCCCTTGATGGGGCTGCTGCACGCATCCCCTAGCGCCTGCTAGGGTTAGATGCGAACAGCGCACAGTGGCCCCCTTCTCCAAGAATTGCCCTTGACCAACCCAACAGGAGCTGCCTGACCCAGAAGGTGAATGCCCCCCTTCAAGAGGTAGCTCACTGCCAATGACTCATAGTCATGGGGTACAAAAGGTCAGCTCCCTTGCCTCAGGGCAGGACCCACTCCGTGTGCAACTCACACTTCAGAGCTGCCCATGAAGTCAGGCTGAACAAGACCACAGCTGATGCTACATCCTTGTTTAGCACCTTCCCCTGCCCCGTCCAGCTTCCCTCGCAGCCCTTTGCTCCAGACCCAAGACACCACCCTCTCTCAAGGAGAGCTTTTCTTCTTTTGTCCCTCAATTCTTTCTTTCTCTTGTTTGCTTGTGACTCTGGGCCCAAGATACAGCTTCTTTCCTCTTCTCTGGGATTTCACCAGCAAGAGATTGTTGAAAATGTCAGTGACCTGGTCCTGGCCCCTGGGTCATGGACACCAGGACCAACAGATTTTAAAGTGATTGGCGTAGTATGGTGAAAAGTGGGGTAAATAGAGTATGGCTCAGTCATGTCTCCTGGTCCCTGGGGAATATAAAACCAGAAAAAATCAGAGCGCTGTGGCTCATGCTTATAATCCTAGCACTTTGAGAGGCTGAGGCAGGATTGTTTGAGGCCAGGAGTTCGAGACCAACCTGGGCAACATAGTGAGAACTCCGCCTCTCCAAAAGAAATAAAAAATAAAAAGTTATCTGGACATGGCGGTGCACACCTGGGGTGTTAGCTACTTGGGAGGCTAAGGTGGGAGGAAGGCTTGAGCCTAGAAGTTCAAGGCTGCAGTGACTTATGATCGTGCCACTGTATTCTACCCTGGGTGACAGCCAGACCCTGTCTCTAAAAATTTTTTTAAATAAAATATAATAAAACCCGAGAAAAACAGGGAAACAGATTTTTTAGAAAATTATTTCTGCATCTTTTTGATATTCAATCAGTTACAAAATAACAATGATAATGTGGGGTCAATAGGGCTCTTCCTTCTGGGAACACAGCAGGATTGCCCTTTCTTCCCTTTTGAAGTTAAGTGTGGCCACATGACTTGTTTTGGCCAATGAAACATGAATAGAAGCAACCTCTATCCATCCTGGGGAGAAGCTTTAAGAGCCAGCGTGGCTTTTTCTAGATTCTGTTTTCCTCTGTCGTGGTGGCCAGCAACATTAGAGATGGCAGCTGCTCCATCAACCTGAATTTCTGAATATGTAATATGAGCAAAAATAAAAACTGTATTATTTTAAGCCACAAAGACTTTGGGGCTGTTATTGCAGTATACGGTCTGATACATATAATTTTTTAAAATGACAATATGCTGACTCTATGCCAGGCACTGTTCTAAATGCTTTCCATTTGTTAACTCATTTAATTCTCATATCAACCTATGAGGCAGATACTAGTATTATCCCATTTTATAGATGATAATATGGTGGAGGGGCAAACAGGTTAAGTGTCTTGTCCAAGGTTATACAACTAGGAAGTGGCAGCTCCAAAATTCAAACCCAGGCAGCCTAGTTTTCATTCATCATGTATATCACAGAAAAGATCATGTAAAGACTCCTGTAATTTAAAAGTCCAGGTATTACCTGCTTCAGGCACAGCTGGTGAGAGGTGACAGCGTGCTGGCAGTCCTCATAACCCTCGCTCGCTCTCGGCGCCTCCTCTGCCTGGGCTCCCACTTTGGCGGCACTTGAGGAGCCCCCTCAGCCCACTGCTGCACTGTGGGAGCCCCTTTGTGGGCTGGCCAAGGCCCGAGCCCACTCCCTCAGCTTGCAGGGAGGTGTGGAGGGAGAGGCGCCAGCGGGAACCGGGGCTGCGCACTGCGCCTGCCGGCCAGCTGGAGTTCCGGGTGGGCGTGGGCTTGGCGGGCCCGGCACTCGGAGCAGCCGGCCGGCCCTGCCGGCCCCGGGCAATGAGGGGCTTAGTACCTGGGCCAGCGGCTGCGGAGGGTGTACTGGGTCCCCCAGCAGTGCAGCCCACCGGCGCTTCTCGCCCGGCCTTAGCTGCCTTCTCGCCCGGCCTTAGTTGCCTTCCTGCGGGGCAGGGCTCGGGACTGCAGCCGGCCATGCCTGAGCCTTCCCCCGCCTCCGTGGGCTCCGGTGCAGCCCAAGCCTCCCCGCGAGCGCCGCCCCCTGCTGCACGGCGCCCAGTCCCATCAATCACCCAAGGGCTGAGGAGTGGGAGCACATGGCGCAGGACTGGCAGGCAGCTCCACCTGCAGCCCCAGTGCGGGATCCACTGGGTGAAGCCAGTTGGGCTCCTGAGTCTGGTGGGGCCTTGGAGAACCTTTATGTCTAGCTCAGGGATTGTAAATACACCAATCGGCACTCTGTATCTAGCTCAAGGTTTGTAAACACACCAATCAGCACCCTGTGTCTAGCTCAGGGTTTGTGAGTGCATCAATCCACACTCTGTGTCTAGTTGCTCTGGTGGGGCCTTGGAGAACCTCTGTGTCCATACTCTGTATCTAACTAATCTGATGGGGACGTGGAGAACCTTTGTATCTAGCTCAGGGATTGTAAACGCACCAATCAGCACCCTGTCAAAACAGACCACTGGGCTCTACCAATCAGCAGGACGTGGGTGGGGCCAGATAAGCGAATAAAAAAGCAGGCTGCCCGAGCTAGCAGTGGCAACCCGTTGGGGTCCCCTTCCAGTCTGTGGAAACTTTGTTCTCTGCAATAAATCTTGCCGCTGCTCGCTCTTTGGGTCCACATTGCTTTTTTGAGCTGTAACACTCATCGCGGAGGTCTGCAGCTTCACTCCTGAAGCCAGCGAGACCACGAGCCCACCGGGAGGAACCAACAACTCCAGACAGGCTGCCTTAAGAGCTGTAACACTCACCGCAAAGGTCTGCAGCTTCACTCCTGAGCCAGCGAGACCACGAACCCACCAGGAGGAATAAACTCCAAACACATCCGAACGTCAGAAGGAACGAACTCCAGACGCGCCACCTTAAGAGCTGTAACACTCACCCGGAGGGTCCGCGGTTTCATTCTTGAAGTCAGTGAGACCAAGAACCCACCAATTCTGGACACGCTGGATCCAGGTGCTCAAAAAGGTATCAATTGGAATCACTCTCTATGTTCTGCTTTTTTCTCTGTGTTGCCTTCATCCTCACATGCTTTTCCAATGAAGAGGCCTCCACCTCTCCAGGCTTGCTTCCAGTAGCAACTACAGGGGGGATAAATTTTCTTCCCCAATAATTCTGGCAAAAAGTCTTTCTTTTGATTTGAGGCGGAGTCTCGCTCTGTCACCCAGGCTGGAGTGCAGTGGTACAATCTCGGCTCGATGCAACCTCTGCCTCCCAGATTCAAGCGATTCTCCTGCTTCAGTCTCCCAAGTAGCTGGGATTACAGGTGCCCGCCACCATGCCTAGCTAATTTTTGTATTTTTAGTAGAGATGGGGTTTCACGCATTGGCCAGGCTGGTCTCGAACTCCTGACCTCAAGTGATGTAACTGCTGTGGCTTCCCAAAGTGCTGGGATTACAGGTGTGAGCCACCACGCCCGGCCAAATTCTGGCAAAAAGTCTTTAGGGAACCATCTTTCTTCCACTGTCAATCCCCATCATTTTGTGGGGCTTCACCTGAAGAAGTGCAGTGAAGGCTGAGCCAAGGACAGCAACCGTCTCCTGCATATGTGTGTGATCAAGACCATTAATAACTGAGAGCTTCTGAGAATCTGCCAAAGGGCATGAGAACTCTCACATCTGCAGTTGCTAGAGTCATAAAAATAAACAACAACCCCTCAGATGAATACCAGTTATATGGTCACACATTGTCATGGAATTAAAGATGGCAAAATTCCAAATTGGAAGTCCTGGGACTTGCATGCATACTGGAAGGATTCCTGGATTTTATTTCGTTTTATCCTTGTTCTTCCTCCTGTCCCTGAGTTCCTCTTACTCTCCCTTCCTCAGCTTGTGCTGCAGACTCACATACACAGAGGTTCACATGCACACTTATTTTCCCCAGACTACAAACACACATACACAGAGACACACAAACATAGATACACACAGACACACACACACACACACTGTATGTGCATGTGTCTTCAGAGCGTTGGTAGAAGGGGCAATGGATTAGGGGTCATGAGGCCTGGCTTCTTGTTCAGCTCCAGTCTCTGTGAACTTGGGGCTGCCACCACCTTGCTCTGGGTTTCAGTTTTTTTCACCCGAAAAATGTGGCCTTGTACCAAATGATTCCAGACACCCTTCCCAGCTCCCCCATTGTTCTTAGTTCCCAGCTCCCCTCCCAATTTCCTCCCTTAAATCTACCTCCTGGCCCAGAGCCCTGGACTCCTCCCTGGCCTCAGCAGGGCTCCAGCCCAGGCCCAGCTCCAGGCCCTGCAGTGTGTGCCCCTGACCCCTACTGTTGACAGTGGCTCCCCAGGGCTCAGCTCACTGAGGACAGTGCTCCACTGCACTCTGCCAGCACTGCTGCAAATTCTTGGGCCTGTCCTTAAGAATGCCCCCCGCCAACTTCCTCCAATAATTCATGCCTCAAATGGGATTCTTGAGAGGCAAAAATGCAGGAAATCATATTAATATGCATTGAAATAAAACACAGCATGCACAAGGCAATATGGCATTATTGCCAAAGAAATACCCAAGTTGGCATCCAAGACCTTTGCCAAGCACCTTAGGATACCGCTCAGTTCACTGTCTTAGTGATAGTCCAAAGTCTGTCCGTGAGAGGGAGGCCATCTAGTGGTTAAGGGATGCACTTGTAGTGCAACAGGCCCAAGACTGGTCTGCCGCTTCCCTACTCTATGACCTTGGGCCAGGACTTAATCTCTCAATGGGCCTCAATTCCTTATAGCAAAATGGCGGTGATAACTACAGGCCCTAGTTACCTCCTGGGACTGTGTAAGGGTTAATAAGATCGTGTGTTTAAACCCCATAGCAGGCTCACCCATTGCTGATGATTCACATTTTCTAGAATCAAAAGCTGAATGGAATATTACAGAGCTGTTAAAAAAGAGAAAACACCCACGTAGCATTTCTGGGGGTGGTAAAATAATAATAATAACAAAAAAAGAGAAAACTCTTCATGTACAACTTGGGATATAGTGCCCAGTGACAAAAGGAAGGCAAAGAACAATTTGTGCTATTTCAAATCTTTTGTTTAAAAGAAAAGAGGAAAATGCAAATTTGGTTTACATAAATATAAATAAATCTGAATACACAATATGCACACTTTGTAAATTTGCATGAGAAAATAGTAGTCATGTTGACTTTTGGGAGAAAGGGAACTGAATGAGTGAAAACCAGAGATGGTTTCACTGTATGCCTCTTAATATATTTAATGTTTCCCAGAATTTTGCCCCATGCAAATATATTCAAAAAGTTGAATTTCAAAATGCTAGAAATAAAACAAAAGGCATTTCTATTTATTTGCTGAAAGTTGTAGGGTCCGGGGCTGGAAGGAGAGGGACTTCTGTGCAGGGTTTCGTTTTTGACTCTTAGGACAGGTCCAACAAACTGAGGAAATGCCACTTCTAGCCACCTGAGAAATTTACAAAGACTGAGAAATTTACAAAGAAATTTAAAAAGCTACTGGAACCCAATCTATGGTCAGGGATTCCTATGAGGGAGATGGAGCAAGTGATCTAGCATGTGATTCATTGCTGTCATTGGCATCATCACCATCCCTAGTATCAAATGGAATGTTGGTATGATGACTTAGTTTACACAGTGATTTCACATGTATCACCTCATTGGATTTCCCAGCCATACACTGAAGTTAGCATTCACGTTTTTATTGTTCTTCTTACTTTTATGGTCGGTAGCAGACACTGTCATTGCCCCTCCTTACGCCCTGGGTTCTCACCATCCCTGATGGCTCCTTACTGTAAGCACCAGTGGTCCCTTCCTGTCTCAGTCGGTTCTGGCTGCTATTTAAGAAAAAGAAAAAGAAAAAACACCAGAGACTGGGTGGCTTAAACAACAAGCCTTTATTTCTCACAGCTCTGGAGGCTGGGAAGTCCAAGACCAAGGCACCTGCAGATTGGGTGTTGGATGAGGGCCCGCTTCCTGGTTTGCAGATGGCTGTCTTCTCATTGTATTCTCACATGCTCAAAAGCAGAAAGAGTGGGCAAACTCTTGCGTCTCTTCTTATAAGGGCACTAACCCCACCCCAAGGGCTCCACCTTCATGACCTAATCACCTCCCAAAGGCCCACCTCCTAATTCAATCACATGCAGGGCTAGTGTTTCAACACAGGGATTTTGGAAGGATGCAAACATTCAGCCCATAACATGCCTAAGAGGTTTCTTCAGCCACAGGCTCTGGCTCAGCCTGTGCTAGGGACAGACCAGAGGTGCCAAGGAGCTAATGCCTCTAGGAGCAGCCCTTGCCCTGTGGCTGATGGCAGCTGGTAGCTAAATCCCCATGCTTCCTCCCCCCTTGGGTGGGACAGCTCTGAGGTGTGCTCCACAGTCTCTCAAAGATACCTACTGGGATTAGTTCCCAGTTGCCCTCCGTGGTGACCTAACCTGCTCAGTCAAGCTCTCTGGGTTGCTTTTCTGTCTTCTCTTTCCCATGTCTCCTCTTGACTCCCCTCCTGGCATTTCTCGTGATCCTGTCCAGAGGAGCTACTTGCTCTCCCATCTTGTCTCAGGCCTGCCTGTAGGAGAACCGAGCCCAAGTCAAAGGCACATCTCTAGTGAGTGAGCCATCAGGGACTGACCCAGTGCTGGTTGCAAAGCCCAAGCTCTGTCCACCCCATCAAGCTGCTGTCCTCATGGGCTCTCACAGAAGACAAAAGCCAAAACCAAGAGGGCCAGCATTCTCTTCAAAGCCCAGGCAGAGGAAAGCCACCGAATCAAGCACATCCATGAGCTCTGAGCATCCTCACATTCAAAGCAAAAGAAAACATGATGCCAGTTCACCAGCACAAGTATTTAAACCTGTCTTTCAGAACACTTTAAAATAGTTCATTTTTTAAAAAGCATTCATTTCACGTTTGAAAAATAACTAAATATTCATCCAGGCTTGTTCACAAATGTGCTACTTTCGTTTATTGAATGCCTTGCTTTCCTGTCAAAGAATTACATTGTCACTTAAAGTCCTCTTTCATTTTCTTACAAAATCAGATCATCATCTTGAAGGGAGCTATGTGGCAAGATTGGCAAGGGGGCCATGGAAGGCTTTGGAAGGAGCTAATATTTGGGCTGAGACCCTGCAGGTGAGTAGTTGGTCCAGCAGGCAGAAAGTTGGGATGGTGTTTCCCTGGCACAGGACTGGCCTGTGTGTGTGCATGGATGCCAGAGAACATGCTCCATGACAGCTGGGCTCTGAGCCAGCTGGAACAAGCAGAAGAAACGTGTGTGAGTGAACAGGCAGGCACGCCACACTCTGCCTCCCAGGCTATAACAAGAAAAAAGAGAAAATGAATGTCGA
Organism: Homo sapiens; assembly: GCF_000001405.40. Taxonomy (NCBI): domain Eukaryota; kingdom Metazoa; phylum Chordata; class Mammalia; order Primates; family Hominidae; genus Homo; species Homo sapiens. The sequence continues at coordinate 26,058,742 of NC_000004.12, read as the reverse complement.
ATGGGGAAACCACCTGGTTTCCTCTAGACCAAGAGTGGGGCCCTAAGGGCGAGCATGCCCTGGCACCCGCACTGAGCAGGGCTTTGTGCGACACCCTTGAGTCATCTGGGAAGGTTCTGCAGCAGTACTATCGATAGCTCTGGGACAGTAGAAGCCTTGTTAAAGACCCAATCTCCTCCATAAGATACTAACTATTGAGCTGGGGTCCGAGGGAAGTCCTTTAACCGGGTCAGGGGCCCATTCCAGGGACCAGGATGGATGATCAGGAGTGTTTTTGGTACTCATAGACTGGCTTGTGCTCTCAAATATTTTAAATGGTAGAGATGCAAGATCAGAAGTTTGGGCTGGGCATGGTGGCTCATTCCTGTAATCCCAGCACTTTGGGAGGCCGAGGCAAGCAGATCACTTGAGGCCAGGAGTTCGAGACCAGCCTGGCCAGCACAGTGAAACTCCATCTAAAAATACAAAAAATTAGCAGGGTGTGGTGGTGCACAACTGTAATCTCAGCTACTTGGGAGGCTGAGGCATGAGAATTACTTGAACCTGAGAGGCAGAGGTTGCAGTGAGTTGAGATCATGCTACTGAACTCCAGCCTGGAAAACAGAGTGAGACTCTTTTTTAAAAATAAATAAATAAATAAATGTAAAAAAAAAAAAGTTTGGAGGAACTGTTCTATGACACACTCAGCACATATGTTGTAACCGGTTGATGTGAGCCCCCGTCACTCTCTTGCTCCCTCTCTTGCCATGTGATGCGCCTGCCCCTACTTTGCCTTCCACCATGAGTAAAAGCTTCCTGAGGCTCCCCCTAGAAGCTGAGCAGATGTTGGTGCCATGCTTGTACAGCCTGCAGAACCATGAGCCAATTAAACCTCTTTTCTTTATGAATTACCCAGTCTCAGGTATTCCTTTCTAGTAACATAGAAATGGACTAATGTAGTTATATATTTTTTAAAGGTATTGTATTTTAAAAACAGCAGCAATAGTGATAGGAAGCTTGGACTTCCCTGGACAATCTGAGATTAAGTGTAGGGGATCTTGATCTCCTCAGCATCTGACTATAGCTTCCCAGGAAGCTCTGATTTCCATCTGTGCGTCCAGTGACCCCATAGGTGTTGGCCCCACCCCAGTTTTAGGAAGAGAGCATGCAATCCACACCAAGCCAATCAGTGGGCTGCTGCCTTGGCCACAGGAATTGGTTAAAATGGCAGGACCTAATCTAAGCAAAGTGAAGTTCAGGGCTCGTGTTTAGAAATGTGGGACAAAGGCATTCTCTGTCTTCTTCAGATGAGGTCTGGCTTCTGGATGTGAGGATTAGAGCTGCTGCAGTCATTTTTGCTACCCAGAAGGAGGCCACCCTAAAAACAGTTCACACACGGAAGAGACTGGTGCTGAGAAAATGTTGGGAAGGAGAGTGGACTGGGTGCAGTGGCTCACACCTGCAATCGCAACTACTCAGGAGGCTAAGGAGGGAGGATTGTTTGAGGCCAGGAGTTCAAGACCAGCCTGGGCAACATAGGGAGACCCCTATCTCTAAATGAAAGTGGGAAAAAATGGCTGGGCACAGTGGCTCACACCCGTAATCCCAGCAGTTTAGGAGGCTGAAGCAGGCGGATCACTTGAGGTCAGGAGTTCGAGACCAGCCTGGCCAAAATAGTGAAAACCCATCTCTTCTAAAAATAGAAAAATTAGCCAGTTATGGTGGTGGGCACCTGTAGTCCCAGCTACTCAGGAGGCTGAGGTGGGAGGATCACTTGAACCCAGGAGGCGGAGCTTGTAGCGAGCCAAGATTGAACCACTGCACTCCAGCCAGCCTGAGTGACAGAGTGAGACTCTATCTCAAAAAAAAAAAAAAAAGGGTGGGAAAAAATTATCTGGAAATGGTGGCATATGCCAGTGGTCCTAGCTACTTGGGAGACTGAGGCTGGAGGATCACCTGAGCCCAGGAGTTCGAGGCTGCAATGAACCGTGATCATGCCACTGCACTCTAGGCTGGGCGATAGAGCAAGACCCTATCTCAAAAAAAAAAACAACAAAAAATTCAGTGTTGGCCCTAATCATATTTAGACGCTCTGGAACAAATTGTGCCTGAGATTACCTTCAATTTGGACTTGTGGATTACATAACCTAATCAATGTACTCTCTCAGATGAGCCCCAGCCAGGAAAAGAGAAACCACAGTAGATATTTCAAAACAGGAGATTTAGTAAAAGAATTTTACACAGTGACAGATGAAAATGAGGATGCTGCGATAACTCGGGAGTAGGTTACTCCTAGGGCTGGCAGAAAAGAGGGGAGAGGGTGATTACCAGAGGAGGGTCTCATGATGCTGGTGCCGGGCTCCTGGGGGGAAACTGCATAGCTTGTGTTCAGACCACTGAAGAGGAGGGGGCATGATTTGACAGATGCTCGCACCCCCAGGGTGGTGGGCCAGGAATTGCTCTGATGCCCACAGTGAGTAGGTGAGGAAGCTGTCAAGCTTCTCCTCCACCCCCTAGGTCCCAGGCTGTTGGTGGGCTCCAGCACCTCTGCAGGTGCATGGTGAGGGGCACCTGGGAATGCTGAATGGAGCTGGCAAGTGGAGCTCACCGTCTGCTCCTGCTAGAGGGACACTGCCAGGAGCTGAAGGACAACAATGAGGTCCTTCTCCTCTTCTCTTGCCCCAGTCTCCCTCTAGTGCCTCCTGTGGGCATAGTCTGTCAATTGTGGCTTGCAGAGTACCCTTCTGGCATCACAGGGCAGTAGGGTGAGCTTAGACATGACAGCCGAGAGGTAAAGGGCGGGTCTCACCAGCTCCCACTGGGCTTCCATTCCTTGCATCCGGCTGGTACACTTGATTATCATAATTACCGCAATTAGAGCCTTAGCCCATTTTTCCTTGGGCCATAATCTGGAAACCATTTTGATCGTCCTAAATTCTATTTACTTTCAAATCTTCTGTGGATAGCTGGGGCGCCCATCTTCCGGCCTCTTGGATGAGAAGACCAAGCTCAGGGAGGCCAGATACCAGCTTCACTCCAAGTTGACCACTTCCATTCTGGAAAAGCTCCCAGAGCAAGGAGACTTCAGGACCCACTGCAAGAGGAAACCTGAGGCTCCTTCTTGGGGTGGGAATCGGAAGAGGATGTTTTCTGGTTACAAGAAACAGAAAGCCTGCCTCAATTGGCTTAAACAATGAGAAAATACAGTAGTCTCCCCAATCCACGGTTTCAAGTTCTGCAGTTTCAGTTACCCACAGTCAACTGTGGTCTGAAAATATTAAATGAACAATTCCAGAAATAATTTATAAGTTTTAAATTTTGCACCATTCTAAGTAGCTGATGAAATCTCTCATAGTCCTGCTGTGTTCTGCCTGGGACATAAATCATCCCTTTGTTCATCATATACACACTGTAGATGCTGCCTGCCCCTTAGTCACCATCTTGGTGATCAGATGGCCCCAAGTAGCCATCTTGGTGATCAGAACAACCTTCGAGGTAGCACAGCGCTTGTGTCTTTTCTTTTACTTAATAATGGCTCTAAATTCAAGAGCAGTGATGCTGACATATTTTTATACTCGCTTTATTTTATTATTATTGTCATATTAGTCCATTCTCACACTGATGATAAAGACAAACCCAAGACTGGGTAATTTATAAAGAAAAAGAGGTTTAATGGACTCACAGTTCCACATGGCTGGGGAGGTTTCAAAATCATGGCAAAAAGGCAAAAGACACATCTTACATGGAGGCAGGAAAGAGAATGAGAGCCCAGCAAAAGGGGTTTCCCCTTATAAAACCATCAGATTTTGTGAGACTTATTCACTACCATGAGAAGGGGATGGGGGAACCACCCCCATGATTCAATTATCTCCCACCTGCTCCCTCCCACAACACATGGGAATTATGGGAGCTACAATTCAAGATGAGATTTGGGTGGGGACACAACCAAACCATATCACCTACTGTGCCTAATTTATAAATTGAACTTTATCATAGGTATATATGTATAGGAAAAAACATAGCATATATAAGGTTCAGTACTATTGCAGTTTCAGTCATTCACGGGGGATCTTGCAACATATCACCTACACATAACGGGGGATACTGCATAACATCTCCCATACCTGGAACGCTGGGGTAGGCAGTTTCAAGGAAGGTTAACTCCCCAGCTGAACTATACCATGGAGAACACTGGTTGTTTCCATCTTTTCTATCTTGGTCCTCAGATTGGTTCTTTGGGTAGTCCCCTGGCTTGGTTACAATGGCTGCCTCAATTCCAAGCATGATATCTGGATACTGCGTCAGTAGCACCATCTTTTCTTTGTGTCTTTTTTTCAGATCTAGGAAGCCTTTCCCCCAGGCTCCACTATTGGAGTCCCAGGTCACATGTCCATCCCTGATCCCGTCACCATCAAGGGGAATGAACCACAACTGGCTCAGACCAACCAGGATTCACTCTCAAGCTGGGAATATGGTATTTACATAAGTCAGAGTTTGATAGAGAGACAGAAAGTGGCTCTACATATAAACATGCAATGAGAGATTTGTTACAGAGGTTTGACCCTCTGCAGTTGTGGGAACAGGTTCAACTGTCTCTACAGTGCTGTGGCTGTGGCTGGAAGTCCATGGGGTGGGAAGTGGAGAAGAGGAGATGGATGTCAAGTGGAAAAGAGCAAGGACAAGCTGGACCCCATGAGGATGATCTCCATGTGCTGCAGGAGAAATGGGTGTCCTTTGTCACTGAGCTCTGCCACGGCCTTCAGGATGCTGAAGAAGGATCCAGGCAGAGGCAAAGCACTTGCAGGCCCGCCCACCACACTCTGACAATGAAATGAGCCTGGCGACACTGCCTGACCTTTGGAGCTTGACTTCTGCCCTCCAAATCTCAGGCAAGATATCTCTTGTGGCAGAACTGGAAACATACAAGAAAGTGGACTCCAGAAAACTACCATCAGCCTAGCCACACCAATACATGACAAAGCCATCATCGTGACCATCCCTGAGGAGTGATTCCTGAACAAGACTGGGGTGCTGTAAACAAGAAGGAAGGGGAGAATAGATCTGGGTGAGGCCACCCAAAGTGTCTGTGCCCCAAGAGGATCAGTTTTTGCTCGTACTGGAATCTAGTGTTAGGAGGGGTTTGTGTGTGTAAAGTTCACACGAAGATGAGATAAAACAAAACGCATAAATGGAACGCTGTCTCCCTCAGTCTCTCTCTCTCTTCCTCTCTCTCTCTCCTTATCCCCAAAGGATATCTTTGGGGAGAATAAGGTCCTCTGGGCCTATCATGGGCCAACCTCTGGCAGAAAACACTCAAGAAGAATAAACTCATGCCTTCAGCATTTAGTGGTGTGCCTGCCCCACCTCTGAATCACGCCACCCTGTCCACTTCCCCTGCTTGGATCCTGCTCTCTCCACTTCCTGTTCTCATTCCACAAGCACACATTAAGCACCAACTGTGTGCTGGAGGCATTGGTGGCAAGATGAGAAGGAAATGAAGTGGAGCTCCCTCTCTAGGGGGGAACTTCCTTCCTCTGCCCCAAATGGCCCCTCCTTCTACAAACCCGCGCAGATGTCATCCCAGGCACTCGAGCAAAATCCCCAAGGCCCTGCACACGTCTCTGCATGGCTGTAAGTGATTATCTGAAAGCATGTGTGTATGTGGACATGCCACTTTGTTTTTAATGAACGCTTTATTTTTGTTGATCCCATCTTCCCCCTGGAGCACATAAGAACTTTGAAGGTTGGGTTTCTGTTTTCCCCTCTGCTTATAACTACGTGCCATGTGCAGGGCGGCTGTGCTCAAAAGGGAGAAATCCAATAGGATTTTGTTTCCAAAGACAACAAGTAGCATTTTCCCAGAGCCTTGGAAGATGCAAAATGTGTTTTGTACATACAAGCTCCTCTGTTCCTGACATCCCACTCTGTGTGGTCCCTGACACACCTGTTGTTAGCAGTCCCTATTACCGTCTCATTCTACTGATGAGGAAATTAAGGCTCAGGGTGGGGCAGGGGTGGGGTGAGAAAGTTGTAGAAGCTGAGCTCCATCCAGCATGCTCCTGCATCTTGGGGTCCATACTCAGAACCCCAGGTGCACTGACCCCTGGGGTCTGTGGGTGTGAACGCATTGTTACACATTTCCTGGAGGCTTATTCGATGGTGGGCACTGGGCTATGGCTTTCCACACTCTAGTACTAGGTAACACTATATTATCTTCTCTTTTAGTGAGGAAACCAAGGCTTAAGGAGTTTATATAACTTGTAAGTGGCAAAGCTGGAGCTTCAATCTAGGTCTTTCTAATACCAAAATGCATGTCTTTTACTCTTATGTCAACTATGATCTAAAATGATTTGAGTGAACATCTAGAATTCACTTTTCCACACCTATAGAACAGGGCTCTGAGGTTAGACCACCAGGATTAAATCCCAACTCTGCCGCTTTGGGCGAAGTCCTTCATCTCTACAAGTGTTTCCTCTTCTGTACCATGATTAATCAAACAAACAAAAAAATAGTTCCAACTTCATAAGCTTGTTGTGAGGCTCAAACAAAAGGAAAAAAATACGCATGTGCTAGCTTCCCAAGATGTCTGGCACGAGGTGTAAGGTGAGCACCCAGTGAATGTGAGTTTTAATTCTTATCACAGCAATCCTTTTTCTTTTTCTTTTCTTTTTTTTTTTTTTTTTTTTTTTTCTTGAGATGGAGTCTTGCTCTGTCGCCTAGGCTGGAGTGCAGTGGCTCCATCTGGGCTCACTGCAAGCTCCGCCTCCCGGGTTCACACCATTCTCCTGCCTCAGCCTCCCGAGTAGCTGGAACTACAGGCGCCCACGACCATGCCCGGCTAATTTTTTGTATTTTTAGTAGAGACGGGGTTTCACTGTGTTAGCCAGGATGGTCTCAATCTCCTGACCTCGTGATCTACCTGCCTCAGCCTCCCAAAGTGCTGGGATTACAGGCGTGAGCCACTGCGCCCGGCCAGCAATCCTTTTTCTCATTGGCCTTGTACAGTCAGCCTGGCCACAGCTTTCCCAGCATAGCTGTCTTTGTTAGGGCATGATTAGCACTGAAGGGCCTGAATTCTGGGGAGCCTCAGGTTCCCCCAAAGCTTGCACTGGAACCATTCCTGCAGCCGTCCAGGAGATCCTGTGTGTGCAGCAGGGCTCTTATTGATGTCCTATCTTAGCCAGCCCCACTCAGCTGCTGCACACATGTTCCATAAATGGGAATCATTAGCAGCTAGCCCCATAAACACCCCCTCCTAGCCGTGTTGCAGCGTGTGCCAGCTGTGCGGCAACCGCTCAATCAAGCCTATCAGCCCAGATACAAAACAGTCATCGTGTGCATGAAAACCAGCATGCCCTAAAAAGAGCCTTCCAGGAGCCAAGGGGTGGGGGGTTGGGGGAGGAGTGGAGAGGAGGGGGGGACAGTTCCTCCCGGTTGCCTCAACAAACTCTGCTTTCACTCATCTCCCAGCAAAGAACCAGTTAGTTCAGGAGAAGAATCAGAGATCTGGCATGGGCTTCTCCACAGGGACAGTTAAAAGTGATGATCTTCTTTGCATTAAATGCAACTTATTTATTAGGTTCTCCATACCCTCAAGTTAATCGAGGGAGTAGATTCTCTGTAAAGGGGCTGACAGTCTTGATTTTGCAAAGCTGAAGCCGTCCCATTGCAAGCACATAAAAATGCATCATGTATTCAAGTGATTGAAGAGGAAAACCCAAGGAGCTGGGAGCTATGTCAATCTCGCTCATTCTCAGTAGGTTCTGGTAGAGCCCGGGATAGGGAAAGATCCAAAGCATGGCCAGGCTTTTGCTAAATTGGGGTGGAGCAGGAACAGTGGAAGCATGAGGAAGCTGGTGTCTCAGGGAGGGGATACAGGAAGCCAGGTCAGAGAAGTTCAGGTTAATTAACAACCCTGATGCAACCCTGTTGACCACATTGTTCTTCGAAAGAAGATGGGATTAGATGCGTTTAACAAGTGATTCCTTACTTGAGTATAATTATGGCAGTGCATGCTCCGGAGAGTAGGTAAATTCATCTCTCTGAGCCTCAGTTTCTCCATGTGCAAAGTGGAAGTAACTATAGAAGATCAGGTGTTGGAAGAAGCAGGTTGTCTTGGCTGGGGTTATACTTAGGGCTGACACAAAGACATGGTGATTGTCACATCCTCTCCGGAGTACCCACGAGGGTGTGGCTGAGGAAAAGCCCTGGATGTAAATGAGGTGAGAGGCCTTTGGGGTAGCCATGGCTTAGCATGAAACCGCTTCTGAGCTTGAGGCTGCTGAGGTGAACTCCGGGTTACCCCCTGGCTTTCTGCCAGGCAATCCAAGGATCAGAGAGGATCAGAGGGGTAGAAAGAGGAAGGGAAAGAAAGGGGGCGAGGAAAAGGCGGAACAGAGAGGAGGCGACTGTGCCAGCTGGGGAAGAAGAGGAGGCCACCCAGGCAGGGCGGAGGAGCCACAGGGCAGCTTCCTCAGCAGTAGGCACAGCAAGTCCTATGGTCAGCCCAGTACCTAAGGAAGAGGGTGTGTGCAGGGTGCACTGCTGGTTCTTTCTCTGCGGCAGAGGAGGGATCTGGGGCTCAAAGAGATGTAAGGATCTATTTGCTGATCACGTGGCCATTACTGGGGAAAGCACCATCCTAATTGCAATATCCCAGAACCCAGGGCCCACAGCGCTGATGAAGACTGGGCCCCTGTCCACCCAGAGCTCATTATTGGGTTAGGTAGGCATGGTGGCCTTTGGAATCACAGTGTCCATCCCAGGATTTCAGGAGCTGAAGATGGCTCCATTCCTCCCGCTTCTTGCCCATCCTCCATATCTTGAACCCACCAAGCAAACAAACAGCATTTCTCCCTCTCAGGCCTTTGTGAAAATACAGCTCTCTGCCTCTTCTCAGTCCCTTCTTGGAAGTCCTTCCTTGCGGGTGAGAGAGGCAGATGAGGAGGGGGTATGCAGGGGGGAAGCAGGTGCTGCAGAGAGAGAAATGGGAGTGGGGAGGGGAGCCCACCAGTGTTACTTTGCCAACGTTGGAGCCCAGAGGGCTAGGGACAGATACACCAGACATGCAGCCCTAGATGGACTCAGACACCAGGACAGTGACCAGAATTAGATCAATAGCTGGCTAAGGCATGCCACCCAGTCCCCAAACATTGCCCACAGAACCCCACGGCACTTCCCCTGGCTACCCCCATGAGGCTCTCCAGGACAGTCCCTCGAGGCTGGTGGGAACCCCATCCTCTCAGCTCTTTTCTAGCTGTCTCATCAAACCCAAACCAGAATGGAGTCTGTCTCTGCAGAGGGAAACTCCTTATATGGCCTCCATCCCCTTTAAGAACCTTCTGTATTTCTCTGATCGGATGACCCCACTCTGGCCTTCAGGAGGGAAACCTTCTTTGCAAATTCTTGGCAGCACCGTTTCCTATGCTCCCATCTCCTGCACCCCTGATAGTTGAGGCTGCTGAAATGTACCTAAAAGGATGTGTCGCTCTTCCTGAGCCTTTATTATTTCAGTCTTTCTGTCTGCCCAGCTGCCCCAGCCTTGCGTGAAATGTTAATAACTTCAGAAACAAATCTGAGCGATGATGGGGCCAGTCGGGGAGTGCCGGATTCTCATCTTCTGAAAACACATGTGGAAATTTCCCCCTCACTGGCACCTCCAACCTGTGATCCTCCGACATTTCTAAAGTTTGCTTCATTCCTTCATCTCGCCACTTGCTCCCTAGGTTTGATGTTTTGTTTGTTATCCCTTGAAATTATATACCCTCTTAAGAGAGAAAAAGAAAGTTGAACGTGGAGAACAAAGAAAGTTTAGGTTTTTTAAAGCACTTTTATGGAGGCTTTTCATGAACTTTACAAACGGAGTAAAAAACAAGTGTGAAAGGATTTTTCAAGGAAGGAACATGCTTTTGCAATTTGCTGGAAGTTTTCCCTTGTGTTCCAGAAAAGCAGCCTCCCCATTACTCACCAGGGAGGCACGCAGGCCAGGGAGGAAGGGGAATCAGCGAATGAAAACAGGCTTTCCCCGTCCATGTGTAAACGGCACTTAATAATCAAATTGAAAAAACACGCAAGTGAAATTAAAACGTTTTCCAAATGGGCTGCAGCCTTGAGGCCAGACTTTATGGGGCCATGGCCTGGCGTATTTGTATCTCTGCCCTAGTTGGGCCCCAGGCAAAGTAGCTGTGGGGACAGCCAGATTCAACAAGAGGGTAGCAAACAAAGGGCCCCTCAAGGCAACGACTGCGGACAGACAGCACCCCCACCCGTCTCTGTGAATCCACTCTCCAGGGCAATCTCCCATGTCCTGGGACTCCTGCTCAGACCTCTCTCAGATGGCGGAAACTTCGCTTGACCCTGTATCTGCCCTCAGTCACTCACTCCCTCATGCGCTCCTTCATTGACTCACTCAGTCCCATCAACGTTATGGACTGGCCATCTCTTTTCCAATCTTAAAGCAAAAAGAGGAAGAAATCAAAAAGCCCCAAACTTCTCTTGACCCCCTGCCCCCCTTTGTCTGTGACACCCCCACAACTCTGCTCTACGCACTGTTTCCAATGGCTCTCTTCCTAGTCTCTCCCAGGCCTCATCCTGGCAGGCCTTTACTACTTCCCTCCACTCAAAAACTGCCCTGCCGAGGTCAAGGTCAGCTGCGCCTCTGTGTGGATTAACCCAGGCCTCAGGCCTCATTTTTGACCCAGCAGGGGACCCAGATGATCACCTCCCCAGTCCACACTCGGCTTCCAGGGCACCGCTTTCTGTAGGTTCCCTTCCCTCACACTGGCCAGTCCTTCAGAGCCACCTCGGCTGATCCCTACTTTTCTCCTGACCTCTTGCCTTGGAAGGCCCAGTGCTCACTCCTTGGCCCTTTTCTCTTCCTTATCCTCATTCCCTCTGTGATCTCATCTAGTTTTATGGCTTTGAAATCATCTAATTTGCTGATGACTCCCAAATTTTTTTGTCTCCTTTCATGGCTTCTCCCCTGATTTTTTTTTTTTTTTTTTTTTTTTTTTGAGACAGAGTCTCACTCTGTCACCCAGGCTGGAGTACAGTGGCATGAGGCTCACTAAAGACCTTCTGGGCTCAAGCAATCCTCCTACCTCAGCTTCCCAAATAGCTGGGACTACAGGTGTGCACCACCACACCCAGTTAAATTTTAAATTTTTTGTAGAAATGGGGTCTCGTTATATTGCTCAGGCTGGTCTCAAACTCCTGGGCTCAAGCGATCTGCCCACCTCAGCCTTCCAAAGTGCTGGCATTACAGATGTGAGCCACCACACCTGACCTCCCTTGAATTTCAGACTTGCATACCCAGCTGTCTGCTCAACATCTCCACTTGGGTGTTACATAGATATTTCAAACTAAATATGCCAAAAGTTGAGTCAAGTTCAAAGTCTTTACCAATTGCATCCAAGACCTTATGAATTCTACCTTCCGGCAACTTGCTCACCCTCCTCTGGCCACACTGGCCTCCTTGCCTTTCCTTGAACAGGCTGGGCAGGGTCCCCTTTTGGAACCTTTGCATTGACTCTTCCTCTCCTTTGTAAGGCTCTTTCTGCAGATATCCACACAGCTAACTTTAAGTTTAATTTTTTTATGAACCAAGATCCAATCAAAAATATTTTTGTGATTGACCCTTTTTAGCTTCTTTTTAAAAATAACAATGATGAAAAAAAAAAAAAAGTCCTGGCCAGGACTCACACTTGGATTCCCAGCACTTTGGGAGGCCAAGGCAGGAGGATCGCTCAAAGCCAGGAGTTCAAGACCAGTCTGATCAACAAACTGAGACCCCATTTCTATAAAATATTTAAAAATTTAGCCACATGTGGTGGTGCACACCTGTAGTCCTAGCTTCTTGGGAGGATCATTTGAGCCCAGGAGTTTGAGGTTGCAGTGAACTATGATCATACACTGTACTCCAGCCTGAGTGACAGAGTGAGACCCTATCTCAAATACATAAATAAAGAGATCATCCTGATTGTTTTGTAGAGTGTCCCGTGCTCTGAAGTTGTTTGACCATTTTCTTTTGGTGTCATTGGCCTTGTTCTTCTATCTCATGTGGCCTCCTGTCAGTCCTTCCCACACTGCACTCCTTCCTATTGCCCTGTGTTCTTGGCCAGTTCCCCGCCTGTGTCTTTAGCAGCTTGTTCTCAGGCAGCCTCATTTAGGGTTGCTTATCCTTCCTCATTCATGTGACCACCTAGAATGTCGTTGTTCCCCAAGGTTTCATCTTTTCTGAAAATACACAAATTCGTTTACTTCCATGTCTTCATATACCTTTTTAATGTTAAAGGCCCCAAATTTATAGCTCAAATTATCTGCCAGAGTCTCCAGTTGGACATTATTCATTCTTTACTTTCTCTCTCTCTCAGTCTCTCTCTTCTCCCTTTATCTCTAGAACCAATTATGTGCTGGGCATTGCAAATGAATCTAAGAATAAGAGCGACATCCTTCCTGGCCTCATGGAGCTTCCTATAGGAAAGATAGACTATAAACAAATAAGCTGGAGGGTTGGCAGGAGCAATGCATGCAAGGTACCGTAAGCCACATTAAGGACTTTGGACTATAGCCTAGAGGACTGGGAAGCCCCTGATTAGAGGTGATCAGTCTATCATGTGGAAAACAGACCATAGGGGACAAGAGCAGGGACATGCCCAGGCAGAAGATAGGTTAAGATTTGATGGCGCCAGCCCAAACTCAACATAGCACAAACTGGTCATTATTTTTTCCTAAAATGTTTTCTAGTCTTTCTTAGCCAATCACCCAGTTATCTAGACCTGACACCTAGAGCCCCTGCCTTAGTTCAGAGCCTCACAGTTTTGACGGCTGCCTCCTAGATGGTCTCCTCGTCTCAGTCCAGTCTCCCTGCACTCTGTCTTCCTCATGAAGAGAATGGACTTTTCTTCCCTTCTTGCTTCTCCTCCCTGACTTCCTGGAGTTGCTGCCTCCAGGGCTAAGGGAACTGAATATTGTTGTAATAGAACTCAAGAAAAGATTCTATGGCACGCTTATGTGCCAAAACTCTGCTAGTGGATTTGTCTTTTACACCTGGAGACATACCTAGAAGGTTTTGAAGACATTCCAATCTCAGAACAAACTTCCATCTTAGCATTTTATTCCTCCTCCTTCTGACCCATCCAGTTGTGGGGCTGATGAAGCAGATAGTGACCAACAGCCAAAGGGCAGTCCCCTTGTGGAGTGGGGTGGGGAGGGCAGCAAGAGGAAGCCAGAAGCTCAGGACACAAGACTACCTTCTCAGGTGCGCTTTGCAGGCTGAAAGGTGACTGTGGGGTTAGTCCCAATATTTTAGAGGTTAATATGATCTGAGGATGAGTTCAGTTATCCTAGGAGTCTACACTAAACTCCTCAACCCATTCTGGACTTAAATAGATCCAGATGGGAAATTGCACTTGAACTTTACTAGGACGTGACTGAACTTTTTTCAAAGTGTGCACGTGCACATGCCTGCATGCGTGTGCTTCCCTCATTGTCGGGGGGCAGCACAAGCTTCCTGCTCCCACCTCTCAAATGTGAGCAGATATCTGGATTCCTCCAGCATGGAGCACAAGAGGTGAGGTCAATGAACAAAAGGATAAACAAATGAAAGCCACACACTGTGATGTGCTGAACACATCATCATCCAAGGCAGCTGAGAGATGCTTTCTCCTTTGTGTGAGTTGGGATCATAGGCAAAAGGAAGGCCAAGGCCACACACTAGGATACTCAGGAAAGAAAGATGGAGCTGGCAGGGAAGGAGCAGAGCCAAGAAAATGGGAAAGAGGGGAGTGGATGGGGAGCCAAGACCTGTCTTTTAGGTTTCTCAATGGCTTTCTTATAACTATTAAAGTCTGTACCTTTAGCAACATGGTCCTTAGAAAGGCTGAGAAAATGCTTTTTAATTCTGAAGTTGAGAGCTCATTTCAACTCATGTTCACTCTGCTCCCCTGGTCCTCCACTTTGGCATGATTAGAAAGGTTTCAGTCTGCCTGGCTGAAGGTGTAAATGAAAGCTCAGCTGGCTCGAGCCTTCCCACCAGGGCTGTGTAGGTAGATGAGTAATAGGATTCAAAGAAGTTGCATTTCAGAGGGTCTAACCATGGTGATTCATCTCCTCAGTGACCTCCAGGGAAATAAGACCCTGTGGCAGCCAGAAAATACTTCGAAGGTCAGAAATCTGTGCTAGATCTTTATCCTGGAGCCAACAAACAATAAAAATCAGCATTAGTTGATAATATTCCTTGAGTCCCTAGAGAGGTTGGGACTGAAGAACCCAGAGGTAGTCCTTAAACTATTTCTTCTCACATATTTATGAAGTTCTGACAGTGGCCTAGGCATGATATCTGGAGGAGAAAGATTACAAGGTAAGCTCCCTTTTCACTAAAGTACAGTTTAGCAAGGGAGGAAGGCAATGGCACAAGTGATTGTGATTCAGTGAAATAAGGACCATAAGAGGGCATAGTATGTAAGGCTAGGAAGATGCAGAGGAAGTCAAGGCTACCTGTCTTTGATTAAATTAGAAAATGGACTTTTGAGAGATGAGGTGTTTTTTGTTTGTTTGTTTGTTTGTTTTTGTTTAATGAATAGGAGTTCTTCAGAAAGAGGGGTGGAAGATGCCTCCAGGCTGACTCTCTAGCCAGAAGGAACATGCAATAAAGGTTCCAGGGGAAAGAAAGCAGAGATTTGAACAGGGTTTGTACACCAATGTTCATAGCAGGATTATTCATAAGGGTGAAAAGATGGAAACAACCCAACTTTTCATCGATGGCTGACTGGATAAACAAAATATGGGCCATGCCTACAACGGAATATTATTCAGCCATAAAAGTGAATGAAATCTGACACATGTTAAATATGGATGAATCTCAAAGACCTTATGTGAAATAAGCCAGACACAAAAAAACAAATAGTGTATGCTTCCACTTATATGGATTATCTGGAGTAGTAAAATTCATAGAGACAGAAAGTAGAATGGTTTCCAGGGGCTTGAGAGAAGGGAGAATGCTTTTGTTTGATGGGCATAAGATTTCAGTTGGGGAAGATGAAAAAGTTCCGGAGATGGATGGTGGGAATGGTTGCACAACAGTGTGAATGTACTTAATATCACTGAGCTGTCTACGTAAAAATGGTTAAAATGATATATTTTATGAAATGTATATTTTATTACAATTTTTTAAAATTAACAAGAAAAAAGATGTGGGGAGAGGAACAATTGTGGTATATTGAGGAAAAGGTGAATTCATAGGCCTGGCTAAGACTTCAAGTGTGGGTGAGAGACTGACAAGGTAGATTTAGTCCAGGTAATAAAATATTTTGTACTTGGGGAGGTGGCGCTTTGCCTTGGAGGGGGGTAATAAAGAGTTATTGGAGAAGTGGGGAAGGACCAGGATTTTTAGGAAAGACTTATCCTGCAGAGTAGAAAGGCCGGAGGTGGAGGCCAGCTTCAGTGCTGTGAGATGTAATGGGAGCTGGAACTGCCGTGGAGATGAAGAGGACATAGAAGCATCAAGAAATGAAGTCAAAAGCCAGGCACGGTGGCTCACGCCTGTAATCCCAACACTTTGGGAGGCTGAGGCAGGAGGATCTCTTTAGTCCAGGAGTTCGAGACCAGCCTGGGAAACTTGGCAAAACCCTGTCTCGACAAAAAAGACAAAACCTAGTCAGGTGTGGTGGTGTGCACCTGTGGTCCCAGCTACTCAGGAGGCTGAGGTGGGAGGATCACTTGAGCTGGAGAGGTGGAGGCTGCAGTGAGTCCAGATTACACCACTGCACTCCAGCTTGGGTGACAAAGGGAGACCCTATCTCAAAAAAACAAAAAACAAAAAAAGAAACAAAAACAAAAACCAAGAGATGAAGTCAAATAAACAGGACTGTGTGCCTATCGACTTGAGCCAGATTAGTTGAGGGTGAATGGGAAATTGAGGATGGGTGATTTGGTTTGGGTGGCTAAATGGACACCAGCCACAAATAAGGATCTTCAGGAAGAAGAATGTGTTTTGTGGGAAAGAAAACAATATCAATTTGAGACCTATTTAATAATATGTACATGTATGTAGTGCCACATGATTATATAATGCCTCTTATTTGTATCAATTTATTTTACTTGTTCTTGTCTCTAAGTTAGATTTTTGAGCACATAGATCTGGTGGATTTGTTCATTTGTTCATTCAATATGCATTTATTAGCACATTCTCTTTGCTTGCAACACTTATGCAATCCTCAACTCCACTCCAGCCCTGTACCAAGAGTAAGCAGTGATCTGGGCACGGAATTCAGGTCTTTTTCACTAGACAATGGCTTCCCCCACCTAAAGACAGAAAACAAAGTGTGTATATAACATGGCTCTCTCTATGCTTGAATCTTATTTAAATTCTCACAACAACCCAATGTGATCAGTACTACTGTTTTTAGGGGAGGAATGAGAGGGAAAGATTGCAAAAAGACGAGAAGAAGCTTTTAAGAATGTTGGATATGTTTATTATGATTGTGATAATTGTTTAACAGGTATATGCATAGGTCAAAACTGACCAAATGGAACATTTTAAAGTTGTGCAGTTCATTGCATGGTAAGTATACCTCATTGAAGCTGTTTTATAAAAGTATCGGGCAACAACAAGAAGTAGCTTTTGATGAGGTATCATTTGCTGAGGGGCAATCAATTAATTTAGTTTTGAAAAACAAAAATCTGTCTTTCTATGGTTCTTTTTTCTTTTCCTTTCTTTCTTTTTTTTTTTTTTTGAGACAGGGTCTCACTCTGTTGCCCAGACTGGGGTGCAGTGGTGAGATCACGGCTCACTGCAGCCTCAACCTCCTGGGCTCAAACAATCCTCCCACATCAGCCTTCTGAGTAGCTGAGACCACACACGCACACCATCACGCCTGGTTAATTAAAAAAAATTTTTTTTTTTGGTAGAGATGGGGTTTCTTCATGTTGCCCCGGTTGGTCTTAAACTCCTGGGCTGAAGAGATCCACCCACCTTGGCCTCCCCAAAGTGCTGAAATTACAGGTGAGAGCCACTGAACCCGGCCCTTATTCTTCTTTACACTTCAGCCTCTCTTCCCCCACCCACATTTGTTTCTTTCGTGGCTACTTTTTCTCCCTACCTTATCCAGAATTTCTTTGGTTCAGACAGAGCTGGGTTTTTGTTTGCTGTTTCAGGTATAAGTTTAATTTCCATATGGTCAAATTCACCCTTTTAACTGTATAGTTCTGAATGTAAACACCATCACCGTCAAGAGAGAGGACATTTCCATCACCCTCCAAATTCCCCTATACCCCTTTGGACTTAATCCCCAACTCCTGGCAATTACTGATGGATTTTCTATCCCTATGGTTTTGCCTTTTCCAGAATGTCATATAAATGGAGTCTGCTTCTTTCACTTGGCACAGGGTTTCTCACCCTGGCGCTGTTGACATGGTGGGCCAGATCATTCTTTGCTGTGCCGGCCTGTCCTGTGCACTATAGAATGTTTAGCAGTATCTCTGGTATCCACCCACTAGATTCCAGTAACACCTCTCTCCCCAGTTGTCACAACCACAGATGTCTTCAGGCATCGCAAAATGCCCCCTGGGGGGCAAAATCACTCCTGATTGAGGACCACTGACCTGGCTTAATGCATTTGAGAGCATCCACGTTGGCGCATATATCCACAGTTTCATCTTTTTTACTTACACAATCCTTTTTACTTAAACAATCACAGGTACTGCATACCTGCAAAATACGACAATTCAAAGTAAGTCCCAAAGAACCAAATAGACACAGACAAAAAGCACAGTTGGAATGGGTTTTTCTGGTGTAAGGAATGAACAGGTATGAAGATGGCAGGTTCGTCTGCCTCTGAAATCAATTCTTCCCCAAGATGGACACTTGAACGATGGAGTCAACTGCTCTCAATCTAAGTAGAAAGCGGTGGCCAAACTATCTCCTGCTACTGAACTTCCCTTAAAGTAGCCACACTCGGCCACACTCAGGAGCCAACAACTGAAAAGGTGACAAGATGTGGATGACCACTGATATGGTTTGGCCGTGTCCCCGCCCAAATCTCATCTTTAATTGCAGCTCCCATAATTCCCACGTGTTGTGGGAGGTGCCCCATGGGAGATAATTGAATCATGCGGGCAGTTTTCCCCATACTGATCTTGTGGTAGTGAATAAATCTCAGGAGATTTGATGATTTTATAAGGGGTTTCCCCTTTCGCTTGACTCTCATTCTGTCTTGCCTGCTGCCATGTAAGACGTCGCTTTGCTCTTCCTTTGTCTTCTGCCATGATTGTGAGGCCTCCCCAGCCATGTGGAACTGTGAGTCCATTGAAATCCAGTCTGAGGTATGTCTTTATTAGCAGTGTGAGAACAGACTAATACAATCATGAAGGGCAACACCACTCACTGATGGGCAGGATGAGCTTCTCAGCCTATCTCTTGCTGTTTGATGTATAAAGCACAGATTATAATGCGAATCAGATGGTTAGTGCAGCTATGAAGAGGTGCTAGGAAATGAAGAAAAAAGCGAGTGATTGGGGCAGACACAGCCATTGCACCACTCTGGGGTTTCCACTGTTGGCTTGTTGGCTCATTTGTGCATATTTCATGTTGTCTGTCCACTAACCGGCCTGCACCCACTTAACTGTGAATGACCACACATCTGCCCTGGGCCGTAAGCAACTGCCAATGCACTTAAGGGATGAGGTAGGGCTTTCTTCAGGGAAATGTTCTCCAAACTTCTGGAGGGGGTGGCGAGCTAAAAACTCGATGCGCTTGGCCAGATAGTGCATTTGGGATTTGTGCTGATTGGATAAGGGCATTGAAGTTTCTACTTGGAACAAAAACTCTTAGGGAAAAAGCATTAGAGGAATTGCCCTTTCCACTTGCTTTTTGAGAAACACTGTTTACAATAATAACAATCACATGATTTACAGAGCTGCATTTATTGACTGGCTGAGTAAATAAGTGAATAAATTTAGCACACAGCTGGCCCAAGGCAAAACTGGGAAAGAGATAAAGTCGGTCCTGAGTGCTTCCAGACTATTTTCAGGAGCCCTTTTCTTGTGTGTTAATGAACTTAAATATTTAATAAGTAACGACCATGCTGCAGGCCCTCTGCTGCTGAGTAGCATGAGTTCAGGGATGTCAAACATTCTTCCCCGATGTGGCACTCACAGGTGTGTCCTGTGAACAGATGGAGACAGCTGGATTGCTTTGCGATGAACAAACAGGCAAGGCACAGGGGGCAGCCCGCAATCCTCTCATCGTGCTCTGCCTTCTCACATCTCGTGGGCAAGACTTTCAACTCTCAGACACCAGATCTCAGATCAATTCATTCAACAAACATTGCATGTCAGACACTGTTCTAGGCATTGGGTAGAAAGCAGTGGGAAAAAAAAAAAAGAAAGAAAGAAAATAAAAAATATTGCCCCAGGGAGAGGCCCAGAATACAAGAAAAATAAGTAAATTATACAGTAGCTCACATGGAGACACACGAGGTGAACCAGGAGAATATGAAGCCAGGGACTGTGTTGCAGTTTTCACTGGAATAGTCAGGGAAGGCCTCACATTTGAACAAATACCCAAAAGACTCTAAAGGTCTTTGGAAAGAACATTCCAAGCAGAGAAATCAGCAAGTGTCAAGGTCCTGTGGTAGAAGCAGAATGTTTGAGGGCAGTGGAGAGACCCAGGAGGGGAGCAGTAAGTGAGGTCTATGAGGTCTAGCTGTGGGGTGCTGGATGTGGAGGCCTTGCAGGCCATCGTGGGGACAGTGGTTTCCTTCTGTGGGTGACAGTGGCTTCATTCCTTGTGTGTTGGTATGCCGCTGGAACCTTTTGCACAGAGAAATGACAAAATGTGACATAGGTTAATAGGCACCCACTCTGGCTGCTGCATTGAGAATAAACTATGGGGGACAAAGCTAAATGACATTGGGATGCTCTTGAAGCAATTCAGGTGGGATAGGATGGTGGCTTTAACTAGTGGAGGAGATGAGAAATGGTTGGATTTTACATGTATTTTTAGAAAGAGCCATTGGATTAGTTGACAGATCAACAAATCTGTGGACTGGCTGGGTGCAGTGGCTCACACCTGTAATCCCAGCACTTTGGGAGGCCGAGGCGGGTGGATCACGAGGTCAGATTGAGACCATTTTGGCTAATATGGTGAAACCCCATCTCTACTAAAAATAAAAAAATTAGCCGGGCGCGGTGGCGGGTGCCTGTAGTCCCAGCTACTCGGGAGGCTGAGGCAGGAGAATGGCGCGAACCTGGGAGGCAGAGCTTGCAGTGAGCCAAGAACACACCACTGCACTCCAGCCTGGGCGACAGAGCGAGACTCCGTCTCAAAAAAAAAAAAAAAAAAAAAAAAAAAAAGAGAAGAATCAACATGACAAGAGCTTCTGTCTGGGCAACTGGAAAAGACAGAATTTCCACTTCCTGAGCTGGAGAAGACTATGAGAGAAGGTTAAGAGTGAAGAGTCAGGAGTTTCTTTCTTTTTATTTTTCATTATTTTTAAAACTTTTTTTAGAGACAGGGTCTCATTCTGTCACCCAGGCTGGAGTGCAGTGATGCAATCACAGCGCGCCGCAGCCTCGACCTTCTAGGCTCAAGTGACTCTCCCACCTCAGCCTCCCAAGTAGCTAGGACTACAGGCATGTACGACCATGCCTGGCTATATATATTTTTTTGTAGACATAGGGTCTTGCTATGATGTCTAGGCTAGTCTCAAACTCCTGGTCTCAAGTGATCCTTCTGCCTCGGCCTCCCAAAGTGTTGGGATTACAGTTATGTGCCACCATGTCCAGCCTGGAGCTTCATTTTTGGACACATGAAGGTTGTGATGCCTATTAGTGATCCAGGTTGTCATGTTGAGTGGACAGTTGGCATAAGAGTCCACAGTTCAGAGGAAAGATCTAGGTGCAGATAGAGAATGGGGAGTCTTTGGTGGCACACAGATAGCAGGAGCATGGATAGTATCTCAAAGGAGTGAGTATGGACAGAGGAAAGATGAGCTCTGTGGACTTAACTGTTGAACATGCCAACATCTGGAGTTTGAGGAGACTGAAAGGAAGCAGTCAAGGATATGAGAAGAAACCAGGTGAGTTTTCTTGGAACTCAAGAGAAGAACAGGATTCAAGAAGGAGGGAGGGAGGGATGATGTTAAATGCTATTGACAGATGTCAAGTAAGATGACATCTGAAAACTGAACATTGGGTTTAGCATCATTAACATCATTGAGGACCTTGACAAGAGCAGTTTGTGGAATGGTGAGGACAAAAACCTGCATAGAATAAGTTCAAGAGAGAAGGGGAGGAGAAGAATGGGGAAGACCATGAATGGGAGATAGACAACAGTTGAGAGAAGTTCTGCTGTGAATGGAAGCAGAAGGAAATGTATATAGAAAGAGAGAGTTTTGTTTAAAAGATGGGCCGGGTGCAGTGGCTCATGCCTGTAATCCCAGCACTTTGGGAGGACGAGGCAGGTGGATCACGAGGTCAGGAGCTCAAGACCAGCCTGGCCAAGATGGTGAAACCCCGTCTCTACTAAAAATACAAAAAAATTAGCCGGGCATGGTGGCACGCGCCTGTAATCTCAGCAGCTACTCCGGAGGCTGAGGCAGAGAATTGCTTAAACCTGGAGGGGTGGAGGTTGCAGTGAGCCCAGATTGCGCCACTGCACTCCAGCCTGGGTGACAGAGTGAGACTCCGTCTCAAAAAAAAAAAAAAGAAAAGCAGAAATTCCCGCATGTTCCAAAAAGTCCTTGGAAGAGAAACAGAGATGATACAGGAGTTGAATTTGCGAAGGCCTCACTTTAAGGCTATGCAATGAGGTAATGTAAAATGTTTATGTAGATTAGGTTGTGACATGGAGATACTATGGTACAATGTCCTGCAGTGAAACTCACACACACACACAGAAGAAACAAAATGAAATGCACATATAAATGGACACATGTAAAATTACAGGAGCACTTGACCAAATATTCAAGGGAAACATGGTGTAATAATAGTTGCTCTGGAAAGGGGTGATTATGAGTATTTATTTCTCCTTCAATTCCTAATCATTCTGTAATACTGTTTTCTTAATATTATAAAATATTTTCTAAATAAAATGCATTGAAGTTTTCAGCCTTGCACCGTATTAACATGGTCATTAGAAGAAAGACTTTGTGCAGGTGAAATTTATAATATATTCTTAAATTGATCTATTTGATTTGTTCATTCATTCAGCAAGTCTTTATTGAGCACCTACTATGCACAGACACCAGGGATGAAGTGGTGAACAAGGTAGCTGAAGGCTCAGCTATTGAGAGCAGACCTGGTTGTCTGAGAACATGGGGCAGCCTCATCAAACTTAAAGGACAGTGACTGGGAATGCCAGGAGGACATTCATTTCCTAGAAACAGCATTCCTCATTTCCCGCAGCTCTGCTACTCACATTTGCCCTTCAAGTACGGGAAGCCTTGACCCAGAACTAGAGAATCACCACCCATCACCTCTCACGGGGACCATTCATTGCAATGGCTAATCTCTCTGCCTTCCCCAACCTCTCCCTCCTCTCCAAATCCATACTGCTGCTAAGATTCTACAGGGTTGGCCTGGCTTGGCCGTGAGTCGTGTGCTGGCCATTACCCACACTCCCAGCTACAATGCAGCTACAATGTGCACATGGAAAATTCCTTTCCCAAGGCTGTGCTCAGTGCCAAAGTTTGTGTTCTCAACAGCAATGCTCAATCGCCTCCAGATCCCAGACGATATCACCTCCAGGGGCTATCCTCCAGTATGCCCCTCTTGTAATAACAATGTAAATCTTTGGAAAACAATATAGAAGCATGAAACAGCACACTGCTTATGATTATTTTTAGGTAGTCTCTAAGCTGAAATCTAGGGGCCACTCACCAGAAGACGGTACTCTTTGGCACTCAAATATATAAGAAGGCTTAGAAATAACAGTTTATTCAATCTTACTAGGACAATAAGAAATAGTGCCAAGACAAGAATAAAATGCTGTTCATATAGGTTGTTCATATAGGTTGAAAGACAACGTGGTAGGGGAAGGATATGGATTTTGGTATTCTGTAGACCTGACTTAAGATCTTGATCTTATTGTTTCTTTACTGTGTAAGCTAGAGCCAGTCACAGAAATATGCACCTCAGTTTTCTCACCTGTAAATGAGAATCAGGCCTATTTGTAGGGTTTTCTTCAGGAGTAAAGGAGTTAAGTATAAACTATGTGACACATTGGAGGTGTTAATCAGTGATCATTTTTCTCATTTCTTGTGCACTCTTGCAGAGGTTGTGGTAGTAATGATGTGAGCACATACTTGTGTGTACATATGTATGCATGCACGCATGTGTGTTTGAGTGTGTGGTCCCAGCTCAAACCCATCAGGGATTTATCCATGTATGACTGGATGTGTCTGGTAAAGGGGAGGTGAACATCCAGGAGTGGATTTGCAGGGAGGTATGCTGGTGGAAGGTGGATGTGGGAATGGTTTGGTCAGATGCTACCAGATGGGGGAATGGGGAGTCAGCCTTGTACAGTGCTCCTCGACCTGGTCTCAGAGATAGTGTCTGAGGAGGGGCTGAATGAATTATTTTTATAAAGGACTGTTATAAAGAGAATGGCAGGGTGGAAAAGGCATCTCTCCACTTCTGAGTGGGCTAGTGAGGTTCAGTCTCAAGGAGGATGTGGGAGTGTTCAGTACCACATTGACACATCAGTGTTTTCAGCCTCAGGGTGGCAGAAGACAGCAGCCTGGGCAGAGCAGCATTCTCAGGCTGGGAGACGCCCCTTCTCAATGGCTTTTGGATGTCAACCTCAAAGTTTTTCTTATGCTCATAAGAAATACCCACAGAGATGCACAGAAATTACAGTGGGACTGTGTGGGGAGGAAAGAGTCTTACTTGATAAAGCAGGGGTAATATTTGGGTTATTACTGTGAATGTGCTCCATGGGCTGGTCCTGGGCCTCTCCGCCCCAGATCCATTCCTTGAATTGCTCCTACTGTCTATTACAGGGGGCTACCCTTGCAGGCTGTGTTTCAGAGGCTCCTAGAGTAGTGGGTTCTGGCCAGGTGCAGCCCATAAAAGGCACTGGCAGGAGATGAGGGGTTGGAAGGAAGGAAGAAGCCAGGCTTCTGCTCTTACTCCCTCTCAGTCTTGGGTGGCTTCTCCCTCAGTGGCTCTGTCTTCTCCATGGCTCCAGCTCCCATCAGACAGGTCCATTATGACTGTAGTTTGTACCATGTCACCCTGGTCTCTGGACTCTATTAGTTGGTGTCTTCTCTTTGCCTCTCCAATCTCAGAGAAGTAGTGACCTCCTGCCATTGCTCATCCCTGGGCTGTTGCACTGTTCCCTTTGGTCCTCTGCCCTTCCATCACCAGCATAAACCATTGCTTCTGTTGTAAAACCTGGAAATGGTGTCTGCTTTTCCATTTAGACTCTATGGCCATACTACCATCTTTCCTATAGTCTGGGGAGGCCTGAGGAGTCTCAGGTCATATCTATTTGGATATAAATGTAAATGTGGAAGAAGAGGACACTTATAAATTTTATGAGATGCTAAAAATGATTCTCACTAGAGTTATTCAAGTCTTACTAATCCCAGTGTCTCCCTACCCCAGCATCCCCAGGACAGAGCTGGCTTGTTCCAAAACTCAACAAGATGATTCTCTGGTCTTTTTTCCTCAACTTTAGCTCATAACTCTGATTCACATGGTTTGCATCCCACTGAGCTTAGGGTGTCCAAGTCCATTTAAGATGTACTTCCCTTGTGGGTTGGCAGTTACAGTGATGGCTTCCAATGGAGCCAGGGCTTCCTCCTGTATCCATACTCTTGTCCAGTCCCCACCCACATTGACTTGGAGCTTGTACGACTTGCTTTTGCTAATAGGACAGTAAATATCCCATGTGCTGTGCATCAGGGGAATGGGACAAAGTGTGGCCTTTACCTGAGGGTGCAGGACAAGAGACAAGACTTGAAAAACCATTGTGAGGTCAGCCTTTTCCTCTCTCTTGCTGCTTTTAGAACCCAGACACCATGTGAAGAAGCCAAGGCTGGTCTCTGGAGACACATGGCCCAGCTAACAGCCAGCATCTGTTGCTAGAGAAGTAAGGCTAACTTAGACTATCCAACCCCATTTTGAGCTGTCAAATGACTGCAGCCAGAAGAATGACCCCCAGGTGAGATGAGCAGAAGAACCACCTAACTGAGCCCAAACCCAATCCCTGACCCACAGAACCCTGAGCAAATAAAATGGTTGTTTTCAGCCACATAGTTTCGAGGCAGTTTGTTATGCTGCAAAGGCTAACTCACAGAATTCTCTTTCTACTTTCTGTACTTTTCTACCAACTACCAGTACTTTCCTCCTCCTAACCAACCCTTCTAAAAAACAGTACCCTCTGCCCCTCCCCTCTCATAGGCACCTCAACTGACCTTTCACCAAAGAAAAACTCACCCTCCACTCAGAGCAAGCGTTCCATCAGCAAAGACCCAATGACTGTCCCTGTACTGCTTCCTCTCAAGAGTTAAGCCTTGACTTCACTGCATGTAAAATTTCCTTTAAAAAAAATTCTTTTTGAAAAAAATGTGGTTTTGCTTCCAAACGATGTTCCAAAGCTCTCTGGCTCACCAAGGAGTAATCCCTCAGTTGGAAAGCATAGCAATGCTGCTATTTTAGAATGGCACCAGGCCTCTGGCTTCTTGATTCAGCCAGGGCCGCTGATGCTTCTTCAGGGAAAACTAAAACAACTGCTTAAGATATAGGGACTTATCCCTAAGGGATATTTCAGAAAAGAGAGGCCTTCTGCCTTATTTCCATTCTTCCCCTTTCTACCCAACCCTGTGCTCCCCAGACAAAGATGGGTCTTCTTCCTCCTGAGCAACTGAACTTCTAACCTGCTTAAGTGGAGGCCCATCTGTCATCCCTGACCCTGTGGCCTCCCCCACACTCGTCCTAATTGTTCTCTGATGAAGGCTGAGCGTAAGCCTATGTAACACTGCAAAAATGCACGGCTGGCTGACCAAACATTAGCAAGAGAGACAGCTATGAAAAAACAATATGCCTGTTTGCTCAACCTCCCTTTCTGCCGGCAGACTAATTCTGGAAATTTTCCCACTCTCTGAGGGAAGAGGTGCTTGCTAATCCAGCCAAGTGTCAAAATGGATGGTGTTTGAACAGCTTCCTTTGGCTAGAGTTGTTTTTCAGATGGTCCCTTGGTAGAAACTCTTGTGGGTTCTGTGCAGAAGACTTCTCCCCTGGACCCAGTAAAGGGGGCAGTTAGGGGAGGGGTCACTTCTTATGGTAATAATTGCCTTATATCAGGCACTGCTCTTCCCCAAGAGATTAGCTGGGGCACAGGTCAGTCTTGATACACAGAGGGTGAGGAGGCTGCTTCGGGCACTGGAGGCGACTCATCTGCAACGAGGAAAGGAACTGAGGTTTGAGAATGGAATCAACAGATTCAGAGGCCAAGCCACAGGACTGATGTCAGCTGTGACCACCTCTCTGGAAATGCATTCAGGATCCAAGATTCCTAGGCCTCACCAAGGTGGGTCAAAGAAGACTCACGATGACAGGAATAGACCTGGCATGGTTTGCGTCTCCCCGTCCACCTACAAGTTCCAGGAGTATTCCCTCCTGGTCTCCCTTCTCCAGGGAAACCTTCCCTGTCACCTTCCCAGTGAGATCAGTCCCTATAATCTGTTTATCCATTTAGTCTCTCCCTCCTTTGGGCCCCACTGTATCAGGAACATTCTCCCATCTAGTACTTCTGCATGTTATGACACTTACTTGTGATATAGGTTTATCTCCTTCTGAGGAACTCTGGCCTGCTACAGAGAGGGGACACGTCTTATTTACTCAATATCCTCTGATAACCAACGCGATGTGTGTACTTAGCAGGACTGAGTAAATGCTTACTGAGTGGGTGAACAATCCTATTTTCCATTTAACTCAGAGCAGGTAAGAGTGTGCAAGGTCACCTAGCAGGTGGGTGCCTGAGCCTGGATTTAGACTCAAGTTTGTCCGAATCTAAAGCTTGTGTCAATTCCACTACTCCACCTTTCCTCTCCAGTTAGTTAGCCCTGCCTCCCTACACACACACACACATGCACGCACAGACCACAGAAGAGAGTGGATGAAATTATATAGAGTGTCAGAAAAAGAGATGACCTAAGACATTATGGAAACCAACTCATTTATTTAACGAAGGAGGAAACTGAGGCCAAAGAAATTCAATAATTTGTGTAAAGTGCTGTGCTCTGGGCTTTGGGCCTACTTAAAAGCTGGATCTAGGTTTATTCCTGTTGATAACCATATTCGATTTAATTATTATTTTTTTTTTTAGGTGGAGTCTCACTCTGTAGCCTAGGCTGGAGGGCAGTGGTGCCATCTCGGCTCACTGCAACCTCCACCTCCCAGGCTCAAGCGATTCTCTTGCCTCAGCCTCCTGATTAGCTGGGATTACAGGCGCCTGCCACCATGCTCGGCTAATTTTTTGTGTTTTTTTTTAGTAGAGACAGGGTTTCACCACGTTAACCAGGCTGGTCTTGAACTCCTGACCTCAGGTGATCCGCCCACCTCGGCCTCTCAAAGTGCTAGGATTACAGGCCTGAGCCACCATGTCCAGCGTCATATTTGATTTAATTTAATCCACAACCGTACAGAAGATATGTAGCTGAGTGAGTGATCCCAGCCTAGCTGGGAAATAAATACACACATATCTAAATACAAGGCAGGATGTGAGAGATTCAGAGTGGTGCAGGCGTTAGAGGAGGGAGAAGTCTCATCTGACTTAGTAAACTTGAGAAAGATTTCTCATAGGAAGTGATACTGAGATGAGCCTTGAAAAAGGACTGGAAGATAGAAAATTCAGGTGGGGACACGGCGCAGCAATGGCATGGCAGTGTGAAAGCATGGGCTGTGCATCCGAAGAATCAGACAAAGCGTGGTCCTTACCTGAAGGTGCAGGACTGGAGACGATACTGTATGTAGGGTGGACTGAGGTGTGCTGGGGAGTGATGAGAGTAGAGATAGATAGCTGGAGCTTTAACAGAACAATAAGAGAAAGAAGAAAAGCTAAGTGATTTGGACCTGATGAGAACAGAGTTCTTCAGACTGCAAGACAGGGGAAGGGGGATCCCATTTCAAGGCAGTAACATGCTTTCTCTTCCGGTTCCCACTCTCCCTGTTCTCCCTAGATATCTGGCTGCAGGGGGAGGAGGCGTGATGAGATGGGGAGAGGGGAAAATTGTGGGCAGATTCAACTCGGTTACAGGAGGAATCCCAAGAGACACCCAGGCAATGCTGAGCTTTGGTCATTCAAAATAAGGTTATGCAGAAAGTTCCTGCCTGAGAGGCCAGACCATTATTCTGAGACGGGATTTTTCAAATTCTTCTTCCTCTTCCCTTGGTATTTCAAGGTGAATCCTAAAGCGCTGAGCTAGGGATTTCCAAAATACACAGCTGGATACCAAAGCCAGTCACTAAGGGTTCAGGGGAGTCTGGAAGGAGGAAATGTGGAGAGAAAGAAGTCAAGGGAAAGCCCACCGTGCTTTTTCTGTACCTGGGAATCTTTTAAAAAGAGAAGGACGTGGACTGGCTGAGAATAGCCAAGACATCAACAGAGTTGATGGAAGACCTGGCTTTCCCATCTCTGGGCCCGCAGAGGGACAGCGTTAGAGATGTCACCCTTCAGGACTCCGAGAGGAAGCCACTTCACAAGCTGCCCCCTAAGAACCCAGGCTGCAGCCCCGGAAAGGAGCTGCGTTATGGTCAGCCTGGGGGCTTCCCAGAGCTCCCTTCAGTCCCACGGGGCACAGATGCTGAGTCGGGAACCAGTGGACCCACCAGTGAGCTTGCTGTTATGAGACAAGGTGACCGCCCGGTCACGCCCAAGGGCTGGACCTCCCCAGGAACAGACTGGAGAGCCATTGGGGGATACGGGGAGAGCTCTGGGGCTGCAGCCCACTCGGGGCACTGCCTGGGCTGGAAGAATGGGCCACACATTCAGTACTGGAGGCCAGGAGGTCCAGCACGACACAGGCCACAAAAGGACGTCTCCCCAAAGACCAGCAGGCAGCAGCTGGCACACAGCCAGGGACCTTCATGGGACCAAGGAACCCACTGCTCTGCTGCCACGGCGGGGAAAGCCCCCTCGCTCCCCATATCCCTGCCTCCGCAGTGAGAGACAGAGCAAGCAGCAGCTCTCAGAGACACTGAGCGCTTTTCCTAAAGACCCAGCACTTTCTGCAGGGTTTAAAATATCAGCTCAAAGTTTAACTGGATTGGACATCTCATTTATCCTCCCATCCCACTAACTAGTGGGTGAGGCTCAGAAGAGAAAGACCAGATTAGTTCTAAGCAATATAGTGATCCTCCGTTTTCCCTTCGCATCCGATGTGCTGTAGGAGATATATTTGTACAGCCTGGTGACTATCAGTCCTTGGGACAGCAGGGCCAGCCTGGGGAGGGCCCCTGCGGCGGTGGCAGGGTGGGCTCTGCTGCTCTGCCTCCCTGGCAGGGCTCACTGCGGCAGAGTAGGGAGGCCTTGTGGCGAAGGTCCTGAGCAAGACGTGGGGTCTCCGTTCCACCAGGGGTGGGTGGGGGCCGGCCGGGATGGAGGAGAGATTCAGGAGTAGAGTGGGAGGCTGTCCCAAGCGCCTTAGGCCTCTAGGGAGCAGCGGCCTGCCAGGATGGTCTGGAAGGCACGTTCACCCAGGCCCGGAGGCCGGGTTCCCCTGGCCTGGCGGAGGTCCCCTGGGACGCCCCTTCCAGGGGAAGCTGCGATTCCTGTCTCCGCAGCCCTGAGCCTGAGAGCGGAGCGGAGCGGGCCGGCTTTGCGAATGGCGCTGCTGCCCCCTCCTGGGTGGCGCCCGGCAGGTGCTGCGTGCCTGGAGCGGCCTTGCCTGTAACCCTCAGGGTGAATCCCCCGAGGTCGGACTCCGCCGCCCCGACGCTGCCCCTCCTCTGCATCCGCACGTAAAATCACCCAGGCCCATCCCCTCTCTATATAAAATCACCCAGGACCATCCCTTCTCTATATAAAATCACCCAGGCCCATCCTCTCTCTATGTAAAATCACCAGGCCCGTCCCCTCACTATATAAAATCACCAGGCCCGTCCCCTCTCTATGTAAAATCACCCAGGCCCGTCCCCTCTCTATATAAAATCACCCAGGCCCGTCCCCTCTCTATATAAAATCACCCAGGCCCGTCCCCTCACTATATAAAATCACCCAGGCCCGTCCCCTCTCTATATAAAATCATCAGGCCCGTCCCCTCTCTATGTAAAATCACCCAGGCCCGTCCCCTCTCTATGTAAAATCACCCAGGCCCGTCCCCTCTCTGTGTAAAATCACCCAGGCCCGTCCCCTCTCTTTGGGCCACATCTCTCGCGTCTTCTCCGGCCGTTTGTGCGGTCTTTGTCCCTTACACAGCGGCGCTTGGTGACTAAGGATTACCTCTGTGGGCTCAGACAGGGTTGAAGGCCCTGGTTCCGCCCGCGCTGGCCGGTTCCTTAACCTCATGGAGCCTCAGGTGCTCACTGGTGAAATAGGTAGGACCTCGTAGGTTGCCACATCTTGGCACCAGGTGCCTGGCTATGTTGAGTGCTCAGAAAATGGGAGCCATGATTCTCTTTCCTTCTGGCCTCATTGAATTCTCTGAGCTCTGTCCATGCATGCTCAGGTTGGAGACTTTCCCCACCAATTTTCCGCCTATCCCTGCTGGGCAGCCAGGCTTTCCCAAACCACGGGGGGCGATTTTCTACACTCTGGGCACATGGCAAGGACCCGGGGACAGCTTGGGTTCCTGTCATGGACATCAAGCCTGCTCTTGTCTTCCTAGGTTTCTTGCCTTCCATTTTCTTCCGCCTTACTTTCCTTTCGTTTTCCTCTCCTTATTAACTCTGGCTACTGCGGAACTCTCTCCCACCTTCACACAAGCTTTCTTCCTGATCCCTGGTTCTAATTACTTTCCCCCACCGCTGCCCCCTGTCCCCAACCAGACTCTGCCTTCCAGCCCCATCATAACCTCCAGCTGGCAGGGGCCAAGGTCCCCAATGACCTCTTTGCCCTTCAGCCCAATGTTCACATCACAGATTTTTTTTGGACGGTTCTGCAGCATTTCGTGCATTTTTTTTTTTTTAAGACAGGGTTTCTCTCTGTTGCCCAGGCTGGAGGGCAGTGGTGCGATCTTGGCTCACTGCAACCTCTGTCTCCCTCCAGGGCTCAAGCCATCCTCCCACCTCAATCTCCTGAGTAGCTGGGACTACAGGTGAGCACCACCATGCCCAGCTTTTTTTTTTTTTTTTTTTTTGTAGATATGGGGATTCACCATTCACCATGTTGCCCAGGCTGGTCCCAAAATCCTGAGCACAAGTGACCCTCCTGCCTCAGCCTCCCAAAGCACTGGGATTATAGGCGTGAGCCATAGGTCTCCATTTAGTGCAATTAACACTTCTTTAATTTCTGTCTCCTTTGAAGTTCCTGGGGCCACTCCCAAGGCTTTTCTTAGGATTTTCTGTCCTGTCGTCCTCTGGTTCCTTGCTGGCTCCTTCTGATCCATCCCTACCACCCACAGGGCTCCCTCTTTGCCGTCTTCTTTTCATTCTCCACACTCACCTTAGGCCTGTGATCTCATCCACCCCCAGGACTCTCCAGTCTATCTCCAACTCAGATCCTCACTCCCTCTGTATCTGCCAGTGCAGGTGAACACCCATCATCTCCATGCGGATGGCCCAGAGACACTGCCAACTCCACAGGTCCAAAACTGGACTCATTATCTTTCTCCCCAAATTGTTTCTTCTACAGAAATTCGAGAGACATTTCTACTTCCTTTCTGTCTCATCCACCCCTCTCTCCATCCAACTGGTCTCAGCATTCTCTTGATTTCTTCTTATTGCTTAGAACCTGTCTTTCACTGCCACAGGCCCAGCAACAATAATAACAGCAATAATTTAGTGAGTCCTTACATGTACTGTCCTAAGCATTGTGCACACACGGCCTCATTCAATTCTTTTAGAAATATCATGGAAATAGGAAGGAACAGAGGCATCGAGAAGTTAAGTCACTTGCTCAGGTTCATATGGCTAATGAGTGACAAAGCCCAGATAGGCCCCCGGGTCTTGCTGATGGCACAGCCCTTGGCGTTCAGTACTGTTATGCAGCATTATTTCAGGATCTTATTCCTGGCATAAATTGTCACATCACCTCTTGGCCTAGTTTTCTTGACTTCAGTCTTTCCCTCTCTTCAGTATAGCTACCAATGAGATAATTATATTTGTTGTTTCCCAGTACTAAAATCCAATACTGAAATTCTCCTTAAACCCCATCAGTGGCTCTCTGCTGCTCTTTAAATAAAACCTGTACTCTGGAGCCTCTAATGCTCCTACTACCCTTTACCTGACCTATTTCCTAATTATCTTTCATGATCTGCAGGAAATTGTCCCTGGATCCCCAAGATGGGGTCAGGTGATTTATCAGTTAGGACTAGATTCAGTTACATGTAACAGCAATCCCAATTAATGGTTTGCTTAAAAGAGATAGTTAATTCATTCTCTGAACGTGTCTGGAATAGGCCATTCAGGGTTGGTATGGTGGCTACGTCGTATCACCAATGACCCAGGATCCTTTCCTCTTTCTGCTCCACCATTTCTAACATTGGCTTCTCCCTTTAATATCACCTCATGGCTGCAAGATGACTGCGGCAGCTCTATCACAATGACATTCCTAGCAGCAGGAAGGAGGAGAGGTGAAGGGCAAGATTATGTGTCCTTCAGTCTTGGCTTGGCTCCTTTCATAAGTTTTCCCAGAAGTTCCAACCAATGATTTCTGTTTATGTGTCTTTGCTCTCTCACAAGAGAAATTGTGCTGAACGTGCTGAGTTTTAGGATCCAATCAAGGATACTACATTTCATTTAGACTGTTTTCATTTTTAGTTACGTATCCTTTAATTATCTCTTAATATGATGATTTTGTAATATCACTTTCTATAAAGAGAATAGAAGGATAATTCAGTCTTCTTTCTAACATGGCAGATCAAACTTTGTTTTTAAGTTATTGAAAGTTAAAAAAATTTTTTTCAGCTTTACAGCTCACTTTCGGTACTAACATATACATGTTTAGAATTGTTGTTGACTTTGGGAAGACCTTTATGAATTTCTTTCACATATGAGCTGCAAATTTATGGTGTGTTTATAATTGTATGCACCACATTCTCAAATATATTTCTGGTGGGAAAAAGTCTTTCATTTGACTAGGCATTGAATATGAATGAGTCCTCTACTTACAGTTTTACATATCTGATAAGTGGAAGAGTTTTCTACAGACTACCTTGTGATTCCATACATCTTAAATCTTGTTTCTTCACTATCCGCATATTTTTGGTGCCAGACATTGTAGAATTATTTGCATCTCCATCCAATCTCTGATGCTGTGTGCCAGGCAAGTCAGCCTGTGGATGGTAGGAGTATTTCTGGAAGCCATTCCAACATCTGTACACCCAGCAATAACTGAATAACTGAGCTATATATGAAAAGGACTGCAGATCACCTAATGTATCTCATGAAATCCAAAGTAAATGTAGACCATCTCATCTTCCCACTAGTCAAATCTCCAAAATGACCATCGTCACTCCAGTGGCACCAATATGAGAAGTTGGAAAAAGTCAAGTTAATTAATAAAAAATAGTATTCTTTCTGGATTTTTTTATGTTTGTTTTATTTGTCAGCATTTCCAACTTTATAATTTGTAGTGATTTTTTTCTCATTGTCAATATTTTCATTCTTAATTTTATATTCATAGTTTGTATTATTTTTCCTAAAGAGGATCCAAAATGGCATCAGTTTCAGGCCCCAAGAAAAATGTACCCAGGCCAGGTGCAGTGGTTCACGCCTGTAATCCCAGCACTTTGGGAGGCCAAGGAAGGAGGACTGCTAGAGCGCAGGAGTTTGAGACCAGCCTGGGCAACACAGGGAGGCCTTGTCTCTACAAAAAATGTAAAAAACTAGCCGGGCATGGTGGCAGGCGCCTGTGGTCCCAGCTACTCAGGAGGCTAAGGTGGGAGGATTGCTTGAGCCAGGGAGGTGGAGGCTGAAGTTAGCCATGATTG
Organism: Homo sapiens; assembly: GCF_000001405.40. NCBI lineage: Eukaryota > Metazoa > Chordata > Mammalia > Primates > Hominidae > Homo > Homo sapiens. The sequence goes on along the minus strand of NC_000004.12, from coordinate 26,024,669 downwards.
TGCCACTGTACTACAGCCTGGGCGACAGAGTGAGACCCTATCTCTGAATGAATGAATGAATGAATGAATGAATAAATAGTCTTGAAAATGGATCCATTCTTGACTGAGAGAGTTTACCCCTCACAGACATCAGTGAAAAGCCACTAAAAGGGGGATCTTCAGAAAGAAGTTGAACCTAAAAAGAAGACGGGGGATACAAGAAACAATGAAATAAATATTAACTGAATAATAATCAAAAGCATACCTCATTGCCCTGGCTATGCAACATAGTATGGCCTTCTAGATCCTACGATCTCACCTTTGCTCACCGCCAGCTTTAACCGTCACCATCCCTACTCGCCACTTACTAGCAAGCAGCCCAGGAATATTTGCTAAATAAATCAATAGACAACAAACTGAGAGTTGAACTCAAACCTTTTGCTTTCTAGCCCTGTTGTTTCAACTAGTGCAGTCCACTTCCCTGCCTCAGCAGGCACGGTGGAGTAAGGACTGCACAGTCTTTTTCTGATGACTGGTCCTTTCCTTATGTCATCTTAGGGTATAGAAGACTCCATAGACATGGCTGGTGCCCTTCCCAAATCCCCTCAGCCTACCCTGGAAGTGGCCTCTGGAAAGTTCTACATCTCTTCTGCCTGAAGATGTTCCCTGATTGGCAGTGTACTTGGAAGTGCCCAGGAGTTAAGATGCCAAGATAAACCCTCAACCATTAAGAGCCAGCTTCCTTGTCCCTCAGTGGGACAATCACGGGCATATTCCACTGTTCCTCCTCTTAGAGGGTCCCCAGCAGGATTGAGGTCCAGTCGCTCAGGGTCATCTCCCCACTGAGTTGCTTCCTGGGCTCGCCGCTCGACTAAACTGTTTGCACTCAAATCCTTATCTCAGTGTCTGCTGAGATGACACAGGGCCATTATTCCAATCACTGCCTGTGCTGACACAGCAGTGTAGGTGTGGAAGGTGCAAGATTGGACCGATTTTTTCTTTGACCCCAGGATACAGTTCTGGAAGACAGTGGTTTGGGGAAAAAAAAGACATTCCTGAAATATGTGAATTCTGACAGAATAAATCTTTCTCCTAAAAGTTTCAGATGCGTCAGCCTCTATGCTGCAACACTGAAAGAGGAGCGTCTTAAAAGCAGAAGAGTTGAGGGGCAAATTCAGAGGGAGAGGAGCATTGAAAAATGCAATCTTGGCTACCAGACGTTTTGCTGGAGTGAATAACATAGGAAAGTGCTTCTCTGGCTAATGCATTGGTCAGTGTCTTCCGTTTCACGTGGTCTGTGAGCTAGGGAGGCTGTCAGAGACTCTTAGGCTGTGACCAGCTTCCAGGGAGCTTAGGAAACCTGCTTCTGGTGCCTATATAGATCCTGAGTATTTGAACACAGCTGGGACCACTTCAGGCTGTCCCTATTCTCTGATTCATCAATGCAGAGGCAGGGATACTGGAAAGAAGTCTCATCTCCAAGAAAGGAGACCAGAGTGGTCTTCATCATTGCCTGGTTTGCATCCTGCTCATCCTGGGGAGAAAGACTACTGCTCAACCTCTCCCTAGACCCTTCCCAGGGCCCTGGAAGCTGGGTCAACTGGCCAGAAGCAAACCATTCCTGCAGGAGACACCACCCTTAGGGGTAGGAGCTCAGCCAGATGCTTGGCAGCTTCCCAGATTGTAAATATCTCTGCATTTTATAGGAGGCTTCAGACTCCAAATTATAGCGATGAAAAAGGAGAATCTTGAAAGCAGAACAGTTTATACACAGATCCAGATAGAGAGGAAAGGAGAGTCCACCTCTGGACTTGGTTGTCTGGTGAAAGGGAGGCAGACTCGTGAAGAGGTTTCCAGAGATGACGGAAGTATGCAGATGGTAAAGCCATCAGGGAGAGGCAGTGCCGGGATCAGCACAATGGGTGCCCTTGTGCACTGTTTGGGGATTTTTGTGTTTGTATGTTTGCAATCCCTGTCCCCCCTACAACCCCAAGCTGGGATCTGCTAAGAAAAAGAACCTGGCTTGCAGCAGCATTCTTCAGCTCCACTTGAAAGTTTGAAAAACCCCTGGATAGGAAAATAACCTCAGGGAGCCAAGTCTTTCTGCACTTGGCGAAGCCCTAGACCTAAAATACACATATGAACACTTCACTTTGAAAGGCCTGCAGTATTCATATCTGAGTCATCTGAAAACAAATAAAAAGAGACCTAAACAAACAAACCTAATTGTGCACGGAAACACAGCCAGGTTTCCAGCCTGGCTTCTCCTCTGTTTTTATTAGTCAAGAGCCAATATATGAGGCTTTCGTGGCATCCAAAACAAGCAAAAATATTAAAAACAAATTGCCAAGGCTTCTCCCTCTTCCCTCCTTCCTTTATGATGCACTGCACAAGCCAAGTTCTCGACTTTTCTGCATTGGCTTTCGAACCTCTTTCATTTAGTCCTGATAGACAGCTGCCTGCTTACCCGGCTGTCCAGGGGAAACAGCAACCCTGGGTGACGGTGACATCCGTAAACATCAGCACTTACTGGACACTTTGATGAAATTTAAGGAGATGTGTTTCAGGTCTTGAAATGTTATTGTTTTTACCATTAATCAAGGCAACCGGTTTGAGAACTAAGCCTGCCGACCCGAGTTCACTTAGGACAGACCTGCTCATTGCCCTCTGCCAGCATCCTACCAGCTGCCTTTCTTTTCTTCTTCTTATTTATTTCACCATTACATACACATTCCACTGTAACAGGCATCCTTTGCTGTTGCCAAACCATTTTCCTTTCTGGTAATATCATCCTTTTTTTTTTTTTTTAAAGTCCATGTAGTTTGGTTGGAGTCTGCCTTAACCCACCCTGCTTCAGGAGTGTGTGATCAAGGCCTGGCCAATTGGAGGCACCCATATTGGTGTAGGGATGGACACTAAATCCAATTTGGGCTATTGAGATGCAAACCTGGAACTTTTAAAAAGACTTCTGGGAAAGAAGCACACATTCCCCCAGGGATGTGTCTAGCTGGCAGAATGTAAGTCTGGGGCTGCTGGTGGTCATGTTGAACCAGAGATGAGTGAGGGAGAGGGATAAGAACTCATATGACATCATCTGAGCACCTGGATCCAGCCATGACTGAAGACTGATCTATCTTGGACTTTTCTATAATACAAATAAAACCCCCATTTTGTTTAAGCCACTTGTAGTTGAGTTGCTCTATCTTGCAACTGAAAGAGTCCACACACACACACACACACACACACATACACAAGCACCCCTTCAAATGACATGTGTACTTACATTTTTTTGCAACTTCCAACTGGACTACTACTCTTTCTTTTAACTTCTGGGGATTATCTTCTCAAAAGGAAGATTTTTGTTTGCTTGTTTGTTTTCGGTGAAATGCAATTTCAGTGAAATGTCACAGAGAAGTCCAGAAGATCATCTACTTTAGTCCTGAATCCTGGGAGAAAAATTGCCTCTGTCCCTTGCAGTGTGGTAAAAGATGAATGAATTCTCTCACCTAGCTTGCTTTTGATACGAAGAACAAAATAATGTAGTCATGACTGAGGAATTTCTTTGCACTCCACGGCTTGTTCTGATTCCAGGCATCCTACTCTGTGAGGCCAAAGGGACATCTGAGTGCCGAGATTAGTCTAGATCGAAAGCATGTGAAAGGCAACAACAACATCCCTGCCAAACAAAACCAAGGTAATAAATGACATACAGACATTTGGGGGGAACAATGGAAACTGTACGGCCACTGTTTTTTCTTTCTTGTTCTATGTGCCGTGAATAGGTGAAGGCTTGGCCTGTTTTATCCTCCTGTTAGCTAACTAGAAAAGGCACTTATGGTAATGTTACCAGAAGAGGTCCCAGTGTAGACCCCAAAAGAGGGTTCCTGAACAAATTTGGGAGCTGGGTGCAGTGGCTAATGCCTGTAATCCCAGCACTTTGGGAGGCCAAGGTGGGCAGATAACTTCAGTCCAGGATTTCAAGACCAGCCTGGCCAACATGACCCGTCTCCACTAAAGATACAAAAATTAGCCAGGAGTGGCAGTGGGCGCCTGTAACCGCAGCTACTTGGGAGGCTGAGGCAGGGAGAATTGCTTGAACCTGGAGGTGGAGGTTGCAGTGAGCCGAGATCACGACACTGTGCTCCAGCCTAGGCGACAGCAAGATTTCATCTCAAAAAAAAAAAAAAAAAGAAAGAATTTGGGGCGGGTCCATAGAGTAAAGTGAAAGCACGTTTATTAAGAAAGCAAACAGATAATGGCTACTCCATAGGCAGAGCAGTGGTGTGGGCTGCTTGACTGAGTATACTTATGGTTATTTCTTCATTATATACTAAACAAGGGGTGGATTACTCATGAGTTTTCTGGGGAAGGAGTGGGCAAGTCCTGGAACTGAGTGTTCTTCTCCGTTTTAGACCATATAGGGTAACTTCCTGATGTTGCCATGGCATTTGTAAACTGTCGTGACATTCGTGGGTGTGTCTTTTGCTTGCTAAGGCATTATAATTGGCATATAATAAGCAGTGAGGACAACCAGAGGTCATTTTTGTCACTGCACTCCAGCCTGGGCAACAGATTGAGACCCTGCCTCAAAAAAAAAAAAAAAAAAAAAAATTAGTCCTTCCTGTTGCTCTTGCACAAAATTCAACATGCTTGATTTTAGACATAGTTGTAAACGGAAGAAGATGGAGAAAATTTTTACTCCAAAACATCTTCTTGGGGAGAACGCTGGAATAAACAATTTGATAAATTGTTTTGGGTGACAGGAGGCAAGAGATAAGATCTCAAAGTGCCTGATTGAATAGCACAAGATGGTTCCAACCCTGACTTCTAAGCAGGGTGGATCTAATTTTGTAAATTGGAGAAGAAATGTTTTGATGTGGGGGAGCCAGGAGAGAGCTGCTTTGCTTTGCATAACAGAGAGGAGAGGGGTGTACTTCTGAAGGAGGTTCTGGGAAGGGGAGAGAGGGAACTATTGAAGGTGGGGCTCCTCCAAGAGAGAGTTCGGACACCTTTACTTTGGAAGAACAGAAACATCTGACTGGTTGTTTGACCCGATGGCCCATTGATGTGCTGGGTACCATATTACCTTTTCTTGTTTCCCCTGCGAAGCTGCCCATAAAGTCTATATTGCTTACAGACACATTTGTCTGATGCGGAACTCTAAAGAGAAGGATTTCTGTGTGCAAGTTGAAACGGGCAAAAGCAGAGAAAACACATGCAAATACAAATCTGAAGTTCAAGTTGACTTCTGGGTTCTATTTACCTGCATGCCCCTCCCAGTGGATGATAAAACTCCTGGGAGTAAGGGTCTATTTTTGCTTGTTTCAAAATTCATTGCACCTGGTACAATGCCTGGCATGTAGCAGACACCCAGCACCTCTATGATGAATACATGAATGAATGAATTAATCTCTAGGAGAAATCAATGAATTAATGGCATGACTTGCAGGGAAACATCTGCAACAAACATGGCTCTGGGCTGGCCTTGACAAATGAAGACGCCCAGAGAATTTCACCCCAAAATATGGCATCCTGGTATGATGAATATTTCAAATTCAAGGCCATTGGAGACCAGTGGATGCTGGAGGAGGCTTTTCCCTTAGCTGCATGAAGACTTGACCCACCAAGTGGAACAATTGCTTCCCGTCCCATCCCTGAAATCTCATTATCTATCAAGAAACAAAGACTGAGTAATGTAACAACAACTGGACAGACCTTTTTATAAGATAATATCTGTCTCTCAGGTTTGTTTAGATTCCAAACAGAATAATTTACAATTGAATTTCAGTCTCCTGGGTCCATTCATTCTCCCTAATAATCATTTACTGCTCCTCAAAAGAATTACCAACATTTCCCATCTCCCCCCTTCCTTATGGAGAAAGTTATATAAGAATCTGGACCACATGGAGATACTGAGTAATATTCTGCAATTCCCTCATGCTGTGCACATTAAAATAAATTTTGTATGTCTTTTCTCCTATTAATCTGCCTTCTTTGTCAGTTGATTTTCAGCAGGCCTCAAGAGAGTGAAAGGGAAGTTTCCCCTTGGTCCCTATGCTAGCTTTGGCCAATGGAACATTAGCAAACAGGCTTGAAAAGTATCTTGAGGCTCACTCCCTCAGAACCTGGTGACCTCCAGATGAACAAGCTTGAGATGGCCTGCCTGATGATGAGAGACACAGACACCAGCCAAGCCATCTGTGTCACCCCAGCTGATGTCAAGCCAATGGCCAGACATCTGCAGGAGGCCCTCCTAGACCATCTAGCTCCAGGTGAGTCCATCCAGACCAGAACTGTCCAGCCGTCCCACAGAATTGTGTGAAAGAATAAATGTTTGTGCTTTTAGCCACTGATATGGTTTGGCTATGTCCCCACCCACATCTCATCTTGAATTCCCATGTGTTGTGGGAGGCACCTGGTGGGAGGTAATTGAATCACGGGGGCAGATCTTTCCTGTGCTGTTCTCATGATAGCAAATAAGTCTCATGAGAGCTGACGGTTATTGTAAGGGGGAGGTTTCCTGTACAAGCTCTCTTTGCCTGCTGCCATCCACGTAAGACGTGACTTGCTCTTCCTTGCCTTCCACCATGATTGTGAGGCTTCCCCAGCCATGTGGAAGTGTAAGTCCAATTAAACCTCTTTCTTTTGTAAATTGCCCAGTCTTGGGTATGTCTTTATCAGCAGTGTGAAAATGGACTAACGCAGCCACTAAGTTTTGGGGTGGTTTGTTATCCAGTAGAAACTGACTACACCATGATCCCATTTTATTGGTAAGGAAACGAAGGCTTAGAGAGGTGGAGACAATTGCTTCGAGTCATGCCTATTTAAATGGTGGGTCTGTCTCATGCCAGCCTCTGGTCCCTTGCTAGTGTAGCCCTGTGCCTTCTCTTCATAGAAAGAACTAGTTTCAAGATCAAGGTAAGAGCTTGTTCACTCACACTGGGGGACCTATGATTAGAACAGGCCGGACAGCATTGCTGTCTGGAGACTAAAGTGCTGGGTAGGAACCTAAAATTCCTGACTCCAAGTGGCTCTCAAACCTAGCTGCATATTAGCAGCATTGGGTTTTTTAAAAAAAATCCCGATGGCCAGGTCACACTCCAAACCAAATAAATCAGAATCTCTGAGGGTTAGACTCAGTATTTTTAAAACTCCCCTGTTAATTTCAACAAGCAGCCAAACTTGAGAATTAGTGTCTTAAACACTTCTAAATGGAGAAGTTGGTTGGGGTTGGAGAAACTGGAGCTATTAAACCAGAAAAGTCCCCTACAGGATAGACATAGTGACTGTCTCCAAGGATTTGAGGGAGGGGCCTCCCAAGGAAGAGGGACCAGGAATAACAGCATCATTGATTCAATGAATATACATTATGTGCTCAGCTCTGCATTATTATTTCCTCCCTCAAGGATAGCAGAAGTGACAATTATGTAGATGCAGAATCGCAATCACACCGTGACTAATATTATGGTTATATGTTCCAGGTAATAGTAGCAGCATGGAAAAGGCAGAGATTGCTCTTTCTAGCCGGGGCCAGAAAAGGAGGCACTGGTAGTCTTGCAGGAATGAGGAGAACTCTGTGTTCATTAATTAGTGCTGCCCATGAAGGGACCAGGCACTCCAAGTATCCTAGTCAGCTCAGCCTGCTATAACAGAATACCATAGACTGTGTGGCTTAAACAACAAACATTAGTTTCTCACAATTCTGGAGGCTGGGAAGTCCAAGATCAAGGTGCCTGCTGATTCAGTTTTCTGGTAAGGACTCTCTTTCTGGCTTGCAGATGACCACCTTCTTGCTGTGTCCTCACATGTCAGAGAGAGAAGGTCTCCTTCTTTTCTTATAAGGGCACTAATTTCAGAATAGGGGTTCCACTCTCATGACTTCATGTAAACCTAATTACCTCCCAAAGACCCCACCTTTTAACATCATCACAGTCATTGGGGATTAGAGCTTCAATATATGACTTTGGGGGATGCACATTCATCCCATAGCACCAGCAGGCAGGTTGTGGCCTGGCACTGGAGGGTGAAGCAGAGAGGCTGGTCAACCCAGGAAGCTGGGAGGTTGTAGAGGAGAATCTAACACTGAGAATAGGAGGGTGAAGTGGATAGAGGGGGAATAACAACCCCCACAGCCCCTTTGTATCTCTCAAGATATTGGGTACCTGAGTTTGGGGAGGAGTTGGGCCTTCTGGTGGGAGCTAAGTGACTGCAGCTATGAGGGCAGGGAGGCATCTGGTCTTTTTAATGAGGGTGCTATTTGGACCTCTGTACAAGAATTGCAAGTCCTGATCTCACAGCAGTAGCTGCTGAGCCTTCTAGCACTTTCTTTTTCCAAGTATAGTCGTGGACTGGAAGTATTGACCTCAACTGTGGGCTTCCTAGAAGGGCAGAATCTTGGGCCCACCCAAAATTACTCAATCAGAATCTGCACTTCAACAAGAGCCCCAGATAAATCTAGGCACATGAAAGTTTGAGAAGCACTGCTCGAGTACCCTCTACCCACCAGTGGGATCACTATATATACTATATATCCAGCCAATACATGCTCTAGAACCCAGAGTGCCCTCTGTGTATTGAGCCAAGCCAGCCCTGGTTTGGGGGGTAGCAGCCAGCAGAAATTGTCAGCCAGGCCACATCAGGGGCGTGTTAGAGGATACAAAAATGTATGGAGCAGGACTGAAGGTTAAGGGCAGGGAGTCTGCAGCAGGAGTTCCCTTGAGGTCAAGAGTGCTTTGAGATGGTCAAGAATAGAGTTCCTGACTCCTCTCTTCCATCCTTGAAGGCTTTTACTAAATAATGTTTACAATCCATGCATGTTGGCCAAACTGCTAGCTACAGCTTTGCCTCCTGACAACTTTTCTTCCCTTCATTTGTGAGAGGCAAGGAATTATGGATTCAAAGCGGGCCGTGGCTACCAGACCTTTGATCTTCTGGGTCTCAAGTGGTCAGAGAGTCCCAGAAGGCTCCACACACAAGCCCCTGGGCACCTCAGGGAAAGGCAGATGTGTCTCTCATGCATGCCGGTCATCCCATCTGCTAATGACTTCCCTCCTTCCTAATGGTCTTCTCTTTGCCTCAGAATCCACAGCAAGTTGCATTCCTGACTGGAGATGTCAGGGGGACCTCGTGTGAACTGCCAGCACTGAATCGTTTCTGAGGTTGGAAGAAATAGTTGGGAGGCTGCCCTCACCTTCCAGCTTGGAACTGGGCTGAATGCAGTCCTATGGCTCACTCCGCAGGCCACCCGCTTGGCTGGGACACAGCTTTGGCAAGCCTTGCTCCTGGCAGGCTGGACTCATGAGAACCCTGGCATTTCAGAGCGTGTGTCAGGGCATGTGGAAGGAGAATGCAGTGTGGTCACAGGGTAAGCCAAGACCGGGGAGATGGCCTGCATGATAAGAGGGGAAGTGGACCCAAGGGGGTTGGGAGTCAGAATTTCTGAACCCTGAAATCATCTCTGTGAGGCACTGGGGAGTGTCAACTCTGAGGATGATGAGGGGAACTGTGGGCCCTACGTTGCCCCCCCAAAGCCAATGACAAGCATTTGGCTCAGTGATATGAGCTGATCGATGATTCAGCCAACATCTCCTCCTCCAGGAAGATTTCTCGGGTTACCCCATTAGCTTTTCTGCTGGTAACTGCCACTAAGACTCCCACCCCAGGAAGGGATGATCTCCGCTAAGTTATTTCTGCCACTAAATTCTTCCCATGAGATCCTGTCAAAAATTATGGAAACTGAAGCTTAAACAAGAGAGGGCTTTTCACCTACTGCTTGAGCTGAGAGTTCCCACCTCCCTGGCAGAATGCCATGTGACACAGAACCTTTGAACCCATGTCTCGAAAATGGTACCAGAGGCCATGAACCTCCCTCAGAATGACATTTTCCAGGCTTCTTGTCCTCTCATAGTACAGATCCAAGTGCCTGTTGGTCCCTAAGAGGGGAGGAAAACTTCCGTCTGCCCAAACTAAGACCCTGTTCTTTTCTTGACCCATGGGAGTATTCACGGCCTGTAGGAGAAACCCATTCAGCAAGTGATTCACTGGCCCATTGATCCATTGATCTGCTGATCTATTGCTTGCATGCAAAGCCCCATTCCACCTGCTGGGCTTGTCCCCCTGCCTCATATAAGACACAGCTAATGCATTTCTAAAGCCTGGGTTTGCTGGTCTTAAATGACACCATATGGTGGTCACAACATCCTGGCCCAGGCTAAGTCCTGGTCATAGTTTTTCCTCTGACATTAGGAGTGAAAAGTCCAGGCTCTCCGTCCCTCTGCTACGGATGTCCCCTCAATCTCCTGTGGGCAAAGAAAGGGCAAGGGCACAAGTACTTCCAAGAAACAAACAATGATTTCCAGTTGTGATGCTGCATAAATACAGATTGAGGAAGGAAAAGGTTCTCTAACTCAGCAAGGAGATAGTGCTGGGAGTACTCCCAATTTGCATAATAGATAGAGTACTTCTCAGTCTGCCTTTCAGCTGCTTCATGATGTTGGACCCCTCCTCCCCAGTGGTGGGTAAGCACTTTCATTAGGACTAAGAGGTCTTCCCGAGTGCTCCCTCTCAAAAGCAATAGAGAGTGTGCCTCACCAACATAGAGTTTCCTGGATCAAAAACTTCCTACAAACTGGCAGATTTTCCAACTTCAATAATTTAACACCTGCTAGTACTTGTTACAACTATGTATTCTGTGCCAGGCATGGAGCTGAGTGCTTTACATATGGGACCTTGTTTAATTCTCACAGTCATCCTGGAAAGTGGCTTCTATTTTTACTTCTGTTTAACAGATGAGGAAGCGAAGGTTCAGAGAGGTTATATTGTTCAAAGTCCCACAATGAGTGAGTGAACCAGGATTCAAACCCTTGTCAGACTCCAAGCCCATGCTCTTAGCCATCACACCATATGACCTCCAAAATGGAGCCCCGTCACCAAGTGCAGGAGAACCACACATCCTGGGATTTCCAAGTCCCTACACATTTAAAATGTCCTGTGGCTTTTTGTCATAAAAATACTTGAGCTTGTCAGATGAGTATCTTGATTTGAGGTTTGACAATATATTCACCCAAACTGTTTTCCAAACTCGCTTCAGCAATGCCTTACGTCATGGGGCTTTTAAAAGCACAGATCCAAGCATCTTGCCCCAAACCTATTAAAAGTCAGACTCTCCAAGGGAGGATCCAGGGAATCTGTATTTCTAAAACAAATTCCCAGGATGATGCCTATGACGCCTATGAGCTACAATGTGTGAGCAACTGTTTCCATGCTTGATGGAGTGAGAGGAATAAAACCTGCTTAAGAAATGGTCCTTAAATTCAAAAAACACATATTTCAGTAAGGGGGCAAGATAGAGTCAAATACCAAAGTGTGCAACAGCTAAATAACAAGCTGTATAGTCCTAACTATGGAACAATTCAGAAAAGGGGTAAATCATGAACTAGAAAAATCAGAGAAGGCTGCACAGAAGAGGAGGGACTTGAAGTGGGCTGTGTAAGATTTGGAGGAGGGAGAAAGAAGAGAGAAGGGTATTCCAGACAGGAAGAGCACAAAGAGCAAAAGTCTTGAGGGGAGAATGAGCTTGATATTTTTTTATGAAGCAGGGAGAGGGTCAGCCCACCAATCTGGGGGATGGAGAGAGAACGTGCAGGAAGGAAGTTAGCCTAAGCAGGGCAGGTTCTGGCACGAGGTTGGTTTAGGTGTGGGTAGCACAAGGGAGCCACTGTGGGCTCTAGAGCAAGTACTCACATGATAAAGGGTGATTAAGTTAAGGTAGAGCCTGAGATGGTGACAGGAGAATTAGCCAGATCCCTGCTCTCCAGCTCTTTGAAAACAGATGAGAGACTGCACCAGAGAACACCCAGGAGTGTCCTAAATCTGGGGGTCCCCTGAGGCCTTAGGGGAGGGATCCTTTCTTGGCACCCGATTCTGCAAAAGCTATCTTCAAGTGAGGTGTTGGGCTGAGAAGGAGGCATTTGGAGAATGGGGTTGTGAGGTTGTGCACACCTGTTTCCTAAATGGAGCAGTGAGTGAGGGAAGGAGACAGTACACACACACACACACACACACACACACACACACACACACCCCAGAGGGGGAGGCTCAGACAAAGCCAGAGAGCAGTGGAAATTCTGCATAAGCTATCTTAAGCAATTTGATGTGAGTCTAAATTATTTTGGCACCAAAGCATGATAGACCATATGGAGAGAAAAAAGTGTGCAAAAAGAAAGGTTGAAAAACATTTTTTTACAAAATAAAGAAACAAGGGCTCATACAGAAAGAAACCAAGAGTCTGGCCTGATGGCCCTGATATATAGCAGAGTTTAGTCAAATCTTTCTGTAAAAAAGTGAGACATTCTGAGGAACCAGCTTCACTGGGTTGCAATAATTTTATGTGCCAAATAAATGGTCCTAATTATAAGAGAGAGAATTGGTCGAGACTGTTGGTTTGAGGGAACTCAAGTTCAGAGCACTTCAAGACAAAAGGGAAAGGCGCTGGCTCACGTAGTAGAGTAGTCTCGCTTCAGGCACAGCTCAATCCAGGGCACTCTTGTGATATAATCAGGATATTCTTTGCCCATATCTCAAATTTGCTTTCCTCAGTGTGCCCTCACTTCTTGACACTTTTTCCATGTTGCAGAAAACCTGATGCTCATTGTCTCCAGCCATGGTCCGTCAGAAGGAGAGAAATCCTCCCTCTCCCAAAGCCCATTTTGTTCCTTTGCCCACTCTTGGACCCATCACTGTGTCAGGTAAATGGGGTACTCGGGTTGGCCAACCTGAGTTTTATGGCTCCTCAGGTGGTGGGAAGGCAGTTCCCCTTGATTGACAGCCCATCAGATTTCCAAAGTGTTGGGAGGAAGAAAAGTCTCCAAGAGGAAAAAATGTGGCACAGAAAAGAGAGTTAGATATTGGTGATAGTGCTACAGGAGTTCAGTGTCCAGAGAAATGCTCTCTAAGGAGAATAGTCATGGAAGACTTCCCCAGGGAAGTGTGATATGTGTTCAGCCTCAAAGGGCAAAGAGAACTTGGGTCTTGGGAGGAGACAATGTGGTGTTACAGCAAAACGCATGGCTTGGGCAAAGACACTGCAGGAGTCCTTGCTCCTAAAAGATTTCCACCAATCTCTGGTTATATTCAAATGTCAATTTCCTCTCACTGTCCCTTTGTGTGCTTAATTAATGGTGGTATTGAGGCTGAAGAGAGCAGCATTGGGGGTTCTGTCTGTACTTAAGAGGCAAGATCACTTAGGCATGGTGGCTCACTCCTGTAATCCCAGAACTTTGGAAAGCTGAGGTGAGAGGATCACTTGAGGTCAGAGTTTGAGACCAGCCTGGGCAACATTAACTGTGTTGACCCCATCTCTACGAATACATATATGTGTGTGTATATATATATATACATATATACATATAAATACACACATACAGACAGACACACACACACACACACACACACATATATATATATATATATATATATTTAAATTAGCTGGGTATGGTGACTCTTACCTAGTCCCAGCTATTCAGGAGGCTGAGGTTGGAGGATCTCTTGAGCCCAGGAATTGGAGACTGCAGTGAGCTATGATCATGCCACTACGGTCTAGCTTGATGACAGACCAAGACCCTGTCTCAAAAAAAGAAAAAAAAAGACAGGATCACTTATTTCTCTTAGGTCATGAAATAAAAGGGAACCAGTCCCAAAAAATGCTGGGCAAAATGAGAGGCTGTCCTCATTTCCCAATGCACAGAAGACTCTACACTCCTGGAAACCACTAACCATGTTGGACACAGCCAAGTTCAATGTGATCACTTCCCTTCAAGGGTCCTACATCAGTGCCTTGGGTGGCAGTCACATTTGTCCTCTAAGTGATCCCATTTATATCAATCAAAAGCTACTTCCCTCATTTCCCACTCACTCAGCTGGGGCTTGGTGAAGAGTCTCTGTCCCCAGCTGTGGGGGTTCTGGGTGGTCTTGCAAAAGGAGAGGCTGATCCAGTCTTGTTGGTCCTGGCTCACATGCACTCACTCATTCACTGATTACTTATTGAGACTTTGTCATATGTAAGGCACAGTGCTAAGCCTAGGTGCTGAAGAGACAATTCAACATAGTCTTTGCCCTTAATGAGCTGTTTACTGGGGAGAGAGATGTGTGGTAGATAAAAAACACGTTTGCTACTGAAGATCCCCACCTATTTGGAGATAATTGTTCCTTCCTTGCCTCATTCATCTGTTTTACCAAAGACTGTTAATCACAGATCCTATCTCTCTCTGCACCACAATCGTTGGCTCAGGCACAGGCAAATGAAGCAATCTGATTAAAAAAAAAAAGAGAGAGAGAGAGAGAGAGAACATCTTTATTGGGATTTTTCAAGCTTTAGTCTGCAGGTGCCATGTTCTTTTCTTGTTTTTCATGATGATTGGAGGATGTGACATGTAATGGTATGATGAGATATTTTTCAATTAAAATTCTGAATTTAGAGCATATAAAAACATAACCATTTTTAAAATGTTGATTTTGCATCCAGCAATCTTGTTTAACTCACATATTCATTTGAATAATCTGACAGTGAATATTCCTGGGGTTTGGGAGGAGGGATTTCTATGCAGATAATTGTATTGCCTGCATATAAAAAGTCTCACCTCTTCTCTTCCAAGTATTAAGCTGCTTATTTATTTTCCAGCTTTGCCTTAGACAGGAACTCCAGTACTGAATAGTTGGCTGAGAGTGGGCATCCTTGTCTTGTTTCTGATTTTAATGCAAATGATTCACAGGTTGCACAATTAATATAGTGCAGTCATAAAAAAGAAAATCTTCAAGATGTATGAACTGAAATTTGTATGTATTTCTTATAACATTTTTATACCAATGGTAGCATACTGCACACATTGTTTTGCACATTACTAAGCCTATACATATATGCTTGCATACGGTTTGAATATCTGTGGATGAATACAAACGAAACTGGAAACATAAGCAATTTCCAGGGAAGGAACTGGGTAGGTGGAGTGTGTGTATGTGGCGGGTAGTAGGGGTTATATTTACCTCAAAGTATCACTTTAGCTGTATACTTGTTTGATATGTAATCATTTGAATGCTCTTCAGTTCAAAATATTTTCTGTTTCATTATGATTTCCCTTCTAACCCATCTGTTGTTTAGAGTGCATTTTTTAGTTTCCAAACTTTTGGAAGTTTGACATTCAATTTAATTGCAATGTGAACAGAGAATGTAGACCTTATTATTTTATCTCTTTGAAAATATTGTGATCTAACATATGATCACTTTTTAAGTGTTCCACATGTATCTGAAAATAATGTGTATTCTTCATTTAATGGATACAGCATTTTATATAGATTTTAAAGTGTTTAATGTTTTTGTTTAAATTTAAATTCTAAATATTTTTGTCAGCTTTATATAACATTTTTAAAAGATCAGTTAAAATTTTCCATTATAACAATTTTTTCCCATTTTTTCTAGTAATTTAGTCAGTTTTGCTTTTTATATTTTGAGGTTACATTGGTAAGGCCATGTAAGTTTATTACTACTATACATTCTTAGAAAGTCATTTCTTTTAATGTTCTATATCATCCCTTTGTTGCTATTACTTTTTTTACATTAAACTTTATTTTGTCTGACTTAACTATTATAATCTCAGCATTATTCTTGTTAGTATTTGTACAATATTGTATATCTTTTTCTCTACCTCTACTACAATTTTGCTATGTGGCTTTGACAGTATGCCCCAGAATTTTAAAAACTTTAATCTGATAATCCCTACATCTTTATCAATGAATTTATTCCATTTACATTTATTGTAATTACTGATCTACTTGAAGCAATTCCTACCATTTTATTTTGCACTTTCTATTTGCCGTTCATTTTCTTTGTTTCCTTTTTTCCTTCCATTTACTCTGCTGCATTGATAAAGTTTTCTATTACCTTTATAATTCACACAAAATAAATCTGAAGTCATTCCATATTTCTGTGCTCATTTAAATCATGAAAAGAAACATAAACACATTATAATTATCATCTTACTTATCTTGTTATTGTCAGCTAAGTTTTATCTCTTCTTTAAAAATTAATAATTTTTGGCCAGGCTTGGTGGCTCATGCCTGTAATCCCAGCACTTTGGGAGGCCGAGGTGGGCAGATCACTTGAGGCCAGGAGTTCAAGACCAGGCTGGCCAACATGGTGAAACCCCATCTCTACTAAAAATACAAAAATTAGCCAGGTGTGGTGGCACACGCCTGTAATCCCAGCTACTTGAGAGGCTGAGACAGGAGAATCCCTTGAACCCAGGAGGTAGAGGTGGCAGTGAGCTCAGATAGTGGCAGTGAGCTGAGATAGTGCCACTGCACTCCAGCCTGGGTGACAGAGTCAGACTCCATCTCAAAAAAGAAAAAAAAAAAAAAAAAGAAAAAAGAAAAAAAGAAAGAAACAAAAGAAAAAAATTAATAATTTTTATACTTCATAATTAAGTTTACCAAACAGATGATCAAGTCCTCACTGTTTCTTGACTCCTATGCCTTCCCTTTTAGTTAATTTTTCTTCTTGTGGAAATACATACATTAATAATTTTTAAAATGAATGTCTATGGGTAATATATGTCTTTTAATTTTCGTGCACCAAAACATTTCTTAATTTAGCTGGAAATAAAATCTTAGGTTGTCATTTATTTTCCCTCATTACTTTGAACATATTTCTCTACAGTGAGAAGCATTACAGAGCAGTAAGTATGAGCATTTGGAGCCAGATCAGCTCAGTTTGAGTCCCAGCTTCTCTACTTACTAGATGCAAGACCTTGGACAAGAACCATTAAACTTCCTTTTGGCTCAGTTTCCTCAACTGTAAAAAGGGGATAATAAGAATCCCATCTCACAGAATTGTTGTGAAGATTAAATTAGTTAATATGCATGAAGTACTTTGCATTATGCTTGGGACATAGTACCATTTAAGTGTTAGCTGTTGTTATTACTATCTCTGACTTCATTGTGGCTCATGAGAAAATTACCATCAGTCTAACTGTGCTTCATTGTTAGATAATCTAATTCTTCTCTCTGATTGCCTTTAAGATTTTCTTGGGGGGAGGGACAGTATTAGGAGATATACCTAATGTAAATGACCAGTTAATGGGTGCAGCACACCAACATGGCACATGTATACATATGTAACAAACCTGCATGTTGTGCACACGTACCCTAGAACTTAAAGTATAATTTAAAAAAAAATATTTTCTTTATTTGGACATTCTGCAACTTCACTCAGAATACACTTTCAGCCTAAGAGTTTGGTCTTTCTACCATTCTGGAAAGTTCTTAACCATCATTCTTTTATTATTTTTTTATTTACTCTCCTTCTCTGCAACTTCCATGTGCTGTAAGTTGTAGCCTCTCCAATTATTCTCCATCTTTCTCAATTGTTCTTACATAACTTTAAACTTTGGCTGTCTGTGCCATATTTTTGGGTGAACTCTCTGGCATCATCTTTCAATTCAATTATTTTTATGACTGTACAAAGTCTGAAATTTTATCCAATCTATTAGACGTTTTAAAATTTCAGGAACTGTATTTTATATTTCCAAGGTTAATAATTGTTTCTTTTCCATTTTTTTCTTTTTTTTTTTGAGATGGAGTTTCACTCTTGTTGCCCAGGCTGGAGTGCAATGGCATGATATTGGCTCACCACAACCTCTGCCTCCTGGGTGCAAGTGACTCTCCTGTCTCAGCCTCCCAAGTAACTTGGATTACAGGCATGTGCCACCACACTCGGCTAATTTTGTATTTTTAGTAGAGACAGGGTTTCTCCACATTGGTCATGCTGGTCTCCAACTACCGACCTCAGGTGATCCACCCACCTCAGCCTCCCAAAGTGCTAGGATTACAGGCGTGAGCCACCACACCTGGCCATATTCATTTTTTTTAAAGTTCATTTCTTGGCTAACATGGTGAAACCCCATCTCTACTAAAAATACAAAAAAAAAAAAATTAGCTGGGCGTGGTGGCGGGCACCTGTAGTCCCAGCTACTTGGGAGGTTGAGGCAGAAGAATGGTGTGAACCCTGGAGGCAGAGCTTGCAGTGAGCCGAGATTGTGCCACTGCACTCCAGCCTGGGTGACAGAGCGAGACTCCTTCTCAAGAAAAAGAAAAGAAAGTTCATTTCTGTCTATTTTTGTTTCACATTTTATATTCTTATTTATTTCATCTTATTCCTTCACTTTCTGTTTTAAATATCTGGAACACATGTATTTTTAAATTCTTTTTCAGATTGTTTTACTATTTTAGTTTCACTTGAAGCAAAAAAATCTATCAATATTGATTTGTTAGCTATTATCCCTTGGAGATAGATTTCTTTTTATGTTTTGGACTTCTAATTTTCAGGTTCACTTAAAGCTTGATCCTTTACACTCTTCTCTCTTTCCCTCTTTTTCTGTCTATTCTTCTTTTCTTGTCTAGGAGTTTTGAGTTTCCTCTATCAGCCTGCCTGCTATTTGAACCTTATATTGATGATGGTAGCTCTTGCTTATTGGCAATGTGGGTGTCTCACTCAGTGAGCAAGTGGCTTAGTTCAGGTTCTGCTTCTTGTTCTGTCTTGATCACTGCCCACCTAGTCCCTCAGCTTCACATAAGCTAAAATCTCAAGCAGTTGTTTGCAGGCGTTTTCAGCAATCTCTCGTCCTAAGTGGAGAATCCACCAGACTTAGTTTCAGCCCTGAACCCTGCCTCATCTACAGCGTATTCAGTTCCTGTTTCCTTGGAGCCAGATTAGCTTAGTTACACCCAGAAGCCAAAGTCTTGCCCACTAACTGCTGTATGTTTCTCTTCTGTTTCTGGTCTGCAAAACTGACTATCTCATTTGTGAGCTCAGTTATACCCTTTTTACATGCTCCATTAAAAAAAAATTATCTATAGCTACTACGTGTTTATGGCAGAATGGGTGACACAAATGTGTATCTACACAAATGCTATCTTGACCAGAAGTGCTTTTCTGATTTTTTAAAACAATGGACAATTGCTTCTGTGTTACAATAAATGCCAAGATAAAATAACCATATCCATGGATATCATTTGTTACCTTGGTCAACATTGTTTTCTTGTTCTGGTGGAGCGGATACCAGAATGCCGTGGGTTAAAGAAGACTAAGAACTGGAGCCGCCAAGAGGAGGCCACTCTTGCAAAGATGGTTCCCTGAGAAAGAGAGAAAACAGATCATGGGAAGTTCTGTTTTGTTGAATCAGAGAGATGTTAATATGTTTATAATCAGAGAATAAAAAGCCAGAATAGGGAAAGCAGCTGGAAGGTGGCACAGATCAGTGATTAAGAATATAATCTTCTGAGTTAGCTAGACTTGAGTTTGAAGAAGAGCTCTGCCCTTCACTGTGTAACTTAAAATTCCTATCTGTAAAGTGGGGACAGCAATGGGATCTACCTCTTGGGGCATCAAGAGGATTAAATAAGAAACTGTATGTGATTAATTTAGCACAAAGACTAACAGTAAACATATAAGAGCTCTTGACCACAATTATAACTTGCGTAATCTGTTAATTTCATGTGTCAACTTAGCTTGGCCACAGTGCCCAGCTATTTGGGCAAATACCAGTCTGGACATTGCTGTGACAGTATTTTAAAGATGAGATTAGCATTTGAAACAGTAGATTTCGAGTAAAGCAGATGATTGTCTATAATGTCAGTGGGCTTCCTCCAATTAGCTGAAGCCTTAAGACGAAAAGACTAAGGTCCCTCAAGCAAGAGGATACTCTGTCTGCAGACTCTGCCTTCAAACTTGAGCTACAACATCAAGTCTTCCCAGGGTTTCTAGACTGCTGAGCTGCCCTGCAGAATTTAGACTTGCCAGCCGCACTATCACATAAGCCAATTCCTTAAAATTTGTTTATCTATCTTTCTATTATCTATCTATCTATCATCTATCTATTATCTATCTATCTATTTTCTTAGCTATGTATCTATCATCTTTCTTATCTATCATGTCTGCATATCTATCTATGCATTCAGCCATCCACCTATCTATCTACCCATTCTTCTACCTATCTATCATCTATCCATATATCTAATCTATCATCTTTCTTATCTGTTTTTATATCATCTTTCTTTCTTATCAATCTGTCCATTCATCCATCTGTCTATCTAATCTGTCTATCTAATCTATCCATCGATCAATCATCTTTCTTATCTATCTATCCATTTATCTGCCTACCTATCTATCATCTATCCATCCATCTATCCATCTATCTAATCTATCATCTTTCATATCTATCTATTATCTAATCTATCTATCTATCTATCTATCTATCTATCTATCATCTTTCTATCTTCTATCTAATCTATACTATATATATCTTTTGTATCTATCTGTTTTATCTATTTCTTATCTATCTTATTTATGTATCTATCTATCATTTCCTATCTATCTATCTATCTATCTATTATCTACCTATCCATCCATCCTATTGGCTTTGTTTCTGTGGAGAAGGCTAACTAATATTGATGGCTTAGGGCTAGTAGCTCAGGGATTGGTTTGCATATGTTCATTTGCTTAAAGGGAGACATAAATAATAGTTGACTTCCTGAGGAGGCAGAGCATATATACCTTAGGAAGAGGGGCTCCTTAGATAGAGCTCTGGGATGGAGGGGAAATGAGGAGGCTTGAGGGTGCAGCAGGACTGAGGACATCTTCTCTGATGACTGTTCTCTCTGGGATATAGAAAGTGAGGTCACATCATGGCCTAAAGGGAGGCAGCTTTTAAAGGACCGTGGGAAATCAGGGGCGCTAGTGCTGAAAAGGACCCCGGGGAGCACAGAGGTCCTGCTGAGGTTGAAGACCATGATCCACGATGCACCCATCTGTAGGACCAGGAAGCCTGATGTGGGAGAGAACAGCAGGCTAAATCCAGGGTTGGTCTCTACAGCAGAGGGAATCACAAGCCTGTTAGCAAGTGAAGAACCAACACTGGCAAGAGTGTGAAGGCCTCTCATCAGAGTTCTCAATACCTGCCTACTCCTTGGCATCAAAGGAGAACTAGAACAAAGATTTCCACTGAAAGGCAATGGCTGTGTTTATTCTCAGCATAGGCAAGATATTTCCCAGCTGTTTCTCTCACCCACAATCTGGGAAAGTTGTCTATAGGCTTCTTTTAGTGACGTGCAAGCAGAGGTGTGGAGAGCCAGAGACTCTGAGGTTATGGAGCCAAGGAGAACCCAATCACACAAATCCAGCTGGAGGTGGAAGTCCTTGGAAGCAAAGGCCAGTGAAGTGTCACCAGCAAGATCCAGGCCTCGGGAATCTCAAGTCCATAGAATCAGGAATCATAGTTCCAATCCCTGGACTTGAATCTGAAGGGTTATGGGGTAAAAACTGCCTGGAGACAGCAGTCAAGACAGCAGTCCCTGGGAGGGGTGTGTGGGGTGGCAGTCCAGCCTCTGTGAAGCAGATCCCAGCAGGAAACAGCTGTCTGAGAGAGTCCCTGCTCTCTGGCTGTGACCACCCTCCTCCATGCTCTGAGCCGGCCTATCTCCTGGGCTGAACACCAGGCCTGTGTCCTCTCATTCAGAGTTGTCTTCATTTATCCTTGTCCTGGAGAGGCCTTGGAGCTTAGCTGGTGAGCATCTGAGCCTGTGTGATCTGCATCTGTGTTGAGTGCCCCTCCAACTGTGAGAGGTGGTGGTGCAGGGTGCAGGACACCTCCCCTCTTGCTTGGCCTGGCTGATGGCAGCAAAGGCCAGCCAAAGCAGCAGAGAGGTGCTGGAATCTGCAGCTAAGACTCTTACTTTAAGGATTATAAATGAGTCCCAGATTACTTCTTTGAGACCAAGCTCTGAAAGATTGGTTGATATGCAAATACAGCAAAATGGTGAAACACTTTTCTACACAGGTTGACATAAATGTGAATTCCGGCCCTTCCTTTCTCATCATATCTGACAACCTTGAGCAAGTTCGCGTTCACAATTGCTATTTATTGCATTTAGACTCAATATAGAAGTTGTGAGTTATAGGTTGTGTTTAAGGGACTTTGTTTTTGGCCAAGTCTGGGGCTAGGCTTAGGGCTAGTAGCCCAGGGATTGGTTTGCATATGTTCATTTGCTTAAAGGCAGTTGCTTTTTTTTTTTTTTTTTTTTTTTTTGAGACAGAGTCTCACTCTGTTGCCCAGGCTGGAGTGCAGTGGCGAGATCTCAGCTCACTGCAACCTCTGCCTCCCGGGTTCAAGCAATTCTTCAGCCTCAGCCTCCCAAGTAGCTGGGATTACAGGCACCCACCACCACACCCGACTAATTTTTGTATTTTTAGTAGAGATAGGGTTTCACCATGTTGGCCAGGCTGGTCTCAAACTCTTGACCTCAAGTGATCCTCCCGCCTCAGCCTCCCAAAGTGCTGGGATTATAGGCGTGAGCCACCCCACCCGGCTGCAGTTGCTTTTATGAGACTAGAGAGAAGGGAACAGTTTTATGCACAGGTATCTTTATGCACAGGTATCTGAAGAAAAAAAGAACAGTGCATGTATTCGTTAGGACCCTTTGGGTTGCAAAAAAGCAAAAGCCAGTTGAAGTGAGTTTTAGCAAATATCAAGAGCAATTGTATGGATTCCCTGAAGCACAAGGTCAGGGATGCAGCAAAACCTTAGGAATGACCTAGAATCAGGGCCTGGATGGGAGGCTGCCAAGACTCTGTTTCTTCCTTGCTGCTCCCTGTCCATCTGCTCTATTCTCTGTTCTCTGCAAGCCAGCTTTCCCTGTGCCTCAGGCCACAGGGTGAAAGGTAGAGGCCAACCAACAGCTCTTGGGTTTTCTTATTATAGGTTTAGTCCATGAGCTCCAGCTTAGAAACATAAGTGAAAAGAAGAGAGTGTCTTTCTCCCCGGTTCTGGGGATCTGTCCTCCTGCATGGGTCCCATGTCACTTCTTGGCAAGTCTTCATTGTCAGGGCGAGAAAGTACTTTGACTGGCCAGGCCTGGTTCCTCCCAGATCACCGGGTTTCTTAACAGAGGAAATAACATACAGAAGCTTGTTGAAGAGAGAAAGATAAAGCACAGATGCCACAGCCCACTGCAGGGCGATTTCCTTCACTGGTCCTCCCACCCCCATTGGCCTAGCCCAGCTCTGATACTCCAGAGCTCAAGCCACCCCAAAGGACAGCTTCACACAGAGTAGCAGTTTTCCCAGACAGCCCTGGGCAGTGGTGAAATGTCTCAAGGAGGAAGCCAGAGTTGAAAAATACAAGTGAGCCTGTCCTTGAACTTATGTGAGACATTACCATGGGACCCCCAGACAAAACCGTGGGGACTCTGGGTGGAGCTGAACCCCTGCGTACCACAGTCAAGCCATTAACATCACTAGATGTCATTTTTTATCCACAGTCATCAGACCTAGGGACACTAGGTTATTGTACAGGTGAATGATCCCTTATGAGCCATCTAAGTTTTTTTCTAAATGTTTACCATAACAAATAACTCAGCAGCCAGTATTAGCTTACAGTTAGATCTTCACACACATTCTCAACTTATTACCATTTGTGAAGATGAAAGTGAGAAAAGCTAAAAACAAAAACAAACAATAGATAATAAAGCCTCTGGGTAACAAACCAAGTCTTAGCCAGAACTCTTTTGGTTGCAAGCAACAGAAACTCAAGTCAAGCCAATTTAAGCAAAGGGGATATTTACTGATTCCAGAAACTAGGAGTTCATGGAATGGAATTGTTCTCCAGCATGACTGGATGCAGAAACTCAGTAATATTCTCTCTCTCTGCCCATTTCTCAGCTGTGCTTTTCTTGGGATGTTAGGCTTACTCCTATTGCAAGAGATGAGCTTCTTCCCTGTGACTTTAGGGATTGTGGAGAGGAGGGTATGAGTATGATCACAGACAGGTTCCAGTTTACATCATTCACTCTCAATAAAAAGTAAGCTTTTCTCTTCTAGTGCCAGACTCTTCTCCCAGAAGGGTCTGATTGCTCTTACTAGAATGGCATTCCCGATCCATGAGCTCATCACTGCAGCTCAGGGGCAGTGACCCTCTGGCCAGAGTTAGGGGATCCTAACAGACTCATGTGGAATAGAGGAGGGTCAGTTCTGAAACAAAAGAAGGGAGCTGTTACCAAAATAAGGTTAGTAAGAGCTGTTGGCAGTTCAAAAGAAAAGACATGCAAGAGTCAAGTTCCTATGCTGGCCAACAGTGTGTCCTGCTGCAAGGGGTTCTGTGCCAGGACAAGCAGGAAGTTTTCTCCCTAAAAACAGAAATGAAACCCATTTCTGTATGTCATGGCACACAGTATAAACCACACTAATGTGTGGCCTCTGGGAGGTGTTTATGGGGATGTGTTTTTGTCTCGTAGTCAGAATAAATACAATGAAGGACCCATCCCTTCTTTGAAATATGGCATAATTTTGATGGGAACACATCATTTTCCTCCCAAAACCTTTTGTTGGCTCCCAATCCTCTTCAAAATAGAACTCCAACTTCACTATGTGCAATTGCATTATGATGCTGAGGAAAGAGCTTGCTTTGGGTCAGGTGAACCAGCCTGGACTGCTGTTGTGTGACCTGAGGCAAGCTACCCTGAACTTCCAGAGAGAAGCTTGGCAGCATGGTATCATGTCAGAGTCCTGGCCCCTGAAGCCACTCTGTCTTCACCACTTCCCAGCCACCTGCCCTTAAGCACATTTCTAAATGGTTCTGTGCCTTAATTTCCTCATGCATAAAATAGGGATGATGATAACTACCTTCACAAGGTTGTTCAGTGGAATAAACAAGACAATGAATGTCAAATGCTTGGAACAGTGTTTGGCACACAGTAAGTTCTCAATAAAATGTTAGCTATTGTTATTATTGCTATTTGACTGCTCAATATCTAGTAGAGTACATGATCCAGAATAAAATATATGGTGAATGAACCAATGGACTGAACCCTTTATGACCTAATTTTCCTAATCTATAAAATGTGACTATTACTCATCAAACATGCTGTTGTAATGATTAAGTGAGATAGCGTATGGAAAGCCTCTAGCACAATGCCTGTCTTAACAATAGGCAAGTTCTGTTGGTTCCTTTCTATTTTCTCCATTCCCCTACCCCTGAAATTCAAGGTCCTCCATAATTTTTCATGCCAAGCCTTTCTGAGTTGCGAAGTGCCAAAACCTAACTCAAGTTGGCTGACACTTACAATACAGGCTCAAGAAATAGAAAAGTCCTAGGTCTAGCTGAATCCAGAGACTCAAATGACATCATCGGGGCTTGATCTCCTTGAAACTCTTTCTTTTGAGCATGGTTGACTTCAAGGTGTTGACTTTACCTTGAGGAGACCTGTCTATGTGGTGGCCTCCAGTGCTCCAGATTGTCACCAGGTCTCTTAACCTCTCTGCACCTCAGTGTTCTCATCTGTAAAAAGGGGGATAATAATAGCACCTATAGTAAGCCTTTGATACGTATTATTGTCATTGCTGTTGTTATTCTTTAGCAATTCCAGAGGAAAAAGGAACTGCTGCTTCTACTTCTGGAAAACTCCAAGAATTGTGTCTCATTGGATCAATGCAGGCCTCCTGTCCATCCCTGAGGCAATCAGCATGATTGAGGGGATAGACTAATAAGACTGATGGGGCCTGGAATATCCCCCTCCCCTAGGGCTGGGGCCAGACGTGGGGTCAATCTCCTTCCCACATGGACTAAGAATTGGAGAGGGTGCTCTCCCTAAGAAAAACCAAGATGCTAGTAACAGGGTAAAAACATGGGCTGTGCCCAGGAGGGAACAGTTCCAGTGGCTAACCGCCTGGCTCCAGAGTTGAAGTTGATGACTGTGTCCTCCACTGCTGCCCACAACAGGCTGTGGAAACTTAAGCAAGTTACTTATCCTCTCAAAGCCTCAGTTTCCCCACTTAGAGAAATGGGATGCTATTTCTTCACAAGTGTTTGCTTTTAGGATTTTTATTATAGAAATTTTCAAGCACATTCATCAGAACAGTCAATAGTAAAATGAATCCAGGTAAGCATCACCCAGCTTCAGTAATTATCAACACAGCTGATCTCTGATCTGTGTCTCTCCTTCTCCCCACACCCTACTCCTAGAACATTCTGAATCTCAGATATGATATAATTTTGTTCATAAACATTTCAGTATGTATCTGCAAAATATAATCGCTTTTTTCTTAAATTTAACCTTTACTATTATCACACCTAAAACATTAACAATAGTTCCTTAATATCATTCAAAAATGTGGAGTTTGAATCGTCCTTTTTGTTTCATAAATCGTTTTTCACTCTTGATTTATCTGAGTCAGGATTAAAGTAAGGCCTATTACATTCCATTTGGTTGATACGCCTCTTGAGTTTCATTTAATCTCTAGGTCCCAACAGTTATCAATAAGTCAATCTTTTTTTTTTTTTTTTTTTTTTGATGAAGAGTCTCACTCTGTCACCGAGG
The DNA here is from genome assembly GCF_000001405.40 of Homo sapiens. Taxonomy (NCBI): domain Eukaryota; kingdom Metazoa; phylum Chordata; class Mammalia; order Primates; family Hominidae; genus Homo; species Homo sapiens. Next base: position 25,998,272 of record NC_000004.12, on the reverse strand, counting down.
CTGGGGTGCAGTGGCATGATCTCGGCTCACTGCAACCTCTGCCTCCCAGGTTCAAGTGAGTCTCCTGCCTCAGCCTCCTGAGTAGCTGGGATTACAGGCGCTTGCCACCATGCCTGACTAATTTTTGTATTTTTTTTGTAGAGACAGGGTTTCACCATGTTGGCCAGGCTGGTCTCGGACTCCTGACCTCAGGTGATCCACTCCCTGGGACTCCCAAAATGCTAGGATTACAAGTGAGAGCAACCATGCCTGACCCAATAGGTCATTCTTACTTCATCTGTATCTACTCCCTACACCTCACTCCCTGTCCCCTACTTCTGAAATATTTTGAAACAAATTCCAGACACCAAAAAAAAATTTTTTTCTTTTTTGAGACAGAGTCTCACTCTATTGCCCAGGCTGGAGTGCAGTGGCGCGAGCTCAGCTCACTGCAATCTCTGTCTCCTGGGTTCAAGCGATTCTCCTGTCTCAGCCTCCCAAGTAGCTGGGAATACAAGCATGAGCACCACATCCGGCTAATTTTTTTTTTTTTTTTTTTTGTAGAGATGGGGTTTCACCATGTTGGCCAGGCTGGTCTTGAACGTCTGATCTCAGGTGATCCACCCACCTCGGCCTCCCAAATTGCCAGGATAACAGGCGTGAGCCACCACACCTGGCCTAGACACCAAAATGTTAAGCCTCATCTCTAAATATTTCTGTTTGTACTTCTAACACCCTCACTCTCTCTCACATTAGAACAAAACCACTATTCCATTAATACACCACAATGATAATAATCATGCTTGGATACCCATTGTTTAAATTTCCCCAGTTATTATCACTGTTTGGAAGTGATGTAATTCACAGTGAAGTCACAGCTTGTTAAAATCAAGATCCAAACAAGCCCATGCTTTTGGTTGATTTTTCTATTAAACCTCTTTTAATTTCTAGGTTCCTTGGCTTTTCTTTTCTTTTGTTTCTTCTATTTTATTTTTTGAAAAAACTAGGTCATTATCCATGTAGAACTTCCTCATTTGGAATTTTGCTGATTGCATTACCCAGGTGCCATTTACCATGGGGTGGGAAGCATGTAGTCTCACACAGCCCTGGAGGGAATCAGGCTCTGGAACTAACTTGCTGGGTAACAGTGACAAAATTCCTTAATTTTTCCAAATCTCAGTTTTTTCATCCTAAAAGAGGATAATGATAATGACACCTCCTAAGCTACAGGGAAGATTAACTGAGTAAGATATGTAAAGAATTAAGTACAATGGTGAATGGGAAATTAATTTTTTTTCTTAAAAAAGCTATTGCTGGAAATAACCCTAGAGTCCCTTGATAGATGAATGGATAAACAAAATGTGGAATATCCATACAATAGAAAATTATTCAGCCCCCAAAAGGAAGAAAATGTTGACATAGTCTACATAGGTGATTCTTGCATGTATTATGCTAATAAGCCAGTCATGAAAGGACTAATATTGCCTGACTCTTTCTATATAAGTTACCTAGAGTAGACAAATTTATAGAGACCACTGGGTACAATGGCTCACACCTGTAATCCCAGTACTTTGGGAGGCTGAGGCAGGAGGATGACCTGAGGTCAAGAGTTCGAGACCAACCTGGCTAACATGGTGACATCTCTACTAAAACTACAAAAATTAGCCGGGTGTGGTGGTGGGCACCTGTAATCCCAGCTACTTGGGAGGCTGAGACTGGAGAATCGCTTGAACCCGGGAGGCGGAGGTTGTGGTGAGCTGAGATCGCACCATTGTACTCCAGCCTGGGTGACAAGAGTGAAATTCTGTCTCAAAAAAAATTCATAGAGACTGAAAGTAGGTTGGTGGTTCCCAGAGGCTTATGGGGAGAGGTGAATGAAGAATTACTGTTTAATGGATACAGACTTTCAGCTGGGGAAGACAAAAAAACTTTGGAGTTAGATGGTGGTGATGGTTGCCCAGCATGTAAATGTACTGAATGCCACAAAACTGTACATTTAAAAATACAAACATGATACATTGTATGGCATGTATATTTTACCACAATAGGCAAAACAGCTGTTAAATAAATTAATGTTGTATAGGACTGCGGCCTCCAGCTGCTCCCTTGCCCCTCATTTCATACCTCTTGGAGACCGGTGGCACAATTCCAGGAACGGGCTATTATCGTAAAAGAAACTGAATTAAACTTATCTGAAATCCTGACCTCCATCCTTGAATCCACAAATATTCATTAAGCTCCAGCTCTGAGCTAGGCCTGGCCAAGGGCCACAGCTCAGGTGTAAGGGAGGAGGCGAGGATGCAGAGGTCTAATACCCAGACTCAGGCTTCAGAGGCCTTCGAACTCTCATCAGATTGAGGAATGTGCCATAACAACACAGGTGACACAGGACAAGCATCTCCCCATCAGTGGTAAAAGAAAGCAAGCCCTGTGGGCCTCCACTCCTTCCTCAGGAAGACATTGACCTCAAAAGAGGGTGGACGTGCCCACTGCCTTCACTTCCCGGAGGCCCGGGAGAGACCGTACCCGTGACCATCTGACCACATGCGCAACCATGGGGCCAATCAGATTCTCTGAGAATTTCAGCAGAGCATCCCAGAGGAGGAGGGTCAGGGGTGACCTGGAAATGGAAAATCACATAGACTCAGGCTGGGGCGAGCTGGTTCTCTTGAAGGAACCAGCAATGAGGATGCCACAGAGAGGGTAAGTCTTCCTGGGGAATCTGCAGCACGAAACAGACACTCAGAAAGGGGACAAGAGACACACAGGCAGGTGCTAGGGAGAGGCTGTTCCTCTCCAGCTTCCAGCCCCAGGTACGGTCCTTCCCCAGGCCTGTGCATTCCTGCCCTCCATGTCTCCAAGTGTCTCCTGTGCCCTCCCTACAGGCTCCCCTTAGAGCAGGCTGCAGGAGTGGAGGCACAGTCTGGGTCCCCTGGAAGGTGCCTCTGAGAGCATTAGGCTGCTCCATGTTGACCAAAGACTGCCCTTGGGATAGATACCTATGGAAAGGAGGGGAAGGAGGCAGGAGTGGGCGGAGAGAGCAGCTGAGCTGGGACCAGGGCCACAGCCTTGGCCAACCCATGTGTGTTAATCTGCTAGGCTGCAATAACAAAGGACCACAACCTGAGGGGCTTCACACAGAAATTTATTTCCTCACAATTCTGGAGGCTGGAAGTCTGAGATCAGGTGTTGACTGGGCTGGTTTCTTCTTTTCTTTCTTTCTTTTTTTTTTTTTTTTGAGACAGAGTCTCACTCTGTTGCCCAGGCTGTAGTGCAGTGGTGTGATCTCAGCTCACTGCAGCCTCTGCCTCCCGGGTCCAAGCGATTCTTGTGCCTTAGCCTCCTGAGTAGCTGGAATTACAGGCGAGTGCCACCAGGCCTGGCTAATTTTTGTATTTTTAGCAGAGACAGGGTTTCACCACGTTGGCCAGGCTGGTGTTGAACTCCTGACCTCAAGTGATCCATCTGCCTGCCTCAGCCTCCCAAAGTGCTGAGATTACAGGAGTGAGTCACCACACCCAGCTGGACTGGTTTCTTCTGAGGCCTCTCTCCTTGGCTTGTAGACAACTGTCTTCTCACTGTGTCTCCCTCTGGCCTTCCCTCCATGTGTCTGCATCTTAATTTCCTCTTCTTTTTTATTTTTATTTTTTGAGACGGAGTTTCACTCTTGTTGCCCAGGCTGGAGTGCAATGGTGCCATCTCAGCTCACCACAACCTCCTGGGTTCAAGCAATTCTCCTGCCTCAGCCTCCCGAGTAGCTGGGATTACAGGCATGTGCCACCACGCCCGGCTAATTTGTATTTTTAGTAGAGACGGGGTTTCTCCACGTTGGCCAGGCTGGTCTCAAACTCCCGACCTCAGGTGATCCCCCCTGCCTTGGCCTTCCAAAGTGCTGGGATTACAAGTGTGAGCCACTGCACCAGGCCGATTTCCTCTTTTTATAAGACACCTATCATATTGGATTATGGCCCAACCCAATGACCTCATGTTACCTTAATTAACCTTTAAAGGCCTTGTCTCTGAATAGAGTCTTATTTTGAGGTTCTGGGGTTTAAACTTCCACCTATCAGTTGTGGAGTTGGAGGGGCCAGGAGAGAGCACAGCTGAACTCTGACAGCATGGGAAGCTCTGGAGTCAGAACGGCCCTTCAAAATCATCCCAGTCAGGCCAAAAAGGTCAGGTCTGTAAGGATCAGTCATTGGATATGGAACTTTCTGGGAAGAGCATGACCTTGGGCGAGGCCACACTCTGCAGCTGAGTCGGTCCCTAAGGGATCTGAGAGCTGAAGGCTGTCTGTGGTCAGCTCCCCCAGCAGCTGGGGCATCGGATCCTGCATCAAAGAGGGCGTTACTTTCAGGATCCAGAGGGCGGTACTTTCAGGATCCACCACCAGGTGGGTTCTGTGTCCTGCAGCTGAACGAACTTGAAGGCGGGGCTGTCCTGGGGGTGAAGTGAAACAATGATTGGCAGCTCCCTGAGGGTGGGACTGTGTGTTGGTCACCGTATCCTCCACCCATGACAGACACTTCATCCATCTCCACCCTGTTGCAGCCTTTCTTCCAGAAAAGGAGATGTCTGCTGGGTGGGGTCTAAGACAACTCGTGATCTGGTGACAATAGGGATGGATGTGACTGGTGCTGTCACACACCCCCGCCCACTCACATAACAAAGTGAGCTGAGGTTGCTTTCTTGCATAATGAAGGAAAACCCAAGAGAACTGCAGAGAGGGGCGGGGAATAAACCAGGGCTGGCAGCTGCTGGCCCCCAGACTCCTTGTTAAGTGAAAAGAATAAAGCCCTTTTTATTTAACACACTGTGTAGTGGGTTGAATGGTGGGCGTGTCGTGTCCCCTCGGCCCCGCCCCTGCAACAGAAAGTCCTTCCCCTGAGACTTGCAAATGTGACCTTTTTTGGAAAAAGAGTCTTTGTAAATGTAGTTAAGTAAAGGAGATAAAAATAATCCTGGGTTAGAGTGGTCCCTGAGTCCAATGACTCAATAAGCGTTCTTATAGAGACTTGTCCTCTGGAAGAAGAGCAGAAAGACACAGAGGAAAGGTAATGTGAAGATAGAGGTGGATATGGAAATGACTCACCTAGAAGCCAAAGAATTCCAAGAATTGGCCAGGCACGGTGGCTCATGCCTGTAATCCCAGCACTTTGGGAGGCTGAGGTAGGCGCATCACCTGAGGTCAGGAGTTTGAGACCAGCCTGACCAACATGGAGAAACCCCATCTCTACTAAAAATACAAAATTAGCCACATGTGGTGGCGCATGCCTGTAATCCCAGCTACTCAGGAGGCTGAGTCAGGAGAATTGTTTGAACCTGGGAGGTAGAGGTTGTGGTGAGCTGAGATCCCGCCATTGCCCTCCAGCCTGGGTAACAAGAGCGAAACTCTGTCTCAAAAAAAAAAAAAGGAATTCCAATAATTGCCAGCAGCCTCCAAAATCTAGGAGATGGGCATGAAGCAATTCTCCCTCAGAGCCTCCAGAAGGAACCAACCCTGCTGACGCCTTCATTTCAAACTTCTGGCCTCTGGAAGTGTGAGGGAATAAATTTCTGTTGTTTTAAGTCACCAAGTTTGTGGTACCTTGTCAAGACAGCCACAGAAAAGTATTACATGCTGTATTGTTAGGTTATTTTCTGTTTGCAACCCAAATCCTAATTGTTGTAACTTAGCAGCACCCGACATACAATAAAATTAAATGAATGAATGGTCCGGGCACAGGGGCTCATTCCTGTAATCTCAGCACTTTGGGAGGCCGAGGCAGGCGGATCACTTGAGGCCAGAAGTTTAAGATCAGCCTGGGCAGACTGAGCGCAGTGGCTCTTGCCTATAATCCCAGCACTTTGGGAGGCCGAGGCCAGTGGATCACCTGAGGTCAGGAGTTCAAAACCAGCCTGGGCAACATGGTGAAACTATGTCTCTATTAAAAATACAAAAATTAGCTAGGCATGGTGGCACACACTTGTAATCCCAGCTATCCAGAGGCTGAGGCAGGAGAATCACTTGAACCTGGGAGGCAGAGATTGCAGTGAGCTGAGACTGCACCACTGCACTCCAGCCTGGGGAACAGAGTGAGACTCAGTCTCAAAAAAAAAAAAGAACAAATGTACTTATTTGTATGTGCCTGATAGGACATACTTAAATGTGCATACTTTTATTTGCTTTCTTAGTGGGATAGTAGAAAAGACTTTGGAGAGCATTCCCCTGCACTGAGCAGGCTGATGTGCTCACACAGCTGTGGAGGAGGGTGATCTAGACAGGAGGGATGACACGGGCAAAGATATGAAATTGGGAGGGTGCAAAGCATGTTGAAGGTTTGAGGGTTCAGGGGGCCGTATGTAGATCAGCCTGGTGGTATAGGGTGCATCTGGGAGGCAGAGGGAGGCCAAGCAGGAAAGGCAGCCTGGGGCCAGTGTGGAAGTCACCAAAGCCATTCCAGACGTGGCACTGGCCTTTCCCTGAAGGTAATGGGCTGTCATCGCAGGTTTTTCACCCAGGAGCAACATGATAGAAATGGTGCTTTAGAAAAATGAGTCTGGTCTCATTAGCATTGATTCTAGTCCTGCTGAGACAACAAGGCATAGATAAATGGTCCACATCCATCCTTAAAAGTGCACAGCAATTGTCCAAATGAACCACACTCTACACTGGCTGAGCTTTCAATTACAAAATGCCATCAGTTACAATGACACAATGGGGCATTACAGTAATCCGTCACTGAAATCATATAAAGCTGCCAACTCTGTGTTCTGCCACCAAGATCTTGGCCCTTTGAGCCTGCCTCTCCCGCCAGCCAACTCCGCCTTTAGGCAAGGATTCCCAGTATCCCCCTGGGTAATTCCAGACCTAGAGTCACTTCTCTCACACTCTGGGCTCTGACCCCATCTCAGGTCCTGCCTGTGGCTCTTTGGCTGTCTGCTAACAGATTCTGCCCCTTCTCACCCAAATTTCAGGCCCATGGACTCAATCCCCAGTCCTGGTAATAGTGAAAGATGAATTCCCACTCCATGGGCCAGGCTCTCTGTGACTGCCTTAAGGAGGCGGTATGGCAGAGTGACCAGCCACAGGCTTGGGTTCAGTCCTGGCTCAGCGACTGGGAGGGTTTTTTTTAACTCCTCCAAGCCTCACTTCTCTCAGCTGATAACAATACCTAACTCACAAAGCAGCTGTGAGGATCAGGGCAGGTGATCCATTAGTAAAACTATTATGAGACATGCACTTACCCTTATGGAACTGTACTCAGAAGAAAAAAGCCAAGTTATCTTCATTTATGAAAAGTCAAAAATGAAGCAAGTCAAGTGAAGCAAAAGCACCATCTTGGATTTCAGTAAACTCATGCACCAGTTACACGCACCATCTAATTTTGTTTCCGAAATATGTTGTTGCCTGAATTCAATATCTACCACTCCGGTCATCCCAAATGAAAGTGGACAGAGGATCAGTGACTTGCCTCGTGCTTCCTTGGATAAATAAAATGTGGTGCTCACACATTATGGGGCTCTGTGCAGCAATTACGAGCCTCAAACTGGATGCACATACACAGTAACATGGGCAGATCTTAAAAAACATAATAGAGGACATCGAATACTACTTTGTACCCAGCCCCATTCCAAGTACTTGACACAGTGTAACTCATTCAGTTCTCACCAAATCCCATGAGGTACACAGCATCATTATCTCCAATGTGCAAAGAGAAGCATGGAAAAGTTCAGTAAACTGCTTATCATCTTACATAGCAGAGGAGCTGAGATTTCAACCAGGCAGCCTACATGCTTCACCTCAATTCCGTATTAAATGCATACACATGCATACACACACACACACACACACACACACGGGCATTTATTTATTTATTTATTTATTTAATTTTGAGACAGAGATTCACTCTTGTTCTCTTGTTGCTCAGGCTGGAGTGCAATGGTGCGATCTCGTCTCACTGCGAACTCCGCCTCCCGGGTTCAAACGATTCTCCTGCCTCAGCCTCCGGAGTAGCTGGGATTACAGGCACCTGCCACCACGCCCCGCTAATTTTATATTTTTAGTAGAGATGGGGTTTCTCCATGTTGGTTTCTCCATGTTGGTCAGGCTGATCTGGAACTCCCAATCTCAGGTGATCCGCCCGCCTCGGCCTCCCAAAGTGCTGGGATTACAGGTGTGAGCCACCACGCCTGGCCTCACACATGAACATTTATAACAGCAGGACCTTCAGCACATCACCATTCTGCCTATGCCAAACTGCCAGTTTGTTCTCAATCCATCTCTGCCTTTCCTCTGCTCTTCCTTATATCCTAGGGAACTACAATTGCCAGCTCTCATGGCTCTGGCTTGTGGGTTGGTTTAGGGAATGGGAAACTGGTAGAAGATTAGAGAGGGGAAGAAGGGAGAGCCAGGGTGTTTCTCTATGTCTTTCCTCCGGTAGCTCCCACAACCCTGTTTCTCTTCCTTGGCTCTGCCTTCTGTCAGATGGCCCCTCCTCGACTGTTTCAGATCCTGCCAGCGGTCCCTACATTGGAGTCCCAGCCATAAAGCAGTAGCATCATCCTTCCTATTGCTGCTCCAGCCCTAGGGGTCATGGTGGCTTCCTGAGGTTGATAATCTCTGGGTCACCTGTTTGTCTTCTCAGTTTGCCTATCAACTTGGGTAACCAATTCCCTATATTAAATTTTCTCTGTTTGAAAGACCTAGAGTGGTTTCTAATTTTCTTGCTAGATCCAGACTAATAACTCATTTGTGTGAATTAAAAATCTATGCGTGCTCTGGTGGAAGAAGTACTGACCTGTGAATCAAGATGCCTGGGATGGAGGCCAAGTGCTGTCCCAACCCAATGTGAAACCTCGAGCTCTTTGTCTGTCCTTCTTAGACTTTGCATGCTTTTCTTTTTTTATGAAAACTTTTTTTTTTAACTTTAGAGAGATTGGGTCTTGCTGTGTTGCCAGGTGGGAGTACACTGGTATATGATCATTGCTCACTGCAGCCCTGAACTCAAGGGATCATCCCACCTCAGTCTCCCGAGTAGCTGGGACTACAGGTGCACGCCACCACATCTGTTTTGATTTGTTTTGTACAGATGGCGTCTCGCTATGTTCCCCAGGCTGGTCTCAAACTCTTGGCCTCAAGCAATCCTCCCGCCTCAGCCTCTCAAAATGCTGGGATTCCAGACATGAGCTACCATACCCAGCCTAGATTTTGGATTTCTAATTTGCAATGTTAATGTGGATTAGGTGCTTTTTTTAAAAAGTACATTCTTACTCAAACTCTTTGAATGTGTGTGTGTGTGTGTGTGTGCGCGCGCACGCACATGCATGCATGCGTGCTCGAGATCACAGATTTTTTTCTATGGATAATATGAATTCAAGGATATGCATGAATCACATTAAAGCAGCTGCCTTTGGAGTAGAGAACAGGGATAGAAAAGAGTAAAAAGACAATCAGAAGCTGGGCACAGTGGCTGACGACTGTAATCCCAGCTAATCGGGAGGCCGAGGCCAGGGGATCACCTGAGGTCAGGAGTTCAAGACCAGCCTGGCCTACATGGTGAGATCCCGTCTCTACTAAAAATACAAAAATCAGCCAGGCGTGGTGGCGCAAGCCTGTAATCCCAGCTACTCGGGAGGCTGAGGCAGAAGAGTCACTTGAACCCGGGAGGCGGAGGGCACAGTGAGCAGAGATCACACCACTGCACTCCAGCCTGGGTGACAGAGTGAGACTCCGTCATCAGAAAGTCCCGGTACTGACAATTGGAGAGCAATGCAACACAGCACACAGCAGTGGTTCCTAACCTGTCGGCCAGCCCACGTGCTGCCGTCCAGAGCTAGACGTGTCACCAATCACCTTCCACATTCACCCTCGGTGCTCCTGAAGCAACGGGAAGCCTTTTCTGGGTGTTTTGTTGTTGTTGTTCCACAGTCACTTCTTTATGGGCCAGCCTCGCCCTGAGAACGAGGAGGGTGAAGGCGGTTCAGCCCGGACAGGCTGCTGGCGCCATCTAGCGCTCCGATGGAGAACTGGCTCCCGCGCATTCTCTGAGTTGAGATTTCCGGCGCCTGCTCCGAGCTCTCCAACCTCCATCTGCTTTTTTCAAAACCTTCATAGCTTGCCAATTTGCAAATATTGGGAAGTCACTTTGCCTTGAAATCTTCAAGGAGTAACTCTACTGAGCCCATTGCCAGTAGAACCCGCAGAAGCTGCCAGGCAATTACCTAACCCCCAAGAGGCCCCTAGCAAATTGGACATTCTGGGCATTTAAAACCCGCCATCCGCATGCACAGAATTGTAGGAAACGTGGGCTCCAAATTTCATCATCAGAATCTCTGAGGGGCGACCTCAGCCTTTCCTAAGAAAACAATGTCTCTCATGAGGTGTGAAGACATCTGCTTTCCAGAGTCCCCCACTGCCACTATCTCTAAATAACAATTTCTAAACAAGTTGTTGGTTCACATTTAAAATTGCGAGCCATGTTTTCTTTTCTCCATATAGGAGAGGAGAGGCTGGTTGTTTCAGGATTCATTAAGCCCTAATTTCTTCACCAGCATTCTGAGCGCAAATGGCTTAGCTGCTCCATCCCATGTTTAAGGCATATTGAAATAGGCCCTATCCTGCCTGAGACATTAACTTTTAGCAGTAACTGCTAGAAAAGGACCTTGATTTATTTATAATCAGCTGATGTTATCATTCACAGGAAAGACTAATAACATGAGAAATAAACTTGAGCACTGAGTTAGGGGGCAAAATTTGGGAGCCCACCTTAGTTTTTTTTTGTTTTGTTCTGAAATAACCAAGAACAAAGACAAGAGGCGAGTACTGAGTACGGATGAACATGAATGAATTGCTAATTATCGAAACAATTTATTTGGACACTCTGCTACCCGGGAGAGAAGTAGGGTGCTTTTTGTCTTTCCCATCAAAGACTTTATTGCTATTTTGATCATCCAGAATTGTCAAGACCATGTTTCCCTAATAATGCGGCCAGCGATTTCATTTCGCCCTAGGGCCACGGTCACCCAACAGCTTGTAGGACTCTCCGTCCCTCTCTGTTATGAGTGCAGGGAGACGACAGAGGAAAGGAGGGTATAGGTTGGATGCGAAGTGGAAGAGACTTTTCTCTCCCCTTTTCCAAGTGTCAAAAGTGCATCAGTGGCAAGGAGGAATTGCCTTTTAGTTTACTTGGATTTTGACAGGCCCCTTTTACTTTCCCGTCAGCTCCTCAATTCAGGCAATTTCACGGCTTCTTTTCTGCTACTGAGACGTGTTTGTGGCAGCAGTGTTGTTAGCTGCAGCCACAGGCTGAGGAGCCAAATTGCTAAGCAGCCTCGCTTTGACTGCAGCCCACACCCGCTCAGGAGGATTTGCTAGCAACCCAGTGACAGTCCAGACCTAACAGGGCCATCAGGCCAGCCCGAAGGGCGACAGTGTGTCCTGGTTCATTATTCAGCCCAGTTAGATGGCTGAGAGCTGTCTGTATACTTACTTTCAATGAATTGAAATATCATAAAATAGACCTCATTCATTCATTTAACAAGTAAGCATTTATTGAGAGCCATGCTAAAGCTCTGCTGAATGTAATTAGCCGATTAAGCCAAACTCTGCTAAAGAGAGTTCCAGGCAGAGGGAGCAGCAAGTTCAATGTCTAGGTCATAGGCTTGGCTTGTTTGAGGAAGAGCAGGAAGATAGGAATAGTTGGGGGGAGATGAGAGCAAAGATGAGATCCTGGGCTGGGAGGCCACATCATGTACAGCCTTCTAGGCCACAGTGGGGACTTTGGGTTTTAGACTATGTATGATGGGAAGCTACTATGGAGTTTGAAGACCATGCTGTTTCCAGCCCCAAAGGGGCTTTAAAATGCCATAGCCTCTAGGATGAAACACCTCCTCAGCACAGCACCCAGCTAGCTTCTCCTCTGTGCTCTCCTCCTGCCTCACCCCACTCGCATCTCCATATATACCCACCATAGCTCTCTCTTATTTTCCAAAGGCAACATCCCTTTATCTGCCTGGGAAACACCTACCTGCCCTTCAAGACCTTGCATATCCACCACTGCCTTTATCCAGCCGATCTTGACTGTCTTACGCTGTGAATCCCCCTGTTCTTTGCCTCAGAGCCTCTTGGACACAATCCTATTATATAGGGTCCCTGTCATTTCTAAGTGTCTCCCTGCCCTGCAAGACTGGAGGCATTAGACAGGGGAATCCCGTGTGGGGCTGGGGCAGAGTCAGCAAAATAGGTGTGTTAAATTCTCCTTGGGTGGATGAGCAAATGAACAAGTGAAGGGGTAGCTATGGAGAGCTAACCCATGAACTCCCTACCAGCCGTCCACTCCACAGTGTGAAGAATGGATGAGGGGTTGGTTGCAAGCCAGACTGCCTAGGTTCAAATTCAGCCTGCAGCAAGTATTTCCCAGGTGACCTCTGGCAAACTTCTGTGCATTCACTTCTTTATATATAAAATAGAAAGGGTCATAATGCCATGCTCTGCCCACAGGTTGTTGAGAGGATTAAATAAATTAGTATATAAAAGCACTTAGGGCCAGGCATGGTGGCTCATGCCTGCAATCCCAGCACTTTGGGAGGCCGAGGCAGGCGGATCACTTGAGGCCAGGAGTTCAAGACCAGCCTGGCCAACATGGTGAAACCCCATCTCTACTAAAAATACAAAAATTAGCCAGGCATGGTGGCAGGCACCTGTAATCCCAGCTACTCAGAAGGCTGACGCAGGAGAATCACTTGAAACCAGCAGGCAGAAGTTGTGGTGAGCCGAGATCACATCATTGCACTCCAGCCTGGGTGACAGAGCAACACTCTGTCAAAAAAAAAAAAAAAAAAGCACTTAGAATAGGGCCTAGCACAGTAGACATTTGGTAAGTGTGAGTATTATTATGGCTGTTTTGTTGTTGCAAGGGAAAGGGGCTGCAGGATACAGAGAGGGGAATTCAGGGGAGAGTGGGAATCTTGGGGGGGTGGGGTGGTGAGCTTGCTGCTTTCTTCTCCAGCTTTGTCTGGGGCTGTTCTGAACCACAGGTGCCCTGCCTATAAGGCATGTCTCAGAGGCTCTTAGAGGGAACCATTTTTTCATTAATCTCCCAGTAATGTCATGGGAAAGTCAAATTGCTTCCTATTCTCAAACCCTTTCCTACCTTCCTGGAAGCTTTTGCTGTTCCCTTTTCGATGGAAGGAGGTTGGGCTGGGGTTGGGCTGGGAGCCAGAACACTTGGTTTGGAGTTCTTGCTCTGCCATCTGTCCCACCAATGTCCTTGGGCAAGAGGTGTGACCTCTGAGACTTGAATTCCTCGGCTGGTCTGAGATCTTCCTCTGCAGGCTGCCGTGGGGTCCAGGCAGTGGTTCTGTGCTCCGGCTATGGAGTCAGGCTTTTTTTTAGACAGAGTCTTGCTCTGTTGCCCAGGCTGGAGTGCAGTGGTGCCATCTCCTCACCTCCCAAGTTCAAGCGATTCTCATGCCTCAGCCCCCTGAGTAGCTGGAATTAAGGGACACACCACCACACCTGGTTAATTTTCGTATTTTTAGTAGAGATGGGGTTTCACCATGTTGGCCAGGCTGGTCTCGAACTCCTGGCCTCAAGTGATCCGCCCACCTCGGCCTCGGAGTCAGGCTATTCTGGCTCATATCCTGGCTCTACCCTCTGTTAGCTGTGGCTTTAGGTAAGTTATCCAGTCTCTCTGTGCCTCAGTTTCCTCAGCTGAAATGGGGCAATAATAGCTACCACCCTATTATAGGCTGAATTCTATCTCCCGCCCCCACCCCCAATTCGTATGTTGAAGTCCTAACTCCCAGTACATCACAGTGTGACTGTATTTAAAGAGAGGAAGTTAAAAGAGGTCATTAGGGTGGGCCCTAATCCAGTATGACTGTTGTCTTTATAGGAAGAGGACATTAGGACGCCGACAGATTGGGAAGACCGTGTGAGGGCACAGGGAGAAGAGGGTCATCTACATGCCAAGGAGAGAGGCCTCAGGAGAAACCCACCGTGTTGACACCTTCAGGTTGGACTTCTAGAACTGTGAGAAAATAGATTTCTGTTGTGGAAGCCAGCCAGGCTGTGGTCCTTTGTGATAGCAGCCTCAGTGGACCACACACCCCACTAGGCGGTTGTGAGTGTTAAATGAGAAGATGCATGTGAGGTGCTTGGAATAGGCCAGGTATACAGCGAGTGCCTAACACATAGCAGCCTCTCATCACAAGTGAGGGCCTGATTCTTGCAGGGATCAGCAGAGACATGCTGCCTCAGAAGGGAAATCCCTGTTCTTAGTTCTATTCAGACCCAATGACACATTCAATATTTACTGCAGGCCAGGTACTACGGCTCATGCCTGTAACCCTAGCACTTTGGGAAGCCGAGGCAGATGGATCACCTGAGATCAGGAGTTTGAGACCCAGCCTGGCCAACATGGCAAAACCCTGTCTCTACTAAAAACACAAAATTAGCGGAGTGTGGTGGTGTGTGCCTATAATCCCAGCTAATTGGGAGGCTGAGGCAGGAGGATCGCTTGAACCTGTGAGGCAGAGGCTGCAGTGAGCCGAGATTGTGCCACTGCACTCCAGCCTGGGCGACAGAGAGAGCAAAACTCCGTCTCAAAAAAAAAAAAAAAATTACTACATGTCCACTGTGCCCCAGCATTGCCTGCGTGCTGGGTGTTAACACAGCAAGGAGTAAAGCCAGCATTTCCGCTGCCTTCCTGAAGCTTACAGTCTAACTTGCAGAAGGACAGAGGACAAGGGACCATGGAGTAAAGAATCCCCTACCATAGGAACCCGGAGTGAAAATAGAGCAAATAGAGCAGGAGCTGTGTGCGAGAGAAACAGAGGGTCAGGCCAGGGCTGAGAAGGTGTCCAGGAGACAGTGGAGGCAGGTCAGGGAGAGAAAAAAGTTAGGCAGAAGCAGCAGCATTTAAAAGGCCTGAGCAGAGAAGAAGCCAGGTGTGCTGGGAATCAAAAGGCTTGCAGTCATGTAAGGAGGCAGGATCTCCTCCTTCCTGCTCCTTTTCCAGCATGGGGTGTGCTAGCTTCCATTTTCCTGTTTCACGTTTCACCTTCCACCATGGGGTGGCCCTCGCCAGATACAGGCTCCTCGACCTTAGACTTCTCAGCGTCCAGAATCATGAGCCAAATAAACCTTTTTTTCAAGAAATTACTCACTCTGTGGTATTCTGTCATAGCAGAAGAAAATGGACTAAGATATGTCCCAGCTATGCTGCCGTTTTCTTATCTATAAAATGGGGGTTGTGGTGGTAATAATAGTAGTCCTCATGGAGTCATTTTCAGGACGAAAAGAGTTTATATAGGCCATGCGCAGTGGCTCACACCTGCAATCCCAGCACTTTGAGAGGCCGAGGAGAGCGGATCACTTGAGGTCAGGGGTTTGAGACCAGCCTGGCCAACATGGTGAAACCCTGTCTCTAATAAAACTACAAAAATTAGCCAGGCATGGTGGCCACACCTATAATCCCAACTACTCGGCAGGCTGAGGCAGGAGAACCATTTGAACCCAGGAGGTGGAGGTTTCAGTGAGCTGAGATCATGCCACTGCACTCCAGCCTGGGCAACCGAGTGAGACTGTCTCGAAAAAATTTTTTTAAGTTTATATATGTAAAGTACTTAGTACAATGTCTAGCACACATAAGGAACTCTGTTGTATTATTATTACTCCATAACAATAACAGGCAATATTTATTGAGCACTTACTATGTGCCAGGTATCTGAAAGCTTCACTTGAAATATCTCATTTAGTCTTTGTAACAGCCTTTTGAAACAGAAACTGTCATAAATTCCATCTTGCAGGTGAGGAACATTGTGTCCAAAATCACATAGCAAAGTATATAACGAAGCCAGGACATTGACAAAGGCAGCCAGATGCCAGGAGTGGGCACCCAGCAGCAGAGGCAGATGCAGACCCAGCAGAGGACACCTCTGTTGGGATCTTCATGGGAGAAGTCTCAAAACTCCTGGCCAAATACTGCCATTTCCTCAGCTCTCCCAAGTCCGGCCCAAATCTTCAGGGGAGTCAAATCCTACTCTTCCTCCAGCAGCCTGGGAGAATGCAAAATGTTAGATTTCTAGCAAGTTCAAAGGCTCTGTGCCCTGCCTTGTGGATCACTGTTGAAGAGACCAACATATTTT
The DNA here is from genome assembly GCF_000001405.40 of Homo sapiens. Classification (NCBI taxonomy): domain Eukaryota; kingdom Metazoa; phylum Chordata; class Mammalia; order Primates; family Hominidae; genus Homo; species Homo sapiens. Next base: position 25,982,162 of record NC_000004.12, on the reverse strand, counting down.
GTTCTTGCAGGGCCAATGGGCAAATCTCAGAGAAGCAGAACAGAAGGTATTTCTTCCTCATGCTCACAAGAAGAGAGGCCAGTGCTTATAAGATTGCCTCGTGATAGTTTTGGTGATGTGCCATTTCTTTCCACTCAGAAGAGGATGGACAGTGGGTACTGGCATGGAGCTGTAATGTCATCACAGGTGGCTCCTGATAATGCCACAAAAATAGCAGGCCTGGCAGAGGGTGCAGTGACGCAAGTCAGGGTGAGTCGTGGCTGTCAGAACTCATTCAATATCTGTCTTCCTGACAGCTCCTTCTGCTGGGCTCTCCAGGGCAATTCTGGCTGGTTCTTAGTGTCAAGACCACTCCTGGGCACTTCTTTGCAGAAGGCCAATTTTGCCTCTGAGGCTTCTTCTCTACTTTCTTTGTGCTGTATCAGTTGGGATACTTTGGGTTGCAAGCAACAGAGATCCTAAAAAAAAAAAAAAATAGTGGCTTAAACAAGACTGCAGCTTATTTCTTCCTCATATGAAGTCCCAGAAGTCAGCATTCTGGGGTTGGTGGGGTGCTTGACTAAGCCCTCAGGAACCCAGCCTCCTTCCAGTTCAGACTTCTACCTTCCCCAGATCCAGTATTGTCCTTGTGGGGGACAGGGACACAGCTAGAGCACCAGACCTCACATTCATGTTCCTAATAGGTGGGTGGGGGAGAAAGGCATAGAGAAGAAGGTGCTTATCAACCAACTTTTAAGGAAGGTCCCTGAAAGAGCCTTATGACAGTTTTGCCTACTTCCTATTGGCCAAAAGTTAATAAAGTTAATCATTTTGGCCACACAGATGCAAAGCAAGCTGGGAAACGTAATCCTTATTTGGGATGGTCAGGGCCCAGTTAAAAATTGTGGGATCTATTTTTATGGAAGAAAGGGAAAATTGAAACATTTTCATGGGGCTATCTAACAATTTGAACCACATCTCCTCACCACCAAACTTTCCAACGGAAGAGAAATGAACATTTTCTGTAATGTGCTGGGCATCATAAACTTCCCCATTAGCTAAGTCACCCAGTCAATGAAGAAAAAATGTAGAGGAGTCAGTAAGTGTAGAGTCTCTAATCCTAATTTAATTCATTTACGAATGGTGATATCAAGTAACTAAACTTCAGTTTTCTAATAAAGAAAATGGGGATCATGATACCTGTGTCATAGAATTGTTATGAGGATTAAAGAGAGTAGATAAAGTTCCTGGTATGCAGTTTGTGTCTCTAGCTTTGCCAAGTTACTTAGTGTCTCTGAGCCTTAGTTTCCTCATTGATAAAATAAAGATCTGCTTTATAAGTTTGTGATGAGGATTAGATGAGCTAATGGATATAAAGTGTTTAGCACAAGGCTTAGCTTTTACAAAAACATAGCCAGGCATGGTGGCTTGTGGCTTGTGCCTGTAATCCCAGCTACTTGGGAGGCTGGGGCAGGAGGATCAATTGAGGCCAGGAGTTTGAGACCAGCCTGGGCAGCATAGTGTGACACTGTTTCTAAAGTTTTATTTTTAATTAGCCAGGCATAGTAGTATGTGACTGTAGTCTTAGTTGCTTCAGAGGCTAAGGCAGGAGGATCACTTGAACCCAGCTGTTTGAGGCTGCAGTGAGCTATGACTGCACTCCAGCCTGGGTAACAGAGTGAAACCACATCTCTAGAAAAATTTTTTTAAAAAATGAAAACACAACAAGTGGGGCTGCTATTATTTAGGACTCCCTAAGTTCCTGCGGGAGATCAAAATATTTTCACAAAGCTAAAAACATGTCTTTTATAAAATATAGAACGAACACATATCAAAGTCTTATTACTCAAGACGGCAAAGCCGATTTCAATAATATTTGAGATATTGATAGGTAAGAGAAAAAAAAGACAGAGGCTGTTCGAATAAGATTGGTAGTTAGGTACAAAAATGGTTAATGGTCTACATGGCAATAAAGCCATAGCTTATCTTTTCTACCAGGAAGAAATTATTTCCATCTCTGCAGAATGAAAGTCTGTGTGATAATTACATGTGATATTCAGTATTTAATAGTAAATAGCAAAGTCAAATGTAGATAAGTTCTCCTAGAGAATTAAGTGATCCTTGGTGAAACTGGATGTGTCAGCATGACACTGAAAGGGCAATGCAGAAGACTGCACCCAAACATGGCATAAAAGCCCAGCATGGTGCCACATGCCTGTGGTCTCAGCTACACTGGAGGCTGAGGCTAGAGGATCACTTGAGCCCAGGAATTTGAGTCCAGCCTGGGCAACATAGTAAGACTCTGCCTTAAAACAAACAAACAAACAACACATGAAAAGCTCATAAATATACACAATTATGATTTGTCAATTAAAAGTAAAGTGTTTTAAAAGCATGTAGTCTTTTTTCTTGCTCTATTTCCAAGTTTGAAAATGTTTCCTTAACAGAAGTAATTCTCAATTGTTGAAGAGGCATTTGCTGATTTCTTAATGGCGACCTGCAGGAGAATAAGGAAGGGTTCGTACGCTTAGGTTGTCACTGTCTGTCTGGGGTATGTGTGTGTGGGCAGGGGTGGATGCGGCAGGAAAAAGGGAGAGTGACTTCACAAGTAAATACAGTTACCCCTTGGTATAAAGGAATGATTGTTCCCGTACCCCCATATGCTGAAATTTGTGCATAACAAAGTCACATCGTGGCCCCTGCGGAATCCACGTATACATGAAAAGTTGGCCCTCCGCATCTGCGGGTTTCCAATCCAGAGGATACTGTATTTTCTTTCTTTTTCTTCTTTTTAAAAATTATTTTAAAAATTATTATTTTTTAAATTATTTAATATTTTTTTAAATTATTGTCTTTTGGCTGGGTGCAGTGGCTCACACCTGTAATCCCAGCACTTTGGGAGGCCGAGGCAGGTGGATCACGAGGTCAGGAGATCGAGACCATCCTGGCTAACATGGTGAAACCCCGTCTCTACTAAAATACAAAAAAAAAAGTTAGCCAGGTGTGGTGGCGGGCGCCTGTAGTCCCAGCTACTCGGGAGGCTGAGGAAGGAGAATGGCATGAACCCGGGAGGCGGAGCTTGCAGTCAGCTGAGATCGCGCCACTGCACTCCAGCCTGGGCGACAGAGCGAGACTCCGTCTCAAAAAAAAAAAAAAAAAAAAAAAATTATTGTCTTTTTTTTTTGAGACGGAGTCTCGCTCTGTCGCCCAGGCTGGAGTGCAGTGGCGCGATCTCGGCTCACTGCAACCTCTAACCCCTGGGTTCAAGTGATTCTCCTGCCTCAGCCTCTCGAGTAGCTGGGACTACAGTTGCGCACAACCACGTCCGGCTAATTTTTGTATTTTTGGTAGAGACGGGGTTTTGCCTTGTTGGCCAGGCTGGTCTCAAACTCCTAACCTCAGGTGATCCACCCGCCTTGGCGTCTCAAAGTGTGGGGATTACAGGAGTGAGCTATCGCGCCTGGCCAGAATACTGTATTTTTGATCTGCGTTTGGTTGAAAGAAAAAATCCGTGTATAAGTGGCCCTGTGCAGTTAAAACGCATGTTGTTTGAAGGTCAACTGTAACTGACCTTACTATGTGAACTCGATGATGGCCATCCAACCCTGGGAAGACGTCCAGGGAAGTGGAAAGATGAGGAGGTAGGTGAGGAAATCGCTGAGAAATGGCACAGAGAGAGGGTGGGGTTTGGCATAGCCTGGAAGCTGCACGCAGCTCCTCTGGCCACTGCAGCTTTCTCATGTTTTTACAGATGAGAGGTTAATTAACTTGCTCTAAGTCCCAGGGTAGTGAGTGGAAGGACTGAGATGGTAAAAAATCCATTCTCTTTCCCCACACCACCTTTCCTCTCCTTGCTTTTTAAAATCTGCCTTCCAGGGACAAAAGGTCTGCGCTCAGTCACTTGCATTTTAGTATTCATTTAAACCAGTACTTTGCTTCTCCTGGGGCATTTTGAATTTTCAGCCTTGTCGTTCTGAGCTGGAATGAAAGGTGTTGGCCAGTGTTAAAGGAGATTCTCAGCAGCAGGAGTGGTGTTGGAGGGGAGGGAGCTTCCTCCCGGTCCCTGAAACCCCAGCACCCCCAGGGAGACAGGCTGAAGCTGTTTAGCAACCAACAATCAGAGAGAGACAGGAGCAGGTAGAGGCCCTGCCTGCTTTATCACCCAGATGTCGGCTCCTCTTACAAGCCAGTTAGGTTTAATGAGAAAATGTAGGCCTCCAGGCCCAAAGATGGAGGTAACAGGATCCTCTGAAATATTCAGACTTATCAAATTGGATGTGGTTTAATTGCTTGAGTAGTTATTATAGACTAGCCCCGGCCTGAGTGGAGCCTGAGATCATTGGTGATAGGAGGTGGGGAGGCGCAGGGAGGGGAGCTGGGGGAGGACAGGTTAAACTCAATAGCTCTCATCATTCCATACTTTAAAATTCTTTATCAGTGAAGTCTCTGAGGCATATGGCTGGGAAGAAAATATGATTCATTTCACCCAGCGTCTAAATAATTCATAGTCAGAGGCCACCAGTCCACTTCTCTCCCATGATGCCAGCCTTGTTTAAGTCCTGACGTTCCACTGAGTCTTGCCATTGCCTCCTCCCCACCACCCCTCACGTCGCCTGCTCACAGCCCATCCTTGTGGGCTACAGGGCTCCTCTTCCTTCGCCCAGTCTTCTGAAGTCCCCCAGCTCAGGTCCAACCGCAACTTTCCTGGACTTCTTGGGCGCCAGAGGAGGGGACAGCGTGGTTTCTGTCTCCCCATCAACCCTTTCCTCTTCCATTCATGTAACAGATACGTATCTTGAGTACTCTCCTGTTTCCTGTTCTCGTGGAACTTCCATTCTAGCAGAAGAGCTGTTCCTCCTCCACTCCAGTCATGTAATGGAGAAGGTACCACCACTTCACATGAAGCTACTCACTTATTCAGTCAAGAAGTACTGCCAAGAGCCTGCTACATGGCAGGCGCTGGGGGAGGCACTGGGAGTGCAACAGAAAGAAAACAGACAAAGCTCTTGCTCCCTTGGAATTTACCTTCTAAAGGGGTTAAGGTAGACTATAAACAAATAAATCTAAGGTGTCAGGTAGTCAGAATTTCAGGGAAGGACATAAAAGAGATGGTACAGTGAGTGACACTAGTGTAGATACAGCAGCCAGGGAAGCACGCTCTACCGCGGTGGCATTTGGGCAGACCTGAAGGAGGTGGGGGCCAGGTGGATGAGCAGTTTACAGATAGAGGGCGTCTGAGGGCCAGCACAAGCCTTGGTATTGATCCTTACGGCTATTCTTTGAGATGGGTGGGGTATCAAGGGAACCTGCCCCCGATTTCATGTAGGTTCTTTTCTGTTTTCCCTAAGCGTCAGCCAGTTTGAGAAATAAAGAGACAGAGTACAAAAGAGAGAAATTTTAAAGCTGGGCGTCCGGGGGAGTCATCACATGTCGGTAGGTTCCGTGATGCCCCCTGAGCCTTAAAACCAGCAAGTTTCTACTAGTGATTTTCAAAAGAGCAGGGAGTGTACGAATAGGGTGTAGGTCACAGAGATCATGTGCTTCACAAGGTAATAGAATATCACAAGGCAAATGGAGGCAGGGCGAGATCACAGGACCACAGGACCGGGCGAAATTAAAATTGCTAATGAAGTTTCGGCACGCATTGTCACTGATAACATCTTATCAGGAGACAGGGTTTGAGAGCAGACAACCGGTCTGACCAAAATTTATTAGGCGGGAATTTCTTCGTCCTAATAAGCCTGGGAGCACTATGGGAGACTGGGGCTTATTTCATCCCTACAGTTTTGACCATAGAAGATGGCTGCACCCACGGGGGCCATTTTAGAGGCCTACCCTCAGGGACGCATTCTGTTTCTCAGGGATGTTCCTTGCTGAGAAAAAGAATTCAGCAATATTTCTCCCATTTGCTTTTGAAAGAAAAGAAATATGGCTCTGTTCCACCTGGCTCACCAGCGGTCAGAGTTTAAGGTTATCTCTCTTGTTCCCTGAACATTGCTGTTATCCTGTTCTTTTTTCAAGGTGCCCAGATTTCATATTGTTCAAACACACATGCTCTACAAACAATTTATGCAGTTAACACAATCATCACAGGGTCCTGAGGCGACATACGTCCTCCTCAGCTTACGAAAATGACGGGATTAAGAGATTAAAGTAAAGACAGGCATAGGAAATCACAAGGGTATTGATTGGGGAAATGATAAGTGTCCATGAAATCTTCACAATTTATGTTCAGAGATTGCAGGAAAGACAGGAGTAAGAAATTATAAAAGTATTAATTTGGGGACCTAATAAATGTCCATGAAATCTTCACAATTTATGTTCTTCTGCCATGGCTTCAGCCGGTCCCTCTGTTTGGGGTCCCTGACTTCCCGCAATGGTGGGGCAGCTTCCATGGTCTTGTCTGATGGATGAAGAAACTCAGCTTCAGATAAATGACCTGAAATGATCCATCAGAAGCCATGGCATCCAGCATGGAGCCCACAGCTTCCCTTTGTAGAATTGCCCAGTTGTTGCAGAGTGCTTTGGTCTCAATGGGTCTAAAGCTCTTGATGATATAAGAGCTTCAACTTCCTTTTCCCTCTCCTCCCCGCAGGCTGCACAATGTCCTGGTGAATCACCTGGGACTTCAGAGCTCTGCCACCCTGGGTGTGAAGCTCAGGTCTGCTCTTGGTAGCTTGGTCAGTGTGAAGTACACCGTGATTTTGGGCAAGCTGCTTAACCTCCCTGGCCCTCCGTTTCCTCATCTGTAGAATGGGGATATTCACAGAACCTACTTGTAGGGCCATGGTGAGGATTAAATGATGAACAGTGCTGGCAAACAGGAAATGCTATATAAGTGTCCCTAGCAATATACACACCGCACATCCTCAGTCACCACGTGTGTTCACTGAGGTATGGGCCATGTGTGGGTGGAATTGTGTTCCCTAAAAAGATATGTTGATGTGCTAACTTGAGGTCCCTGTGAATGCAGGAAACCAAAATATTTCTTCTCAAAATAGTGAGGATTGTTAAGTTAAAGACACTGAAAATGCAGGGGAACACTGCCTTGGCCTCTACTTGCCTGATGACAGGCACGAATCCTTCCTTACTTAAGACACATCACTTGCTTATCAGCCCAGAGAAAGCACCTGCAGGCACCAGGAAAATCTAGGAACAGATTTTACTCTCTTCCCACATTTTCCCACTTTTTCAAACACTGAAACTGCTCTCTCCTTTGTCTTGTCACTAGATAGGATTTATGGCTCTTTGTTAAAATATTGTTTAAGCAAGGCTTCTACGCCACTAGCTTGAGAGAGAAATACTTTTGAACTGAGGCCTCTTCCGCATGATAGGCAGAGCATGCATTAATACATTTCTGCTTGTTTCTCTTTTGTTAATCTGACTTTTGTTTTCCAGAGTGTCTCAAATAAGAACATAAAAGGGAGGGGAGAAATTATAGTTTCTCCCCTACATGAACTTATTCGGATATAGGGTCTTTGCAGATGTAATCAAGTTAAGATGAAGTCATATTTGATTAGGATAGGCCCTAATTAAATATGGTTGCTGTCTTTATAAAATGAGAAGAAGAGACCAGGTGTGGTGGCTCACACCTATAATCCCAGAACTTTGGGATGCCAAGGCAGGAGGATTGCTTGAGGCCAGGAGTTTGAGACTAGCCTGGGCAACACAGCAAGACTCCATCTCCAAAAAAATTAAAAATTAGCTGGGCATGGTGGCATGCACCTGTAGCCCCAGCTACTTGGTGGGCTGAGGCAGGAGGATCAATTGATCCCAAGAGTTCAAAGCTGCAGTGAGCTATGATGGCACCACGGCAACCTGGGTGACAGAGCGAGACCCTGTCTCTTAAAGAAGAAAAAAAGAGGAGAAAAAAACAGAGACACAGAAAAAAGTCCTTGGGATGATAAATGCAGAAATTGGAGCCATATATCCACAAGACAAGGAACCACCAGGATTCTTGGGAACTCCAGAAGCTAAGAAGAGGGCATGGAACAGGTTCTACCCTAGGGCCTTCAGAGGGAGCGCAGCCCTGCAGACACCCTGAGTTCAGACTTCTGGCCTCCAGAACTGCGAAAGAATAACTTTCTGTTGTTACAGCAGCCCTAAGGCACTAGTACAGGTGACATGTATTGCTCTTCTGAAGAGCAGGGTGTCTACAGCGGCAGAGGTCTGGGTCCTGGCACGTGCCCTTTAGGATTCCAATATCCTTAGGGGCCTGCTGGTGCTGACAGTTCCAGAACCATAAGACAGAATTCCTGCGGGCCAGTTTGGAAGCAGAGACAGGAAACTGGAAGAGCCCTTAGCCTGTGCTTGGGCTTAAAGCCCTTTAGCTTGTGGCTTTAACTCTGAAACTTCTAGAGGGCATCTTGCAGGTCAGTGTGAGGTACAGAAGTTGTCACAAGCTTCCTGGCTCAAAGAAAGTGAGACTTCACGAACTTTTCTGGACATCACACCAGCACTTATGAAGTTATCTTGTTAAGCACAGATGAAATCAGAAATACAGGCATTCACCATCACTTAAACAAAGCTCAGATTGTAGAGTGCGAGGAAGAATCGGTGGGATCTGGCCAGGATTTGGTCCTACGTGCCAGAGGACTGACACAAGACAGGGAACAGATTCCACGGGCCCCTGGCAGCCTCCCACCTCTCAATAAAAATATCAGTACTGGCGAAAATAAAACCGCACAGGCAGACGCAATATCATTTCCCCATGGACATTCAGAATTATTGCATCTTATGGGTGGAAGGGACTTTAAAAGCCAACCTGTATCTTACAGCTGTTGAAAGCAAGGGCTTTGGAGGAAGACTGATCTGGGGTTGCATCCTGGCTCCTTGACTCTAGGGAATGACAGCTCTAAGTTTTGTGCCTTTGGGCTTGTTTCCTTTTCCGTAAAACAGGACAAGGCACTAATATTCTGGGCTCTAAAAGTGCTTATAAAATGCTTAGCATAGTTGCTGACTTATCACAAATACTGAGAAAGTGGTAGGTCTTATGAGGATTGTTGTCATTTCATCCAACTCCATAGCAATGCTGGCTTCCCCTTTGTAAAGGGGATCCTGCCTATATTCAAATGTTGCCAGCCATGGCTCTCTGAACACCTCTACTTAGAACCTCCTTTGCTGCAGGAAGATGATTCCTTGTAAAGAAGCTTCCCTTGGATGAAATTGCCCACTAAGTTTGCAGCACTGTTAAATGATTAGGGGCATGGGCCCTAGCCCTACATTCAAATCCCAGCTCTTTCACTTAGGAAGCTTGATGTCCTTGAGCAAATTACTTAGCCTTTCCGGTAACTAATGGTCACAATGGTTCTATCACTCAACCTTTCAGTGCCTCAGTGTCTTAAGCTGGCAGATAATGATGATGATGGTAGTACCTACCCCATTTAGTTGTCATAAAGTTTGAATTAGGGAACATATATAAGGCATTTAGAAGAAAGCCTGACATACAGCAGGTACTCAATAACTAGGTATTATTGATGTAACTTCCATCCCTCGATTTGATCTTATTATGTCCCCCCCAAGATTTGTTTTCAATTTCAATAAACTGCATCTGAATTAGGCCAGAGACCATCAGATCACCAGCCCCAGCCCTGGAATTGGGATGGCTTCATGGACATGTGACCTGTGCCCTTGACCAGGGCCCCGTGCTCAAGGGCCCACTCTTGCTTTAATCCTCTTCAGTCTCCATCTTGAAGTTCTTAATAATTTTTGAGTAAGGTGGCCCACAATCTCATTTTACACTGGCCTCAAAAATTCTATAACTGGCCCTCCCTGGAATACTGGTATCGCTGGTTTCTTGCCTTCATGCGTGAGCAGGGTTAGGAAGCAGGGGCTGCCTCAGCAGAGCTTTGTTCTCCTCGTAGCTCTTCCACTCCGTGCAGCAGGTTGGTAATCTTGGGGCTCCATTGTTCGGGTAACCCCCTCCCTTTTCTCCCACCCACCTTTCTTCTCCTTGTCCCCTGGTTTCCACCCTTCCTTCCAACTCTTGCTGCTTCTGCTTGGTAGCCAAGCTCAGAGGTGTTTGCCCTGCTCCAGACCCAGGGCCTGGGCCACCAGAGGGGTTCACCTCCTTCTTCTGGCTTGCCTCTCTCCTTCCCCTGGTGATGGTGGAAATCTTTTTGCTGGCTTGCAATGGTGAGAATGACACTGTCTTTGAAGGAATGGGAACTCATAAAAGTTATAGAGTAAGATTTCCAGTTTCTTGGCCTAGAGGTGGGGTGTAAGGGTTAGCAGAGGGTTCCTGATGAGAGCTGCTTGAGTGAAGGATCAGCGGGCATGGGGCTTTGCTCTCAGTCACCAAGGGAATAAGAATAATCTGTTCTCATGCATCAAACAGGAGAGTTTGCTCCCCATCTTTTCCATGAGGACAACTCTCCAGGATGACATTCTCTCCTTCTCTAGTGTCTAACATAAAACGGCATTAGTTCTTAGCAGACACAGCCACCACCGGGAATTGTTTGGTCCTGCTTGCTGCTTAAGAAAATCTGCAGGAGAAAGGAAGTAGATTCAAGATGAAACAAGGCAGTGTGTTCTTTAAGATGCAGAAAAAGCGCTAAGGGACTTATGTTTGGAGAAGACTCTTGTCCCACCAAATGGAAGAAAGATGCCAGGAAGATAAAGCACAAGCGGCCTGCCGCGATGCAGAGCTGGAAACACTTCACTGGCTGGCAGGATGAGAAAAGGGGTCATCCGGAGCTCTGCCTGTGCCATGGGGGCATCCCTGGGGCTGGGGCTCAGCCAAGATTGCCTCAGTAAAAAGGGGGAAATGAGGCCTTGGAATTCCTTTCATGCTGCTTGACTGCCAGGCCCCCAGGGTTCTTGCAATCAGGCACAGAGCCCGAGACTCCTAAGAACTGCAGATAGGGCACTGGGATAATCCTCCTTCCATTTCACAATGAGTGAACTGGCTCTCAGCTGGAAGAACTGCTTCCCAAGGCACACTCTGGGCCTGACTCCTTTAATCACCATGGAGGCAAAGTCTCCTTCAGGTTCCCCTGGTAACCAGACTCCTCACGTGGGCTCCAGGCTAGCCCTGAGGGCATCTCCAAGTGACTGCCCACTGGAAGGGCAGGGCTGTCCCAGACTCCTGGTCTTGCTCCAGCCACCAGAATCTGCTCCATGGACTGAGAGCCTGGAGGTCTGAAGCAGAGTCTCAGCGGCTAGTGACAGTCTCCAAAGCCCAGCGCACTTCACCAACATAGGCCCCAGTGGCAGGAAGACCTGATGTTGTGGGAATGTTTACTCAGCCACCTCAGAGAGTCAGAAAGGCAGCTGTTCTAACCGCACCATGTCCCGGGATGTGAAACTGGGACTTGATCCAGAGGAGGCTGGTGGGGCAGTTACCTTCCCCAAGGTCAAGCCTTGGGCTAGGGCTATTAAGTTGGCAGGCTCATCCTGGGGCTCAGGAATGCCATGGAGACTTCACCCTGCAGGGCTGATGGGTGGAGAAGGAAAACCCCAGCTCCTGACAGGCATTGGGGTGGTGGCAAGAAGAGACCGGGCTTGGTTAAAGGCACACAACTTGAGTCTTGGCGTTGCCACCGACTCCCTGGCTGAGTGTGGATGGGCCACTTCCCCTCTCTCAGCCTGGTTTTTGAGGGGCTGGAGGAGCTGGAGCAGCTTCCTAAGGGAGCTTCCAGCTCCGGTTTTTGATGATTTGAGTTTCCGGTGTCCTGAGCTGCAGATGGCATGTGGGGAATGAGGAAGCTGTAGAGAGCTGACTGGTGATTTCCCCGGAGAGTCTACGGCTGTTGGGGAAGCTCCCACTACCACAGACAGCCCGGGCCCCACTTGGCAGCCCTGGGCCTCGGATCAACTGAAATGTGTAGGGGGAAGCGAGATGAGCTCATTAGATCCACCTGTGCAAATCAGCGCCTTTCACAGCTGAGTGTCCTGGGGAGGGGAGGGTTGAGAAGGCAGCTCAGCCAGGCAGGAAGCCCCGCATCGGAAGACGAGGCTGACACCAAAATGAGGATGGTAGAAGCATATTTAATGACACGGAAAAATGTTCAGTGGTAGGTTAAAAAAAATGCAGGTTATAAAAAGCAGCATATGTAGGACAATCCTCTTTATGGGGAAGAAATATTTCCCTCTAAAGTAGACACACACACGCACACGCACACACACACACACACACACAAGAAAAGGCCCTAAAATTCAAGGAGTGATTATCTCGGGGTGCTGGGATTTCCTGTGGCTTTTATTTTCTTCCTTTGTGCTTTTCTGTATTTTCCAAGGTTTTGTAATGATTCAAAAAAGACTTTTTTCACAGAATGCTTGGCGTATTAACCTGCCAAATACACTGGCCTCACGGACACTTCCTTTTCCCGGGGAAGGTCCTGCCCACAGCTCTACTGAGGGTCCAGTCCTTAGGCGGCCAAGTCTTAATTTATGCACAACCATAGCAGCTTCGAAATTTCAGTATTGGAGAGACTTAAGAAGACAATCTGATTGCAAAGGAGAAATTGAAGTTATATTTAAAATAAAGTTAAGACAATGTCAATTGTCCATATGAAGGAATAGGAGACAGGCTACAGCTTCCCCACTCTTCTCCTTGGGGTCGGCCATTAAACCTTCCGCTATGCTCCTGCCCCATCTCCCTTCTGATTGGACAGGGGGTGATCAGCTGACCCGAGTGCAGCCAATCCACCCAGGAGCCTGTGCCTTATGCAAAAAAAGATGGCCGGGTCATTAAATTCATCCCTGGCGGATTTGAACTGAGAAATTAGGCAAGTGCCAGACAGTTAGCAGTGGGAATAGTAAATGAAGGGCTGTAGGGAGAGACAGCAGGAGCAGAGAGCCATGAGGAGATACAGATGGTGTGCATCATGGAACAGTAGAAATAATTACTAAAATGACTAAATAAAAAGCATGAAAAAGGCAGAGATATGAGATTTTTTTCCTCCAGACGGAATCTTGCTCTGTTGCCCAGAGCTAAGAAATTCTACAACAGCTTCCCAGGCATGGGTTAAGAAGACCTAGAAAACTCCTATGCCTGTTTAACATCAACTCCACCATTATGGCTTCATTGGACAACCATTATTGAGTTTACACTATGCTAGACACTATACCCAAGAGATATCTCAGTGGAGTGCAGGGGCGGATCTCAGCTCACTGCAAGCTCTGCCTCCCCGGTTCAAGCAATTCTCTTGCCTCAGCCTCTCGAGTAGCTGGGATTACAGGCACATGCCACCATGCCCGGCTAATTTTTGTATTTTTAGTAGAAACGGGGTTTCACCGTATTGGCCAGGCTGATACTCCTGACCTCAGGTGATCCACCCGCCTGGGCCTCCCAAAGTGCTGGGATTACAGGCATGAGCCACCACGCCCGGCTGAGATTTTTTAAAAGGATATAGAGATTAGAGGAAAGGATAAGTCAAATGGTAACAAGAAGAGCACAGAACAAAAGTGAAAGAGACCAGGGTGGCCCCGTTTCTTCATTTGAGTTCCCTCAGGAGCAGACTCTGAGACAACAATTTCCGTGCAAGTGGTTTATTTGGGAAGTGGTCTCAGGAAACTGCAGAAGAGGACTTGGGGAAGTGATACCAGGAAGGGAAGGCAGCCAGTAAGTGGTGCATTACTGAGCCAGCCACAGAAGGCAGTGACTGGAGCTTAACCCAGGGGGAAACTGTGTCATATGCATACCTCAGAACTCTCCCCAGCCAGGAGGTGAGGGAGTTAGGATATTTATATAGCAACTCCTGAGAGTCTGGTTGAGGACTGCTCCCATAGCACTTGATTCCCTGGAATTCAAACCCTGTGCTTGTGGAAAGAGCTGCCTTCCACGGCTCCAGGAAAAAATTCCCTAGACACAGAGATGCAGATATACTGGCAGCTGCAATGATCAGAAGCACACGGAAAGCTCTGAGGAATACAGATGAGGCTCTGGAAATGTCTGCCTCATCAAGAGAGAGGACCCATACACAGATAGATGGATCCTACAGTCCATTTGAGATGGTGAGAGAGTGCTAGCCCCTGAGCACTTTCTTTTTTACAGCTTCTTGGTTCTTCAGCTTCATACAGTATGTCCCCAAGACTTGAGCCAAGTGGAGGGACCCCAACTAAGATGAAGAACCTGGGAAGAGGCACCCCTCTTCCCTAGGACTCCACACCCTCCCCAGCCTCCCACAGGGAAAGAACTGTTCTATATTATCTAGGGTCACAAGCCATAAAAGATTGTCACCTTGGATTGATTCTTTTTTTTTTAAATAGAGTTGAGGTCTTGCTCTGTTGCCCAGGCTGGTCTTGAACTCCTGGACTCAAGCAGTCTTCCTGCCTCGGCCTCCCAAAGTGCTGGGATTATAGGCATTGACGGATTCTTAATACAGATTTTAGATTCTCATATAGACCCCTAACATTCCCTCCCCTAATACCCAATGACCATGCTAAGAAATTCTACAACAGCTTCCCAGGCATGGGTTAAGAAGACCCAGAAAACTCCTATGTCTGTTTATCATCAACTCCACCATTATGGCTTCATTGGACAAACATCATTGAGTTTACACTATGCTAGACACTATACCTAAGAGACATCTCAGTCTGGAAGGAAGCGGACACATACATTAAGAATTTCCTCAGAATGCGGCAAATGTTAAAATGGAGCTGTGTTGACATGGTGGGGAGCATTAAGGCAGAACACATGAATTCAGCTTATGGGAATTCAAGAAGGCTTCACGGAAGGAGTGGCTTTTGGATCAGGTCTTGAGGGATGAGTAAATGTTTAGCAAGAGGGAAGGCTGGGGGATATAGGAAGTGAGACCCAGTCAGGCAGGAGGTATAGCCAAGCAAAAGCTCTGGGCTAGGAAAGAGTCTGGTGGCTTGGAGCACGGACAGAGACAGCAAAGGCTAAAAGAGAGGTGAGACTAGGGAGGCCCCCGCACTGGTGGTGAAGGGCTTTACATATTGAGCTGAGTGTTAACTGTATTCAGTGATTACTGAGGACCCACAGAAGGTTGTCCATGGGAACTATAAAGAGCAAAATCCCTGGAAAGGTAATCATCAGTTCTTAGAGATACTTTCCCACCAGAGCACTGAGCAAACATCATATCAAAAGTTTCTTTTCTTATATTTGCTAAGCACCTGCTATGTACATAGCACTGACTAGGCACTATGGGAATGCAAAGAGTTCTCATGCACCAATACCCAGCTAATGCCACTTAAGAATAACTGGAGAAAGGCCGGGCGTGGTGGCTAATGCCTGTAATCCCAGCACTTTGAGAGGGTGAGGTGGGCGGATCATGAGGTTAGGAGTTCGAGACCAGCCTGACCAATATGGTGAAACCCCGTCTCTACTAAAAATACAAAAATTAGCCAAGCGTGGTGGCGCGTGCCTGTAATCCCAGCTACTCAGGAGGCTGAGGCAGGAGAATCACTTGAACCTGGGAGGCAGAGGTTGCAGTGAGCTGAGATTGCACCACTGCACTCCAGCCTGGGTGACAGAGGGAGACTCTGTCTCAAAAAAAAAAAAAAAAAGAATAACTGGAGAGACAAACCCAATAGGCCTAAGATTAAAGAGTTACTGTGGTGAGGGGCAAATATATATAATTTATCTTAAGAGCTATAGGAGGAGTTTTTAGGGAGAGAACTACTCTTTGTTCAGCAGAACATTGTATAAACCATTTGTTGAATAGTGAGTTGAATAGCGTGTCCCTCAAATATACATCTTCTTGGAACGTCAGAATGTGACCTTATTTGGAAATAAAGTCTTTGCAGATGTAATCAAGTGAAGATGAGATCATACTGGATTAGGATGGGCTCTAAATCTAACAAGACTCGCATCCTAATAAGGATTAAGAGGAAGATTTGGAGACACACAGACACACCTACAGGAATAAGGCCTTGTGACCACAGAAGCAGCAATTGGAGTGATGCAATTGTAAGCCAAGGAATGACAAGGATTGCCAGCAGTCACCAGAAGGTAGGAAGAGGCAAGGAAGGATGTTTCCTTAGATTCTTCCAAGGGAGCATGGCCCTGCTGACATCTTGATTCCAGCCTTTTAGCTTCCAGGACTGAGAGAATACATTTTTGTCATTTTAAGCCACCCAGTTTGTGGTAATTTTGTTGTAGGACTCTTTCCTTAGTTCAGCTAAAGATGGGGGTCCTTGTCACACGGTCACAAAAAATTTGGCTCACAGACAATTTGAAGGGTGAGGAGGGCAGAGTTTATTGGGTGAAAAGCACCAAAAAAAAAAAAGAAAAAAAAGAAAAAAAAGAAAGGGAAACAGGCACCCTCCACAAAGCCAGAGCAAGAATCCTGCTAGTATATGCTTTCCACCTCGCAACTTGAATCCCAGGTACCACCCAGGAAGAGAAGGGGGCAGGCTCCTCCCCGCGAACTTCTGTGGCTCCACCCCAGTGCACACTCCTTCCAGTGCGCATGCTGGTTGGAGTTTTTCTGGGGACTCTTTCCCATCTGGCTGTCTCAATTTGTCACAGCAAACTAATACACCATCTGAGTGAAAAGAAAGGACCCTGGACAAAATCTGAAAGAAGCTGAACAAAGGGAGGTCTGAACTTTTCTGTATGAGAAAATGAAGAGAAGCAGAGGAAGTAGAGGGGTGAGAGAATTGTAAGGAGTTAAGGGGAAAAAGAGGTCAACACCACAGCAGGAAGCCAGCATCTTAGGAGAAAACACAGCTAAGCTGGAATCCGCACCAACACAATTTGCTGAGGGGCTTTAAGAAAAGCAATGTTTAACTTGTTTGCTGAATTTTACGATGGCTGAGTAAATGACATTTGCACTTCCTTCTTTTCTCAAAAATCACCCTCAAACAACAAGATGAAAACCATCAAACAAATACATCTTTGATGCAGCATGGAGACCCTCTGTGACCCTCAACTACAATATGAGAAAATAGATGGAGGAAATTGAAGGAGGAATGACCAACCTCTTGGCAGAACCAAGGAGGGTAAACTTGATTGCCTGAGGGGATACTGAGGAGAATCGAATCCATTTGTCCACCCTGGAATGGGGGGCATTGAGTGTGCAAAAAGGAAGATGTGACTCTGAATAAAGTAGAGACATCTTTGAAGAAATGAATAAGGGGCAGTTAGACCTTCTAGGTCCCCATTCCTGCTTTACCAGTTAGGCAGCCATCCTCAACCACACCTCCAGTGTAGACGTGAGATATAAATTCTAGAAAAAATGAATCAGAGAAGACCTAGACTCAAGGACACCAGGCACAGAGGAAGGTGGGGCTGAGATGCTGAACTAAAAACAGGGGGAAAATGAAAATCTGTTGAATGGTGTTATCCCCAGGCCTCTTCTATTTTCTGTGTTTACAAGAGGCCTATAGATACTGACGTTAGGTATTCCCTATTGAAAGAATCAGTTAGTCCCTTAACCACTCATGAATAAGGCCCTTTAGTTGACAACTATCCTATTCCACTTTAACCACAGACATTCTAATAGTCTTTGAGCTTACAATGAGTTTTTGAGATCCTTGATATTAAGTAAAAACAGGAATCAGGGGTCATTAGAACATTTTGATTGGTCAAATGGAGCTCTAGGAAATTAAAAATATGAAGGCCAGAATTTAAAATTAATTAAAAGAGAAAGTCAAATATATTTATCAGAAAGTTAAAAAAAAATAGAAATGTTAACCCAGAAGGATCACCTTCCAGTGAATTCCTGAGAAAGAGAAAATAGTGACTATAATACAGTGGAAATTACTAAAGAAATAATATAATTTGCCCATCTATAATAATGTAAATATTATATATTATATAAATTTACTTGCTTACATAAATTGATTAATATATTTTATTCTTATGATTTGTTTCTTTAATGAATTTTTCCTTGAGGGAAATATCTTGTTGATTCTCATTCATATGCCCCCCAAACACAAAAAACAGCACTTCTTGTAAAGAAGGCATAATATTTGTTGATTAAACCAGATATTGAAAAGTGAGCTTCAAATTGATTTTCCTGTCTATGGTATATCTACCTCTAATCCCTTCTATTACTAGTTCTAAATTAATTCTCTAAGTCTCAGCTCAAACATGGCACGCACCTGTTCTAAATTACCGGTGATTATGTTTTTTCTACAGACAATTTAGCCCATACTGAAGCTCATTCCCCAGACTCATAAGCTTCTTGATCAAAAGGACCCACTGAATGCCCAGCACAATCGGTGAAAACAAATGCATCTTTGTGAAATGGCTAAAGACTAAAAGCTTCCTGAGAGAGAGACAGAGGAGAAAAAAGGGTCATATACAAAGGATGAGGACTAAGGATGGCATTTTACAGCAACCCTAGGAACTTAAAGACAATAGAGCAATGTCTTCAGAATTATAAGAAAAACGATAATTTTCAACCTAGAATTCTATATCCAGTCAAACTGTCAATACCTGTGAGCATACATATAGTAAGATATTTTCAGATATTCAAAGTCTCAAAATAGTTATTTCTATATTCCTTGAAGTTACTGAAAGATATTTCTTCGTCAAAATGAAGGAGCTACTAGCAATAGCTAATTCTTTTCTTGGTCAAAAAGAGAAAGATCTAGAAAATGAGAGCCACAGGAGAGAGGCAAAGGGAATTCCTTCAAGGAGGGTGAAGAAAAATCTCAGGGCTGTAACTGGGCCTGAGTAGGGAGTAGGAAGATGGGAGGCTGTCTGAGAGGAGAAAGGTGAGAAATAACAACAATAAATTATCTGGCAGACATGACCAAGTGGAAAATTGTATAAAAAGACATTAAACAGAGCCATAGTGGGATACAGGAAACTTAGTCACAGGCTCAAAAAAGTCAGCGAATAATGCAGTTATTAACTACAGAAACTTAAAGAGTTGCACAAAAGTAAATATGTTATCTGGGACACTGGAAGTCTCTGTAGTGAGTGAAACTAATACGATATAATGAGATGAATAAATACTCATCCCAGAGATGGAGGAAATAATGAATCCAGTGCAGAGGAGGAAATTATTAAAGAAATAAGGTAAGAAACTTTGCTCAAACTGAAAGGCTTGAGTTTCTTGATTTTAGGGATACATTGAATATTGAAAGCATTAAATATTGGTTTGACCAATAAATTGTGATAAAACTATATTTAGAGGTTTAACAAAGGGGCATAAGGCATTTTTAAAGAGCTAAATCTTCATGTACCAAAATAGAAAGCCAAGAGATAAAGTCTAAAATTGAATCAAGAATTGGCACTGTATTTACAGTAGAAGAAAAACCTAAAAGAATGGTTGCCTAAAAGATCGAGATGAAGAGATTATTGTTCTTTGTTTTTGTACAGTCGTAAGCTGTATAATGACATTTCGGTCAATGACTTACACATATATGACGATGGTTCCATAAGATCATAAAGGATCAGAAAAATTCTATTGCCTACTGATGTTATGGCCTTTGTACGGTAGTGCAATGCATTACTCATGTGTTCGTGGTGATGCTGCTGTGATGATACTACTGTGCTTCCAGTTGTATAAAAGTCAAGCTCATAGAATGATGTACAGTACATCAGGGATCCTCAACCCCAGGCCATGGACTGGTACCAGTCCGTGGCCTGTTGGGAACTGGGCCACACAGTAGGAGGTGAGCGGTGGGCAAACAAGCGAAGCTAAGCTCCGCCTCCTGTCAGATCAGCAGCAGCATTAGATTGTCATAGGAGCGAGAACCCTATTGTGAACTGCTCATGCGATTGATCTAGGTTGCACACTCCTTATGAGAATCTAATGCCTCTGAAACCATCCTCCTCCCTCCATCCAGTGGAACAATTGTCTTCCATGAAACCAATCCCTGGTGCCAAAAAGATTGGGGACTGCTGCCGTACATAATACTTGAAAATGATAATAAATGACTATGTTACTGGTTTATGTATTTACTATACTGTATGTTTTCTCACTCTTTTAGTGTATGCTCCTTCCACTTATTAAAAAATGTTAACTGTGAAACAGCCTCAGGCAGGTCCTTTGAGAGGTATCCAGAAGAAGGTATTGTTATCACAGGAGATGACAGCTCCATGTGCGTTATTGCCCTAAAGGCCTTCCAGTGGAACAAGATATGGGGGGAGAAGACAGTGATATTGATGATCCTGACCCTGTGTAGGCCTAGGCTAATGTGTGTGTTTGTGTCTTGGTTTTCAAGAAAAAAGTCTTCAAAGTTAAAAAAAAAAAAAAAAAAAAAGTGTTGGCCAAGCATGGTGACTCAATCCTAGCACTTTTGGGAGGCCAAGGTGGGAGGATTACTTGAGGCCAGGAGTTTGAGACCAGCCTGGCCAACATAGTGAGACCTCGTATCTAAAAATAATAAAAATAAATTAGCTAGGCATGGTGGTGTGCACCTGTAGTCCTAGCTACGTGGGAGGCTAAGGTGGGAGGATCGTTTGAGCCCAGGAGTTTGAGGCTGCAGTGAGCTATGTTTGTATCACTGCACTCCAGCCTGGGCAACAAAGTGAGACCTTGTCTCTGAAAAGAAAACATTGTTAAAAATAGGAAAAAGCTTCTAGACTAAGGATATAATAAAGAAATAAAATATTTTTGGAAAGGTATACAATGTGTGTTTTAAGCTGTGTTATTACAAGAGTCAAAACGTTAAAACAACTAAAAAGTTTATAAAGTATAAAAGTTATAGTAAGCTAATTTATTATTGAAGAAAATGTTTTATAAATTAGGTGTAGCCTAAGTGTAGTGTTTGTAAAGTCTACCGTGTTTATAAAGCAATGTCCTACGCCTTCATATTCACTACTCACTCACTCACTCACTCACTCACTCACTCACTCACTCACCCAGAGCAACTTCCCATCCTGCAAGCACTGTTCATGGTAAGTGCCTATATAAGTGTACCATTTTAAATCTTTTATACCATATTTTCACTGTACCTCTTCTGTTTAGATATGTTTAGATACACAAATACCTTTGTATTACAACTGCCCACAGTATTCAGTGCAGTAACATGCTGCACAGGTTTTTAGCCTAGGAGCAATAAGCTATACTATACAGCCTAGGCTTGTGTAAGTACGCTGCGATAGTCGCATGGCAAAATTGCCCAGTGACGCACTTAGCACGTATCCCTGTCATGAACTGACACATTGATGTAATTTTTAGCTTCTAATGACTTTTTAAACTCAGATAAAATACTTTGATTTTTAAAAATAGACATTATATATATATATATACACACATACACATATATAGAGGCATTTTTGTCTGTGTGTGTATATATATATATATTATATATATAAAATGTTTTGGCTGTGCTGCAATGTACTAGCCCAGGCCTTTTTTTTTTTCTTCCCAAGATGGAGTCTTGCTTTATCGCCTAGGCTGGAGTGCAGTGGCTCAACCTCTGCTCACTGCAACCTCCGCCTCCTGGGTTCAAGTGATTCTCCTGCCTCAGCCTTCCAAGTAGCTGGGATTACAGGTGCGTGAGCCACCATGCATGGCTAATTTTTTTTTTTTTTTTTTTTGAGACGTAGTCTCACTCTGTCGCCCAGGCTGGAGTGCAGTAGCGCTATTTCGGCTCACTGCAAGCTCCGCCTCCCAGGTTCACGCCATTCTCCTGCCTCAGCCTCCCGAGTAGCTGGGACTACAGGCACCCGCCACCACGCCAGACTAATTTTTTGTATTTTTAGTAGAGACAGGGTTTTACCCTCACAGCCAAGATGGTCTTGATCTCTTGACCTCGTGATCCGCCCACCTTGGCTTCCCAAAGTGCTGGGATTACAGGCTTGAGCCACCGCGCCCGGCCCTGGCTAATTTTTTTAGTTTTAGTAGAAATGGAGTTTCACCATGTTAGCCAGGCTAGTCTCGAACTCCTGACCTTGTGATCTGCCCGCCTCAGCTTCCCAAAGTGCTGGGATTACAGGCGTAAGCCACTGCGCCCGGCCAGCCCAAGCCTTTAGTAAAATTTGTATGTGCTGCTGTGGGAAATTCAAAGGAGAGGAGTGTTTTCAAGACTGGTAGGGAACAGCTGCCAGAGAACGGAACATGAGATGGTCAAGTCCAATCCCAAAACCCATCAGAACAATCATAGGAGGACCATGCTCTCTGTACAGCTGATAAAGTCAGTTCTCAGGCGGTTAACGAGGGCCACGGGAGGGCAGTCTGAAGAGAAAGCCATCAAATAGGCTTAGGCCAGCGTTCCTCAAACTGTCACATGCACACGAGTCACCTGGGGACTCTGGAAAAATGCAGATTCCATTCAATCGGATTTTGCATTTATGTATGTATGTAAGTATGTATGTATGTATTTACTGAGATGAGGTTTCACCATATTGCCCAGGCTGGTCTCAAACTCCTGAGCTCAGATGATTCACGCACCTTGGCCTCCCACAGTGCTGGAATTACAGGTGTGAGCCACCATGCCTGACCATATTCTGCATTTTTCTTTTCTTTTCTTACTTTCTTTCTTTTTTTTTGAGATGGAGTCTCACTCTTGTTTCCCAGGCTGGAGTGCAATGGCACGATGTCGGCTTACTGCAACCTCCACCTCCCAGGTTCAAGCAATTTCCCTGCCTCAGCCTCCCAAGTAGCTGGGATTACAGGCTTGTGCCACCATGCCCGGATAATTTTTTTTTGTATTTTTAGTAGAGATGGGGTTTCACCATGTTGGCCAGGCTGGTCTCGAACTCCTGACCTCAGGTGATCTGCCTGCCTCGGCCTCCCATGCCTGCTGGGATTACAGGCGTGAGCCACCATGACTGACTGGATTCTGCATTTCTAACAAACTCTCAGGTGATGCAAAGGCTGCTGGGTTGCAGACCACCCCTTGAGTAGCAAAGTTGTGGGCTGAAGAAGTCTAAGAGCACAAGAAGGATTTGACCTGGGGCCATGATGGCCTAGGAAGGGGGAAGAACATGTCTGGGGCAGTCGGGCCTAAGTTCATGGGACAAAGACCCTGGGCTTGTGGGGCTAAGACCAGGCAGAAAGGAAATAAGGACATCAGAGGATTTGGGGGGCTGGGGAGCCAATCAAAGACAAATCTGCCTCACATCAGTTACCTTGGGCCAGCCCCGACAAAGCTTTCAGTGTTTTCTTCTGGCCAGAATTGCCCCAGCCAGCTATGGGCCAGTTGGAGAGTTGCTGGTGGTCCCTAGGCGTCTGGCCTCACCTACCCACTCCAGCCCTCCCTTTGCTCTCCTTAGCACCAAAGAACGGTGCACACTTGGGTATCTGTACAGGAGGCCTGATGCAAAGGTGGTGTGGGGGTGAGATCTCAGCCTGAGCTTCATACTCCCTGCCCCTGTCCCAACTGTCCTCACCCCAGCCTTGGTCTCCTACATCTTCCCTACACCCCATCAGCCCCTCAGCAATGGCCCTTGTGGGTGGGAAACAGGCTTCCTCCTGCCTTTCCCACAGAAACAGTCTGAAATGTTGGTAAGACTTGTGCTCTAAGTCTATATAACCAATAAAAACAATGAAACAACTCTTATTTAAAAAGCATTTAAGCCCTTTAAATACTTCAACTCATTTATTTCTCCTAACAGTATTATTATCCCTATTTTATGGATAAGGAAATTGAGGCAAAGAGAAGTAATTTGCCCAAGGGCATTCAGTTAGAAAGTGAAGCTGTGATTCAAACCCAGGCATTCTGGTGCCAGTATCTATTCTCCTAAGTGGCTTTGCTCCCTGCAAATAGTACTATTGAGTTATATGTGAATTTTCAAATCTATGTAATCAGAGAGAGAGGGAGAGAAACAATTAAAAGTGTAGGCAGTTGTCTGCCATTCTCCTCAATTATCAATGCCCTGGAGGGAGTGTGCTATCTGAGCTGCCTTGGTCCATCTCAATTTCTTCTAGTTTCTCAGACTCTAATGGTGCAAAATCTTGGTGCACTGAATTTCATTCTAGTTTAAAGATACGTATTTTTTCATGCAGCACAAATCCTTAAATGCAAGCCAACTGCTTCATCCTGTGCTCAACTAAAAAAACAGCTATCTGTTCCAGTGCTGGAAGAAAAGCTGGTGCGTGGGACTTCCTGAAAGATGAGATAGATGTGACTCCACTTATTATTATTTCTACTGTTTTTCTTTGTAAATGTATAGTACTTCGGGGCCATATTGGATCACACGGGCTATCCTGGGTACCTAATCATCATTGAAAGCATCGTACCGCATTCTTTCACCTCCGCGGCCAGGTGCCTTTTGCTGCCTGGTCTCTTCTCAGCTTGCCCTGATTTCTCTTCTTTCACTTGTTCTAATGCCAACTCATCCTTCAAGACCCAGCTTGAGCAAATATCAGCCCTCCTGGAAGCCTTCCTTTGCCCACTTTGGTTGAATTGCGTGCCTGACTGTACTTCCATAGAATGCCTTACTCTGCATGGTCAAGGTTGGCTAACTTGTCTGGTTCCTTCACTGTTAGGGTGAATTCCTTGAGGGTAGGGTGGTGATTTTCCCCAGAGGCTAACTCATCCCCTGGTTCCTGATGGGCTTTGAACAGTGTCTACTGAGTGAATATGGAGAATGTTTCAGCATGTGCTGGCCCTCGGTCTGGGATTTCTTTTCAGTCTCCAACACACACACACACACACACACACACACACACACACACACACACACACACACACACACAGCAATCCAAATTGTATTTCTGCTCCAGCCCTGAGCTCCAGCATCCACTTGCAGGTCTTCCTGCTGCACATGCTCACCGCAAAACATACTTCCCCTTCCCTAAGATACATCACTCAAGTTATTGCAGGCTGTCCACCTCCTGGAGACGGAAACTCATCTGCTGCCCCTCCCCGCACCTATCATGGCATTGAGCGTCCAGTAGGTACTCAATGTTTCTTTAACAAGTGAACAAACAAAGGAGTCAGTGGACAATTAGAGTTTTGAGTTCCCCGAAGCACTTTACAGAAAGTCAAGACTCCCGTTTGTGGCCAAATGCCGTGATTACCTCCCAGGGCCAGGAAGTATGAGGCAAGACAAGTGACAAGGACACAAAATTTATTTATTTATTTATTTATTATTATTATACTTTAAGTTTTAGGGTACATGTGCACAATGTGCAGGTTAGTTACATATGTATACATGTGCCATGCTGGTGTGCTGCACCCACTAACTCGTCATCTAGCATTAGGTATATCTCCCAATGCTATCCCTCCCCCCTCCCCACACCCCACAACAGTCCCCAGAGTGTGATGTTCCCCTTCCTGTGTCCATGTGTTCTCATTGTTCAATTCCCACCTATGAGTGAGAATATGCGGTGTTTGGTTTTTTGTTCTTGCGATAGTTTACTGAGAATGATGATTTCCAATTTCATCCATGTCCCTACAAAGGACATGAACTCATCATTTTTCATGGCTGCATAGTATTCCATGGTGTATATGTGCCACATTTTCTTAATCCAGTCTATCATTGTTGGACATTTGGGTTGGTTCCAAGTCTTTGCTATTGTGAATAATGCTGCAATAAACATACGTGTGCAGTGAAGGACACAAAATTTAAAAGTCATTCACCTCGGATGCCAACCCTGCCCTTACCCAGGCCTGAAAGTCAGAGTCTCCTTAAATTGAGGGCCCTGAGTACCTCGCTTGCCTCACCCTAATCCCAGGCCTGTCCCCATTCCCTCCTTATATAACTCAAGCCTCTCGATGTAGGCAAAAGAAATCTAACATATACTTATGTGTGGGGAAAAAATAGTTTTTCTCCTACTATACTCTCACAACACAACACAGAGACTTCTGTGACCAGATGTGTGGGGGTTTTCTCCACCAACAAGCCAGCAAGCAGTTCTGCAGCAGATTCTCTGGCAGACACCAGCTGAATGTCCTCTAACTCAATTCAGTTCAATTCAATTCTGACACTATCTACCTGGATAACATCAGTTACCACAGGCTCAGGGCTCAGTCCTGCAAGATATCCCACACTGCAGATGCCAGTCACAAGTCCAGGCCTCTGCAATGTCTGAACAAGCAGCTATAAATCAGAGTGCCCATGATTCCTCTGGTTTGATTAATTTGTTAGAGCTGCTCATAGAACTCAGGGAAACACCTTACTTATGTTTACCCATTTATTAACAGGGTATTTTAAAGGATCCAAACCAACAGCCAGATGAAGAGATACGTAGGGCAAGGCACATGGGAAGAGGCACGGCGCTTCCATGCCCTCTCAGGGCACACCATCCTCCGGCAACCTCCGTGAGTTCAGCTAGCCAGAAGCCCCCTGAATCCCTGAACCCAGTCCTTTTGAGTTTTTACAGAAGCTTCATTACGTAGGCATGACTGATGGAATCATTGGACATTGGTGGTCAGCTTATCCTTCAGCCTCTCTCCCCTCCCTGGAGGTTGAGGGGTGGGGCTGAAAGTTCCAACCTTCTAATATGCCTTGGTCTTTTCCGTGACCTATCCCCATCCTGAAGCTACCTGGGGATCCCAGCCACCGGTCATCTCATTAGCATACAAAAGACACTCTTATCACCTTGGAGATTCCAAGGATTTTAGAAGCCACATGCCAGGAAACCTGGACAAAGACTATATAAATACATCTTATTATAAATCGTAATAGCAAAACTTATTAAGCAAAAGCTGGAATTTATTGTCTCATATAATAAAGCCACAGAAAAGGCAGGACAGGAAAATGGCTTAGGAGCTCCTGGAAGCAGGAATTCCAACACTATCAAAACACTCTGTTTCTCTTCTCCATTTTCCTCACTCTCAGACCAGCTTACTTCATATAGTAGACAAATTTGCCTATAAACTTTGCACTCACATTCTAATACTGCCTCAGCCAGGAAGAGAAGCCACTTCTCTTTGCAAGCTCCAATGCGAAAGACCTAGGGAAGGGGCCAGAGGCAGGAAGTGCTCTGGTTGGCTCAGCTTAGATCCCGTATCTCCCCGTGTAACCAGGGTCTGGGGTCCATTACTAGAGGAAAGGACGGGGAGGTAGCATAGATCATGGCCCCAGGAAAATCCTTGTGACTAAAAGACCACCAGAATTGACTCTTACCAAGCTCCTCCAAAACACAGACCTCTGAACTGTCACTGTGATCTAGTGGTAACATCATTGCCCAGTTCCCTTAGGTAGCTTGCTGGTGAAGTACTGCCAATCTTCTAAGCACCCATCCTCCTCTGCCCTGAGCAACCCCTTGCCAGGCTGAGAGCCACTAATGAGCAGACAAATGTCACTTAGAGAAAGGAGTGGGTTCTCAGCCTCTAGCTCTACAGCAGTGGATATCTTTCAACCAGGGGACAAAATCTAGCCCCCCTCCTAGGAGACATTGGACAATGTCTGAAGACATTTTTGGGGTTGTCCCACTTGGGGAGTAGGGGGCTGCTGGCATCCAGTGGGTGGAGGCCAGGGATGTTGCTAAACATCCCACTGTGCACAGAGTGGCTTCCCACACCAAAACATCATCTAGCCCAAATTGTCAACAGCGCTGAGATCAAGAAAACTGGCCCCACAGGAAAACTCTTACAATCTGTGCGACGGTGAATTTAAGTGTCAACTTGACTGAGCCATGGGGTGCCCAGACATTTGGCTAAGCATTATTCTGGGTGCATCTGTGAGTATGTTTCTGGGTGAGATTTGAATCAGCAGACTGAGTAAAGCAGATTGCCCTGTCTGATATGGGTTGGCCTCATCGCATCAGTTGCAGACCTTAATAGACCTGAAAAAGGTTGAGTACGAGGCAACGCCCCCTGTCTGACTGCTTGCGCTCATCTTTTCCTGTTTTCGGACTCGGCCTGAAGGACCAGCTCTTCTTGGGTCTCCAGCATGCTGGACTTCACACCCGAGCTTCACACCTCTCGCTGCAGCTATGGTGCTTGTAACACGCCTCATTCCCCTCCTGGTTCTCAGGCCTTCAGACTCAGACCGGAATTACAGCATGGGCTGTCCCGGGTCTCTAGCTTGCTGACTGCAGATCCTGGGACTTTTCAGGCTTCATAATCACATAAGCCAATTCCTTATCATAAATCTTTCAATAGAAGTTTATATATATTATGTATTCTCCTATTGGTTCTGTTTCTCTAGGGAACCCCGAGTAATATCACAGTGCTGATAGGAGTTCCTTGAGGAGGTGGATTCCTACCACCCTCTTACCAGCCCTTACGCTGCCTCCCTGTGCATTCAGTGTGTGGAGAAACTGACAGGAATTTTTTTCCAGGTCTTCCCCATGCTCTGAGGCATCATCTTTCATCTCTAAGGCATCGCCTTTCATCTTTACTTCTCAGGACATGATGCTATGATGCTAAGGTTACTCAGCAGGCAAAGGGGGCCTGGAGCCCTGCAGGGGCGTGCAGAGTTCCTTGGCTCCCGGAACACCTGTTCCAAATAGTGCAGGGTTGCAGCAAGGCTGGGAGGGAAACTGGCTGAGATGAAAGACACAGCTGGCTCACTTTCAAAGGCGCGGTCCATCAGGGAGAAGCACAATGGTTTAGTCATTCTTAGCAACCTGCCCAGAGCTTCACAGAGTGTTACTTCTCTTTAGAGACAGCAGGGGCTTGAGGAGAAGGGAGATCCTGGGAGCCCACAGCAGCCCAGCTCTTCCATCCTCTCCTTTTTCTGCACCATCACCAGCTCAGGGTACTTCCAGATTGTCAGAGAAAAATAAAGTCCCTGCCTCATAGAATAGCCAGGACTATTGGAGCTCTGGAGTCAGACCTGGTAGAAAAGTCAGAAAACCCTGACTCCCTGTTTGACCAGCTGGTAAGTCTTTGGGCAGCATCTAGAAACCTCAGTTTCTTTCTCTGTAAAATGGGGATCATAGTATCTCCATTTTGGTTATGTTGGGAGGATTATTAGACAAGAGAAAGCATGCAAGTGCTCAGCACAGCACTGGCTTCACAGCAGGCACTCAGTCAGTGGGAGCTGTGCCCCTTAGGATGGCTGCTTCCGAGTGATGGCCAGTCGGCATGGGGGAGGGGCAGTGGTGCCCCAGCTTCACTGTGCCTGCGACCCCCTGAGGCTTGTTAAAACACAGATTGCCAGGCCCCGTCCCCAGAGTTTCTGATGCACTAGGTTTGGGGTGAGGCCTGAGAATATGTATTTCCAACAAGCTCCCAGGTGTCTTAGTTCAAACTGCTATGACAAATGTATCCTAGACTGGGTGGCTTCAACCACACACTTTTACTTCTCACAGTGTGGGAGGCTGAGAAGTCCAAGATCAAGGTACCGGCAGGTTTGGTGTCTGGTGCGGGCTGCTTCCTGGCTTCCAGCTGTCTTCTCATGATATCTTCTTGTGGTGAAAAGAGGGAAAGAGAGCTCTCTGGAGTCCCTTTTATAAGGACTCTCATCCACTTCCTGCAGGCTGCACCCTCATGACCCAATCATCTCCCAAAGGCCCCTCCTAATACCATTACATTGAGAATGAGGGCTTCAACATATGGATTTTGGAGAACACACACATTCAGTCCAGAGCACAGCAGCAGGCAGGTGATACTGATGCTGCTAGTGTGGGGACCACACTTTGAGAACCACTCTTCTCAAGCAACAGTGTTCAGCCCTCGCTACACCTTAGAATCACCGGGGAGCTTATAACCCCCCTCAGCATTCTGTTGAAGTGTTTTGGGGTGTGGGTTATGCACTGGCATTTTCTGTCTTTTTTTTTTTTTTTTTTTTTGAGATGGAGTCTTGCTCTGTCACCCAGGCTGGAGTGCCATGGTGCGATCTCAGTTCACTGCAACCTCTGCTTCCTGGGTTCAAGCAATTCTCCTGCCTCAGCCTCCCGAGTAGCTGGGATCACAGGCATGTGCTACCACACCCAGCTATTTTTTTTTTTTTTAGTAGAGTTTGGGTTTCACCACATTGCCCGGTCTGATTTTGAACTCCTGGCCTCAGATGATCCACCTTCCTCGGCCTCCCCACAGTGCCGGGATTACAGGCGTGAACCACCGCGCACGCCCTGCATCATTTTCTAAAGCTTCCTATTTTCCCCACATGCAGCCAGTGGAGAACCGAGGTTCTAATGGTCATGTAGGGTGATGGACAGCGCTCACAACATCCCCATTAGGAGATCAGGAATCCCACCCGCTCAGCCATGCATCTTCCTGGGAGAGGAAACAGTCCAGCTCCCATGCACAGTTGAGAATTTCCTCTCCTGGGTGCCTCTGTCTGGCTCACCTTACTTTTTCCACCTCAGCCATTTCCTGCTGGCCATATCTGGGTGCTGTGACTCCATCAACCAAAGGCTCAGCCCCAAGTCCAGGCCAAGGCTGACTGAGGCAGTGGGTTCCCTGCTGATGGCTCTCCAGGTTCTAATCTCTGTCTGTGTTGGGCTTCCAGGGCTAGGCGTCCCGTCACTGACTGCTGGACCCCCTGGACTCCAGGCTCTGCCCTTACCTGGTGCCAGCTGTCCCCATGGCTACCACTGGGCTGCCTCTTGGACTTGCCCCAGGCCTGGTTCACAAGTCTGGCCTCTGCTTCTTTCCAGCCCCTCTGTGAGCCCTGTGATGTGCTAGGGATGGATTTAAAACACCAGCAAGACACTGAAAGGTGAAGCCTTACATTTAAATTTCAGAAAGGAAGCCTCCTTATTCTTTGATGTTCACCACATAAACAGATCATCAAAGGGTGTAATACTTACCTTAGCACTTCAGCTCCTTAAAATAAAAAATGCATCATTTCTAATTAGAGCCTTTGCCAGCCTGGGGATACTGTGAGAAGTACTCCTCCCCCATCTCCTTCCCCAGCTCCTCACCCCTCCCCTGCTTCAGACCCTGGCTGACCTCCTGCACAGCCCCGCTCCGCCGCACCCCACCCCCCCTGCCAACCCGCGCTGTGTTTTCAGTCTGGTTTCCCCATTCATTCCCCTTACCTGCTTCTTCCCACAGACCCACTCACTCAGATGACACAGCTGGGGCCCTTTGGAAACAAGTATAGTCGGCCTCCAGCTGCCTCCAGACATGGAGGTGGGTGAGGACATTTTTTTCCTTTTACATTATTTCAAACATATTTCCAAGTCTCAGCCGGGACATTTTCTCCACTGCCCAGGGCATCTCCAGGCCAAGGTCCTCTCTTGCATTAGTCAGGGCATGACAGGCCATGCTGCTGTAGCAGACACAGCCCCACATCTCAGAGGCTTCACCCAGTCAAAGTTTTCTTCCCACTTCTGTTAAGTCTGATGCAAGCTGGGCATTCCTCCTCCATGTTGAAGTTGTGCTACCTTTAAACGGTAGCCTCCAAGGTGACTGTGTGAGAGGAAGAAAGGGGTGGAGGAGGCACACTGGCTTCTAACTGCTTTGACCGGTAAGTGACCCTGTCATTTCTGCTCATAGTTCATTGGCTTGCACTGGTGTGGCCCCAGCGTGACTGTAGGAAGCACCTAGAACTCCGGATGAGCACTGTCTGCTGTACCTTCCCTTCCCAGGTGACGTGGCTCAGAGAATGGACACCACTTTCATGGTGTTGCCCTGGATTCCCCAGTAAGATCAGTGTTGGGGGAAGGGGATGCTGTTCATTCTCTGCTTACCCCTCAGATCCACGCTCTGTCCTTCTAGGACTTGCAATCTGCTAGATTGCTCTGCCCTTTGATTTCCAGATGGGTTCAGTCAGTGGAGAATGAACACTGGGAAATCAGCAGCAGGGATGGGAAGTTGGAAAACAGGGGAAAAAAAGGCTCCATGACTCCTACTCCCTCCCTGCTAAGCCTGGGTTTGGCAGCAGCTGCTTCCTCTCGCTGCAGCTATGGTGCTTGTAACGCGCCTCATTCCCCAGGCTCTCACCAGATCCAGCTAACTCCACTTCCTCCCCATGCCCCTTCTGGCTTCCTGCTAGTACCCTCCTGCTTCACCATCCTTTATTGGTTCCCTGAACTCCACCCAAGCCTCTGAAAATAGGATCTTCATCAACTTCTTTTCTATTTGCATTTGAATGAACCATCCTTGTGCTTGGAGAGGATCATTGGAGCAGGACTATTCCCCCGCTCTACCCCAATAATAATAACCACTAACGTCCGTGGGGCTGTGACTAGGTGTTAAGTGCCATTCTAAGCTCTTTTTCTATATTGACAAATTTAATCCTCATGATTGTCCTTTGCAACAGATTCTATTATTTTCCCCAATTTTCAGACAAACAAACAAAGAAACAGACAGGGTAGGTAACCTGCCTAAGATCACACAGCCGTGAACGAGAGCACTTGGATTTGTACCCAGGTGGTCCAGCTCAGAGCCCTTGTTCTTACCATCTATCCTTTTGGGCCGCATTCCAACCCACTGGACAGAGAACAGACCCTCAGGCACATTGGAACCATGAGCCCCAGCCTCACGGTGGGCTCATCAAGCGTTCCTTTGGTCTTTATCTCCTAGTTTCATTGATCTTTCTGACTCCTAGATGCTTAAACTTATAGGCTTAGAGAGGCTGCAGCTTTATGATCACTGGATCTTTCTCCGCTGTGAATTTCTGCTAAATTATGGTTAAATAATACATTTTTTAGTTCCCTAATTCAACCAAGTATTGCTCTTTGTGATGGCCTGAAATGTATTTCCCCCTTCAAATATGTTAAAGTCCTAACCTTGAGTACCTCAGAGTGTGCCTTTATTTGGAAATAGGGTGGTTGCAGATGAATTCGTGAAGCCATACTGGAGTAGGGTAGGCCATTAACCCAATATTACTGGTGTCCTCATAAGGGGGAAAGGAAATGTGGACACCAAGAGAGAGGCACACAGGGAGAATGTCACATGAAAACGTAGGCAGATGTTGGGTTGATGCATCTACAAGCCAAGGAATGCCAAGAGTTGCCAGCCCTGATCAAAAGCTAGGGAGAGGCATGAAAAAGATTCTCCTCCAAGCCTGCTAATTCCTTGATTTCAGACATCTAGCCTCCAGAATTGTGAGGAGATAAATGTGTGTTTGAAGCCACCCAGTTTGTGGTACTTTGCTCTGGCAGCCCTAGCAAACAAATAAACCTTCCGTCACCATGGTTACGGCCTCTCCTGCTAGCGCTCTCTCTCTCTCTCCCCTTAACCCTTTCCTCCTACCCCCCACAGCGGCTCTGCAGTGCCACTGGCCTCCTTAACCTTGGGGTTTGAGTGGAGTTCCAAGCAAGTTCTCACCTCAAGGTCTTTGCACTTGCTTGCCCTCTTCTCCCTTATGTTCACATGGCCTTTCCTTAGTCATACATTTTTATTGGGGGAGGGGTGGTGACATTTTAAAGAACACACTCACCCTTCAGGGACTGTGTCCCTCTTGGAAATTAATGAATTCTGCCCAATATAAAAGGAATGCCTATTAAAAAGTAATACCTAAAATCTCCACAAATACTCACTAGAAGGCAAACCTTCTGCAAACACATCACTGAGGAGCATACACACTAGAGCTAGATTGAATTGGCCCTACCACCTTCACTCTTTGATTATCTGTTGCACTGCTTCGTGTCAGAAACTGACTGTCTGGAATTGGAAACTTTATAATATGTCTATCAGAAAAGCTGTTGGCCTCCAGAACTTGTAAAGAGAAGTCAATAATGAATATCTCAGTACACTTGAAAAACACAAAACCCTTAAGAAAGTGACAGACTTGTTCAGAGCTGTAGCAAGAGAACAGGATTAAAGATAAAGGATCAAGCCAAGAAGAAACATGACTTATAGAAATGCAAAACCACAAGGAGATCCCACCTCATGCCCATTAGGATGGCTGCTATCAAAAAAACAAATGTTGGTAAGAACATGAAGAAATTGGAACCCTTGTGTGCTGTTGATGGAAATGTAAAATGATGCAGCTGCTATGGAAAACAGTATGGTGGTTTCTGAACAAAATTAAACATAGAATTATCATATAACTGAGCAATTCCACTTATGGGTATGCCAAAAGTAATTGAAAGCAGCATCTGAATGAGATATTTGTATACCCGTATCCGTAGCAGAATTATTCACAATAGCTAAAAGTAACCCAAGGGTTCATCAATGGATGAATGGATTTTTAAAATGTGGTATATACATACAATAGAATATTATTCAGCCAAAAAGGAAGATTAATTCTGATTCATGCTACAACAGGGATGAATGTTGAGGATATTACACTAAGAAAAATGAGCTAGTCAGAAAATGACACATTTGGCAAGACTCCGCTTATATGAGGTACTCAGAATAGTCAGATTCATAGAAACATCAAATTCATAAGGAAAAGAGAATGGTCATCACCAGGGGCTGAGGGGAGAGGGGAAGGAGGAGTTGTTCAATGGTACAGAGTTTTGCAAGATGAAAAGAAATCTGGGGATTGGTTGCATAACAATGTGAATGTACTTAACACTATTGAACAGCATACTTAAAAATTGGTAAAATAGTCCATGTGTGGTGGTTCATGCCTGTAATCCCAGCACTTCGGGAGGCCAAGGCAGGCAGATAGCTTGAGGTCAGGAGTTCAAGACCAGCCTGGCCAACATGGTGAAACCCCGTCTCTACTAAAAAATACAAAAATTACCCGGGCATGGTGGCAGTCGCCTGTAATCCCAGCTACTCAGGAGGCTGAGGCAGGAGAATTGCTTGAACCCGGGAGGCGGAAGTTGCAGTGAGCCGAGATTGCACCATTACACTCCAGCCTGGGCGACAAGAGTGAGACTTTGTCTCAAAAAAAAAAAATTGGTAAGATAGTAAATATTATATTATGCATATTTCACTACAATTTCAACAATTTTAAATTTTTTTCAAAGAAAGAAAAAACGTGACCAATATGCGTGTGCACATGTGTGTGCAAGTGGAGAGAGAGAAAGAAAGAATTAAAATATGAAAATCCTGGTGGCTCCTGGCCTTGAGGAGACTGGTTCCTCCATTCAGCCTTAACCAGCCTCACAGTGGGCTCATCGAGCGTTCCTTTGGCCTTCATCTCCTAGTTTCATTGATCCTTCTGACTCCTAGACCCTTAAACTACTAGGCTTAGAGAGGCTGCAGCTTTACGATTGCTGAGTCTTTCTCCAATGTGAGTTTCTGCTATATTATGGTTAGATAATACATTTTTTTAGTTCTCTAGTTCAACAAAGTATTGCTCTTTGTGATGGGTTGAAATGTACTCCCCCCCCAGATATGTTAAAGTCCTAACCCTGAGTACCTCAGAGTGAGCGCTTATTTGGAAACAGGGTGGTTGCAGATGTAATTCGTGAAGCTATACTGGAATAGGGTGGGCCATTAACCATACGCCAAGCCACAGTTTGGGTGTAGAATGGTGCCACCTGGGTCCGTCCCTTCAGCACACACTTTCTGTGAGAGGAGTTTCCTGAAAAAGAAAGGTATAAATGAGGTGAACATCCCCTCAACAAACCTAAAATCTTTCAAAGCTTAGGACCTGATCTAGACTAGAAATGCCCTGAGTACCAATAGAGGAATGAATGCCCAGCTCTTTTCATTTGTTGTTTTGTTTTTCTTTAAAATTGCATTTTTAAAGAGGTAATACATACATATTGTGCAAAATTTATAAGGTATAAAACAGTATATGGCATAAAAGTCAACGTCCCTCCTACCCCAGCCCAGCTACCAGCTTCTCTCCTCTGTGATAACTGCTGATTTCTTTTGCATCTTTCCAGAGAAAGGTAGATTTACCCCCTCTTCCCTACCTTTTTTTTTCTTTTACCTAAATGGTAGCATTCTAAACCCATTATTCTGTCTCCTAGAGATCATTAGATACTGGTATATGTACAGATGTGTCTCATTCTTCTCCTTTTTCCCCCTCCTTCTCCTCCTCTGCCTACTTCCTTTCCTTTCTCCACCTCTTCTTCTCCTTTTCTTTCCCTTGTAAAGATATATTTATTAATTCATGTAAAGGGGGTTCAGTGGTTTGAATGTGTGTGTCCATCCAAAATTCATGTTGGAACTCAAACCCCGTGTGGTATCTAATGGGATTAGTGATCTTAAAAAGAGCTGGAGGGAACTAGTTTATGCCCTTTTGCCCTTCTGCCTTCCACCATGTGAGGGTGCAGTAACAAGGTGCCATCTTGAAAGCAGAGTGTCCTCAGTAGACACCAAATCTGCTGGTGCTTTGATTTTGGACTTCCCAGCCTCCAGAACTGTAAGGAATAAATTTCTGCTCATACAAATTGCCCAGCCTCAGTTATTTTGTGAAGCAGCAGGAATGGACTAAGACAAGGGACCATCATGGGCCTGTGCTCTGATGCCCACCTTCAGAATGACCAGCTTTTAAGTCCCTGCTACTTCTCTTTTTATTTTTTATTTTTTAAAAATTTCTGCCCCAAATAGGGTGACTGGTGGTATGGAGCCCCATTTACCTATCACCCAGATACAATAATTATCAAGAATCTGTGACATTTACTTTATCTTTATCCATTTAAAAGTTCTCCTTATTTCTTTTTCATGGCTCTTGTATTTTAAGGCAAATCCCAGGCATCAGGTCATTTCATCCCTGCATTTTTCAATATGCAGCTCTAAAACATGTGAATATTGTCTTCATAAAACCACAAAGTCATGACTGCACCTAACAAAATGCACAATAATTCTTTAATATTGTCTTATGCCTGGTTCATACACAAATTTCCTAATTGCCTCAAAAGCAAAAATTCCAGGCTGGGAGCGGTGGCTCACGCCCATAATCCCAGCACTTTGGGAAGCCATGGTGGGGATCACCTGAGGTGAGGAGTTCAAGACCAGCCTGGTCAACATGGTGAAACCCCATGTCTACTAAAAATACAAAAATTAGCCGGGTGTGATGGTGCATGCCTGTAATCCCAGCTATGCAGGAGGCTGAGGCAGGAGAATTGCTTGAACCCAGGAGGCAGAGGTCACAGTGAGCCGAGATTACACCAGTATACTCCAGCCTAGGCAACAGAGTGAGACTCCTCAAAAACAAACAAATAAAAAAGTTAAAATTCCTTTTACAGCTGGTTTGTTAAAAAAAAAAAAAAGACCTATATGTTCCATTTGGTAGTTACAACTCTTCATTCTTTTAATCCTGAATAGCCCCAATGCCATCTTTATTTCACGCCACTGACTTAGAGAAATTGGGTCTGTTGTCCTGGAAAATTTCCCACACTCTGGATTTGTGTCTTTGCCTCTTTGATGTGACATTCAAGTCATTTTACTGCTCCCCCATTCCTCCATATTCCCTGTGAATGGAAGCCAGCTCTAGGAGCACAATTGGCATTTTTGGCAGAAACACCTCCGGGTGGGACTTTGTGCTACATATTGCATTACAGCAGGAGACATACAATGTCCTATTTTCAGTGATGCTAAGATTGATCATCGTTTCAGGTAGTGACAGCTTGATCCCTCTGAGGTCAAGTTCCTCATTAACCTTTCATCTAATGTGTTCATCGATGATCACTGTCTGGATCAATTGTTTCTTTAGAAGTTGCAAAATGGTGATTTTCTAATTTTCTCATTCCATCCCCATATATCAGGCAGAATTCTCCTGCCTGTTTTTAAACAGCCAGAGAACCCACCTTATACACAAATCTTTGCTCTAAATGACTTAAAGCTACTTTCAAAACTCAAATTCACCCCTGAAAAACCTTGATTCTCTGTCATTCAGGAAAGTCCAAAAACTGTGCCTTCAATTCTGAAAGCAAGTCTGAGAGAGGAATTCTAAAAATTATCTCACCGGGGTGGCCTTGCCAGTGTATGTACCTGCCTGTCTGGGGTGCCTGATCATGTGGATGTATAACTTCTAAAAGTTCTGCTTAAAACAGAAATCAATTGCATTGTTTTATCAGCATATCCTCATATAAATATATATATATATGTACATATATATACACACACACACATATATATATGCACACATATGTTGCAAAACAGATCAAGAATTAAATCTTGATTTAATGCAGAGTTTACTGTAGGTAACATTCTTTCAAAAGCTTATGCCCCTGGAACACCCACCAGGAGAGAGACCAGGTGGCTGTGGTGACATGAGGTCCTGCTAAGAGTTCTGGAAAGACCATGGTCAGAACAGCACACCCCCTGAAACAATCTTATCCCTTCAAAAGGGAAGCTAAGAACTAGGCTTTGAAGGAGTCCATGTTTGAACATCCCCTTGCTCATAACCTTTCCTGGATTTGTCAGAGCAAGGCCCTGATCTTTCTTTCCTACCTGCTGTCATATGGATGAGAGTAATTGCCCAGGGATCACCTTTGGCTGAAAGGAAACAGGCTTTAGAACATCCCCTGCTGAGGCTGCCCTCACTTCTATTTGTCTAGTTGACACTTCTTTGCTCTTCCCTGAGCTGCTTGCTTAGGATTAGCTAGACTGAAAGGAAGATGTCATTTTATTTTTACTTAGGTTAAAAAAAATCAATCTCAAAAACAAATCAATTCCAAATGCAATAAAATCAGAAGTTGTGAGAGCTGGAAGGGATATGTGGGAACATCTAGGCCATGAGACTTGGAATTGTTAGCTAAAAGGGATTATAGAGAGCTTATAATCAATCCCCTATTTACAGATGTGGAAACCAAGGCTCAGGGTGATGGAGGGACTTACCCAAGATCCCATGGCAAAGTTGAGACTTGATATGGGGTCTTCCCAGTAGATCAAGACCTCTCCTCCCTCACTCTTTACACATTAGGAGAAAGAGGTCCAGAAGGGGACATGAGATTGGTCCATGATGGAAGAATTAGGCACTAAGAATCTACTACATGCCAGGTCCCATGCTTGGCGTGTAATTACATCACACTGCTTCCAGAATGAGTGAATATGTCTTTCATACTATTCTTCATATACCACACAGCTGTTTCCCACAGAGAAGCTCTTTTGGTGTTGTAAATACTCAGCATTTTTTCATTGCAGCTAATTTATCTTCTAATGGATAAAATCCTATTCACTGTGCTTTTTAAGGAAAATTTTGGCTTTATCAAAATATTCTCCAGATGAAACAACAATCCCATATTCCCCAAAGTATGTCATTCCATTCCAGTGTAAAGTGAGAACATGAAACTGAGAGTCTTGAGGTCCAAGTTCTAGCCTCATCCTTCACTCCCAGCCCATTGGCCTTGGCCAAGCCCCTTGGCCTTTCCCAGCCTCAGATGCCTCCTGTGTAGAATGATGGGATTGGATTAGTTTAGCGGTTTCTAAATGTGCTTACACAGAAAGTTTCTGCTTATAGATTCCTTCAAACACCAGTGCCTTTGATTAATTAACACACTGTCTTGCTTCTTCGTAAAAATTAATCACACATCCACCACTGTAATAGCTTTTGATCAGAATAATATACTACAAGAAGGTGATATGCCTCCAACCCAAAACAGTGAATTTTAACATTTAGCCCACACAGTTTTGTCATAGGCAAATGGATGATTTCCCTCAGCCTTTCAGAATATTGAGAACAGTTTTTAGATATCCCTACTACCTTGAAGGAACACCATTCATAACCCACCCCACCCCAAGATGTCTTGAGATCTACTGGGCGAAGAGAGTTCTATAGTCCCTCTGGTTCTAAAATTCTTAAGTGAGTGAACCCTGCAAGCTTCCTCAGGGTAAATATTTGAGGTTTCACCTACTAGTCAATCTTAAAGCCTAGTTCTAAGAACGTGGCTTGCAATCCTAATACTTCAAACCAGGAGACTAGCTTGGTCTGGGTGCCTTTGAGCTGAAGGCAGAGCCTGAAACAAGGCTGGAGTTCCATGTTGTTTACTTGGGAGGTGATGCAGAAAGGTGGAGGAGGGACAGGAAAGGGGAGAAAGTCAGTTAAGTCAGAGGACTGCCGCTGTGCACAACTGGGGCTCAGTCCCACAAGGGGCAAGGAAGCTGGGGTGTTCCTCCATCAAATTCCATCCCAGCTGGTTGAAGGTTGTCACTTGGGGTTAACTCCCCAGCAATTCTGACCTGCCCTATGAGTACATGGTGAGAGACCCAGGATGCATCTTCTTGGTGGGTGATGTCCTACTCACATCCCCTCTACCTACCCCTAGATGACCTCCAGGGTAGGTGGAGGGGATGTGGGTGGGACATCAATAACATTTTCCAGAGAGTCTAAACAGAAAACATCTCACTGATAAAATTCATGATGAGTATCTATCCATTCATTCAACAAGTATTGAATACCAAGCTCTGTTCTGATGTCTTGGATACACCAATGAACAGAAGAGACATGGATTCCTGAACTTGTGGGATGTACATTTTAACAGCTGAAGAAAGAAACAGTAATATACACAATAAATAAGTGAATTATACAGTGTTACAGAATAATGTTCACATTAAATATGTAAACTATACAGTACTATAAGAGGTTGAGGGAATCAGGAGTGGCAGTTTCCGGATTGAGGGCATTTAACTATGGTGATTTAAATTTAAATACCATTTTAAATATGGTGATTAAGGAGCCTCTTGGAGAACAGATTTGAAGGAGGTAATGGAATGAGCTGTGGGGAGATCTGCAGAAGAGAACTCCAGATGCAGAGAACGAACTCCTTGAGGGGAAATGTGCATGCTGGATGAATTTCTGGAGTAGTCCAGAGGCCATTGCATCCTGAGCAGGGAGAACAAGAGACAGTAATAGGATCTGAAGTCAGAGATGGTAGAGCTCAGATCATGGAAGATGTTCTGAGCCTTTGGCTTTTCTTGCAAGGGCAATGGAAGACATTGAAGGCTTCTGGGAGGAAAAGAGACAGGATCTGCCTTGTGTTCTAACAGGATCTCTCTTACTACTGTGCACAGAATGGGCTGAAGTGGGATGTGTGAGTAATCCATACTGCATAACAAATTACCACTGGGCTAGCAGCATACTATATAATAAATTCATTGTTTTAGTTTCCTGCGTCAGTAGTCCAGGCATGGGTTAGCTGGGTCCTTGCTCAAGGCCTCTCCAGACTGAAATTAAGGCTCAAGATCCTCTCCCAAGCTCACTGGCTGTTGGCAGAATCCAATCCCTTGTGGCTGTAGGACTGAGATCCCATTTTCTTGCCAGCTGCTGTCTGAGGATGGCTCTAAGATCCTAGAGGCCACTTTCAGGTCGTTGCCATGTGGTCCCCTCCATAGACAGTTAACAAGGCTAACGGAATTCCTCTTATAGCTCAAATCTCTTCCTTCAGAAAAGACCGAGTCCCTTTGAAGGGCTCACCTGACTAGGCAGAGACCAACCAGGATATTCCTCAAAGTCAGCCGATTAGTAACTTAATCATGGATGGAACATTCATGGGATTTAAAAGTTCTCCCTACACTCAGGGAGGCCAAGACACAGGGCCATGACAGAATTCTGTCGATTACAGGGACAGACAAAGTAGAAGCACAGTTCTGTCGGGAGGTTGTTGTCGAAATCTAGGCGAGAGCAGCCGGGGGCTTAGGTGGCGAGGATAATGGTGGAGGTGATGAGAAGGCTTCAGTGTGTGGATTCGGATGGTAGAGGCCCCTGGATTCCTGCCAGATTGGCCCTTAGGTGTGAGGAAAAGCAGAAAAAGGATGATGTGAGGATTTTAGCCTGAGCTGAAGGTGGGAGGGAGTCACCACTTGCCGGGACTGGGTGTAGCCAGCGTCCCTCGCACCCATGTACCAGTCACCGGGTGCTCCTCCCCTATTGCTCATGGACTCTTCAAAGAAGGGTGTGGAGTGGGGAGGCGTTATCCTCATTTTATTTTCTTTTGAGTAAAGGAAGGAAGGGAAGGAAAGGGGCTTCCTCATTTTAGAGATTAGAAAATTGAATTAGAAGAGATTAAGGAGTTCCTCCAATGTCATAGAGTTGGTAAGCAGAGCCAGGATCTGTGCTTGGGTGGTCTTAATTTCAGAGTTCTTACCTTTTTTTTTGCTTTTGCTTTTTCTTTTCTTTTTTTTTTTTTTTTTCTTTTTGAGATGGAGTCTCGCTCTGTTGCCCAGGCTGGAGTGCAGTGGCACAATCCCGGCTCACTGCAACCTCTGTCTCCCGGGTTCAGGCGATTCTCCTGCCTCAGCCACCCAAGTAGCTGGGATTACAGGCACCCACCACCACGCCTGGCTAATTTTTTAATTTTTAGTAGAGACGAGGTTTCACCATGTTGGCCAGGCTGGTCTGGAACTCCTGATATCAAGTGGTTCGCCTGCCTCGGCCTCCCAAAGTACTGGGATTACTTACTTTTAACAATTGTTCTATCACCTTCTGTGAATGTTTCTCTAAAATAAAATCTCTTTGTCTCGTAGGACGATGGCATTAGCTAGAGGCTGAACGTCTTCCTCAGGTTTACCCTTGTGGGAAGGTGGGCAGAGATAAACCTGTGAAGGAAATGTCAGCCCAGCGTATCTACGCATGGCCCTCAGAACACCATTAGTGCCTTCCTGCACCTCTCCATCCCTCTGTCCATCTTCAATCCTTGTAGGACACTCTTTTCTCTTCACCTAGCTAAACACTACAATTATTTCCAGGCCTTTTATTTTTTTAAGACAGAGTTTCACTCTGTCACTCAGGCTGGAGTGCAGCGGCATGACCATGGCTCACTGCGGCCTCAACCTCCTGAGCTCAAGTAATCCTCCCACCTCAGCCTCCTAAGTAGCTGGGACTACAGGCATGCACCACCACACCAGCTAATTTTTTTTTATTTTTTGTAGAGACAGGGTCTCGCCATGTTGCCCAGGCTGGTCTTCAATTCCTGGGCTCAAGCGATCCTCCCACCTGGGATTACTGGCATGAACCACTGCGCCTGGCCTCCAGACCAATTTAAAATTTTTCCTCCACAAATGGCTTCCTCTGATCTTACCAGCTTTGAGGGATCACTTCCCCCTTTGGCTTTTTATAAGTGTATACTGTTCATTTCCCATGAAATGGCATGGCTACGTTGTGTTGTGATTGTGTTACCAACAGACATTGCCATGCACCTACTTACTCCTTTGCTAGGGCTGCCATGACAAAGAACCACCACTGGGGTAGCTTCAACGATGGAAATTTACTTTCTCACAATTCTGGAGGCTGGAAGTCTAAAATCAAGGTATTGGCAGGGTTGGTTTCTTCTCAGGTCTTTCTCCTTGGCTTGTAGATGGCTGTCTTATCTCTATGTCTTCACACAGTCATCCCTCTGTGTGTTTGCGTCCTAATTTTCTTTTCATATAAGGACGCCAGTCATTGGATTTGGGCCCACCCTAATGACCTTGTTTTTTTTTTTTTCTTTTCTTAATTACCTCTCTAAAGACCCTATCTCCAAATATAGTCACATTCATAGGGATTTTGAGGGGACACAATTCAGCCCCTAATACCTACCATATTTGTGTGATCGTGTTAGGCGATTCTAGAGACTAGAGAAGCAACTGCTCTCATTTGTCTTCCTGTTCCTTTACTGAAAACACATCCAGGAGGCCAGGGCCTTGGGGACCAGCTGTAGCAAGGCCTCTGACACTCACTCCCTGCAATTACTCACATTGTCCCTGAAAACCACTGTGTTTGGCAAGAGCTGGTGCAGAGTTAATGGGGAGCTGAAACTGAACAACGAGTCACACATTTAGTCATTGAAGAAACAGAAGCAACCCTTTGGGGATTCTCAGTCTACTACCTAACTTATTCCACAACCCACGGACCTAACTTTCAAAGGGCAGAGACCATCAAAAACCAGTGCTGCTCTCTTGATTATAAAAACCAAAGAATGGTTTTGTGCTCAGGCATTTTATGTCTGTAATGTGAGTCCATATCGAGGGAGAGGAAAAATAAAAATAAAAAAAATCCATCTTAGAAAGCAGATTTTGCTTATTTCACAAGATGAATCACCAGAGCTGCCATTTTCCTAGTAATTTCAAAACCAGACGTTGGTTATTATTTTTTTCTAAACACAGTTGTCTTCATTAGGGCTGCTCAGAGGGAGTGTGCCCCTTTGGGTTTTCACTCAACCCAGCAAAGGTGGCAAGCTGTGTGCCCCTTATACATGTTTACCAGCATCGCGTTTATGAGGCTTAAGTGGCTCCGATGTTTTCCAGGGCACAGATACTAGCAGAAAAGTACAGACGCTGGCAACTTGCATTTGCCCAAATTGATTCCACATCTGCCTTAAGCGGACTGCTTCCTCTGATACAACTATGCTTTTTCTCCCCTTGCAAGACAGTGTATGCTATATTAGACGTTGAAAAATAAAGGGGATGTTTTAGGAAAGTAAAAAACAAGTGAAAGATTAGCCTGATGTTCAGAGAACTGCTGTGGGTTACTCTTCCTTCTTTGAAGAAAACTGAATAACTTTGCCAAGTTATAAAACATTTCAACCCTAGCTGTT
Source organism: Homo sapiens (assembly GCF_000001405.40). Classification (NCBI taxonomy): domain Eukaryota; kingdom Metazoa; phylum Chordata; class Mammalia; order Primates; family Hominidae; genus Homo; species Homo sapiens. Next base: position 25,938,216 of record NC_000004.12, on the reverse strand, counting down.
TTGTTCACACTGCACAATCCATTAGTGGTGAAAATCTTGTTAGGGTAAAAAAAAAAACAAAAAAAAATAAAAAAACTCAACCAACAGAAACATCAGGAAACCTCATCTATCCAGAACAATGCAGAAACAGAAAGCAAATACCAAAAAACCTCAAGGCAGCCAAAACATCACAAAAACATTGTAGTTTACCCATACCAGAGCCTCTAAACCCGCATTAAAAGCATTTGCTTTCATTTGATGCCAGATTCCAGCATTTTGGCCAACTGCTTTCCAATCTCACTGCAGACTAGAAAGAGCAAATCAGAGAAAGTCAGAATCTGCTCCCTACAGCTGTGAGACAGGGCAGAGATAAGAAAACCAGAAAAGCCAGAAATTTCACAAGCACAGAAATGTACCCCAGCACAGAATGAAGGGGTAACTGTCTGACCCACCTCAACAGCCCTTAGGCACACTGTACAATAACAATAAGCCCAAGTCATAAAGAGAAGACTAAATTATATTTAACATCTTTTATTTAAGGTAGATATGCCATGTGGATTACATTTCAGAAAAATAGTTAAAATAAAATATAAAATGGAGATGCCTTGTTGCTGTGTATTGAATGTGCCTCCTAGGGTTCATGTGTTGGAAACTCAATCCCCAGTGCAACAGCGTTGAGAGGTGGGACCTTTTAAGAGGTGATTAGGCAGAGCCCTCATGAATGGATTAATGTCATTATCATGGGAGCGGGCTAGTTATCTTGGGAGTGGGTTCCTCATAAAATGATGAGTTTGGCCCCCTTCCCTGTCCCCCACCCAAATTCTCTTGCCCTTTTGCCTTCACCATGGGATGATACAGCACAGGGGCTTCACCAGATGCTGGCCCCTCAATCTTGGACTTCCCAACCTTCAGAACTGTGAGCCAAATTAATTTCTGTTCATTATAAATTACCCAGTCTCAGGCATTCTGTTATAGCAGCACAACATGAACTAAGACACCTGTCAATAATTTTTTGATTGCAAGTGACAAAAAATCCAAATTGGTACAAAAAGGGACTTTTTGACTTTGTTTTTAAATTCAGAGATATCTTTGCTTCAGACACGAGTGAATCCAGGAGGCCTGAATAACATCAGGACCCAGCTTCTATCTCCCTTCTACTTTGATGTTAGTCTCAAACTAGCTGTGCCCTCATGGTGGCAAGATAGCTGCCAACAGCTCCAAATTTTGGTAAACAAGAGCTCCTCCAGTCAACCACAAAGCCAGCAGGGAACATTAACTCTAGCTAGACCTGATTAGCTTGGTTTGAGTCACATGCTCATCCTGGATCCAATCCATGTGGGCAGGAGTCTGCGCAGTATTCTGATTGGCCAAACTTGGACCACATGCTTCCTCCTGGAGCATGGGGTGAAGTCAGCTCCACCCAAGCAGGGAGATAGAATGGGCCAGGGATGAGCAAAAGTGGGAGTGGAGGGTAGAAGTAGATGTGTCCATGAGCGAGGGAAAAAGATGTTGGGCAGAGAGAGCTGAAAAATGTCTACCAGGGCAGGTCAAGCCTGTGACTATCTAGGATACCCAGCATGACTCTTTCTTGAAGGCTCTGGGTATAATTCGTTTTACTGATTTTTTTAAGGTTGATTTATTTTCTTTCCTTCCTCCCTTCCTTCCTTCCTTCCTTCCTTCCTTCCTTCCTTCCTTCCTTCCTTCCTTCCTTTTTCTTTCTTTCTTTCTTTTTCGACAGAGTTTTGCTCTGTTGCCCAGGCTGGAGTGCAAGGCATGATCTTGGCTCACTGCAACCTCCGCCTCCCAGGTTCAAGCAATTCTCCTGCCTCCGCCTCCCAGGTAGCTGGGATTGCAGGTGCCCGCTACCATGCCCAGCTAACTTTTTTTGGTATTTTTAGTAGAGATGGGGTTTCATCATGTTGGCCGGTCTGGTCTTGAACTCCTGACCTCAAGTGATCTGCCTGCCTTTGCCTCCCAAAGTGCTGGGATTACAGGTGTGAGCCACCATGCCCAGCCCTTTTTTTAGGTTGATTTTCATCAATCAATTTTGAGATTGATTAAACACAGTAAATGTTTAAGAAGTAGATAGGTTAATGAATGAACAAGTATTTGGTAATGTTTTGAGATGCCTAACACCGTACAACACACACATGTACATGTAAACATACTTTTAGGAGTAGTTAGGATATATGCACATCATTATAAATAATACATACTTATTTAAAAATATTTTAAAAGAAAATATGTACAAGTAAGATTTAAACATAATTTTAAATGACTCTCTCATAGATCATCAAACACATTTACCATAGTTCTAGACTTAAATTGTTTCCAAATTGTTGTTAGTATTCTGTGATGAACATCTTTGTACACAAAGCTTTTTAAAAAAAAAAACAAGATTATCAATTTATGAAACAGTCTCAGAAGTGAAAAAATGTGGACATTTTAAGACCACTGACAAGGATATAATTACTTTTTTCATTTCACGTTTGATCGTGACAATAAAAAATGATCGTGACTCTGGAGTTTTTAATCATATGAGTAAATGCGCTTTTTTTGCACCCTTTGGGGTTGCGTTTTCTGTCACTTGCAACCAAAAGAGTCTGGAAAACTCACCTCATTGTTTGGTATCTTATTGTAGTCACGTGTGGTGACAGAGAGACTCTTAGGGAGAGGAGAAGACTTTGGAGTCTCTGTATTTGGCTTCCTCAGGTCTCCTGGGGAGCAGTGACTCCTTGTTTCTTCTCAGTGTGTTCAGGTGATCACAGCTGGAGGAAGATCACTAAGCAGAGCCGAAGCACTTAAGAGTGAGGGTCACCCAGCTGCTACCATCAATTGGCGATCCCAGGAAGGATGACCTGGCTGCCATCTCTTGGCTGAGATCTCGGCTCCAGGGAGGAGAGCTCCCTGGAGAGTGAATGCCACCGCCAGGCACGGTCCGTGGACCAGCACTGCAGCCTCCTGGGTGGTCTGCTTGTCTTCCCATGCACAGGGGACGCAATGAGTTGTAGGCTTTGTTACCAACAGGTAGAATGAATGGCAGAAGGCCTCACTGCACGCAGCAGGTGTGAGTGAAGCCGCGAAGACTGAAACTGCATGTCCATGAAGTCCCACCCAAGGCTAAGCAACAAGGGGTTTTCTTCTGCTGATGCTTCAGAACACAGGAGCCTCTAGGAGGCAGGGAACTCTTTCAGCCAGCTGAGCACACAGGACTTGTGAGCCTCGGACTGGCGTGGACCTGGAAACACCATCTGGGATCCATCCTTGAGGTTAGTGCTTCTCAAACTACCTGGGGCTGAGCACAGTTTTCTTTGTTTCTAGCTACCAATCCATGCTGACCGTTGTAAAATATGCTAAAAAGTAACGTTATTAGAAATTTGACAATACAAAAAATACAAAATGCAAGTCTGAGTTTTGCTCTATCAGATTCAAAATCTGAATCAAAATCTGATCAGAAATCAAAATTTCTGAATGCTTATTCTTCATTTCTTTATTTAGCTCTTTGTGGACAGTTAACAAACAGCCTTGAACTGCTCCGGCTACCACTATCATTAGAACTGCTCTGGGGAAAGCATGCTGGCTTTGTTTTAAAGTTTTCAGAACACCGTCGACTTAAAATGCTTCATGTCTCCTAACTTAAGTAAGGATTATCAGCTTGACATTTAAGGGAGTCCGCCACGTAGTCCTAAACTACATTCCCTTCCTCCATTCACTCATTCTTTCAGTTGATCAGTTAATCATTCTATCCCTCCAAATACTGACCAAGTGCCCACTCTACACCAAGCCCGCACCGGGTGGCAGGATACAGTGGTGCACAGGACAGGTAAAGCCCACGGTATAGTGATTTCCCCATCCACACCTGCATCCAAACCAAAGCAGCTCTCAAACTCTGCACCTTTGTCACCCACTGGATGTCTGACTCTCATTTCCTATGGCTCTGTTCGTGTCAGCTACTCCATCTATGATCAGCTGTCATTTATCTGGCCCCTGCCGTGTTCCAGATACTATAATAGGCACCCTACATACAGTATTCCTAATTTTCCCCAAAACTCTACAGGATCTTACTTACTATCCCTCCTGCCACCAAACAACATGGTTCTCCGGAAAGTTCCCTGATTTTACAATTAGATGCAACCTCTTTTTCTTCTAAAGTGTATCTCTGGACTTTTTTTCTTTTTCTTTCTTTTTTTTTTTCTTTTTGAGACAGGGTCTTGGTCTGTTGTTCAGGCTGGAACGTAGTAGCATGATCTCAGCTCACCGCAACCTCTGTCTCCCAGGCTCAAGCGATCCTCCCACCCCGGCCTCCCAAGTAGGTGGGACAACAGGCCCAAGCCACCAACCTTGGCTAATTTTTTTTTTTTGTATTTTTCATAGAGATGGGGTTTTGCCATTTGCCTAGGCTGGTGTTGAACTCCTGAGCTCGAGCCGTCTGCCCGCCTCGGTCTCCCTAAGTGCTGAGATTAGAGTCATGAACCACTGCGCCCAGCCTCTGCACTTAAAAACAAAAACAAAAAACCAACTTTTTTTATTGAAGTGTAACATACATTTAGAAAAGTAAACATATTTGTACAGCTCAATGAATATTCAGAAACTCAACACACCCATGTAACCTGCACCTAGGTAAAAAAATAGAACCCAACAGAACCCTGAACCCCTGCTCGTACCCCTTCCCAGTCCCTACCTCTATCCCTCCCTAAGAAGAGTCACTATCCTGCCAGGTGTGGTGGCTCATGCCTGTAATCCCAGCATTTTGGGAAGCCAAGGCGGGTGGATCAGAAGGTCAGGAGTTTGAGACCAGCCTGGCCAATATGGTGAAACCCCGTCTCTACTAAAATACAAAAATTTAGCCGGGTGTGGTGGTGCGTGCCTGTAGTCCCAGCTCCTCAGGAGGCTGAGGCAGAAGAATCACTTGAACCTGGGAGGCAGAGGTTGCAGTGAGCTGAGATTGCGCCACTGCACTCCAGCCTGGGTGACAGAGCGAGACTCCATCTCAAAAAACTAAACAACAACAAAACAGAAGAGCCACTATCCTGACCTCTACCTGTAGGGTTTAATTTTGCCTGTTTTTATTCTTCATCTAACTAGAACCTAAAAGTATGTATTCTTGCAACCGGCTTAGCTTATTCAGCATTGCTGGTGAGATTATATTGTTCATTCTCACTGTTGTATCCTACTCCATCCTGTGAATACATCAGTTTCTTCATACGTTGTATTGCTGATGGGCATTTGGGTAGTTTCCAGTGCTGCCATGAACATTCTAGAACATGTCTGTTGGTAAACTTGTGGATGCACTCTTGCTGCGTAGCCAGAAGCAGGACTGCAGGAACATGGGGTTTGCCTATGTCCAATGTTAGTTGATACTCTGACCTCTTTAAAGGCACTTTTAGTATTCTACATTATGTTAAACATATTTGTGAACTTACTTCATTTTCCTTACCAGAGCGTGATTTAGTGAGTACATATTATTTATGCCCTGCCTCATTTTAAAACAAGGGGTCTAACATGCAATATAAGATAGAAAACTGAAGTGAAAAGCAGGAAGGAAAATAAGGGCGGGAGGTGGGGTGTGGGGGATGAAGTGAACATAAGGTAATGGCCAAGATACATTCCACAAGGTCTTCAACACTTTTTAAGAAGCTGGTCTACAGGCCGTGTGCAGTGGCTCACACCTGTCATCCCAGCACTTTGGGAGGCCAAAACAGGCAGATGGTTTGAACCCAAGTTTGAGGTCAGCCTGGTCAACATGGTGAAACCCTGTCTCTATAAAAAATTAAAAAAAAAAAATTACCCATGTGTGGTGGTGCAAGCCTGTAGTCCCAGCTCCTTGGGAGAATGAGGTGGGATGATCACTTGGGCCCAGGAAGTCTAGGCTTCAGTGAGCCGTGATTGAGCCACTGTACTCTGACCTTGGTGACAGAATAAGACCCTGTCTCAATAAATACAAATAAAAAGAAATAAAAAATAAAAGCTAATCTACAAGTGTGGTTGAGCTTCCTGACAGCCAGTACAAAGAGGGAACGAAGGTACACAATTAAATGTTCACAAGATAAAAGTACCAACTGTTCAGCAATGTTGCTATTTCTGGTTCTGAGATTTAAAAAATGTAAATTCAAGTATTCCTACAGGGGATGTTATTTGACATTGAAAACGAAGATCCCGACTTCATTGCAGTAATAGCAGTAACAAATGTTAGTTTCTCCCCTTCCCTTCTAACCACGCTGAATATGGACATGCTCAAGCACAGTTCATTACAACTAACTCCTTAAAGGAATCAACACAATCCAGATACACAATTCTCAAAAGTCGTGACTAAAGAGGGAAAAAAAGTGGGTTCAAAGTATAGTCCAGGGACCACTAGGGGTCTCTGAAACCTTTCCAGGGGGTCTGCATGGTCAAAACTATTTTTAGAAAACGATTAAAGCTTTTTTGCCCTTTTTACACTCTTCCTTTTATGGATGTGTACAGAGGAGTTTTCCAGAGGCCATGTGATGTGTGATAGAGCAACAGATCGAATACAGAAGCAGATGTGAGAATCCAGCTATTTCCTGTTAAGCCAGACATTAAGGAGATTTGCAAGTTATTTTTTGTCTTGGAAAATAAATTTTTCCACACAAAAATGTCATATTAACCTATATGTTATTAATATTTTGAAATGACTTAATAAACATTTTTCAAATTTGCTTTAATTTCTAATACAGTAAGTATCTATAGATGTAACCCACATAAACAGAATCACTTTGGACTTCTTGATTTTTAAGAGTGTAAAGGTGTCCTGAGATTAAAAAGTTTAAGAATCTCTGACATAAAGGAAGATTTCCCCCAAAAGTTGCTGCTTGTTCCCAACTCCCAAGAGATAATCTATAAAAACTGTCCTGTGATCAAATGCATTTGGGAAATGTTATGCCTTTCTTGGAAATCAGAAAAATTAGAAGCAAATAAACATAATCAACTTTGTTTCTTAAATGGATTTGACTAAGGACCCCCTCTTTCAAGTGCTCTGTCATCATCTTAGGGGCACACCTGGGAAACTCATGGATAAATCGCAAGGCCCTCTGTCAGTCCTCATAAATAGCATCTCTTACAACTTGGCCTCTGTCACGTGTGGACAGCAGAGAGTCTGAAGTTAACATCTCTGGCAACATGAAGAGTGATCCTTTTATAAATGTCAAGGCAACTGAGCAGGACAGACAGCCCCTTTATCTCTGTAAAGAGGTGGGCTGAGGGCAGGAACAGGCCCGGGACAAAGACTCCACTCAGGAGATAAATCTGGGTCTGTTCCATCCAAGACAGTCAATCGAGTCCCCACAGTTCTTCTCTACAGAACTCAGACACAGTCATTTTAGCCTGGACATCTTCCAAAGCAGATGGTACCACATGCTCGCTTCGGTCATAAAGAAATCTCAATCATGCTCCCAAAGAATGTTTGACTTTAAGTTATATAACTTCCTGGTGCCCTTTCCAAAAAAAAAAAGAAGTGGTCAAATGTACCCCTAATGAGTCAACTTCTTTTACTGGATTGTGAACTGTAAGTCAATTAAATGTTAGGGAATGGGAATGCCTACCAAAAATGTTGACTTTGGTTTTAGAACTATCAACCTTAAGTCTTCTTGACAGTAATTACAAAATTGGGCCAGCTGTCTGTTAAGAAAACTCCAGGTTCACAATAATAAAATTATGTCATCAGGCAGCTCATAGACAGCTTACAGTAATGTGCAAGACACTCCGATATAAAAATGAAAAAAGTGTGCCACTTCAGAAGCGTATCATCTAGTAAGAGGTTAGACAGAGCAAAGGAAGAAGGAAGGAAAGGGAGGGAGGGAAGGAAAGAAAGAGGGAGGGAGGGAGGAAAGGAAAGACGACAGGTTGAGCATCCCTAATCTGGAATCTGAAATGCTCCAGAATCTGAAACTTTTTGAGCACCAACATGACACAAGTGGAAAATTCCACACCTGACCTCATGTGATGGTTTTAGTCAAAAGTTTGTTTCATGTACAAAATTATTTTAACATTATATCAAATTGCCTTCAGGCTATGTGTATAAAGTATATGAAACACAAATAAATTTCATGCTTAGACTTGGGTCCCATCCTCAAAATGTCTCATCATTTATATGCAAATATTCCAAAATCCAAAAAAATCTCAAGTCCAAAACACTTCTGTTCCCAAGCTTTTCTGGATAAGGGATACTCAACTAGTCTTCTCACTTTCATCTTTGCAGCACCTAGTGAGGTACCTGGTAGAGAATCACCATTCAATATTTGTCTCAACAAATTTGTTATTTACCTCTAAAACGTTTACCTGAGTACAAACAGATGAATCGCACACAGATACCTAGTCAAATATAATGTAGTCAAATTGTACTTCTCGGCACTATAATTTTAATTGCTTTACAAAAGATGATTTACAAAAAGACACCACTGCAAAGTAGAAATAAATCATTTTAATGTCTATTTTTTCACTTCTATTAATTGATTATTGATTTCTACACAAGTGTATGCATCTAGTTTGACTTGCTTCATATTTATTTTCCAACACGGTGCAATCTTCAGCATGAGGTGCACGAAGTACCTTGTCCTCAAAGAGCTTTATCAACTCGAACATTTTCGAAGAGCTCTATAAGGCAGCTCAGCATGGCAGTTTTTTACTGAAATCTCTTATCTGGAAGATGGCAGAAGAGACCCGGACCTTCCCGAGCCCACTGGTTGCTTGTATTCATATCACAGCTCGCTTGAGTAAGTGGTAACGACAGAATAATAAGCAGATTGCTCCTCCAAACCCAGCTGGGTGAGATAGCTTCATTTTTGGAAAATCAACTGAATCATGAAAACCTTCCTAATGGTATAATTTGTTCCAGAGTTCTTTTGATACTTAAGAAGGGAAATATTAATCCTTGTGCACAGTCTTTTATTACAAGCACTCTTATTTATGGTATTACAGAGTTTTCTTCTCCAGCCGTCATTCTCTGGTGAGGTGACTGGCTGTACCCCATGCAGAATCGAAAGCATGAAGAAATCTCCTTTCTTAATCAGAGCTGATGACAGCCCTCTCATTTCCTGCCAAATGGATCAGACCACACTTTTAACCCTATGGAAAGAAACAGGAACAAAAACAGGATTCATTTTTAAATGTCCTTCCACTTTCCTCCACCCCAAACAAACAAAATGACATCAGAACTGAGCTGTGCAATTTACAGTGTAGTTTGAGATGGTGTGAGCAGGCTGCCGGAACCTTGGCATTAAATGGCCAGGAAGCCATGGCTGCCATAAGGGACTTTTAAATGGCTCAGGAATTGTACCCCATAGCAGGAAGACCGACATCTGGCCTAGTTAAAAAATAAATAAATAAAAAAGAATGTTGCCACAGATTATAAGAGCTTTGGTTAATAAATGAGAAACCTCTCATTCCTGGCTAACTTGGATCCTCTGAAAGGAACTAACCATTCAGCCATAAAGGGAGCTTTTTAGCCCTTGTGCAAAGCAGAACCCCACATCAATTCAAACAGCTAACAAGTAAACACTATTTTCCCATGAGGGGAGTGTTTAAATAGGTGCTTGGTAAATAAGTCTGCCAAACAGCTATTCACGTCTCATATCGAATCACGCACTTGTTAACATTTTTATGCCCACTTATAAAATGGAAAAGAGGAACCTGGCAAACGTGCAAAAAGTATTCTGGAGTGAAATATTAGAATGACGCCTTGGGTGGCATCTATAAATGGCAACTGTTGAGAAATAAATAGCAAAATCACAATCTTGTCTCTAAGCTAAAAGGCATTTTCCCACTCTCCACGCCAAGGCAAACACACACAAACCCGCACAACACAGTAGTACAAATAAGATTTGGTTTTGATTTTTTTTTTTCAGTTTACCTGGTGGCTGCACATCCTCTTGAACAATTCCAGCCCGATTTATAGCTTGTTCCTTCTCTGAGAAACATAAGAGAAAAATCATTCTTTAGAAGGGGGGCGGGGAGAGAGAAATATTTGTATTTACATGGGCCAATGACATGGGACAATTAGAAAACAGTATTTATGAGTGCTGTTAAATTCAGATACGCTATTATGCAAAGCTTTTAGGTTGTGGAAGTTAGATCCTATAATGCAAAAGAGATTGGGTATTTTCAAAAGAATAAAGAAATCCATACTTCAAAAGAAAAGCTCCCCAACTAACATCTCTTCTCTGTGATCTCAGCATTTTGGAAAGACAAGAAAACAACAACAAAAAAAGAACAATTTTGAAAGAACTGGTGGGCGTGATATCACGAGGGGAAAGCTGCTGAATTGAAGGAACAAGTACAATTAAGAAAACGATGTAGTTTATATGTCTAAAATGCACTCCACCAAAGGACTAGACTCAGAGCTAAATATGCTATGTTTTTGATAGGAAATAGAGCAGAAAATTAATCTTTGGGTGGGTGGCTTTGGTTTGGATAATTGAAGCTTCCCTAATTGATTGCAGGTGCTGCGCCAATTAGCACATTGTAGCGACAGCAACTAAGCCAGTCTCTTTGGAGATGTCCAACAGGCAAGGGCCAAGAGAAATTGGGCATTTCATATCTGTGGGCTTGAAGCACTCTGACACATTTTTCTAAGTGGTTTAGAATAAACCCAAGGTCTGTAAAAACAAAGAGTTATTATTTTAAGTATCTTGACAAACAAATGACAGCTTTTCAGGAGAAAGCCTTAGAGCCAAAGGACGTTTACCACTAAATTATAGTAATGAAATGTCATAATCGGACCTTTGTTTTAATCAGGCTGACAGTGTTTCTTTAAATCCACATTTAGCTCTTATTTAGTATCAGGCCATTTTCTTTACTTTGGCCTCTGGATTCTCATAAAGTTACACAAACGTAACGGTACAAGAAACAGGGTTTGGCCAAATCTAATATTCATTGAACTTGCTTCTCTAGTCATGTGACAGAAAGTCAATCCTAAATGACCGACCTGATAGTTTTATCAATACTAAGTTTTGCTGTGGCAAATAAAACACTGGGCAATGGGGATTATGGGAATCCTGATATCCAAGTCTAAGAGGGATGGAGAGAACACATAGGATACTCAGGCCTATTCCAGGCAACAAGCGGCCTGATGGTTTCACTGCTCCTCTCTGAAAAGTAGCGGATGAATGGCAACCAAGATTCTCTCAAGATATATCAAAAGATTTCTTCCATTTAGAGTGGATATTATGGAGCCTCTAAAGTGTTAGACTTTCTGAAATAACACAAAAGGTGTCCTCATTTCTTAAGACATTAAATCATTGTAGAACTGAGCCCCACCATCCTATAGACATGTAAGTCTCAAAGTATGGATGTCTCGAACATGCTCTTGGAAGATACCAACATGTAAAAGCCCACAGTCATCAGTCTTGGCAGGAACAAAAATAGAATTAATTTTCTGTATCTAACTAAAAGGTCTATTTTCTGATACTATGGAAGAGGGAAGATTTGAGTTTTAAAAAATCACTATCAGAAAGCATTCTAGACTTAGAGATTTCATAAAATCAGACATCCTGGTGTACCAAACACATTGTCCAGAGGCAGGTACTGCAAGGCAAAAGAAGCTGGCAGACTGCCAAGCATCAAAGGAAGCTGACTTTTGGTGGCAAGGACCGAATGCCTAATTGGGTTCTAACCTCTTATGATGCAACGGAGAACCAAATGAAAAGAAAGAAATCCCTGTCTTCACACTTTCTTGCTAATTGCTAATGAGGCTGAAGCAAGGCTGAAGATTTATTTTAAATAGACCATAATCTCTTTATAATCCTTGTCCTAATGCAAACACCTCTGTAGTTTGGCTTGGTCAGGAAATTTAAACCACTTTGCTGAGCCAGTTCCTACCAAATGATAACCAGGTATTAGCATCCTATCTACATCCCCTGGTTCTTTAATCCATTAATGTTTTATAAATACTCTAAGGCCAAAGCAGTCTTATGTAAATTCATGATGTAACACAAAGACACTTTATCTGTGAATGCAGAATACTCTAAAAGGAAAACAGAAACGAGTCCCTCACGATTTAGCAGTGCATCTTGATTGAGGTTGACAGTAAGCTTCTATTTCCCTATCTTTGGAAAAGAGCAAATGTATATAAACCTCAGGAAAAGGGAAATGGCAGAAGTCAGGGGTTTAACTATGTAAACAAATCAGGATAAACTTATTACCAATTTCACTAGTGAGCACATTTCTATCAGGAGTGAAATAATTTAAACCCAAATATGGCACACCGGGTTAAAAAACTCCCCACTCCAGTGTCTCAGCAAGCCCGACTCTGCCCCCTGGTGCTAAGGCAGTGGTGTGATTTGTAGTTTTAATTGAGGACGTTATCTCTGGTCCAGGGGCCAAAGTGTATTATTAAAACTAGTAATACATGCAGACCGGCTGATTTTTTGTACGATAGTAAAAGAATCTACCTAATAATGTTGAAGTCTTTAAAAACAAAAACATATCCTTATATTAAATGTCCACACCGGAAAATACATCGACTGTGTGACTTGTTACTTGAACATTCACAACAATGCAAACACTGCAGGATACTCAAGCCCCAGCTCCCTCAGCAGTCTCAGGATTATTCGTTGAGGGTGCTCTAGTGGAGGACCAGCAGACAGAAACCTAAAATAAAAAAGCAAATGAAAGCTGGTGCAAGGTATGACCTTGGGAACCTACCTCCCTATTTCTTCCTGCCAATAAATACTTAAAAGCAACTCTGCCGGGCGCAGTGGCTCACACCTGTAATCCTAGCACTTTGGGAGGCCGAGGCGGGTGGATCACCTGAGGTCAAGAGTTCAAGACCAGCCTGGCCAACGTGACGAAACCCCATCTCTACTAAAAATACAAAAATTAGCCAGGCATGGTGGCGGGCGCCTATAATCCCAGCTACTTGGGAGGCTAAGGCAGGAGAATTGCTTGAACCTGGGGGTCAGAGGTTGTAGTCAGCCAAGATCATGCCACTGCACTCGAGCCTGGGCGCAAGAGCAAAACTCTGTCTCAAAAAAGAAAAATAAAAAAATAAAATAAAATAAAAGCAACTCACAACTTGAATTGTGACAAATGGCAAAATTTGAACGTGGGCTGTATATTCCATACAAGTTGAATATCCCTTATCTGAAATTGGTTGAGAACAGAATTGGTTTGGATTTAGGATTTTTTTCAGATTTTGGAATATTTACATATATATATAACAAGATATCTTGGGGATGGGATCCAAGTCTAAACATTAAATTCATTTGTTTCACATACATCTTATATACATAGACTGAAGATAATTTTATACAATGTTTTTAATAATTTTGTGCATGAAACTAAATTTATATTAAGTACTTATGTGTGGTATTTTCCACTTGTGTCATTTTGGAACTCAAAAAATTCCAGATTTTGGAGCATTTTCCATTTTCAGATTAGAAATGCTCCAACTGTAATAGCACTGTATCAACGTTAAATTTCTTAGATTGGAAAACCGCATTGTGATTACATAAGAGAATGCCCTTGTTCTTCGGAAATACAGGCTGAAGTGTTTAGGAATGAAAGCTCACAATGTCTTTGACCTACTCTCAAATGGTTCAACAAAATAACAGTAATAATTATAATATATAGTACATATAACTATATCTGTATATATGTATGTATCTGTATGTTATATATAGGGGGAGAAAGCAAATGTGGCAAAATGTTAACAACTGGTAAATCAAGGTGAAGGACAATATAGGAATTTACTGCACTGTTCTTGGATCTTTTGTCAGTTTGAGTTTCTTTTGTTTATTTATTTATTTTTTGAGAAAGAGTCTTGCTCTGTCACCCAGGCTGGAGTACAGTGGCGTGATCTCGGCTCACTGCAACCTCTGCCTCCCAGGTTCAAGTGATTCTGCTGCCTCAGCCTCCCCAAGTTTGAGTTTCTTTTTTCACTAACAAAAACCACATAACTGTACAACATGCATACGAAAAGTCCAACACCATTTTGACTCTTCCATGGTGATTATTTCAAAGAAGCTATCTTTTAAAAAGTAGCAAATATAAAATTTTTTTCAAAAGCTTTTCAGTTGCTTTTGTTGCTGCTGTTACCTAGATACATACACCATCTGCCTCTGGGGTATTCCAGAACTGGAGGTTCACTGGTGGTGAGTGTGAACCAGGGGCCAAGGGGAAGCCATATGACCGCAGCAGCAAGTGCAACCCAGTTGGCTGAAGGGGACCAAATGGACGTGGTGACAAGAAAGAACCAGGGACGGAGGGGAAGCCATATGACCACAGGAGCAAGTGTGACCCAGTTGGCTGAAGGGGACCAAGTAGCCACTTGAAGCACTGCACTCCTCCCAACAGTGTCAACAGGTCTGTTTCCTCACCAGAGCCTGGTTGAATCCAGGGAACTGTGTAATGCCAGTTAGAAAACAAGACCCAGTCTGCCTGCGCATTTCATTCGATTATGTGGTGAAAGGACTGAAAAGCATATTCTAAGCACCTGGCATGTCACAAGGAAAATGCCCTGACAAGGTAAGAATTCTTTCTGCATCAGGTGATTTCCAGTACCGTGTGCTGCCTAGGCATAGCCTCCTTTTGGGCAGGGGCAGCAAGGTGCAGCGGAAATCAACAGGACTGAGAAGCAGCAGAACTGAGGTCTCACAGCTCTCCCCTGTGGCCTTTCACTTGGCTGGCTGTTGAACATTCTTCACTGTCTGAAGGCATCATGAGGCAGGGCATTAAGTACAGGCAAGGTCAAGGAGTTAGGGCCTAGTGTCCACCCAGCAACTAATGTGCTGAGTAACCTTGGACAAGTCACTAAATGAGGGGACGGAAATGAGCTCAAGCCCCTTCTGGTCAAACCCTATGATTTTATGCTTCTGAACATCCAATTAAAATTTCAAATGAAAAGGATCACAGAAAATGATCTTATTCTGTCTAATTTCACAGGCTGGCCTCAAATGCATGTTATTTGTAAAAGGCCATATTCAGGGTCACTGTCTAGTTCTAGGAAACAAAGACAGATTAGCCATCTGTACTCTTCCCTAACTGTGGCCTCTTCAGACCAAACATGCTATGCCAACAGGGTGAAAGCTAAAAAGTGTCTGGGACTCCCTCCAGAAGTACAGCAGAACTGTACCCAGACTTCTGGTTTTGGGTCACTGACCCACTGATGCCATCATCTGTCCAGCGCTCATTTCAGTACTTGAGGTATCATGTACAGAACTGCCTTGTACTCCACATAACACTTAGGAAAGCCTTGCTAAGTTAACGAAAGAACTGAAGATCATGCTGAACGCCAAAATGAAATCCAATAAGGCAGTCTGGTGATAGTGGCTGCCTGCTCTGCAACCATGGAAGATCTCCTTGGCTTTGTTTTACCTAAGCAGGCTTCCCCTTCTTTTCTGCTGCCTGTATGCTTGTTCCAGCAGAGACCCTGGAACGTACCTGTCCCCATATCCATGCTGGCACAGGTGAAGGGCCCGGACTGATCTGACACTTGGCTCTACATGGACTGCCTTGCCAGTTGCCAGCCCTAAGTCTTGCTTTTACCAGTAACCCAGTTCTCAGGGAGTAGGCTTCTGCCCTGTCCATCCAAGAATGATGGGCTTCTGCCCCACAGTCTCAGGATCCTGGGGAATGAAATGTATGAAGGACGGTCAGGAGAGAAGGCCTAACAAGAAAGGCTAACAGGAGTGGCTGAAAGGCAGGAGCAAAAGAGCAAACCCAGGAGGACCTTCCACGGTGGAGAGGCCCAGGGAAGACAGTGCTCCAAGGAAGGAGAGGATGGCCTAGAGTTGGTGCCTCTTACTCATAAATGACCTGACTTCCTGTGTCACAAAGAGAATAGACGCCATCACCTGGAAGTGCCCACAACTTGCCAACATCAAACCTAGATATGGCAGCATCCACACCATCCTTCCTCCTGAGCTGGTGGAAGAGGTGCCTTGCCTTTGGTCCAAGGCTCTTTCCTCTACTTGAGCTCAGGATCTCATGTCACCTCCCACTCTACGGACTGTCTTCTCTCTCCAGCAGCTTTCTCTGTCTAAGACTTTCTTGGCCCTCCATCTCTTCCAGCCAAAACTAAAAGAAAACTCTTCCCAGACCCTGTGACCTGCTGGAAACTTTGCCATTCTCCTCTCCATACAGCTAAACATCTATAAATAGTCAACTTAATACACTATTAATAGTCAACTTAATACACTTCAATCCACTGCAACCTGCCTTCTGCCTACTTCCAAACCACTGAAAGCATGTTTAACAATATAACCAATCACTTCTAACTTATTTCTGTTAAATATAATTCATATTTTCACTTATCTCTTTTACTGTCTCTAAGCAGCCTAACCCTGCTGACCACACTCCCTTTTCATGAAGAGCTGTCTTTATGGGGCTTGTGACTGCAGCCTCTCCTGGTTTAAAACCTGTCTAGCCACTCCTCCTCAGTCTCCTTAGAGGGCCTTTCTCTTCCTCTGACCCCCTATGCTTCAGCCCTTCTGACACTGGTGTTCCCCAGCACACTGCCCCGGGCCAGCTTGCCCCTTACAATCTCTGAATGCTGCCTGGGAACCCTTACCTACTGCAGTGACCTGATTCCCAGCCACGTGCTGATGATGCCCCATCTCCAGCTGCAGCTCACATCCGGCGTCTCAGCCCCAGATCGGTATATTCCATTGTCTATGGGAAATCTCAAAGAGCACATCAGCTACCTCAGCCTCAAAAGCTACCCAAATGCCCAAAAGCAAACTAACTTGTCTTTTCACCCCTAAAACCAATTCCTTCTTGTGTTTTCTAGCTAATGACCAGCATCTCCATCTCCTCAGCTGCTGGAGCCAGAACACTGGGTGCCATTCTCCTTCTTTGCCCCGTGGCTAATCAGCCACAGACCCCTGTAGAGTTTACTTCTTTTCTTTTTTTTAAATGAGACAGGGTCGCGCCATGTTGCTCAGGCTGGTTTGAACTCCTGGACTCCAGCGATCCTCCTGCGTCAGCTTCCCAAAGTGCTGGGATTACAGGTTTGAGCCACCATGCCCACCAGTTTGCTTCTTAAATATGGCTCCCAAATGCAGTCACTTATCTCCACTCCCATAGCCACCACTCTGGTCTCCCTGAGGTCACAGGAAACACAGCCTTCCCGTACCTGGCCTTCCTGTCCCCAGATTTGACTTTTCCACCTTCTAGTTAACATACAATCAATCAGAGTGATGCTTGTAAAGAGTGAATATGATCACTGCTCTTACTAACATACAGTCCTGTGTCACTCATCTGTGGGAGTACATTCTGAGAAATGCGTCCTTAGGTGATTTCATTGTTGTGCAACCATCATAGAGTGTACTTGCACAAACCTAGACAGTGTAGCCTACTACACACCCAGGCTATGTGATATAGCCTATTGTTCCTAGGCTACAAACCTGTACAGCCTGGTACTGTACTGAATACTGCAGGCAACTGTAACACATGGTAAAGATTTGTGTGTCTAAACATAGCTAAACTTGAAAAGGTACAGTAAAAACACTGTATAAAAGATTTTCCAAATGGTGTACCCAAATAGGATATTTACCTTGAATGAATCCTGCAGGAGTGGAAGTTGCTCTGGGTGAGTGAGTGGTGAGTGAATGTGAAGGCCTAAGACATTACTGTACACTACTACAGACTCTATAAACACTGCACACTTAGGCTACACTACATTTATTGTTTAAAATTTCTTTCTTCAGTAATAAATGAACCTCAGCTAGCTTTTTTACTTTATAAACTTTTAAATTTTTAAAACTTTTTGACTCTTATAGTAACATTTAGCTTAAAACACAAACATCTACAGCTGTACAAAAATATTTTCTCTTTATATATCTTCATTCTATAGACATCTTTCTATTTTAAAATTATTATTATTTTTTCCTTTTTAAACTTTTGTGTGAGAAACTAAGATACAACATATATATTAGCCTAGGCCCACACAGGGTCAGGATCATCAGGACATCACTAGGCGACAGAAATTTTTCAGCACCATGATAATCTTATGGGACCACTGTCATACATGGTCTATCGCGGGCCAAAATATGATACAGCACATGACTATACTTCAATAACCCTCCACTGGCTGGACTTCCAAGACACCAAAGGGTTACTGGAGCACTGTAATTAAGCAAGTGAGATGATTAAATTTGGATGGCGTGACAAACTTTTCAAAAACCATGGCAGAAGACCTGCAGTTCTATACATTTTCCAATAGACAAAAACAGAGGTTCCCAGTTACAAATTCTTACCAAAGAAGTAGTAACAGATGTATGTCAGAAGGGAGAAAACTGAAGCTAGAAAGGAGTGAAATGTAAGCAGCGTCGGTGAGTAAAGAACGCGGGTGAAGATAAACAGTCAGTGACCATATACAATAGTGATGGTGTTAACTGATTTGCTGAGTCACAGGCACCAGGCAGGACAAATATATTATGTCAGGTGCATGGGACAAAGGTTAAGGCATTATAAGGACCTTGTATTGTTCAAGGGTAAAGACACTGACTAACTCTAAACTTTATAAAAGAACAAAAATAGAATTTAAAACTTTCAAACTAGTAGCGGGAAGAGAAGAATAAAGAAGGCTTGAGGCAGAAAAGAAGAAAAAAAGGAAGCATAGAAATAGAACAGAAGGCCGGGTGCAGTGGCTCATGCCTGTAATCCTAACACTTTGAGAGGCTGAGACAGCCGGATTGCCTGAGCTCAGGAGTTTGAGACCAGCCTGGGCAACATGGTGAAAGCCCATCTCTACTAAAATACAGGAAAAAAAAAAAATTAGCCGGGCGTGGTGGCATGTGCCTGTAATCCCAGCTACTTGAGAGGCTGAGGCAGGAGAACTGCTTGAATCCAGGAGGCAGAGGTTGCAGTGAGCCGAGATCTTGCCACTGCACTAACAATCTGGTGACAGAGCAAGACTGTCTCAAGAAAAAAAAAAGAAGACACAAAATGAGGTGAGAAAAATAAATGCAAATATATCAGTAAATAGAATAAATGAAAATTAATCCAATCCAATAGTTAAAAGAGCTTATCAGGTTGGATTAAAATATCTAGTTTATGTTGGTTTTAAGATATTCACAGGCCAGGCGCGGTGGCTCACGCCTGTAATCCCAGCACTTTGGGAGGCCGAGGCGGGTGGATCATGAGGTCAGGAGATCGAGACCATCCTGGCTAACAAGGTGAAACCCCGTCTCTACTAAAAATACAAAAAATTAGCCGGGCGCGGTGGCGGGCGCCTGTAGTCCCAGCTACTCGGGAGGCTGAGGCAGGAGAATGGCGTGAACCCGGGAAGCGGAGCTTGCAGTGAGCCGAGATTGCGCCACTGCAGTCCGCAGTCCGGCCTGGGCGACAGAGCGAGACTCCGTCTCAAAAAAAAAAAAAAAAAAAAAAAAAAGATATTCACATAAGGACAAAGTCTGCGTGTATAAGGAGAGAAACAGATAAGCTAGGAAAATATTAAAAGAAATCTGGGCTGGGAGCAGTGGCTCATGCCTGTAATCCCAGCACTTTGGGAGGCTGAGGCAGGTAGATCACCTGAGGTCAAAGAGTTCGAGACCAGCCTGGCCAACATGGTGAAACCCCGTCTCTAGTAAAAAATACAAAAAAATAGCCAGGCGTGGTGGTGGGCACCTGTAATCCCAGCTACTTGGGAGGCTGAGGCAGGAGAATTACTAGAACCTGGGAAGCGGAGGTTGCAGTGAGCTAAGATCACACCATTGCACTCCAGCCTCCAGCCTAGGCATCAACAGCGAAACTCCATCTCAAAAAAAAAAGGAATCTGGTAGCACAATAAAATCAGATAAAATAGAGATGGGGAAGAACAGTGGAGATAAAGATAATTCTTATATAATGATAATTAGAAAAAATTATCCAGAATTTTCTAGATTGTATGCACCTAATAACATGGCCACAGGACATCCAAATACAAACAGAATTAAGAAGCTTGATCTGTAATTAACATACACAGATACAGAACTCTGTACCCAACAAGAGAACAGCCACCATTCCAAGCACACAGGGAATATTTACAAAAACTGACCTGGGCCAGGCGCGGTGGCTCACGCCTGTAATCCCAGCACTTTGGGAGGCCGAGGCAGGCGGATCACGAGGTCAGGAGGTCGAGACCATCCTGGCTAACACGGTGAAACCCCGTCTCTACTGATAATACAAAAAATTAGCCGGGCGTGGTGGCGGGCACCTGTAATCCCAGCTACTTGGGAGGCTGAGGCAGGAGAATGGCGTGAACCCGGGAGGCGGAGCTTGCAGTGAGCAGAGATCACGCCACTGCACTCCAGCCTGGGCGAAAGAGCGAGACTCTGTCTCAAAAAAAAAAAAAACAAAAAAAAAAAACTGACCTGTACCAGGCCCCAAAGCAAGTCTTGACCAGTGTCAGAGAATCAAAATCATATAGTCCACATTCTCTGACCATAAATGCAAATAAGATAGAAACCAGCAACCAAAAGTCACCAGAAAAGACCACTGTGGCTGCTAGGTAGAGAATGGGTAGTAGGTGGGACACAATGGAAGCAGCTCAGTCCCAGGAATGGGTGGAGCGAGGTGGACAGGACAAGGGTAGGAAGAGCATGATGGAAGGAAGTGACTGACCATGCTGTTTGGTTAGGTGCAGTCCACACCCAGCACAGTGCCAGGCACCCAGCGATTGCTAGAATCCAGGTTTCTTCTAAAAAAGAGAGTGCTAAATAAATGCTAGTTGAATGTGTTGGAATGAGCTGAAGATCCGACCACACAGTGGGTTTCCATGACCTGATCATGAACACCTCATCCCAGTTTACTGCTAGGTCAGCCAGCTCCAGGCCTATCCACCTGCTAAAATCTCCATGTCTCACATTCCTGCCCTTGTGGCTCATTATTTTGTAAACATTTTAATAAAATATCTAATATAAGACTATAGTAGGTGTTTCCACACCTGTTACCCCATTTAATTCACCCCAAACCCTGTAAATTCAATCCAGTGAACTACACTGCTACAGATGAGGAAACAGGCAGGGCTCAGAGAAGTGAAGTAACTTAGATGAGGGTCATTCATCTAGTAGGCTATGCAGACACTCATCTCCCCCATTGCCTTTTCTTGCCCCCTTAGACAAGCAGTATGCTGTCTTGGTTTAGGGATTAAGGATATTAATTCAAGTCCCAGATCTGTGACTCATCAGCTGTAGGTCCTTGTGTAAGTAATTTAACTGTTTCACACCTCAGTTTGTCCACATATAAAATGGGGATGATGATCATATAGCAGCTGCCACAAAGGGCTGTTATCAACACTAAATGGGTTAATATATAGGAAGTGCTTAGAAGAGTGCCAAACATATAGTAAACTTCCCACAAATATTACCTGTTCAGCAATATTTACCTGTTTAAAAGAATCAGTTGCTGGCACTGAAGGCGAAAGCTGTGTAAACGCTCTGCCCATTACAAATGTTACAGCAGTCAGTTTGTAACACTAGCACTTTGGGAGGCTGAGGCAGGAGGATCGCTTGAGGTGAGGTGTTTAAGACCAGCCTGGCCAACATGGCAGAATGCTGTCTCTACTAAAAATACAAAAATTAGCCAGGACTGGTGGTGCATGCCTGGATTCCCAGCTACTTGGGAGGCTGAGGCACAAGAATCACTTGAACCTGGGAGGCAGAGGTTGCGGTGAGCCGAGATCATGCCACTGCACTCCAGCCTGGGCGACAGAGGGAGACTGTCTCAGAAAAAAGAATCAGTTACGATCCCCAGAAAAGAGTTGGCCAAATTAATCAAAATGGAACCAGAGGCCAGGCGTGGTGGCTCACACCTATAATCCCAGCACTTTGGGAGGCCAAGGCGGGTGGATCACCTAAGGTCAGGAGTTCGAGACCAGCCTGGCCAACATGGTGAAACCCTGTCTCTACTAAAATATACAAAAATTAGCTGGGCATGGTGGCAGGTACCTGTAATTCCAGCTACTCAGGAGGCTGAAGCAGGAGAATTGCTTGAACCTGGGAGATGGAGACTGCAGTGCGCCGAGATCAGGCCACTGCACTCCAGCCTGGGTGACAGCGGAAAAAAAGAAAAAAAAACAAAAAGGAACCAGAAAAGTGGGAAGGCACAGACTGCCTGCCTTCTAGTTAAAAATGCAGATATTATAGTTACATTCACTAAATGTTCACCCACAGATGAACATCACCTGATTTGTCTGTCTCAAGACATTCAGACAACCACAGATTCTGGAGTATCCCTAAAAGACTGTTGCTGGGATACACAGTACAAGTCCCCATCTTGACCATTTCATCTCAAGCAGGGTTTCTCAACCAAGGCACCACTCGAATTTTAAGCTGGGTAATTCTTTGTCATGGGGGTCTGTCTTGTATGCACTGCAAAAAGTTTAGCAGTATCCCTGGCATCTATCCACAAGAAACCAGTAGCAACACTCGACCCCCCCCCCGCCCCATCCCAAGTTGTGACAAGCAAAAATGTCTCCAGATTGAGCCAAATATCCTGCGGGGCAAAATCACCCCTAGATGAGAACCACAGCTCTAGTTTTCAGAACTGACTTTTCCAATGGGATGCAAAGCAGACCCTTTGTCCCAAGTTCTAGTGGCCTCAATATAATCGCTGGGGCAGGCGTCCGCTGAAGAAGGATGGTGGAAACAGATCCCGCAGGGCTTCACACAGCCCACCTTACTCCCACGCATGGTGCATGCAGATAAGCTGGAAGGCAGAACACAGTGGCCATTTCAGTCTTGGCTAATGAAAAGAAGCTACAAGGAAATCTGAGTGTGCACTTAAAACGCTCTGCCTCCAGAAATCGACTGCTGCAACATTTGTAATGGGCAGAACATTTACACGGAGCTTTCGCCTTCAATTCGCCAAGCTTTCAGTGTCCGTTAATATTCCCAAGGGACAGGGTTGGCCCTCTTCCATCTTCAAGATGATTCGGGTTTCCTGGTGAACAAAATGAGCCTCTAATGCCTAATATTTTCTGTCTGACAGATGGTTTCAGATGTATCAAAGTGCTAATCCTTGCTGAGGTATAGGTCTCAAGGAAGAAGAGTTTGGCTTTTAGAATGATAGGACTGGAATGATTAAGAAGGAAAATTACTCCCAGGATTTCACCATTACCATGTGAGCAATCGGCTTAAAACGAAGGAAACAAGCAGAATCGGAAAAACAATTTGAGGAAAAAGAAGAGAAAACACTACAAACCCCAGGTTAACAGTTTGGGTTTGAAACAGTCCCACTCAAAAAACATCTTGGGGAGTGGAAATGAAGTGCAGTAAAAGCACCTTTCCACTCAGAAGGATCAGGGTTCCATCTGGCTCCCCCAGTCACCATTCTCAGCCTGGGTGCTTGGAGGAGGCTCTGGACAGAGGCCTGGGGTTGGATATATTTGCCTTGTCACTTACTTGCTGTGTGACCTTGGGAACGTTATAAAACCTCTGAGCCTCTCAGTTCCCTCATTTGTAAAATGGGCATGTTTTACATATATACTTCAAGGTGAGCTTGTGCAAATGAAACGATCCAACATATGCCTAACCTGACGTGTAATAGGCATTCAGTGAATTTTAACTGTAAATATGAACTGGTACTTAGCGTCGACTTATGTGAGGACTGCTTTCATATACATGATCACCTGAGTCTCACAGGAGGCTCGGCATTTTAGCATAGATGACGTAGCCACAAACATTCACAGATGAGGATACTGAGAGTCCTAGAGGTTGAGCAACTTGTCCACGGTCACAAAGCTGCACATGGCAGGATTCGAACCCGGCTCTCCCTAACCCTCGAGCCAAGTTCTTTCCACGGCACCACGTGGAGCTCACAGAGGGGAGGTGTGTGTGTTGGGGAGTCAGGTCACCGCAAGGGGTTAGAGATCACTCACTGTACTCCTCCAATCTCATTAGGGGCCGGAAGTAGATGGGATAGAAGGCGGCGCCGATCAGGGAGATGAAGCCGCCGAAAATGAGCGCGGTGCGCAGGTTCCGGGACATGGCGTCAGGCCCCGGGCTGCCCTGACCCGCCGACCGCCCGGCACTCTCGGAAACCAGGTTACCGACGGCCGGGCCGTGACCCCGCTCGGAAGAGGTGGAGAGGCTTTCGCTTCCGGGCCTTGAGGGAGGGACGAGGAGGAGGGGCGGAGCGGAGAAAGAGACAGGGGTGGAGTCAGAGGCGGGGCCTCAAGGCTGGGGGCGGGGCCAGGAAAGGGGTGGGGTCACAGGCGGGGCCTCGGACCCCGCCCTCCGCCTTCCCCGGGATTCCGTGCTGTGCGGGCCGGGCGCTGGCGTTGGATTGAGGTTGGAGCTGTTTTGCTGCACTCGATTCCCGCGGGCCCTGTTCTGTCTACTTTCCTTCCTTCGGCCCGGTTCCTCCCTCAGCACCCTCCAGACCTCCTTTACCATCGCCTTCTTTACCAGCCAGCTTTCTCGTCCATCCCCCGTTAATTTCTTAATTAGCGACTGTCCGCCGTGCGCCAGATGCTCTCTGTCGCTCGCGCAATTAATCCTTTTATCAGTCTGCTTAGTTTACAGGAGAGGGAACCGCGGCTCCGCTGCGCGGCTTTGGACGAGTCACTCGTCCTTCTTGAGGGAGGTTTGTACGTATCAGAGACAAAGGGGCAAATCTCTGGCCCGAGAGGGCCTGCTGGGGGATTCTAAAACCGGAGCTGCGGGGCTTCTGCACCAAGACTAGCCTAGGAGGAACGTTGTTTCAGCATCCGAGCTACTCTCTTTCTCCATCCCATCCTCTCTCCCTCCATCCCATCCTCTCTCCCTGTTCCCTGTGCTGGGATGCCTTGGCCAAGGCAGAGAGCCAGCATCCGGTCCCATCCATGGGGCCACGGGGCGCTTCCGTATTGTCTGGGTGGGGGCCACCGAGAACAGATACCTGTTTCCTCCTCCTCAAGTTGCCATCCTCCGCCCTCTGCACCACACTGCCCTTACAAGTGGGCTGTGCCTGACTATGACCTGCCCAGGGATACTGGGCAGCTGAGACACAGATTCCTTGGGCCTCCATGCCTTTATAAATAGGAATCATGCCAGCAGCTGGGCCTGGGGAGCAAAGAGGATATCTGTCTTGACCCTAGCAGCATTATTTAGGCCACAACAGATCTACAAGCGTTTCAAAATAGCTTGGAGAGGACAGGTTTCCTCTTTCTTTGTAATCTTGTAGTTGCATCAAGCTACTGTCTACCTCTGTGGCTCTAGAAGCATGTAAATCAGTTATTCAATCTCTCCCCAGATTCATGGACTATCTGCCATGCCCCAAACACCAGGCAGAGTGCTAAGGGGACACAAAGATGAATAAGATGTGACCCCTGCTCTCTAGGATCCTGTCGCATAGATGAAGAGATAGAACATATCCATAAAAAGATAACTAATGACCGACATTGCGTGCTGCCGACACGTGTTATGGTCCTGCGGGCTACAGAAATTCAGAGGAGGAAGACAGATGACTGCAGTGTGGCAGCTGCTCCTCGGGCACTTACAGGAGCTTGTTAGGATGAGGACAGAAGACTTCATAGCACAGAGGGAACTGTGACACCAGCTTTATATCACACGATAGAAAATACCCAGGTGAGGGCTGTGGACAGTGGCTCACGCCTGTAATCCTAGCACTTTGGGAGGCTGAGGTGGGTGGATCATGAGGTCAGGAGTTCGAGACCAGACTGGCCAGCATGGTGAAACCCCGTCTCTACTAAAAATACAAAAAAATTAGCCGGGCGTGGTGGTGCACGCCTGTAGTCCCAGCTACCTGGGAGGCTGAGGCAAGAGAATAGCTGGAACCTGGGAGGCAGAGCTTGCAGTGAGCTGAGATCGCTCCACTGCACTCCAGCCTGGGTGACAGAGTGAGACTCCGTCTCAAAAGAAACAAAAAACAAAAAGAAAGAAAATACCCAGGTGTAGTGGGCATCGTCGTTTTATCAGCCCTGTGGCCACTTCCCTTTTTTCTGTGAATAGTACCCCAAGTATCTTTCTGGGACCCACTCTTTTCCCACTCTTGGTCCATGAGATAACCTAGGACTCCCCATCCTCATCCTACTTCTTCCCAGCTCTGAAAGTTAAGCATAAGGGCCTGACCAAGCTTCCTCGTCACAGGGATTGGTTGGCACCCAGGACTCAGTCTTGAGGTTAGTATTGATTAGGAGTCAGTCCTGAACACCTAATGTAGTTGCATCCTCCTGGCCACATGACCCAAGCTGAGCCAACCATAGTCTATTCCAGCTACTGGAAAGTTGGATTTGAACTTGAGCGAATGAGACTCGAGCTACTGGGGGCCATCATTTAGGAACTGAAAAGGAAGTCAGTACAGCAGAAGGAGGGCTGAGAGGTGGGGAGAAATCAGATGCTAGTGTTGCATTTGTGCCAGCTGTATCTCAGAAGAGCTCTACCCCTAGACTGCTCAGTAACATGAGCAATAGAGTCCCCCTTTCTCTGAAGCCAGTTTGAGTTGGGTTCTGTCTTTTACAACAGAAGGAGTTCCAGATAAAATCTCTGAGGATGTGACTCCACTTGGAGCTGCAAGGCAAGGATTACTGAGCTGCAAGGCAAGGATTACTCTATTTTATAGATCTGGTCACTGACAGCCAGAGACCAGAACTCTCCTGAGGTCACACAGCATTGGCCGAGGTCTTAGCTCTTGTGATGTCTGATCTGAAATGCTCCTCCATGAGATCTTGCTGTCTCCATGAGCAAGCTTGGCAGGATGGCCAGCCAAGCCCTGCTCACGGGCACCTGCAAGCCAGTAAGGAGCGTTGCCAGGAGAACAGAGCATCGTGATGAGGTACTGGGAGTGCCTCTAAGGCAAGGACAAGTCCATTGTGGCAGATGAGCCTCTCCCTCTCCAAGGTGATGTGCCAAGTGACTCGTGGTTTCTCTTGTCTCCTTGATGCTGATCTAAAGGCGTTAGTTGACCAGCAGAAATGATTAGGCCATCTAGATCATTTGTATAGGTAATTGACATCAACACACCAGAAAACAGTTACCTATCACTTACTTGCCACTGAGTCCTGCCAAATGCAAGCTCATCTCTTTGATTCCCGTGTTTTCCCCATTTCTGAGAAAACCACACTCCTCCAGTTTTTCTTTTCCCTCTGACCTATCAATTAAATCAGCAAATACTTATTGTGTGCCTACTCCCATGCAAAACATTGTACTAGTTGATTGGGAACACAGAAGGAATCATTCAATATTTGTGAATTCAGTAATGGTTCATTGAGCCAGGCACAATATGCCAGATGCTTTTCAGGTGCTGGTGAACACAGCGGTGAGGAAAACAGCAGAATCTATTGTCCTCATGGTGTCCACAGTCTGGTGGAGGGATAAGATGTAGTAGAGGATAGTAATTGTTTTTTGGCCACCCACTGTGCCTTGATAAAAACTGATGTCTTTTGGAGAATGACCTCTTATCTTGGCATTTTTGGATAGACTGCAATTTCAGGGGCCTTGTGTATTCCTAATCAATGCTAACATCAAGATTTGTAGAACACTTGCCCTCTATAGTCAGTATCACAGGTTTGCTCACTTTGTGCTCACCAATACCTATGGATAGGTATCCTCATGTTCAGAGGGGGAAGCTGGGGCATACTGAGAATGACTTGATCACATGGCTGGTAAATGGTGGAGCCAGGATTCAAACCGAGCCTGGCTAGTTCCAGATACTGCTCTTAACCACCAATCTACAATGTTTTATGATGTCAGGGAGCTTGGTTGCCTGGGTGTGGGGATGATCCAGCTGGATCATTTGGTCCAATTGTTCTTTTTCTCCCAGAAATAAGGACGATGAAGACAGTGACGCAAAGACGGACAGCATTGTTGGAGTAGCTGTCTTCCATTGCTAATGTTCTGATGTGATCATCGTATACCTCCCACTTGCCTGTAATCCTGGAGCTTCCCTGGTTGTTTCCCCTTGCAGTCTGATTCTTGAGCGTTCATTATATTCTGCAGGCCACCCCATATGCTTCCAATAAAGTCCCTTTGGACTTAAGTTAGAGTCAGTTTCAGTGGCATGCCACCAGGAGTGCTAATAGATACAGAAATTAACACAATTACCTCCTACACATGGCATGGATGAAAGCACTTGGGGCTTCATCACTGTGCTAATGTTTGGGAAAGGCAAAGGAAGTTTGAGTTTGGGGGAACGTATTTGTGTAAAGGGAGAGAGAGCTCCAGGGATGTAGGGAGACAGGATGCAAGTCAGATATGTCGGCAGTCCTAGGGTGCATATTTTCATCTCAATCACTGGGGGGAAGAATTGGGTTGGGCTCCTCTCTGGCACTTTCTCCCTCTTCCCTTGGATGTGAAGATTGAATGCTTGCAGGGAGCAGACTGCCAGTGGTGTATCGCACAGGGTTCAGACAGACATCAAAGTTAATCCGCTGTCTGATCTAAGCAAAATGATGATGAGGGTTTCCTGGGACAGCAGCTTTACTAATTGTGGCACTGCAGCCTAGCGAATGTATTTTTAGAATGTTGTGGATTCCCAAGAAATAATGTTACTGGCTGTAGAAAAACAGACTTGAAGCTTGGGGCTTGGAACAGAGTGGGATCTCATGCAGAACCTCTGGGCTGGTGCTGCTGAGAATAAGAGAGTAAGTGGGGAAAATGCTTCTCTGTTTTTATGGGGTTCTGTGACTTGCTGAGTCTCTGCCCATCTGTATAAGTATATATAGGTTTTTCTTCTTTGACTCTTTCCATGTAAGAGATTTCCCCAAAATGTCCATCTCAGCTAATCTCTTGCTATGCTCTGCACCCCGTAATTTTAACTCATGTCTTTATGACTTCCAGACTATTTGCTCTGCTGAACTCCAGCGTCACTTGCCTGGTGGACAGCTTCAGGTTCAAGGCCCACTTGCTCCTACTCCTCCTCACTGTCGTTGACCTTGGCTTGACTTGAGTCCTCATCAGCTCTCCCTTCCTATGGCTTCCTAACTGGTCTTGTCTGTCCTCTTCCATCAGTAAACTGTCTTATTCACAGGGTGATATGGTTTGGCTGTGTCCCCACCCAAATCTCATCTTGAGTTGTAGCTCCCACAATTCCCACATGTTGTGGGAGGGACCTGGTGGGAGGTAATTGGGGACGGGTCTTTCCTGTGCTGTTCTCGTGATAGTGAGTAAATCTCACAAGATCTGATGGTTTTATAAAGGGGTGTTTCCCTGCACAAGCTCTCTTCTCTTGTCTTCTGCCATGTGAGACAAGCCCCTCACCTTCTGCCACGGTTGTGAGGCCTCCCCAGCCACGTGGAACTGTAAGTTCATTAAACCTCCTTCTTTTGTAAATTGCCCAGTCTTGGGTATGTCTTTATCAGCAGTGTGAAAACAGACTAATACACAGGGTGATTTAAATTACCTTCTGAAGACATAGATCTGGTCCATCACTGCCCTGACCAGAGCCTCAAGCTATTGTCAACAGGTCATTAAAGGCACCCACTGCATCCATGCGCCTCTGCTGAGTGAAACAATGGGTCTCTGTGTCTAGGTTGCTGTGCTCTGTGCCTGTGGTCACAGCTGATGGAGCCATGTGGATGTCTGACCCAGACCAGAGTTAAAGGTCAAAACCTCTGCCTAAATGGAGAATGGGCTGACCTAATCAGATTCTCTGTTTCTGGAACTTCAACTGGAAAACCAGGGAGAATCAGGAGGTCAGCAGAAGGAACAGACGGTGGACAGATGCACAAAAAAACACAGTAGCAGCTCGAGGGGAGCTGTGAGTAAGCCGTGGTTATGAGTCAGCAGGAGCTGTGAGAGGAAAGCTCTTAGCGAGTAGATGGGGTGGGAATTGCCTGGGAATACAGGAAGCAGAGAACACTGGAGGAGAATTAAAATGAAGATCCACAAACTCCTCCTGCTGAGAAGTAACAAGATACCTCAAGCCCTACGATTGCCTGGGATTCATTTATTCATTCACTATTTTCTACCATTTTTGTGGAGCACCCACTATATGCCAGGAACTCTTCTAAGCATTATACAAAATCTTTGTTATCATGGAGCATGTATTGTAGTTGGAGAGGCAAATGATAATTATATATATCATTTTTCTTTTTTTCTTTTTTTGGAAACAGAGTCTCACTCTGTTGCCCAGGCTAGAGCGCAGTGGCGAGATCTTGGCTTACTGCAACCTCCGCCTCTCAGGCTCAAGCAATTCTTGTTCCTCAGCCTCCCAAGTAGCTGGGACTACAGGCATCAGCCACCACATCCAGATAATTTTTTGTATTTTAGTAGAGACGGGATATATATATAGATAGATAGATAGATAGATAGAGAGAGAGAGAGAGAGAAAGAGACAGGATCTCACTCACTCTGTCACCCAGGCTGGAAGGCAGTGGTGTGATCATGGCTCACTGCAATCTCCAGCTCCTGGGCTCAAACCATCCTCCTACCTCAGCCTCTGAGCTGGAAGCATAGGTGCACGCTACCACACCTGGCTAATTTTTTGTATTTTTTTAGAGATGGGTTTTTGCCATGTTGCCCAGGCTGGTCTTGAACTCCTGGGCTCAAGCGATCTGCCCCCCTTGGCCTCCCAAAGCGCTGGGATAACAGTTGTGAGCCACCATGCCCGGCCAGATTTTTTTAAAAGGCAATAATACCATGCTGGGAAGAAAAATAGAGCAGGCAAGAGCACTATGGCAGGAGAAAGCAGTCACTCTTGAGGAGACCACAGAGACCTGAGTGAAGAGGAGGGAGCCATGTAAATATCTGGAAGAACAATCCTGGTGGCAAGACTTATGAGTGCAAAAGTGCTGAGCCCAGGGTGCTGTTCAAAGATCAGCGAGGAATCCAGTGTGGCCGGAACAGAGTGAGTGAAGGAGGCAGTGAAAGGAAATCAGATCATTGAGGTAGCCAGGGCAAGGGCACCATGCTGTGGGCCTCGCAGACCATGTGAAGGGCTTAGGATTTTGCTGTGCCTGTGATAGGAAGCCACTGGGGGATCTTGAGCAACTTCCAATTCCAGCGTCTCTCTGGGAGGTCCAGCTGCAATTTAGTTTTTATTCTATCCACAGATTCTTGTCTCCTTAACTCATAAAAATCCCATTGTTTCCCATAAAGCCCCTTTACCTGGAAGAGCAGAAATGAGTTTTCCTTCCTGGCAATGAAAAGAGCCTGCCCCCAAAGCCGCCATGATTGGGAATGAGCAACCATCTCAGCTTGGCTCTAGCCCATTTCTCCCAGCCCCCTGCACAGGCAGCTCTGGTCCATTTGCCAGGTGCTGCCCGCAACCTATCTTTACCCCACTCTGGGTTCTGCTCCAACTCATTCCTCTCTTTAGAATGACCTTCTCCTGTGAGTCTCTTGTCACAGACCTTCCTTCCAAGGATATTTTCAAATCCCACTTCTTCTAGGAACCCTTCCATGATCACTTGACTTGAAAGAACTCTCCTCTCCTAAACTCCTGTTTGGTTTATCTATGGCTGCATAACTAACTATCCAAAACTTAGTGCTTAAAGATGAAAACAACAATTGTACTATCTCTTGCAGTTCTGTGAGTTGACTGGGCATTCTGCATCACAAGGTGTGGCTGGGCACTGGAACAGCCGAAGTCACCTGGGAGCTGACTGGGTTGGACTGTCCAGGATGGTTCACTCCTACGACAGTGGATGCTCAACTGGGGCTGTCAACTGGAGCCCCCATAGGTAACATCTCCCAGCATGGCAGCTCTGTTCCAAGAGGGAGTGCCGCATGAGAATCAGGAAGCAGCTGCAAGGTTCCTCATGGTTTTGCCTTACAAGACACCCAGAGTTGTTTCAGCCTCATTCTGTTTGTCAACAGGTCACTGTTTCAAGGAGGAGGGGAACTAGACTCCAGCTCTTGATGAAAGCAGTGATAAGGAATTTGCAGTTCTAGTTGATCTACTGCAGCTTTCATGGTGTTTTTTCCATATACTGATTATATAATAGTATTTGTCACCTTTTGCCAAGCGCCACGTATTACAATTAAGTGTCTCTTTATCTCACAGGCTAGATTTTCAACTTCTGGTGAGAGATTGCATTTTTTTTTTTTTTTTTTTTTTTGAGACAGAGTTTTGCTGTGTCACCCAGGCTAGAGTGCAGCGATCTCGGCTCACTGCAACCTCCGCTCCCGGGTTCAAGCGATTCTTCTGCCTCAGCCTCCCGGGTAACTGGGATTACAGGTGCCTGCCACGCCCGGCTAATTTTCGTATTTTTAGTAGAGACAGGGTTTCACCATCTTGGCCAGGCTGGTCTCGAACTCCTGACCTCATGATCCACCCACCTTGGCCTCCCAAAGTGCTGGGATTACAGGTGTGAGCCACTGCGCCCGGCCGAGAGATTGCATTTTATTTAACCCAATTCTTTCAGTGACATAGCTATAATAACAATAAAGATGTATTAAGTTCCTCTACCATGTGTTTGATCCCATCTAATTGAACACATGATCTTATCTCATCCCTACCCTGATAGAATAGACGTCTCATTTTCCAGATTGGGAACTGAGGCACAGAAAGATTCAGCTTTGCCCAAAAACCACATAATGGACAAGTGGCAGAGCCAGGATTTGAACCACTTAAGAGCCTGTGTTTTTATTCTCTCTCTTCTAGTGCCATCTCACAGTCTTGGCACCATCTTAGTAGCTTCAGGCTGCTATAAAAAGTTACCATAGGCTGGATGGCTTAAGCAACAGACATTTATTTCTCATGCTTATGGAGGCTGGGAAGTTCAGGATCCAGGTGGAGGCTGACCCCATGTCTTTCTGGGAGGTCCAGCTGCTCCTGGACCAGATAGTGCCAACACAATACTTCTCATTGTGTTATGATTGCCTACAGCAGGTGAAGGCCTGCTTCCTGTTTTCCAGATGGCCGTCTTCTCATTGTATCTTAACATGGTGGAAGGAGAATGAGAAAGCTCGCTTGTGTCTCTTTTTATAAGGGCACTAATCCAGACGCGGAGGGCTCACCTTTACAACAGCTAAACCTGATCACCCCCCAGAGGCCCCATCTCCAAATACCATCACATTGGGGATTGTGCTTTGACATATGAATGTGGGAGGACACGAGCATTCAGTCCATAACAGGCACCAAGGCACCAAGTCAGTCTGCACAAGTGTGTCGCTGGGCAGAAGAACAAAAGAGAAGGAAGAAGAAAGAACACAGTACAGAAAGTGAGTGGCGGTACCACAAAGAGTCATCAGCAAGTGCTGATGGTGGCTCCGGCCAGCACATTCCAAGCATCCTTGGGTAGCCTGATAAATGGAGTGCAGAATGTTCGGTAGCTCTGCAAGGAGTGGGAGTATTTATTGGGTCTGAGTGCTTGATGCGAAACTTTCCTCCAAAGTTCCAATTTTCTATCCGCCAAGATAAGTGATGGAGGTTTATGGTTCATGTTGTAGCACATCCACCCAGGCCAAGGACCTACAACTCTGAATTTCTGGCCTGCCTCCTTCCAGCTAGAAGTGAATCTAGATTTACATGCCATCAGGAACAAGCATCGTCTTCCTGTTCTGTGAGTTCCTAGTTGTAGTAGGTACTGCTTTCATCCTGAGAATATCAATCTACATGCACAAGGTCCCTCTCTGTGGAGGAGTAGGTACTTAAACCCAAGATAAGTGGAAACTTTATATCCAAGGAGACAGAAAATAAAATTTCAGTATGTTTTATATTAAACAACTTATTATACTTCTATCCTTTTATGAACATAAGGTCATCAGTAGGCCAAAAGTCTGAAAACAGTCTCAGTTCCTCAATGTGAATGCAAACCATTAGTGCAAAAAAAAAAAAAAAATAGATAAAATTAAAAAATGAAAGCACAGATACTTTCTAGCCTTGCTGTCTTATAGCCCCATATTCATAGGACTGACCATTCCCCATCTATACCCACACCTTTCCCAAAGGACACTATCTGTGAATGGTGGCCACGCGTTTGGATGTTACAGAGCAAGCACGTTCTTCATTACTTCACAGACACAATTATGCAGCCCACGTGCATAGTGGAAGTCAGGAAAGCGTCTCCTGGTTGCCTGGTCAGCTGACATTCTCGATTCTTTATAGTCAATTGAGCCAGTCCTTAGCTCCTAGAAGAGTAAAACGATACATCCATTTATTAAAAGTACTACTTTAAGACATTAGAAAGTCTGAAATGTTGGAACTCTGCCAAGCAATAGAGAAATCCTGTGATGGTTAATTTTAGGTGTCAACTTGACTGGATCAGGGGATACACAGATAGCTGGTAAAGCATTATTTCTGGGTGTGTCTGTGAGCGTGTTTCTGGAGGAGATTGGCATTTGAAGCAGTGGACTGAGTGAGGAAGATCTGCCCTCACACAGTGTGGGTGGCACCATCTAATTGGCTGATGGCCCAGATAGAACAAAAAGGCAGAGGAGAGACAATTTTTTTCTCTCTCTTCTGGAGCTGGGGCACCCTTCTTCTCCTGCTTTTGGAAGCAGAATTCCCAAGTTCTTCAGCTTTTGGACTCCAGGATCTGAACCGTTGCTTCCCTGGGTTCTCAGACCTGCTGTCTTGGACTGAGAGTAACACCATCGGCTTCCCTAATTCTGAGGCCTTCAGCTGGGACTGAGCCACACTACCAGCTGCCCTGGGTCTCCAGCTTGCAAATGCCTGGCATGGGACTTCTCAGTTTCCAAATTGTGTGAGCTGATTCCCCTAATCAATCCCCTCTCATCTCTGTCTATCCATCCATCCATCTATGTTTTGTCTCTCTGGAAAACCCTGTCTAATATAAATCCATTCTGAAAATACCAGGTACAGTCATGTACTACGTAATAATGTTTCGGTCAACAACGAACCACATATATGATGATGGTCCCGTAAGATTACCCTATTTTTACTATACCTTTTTATTTAATATTTAGATATGTTTAGGTACACAAATACTTCCCATTGTGTTATGATTGCCTAAAGTTTTCAGTTCAATCACGTGCTATACAGGTTTGGAGCCTAGGAGCAATAGGCCACACCATATAGCATAGGTGTGTAGTAGGCTATACCATGTAGGTTGGGTAAGTACACTTTGATGCTCAGAAAATGGTGAAATCACCTAAGGATGCATTTCTCAGAATGTATCCTTGTTAAGTGACACATGAGTGTGCTTATGTGTGTAAGGTCAATAAAAAATGTCACAGGGGCTTTATCAAAGGCAGCATTATTTTATATGGACTATGGGTCCTATTGAATATTTTTGTCCTCTTCCTTGCCCACCACCCACCCCCATAAACATTACCCACATTGCAGCCAGGGCAAACATTTAGAAATTGAAATCTGATTTATGATCCCTTGTTAAGACATCCCAATAAAAGGCTTTTCAGGCTGGGATTGGTGGCTCATGCCTGTAATCCCAGCACTTTGGGAGAATGAAGCAGGTGAATTGCTTGAGCCCAGAAGTTTGAGACCAGCCTGAGCAACAAATTGAGACCCCCATCGCTACCAAAAAAAAAGAGAGAAAGAAAAAAAAAATTAGCCAAGCATGGCGGCGCATGCCTGTGCCACCACAACTACTCTGGAAGCTGAGGTGGGAGGGTGGGAGGATCGCTTGAACTTGGGAGATCAAGGTTGCTGTGTGAGCTATGATTCCTCTACTGCACTCCAGCCTGGGTGACAGAACAAGACCTTGTCACACACACACACACACACACACACACACACACACACACGAAAAAAATAGTAATGAAGCCTTTTCGATCGCTTAGAATAACATCCAGACATTTTACTATGTCCTAGAAGGTTCTAGGGGACTTGTCCCTGCTGACCTCTTCTACCTCACACAAGTATTATGCTTGTTCTTGAGCACATCCGGTCTGATCTAGCCTATGGGACTTTGTACTTACAGTTTCCTCTGCCTGAAATGCTCTGTGCTCTTGGCCTGGCTTTACTTGTTGCTATGGCTTGAATATTTGTCCTCTCCAAAACTCATGTTGAAACCTAATCCCCAATGTTGCAGTATTGAGAGGTGGGGCTTTTCAGAGGTGATTGGATCATGCGTGGATTAATCTATTCATGAGTTAATGGGTTATCACGGGAGTGGGACTAGTGGCCTTGCAAGAAAAGGAAGACAGCTGAGCTAGCACACACGGCAACCTTGCCACGCGATACCCTGAGCTGCCTTGAAACTGCAGAGACCCTAGGTGCAGCCCCTTGACCTTGGAATTCTCAGCCTTCATAACCATAAGAAGTATTTTTCTTTACAAATTTCCCAGTTTCAGGTATTCAGTTATAAGCAAGAGAAGACAAAGACACTTGTCATTTAAGTATCTCTTCAAGTGGTACTACTACCTCATAGGGCTGTACCTGACCACATGGTCTAAAGGGGTCCTCCCCCTTTTCACGCTGTATGCATCTTGCTTTTTATTCCAACACCCTCAAACTACCCATTTACATGTTAATTGTTGTCCCTCATTCTAGAAGGTAAGTGCAGGAACTTTGTCAACCTCCCTGCGGTGTGTCCACCACCTTCCAGAGGACTTGACACAGAGTAGGTGCTCAATAAATATTTGTTGAATGACTGGAGATACTTCGTCTATGCATTTAAGAGACAGTATTGCACAGGGAAGAAACTTGGGAACTTAACTTCTCTTGGGAAGGAAGGGGAAGCCCTGCTTCTCATTAATTATTTAATTACTTTCAAAGCTTGGGATTTCAGGAAGATTAAAAATCTTTCTCATTCCACTTGTCACAGCTAAATGCTCTCAGGCCTAATCACAGCACCTGTGATTCTTAAACTGATCACTGATGTCTGGTTTTCCTGTAGGATTAGCAGAGGAAGAAGGCATCTGCAGACTGTTACCATTGGCATCTTTTGAGATTTTTAATTAACGGAGTATTTTTTTTTCTTTCTCATTCATGGTCAGGGTTTTGATTAACTTGTAAGTGGAAATTTTGTCATGTAAAGGAGGTTAAAGGAGGGTGCTTGGGGCAGATGAGAGATGTCAGGGCTGCCCTTCGTTGCTGATGAAGAATTGGCGGTGCACCAGCTGGCGCCTCCATGTCTGCATGGGGCCACCCCCGACGTGGTAGGGCTGGGTATGCACCACAATCACGATTATGGGCTAGAGTGGATAATTGGGCTTGCGGAGACCTCTCTGCTTACCAGACATTTCTTTCTGTCTGCAGTGCCTTTGTGAACATGGGGGTCCCCAAGTTTTCAGCGGGTGAAGCCAGCAGGCAACAGCTCACACTGGCATTTTGTCAGTCGGGCACCTTTATCTTGGCATTTGGGCTTCCATCCAGGCTGCCTCAGCTCTTTTGAATGAACATGGCCTGCAAATAGTTCATCCACAGAGCTGGCTTGGCAGGCGAAGGCTTCTCAGCCCAAGCAGGGGGCTCGATCTGCCTGCTCTCCTTTCTGTGGCCTCGGATCCAGCCCTCACTTCTTACCTCCACCAGATTTGGAGTTTTCAGAGCTAACTGAGGCTTCGGGAAAAGTTCTGTGTTTGGACAAAGCTTTGCAATAAGGCAGATCTGGGTTTGAATCATCAATTTATTTAATCCTGAAAACCTCAATTTTATCTGTAAAATAAAGATGATAATCATAACCTAGCTCACAGATTTTTTTTGAGATTAAATAGCACACGGCACGCAAGGGGTTTAAACAGGAAATGTTGATTGTTTTTGTTTGGGTCAGGTTATTTGGGTTCAAATCTACTTGCGGCACCTTAACAAGATTTCATCTCTCTGAGACTCAGTTTCCTCATCTATAAATTGAGGATAATGCCTCTTGTGGTTGTGTGACAATGAAATGAATGTGCCAGATAGATAAATTTTCAATTGCTGTGCAAAGGGCTTACTAATTTCATCAATGAGTCATTCACATTTACCCCTGGCCATGAAATTAAGTTGAATTTCTCACAGAATCCTACACATGAATATGTCATCTGTCTTACTCATAAAAAAGAAAATGTAGAAATATAAAATTGGGAGGGCTATATGCAAACACTGTTGGAAAGTTTTTTTTAAAAAAAGGAAGAAGAAACAAATAGCATTAAAATGATTACTGCATGAATGACTGGGCTATTGTCCTCAGGGAAAATATTTCCCAGTTTGCTTAGTGTAGCAAAAAGAGGGAAAAAGAGGTTTAATAGTTATTTCAAAGCTATCTCCCCCAGGGAAATTAAACCTGAGTTGTGGGGTATTTTTCATAAAATCAGAGTATAAAACTAACAAGCGAAAAAAGAAAAAACTACTGTGACATGAACCTAAGTGGATTTAAACAGGGTTCTTCTCAATGGAAGGGCCCCTTGCACATTGGCATTCCTGCCCCTAAACTCGCTTTCACTCCCACTTTACCCCACTTGTACATAGTGGGACCTAGGTATATCCATAAAGAGTTACCTCACTTGGCCATGTTCCGGTCTTCCTTGCAGGGACATCCCAGTGTTATCAGCTGACATAATGATAGGCCCTCTCAGTCCACGTGACTCCCGCCAGCCTTCCTCATCTCTTGTAATAATTGATGTAGGTGTAAGGACCATAAAGGCAGTGAGGCATTTTTAAAAATTGGAGCAGCAAGCTCTTGTCTATAAGATATAGCTTCTGTTTTTATTTTTGCAGAAATTACACTGAGTACTTTTCTAGAAACCTGATGTTTTTTAAGCCTCATTTATCTTCTGTCCTGTGGGCCATTTCAAGGGCCAGAGGCATTTCTTATTAAACCTCTCCAGCATGTCTTTCTGAAATAGACCCCTTTTTTTTCTGTAGGGAACCCATTCCACGGGAGCCTGACTCTGCCCTTCCCTATTCACATGACCCAGAACTGGCAATGCACCTATCCTATGCTCTTGGTCGTAGTGGCTGATTCCAAGATAGGCACATGATCCAAGTCAAGCAAATCAGTATCTTCCTTGGATCTCTTCTGAGGTTGCAATCAGAAAAGGCTATCTCTATCCCCTAGGGTTGTTAGGTTGGTAAAATTCAGTGAGGCCACCAGTAGCCACGCGATGAAGGCCTGTCCAAGAGACAAAGGGCAAACTTGAGTAGCATTGTCTGGACTCTGGATCAAGCCAACCCTGATGCCAGAACTGCAGGGCATTATGTGAGCTAATAAATGCCCTCCACCCTGCTATTTTTGAATGATGTTTAAATGAGGATTATGTTACTGTGAACTGAATGCGTTTCTGATTAATATGGTTAGATTAGCCTAATATGTATTAGGGTTTTAAAAAAAAATCTTAAAGAATTGATATGATGAAATAAATATGGTATAAATATAAACTAGATGGTAGCATGTAGAGTTAACTTTTCCTTTTATATTTATTAGTCCATTTTCACACTGCTATAAAGAATTGCCTGAGACTGGATAATTTATAAGGAAAAGAGGTTTAATTGACTCAGCTCCACATGGCTGGGGAGACCTCAGGAAACTTACAATCATGGTGGAAGGGAAGCAGGCAAATCTTACATGGCAGCAGGCGAGAAAGAGTGCATGTGAAGGAGGAACTGTCAAACACTTCTAAAACCATCAGATCTCATGAGAACTCACTCACTATCACAAGAACAGCATGAGGGAACTGCCCCCATGATCGAATCACCTCCCAGCAGGTCCCTCCCTTGACTGGCGGAGATTACAGTTTGAGACGAGATTTGGGAAGGGATGCAGAGCCAAACCATATCACCTTTTAAAATAAAAATTTCTGGCCGAGCATCGTGGCTTATGCCTGTAATCCCAGCACTTTGGGAGGCCGAGGCAGGCAGATCACTTGAGGTCAGGAGTTTGAGACCAGCCTGGCCAACATGGTGAAACCCTGTCTCTACTAAAAATACAAAACTTAGCTGTGCATAGTGGCAGGCTCCTGTAATCCCAGCTACTTAGGAGACTGAGGCATGAGAATTGCTTGAACCCGGGAGGTGGAGGTTGCAGTGAGTAGAGATCCCACCACTGCACTCCAGCCTGGGCAACAGAGCAAGGTTCCATCTCAAAAAAAAAAAAAAAATGTCCATTTGCTCAGCACCTGCTATGTGCCAGGCATTTTATGTGTGCTGTCTTCCTGGCACCTGGCCACCAACCTGCATGTTGCATTACACCCATTTTAGAGAGGAGCAAATTGAGGCTCGGAGTTGCTAAGAGACTTGCCAAAGACTACCCAGGTAAGAATTAGTAAAGCCAAGATTTTGCATTCAAAGTCTTGGCCAAATAACCCACATTATACAGATCTGGATGAGATTATTGCTTATTCACTCAGTCAGCACTTACTGGGCACTAGCTATTTGCCTGGCATGGTTCTAGGCAACGAGGATATGAAATGAATAAAATAGTGCCCAATTTTCAGATGCTTTCAATCCAATGGGGTCTAATGGCTCCATCAGGGTCATTATTATGGATTAAATTGTGTCCTCCCGAAAAGATATATTGAAGCCCTAATCCTCAGTGCCTGTGATTGTGACCTTATTTGGAAATAGGTTCTATGCAGATGTGATCAATTTGAGATGAGGTCATTAGGGCAGGCCCCAATCTAATATAATTGGTGTCCTTATAAGAAGGGGGAAATTTAAACACAAAGGCACACTGTTTGAATGCCATATGAAGACAGAGGCAGAGACTGGAGTGATGCATCTACAAACCAAGGAACACCAAGGATTGCCAGCCTTCACCAGAAGCTAGGAGAGAGGCACAGAACAAACACTCCCTAAGAGCCCTTGGAAGGAACCAACCCTGCCGCCATCTAGATTTCAGACTTCTACCCTCCAGAAATATTTGTATTGTTTTGAGCAACCTAGTTTTTCCTACTGTGTTATGGCAGCCCTAGAAAATCAATACAGTCATCCAGGGTAATGCTTCCAGGAACCTATGCAAGTTTAAATCTTGTCTACAATTGCAGCTACCCGCTGAACAACCCCCTGCAGCCAGAGAGTCCTGCCCTCCCCATCTATGACACATTGCAGAGGAGATCCTTTTGGACGCAGCTCCTGACTCTCTAACCCCACAGCTGTGTGATGCAGCCAGTTCTTGGCATACCTGAAACCAGGACCTGCCCTATATAACAACACTCTCCTCTGAACACACTCTGGCCCCGGTGGCTATTGGTGTTTGCTCCACTGTTTGCTTTGGACAGGCAAGTACCCAGAGACAGCAGGCAGCTAATACCAGGGTGTTGCCCTTTCTTAATATTCATTCCAAGGCCATTCTGTTTCCAGGATAAAAGTCTCATGATTTCTCCTTTGTGATTAATGTTGAAGCCATCTCTTGACGTACTGTCTTAATATCACACAGTCTTTGGTTGCTGACCGTCACAGCACTTTTACCTACCAGCCCTCACCCTGCCCATTCCTTTGAGTCAGGTAGGTAGCACAGATGCAGAAGAAGACACACAATGAGGGGAAGCAAGTCTGAATTAATCAGTGATTTGCCTAGGGTACTGATTAGCTACAATCTGGGCCTGCTGCCTAGCATTTTGAGCAATGGTCCAACTTCCTTTAGTTTTCAACTCTGTTGCTATGCCAGTAGAAGTCTGATAAAATGCATTCACCTGCTGATGTATTTGGAGAGCAAAATGCCAACTCATTAAAAATGGTGAGGTCTCCAGTAGCTAAAGCCCTCCCTGTGGATAAACTTAAACTTTCCATATTCCCAAAGAAGGAGGCAATGCCAGTCATAATTATCCCCAAGTGGGTGTCCTGTCAACTAGACCATCAATACCTCCAGGACAAGGCCCCAGTCTAGCTTTTTCTGGAACCTTTAATAACATCTTTTTTTTTTTTTTTTTTTCTGACGTGGAGTCTCACTCTGTTGCCCAGGCTGGAGTGCAGTGGCGTGATCTCAGCTCACTGCAACCTCCATCTCCTGGGTTTAGGCAATTCTTCTGCCTCAGCCTCCCGAGTAGCTAAGACTACAGGCACTTGCCACCATGCCTGACTTTTTGTATTTTTGGTAGAGACAGGGTTTCACAATGTTGGCCAGGCTGGTCTCGAACTCCTGACCTCAA
This sequence comes from Homo sapiens, assembly GCF_000001405.40. Classification (NCBI taxonomy): domain Eukaryota; kingdom Metazoa; phylum Chordata; class Mammalia; order Primates; family Hominidae; genus Homo; species Homo sapiens. The sequence continues at coordinate 25,896,430 of NC_000004.12, read as the reverse complement.
GTGAACTGCCCGTCTCGGCCTCCCAAAGTGCTGGGATTACAAGTGTGAGCAACCATGCCCGGCCACCTTTAATAGCGTCTAACAGAGAGAGTGCTTCTGGCCTGCTAGTTGGCATGATTAAATATAGGGGTTTACTCCAGGCCATAGTGTCCCTAGCATGCTTTTATCAGGTATGGTGATTAAGAATTTGGGCATGGGGAGTTGGTGGTCAGACTACCTCAATTAGAATCTTCATTGGCTGTGTGATTTGGGGGAGCTCATTTAACCTCTCTGAGCTTTAGTCTCTCTTCTGCAAAATGAGTTGTTTAAATGAGTCAATGAGACCACGTAACTGAAGTGCTTAGCATTCCATAAAAAGCCAGCCATTATTATGAACTGGTGACTGGCAGAGCCAGAACTAACCCAGGTTTCTCTAGCTCCAGGGGCCATTTCGGAAGCTCAGTGTGACTTCTGCTGGACTGTTCTTCAGGGCTGTCCTCTATGGAGTGAGCTGTTGTAATGGGACACAGGACCAGCAGCCAAATACCTGGGCTGAGGCCCTTCCACCCACAAGTTCACAGCCAAGAACCTCCATCCTCCCACTCTACTTGGTGATCCATGTACCGAAGGAGAAAACTTGCTTCTTTGGGAGGAAGTAGACGCTTTCCCAACTCCCCTCAGACCTGTCTCCTAGGGCTCCTCAAAGGTCCATGTTGTGAGGTCAGGAGCTCAAGGAGGGAAGACCCACTTAAGGTTTCTTCAGCTCCCTCTCCTCCCCCTGCCAGCGGGGCAGGTGCCTGTGGTCCCCTCTCAGACCTGGAAACGAGGTTCTTAGCTCTCCACCTCTATTCATTTCCCAGAGCTGTCTTAACAATGGACCCAAAACTGGGTGGCTTGAAACAGAAATCTATTGCATCACAGTTCTAGAGTCTGGAAGTCCAAAATCAAGATGTCAGCAGGGCCACGCTATCCCTGAATGCTCACGGGAGACTCCTTCCTTGCTTCTTCTAGCTCCTGGTCTCTGCTGACAACCCCTGGCTTTCCTCGGCTTGTAGACACATTACATCAGTCACATGGCTGCCTCCTCCCTGTGTGTCTTCATCGTCTTCCCTCTGTGTGAGTCTATCTCTGTGTCCAAATTTCCCCTTTTTGATAAGGATATCAATTATATTGGATTAGGACCCATCCTAACAACCTCATTTTAACTTGATTACTTTTGTAAAGACCCTATCTCCAAATAAGGTCATATTCTGAAGTACTAGGGGTAGGACTTCAGCGTATCTTTCTTTGAGGAGACACAATTCAATTCATAAAACCATCTGTAATAGTTAATTCATGTGTCAGGATGGGCTCAGTAATTATACCTGTAATCTTGGAACTTTTGGGAGGCCGAGGCTGGAGAATTGCTTGATTCCAGGAATTCGAGACCAGCCTGGGCAACATAGCAAGACAATGTCTCTACAAAAGATAAAAAAATTAGCCAGTCATGTAGTCCCATCTACCTGAGAGGCTGAGTGGGGAGGATTGCTTGAGTCCTGGAGGGTGAGGCTGCAGTGAGCAGTGATCATGCCACTGTACTCCAGCCTGGGCGATGGAGCGAGACCCTGTCTCAAAAAAAAAAAAAAAAAAAATGTGTCAAATTAGCTAGGCCACAGTACCCAGAAATTTGATCAAACATTGTTCTAGGTGTTTCTGTGAAGGTATTTTTTAGATAAGATTAACAGTAAACTTGGAATAAAGCAGATTATTCTCCATAATCTAGGCAGGCTTTCTCCGATCAGTTGAAGGCCTTAATGGAAAAAGACTAATCCAGAAGGACAGGAAATTCTGCCAATATACTTACTGCCTTTGAGCTCAAGCTGAAACCGTTCTCTGGGTCTCCAGCCTGCCAGCCTACCCTACAGATTACATATACACATCCTGTTGGTGCTGTTCCTCTGGAGAGCCCTGGCATCATCATCATCATTATTATTATTATTATTATTATTTAAGATGGATTCTCTCTCTTGTCATCCAGGCTGGAGTGCAGTGGCATGATCTCGGCTCACTGCAACTCCGCCTCCTGGGTCCAAACGATTTTCCTGCCTCAGCCTCCAAGTAGCTCAGATTACAGGCACCCACCACCAAGCCTGGCTAATTTTTGGATTTTTAGTAGAGACGAGATTTCACCATGTTGGCCAGGCTGGGTCTCGAACTCCTGACCTCAGGTGATCCACCTGCCTCAGCCTCCCAAAGTCCTGGGATTACAGGCCTGAGCCATAGCCCTCGGCCAGCGCTGGCATTATAATACACCATTCATTGGTCCCAGTCACCAGAGGTCCTCCCTTAGGCCTCAGGGTCTTGGCAGTGGTGCCAGAGCTGAGGCAATTTCTCCCCTAGACAGAGGAGGATAGCTGGGGTTGCCTTTCCACCCACCTTACTGTAAACAAACTATCAGTCAACCACTGAAGAAGCATTTCTGAGCCTTCAATTTTTTATTAATCCCTTGGCAAAGGAAGGTTGAACAGTTCAGTCTCAGTGTGAATTGCTTTGAGAGATGAAGGGGAAAGAAACAAGAAGAATTCCTTAGCTTCCCAAGTTAACACAGTCCTGGAGGCTGGTGTTGTGTAGGAGTTAGAGCCATTCCTCTAAAGTACTGCGTAGAATTCTAAAGTGTCTATCACGTTGTTCATGTGTGGTTACCAATTGCTGTGTAACAAACTGCTCCAAAATTCAGTGGCTTAAAATTATAACTATTTTATTTGTTCACGATTCTGAGGGTCAGCAATTTATATTGGGCTCAACGGGGTGGTTCTTCTGCTTGGTCTCTTTTGGAGTAACTTATGCAGCTACTGTCACCTAGGAGTATAACTGGAACCATCATTCTGGATGGCCAATATGTCTGGCAGTTGGTACTGGCTATTGGCTGGGCCGCCTGTCTCCATGCGAGTTCTCATCTTCAAGATGGTTAGCCCTGGCTTCCTTACCTGGTGGCCCTGTGTTCTAAGATGATAGAAATGAAAGCTGCAACAAGGTATCTTAAGGACTGGGCTTGGAAGTTGCCAAAATATCACTTCCGTTGTATTCTTTTCTTAGAGAAAGTTGCAAAGCCTTCCTAGATTAAAGGCAAGGAGAAATAGATTCCATCACTTGATGGGAAGCAGTACAAAGTCACGTTGCAAAGAGATGTTCGACCTGATGTGAGGATTTACTACAGCCAACTTTGTAAACGGTCTACCATGCACACTAAGCAAATTAAACTAGCAAATGCAGTGGGTGAGTTATGTCTGAATATATCAGGGAAGGTGATGAACACAATCGTGATCAGATCCAGAGATCAGAGGGGAATCTTGGACATGTGAGGACATTGCTGTTTATTATACCATTTGATTGAGAACCGGGCAGGGAAGGCTTGTTGGACTCTGCCTGATTCAAAGTCTAGTCTACAAATATTTTCCTGCGAAATTAGATATTTGCCTCATCTCTGCTACAGCACAGCTGGAGGCAGCTGGTAGGGCCGGCTAACTTACGTTCTTAGATTTTCTTTGGCAGAAATTAATTTTTTTCTTTAGAATTTTTTTGTCTCCAAGGCTCAGTCTTTGGGTTAATATCGCAGATGCACAATTCATAAATTTGTTCCTCTTGGTTCATTGTTTCAAAATGAAACTTTTAATAGGTTCTAAAGCCTTAATAAGAGTGCTGCCTGGTTACATAATGAAGTTACTATGGTTGACAGATAGTAATTTATTATTATCATTGTCCTTGATAAGAGTTATGCCTTGCAAAGTGGGTGCGTAATAAATATTAGCTATAACAACATAAGCAACAGAAGAAAGTTTGTCCCTTTGTGTCTTATCATAATGCATATTCTTCTATTATCACCGTGCCTGTTTTCTGTTAATTTTATCAATGATATGTAGAGGGGAACTATAGCTGTGTGACGTTATTATTGTTAGTTTAAATGTCCTAATTTATCCTGCCACTGTGTTTCGTTTAGCATAACAAAGTCACAATATTTTTCTGTCCCCGCAGTGAAAGACTGTAGTAAGCTGATGTTACTAACAAGAGATAATTATTAGCTTCCTCAAGAATATTACCCTATACGCACTACTAAGCGTTCCAGGAGGATTAATAATTCTACAAATTTTGGACAGGACAAAGTAGCGGCAAAGCGAGGTAGGGCTGTTTTAACACTTGTCCTTGGCCCATTTGCATATCTATCACTGGTAATTTGTTAATGCTGCTTGTGTTTCAGTCTGTGGTCATGCCCAGAATTAATGCACTCGACTAGCTGATACACCCAGTTCCAAAGTGAGAACTAGGCAAGTCCGAACATTCGATGACTCTGGCAATCATGAGGCCTGCATTCAAGAGCAGCTTCTTTGCAGGGTGATGCTTTTCTGAAAAGTCAGCAGTGAAATGGCAGATTATAAGCATGGTTCACTGATGTTCAAGGCTTTCTTTCTCCGATAAGAAGAGCTATTCTGGCACTTGAAATTGCAGAGTATTTTGTTTGTTTGTTTTGTTTCTTTGTTGTTGTTGGGAACATGCAGAGAGAAGGCAAGGGTATTTAACATTCGACAGAGAATTGCTGAAAGTCAGAGGTTGGTCAGTGGGGGCTGGGAAGGCTTTGATTGACAAACTAAGTGTCCAAAAGAAATGAAAACCTGAAACATCAGAGAACATCTGTACATTGATTGTACGGGACACCCTAATCAACCTGCATATATGTATGTGTTAAAACATGTAATTATTTTAATACATTCCCAGTGAATTCTGCCACTTAGGAGAACTTTAGATAAATCACAAGGAGGCAAATATTGATATAACATTAACTTGAAGTTGGCATTTGGCTGTTATTATTAAACATGTATGAAGTATCTAGTTCAATCATTCATCAGTTCAATTTTGTCAATCAACAAATAATTACTGAAGGTCTTATATGTGCCACATGCATGCATGGTAGGTTTCTGGAATTCCAGAGGAGTTTACAGTCTAGAGGAGAAGAAAGAAAAGCAAGCGGGCAGTCTCAATACGATAGTATTTATGGTAGGGGGTCTGGATAGGCATCTCTGGAGGAAGTGACCTCTCTGGGAGGTGAGGATGAAGGTGGAAGGAGAGCCAGGTCTCGGGGGATTAAGACCCAAGCTTCGGAGTTTGGACAATGGAAGGCATTGAAGGCTTAAGAAAGGAAGTGGCATGATCAGGCTGCAGTTTGAAAAGACTATTCTGCTTGCAGTGGGAAGGATGGCTTAGCGAGGCGGCTTAGATTGGTTTGCCAAGATGCTGAGCCAGAAACGGGGCTCCTTGGGCAAGCAATTTCTTGAGGGAGTGCTTTCAAGTGAAACCTGTAAGGGTGTGAGGAAAACGCAAATAGGACAGGCTCAGAGGAGGTTTGGCCTCAGCCTGATCCTGTGGTAGCTCTGGGGCATGTATGGGGACACAGATTGCCCTCTTGAGCGAGGCAAGAGGGCTAGTCTTTGTGCTGGCCCCAGCGGGAAGGCAAACCTCCCCAGCTTTTCCAAGTGAGTGGTGCTTTTCTCCCAGGGCAAGTCTCAGGAGAAGGGAACAGCTGTGTTGTTAACAGGCAGCATTCACAGCAGCGGGGGCATGGGTGCCTCAGTCCAGGCAGGAAGAGCCATTTAAGGGGCTCTTGACATCCTCCACATGGGGGAGATTGCTTTCCATTGCTGGAAAGGAAAGGACAAATCAGTTCCTCTAATGGAAAATGCATTAGGCTTTCTCTAGAGAGCCCCCTAAGGAAGGAGAAAGAGCAACAGGACATTACCAGCAGTTTGGCTGAGGGCAAGACCTAAGAGGTGTATCCATCAACTGTAAAGAAAAGAGACCCAGGGTTCAGAATTAATCAGAGGGAAGGGAGTAGGATTTGAGTAACACAGAGTGTGACAGGCGAGGCAGGGGCAAGGCTGCGCCAACCTTCTAAAAATAAATAATTCCCTCCTGTTTCCTTCAGAGGTGCACGAGGTAATTTGCAAACATTTGTAGGCAAGTTTTCACCGGGCTGAACCGCAGGCAAAGCTACCACTGACTTCACAGGGAGCTCCCGGGGGACACACAGCAAGGTGAGGCCTTGGTTCTGGATAATTAAGACTTATGGCACCCTTGTTAGCAAAGAAATCCCAGTGCACATCATTGAGATGCAGCAGGCCTGCAGGCCTGCAGCCCCTCGGCGGCCCACGGCCATTAGAAGCCCACTTGAGCCAACATTAATTTTGCTATCCTTCACTTTCTAAAATCAGAGGATGACATCACTTTGATTAAGAGGGACAATCATGTTACAGACAATCAGTAGAGTCAGCCTGTGCTGGTTGGTGTCCTCACAGCCGCTCACTGATGATGGGGCTGGTGCTCTACGGAACAGCAAGAAATAGGAGTTCATTGAGGTCGACTCTAATTCCACTGTCGCCTTCTGAGCAGGTGAAATTCTCCCCAGACACCCCACCTGCACTCTTTTCTTATATTTTCCTCCTTTTCTGCTTCCCTTTGTGTCCCCTTCTATAAGACACAAAGGTGCTCATGGGCAGTCAGGCCTGGCTGGGAGGAAATCTCTGTGGAACACTCTTACCCTCTTCTGGATTAGGGTGTTGGAGGGATGAGTACATGAATTAGCAGATCTGTATCAAGGAGCACCATGTGCAGGGTGCGTGCCGGCCGCTAGGAAGGGTATGAAGAATTCTACAACACATTCCTAACCCTCAAAGAGCCTCAAATCTTGCTGAAGGGGCATATCTCTATAAGACACCCAGCAACTGTGGTTAGCAACACATTTTTAGACCAGATGGCCTGGATTTGAATCTTGGCTCTACCACACTGGCTGTGTCACCTTACACAAACAATGTCTCTCTGCCTCAGTTTTCTCATCTTTAAAATAGGTATGACAGTAATACCTGCCTCACAGCATATTTGTGAGAAAATAACAAATTAATGGCCAGGCATGGTGGCTCACGCTTGTAATCTTAGCACCTTGGGAGGCTGAGGCAGGAGGATCGCTAGGGGCCAGGCGTTTGAAACCAGCCTGTGCCACATATTGAGACCCTGTCTCTACAAAATATACAAAAAATAAATAAATAAAATAAAAAAATAAATTAGCTGAGCGTGGCAATGTACACCTGTAGTCTCAGCTACTCAGGAGGCTGCAGAGGGAGGATCGCTTGAACCTGGGAGCTCGAGACTGCAGTGAGCTGTGATTCCACCATTGCACTCCAACATGGGTGACACAGTGAGACCTTGTCTCAAAAGAAAAAAAAATTAATGAAAGAGCTTAAAACATGGCCATTGCTCAATAATTGTGAAGAAAGCAACAGATATTTATAGAGTATTTACTGTGCTAAGTGCTTTGTATGCTTTATGTAATCTAATCTGCAAACAACATATGAGGTGGGTACCACCATTATCACCATTTTACCAACAAATTGAGGCTCAGACAAGTTAAGTAAGTTCTACAAAACCACAAGGCCAGGAAGTGATGGAGCTGGAATTTGTAACCAGGGCCAAGGCACTTAGCTGTTATTCTATAATGTGTCATTTATAAGAAAACCAATGAGGACCAAGTGTTTCAGATACTTTGAGAACAAAGAGCTCCTTGGGAAGTGAAGCAATGGAGGAGGGCTTCTGCTGAGTCTTCCATTTGCAGGTAGGAGGTTCATTCATTACAGTCAATATTTATTGAGCACATAGTACAATTAAGCATAGAGCTGGAGACATCGTGAGTGATGCGTGGTGTCACCTTGAAGTTGCAAGGGGAAGAAGAATAAATTAATCAAATAGGAGAGGAGAAGGGAGGGGGGCTCTGGAAGGATCAGGAGCTTGAAGAGGGATTAAGTGAGTCCCTTAGGGATGGAAAGATGTGGAAGAAGGGAGGGGAGCAGGAAAGGTTTTCTAGGGAGGTGGGATCTTGAGAGCACAGCCTGGGCAAAGGCTCAGGTATGAGACAGCCTAAGAAAACCCTGAGCATGTACACATCTGAAGCCACCGGTGGAGGTGGGTAGGATGGTGAGAGATCATTGTAGTGGCTAGCACCCTTTCAGTAGTCATGATGTGTTAAGCACTTAGCAATATCACTTCTATTCTTTCCCTGGAGTGGGCAAACCGTGGCCTGCAGGCCAAATCAAGCCCACCATCTGTTTTTGCTGGCAGGTGAGCTAAGAATGATTTTTACAGGTGTAACACTCGAAATTGATTTTGATGATAGGGAATACTAACTTCAAACACTAATTAAAGAAAATGTTATCCTCCTCACAAAGAATTCTGTTGTTCTCATTAGTAGGCCTGAATTAAAAAAAAAATTGTCCTTGGTCAGGTGCAGCGGCTCACCCCTGTAATCCAAGAACTTTGGGAGGCCAAGGCAGGAGGATCACTTGATTCCAGGAGTTTGGGACCAGCCTGGGCAACATATCAAGACCCCACCTCTATTCCATAAATAAATGAATAAAATTGTCCTCAATTAATAATACTTTTTTCTGGCTTTATTGAGGTACAATTTGCAAATGAAACTTGTATATATTGAAGATATACAATATGACGATTTGGTATACGTTGTGAAATGATTACCACAATCGAATTAACATGTCCATCACCTCACATAGTAACTATTTTTTTTGTGTGTGTAGTGGTGATACTAGAGATCTATTCTCAGCAGATTTCAGGTTTACAATACAGTACTATTAGCTACAGTACATCCTGTACTCTAGAACCCCAGAACTTACTCATCTTATAAGCAAAAGTTTGGACCCTTCGACCAACATCTCAGCATTCCCCCACTCCTAGCCCTTGGCAATCACCCTTCTACTCTCTATGAGTTCCAATTATTATTGTATTTTGAATTTTACCAGTAAAAACATTGTGGATCTTTATTTTTTCTCTAGTTTTATAAATACCTACATAGTAGCCTCAATTTTGCTTCTTGACTTGCAACACCAGAAATATGTACTATCTAGCCCTTTGTAGCAAAAACTTGCCAGCCCTGTTCTTTTCTCTTTTCTTTTCCTTTCTTTTCTTTACTTTCTTTCTTTCCTTTTTTTTTTTTTTTTTTTTTTTTTTTTTTTTTTTTTTTTTGAGATGGAGTCTCACTCTGTTGCCCAGGCTGAAGTGCAATGGAGCGATCTTGGCTCATGGCAACCTCCGCCTCCTGGGTTCAAGCGATTCTCCTGCCTCAGCCTCCCGAGTAGCTGGGATTACAGGCACCTGCCACCACGCCTGGCTAATTTTTGTATTTTTAGTAGAGATGGGGTTTCGTCATGTTGGCCAGTCTGGTCTCGAACTCCTGATCTCAAGTGATCTGCCCACTTCGGCCTCCTAAAGTGCTGGGATTACAGGCATAAGCCACTACGCCCAGCTAGGCATTGTTCTTAAGGATAAGGGAACTGAGGCAGAGGGAGGATGAAATGATGTCATTCAGGTCACAGAACTAAGACTGGGTGGAGGCAGGACTTGAACGCAGGTTGTCTGGACTGGGGCCCAATGCTCTGAGCCCACTTCCACCTGGTGTTTACAGAAGTCCAAGGAAGAAACTAAGGGCCAAACTAGGTCAAGAGGGGAGGGAATGGAGCAGGCAAAAGTGCCCGAATGTGGAGACAAGCAAGAAGGAGGCGTCCTGCTGGGCCAGGCTTCTCTGGCTGATCCAGTATGTCACGGGCCTGAGCTAGTGGCTGTGGGCACAAAAGACTTGTTTCCCCTGGCAGAAAAGAATTCCTGGCTGCTACGGGCAGCAGGTTTTTCATGTGGATGATTGGAAATATTTACAGTGCTGCAGGAAATGCTGGAGGAACAGCAGGTCTGGTGGACTGAGTGTGGGACAGAGGGGATGATCAGCTTGGATGAGTTGAGCTGGAGATGCCTGGGGCATAAGTAGGTGGAGGAGAGTGGAGAAAAGAGTTTGGGCTCTGGAGCCAGGTGCAGAGTTGGGAGTCATTGCGATGGGGGCTGAAACGGGGGAGACTGGAAAGAAATCATTCCCTCTGCTAACAGGAGTTGAAAGGTTCACCTGCTCAGAATGGAGGTAGGGGCAGAGCGCTTTCTCATCTTTGAACTCTGCGGTGGACAGGGATGGGGGTCATGTTCCTGGGTTCCGTGGATCCTGAAGAAGGAAACAAGGTTATTTCTGAAATGGGTTATCTGTGTCATTGTATGATCTCTCTTGTCACACACACAAGACACATACACGCCAAAGATCATAAAAGATGTATTTTTAAAGCCCCAGTGTGTACATTAACTTACATAGAATAACCTGATTAGCTTTGAAGGCTGTTGGCTTAAAGAGAATGAAGATTTCCAAGTAAAAGCAGAGGAGGAATGCTCGATGTCATTGAGAACTCAAGGAGAATTTCCTTCCAGTGAAGTCTCAAAAAAACCAAAGGAAGAAGCAGCCTCTGATTATATAATTTCTACCTGGGCAAGTAAAAATCTTTGATTATCTATTTATGTCCTGCCAATTCCAGGGCCCAGAGGAAATCAATCCAGTCTAAAAGAAACTAATTTTGACCACCTCTCCTTTTCCTCTCTCTTGTTTCGTGGCCTCGTTAACCTCGAGGAGTGCTTCAGGCTAATGTGGGAGTCCACGTAGGCAGATTCTGGAGGAGCAGGCGAGACCAGAGAGGAAGGAACTGAGATGCAGGGAAAGAAACAGTGATGCTACTGCCCAACCAGGGATTTGCCAGCCGAGAAGATTCTTTTTGTTTGTTATGGGTTTTTTTTTGTTTTTGTTTTTGTTTTGAGATAGGGTCTTGCTCCATCACCCAGGCTGGAGTGCAGGGGTGCAATCATGGCTTGCTGTAGCCTTCACCTCCTGGGCTCAGGCAATCCTCCCACCTCAGCCTTCAGAGTAGCTGAGACTACAAGCACACACCACCATGCCTAGCTAATTTTTTTTTTATATATATAACAGATATTACTTCTTGCTATGTTGCCCAGGCTGGTCTCGAACTCCTGGGCTCAAGTGGTCCTCCCACCCTGGCCTCCGGAAATGTTGAGATTACAGGTGTGAGCCACTGTGCCTGGCCTGAGAGATTCTTATAAGCTTAGTGTTTCCCCAAGAATTCTTGGAGTAAATAAGGAAAAATATATGAGGCTGTCTGAAGTTTTAGAGGGAGTGAGGGTTCACCACTCACACATTTTAGAGGGAGTGAGGGCCTCATAACTGCACATCTGCCCCCCCCATCCCTAGTTCTGTTTGCCCTGTTGTCTTACTCACTCATTTGCAGGAAGAGCAGTATCTGGAAAGTGGGTGCTGCTGGAAACCTGAGGATGTGGCAGACTTCAACTCATAACAGGGTGTCCATCTCAAACACACATTTGACCTTCTCCTTGGATAAACAATGTAGAAGTAGGCCCGGGGACACGTGTCATTTCATGAACCTGATCTTGCCCAGATTTACTTCTATGAACGATCTTCGAACAGGCACTTTGAAAAACTGCAGCCATACTTTGAGGCCACTGGGATCCCACTGCATAGATTACCCCTTCAGTGTTCTAAATGGAACTGGGGATCAAATCAACAACATGTAGGAAATGTATTTAAAATGGGAAAAGGTGTAACATGGTCTCATATCTCATAAGAGAATGAGATTTTCATGAGATGTCTTTGAAAGAGAAAATGCTTGTACAAAACACACAACAGCTGTATCAACTAAAACAATTATCTTTTGTGATTCATAGGGCGCATATCACGTAGGTAGAGCAGAGATTTGTGTATTTATCTCTGAACTTGATTTGATTTTAATATTATTCTGTCACTTATGCACAGTTCCCAAATGTCTTATCAGGAAGAGCCAGTTATTAAGCCGCTGAAAGTGTCTTATAAAAATAGCAGACAATCTAAACTGTGAATCATTCCACGGAGCCCCAGTGGTGTGAGCACAAGCAGATTCTGCCATGAGTTAAACAATTGTGCAAACGTGTGCTCCACATCCTGTCTGTGCCTGAGTCAGTGCTAACCCTGGGGTGAACGAAGATTAATGAAGTGTAGCCTGTGTCTGAAAAGAGTTCACATCCCAGTGAGAAAGGAGCAAACAGATTTTTTAAATACTATACACAAGAAGGTTAAACTATTGGAGATTAATTAGAAGGGGTCACTCTGAAGTTGTGTTGATGAAGTATGGTTCTGTACAAAGTGCTATGAGAACATGGAAGAAGGAAAATTAAGCTAACCTGAGGATGCCTGGCAAACTTCAAGGCAGAGACATTTGAATGGTCCCTTGAAGGATGAGTAACAGTTTGAAAGCAGCAAGGGAGTTTTTTTAGCAGGGGGAGCAACACGGAGTAAGGTTTGGAGGCATGACTCTGCACAGCTAATGAGGGATCAGAGAAGAGCTTTGTATAGCTGGACAGCATGGTGTATGTGACAGGGACAAGGGGTGAGGCTGGGAAAGAAAGCAGGAGTGTTTGGGCAGAGCCAGTGTGAAAAGGAGCCCAGAAGATTCTCAGGTTAGGAAAGGTGCAAGGAGATTGGTGTTTTACATGGATTCTTCTGATGGTCTCTGAGCTGCAGAGCAGGGCAGCTCAATGAGGGCCATCTTTAATATGATACATGTTGTTGTCATTGTTTTACTTACTAACTCAGAAGATTAGCCCATTTCCTAATGTCCTTTGCTTAATGTCAGGGAGTGATTACACTTTAAAACGGAGGTTGGCGAACTATAGCCATATCAAATTTGGCCCACCACCTATTTTTGTCAATAAAGTTTTACTGGACCACAGCCATGACCATTCATTTCATGTTATCTATGGCTGATCATTGCACTAGGACTGACTTCACAGCAGAGTTGAATAGCTGCAACAGAGACAGATGCACAAGACCTGAAATATTTATGATGTGGTGCTTTACAGGAAAAGTTTGCTGACCCTTGACTTCTGGTTCTCCAAAGTCATTGCCAGACCAGAAACTTGGAAGACAACCTGGAAGCTTTGCCTCATTACCTTCTGTACTGCTTACCTCTGCCTTTATCAAGTGGTCAAATTCAACAGCTCTCACAAAGTCAGTTGTGGAGCATAGGGTAGAGGATCACATAAAAAAAAAAAAAAGAGAGAGAGAGAGACAGAGAGACAGTGAGTTCTAGAAACCGGGCAAGTCCTGTCAAGCCACTCCATCTCTTCTCTGCAAGAGTCCCCATGTATGAGGTCAGCAGCCTTCCATGACCCCAAGTATACTGACTACAGCAGCATTCAAGAACCTTTTTATCATATTCTCATTGGCAGGACAGAACTGATTAGGTAGTTGTGTTAGTCAAACAGCTGCCCCCACAGCATGCGCATGAATAGGTTGACATCAATCTTAGGGAAATATCTAATGTGCTCCTATAAGACTGCAGACTTACTTCTGTCCTGTTTGGCATTCTTACTGGCATACATGAACCAGAAACCATGTTTCTCAATGCGGAGTTTGCCCATAGCGACAGGATGGAGGATGGCTAAAAGTGGCATTGATACGTCAGAATCCATGTTCCAAAGAAATCTAGATGAACTAGAGTAGTGGTCAGAATGTACTCTCTGCCACAGAAGCAGTCTCTCCTAAATGAAGAATGTGGGGCTCTAGCAAAATATCTGATATTTTCAGATCCTGGGGCAAGAGTACAAATGGAGACCAGCCTGCCATACATCCAAATATCTGGAAGTTATAAATCAAGTCAACAAGCTAAACAAAATGGGTCTTATCCTCCTACCTTGACAAATAGAACTTCTTCACCACCTGGAAGTCCAGGTTCAAGATCAGAATTCTCTGACTCCTTGGAGTCTTAATGCTGTAACATGGCAGCGTGGGAGAGCAGCCCCTCGTCCCACCCCACCCCCAACTTTCAACCCTTATTTCTGTTTTCTAGCCTGCTCCTGGATTGCTCCGTAATGTGTCTCCAGTCGCTTCCCCTTTACTGAACACCAAAGATGTCTGTCATTTGGTGCCATTTGTTTGGCTCTGCTCTCCAGCTTCTCTCTTTAACTCCAATTCCTGTCTCTGATTAACTTGTTTCTAGCTTCTTCAGGCAATCCCTGCTCTCATGCTTATATTTGGCACAATCCCCAGAAAATAATGTCCCTGATGGAGTCACCCTTGGGCTTGGAAAAACAATCTGGTCAATTGCCACCTGCCTTCCAGCTCCTGGATCTTATATGATAATCCCTGACCTGCACCTTAGATGAAAACTGCTTCTTCCCACTCCCGCCACCCACGCCAGTGGCTCTTGAACTTAAGCACAAAGGATGACCACATATTTCAGCAAATCTGGGGCAGAAGTCCCACCGACAAGCAATATATTTATTTGAATTGTAGTGTTTTTATTTTCAAAAGGTCACATGCTTTAGAGAAAATGTTTTAATCATTGAAATATTATTTATGTATAACGTACCTTCTAAAAAGTACACAGAAAATAAACATACAGCTTAACAAATTATCACAAAATGTATAACTTCCAGATAAACAAATGCTTCACTATCTTCTCCCCAAAGGAAACCAACCATTCTTCTGACTGCTAATACTATTGTTTGGTTTTGCCTGTTTTTGAATTTTATGTAAATATAATTAAGCACTACAGATTCCTTCGTATATGATTTCTTTCATTCAGCATAATGTTTGTGAGATTCATCTGTGGTGCCATGCGTGGTCTTAGGTCACTCGTTTTCATGCTGTATAGTATGCCATTATATGAGTACATCAACATTTGTTTATACATATCACTGTTGATGGGCGTTTAAGTTGTATCCAGTTGTTGGTTATTCTATATAATCCTGCCATGAACAGTCTTACAAATATCTGTTGGTGCACGTGAGCATGAATTTGGGGCCATATATATCTAGAAGTGAATTACTGGATGATGGTTTTACATATTTCAACGTATTTCAACTCTTTGATAGTTCAAAGACCTTGGTTGAACCAACCTGCACTTCCATCTCCAGTCTATGGGAATGCTTTCTTGTTCCACATTTTCAGAATTTTTTTTAAATTCTTCTCCACGAGACAGTCATGTTCATTTCCATGTTGAAAATTTATAGAATTTTTTTGCCAAAAAGGGGAAATGAATCTTGTGGAAGATGTACCGAGTTTATTCCTGTGCCTTCAGCTGCCCCAAGTTGGAGTTCAGTTATCCATCAACCACATTGACCTCTTGGAGGTTCTTCTTTCGGTTTCTTGACTTTCTAACCTTTTGCTAAACTGTTTACCACTTATGGAACAGCGTACCTCCTCTGTCCAGCATGGTGCCTGCCATCTTATTGACTGAGTCTGAAGACTGATTCACTGCTGACTTTCAATCCATTTTGAAAAGACAGCATTTATCTGGATAATGTTACTTTGATTAGAGGTTCATCTGATTGTGGCTTTGACTAGTGCCTAAGTCCTTCCAAGGTAACAGACCATGCACTTCTTTCATATGTACTTCCATCACCTGAAAAAATACTTGAGACCCCACGGGGAGCAATCAGTATTTGCTAACAGACTGCCTGGCTCAGTGTAGCTCAAAATCCATCTTTATTTTTATATGATAGTTTAAATGATTTAATGAGTGGCTGTCACTGACAAGGCACTTGGGGTCTGTGCATAAAATGACACAATAATATAAAAATAAAGCTTTGCTCAGAGACTAATACACAGAACTGCCTTCCGTGTACATATTGCTCTTTATACTAGAGGAAACAATTCTTCCTTTGGTCAAGTGGAGTTGTTTTCATTGATAAAAATACGTAAATCCACATTCTCTCCTACTGCTTTATTTGAATGCTTACAAAAACAGGCATCATATATAATATTCATTTCAGCAAGAATATGCAGAAAGTGCTGCATCTCTTTATTTAGGAATTTTAAACATTACAGTCATGTTCATCATGGTGACTGTGGGCTTTTATATCTAAGACAGACTCATTTCTCAAAGTCATATTTAAATATCTCAAATGGTAGTGTTGGCCTCTTGGGTATTGCACAACATACAACTGAAGAAGGAAGGTTAACCTCTCCAGAAAAAAAAAAAAAAGTAAAGAAACGGTGCAGCTGTGGATATTTCACGTTTAGAAAGCAGCGGGGACAGGGGAAAGAAGAACAGAATTCTAGGGGAGCCAAGTTTGCAGTGAGAATCTGGATGTTGGCCTCATCTTAGAGCAGAGTGTGGGAGTTGTTCTCTAACTTAATGACGCTCTAAGTGAGGTATACACTTTTTTCTCAGTTCCGTGTTTTATAGGCAAGATTTCTCTTCTGTTCCTTTCAATAATCTAAACTGACAGTCTGAATGGTTAGCTGGACCCAAGCACACGCACAGTTTCATACCTGTGACATTGGCCCAGGTTTTAGATCTTAGGATAGTTTCATTCATTCATTCATTTGTTCTTTCATTCACTTGTTCATTTAAAAAAATTAAATGGCCAGGCAACAAATACGTACCCAGTACCTACTATATGCCAAGTGTTGTGCTTGGTGCTTAGGATACAATGATATGTCATAGCCAGACATTATTTAATTAAGTACACAACTGTAAAAGTGCATCAGTGGGAGTGCTCTGAAGAAACAAGTTGGTGCAGTGGAAATGTGTATTAGAAGGATTTGCCTTATCAGGGAGGTCTGGGAAGTGTCCTTGAGGAATGATGACTGAGGAAGTGATGATCTGTATATGAGCCAGTGCCTTACCTAAGTGAAGTGGGCGGCGGGAATGGAAAACAAATGAAAACAGCTCGTGCAAAGGCCCTGTGGTGGGAAAGCATAATGCACACAAGGACTGGCATGAAGGTCAGTGTGGGAGGATGGGGGAGAGCAAAGGGTGTGGGCAGGGCCTTGTGGGCCCTTATGGAGTGTTGTCCTTTTCCTAACAGCAAAGTGGACCCACGTGGAAGAATCAGTGGAGGACTGGGAAGGAGCCAGTTTTTCGGGGTGGGTTGTGGAAGCATACTCGGAAGCATACCGGAAAGTGTTTTAGAATTTCTTGTTCTTGCCTCAACAGAGTCCCTGGTTGGCATCTTGACTCAATTACAGGTGTCCCCCAATAGCTGTTGGCTGCCTAGCCGGCTGGTCTCCCAGTCCCGAGTGGATAATGGGGAGGATGCTGGGGTGGCGGAGGGACACACTCCAGTAGTCTGGCTCGGTTCTCATGTCTGCATGCAATGAACAGCCTGTGCTTGCTGCTTGCAGATCCAAGTGTGTTTAGCCGTAACAGTCTGACAGGGAAGCCTGGTTTCAACTTTAATAGAACACAAGGCACCCAACCAAGTTGGCATAATCTCTCTCCTGAGAGGTGATGTGTGACCTTTGCGTGCCGGGCCTTCGATTTACAACCAGGATTAAATATAGATAAATTTAAAATGTAAATGCTCTTGATTCCATTTATAATTCTAATAATAAAATACATCATAATAGCATTTTCATACTCCAGATATTCAACATTTAGAGATTTAAAAGGTCTGAAAAAATCTTTTTGGGTCAAGCTATTGTAATTCACAGCATGCTAAGATAGCAATAAAACTCGTAGGGGCAGAACTGGGGGCCACGGGGTAGGAAGGGGGAAGGAAACTGTCCTTATTATTAACTGTGATCGTCACAGAGCTGGGTTTCAACCTTGGCACTCGTGACATTTTGGGGCATGTCATTCTTGGTTGTGGGGGTTGCCCTGTGCCTTGTATGATGTTGAACAACATCCCTGACGTTTATCCACCAGATGCCACTAACACACACCTCCCCCATCCCCAGTTGTGACAACCAAACGTGTCTCCAGACATTGCCAAATGTCTCCTGGGGGATAAAATCCCCCCGACTTTTGAACACTGTGTAGAGGATGCGTAATTAGTACACCTGGTATAGAAGGTTTTGCGAAATAAAAACAAGCATTGCCAATAATTCGAGGATTGTTTTAAATAAGAAAAAAGTTCTGTACCATGTGGTTAGAGGTTTTCGACCTAAGATCAGTTTTGCTTTCCAAACTATTGAAAAGCCTAGCATGTACATTAAAATGCCTCCATTCCAGCCTCACTAGAAACTCCCAGCTGAGGGGCAGACCTCATTTCATTCAGTGAGGAAAGTGGAGCTTAGGATTCTGCAAGTCAACTTTTTAATTTAAAGTTTGAAATGCAAAAACAGCTTTGCTATTTCTTCATCTGCAGAGGAACAAAAAAGGAAACGGTTGTTTGCTCCCTGTGCTCTTGAGACTTTAAATATTTCTCCTACCTCAGTTTTGGTGGGAGATGGGAAGGTATTAAAAGCTAGAATAGAATCATTTGGATGCTTAACTGTAGTCTGGAGGAATTGGAAAAGCTTTGCAAAATTTCCCAAGAGAGTGAAGCTCTCTGACAGGGGTCAACTGCCCGGTGTCTTCTGCTCGGACAGAAATCACCATCCAACTGGGGCTGTTGCAAATGTGTGGGCTGAAGATACTCAGCTTCCTGCCTTTTTGCCATGCTATAGGTGTCTGACCTTGAAAAATGGCCAGATCTCCTTGGATCTTCACGGTCTTTTTTTTCTGAAAATAAAACTAAAAGCAGTCGCTGAATCCCTGACCAGACTGTGGTGAGGTTTAATGAGATTGCAACTGGGGGTCCGGCATTATGGTTTGAGGAGTGTGACTTCACCTTGAGGCTATCAGGTCTTTCCCAGTATTTGGTCTAATTATTTTTCTTTTTTTATTTTTGAGACAGAGTCTCACTCTGTCACCAGGCTGGAGTGCATTGGTGCAATCTCGGCTCACAGCAACCTCCGACTACCTGGTTCAAGCGATTCTCCTGCCTCAGCTTCCTGAGTAGCTGGAATTACAGGCACGTGCCACCACGCCCAGCTAATTTTTGTATTTTTAGTAGAGATGGGGTTTCACCATGTTGGCCAGGAGGGTCTCAATCTCCTGACCTTGTGATCTACCCGCCTCGGCCTCCCAAAATGCTGGGATTACAGGCGTGAGCCACCATGTCTGGCCTATTTGGCCTATTTCTTTTGGTAAATTGGTTAGGTCTGCAGATATTTCTTTTATATAATTGGAGATGCAGGATGCTTCACAGAAACACTAAACACCATAAATTTAAGTCTGGTGAGTTGAGATTAGGTATTAATGAATTTGAACCCATTATATAGATAGATGTAGAGATATAATTCATATAGCTATAGATAACATATGTAATAGATATTTTTATGTAGATAAGGATATGAATCTTTGAATAGATTCATGATGAGAATAATAAAATATTACCTAAAAATATCACTAAAACCATGGCTTACAAGATTTGAAAAAGCTTTTGGTATTTTAGATTAGAAAGTATAAACTATCTACTGTCTTCACTGGGGCTGCTCTAATGAAATACCATAGACTGGGTGGCTTATAAACAACAGAAATTTATTTCCCAGTTCTAGAGGCTGGGAAGTCCAAGATCAAGGTGCCAGTAAATTTGGTATCCGGTGAGGGCCCACTTCCTGGTTCACAGATGGTGCCTTTTCACTGTGTCCTCACATGGTGGAAGGGGAGGAGAAAGCTCTCTGGAGACTCTTTTTATAAGGGTACTAATCCCACTCATGAGGGCAGAGCCTTCATGACTTCATCACCTCCTGAAGGCCCAGCTCCTAACACCATCGCTTTGGGGAATGGATTTTAACAAATGAATTTTGCAGAGAAGGGACAAAAACATTCAGACCATAGCGTATACTAAAAATGTGAATGGAGTTAGAAAACCTTAGTTGGTCAGAAAGCTCTAGAGAAAAGTCCCCCCAGGCGGCCTGCATGTGTGTCTTGTGAAGGAGAATTTACCTACAGCCCCTGAAGGAACACAGAGAGAGGGATCTTGTTTTGTCTTTGTGGCTCGGTGCTACTTAAAGCAGGAGGATTAAGCAGGAAAATGTCAGTTGGTTTATATTAAGGCTAAAGACTGATCCCTGACTAATGTTGAAATTAGCCAGCTAAACTTGGGTTAGTCCAAAGGGTAAAGAAAGTAATAAAATAAGACCAACATCTTTTAAACTGGAGTGTGATTTGGGAACTTTCCAGTGGCAGTAGCATGGGGTGTCTGTCAGGAAGAGGGCAGGCGGATGAAGACCCGACTCTCAGAAGTGTCTGCGCAATAAGCTGTAAGACTTTCATCCCTGTCCAAAATTGATACCAATAACCCTACACACTTGTGTCGTTTGCAAAGCACTTTCTCGGCCACCATTTCAAATAATCCTCAGGACAATCCTGAAAGTCGCTACCATTATTTTCAATGGATAAAGCCAGCTCAGAAGGGTCAAGAAGCTCAGAAGGGCCCTTACTCAAGGGCCTTTGATTGATAATTTGTGGAGTCTAGGCTAGAAGCAATCTACCCCACATGCCAAGTTCCTTATCTTAAAAAAAAAAGGAGAAAAAATTCCCCTAAAAAGGTAGAATAAAATAAATATAGAAAGCAGTCAGGAATCCAGGTGGAGAGTTAAGAATCAACAGAGTAGTTTCGTTTGCTTTTTAAAAGTTTCTTCTCTTCCACCTCACCACCCTTCCCTCTATACTTTCCTGACAGTGGTCTTGATGTAAGTTCGTTTTTCATTTTAGAAAGATAAGCCTGGCATGGTGGCTGTGCCTGTCATCCTATATACTCAGCAGGCTGAGGTGGGAGGATCACTTGAGCCCAGGAGTTTGAGACTAGCCTGAGCAACATAGTGAGATCCTGTCTTCACATTTTTTCTTTTCTTTTCTTTTCTTTTTTAAAAAGCCATGTATGGTGGCTATGCTTGTAGTCCTAGCTACTCAGGAGGCTGAGGTGGGAGGATCACTTGAGCCCAGGAGTTCGAGACTGCAGTGAGCTGTAATCACACTACTGCATTCCAGCTAGGGTGACAGTCTCATAAGGGAAAAAAAAAAAGATTTAAAAAACCTCTCTCCAGCATTGAAACTTCCTGTAGGCTAGTTGACCAAATCTCAACATTAGCTGCCAGGTTATGTGTGTCCAAGCAATGCAGGTTGTGGTTTTAATTAGCATGATGTCTCCAAGGATTGTGTCTGTCCTCCTGTGTATGGCGATTCCAATTTACTGGTTTTAAGATGTGGTGAACAAAAGTCTGTTCTTGTAATTGACCAAGGGGATGTAGGCCACGAAGGTGTGAATCTTAAGTACGTGACCCCCTAACTCACGCTGAAGCCATGCTCACTGCATCTGAGCAGGTGCCGCTTTCGCTTCTTGTTTTTTATTTTTAAATTTCCTAAGTTTTGTTTGGTTTTTACCTTCCCCTGATTTGGCAGATGCGTTTGTACTTTTTGGAGAGATATTTATACCATTCGTGTTAAAGGTATTTTTTTTTTAAATGGTGTCCTGTCAACAGTACATTGAGGATACAATTTAGGAACTCAAAATGTGTTTAAACACAACTTAGCAAATGTTATGTCTCATCATTTGGCATTTGGCCTCTGCAAATTCATTTCATTTAATGCCATAACCAATATTCCTGATTTGAAATACTTCCTTTTATCTTGAAGGCAGTATTTTTTTAAATGTACCCTGTTTGACTTTCTTCTAATAACATCCCCCCCTCAAAATATTCTTGATTGCTACAGTCATTCATACCTATTTATCTCCATCTATGTATCCTCATTATCTATCTATCTAAACAAAAACTGCTTCTTCTGGGAAGGTGCTAAGACAGAGCCTTACAGTACTAGGCCCCCAGAGAGATCATTTGCTTGTGGCATCAGGTAAGTTACAGATGGTCGGTCTCTCCTCTCCCAAGCAAGACATCTAGTTGTCACCTGCCAATCTGCTTAACGAGTTATAGAGTAACTCTGCTGCCTCTCCACTTCACTCAGATATGAGAGAGTTAATTATTTAAAATGTTTGCTAAGCACATTGGGTTCCCTAGAGAAAGCGTGCCACATAAATATATATAAATGAATTATTAATTAAAGTTTAAGCAGATTAGTTGGTGAGTTCTTCTTTAACTGCCCCATTTTCCTAATGAGGTGTTTTGAAGTTACTATCTAGATTTGGTATCTTGCCCCTCCTTCTTTCCAGTGACTTCTCCCTCTTCCCCTCCTTATTTTCCTTCTGCTTAATTCTCTTTCCTTTCTGTCAGCCCTGTCAGTGCCTACCATATTGTGGGCACTCAGGCAATCACAATGATTTAACGCCAGATCTATAGGTAAAAGCCTTCATTAACTTCAACAGGCATCATAAGCTCCTAGGAACTCTAGGGTGAGATTAATAATTAGATAATGATTCTAATGTGCTAAGAAAATGAGAAGCCAGGCTCATGAAATGCTGAGCGTGGTGTGGTTATCAGCAGTAGATGAAACCCTTGTTTACCGACCCCTTTTCCCTGATCTGTTTCAAGTAAAACGAGAGATCCCAGATAGTTTAAAAATTAATATAAATCAAATCAAACCCCTCCCACAATGCCGACTCGTCTCTCATCAGCCAGAACAATACAAAGAGATTGCAATTTAAGAGCCGGGTTTGGAGGTTCGTTGGATTCTCTTTGAGGGAAACGTGGACTAATTTAGATCGAGTATGAAGGAGCAGCATAATTGCTTATTGAATGTTGATGTCCAAATCCTAGTTATTCCTTTACCGGAGATTAAGGGGAATTAGAGAACAGTTCACGTCCATCCTGCTAAACCTGACCCAGTTTATTTACACTGTAATCTTACTTCAGAGCATGAGAAGTAAAATGAGCTGCTCTTATCAATTAATAGCTGAAGAAAAATTTAGATTTCAAGTTCAATGTAAGAGCTACTTATTCCAAAGCACTACAGAAATGAAGAGGTGCTTCCTTTTAGGCCAGGAGCTGGGAGGGGAGGGAGGAAGCGCTGAAGAGAATTTGTTTTTTCCTTCCTAAGAGTTTGAATTACTGTGCAATCTTGGATTTTCTAGTGACCTGTGTGAAAGCCCTGGGGCTAAAGCAGACCTATAATGGATCTATTTCTGAATGGTTCAGCAGTATTGGAGTTTAAAACAGCAGTCGTGAAACCTGCATATAATGAGGCCAGTGCTTCCTTCTGCATCCAGGAAGCCATTGGCCACCTGTACTTTGAGAGAGCCCGCATGGCCTCTCAAAGTACAGAAGGGGGCAAGCTCCTCCTTGGCCCACTTCCACAATTCTCCAGGGTAGCCAGTCCTATACTTAGCAGACACAGAAGTCGCTCTAGGGATATGAGATAAACGGTCAGCTAAAGACCCTACACTTGCTCTCAAATCTTCCTGCCCTGCCATGCCCACCCCACCTGCAGCACCACGTTCCACTATTAGACATTCACTTCTCTGAGTTAAGCCGTTGTTCCACATTCAAATACCTCTGCGAGGTACATTATATTGTGTTTACCAGTCATTAGTAATTCAGTACAAATATTTGTTGTTTGTTGGATTGACACATAACATGCATTGACAAATATTTGTTGTTTGTTGGATTGACACATGACATGCATTGATCAGAGGCAGGGAGTGGGAAGCTGTACTTGAGTGCAAGGCTGCCTTTCTACTGGCTGCCCCACTCCTCTGAACCTCAGTGTGCACACCAGGAAACCAGGGCGTTAGATCAGCAGATGTCCAACATCACTTCCTGTCCCAGCACTGTGTATCTCTGATAGTTGTGGGAAGGGGCACAGATACAACCATGGTGATGGGTCGGGGGGGCGCCTAGATATGAGGATGATGGCGGGAGCCTGAGACACAACAGAATGAGCACGGAAATTCATGAGAAGGCTCGGGAACTTTGAATTGCTTTATATCAGCCTGTAGCCTTGGGTCTAGGCTGCAGAGTTCAGCATAGAGCCTGGAACCCAATAAGGGCCCAATAACATTAGATGGAAAAGGACGGGAAAATAACAACTATCTATGTATTCGTTTTCTGGGACTGCTGAGAAAAATGAACGCACGCTGGGCAGTTTGAAATGAGGAAATTTATTGTCTCACAGTTCTGGAAGGTAGGAGCCCAACACCGAGGTACTGGCAAGGCTGTGCTCCCTCTGAAACCTCAAGAGGAGCATCCTGCTGCCTATTCCAGGTTCTAGGTGCCCCAAGCACACCTTGGCTTGTGGCATCCTGGCTCCAGTCTCTGCCTCCCATGGCCATCTTTTCTCTGGCTCTTCACACTGTCATACCCTGTGTACGTGTCTATGTCCATGTCCACATTTCCATCTTCTTCTTCTTCTTTTTTCTTTTCTTTTTTTTTTTTTTGAGACAGTCTCACTTTGTCGCCCAGGCTGGAGTGAAGTGGCACGATTTTGACTCACTGCAACCTCTGCCTCCCAGGTTTAAGCAATTCTCCTGCCTCAGCTTCCTGAGTACCTGGGATTACAGGTACATGCGACTATGCTGGCTAATTTTTGTATTTTCGGTAGAGACAGGGTTTCACCACGTTGGCCAGGCTGGTCTCCAACTGCTGACCTCAAGTGATACACCAGCCTCGGCCTCCCTAAGTGTTGGGATTACAGGCATGAGCCACCGTGCCCGGCCCCAAATTTCCATCTTCTTATAAAGACACCAGTCATATTGCGTGAGGGTTCACCTTATGCCTTTTTGTTTTCTTTTTTTCCTGAGACAGAGTCTTGCTCTTTCACCCAGGCTGGATGGAGTACAGTGGCACGATCTCAGCTCACTGCAACCTCTGCCTCCCAGGTTCAAGTGCTTCTCCTGCCTCAGCCTACCAAGTAGCTGGATACAGGCATGTGCCGCCACACCCCGCTAAATTTTGTATTTTTAGTAGAGACGGGGTTTCCCCATGTTGGTCAGGCTGGTCTTGAACTCCTGACCTCAAGTGATCCACCCACCTCAGCCTCCCAAAGTGTTGGGATTACAGGCTTAAGCCACCATGTTAGGCCCACCTTATGACTTTATCTTAACTTGATGACACCTGTATGAACCCTATTTCCAAATAAAGTCACATTCACAAGTATTGAGGATTAGGACTCTGACATATCCTTTTAGGGAACACAGTTCAACCCATAACAGCCTACTTCACAGAACTGTTGCAAACATGAACTGAAATGTGAAATGTCTTGATGACTGGAAAGTGTTTATGCAAACGTAGGAGAAGGAACTCAGCTGGGATTTGAGTCTGGCCCTGTCTCCCAATGATCAGGCTACCTGCAGACTCTCAGCATAGAAGCCTCCAAAGCCCAATTTAGGGGTGTGAAGACTAATGAGGGAGAAAGAGTATAGAAAATGAGGTCAAGTCATGAAAGACAAATTTCATTACCTTCAAAGAGTTGCCTGGGCCCACTGTGGGTCCCAAGTGAGGGAGGTGACCGCAAATACCCCATGTGACAATTTAGACGTCCTAGGAGACCAGCCTTGCCTGCTTATTGATGCCACACTGTAGAGAATGGGAATCACTGATTCCCTCATTTTTAGGTCTTTTATTATCAGACTGTGAAGGTGCTGTTAATGAAAAAAAGCTTTAATAAGCACCAGTAATGCATAAACACCACACTACGCAGAAGACAGACATGGTTTCTGACATCCCAGAGTGTGGGTTCTAAGGGACACCCGGATAGCCATGCATGAATTTTATATATTTTTTTCCTTTTTTGTGTGGGGTGGGGGAGTGGGTAGCATCAGGGAAGAGTTGCATTCTAATTGGTTATGAACCACAGGTCTAAATTTCAATTCTGGCCTGAATAGTAATTTTTCCTGAAGGTTTGAATAAATCATCCAATCTGCTTCGGTTTCAACTATTTTCAGCATTTCTATTTTAATCATTAATTCTGACTGCTAAGGACCCCGGAGTCACCGAGCCCGTTTGCGACTTAATTTGGGATGGGAATGAGGCAGGAGGAGAGGATGTGCTGAGAACCAAACAGGAGAAAATGGGCTCGACCTGGAGTTTTGAAAGATTTGGGCCAGATACAAGGGATGTTTTCTTATTAGTGATAGCTGTAATTCTTTGTTTTGCTCTGGCAAGGCGGATTATAGAATTTGCACAAATAGTTTTGGTGAAGATAGGAGAAATTCTCACGTAAGGAAGATGGTTTAATTTTCATTCTGATGTGACTGCAAAGAGACAGTTGGATGAACCCTGCATTAAGGTAAATCACAGAATCTCAAGATAATAAATGCCTATAATCCATTCTACTCCCCTTTTTGCTTTGAATAGTAAGAAGCTCAGAGCTAACTATACTGTCCTGTTAAAATACTCAGGGCACTGTTTCAGTTATCTATTGCTATAAACAAACTACCCTCAAACTTACTGGCTCAAAACAACAATTTATTTTTATCTTCCATGGTTCAGTGAGCTGACAGGACTCAGCTGGGCACTTCTTGCTTTCAAATTCTCATGCAGTTTCAGTGGGATGGTGGCTAGGGTTGGAGTCATCTGAAGACTCAACCGGGACAGATGTTCAAGATGGTTTGCTCATTCATGTTTGGTACCTGGGCTGGGCTGACCTGGATGGTTGAAGGCTGGCTGAGCACCTCTCTCTCCATCCACGTGGATAGCTTGGGCCCTCTCACAACATGCTGGTAGCTGTATGGTGGCTGACTTCCCGGGGAAATACTGAGGAAACACTTCCCTTAGGGTCATAATGGGAGATGTGGTTCACGAGTGGGGTCATCATTAGAGACATATCACCACAGGTATTTATAAATCTTTTTAAAATTTTTCATGGTCTTATAAGAGCTATATCTTTCCTTGTGAGCCTTTTTTGGAAGTTAGGAAATATGAATAATACACAAACAATGCTTTATTCTTGTCTAGGGCTCAACAATTTACCACCACCCTCACTATGCTACCTTACCTGGCCTTCACAACACTGTGTAAACAGGTAGATTAACTTTGTCCCATTTTTACAGACACAGAGACTGAGGACTGAAGATTAGTGATCTTCCCAAGCAAGCCCAGCTATGATGAGGTGGGTTGCCCTGGACAAATGTGTCTGACATAGAAATCTATGTTCTCAAGCACCTGGTGAAGTGCTGGCAGAGGCCTAAACCTAAAACTCAAATGTGACCCCTCCCCACCAGCATGCACCTGGTTGCCTCTCCATTGGCCCTTCATAGCAAGTTTGGTGTAGTGACACGGGCACTAGTCCTTGAGCAAAATTACCAGAATCCAAACTGGCTCTGCCACCTCCTGGCTGTGGGCCTGGGATCTTTCCTACGTCTCTGTTTCTTCATTTGTAAAATGAGGCTGATGGTAGTAACAGTGTCTACCTCTCCGGGTTGCCAAGAGAATTACATGAATGAAGGCCTCAAAGTAATACTTGATAAGAACTCAAAAAGAAACCTCTCCGTGAAAAGCTGTAGAGGTAAGTGGCTACTAAGAGGACCCCGTTCTAGCTGCCTCTTCTCTGTGTGTTTCTTGATTTTATATGGACTTTACTAAGCATCCCAGCTGATCATGATGTTTCATTGTGCTCGATATTACATAGTATCAGGTGGACTAAAAGCCCGAAATCAATGTTAATGCCTGCCCAAGATTGCGATTTGAGCTGCAGAATGCAGTTATAAAATATGCCTATGACTTATAGGCACAACCTGCCTTTCCCCAAGCTCTCATGTGCACTCACTCTCTTTTCAATTATTTATAGTGACATTCTCTCCCTCGGTGCCCATTCACTCTTCTCTTACTCATTGTCCCAACTGGATATGCACATTCACCCCTAACTTCTCTCTGCTTTATTCATTTTTCAAACACATGTTCTTCTCAACACCCTCACTCAAAGATCAAAGATTGAAGATGTGCTTACATCTTTTCTTCTTTTTCTTTTTCTTTTTTTCCAGGAGTCTCGCTCTGTCACCCAGGCTGGAGTGCAGTGGCACGATCTCGGCTCACTGCAACCTCCGCCTGCCGGGTTCAAGCAATGCTCCTGCCTCAGCCTCCGGAGTGGCTGGGACTACAGGTGCACACCACCATTCCCAGCTAATTTTTTTGTATTTTTAGTAGATACGGGGTTTCACCATGCTGGCCAGGCTGGTCTCAAACTCCTGACCTCATGATCAACCTGCCTCGGCCTCCCAAAATGCAGGGATTACAGGCGTGAGCCACGGCACCTGGACCCCAAGATGTCCTTACATCTATGGACACATGCCCTTGATCTTCTGCATCCTGTGTACTTTCCTTCCCCAAACACCCAGTATACAGGGACTTCTGTGGTCGCTGAGCCTGAAATCCCTGCTTCTTATCCTGATACCCCCCAAGGATGGCAGAAGTTTCTGCAACTATGGCGGTGGGGCAGGATGCAGACCTGGGTATGAATAAGGAGGCCCTGGACATCTGGTTGCACCTGCCTGGAAATGTTCAGCTCACAAAGCTTTCCCTCAATGGCCCAAGAGAGCCAGAGAATGGATTTCCCTGCTGCCCACCTGGACACTGCACAAATAAGTCGTGCGCTGTCCAGAGAGCTTATGTCAGTAGCTGCTGCTTAAGGGGGAAAGCGCTCCTGACACAGGGGAGGGCTTGGCTAAGGGAAGCTGCCCGCTTTTTCCCCCAGCTCAGGGTGGGGGAAAGAATTGAGCTGAATATGCACCTATTCAGAAGGGCAAAGAGCCAAAAATAACCAGGAGCAACAGCATTTCATCTGACAGGCCCAGAAATAGAGCTCATTTTGGAGCATGCCTGGGCTACAAACCGAGTGATTCCAAGACCTTCAGCATCCCATAAAAATACACGGAAAAGCTTTCAGTTTACACAGATGCTTCCTTTTCCTCCTTTACCACAACTTCCCAAGGCAAGGGCTCTGTGGCCCATAGGGAAAGAGTCTGCAGAGTCAGGGATTTGAGGCTCAAAGGATGGGGTCTGAGGATGAGGAGATGAGGCTGGTATCTGATGGGATGTTCTATGGAAGGAAGAAGCAAGAAGTAACTGTTAAACATGGAGGATTTGAAACAAGGAGAAACAGAGACAGGAAATAGATTTAGGGAATGTAATGGCTAGGGGGCCACAAGAAAAATGGAAATACTGCCCATAAAACAATGGCATGCAGGATTTGTCTAGATCCCAGAGGTCACCTTTGGCAGAAAGAAAGACCATGGTTTTCCTATTGGGATGGGGAGTGTGTTGCCTGACAGCAATCTTCTATTTTTGCTTTCCTCTCTTCTATTTCTGCTTTCTTCTCTTTTATTTTGATATAAAAGGCAAATGTCACGGTTCATTCATCTTCATTCTGAATAACTGAAATTACAGGAAAGAGGGAGGGGGAAGAAAGGAGAAGACTGCAGAATTACAGAGAAACCTGAGTGTGGAAATAACCATGTTCTAACAGGAAGAGACTGGGGAGACAACAATGAATAAAAAAAGAAAAGAAGGAAGGGAGGGAGGAAGAAAGATGGAGAGGAAAAAATGAAAAAGGAAGATGTTGGATTCAACTTTATTCAGTGAATATGTCAGAAATGTTCTATGTACAAGGCATGGGGGTACAGAGAAACGGTTAAGAAATAACCCCTGCTTTCGGGGGGCATATAGTCTACTGGAGGAGAACAGGCCAACTAACATACCCAATATAAGGCAGAGTTAGCCAGTGGCCACTTAGGATTACAGGCAATGCCTGCTGGGGGCACAGAGAACCGACCCATTGCGTTTCGACCTGAGGCCATGAGGGAAGATTCCCTAAAACTGGCAGCATTTGCCTCGGCCTCAAAGATTTATGTGGGAGGGTAAGTGGATGGAAGGAACACTCTCTACTCCTGCAGAATGCCTTCCTACCCACCTCCTGTAATCTGGAGGTCATTTGTCTCCGCAGGGGCAGATCTCTTTGCCCCAGACATCCTTAGTATATAGAAATGTGGTTACCAACTGCCGACATGGACAGGGCCACTCCAAAGGTAAGTTTTTACTGATCCACAGCAAAATGCAACATATAAAGACAAGACGGAAATAAAATATTCAGATTAAAGAACAGCTTGTTTTTTGTTTTTTTTTTTTTTAAGACAAGGTCTCACTCTGTCGCCCAGGCTGGAGTGCAGTGGTGTGATTAGACCTCAGTACAGCCTTGACCTCCTGAGCTCAAGCGATCCTCCCATCTCAGCTTCCTGAGTAGCTGGGACTGCAGGCACACACCACCACACCTGACTAATTTTTGTATTTTTAGTAGAGACAGGGTTTCACCATGTTGCCCAGCTGGTCACAAACTTCTGGGCTCAAGTGATCCACCCGTGTTGGCCTCCCAAAGTGCTGAGATTACAAGTATGAGCCATGGCACCCAAACCAGTCTTTTCTTAGGATGTTAGGCCCTTCCTAATTTTTTGATGGCAAAAGGCCTTGTCTTTTTAATGAAATGATACTGACAGAAGATAGTATATGCAGTTGGTTTATAAAAACTATTTTTGCTTGGTAAAGTAATAGTTGACCAAGTGCATTGGTCCCCGAGACGTGACTGATCTTAAACCATTTTGGGCCAGGCATGGTGGCTCACGCCTGTAATCCCAGCACTTTGGGACGCCTAGGTGGGTGGATCACGAGGTCAGGAGTTCAAGACCAACCTGGCCAACATGGTGAAACCCCCATCTCTACTAAAAATACAAAAATTAGCTGGGCATGGTGGCAGGTGCCTGTAATCCCAGCTACTCTAGAGGCTTGAGGCAGGAGAATAGCTTAAACCCAGGGGGTGGAGGTTGCAGTAAGCTGAGATCACGCCACTGCACTCCAGCCTGGGCAACACAGTGAGACTCCGTCTCAAAAAGAAAAAAAAAAGAAAAAAAATTTCAGAGTCTCAGAACATCTCACCTGGAATGCTATGATGTGCCACCTAGGCATGCAGATGCAGTCCTTTCTCCAGCCCCTCCCTCCAGGCCTCTGAAGTCTCCTCCTAGGGGCGGGCCATGATGAGCTCAGGACTCTGTGCCTTTGTCCTTTCCCGTGTTGAGGTGTGGAATTGGTCCCTTTCCAAGGGCATGTGATAAACTGACTCACACCAAGGCAGTAATAAGGGAGGCCAATCTCCCCCTGGGGCCTTCGACTTTTAGTGGAGTATTAAAACTTAATTTAAACTGATGAATTGTAATGGTGAGATTTCAAGCCCTTCCATGGGACAATGGGAAGATATATTTCTTTTTAAATAAAGGGCTTTCTTCTGAAATCAGACCACGCCCTTTCAATGACTGACACAAACTGCTGGAGAGACGCAAAAGTAAGAGCTGATTCTGTCTTCTGGATCAAAACGTCCCACTCCCCCGTGAAAAGAAATCTTGACTTTTTCTCTCCCCCTCTCCAACACAGGATGAAGCAGTTAATCCCACCACCTCTAGCTCAGGATGAGAGAGCAACTCACACATCCCTCTTAGAAGACCAAACTCTGGCCGGTTTTCTGCATGCCTGGTGCTCCTTGCAGAAACAGAGCCTTCCTGCCTACCTCTGGAATCCTGGGGCCTCAGGTGGTGCCCAGTCCACAGTAGGAACACAATAGGAGATGAGTGAGTAGGGGAGAAGTGAGCAGTTGGATATGGCAAGTTAGAAACAGTCCAGCCTCCAGTGGGGCACTCTGCTTACCTACACTTAGGTAAACCCAAATCCTCAAAGCTCACAAGGCCTTGAAAACTCCCAATTCCATGAATCCTGATTACAAACAACCCCGAGGAACCATTTAGCTCCCCGAAGACCAACAGAATCTGTGTACAATGTGGGAGGAGAGAAACTCCGGAGCGTGGCCCAGGAAGACAGGTGGCAACCCTAGAAATGCTGCAATGCCTGTTGAAGCCCCTTCCCCCTGAACTGGCCGACAATTTTCCTTCCATATACATTAAAAGCATAGTCTGTATTTTGACCTGATGGAAAAGATATAGACAGGATCTGGGACAAAGCCACCAAATCTTTTGTTCCCTTGGACACTCGATAGAATAAATGTTTTCCACGTCACACAGAAGAATGTTAAGTGCTTTGTTTCTGCAGAAGTGGAACAGAGATAGTGGGAGCATCTGTCAAAACCCCCAAAATGCTTTAATGTGGTGGCAGCTGGCTGGGAGGAGCAGGAGCCCAGTTCCCTAAAAGCCAATAGTTCTGGAAATGGAGGAGGGCTGTTTGAACCAGCGCGTTAACATCACCCAGGAGCTTGTTAGAAAGGTACATTCTCAAGTCCCTCCCAGGACCAACTGAGTCAGAAATTCTAGGGCTGAAGTCCAGGAATCTGTGTTTTAACAATCCCTCCAGGTAATTCTGAAGTTTGAGAACCGGTGGAATAAGGCCAGGGAACTCACACAAGGCCACAGCTCTTAGGTGACCTAAAAAAAAGTGGACGACAGCTGAGGAGCCACCATGCCTGGTGTGGCCAGGCCTGTACTGAAGCAGCTGAGGGCGCGTCCACGCCCGTCAAACCATCCCGGGCACCCCGTCTCACCACCAGCCTCTCCCCGACGTCTGTTGTGACTTGACCTATGCTCGTGGCACAGGGAAAGGGCTGTGGCCTCTCAGGCTCCCAGGCTATTATTAGTTCCAATCCGCACAAATCTACCAGTGCTAAAGGGAAGCTTCTGCGAACTTTGGAAGGTGGATTAACTGTTTCAGAGCAGCAGCTGCGGGCCCAGATAGTTGTCGGAGCCGCTAGACACAGCCAAGCGCTTCCCTGAAAGCCAAGGCCGGCGGCGAGCTGGTGGTCCCGCCGGCCGGAGGCCCCTCCCCGCCAGGCCGCAGAACCCGGGTCGGAGAGCAGCCAGTCTCAACCTGCGTCCCCAAGGCCGAGGATGTGTCCTGGTTTTTTAAAAAGCTGTTTGCGCACTTCCAGGGCCTCACCCCTTTCATTTGGGGCTCCAGTATTACTGTATTGACCTAATTAATTCATTTTTTTCTCAGTCCAAAGTGGAAGCCGGAGCACAGGGATGCAAATCAAATACAAACCCGTCCTGGGTGCCAATACTCTGGACAATTAAAACAAAGAGCGCAGTGGTGGCGGTGGCGGCGGCACCACACAAAACCCTCGGGAAACATCCAGAACGTGCCGCGAACCAGCCGGCAGGGTGGGGCGCAGCCCGGCTGCAAACATGCCAGCAAGGAGGCAGTCCCAACCCCGCAGGTGGACAGGTGGAGGTTGGCAGGGGTCAAAATCCATCCTGAAGGCCTGGGAGCCGGGCAGCTGCGCGGCACAACTCCAGGGGGCACACTCGCCCTGCGCCCTGCGGGAATGGCGCCCCGGCCAAAAAAGCAACCAGACAAAAACCCATTGCACGGGCGGGAACTGGTCTGTGCGACCCGCAAAAGGGGTGGGTGGGAGAGGAAGAATGCGGAAGCGAGGAAGAGGATGGGAAGGGAGAAAGAGGAAAGGGAGGAAAAGGAGAAAGTGAAAAAGAGAGGGGGTTTGGGAGCGCGAGGGGAGAAGGAAGAGGGAGCCGGAGGGAGAGGAGGGGGATCGCAGAGAGCAGGAGCGCGGAAGGGGGGCGGGGGAGGAGCAGAGAGAAAGGGAAAGGGGGGTGCGCCGGGGCCCAGCGACCCGGGCGGGGGGTGGCGGCGGCCAAGGGGCGGGACCCGGGTCGGTGCCCACCTGCGTGGGCGCCCGCTGCTCCGAGGGGTGGAAGCCCGGGGGCCAGAGGGAGCGGCCGGGAGGAGGGCTGGGCAGGGAGGCAGAGGGGAGGGAGGGGACGGGGACGGGGAGGCGGGGAGGAGCCGGCGCTCGGCTGGGGCTGCGGGGGCGGCGACGGCGGGAGCGGCAGTGGCGGCGGCGGCGGGTCCGGAGGTGGCGGCAGGTGGCCCCGCGCGCGGCGGCCGGCCCGGCCGGGGGCGGGCGGGAAGGTGGCGCCTCGGGCGGGGGCCGGTCCCTGCACCAGGTGACCTGTTCCGGCCCGGATCCGGGCGGCCTCGCCATGCAGCGGCGCGGCGCGGGGCTCGGGTGGCCGCGGCAGCAGCAGCAGCAACCCCCGCCGCTCGCGGTCGGCCCCCGGGCCGCAGCCATGGTCCCGAGTGGCGGCGTCCCCCAGGGCCTCGGCGGCCGCTCTGCCTGCGCGCTGCTCCTGCTCTGCTACCTGGTGAGCGCCGGACCCTGCCCGGGTCTTCCCCTCCGCGCGGGGCCCCGGGGACGCGGGTGGGGGCGGCCGGGGACACCCGCCACGCGGGGCGGGGACGCCGCTGCTAGTTTTCTCTCTTCCTCGTCGCTGCGCCCCGGGCGTTCCCGGCACCTGGGATAGGTACCCCGGGCGTGGAGAGGGGCGCTTGGACCGGACTTGCCAAGCTGCTCTCTCGCTCGTGCTCATTCCTTTCCCTCCTGGACTCTCTCTAGACCCGGGTCGGGTTACCCTCGAGACCCCTTCTTGTCCTCGACTCCACCCGGGAGCCTCGCCGCCCGGAGTTCGCTCCCCGCCCCGCCGCGCGCAGTCTCCAGCACCCCCCAACCCCCCACCCCTCCTGGGCTTCCCTCTCAATCTTCTCGCAGCTCCTTTCCTTCCCGTGCCCAACTTCGCCTCTTACTCTCGGCGCCCGCCACCCGCGTCGACCCTCCTTTTAGTTTCCACCGGGTCCTCCCGGCCCGGACAGTTTTCTGCCAACGCACCTCGCATCTCCAGCGCTCTTCAACTCCTCCTTGGTCACTCCAGCCAAGTTGCGGATGCCGGAAAGAAATCTAGTTCTCTGTAACACGCTTACCGCCAGAGTGGTGACTTTAGCTGCGTCTTGAACATTGTCATTTCAGAGAATATGTTTGGCTCATGCATGTCAGTTTGCAATTTGCACACTTCTTGGCTTCTGTTTTAGTCATCAACTAAAGGGCAGTAACCTATTTTTCAAAACCCATTTATTTTAAATACCAGAGTAGCTGAGACCCCTCAGAACAAAGTGGGGAGAAATTTTCTCAGTTCCTTTGAGGGCTTGCTTGCTTCTGTTTTGAGTTCTCCTAAACAATAGTAAATTTACAGAAGGCGACACCCTTCCTGCCCAGAGTAACTTATGTTCCACAATCCTGCAGAAACCTTGGGTTATCTCGCCATATATTACTGTAAATAAATGAAATGGAAAATGCTGAATCATGAAACTGATGTAATAGGAAATTCACAGAATGCCAAAAAAAAAAAAAAAAAGAGCAGTGTCATTGTCCAGAATTCATTTCACTTATGTGGCATTGTCATTATTTGGAGTCTTTCTTTTTGGAAGCTAAAAACTGCTTAGGAGATACTGGCAGAAATTAGAATTTGATTCTGAAGAAATTTGCCACTCAGCCCGTTTCTTTTAACGTTTTTTACTTCTTGAATGTTTCATTTCTTGAAGCAAGAAGGTGTAAAAATGCAAATTATAATTCTGCCTGTGCATCTACCTGTTGAGCAATCCGTGCTTTTACTCATATTTCAGAATTAGCCAATATCAAATTGTGTGGTTGGGCTTACTTCATATTTTCATAAGAAGTTGTCAGTTAACATGAATGATATTTTTTTGCCCAAGAGATATTATTATTTAATATTTATGCCACAAGGTTACAACACACAGGCTCATAAATAAAACTGCCATAACAAATGACAAGATTTCAGTTTAAACAGATGATCCCTGTACACAGGGCCCTGCTGGCTACCCACAGAAGCAGAAGTGATGTAGTAGAGTGTTGCGTGAAACATTCATATACAAATGGGCCGGGCCGAAAAGTTCCACGTGGACATCTCAAGACCTGGCAAGGAGGGGGACTACTTCTGGACAGTTCAGGAAGTCAGAGTCAGGAGAGCAAAGCCTAAGGGCCTAAGTGGACTCTGGAAACAGAGACAGATAATGATGGAGCAAGTATTCCTGTGAAAGTTCTGTGTACACCAAGGGGGATTAAGAGAACAGAGGGAAAAATGATGCCATGGATAGACTCAAGTGAGATAGTGAAGGAGTGAGGAAGGGCTCCGGAAAGAGTAATTTTAGAAAATACTGTGATGTGGAAAATAACTAGAGCATGGATGAATGTCTTGGCAGATGGGGAAGGAATGGATTTGGGGACCTCATGGTGGGGGGAAATGTCAGTGCTTCCTGCCTTTGTATGCTTCCTTCAGATGGACTTCTGATACGCTTACTGTACAAGACAGACTTTGATAAACAAGAGAGCCATTTTGCAAAGGACACAAAAGGCCGACTTAAAAGGTAGTCTCCACATTTTGTTCTGAAGATCTAGCCGTTTACTAGGGATGTTGCTCTTGGGTCTACACTACCCAAGATACTACTGAAGGCAAGGCTTCTTGATCTTGGAGAAGCTTGGTGTGAGAATTGGGGAAAATGTAAATATCCATATGAAACACTTGAAAAACATAAAACAATAGAGAGAAAACGCAAATGTATAATTGTGTGCATTTTGCTCAATCAAGGAATGCTACCTGGAGGAAGTGGTTGGTCAGGGGGATGGGGCTGGGCAGGTGCAGGGTAGAGATGGAGCAGAATAGCTGGGCAGGATCCCAGGAATATGTAGACTCTAGAGGAGGAAAGGTCTTTCATAATTTGAAAGCCTACATGGTAATAACGATAGCTTACATTGTGCTATACATTGTGCTAAATCGTTTATAGGCATTATCCAGTATTTATCTTAGCAACAGCCCTCTGAGGTAGGAGCTACTATAATCTCCATTTAGATGAGATAACAGAGACTCAGAGAGGTTAAGTTAGTTGCCCCAGGCCATACAGTCTGAGATTGAAACCCAAATCTGTCTCCCTCCAGAGCCCCAGCTCTAAACCACACTAGCTTATTGTCTTCTGGATTTTGCTGCTTGTAACTCATTCTTCATCGATGTACGGGCCATTAGCAGAGCTCTAGCAATTAGCAGCTACTGTGCAATTGGCCAGGATGTGAGGTCATGTCTAAAGTAATCTAAAATATACAAAGCAGGAAGCGCAGGCCACAGAATAGAAGCAGGATGTTAAAGTGGGGAAGAAAGGTAAAGCCAGAAAATATTTGCCATCGTTAATGAAGAGATAAAGGTTTGGGGTTTTTATGTAGTCCAGAGGCAGCTGGTAGAGTTTAGCATTTGAGTTTGGATGAATGTGCATACAAGTGTACAGCAAATGTGCCTTGGAATGCATTCCAAAGCCAAATTGCCTATGATTTGGGGACCAGTTCCTGTTTTGTGTTATCTTCACCTATTTGCCTGTTCACAAGGGCTGGAGGTTGAGAGCAGCTTCTGAATAGATGCCTTTAAGCACCTGCCCTCACAGGGAGCATGCTTCCTGGAGTCAGGGTCCTGAGGAGTGGGTGCCTTCCGTCTCCATAGGCTGGGACGGAGTAACCTTCAGTATCAGCTCAAAAAGAGTACTGTGTCTGTAGCTAGGATACTGCCAAAGCATGAATAATTGTGATGAGGGCTGAAAGATAAGTCACGGAACGATGCCAAACAGATTTCTGAAAAGATGATCCCTGGTTCCAGTGGCTGCCAGAAAATTCTGAGGTCACCAAAGGCCAAGATGCAGAGAGCCTCCTCAGAGAGGGAGAGGGCCTCGAAAGCAAAAGATAATGAAATTGCTTCCACTGAGGTCGCGGGTGCTGAGTACTGTGCCCCACGCAGAACTTTCCCTGCCCAACGGGCCTTCTTGCTATTTTCTTACACCATTAACTCTTACCTTCTTCCAACTTGGCTAGAACCAGCCTGAGGCTGCCCCAGCTCTCTATCTGTGATAATGGCACTTCCAGAAAACAATTTTGTTCGTTCTAAGCTCTGGTCTCCAAAGTATAATATTTTCTTATATGAAAAGATAAATCTCAGGATGGCCAGTATTGATGTCAGCTGTCAGTTGAAATGTTCGGAGTGGATAGCTGCACTTGTTAGACAATCAGACTGAGGACAAAGAAGTAAGAGGACATTAACAGCACAGAGGCTGGGCGCGGTGTCTTACGCCTGTAATCACAGCACTTTGGGAGGCCGAAGCAGGCGGATCACGAGGTCAGGAGATCGAGACCATCCTGGCCAACATGGTGAAACCCCATCTCTACTAATAATACAAAAATTAGCTGGGTGTGGTGGCGTGCACCTATAATCCCAGCTACTTGGGAGGCTGAGACAGGAGAATTGCTTGAACCCAGGAGGGAGAGGTTACAGTGAGCTGAGATCGCGCCGCTGCACTCCAGCCTGGCGACAGAGTGAGACTCTGTCTCAAAACAAACAAACAAACAAACAAACAAAAAAATCAAAAAAAACAAAAACAAAACAACAACAACAAAAAAACAGAACAGATACATGTGGGACAGTTAGCAGACAGCGGCTGTGACAGAGCCTTGTACAGGATTCCCTGTAAGTGGCCACACACCCTCGGTCATCCATCTAAGAGTATTCATTAACCCCTCACTATGTGTGCAATGCAGAGCATGAGAAGATCAAAACGAGGTAAAGAGATCTGCAGTTATCTAGCTTGAGGGAGAGGTATTATGAATATTTGAAAATAGAGATCATCCCCAAACCTCACATCAACCAATAGCTTCCATATTCATCCTGACTGGAGCTCCTAAAATTTCCCAAGCCATGGTGTTGGCCTCTTGCCTTCTATTTCTTCTGGCTGCCTGTTGGCAAAAGCGTCAGAGCTAGAGGACAGGTAGGAGAGAATAACCCAGGCAATTCGCTGGAAACATGGATAGACTGGAGTAGACCGTAAATAGCCTAAAGTGAATTCAGTTACCCTGTTTAATGGCTCATGCCATTCCCCTGAGAAAGGAGCCGAGGGGCAGGAGGCGTGTTCGGCCCATGAGGAATGGCTGATGGGATTCTGCCTTGGCAGGCCTTGTTTCCAGTCTCTACCTGGAGAAGGGCTTAGTTATACTGGGGAGCTGGCTGAGTCTGGTGTTTGTGTGTTTGTGGTTAAGGCAATATCTGTCTCCTCCAAACTCAAGGCATGCCGGCATAATGGCATTTTAGCCCCAACCCTTTCAAGATGGGAATAAGGAAAGTCATGAGATTCCCCAACCCTGTAGCCAGAAAGCGGTGACAGGTGTATAAAGGCAAGGACGTGAGTTGAGGGCATCATCTTTGGGTGTTGTTAGAAGACAAGAGGCACACCTTCCCTGGCTTTGGAGTCAGC
Source organism: Homo sapiens (assembly GCF_000001405.40). Classification (NCBI taxonomy): domain Eukaryota; kingdom Metazoa; phylum Chordata; class Mammalia; order Primates; family Hominidae; genus Homo; species Homo sapiens. Next base: position 25,857,687 of record NC_000004.12, on the reverse strand, counting down.
CAATGTGGATTTGAATTTTGGTTCTGCTTTTTGGTAGCTGGTTGACCTTGGGCAAGTTACTTACCCTCTCTGAAGGCATTCCATTGCCTCAGCTGTAACAGTGGGATGCTGTCTCCCTCTGTGGGTTGTTGTGAGGATTGGGTTAGAAGTGAGAAGTTCTATGAGGTCCCATGTGAGAGGTGGAGGTTAGAAGTCAGAGAGAGAAAAAGGTTTAACACACCCATCCCAGTGCTCAGTACACAGTAGGTACTCAATGAAATAAGAGCAAACCAAGCTTAGGTAGCTTTGTGTGATGTAAGTTGGGAAGAAACAGCATATTAAATAGTATGGGGGAGAATCTTACACAACCAGGAATATTGATCATGACTGTGATGGTGTGGCTCTGGCCAGCTCTCAGGTTTAGGAGGGAATAATACTCAACTGGGAAGTTCTTCCCTAAGCACATGCTGATTTTGAAGTCTGTATTGACATCATCATCCATTTTGCTTAATTGCATGCTTTGTTGACCTAAACAGAATTTTTGCTTATATCTAGTAGACAGAAATTACAAAAATAGGCCCTTTAAGGCAAGACACTTACCTTTTTGATCTAGGGAAAATGTGATCCAGCCAGTTTGAAGAGAAAGCCCTCATGAGCCACAGTTTTCTTAGAAGAATGGGGCAGAAAGGTCAGGAATGAGAAAAACAGTTATTGTTTTCTTGTCATACCCACCCACAGACATGTGTACATGCCAATGAACTTCCCGTAGCAAGATGTGGATGATTTAAAGTTTCCCAATCTCTCTGTTCCTTCCTTAAATACCAAGTGGAGACCAGATAGAGAACAAAGCCAAGTTTTCTCAGCTCTTTGAGCAAGGGAGGGTTATTTGAATAGCATCTCTTCTTATTGATTTTCTTAAAGGAATCAAATGCAGTTATCCTAAAAGAAGTTTAGGTCATATTGATAGTTTTATTTTTCCATCCAGAATATACATAAATTCATCTGTTTCTTGATTCCCAGGCTGAGTTCAATGCATTTAGATCTCCTATTTGGGGTCTTCTATCATGAACACACATTAACTGGCCCATTTCTTTGTTTTTTTTTTTTTTTTTTTTAATTACAATACATGCACATTTACACAAAAGCAAGAGAATCTGTGTTTTGTGACTGTGCATGACGTTGTCAAATTTGACTTTGATGAGGGCTCACATCTGGTATAAACATATTTGAGGGCTCAAGCATTTTTCAGGGCCCAGCTCTGTTGCGTGCAAAATGGATCAGTATGTTGCTTTCAAGGTGGAACATCTATTGTAGCTGCCTAAACCACATAATTTGAGGGGCACAGATGCCCCTCTTCACCCCAAATATCTTGCTTAGAGTTGCGGTGCATTTAGACTGTGCTTTTAAGGCATTATCTCCACAAAGCTGGTGTAGAAATACAGATACGTGACCTTACCTCAGTATTTTTTCATTATCACAGTAACATGGATGAACTTGCCAGATGAACAGGAATTCAGCAGAGGGTCGAGGGATGAGAAATCTTAAAAATTTAATTTGTATTTTTGGTGTGGAGAAATGGAAACGGTCTAGAATGTAGGGCAGTTGTCTGAAAAGGTCTAGAGGGACCAAATAGCTGGGAGAAGTTTGCCCCAAATGGTTAAGGTGGGTGCCAAGGTGCCACCTTCTCTGACCTCACAGTTCCCCAGCTCAGCTCTGATCCCCAGGGACCAATGAGGTGCCAAAGGGTAAGGGCTCTTTGGAAGGAATTAACGAGGCTGGGAGAAAAATAGAGAAATGATGGGGGCCCCTTACAAGAGAACTTACGAGTATAAGAAGAAGGCAGTGGGGACTCAAAACTGATCAAGTCATTTGGTTTATATGCAAGTGCCCTCAGGGCCACTGAGGCACCTGGCAGAAATGCCCATGCCCAGTGCTTTTTTTTTTTCCTGAGACGGAATCTCGCTCTGTTGTCCAGGCTGGAGTGCAGTGGCACAATCTCGGCTCACTGCAACCTCCACCTCCCAGTTTCAAGTGATTCTCCTGCTTTAGCCTCCCAGGTAGCTGGGATTACCGGTGCCCGCCACCACACCTGGCTAACTTTTTTTTTGTATTTTTAGCAGAGACAAGGTTTCACCTTGTTGACCAGGCTGGTCTCAAACTCCTGACCTCAGGTGATCCACCCGCCTCGGCCTCCCAAAGTGCTGGGATTACAGGCATGAGCCACCGTGCCCAGCCCCAGTGCTTTATTTCAGCAAGAAACACTTACTAAATTCTTACTGTGTGTCAGACTCTATCTTAGAAGCTGGAAACATAACAATGACATGGACTCTGAACTCATAATTTCTAAACAAAGGAACATGCAGATAAATTTTTAGCTTGTGTTAATGCAACCTGGCATGTGAAAATACCTATGAAGGCTGGACACGTGTCATGCCTGTAGCTGGAACTCTTCAAGTTAATTGCCTTATTTTCCTGGCAGGAAACAGCTTATAACCACACACATGACTTGAGCCAGGAAGTCAGCTTCAGCTTAATCAATATTTAGAGTGTGATGTGTTGCTAATCAGTGTTGGTTTTGTGCATAGGAAAGGTAGCCACGACTCGTGGTGAATCAGCTGCCCACAGGTCTGCTACAAGCCACCGGATGCCAGCTTCCTTCATTGCATGGGTGCCTCAAAGCACCTTCTTGAAGGGTTTAGACCATGTTCTGCACAGGCCATGCAGGGTGATTTTGAGGCCCTCTTTGGGGCCAACACACCCTCATTAACTTAAGGAAACATTGCCCCACCCCGAAGTTTCTCTTCTCTTGTACTCCAGCTGTCATTCAAGCTTCTCCTACTTGTCAAACAATCCATCTCAGTCCTTAAAATTTGATCTCTTTGCCTAGCTTAACTTCATGTTATCCTCTGACTTAGATCTTTTCTGAAAGAAACAATAGCAAAATGTCAACACTCTCCACCAGGGAACCTTTTAGAAAAATACAGAATCAAGCCCCATCAACTACACACATATGAAATGATGCCCAGTTGAGCTATTCACCCCGTTTCTCCTATATGAGAACTCCTAACAAAGCATATCTTCTGTCACCTTTTGTTCTTCAAAACTCTATCTGGGATAATAGCTTGATAATTGGCCAGGCGCTGTAGGCTCATGCTGTAATCCCAGCACTTTGGAAGGCCGAGGTGGGTGGATCACCTGAGGTCAGAAGTTCGAGAGCAGCCTGGCCAACATGGTGAAACTCGGTCTCTACTAAAAATATAAAAATTACCCGGGTGTGGTGGCACGTGCCTGTAGTCCCAGGTACTCAGGAGGCTGAGGCACGAGAATCACTTGAACCTGGGAGGCAGAGGTTGCAGTGAGCTGAGATTGTGCCACTGCACTTGAGCCTGGGCGATAGAGGGAGACTCAGTCTCAAAAAAAAAGCTTGATAATTTAGAAAAGCAGTTCGCAAACTATAGGCCTGTGGGCCTGTCCAGTCAGCTGCCTGTTTTTGTAACCAAAGTTGTATGGGACCACGGCCACACCCATTCAGTTATGTGTTGTCCCTATGGCTGTTTCAAAGTGTCCCTGCAAAACCTAAAATATTTACCATCTGGCTATTTTTCTTTTCCCAAGAAAGTCAGCTGACCTCAAATTTAGAATAGCACTATCCAGTTGAAATACAATGTGAACCACAAATTTCAAGCCACATATATCATTTTAAATTCTCTAGTAGCTATGTTAAAAAAGTAAAGAGAGGCCGGGGGCAGTGGCTCACACCTGTAATCCTAGCACTTTGGGAGGCCGAGGCAGGTGGATCACCTGAGGTCAGGAGTTCGAGACCAGCCTGGCCAACATGGCAAAACCCTGTCTCTACTGAAAATACAAAAATTAGCTGGGCATGTTGGCACATGCCTGTGATCTCAGCTGCTCAGGAGGCTGAGGCAGGAGAATCGCTAGAACCCGGGAGGCGGAGGTTGCAATGAGCCGAGATTGCCCTATTGCACTCCAGCCTGGGCGACAGAGCGAGACTCCATCTCAAAAAAAAAAAAAAAAAAAAAAAAAGGTAAGAAGAGCAGGCATAATGAATATTAATGTATTTTATTTAACTCAGTGTATCCAAATATTGTCATGTCAACATACAATTAATATAAAATTTATTAATGAGATATTTTGCAGCCCTTTTTTTTATACAAAGGGTTTGAAATTCAATGAATATTTTACACTTACAGGACATCTCAAATCAGACCAGCCACATTACAAGTGCTTAATATGACTTGTGACTACCATGTTGGATAACATATGTCTAACACCTATATACCTTGGGGTAACTTTTACTGCACCTGAGACTTTGAAACAGGTGAAAATGAAATAATCTTCATATAAGTATATGGAGAGTTTTTTTGAAACAGAATTTGAAGGGACGGCTCTGTGGAGAGTACACGGTGAAATGTGTATATGCCTTCTTATTTTTATTTTTATTTTGGAGGGGACAGGGCCTTACTCTATTGCTCAGTCTGGAGTGCATTGGCACTATCATAGCTCACTGTAACCTTGAATTTTGAGGCTCAAGTGATCCTCCTGCCTTGGCCTCCCAAAGCACTGGGATTACCAGCATGAGCCACAACACCTGGCGTGTATGTATGTCCATTATCCACAATGTTATAAGCATGGACCATCAAACAAAACTGAAACCACACTCAGGGTGCTGCATTAATTAATGAAGAAAAGTGGACTGTTGCATTTTTAGCAGTAAGATGTAAAATAATGAACACGGTTATTATGAACTGCACTTTTCTAGTAAAATCAAATGGTCATTACCCTGGCATTCTGTTTAAAAGAGGTTTTCACTGGAGATCCTAGCATCAGCACTAAAAATCTGACACCCCTTATCCCTACTCAAAAAATTATCAAAGTGGGAGAGCTGAGCCTGGGTGAGTTTTTAAGGTATACATGAAAGGAATGAGGAAGAGGTTTTAAGTTGTTCTTTGGGAAAGAACAAAGTGTGATATTTAATACACCTCTGCATGTCCTGGGTGCTGGGCTGCCCTTTGTCTCACAAAATAAGCAAATGTCTTATTTGACATTTGACTTATTTGTGGGATTAGTGAGGGAAACATTCGGGGCATTGCTTTGGAATAAGGCGTGTTGGCCACCCATTGGCTGGTTCGGCTTCCGCCAGCACCAGCGATCCCTGGCCTTGGGTGAAACTCTGTTGTGGACTTAACACTGTGATTTGCATCTTGAGAATGGGGGCGACATCTTGGCATATCTGGCTGAATTAATAAACCAGCACTTATGGACAAATGCTGGGTATATCCCTATTCATGTGGAAGCAGAATTTAGTCTAGAGTTTCCAGGAGGCCATGGAATGGTGACCATTAGTCACCATTGATATCATTTGCTATGGCGTGGGGAAGGTGGGAGTGGGTGGGTGGCTAGAAAAGGAGCCAGGTTTCTGGGCTTGCCTTTGCTCACCCACCAGCTGGGTGGTGTTGGAGAATGTCACCTCTTGATTGTCATTTCCTCGTCTGCAGAATAAGAGAGTAGACTGGCTTGTCACCAGACTCATCCACTGTAACATTCTCTGCTTCTAATTATGAGATGATTTTTATATGTGTTTCCTCCCTGTAATCTGGCAGCATAAACGAGAACATAAAACAATTAAACCTCTCCTGGGGGGGGTGGCATGGACAGTTTGCATTGTACCCCCTTCTTTATATATCTCTTCCCACAGGTTGCCCATGACTGGTCAAAAGGAATCACCAGCTCTTCTCCTATTCCCTCTGCCATTTGCAGAAGACATAGTTTCCACTGTGACCTTTTTTTTTTTTTTTTTTTTGAGACAGAGTCTCACTCTGTCGCCAGGCTGGAATGCAGTGGCACGATATCGGCTCACTGCAACCTCTGCCTCCCGGGTTCAAGCAATTCTCCTGCCTCAGTCTCCCCAGTAGCTGGGACTACAGACATGTGCCACCACGCCCGGTTAATATTTGTATTTTTAGAAGAGACGGGGTTTCACCATGCTGGCCAGGATGGTCTCGATCTCTTGACTTCGTGAACCGCCCACCTCAGCCTCCCAAAGTGCTGGGATTACAGGCGTGATCCACCATGCCCGGCCCACTTTGACCTTTTAGGACAGTTGCTTTCTCCTCACCTACTTAAAAAAAAATTGTGTAGTACACAATTCAAAAGTTAGGGAAGGATATACAGTGCATCTTTCTCTCTTATTCTGTCTCCTGGTCACCTCATTCTTATCCGTGTAAGCAACCAGTGATATGTGTATTCAAGTGACTATACACATGTACATATATATGTGTGTGTGTGGTGTGAGTGTGTATTTAATCCAAATGGTATTTCTGAGTCTGTTTTTTAAAAGCAAGCAAAAAAATGGGAAGTGACTGCCAGTGGGTACTGGGTTTCATTTTGGGGCAATGAAATGTTTGAAAATTGATTGTTGTAATGATTGATTGTTGACTAACTCTGTAAATCTACTAGAAAACGTTGCAATTTACACTTTCAGTGTGTGAATTGTGTGGTGTGAATTATATTCCAACAAACCTGAAATTTCAAAACCTGGGCTGGGCACAGTGGCTCACGCCTGTAATCCCAGCACTTTGGGAGGCTGAAGTGGGTGGATTACTTGAGGTCAGGAGTTCGAGACCAGCCTGGCCAACATCGTGAAACCCCATCTCTACTAAAAATACAAAAATCAGCCGGGTGTGGTGGCAGGTGCCTGTAATCCCAGCTACTCGGGAGGCTGAGGCAGGAGAATCACTTGAACCTGGGCGGCAGAGGTTGCAGTGAGCCGAGATTGCGTCACTGCACTCCAGCCTGGATGACAGAGTGAGACTCCAACTCAAAAAAAAAAACAAACAAACAAAAAAAAGAAAACCCTGAAAATTCAAAAACAAACAAAAAAACCAGACAGAAAACCCTTTGCGATCATTCCATTTTCTGTACGTGAAGAGCTTCCTCCTTTTAATAGCTGTATGGTACTCCATGAGTGGATGTACTATTTTTATTTAACCAGCTCCCTCTTGATGAGTTTAGGCTTCCCTATCTCCTGCAATTGCAAACTGTACTGGTGTGAAAATCTACACAAACATCATTTTGCACAACTTTCAGTGTATTAGTAGGTTAAACTCCTAGTAGTGAAATTATTGGTCCAGAGGGTGAGTGCATTTATAATTTTAGTAGATATTACTTGATTGGCCTCATAAAGATTAGAGATTACTGCCACCAACAATACATAAGAGGGCATGCTTCCTACACTCTGGTCAGTACGATGTGTTATCTGACTTTTTGATCTTTGCAAATCTAGTAGGGAAAAAATGGTATCTCAGTGCAGTTTCAGTTTGCATTTATCTTACTATGAATGAGCATTTACTTGTTGATTAGCTATGTCATTTGCTCATTTTTGTATGAATTGTTAGCCTTGTTTCTAATTGACATTGACTATCAGTTGCTTTAAAAGGGAGACACCACCCCCTTGTACAGAAACCTTTGTTGATTCTTTGCTGTCGGTAGAATAAAAGTTCACATTCGTTGGGCTGGGACTCAATGTTCTCCAGGGCCAAACTCTACTTTTCTTTTTAACCTCATACCTGCGTGTCCACATAGCTGCTTGCTATTCCCCAAGTACACCTGCATTCCCCTGCCTCTTGCCCGGCTTATGCTGTTCACACCCCTTGCAGTGCCTTTCCCTTGTGTCTCTACGTGAAGAACTTCTTTTCGTCCCTCAAAGCCCAACTGAGATACCGTTTCTTCCATAAAGCCTATCCCAGACCTTCCAGTTAGAATTATTCTCTCTCAGTGCTATGCACCCTTGGGCTTGTTTACAGTTTGATGGGAACACTGACCACGTTTCGCCTGTATTGCCATTATTTATAGACACGATTCCTTGATACCAAATTTCATGTCTTGTCCATCTTTGCCTCTCCCGCAGCTCTAAGTCAGAATTGAAAAAAGGAGTCCTTATTTTTTTCCTCAGAGGAGACCAAAGTGACTTTTTTCTTTTAAATTGTGGTAAAAATATGCAAGCATTAAAATGTACCTTTTTAATCATTTCTAAGTGTACAGTTCAGTGGTGTTAAGGACATTCCCACTGTTTTGCAACCAGCACCACTTTCTGTCTCACTATTTCATCGTCCCAAACTGAAACTCTGGACCCATTAAATCCTAACTCCTCAATCCCCTCTTCCCTTAGGCCCTGGTAACCTCTTTTCTCCCTTCTGTCTCTGTGAGTTTGACTACTCTAGGTGCTTCATGTAGGCGGATGATATAATGTCTGTTCTCTTGTGTCTAGCTTGTTTTCCTTAGCCTCATCTCCTCAAAGTTCATCCATTTTACAGCATACATCAGAATTTCATTCCCTTTTATGGGCTGAATAATATTCCATCCCATGTATATACCACATTTTTTCTACCCATTCATCCATGGATGGACCCTTGGGGTTGCTTTTGGCTAGCGTGAGTAATGCTGTTATGAACACGGGTGTACAAACATCTCTTCAAGTCCTTGCTTTAAATTTTTGGGGTGTATATCCAGAAGTGGAATTGCTGGGTCTGATCATACCATAATTCTTTTTTGAGATGGAGTCTCACTCTGTTGCCCAGGGTGGAGTGCAGTGGTGTGATCTTGGCTCACTGCAACCTCCACCTCCCGGGTTCAAGTGATTCTCCTGCCTCAGCCTCCCAAGGAGCTGGAATTACAGGTGTGCACCACCTTGCCCAACTGATTTTTGTATTATTAGTAAAGACAGGGTTTCACCATGTTGACCAGGCTGGTCTTGAACTCCTGACCTCAAGTGATCCACCCACCTGGGCCTCCCAAAGTTATGGGATTGAAGGCATGAGCCACCACGCCCAGTCTGATCATATGATAATTCTGTGTCTAATTTATTTGAGGAACTGCTATACTATTTTCCATAGTAGCCACACCATTTTACATTCTCATTAAGAGTGCATAAGGGTTCCAGTTTCTCCACATCTTCACCAACACTTGTTATTTTCTCTCTGTGTGTATGCGTTGTGTGTGTTTAATAATAGCCACCCTAATGGATATGCAGTGGTCCAAAGTGACCTTTTTCTATTGTGTTTTGGATACTTGAATCACAAAGTCATATTTAGGAGAGCTCTTAGCACTCACATATCAGCACCTCATGCTCAAAACCTTGCATTGATTTCATGACCAGATAAATAAACATTCAGCTAAAATCCTTCTTGGTGCATGTAGCATTGTCTGTGGTGAAAGAATCAGACAACACAGCCCATCGTCTGAGCTTACTTGTGTGTGACCAGGAGCAATAGAAGCCTCTTGCCTGTCCATATATCATGCAGGCTTGCCCTGGCTTCAAACTTATGGGAGAAAAAGGGGCCAGGTTGGCATCCCTGTTATGTTCCCTCGAGGGTGCACTTTTCACTTTTCTGCCACCCTTTGATTTGGTAGTGTCTGACCCACCATTTAAAGTCAGGACAATGGTTTGAAAATGTCTGAAGCTGCATTGTCTCTGTTTTATTCTAAGGCAGGTTCCCTTGCTACTGGATTTGTTGTGAACCAACTTCTGCCTTTGAAAACCAACTCTGGAATTATTGCCATGTAGATGTGACAGTCACATTCTGATCAGCAGATGTTACTGTGTCTGGGGAGAGAGTTTAATGTGGCCTCATCTTCCTTTGTATTTGTGTGTTGGTTTTTCCCCAATTCTTCAGTAGTGGTTTTGACATCTTTTATCTCCCGCATTCATTCATTGCTTTATGTAGATTGATATTTTTTTATCCCAGGAAAATAATGATTCAAGTATCTGTTATGATGAGGATTTTTAAACTTTCTGTATTTCTTACTTTCTTTTTCTTTTTTTCAGAATGTTGTACCATCTTTGGGTAGGCAGACTTCCCTGACGACATCAGTGATACCCAAAGCTGAGCAGAGCGTGGCTTACAAAGACTTTATTTATTTTACTGTCTTTGAAGGAAACGTTCGCAACGTTTCTGAAGTCTCGGTTGAGTATTTATGCTCTCAGCCTTGTGTTGTCAATTTGGAAGCAGTTGTTTCATCTGAGTTCAGAAGTAGCATTCCCGTGTACAAAAAAAGGTGGAAGAATGAGAAACATCTTCACACCAGCAGGACACAAATAGTACATGTGAAATTTCCAAGCATTATGGTTTACAGAGATGATTATTTCATCAGACATTCCATCTCTGTATCTGCAGTGATAGTACGCGCCTGGATTACTCACAAATACAGTGGCAGAGACTGGAATGTTAAATGGGAGGAAAACTTGCTCCATGCTGTAGCAAAGAATTATACCCTCCTGCAGACCATCCCGCCTTTTGAACGCCCTTTCAAAGATCATCAAGTGTGCCTTGAGTGGAACATGGGTTATATTTGGAACCTTCGGGCAAACAGGATTCCACAGTGTCCTCTGGAAAATGGTAGGTCATCTATCTTGCTAGGAACCTAATTCTCATTTTTTCAGATAGCCTGTATCATGATCGAATGGCAAGAGAAAATTCTTCTATTAGCGAAGGGGGATACAGGGAAGATGGAGGGACACAATGAGTCTGTAACTTTGGAGTTTGAAGACAAAAGGAGAAAAATTAAAAGGGGAAGAGAGGAGAAAGATTAGGAGAGAGCAGGACCAAAGATGAAAGAACAGAACAGAGGAGCTGAGGAAGGTGGACTTTGAGAGGGTTAGATCTGCTTTAAGCTGGAAAGGAGTATTCATGCCACCGAAACAAGGATTGGGAAAATCTTCCCACTCACCTTCCAACAAGCCTGCTAAAGTTTCCTCTTTTTTTTTTTTTTTTTTTTTTGAGATGGAGTCTTGTTCTGTTGCCCAGGCTGGAGTGCAGTGGCGAGATCTCACTCGGCTCACTGCAACCTCCGCCTCCCAGGTTCAAGCAATTCTCCTGCCTCAGCCTCCCGAGTAGCTGGGATTACAGGCACCCACCACCATGCCAGGCTAATTTTTGTATTTTTAGTAGAGATGGGGTTTCACCATGTTGGCCAGGCTGGTCTCAAACTCCTGACCTCAGGCGATCTGCCTGCCTTAGCCTCCCAAAATGCTGGGATTACAGGTGTGAGCCACCATGCCGGGGCCTCTATTATTTTTAAGCAGAGTGTTTTATCCTGGAGGAGATGAGAACCTAAAGGAACCCTTCCAACAGAAAGGGAGGTTGTACCACAGAATGGTAACCTCTGGCTGGGCCTGATTCCTGTCCTGCCACTTTCTATCTCTGTAACCTTGGAAGTCTCTGAGCCTCAGTTTTCCTATCTGTAAAATGGGGATAACAAGCAGTTCCTTCAGAGCAGTGCTGTGAGGACTAAATGAGATGTGATTGCTCAGCACATCATCAGCACTCAGTGAGAAGCTGTGATGATGATAGAGTCCACACTCTGCATTTTATCCTAAATGCCACATGGTCACAGCCTCAGCAGGACCAATCCCGGAGGCTCCAAGGCCCTTCTGCAGCCTCCCTTAAGCCGTGGGGCTGGAGATCTCAGGCATGTGCTGAGAGGCGGCACTCTGAAGTTCTCTCCATTGGTGCAAGGAGCGCCTTGCTCTGTGGATGCCGAGTGCCTGCCAGCTCTTCTTCTGCCCCCTCAGTGGGGAGCCCTCCCCACACATGCGCCCAGTTGTTTCCTCAACTGTGGCCCTAGGACCACCTGTGACAGAATCACAAATGCTTGTTGCAAATGCAAATTCCTAGGCCCAGTCCTTCATCTACTTAGTCAGGATCTGCGGGGGTGGGGGAAGGCTTGGAATCGGCATTTTAAACACCTTCCTCACGACTCTAATGCACCCTAAAACTTGAGAACCTGTGGGCCAGGGACAGAGCTGGTTGGACTTAGGATTGCTATGGTTCCCGTGTCCCGACCCCCAGCCAGGCTTGGCAGGCAGAGGACATCCATGGATTTGTGGCAACAGACCCTTCCACAGGAAGTGCCTGACATTTCATCAACAGGATGGGTTTGGGACAAGGTGACTTAAGGACATGCACTCTAAGTTTTTCCTTTAGTGATCAATTTCTTGTCATCTCTGGGATGTGATTTCTGTTGGGCTATCTTTGGGGGAAATAATGACTGTGGCGATTTCTTGGTACTGTCCCAAAACAGCTCTGCATATAATGAAAACTGAAAGGACCTGTGTCACCATACATGATAGTTGGTCAGAAGCCACTTACCCTAGAACTGGCACATTTGATATTTTTCAAAACTTTTTCTTGTTTTGAGACAGGGTTTCACTCTGTTACCCAAGCTGGAGTGCAGTGGCACGATCATAACTCACTATAGCCTCAACATCCTGGGCTCAAACAATCCTCCCACCTCAGCCTCCTGAGTAGCGGGGACCATGGGCATGTACCACCACACCCAGTTTATTTTTTTATTTTTTTGTAGAGATGGGGTCTTCCTATGTTGCCCAGGCTGGTCTTGAACTCCTAGGCTCAAGCAGTCCTCCCACCTTGGCCTTCCAAAGTGCTGAATTAAAACTATTTTGAAATAAGTATAGATTCACAGAAAGTTGCAAAGGGTACAGGGTCCCTGTGTATCCTCACCCCCGCTTCCTCATTTTCCATAACTACAGTGCAAAATCAAAATTGGGGAAGTAATGCTGATCTAATACTGTTAACTGGACTCCAGACCTTACTCAGATTTTACCACTTTTTACAGGGGGTCCTGTGTTTGTGTAGATCTATACAATTTTAACCTACATTTTAATAACCCTGTCTGTCTGGTTTATTCTGCATTTGTGCAGTGCTTTAAATGAAAAGATGTCTAGAAGATGAAAGTAAATTCCCTTTCTGTGTGTGTGCACATAGTGGGGAGGGTGGGATGGGTAGTTAAATGTCTGAAAGCAGTCAAGTCAATCATTTTGATGATCAGTGTGCCTCCCTCTTCCAGGCAGAGCCCCATGCAGGCATCTGTCTGGAATACCTTCCACAGGGCCACCTAATTTGTTAAGGGGAAGATAGCGTGGGGCACACACAGCCACAATTTGCTGTACCTCCGACTTTGTCAGGGATTAATGATTCCATTTCATATTTGACAAATCATGTATTTCTGATTGAAGAATGACTGAATTGCAAGCTGGAAGTTTCCAAATGAAATCATTTAACGAACTGGCTCAGTTCTTAGGGCACCTGAATATGCCCTTAAAATGTGAAACGTCTTTTCCTTCTTTTGTTGTTTCTTCTCATATTCACAAGGCTTAGGAACAGCACAGTGGGATTTTTCTCCTCACCTGCTTCAGAGCATTACCTTAGGAGTGAGAATTAAACCATAACGCAGAGAAAACCCTTTCCCAAGAGTTAAAGTCACTGAAAATGGTGGGGAGCTCCATGCACCCTCAAAATAAGCTCTGATTACAAGGCTGTGATTTGTTTACCGAAAAAGGGGCACACATTCTTCCTTCTCCAAAAGACAGATCACAAGAGGGTCTGCAGCAGTCCCATGGAAAACATCCATGACCTTTGTTCTGGATCTGGGCTGTGGGGATAGAAGGGGGCCAAGCCTCTGGTTTGTTCTTAGCAGGGGCTTCTTGATGAACAAGAATCAAGTCAGAACAAGATGGCATTAGTGAGGCTCCGAGCTGAGCCACAGGGGGCCTGTCATGTATGGTCCCTGTCTCAGCCAGCACTGATGTGGGGTTTCAGGGAAGGTTTTCTGTGTCAAGTGCCTGGTGTCCTACGATGGCCCTGCCTCTGAACTGAAGTACTCCCTGACTTGCTTTCATTTTCCTTTTCATGTATAAAAAGAGTCAAAGTCCCTGTGCCCGGGCGTTCTGGAAGTGTGCTTGGAGGGCCTCCATCGCTGGCTTTGCCAAGGCTCCCGAGGCGAGGGCCACGTGTGTCCAGACACGGCTCTCAGCAGCTTATCTCCTTTGCCAGGCCAGACCCGGCCAGGCCATGAGGCTGATTTTTGGTGGAGACGCAGCAGACGTTTACCCAGCCCTGCAGGGAAAACCTAACCCAGATGAGAAGTCGGTAGCCATTGGGAACACGTGTGTGCCACGACTCGGCCACATGCCCCCGGTGCACGTGTTACTGCTGCATTCTGGGTGTGGGGGGCATATGTAGCCATAGGCAGACTGTGGATCTACCTAATGTGGCTTATTTCCTTGAGGGAGGGGACTGGGCGTTTCTGTTGTCCCTCCCAAATCACATGTGTGCCTGACTCACGCTGGAGTCACAGAAAGAAAGGAATCAGCCATGCAGGCCAGTGACTTGGGCCCCAGACCTGGGGACCCACCTGGACTTCTCTTCCTGTCATACTCTATTTTGAGAGTCACCTAGTGCTGGCTGTATGTGTCACATATTCAGTCCCTTCTTGCATTTCTCACCACGTGGAGTGCCGTCATCCTGGTCTAAGCCGTCATCCTCCTGTCTGGACTCCTGGCACTGCCTGCAAGTGGCCACCCAGTTTTGCCCGTCGTACCCTCCTCACCCCCCACCAGCAGCCAGTGCAAGGTGATTGCATCACTGCCTGATTAAGCCCCCCAGTTCCTCCCATAATCCACTGATCCCAGTTAAGATCAACCCATGCCCCTTACTCTGTGGGAATCTGTCCCTGTCCCCTTGCAGCCTTGTGTCCCACCACGCACACCCTTCCCCACTGCTTCCAGCCACAGGGGCCCGCTTGCTTCTCCTGGAGCATACCAAGTTCATTCTCACTTTGGGACATCTGTGTGACTGCTCCCTCCACCTAAGATGCTCTTCTCCCAGATCACCACATGGCCACTTCCTTACCTCACCTACCCCTCTGCTCCAATGCCATCTCCTTATCTAAGACAGCAGGCCCACCCCCACCGCCCTGCCTGTCATTGTCCACCTTCATTTTCCTTCCTGGCCTGATCACCACTGGACAGTTTCAGTAAATATCTTTAGTTGCCTATGTGCCTATTTCCTGGCCCACACTGGAGCACAAGCTCCATGAGGCCAGGGGACTTGTTTGCTTTGTTCTGATGCTGATCATAGGCCCCTGCACTCATGACTACTTGTTGATTGAATGAATGCTCTTAACCAAGAGGGAAGGACAGTTTGTGAACATCACACACTGATACCCTTGCAGGGCTGTGTTGCCACATGAGGGAGGGTGTGGGGGTGGAGGTGGCAGTGCTCCTTCCCTAGGGCCACTGCACACACTCCACAGCTTCCCAGACAAACCCACCAGGGCTGCGCTAGTTAAGGCTGCAGGCTCCTCCTGTTCAGGGATTCTCCTTTGCAGCCACAGGTAAGCTCAGCTTCCCCTTTGTGGTTTAAGTCTTTGATTCCCCACCCCTATGTCTTTGCTAAAGCAGTTTCTTTTCCTTAGAATAGCTCCTGTTCCGCCCCGACTCCCCCTGCCCACGAAGCAACACCGCCCCCCACTGCCACTTTCCATGTCTGCTTGGCAAAATCATGCCCCTATTTCAACAGCCTGCTCAAATTTCTAACACTTTTCTAGCCCCCACCCTGAAGTTTTGTTGAGTTTTTTTTTTTTTAATTTCCACAACCAGAAATTAACTTCATAAATGCTGGCCATCAGAATGCTGTGTTGGTACTGCTCCTATGACACGTATCATGATTCATTCAATTAAACAAAGATTGACTGAGCACCTACTATGTATCAATTTCTTTACTGAGTGTGGAGGCTTAAAGATGAGGACAAAGCCACCCTCTTTAACATGGCTACCAATAGTTACAGTCACTTACTGCTACTGAACATTTGCTATGTGCCAGGCACTGTCAAAGTGCTTTATGTGGTTTACGTGGTTATCTAATTTTTTTGAGACAGGGTCTTGCTCTGTCACCCAGGCTGGAGTGCAGTGGCGCGATCTCAGCTCACTGCACCCTCCGCCTCCCAGGTTCATGCGATTCTCCTGCCTCAGCCTCCCGAGTAGCTGGTGTTACAGACACGTGCCACCACACCCAGCTAATTTTTGTATTTTCAGTAGAGATGGTGTTTCGCTATGTTGGCCAGGCTGGTCTCAAACTCCTGTCCTCAAGTGATCTGCCTGCATCGGCCCCCAAAGTGCAGGGATTACAAAGTGCTGGGTGAACTACAGCGCCTGGCCCGCTGTTATTTAATTTAATATGCCCAATATTCCACCAAGGAGAAAACAGAAAACTGACTCAGAGAGATAGAGTAGTTTGTCTAAGTTTGCACAGCTATTAATGAAGATGCTGGAGTTTGAACCTGGATAGTTTGGTTCCCAAACCCCACACTTATTCATTAGGCTAAACTACCAGGTGATGTCATGAAGCTATTTATTTATTTTAAGTCATTCATTCACTGAAAAAAAGTTCCTGAGCAATCTGTGTGTGTTAAGCACTTTGTGTGGCTTCTTCAGAGGAGGTGACATTTTGACAGAGACTTGAAGGATGTGTAGAGTTTTCATGGATCAAAAAGGAGGGGCTGGGTGCAGTGGCTCACGCCTGTGATCCCAGCACTTTGGGAGGCTGAGGCAGGCAGATCACTTGAGGCCAGGAGTTAGAGACCAGCCTAGCCAACATGGTGAAAGCCCATCTCTACTAAAAATACAGAAAATTAGCCAGGCATGGTGGCATGCATCTGTGGTCCCAGCTACTTGGGGGGCTGAGGTGGGAGAATTGCTTGAATTCAGGAGATGGAGGCTGCAGTGAGCCAAAATGGTGCCACTGCACTCCAGCCTGGGTGACAGAGCAAGACTCTGTCTCAAAAAAAGAGAAGAAGAAGGAAAAAAAAAAAAGGAATGAAAGAAGGACATTGAGCTTTCAGGCAGAGGGGAAGGCATAAGCTGTGGCACACAAAGGAGAAAATTCCGGATTGGGAAATGGTGATAAGCCTTTGTTCCTTGACGGGAAAGATGGCAACAAGGGCTTCATCTCACAGGCTAGCTTGTGTTGCTTGGGGGTGGCTGCCTAGAGCATGGTGTTGAGTAGGATTCTGAGGATGAGTCTGCACTTACTGAGAAAGAGTGCCATGTCCATCAGTTACTGTCTGCCATGGAGTGGAAATGTGGACTAGCAGCACACTTGCTGTGGTTTATTTTCCAAGGTATAATCTCAGGTGTGACATGGGCAATTCAAGAAGTAAGACTGGATAAGCAGTTTAGGAACACTCTTGGAAGGTTCTTAAATGCCCTAATGTTTAGCTTTATGAACACTTCTCTGATCTTCCCTCTTAAATAAGAAACTCTGGGGCAACATGGCAGTTTTCTTCTTCTCCACTCTTTTCGTTTCAAAAATGCATTCTCATCTTCAGATCCAATGGACTGGAAGTATGATTTTTTATAACAAAATTTCATTACAACAAAATGATTGAAAGTTAAGTCAAGTGTTGGAACCAGCCTTGACTTGTCTTTGTGAAAAAAAATGGTTTATGCAGCAGGACTATTCAAGTCAATGTCATGATAGTACTTTTAGTAGTTATAAACTATATATTTGGCATTAAAAAAAACAGACCTAGTTCCTTTTTTTCCAGTTAATCATGGTAGTCTGAATTTTTCAGTAATAACACTAATTAATGCCTAGCATCTACATTCCCCTTTATGATTTTTCGAAACACTTTTTTCACACACATTGTCTCATTTAATCCTCATAATAGTACCATGGGAAAGACAGTATTATTCTCAACCTTTCTTTAACAAAGAGGAAAACCGAGGCTCAGGGAGTTTGTTTAACTGGAGTCCAGACTTCCTGATTCTTTTGACTTTGCTATGCCGCCTCTCTGAAATATGCTAATACAGTCCTAACCCAGGTTCTAAATTAGAAAGAATACTTTTTTTAAAGTTGAATTTTTATCGATGTGAATCATCCTGTTTTCTTCACCCACTGGACTTTGTGTCTTTGAAGCGGATTGGGCAGACTTGGAGGCCGAGGGTGGGGAGGCCTTGGGATGTAGCTGGCTCCTTCTATATGCCTGCCCGGAAGTGCTCAGAGCTTTTGTTCTTTTCTTTCGTAGACGAAAAAGTAATACGTGTACACGGTAACAATAAAAAAATTTAAATAGCGTGAAAAGGTTTAGGGGAACGAGTAAGTTTCCACACCCCTCCCCCTCGAATCTTCTGGTCCTTTTCCCAGAAGTAAATTCATTAGCAACAGTTTCTTGTGTTTCCTTCTAGAAATGTTCTCTGCACATACAAGCGTTAAGTTGTGTCCCGTTTTCTTCCTGCACAAATGAGAGGATTCTAGAAACAGACCTGCGCTCATTAACAATACAGTAGATTTTTCTGTACCAGGACATGCTGCCGACCTCATTCTTTTCAACAGCTCCTTAGCGTTGCATCGCCTGACAGACCGTAATTTATTTAACCTATCTTTTGCTGATGATCATGCTGTTGCTTTTAACCACAAGGCTTCACTGAACATCCCTGTACATGTATCTCTGTGCACACTCATAAGCATGTTTGGAGGATAAATTACTAGGAGTAGAACTGGTTTTATTCTTAAGATTCCTGCCATCGAATGTTCCACAGACTTCCTTAGGAACCTGCTTCACTGCCTAGTATCCTTTCTGGAGGAAGTTCTGACCTAAATCATATCTGCTAGAAAATCGAGTTTTTATTCTCAGACTTTGGCTTTAAAGAAAATTAAACACCTTATTGGCCACTGGCTTTTGAATGTCCTGTGTTTGGAAAGCATTATTGAGCTGCCTGTGCTCTGGCTTTATTTCTCCAGGTTGAGAAATCTTCGCTTCTTTCCCCGCAGATTTTGCTTACAGACTTGTAGTCATTGTGATTCCTTGCATTGAGACCATCTTCAGCTTCTCTGAAGGTGGGCTGATGATCTCAGTGGCTTCATTGCTGTGTGTTCGAAGCACATCTGGAGTGGGGTTTTGTTACACAGAAGTGTTACCTTTGTTACGTGGAAGTGTTACCTTTTCCCAAGCAAGGGATCTGTGTCAGGGTTCTGATCACTCAGCTGAACCAGAGAATGGGCTACATAATCGTCCCTTAACCCCACCTGACCCAGGGATGAGATTTAACATATTTAACAACCAGTGAGGGGTGGGGGCCTCGGTGAACTCCAGTGGGTGCTAGCCTTAGTGCTGAAGCCGGCTCCAGAGGCCGCTGTTGGGCCAGGCTCTAACTTGAAGGAGGGGCCAGGGTGGGTGGCGGGGCCTTGGAGGTTCAAGGTGACATCAATTATCAAACCAAAATAGAAATATTTCAGTGTTTTAGCAACCAGTATATCCGCACAGGTCATGCCCACTGAATATCAGCCGAGGTTCTCTCTGGGAGGACTTGTGAGAAGAAAAGCCCATTGGTTTGCAGTGGGGAGGCCAGGTTTGAGTCATATTAGAGCTTCTTCTAGCTATGAAATCTTCAATAAGACACTCACACTTTTCTTGTCTCCAAATGGAGGGGTTTGCACCATATAATATCTGTTGCCTCTTCTTGCTCTAAAATTTGAGGAAATAATACAAGCAAAACAGCAAAGGGTTCCTAACATCAACTGTTTTCCTGGCATTCTATGTTTATGTCTTAATGGTGTCTTTGTTTGTTTGTTTGTTTAACCTAAGCTCTTCATGCAAAATAAGCTAAAGAAATGAATGTGGGGAAAGGATTTGAAAGAAGAAAGGTCATTCTTTGGCTTACGCAGTGTGGTGCACATTACAGAATTGTGGACAGTACTAGGAGGAAGGGAGACAGGTTCAAATCCTGACTTGGCCACACCTATATTCATTCATTCATCAAATATTTATGGGGTCTTTATCAAGTACTGCACACTGTTCTAGATTCTGGGGATGGAATAGTGAATAAGTAAGGCCCCTGCTTTAATGAGTACATCCTAGAGGCAAAGCAGTAAACTTCTTTGGACCTAAGTTTTCCTACCTGTAAATTATTTAGTGGTGGATGGCACTGGTATTGTTGCTACCCATTCCACTGCCCATGACAAGACATCACTAGTCAATTATAGCATTGCACTCAGCCATAACCAGTTATTAGACAATAGATCTATATGTTATCCTGATAAATAACATATAGGATAAATAACATATCCTATATGTTATTCAGATGAATTTTAAAGTCTTCTCCTGCTCCAAAATTAATTCTTGTTCATTACCTCTAATTGTAATCAAAAGACAGTATCATACTGAGGGCAAACTGCACTAGGAATCCAAATTATACACATCGCAAAGCTACAGATTTGAAAGAAAACTACCATTACTTTGGTTTTGTTGGGTACAAACGGTATGTGTTCTTGTAAAATTATTTTAGATCTTTGGGGCTGAGCTTTTTCCTTCATAATCTATTGCGGCAAGTTCTCCCGTTTGACCTGCTTTATTTTGGTCTTTGGACAGGGAAGAGCTCATTGTCATTCACGTTTAACTCTTTCCACTTTAGAAACCTCCTTTATGAAGCTTTTTTTTTTAATTGGAGTCAGGTTGGGCAGAATTGAATCCCATTTGTTTTGACAAATGTTTCCACTGCACACTAGATCACTCAACAGCCATCACCAGCAGAAGGCTTCCTAGGGGTCTAACGTGGCCATCTGGTCTCTTCTGCTCCACTCAACATAGTGGAAGCCAAACCAAAGTTGAGCTGATGTCAACTTCCTTGGTGAATTTTTCCTTCAGATTCCAAAGAAAACCTTTGCAGTACTTCCATTTCTCACCCCTCTCACCACCCCCGTCATAGACCAGCAAGTCCAGTGGGCCCAAATTGAGCTCAAATTGAAAAAACAAAGGGTTTCAAGTGCTTCTGTTGAAATTGATAACTCCACTCTTTTGGATTTCCAAATGCATCTCTACTTGTAACAAACCATGAAGATTTGTGGCTACTGGGGAGAAATTGGCTTATTTAATCTTATTAAAATACACAAGGGCCTGTGATTCTAAAAACTGCTCTTACGATTTCCAAATTGTAGTAAACCAGAGGTACCTCTCTATATAATAAAACTTTTTATTTCCTTTGGGAAATGAGAGCTGGGATGTCCAGCATCCTAAGCTGAAGCCCCCATAATTTGTGCCGATATTGGTGTTTGATGGATTGCACATAAATCAACTCTTCTCTCTCCAAGAGGCCCAGGAAAATAGACTGTTCCCACCATTTAATCATGAATGTCTAAACTAAGGAGTATTTTAAGCAGAAGAAAAGTATCCCTTTTTTTTGAGATGGAGTCTTGCTCTGTCGCCCAGTTTGGAGTGCAGTGGTGCCATCTCAGCTCACAGCAACCTCCGCCTCCCAGCTTCAAGCAATTCTCTCGCCTCAGCCTCCCTAGTAGCTGGGTTTACAGGCACGCACTACCATGCCCGGCTAATTTTTTTTTTGTATTTTTAGTAGAGATGGGGTTTCACCATGTTGGCCAGGCTGGTCTCGATCTCCTGACCTCAAGTGATCTGCCCACTTTGGCCTCCCAAAGTGCTAGAATTACAGGTGTGAGCCACCACGCCCAGCCAAGAAAAGTATTCTTATTCCTAGGTTGAGTTAAGTGGATTCTCTTTTCTTTAGTTGGGGAGAATAGGGAAAACCAAAAATTCATACTTAGGCTTGTTGAAAGTGTTAGGTATTAAGTATAGATGAAATAACTCAGTTCTCCCTTTAAGATTTGTTGTGAACATCCCTATGCTTTTTAGAGCTATAGAGAAGAATTCTTTCGTGTTTGTGAAATAAAATGGAAGACTTTCCAATGTTAAGGTATATGGTTAGTAATTTTTATGTAGGGTAGTATGTTGAATTTACTGTGGAAAGTTTGCACAGAAGAAAAAAAACTGCAATTTTAAGAGTATGGATTCTGAAACCAAAGAGCCTGAGTTTGAATCCCAGCTCCATCTCTTATTTAACCCTCTCTGATGCTCAGTTTTCGATCTGTTAAATGAGGATAATAAAAGAACCTATTTCATAGTTTGTTGTGAAATGAAGTGAGATTATCCCTGAATTGGGCTTAGCATATTGCCGGTGTACACTAAATATTACTTACTATTTTGGCAACCGTGCCTCTGTTTTCTCATCTGTAGACTGGGGATAATAATGAAAATGAAATGAACAAATTTATGTAGCACATTTACAGAAATGTCAGGACCATAGTGAGAACTACAGAAGTGTTAACTTACTGTTGTAACACAAATTCAGATACTTTTCTTAGCATTCAGAGGGCAAGATGTGAAATGATTATGAACACAGAAGCCTGAGTTCAGAACCTGAATTGTGGTTCTATCACTTATTAACTTTGTGAACTTAGCCTCGGGCTTTTCATCTGTAGAATGGAACTAATAATAGAATCTACTTCACAGAGTTGTTATGAAAAGTAATTGACATGGTCTCTGTAAAGTGCTTAGCATGGTGCTTGGCATTTATTCAACAGATGTTTGCTAATATTTTTAGGGTATCTCACTTAAATGTTTGATTGGAGCTCAGCAGAGGCTTTCAGGATGAATGTGGTTTGGGAAGGAATGTTTTTCTGGATATAATTGAAAGGGAGCCATTTTGCTGTTTGCAGATGTGGTTGCCCTGCTTGGCTTTCCTTATGCCTCCAGTGGAGAAAACACAGGCATTGTCAAGAAGTTCCCGAGGTTTCGGAACCGAGAGCTGGAGGCCACTCGACGCCAGAGGATGGATTACCCAGTGTAAGGATGGGTAGCAGAAGGGAGCTGATCGGGCGGTGCTTGTTTTATTTGAGGACCAGAGCAGGCTAGTGGAAGAATTCCTTAGGAAGACACACCTTCTTGGTAAGGTGTTTTGCAAAAATGTTGAGATTTCCATGGCTTAGACAGAATTGGTGGACCTGAAAACCTCAAATGAGTCTTGAATTATTCTTGGCATTTAACAATCCTCAATTTGCCTTAGCCTCCTTACATGACAACGAGTAGACAGCAAGGTGTTGAAGCCTGAGGCCCTGCAAGGTCTCAGGTGCAGCCAGCCAAAGCCAGCACACATTGCAGCCTTGGCTTTGCCTTTCTGTCGTGGAAGATTGGACGAGCTGTTTGAAATCTCACAACTTCTGATCTCCTCCATTGATTTCAGCAAGACCCAGATATATGTATTTTTTTTCCTTCTGCTGAATTGAAGATGCTGAAAATGGTTCCTGGTTCACCTCATACCAGATGGATTTAGCAGAGTGATTTAATTCTTCCCATGCTGCTGGCTGTAGAAAGATCTTGAGTCACTTTACCGAGCGTATGTTCTTGCTAAGCTTCCTTGTAATAACTTATCTTCATGAGCTTGCTCAGCTGGGTGGGTCAGGAGGGAGCTGTGTGGCACCATCTGTTTGCATATCATACCACTGATTTTGAGGCCAGATTATAAAGACCAGAAAGGACTTGTGTGTATCTGCAAAGAACCTGGGGCCACTGTCACTTTAACCCAAACTGTAAATTGGTTACTGGGGTAAATGAAGAGAAATCAATGCATTCATTTTGACCTTGATCCATGTTTCACATACAAAATGTAATCATTCCCACTTCCTCATCTTTGAACTACTGGTCAGTAGCATTGTGTGCGGTATCAAGGGGTGTTCAGTAAGTCTTTTCTGAATGATTGATGGATCACATATCTTGGCTAAATGTGTCCTGGTTAAGTTGGCTACTGGTATTTTATCCTCACTCTACAAGTCACAGATGTACAATATTTTTTTCGACTAAAATAGCCCCAGTCCAGGAATGGGATAATTAGATTAATTGTTCCGTATTGGTCAGCCAGGACCGTGATACTGAATAACCTAATCTGAGCATGAAAATAGCATATATGTGTCCCTATTATCACATAGTGATGCCATTTGTAGATGATTACATTTTTCTACCTTATGGCTTTTATCTGTGAAAGGAACAAAATTGCTCAAAAGGCTCTAATTATGTTTTTTCTTTTAACATAGAAATTAAAATAGCTTCTTATCATATCACCTCTTATTAAAATCCAGATTTTTTTAATCTATGTCTGACTTTGTAAGCCTTAATCAAGAATTCAAATAGCAGGCATGTGAGATTCTCAAAGAGGCAGAGAAACAGAGTTTTTGGTGCAAGGTAGAAAGTCTGCTAGTTTTGTACAATGAAGCTTAACTCCTGTCTTTTGCAGTTACTTTAACTACCTCCTTTGTTTCAAAAATCAAGCTTTGCAAGCTGATCTCCCATGATGAACGCGAAGGCAAATTCATCCATTCATTGGAAAGAAAGCAATTTACTTGGTCATTGTTAACCATAATTACCTGTTCTTGGATGATATCAATCTGCAGAATTTTTTTCCCCCTCACTCTTATAGGTTTACTGTTTCATTGTGGCTTTATTTACTCCATTATTGCAAGGCCAACCTCTGTGGGATTCTGTACTTTGTTGACTCTAATGAGATGTACGGCACACCTTCTGTATTTCTTACGGAAGAGGGTGAGTATAAAACAGAACCTTTAAAATGATATTGTAATTTTGTAATGCTCTGCCTAGTGACAGATATGTCTGTCTAGAATAAGGAAGATCCTGTCAACATGGCAGCCCAGCAAGAGCAATGACTTCCAAATGTGGGCTTCAAATTTAACTTCTTTCCCAGAAGCTTAAACCCAATGTCTTATTTACAAAGAAATGCATTTATAAATGCGTGTTTGGGTTTTGCTTTGTTTTCGTGGAGTATTGTAGCTTCTTAGGACAATTGTTGAAAAGGCCTAGCTACTTCATTCACTCGTAGATATTTTTTGCTCATTTTCATGTGCTCGAATTTTCCTTTTAGGCTATTTGCATATTCAGATGCATCTTGTCAAAGGGGAAGACCTTGCTGTAAAAACTAAATTCATCATACCTTTGAAGGAGTGGTTTCGACTGGATATCTCTTTTAACGGAGGCCAGGTATCTGTATGCACGCTTCATCACACGACATACGAGCATTTTCGCTTAAAGTTAAGCATTGCTATAAAGCCGGGGAGCAACAAAATCTGCAAAAGCAAATTTGTGGTAAATGATAGACTCGTTACAACTACACGCTTGCTAAATCAAACTTTCATAGATGGAAGTTTAAATCATAAGAATCCCATCCCATTTAATTAACTTTTAAAGTGCTGCTTTTGACTGTAGGGTGAATGAATAAAGCATACAGGCAGCTCTACAGCCATACTGATCTGAGCAAGTCAGTCCTTTTCTCCTGGGGAGATAGGCTTTGTGGAGATAAATGTTAAAACAATATTGGCCATGTTTATATAGTGTAATCAGATGTACAACTTTTTTTTTAAGGAAATGGATTGGTTAGTTCAGCCAAGAAATGATTTGACTGCTTTTGGCAAGTGAAGCAATTGCTTATGTTTGGCATTAAACAGACCATAATAACCAACACACATAAGTGATAATTCAGGTGGGATGGAGGGTCTTTATCTACTTTGTAGTATAAAACATTGTACATAACTGCTTCAAACTCTCATAACATGAATTTTATGGATTATGGCAAATCTGTTGTTCTAATTGAAGACAGTTCTATTTCTCAATATACACAGTGTGGGTTTGCCACCTTTTTCTGGTTGCTTTGTTTTCTCATCAGCTTTTCTTATTGATCTGTGATTTTTCCTGTAACAAAACTGGAAGAGGCATTTTGTTTGTCTTGTGGATGAGATGATGCACAGTCTTCCCTTGGTGTTTAGGTTGATCACATTTCCTTTTTCTGTAAGAGAAAAGAAATCAGGTCAGTCCTTGCTGCTTTCCTGAGAAGAGTCTGTAAAATGTTAGCTGGGATTCTTAGTATGTGTGTTTGTTTACTTAAAAATGTTCAGTGACATAGCGGTGGTCCACATTTTAGCTTCCTATGTATGTGAGAATTATGATGGCCATAATAGCTTGGTTGATGCTTTCTCTTACGGAGAAGGTCAGCTCAGTGCTGTTGTCCCTGAGACAACAAATCATCAGTGCAGATTCACAGATCTTATTTTGCACCTACTGTATGCAAGGCACTATGCTCGAGTTGCTTGTAGACTATTTGTGGAAGTAACATTAAGCAGGTAAAGGACTGTCACAAAGCGAGCTTAGTTGCCAGATGATAGCTGGGTGCGGTGGCTCATGCCTGTAATCCCAGCACTTTGGGAGGCTGAGGAGGGTGGGTCACCTGAGGTCAGGAGACCAGCCTGGCCAACATGGTGAAACCCCGTCTCTGGTAAAAATACAAAAATTAACTGGGCGTGGTGTACGTGCCTATAATCCCAGCTACTTGGGAGGCTGAGGCAGGAGACTCGCTTGAATCCGGGAGGCGGAGGTTGCAGTGAGCTAAGATGGCGCCCCTGCACTCCAGCCTGGGCAACAGAGTGAGACTCTGTCTCAATAATAATAATAATAATAATAATAATAATAATTATTATTATTATTATTATTTAAAAATAATTAATTGCCAGATGATTTGTATTGATTCCTAGAAGGGAGATAGCATTTTATGCTGGAATGCTTAGGGGAGGTATCATGAGAAGATTTCTCTGGTTGGACAGGATTTAGATGGAGAACGGAGAAGAGGGTATTTCAGCATGTTATTGGGGGTTAGCAGACAAACTAGTTTGACTGGAGTAAAAATTTATGGACTATAGAAAGCTAATAGAAGGGAAAATACGTATTTAGGAGTAGAATGCAGAGAATCTTGGATATCAGGGAGTTTAGACATCAACTTGCAAAGCACCATAGAAGATTTTTGAGCAGAAGATTAAAAGTAGTCCTTTAATGAAGGAGATAAACTTAGTGGTGGAGTACATAGTTGAGTAAAGCAGGAGAGAATTAGAAAGACCAGATAAGTGGGGGCAAAAAATTTTTTTTGGTGTGTGTAGACTTTAGCCCATTTGTCCTTCTTCTTTCTATTCTATCTGGTCTAATATATACAGGTCCCAAACAACACATAATGCTTCCCACCCAAAATCCACCTCTGTGATGGGACTAGCATAGTCTGCCTTGACTGAATGTATAAGTGACTTAAATGGTTGGTTTAGGCAAACAACTGGCGTGAGACATTTTCTTTTCTGAACCAACATGTTGTATGGCTGAATTGGGTTGGTTTCTGGTGGGTTAGTTTGTCTTTCATAGACCAAGTGTCGTAGCCACGTCTTTGAGACACGCCCTAACACTTACTCTGTGGTGGCACTAGCAGAATGTAAGTGGCCCCTTGAGTCGAGAGGCTTATTATGTTGGAGTCCAAGACATGAGAAGAGCCCATATGAGACAGCTAACAGCATTCATGACAAAAAATAGTGTCCCTGTTAAAATGAGAATGATGATTCCCAGTGCTTAGGGAAAGGGAGGTGGGAACAGCAGTGTGTGAAGAACATACAACACCAATCTTGTTTTCCCCCTAAGGCTCTGATGGAATCAGAGCAAGATTTTAAACACTCCTTGTAGTGTCATACATATTTCCTTGTCTTTCTACACAACAAGCGTTTAAGGACAAATACATCAAATGAGCCTTTGGCTTGGAGTTTGGAAGTATCTGAAACTTGGTGGAAACTGCATTGTAGATATTTTTAATCACATCAAGTCACATTTGGGGAAGTTAAATGTATGAAATCTTAAAATATGCACAGGGCTAGTAAACTGTTAATTTTATTTTTGCAGAAACTGATCAGGTAAAAGACTCTCCAACACATATCATGAGTAATTTACACAAAGGACTGCATAGGTAATGTAGGGTGATGAGGCATAACTGATTCTTGTGTATCCCTCCCATCATAGATAGTAGTAACCACTAGCATTGGACAGGATTTGAAAAGCTACCACAATCAGACCATTAGGTAAGTGCGATTTTTCTTTTTATTCAAAATTTGCCTGCATGCGAGTTAAGGAATCTTCATACTTTAGCCCTCAGCCCTAATGTTATTCCACATCTCTTCATTCAGCTTTTCCAAGCATGGATTATTCTCTGCCCTGTAGCTAGTCTTTGTACTTTTTTTTTCCTACCATGCACAAACTCTTTCTGCTTCCCCCACAACCTTTTTTTCTGAGCAAGAAAAACTAGTCCTCTCTCCAGATCTCATTGTAAATTCTTCCTTTCATGGCACTTTATAGTTCATTTTCTTTGAAAATTATCTTCTATGAAGGATTCTGAAAAATAAATCAAAGTATTAGTGTTGCTTATTGAGAATGGTTGGTAACTTTGGCCTCATATAAGACATAAAAGCAGACAGTCTTCATATTTATGTTTATAATCTGGATTTGAAATGTATGCAACTATTGATATTGGTGTCACTTTTCATCTTTATATAACCATTCTCTACAAGAGTTACAGAAACTAAGAACTGAGTTTCCTGCCTGTGTTTCATAATTTTTTAATTTACTTCTACATCCACGTATAATCGTGGGTTTTATAGTGTCAGAACCATGGGGCAACCTTCATTAGGAATTCAGGATACCTTGCCATAGCTAGATAATATATGTATATAGGTGGTCTCTGACCCAATGATGATTTGATTTGCAATTTTTTGACTTTACAGTGGGTTTATTGGGGTAATAAATGCATTTTGTACTAATGATACCTTCAACTTACAATGAGTTTATTAGGATGTAATCCCATTGTATGTCAAAGAACATCTGAAATTGAAGGCTTAAGAACAAGTGTAGGCCAGGGGTGTTGGCTCACGCCTGTAATCCCAGCGCTTTGGGAGGCCAAGGCAGGTGGATTACTTGAGGCTATGAGTTTGAGACCAGCCTGGGCAACATGGCAAAACTCTGTCTCTACTAAAAATACAAAAATAAGCCTAGCGTGGTGGCGCATGCCTGTAACCCCAGTTACTCAGGTGGCTGAGGCACGAGAATGGCTTGAACCCAGGAGGCAGAGGTTGCAGTGAGCTGAGATGGCGCCACTGCACTCCAGCCTGGTGACAGAACAAGGCTCTGTCTTAAAATAAAAAAATAAGTGTAAAGATCAGAAATAAAAATTAACCAATTTCGCATGTATAATTTTAAAAAATGCATCAGAACTTTTAGGCACTTTGTCTGGGATGAGGAGTGTTTTATTCTTCGAGTCTGTTATTTCACTGCAGCAGGCAGAATGCTGCCTCTCCAAACAGGCTGGGGATACGCAGAGTCCCGCACAACCCAAATTCTCTTGTATGCTGATTATTAACGAAAGGGAAGCAAAGAGGGGCAGACACAGAAATAGAGGGCCATATATGCTACTTAAAAAAAATAAATAAACTCTTGGCCCGGCATTTTACAGGTGGTTCACACCTGTAATCCCAGCACTTCAGGAGCCAAGGTGGGTGAATCACATGAGGCAAGGAGTTCAAGACCAGCCTGGTCAACATAGTGAAACCCCCATCTCTACTAAAAATAAAAAAATTAGCTGGTCATGGTGGTGCGCACCTGTAATCCCAGCTACTTAAGGCTGAGGCACGAGAATTGCTTGAACCTGAGAGTTGGAGGTTGCAGTAAGCCAAGATCCCACCACAGCACTCCAGCCTAGGTGACAGTGATACTCTATCTTAACAAAAAAAAAAAAACGAAAAGATAAGAAAAGAAATGCAGAATCTTGGGCTTTGCTCCAGAGCTTCTAAATCAGAATCTGCATTAAAAAACTAAAAAAAATTAAAAAAAAATTCCTGTTTTCACTTGAGTCCATCTGATTTCTTTTAGGCTCTGGGCATATAGAACAATTCTTATTTTCATGGCTGGATTAAAGGATTAGAGTTTTATAGAAAGGCTAAAGAAGTGTTATTAGCCTGCAAAGAGAGGGTGCGGGTGGCTTAATAGCTGCATTGAAACATAGCGGCTGAGGCCTAGGGAGAGAGCACATGTCTTCAAGAGCACCGAGGTAGATTCAGATCAGCCAGAAGGCGTTCAACACATAGGAGTGTTGTTATATAACAGGTGGCTAGGAGATCTTCTCTGAAAAGTTCAAGGACAGTGAAGCCTGGGAGCTGTCTTTGGAGAAACAGATGATCTGAGTCAGCTTTGGAGATCAGATCTCCATGTTCTGTGAAATGGGCTCTGGCCAGAAATTAAAGGTTTTTGTTTCAGGACATGAAGTTTAAAATAAGAGCTTCCTCTCTCTCCCCTGAAACCCACGTCCAGCTCCAGGACATTTTCGACCACTGGTTGAATTTCATAGGCTCCTTTTCATTTTCTTTGTAAGAGTTTCCTTTCCTCTTCAATCCCAGAGATCTAGAGGCTGATATGAGTGAATGGGAGAAAGAGTGGCCACAGAATGATCCAGGGCTGGGGCCGGGGTGAGGCAAGTGAGCCTAAAACTTAAGGGGGTGCCAGAAAGCTCAGGGATTGCATTAGTTTGTTGGGGCCTGCCAGAACCAAGTGCCAAAATGAAGTGGCTTAAACACAAAAATGTATTATCTCAGTTTTAGAGGGCAGAGGTCCAAGATCACAGGGCTGGCAGGGCCGTGCTCCCATGAAGGTACAAGGGACAGATTTGCTCCCGGTCTCTCCTGGCTTCTGGTAGCTCCTTGGCTCGTGGCAGCATAACTTCAGTCTTCACATGGCATCCTCCCCATGGGTGTGTCTGTGTCCAAATTTCACTTTTTTATAAAGATGTCAGTCATATTGGGTTAGGGGCTCACCCTACTCCAGTATCACCTCAATTTAATTACTTATGTCTGCGATCACCCTATTTCCAAATAAGGTCACAATCTGAGGGGCTGGAGATTTGGACTTTGACATATGAATTTGGTGGGAGGAGGGGTACACAATTTAACTCAACAGTAATCATGATAAGTAACATATTAATATGATGTTTTTAAAAATCAAAATGAATGCAGAGAATCTATGATGAACAAAATATTAAAATTTTAAGTAAAGACATAATCAGTGTAAACATAGAAGGATCAAGGGATCAAGACTGATTTGGGGGCACACACCAACTCTACATCCCAATTGAAGCATTGAAACAATTTCTTAGTAAAAGTGGCAGTACTCTGGCCTGGCACAGTGGCTCACGCCTGTAATCCCAGCACTTTGGGAGGCTGAGGCAGGCAGATCACTTAAGTCCAGGAGTTTGAGACCAGGCTGGGCAACATGGTGAAACCCCAACTCTACTAAAAATACAAAAATTAGCCGGGCATGGTGGTGGGCACCTGTAATCCCAGCTACTCGGGAGGCTGAGGTGAAGGTTGCAGAGAGCCAAGATTGTGCCACTGTACTCCAGCCGGGGCGACAGAGCGAGACCCTGCCACAAAACAAACAAACAACAAAACAAAACAAAAAACAAAACAAACCAAAAAAGCTAGCCGTACTCAGACGCAGGAGTGCCCCTCCCCACCACCCCAGCTGCCCTGCCTGTACTCCTGAGACCTCCCCATCAGAGAAATAAGCAGAGGTAAAGCTAGTCCCAGAGGGAGCTGTCCAGAGTCCCCCGGGGGTTCCTGTAGTCAGGTATTTGGAATCTCATCCCTGCCAGGAACCCCACTTTTAGAGTGGGCCAAGTCAGTGAACTAAACATCAGATATTTCCAGTTTACTGGTTATAGGTGTTCCCAGGCAAGGCTCTTACCCCTCCTTTTTATTTGTTCCTGTAACGTAAACATAATGACTGTTGTCCTACAAGGATAGTGTGAGAAGATCAGGAATTAAGTGCTCGGGATTGCAGTGCAACGCATAAATGAAAGGCTGTCAATAATATCCCATGACAGGTGACAGCTTCAGGCCTCTATAGCGTTAAATTCATTCATTTATTCAACACCTGTTTACTGAGCACCTGTCACATGCCAGACACAGCACTCAACTCTGGAAATAAAATGATGAACACAAAGAATACAGACTCTGCCTTCATGGAGCTAAAATATTGAGATGGGGAGACAAACAGAAAACAAATTCACAAATAAATTTAAAATTACAAATCGTGGTGAGTGCTAGGAAAGAAATGGATAAGGTAGCTTGAGGAGAACAAGGGGGTCAGAATTTAGACCAGGCCGGCCGGGCGTGGTGGCTTATGCCTGTAATCCCAGCACTTTGGGAGGCCGAAGCAGGCGGATCATGAGGTCAAGAGATGGAGACCATCTGGCCAACATGGTGAAACCCCATCTCTACTAAAAATACAAAAATTAGCTGGGCGTGGTGGCGCATGCCTGTATTCCCAGCTACTCGGGAGGCTGAGGCAGGAGAATCGCTTGAACCCAGGAGGCAGAGGTTGCAGTGAGCTGAGATTGCGCCACTGCACTCCAGCCTGGCAACAGAGCAAGACTCTGTCTCCAAAAAAAAAAAAAAAAAAAAAAAAAATAGAATTTAGACCAGGCCCTGAAGAAGTGACTTGTAAGATGATGGTTACTCTGTGGGACATGGGGGCAGCCAATTTGAAGCTCTAAGTTCTCATACCACAGAAACTTCAAGCTGGAGCTATTTCTTAATTCTGAGAGAGGCCTGTTTCACAACGTCGGTGATTCTTTCAGGCTTCTGGTGCTCTGCGGTAATAAACCAGGGCACTCTCCTATGTCCAGATAAGAGTAAAGATAGTTTGCCAGCATGTCTCGGGTTTTCAAAAGGGGCTGGCTTGGGCTTTGGAAGAGTCTAGCTCAGCTTTTATGTCAGTGAAATTGATGACCATCAAACAGTGCACAGTACAAGGAATCTCTTGCAATCTTTGTGCAGACACTGAGAATTTTGCGGGAGAAAAATATGAAGACATCAATGTACATGGAGACCAAGCTGGACATATATCCTATTGCTTGATAATAATGACAATTTAAAAATTACGATTCAGTGCCCTAGGGACCAAGTAATTTGTTTTTTGTTGAAAAACTCAGTTAATGCAAGGATCCACTAAAACAGATAACTCCCTTAAACATTTTATTTCAATTAAAACATATATATGTATATATTCATTTGCCAATCTTTCTAGAGAGGGCCTTCTTTTGAGTACAAATCTGCAGATTAGCGTTTGCTGTGGGCTTTTTTCACACTTGTAAACAACACCCAATTTCTGTTTCTTCCAAATGAAAGCAAAGATACTTGTGAAAATAATCAGAGCCCAAAAGCCATCTAGATTTTTCTCAATTTTTTCCCATGACATTTTACAATTTTTTAGTAAGCTCTATTGCGTCTACCCAAAATAATCAACTTAGTTTTTATAGAAAGAAGAGCTCTTTCTTCCCCACTCATGTTTTATTGAATTACATATGTAAGTAAATGGTATGATTACAATAAATATACTACTGATATTAACTGTTTGGGCTCAAGTGATCCCCCCACCTCGGCCTTCCAAAGTGCTGAGATTATAGGCATGAGCCACTGCACCAGGCCAACATTAACTGGCTTGAGAGTATGCACATCTTATTCTTGCTAAGCATGAAACTCAAGATGTGGGAGCCAAAGTCCAACAGAGGGCTAGGTTAAGGATGATAATCACTGTTGCTGATGGTTATGGTGTCTGCTCTGTGCCTGACACTGTTTGAAATGCTTTGTTTACATATTAGTTTATTTCATCTTCATAACAACCATACAGGCAGGTACTATTACTATTTCCGTTTTTTAAATGGGGAGACTAAGGCTCTAGACAGTAAGCTCTAGGCAGTGAGGCGGTGAGCATCCCGGATGCTGTAAGCATCAGTCAGTCGGTTTTGCATGAGGACAGTCAGGTAAGCTGGGGAGTTGGTTCAGCTGCAGCTCCGTTAAGAGGGCTTCCTACTGCAGAAGTGTTGCTTTGTATCCATCTAGTGCCCCGTGCTGTCTCATGAGGGTTGTTGGAATGTTCATGTCTTTTCAAGGTCTTGGAAAACAGACTCAGTTCGCAACTCTCAGAGATAATAACTTTATGGCCTCTCCTTAAATAGGCAGGAGAGACCATCATCTTCACAGTCCTACAAGACTGAGATTCTGAAAAGAAAAATATCAGGAGCTGAAGCACTTCTTTTCCATTTTGGTTGTGTTTAGACGAGACTAATCTCTAGACGTTCGATGTTGCTGCTGTCAGCTGTTGCTGCCAGGCTGTGTGCTTTGCTTCATTGTCTCATGCCTCCTCCCTGGCCAGGTGCACCTGCTAGGGCTTGGGTTGTTTGCTAACAGACAGTCCATCCCTCGTTCTGAAATAACCCTGGGTTGCCTGGTTTCCCTGATCCAACTGTGGGTAGCTTGCCCTGTCCCCATCCATCGTCACTCCGGCCCTTTGCTCCTTCGGCTCCCTGGGCTCCTGGCAGCCTGCCTGACACTTTGTTTTCTTTCCCTCTGCTTCCATCTGCCCCTTGTGGTTCCTGGCTCCATCTTATTGCCTGACCTCTCACTTGATACCTGTCTTAGCCCTCACTCCCCTCACTGTTCACATATGCTCTGATCACACATATGCTGTGATCTATTCTTTAAAATAAGAATCCTCCCATTCTTATTTTAAATTCTTGTTATTTTTATTTTATTTATTTATTTTTGTTATTATTATTTTGACATGGAGTCTCGCTCTTGTCACCCAGGTTGGAGTGCAGTGGCGCAATCTCAGCTCACTGCAACCTCTGCCTCCCAGGTTTGAGCAATTCTCCTGTATTAGCCCCCTGAGTAGCTGGATTACAGGCACGCACCACCACACCTGGCTAATTTTTATATTTTTAGTAGAGATGGGCTTCACCATGTTGGCCAGGCTGGTCTTGAACTCCTGACCTCAGGTGATCTGCCCACCTTGGCCTCCCAAAGTGCTGGGATTACAGGCGTGAGCCACCATGCCCAGCATTATTTTAAATTCTTAATAGGTAATAGATGCACATGGTTTTAAAAAATCAAAACTTTGTAAAAATACAGTTAAATATCTTGCTCCCAAGCCTACCCTCATGCACTTCATCCCAACCCCCCACCACCCCATGGGGAGATAATTCTATTGGTTTCTTGTATACACTTTGGCCCAGAGTTTCTTTATGCAAATATGAAAAAAATCTGTTAGCCTCTTTCTTAGATAAAAGGTATGCTCTGTGTCCTGTACTTTTATTTTTTTTACTTAACACTATATTTTGGAGATCCCTCCAGGTTCCTTTGTCCCTTTTTTAGTTGCATAGTGAAAAAGCTCAAGGTACACTAAATTGATGGGCCAGTCCCCGCTGACAGACACCGGGGTTCTCCCATCTTTGGCGAATATAAACAATGTTGCAAGGAACACCTTCATGCATTCTATAAATGCCAACCCACTTTGTCCTCCCTTTCCTTCCTGATGTTTCAAGCCCTTCAGGACAGTGTGGTCCTCCAACTCATCACCTGTGCTCACCTCTCATCTCCGGCCAAACCCTCTGACCTGGCTGTGGCCTCCTCCTCCTCCTAACTGAATTTTGCCTCAGTCCTTATCTAATAGTCTACGCTTTTGGCTTTCCCCCACAGCCACCTTCTATTCATTCAACAAGGTTTGTTATTTTCTTTTAAAGCAAAATATTTCCAATGAAAACCAACAATTCCAGACAATTCCATTGATTCTGAACAATACCACCACTATCAATACCACATATTGACTATTTACTGTGGGCCAAGCACTCTGCTAGATGCTTGACATCTTTACACTTCACGTAATCCTCTTAACCATCCAGTAAGTGGAGAACTATCATTTGACACAGGAGAAGACAGCACTGGAGAGGAGGTTAAGTGACTGGGCTGAGGTCTCATAGCTGGTAAACAGCAGAATTGGGATCCTAGCCGAAGTCCACCTGACCCTACGCTGGTCTCATCTGCTAAAACTCAGAGTGAAGGGCTTGGGGCAATTTGGGTTAAGTCAAGGAGGGTCTAGGAAAGAGACTGTTTTTAAATCATCTAGTTCCGGCATGGAGCTCTCTTAATCCTTCATTCTCTTCTCTAGCTTCCGGGAGGATTTCCATTATAATGACACAGCTGGGTACTTCATTATTGGAGGGAGCAGGTATGTGGCTGGCATTGAAGGGTTTTTTGGACCCCTGAAGTACTATCGCCTTCGCAGTCTGCACCCCGCCCAGGTGAGTCCAGGGGATCAGGAAGATTGCGGTACTCCTGGGTGATGGGTGTGGGCCTCAGGGGTGTGCCACCCAGTGTAAATAAAAGTTTACCCAAGCCAGACCATGCATCGCCTCTGTCATCAGACATCATTAATATTGAGGCTTTTCCCCCAGCAAATGCAATAAAAATTTCTGTTAACATTTGGTTCATTTAGTACTCATAAAATGGAAACCATTGACTTCCTCTGTTTTAATAACTACTAGTTTAATTATAGAGTAGATTTTCATCAGGCTGTTGCCTATCCAGCGATTAAGCTAATGAAAGGAGAGAATCTTAGTTATTTGGTAAACCTTCTTTTATATAATATTATTTAAAGTATCAGAAGAGATACTGTAGCAAATTAAAATCTTGGTTCCATTGGCTGCTCTCTTCAGAAACACAGGCCTTCAGCTCACGCTGGGGTCGGTTGGCAGCAGTTGTATGGATCGAAAAGGGCATTGTGTTCAGGGCTGAATCCTCTGCACAGTGCCTTCCACATCCATAACCCGCCCCCGAATGGAACTGTCCAACGCTTCCAGCCAACACAGCTGGACTGGTCGGGGGAGAGGGCTATTTCCCTATGAGGGAGCCTTCAGGGCACTTGTTTTCTGGGCTGCTTTAAGGAGATCAAGAACCCCACCTGATACCTGAAAGAGAAACATTCTGTCATTCCCTTCACCCTGTGGGGTTTATTCTGAGAAAAACAGGGGTCACTAGGCAAAGTCATAATCAGGAAAAATGGGGAGTCCTGCTGCCCATGGGTGATATCTTACAGCCTCTGTGAGACACTTTTGTGAAAAGGGAAAAAAATGAAATAGTCATTTGTGCAACAAATGCTTATTGAGAACCTACTGTATGCCAGGCTTTGAACTAGGTGTTGAGACAAGCAAGATGGATAGGTTTAAAATTGTTTTGAAGGTTGTCCACAATAAGAAATCTGCTTAATATCAGCCAAGCGTGGTGGCTCACACCTGTAATCCCAGCGCTTTGGGAGGCCGAGGCAGGCGGATCACTTGAAGTCAGGAGTTTGAGACCAGCCAACAAGGTGAAACCCCGTGTCTACTAAAAATACAAAAATTAGCTGGACGTGCTCACTTGAACCCAGGAGGCAGAGGTTGCAGTGAGCCAAGATTGTGCGACTGCACTGCAGCCTGGGTGACAAGAGCAGGACTGTCTCAAATAAAAAAAATTAAAAAAAGAAAGAAAGAAATGTGTTTAATATCATGAACAGTACATATACATATGCATACATATATTCACACATAAAATGGAAACAAAATTATTCTAAGAATACATACCCTTGCTATATTCAGTGCACGCTGATATTTTGTGTTCTACTTTATAGAAACAAAAAACACCACCAAAACTCTGGAGGTTCCCACCCACTGAAATAACTGTGTGACCCTCTAATGGGTCCCAGCCTCTATTTTGAAGCACACTGAGCTAAGTCCCTTGTTCCTGAGGCGCTCCCTTTCGGGATCTTAAACAGGGAATTCATGAAAGAATACAGTACATGCTTTAATTCAGATGTGTTTGGGAGTGCTGAGGCAGGAACGGATACATCGGCCCGTAAGTGAGATGGGGTGAGCCACTAGGGGGGCCTGTCCTGAAGCCATGGCCTTGCAGCCAGCTCTTGGAGGTTGCAGAAGAGGGGAGGAGGGCTCTCTTTGATGCAGCAGGCACGTCGTGGGTACCCTTGCATCTTTTCGTGGGAATTGAAGGGGGAGGTGAGTGTGATTTTCTAGGGACAGAGTGCAGCCAGAGAAAAGAAGAGGGAAGAGTCCCAGTCTCTGGGAAATTCTGACATTTAAGAAGCTGGACACAAAGAGAAGCTGAAGGGAAGCCATCAGAGCTGGCATGTCCTTGAATTAGTACCAATGACCTTGCTTTGCAAATCCAGAGTGGATGATATGTGTACAAACGAGCCACCTGGAGATGTCAATGGGAGAACAAAGTCAACCCAAACACATCCTCCTAGAGGTGGATGGATATTTGATGACAATTGTTGTTCATTTGACTTTCTTGCCTTCTTGTAGATTTTTAATCCCCTCCTTGAGAAGCAACTTGCTGAACAAATCAAGTTATATTATGAAAGGTGTGCTGAGGTTCAAGAAATAGTATCTGTGTATGCATCTGCAGCAAAGCACGGGGGCGAGAGACAAGAAGCATGTAAGTGTTGAGCTTCAGGGGAGCTGTTTTAAGCTCTGTGCATTTACATAAACACATGTTTGGCTTCTCCATAACAGGATTAAAATTAAACATATATGACTTGGCTCAGATACCAGATGGGACAAGTGTGACCTTGAGCCCTCCACTGGTGGATACAGGTGAAATTGTACATTCCACCTGGATTCTACCAAGACCAATGACAGCCAAGAAGAACCAAAACATCTTATAGCTCCAACCATAAAAATCTAGTTTACAAGTACAAATGAAAGCGAGTGTTTTGTGCCTTCGCATGGCGTTATTCCCAACCATAAGGCCAGCCTAAGAAAATAAAAATGAACTGGAAAATAAATTAATCATTAGAAATGTTTCCCCATCAGTGCACTTTTGTTTTGGGCCATTGATATCTGAATATTAGCTTTCAGAAATGTTGAATGGTGACTTTGTTGTTTGGAGCTTGGTTTTATTTTTTAAATCCTTGAAATTGACTCATTCTCGAAGACATCGGTAATTTTTAACAGAAGGAATGAATTTCAAATAGACTGCTTTCATGCATGCTCATATTTGCACAGACATCCTTTTACTCACACAGGGTGTTTATCAGTTACAAAACTTGGTCCTGTCTGGTTCGCCAGTGTTCCAGCTTGGATCTAGCACTTACACATTTCTCTGTGCTGTGGATCTTGCTGTTTGATATGGTGGCACTAGAGTTACTCACATATGTTCCTTCTGGAAGAGAAATTCCTGTGGGACCTTTGCCATCAGCAAAAGCGAATTGAGTATTTCAGTCCTGCCCATATGTCTCTATCTCCAGAGCGGAACTTCTCATTCCAGGTCGTGGAGGGAGGGATGCATCTCAAACATGCCCCAGTCCAATAGGGTTCACATGAAATGGTCCCAGGTAGTGATTACAGATGGTGACAGGTGAGTGTGGAAAGATAGTGCTTCTGCAATTCAATTTAAGAATAGGCTATACTGGTCCCCAGCTGCTGCTCTCACTGCTGAATCATCCGGAAAATATGATGCTGTCAACAGGAGGGGGAAGATATATAGGAATAGTAATAACCCAAAGAGGAAAGAAACTGACTTTGGTAACTTATGTACTCTCAGGAGACATACCCTGAGATAGAAGGCCAGGCATGCACACCCATCTGTTTGGTGGCATTAGGAAGATTTTCCTATCATCTTGAACTGCTTTGCCTCCCTGAGGGTCTTTGTGCTTTGCTCCTCAACTCACATGCCAAAAAATGGCCTAGATATTGGCCTCCTGGGGACCGGTCAGAGGCCAGCTGCTCATTCTGTAGAATTATTCAACAGCCATCAGCAACTTTGGCACATTTCTCATGGACTTGGCTCTGAATTTGTGACCTGGAGGCAAAAGCATCATAGCCAATTTCAAATCCCAAAAGGACCAAAACCAACATCCAGTAATGGCAAGTCTTTCTAGTTCCTGTTAGGAAGAAGGGCTTTAGGGAGGTGAGTCTTATCTTCTGCTAAAGGGTGTGATATCTTCTGCTCCCTCTTCTGTGTAGGCCACCTCCACAACTCCTACCTGGACCTCCAGCGCAGGTATGGGAGACCCTCGATGTGCAGAGCCTTCCCCTGGGAGAAGGAGCTGAAAGACAAACACCCCAGCTTGTTCCAGGCATTGCTGGAGATGGATCTGCTGACCGGTAATTGAGTCTTTGCCTCGGCTTTAGGCGCTGGTTAGAAAGGCTCCTTGTTTTTCTCTGTTTCACTCACCCTCTTTGGTGATTTATGCCTTAAAGTTATTTTTAACCCTAGTGTTTTAGTTTAATTTCAGATTTAAATTCTGCCTTTGTATGTCCACAACTCTCGATATATCTGTGCACACTTCCAACACTAAATGCAAAAACTTAAATTTAGGAATCGCTCAAGCAATTCTTTATTGAAAGCCAAGGCGGCAAATGGATAGGCCGCAGCCAGAGCCAGCCCCAGATGCAGTTGATTTGGAAAATACCTTGTTGTATATGTTTTAAAAAAAATCAGTTATCTAAAAAGCTTGTATGAAAATGCAAATTTCTAGCTTTTTAAAAAAAAAGAAGAAAAAAACAAAGATCTGGCAAGACTGGGCCTTTCTCCTATGTGGCAGCAATTGTGGAGGTGAGGCTGAGACCAGGCATACTTTGTCCACCCACAGCCCCTCCTGTCTGTTTCATCATCTCCTGCTTACTTCATTCATGGATCTGACCCGTCTGAGCCCACAGACACTTGAACGTGGGACCTCCGATTTGAAGTACACTTTAAGCATCATCTCAGGAATCTGCATAAACTTCCCAGATGCCACCAGCTTCTCTGTAGGCCCAGTGCAATTTGGGTTTGCTTAGTAATTCAGTGCATATTCTAGGGACGTGAGGGATCTTAAAACTATGCCTGTTAGGAAGAGGAAAGGCAGCTGGAGATGTTCGGTCTGGTGAAGAGGATCCTAGCAGGGAGTTGCCAACTGTCTTAGTGGTGGGAGGCAACTCCACGTAGTCCTGGGCATAGAACCAGATCCTGAGTTGAGGCGATGCAGAAACTGACTTCTGCCTCATGTAAGATTGGTGTCTTACATTGTACCCACCGCCTAAGAATGGCAGTGTCTAACAGCATAGATTTCCTTTGCAAATAGTGACCATCCTGCAAAGAATTCAAGTCATATAGGATATTTTATCATTCATTCTTCTGATGCTTACTCAGTGACTACTCAGTTGCTTGGCTAGACTTCAGAGATATGTGAAGTAACACAATGCTTCTGTCCTTGAGGAATGGACTTGAAAGCAAAGAAAAATAGTAATGGATTTTATTAAAGATATAGAAGCTAATGGTGGAGACACAAAGAAGGGAGTGGTCAGTTCTACCTGGAGGGCTGAGGTGTTCTGGGAAGGCTTCCTGGAAGAGGAGACACTGGGACTGATTCTTGAAAGGCCAACAGGTGTTTGCCAGATAAGAGAGTTGGAGGTGGGAATTGCAGGCAGAGCAGACCCTGAGAGGTGGTAACAGCACAGCATGTCGCATGATGGTGCTGTGACAATGGGGAGGCAGGAGAAGCCCTGCAAAGTGATTGTTCCAACGAGAGCTCAGACACCATCCTGAAGTTTGGGCTTTACCTTTCAGGTGACAGGGACCTGCTGAAGGGTTTCAAGCAAGAAGAAGAGACATAGTGAGATCTGGGATTTTGAGGTCACTCTGGTGGCAGTGAATGGCAGGGAGGTGAATTAGAAGCGGGTGGAGCTGGAAGAAGGGAATATATTGCCATGGTCCCTTGAGGAGTGGATGCAGGCCTGAGTGGGACATGGTGACAGGAACAGAGCTGAAGGATGTAGAGATGGGCTCTGAGGGACTCCATGGCTGCTTGGATGTGGGCACAAAGGACAAGTAGGCAGGAGGCTGCGTCATGTTGTGTAATGAGTGGCGTAGCCTCTGGAGCCAGCTGGCCTGGGTCCAATTTTAACACTCACTAGCTGTGTGATTTGGGCAAGTTACTTAATTTCTCTGAGCCTTAGTTTCCTCATCTGCAAAATGGGGATGATAATAGTATCTGTCTTCTAGTATTGGGTTCAATAAATTGATCTATATATGTATATGTATATATAGGTATATATGTGTATGTATATGTGTGTGCATATGTGTGTATGTATATATAATATACATATATAATATATGTATATTATATTATGTAATATATCATATAATATATAATATATAAATATATAATATATAAGTATATAATATAGATTATTATATAAGTATTTCATATATATACAATATACTTAGAACAGTATCAGCACATGGTAAGCCCTACATAAGCAGGGTTTCTCAATCTCACAATATTGACATTTTGGACTGTAGAATTTTTTTTTGTTGGGGGCTGTCCTGTGTGTTACGGGATGTTTAGCTGCATTTCTGGACTCCACAACTAGATACCAAAAGCACCCCCCCCAATATCCCTCCTCTCCAAAAATATTTCCTGGTATTGCCAAATGCTCCCAAGTCCCCAGGGAGGCCAAATCACCCCCAGCTGAGAACCACTGCTATGTCAATGTTATTGCTCTTATTACTGGGCAGAGATAATTCCAGGTTTCCGTTGGATGGTTGTCTGGAGGTGACGAAGCCCCATGCCCCAAGACCCGCAAACAGGAGAGGGAGACGCATGTTGGACAGTTTAGGCTAAATGGACTAAGACCACATCCACACCAAAATTGTCTTTACAAGAGTTCTGATCCTACTTAAAAATAGTTGTGCTGATTGGGAACAGGAGTGCATCCTTTCCACAAAACATTCTTTTTTAAGTAAATACTGTCTATGAGAATGTTTTCATGTTATTGTTGCAGCTCAAAATTCTGTTTATAAGAATTTAGAATGATTTGTTTTCCATGGAGGCCTGGCAATGAAATCTAATTAAAAACCCCAATCATAAGTCCCCTTACCTTAAGACTCCCTGGGTATGGGCGCTGCAGAACCGCTAGATTCCCGCACAGTGAGCCTGTTCTGCTGACCTCCGTTAGACTTCTGGGGCCCCCATCAGTGGGGAGAGAGGGGGACCCAAAGCTGGATTTGCCACTTTAGGACCCACCGTTCATGACTAACCTGCCATTGGGGTCTTCTGGTGCCAAATTAGAACAGCACCAAGGAGCTTCCCCCGAGGGACCATACCTGCCAGCCTCCCCGGCCACCACAGCCTCTGCTTCCAGAGGCACATGGCCAGCTGCCTTCCTCTTCTCCCTGCCTTTCCCTGGCCTAGGAGATGGCAGGGAGGGAGAACCGAAGTTTAGGTGAATTTCTAGAACCAAGCCCTGGGCCCCATTTGCCTTCAGCACCTCTTTCTCTAGGTCACATTGGAAGGACTGGGGAGCCTTCTGCAGAGGTGGGGCATACACTCCTTAAGGTCATCTCTCTACCTGGCACAGTGCCCTTGCTTGGGGCTATCATAACATCTTCCAGCAACCCTGGGAGAAAGACTGGTGTCTTATGTTGCACCCAGCTTCCTAACAAGGCTGAGAAAAAAAAAAACCTTGATTTTGTAAATTGAGGGTAAAAAAAAATGAGTTTATATTTCCAACACGTCTTTACTCTGATCTCCTATAAAAAGAACCGTAGTAAGACGAGTGTGACGCTATCGCCGTTCCCAGTTCCTCAAATACCCTTCGTTCCAAGTTCTTCCTGCCCACAGCGTCTGGCCCTAGCTGGCTCCGGCGGGCTTCAGATGACTCTAGTTAACAGGAACTGTGTTTGCATTCTATTTTCTGCTGCTGCCCTGACCTGTCCTGTCCTGTTGATTAATAGACTTTATTAGAACATCCTCATTGTATTACATTTTTCATATCTGAGATAAGCTATAAGAATGGATTCAAGCATGAGATGTTTGATGCTTGGAATTCTTATTGTAGGCACTGAATAGGCGTGGTAACAAAGATAAGGAATTTAACTGAGTGGGTGTGTTCTGAAGTCACTCACAACCTTTCATTCATTCATTTACTGAACAAGCATTGACTGAGTGCCCCCTACGAGCCAGGATAGAATCAAAATGGGGCTGTGTTTTGAATGAGAGTCATTTAGGCTAATGTAAAAGAAAACATCAGCTTCCATAGTTTCCCCAAAGGGCATTAATTTGTGGATTTTTTTTTTCTGGAATTTTTAACAAATAAGATGACACCATGGTGCAAGAGAAAATGGGCTGTAATTTCTGGTTCTGTCTGAGAGTCATCTTCTTCCCTGCCAGCAGCTTTTCTTCATAGACACAGCCAGCACTCCACTTCCAGGCCGCTACATATGCACGTTTCAGACCTGAAAGCGTTTCTTTCCCCCACACTGTGTGATTTTAGGTGGATCATCTGCTCACTATCTCAGCCAACAACACACTTCAAAGCAGAGATGAGAACATTGCAGGGGGTAGAGAGTGAGGAGGCTTTGGCTTCATTAACAGCCAGTGGGAAGTGGAAAAGAGTGTCCTCCACATTCCCGTCCAGTGAGGTCAGCACCTTTGAGTTGTTCCCAGAATAACCGTATTATTCTATTACAAAAGAGACTTGCCAAATATTTACACTTTTCCTCTTTAAGGGCTGTGATTTATCTTTTTAAAATTCTTATTCTTGCTAATATACACATAACAAAATTTGCCATCTGAACCAGTTTTAGGTGTACACAGTTCAGCAGTGCTAAGGATATTCACATTGTGCCACAGAGCTCCACGACTTTTTTCTTGCAAAACTGAAAATCCATACTCAGTAAACGTCTCCCCATTGCCCCCATCCCAAACCCTGGGAGCCGTCATCCTGCTTTTTATTTCGATGAGTTTGACTGCTTTAGATACCTCATATCTAATACCACTTGGTATTTTACACAGTATTTGTCTTTTGGTGACTGGCTTATTTCACTTAGCATAATGTCCTCAAGGTTCACCTCTGTTGCAGTGTGTGTTAGAATTTCCTTTCATTTTAAGGCTGAATGGTATTTCATGACATGTTTATACCACACTTTATTTATCCATTCATCCATCGATGGACACTTGAGTTGCTTCCACCCCTTGACTATTGTGAATAA
Source organism: Homo sapiens (assembly GCF_000001405.40). NCBI lineage: Eukaryota > Metazoa > Chordata > Mammalia > Primates > Hominidae > Homo > Homo sapiens. Next base: position 25,813,267 of record NC_000004.12, on the reverse strand, counting down.
CTTTGCTTAGAATATAGGCCTAAAAATATCTCTTTAGAACCATGCTTTCATTTTTTGTTAGATATATACAGTATCCAGAAGCAGAATTTCTGGGTCATATAGTAATTCTACATTTAATTTTTTGAGAAACCTCCATGCTGTCTTCCACAGCAGCTGGACCCTTTATATTCCCTCCAACGGTGCACAAGGGTTCCAATTTCTCCACATCCTCAGAAACACTTGTTATTTCCTGTTTTGTTTGTTTGTATGTTTTTTTGAGACAGAATCTGGCTCTGTCGCCCAGGCTGGAGTGCAGTGGCAGATCTCGGCTCACTACAATTTCTGCCTCCTGGGTTCAAGCGATTCTCCTGCCTCAGCCTCCTGAGTAGCTGGGATTACAGGCGCACGCCACCACACCCAGCTAATTTTTGTATTTTTAGTAGAGATGGGGTTTTGCCATGTTGGCCAGGCTGGTCTTGAACTCCTGACCTTAAGTGATCCACCTGCCTCAGCCTCCCAAAGTGCTGGGATTATAGGCATGAGCCACTGCACCTACCCTTTTTTTTTTTTTTTTCTGAGACAGAGTTTCACTCTTGTTGCCCAAGCTAGAGTGCAGTGGCATGATCTTGGCTTACTGCAACCTCTGCCTCCCGGGTTCAAGCTATTCTCTTGCCTCAGCCTCCTGAGTAACTAGGATTACAGATGCCTGCAGCCACACCTGGCTAATTTTTAGTAGAGACAGGGTTTCGCCATGTTGGCCAGGCTGGTCTCAAACTCCTGACCTCAGTTGATCTCCCTGCCTCAGCCTCCCAAAGTGCTAGGATTTCAGGTGTGAGCCCCTGTGCCCAACCCTGTCTTTGAGGACATCCAAGCTCTACTGTGAAATCAGGAAAGTCGACAGTCATTATGCAGGATGGTAGTTCTGGTAAAGGGGATGCCTACACTGTGGCAAGGGGGGCATCAGAGAAGAGCCATCTGCCTGGGGAGACAGGAGAGATGACGTGAGGAGAGGTATCTGAGTGGGAACATAACAGCTGTTTGCCAGGCAGGCAAACTGAGGAGTGTGGGTGGATGAGGTATGTTCTTTGGTGAGTATGGGGCACAAACACGCCATGTGTGGTCATATAGAAGAAGGATCACTTCACTAACATATGGCATAGGCAGCTAACATATGCCTAGCACTGTTGCAGGCACTGTCTAGAATTCAAAGTATAAGTTGGATCCTTCCACTTCTTACACCAGCCTTAACAAGCTTGCCACGGAGTGAGCGACGGAGACACATGTAGGATCGAATGGTGTAACTCAAGGCAGAGTAAGATGAGCTCTATTCAGGCGAACCTATCCTCCGGGTCCATATGTTATCTTTCTATTCACTAAGTTCTGTCGTAGACATTATGTCACTTTATAAAAGCATTGCATTTTAAATTCCGGTTAAACCAGACTTTCTCCAATATATAAATTACTGCACAAAAATAAATTATACCTCACAGCCATGAGGATGGCTACTAACAACAACAACAACAAAAAAAAAAAAAAAAAACAGGAAAAGAAAACTCCTCAAAGATAGGAACAGTATCTAGGGTTTTGCTTTTTTTGTTGTTTTTTGTTTGTTTGTTTTTTAAGACTCTTGCCTCAATAAATATTTGTTTAGCAACTGAATGGCGGCAGCCCAAATGAATAAGTGATCTCACTGTTAGTACTCAAAACATCTTTGTTGGGTAAATGAATCACTGAAGGAATGAGGAATTTGACTTCCAGGAGACCCAAGTTCAAGGTTTGCGCTAGCCAAGCTGCAGCTCCAATCCAGACTGCTAAGAGTTCTATGGACTTACTCTGCTTCCTTCCACATTTCCCTCATTTCTCCCACTCTCCCTCAGCCTGTTTCCTCTGAGGAGCGGCTGCTCTTTCTCGGTAGACACTTCTGTAAAACATCGTTCTGTTTCTCAGGTCTACCAGGACGCTGTTTGCCAGCTTTCCGCTGTCAACAGCAGTAGACCAGAATCCTGCTCAGGTCTGTGCACACTCATTTACAAAAGAATCCCAGAAATGTAGCCGTCATAGTTCTTGCTTTCATATGATCTGTAATCTAGTTGCTGAGATATACAGGTTCCAAGACGTAAAGCAGCCACGAGGTACCTGTAAACCCAATTCAGGACCCATGTACTGGGTGCATCCCACATGGTGCCAGGCCCTGGGGCGACCACAGTGAGAATTGTGGACCAGCCCACACACAACTCTGTGCCAAGTGCCAGGGTGTACAGAGGAGGGAGGCTCATTGAGAGTTGACAGCTGATGCGCTAACCTGGTATAAGACACAGCTGTTCCCACTGGTGTTTTCTTCTCTGATGTATAACAGGACCCGTTCCTCGCCTCCCAGAGCGGGCACGCCTTTGAATTAAACATGGCGGGGCTACTCGGGGTGCCCAACTGCAGCGCATATAGATGTGGCCGAGTCCCCTTGCTGCCTCGGGCATTCCAGGGCCTCTGCTCTGCATCCTGATTTTCTTGCTTGGCACAGGGATTCTCTTGTGCTGCTGTGGCCCGTAGTTCACCACCGTCTAGACTCTGGGGTGGCATCCAACATGAGACCCCACGTTCAGGACTCCGGAAGAGGGGACTCTGATTGGTCAAATTCTATGTTGTTTCCTGGGGAACCTCCAATTCTCTAGGAAAATGGCTCCTGCCAGAGCGTAGAAATTGCCCTATTAGCATTTGGGCTTTTTCTAATGCTAGTACGGTGGTGTTTTAGTATGCATGTTTTTTCATTATTTAAGAGTTGTGCTGGCCATTTCCTTCTTTTACTTTCTTGTCACACCTTACCTGTCAAAACTGAGCCGTTTGAATTCAAAAACCCTTTGAATGGGGCTCTGGCATCCAGAGAAGAGATGCGATGAGGACTGGGCTGGTGAGAGGCTGCAGGGATGGCAGTGGCAGTCCGGGCTCTTGGTTGTGGCAGGGAGCAATGAGGAAGGACACAAAGGCACTGAACAGGTGACATGAAGGCAGAGAGGGGAGGGGGGAGCTGGGCAGCATGGCCCCAGGGACATCTGCCCTAAGGCCAGGCCTATTTATTCCTTTCCTGCCTTTCATCTGCACTGGGCACCTCTGACCAAGGGAGTTGGTGCCTGTGGCTAAAGGAAGTCCAAAGTCTGCCAACAAATGGTTCTCTGGGATGGGGCCAGGTCCAAGGTTGGGCTCGGCTCCCTGGGCTGACACCATCTGCGCCCCTTTCAGGACCACTGCCTGCCTCTTGCCCCCAGGCTCCGGAGTGCTGAGTGTGGGGGCAGAGGTGTCCCCACACAATACGCCAAGGAGTGACTGGCTGCACTAGCGAAGCTCTACCTTGCTTTTGACTTTATTTTTGCCAACAATTGCGATGTTTATTTGGAGACCTTAAAACGCAGAGAGTGGAGATGTTAGAAATACAACTATGTTACATAATAACATCGGGATACTGTTTCCTTTTAAGAGCTGTGTTCCCTGTTTGTTGAAGAACCATCATCTTTATTACCTTTTTTAAAAAAGCATACATATAGTTTTTTTAAAAAAATACACAGAGACACCAAGAAAACAAACAATGGGCTATGCTTTTCTTGCTCAGAGAATAACAGCTCCGAAAGGAGAGAGAGAGAGATGGAGGAAGGAGGGAAGGAAAAGAAGAAGGCAGGGAGAAAAATGACGTGTAAAATCAGAAAGTTTATACGGGGTCAGGAGCGGAGGCTCATACCTGTAATTCCAGCCTTTTGGGAGGCCAATGCGGGAGGATCACTTGAGGCCAGGAGTTCAAGACCAGCCTAAGTAACATAGCGAAGCCCTGTCTCTATTTAAAAAATAAAATAAAATAGGCTGGGCGCCGTGGCTCAAGCCTGTAATCCCAGCACTTTGGTAGGCAGAGGTGGGTGGATTGCTTGAGGCCAGGAGTTCGAGACCAGACTGGCAAACATGGCAAAATCCTGTCTCTACCAAAAAAAAAAAAAAAATTAGCCAAGCACGGTGTGCATCCCTGTAATCCCAGCTACTCGGGAACTGAGGCAGGAGAATTGCTTGAACCTGGGAGGTGGAGGTTGCAATGAGCCAAGATCATGCCACTGCACTGCAGTCTGGGCGACAGAGCAAGATTCTGTCTCAATAAAATAAAATAAAATAAAAAAGAAGAAAGAAAAGAAAATTTACCCAGTACATAGAAAGATACAAATAGGCTTTTTTTTTTTTTTTTGAGACAGAGTCTCACTCTGTCGCCCAGGCTGGAGTGCAGTGGCGCGATCTCGGCTCACTGCAAGCTCTGCCTCCCGGGTTCACGCCATTCTCCTGCCTCACCCTCCCAAGTAGATGGGACTACAGGCACTCGCCACCACACCCTGCTAATTTTTTTTTGTATTTTTAGTAGAGATAGGGGTTTCACCGTGTTAGCCAGGGTGTTCTCGATTTCCTGACCTCGTGATCTGCCCGCCTCGGCCTCCCAAAGTGCTGGGATTACAGGCGTGCGCCACTGCACATGGCCCAAATAGGCTTTTTTTGAAAAAGAAAAAGAAAGCAGGCTGTGAGCCCAATGAGGATCTCCAGGTCAGAGTGCAAATGAGGAATGCCCTGTGTTTTTACAAACCAGTCAACTTGGTGTAGATCATTCCTTTTAATAGTTAAGTGACATTTTCTCCTTTCCTTTTTTTCCCCTTTCAAACTTCTACCTTGGATGCATTACACCTTTCAGAAGCTTGAAACTAAAAACGACTTTCCTATTGATGTCTACATTCCTGTCACAGGGAATGAGGTGCCTTTCTGCTCCTGAATTCTCGAACAGACGCTGGTCCCAGCTCCGGGGCCTTTAGCAAGTGGTTACCTTCTCACATTCTGCTTTTTGCCTCTTCTAAAGATGAGCACACAAACGGTGACCTTATGATATTACTGTGAAAAAGGGGAAAAAAGCAAAATAAATGATTCTGGGCTACATGGAAAATAGTAAGGGGTAATTAGTGGTGGTGGTGGCTTTTGTTCCTTAGCTTTGGGCGCTGAAAGAAAGAAAATGGGAAAATGGCTGCTTCTTCTATTTTGTTTGTTTGTTTCTTCATTAAACCATTAATCTCCATAAACAAGGCATGTTTTTAGTTACAGATTGACTAGAAAAAAATGCATATGCTAAGCCAGATGGGTGAAATTAACAGTTTCATTAAACTGACTTTAAAATCACCAGTGTCACAATATCACCCAAGACATTATGCCTTTGCTTTTGAGCAACAGTTGGAATTCAAAGTTTACCAAATGTGCAAAATGAGCAGTTTTACCTTAGGATTATTATTTTTATTTATATTTACTACTGCAGAAAATTATTTGATTCTTTTTCAGAGAAAATACTGTTTGGTTATATTTTGGGGGGAGTTTTGAATTTCACATACGAAAGAAATAACACAGCCCTTTCAAACTGCCTGTGTTTCAACCTGCAAAGTTTTTTTTGTGCTAAAGATTTGAGCTTTGTGAAGGATTCCCTTTTTGTTCCTTCTTCTCCAGCAATCTCAGCTACCTGGGCGCTCCTGCTAATGATTTCTGGGGTTCCGTGCCAGGGGTCGGCAGGACAAGTGTTTCATTTGAAGCTTCATTTGGTTTGGAGTCTCTTCCTCCTCTGAGCCTACAAAGCTCGGGTCCACGGGTACTCTGGCAAAATTCATCATCTTAGTTAGGCATTTGGCAGAATAGGTGAGGCAGGGATGAATCTTTAACAAATGTTAATGTTGCTTTGCTGGGAATGTGCAGAGGGGCATCCAAGATGAGCACACATTTAAAAGTAAACACATGAATAAGTGGCAGTAGAATTTATTTTGCAACTCTGAGTGCTACAGTGTCTACTGAATTCAGTGTATTCCACGTTCTTATTACAACTAAAGACTGGGTAGAACGGACTTCTCTTAACTATGCAAAGGGAAAATCCAAGACAAGATTCCGCAGGCTGCTGGTGAAAAGGGGTGTTATCATGCAGATGTCATCCTAACAGATTAGCAGAGGGAAGTGGAAATGTTCGAGGATGTTCAATGCCACGTTGTTGGTTATAGCAAAACCACTGGAAACAACACAGGAGTCTAAAAATAGAGGCCTGGTAGGGAAAATGGTACAGCTACGGAATGCAATACTATTGAAGCATTAGAAAGAATGAGCTTCTGACAGCCCCAGAGAGTTATTCATAATGTGTAGTTAATTTAAAAAAGAAAGTCGAGAGTCAGACTCTACAATGGCATAATACGCCATTTTGGTAAAGAAAATGTGTATGTAGATATGTAAATAGATTTGGATACGAATTATTGTATATACGAAGGAAGAGTGCCAAAGCCTACATACCACGCTTTTAATAGTTTTTAATCTTCGTTATTAAAGAAAGATTGAGGGAGATGGGATTTCTGTTTTTATTTTATACAAATCTGCATTGTTTGAATTTTTTTTTTTTTTACGACAAGCTGTTATTTCTCTGGGGAGTTTAAAAAAAATACAGAAAAAGGAACAAACTCCATTCGTTCAGTAAAGTGAATGTTTTCAGCACCTCCTGTGCCAGGTACTTGGGATCAAAAAAGCAAAAGCAGAACCAGGAGGTAGGCAGGGAAGAGTTCCAGAAGCTAGTAACTGGAGGATGCCTTAGAGCTGGTGGAGGTGGTGGCTGCATCCTTCCCCACAGCTCAGGGTCTGCCAGCACAGGCACAGTGTCCCCATCTCAGGGACACCCAACCCACCCATGTACCCCCAGGCACCAGTTCCCGCTCATTGACAACGTGTCAGCATTCACAATTTCATCTGTGGGTCCTTCTGATCTCAACTTCCATTTTTAGCATGGACCTCTGCAAGGAAATTGCCCTTAAATAAACCCATCCCCAGCCTTCCCACATTGGATACTCTTCTGTGTTCAATCCTGATGAAGGGCTGATAAGAGTGAGTCTCTCTCGTTGCCTCCTGAGCTTTAAAAAAAAAAACATTTTGCCGGGCGCGGTGGCTCAAGCCTGTAATCCCAGCACTTTGGGAGGCCTAGGCGGGCGGATCACGACGTCAGGAAATCCAGACCATCCTGGCTAACACGGTGAAACCCTCTCTCTACTAAAATACAAAAAATTAGCCGGGCGTGCTGGCGGGCGCCTGTAGTCCCAGCTACTCGGGAGGCTGAGGAAGGGGAATGGCGTGAACCCAGGAGGCGGAGCTTGCAGTGAACCGAGATCGCGCCACTGCACTCCAGCCTGGGCGACAGAGCAAGACTCCATCTCAAAAAAAAAAAAAAACAAACAAAACAAAACAAAAAAAACCCACAACATTTTAATTTTTCACGGAATGAAGAAAAAAAGAAACATCATGTTGGACATAGTTTTTAGGCAGGTGAAATTTTAGTCAAGTTGACATTTAACTTAACATTTACATCAACGTTATTTACATGTACATTTACATTTAACTCACATCCTAAGTTAAATGTAAGTCTTAAGTTAAAAGTTAAGTCTTAAGTTAAATGTAAATAGTATCTTTGCAATCCTATATGGCCTTTTGTAACACAGCATCTAGCATAGTGCCTTGCACATAATGGAAAGTAAACATTCGTTGGCTGAATTAACAAGAGATATGAATAACAAAGATAGACTTTAGAAGACTCTAACAGTACATCTAGGGCCATAAAACTTGCTTGTTTGGGCTTAAATGATGATCAGCTTATAGATTCATGGGAGAATTATGTAAAAGGAAGCATCATATAGCTTAAAGCAGTTGTGTAAACAAGTCTCTATCCGCGTGGTAAAGTACTTATTAAGGCAACTGATTGACTTTTCATTGAGGGTACGTGCATCAGGGTGACTGTGAACTCTGGCTTTAGTGACCTTTGAAGCAGGGCTCACTGCTTGGCTCTGCCTCTTGCCAGCCTTTGTAACTTTAGACAAGTTATTCTTCTCCAGGCCTCAGTCTCTTCGTGTAAAAAATGGGGATGCTGAAAATAGTACCGACCTTATAAAAGTGTACCAATTAAATGACATAATTTACATAAGACACTTAACCCAGTACTTGGCATGTTGTAAGCTCTCAATAAAAGTTGACTCATTCTTTTTATTTGGAGACCCATGAGAAAAACTGGGGACAAAAGATGTCTAGAAAGCATCTAAAACTAAGGTTCTTTTGCTCAACTTTTTAGAGCAGTACCTAAGAACTGTTTGTGAGATAAAACACATTCTTCTTTAGGGAGTCTTAGAGGGGGAAAAGGTCCCTCTGGAAGTTTCAGTGGTCCTGATTTGGTGATGAGTTACACTGAGTAAATTACTCTCTTGAGGCGATTTCTAAGCTACATACAGCACATCATTTCCCCAGGATACTAGGCTGTCATATAGTGCCAAAGAAAAAGCTATTTACAGAATGACACCATGGCATCCCCAAAGGGTTTCATTTACCTCCCTGGAAGGTGGTATATTTTGAGGCACTGCAGGACCGACCATATCAATAACTCAGGTGATTTAATTGGCTTTTCCTCTTTTTCTAAAGCCACATCGATCCCATGGTAATTAATTGTGTGTGCTCTGAATTGTGTTATTTACAGTGCCAAGGAACCAAAATGAATCTGTATCAGAAATCGGTGGGAAGATATTTGAGAAGGCTGTAAAGAGACTCTCTAGCATTGATGGTCTTCACCAAATTAGCTCTATCGTCCCCTTTCTGACGGATTCCAGCTGCTGTGGATACCATAAAGCATCCTACTACCTTGCAGTCTTTTATGAGACTGGATTAAATGTTCCTCGGGATCAGCTGCAGGTAGAGTATTTCATTGCTCCATTAACATCAGTCACTTGCATTATATTTGCAAAGCAATGCTCTCGTGCCCCTGGTAGAACTGGACATGTTGCAGCTCCTTGGAGACCTTTAAAAATCTTTACACTCAAGATAAATGTCCTGGGGCTGTGTTAAATACAGGATCCTTTGCTTTCAGTGAGTGAAAAAGGGCACTTCATCCATTTCTAGACAGGCCTTGGGGGGATGATTGGTGTACCAGCTAAGGAACAGTGTCAGTGCTTGCCAGAACACCAGTTCTTCAAGAACAGGTGCTCCTTACCAAATTCTTGTAATTACTCTGCCTGTGAGACCATTATCCCACATCACTTTTTAGCTAAGTGAAGTCACTTGGACCTTGAAGCAAAGTATTGCTGCATCCAGCAGTCTGTCATCAAAATAAACGCCATACCAGACGGCTTCATTTCTGGTTTTGAATCCAAATTTATTATGCAACTAGTCTAACATTTAGAATTACATTTTCATAGTGCATTAGTCAGGGTTCTCCAGTGAAACAGAACCAATGGGATTAGATATATATAGGAAGAGGTTTCTTACAAAGAATTGGCTCATGCAATTATGGAGGCTGAGAGGTCCCACAGTCTGCCGTCTGCAAGCTGAGGGCCAGGAAAGCCAATAGTGTAATTCCAGTCTAAGCCTGAAGGCCTGAGAATCAGGAGAGATGAGGCCATAAATTCCAGTCCAAGGGCAGGAAAAAAACCAAAACAACAACAAAAAAAAAAACATATAAAAAACCCTGATGTCTTCCTGCCTCAAGCAGGCAGGCAGGCAGAAAGCAAAAAGGGACCAATTTCTCTTTCCTCTGCCTTTTTGTCCTATTGAGGCCCTCAAGAGATTGGATGATGCCCATTCACAGTGGAGAAGGCCGTCTGTGTAGCTTACCTCACCAGTTCAAATATTCATCTCATCTGGAAACACTCTCACAGACACATCCAGAAATGATGTTTCATCTGGGTACCCGATGGCACAGTAGAGTTGACACACCAAATGAACCATCGCAATAAGCACTGCTAAATGTTCCCTGATTGCTTTTCGTTTTCAAATTTGCATAGGTGATTGTGTATGCGTGGTTTGGGGAGGCTCAGACTGTTGAGATGTGCCCAAATGGTTCCATGTTCCCTTCCAGTTATTTGCTTATGATGCCTCTGGCTTACAGATGCTCCTGAATGACAGCATGTTTTCCTGAGTCCCGGAAGCAGTCCCCACAAGGGTGGAATAATGAAAACAGCCTAGTCCCATCTCTGCCACGAAGTGGCTGGTTGACCATGGACAATCGACTTCCCCTTTCTGGGCCTCTCTTTTCCCAACTGTGAGATGAGGTGGTCAGACCAGTCAATCTCCAAAGACCCTTCCAGCACAAACATTCTGAGAGTGTGAGGATGGGACATGGGCCCGCCATCCAGACCCCGTGTCCATCGATGATGTCACTGAAACAGAACAGGGGACTTAGGATGGTTGGCTGGTGCCCAAAAAGGTGCTGCAATAGAAGTCATGAAAGATCCCCGTTTGTACCAGGAAGAGGCAAAAGTCAGGGCATTTTAAGCTATTTGACATTAGGAAGGGCAGCTAGCTGGAAATTTGTAAACCAATAGAAAGCTAGATTGGCTTTTTTCCCATTTCATTTTATTATTTTTTTAAAAAGGCAAGTTAAATCCCAGCACTTTGAGAAACCGAGGCGGGTAGATCATGAGGTCAGGAGATCGAGACCATCCTGGCTAACACGGTGAAATCCCATCTCTACTAAAAACATAAAAAATTAGCTGGGCATTGTGGTGCACGCCTGTAGTCCCAGCTACTCCGGAGGCTGAGGCAGGAGAATCACTTGAACCTGGGAGGCGGAGCTTGCAGTGAGCCAAGAGTGTGCCACTGCACTCCAGCCTGGGCGACAGGCCAAGGCTCCGTCTCAAAAAAAAAGGCAAGTTAACATATTTCTGGAATGGCTAGGATTGTATATAGGAATTGGGCCTGACAACCTTTCAGTGTTAGGATTTTATGACCCTATCTACAATCTCATGAACGCTTTGTCAATTTCTTCCTAACAGGGCATGTTGTATAGTTTGGTTGGAGGCCAGGGGAGTGAGAGGCTGTCTTCAATGAATCTTGGGTATAAACACTACCAGGGTATTGACAACTACCCCCTGGACTGGGAACTGTCGTATGCCTACTACAGCAACATTGCCACCAAGACACCCCTTGACCAGCACACACTGCAAGGAGATCAGGTATGAGAGAGAAAAAAGGTTGGGAATGGTTATGGCCCTGTTTACCTGCTTTCATGAAGTGTCTGCCCCTGTGGTTGCTTTTGTAGTTGGCCTTCAGAGGTTGAACATAATCAAATGGAGAGAGGAGCTGTCTTGCGCTCTCCATTTCCTATTACCTGGCTGTGTTCTCAGGCTGAATGCAGGGGCAGCCCTACATTTATGCATGAAAAGCTTTTCATTTGTGAGAGGACTGGTATGTGAAGAGTCAACTTGGCCTTGGGCAGATTTTGATTTTGCAAAAAAGTGTGTACCTACCAGAAACATAGGCATCTTGTCTTTGTGCCAATACCCTATGAGATGGTGAGGTCTGGAGATGTTAGGTGGGACTGGGTCAAATTCAGTGGAGGCAGGAAGCTGTAAGGGCTCCTTTCAATGTGTGATGAGCAAGCAATGTCTACAATGGACACAGGCAAGCTTCCTACCCAGCTATGTTCCCCCTGCTGGGTGCTTGAGAAATGTCTGTCCCCATGCCATGAGCCTTGCTACACCAGTGCTCCCAGGTGACTGACAACAGGGTGTGATGATTGAAGACTCCACCCTATCCCAGATGAAGGACTAGATGAGGGACACTAACTCCAGCCCCCAATTTTGCAGGCTCCCAGATATTATTGATTCATTGGACAAAAAAATCAGTGACTCACATCTCCCAAAAGACCATAATGTATTACATTACACCAACTGATGGTTTGCTTCCAGACTTCTTTCAGAGGACAGGGAGTAATAGGGTCCAACTAAAAGGTGATAGTGTAAGAATAAAAGAAAGCTGCCTCTTGATACAGATCTGCATCGAATGGTGGTAGACAATAAAGTGGTTGCTTCTTATAAGTTGTTGGTTTTTTTTGAGACAGAGTCTCACTCTGTCCACCAGGCTGGAAGGCAGTGGCGCAATCTTGGCTCACTGCAACCTCCATCTCCTGGGTTCAAGCGATTCTCATGCCTCAGCCTCCTGAGTTGCTGGGATTACAGGCGTGTGCCACCATGCCCAGCTAATTTTTTTATTTTCAGTAGAGACAGGGTTTCGCCATGTTGGCCAGGCTGGTCTTGAACTCCTGACCTCAGGTGATCTGCATGCCTCACCCTCCCAAAGTGCTGGGATTATAGGCGTGAGCCACTGTGCCTGGCAAGTGCCATAAACTTGATTTGCCCCTGCTTAGTGAGCAGCTCTGAGAGACAGGCCTAGCCAGGTTAGGATTGTTGAATTTTAGGCTGCGTGGCTGACTGGGAACCAGACCCCTGGTTCCCAGCTCTGCCCCTGGATTGGGCTCAGAAATCCTCAATGCAGAAAATTCAAGCTTTGATGTTTGGGAATGGTTGGTTTCTGGAAAAGAAATCTAGAGTGGCTACTGGGTGGCTATGAAGTAAATGACTTGAAGATATGCTGTCAGTAAATGTTGAACATGAGTCAAGCTATAAAACACCAAAAGGCTGTCTATGTAGGCATTCTAATTCCTTTTGAAAATAATGATTCCTTCTGAACAAACTTACACACCCTTATAATTTATACATGTATTTTCTGTCTGTATAATTTAACCTCAATTTACAGGAATAGATTTATTAATTGGTAAAGTTTTTTTTAAAAAAAGAATTGTTCTAAAAAAATTTGCACAAAGCCAAGCCAAAAAAAACTATTTTTTTTAACTAAGCCTGGATGTGTTAATAATGTTCTACATGTATATGTTATACTTTTAAGAATTCAAATTCAGCATAAATTAGCAACAGGAAATGATATGTTGCTAACAAGCTCCTTTTCTTTTGAAGATTTGGCATATGAAATGTTATGATTGCGAAAGAAAACATTTAATTGGTCAGAACCAGAGGAGATGAATAGAAAAGATCCGTCTTGCAGCTGAAAAGTCACCTGATTAAGAATCACAGATAGGAATTATACAGTTAGAAGAGTTGTGTCATAGCTCATTTTCTTAAGAATGGGTAATTAATGGCTTCTTAAGAATTTAAACAGGTGTCATATGTTGATTTAAATGTCCTTTTGTTGAGAAATCTATTAATTCACCAGCGTAATGTAGTAAATGAGAAGACAGAGAAAGCCAGACCTCTAATTAACAAACCAAGGACCCATCAATAACTGCTTTCTTGATTCTTGTTTCATTCTCTCTTTTGCGTAACTCGTGGTTCACATCATTTCATCTTTATTAGTGCTCTCCCTTCACATCGCTTTCTTTATGCTTTAGTAGGACTCTGCTTCAGGATAGACAGAAAGAAGATGGCTAGTACTTCTGTTTGTTTCTGCAGCTTAATTACAAATGATTAGTCCTCGCATTCTGCCCACTCCTCAAAAGCTGCTCTTCCTCCAGGTTTGGTTGCCAATATTCTGTTCTCTCTCTACATTTTCTGGACAGAGATCTCATCTACACCTCTGGTTTCAGCTGCACTCCGCATATGATAATACTCAGACCTTAATCTCTGACTGTTTTCTTACAAATCCCCATCTGCCGTCATTGTCACATACTGCAAAAGAAACACATCCCTCCTCATCTCCATTCCCTGCAAACACCTCAGCAGATGGCACGATTGTTCATGCTAGAACCTGGGGAGTCATCTTGGATCCTCCATCATCCCACCAGTCAACAACCCCCAACAGCTTTCCATACCACTTTTTCTCTCCTCCCCACGTGCACCCCTGCTGCTGCCTGAATTTGTTGCTCATCGTCTCCCCTCTGAGCTCCTACAACAGCTGATGGGCTGAATTGTGTCTTGCCAAAATCCGTATGTTGAGGTTCCAATTCCCAGTACCTCAGAATGGAACTATACTCGGAAATCAGATCTCTGAAGAGTTGATTAAGTTGAAATGAGGCTGTTAAGGTAGACCTCTAATCCAGTAGGACTGGTGTCCCTATAAAAAGAGATTAGAGGCCAGGTATGGTAGGTCACCCCGGTAATACCAGCACTTTGGGAGGAGGAGGCAGGCAGATCACTTGAGGTCAGGAGTTTAAGACCAGTCTGGGCAACATAGTGAGACCCCATCTCTACTAAAAATGCAAAAACTAGCCAGGCATGGTGGTGCGCATCTGTCATCCCAGCTACTTGGGAGGCTGAGGCACGAGAGTCACTTGAACCTAGGAGGCGGAGGCTGTAGTGAGCTGAGATCATGCCACTGCACTCCAGCCTGGGCTACAGAGCAAGACTCTGTCTCAAACAACAACAACAAACAGAGTAGGACACAGGCAACACAGACGGATGACCACATGAGGATGCAGAAAGATGACAGCCATCTGCAAGCCAAGGAGGGGGGTCTCAGAAGACATCAAGCCTTCCAACACCTTCATTAGGAACTTCCGGCCTCTAGGACTATCAGAAAATTTCTGAGTCACCTAGGCTGTGGATCTTTGTTATGGCAGCCCTAGCAGATGGAGACCCCCTCCTCCCCGGTCTTTCTTTCTTTCTTTTTTCTTTTTTTGAAACAGAGTCTCACTCTTATCACCCAGGCTGGAGTGCAGTGGCACGATCTCAGCTCACTGCAACCTCCACCTCCTGGGTTCAAGTGATCCTCCTGCCTCAGCCTCCCGAGTAGCTGGGACTACAGGCATGTGCCACCACGCCCGGCTAATTTTTGTATTTTTAGGGAAGACGGGATTTCACCATGTTGGCCAGGCTGGTCTTGAATTCCTGACTTCAGGTGATCCGCCTACCTTGGCCTCCCAAAGTGCTGGGATTACAGGTGTGAGCCACCTCGCCCAGCCGTCCTGGTCTTTCTGTCACCAGTCTTGTGCCTTCCCATCCTCTCCCTCAGGCCAAGTTCACCACTGCACACTGGAATCACCTGGGGGCTTACAGAACATCTCTGCACGGAATCCACCATGGAGGGTCTCATGAAAGTGATGTGGGGTGTGGCCTAGGCACATACATGTGATATGCAGATACATGTGTACGTGTATGTGTATATTTTAAAATAAGCCTGCTGTTCAGCAGGCTTTAACTCTGCAGTATCAGAGATGAACTTCTGAGCTGCCCATTCTAGAGATGTTGATTCTATAAAATGGCAGCAACAACAACAACAACAAAATACAGTCCTCAGGGGATTGTACCCTGCAGCCAGGGTTGAGCAGTACTCACCCAGAAGAATAAGTCTAGCTCATCGGATGCCGTATGAGACGTTCTTCGATCTGGTTCCTTGCTACCTCCCCAACCAAACTCGCAACACCAAACTTTTGGCCAGGCCTGGCTGTTCCCACCTCCTGACCTTGCCTGTCTGCTTACTGGTTTGCTTTCTCCATGCCCCTCCCACTTCCCCTCTGACTTCCCACTTTGATTCTTTCTTGCTCAGATGTCACCCCCTCTGGAAGCCTTCCTGGGTCTCTCCTTGCTGTGCCACCGTCACATCTAGGCACATCTCTCCCATTGCTCCTGCACTGGGTGTTGTGTGCAGGGTGACAGAGCTGGCTCCCCAGTAGACTATGAGCTGCCTGAGGCAAGGACGTCATCTGTTCACCTCTGTGTCCCGGGGCCCAGCACTCTGCCTGACACATAGTTGGCGCTCAGTGTTTACTGATGGAAAGATGGCTAGAAGTGGGTGCAGAGGTTACCCAGTGATGAACAGAAAGTCAACTGCAGTGTCTTGATGCTGGTGCTTTTCGAGGGGACCCGTGTTTCGTTCTTGATGGCAGGTACCCAGAGCCCTTGCCATGAGCCCCTGCCTCTCTTGCATGCAGCACCACCATCGTATGTGACACCCATATTTGGGGAATCTTGGCAGTTTGCTTCCCTGTCTCTCCACCCTTACAGCTGATGTTTCCCCTTCCGACTTACAAGTCCCTAAAGTGTTAAATTTCTACAAAGAAAACACACGCACTCCTACTGGGAGCCTAACATTATAGCTGATTTTAAACACGCTAAGAGGCAAGTTCCTCGTGGCGGTTCTGCCAGGCCCTGAGGTGAGCGGTTGAAGTGCAGGCTCCACAACTGCCTGTTCCTCCAGCTGAGCCTGCTCCTGAGTTCCCAGGGGTGCTGGCAGAAGGCAGAGGCTCCTGGAAAATGTGGGGCTGCCGAGAGGCTTCGCTCCTCAGCTGCAACAACTAGAGGGTTTTTTTTTTTTGGTCTTCCTTTCTTCCTTCCTTTCTCTCTCTCCCTCTCTCACCCTCACCTGCTCCCCTTCCTCTCTCCCTCCTTCTCTTTCTCTCTTTTCCACTTCCTTTCTTTCTTCTCTTCCTTTCTCTTTCTCCTCCCTCTCCTCTTTCTCTCTCCACTACCTGTCTATTCCCCCTGTCTTTTCCTCTCTCCTTTTCCTCTCTTCCTCTCTCTTTCCTCTTCCTACCCCTTCTTCTCTCTCCCTCTTTCTTCTTTCTTTCATTACCTCTCTTCCATTCCCTGTCCTTCCCGCGTCACTGTCCCAGATCTTACCTTTCTTCTTTTTTTTTTTTCTGTCTTTATGCTCTGTTGGACTTAGAAAGGAAATATTTTCCAACAAACACAAAACCTTACTGTGTTTTGTTTTTGTTTTTTTGTTTTGTTTTGTTTTTTTCGAGATAGAGTCCCTCTGGAGTGCAGTGGTGTGATCTCGGCTCACTGCAACCTCCACCTCCCGGGCTCATACCTCAGCCTTCCAAGTAGCTGGGACTACAAGTGAGCCACCATGCCTGGCTAATTTTGGGCATTTTTAGTAGAGATGGGGTTTCACCATGTTGGCCAGGCTAGCCTCGAACTCCTGACCTCAAGCGATCTGCCCACCTTGGCCTCCCAAAGTGCTGGGATTATAGGCATGAGCACCTGGCCACACTTACTGTATTGATTAAGGTTTTCTTTATTTTATTTTTTAAAATTTTACACACACACACACACATATTTTTTTTTTCTTTAATTTGAGACAGGGTTTTGCTATGTTGCCCAGGCTGGTGTCAAACTTCTCGGCTCAAGTGATATGCCTGCCTCAGCCTCCCAAACTGCTAGGATTACAGGCGTGAGCCACTGCGCCCCAGCCTTCAGCTTTCCTGAAGTTGATGACACACAGACAGGACATGTTGTGAGCACCGCCCTCTGTGGCCTGCAGGCTGACTGGAATGAAAGGCATGTCAGCATCCCCGGGACAGTGTGGAGCCTTCTCTGGGGCTTGGTCCTGGGTGGTCTGAGGATTGCTTTGTCTCCAGACACTGGGCCTCCTGTGACTTGCTCAGCAGTATTAAGATACAAACTTCTGAGCTGCTCATTCTAGAGATGTGGATTTTATAAAACGGCAACAATAACAACAATGAAAACCCAGATGCCATGGAGGATCCCAGAACTGGTCAGGCTGGGACGCTTGGTTCCTGCCAGTGTCCACCAGCTCTGCCCCTACCCCACACACCCGCCCAGTGATTTTTTTTTTTTTCTCCCAGTCCACAGCTTCTTCCCGGCTTTTCCTGCCCACAAAACTGTTTGAATGAATGGACAACTGAACACTTTCCTTTTAAAGGTCATTCCTGCCTCCGAAGTCTTTGTGTTAATAGGTGGTCTGCTTTCACAGAAGGCCTCAGGAATGTGACCATGATGTGATGCTGGTTGCTATTGTAGTGACCCCAGAACTATGGAGAAGGCAACCCCCACCTGGGTGTGGCAGGCAGCGTGTGGTGGCTCCAGGGCCAGATTTGCCTGGGTCCAGGTCCTGGGTCTGCTACTCACTGGCTGTGGACTCTAGGATCATTCTGCTTACCTCTGTGTGTTTCTCACCCGTAACATGGGAGCCATGATGGTCTGCACCTGTCATGTTGTTACAGCACAGATAAGTCAATCCAGTACAGCCAAGCACACAGGATGAGCTCCCTAAATTGTTTCTGGCCCCAACACACCCTCCCCCAGTTCTAGTCCTTCTGTTTTCTAAAGCATAAAATTCTCTTAGATCTTCATCCCCACAACCTAAGGCTTTGAGTTGTACTAAACTGCAAATACCAATAGGGTTAACGTTCTAAACAGCAATTAGCCATTTACACTTTAGTATGAGTTAAGGCCCTAAAAAATGATGAGTTGTCATTTACTGAGAGTGTGCCATGACCCAGGCACTTTGCTAAGCTCTTTCACAAACAATCTTCTTTTAAAAGAAATATTATATTTTATGTTCCGGGGTACAGGTGCAGGACGTGAAGGTTGTTACATAGGTAAACGTGTGCCATGGTGGTTTGCTGCACCTATCAACTCATCATCTAAGTATTAAGCCAGCATACATTCACTATTTTTCCTGATCTTCTCCCTCCCCCCCACCCCCCAAGAGGCCCCAGTGTGTGTTTTTCCCCTCCCTGTGTCCATGTATTCTCATTGTTCATCTCCCACTTACAAGTGAGAAGATGCAGTGTTTGGTTTTCTGTTCCTGTGTTAGTTTACTGAGGATTATGGCTTCCAACTCCATCCATGTCCCTTCAGAGGACATGATCTCATTCCTTTTTGTGGCTGCATAGTATTTCATGGTGTATATGTACCACATTTTCTTTATCCAGTCTATCACTGATGGGCATTTGGGTTGATTCCATGTCTTTGCTATTGCTACAGTGAACATATGCACACATGTATCTTTGTAATAGAATGATTTATATTCCTTTGGATATATACCCGGTAATGGGATTGCTGGGTCAAATGTTATTTCTGGTTCTAGGTCTTTGGGGAATCGTCACACTGTCTTCCACAATGGTTGAACTAATTTACCTTCCCACCAACAGTGTAAAAGTATTCCTATCTCTCCACAGCCTCACCAGCATCTGTTGCTTCTTGACTTGTTAATAATCGCCATTCTGACTGGCATGATCTGAATTCTAACTCACCACTATCTACCTGGCATGAGATGGTATCTCATTGTGGTTTTGATTTGCATTTCTCTAATGATCAGGGATGTTGAGCTTTTTTTCCCCTACATTTGTTGCCTGCATAAATGTCTTCTTTTGAGAAGTGTCTGTTCATGTCCTTTGCCCACTTTTAAATGAAGTTGTTTGGTTTTTTTTCTTGTAAATTTGTTTAAGTTCCTTATAGACTCTGGATATTAGACTTTTGTCAGATGGGTAAGTTGCAAAAATGTTTTCCCATTCTGTAGGTTTGTTGTTTGCTCTGATGATAGTTTCTTTTGCAGTGCAGAAGCTGTTTAGTTTAATTCATCCCATTTGTTAATGTTTGCTTTTGTTGCAATTGCTTTTGACATTTTCACATGAAATCTTTGTCTATGCCTATGTCCTGAATGGTATTGCCTAGATTTTCTTCTAGAGTTTTTGTAGTTTTGGGTTTTACATTTAAGTATTTAGTCCATCTTGAGTTAATTTTTGTATAACATATAAGGAAGGGGTCCAATTTCAATTTTCTGCATATGGCTAGCCATTTCTCCTAGCACCATTTATTAAATAGGGAATCCTTTCTCCATTGCTTGTTTTTGTCAGACAAACAATCTCATTTAATCCTCATGCAACCTTATGAGGTCAGAAATTGCCCAAAGTCACACAGCAAATGAGTAGTGGAGCCTAGATTTGAACCTAGGTCATTCTAGCTCTTTGCACAGTGAAAAAGAATGGCTCATAGGTTGGTGCCTTTGATGTAGCAGATGCCATACTAAACTCCATTTTATGGATGCAGAAACTGAGTCTCAGATAAAGTAACGAGCCCAAGGCCTAAGGTAAGTAGTGGTGAATTAAAATTCAGATCCCCTCCATCTGATATGAAAAATTGTGCTCTTAATGGTCCCACCCTGCTGCAAAGCTCAGTGATTCCAGCAGGGCAGTGGGGCAGGCCAGGTTAGGACACAGAAACAAAAGGCAAACGTTTGAGCCCAGGAGTTCAAGACCAGCCTGGGCAACATGGAGAAACCCTGTCTCTACAAAAAATACAAAAAAAATAGCTGGGCTTGGTGGTGCATGCCTGTGGTCTCAGCTACTCGGGAGGCTGAAGTGGGAGGATCACTTGAGCTCAGGGAGGTCAAGCCTGCAGTGAGCCATGATCGTGCCACTGCAATCCAGTCTGGGTGACAGAGTGAGACCCTGTCTCAGAAAAAAGGACAAACATGTTTCCTCTTCACAGTCACCATTTACGTCACCACCCAGATACATGAGTACTTCTCACGATGGTAAGGCTGGGCAAAGGATGTGGGCCCCACAACCAGCCGGCTTGGATTTGACTCCTCAATTTGAAGAACTATCTGATGTTGGGCTTGTTACTTAACCTCTCTGGGCCTCCGTTTCCACATATGTGAAATGAGGATATTCATGGTGACTGTCTTATCAGGTTGCAAAGATTTGATGAGTCAATCTGGGCAAAACAATTAGGACAGTGCCTGGCACATCATCCATGATGGTTCTTATGAAATATCACTGACAGAAAGACCTAAGAATATCAATCACTGCAGGGTAGGAACTGTGTCTTCATGAGTTATGTCTTTATTCAAGGAGGAAACAAAACAAGGAGAAAAAGAAAAACAACCAAAAATAAAAAACAAAACAAAACATTAAGAGCACCTTCCATATCAGACTGAGGGGATCTGAATTCTAACTGATCACTAACCACCTGTGGGCCTTGGGCCAGCTACTTTATCTGAGACTCAATTTCTGCATCCATAAGTGGAGTTTAGCATGGCATCTGCTACATCAAAGGCACCCAACCTTTTAGCCATTCTTTTTTACAGTGCAATAAGCTAGAAAGACCTAGGTTCAAAACTAGGCTCCACCACTCATTTGCCAAACAGATGAACAGAAAACCTTCAGCTGAGAACTCCTTCTCAGGGCAGCTCAGGCTTCAGCACAATTCCAGGCTCCCCACCCAGGACAGTGTCCTCTGGAGTTTAAGCTGAAGCACCCGCTCATGGGTTGCCCTCCATACACACTGGCCATAAGCTTGGCCAAGCGTGGACCAGATAGAGTGGTCTGTGCCCAGATTGGATTTCAGCACCTTCTCACTAGAGGGCGACATCCCATGGGAGCGCCAGAGAGCTGTGTCTTTGGAGTCAAGCCAACCTGGCAAGGCCAGTTCTATAGTTTCACCTGGAGTTCATGGTTTCACCCTCTGAGCCTGTTTCTTGGCCTGTAAACTGGGGACAGTGATACCTGGATCGAAGCTTTGTTATGAGGATTAAGTGGAAAAAAAGAAAAAAAGGAAAAAAATACCACGTATCTCAAACACTGAGCATATAGTTGGTTTCAATAAAAGTCGTTATTCTAAGTGTTACTGTTAACTTGGTGGCCTCCTCAGGTTAGCTGTCCAGCAGGAATGGCTGCTGGCTGGGTTTTGAGCCTAGCACAATCACCAAATCTCAGCCCCCGAGTCCCCCTGGAAAGGACCCCTGGCTTCACGAGGCCAGTAGAAGAGGCAGCTGAGAGACATTCTGAGGAACGGGGCTGCAGACTCAAGTTTGTGACTCTCAGTACTTTTTTTTTTTTTTTTAGACTGAGTCTCGCTCTGTCCGCCAGGCTGGAGTGCAGTGGTGTGATCTTGGCTCACTGCAAACTCTGCCTCCCAGGTTCAAGCGATTCTCGTGCCTCAGCCTCCCAAGTAGCTGGGATTAGCGGTGTGTACCACCACACCCATTAAATTATGTATTTTTAGTACAGATGGGGTTTCACCACATTGGCCAGGCTGGTCTTGAACACCTGACCTCAAGTGATCCTCCTGCCTTGGCCTCCCAAAGTGCTCAATACTCTTCTTAATTAACTAACAAAGAAAATCAGGCCTGGCTCCTTCTTCTCTGGGGCTTCTTTTCCAAACTAGTGCAGACCCAATTTTTTCACCATCTGCCTGTGGCATGGCTTTGGGCATGGGGAGCCCTCTCTAGTATCCCCCTTATGGCACTATTAGAGCGACTTCATTATGTATAAAGAGAGACCGTGGAACAACAGGACTGGATTTTTAATAAACAGTGAAAGTTTATACATCAAAATGAATTTTATCTTCTTCAAAGGAGTCAGATACCTGGGAGGCTGTGTGCAAATTCTAAACATTTTGTGAACTTTCCCTTTGGGTTCTTCTTTAAAGCCTCTAGCATATTCTTTCTTGCATCCTCAGAGTTAACATGCCCTCTTCTTTTCAGGGTAGATTTAATTTTTGGAAATAGCCAAAAGATATTTGAAGCAGAACCTGCGAAATAAAAGAGGTTAGTCATGCAGGATAGTAATACGTTAGAATCAAAAATAAGGTTATACTTAGAAAATATTGATTTGCCTTTTTGATTTTGCATGTGTATAATCTGGCTCTGAAATCAGTTGCACGAAGTGGACTTCGAAACAAGCCTGAGCAATAGAAGTAGATGTGGAAATAACTTCGGTTTCTCAAGGCAAATACTTTGATAGGAACAAACAACCGTTTAGATATAGAAGATGTGATACATTCCTTTAAAAAGAATTTGACCTTATGTCATTGTAGGCACACCTCATATTTCAATTATTCATATAGTTTTTCTTGAGCAATTGCTGGTTTAAGAATAATGTCATGTCTTTTGCGTGCTTATATCATTTGGATATTTCCTTCCTTCCTTCCTTCCCTCCTTTCTTCCTTCCTTCTTTCCCTCCCTCCTTCCCTCCTTCCTTCCTCCCTTCCTTTCTTCCTTCCTTCCTTCCTTCCTTCCTTCCCTCCCTCCCTCTCTCCTTCTTTTCTTCCTTCCCTCCCTCCCTCCCTCCCTCCCTCCCTCCCTCCCTTCCTTCCTTCCTTCCTTCCTTCCTTCCTTCCTTCCTTCCTTCCTTCCTTCCTTCTTTCCCTCCTTCCTTCTTTCCCTCCTTCCTTCTCAGGCATATGTTGAAACAATTAGACTAAAAGATGATGAAATACTCAAGGTACAAACCAAAGAAGATGGAGATGTCTTTATGTGGTTGAAGCATGAAGCTACCCGAGGCAATGCAGCAGCTCAGGTAAAAACGCAGGCTACTGTCTTGGGGATTCTGTCAGCCATGATAGACTGGGTTATACCGTGGTAATGAAACATCTCAAACTGCAGTGGCTTAAAATAATGCCAGTTTATTTCTCACTCACACTGCATGTCCAATAGGGGTTGTCAGGGGCAGGCCATAGTTGTCACAGTCCCTTAAGAGTCCAAGCTGACAGAGGTTTCCAAAACCATTACAGTCGGGCCATGGCCATAGCGCCTTACCAGCTGGCTAACGCTTCTGCCCACAAGTGGGATATTTCACTGGCCAATGCAAATCACGTGGCCCCTCTTGACTTCAAGTTCTGCCACTCACCCAGAAAGAGGGAAAGCCACAATATTTATGACCAGCTCTAAAGAGTACCATCAGGTGCACTGATGCATCCATCAGATAGAAAAACAAGATGCACCCTGGGGTGCAGGGGAAATTAGACAGCGTCCAGAAGACCATGAACTCAGCTAGGAGAGCAATAGAAAGTCATTTATGGCTTGTTGGACCAAAAGGATCAACCTTGTCTCTTGAACATCTCTTGTCTTTGGATGGACTTTTAAGAGGTACGAGAAAGGGCAGACGGCTGGGGAAGCACCCTCTCTGCTTCCCTGCTTTGATTTCACTATGAAGAGGAGCCCTTTGTGGGAGCCTGTGAAGGCTGATTGCACCAGGAGGAAGCCTCCTTCCCATAGGAAGGATTTAGTTTTGGCTTAGTGCTCCCTGTGAGTGCAGCAACATCGGGAAGAGTCTCTGGGGCTGCTAAGGAGGCTGAAGCCCAGAGATGGGAAAGGGAAAGAAAAAAGAAAGGAGTCACAGGCATTGACAAAGCAGACAGTACAGGGGCTTTTTTTTTTTTTTTTTTTTGATTCAGGGTCTCACTCTGTTGGGCAGGCTGAAGCTCAGTGGCGTGATCATAGCTCACTGCAGCCTCAAAGTCCTGGGCTCAAGTGATCCTCTAGCCTCAACCTCCCGAGTAGCTGGAACTATAGGCATGTGCCACCATGCCATGCCCTGCTAATTTTTAATTTTTTTGTAGAAATGGGGTCTTGCTATGTTGCCCAGACTGGTTTTGAACTCCTGGCCTCAAGCAATTCTCCTGCTTATGCCTCTCAAAGTGCAGGAATTAAGGCCCACCACACCTGGCCCAAGAGGCTCTTCTATAACAGGTCTCCCTCCTCTCTATAGGGGTCTTCCTCACATTTCAGGCGATACTTTGCTGGAAGTTATAAGTATTGGGGAGGAAAAGGGAAGAGAACGAGATGAGAGGAGAAGCAGAAAGAAGGAAGGAAAACAAAGGACCCATGTGGAACTAGAATGTTAACACACGTTGCTCTGGCCACGTTCCTGGGCATATGTCCTTGGTCTGCAGTCTTTCTAGTACAGGAAGGAATTCCAATGTATAGCTCTGGGAATGACTCTGCCAGAGCCATTTCCTGGGTGTGCCAGAGCTTGCATTAACTTTTCTAACCATAGGCACTTCTTTCTTCCTTTGTTCACTAAGAAGTCTTTGTTCAGCAGCTTCTATGACCTGCTGAGCTCTGCTGGGTTGGGGGGCTAACAGACAGGGACAAAGATAAGTAACATCTTGAGGTTCCTCCCTCCCAAGAGCTTCCAGCCTCCAGTCTGATGTTGGAGCCAGCCATGTAGACAAATGATAAGATGAGAGATCAGTGCTATAGAAGGATGCCCTAATGATACAGATGTGCAGAGACCTCCATGCCAATCGCTGGGCCAAAAGAAAGGGCAATACCTCCCAAAAGAGTGCCATTTGAGGAGTTCTGATTATTGACGAAGTTCCAGCTAGCCCTGGTCCTGGGTACAGTAGATACACACACACACACACACACACACACACACACACACACACACACACACACACGAACCATTTCTGGCTTGCATTAAGGGCTTGTATTTACATAAGTCCACATTCAGGGCTCTGGCCTCCAGTTGGAAGATAAAGTGTATCTAATCCTTGGTTCTCAATCTAAAACATCGTAAAGTAGGTTTGCTCTCCCACCTTTCAAAATCTTGTGTTAAGCATTATACAGGAAAAGTCATTGTTCTAAATTGCTATTATCTTTAAGCAACGATTGGCCCAGATGCTGTTCTGGGGGCAGCAAGGTGTGGCCAAGAATCCCGAAGCAGCAATTGAGTGGTACGCCAAGGGCGCCCTGGAGACGGAGGATCCTGCGTTAATCTATGACTATGCCATTGTGCTATTCAAGGTAAGAATCACTTAATTCGTGCTGAAATTGTGCAATTCTTATCAGACTCCTGAGCAGTTTCCTGTGGGCGGGCTGGCAAACAGGGAGTCGATAACTGAAGAAATTTAGTATATGCTTCTGTCACTCTTGATGGAAAAGAATGTTGGCTAAAAAGGCAGAGTCAGAAGCAGTTCCCTGTTCTCATTTTTAATCATTAGTCTTATGTTTGGCACCTGGATTCTCTGTGCTTTCGCAAGAACCACGGCATTCTGGAGGAGACACCCGTATTTTATTGATTGGCGCTCAGCCGCCAGCCCCCACAGGCACTGCAAGTTTGCCACCAGGCAGAGTTCTCTTTTAATTACAGCTTAAACATAGTGTGTAATTGGGCTGGATCCCAACAATCCTGCTGATGAAAATAAAGATCTTGGTTTTAAGCCAACAGGAGAGGGGTGGGAAGAGCCTAGGAGACAAGCGTGAAAGTCCCACCTCTGCAACCATCAGGTATGTCCTTGGAGTCACCTCATCTCATGGGACAGTGGCAATGACCACAAATTGAGTGAGATAATAGGACCAATGAACTTTGGGGACCATAAAATGCCGTGTTCTTTATACAAAATAGTATGGCCTGGCGCGGTGGCTCACACCTGTAATCCCAGCACTTTGGGAGGCCAAGGCAGGTGGATCACCTAAGGTCAGGAGTTCAAGACAAGCCTGGCCAACATGGTGAAACCCCGTCTCTACTAAAAATACAAAAATTAGCCAGGTGTGGTGGCTGTGCCTGTAATCCCAGCTACCTGGGAGGCTGAGGCAGGAAAACTGCTTGAACCTGGGAGGCAGAGGTTGCAGTGAGCCAAGATCGTGCCACTGCACTCCAGCCTGAGTGAGAGAGCCACACTCCATCTCAGAAAAAAAAAATTAGTAATAGTTCACACTGATTGAGTGGTTGTTACCTGCTTTGCATGTATTAGTGCATTAAATCCTCACAACCAACTTACGAGGTTGGTACCTTGGTGTATTATGATTGCTGTTCATTTACATGGAGACAAAGGCACAGAGAAAGGTTTTGTAATTTGCCCAAGGTCACCCAACTGGTATGTTTCTGACCTGGGACTGGGATCTAGGAAATCTGGCTTCACAGTCTGTGTTCATCATCCCCAAATACAGAGACATCAATTCATCAATCTTGGAAAAGTAAAAAGCTTTGGCTTTGGTAAGGAAATTCGTGGACTTATGTCCATATCCAAAGAAAGCAGCTGCCCCCAAAAAGCAAGCATCTTCAAACAAGGCCAGGCCCATCTCCAGAACACAGCTGTGGCCACTCAGTAATTAACCATGACTGTGGCTACATTTCTAACCCTCCCTACCCTATCAAAGCCTGAAAACCTATTGGTTGTTGTGGTTTCCAAATTGAGGTCCCAGACCTTCTCTTTCCAGTTGTCAAATAAACATAGAAATATTTTGAATCTGAGCCATATGTGAATGCATTCATGTGTTTGTTCAATAAGCATCCATTCCATTCAGGGCTGACCAATGCCAGGCTCTGGGCTAGATGGAGGGGCATATGGATGCATGAGTCACGTCCATGACCTCAGGGAGCTCATACACAGAGAGGAAGGCAGAGGACCTAGATCAATAAGCACAGAGGAGCAGCACCTGTCCACCAGAGTGGAGGCCGATCGCTGTCCAAAGATAAAGGCACAAATCAGACATTATCTCTGCCTACCAAGATCTCACAACCTACAGGGAGAGGCAAATCCAGAAATAAATGACTCTGGGAGTGATATAATGCCTTCTCTGGGTTTGCTTTCTCACACCGTAAGACTTTTTTGCAGAGAGGGGGGTTCTGCATTCTTTCTAAGTTTTGTCTGGGTGGGAGGAAGGAAGCCCTTTACTAGCATCTCAGGGAAGATTTCCGCCTGTGGCTAGAAGATATCCTCAAGTGTATTCTGTGTGAAAGAACCCCACGCTGAAAATGGGCTTTCCATATGCAAAGAACAGTACGTGCATTTGACTGTGTGGGGGCATTGGGCTTTATGCAAAGATGGTACCAAGATGGCAGCTGTGGTTCATTCCAGGTAGTTGAGTCCATCTTATCTTGCAGCCACATGAGGATAAAGCTTTGACTTTGACAGCAGCAACTGTCCTCCATCCATTCACTCAGTGGATAGTTACTGAGTACTTACGATGTACCAGGCTTCACATTTCTCTCATTTAACAACTTTTAATACTACTCAGATTCGTGTAGAGTACATCGTCTTTGTGCAAGAAAAGTCATCCCACTTTTGACTCAATAGCGGGTATAGTGTAAACATCCCTATTCTAGAGTGTGTGGGTTGTCATTGCAGCTCTAACTGTGAGACTTTAGCTAAGTCAACTGCTCTGGGCCCCCGTTTTATTTCTTCAAAACAAAAAAGAGTTGGAGAAGATAAACTTATTATACTTCAACCAGGCGCTAACGTTCAGTGATTCTGGTCTTTCTGATGCTTTTCCAGAAGTCCAGAAAGCTTGTCTCCTCCCCTCTCCAGTTACTCCAAGTGTCCTTCTATGTCCTTTTCCCTCTCCTCTTCCTCCCTAATTAAATGAAGCAGTGGTGCCATTCTGAAAAATATTTTCATCTTCCACTTTGCTTCAGTTCATTGGTTTTATTAAATAAGCAAGTTAAAGTCAAGTAGAAACTTGGCATATGTAATTTAACCTTTAGTTGGATTCAGTTTTATTTGGGGTCCTGAAAGATACACAGTCAAGCATATCCTGCATGGTTCCTGGATCCTACAAGGAGGTTATGAACTGAAATAGGCAGAAGAAAATAGAGAGCGGTGGTTACAAGCTTGGATTCTGGAGTCCATTTGTCTGGATTCAAATTCTGCCCCCATTTCCCATTGTGTGACTAAGGGCATATTTCTCAGATGAGAATAACAGCAGCACCTCAGGTAGAGTTGATGAAGCACTTAGACAGTGCTTGGCCAACGTTAATTCACACAGGAACGGTAACTAGCGCTGTTTCCATTTACTATAGAGCTAAGCGTTTAAATAGAGTTTGTAGATGTGTTTGTTGCAAAACCCTCTCCCATCCAAATCACAGGCGATCCTGTCAACTGTTGTCTGAGTCCAGGAGGACCCCATGTGGCACATGGGGATTGGGGGTATCAGTAATTCTGAGTTTGGAAGCAGCAGTGGTTTACAGTCACCTCCACCCCCTTGCCTGGCATCTTTGCTTTCAGATCTATGTCAAGAGATACTCAAGGACCTCCTTCCACTCTACCCTTGAGCACACCATCTCCCCAGTTGTCCTCCAGACATTTCAGTGTGTTCCACAGAGTTTCTCTCTTATGACAAGAACCCCAAAGCCCATGTCTCTCTGTAGTGGACAAACCACCTCATCTGGAAAATCTTGATTTTGCTGGAAGAACCTTGTTAGTTTCTGTTAGTTACATCTGAGGCAACCAATTCTGCTGCCTTCTATCTTCTGTGGAGCCAGTTCTTGAGCTGATTCTGAAGCAACAATGTTCCACCCTGGAGATCCCAGCCAAGGCTGATGAAGCCTGCAAGCGACAACCTGGTAACTCTTGACTGTCCAACACAGATAAAGTGCTTTTTCTGGCTGGCAAATTAGGTAATCCCAAGAGGAAAGCATCCAGGATGACCAAACTCATTTAACCTGATTCATATCTTCCCCCAGTAGTACCTGTGGATTGACAGGGTTGCAACTGACACAGCGATTACTGCTAAGCTGCGAAGTTGAGGTTTGTTGCTTCTGCTCCACAAATATAAGCAAAATAATAATGATGATGATAATGAAATAGCACTACCTATAGAAATCCCTAAGCTTGGGTTTAAATGAAGAAAGTTAGGGTTTTATTTTTAAGTATTTTATATCCAACACTAAAGTGTCTGTATGTGTGCAGTCTGGTTGTATTTTCTTTGTAATCATCGCTGTTTATCAATGTTTAGGGTCAAGGAGTAAAAAAGAACAGACGGCTTGCCTTAGA
This sequence comes from Homo sapiens, assembly GCF_000001405.40. Classification (NCBI taxonomy): domain Eukaryota; kingdom Metazoa; phylum Chordata; class Mammalia; order Primates; family Hominidae; genus Homo; species Homo sapiens. The sequence goes on along the minus strand of NC_000004.12, from coordinate 25,784,252 downwards.
GCTGATGAAGAAAGCAGCTTCCAAGGTAACACATGCATATTGTCAGAGGGAAACAGTTCCACCACACACTCCCACACGCTCTCGCACGTCTAAAAGAGGAAATGGCCAGCCTCTTCCTACAAAGCCCTAAGGTGGAAACGGGGTGGTGAGCAGTTGGTCGCCAGCACGGCACCCCCACTGCAGTGATTAGTCACTTTTTAGTTACAATACATACAGAAACTTGCCACAATGGGGGCAGCAAAATTCAAAAGCTGAATTCACCTTCCAGTCAATAGCATTCGGGTTGATTTTGTTTGAAGGCTAAAATTATAATCAGGAGCTGCCCTGATAACAAGCAGCAGGACCCCTGGAAATTGGATGGGTATTAATGCCATTGAATTCAGGAAACCAGAAGCCTAACTCCTTTGAAGGTTAACTCTGTGGTGCCCGTTTCCCATTTGTTTCCTGTGCATTGATAACAGGGCTGTTTATTAAGTTTATTGCTAGGTTTGGGAATTATTTTGCTTTTGTCACTACATTTAAGTGGTATCTTCAAGTCAGCTAGTTCCTATACAGCTCTACAGAATGGAGGTTACAATGTTGCTTTCGAGGGGCCCCCACCCACACATGCACATACATGCACACATATACATACACACATATGCCCAATGCATGCACAGCCACATGTGCACACTCATGTGTGCATGCATACCGATGTCCAAATAAATAGATTTGCAGAAACTACCGTAAATCTACACCTAGACAAGGCACCTTGTAGCCCTTTTGGCAGCTGGATGTGCCTCCCAAGGCTGCCAATATTTGCCTTAACGATGAAGACTCCTAAAATGACCATGCTGAATTTTCTTCCTCATTGTTGTCTCTTGAGGAGTTCAAAGTTGCATACAGCAGGAAGTTGTAGCATGGAATGAGAGACCTAAAAGATTGTTCCTCCATCTGTGTGTTGTCAAGAGGACACATGACCCAGGAAGAGGGAACCCCCTGATTTGTACTCCAACTCCTGACCCCAACAGAAACTCTAGGGCAGAAGTAGAAAAGTAACTTAATGGTAGTCATGGAAATCATTGGTTCCAGAGCACCCTAAAATGGGGCCATAAGGGGGCTTCTTGGAAGCTGTGAAATTTGCATCTCTGTAGCCATCCTAGTAGTGAATTGATGTCTAATGTGCTTTATTCTGTATCAATTTTAACAGAGCTTAGGTAAGTAATGAGGAAATACAGTTTTATTGATCTGGAATAGTCATGGCCTGAAAAGTGTTATATGATTCTCATTCTTCGCTGCCATCCCCTTCTGCTTCTGCTTCTCCCAGACCCTGAACCCACTGTCAGAACCATGCAAAGAGAGAGCACCTGTGCTGTGCAAGTAGGATGTTGCTGCTGCTTGCCATAGAGTGCGTGTTGGTGTTCAGGGCAGAGGAATCAACAGATGGGCAGGCGGATCACCTAGAAACCATCCCAGTCAGGGCAGGTTTCAGGCCTCAGTTGAGCGTTCATGAATTTCAAGGGCACTATTGATGCGGCAGGGCAATCAGAGGCCTTTTGTAGACAAGCGTGTTGCGTAAGAGCCCAAAGGAGCAGAACAATGATTTGGGGGATAACATTGCTGCAGAGATGGAAGGCAGAATCCCAGCAGCAGTCGGGTGAAACACACCTGGGAAGACTCTCAGGCAGGCTTGTGTTTTCTAGCACTTAGCTTTTCTTTAATGCCATCTGCTCCAAAATAAGAGAAAGGGAAGGTTTTGTTCAGACTTAGGCAGAATGCTTCCACAATAATTGCTTCCAGAGCTCTCTAGATTTCATTTTTCTAAAGTTAATTTCTTTCTTGTTCCAAAATTCAGGGATTGCATCAGGCAGTCAATGGCCTGGGATGGTATTACCACAAATTCAAGAAAAATTACGCCAAAGCAGCAAAGTACTGGTTAAAAGCAGAAGAAATGGGGAACCCAGATGCGTCATACAATCTTGGAGTCCTGCATTTGGATGGCATCTTCCCTGGAGTTCCTGGAAGGAATCAAGTGAGTAGGACTTGAGACCCACTCTGCAACTAGTCAGTCACTTGATCATGAAGCATTTGTTGAAGGTACACTGTGTGCACCAGACCCAACCCCAGACACAGTCCCTGTCCTCGAGGAGCTCAGAGGGTCTCGTAGGAAAACAAGATAGTGAAGAGGAAAGGGTGGCATCTAGCCAAGTGCCAAGTGTGTGGCAAATGGCATGACCCAAAGCTCTGGAGCTGGGAAACAGTGAAAGCCAAAGCAGCCAGGAAGGCTTCTTGGAGGAGGGAGGCTTGAGCTAGAGGGAAGAGTGGGAGATGACGCAGGACAGGAATAAGCGTGAGATGGAGCAGAGACTGATCTTGCTAGAAGCAAAGAGAACTAAGTCCAGATAGGATTGCCTGGTGTGAAACCAGTTTTAATAATAATGAAAACACAATGGCAATCTTTAGTGTTGATTAAGCATTTCCTCTGTGCCAAGCACCATGCAAAACACCCTACCATGTGCCCTCTTATGTAATCCTAATTCTCCTCTGAAATAGCTATTAATACTCTGGTTATGTCCATTTTTCAGACAAGTGACTGAGGTTCTGCGAAGTTAAGTAACGTAGGGTCACACACTTAGTGGAGTGAGGACCTGGCCTAGTGCACAGTGGAAGCCCACTCTATTAATAATAATGTTGATAATAAAAATCGTTAAAAATAAAAACGATTCTCATGCCTCAGCCTCTGGAGTAACTGGGATTACAGGCGTGCACCACCACGCCTGGTTAATTTTTGTATTTTTAGTAGAGATGAGGTTTTGCCATGTTGTCCAGGCTGGTCTTGAACTCCTGGCCTCAAGTGATCCGCCCACCTCCACCACCCAAAGTTCTGGGATTACAGGTGTGAGCCACTGTGCCTGGTCCTGAGCTCCGCTACATTTAACAAAATGTGGTGAATACCCACCCAGTGCCAGGCACCCTTCTGAACACTGAGGACATAGTAGCAGGCAAAACAGTCCCTGATCTTATGAAGCTTTCATTCCACCAGATGGAAAAGACAATAAACAAATAAATATATAATAGGAGGGGAGGTGAAGATCAGTGCTATGCAGAGAACTAAAACAAGTTCAGGAGGGCTGAGAGTGGTGGTTCACACCTGTAATCCCATCACTTTGGGAGGCTGAGGCAGGCAGATCACTTGAGCTCAGGAGTTCAAGACCAGCCTGGCCAACATTTTAAAACTCCGTCTCTAAAAATACAAACCCTCATCACTAAAAATACAGAAATTATCCAGGTGTGGTGGTGCATGCTTGTAATCTCAGGCACTCGAGAGGCTGAGGCAGGAGAATCACTGGAACCCCGGAGGCAGAGGTTGTAGTGAGCTAAGATTGTGCCACTGTACTCCAGCCTGAGCGACAGAGCAAGACTCCATCTCAAAAATATATATATATATAAAATATATATATATTATTTATATATATTTTATTTATGTGTATTTTATTTTTTATTTATATATAGTTTATATATAATTTTTTATTTATATATATTATTTATATATTTTATATATATGTAGGATGAGGGGGTGGAGATTGGGAAATGCTATTTTATAAGGGAAACCAGGGAACCAAGGAAGGCCTCTCTCATAAGGTGATATTGTATAGACTCCTAAAGGAATCTTACAGATATCTAGGAGAACATTCCAGAAGGAAGGAGCAGGCAGTGCAAAGGCCCTGAGAAGGAAGCAGGCTTGGTGTGCTAGAGGAGCAGCAGGGAGGCCAGGGGAGTGGAGTGGAAAGCAGAAGAGATGGAGAGGGTGGGAGATAGGACCAGGGAGGAAGCCGACCAGTCTGAGACTCAGTTTCTGCTCTGAATGAAATGGGAAACCACTGGGCAATGTTCAATGGGGCAACGATGGGCTGTATTTTAAAAGGTTCCTCCTGGATCCTGCCTACCGGAGACATGGACAGGAGCAGGGGGTTCATGCATTGGATCCAAGTGAGAGAGGGCAGTGGGCGAGACCAGGGCAGTGTCAGTGGAGGGGCTGAAACTGGGTTCTACATGTATTTGGAAGGTCGAGGCAGCAGGATTTGCTGAGGGGTTGAATGTGGGGTGTGAGAGGTGGAGAAGAGTCAGGGGTGACTCCAAGGTGTTTGGCATTTGTTGCGTTGGAAGAATGGAAGTGGCATTTATTGGGAGGAACAAGATTGTGGCAGCAGCAGATTTGGGGGTAGGAGGGGAAGAATTGGAAGATTATTCTTTTTGAAGCACTGTGCTAAACCTTGAGAATGTGTTATCTCATTTAATCCTTACAACAACCCTTCACTCTAGGTGCTATCTGAAGGCACATTTTTTAGTGGAAGGAAATTAGGTTTGGAGAGATTAACCAACATGCCCAAGTCCACACAGCTAGTAAGGAGCAGAGTTGGGATTTGAACCAAGCCTGCCTAACTTCAACACCCATGCTTTCAAAAAACAATAGCCAACTGCCTCAGAAAAATAAGAGTAATCTGTGGAAATATACCCATCTACATGTTTGTCTTATTTTTTCCCTCTACCTGTCTCTGATGACATAAGAGGCAGTATATTTTTATGCATAGCAAATGTGTGCTAACCCTCCCAAGACATCTGTGAGTGAAGATTTCTTATTGTCACATTCTAATTCTCACCTTCCTACTGGAAATGCAGTTTTCGCACATGAGTTTGAAGAAAGGTATTAAGCAGGGTTAGGAAAGCAAATGCCTGGATTTTCACCTGGTTTGACTTCTGATATAGTCTTCTATCTAGCCTTCAGGGGGTTATGTGAGGATCAAATGAGATGGCAATGGTATTCATAATTACATGTTGTCTTATTTATTGGGTAAACTTAATCAACAGAATAGATGAGGCAAGGTCATACATCTCAGAGGCTGACTTCTGTGATTGGCTGTCTTCCTGGAATTGTTGCTTGCCCTGGTTTTAAAGCTATCAGAAGTTATAAGCCTGTAATCATATCAGGCTTAAAGCATCTCATCACCTTGTCTCTGGCGAAACCAGCCCAGCTAGGATGACTCGATGTTTGTTCATCTCTTGTTACAGACTTTAGCTGGTGAATATTTCCATAAGGCTGCGCAAGGTGGACACATGGAAGGGACCTTGTGGTGTTCTCTCTACTATATCACAGGCAACCTGGAGACATTCCCTAGAGATCCTGAGAAAGCTGTTGTGTAAGACTCTGTCAAACGTTGCATTTGAAGGGAAAGCCATATCCTATATTCTCTGTGCCTGAGCATTTTTTAAGTTGAGTTCTTTATTTTTACCAGTTGTACATGCATGTAGTTTTAAAAGTCATGTAATTTGACAAGACAAAATTAAAACTTTTAATTAAAAATTTAAAAATAATTTGACAAAGGCTAAACAAGAAATCCTTGCCTACCTCACTTCATCCCACCCCTAGACTCTATTTTCTGCTCCCTAGAATGAATCACTTTCAATCTTTTTTGAAAGATTTATTTTATTTTATTTATTTTTTATTTGTCTCTATTTCTAAATAACATGCTTATACCACTATTTCTTGGTATTTTCATCCGAGGCATTGTCTAATGATGTCCCACTGCGAAGGATAAAGATGTAGTTTTCTTTGACTCTGCCACCTCCCACTACTCAGCTCACTCATACTTCCTGCCATCTTTCATCTTCCCAATAAGTATATCATTTTGGTTACATTAGTATCAGGGTTTACATTATTATGACCATGTAAATGCTATTTCTAACTGAACCATGTAGTATACTCTGATTACTTTTCCTTTCTTGCACAACTTTTTCTTTTCTATGGATTGCTACTTATTTTTTATTGTTTATTTGCTAAGCTTTCTGTATACTTATCATTTTCTATGTATTTGATCTCCAAATTCTCCTCCAGGTGCCTGAATTTCCTCTTGGTATGTCCAGACCTATCTAAATATTATATTAATTTAACCTTCTTGGTGACATCCATCCTGGAGTCTTTGTTCAGGACAATGCTGTCATGCTGAGATTAACTGTCATCATTATGGGTATTTACTTTCCCTCCATCTGTGTCTTTTTTGGTTCTCTTCTTTGTCAGACCCCTTTCTTTCTCTTTCTTGGTCTGCACTTAAATTTTGGTGGAGCACATCCAATAGTAGGTTCCTGAGGTATGGTGAATGGGAGGCACATTTTTGAGGTCTTGCAGATCTGAAAATGTTTTACAGGAGTTGTCAAACCATGACCCATAGATGAAATGTAGCTTGGTACCTGTTTTGTATGGCTCCAAGAGCTAAGAATGCTTTTTACATTCTTGAGGAGTTATAAAACAAATAAAGAAGAATATGCAACAGAGACTATATGTGGCCCACAAAGCTTAAGATATTTACTATCCTGCTCTTTACAGAAAAAGTTTGTCGACCTCTGTTTTAGGCCACCCTCACACTGATACCCTGGCTCTCCAAAAGATTGTTCTTCATAACACATTTGGGTTCAAATTCAACCTGACCTGACCTTGGTGATAAACTTGACTTAGACTGACTTGAAGTTTTTTATCATTGTTATTTAGTATATTTGACATGAATATTCATGTTTTGTGGATTTTCTGTTATCCTCTTGTTAATGATTTCTAGCTTAATTTCACTGTGATCAGAGAATATATTCTGAATGATTCCAATCCTTTGAAATTTGTCAAAGTGTGCTTTATGATTGGTATATGGTCAATTTTGGTATATGTTTTATGGCTTTTTGAAAAGAGTGCACTTTCTGAACTTGCTGGATCAACATCTACATATATATCAGTTACATCAAGTTTGTTAATTACATTATTCAGAGCCTCCCCATCCTTTCTGATGTTTCTTTTTCTGCTTGTTAGTTCAGTTACTGAAAGAAGTATATTAAAATCTCCAACTATATTTGTGGACTTACCTACCTCTCTTTTTAGTTCTGTCAATTTTGCATTATATATCTTGAATCTATGCTATTAGATCACATAGATTTAGAATTGTTTTGTCTTTGTAGTTGATCCCTTTATCATTTTACAATGTCTTCTTTATCTCTGTTGATGGTTCTTGCCTTAAAGTCTATTTTTTCTGATGATCATATAGTTATACCTGATTTTAATGTTAGAGTTTGTATGATTTATCTTTTTCCATTTTTTTGCTTTCAACTTTTCTTCATTCTTAAATGTCAATGCATGGCTCTTGTAAGCAGCATGTAATTGGGTATTTGTATTTTTTAATTTTTAAAATTTTGTATTTTTATTTTTTGTATTTTTAAATTTTCATCTTTAATTGGTGTATTTTGTCCATTTACATTTAATGTAATTATGGATATGTTTGGTTTTAAATATACCATTTTCCTGTTTATTTTCTATTTGTCACATCTGTGGGGGGGTTTTTGTGCCTTTTTTTAATCTCTTTTCTTACCCTTCCTTTGTATTAATCAAGTATTTAAAAAAATTATTCTACTTCCCCTTCTGTTAGCTTTTTAGTTATGCATTCTTAAACTATTATTTTAGTAGTTATAAATCTAAAGATTATAACAGACTAGCTCATTACTAATAAACCCCTAATAAATTAGAGAACAAAGCAAAATAGGGAAAGCTAATAATAAGTCAGTAAACATGACTTAATAGAGTACTAGAACTCTTGGTAGAGATTATATTTTTTCATATTGGTGGATATATTTCATTATGTATCTTACATGTCTTTGTTTCCATAAAAGACAACTCCTAATCATTCATAAGAAAGGGCACTAAATGAAAAGCTCTCAGAATGCATTTTCTTTACCTTAACATTCAGTTCTGGTTTGTTGCTCTATAAAAATTCTAACTAGCAAAATATTCCCCAAGTGGGATTTATTGAGAGCATATGAAGAAAAACATTTTATTAAATTTGCCATGGTTTGCGTATTTTCTCTTCCCTTTTTTTTTTCAGATGGGCAAAACATGTAGCTGAGAAAAATGGCTACTTGGGCCATGTCATCCGCAAAGGCCTCAATGCCTACCTGGAAGGTTCATGGTAAGCTTGGGATCCACGTTAGAGCAAACTTTTTTCCCTGTCTGTCAGTATAGTCTTATGAAATGGAGTCTTAAAATGCAACTGAGAAAGCAATTTGCAGGGAAATCACAGCTCCCAGTAATGATATTCAGAGTATCATGGACTGATTGGCTGTTGATTGGAAAACATAGCATTTCCATGTTTAATTATACACAAAAATTTGTTCTCTAGGGGAATTGTTCACACTCATCAAGTTGAGAAAGATATACAAATACATTGATTTCTCTTTCCTTTAAGCTTGCCCCTCTTGGTTTTAGAGTCTGGTCTGGAGACAGCATAGGGGATCTTAGGTGAGACTCTCTGCTTTTTATTTCCAGGCCACAGAAAGTCCAGAATTTCTACCTTGTTCCTAGCAAGAAGAGAGATCAGTGTTTAAGGTTCAGGCCACCTCTTCCATAGATGTTTTACTGCATCTGCCATGACTAGGAGCCTGGGATTGTTGGAAGTCCAGTATCCAATGGCACAAACAAACAGATGCCCTCCTTCCTAACCTTCTGGTGGAGTTAGCAAATCTCATCTTGTTCTTTATGGGATGAAACATGGTGTATGAGGACCCACAAATGTTCCCTGTTTGCTGTTACTCATAGATTTTACAAATAAGGGACCCCTCTCCTAACTTGACCAGTCTTCTTTCTTTTATTTTTTTCTATCAGTTCTAGCATTCCATTGTTGTTTTAACTTGGGTCACATTTTCTTGGCTGCTTTATTGCTTAAATGATGTGGATATTTCAGTAATAACTAAAAAAAGTCCTCAGTCCACTGCCTCAAAGACATTAGCTGAGACTCAGCATTGATCATACTCTGATTTGAACCTTAATTAAAAATTAAAGTGTAAGTTCAAAAGAATGACATTTTCCCTTTTAGTCCATGGCTGCACACGCAACCAACAGATAGCATCTCAATGAGTAAGAATCTTAAATTAGAAAGTGTAGGAGAAATGAGGCCAATGAAGAAAGCACCAAATGCAAATTTTTATTATCATCATCCTGTGAAAGTTTATTACCTGTGGCCTCACTTTGCACAATCAAAAAGAGATTTTTTTCAGAAAGTTACTGTTTCCCCATCGTAAATGTACCTTACAATTTTTGTGATGCTTTATCTTGTTTCTCAAGTGAACTTCAGTTCATAAAACTCCCAAATTTGACTTTAACTCATTCTCTGCTTCTCGCTTTCCCAACCTCCCACCCTCTGCTCCCTACAAACTTCTTAGGATGAACTAAACATTCAGATATCGGAGTGTTTATTTTTGGGGTTTTCCCAAAGGAAGAGCACTCCTGTAAACACTCCTCCCCAACCCACCCCTGCCCCCATGATGTCTGACACTGTTTTTCTCATAGAGTCTTTGTTAGTTCCTTAGCTTTCTTGCCTACTTTTGTTGTTTTGAAGCTTTTTTGAGATGAAGTCTCACTCTGTCACCCAGGCTAGGGTGCAGTGGCACGATCTTGGCTCACTGCAGCCTCCGCCTGCCGGGTTCAAGCAATTCTCCTGAGTAGCTGGGATTACAGGTGCCCACCACCACGCCCAGATAATTTTTGTATTTTTAGTAGAGAGGGTTTCTTCATGTTGGCCAGGCTGGTCTTGAACTCCTGACCTCAGGTGATTCACCACCTTGGCCTCCCAAAGTGTTGGGATTACAGGCATGAGCCACCTCACCTGGGCCCTGCTTTTGAATTTAATATCACAAAGCACTTTAGCATATTGTAAAAGCTGCTGCGAAGGCCTAGATGAATTAAGATTTCTGTGGCTTGTTCTCTTTCTTAATACTCAGCCTCATCATGGTTTTCTGTTTGGGTGGTTGGTTGGTTGATTGGTTGGTTGGTTGGTTGGGGGAAGGAGAAAGGAGACCTGAAGTGTGTCCTGTACCCTTTGTGAGTTTGGATTCAGTTCCGCAGATTTTACTGAGTACATTTAAATGCAGGTTGCCTGGCCACAGGTTTCGAGAGATGCCTCAAATAGGGCTTAGGGAAATTTGCTGCCTCATCTCTTCTGCAGGCAGGTTCTCATGTGGCCCATATTCTATCTGATCTCTGAGCCCTTGCGCTGGCTTTTTCCTCTGCCCCGGAATCCTACCTAACTCCTTATTTCCTTTTGTTCTTCCATGGATCATGATTGCTTTTTACATGTCAATTGCCTGATAACTTCTATCCCAGTTCCTTACACACTGGGGTGCCTGGAAAGTGTTTGGAAACTACTGATTGAATGAACTAAGGTGAATAGAGGGAACAATTATAGCTCAAGGGCCGTGAGCAGTATGTAAAGATCACTGGGGGTACTTAGGAGGAAAAGATGCCTGGTTTGGGAAGCTTGGGACAGCCTTCATGATAGAAGTAATGGATGAGGTGGTCTTGAAGGATGGGTGGAATTTCCACTTAGCCAGGCAGGGAACAGCATTTATGGTGTAGGGAATTGCAGGAACAAAAGCAAAGAGAGTCTACAAAATACTATGCCATGTGGGTAAAACTTGAGAGGGATATATAATGAAACCAAAGAGGTGCTACTTCATGGAATTTTGAATGGCAGATTATGCGTTTGTGAAGCAGTGGGGAGCCATCAATAGTTTTTTATTTAATTTATGAAGCAGTGGGGAGGCATTGATCATTTTGGAGAGCGTAGTTACATGACAGAGCCTGTTTCTTAGATGCTTATCAAACAGCTGTGTATGGTGAATAGAAGGGAGAGCCTGAAAGGGGAGTTAGTTCAAAAGGAGCCGAGCATTTGAACGGAAGATGTGGCATGAGTCAGTAGGGTGGCTTTTCTCTTCTTTTATCATGTAATCATTGATATGTATGAAGTATATATGATACATACATAACCTCCAAAGAGTGACAATAAAATGAACAGCCATAAAGCTATCACTCTACTTAAAAAAATAAACATGGCCAGTGCTAGTGAAGCCCCTGCTGTCCCTCCCAGATTAAATCCCATCCTACCCCCAGTACCCAGAAGTAACCATCATCCTAGCTTCTTGTTGATCTGCCCCTTGCCCTCTTTATATTTTTGCTATATATGAATATATTCCTAAGAAATGGATTTAGTTTGGCTTATTTCTGACCTTTATATGATTATAATTACTTTATATAACATATAATTCTTCAACTGCTTTTTTTTACTTAACATAATGCTCCTAAGATTCACACATCTTGCTGGGCGTGGTGGTGCACGCCTGTAATCCCAGCACTTTGGGAGGCCAAGGCGGGTGGATCATTTGAGGTCAGGAGTTTGAGACCAGCCTGACCAACATGGTGAAACCCCATCTCGACTAAAATACAAAAATTAGCCGGGTGTGATGGTATGCACCTGTAATCTCAGCTACTCGGGAGGCTGAGGCAGGAGAATTGCTTGAACCCAGGAGGTGGAGGTTGCAGTGAGCTGAGATTGAGCCACTGCATTCCAGCCTGGGCAACAGAGCAAGACTCCCTTTCAAAAAAAATAAATAAATAAATAAAAATAAGATTCACACATTTTGATGCATGTACCTGTAGCTCATTCATATTCACTGCTGTAACAGATCACAATTTATTTCCCAGTTCTCTTGTTAATGAATATTTGGATTCTCTTTCTTTTCTTTTTTTCTTTTCCTTCCTCTCTTTTCTTTCCCTTCTTTTTTTCTTTTCTTTTTTCTTTCTTTTCCTTTCCTTTTCCCTTCTGCCTTGCCTTGCCTTGCCTTTTCTTTCCTTTGTTTTTTAAGATCAATGCGGCCATGAGCATTTTTTATGTATCTCATAGGGCAAATAGAAAGAGTCGCCCTAGAATGTAAACTTAGGAGTGGGGACTCTAGGTCATAGGAGAACATGTTCAACTTACAAGACAATGTCAATTGTTTTCTTAAGTAGTTTCACCAATTTACTCTCTTGCCCACCATATATAAATTTCTATTTCTCCATATCTTTGCTAATCTTGATACAGAAGCTAATTATTTTTAAAGGTATGTCTCAGTCTGGATTTGAAACCTCTTAGTATCAACAGGAAGAAACGTTTTGTATCTATTACAATGAGGAAATCTTTTTCAAAAGATATTTGGGACAAAGTACTTCCATCCATTCCTGCTCTCCAAGCTTTCAAGCCCTCCCCAGGGGTTAAATAGGAAATGTATGTTTGCTGGCCTCCTCACCGTCCAACGTGACATTTTTTTGGTACCATCTATTCTGCTGTAATAGAACTAAATCATCCATCGATGTCCCAGTCCCTCCCCTTTTTTCATTTTTGTGTGAGTGAATTTATTCTAGAAGTTATTTTCAAATTACATGTGTCAGTTTGATGAGCTTGTGCTTTTCTATGTTGTTCCAAGATTTATATGGGATAGTTTAAAAGAGGAGCATGATTAAGGAAAGGGCTTTTTGCTATATCAGCGTAATACAGAAGATAATGTTGTCATGCCTGAGGCTGTCCTCGGACACTCGAAGAAGTTAGCCAAGGAAAGACCAGCTGTCATGTTTCATTTCTCTCTGCCTTACCCCTACATGTGTTTTATCTATTTTATCTGCAAGCTACATGTTTTATTGTCCTTTGTCTTAAGTATACCAAAAACACTTAACCCAGGAGGTTAGCCAGATTATAGTGGGCTTGAGGCAAGGCAAGTAAGCATACATAGCTCCAGGTGAAAGAAATTCACCTTTTTGCAATAGAGCTGGGGTCCTGAATTCCACTGAGACCCCAGGAATTTTTTTTTCATCCTTATAGTCTGAGCTGCTTCAGCCATTGGCAGAAAAGAGCACGTGCAAAATAATATAATTGTGGAGAAACTGCTCAGGGGTACTCAAATTTGTAATTCACAGCAAGCAGCCAAAGGATTGATTATTAAGATGTATCATTATAAAAGTTCTAGAAATGCATTTGCTGGGTCTGAAAGGAGGATAGCAAATGTGTCCTTAAATTCTTTCTTTTCTCTCAATCCCTTCCTCTCTGCACCCATTCCCCTCTCCCTGTCAAAATGGCTGTCTAAGGGACAATTTTACTTGAGTGCATTGGAAATAAAGCTTGAAGCTCTGGTTGACTTTCTAAAGCTTGAGGAAATTCAAGGAAGGACAATAGTTTTGCAGCTTGTCTTTGGGTTTCCTGCAATTAAAAAATGCTGAGTAAATGTTTGTTCTATGAATGTAAGTGTAGGAATATCTGGAATTAATACTTTCAGATAGCGTCTGTTGAAACACAAGTAGGAGCAAAGTGCTAGAAGGCTAAATATGGTCAGGGTTTCTGCAGAGGCATTGTCTCAGAAGTTTTAATAAGCTGTTGAAACACAGTTAAGCAAGAGCAAAGTGCTGGAAGGCTAAATGTGGACAGGGTTTCTGCAGAGGCATTGTCTCAGAAGTTTTAATAAGCTAAAGAAATCTGGTCTTGAGTGGCTAGCCCCCACCTAGAGCTCACTGCTCAGTAGATGTGAACATGGATGGTGGTGGTACACGCATTGGGTGATTGATTGTGCAAGATGAAAAATAGAGGTGGATTTCTTTTTTTCTTTTTTTTCTTTTCTTTTCTTTTCTTTTTTTTTTTTTTTTTTTGAGACAGAGTCTCACTCTGTTGCCCAGGCTGGAGTACAGTGGTGCAATCTCGGCTCACTGCAACCTCCGCCTCCTGGGTTCAAATGATTCTCCTGCCTCAGCCTCCCAAGTAGCTGGGATTACAGGCGCCCACCACCAAGTCCAGCTAATTTTTATATTTTTAGCAGAGACAGGGTTTCACAATGTTGGCCAGGCTGGTCTTGAACTCCTGACCTCAAGTGATCTACCTGCCTTGGCCTCCCAAAGTGCTAGGATTACAGGCATGAGCCACTGTGCTCGGCCCAGAGGTAGATTTCTGTTCAGTGTTTCTATGGATCTCACATGCCTTTTTAGACATCTCTTTCTGATGGATTTCAGTGTTTCCTCAATGGAAATGTTTGAGAATTCTGTAACACTTCCTCCTGGTTTACACAATGATTGGACGATAGAAGTCTATAAAACTTGTTCCTCCCTTCCTTCCCCACCACCAGATCACTTTAGACACAAGATATTATCTTTATAAAGCTTATCATTGTGAATGTTCTTGCAGAGAGTATCAACCTCCATCTCCCCCACCCATTCTGACAACCAGCCTATTGGTTTCTGCAGTTAAGAAAAAATTCTTTTTTTTTAGAGACAGAATCTGGCTCTATCGCCCAGGCTGCAGTGCAGTTGCACAGTCTCGGCTCACTGCAACCTCCACCTTTCGTGTTCGAGCGATTCTCCTGCTTCAGCCTCCCGAGTGGCTGGGATTACAGGCATGCACCACCATGCCGAGCTAATTTTTTTGTGTTTTAGTAGAGACAGGGTTTCTACTGTTGCCCAGGCTGGTCTTGAACTCCAGAGCTCAAGCGATCTTCCCGCCTCACCCTCCCAAAGTTCTGGGATTACAGGCATGAGCAACCACACGCCTGGCCAGAAAAAACCTCATTTTGTTACATTTTAGTAAACACGAGCCACATCCCAGCCAGTTACGGTTAGAGGGCACTGGTCCAATATTTGACCTTGGTTTGCAGGTCTACACTGTCTCCTTTCCTCATCAATCCCTGGTGGAAACTGAGACACCAGTGCAGGCCAGAGTGTCTCTAAAGAAACTTGAGAATTCTAAGACCTTAGGAAGAGGACCTTGTGTCAGAATGAGGGGGACTTTCTGCTGGGCCTCCCTTGCATGCCCTCTGTCTGGGGCCTTGGGTCTGCTCTGAGGATTCTTGTAGCCAAACATAGATTTTGCAGGCTATGTTAGCTAATCCCCAAGCATCCTTTGGGACGTTGTTGCAGCTGCACTTGGAGGCTTGTTATCTGGCTTGCCTCTGCAAGGGATGCTGCTTAGCTGACTTTGTCCCTCTTTAGCCTGAGTCATGGCTAATTGGTCAGCTGCCTTAGGTATCTCAGAGCCTGCGAATTGGCTCCCTCAGCAGCCACGTGGCCTGTGACCTGCAGCATGTCTGACTGAAGGTCTAACTATCCTAATTTGTCCCCCAGCACCTCTCGGTCTCCAAGGGATTGCCTGCCAGAAGCTGCTTTTAGCAGTTTAGAAAAGATAATTTCAGAATCTGCTTCCCTTACTCCCCCTCACCGAACCTTTCCCCACCGTTTCCTAAACCAGTTCCTAGGTGGAGCTAAAATTAAAAAAGAGTTATTAATATCAACTCCTTAAAATGAAAAATAAGATGTAAGAAACTACTTCTGGATAAAATAGAGTTTTACTCTTAAGCTAGGTAACGTATAAAAATTGAGGAAATCAGATAAGTAAAAAGAATAGAATAAAAATTACCTGCATTCTCACCACCCAGAAATAAGTATTGTTAGCATTTTAGTGATAATTTTTAGGGTTTTTTTTTTCTCTGCTTATTTGTATCTGCATGTATATGTGTGTGCATGTGTGTGTTCAGTTATATTTTTGTTTTGCAAAAATAAGATGCATTGTTTTATACTCTGCTTTTTTTTTCACTGAATGGAAATTTTTGCATAAATATTTTGCTATGTTTTTGAATACCCTGCCACACATCATTTTAATGGCCACATCTGAAAGTGGCTGCACTATGGGTTAATTTCACTAGTCTCTGATTTTCAGACATTTGTTTCCAGTTTTTTGTTGCTATTCATATACACAGCTCTACCATGAACTCCGTGGCAACAGAATCTTTGCACATATCTCTGATTGTTTCTTTAGAATAAACCCCCACAAGGGAGAACTGTAGGGCCACATGGTATGTACATTCTTAAGACTCCTCCCGCCTGTCCTTCCAGAACCGTTGAATTAATTGGCCCTCAAGCTGGCAGTAGTTGTAGAGTATGTCCATTCCCCCAAGCTTTTGCCATTATTCCAAATATGAATCTTGTACCAATCTTTCAACAGATGAAAAGTGGTCACTCATTTTGGGATTATTTGATTGCTAGTGGTGTCAAACGTTTCTTTTCTCATACGTGTTTTGGCCATTGATGTATCAACTCCCTTGTGAACTGCCTTTCCTTTGCCAAACTTCTAATGCACAACAAAAGCTCAGCTTTAATTAAGCTTGTTCAGAATCTTAAGCCCTATAAAGCTTTTTATAAAACAGAGGACTCCAAAGCACAGGGGTTTTTCTTAACACCATTTATCTCCTCTAAGCGAGGATGCAAGAAGGATTCAAGAACTGAAGGCTAGTAGACAACTCCCCAGCCAACATCCGACATGCCCTTCAGCCAGTAGAGGTAGCTGTTGCATCAACTAGCTCCCCAGCCTTGTCTGTGAGTTCAGCCTTTAAGACAGAAAATAAATCAGTGCATGCAGTATTTTTAACAATATTTATTTTTAAAAAAACTCACGATTTTGTGGTTTTTTTAAAAAAACTGCTTATTTTGTGCCCTCTTATGTTTGAATGTAAAGCTCTCTGTGAATATTAGTAAGAGCCACTATATGAAATTTATTATTAATCATCTATTTTTAGGCATGAAGCTTTGCTGTATTATGTTTTAGCAGCAGAAACTGGAATTGAAGTGTCACAGACAAATTTAGCACACATCTGTGAGGAGAGGCCAGTAAGTAAATGTATTCTTCTCAGAGTAGAAGCTCTGAGGTTAAGGATAATGAATTGGGTTTTATGGAGGCAACGTTGGTCACTTGGCCGAAATATTAATGAATTAACTTTTTCTTCCCTTTACCCCTTAGGACCTGGCCAGGAGATACTTGGGTGTTAACTGTGTTTGGAGATACTATAATTTCTCTGTTTTTCAAATCGATGCTCCTTCCTTTGGTATGTATAGAAAAACGGTGCAAAATTGAAGCATTAGGTGTTTTTAATCTTTAGTAACAGGGAACATCTGACAGCTTTGTGTGAAGTGAGGTATTTCTAAATAATTAGAAAAGAAAGTGAAAAATCTCTGCTATTAAGATCGCTAAACTCTGCTCTCAGCCTCACACAATGCACTACTCCTCACCCATTGTCCCGTGGAGTGCTTGGACCCAACATTTCTTATTTTTTGATTTTTATTTTTGGAGACAGTCTCACTCTGTTCCCCGGGCTGGAGTGCAGTGGAATGATCTGGGCTCAGTGCAACCTCCACCTCCCAGGTTCAGGTGATTCTCCTGCCCGAGTAGCTGGGATTTCAGGTGCCCACGACCACGCCCAGCTAATTTTTGTATTTTTTAAGTAGACATAGGGTTTCACCATGTTGGCCAGGCTGGTCTCAAACTCCTGACCTCAGGTGATCCACCTGCCTTGGCCTCCCAAAGTGCTGGGGTTACAGGCGTGAGCCACTGCACCTGGCCCCCAACATTTCTTCTGAGTCAATGAAAATGTAAAAGAGAACGCTATTATGGAGCAATTCTCTGGGCCAGTCATTTGTGCGGATTCCTCTACGCTGCTCTGCATGGTGGGGGACTGGCCTCCAGGAACTACAGTTCCTGGACTCCTCTACCCACCGGCTTCTGATTCCTTTCAGGCAATAAGAGGCACTGGCAGAAGATTGCAGGATGGGAGAAGAAGTCCAAGTACTTCTACCTTTGTCTCTCTGCTTTGGACTGTGTCTCTGGCAGTGGCTACATTTCCATGGTTCCAGCCCCTGCCTGGCAGCTCCACCCTCTTTGATCTCAGCACCAGGCTCTGGGTCTCTGGTAACATCACAGGCACCCTCTGGTCCCCAAGTCCTGGGGATGATAGTAGCCTTCTCACTGCTGATCTCTGGGCTGCCTATTGTTTTCCATTTGCCTTTTCAGCTCTCCCAACATCCTAGTAACTACTTCCCCATGATGAAATTCCTCTTTTGAACCACTTGAAACGGGTTCTGTTTTCCTTATTGGACATTGACTAATACATACACCCTTTTTTTTTTTTTTTTTGAGATGGAGTCTTGCTGTGTCGCCTAGGCTGGAGTGCAATGGTGCTATCTCGGCTCACTGCAACCTCTGCCTCCCAGGTTCAAGCGATTCTCCTGCCTCAGCCTCCTGAGTAGATGTGATTACAGGAACGCACCACCATTCCTGGCTAATTTCTGTATTTTTTAGTAGAGGTGGGATTTCACCATGTTAGCCAGGCTGGTCTTGAACTCCTGACCTGCAGTGATCTGCACACCTTAGCCTCCAAAAGTGCTGGAATTACAGGTGTGAGCTACGGCACTCAGCCGATACATATACTCTTAAACACAAGTTTTTCTTCAGAGGAAAAATAAAATACATGGCTAAAGCAAAGAGTTACCAAAAACAGACATCAAAGATGAACAGCAAAATTTCAGATGTGAAGTAAAACACCCAAAACAACCTTGGCTGATTTGGGCAGCAAGGTTGTAGACTGAGATTTAGCTATTCAGGAGAGCTACCTGGCCAAATAAGAAACTGTCTAGAGTCCAGGCACGGTGGCTCACACCTGTAATCCCAGCACCTTGGGAGGCTGAGGTGGGAGGATTGCTTGAGTCCAGGAGTTCGAGAGCAGCCAGGACAACATGGTGAAACCCCGTCTCTATAAAAAATACAAAAATTAGCCGGGCGTGGTGGCACACTCCTGTAATCCCAGCTACATGGGAGGCTGAGGTGGAAGGATCACTTGAGCCCAGGAAGTCAAGGCTGCAGTGAGCCCTGATCTCACCGCTGTATTCCAGCCTAGGCAGCGGAGACCCTATCGCAAAAAATTTAGAAAAAAAAGAAAAAAAATATGTCTAGAAATAGGGATGCTCTGGGCAAAAAGCCTTTTTGCTTGTTTCTCTCTTGACACATCAGGGAAACATAAAGATGTTCTGTATTCAGATACTAATAGGAAAAACTTGCATTCATGTGAATGCGCCAATAATTTAAAATGTTGGTATAAAAAAAACCACTTGACAAATGGATCTGTGCTTTATTTCCTGCAGCATATTTGAAGATGGGAGACCTTTACTACTATGGCCACCAAAACCAGTCACAAGACCTGGAGTTGTCTGTGCAGATGTACGCCCAAGCCGCCCTGGATGGAGACTCCCAGGTAAACAGCAACCGCAACAAAAACCAGCTCTTGGCCGGGCACGGTGGCTCATGCCTGTAATCCCAGCCCTTTGGGAGGCCGACGGGGGCGGGTCACTTGAGGTCAGGAATTCGGGACCAGCCTGAGCAACATGGCGAAACCCCATCTCTACAAAAATACAAAAATTAGCTGGGTGTGGTGGTGCTCGCCTGTAGTCCCAGCTACTTGGGAGACTGAAGCAGGAGGATTGCTTGAGTCTGTCAAGTCAAGGCTGCAGCAAGCCGTGATCACACCATTGCACTCCAGCCTGGGTGACAGAGCAAGACCCTGTCTCAGAAAAAAACTCAGCTCTTGGTGACATCCATTTGTGAATTTGCAAAACCAGAATTCTTCCTAACCGTCCTTTCAGTGTGTATACACTACACAGTTTACAAAGCCATTGTTCATCCATTTTCACATGCCCCTCAAACAACTCTATGAGGACACTAACAATAAGGGTGAGCCTTTATTAAACACCTACTGTGTCCCCCACGCCATTCTCACATAATCCTGTGGGGGTGCGGATTATTATACCCTATTTATAATCAAAGATAATGAACTGTTCAAGACCAAATAATCAAATGGTAAGCAAAATGCCCAGCTCCTAAACCTGGATCTTTGGCTCCAAACAGAAGGGTGTTTCTACCAAATTACATCAAACTCACTCACCAGGTAGAAACTCAAGAAATTAGCAGTGCATCCACAGTAGGAAGTGTTTTGCTTGTACTGTTGGGCTTTGCTTAAGCGACAGAGTTTTTCCCTCAGTGATTTTTTTTGGAAACTTCTTATTTGAAAATAATGTTAGATTTGTAGAAAAGTTGCAAAAAGAGGTGAGAGTTTCTGTATACCCTTCATTCAGCTTCCCCTAATGTTCACATCTGACATAACTGCAATGCCATTGTCAAACTAAGATATTAATGTTGGGACAGTATTATTAACTACACTTCAGACTTCATGTAGATTTCACCAGTTTTTCCACTAATATCCTTCTTCTGTTCCAGGATTCAATCCAGGATCCCACATTAGATTGAGTTGTATATTTCTTTCCAATCTTCTCCAATCTATGACAGTTCCTCAGTCTTTTCTCATCTTCATGACTCTTGATACTTGAAGAATGCTTGTTAGGTACCTTGTAGAATGTCTGTTGATTTGGGTCTGTCTTCTGTTTTCTCTTGAATAGATTGAGGTTATACATTTTGGGCAAGAATTTTGCCTATTACGATTATTACCATGCTGTTCTAACGATGATTCTCAATTTCCCTTATTCCTTCTACATTTGCTACTTGGAATCCTCTTTTGAGAACCTCAGAATCATTTTCATGATGGAGGTTTGGATAGTTGTTACCCTCTGCTGCAACGTATTTCTGGTGTTGTGCTTTACAGTCTGACCACTGAGCAAAAACTGGAAACTTATCCCTGTATCAATCTTTGGTGGGATTTTTTTGTTGTTGCTGTTTTGTGGGGTTTTTTGAGACAGGGTTTCACTCTGTAACCCAGGCTGAAATGCAGTGGCACACTCAGCTCACTGCAGCCTTGGTCCCCCAGGCTCAAGCGATCCTCCTACCTCAGCCTCCTAAGTAGCTGGAAATACAAGTGCATGTCCGGCTAATTTTTGTAGTTTTTGTAGAGATGGGGTTTTGCCATGTTGCCCAGGCTGGGCTTGAATTCCTGGGCTCAAGTGATCTGCCCACCTTGGCCTCCCAAGGTGCTGGGATTACAGGCATGAGTCACTGTGTCCAGCCAATCTTTTCTATTTTTATTTTATTTTTTTAATGGAGGTACAACATCGCAGTGGTCATGTACCTGGGTTAAAATCCCACATCTCTCTCACTCCATAGCTCTTTGTTCATGGCGAGTCACTAAATCTCTGAATCTCTATTTGTGCATGTGTAAATGTAAATGGGGGTAATAAGAGCATCTGCCTCATAGATCGTGAGGATTAAATGAGATGTTCAGTGTAAAGCTCTAAGCCCAGTGCCAAGTACACTCAGTGGACATGATCTATTCTGTTATCATTTCTTCTGAAAAGAAGGAGTTACTGCTAAAGGCATTTGCTATAGAAATAAACTCCCTTAGGTCATATTTCCTGTCACTTAAAATTGGGCCTGGATTTTTTTTTTTTCAATTTTTATTTTTACTGTTTGGGAAGCCAATGTTACAAAAACAATAAAGGATAATTTTTTCAAGAAAAATAAACCAAAGAATGCACTGACAATTCTATGGCAGGGGTTTTACTCCTTTATGTCTTCATGTTCCCTTGCAGTCCCTGCCCACAAGCAGATGTATCTGTCATGTTATCTATAGTGTGCCTGTCACTTTTTTTTTTTTTTTTTGACACAGAGTCTCACTCTGTCGCCAGGCTGGAGTGCAGTGGCATGATCTCGGCTCACTGCAACTTCCGCCTCCCAGGTTCAGGTGATTCTCCTGCCTCAGCCTCCCGAGTAGCTAGGACTACAGGCGCGCCACCACACCCAGCTAATTTTTGTGTTTTTAGTAGAAACGGGGTTTCACCATGTTGGGCAGGATGGTCTTCATCTCTTGACCTCGTGATCCGCCCACCTTGGCCTCCCAAAGTGCTGGGATTAGAGGGGTGAGCACCGCACCTGGCCACCGGTCACTTTTAAAATCTGTCTTATCATTTATTGTAGGATTGTGTGCATTTTATTACATAGTCTCTAATTATTAACCCTAATAGCTGCCCCATATTCTGTTGAGCTGATACATTATAATTTCTTAAGCTTTACCTTATTGGTGGATGCTTATCCTTTTGTTTACTAACTTATTTATTGATTTGACACATATTTATCTATAGAGTCCTACCATGTCTTAGACAGTGATTAGTGGTGGGGACATAAGATAAAAAGATAGATCATACTGTTGCCTATATGGGATTTATAGTCTACCAAGGAAGACTTGGAGGTGGTTTCCTCTTGTGTTGGAATTACAGCTAGTGCTACAATGAATATTTTTATATTTCCATATTTTCTCTTAGTTTGAATACTTTCCTTATAATCTGAGAAATAGTATTATTGAGTCAGACAGTCTAAATGGTTTTATGAGGCCGGGCACAGTGGCTCATGCCTGTAATCCCAGTTCTTTGGGAGGCCAAGGCAGGCAGATCACTTGAAGTCAGCAGTTTGAGACCAGCCTGGCCAACATGGTGAAACCCCATCTCTGCTAAAAATACAAAAATTAGCTGGGCGTGGTGGTGCAAACCAGTAGTCCCAGTTACTTGGGAGGCTGAAGCAAGAGAATCTCTTGAACCTGGAAGGTGGAGGTTACAGTGAGCTGAGATCATTGCACTCCAGCCTGGGCAACAGAGTGAGATTCCATCTCAAAAAATAGAAGTAAAAATTAAAAAAAAATAAATGGTTTTATGACTACATGATAGCATGCTGCCATTTTGCTTTCTGAAAGGGCTTTCCATTTAATACCTCACCGATCAGTGTTTAAGTAGAGAAGGATGACTGAAATCTTTCCAGCAAGTGGATGCTTTCATGATTTAATTTTGCTAATTGAATAATGATATGTTGATACTTTCTTACTGTTTTTAACTTGCATTTACTTAATTACTAGTGATGATGGACACTTTTACATATACTAGCTTGTGATAATTTACTTTTTACATTTTCTTTTTTGTAAATTCTGTATTCTTATTCTTTGCCTATTTATCTGTTGGAATTTTGACACTTTTGAAAATTTAAACCATAATTAGTTCTTTATATATTTATCTAGCAGATAAGGAACCTTAAGCTATTACATTGCATACGACTATTCCCCTACTCTATTTTCCCACTTATTTTAATCTTGGTATTATTCCATTGATTAGAGACTTTAAAATTTCATAAAGCTGGCTGGGCGCGGTGGCTCAACCCTGTAGTGCCAGCACTTTGGGAGGCCAAGGTGGGCGGATTAACTGAGGTCAGAAGGTCGAGACCAGCCTGGCTGACATGGAGAAACCTCGTCTCTACTGAAAATACAAAAATTAGCCATGCGTGGCTGTGGGCACCTGTAATCCCAGCTACTCAGGAGGCTGAGGCAGGAGAATCACTTGAACCCAGGAGGCGGACGATGCACTGAGCCGAGATCACACCATTGCACTCAACAAAACAAAACAAAAAATCATAAAGCCATTTTTTTCTTTTCTCTTAATATCTCAAATTTTAAGAGTGCCTTCCTTTCAAAGAGTGCAGAAATAGTCTATTTTCTGCTGTTGTGTGAGTGTGTGTGTGCATCTTAAAGATACTTAACGCTTCATCTATTTAGAGGTTATTCTTGGCACCATGGTGGAGTTTAAGATTTGAGACTCTGCACCCTGTCCTCTTGTGTTTGACGCTCCAGCTCTGCCACTTTCCAGCTGTGTAACCTTGGGCAAGTTGTTTAACCACTCTGTGCCTCGGTTTCCTCATCTATAAAACAGGGAGGATAAGACTACCTATATCGATTTGTTGTTATGAGGATTAAATGAATAAATATAAAAAGCAGAACAATGCCTCGCATATGGCAAGCACTCAAAACGTGAGCTGCTGGTATTTTTATCATGATTGCGACATACGATGGTTGTGAAAGTCCTGGAGTATGCAACCTGGTAAATGATGATTTTCATTTAGATTGCGGTCAGAGGCAAGGTCAGAGGGAAGATATAAGCCATTAGATGTGATCGTGTCATAAGGGAAGCACAAATCAAAACCACAGTGAGGCACCATCTCACACCAGTCAGAATGGTTATTATTAAAAAGTCAAAAAAGAACAGGTGCCGGTGAGGTTGCAAAGAGAAATAACACTTATGCACTGTTGGTGGGAGTATAAATTAGTTCAACCATTGTGGAAAGCAGTGTAGCAATTCCTCAAGACCCAGCAATCTCATTACTGGGTATATACCCAAAGGAATATAAATCGTTCTGTTATGAAGACACATGCACATGTATGTTCATTGCAGCATGATTCACAATACCAAAGACATAGAATCAACCCAAATGCCCATCAATGGTAGACTGGTTAAAGAAAACATGGTACATATACACCATGGAATACTATGCAGCCATAAAAAAGAATGACATCATGTCGTTTGCAGGAACATGGATGGAGCTGGAAGCCATTATCCATAGCAAACTATGCAGGAGCAGAAAACCAAACACCACATATTCTCGCTTAGTGGGAGCTAAATGATGAGAACACATGGGCACATAGAAGGGAACAACAGACACTACACCTAAGGGTGGAGGTTGGAAGGAGGGAGAGGATCACGAAAAATAGCAAATATGTACTAGGCTTAGTACCTGGGTGACAAAATAATATGTACAACAAACCCCCATAACACGTAACAAAATAATCTGTATGACAAACCTGTACATGTACCCCTAAAGTTGAAACAGAAGTTAAAAACAAAACACAAAAAACATGATCCTGAGTTCTTTCAATGGCAACAATCCAGTTTAATTGGTCAAGTTCTAATGGTAAGTACCACATCGTTTATTGCTTGTTTCTTAATCTGGCCACCTGCTCGGCTTGTGATGGAGGGTGTGCATTCTCCAGGCAGTGTAATAGTACCCATCCTTTATGAAGCATGTCTTTGGTCGGGCCCTCTAACTGTGTTTATTTTATTGGATCCGTACAGCCCAATAAGACAGGTCTTACCTCTAAGGATCAAGAACAAGGTGTCAGAGGAAGAGGTAGGAAAATATACCATAGTGGGAATCTGTGCCAAGAGGAGTCATGAGAAGAGGTTTCTGCACCAGCCTAGGAAAGTTGAGATGAGTGCCCTTAGGTGATCCCGTGCAAGGGAGGCACCGCCTTGGGTTGTCAGTCATTGGAAGCCGCCCTAGCCACAGAAATATTTTGTCAGATTTCCAACAGGGCTATGGCAACTGAGGGCATAGTCTGTAGGCAATGGACATGGTATTCGACTCAGTATTCTTGTTTCGTTTATGATACAAGGGCACGTTTTCCAGTAAGTTCTATTCTGAGAGAGTGAGCGAGAAAGGACGGATCTCCCGGTTGACTGGCTTCGGAGCAGATGGGACACAGCAGCTTCTGAAAGCCTCCTGGTTCTCCTGCAAATAAATTTCTCAGATGCATATATTTAGGGAAACAATTCATCAATGAAGATGACAAAACCATCTGGCTCTAGAGACTTAAAAAAAATTTTAGAGGTTGTAAACATTTACATTCTGATGAAGAGTGTGTGTCTAGGTTTTATTTCAAGGATTTGATGAGTTTGGTTTGTGGCTTGTTTTTAGGGATTTTTTAACCTGGCCCTGCTAATCGAGGAAGGTACGATAATCCCACACCATATCTTGGATTTCTTGGAAATTGACTCAACTCTCCATTCTAATAACATCTCCATTCTCCAGGAACTGTACGAAAGGTGAGCTCAGAGCCTCTAGAACTGTGGAATCTGAGGGAACCCAAGTAGATGATGTTCGCTTCTTGGTTAAAGTTAGCTTTACCCTTATATTGTAATGTAAATTGTTATTTAAAAAACAAAAACAAAAAGCAGGGCACCGTGGCTCATACTTGTAATCCCAGCACTTTGGGAGGCTGAGGCGGGCAGATCACTTGAGGTCAAGGGTTCGAGACCAGCCTGGCCAACCTGGCAGAACCTTATCTCTACTAAAAGAAAAAAAAAAAAAAGAAAGAAAAGAAAGAAAAAGCCCAGGATTTTCTTCTACTAGAAAACATTCAGCCAGACCCGAGTGTATTTCTCTTTTCTAATATCTGAAGTTTAAGATATAGAAGGTACTTGATCGGAAGTTCAAGGGCTGACCAGAAATTTCCACGAGAATGGAAAGAATAACAATCCGATTAGCCTATGCTTGTCTCTTGTTTGTTTATTTTGAGACAGGGCCTTGCTTTGTCACCCAGGCTGGAGTGCAGTGGTGCGATCTCAGCTCACTGCAACCTCCACTTCTTGGGTTCAAGTGATTCTCATGCCTCAGCCTCCTAAGTAGCTGGGATTACAGGTGTGCACTGTCACACCAGGCTAATTTTTGTGTTTTTAATAGAGACAGGGTTTCACCATGATGGCTAGGCTGGTCTCGAACTCCTGGCCTCAAGTAATCCACCTGCCTCAGCCTCCCTAAGTGCTGGGATTACGGGTGTGAGCCACCATGCCCTGCGTAAATAGCCAATGCTTTTTTGAAAGATGAGGCATTCCTACATCTGTGCTTTAAACAGAAATACTGTTCTAGTGGGTCCTGTTCTTCAGCGTCTTGCTTGACTTTTATTTTATTTATTTTTAAGTTTTTGCTGTCATCACAGCAGAACAGACTTGACTCTTAATTAAGCACAAAACTGACCTTTTTCTAAAATTTCTACTGGGATTCTAGAATTTCAGATCAGGCCAAACCACTTATTTGGCCACTGGCTTTATTTCTTTGTCTCTCATCTTTGTCAGTTGAGTGTGCTCATTTGTCCAAAAGCAGAAGAATGTAGGTTTGTGGATCTGAAAATGCCAGTCCTGAGTCGTGCCACCAAAGTTGGCTGACACGTCAAGATGCCCTGGGCTTTGTCTGCAGGTGCTGGAGCCACAGTAACGAGGAGTCCTTCAGCCCCTGCTCCTTGGCCTGGCTTTACCTGCACTTGCGGCTTCTCTGGGGTGCTATCCTGCACTCAGCCCTGGTAGGTTTCATGTCCCACCGGCCCCACCCTTGTGGCCCCTGCCCTTTGTCAGTCACTAATGCGTGCTTCTGATGTTTGCAGATCTACTTTCTGGGAACCTTTCTGCTATCCATATTGATCGCCTGGACTGTGCAGTATTTCCAGTCTGTCTCAGGTAAAGATTTATAAAAAGCGAAAGCAATATATTAAAAAAAAAAAAAGCAGGGATTTTTTTTTTTTTTTTTTTTTTTGGTCTACTGGAAAAATTGTGTTTTCCCTCCTGGTGCTGTTGGTCATGCTATCTCCTATCCCTAGGGTGGTCTTCACAGGGTGGGAATCCTTCTAGAGGTGTATGAAATTCCTGGCCGGTGGGAGGCCACAAAGTTACTATTGTATTTTTCAAAATAAGGATTTTATTTTTTATTTTATTTTGTTTTTTTTGAGATGGAGTCTCGTTCTGTCGCCCAGGCTGGAGTGCAGTGGTGTGATCTCAGCTCACTGCAACCTCTGCCTTCTGGGTTCAAGCAATTCTCCTGTCTCACCCTCCCGAGTAGCTGGGACTACAGGTGTGCGCCACCACACCCGGCTAATTTTTGTATTTTTAGTAGAGACGGGGTTTCACCATGTTGGCCAGGCTGGTCTCGAATTCCTGACCTCAGGTGATCTGGCTGCCTCATCCTCCTGAAGTGCTGGGATTACAGGCGTGGGCCACTGCACCCAGCCTCAAAATAAGGACTTTCTTTAAAAAGCCTAAGAAACTGACCTAATACAATTTCTTCCATTGAAAATTTATCTGTCAGAATTCTGCCTCTGTGTGCCTGAAAACACAGCGCCAAAGCTCCTGGCAGCATGAAGTCTTCCCTTTCATTTCAGTCAAGCAATCAGATGTGTAAGAGGATAAACAAACACTCGTAATGAATAAAAATCCTCGGCCACACGGACTCAGAGGGAGGGACTGAGCAGGAATCGTAAAGTGGGCATTTAGCTGAGCATGGTTTCCACTAATCATTGTTATTTTTCTGAGCCAGTATAGAATAGTTAAGGACAAGGGAGCCCTGCTTGCTTCTGTTTGGGCTTAGAGTCCAGGCTTGGCTACTCATTAGCTGTATGACTCATGGCAAGTTATTTAACCTTCCTGATCCCCAAATTTCTCATCAATACAATGAGGTTATGAGAGTAGCTACTTCCTAGGAACATAAAATGAAAAAAATATTAAGTGAAAAAAAATGCACGTAAGATACTTACCAAAATGACGGCTGTAGTTAAACGTTAGCTGTTATATTTATCTGGCATATAAAACCTTCTCAATAAATGTTAGCTCTTACATTTACTCCTCTATTAGACCATAAGCTGAGTAAGAGGAAGGCCCCAGTCGTGTCATTTGTGATAACTCATGCATAGTAGGTACTCACACCCACAGACGACTCCGGTCTCTCAAGAGACAAGAAAACTGATTTTTTACCATCTCGGACGGCTACAAAAGGGTATAATAACTCATGAAGGCAAACAGAGACATTTACAAATGGGTAGATTAGGACTGGACATGGCATTGGAGCATTTGCGTAGCTGTTATTTCTGTAGCAGATAATGGAAAGTGAAAGGGGTGCACGTCAGCGTCTCTTCCACGGTGAGAAGGAAGTCACTGTTGCAAGAAGCTAATGCGAAATCATTTCTCTCTGATTTACCTGAGGAGGTTAACAAGGACCCATCAAAACCTTCCAGGCTTGATGCCCCATAGTCTGCTGGTTAATAAACTTCACTCATGCAAATTCTGTCCCATCCTTAAATTTGTTGCCAGGTATAGTCATTTATTTTGCATCTTGTCAGTGTTTTCCATTTCAAATTGTCTTTGTCATTTTTACTCTGTAGAAATATTGTGATGATTATTACAAATGCAGTTCCGTTAGAGGAGCTGAAATTTGTCTTTGTGATTTTATGCCAGCTGGTAGCCATGAAAATTCATGGGCGGGTGGAATTGCTTTGATCAGAAGTCATCTCTTTTTTCTGTCTCCATGCCTTCATTATCAGTCTCTCCACATTCTTGTCTCCGTGTCTCTCCTGTCCTGTGATGTTTTGCTCTTCCTATATCCCCATAGTTCTTTCATACATTTTCGTCATTTTCTCAAACTTTTTCAATTGCTTTCTCCAGCACATACCTACTTCCTGCTTGACCAGCCTAAAGAAGGCTATGTCTGGATAGGATCAATCATAAAAATTATTTAATTCTATGCCCTTTACTTTACAGATGAGGAAACTGAGGCAGAGAGGCGAAGTAGCTTGCCCAAATAAAGAAATAAAGACCAGGAGACCAGACGCAGTGGCTTACTGCTATAATTCCAACATTTTGACAGGCCCAGGAGGGAGGATCACTTGAGCTCAGGGGTTTGAGACCAACCTGGGCAACATAGCGAGACCCCATTTCTAAAATAAAATAAAATAAAATAAAATAAAATAAAAATTAGCCAGGTGTCATTGCACATGCCTGCAGTCCTGGCTACTAGGGAGGCTGAGGCAGGAGAATTTTTTGCACCCAGAAGTTCAAGGCTGCAGTGAGCTATGATCACACCATGGCACTCCAGCCTGGGCAATAGAATGAGACCCAGTCTCTAAAAAAGTAGAAGTTAAAAAAAAAGATTAAGAATAGATGTAGGGCAGCAGAATTTCGAACTTCTTTTCAGCATCACAATACTTTAAAACAGTGATTGTCATCTGCCTCAAACCCATTGCCTCTCACATAGGAAATATTTTGAAACATATTTTTTAGTACCTTGAAATGAAATTCATGATAATTAACCCATCTACACACATTTTTAAAAATCAATATAGGGCCCTAACAGCAATATAAAGGGGAAATAAAAAGAAACTAATTGTAATAAAATAATATTGATTTCAATAAGTACATTCTAGCCCAGTGCTTATAAATTTTAATGTGCATATGAATCATCCAGCATTCTTATTAAATGCAGATTCTAGTTCAGTAGATTTTGGTTCAGTAGGTAAGCCCTGAGATTTGGCATTTCTAGCAAGCTCCTAGATGATGCCCACACTGCTGTTTAGTAAGAGCATACTTTGAGTAGTAAGGGCCGAAAAGTATAAAAAAAAAGAAAAAGAAAAAAACTCCACACATTTCCAAAATGTGCCCCGACAGTGGTACCTGCCAGCCCTGTTAGAACTAATGTTAAGAGTTGAAATATGGGACGGGTATGGTGGTTCACTCCTGTAATCCCAGCTACTTGGGAAGCCAAGGCATGAGAATCGCTTGAACCCCGGAGACGGAGGTTGCAGTGAGCTGAAATTGCACCACCACGCTCCAGCCTGGGCAACAGAGTGAGACCCTGTGTCAAAAAAAAAAAAAAAGTTGTCAATAATTTTTATATTTATTTATTTATTTATTTTATATATTTTTGAGATTGACTTTCGCTCTTGTTGCCCAGGCTGGAGTGCAATGGTGCAATCTCAGCTCGCCACAACCTCCACCTCCTGGGTTCAAGTGATTCTTCTGCCTCAGCCTCCCGAGTAGCTGGGAATACAGGCATGCGCCACCACGCCTGGCTAATTTTGTGTTTTTAGTAGAGACAGGGTTTCTCTGTGTTGGTCAGGCTGGTCTCGAACTCCTGACCTCAGGTGATCCACCCACCTCAGCCTCCCAAAGTGCTGGGATTACAGGTGTGAGCCACTGCAACTGACCTTATTTATTTATTTATTTATTTATTTATTTATTTATGTTGAGACGGAGTCTCACTGTCGCCCAGGCTGGAGTACAGTGGTACAATCTCAGCTCACTGCAACCTCCATCTCTCGGATTCAAGTGATTCTCCTGCCTCAGCCTCCTGAGTAGCTGGAATTACAGGTGCACGCCACCACCCCCAGCTGATTTTTGTACTTTTAGTAGAGATGGGCTTTCGCCATGTTGGCCAGGCTGGTCTTGAACTCCTGACCTCAAGGGATCTACCTGCCTTGGACTCCCAAAGTGCTGGGACTACAGGCATAAGCCACTGTGCCTGGCCTATCAATAATTTTTAAGTAGGAAGTTACTCCAGCAGTACAGTGAAGCTGATGGGATGATGGGGCAGGGAAATCGAGGCATGGAGGAGGTGAGGAGAAGCTGCTGCAAAGGCGATGCTGCTCAGAGACCAAGTTTCTACCATTTGGTGTCTCCCCAGTGAGCTGGTGCACAAGGTCCTGAGACCTGCCCCACAGCTGGGGGAAGACAGGGATGGGTGCATGTAGCAGCCATGGCGTTGTGAAACAAACTTAATAATGAACTCTGGGTGCTGACTGACTGTAAAAAAGAGGAAATGTATTTGAGAGTTAGGAGCCTCCCGTCAGCAGCTTTGGGTGAGGATTGTTGCTATAAGTTAGAGAGCTTTGTCATTTTGTGATTTGCATTTTTTCCAGTCAGTTGTATTTAAAAATTAATGATTTATAGTCAAGACTTGCAGTTGAGCTGTCCATCCATTTTGCGTTCAGCTCCAACTACCTTCATTTTCCTCCTGAGTTTATATGCTCTGTGATATATAGTTGACACATCATGGCATTTGCCACATTAAATTGTCCTGCATTCAGAAGGCTAGCCGCGCAGGACGGTGGTTAACAGCATCGGTGTGGGAGGCACACTGCTAAGATTCTGGCCCTGCCAGTAGCTAGCTATGTGACCTTGGGCAAAGGAAGGAGCCTATCTGTGCCTCAGTTCCCTCTTCCGTAAATAGCAGAAATAGTAGTACATCCACTGCCTGTTGTAGTTGAGATAACCAAATGAGGTAACACAATGTAAAGTGTTTAAAACTCCACAAATGGGCTGGGCGCAGTGGCTCACGCCTAGCACTTTGGGAGGCCAAGGCAGGCAGATCACCTAAGATCAGGAGTTTTAGACCAATCTGACCAACATGGTGAAACCCCATCTCTACTAAAAATACAAAAATTAGCGGGGCATGGTGGTGCATGCCTGTAATTCCAGCTGCTTGGGAGGCTGAGGCAGGAGAATCACCTGAAGCTGGGAGGCAGAGGCTGCAGAGAGCCCAGATTGCTCCATTGCACTCCTGCCTGGGCAACAAGAGTGAAACTCTGTCTCAAAAACAAAACAAAACCACAAATGTTAGCTGGTAGTTCTCAAGGAGTATGTCCTCTGGGGCACTGGACCTGTAATTAAAGCATGCTGACACTAGGTAATACCCACACATAAATAGCTTGATTTACCTCAGAAACAGACATAATGACCAAAGCCTAGTATGTTTTTCTTTGCTGTTAGGACTCTTTCTAAAACATTCAACTTTTTTTTTTTTTTTTTTTTCGGAGATGGAGTCTCACCCTATTGCCCAGGCTGGAGTGCAGTGGCGCTATCTCGGCTCACTGCAACCACCGCCTCCGGGGTTCATGCCATTCTCCTGCCTCAGCCTCCTGAGTAGCTGGGACTACAGGCACCTGCCACCACACCAAGCTAATTTTTGTATTTTTAGTAGAGACTGGGTTTCACCATGTTGGCTGTGCTGGTCTTGAACTCCTGACCTCAAGTGATCCGCCCGACTCAGCCTCCCAAAGTATTGGGATTACAGGCGTTAGCCACCGCACCTTGCCCATTCAACTATTTTTTTTTTTTTTTTGAGATGGAGTCTTACTCTGTCGCCCAAGCTGGAGTGCAGTAGCATGATCTCGGCTCACTGCAACCTCCGCCTCCCGGGTTCAAGCGATTCTCCTGCCTCAGCCTCCTGAGTAGCTGAGATTACAGATGCACGCCACCACACCCAGCTAAATTTTGTATTTTTAGTAGAGACAGGGTTTCACCATGTTGGTTAGGCTGGTCTCCAATTCATGTCCTCGTGATCTGCCTGCCTTGGCCTCCCAAAGTGCTGGGATTACAGGCGTGAGCCACCGTGCCCAGCCCATTCAACTATTTTTTAAAGCATTTCAACAAAAACATTGACTGATCAATAAAAAATACCAAGATAGCTCAATTGATACTTTCAATAGATTAGTCAATGTCTTGATCTTCATCATATATACTTATATATATAAAGAATATATACTTATATATAAAGAACATATATTTATTTATATATATAAAGAATACATATAAATATATGTATTCTTTCCTTCAAGGGAACTTGTGTTTGACTCCTGGCTCGCATTCCACCAGGCAGCTCAGTCTTTCTTGCTGCTTATACCTCCCACGGTGGTGGAAAGGTCCCTGGGTCTGGGTGGTCCTAGGGTCACTCAGATAGTCACCAGCCTGATAGCAGAACACACATCACCCTGGGCCTACACTGTTCCCCTAGGTCCATTGGCTTTGCAGCTTCTGGGTCACCTGGGAACTCCGTCATCTTTGCCAAAGCCAAGCGTCATTAGCCCTTCTTCTCCCAAGTCTTCATTTCTGATTGCTGATGGGGCACCCAAGGGTACTGTGGGTACAACCCAAGGACTCCAAAAAGCTCCTTTCCTCACCTGTTGCATCTCAAAAGCACTCTCCTTGTCCACTCTTTGGGAGGGTACACCAAGCATAATTGCCTTAATGGATCAGGCTTTTGAAAAACAAAAAATCCCAAAGTATATGTCTGGAGCCATCTCCACTTCTGCCTGGCCACAAACCTCCCCTGAGACCAAAAAATCACAGAGCCTGACCGTCAGCTGCCTGAAGGAAGCTAAAGGCAAGAACAGAAGTGGAAAATAGAAGTCACTATTTCAAAGAAAGAGCCCTGTCTTACTAGTATCATGTCAACTTTATGTCTCAATAGAATACACCATATAGAGCAAGATTTGCAGAACTGCTAGCTCCTCGGTACAACTAGGTAACGTTTTAAACCAACGTCAGCCTATTCAATACATTTATAATTTAAGACAACTCATTCCTTCCAGCTAAGTGGTTAGCCTAATGTTCTTTTAAAAAGAGTATGGTGATATGTATAAGATTAATTAAACCTTTTCCTGCTGTTTCCTGTCATCTACATTTCCAGCTAATGAGGTTTCTACTAAAATTATAGTAAAATGTCACAAAGTAGTGCTTATGAAGAAAGCAGTAGCCTTATAGTCAGAGAGATTTCATGAGGAGGTTGTACTCTGTCCTGTCTCATTAGCTTGACATCTTACCAGTATCTCCACTCCTGAAGAGTGTTTCAGTGACACAAATCTGGTCCCTGCTAGATCCAGAGGCCCAGATGAAGTAGGCATGATCTTACTTATAGCATACAATTTCTAGGGTTTTCCCCTGTATACCTCCTTTGTGCAAACATTCTCTCATTTCACATGTGAATCCAACATAGTCCCACGTATTCTTTCTTTTTTGCTTCCATCTGGTCAGTCGGCAAGCAGATGTTCTTCCTAACAGCAGAGATCAGCAAACTTTTTCTGTAAAGGACCAGATAATAAATATTTTGGGCCCTCGGGGCTGTCTTGGTCACAACTACTCCACTCAGCCGGTAGCTGAAAAGCAGCCATTGTGGCTGGGTTTCTTTTTTCTTTCTTTTTTTTTTTTTTTTTTTTTGAGATGGAGTCTCGCTCTGTCGCCCAGGCTGGTGTGCAGTGACAAGATCTCAGCTCACCACAACCTCCGGCCTCCCAGGTTCAAGCAATTCTCCGGCTTTAGCCTTCCGAGTAGCTGGGATTACAGGCACGTGCCACCACGCCCGGCTAATTTTTGTATTTTTAGTAGAGAGAGGGTTTCACCATGTTGGCCAGCCTGGTCTCAAACTCCTGACCTCAGGTTATCCGGCCGTCCGGGCCTCCCGAAGTGCTGGGATTACAGGCGTGAGCCACGGCGCCCGGCCTGTGGCTGGGTTTCTAATAAATCTTTACTATGGATGCAAAATTTGAATTTCATATATTTTTCACATGTCGCGAAATATTACTCTTTTTCTGTTCAACTGTGTAAAATTGTAAAAACTGTTTTTTAAACCACGAGCCGTACAAAAACAAGCAATGACTACGTTTGGCCCATGGGCTGCAGTTTGGGCCAGTTCGTGATATTTCTCACTAATGTACAGAAAATGGTCCCCCAGGCAGCAAATAATTCACAAATCACTCCTATTTGGCTCTGGAATATACTCTGTAATTTTTTAAACAACATGCTTATTGTCCTGGTTACCTTGATTCTAGTCCAATAATAAAATTAGCACACATTCCAGATGAGCAGAGACAAAGAGGCCACTTTAAAATTAGGCCGGGCTGTGGGGGGCTTGTGCAGTGATTGCAAACCCCCCAGTGGAAGAAGGGGAGTCCTCACACAGATAATGACTAACTTCCTGTAGAAACATCAAACATTTTTACTATGCTCTTACCAAAGATTTAAATGGTGGCAATGCTAATTATGCATTCTTTCTACATTTACACATTGGCACTTTTTTTTTTTAAATCAGAAAACTCATTGCTGATTTATCTTGTTACCATGGTGATTTAAACATTTCCCTGAGCTTGAAAATACATGCCTTAGTACTTCATTAACTTCCTCAGAGATCATCAGGAAGGTAAATCTTAGGATCAAAGTGGGTTTCAAGATCATCTAATCCAAGACTCTCAATTCACAAGTGATGAAACCGAGGCCCGGGAGACTCAAACATTTTACAACCAAAATGTCTGCCATCTGTACCTATCCCAAGGTCCCTTGTTAGCAGCAGATAAATGAGGCTTGTCCAACCCAGTTCTCCTGACTGCTGCAAAATGGTCTTTGTACCTCATCACTGGGGCTCTAATCACTAGATCACCTGCCAGAGTAGTGGCTTTAATGACCTTAGAAAGGGTACATCATTCTACAACATCCTGCCCCTCCCCATCACTCTCCTATTCTTTCAGAAGAGTGTTGGAATCCACGACCTCTTCTGTAGGTACTGGAAGGGGCCCGAAGAATTCCCGCATATATCCAGAAAAGCCAGAAGTTTGGGGACCCATTCTTAAACTTCCTAGAATGTCCCCTTAGGAATGAGCATCGGCACTTGGAGGTGAAACTCTTGAAGGGTTTTTATTTAGAAATCAGATTGTCAGCATGTGGTGGCATCTTCTTAAACTTAGATAACGGGTCCAGAGTTGCCTGGCTAGTTAGTGTCAGGTTCATTAGACTAGATGCATCTCTCCTGGCTTGCCAGAGTCTCTAGGTGTGGTTGTACATTCTGAATGCACTGTTTTGAGTATTCAGCACCTGTTGTGCATGTGTCTCTGCAGCAAGCGATCCCCCTCCAAGACCATCCCAGGCCTCCCCAGACACTGCCACGTCCACTGCAAGTCCAGCTGTGACTCCAGCTGCAGATGCCTCTGACCAAGACCAGCCCACAGTAACTAATAACCCGGAGCCACGTGGGTGAACTGTGCACTCCAGTTCTCTCCAGATGAGAGAGAATCTTTTCAACAGCTGGTATTGGGAAGCTGGGGCCAGGGCATGATCCTGATAAACACCTTAAATGTCTTGTCAACTGGATGCAAATTTTGCAATTGGTGTCATTTTTTTTAAAGTCAAATTACAAGGAAGTACCCAGATCAGGCAGTGGTAATACCAAAGGTCATCAAACACATACAAGGAACATCTTGATCATAGGGCATGTGGGGAAGTTTACTGGGCCATCACAGACTTTTGTTCTAGTGATTGTATGTATTAGGAGTCATAGCATGCCCTACGGCAGATCTGGATTCTTATACACTAAGATGTGTCTTAAGAATCACAGTGCGTGCTTCATCCCTTTATTGAAGAACAGAAAATTATGACTACTCTACAAGGTGGATAATATTTTGGTACCTGTGCTTGCCACAGCCCTGTTCCTCAAAGCTGAATTGATAGATTTCTCTTTGACTTCCAAGACCTAGCAGTTATAAGGCACCTTGAAATAAATTGTTTGTGCCTGGAAATGCAGGGAGGGCAATAGCTTTGTAAATTGGTTTACATTTTTCTCCTTGAATTTTTCTAGGGTCCTAGTGCTTCCGAATCATTTAATGGCATTGTCGGATATCTTTTACATTTCAATTGCAATCCATGAAATTACATTTAGAAGATTCTTAGTACTTAACTGTAGTCTTCTCCATGAATTACACGTTAGAATAGACTGGCAGCAACGGAATATGCAGCAAGTAAGCCTCTAGCTTATAGTTTCATCCCTACCCCTCATGCCTGCGTGAGTCTGTACAGGGATATGTGTGTGTGTGTGTGTGTGTGTGTGTTAGAGAGGAAGAGGAAGAGCAGAATGTCTGTATACTACATGCTGCTAAGGTAGTGAATAAATCAGTAATGCAATATTGTGGGTCCAAACTACTCTTTGCACTACTTTATTTACAGTAGTAAATAAAATTATTTTTATACAATTGACTACCAGAAAGTGGTTTTTTTTCCCCTTTTTTATAATTACTGTCACCATATAAAGTCTAAAGGTCCATATATTCTCCTTGAGGAGGGAAAAAAGAAAAGTCCTCCTGGTGAGAGGGCTTATTTTTCATAACCCATTAATATTTGTGGATAGGAAGGTGGCAGGAGGCTTCTCTCCAGGAATCCTGAGCTCAGGTCTGGCCTTAGAATGTTCGCACAGTATCAGACATTGTTTCAGGGCTTTGTGCTGCTCTGAGCCTGGGCTCTATGTTCATTCCAGGCTAAGCTTGTAGTTCATCCTCCTCCTTCTCCTATGAGTGTTGCTCTTGTTTTAGCAAATGTTGTCCCTCCTATTTGCAAAAAAGCCAGAGATTGAAGGCTGACAGTCCTGGATTCAAATTCTGGTCCTGTAACTGACAAGCTCAGTAATCTTAGGTGAGTGATTAACCTTCTCTAAGTCTCAGATTCCCATACTATAAAATGGGGCGATGAAAACTACCTCTTGGGATTTTTATGAGGCTTACACGAGATAATATATGTAAAGCCTACAGGATAGAGTCTTGTATTAGGTCATTCTTGCATTGCTATAACGAAATACTTGAGACAGGGTAATTTATAAAGAAAAGAGGTTTTATTGGCTCAGAGTCCTGTAGGCTGTACAGGAAACAAGGCGCTGACAGCTATTTGACTTCTGGGAAGGTCTCAGGAAACTTTCAATCATGGCAGAAGGCGAAGGAGAAGCAGACATGTCTTACGTGGCTAGAGCAGGAGCAAGAGAGACTGAGGCAGGTGCCACAGACTTCTATTTATTTTATTTTTGTTTCTCTCTATAGATAGAGATCTATATCTATCTATATATAGAAAGAATATATATATTTAAATATATACATTTGAATATATATATTTAAATATATATATATATATATATTTAGATAATATTGCTCTGTCGCCCAGGCTGGAGTGCAGTGGCACGATCTCGGCTCACTGCAACCTCCCCCTCCTAGGTTCTGGTGCCTCAGCCTCCGAGTAGCAGGGACTACAAGCATGTGCCACCATGCTTAGCTAATTTTTTGTATTTCTAGTAGAAACAGTGTTTTGCCATGTTGCCCAGGCTGGTCTTGAATTCCTGAGCTCGGGCAATCCGCCTGCCTCAGCCTCCCAAAGTGCTGGGATTATAGGCGTGAGTCACCGCGCCTGGCCTATTATATGCTTTTTTATTTTTATTTTTTATATTTTTTGCCACACACTTTTAAACAACCTGCTCTCATGGGAGCTCACTATCATGAGGACAGCATCAACAGGACGGTGCTAAACCATTCATGAGAAATCCATCCCCATTATCCAATCACCTCCTGCCAAGGCCCACCTCCAACATGGGGGATTACATTTCAACACTGAGATTTGAGCAAAGCAAATATCCAAACTATATCAGGTCCTAAATATGGTAGGTCATTATTTTTATAACATAAGAAAGAGCAGTCTGAGGGGCCAGAGAGTGACTCTGCTCTGCTGAGATCCTCTCTCCATGGCAAACACACCCATTTCCAATCTGTTGGGAACATGAGCTGCTGACTGCTCACAGCCACACGCCACACTGGGAATTGCCCTAAGCTGCTGGGATCTGCCCAAGGGCATACCCTTGCAAGAGCAGCCCGTGGCCAGTGGCTCCTTGATGTAGGCAGAGTTTCTCAATCTCAGCACTATGGACATTTGAGCTGGATGGTTCTTTGTTGTGGGGCAGGGTTGTCTTGTGTATTGTAGATGCTAAACAGCATCTCTGGCCTCTAATGAATGCTGCAGTGGGCACTCATCACCCCTGCTTCCCAGTGTGACAGCCAAACACCTCCTTGGGAGCAAAATCACACTCCCTTCACCTTGAGAATGACTGATGTAGGAAAACAAAGGTCCCTTGCCTCAATTTGGAACAGTGCTGAACGGCAGGGCATCCCAGCTCCAAAACTCTACGTTGGTTGCAACCTCACTGAATGCAGCTTCTCACTCTGCTCAATTCTGCCTTCCTCACTTTCTTTTTTTTTTTTTTGAGACTGAGTCTCGCTCTGTCACCCAAACTGGAGGACAGTGGCATGATCTTGGC
This sequence comes from Homo sapiens, assembly GCF_000001405.40. Classification (NCBI taxonomy): domain Eukaryota; kingdom Metazoa; phylum Chordata; class Mammalia; order Primates; family Hominidae; genus Homo; species Homo sapiens. The sequence continues at coordinate 25,745,340 of NC_000004.12, read as the reverse complement.
TCACTGCATCCTCTGCCTCCCAGGCTCAAGAGATTTTCCAGCCTCAGCCTCCCAAGTAGCTGGGATTACAGGCATGTGCCACCATGCCCACCTAATTTTTGTATTTTTCATAAAGGTGGGTTTTCGCCATGTTGGCTAAGCTGGGCTTGAACTCCTGACCTCAAGTGATCCATCCACCACAGCCTCCCAAAGTGCTGGGATTACAGGTTTGAGCCACCACGCCTGGCCTTTCCTCGTGTTCTTATAGGATTTTCCAACACTGATCCCCAGAAATCTTCACACCCAACTCTGTACCTCAATTTCTTAAAAAACAAACAAACAAACAAAAACCCTAATGTATTAGTTTGCTGGGGCTGCCATAACCAAGTACCAAATACTGGGTAGCTTGAACAACAGAAATTTATTTTCTCACACTTTTGGAGGCTGGAAGTCCAAGATCAAGGCGTCAGCAGGATTAATTCCTTCTAAGTCCTCTCTCCTTGGCTTGTAGATGGCCGTCACCTTTCGGTGTCTTCACATGGTTGGTGTCTCTTCTGCGTGTGTCTGTGTCTTAGTCTTTTCTCATAAGGACACCAGCCACATTGGATTAAGACCCACACACATTTGTTGGGGTGCAGGGTTGTCTTGTGCATTGCAGAATGTTAAACAGTACCCCTGGCCTCTAATTAATGAATGCCTGCCATGGGTGCCAGCGCGCAGTGGCTCACACCAGTAATCCCAGCACTTTCGGAGGCAGAGGCAGCTGGATCTCTTGAGGTCAGGAATTTGAGACCAGCCTGGCCAACGTGGTGAAACCTCGTCTCTACTAAAAATACAAAAATTAGCTGGGCGTGGTGGTGCACGCCTCTAATCCCAGCTACTCAGGAGGCTGAGGCATGAGCATCGCTTGAACCTGGGAGGTGGAGGTTGCGGTGAGCTGAGATCGTGCCATGCCATTGCACTCCAGCCTGGGTGACAGAGCGAGGCTCCGTCTCAAAAAAAAAAAAAAAAAAGACTCACACATATGACCTCATTTTACCTTAATTAACTCTTAACTCTTAAAAGGCCCTATCTTCAAATACTGTCACATTCTGAGGTACTCGGTGTTAGGACTTCAGTCTGAGAATTTGGTGGCAGGACACAATTCAGCCCTTACCACCAACAGCCCTTACACCATGGGAGGCTGGCTCTGGTCCAGCATATGGACTCATTCACGGGAGCCATCCTGGTCTGCTCAGCTCCAAATGAGGTTGGGAAATGCTGACATGGTTCTAGGGTCAAACCTGGGTTCAGGTGAAGCTGGTAAGCTAATTGTCAATTCATGTCCCACCTTAGACATCTGTCCTCTGGGGATTTCTCAAGGCTGTATGATCTGGGTCCGGCACACACCTTCTCAAGCCCCAAGCTCCCTCTTCTCTCTTTAAATTCTAAACTGAATTTCCACAAGCCTAGTGTCCAAGCTGGCTGGAATAGAACCCTGCACAGTAAAGGCAACGTGGGGTAGGAGGGAAGGAAAAAGGAAGTAGGAGGTGTGAAAGGAAAATAAATATTGGGACCCCAGAATCACTAAGCTAAAAGGAAAAGTCGAGCTGGGAACTGCTTAAGGGAAACCTGCCTCCCAGTCTATTCAAAGTCTCATCCCTCTGCTCACTGAGATAAATGCGTATCTGATTGGCTCCTTTGGAAAAGCTAATCAGAAACTCAAAACAATGCAACAGTTTGTCTCTCGCCTATCTGTGACCTGGAAGCCCCCTCCCAACTTCGAGTGGTCCTGCCTTTCCAGACTGAACCAGTGTTCGTCTTACATATATTGATTGGTGTCTCATGTCTCCCTAAAATGTATAAAATCAAGCTGTGCCCTGACCACCTTGGGCACATGTCGTCACGACTTTCTGGGACTGTGTCATGGTGCACATCCTTGACTTTGGCAAAATAAACTTCCTAAATGGACTGAGACCTGTCTCAGATATTTTGGGTTAACAGAGGGTAGGGTACAGAGGTGATATTCAGTTACTTCCCTATTGTCCCCTCCACTTTGGACATTCTTAGACCATAAGTTGCAGACCAGTAGGTTGAAACAAATCCATCCTACAGATATAATTTTTTTGGCCCACTCAATATTTTTAAATTTTTCAATTAATTGCTAACATTGTAAAATCAAGGATTTGGGGCTTCTCCTAAAAACTCTAATGATGTGAAAAAACTGGGCTTTCATTGTTGCATGGCAAGAGTTAGCTGAGGCTGACTAGGTCTGCCCTTTTTAGTTAGAGTCTGTCCTTTCCGATTTGCCGCAGTCACCACCATTCCCTATTGCTTTACACCTAGTCCATTTATTCCTTTATGCAGGCATTTGGGTTCATAACTCGTGGTTTGAAACTCCTTCTCTTCATTCTTAATGACTTCATTGTGACAAGTCTGAGAGAGATCTCCAAATTCATTTACTGCTTAATCATTTCCAAGCTTTTGGGAGCTGGGGAAGCGGTACTCTGGTAGTCTTTCTTTCTGCTGCCTGATAGAGGGAGATGCCAAGCAGTAGGTCATTTGGAGTCTCAGTAAAGTATCCAACAAAGTTGCAAGACAAAATGCCAATTTAAAAAAATTAGTGTTTTCCTACACCAGCAATAACTAGAAAATTAAATACTAAGTAATATTAAATGTAAGTAAGATTTCATTTACAGTAATGACACAGTTGTAAAGTGTCTAGAAATTAACCAAACTATGAACTCATTAGATGTTTATCAAGGAAATTTAAAAAGTCTACTCCTTGGCCGGGTGCGGTGGCTCACGCCTATCATCCCAGCACTTTGAGAGGCTGAGGCAGGCAGATCACGAGGTCAGGAGTTTGAGACCAGCCTGGCCAACGTGGTGAAACCCCATCTCTACTAGAAATACAAAAATTAGCCAGGTGTGGTGGCACGCACCTGATTGCACCAAGATTGCTTGAGTGCAGGAGGTGGAGCCCAGCCAGGGCAACATGGTGAAACCCCATCTCTACAAAAACTACAAAAATTAGCCGGCTGTGGTGGTGCATGTCTGTGGTCCTAGATACTCGGGAGGCTGAGGTGGAAGAATTGCTTGAGCCCAGAAGATCGAGGCTGCAATGAGCCAAGATTGTGCTACTTCACTCCAGCCTGAGCAACAGAGCAAGACACTGTCTCTCAATAAATAAATAAATAAATACTTCAAATGAATTAAAGACTTAACTGTGAAAGGCAGAACTACAAGGCTAGTAATAGAAAACGTAAGATTTGGCCGGGCACGGTGGCTCACGCTTGTAATCCCAGCAATTTGGGAGGCCGAGGCAGGCAGATCACTTGAGGACAAGAGTTCGAGACCAGCCTGGCCAACATGGTGAAACCCCATCTCTACTAAAACTACAAAAAAAATTAGCCGGGCATGGTGGCAGGTGCCTGTAATCCCAGCTACTTGGGAGGCTGAGGCAGGAGACTCACTGGAACCCAAGAGGCAGAGGTTGCAGTGAGTCAAGATCACGCCATTGCAATTGAGCCTGGGCAATATCTCAAAAAAAATATATATAATAATAATATAATATAATAAATCAAAGAAAATGTAAGAAGATTTTATACATTTTGAATGACAAAAGATTTCTTAAGCAGTATATAAAAATACAGATTTCTCTTCTTCAAAAATAAAGGATTTCTGTTCAAGAAAGAACACCACTGTCAAAGTTGGTGCATTTAGGTGTGAGATTTGCAACATCCCACACCTGAAGTATCAACATCTAGAATGTGCAAAGAATGTATGTTAATCAACCACAACAAGGGGCAGAACCTCGTAGAAAAAATATTCAAAGCACAGGAACAATCCATGGAAGGAGAAAATCTAAAGACTTAAAGTAGATGAAGAGCTGCTCAACCTAACTTGAAGTCAAAGAAATACAAATTAAAATACAAAGATGTCACTTCACTCCCATCATAAACATTAGAAATACAGGTAATATGGCCAGCCTCAGTGGCTCACCTCTGTAATCCCAGCACTTTGGGAGGCTGAGGCGGGCGGATTACTTGACGTCAGGAGTTCGAGACCAGCCTAGGGATAGTAAAACTCCGTCTCTACTAAAAATACAAAAATTAGCTGGGTGTGGTGGTGGCTGCCTGTAATCCAGGTATTCAGGAGACTGAGACAGGAGAATCTTTTGAACCCGGGAGGTGAAGGTTGCAGTGAGCCGAGATCGCACCACTGCACTCCAGTCTGGGTGACAAGAGCAAAACTCCATCTAAAAAAAAAAAAAAGAAAGAAAGCAATATAGGTAATATGGCCAGGTGCAGTGGCTCATGTCTATAATCCCAGCACTTTGGAAGACCAAGGTGGGCATATCACTTGAGGTCAGGAGTTCAAGACCAGCCTGGCCAACATGGTGAAACCCCATCTCCACTAAAAACACAAAAATTAGCCAGGCGTGGTGGGGGGCACCTGTAATTTCAGATATTTGGGAGGCTGAGGCAAGAGAATCCCTTGAACCCAGGAGGCAGAGGTTGCAGTAAGCCGAGATCGCACCATTGCACTCCAGCCTGGCAACAGAGCAAGACTCTTATCTCAGGAAAAAAAAGAAAAAAGAAAAGAAATGTATGTAATACCCTGAGGATGTGGGGAAACAAATTCTCCAGTCTCACTGCACAGGTGGCAGAGTAAACAGGTGAACAATGTGGCAGTAAAGTACTTAATGAAATAAAGCATTTAGGGGTCAGAAAGCCCACTCCCAAGTATGAGCTTCCCAAACTCTGCACAGGTCCAATAGGTGCTATGGATGAAGGAGGGTGATGCAAACAGCACTGTTTGAGAGAGCAAGCTGGAGCAGCCTGGATCCTGGATGTGTCCATCAGTAGGAGAACGGATGTGCTCGATGGTTGTCATAGAAAACCATGCACCAGTAAGAAAGCTAGGAACTAGATTTTTTTTTTTTTTTTTGAGATGGAGTCTCACTCTGTAGCTCAGGCTAGAGTGCAATGGCACCATCTCAGCTCACTGCAACCTCTGCCTCCTGGGTTCAAGTGATTCTCTTGTCTCAGCCTCCCAAGTAGCTGGGATTACAGGTGTGGCCACCATGCCCAGCTAATTTTTGTATTTTTAGTAGAGATGAGGTTTCACCATGTTGTCCAGGCTGGTCTTGAACTCCTAACCTCAGGTAATCCACCCGCCTCAGCCTCCCAAAGTGCTGGGATTACAGGCATGAGCCACCATGCCCGGCCACTAGGAACTAGATTTATGCACAGCAACAGATATGTTGAAAAGGTTAGAAATAGCCAGACTTGGTGGCTCACGCCTGTAATTCTAGCACTTAGTGGGAGGCTGAGCGGGGAGGATCACTTGAGCTCAGGAGTTTGAGACCAGCCTGGACAACATAGTGAGACCTTCGTCTCTATTAAATAAATTAATTAATTAATTAATTCAGTTAAAAAATACATTGATGAATGAAAAAAAAAGAAACTGAATCAGAGCTATATCTCAATACTAGTTGTATAAGTTAAAAACCAACCCCCTAAAGGATACTACATATGTACATGTGTGAATGTACGCTTATATGTATATATACAGATTTGTGTTTCTACACACACACACACACACACACACACACACACATTATTTTTTCTTTCAGAATACACACATGGGTTTTTTTTTTGTTTTTTGTTTTTTTTTGACGGAGTCTCTCTCTGTCACCAGGCTGGAGTGCAGTGGTGCGATCTTGGATCACTGCAACCTCTGCATCCTGGGTTCAAGCAATTCTCCTGCCTCAGCTCCCGAGTAGCTGCTGGGACTACAGGCGCGTGCCACCATGCCCAGCTGACTTTTGTATTTTTAGTAGCGATGGGATTTCACCATGTTGGCCAGGATGGTCTCGATCTCTTGACCTCGTGATCTACCCTCCTCGGCCTCCCAAGGTGCTGGGATTACAGGCGTGAGCCACCACTCCTGGCCAGAATACACACATGGTTTTAAATCATCGTTGGTGCTATTCACATTTTGGACCAGATAGTTCATTGTTGTGAGAAGCTGTGTGTACATTGTAGGATGTTTAGCAACATCTCTATGGCCTCTCTCTACCTGATACCAGTAGCACCCACTCAGTTGTGACAACCAAAAATGCCTCCAGACATTGTTTTTTTGTTGTTGTTGTTTTTGTTTTTCTTTTTTGAGACAGAGTCTCGCTCTGTCGCCCAGGCTGGAGTGCAGTGGCACATTCTCTGCTCACTGCAACCTCTGCCTCCCAGGTTCAAGTGATGGTTCTGCCTCAGCCTCCTTAGTAGATGGGATTACAGGTGTGCCCCCACCATGCCTGGCTAATTTTTTATTTTTTTTTTAGTAGAGACAGGGTTTCTCCATGTTGGTCATGCTGGTCTTGAACTCCTGACCTTGTAATCTGCCCGCCTCGGCCTCCCAAAGTGCTGGGATTACAGGCGTGAGCCACTGTGCCCAGCCAACCTCCAGACATTGTTAAATGTCTCCTGTGGTAGAGGGAGCCAAACTGCCCTGGTTAAGAACAACTCATCTAAACCATATGTCAAATGCATTAGTGTGACCACTTAGGTTCTGAGGCAGGGGTTGTGAGAGGGACTGTGTGAGGAAAGGAAAAATATTAAAATAAAACAAGAGCAGAGTCTTGCACACAATGGTTATGATGTGCCATGAACTGAAGACAATGATTACCTCAACTATGGGTAGCTGAGGTCCAAATACAAGAAATAAAAGCAAACTAAAATTGGCCTTAATCCTCTGAATTGGTGAATGTTTATTGGTATTCAGTCAGCCACAACCTGAGTGTCTTTGAAGGCAAAGAAATTTAGTGCACAATATAATCTTTTGCACTTTTGCTTTCACTGTGACTTTAGATAGAGTGAAGAAGCCTTGGTGTTTCTTTAATGAGATGTATGAAAGCAATTTTTGAAGGGTGCAAAAGCTCTAGTGTCAGGAAGACTGTGTTGGATTAACCAACAGACAGACAAAACCTGTACTGCAGCGTTCAGTAAAGCAGACAGCAAACACTGCTGGAAAACAAGATTAGCCCCAAGGGACTTAACCTGGATTTTCCAATTAGAAACAGCCAGAAAGATGCCTTTAAAAATAAATAGTATAGTCATCCCCTCCATACCCATGGGTTCCGCATCTCTGGACTCAACCAGCCTTGGGTCAAAAATATTATTAAAAAAAATTGCAAGCTGGGTGTGGTGGCTCATGCCTGTAATCCCAGCACTTTGGGAGGTTCAGGCGGAGGGATCACTTGAGATCAGGAATTCAAGACCAGCCTGGCCAACGTGGTGAAACTCCATCTCTACTAAAAACACAAAATTAGGCAGGTGTGGCGGCACGTAACTGTAATCCCAGCTACTCAGGCGGCTGAGGCAGGAGAATCACTGGAACCTGGGAGAGGGAGGCTACAGTCAGCCAAGATGGTGCTATTGCACTCCAGCCTGGTTGACAGAGTGAGACTCTGTCTCAAACAAACAAAAAAAAAGGCAACTGTATTAAACATGTACGAACTTATTTTGATCATTATTTCCTAAGCAATACAGTGTAACAACTATTTACACAGCATTTACATTGTATTAGGTATTATAAGTAATCTAGAGATGATTTAAGGTATATGGGAGGATATGCATAGATTGTGTGTAAATACTATGTCATTTTATATCAGGGACTTGAGCATGCAAAGAATTGAGGAAGGTCCTGGAACCAATCCCCACAGATACAGAGACACTACTGTATTTTTGTTATGGACTGAATGTTTGTGTCCTCCCAAAACTCAAATGTAGAATCCCTAATTTCCAATGGGATAGCATTTAGAGCTAGGGCCTTTGAGAGGCCTAGGGTTAGATGAGTTCATGAGGTTCGAGCCCTCATGACAGGATTAATGCCCCTATAAAAAGAGAGGCTGGAGAGCTTGCTCTGTCTCCCACATATCCATCAAGAAGGGGCCATGCAAGCACACAGCAAGATGGCAGCCACCTAGAAACAAAGAAAAAAGGCTTCAGGATAAAAGGTACCTTGCTAGCACTTTCATCTTGGACTTCTCATTCTCTAGAAGTGTAAGAAATAAAGTTCTGTTGTTTAAACCTAGTCTGAGGCTGGGCGTGGTGACTCACGCCTGTAATCCCAGCACTTTACGAGGCCAAGGCAGGCAGTTCACAAGGTCAGGAGTTCGAGACCAGCCTGGCCAACATGGGGAAACCCCATCTCTACTAAAAATACAAATATTAGCTGAGCGTGGTGGCGTGTGCCTGTAGTCCCAACTACTTGGGAGGCTGAGGTGGGAGAATCGCTTGAACCCAGGAGGCGGAGGTTGCAGTGAGCCGAGACTGTGCCATTGCACTCCAGCCTGGGTGACAGTGAGACTCTGTCTCAAAAAAAAGAAAAAAAAGAAAAAGAAAAAAAAAGAGTAGCATATTATTAAAAGGTACTAATAGTCAATAAGAAAGCTTCAGTGGCTATTAATATTAGATAAAATAGACTTCAAGATAAGGAGTACTACAAGAGACAAAAAGGAAAAGGGCAGTAGGATGGAATATATATATATGCCCACTAACAACGTATGACAAATGTATAAAGCAAAACTTGATAGAAATGAGAAGAAATAGACAAACCTACAAAGTTAGAGATTTTAATGCACTTCTCTCAGTAATAGAACAACTTAAAAAAATGGTAGGTTTACAGAAGATCTGAAAGACACTATTGACATCCTTAACTTAACTAACATTTATAAAATATCATGCCCAACAATTGCAAAATACACTTTCTTTTCAAGGTTACATGGAACGCTCACCAAGATGGACAATATCTTGAACCATAAAACAAGTCTCATTCAATTTCAAACTATAGAAATCTGGCCAGGTGCAGTGGCTCACACCTGTAATCCCAGCACTTTGGGAGGCCGAGGAGGGTGGATCACCTGAGGTCAGGAGTTCGAGACCAGCGTGGCCAACATGATGAAACCCTGTCTCTCCTAAAAATACAAAAATTAGCTAGGCGTGGTGGTGAGCCGCTGTAATCCCACCTACTGAGGAGGCTGAGGCAGGAGAATTGCTTGAAACCAGGAGGCGGAGGTTGCAGTGAGCTGAGATCGCACCACTGCACTCCAGCCTGAGCAACAAGAGCAAAACTCCATCACACACACACACACACACACAGACACACAATCTTATGGCATATATTGTCTGACCACAACGGAAATGAATTGAAAATCAACAAAAATAAAACAGCTAGAATAGTTAGAACATACTGGCCGGGCACGGTGGCTCATGCCTGTAATCCTAGCACTTTGGGAGGCCGAGGCGGGTGGATCACGAGGTCAGGAGATGGAGACCATCCTGGCTAACACGGTGAAACCCCGTCTCTACTAAAAATACACAATATTAGCCAGGCGTGGTGGCGGGCGCCTGCAGTCCCAGCTACTTGGGAGGCTGAGGTGGGAGAATGGCATGAACCCGGGAGGTGGAGCTTGCAGTGAGCTGAGATCGGGTCACTGCACTCCAGCCTGGGCGACAGAGCCAGACTCCATCTCAAAAAAAAAAAAAAAAAAAAAGAATAGTTAGAAAATAAACAACTTGCTGCTAAAGAATCCACTGGTCAAAAACATAAATCACAAAGGATATTAGAAAATATTCTGAACTGTCTCTGGGTTTAAAAAGAAAAAAAAATAAAATATTTTGAACTGAAAGATAATAAAAACAACATCAACGTTTGTAGGATTTTATAACGTTAAATGTTTATAAGAAAACAAGTTATATCTCAAATCAATGATACAACGTCCACCATAAAAAAAGAAGATTAAGCTAAACTTGAAGAAAACTGAAGGAAAATATAATAAAGAAAAGAGAAGAAATTGGTGAAATTGGAACCAGAAAAAAATAAAGATAATCAATAAAATCAAGAACTGGTTATTTGTGAAAAAAATCAGTAACATTGATTTTAAAAGCTCTAGAGAAAAGACACAAAATTCCCAATATCAAGAATAAAAAGGAGCCATCACTTCAGATCCCACAGACATTAAAAGAGTAATAAGAGAATATTATGTGGTAGCTCACGCCTGTAATCCTAGCACTTTGGGAGGCTGGGGCAGGAGGATTGCTTGAACCTAGGAGTCCAGGAACAACCTGGGCAATATAGCAAGACCCTGTCTTCATAGGGAAGGAAAAAAAAAGAATAGATAGCTTGACTAGCCTATAGCTTATAAGAAATTGAATTCATAGTTAAAATCTATGAAAATCTTTTCCTAAAAAGAAAATTCTAAGCCCAGATGGCTTCAGCAGTGAATCTATCAAACATTTCAGGAAAATATAATACTAACTGTACACAAACTGAATCTATGAAACATTTTAGGAAAATATACCAACTGTACACAAACTCAGAAAAAAAAGAAAAAAAATACTTCTGAACTTATTTTATTAGGTTAGTGTTACCTTAATGTCAAAATCAGACAAAATATTACAAAAATAGTAAACAAACTCAGATCAATATTCCTCATAAACATAGATACAAAAGGCTGGGCATCGTGGCTGACACCTATAATCCCAGCATTTTGGGAGGCTGAGGCGGGCGGATCACCTGAGGTCAGGAGTTTGAAACCAGCCTGACCAACATGGCGAAACCCTGTATCTACTAAAAACACAAAAATCAGCCAGGCATTGTGGTGGGCGCCTGTAATCCCAGCTACTGAGGAGGCTGAGGAATGAGAATCACTTGGATCCGGGAGGCAGAGGTTGCAGTAAGCCGAGATCAGGCCACTACACTCCAGCCTGGGAAACAGAGTGAGACTGTCTCAAAAAAAAAGAAGATACAAAAATCCTTAACCAAATATTACCGAATTGAAACAAGCAATTAATGAAAAGAAGACGTTATGATCTAGTGTAGTTTATCTCAGGAATAAAGGTTGTTTAACATTTAAAACCAATCGATATAATTAATTGTATTAACAGACTAAACAAGGATAAAACTTCATCTCAATAGACGCAGATAAAGCATTTGACAAAATCCAATGTTCCTTTATATTAAAAACACATAGCAGGCTGGGCACGGTGGCTCATGCCTGTAATTCCAGCACTTTGGGAGGCCGAGATGGGCAGATCACCTGAGGTCAGGAGTTTGAGACCAGCCTGGCCAACATGATGAAACCCGGTCTCTACTAAAAATACAAAAAACAAACAAACAAACAAAAAACATTAGCTGGGCGTGGTGGCATGTGCCTATAATCCCAGCTACTCTGGAGGCTGAGGCAGGAGAATGGCTTGAACGTGGGAGGTAGAAGTTGCAGTGAGCCAAGATCACGCCATTGCACTCCAACCTGGGCGACAGCCAGAGCGAGACTCTGTCTCAAAAAAAACAAAGCCCAAAAAACAAAACTCCAGCAAATTAGGAAGAGAAAGGGACTTCCTCAATCTGATAAAAAGTATCTATAACAAAACCTACAGCTACATTATACTTAATGGCAACAAACTGAACACTTCCTCCCTAAGATTTGGAACAAAGCAAGGATGTCTGCTATGGCCAGTCCTACTCAGCATTGTACTGGAAGTCCTTTGTAAAAACAAACAAACTGGCCCGACGCGGTGGCTCACATCGGTAATCCCAGAACTTTGGGAGGCCGGAGGTGGGAGGGAAATCATGGGGTCAGGAGTTCGAGACCAGTCATAGTGAAACCCCGTCTCTACTAAAAATACAAAAATTAGCCGGGCGCGGTGGTGCGCGCCTGTAGTCCCAGCTACTGGGGAAGCTGAGGCAGGAGAATCACTTGAATCTGGGAGGCAGAGGTTGCAGTGAGCCGAGATTGCGCCACTGCACTCCAGCTGAGTGACAGAGTGAGACTCCATCTCAAAAAAAAAAAAAAAAGCTAAGGAATATAAAAAAAAAATACTATAACAACTACATGATCTTATCAATGTTGTAGAATCCAAAGTCAACATTAAAAAAATTATGTTTTGATATGTTAGCAATAAACCATTGAATGGAAAAATTAAGAAAACAACTATTTACTAGATCATCACACAATAAGAAATACTGAGGGATAACAAAAGGCTTACAAGACCTGTATTCTAAAAACTGAGAGTATTACTGAGAAAAATTAAAGAAAACCTAAATAAAATGGAGATATATCATCTGCATAAATCAAAATACTTAATATTTTCAAGATGTAAATTCTCCCCAAATTGATTTTATAGATTCAATGCAATGCCAGTGAAAATCTGGCAAAATTTTTCTATTTTGTAGAAGTTTCCAAGCTGATTCTAAAATTTATATGGAAATACAAGGGACCTAGAATAGCTAAAGCCCAGTTGGGAAAAAAAAAAAATAACAAAGTTAGAGGACTCGCCAGGCGCAGTGGCTCATGCCTGTAATCCCAGCACTTTGGGAGGCAGAGGAGGGCAGATCACTTGAGGTCAGGAGTTTGAGACCATACCGGCCAACATGGTGAAACCCCATCTCTACTGAAAATATAAAAATTAGCCTGGCTTGGTGGTGTGCACCTGTTTAATTCCAGCTACTTGGGAGGCTGAGGCAGGAGAATTTCTTGAACCTGGGAGGTGGAGGTAAGCCTTCCAGTGAGTCAAGGTGGCACCACTGCACCCCAGTCTGGGCAACAGAGCAAGACTCTGTCCGACTCCCCACCACACACACACACAAAGAACACTTAAAACTCAATAATAAAAGACCAAAGACCCAATCCAGTACAAAAAAAAATGTGGTGGGGCGGGAGGCAAACAAACTGAACAGGCTCTTCACCAAACTAGCCATGAGGATGGCAAAAAAGTACATTGAAAGTAGGCTGAACGTCATCATTCAATGAAAATTAAAACCTCATTGAGATACCACTACATATCCATTATCATAGCTAAAGTTAAAAAGACTAGCGTTGGCAATGACTTAAAACAACTGGAACTCTCATTTACTGTTGGTGGAAATGTAAAATGGCACAACTACTTTGGAAAACAGAGTTTGGCAGTTTCTTCAATGTTACTCATACACTTCCCAAGTTAGTATTGTCAGATAAGGGACATATTTTAGACAAATAGTGAATAACTTGTCAATATAGGCTCTAAATATTGCATGGGATATATGTATCCTAAAAAATTACTTCTTATTTATCCGAAATTCAAGTTTAAATGGATGCCTTGTATTTTTATTTGCTAAATCTGGCAAATCTACTTCCCATACAACCCAGACATTTCACCTCCATGTAATTACCCAAGAGAAATAAAAATATGTCCACGTGTACACCAATGTTTACAGCAGCCTCTCTTTCTCTCTCTTTCTTTATTTCTCCCTTCCTTCCTTCCTTCCTTTCACAGACTCCCACTCTGTTGCCCAGGCTGGAGTGCAGTGCTGTGATTTCCGATCACTGCAACCTCCACTTCCCAAGTTCAAGTGATTCTCATGCCTCAGCTTCCCAAGAAGCTGGGATTACAGACACGCACCACCATGCCCAGCTAACTTTTTGTATTTTTAGTAGAGATGGGTTTTCGTCATGTTGGGCAGGCTGGTTTCAAACCCCTGACCTGAGGTGATCCACCTGTCTCGGCCTCCCAAAGGGCTGGGATTACACGCATGAGCCACTGCACCCAGCCCATAGCAGCTCTCTTTGTAATATGTCCCTAACTGGAACTAACCCAAATGCCCATGAACAAGAAGTCTGGATAAAAAAATTATGGTATATTCATACAATGGCATATTATTCAGCAATAAGAAGGAATGAACTATTAATACACACGTAACACAGTTGAATAATTATGCTGAGTGAAAGAAGCCAGACCAAGAAGAGTACCTATCAATTGATTCTATTTAATTCTAGAAAACGCAAACTAACCTATAGTGACAGAAAGCTGACCAATGATTGCTTGGGCGAAGTGTGGGGGTAGAAGGCAGGGAGGGAAGGATGCTTTTCAAACTTCTGGGTGTGATGGATACACTTACCATCTTGATTGTGGTGAGGATTTTATAGGCATAGACCTATGCCAAAACTCATCAAATCATATTTTTCAAATATGTGCAGCTTATGGTGGGTCAATTGTACCTTAATGAAGCTGTACAATTTTATTTGTAATGTTCTTGTATGAGTTTACTCTGTATACAATAGTTTGTGAAACTCCATGGCCAGTAAAACAAACATCTTACTCACTTAAAGAGATAGGGCCAACAAATCTAAAAGCTAAATAAAAGCACAAGTGTTAAACAAGATGAAACAGGAGATAATATTTGTAAATATTAAAGCAATGTGTTTTAATGTCCCTTTGAACTCATGTTCCTTTGCAGCTTTCTTGGAGACAGCCCTGACACTTGTAACTAGAGAGCTGAAAAGATCTGTTACCTGACTTTATTTTATTTTTTGAGACAGAGTCTCGCTCTGTTGCTCAGGCTGGAGTGCAGTGGTGTGATCTTTCCTCGCTGCAACCTCCGCCTCCCAGGTACAAGTGATTCTCCTGCCTCAGCCTGCTGTGTAGCTGGAATTACAGATGCATGCACCACCACGCCTGGCTAATTTTTGTATTTTTAGCCAAGATGGGGTTTCGCCATGTTGGCCAGGCTGGTCTTGAACTCCTGACCTCAGGTGATCTGCCCACCTCGGCCTCCCAAAGTGCTGGGATTACAGGCGTGAGCCACCGTGCCTGGCCGTAGAGGAATCTTTTAACACCCATGAAAGCCGGAAGTGGGGCCTGTGAGAGAGAGGAAATGGGTGAAAGTGCTCAGAAGCAAAGTCAAAACCAAGAGAAGGGACTACAGGTTTATTGAGCGCAGATGTTAGCATCAGAGGCTGTCCCAACGACTAGGTAGTATAAAGACATTATACACATCACCACAAGCAGCTGGCAGGCTCTACCCTTACATCTACTTACAGAGGAATTGTGCGTATGTGTTGGAGGGATTCTGAGAGAGATGGCATTTTACCTAGAGAAATGGAGCATTAGCCAAAGGCACTGTGTAAATTTATTATATCGGACTAACTAGTTTCCTCACCCTACTCCTCTATGCATCCCCATCGATATCCAGAAGATGCTCACTCAAAAAAAAAATAATAAAAGTTAGTTCATAGACAAAATAAAGGAAATGCATTCCAAATGCACACCCAAGTGTAGTGGAAATAAATTTGCAACCCCATTACCAACATAATACGAGAAATATTTGAAGGCATTCAGTAGCCGGGCTCGGTGGCTCACCCAGCACTTTGGGAGGCCGAGGTGGGCGGGTCACTTGAGGTCAGGAGTTCGAGACCAGACTGGCCAACATAGTGAAACCCCGTCTCTACTAAAAATACAAAAATTAGCCAGGCATGGTGGCGGGTGCTGAGGCAGGAGAATCACTTGAACCTGGCAGGTGGAGGTTGCAGTGAGCCAAGATTATGCCACTGCACTCCAGCATTCCAGCCTGGGCAACAGAAACTCTGTCTCAAAAAAAAGAAGAAGAAGGAGAAGGAGGGGAAGAAGAAGAAGAAGGAGAAGAAGAAGAAGAAAGATGTCAACTTAAAATCACAAGATTTATGAATTTATAAAGGAGAACTTGATTTCTTATGATAGGTTGCAACATTGCAAGCTGAGAAGTGGAGCCTCCGATTGATACTGAACACAGGCACGTCACCAGAGGAAGGGTGGACCGGGTTTTATGCTAAATGGGTTGGCTAAATATATGTTTTGTTTTGTTTTTGTTTTTGAGAAGGTGTCTTGCTCTGTCATCCAGGCTGAAGTGCAGTGCCGCGATCTCGGCTCACTGCAGACTCCACCTTCCAGGTTCCAGCGATTCTCCTGCCTCAGCCTCCCGGGTAGCTGGAATTACAGGCATGTGCCACCACGCCCAGCTAATTTTTGTATTTTTAGTAGAGAAGGGGTTTCACCACATTGTCCAGGCTGGCCTCGAACTCCTGACCTCAGGTGATCTGCCCGCCTCAGCCTCCGAAAGTGCTGAGATTACAGGTGCAAGCCACCGTGCCCAGCCTAAATATATGTATTTAACAGGTTATAGGAGAAGCTACAAATACTCATGAAGGGTGGTCACGTGCATGCGTGGTAAGCAAACATGTGTTATATACATTCCATGTTCACTTTGGGGTGGAGACTTAACATTAAAATGCAGTAAAATTAGGTCTATATGTCAAAAGGTGAAACAAAGACACTCTGTGCACAGCTTCCATAGACCAGCCAGAACCAGTGCATGGTTGGTGGTCATTTATCAGGAAGGAATGCTTTGTAAACCAGTCAGCTGTCATGTCAAAATCTCAAAACGAGAGGGGAGTCCAGCCTTGGCATCAAGAGGTTAATTGAAGTCAGTGGAGGAATCATCCATTCTTTTTTTTCCAAGGCTTCTTTGCATTTAATGGTTGGGGAAAAAAAAACGTCTGGTGACAGTGAGGAAGGGGACTCACTGAAGTGTGACTGACCTTCCATCTTGTCATGGTTGGAAACGTAGTATTTGTGAAGAGTTTTTCTAAGGTCTCCTTGGCCAGTAAGAGTCTGTTCAGTTGATCAGGGGGCTTAGGATTTTACTTTTCTTTTTTTTTTTTTTTTTTGACACAAGTCTCTGTTGACTAGGCTGGAGTTCAGTGGCAGGTTCACTGCAGCCTCTGCCTCCCGGGCTCAAGCAATTCTTCTGCCCCAGCCTCCCAAGTAGACACGGGGTTTTGCCATGTTGCCCAGGCTGGTCTTGAACTCCTGACCTCAAGTGATCCTCCCGCTTCAGCCTCCCAAAGTGCTGGGATTACAGGCATGAGCCACCATGCCTGGCTGGATCTTACTTTTATTTCACAAGGGGAATGACTGGTAGTATTAAGTGCAAGATAGCCTTAGGTATGGGGGCTGAGCCTTGATGGACGGGCAGGATTTTGGACAGGTAGGTAGGAAAGGGCATGCCAGGTGGGAAGAACTGATGAGCAAGGGCATGGGGGTGAGGATGTGCCTATGGTGTTTCAGGGAACAGTGGGAGACAGAAAGGAGCAGAGGGCTGCTGTTGATGAGAATGGCCCATGGTGCCCAGGTGGTTAGCATGACCCAGGAAATTATCTGTGAAGGAGCTCAGAAGAGGCAGCCTCTCTACAGGCCTGGACTTGCCTTCTGGAAACTTTGCAAATAGAAAGCCAGAGAATGTGGCCACCAGAACGAATGTCAGTTGATTTCTCCATGGGTCAAGAAACTGAAAGTGGCCATCTGATAGCTTGCAGAGCAGTAAACAGCTTGAGCATCACTTACGGAAACCCAGATTATTCTTCAGGGGACAAACCTGGGGCCTTAGAAACACTAATGGTCATTCTCATTGTGGTCAACATAAGAAAACGAGGGACTTCAAACAAAAGATGGCTGGCACCCTGTAAGGAGAGCTCTTATTTTCTAGTGTCTGTTCATTCCATGAAGACTACGTACTGGATTGAGTTCTGAGAACCGGCCTAGTTCATATTTCATGTCACCTCCTGTGGCCAAGCCGCTCAGCCAGGCAGAACATCTTGCTGAGGGCCCACAGAATCAGGAAGGGTGTTAACTAGTGGGCTGTGATGCGTGGGCACAGCCTGTTTCCCGACACTGTTTTTAATTAATTAGCCATGACAGGCACCCAATCTCTCCCCTCTGACTCTGGCCTCCCATCCTGGGATGCACCCCAGGTGTCCTGTCTGCACCTGGAGTGCCAGCGTGTCTCAGGGAAATGCTGGTTTGTGAAGCCCCTGTCCTATTCTTCCCCAACATGGCGCAGAGATTGTAAATGCCAGACTCACAGCTTTCAAAAGCAGGAAGAGGAGACTTTGGGCAGGATCACAGACAAAGGCAGCCAGGACAAGCCCAGGAGCCTGCAAGGGGGTTTTCCACACTGGTTATATATGAAGGTCCTGCCTTCACCTCCAAATAAAAATGCAATGACCAAAAGCTAGTAAGGGATCAGTAACCATTTTAGATGAATAATGTCGATTAACATTTCAAGAGTGCGATGGGCTACATTGGAGACAATGCCTTCAAAGATGGGTTTATTATAAAATGAGGTTTTTAGGGTGGTCCTATTCCAACAGGATGGCCCTATTAGAAGAGGAAATTTGGGGCAGGCATGGTGGCTCATGCCTGTAATCCCAACACTTCGGGAGGCCAAGGAGGGCGGATCACGAGGTCAAGAGATCAAGACCATCCTGGCCAACATGGTGAAACTCCATCTCTACTAAAAATACAAAATATTAGCTGGGCGTAGTGGCACAGGCCTGTAGTCCCAGCTACTTCGGAGGCTGAGGCAGGAGAATTGCTTGAACCCGGGAGGCGGAGGTTGCAGTGAACCGAGATCCCACCATTGCACTCCAGCCTGGGTGACAGAGCGAGACTCCGTCTCAAAAAAAAAAAGAAAATTAAAAAGAAGAGTAAATTTGGACACACAGAGAGACACGAAGGGCGCTGGGGGACGACCAACCACATGAGAACACAGAGAGAAAGATCTGTCTGCAAGCCAAGGAGAGAGGCTGCAGAAGAAACCAAACCTGGCAACACCTTCATCTTGGACTTCCAGCCTCCTGAACTGTGAGGAAATAAATTTCCATTGCCATGGAAAAGCCACCCAGTCTGTGGTATTTTGTTGTAGCACGTCTCACAAGCGAATAACAGAATCACAAATGTAGGCGAAAAAATAGTACTTATTAAGACTTAGGGAATGTTTCTAGGAATTCTGTGAAGGCTTGTTGTAATAATTTCACCACCCAAAGGGTATCTGGGACTTCGAAGTCTGAAAGTCCACAGAGCAGGGAAACCTGGCCCGTTCCCGGCATCGTGTAACTCTCAGAAGCCAGACTCACTTCACTGGCCTAAATCTGTCATCTCAGGCTGTCTTCAGAGTCTGAAGTACAACAGGTTTTTTTTTGGGTTTTTTTTTTTTTTTTTTGAGACCAAGTCTTGCTCTGTCACCCAGGCTGGAGTGCAGTGGCGCAATCTCGGCTCACTGCAACCTCCACTTCCCAGGTTCAAGTGATTCTCCTGTCTCAGGCTCCTAAGTAACTGGGATTACAGGCGCACACCACCACGCACAGCTAATTTTTGTATTTTTAGTAGAGACGGGGTTTCACCATGTTGGTCAGGCTGGTCTTGAACTCCTGACCTCGTGATCTGCCCGCCTTGGCCTCACAAAGTGCTGGGATTACAGGTGTGAGCCATCGTGCCAGGCCAAATTTTTTTTTTTTTTTTAACCCAAGATGGGCACAGAAACTTCTGCCCCTTCCCTATTCATTCCAAATGCTCCAAAACCCAGCTCAGGTTTCCTCTCCTTCAGGAAGTGGATGAGAACTGATACTCTGACCTGGTACTTTCATCAGAGGCGTTCAAACCAGGGGGACTCCATCTTGAATAGGGGCAAGGTAAAATGAGGCTGAGACCTGTTGGGCTGCATCCGTAGGATGTTAGGCATTCTTAGTCACAGGATGAGATAGGAGGTCACAAGATACCGGTCACGAGGACGCTGCTGATAAAACAGGATGCAGTAGAACAGCCAGTCAGAACCCGCCAAATCTAAGATAGCAATGAAAGTGACTTCTGGTGGTCCTCACTGTGCATTATGCACTAATTATAATACGTTAGCATGCTAAAAGACACTCCCACCAGTGCTGTGACACTTTACAAATGCCATGGCAACTCCGGAAGTTACCCCACATGGAACTAAAAGGAAGAGAGACCTAAGAGAGTCTAAAAGGAAGAGAAATCCTTAGTTTCAGGAATTCCAAGCCCCTTTCACAGAAAATTCATGAACAATCCACCCCTTGTTTAGCGTATAATCAGGAAATAACCATAAAAATAGCCAACCAGGGCCGGGCGCAGTAGCTCACACCTGTAATCCCACACTTTGGGAGGCCGAGGCAGGCGATCACTTGAGGCCAAGAGTTCAAGACCAGCCTGGCCAACATGGTGAAACATCGTCTCTACCAAAAATACAAAAAATAGCCAGCCGTGGTGACACGTACCTGTAATTCCAACTACTCAAGAGGCGGAGGCAGGAGAATTGCTTGATCCCGGGAGGCCGAGACTGCAGTGAGCCGAGATTGTGCCACTGTACTCCAGCCTGGGCAACAGAGTGAGACACCGTCTCAAAAAAAAAAAAAAAGCCAACCAGCAGTCCTTGGGACCTTGGGCTGCTCTGCCTATGGAGTAGCCATTCTTTTATTTCTTTACTTTCTTAACAAACTTCTTTCACTTTAATCAGTGGACTCGCTCTGCATTCTTTTTTGCGCAAGATCCAAGAACCCTGTCTTAGGGTCTGGATTGGGACTCCTTTCTGGTAACACTTTCCTTGTTATTCTGTAAGCAGGGATCCTAGCAAGTCCCCATCTATGCACCGGAAATAGTCGGAGAATACTCCACCTCCCAGGAAGCCATTTGCAGACTAGCATGTGCACAGGGGCTGAAATGTCCTCTGGGAAGATATCTTGACTGCTGTTCAGTGGGACTCATGCACAGACATGCCCGACAGATTTGAGGGCCACTGGTGGGGAAGGGCTTACAGGAGCTGAGGAGGATATTGACCCTAGGGAGCTGTGACCCATGCTGATCCACCAGCCCTGAGGGCTGCAAGGGAGAACTGTTGGGTTTACTGTTATAACTACCAGAGGATCTTTTCTTTTTCTTTCTTTTTTCCTTTTAATTTCTTTTCCTTTTTTTTTTTTTTTTTTTTTTTTTTTTTTTTTTTGAGTTGGAGTCTGGCTCTGTCGCCAAGGCTGGAGTGCAGTGGCGCCATCTTGGCTCACTGCAAGCTCCGCCTCCCGGGTTCACGCCATTCTCCTGCCTCAGCCTCCCGAGTGGCTGATTACAGGTGCCCACCACCACACCCAGTTAATTTTTTGTATTTTTAGTAGAGACGGTTTCACTGTGTTAGCCAGGATAGTCTCGATTTCCTGACCTCGTGATCCGCCTGCCTCGGCCTCCCAAAGTGCTGAGATTACAGGCATGAGCCACTGTACCTGGCCTTTTTTTTCTTTTCTTTTACCTTGTCTTTTCTTTTCTTTGAGACAGGGTCTCCCTCTGTCACACAGACTGGAGTGTAGTGTGGCACAGTCACAGCTTACTGCAGCCTGAACCTCCCGGGCTCAAGCAATCTTTCCACCTCAGCCCCCTAAGTAGCTGGGACTACAGGCGTTCTCCACCATGCCTGGCTAATTCCTGCATTTTTTGTAGAGATGGGTTCTCACCATGTTGCCCAGGCTAGTCTCGAACTCCTGACCTCAAGTGATCCACCCTCCTCGGCCTCTCAAAGTGCTGGGATTACAGGTGTGAGCCACCGGGCCCAGTCCAGAGGATCTTTTCTTGAGCCTGCCATTCTGGAAACATTTCAAAATTGAAAGAACTGTTTCACTAAATTGTGACTCTCTGGGGCCCTACCGGGCTGTGGAGTTCACTAATTGAGTATAAATGAGGGAGAGAATATTTTCTATCCTCATTCCTCTTGTGAAAGCAACTGCTGTAAGTCAGAACCTTGCTTAGTACACTAAATACACTGCTTGGCGAGTAATAGGAACATGATAGATGTTTGCTATGTGAATAAATAAGTCAAGCTGTCCTGCATCATGAAGTTCAAGTTCACTGTTATTTATTGGTGAATCTCCGCTGCAGTTCCCCAGATGACCAGCCTGAGTCGATCAATAGGTGCTGAGCCTGAACTTAGAGTGGGGCCCTGGCAGAGCTGTGAGGACCAGCAGCTGGTGGTGGTGATGAGGGGCATGCCATAACACTAAGCAACATCAGGATTATTTACAAACCCTCTTCTGGGAAGGGAATTTCCTCATGAGTACAGGAACCATTGCAAATCAGATAGCAATATTGACATGACCACAATTGCATTCTCAGGGTATTGAAATCTGAGACCTTAGGCTTCTATTTCACTGAATTCTTATAATACCACTGCAAGTTGAGGTATACATTTCCTGATTTTATGGATAAATAAACTACTGTTACAATAATACTGTGGAACAAGCAACCACAAAATCTCAGAGTCACAAACATTTATATTTCACTTGGGCACCTGTAGGTTGGCTGTGATTTAGCTCATCTAAGCTGGACTCAGCTGGGCTGGGTTCCAGGCTCTGCAGTAGGTCCAGTGTATACAGCACCCTTGATGTAAGTAACTCCATCTTAGAAAAATACTTCAACTTACTTTTCAAAAGGCATCAAGCCAGCTGGGCTCAGATGTTCTCCTAATCAACAGAGATAACACCCAAAAAGATAAGGGCATAACCTTTTACTATCAGTCCTCAGCAGAGGACTCCAGGGCCATAAAATGAGCAGAACATCACCAGCTAGGAATGGCCTTCTTGACAGACTCTGTCTTGCTGTCACTCATTATTAGCACCTGGCATCTGCTGCTGAAGGCTCTGCCCACATTAAGGACTGTTCTTGCCAGACATTGATGACTGTCGGGGTCAGGCCGGGACACTCTCCTTGTCCACGTAACTCTCCTTGGACTGGTTCATTAACCCCTTCTCCTATTCCTTTTTCTCTTCATGTTAAATGTTACTCTGTTTTGTGTGAAATATTAATCTAGAACATTTATATATTGATTAAGCATACTATTATTATTTATGGTTTGCAATATTGACTGACTGTGGAATAGCTTGAACCTGTGTGCCCACAGCTCTGACTACTGAGTAAACAGGTAATACTCAAGAGAATTGTTAGCCAGGCACGGTGGCTCATGTCTGTAATCCCAGCATTTTGGGATGCTGAGGAAGGAGGATTGCTTGTGTCCAGGAGTTGGAGACCAGCCTGGGCAATACAGCAAGACCCTATCTCTAAAAAAAAAAAAAAAGCCTCCTTTGGAGCTGCATGTATCTTGTGGCTCTTATGATCGAAATGGTGTCAGTAAAAGTCTTACCTTATGGAAAGACTCAGATGTGTGTGGACCTGGTTATGTCTGACTTTGCGCAGCTCACAACATCCACACTTGCTCTATGTATTTTTATTCTTCTGGGATCAGTGGGCAAGTGAGGCATGTTCATCTTAAATGGGATCAGAGTATGCCACACCAAAAAATGCACCTTGACATAAGGATGATTAAGACTCAGTAGTTGCAAAAGAATTCTTACT
The DNA here is from genome assembly GCF_000001405.40 of Homo sapiens. Taxonomy (NCBI): domain Eukaryota; kingdom Metazoa; phylum Chordata; class Mammalia; order Primates; family Hominidae; genus Homo; species Homo sapiens. The sequence goes on along the minus strand of NC_000004.12, from coordinate 25,722,346 downwards.
CTCCCCTTTTCTGCCTAAAAGTAGGATATAAATTTATCTTGTGAAGGTAACGTCCTCTTTCGTACCAAGAGAAGAGAGACTCTTATCATCAGAGATAGCACCTAAATGAGTCTGCATAAACAAACTTTGCTAAAATAACTCATCTTCCATTACCTTTGCCATATATTTCCTAGTCACTTTTTTCCCCATGATTCATTATTTCTCAAAGCTCAAAGCCCCTTTCCTTTGTTAAAATGGTATATAAGGCCCTGAGTCTAACCACTTCAGTTTTACTTTTTTCCTGTAAACTCGTGTGCACACAAACATTAATAAAAATTGTATGCCTTTTCTCCCATTCCCCTGTCTTTTGTTACTTTAATTCGCAGACCCCCAGGAACAAAATATAACAGAGTAGTGTAAAAGTTTGTCCTCTCCAGCAATCTCATGGCAAAAAGGCTCGAAAGCACAACTGTGCAAACACATTTGAAGACGTCCATCATGTCACTTCCACTGAGATCCCACTGGCGAAAGCAAGTCACATGGGTAAGTCAAAGTCAAGGGACAGAGAAGTGTAGGCTTCCCATGGAAGTGGGAGGTGGGTTATTTTCAACCTCCATTTGTCTACACCAAAGCTGGAGCTGCCGCCTTGCAGCCTTCGCTGAAGCCTTCCTCCTGTGAATTTCCCTGGCTCATTGACTTGACCACTCCATGAAACAGTTATGTACTTTTGTCATCTTGTCCAAGTCTTAGTTCTTTGGTATTTGCTTTGTCTCCCCAATAGAATTTTTGCATTATTAAGGCAAGGGCAATTCTGAGACACCCCCAGCATTCGTACAATGCTGACACAGAGAAAGTACACGGTAAGTCATTGTGGAAGGACTGGTCAGGTGTATTTTTTTTCTATCTTTCTACCGAGAAGCCTGCAGTAAGTGCCGCTGTGGGTATCCTGGCAGATTACATGAAAACAAACGCAAAAGAGCTGAGCTTGTACCTGTGGCCCCACATTGCTGGAGGAATTTGACAGCTCTTCATTATTTCAGAGGATTTCTACCAGCAGGTACAGCTGGGTTAATCCGCACCATATCCTTGCAGACTTAATTAGCAGCTCCTTATCAGAACTCAGCTTCTTAATACTAGACATTAAAAAAAAAAAGTTCCAAGCTTATATCCTTATGTTCAGTTACTTCTCATGCAAATCTGAGACCAAAATCTCACCTTCTAAAGAGAGTCAAGAGATGAGAGTCAAAGTGATTCAAAAATGTCCTTTTCCTGGTCAGATGAAGATTATACTAATACTGATTAATTTGCAACCTCCAATATGGAATAATTCTATTCATTATCTCAGAAGTATTCTTTTTTGATGGTTTCTTCTGGGCATTCTACCACTCTAGTCTAGCCCCGGTCCCAGAATTAGGGGGACGCTGACCCCCAACAGGCATTTTTCCCCTCTACTCCTTAGAAGTCCTCTCCTAAATACATCTGTACTTTTTGCATCAGGAGTTTCAAATACTTGGGCTCACCACAGACAGATAGAAGGTAGTCAAAAGCAGATACTTCAAGCACTATCCATCACAATTGCCTTAGGTATTTACTTTACCTTTCTACAAGTCTAGGAATATTTCAAGGCCCCCTTTACTATCGCTGATGGGCTCTACGGCTCAACATTCTTTACAGACACAGGCTTTCGCGGATTTCACATTATTATTGGATCAACATTTCTCACTGTCTCCTCTGCCAATTAAAATTCCACTTTACATCCAACCACCGCTTTCCCTTTGAAGCCGCTGCCTGGTATTGACACTTCGTAGATGTAGTATGACTATTATTATACGTCTCTATCTCCTGATGAGGATCCTACTCTTTTAGCATAAACAGTACCATTGACTTCCAATCAATTAGTTTCGATACTATCTGAAAGACAGTAATCAACCTGACACTAGGCCTAGTAACCGACACCTCACTGGCCCTATTACTACTAATAATAGCATTGTGGATCCCACAACTTAATATTTATATGTAAAAATCCAACCCCTATGAATGTGGATTTGACCCAATAACCTCCGCCTGCTTCCCCTTCTCCTTAAAATTCTTCCCAGTAGCCACCACATTCCTCTTCTTCCACTTAGAGATCACTCTACTACTACCCCTGCCATGAGCCCTTCAAACAACCAATCTGACACTAATAATCAGCACAGCCCTTATATTAGTTACCATTTTAATCCCAGGCTTGACTTATGAATGAGCCCAAAAAGGGTTAGACTGAGTTGAATTGGTAAATAGTTTAAGTCAAAATAAATGATTTCAACTCATTAGATTATGATAGACCGTGTTTACCAAATGCCCTCTATTTACATTAATATTATATTAGCATACACCATATCACTACTAGGAGTATTAGTCTATCAATCACACCTAATATCCCTATGATGCCTAAAAGGCATAATACTATCAATATTTATCATAAATCCTCTCATAACTTTAAATATACATTTCGCTCTAGCATCCATAATACCTATTATCCTCCTAGTATTTGCTGTCTGCGAAGCTGCCGTGGGCCTTTCCTTACTAGTTTCAATCTCCAGTACGTATGGCCTAGATTATGTACAAAATCTGTTTGCTTCAATGCTAAATATTATTGTTCCAACAATTACACTGTTACCGATGACATGATTCTCTAAAAATTCTGTAATCTGAATCAACTGGTTATCCACAGCCTGCTCATCAGCCTCATCAGCCTACTATTTTTTAACCAATTCAACAATACCTCATCCAATTTCTCATTAGTCTTCTCTTCTGTCCCGCTGACATCACCTCTTCTAATCTTAACAGCCTGACTACTACCTCTTAAAATTCTAGCAAGCCAATATCACCTGTCCAATGAATCACACCCCCGAAAAAAAGCTCTATATTTCTATATTGATTTCCCTACAGACTTTTTAAATCATAGCATTCACCGCCACAGAACTAATTATATTTTATATCCTCTTTGAAGCCACGCTAGTTCCTACCCTAAGTATCATCACCCACTAAGGCAACCAACCAGAACGCCTCAATGCAAGCTCATACTTCTTATTTTACACATTAGTAGGATCCCTTCCTCTACTTGTAACACTCGTTTATACTCAAAAGATATCAAGGTCACTAAATATGCTAGTAATAATACTTTTCTTTTCTTTTCTTTTCTTTTTTAAGAGACAGATTTTCACTCTCGTTGCCTGGGCTGAAGGGCAGTGGCACGATCTCGGCTCACCGCAACCTACGCCTCCCGGGTTCAAACGATTCTCTTGCCTCAGCCTCCCAAGTAGCTGGAATTACAGGCATGTGCCACCACGCTAGGCTAATTTTGTATTTTTAGTAGAGACGGGGTTTCTTCATGTTGGTCAGGCTGGTCTCACACCCCTGACGTCAGGTGATCTGCCTGCCTCAGCCTCCCAAAGTGCTGGGATTACAGGCGTGAGCCACCACGCCCAGCCTAGTAATAATACTTACTACCCAAGAGCTATTAACCTCCTGATCCAATAATCTTATATGACTAGCATGTATCATGGCTTGTATAGTAAAAATACCTCTATATGGACTTCACCTAAGACTCCTCAAAGCTCATATAGAAGCTCAATAGTTCTTGCAGCAGTACTCCTAAAGCTAGGCAGTTACGGTATGATACAGCTTACTCTTATCCTCACCCCCCTAACAGAATAGATAGCCTGTCTGTTCCTCATCTTGTCCCTATGAGGAATAGCTCTGTTTGTCTACGATAAACTGATCGAAAATCACGTATTGGCTACTCCTCCGTAAGCCACATAGCACTTGTTATTATGCCTATCCTCATCCAGACCCTTGAAGCTTTATAGGTGCAATCACCCTTATAATTGCTCGCGCATTCACTTCATCCTTACTATTCTGCCTAGCAAATTCAAACTATGAGCGAGTCCATAGATGAACCATATTACTTACCCGAGGGCTTCAAACACTGCTCCCACTAATAGCCTCTTCTAGCAAATCTTACTAACCTTGCCTTACTCCCTACCATTAATCTAGCAGGAGAACTCTTTGTGACTATGGCCTCATTCTCCTGATCAAATGTCACTATTATGCTTATAGGACTTAATATACTAATTACAGCCCTTTCCTCCCTGTATATGCTAATCAAGACACAATGAGGGACACTTGCATATTATATTAACAGTATTAAACCTTCCTTTACATGAGAAAATACATTAATACTTATACATCTTGAGCCTATCTTCCTATTATCCTTAAACCCTAAAATTATTATAGGGTTTGCATGCTGTAGCTATAGTTCAACCAAAACATTAGATTGTGGATCTAACAATAGAAGCCTGCAACTTCTTACCTATCAAGAAAGTATGCAAGAACTGACAGCTCATGCCCCCATGCCTGATAATATGGTTTTCTCAACTTTTAAAGGATTAGAGTCATCCGTTGGTCTTAGGGACTTATCACTTACTATGTACAAGGATCATGCATTCATAAGATTGTTTAACCTTTATCTTAGTTAATCTTCTAGCTACTATAATTATCCCCATCTTGCAGCTGAGGAAAATGAGGCTTAAAGAGATTACGTGACTTGCCCAGGGTCACAGTGCTTACAAATGGTAGAACTGAAAGTAAACCCTGGCAAAAACATCTTTGCTTCTTAGCATTCTATGCTAAATTCCTCCTCTGTTCATTTTATTTTTTTGAGACAGAGTCTCGCTCTGTCGCCCAGGCTGGAGTGCAGTGGCCCAGTCTTGGCTCACTTCAACCTCCACCTCCCGGGTTCAAGTGATTCTCCTGCCTCAGCCTCCCAAGTAGCTGGGACTACAGGCATCTGCCACCACGCCCGGCAATTTTTTGTATTTTTAGTAGAGATGGGGTTTCATCATGTTGGCCAGGCTGGTCTCAAACTCCTGACCTCAGGTCATCCACTTGCCTCAGCCTTCCAAAGTGCAGGGATTACAGGCGTGAGCCACTGTGCCCTGCACAATCATTGGTTTTTATAAAACAAAATATTATAGCCACAAAAAATATCCCATAACCATTCTTCCCTACTCCTATCGTGGTAGAAAAAAACCTAGTTCTTGTCACACAGCCAGGAAAAGGTTCATCCTCCCTCTATGCCCAGAGGTAACCATGACTTGAATTTAATGGGGTTTTTTTTATTTTTAATTTTTGTGCTACATAGTAGGTGTATATATTTATGGATTACATGAGTTTTGTTTTTGTTTTTGTTTGTTTTTCAAGACAGGGTCTCACTCTGTCATCCAGGCTGGAGAGCAGTGGTGTGATCTCGGCTCACTGCAACCTCTGACTCCTGGGTTCAAGTGATCCTCTCACCTCAGCCTCCCAAGTAGCTGGGACTACAGGCATGCACTACCATGCCCGGCTAATTTTTCTATTTTTAATAGTGACAGGGTTTCACCATGTTGACCAGGCTGGTCTCGAACTCCTGGGCTCAAGAGATCCATCTGCCTTGGCCTCCAAAGGTTCTGGGGTTACAGGCATGAGCCACCGCACCTGGCCTTTTTTTGAATTTAGTGTTTCTAATTCCATTGTACTTGTCATACTCTTACTACATATGTAGATTAGCACAAAAATTACATAGAATTATTTGAATGTTTTAAAATTTTATTTAAGTAATATTCTTTAAACCATTTGCTTTTCAACTCCAGCTTACGTGTTTACACTTTATTCTCATTGATACATATAGGAATCTTGGAATAGGAATATTGCTATATAATGTTCAATTTTGTAATAACATTATTTATTCATTTTCTTGTTGATTTTTGTTAATACAAATAATATATCAATGGATATTTTGTACGTATCTTTTAAAGCAAATGTTCTAGAAGTTTTCTAGATTATGTACCCAAAAGTGCAATTACTGTGTCAAAGGGCATGCATATTTTCTACTTTATTGCCATGTAGTTCTCCAATGTGGTAATACCAATTTACATTCCTGCCAGCAAGCTATGAATGTTCTCTATGTTCTATATCCTCACCAATACTTGAATGTGTCAGAATTTAAAACGTTTCCCAATCAACTGTAGTAAAATGATAGCTCATTTTAATATATAGTTTCCTGATCACTATAATAAGCCTTTCTTATTATGTTAATTGGCCATTTACATTTCTTCTTCTGTGAGTGTTTTGATCATATTTTCTGTTCATTTTCATATTGGATTTTTTTTTCTTATTGATTTGGAACTCTGGATACGAATCTTTTCTCAGTTACGTGTATTGAAAATATATTCTCCTACTGTCTTTTAACCTCTTATGATACCTTTTATTATATCAAAAATTTTAACTTCAATGTAGCAAATGTGTTCAATTTTAATATATTGCTCTTTCTTTTGAAAGATAATGCATACAGCACATAGCTTAAACTTCAAGAGGTACAAAAGAGCATATAGTAAAAGGTCTATTCTCTGCCTCTTCAAATCACCCAATTCCCTTTAGTGTCCTCCCAGAATTATGCACATAAAAGCAAAATACAATAAATATTTTCACTTTTTTAATCCAAATATTAGTGTACACTGTTATGCATCTTGGGTTTTTTTTTCTTCCTTTACTATATAACCTGGAGATTATTCCACACCAGTAATATATTTAAGAGAGTTTCTTTGTTGTTTTATAGCTATATAATATTCCATAATATGAATGTACTATAATTTATATTTAACAAGATTAATATTTAGTGGCTTCTTTCCCATATTTTGTTGTTACAAACAATGGTGCACTGAGTAACCTTGTTCTTTTATCATGGCACACGCGTGTGTAGATGTCTAGGGAAAACATTTTTAGATATGGAAATGGCCAAAGAGTAGGTACAATTGTAATTTTGACAGATATTGCCAAATTTCCACCATAGGGGTTGTAAAAATTTGCTCCCCACAGCATTGTAAAAGGGTCTATTTCCTCTACCATGGACAATAACATAAGTCAGACTTCTGGATTTTTACCAACCCGATAGGTGAAAAATGGGATCTCAATGTAGTTTTTATTTGCATTTCTTTTTTAAAAAATATAATTTTTAAAAATTGAGAGCGTGTCTTGCTCTGTTGCCCACGCTGGTCTCCAACTCCTGGACCCAAGTGATGGTCCTGCCTCAATCTCCCAAAGTGCTGGGATTACAGGTGTGAGCCACCATGCCTGACCATTGATTTGTATTTCTGTTATTATTAACGAAGTTGAACATAGGGTGCAAAAATTTAGTATTTTTAGATTCTTAAGACCACTTATGTATACTTTTCTGTGATCTATCTGTTTCTATCGAATTATTGCTACTTTATTGATTTGAAAATGTTCTTTCTTGTTGAAATTAGCTCTTTGTCTGTGACATAAGTTGTAGTGGTTGTTCCCATGCATATGATTCAACTTATTTGTTTTTGTTTTATGATTTGAGCTTTCTCTGCTTTTGTTAGGTTTTTTCCTGATCTGATGTCATCAAAATATTATCCTACATTTCAAAAAACTTTGTAATATTTTGCATTCTTGGCAGGGCGCGGTGGCTCACACCTGTAATCTCAGCACCTTGGGAGGCTGAAGCAGGCAGATCACTTAAGGCCAGAAGTTCAAGACCAGCCTGGGCAAAATGGAGAAACCCCATCTCGACTAAAAAATACAAAAATTAGCCGGGCATGGTGGTGCATGCCTGTAATCCCAGCTACTCAGGAGGCTGAGGCAGAGAATTTCTTGAACCCAGAAGATGGAGGTTGCAGTGAGCCAAAATTGCACCACTGCACTCCAGCCTGGGTGAGAGAGCAAGACTCTGTCTCAAAAAAAAAAAAGAAAAAGAAGGAAAGAAAGAAAGAAGAAAGAAAGAAAGAAAGAAAGAAAGAAAGAAAGAAAGAAAGAAAGAAAGAAAAAGAAAGAAAGAGAAAGAAAGAAAGCAATTTTATTTTATTGTCCATATACATAAGTAGCTGTACCATTTATTGAATAATCCTTTTCATCCCAGCAGACTGGTAATGGCACTTTTGGAGATGATGAAATTTGCAATGTATATGAGGCTCTATTTCTGAGTTCCCTGTTCTAGCCCTCTGGTCCATTCCAGTGCTTAGTAACCTTTGTACATCATTTTCACATAGAAAATGATCATCTTCGCAAGGTACTTTGGAGTATATGAAAAAGGCTGGTGGTCCCATGGGGCTTCAGCTACTGCAGGCCCCCTCACTTTATGACATGAACTCAATCTCATAAAGATTTCAAGTCCCCCCAAAATTCATCTGTAAACTCACCTAATTTTAAAATTTTTTTGGAAGAGCAAAGGGACAAAAAGTACTTAAGACAACTTTGGAGAAAGACAAAGAGGAGTGACTTGCCTTATCAGACAAATCATTTAAATTGCATCATCACTGGTGGTTCACGTGTGGGAAAAATAAATAGATAAATTGCATCCTCATCTTTTTTTAAGGCTTTTAATGAAGTTTTATAATTTCTATCCTAAAGGTTTAACAAATATTTTGTTAAATCTATTCTTTGGCCGGGCACGGTGTCTCATGCCTGTAATCCTAGCACTTAGGAAGGCCGAGGCAGGCAGATTGCCTGAGCTCAGGAGTCCAAGACCAGCCTGCACAACATGGAGAGACCCCGTCTCTACTAAAATACAAAAGATTAGCTGGGTGTGGTGGTGGGCGCTTGTAGTTCCAGCTACTCGGGAGGCTGAGGCAGGAGAATTGCTTGAACCCAGGAGGCGGAAGTTGCAGTAAGCCGAGATCAAGCCACTGCACTCCAGCCTAGAAGACAGAGCGAGACTCCGTCTCAAAAAAAAAACAAAAAACAAAAAAACTATTATTTGATATATTGCTGTTTTGCGGATATTATAAACTGTTCTTTTCTCCCCTTCCTTAAAGAGTCAGGAGAACATAATGATGAAGATGATAAAATAATCATCATCATCATCATTCATCATCATGATCATCATCTTGATGGCAAATAGCTACCACTTATATAGCCAAGGACTACTCAAAGGACTTCACATATTTTAACTAATTTATCTCTATAAAAACCCTACTAAGTTTCCCGGTTCAGTGGCTCATGCCTGTAATCCCATCACTTTGGGAGGCCGAGGCGGGCATATCACTTGAGGTCAGAAGTTGGAGACCAGCCTGGCCAACATGGCAAAACCCTGCCTCTACTAAAAATGCAAAAATTAGCCAGGCATGATGACATGCTCCCAGCTACTTGGGAGGCTGAGGCACAAGAATCACTCAAACTCAGGAGGTGGAGGTTGCAGTGAGCTGAGATCATGCCACTGCAGTCCAGACCAGGTGACAGAATGATACTGTCTCAAAAAAAAAAAAAAAAAAAAGCAAACAGAGGAAGTAAATTACCTAAATGATAGAAATCTTTCAGCTCCCCTATACAAAGATTAGCCTTGTGTGTGGGTATGTTGAATGTACTGAGCTCCAACTATGGGATTTAAATGTTACCACATGGTTTGCAACATTCATTCTATTGACTGCATTTTATAAATTAAATTATTTTGAAAGTGCCACTCAACTTACATTTGATAAAATCATAAACAGAGAACAGCTCCTCCACTTACACGCAGGGCTGCGACTCTGGAAATTTTCCTCCTCCCTGTCCTTTGTTTGAAGCACTGATCAACTTGTCCTGGGCTCCCTGCTTGTTTCCAGACCAGGGTTTGGAGTGGCTGACTTTTCTTTACCTGCCTCCATGCATATTCCACAGAGATTAAAATCATGTAAGGATCTTTCTCCACCAGTAGGGAAAGAATAGGCTCTTCCACAATTGGTTCTGGCACAACTGAATTCCCACATGCAGAAGTATTATGTTCAACCCCTTCCTCATATCACATACAAAAATTATCTCAGGGCTAGGTGCGGTGGCTCATGCCTGTAATCCCAGCACTTTGGGAGGCCGAGCTGGGCGGATCACTTGAGGTCAGGAGTTCGAGACCAGTCTGGCCAACACGGTGAAACCCCGTCTCTACTAAAAATACAAAAATTAGCCGGGCGTGGTGGCGTGTACCTGTAGTTCCAGCTACTCTACTCGGGAGGCTGAGGCAAGAGAATCTCTTGAACCCGGGAGGCGGAGGTTGCAGTAAGCCAAGATCATGCCACTGCACTCCAGCCTGGGTGACAGAGCAAGACTGTCTAAAAAATAAATAAATAAATAAATCTCAGAATGGATCAACAACCTAAATATAACAGCCATAGTACTCTTAGCAGAAAAGTGGAATAAATCTTCATGACCTTGGATTTGGCAATGGTTTCATTTTGTTTTTTTTTTTGGAGACAGTGTCTTGCTCTGCTGCCCAGGCTGGAGTACCATGTGTGATCATGGCTCACTGCAGCTGGGCTTAAACCATCCTCCTGCCTCAGCCTCCTGGTTAGCTGGGACCATAAGTGTGTGCCACCATGAACCCGGCTGGCAAAGAATTTTTAGATATGACACCAAAGCATGAGCAACAAATGACAAAATTGATCAATTGGACTTCATGAAAGTTAAAAACTTTTGCGTATCAAACGATATTATCGGCTGAACATGGTGGTTCACAGCTGTAATCCCAGTATTACCGGAAGGCAGCCATTCATTGTGAGATGTCCAGGTTGAATAAATAATTGAACAAAGTGCACAAAGTAACAAAAGAATGAAACAGCGAAAGCAGGGACTGATTGATTGATTTTTGAGACAGAGTCTCATTCTGTCACTCAGGCTGTAGTGCAGTGGCATGATCTCAGCTCACTGCAACGTCTGCCTCCCGGGTTCAAGCGATTCTCCTGCCTCAGCCTCCTGAGTACCTGGGACTACAGGCATGAGCCACTAAGCCCAGCTAATTTTTATATTTTTAGTAGAGATGGGGGTTTCACCATGTTGGCCAGACTGGTCTTGAACTCCTGACCTCAAGTGATGCATCTGCCACAGCCTCCCAAAGTGCTGGGATTACAGGTGTGAGCCACTGCACCCAGCAAAAACACTGATTTATTAAAGCAAGAAAGCACTCTGGCCTGGAGTGGTGGTTCAGGCTTGTAATCCCAGCACTTTGGGAGGCCGAGGTGTGCGGATCACGAGGTCAGGAGTTTGAGACCAGCCTGGCCAACATGGTGAAACCCCATCTCTACTAAAGATACAAAAAATTAGCCAGGTGTGGTGGGGCATGCCTGTAATCCCAGCTACTTGGGAAGCTGAGGCAGGAGAATCGCTTGAATCCGGGAGGCAGAAGTTGCAGTAAGCCAAGATTGCACCATTGCACTCCAACCTGGGCGACAGGGCGAGATTCCATCTCAAAGAAAAGAAAGAAAAAAGAAAAGAAAGCACTCCATAGGGTAGGAGTAGAATGAAGCAAGCAGCTCAAGGACCCCACCTACAAAGTTTGTGGGGGTTTAAGTAGTCCGTTTGAGGTTCCTATCAGCTACCTCTTATCTGGATGAAAGATTTGGCCTGTGGCTAATTAAAGGCTGAGGTGAATTGGCCGGTGGCTAACCCAAGGCTGGAGCAGATTGATGCCCTATGCAGATGAAGGGGTAGTGCTTCCTCAGTCCCCTTCCGCTCCAGGGCACTCTCCCTCTCTATCCTGGGGGAAGGAGGGAAGTTGTAGGAGAGTAAGTAGCCTTTGATCCTTTGTTACTTGGGCCTGGGGAGATTGAGTTTTTCCTTTTGGTGTAGCTTTAGGAAGTTCCTGCCAATTGGCCTTAGGGTTCCTGCTCCCAGACCCAAGTATTTCCCCTCTGATTTCACCTTAGGAAATTTTCATGAATTGGGCTTAGATTCCTGGCCCCCAGAACTTGATGTTTTCCCTTGATTCAGCTTTAGGAAGTCAGCACAAATTGTTCTCAAGTTCCCTGCCTCCAGACTCTATTCTCTGGCCTCACCAACACTCTGGCAGGCCAAGTTAGGAGGATGGCTTGAACCCAGGAGCTTAAGAAGAGTCTGGGCAACAAAGCCATACCTCATCACTATGAAAAATAGAAACTGCCAGGCATGGTGACTCATGTCTGTAATCCCCACACTTTGGGAGGCCGAAGTGGGTGGATGGCTTGAGCCCAGGAGTTTGAGACCATCCTGGGCAACATGGCAAGGTCTTGTCTCTTAAAAAATACCAAAAATTAGCTGGGGATGGTGGTGCATGCCTGTGGTCCCAGCTACCTGGGAGGCTGAAGTGGGACGATCACCTGAGCCCTGAAAGTTGAGGGTGCAGTGAGCTGTGATCATGTCACTGCACTCCAGCCTGAGAGATGGAGTGAGACCTTGCCTCAAAAAAGAAATAAAAATTTTTTAATTAAAAAAAAAAATGGCCGGGCACAGTGGCTCATGCCTGTAATCCCAGCAATTTAGGAGGCCAAGGCAGTTGGATCACTTGAGTCCAGTAGTTCAAGACGACCCTGGGCAACATGGTGAAGCCTCATCTCTACTAAAAATACAAAAACTAGCCAAGTATGGTGACCTGTGCCTGTAATCCCAGCTACTTGGGAAGCTGAGGCAGGAGAATCACTTGAACCCGGGAGGCAGAAGTTGCAGTGAGCTGAGATTGTGCCACTGCACTCCAGCCTGGGAGACAGAGTAAGACTCTGTCTCAAGAAAAAAAAAAAAGTAAAAGACATTATCAAGAAAGTGAAAAGATAATCTATGAGTGGGATAAAATATTTGCAAATTGCATATGTGATAAGAGTCTAGTATCCAGAATATATAAAGAACTCTTACAACTTAAAAAGGCAAAAAACCCAATTTAAAAAATACGCAAAGAACTTGAATAGATATTTTCCCGAACAATATATGCAAATGGCCAAGAAGCACATGAAAAGAAGCTCAACATCATTCATTATTAGAAAAGTGCAAATAGAAAGCACAAAGAGTTACCACGTCACACCACCAGGATGGTGTTAAAAAAAAAAGAAAAATCACAAGTGTCGAGGAGGATGTGGAGAAACTGGAATGCCCATACATTGCTGGTGAGAATGTCAAGTGGCTCAGCCACCATGGAAAACAGTTTAGGGGTTCCTCAAAAATTTATACACAGAATTACCACAGGACCCCAAAATTCCACTTTTATGTATTTATTTTTATTTTTTATTTTAATTAATTTATTTATTTTGAGACAGAGTCTCACTCTGTCACCCAGGCTGGAGTGCAGTGGTGCAGTCTCGGCTCACTGCAACCTCTGCCTCCTAAGTTCAAGTGATTCTCCTGCCTCAGCCTCCCAAGTAGCTGGGATTACAGGCGCCCACCACCATGCCCAGCTAATTTTTGTATTTTTTTTTTTAGTAAAGACAGGGGTTTCACCTTGTTGGCCAGGCTGGTCTCAAATCCCTGACCTCAGGTGATCTGCCTGCCTTGGCCTCCCAAAGTGCTGGAATTATAGGCATGAGTCACCGTGCCCAACCCACTTTTAGATCTAAATTCCACTTTTAGATCTAAATCTCACAATTCCACTTTTAGATCTAAACCCCAAATAATTGAAAACAGGCACTCTAACGAGTACATGAACATGGATGTTCATAGCAGCACAACTCACAATAACCGAAAGGTGTGAAGAGCCCAAATGTTCCTCATCCCATGAATGGCTCAGCAAGTTGTTGTATATGCATACAATGGAGTATGATTCAGCCAAAAAAAAGTACTGATACAGGCTGCAATGTGGATAAACACATTATACTAGGTGAACATTAAACTTTTTTCACTTAATATAATGTTTTTATTGGGTTGTTTGTTTTAATATAATGTTTTTATCCAAATGTGGATATTAAAGAACTCTTAGAATTTAAAAAGACAAACAATCCAATTTAAAAAATAGGCAAAGAACTTGAATAGATATTTCCCCGAAGAATATATGCAAATGGCCCTGCTGTCTAGGAGACAGTGGTATTTCGTTTTATCTGTAAAATAGAGATGACAGTAGTCCCGCTTCACAGATCTGGTAGAATAATAAATGACAGTTCATGCAATGTAATTAGTTTATTATTATTATCCAAATGTAGATAAAAACATTATAGTTAGTTAGCTGGGCATGATGGCAGGCACCTGTAGTCCCAGCAACTCCGGAGGCTGAGGCAGAAGAATCGCTTGAACCGGGAGGCGGATGTTGCAGTGAGTCGAGATCGTACCACTGCGCTCCAGCCTGGGCGACAGAGTGAGACTCTGTCTCAGACAACAACAGCAAAAACACAAGCACATCATACTAAGTGAAAAAAGCCAGAAACAAAAAGTCATATATTGTTTGACTTCATTTACATGCAATATCCAGAATAGATAAATCCATACACACAGACATGGATTGGTGGTTGCCAGTGGGCGAGGAGGTGGAAATGTGTAATGAGGGGAAACTGCTTAATGGGTAAGGGGTATCACTTTGGAGTAATGGAGATGTTTTAAAACTAGATAGGCAGGGTGCTGTGACTCATGCTCATAATCTCAGCACTTTGGGAGGCCAAGGCGGGCGGATCACGAGGTCAGGAGTTTGAGACCAGCCTGACCAACATGGTGAAACCCCATCTCTACTAAAAATACAAAAGTTAGCTGGGCGTGGTGGCACATGCCTGTAATCCGAGCTACTCGGGAGGCTGAGGCAGGAGAATCACTTGAATCTGGGAGGCGGAGGTTGCAGTGAGCCGAGATCGCGCCACTGCACTCCATCCTGGGCGACAGAGCAAGACTCTTTCTCAAAAAAAAATAAAAGAAAAAAAAATTAGCCAGGCATGGTGGCACGCACGTGTGATCCCAGCTACTTGGCAGACTGAGGGGAGAATCACCTGAGCGCAGGAGGTTGAGGCAGCAGTGAGCCAAGACTGCATCATTGCACTCCGGCCTGGGTGATAGAGTGAGACCTTGTCTCAAAAAAATAAAAATAAAAAAATAAAACCTAGATAAAGGTGGTGATTGTACAACGTTGTGAATGTACTAAATGCCCCTGAATTTTTCACTTTAAAATGGTTAATTTTGTGTTACGAAATTTCATATATATGTATTTATTATTACTATTATTATTTTAGACAAAGTTTCTGTTGCCCAGGCTGGAGTGCAGTGGCATGATCTCAGCTCACTGCAACCTCCGCCTCCTGGGTTCAAGCAATTCTCTTGCTTCCGCCTCTCGAGTAGCTGGGATTACAGGCGTGTGCCACCCCACCTGGCTAATTTTTGTATTTTTCGTAGAGATGAGTTTCACCATGTTGACCAGGCTGGTCTCAAACTCCTGATGTCAAGAGATCCGCCTGCCTCTGCCTCCCAAATTGTTGGGATTACAGGCGTGAGCCACTGCGCCTGGCCATCCCCTCAATATATATATTTTTTTAATCAGGAAAGGGACAAAGCTATTCTTTAGCAAACAAACAATACAGAAGGAGTAAAGAGGTAAACATGCTGTCTAGGAGACATTGGTATTTTGTTTTATCTGTAAAATAGAGATGACAGTAGTCCCGCTTCACAGATCTGGTAGAATAATAAATGATTAATTCATGCAATGTACTTAGTTTATTATTATTATTATTATCATTATTACTATTTTTTGAGATGGAGTATCACTCTGTTGCCCAGGTGGGAGTGCAGTGGCACAATCTCGGCTCACTGTAGCCTCTGCCTCCTGGGTTCAAGTGATTCTCCTGCTTCAGCCTCCTGAGTAGCTGGGATTACAGGCACCCGCCACCATGCCCGGCTAATTTTTGTATTTTTAGTAGAAATAGGGTTTCACCATGTTGGCCAGTCTAGTCTCACACTCCTGACCTCCAGTAACCAGCCCGCCTCAGCCTCCTAAAGTGCTGGGATTACAGGCATGAACCACTGTGCCTGGCCCATGCATTGTACTTAGAAGAGGGCCATACATATGGTGAATGCTCCATATATGTTATCTATCATCATTGTTATAAATTCTTGCCCAAAGAACCCACTAGAAAGCTTTCTCAAAAAATTCTAATGCAATCACTTTCTCCTTCAATCCTATTAAGATTGTAAAAATCAATAAAAAAAATGAAATCTTTTTTTCAGATGATTTTTTCATTTCAAAAAAAAGATGCAAAAGAACTGACCTCAATATAACTAGTATCACTGGACTCTACTACCTGTCAAATACTTTGCAAATACTGTGACACTTGTGGGTAGGTATATGGTCCTCATTTTGCAGCAGGGGAAACTGAGGCTCAAAGAGGTTAACTGACTTGACCAATACCTCACAGATGGTCAGTGGCAGATTGAGAGTTCAAAGCCAGGTCTGGCTTTTACCAAGACTGGAGTCCCTCACTCTACTGCATTGCTTTCTCTGCACAAAGTAACTTTCTAGGCCAAGCCTATTGGAGGGGGCCGAGGGTGAGAGGTGAAGACAGAAGGAAAAACTGCAGGACAAAGGGAAAGCCCCGCTCGCTTGGAGTGCGAACTCTGCCAACTAGTACTCCCAACATCACTGGCTTTCTAATTGGCCACAGCCACATGCCTTATTCCTTTCATGATACATTAATCCCAAGTACCAGATTGGGACCAACCTGATGTGGTCTCGCCTTGCTACATTAACCTACTGATTTGAAAGGAGTTCTAAAATATTGGCCAGCACAGATGCGTGGGAAATCTGAGACCTGTCTCTGTCCTTTACTTTCATCCCACTCCTAACTCAAGCTTGCGATATCTCCAGCACTGCATAAGAGGATGCTATTTATGCTGGGTGTGAGGGGTTCAAGATAGAGGTGGCTGTTTTGCCCCTGATAGGATGATGCCTTGTCCCTGCTCTCTGCTAACCCCCCAAATCCCAATATCTTGCCCAGTGGGATCTAGAGTTACCTGTGTAATCAGCAATATAAAGCTGGCAGGGGACAGAAAAAATGACCTTAGCTAATCAGCATATGTTTTAGTTTCTTAGGGCCAGGGCTAACCAAGGGATGAGAGGGAGCGGTTACTTGCTTGCTATTAATAGAAGGTTGAGCTGGAGGTGGGAGAAAATATGATACATATTTTGGTACTGAAAGGTACCAGTCTATTAGTCAGCCTGTGTCTATGGGATTGAGGGCAAATTCGTATCCTTGAACAGTGTCCACAGGGACAATGTCCTAGGATGCCTAGGACTTTGATACTAATCTCTTCCCCAATCAGCATAAACCCTACTCCCTCTAAAGTAGTGTTACTGTTACCCTAAACCTCCCCTATGCTTTCCCCTCTTGCTCCTATCTCCTTGGGTCTCATGTCGCTGGGAGGCTGTCTTAGAGCTTGCTTGCGTTTTACTCACAGCTGGAAAGTCTGGTTCTCTATTGAAAGGACCACCTGGCCAGCATGATGGCTCACACCTGACTTCAGGTCAGGAGTTCAAGACCACCCTGGCCAACATGGTGAAACCCCGTCTCTACTAAAGCTATAAAAATTAGCTGGACGTGGTGGTGCATGCCTGTAGTCCCAGCTACTCAGGAAGCTGAGGCAGGAGAATCCCTTGAATCCAGGAGGCGAAGATGGCAGTGAGCTGAGACTGCACCAGTGCACTCCAGCCTGGGCAACAGAGCGAGACTCTGCCTCAAATAAAAGAAAAAAGATAGGAACACTCGCCTAGAGGAAAAGCAAGCAGATTATAATGTCACCTTTGGAACTAGGAACTTAGGTTCTGATCAGATAAAGGTGATTCCCTAAAATGGCACCTGCTTTTCTGAATATATCAGGCTGAGACTAGGGTGAGGCAAGAGAGGCACCTAGGGCACAAAGTTTAAGAAAGCAATTTGCTATGGTTTAAATATGGTTTGTCACCTCTGAAACTCATGTAGAAATTGGATTGCCACTGTGGCAGTGCTGGAAGGTGGGGCTTTTATGAGGTAATTAGGTCGTTAAGAGGGATTAATGCCTTCTCAAGGAAATGGGTTTAGTTATGGGGAGTTCAGCCCTGTTTTCCCTTGCATTATGCCCTCTCTCCCCTTCTGCTTTCTGCTTTCTACTGTGCTATGAAGCAGCTGAGGCCCTCACCAGATGTGGGTGCCTAATCTTGGACTTCCCAGCCTCCAAAACCATGAGCTAAAAAAAATCTCTTTCCTTTATAAATTATCCAGTTTCAGGTATTCTGTTACAGCAACGGAAAACAGAGTAAAACACACTTGCAAGACCCTGAGAGTGAGTGCCTTCTTAAATTTTGTGTCCAAGGTGCCTCTTTTGCCCCACCCTACATTCACCCTTTTTTATCCTTAGCCACATGAGCTCAGAAATCAGCTGAGCACGCAGAGCATGACAGACTCCCATTAATGCAATCTCGGAAGCTGATGACTAACCCCAGAAGGCTAGTTTATTCATTTATAGAAGGATGTGAACCATCATAGCAGTCTAATTCTCTCCCATAATAAGCTACATGGGAAGCCAGATCATAATCAAAGAGTGGCTAGATGCATATTTGGAACAAGGAAGTTAGTCCCAATGAGTTAGGGTATTCAAATAGTTTATTTCCACAGTAGAAATTTCAGAATCATCAGGCCAGGCCCTCAGGCCAGGGCTCCCTGTCTCCTGACAAAGCTGGAGTGGATGCTGACAGCCTCTGTGGCTGCCCAGCTCCACTTTTGATAAGCACAATCTCAATTTGGACATGGCAACCCTTTCAGTTGGTTTTACAGCAAAGTATTTGGGCCTGGAAGCCAATCTGTCTCTTTTGGGTGACTGCACATCTCTGCTTCAATTTCATTTTGTATTTATCTGCAAATTTACCTTTCTTGAACAGCAATCATACTCCATGGCTTCCAATGCCCTGAAAGGAGGCCTCATATTGACAGGCTCCCAGGTATCAGTGTGGTTCTTGGTAGAGAGGACAGCAGAAATGAAGGCCTTGAAGCTCATGCTGAGGGGGTTGGCCTCTATCTCATTAGAAACAAGGCCTGGCGCAGTGGCTCACGCCTGTAATCCCAGCACTTTGGGAGGCCGAATGGATGGAGACCAGCCTGGCTAACATGGTGAAACCCCATCTCTACTAAAACTACAAAAATTAGCTGGACGTGGTGGTGCACACCTGTAATCCCAGCTACTCAGGAGGCTGAGGCAGGAGAATCGCTTGAATCCAGGAGGCGAAGATTGCAGTGAGCTGAGACTGCGCCAGTGCACTCAGCCTGGGCAACAGAGTGAGACTCCGTCTCAAAAAAAAAAAGAAAAGAAAAAGAAATCAGGCACTATTAAAGAGTTACAAGAAAAAAAATAGCATGGTCAGATTTGCATTTCAGAAAAACCAGGCTCTTGCTGTCAGCAGCACCGTGAAAGGATTAGGAGATGGAGGATGTGGTGATTTTAAAATCTGTCTGCAAATTTATTGACACTTCTCCCCTCAAGGGGCAGAGTCTGATTGTTTGCCACCGGCTGCCTTGCTCTGAAAAAGCCCATACCATGTGGAGAGATCACATGTAAGAATTCTGGTTGAAAGCCCAGCTGAGATCCCAGCCAACAGCCAAAATCAACCACGAGCCATGTGAGTAAGCAAGCCTTTGAGATGATGCCGGCTGAAGCCAGCATCTGACAGTAATTGCTTGAGAGATGCTGAGTGAGAACCACCTAACTGAGCGTAGCTGTCATGGGTTGAATTTTTATCCACCTCCCCACTCACCCCACCAACCAAAAAAAAAATAGATATGTTGAACTTCGGACCCCTAGTATCTCAGGATGTAATATTATTTGGACATAATGTCCTCATAAAAGCAATCAAGTTGAAATGAGGTAATTAGGCTGGGCCTAATTCAATATGACTGGTGTCCTTATAAAAAGAAGAAATTTGTTTTTGTATTGTTTTATTTATTTATACTTTTTTTTTTTTTTTTTTTTTTTTAAGAGACAAGGTCTCACTATATTTCCTAGGCTGATCTCAAACTTTTGGGCTCAAGCAATCCTCCCACTTTGGGAATGAAAAGAGAAAGCCAGGCATAGTGGCTCATGCCTATAATCCCAACACTTTGGGAGACTGAGGCGGGTGGATTGACTGAGGTCAGGAGTTCAAGACCAGCCTGGGCAACATGGTGAAACCTCATCTCTACTAAAATACAAAAAATTAGCTGGGCATCACGGCGCACACCTATAATCCCAGCTACTCAGGAGGCTGAGGCATGAGAACTGATGAAACGAGGGAGGTGGAGGTTGCAGTGAGCCAAGCTCACACCACTGCACTCCAGTCTGGGTGACAGAGTGAGACTCTGTCTCAAAAAAAAAAAAAAAAAGAGAAAACTATGGTCTGTCAAATATCTTCAGGGAGGAAGCATACTCAGTTGCAAAAATGAGCTATGTTTTATTTATTATTATTATTTTTAGAGATATGATCTTGTGCTATAGCCCAGAATGGAGTGCAATGACACTATCATAGCTCACTGCAGCCTCGAACTCTTGGCCTTATGTGATCCTCCCACTTCAGCCAAACAAAGTGTTGGGATTACAGGTGTGAGCCACTGCTCTCAACCCAAAGCTAAGTTTTATAGAAGAGGAAATCTAGGCCAGGCAAGGTGGCTCATGCCTGTAATCCCAGCACTTTGAGAGGCCAAGGCGGGCGGATCACCTGGGGTCAGGAGTTTGAGACCAGCCTGGCCAACATGGTGAAACCCTGTCTCTACTGAAAATACAAAAATTAGCTGGGCATACCCTGTAGTCCCAGCTACTCAGGAGGCTGAGTCACAAGAATCGTGTGAACCGGGAGGCAGAGATTGCAGTGAGCCGATATCACACCACTGCACTACACCCTGGGCAACAGAGTGAGACTCGGTCTCAAAAAGAAAAAAGAAAAAGAAAAGGAAAACTAATTTAGAGGACAGAAGCATGAGCTCAGAAAGTGGAGCCAAGACCTATGGAGAATAACTCCCCAGCAGGGGAACTGCACCCTGATCAACAAACCAGCAGCATGTAACCAGCTGAATTTCAGAGTTACTGTGGATCAGTGACTGTGTGTGCTTCCTGTTTTCCCCCATTTCGAATGGGAGGGTCTATTAATTTATGCCTGTGTTGGCCGGGCATGGTGGCTCACGCCTGTAATCCTGGCACTTTCGGAGGCCGAGGCAGGCGGATCACGAGGTCAGGAGTTCGAGACCAGCCTGGGTCAACATAGTGAAACCCCGTCTCTACTAAAAATACAAAAATTAGCCAGGTGTGGTGGCATGTGCCTGTAGTCCCAGCTACTAGGGAGGCTGAGGCGGGAGAATTGCTTGAAGCCGGGAGGCAGAGGCTGCAGGGAACCGAGACCACACCATTGCATTCCAGCCTGGGTGACAGAGTGACACTCTGTCTCAAAAAAATAAAAATGTATGCCTGTGTTGTCATTGTATATTGGGTGTGTAAAGGGCAGACAACTTGTTTATTTAGCTCACAGAACTTCAGATTGAGAGGAATGATATGCCAGGAGCTATACCCAAGAAATCACACCCAAGGCGCTGCATCCACACCTGGTCCTGGTTTAGTTAACAAGATCCTGAACTATATCCCTTGGCCTGATGTTGTAGTACAAGGGTCTTACAGAGGTCTTGAAAGGACATGAGTGTATTTTGCATGTGGGAGGAATGTAAATAAATTGTGACCAGAGGGTGAACTTGGGTGGTTTTAAAACATATTTGCAAATTTGTAGACAGTCTTGCATAAAGCACTAGAGTCTACTTCCACTCCCTTGAATAAGGGCTGGCTTTAGTGATTTACCCACCAGTGAATAGAAAGTGTCAATGAAGGTGGGGCACGGTGGCTCACGCCTGTAATCCCAGCACTTTAGGAGGCTGAGGTGGGCCGATTATTTGAGGTAAGGAGTTCGACACCACCTGACCAACATGGTGAAACTCCACCTCTACTAAAACTACAAAAAAATTAGTTGGGTGTGGTGGTGTGCACCTGTAGTCCCAGCTACTCAGGAGGCTGAGGCAGCAGAATTGCTTGAACCCGGGAGGCAAAGGTTGCAGTGAGCTGAGATCATGCCATTACACTCCAGCCTGGGCAACAGACTGAGACTCCATCTCAATTAAAAAAAAGAGAGAGAAAGAAAGTGTCTATGAAAAGAATCAAAGTCTGTAAAATATTTGAAGAGATTTATTCTGAGCCAAATATGAGTGACCATGGCCCATGACACAGCCCTCAGGAGGTCCTGAGAACATGTGCCCACGGTGGTTGGGGCACAGCTTGGTTTTATATATTTTAGGGAGGCATGAGACATCAGTCAAATACATTTAAGAAATACATTGGTTTGGTTCAGAAAGGTGGGACAACTCAAAGCAGGGGCTTTCAGGCTATAGGTAAATTTAAACATTTTCTGGTTGACAATTGGTTGAGTTTATCTGAAGACCTGGGATCTATGGAAAGGAATGTTCAAGTTAAGATAAAGGATTGTGGAGACCAAGTTTTACTGTGTAGAGGAATCTCTCAGATATCAATCTTCAGAGAGAAAGCAGGTTGTAAAATGTTTCTTTTCCCCGGGCGCGGTGGTTCATGCCTGTAATCCCAGCACTTTGGGAGGCTGAGGCGGGTGGATCACAAGGTCAAGAGATCGAAACCATCCTGGCTAACTTGGTGAAGCCTCATCTCTACTAAAAATACAAAAATTAACTGGACATGGTGGCACACGCCTGTAGTCCCAGCTACTCGGGTGCTGGAGGGCAGTGGCGCAAGATCGGCTCACTGCAACCTCCGCCTCCTGGGTTCAAGTGATTCTCCTGCCTCAGCCTCCTGAGTAGCTGAGATTACAGGCACATGCCACCACACCTGGCTAATTTTTGTATTTTTAGTAGAGACTGGGTTTCACCATGTTGGCCAGGCTGGTCTCAAACTCCTGATTTCGTGATCCACCCGCCTCAGCCTCCCAAAGTGCTGGGATTACAGGCATGAGCCACTGTGCCCAGCAAAAGAAACATTTTACAACCTGCTTTCTCCCTGAAGTCTGCTTACAGGAGTGAGCCACCGCGCCCAGCCGTAAAATATTTCTTATGGAACCTAAAAGGGTGCCTGGCTCTTAGCTGATTATCTCCTGGATCTGGAAAGAAAGGAAGAAAAACAAAGGGGAAAGGGGATTCTCTATAGAATGTGGATATTTCCCCCAAGAGACGTTGCAGGGCAATTTCAAGGTATGGCAAGGAAATATATTTTGGGGTTAAATATTTTTCCTTGTCTCATAATGTTATGCCAGAGTCAGACTGAAAACTAAGTCACGATATATAGGGTCAAATAACCCCTCTGATGAGAATTTATGGTTTATAAGGCATGACTCCCTAGACCCCTTTAGGTAGGAATTTGGGCAAGGTAAAAAAATCAGAACTCAGTCTTCAAAAGTAATAGAAGTGGCATTGCGTGACTTCTGAGGCTAGGTCACAAAAGGTGATACAACTTCCATCTGACTCTCTTTCTTGGGACACTGTCTGTTGAAACCCAGGCACCATGCAGTGAAGAAGTCCAGGCCAGAAGGAGAGGCCACATTCACTTCTGAATAACAGCCTCAGCGAAGGTTCTAGGCCGTCAGCAGCCAACATCAGCTACAAGACATGTGAGCAAGCAAGACTGACTCGCCTACTCACTGACTCCAATCCCAGCCACCGTCTGACTGGAAACTTCTTGAGACCCTGATAGAACAACCAAGCTAAGCCCAGTCAACATTCAGAGCCCTGAGAGATAATAATATTCAATGATCATTGTTGTTTTAAGCCCTAAATTTTGTTTTCTTTTGGTAGATGTAGGGTCTCATCATGTTGCCCAGACTGGTGTCAAACTTTTGGGTTCAAGTGATCCTCCGGCCTTGACTTCCCAAAGAGTTGAGATTATGGTGTGAGCCACCACACACTCAATTAATAATACTACTGGCTTACTGGTTCTATTTTTTATTTTATTTTATTTTTTTTTAGACACAGTGTCTTGCTCTGTCACCGAGGTTGTAGTGTAGTGGCACAATTATAGCTAACTGCAGCCTTGAACTCCTGGGCTCAGTAATCCTCCTGCCTCAGCCTCCCAAGTAGCTGAGACTACAGGCTCATGCTACCACATCCAGCTTTTTTTTTTTTTTAATTATTTCTTGTAGAGACAGGTTCTTGCTGTGTTACCCAGGCTGACCTCAAACTCCTGGCCTCAGGTAAGCCTGCCTTGGGCTCTCAGAGCACTGGGATTACAGGTATGAGCCACCATGCCTGGCAGTTATTTTATTTTATTTTTTTAGGCAGCTCTAATGAACAGAATGGGAGGTGGGAGTGGAGTGATAATATTAATACCAAGCCTTTACTGAACTTCTACTGTGTGCCATGTAATATAGTAAGTGTTTCAACTCAGTAGTTCACATAATCCCTGTTGGGAGTAAGCTCCCCAAAATCTGGCCATAAACTGGCCCCAAGACTGGCCATAAACAAAATCTCTGCAGCACTGTAACATGTTCATCATGGCCCTAACACCCAAGCTGGAAGGTTGTGGGTTTACAGGAATGAGGGCAAGGAACACCTGGCCTGCCCAGGGCGGAAAACCGCTTAAAGGCATTCTTAAGCCACAAACAATAGCATGAGCGATTTATGCCTTAATAGCATGTTCCTGCTGCAGTTAACTAGCCCAACCTATCCCTTTAATTCAGCCCATCCCTTTGTTTCCCATAAGGGATACTTTTAGTTAATTTAACATCTGTAGAAACAATGCTAATGACTGGTTTGCTAATAAATACGTGGGTAAATCTCTATTCTGGGCTCTCAGCTTGGAAGGCTTTGAGACCCCTGATTTCCCACTTCATACCTCTATATTTCTCTGTGTGTGTCTTTAATTCCTCTGGCGCCGCTGGGTTGGGTCTCCCCAGCCAAGCTGGTCTTGGCAATCCCCACAACAACCCATGAGGCAGATATATTCATTTATTATCTCTATTTGACAGACGAGGAAGCTGAGACAGTAAGATTAAAGGATTTGCTTAGGATCCTTTAGCTACTCAGAATTCTTAGCTATTAAGTCGAGGAATTGAGATAAAACCAGCATTGAGACTGGTTCATAGATCATTACAAAGCATTGAGATAAGAGACAATGAAGGTAGGAACTGCAGGGGTAGTGAGCAGTGAGGAAGGACTAGAACTGATCGGTAATGAAAGGGGCAGTTGAGGCCAGGTTCGGTGGCTCACATCTGTAATCCCAGCACTTTGGGAGGCCAATGCAGGAGGATCACTTGAGGTTGGAAGTTTGAGATCAGCCTGGCCAACATGGTGAAACCCCATCTCTAATAAAAACACAAAAATTAGCCAGGCGTGGTAGTGTATACCTCTAATCTCAGCTACTTGGGAGGCTGAGGCAGGAGAATCGCTTGAACCTGGGAGGCGGAGATTGCAGTGAGCCGAGATCGCGCCACTGCACTCCAGCCTGGGTGACAGAGTGAGACTCCACCTCAAAATAGAAAAAAATTTAAAAAAAGAGAGGTGTAGTTGATAGGCCTGTCAACCCTGGTCTTCCCCAGGAGGGTGGGCAGCGGAAGGAACTGAAGACAGATCTCAGGTTTCTGACTTTCATCAGCCTCCGATTTCTCAAAGAGCTCTGGCTTATCAGAAAGCCTCTATCTTTCTGATAAGAGGCTTATATCAGAAACATAGTGCTTATTTCTACTGAAATAAATGTATACCTCCATACGGACTGATTTATTTGGAAGACTCTATTAAAGAACAAGGAGCGAAAACACAAAGAAGTGAGAATCAGAAGCACAAGAGGTATTTTTACAAATGCATCAGGCTCGAAACCTTGGTACATGCATCCTTGTGTACCTCTTGTGCTGACCCACTCTAAATAATTTTCCTGAGATCTTCTTAGGCTATAACTGGAACACGTGACATTCAGGCCTCAAACACCTGCTGAATTTCACCATATCCATCAGGATCAAGTCCAAACTCCCCAGAGAGCATGCAAGCCTTTCTTTATCTGACCTCAGCTTATCTATAGCCCCAGGCTCATCCTTCACCCAAAGTGCTGGGATTACAGGCGTGAGCCACCGAGCCCAGTTGATCTTTGTTCTTTTCTTAGAAAGCACTTCCTTTTCACCCATTTCAGTCCTCAACCCCTTTCTACCTGCCAGGTGATCTGCAGGCTCCAGGGCTAAGCTCCGAAGCCACCTCCCAACCCCCGATGGAAGGCTTTCTTTCTTCCCTCCCCTCATCCTCCTTCTATGCATTGGGTCCTGTCATCTACTCCATTCTTACTTCTTAGAATCAATAAAATTGTGTATATTTAAGCCTTACCAACACCAAGCAATACAATGTGATCATGCTTTAATTATGGATCTCAGTACTTATAACCTTGGGGCACATGAGCTATTTCTAGGTGGGACCCTATTGAACTGTTAAAATGCTAACAGCTAAGCATTTGCTTTACTGTTTATTAGGAAAACAAGAGGACTTGAACACTAACTCCATGATTCACAAATATTATTACCCAAGATGAAGCAAAAGTAGGTGGCAATGTTAATCAATTGTAGAGGCTGCAGGGAGATAGAGCAAGCATTCTAAGGGAGAATGCTAATACCTGAGATTTAGGGAAATCTCATTTAATCCTCACAATAACCTTGTGAAATAGAGATCTTGTTCACATTGTTGAGATAGAAACCCAAGGGTCAGAAAGGTGAAATAACTTTCCTAAACATACAGAACCATTAAGTGGCGGGTATAAATAGGATCTGCAGTTGGGGTGGCTTCTTCTGCCCAGTCTCCTAGCAAAACTTACGCCCTGGGAACTGTCTACTTCTCTGTCTTCCTCACTAGAATGTGCTTAATTGTCAGTATATCTCATGCCTTGTGGGATTCCTAGTGCTTAGAGTACTTGCTGGCACACAGTCACACTTACTAGGATTCTGTAGAAAGAATGAATGACTGCAAGGGGGAGGGACCAGTGGCTTGTCTGTGCACAATTTACAAAGCAGTTTCACAAGCATTTTTTTTTTTTTTTTTGAGATAGAGTCTTGCTCTGTCGCCCAGGCTGGAGTGCATGGCACAATCTCAACTCACTGCAACCTCTGCCTCCCAGGTTCAAGCGATTCTCCTGCCTCAGCCTCCCTGAGTAGCTGAAACTACAGGAACGCGGCACCACGACCGGCTAATTTTTGTATTTTTAGTGGAGACAGGGTTTTGCCATGTTGCCAGGCTGGTCTTGAACTTCTGACCTCAGGTGATCTGCCCGCCTTGGCCTCCCAAAGTGCTGGGATTACAGGCGTGGGCCACTGTGCCCGGCCTTTATTTATTTATCTATTTTATTTTATTATTTTTTTTAAGGCAGGGTTTTGCTCTGTCACCCAGGCTGGAGTGCAGTGGTGTGATCACAGCTCACTGTAGCCTTAGACCTCATGGGCTCAAGTGATCCTCCCACCTGAGCCTCCCCAGTAGTTGGGACTGCAGCTATGAGCCACACACCTGATTGATTTTTTTTTAATTTTTTGTAGAGATGGTGTCTCCTATGTTACCCAGGCTAGTCTCGAACTCCTGAGCTCAAGCATTCCTCCCACCTCAGCCTCCCAAAGTGCTGAGATTACAGGTGTGAACACCGCTCCCAGCCACACAAGCATTTCTATTTAATTCTTCCAACACCCTTCTGTAGAAAATATGATTATTCTTCTTCTATATTTCACAGGAGAGAGCACTGATAATGAGTCTTGCCTTCATGCTAAGAGAAAAGCAGTGTAGGATCAAACTGACAGGAGGCCAGAAAGGCCCCAGAGATGTGTTGGAGGGTGGGGCAGGAGAGGGTAGGAAGGCGGGAGATAGAGAGGGAAGGACAGGGAATGATAAGAAAATGACCTGCTCTGCAGACCTGGGAAGCAAATGTTCTTTAACCTCTAGTACACTTTCCCTTTCCAGGCTCTGACCTCAGCAGCCCCAAACCACAGGAACTTCCTGTCCTGAGTACACACTATCACTTGGGATGTTTCTTTGGATTCCTAGAAGCATGCCCCTGATTACTGAGATAAGATACAAGGAGATGATGTGTTTCCCCTGAGCAGAGGAGACTTCTGAGCAAAATCCAGCTTCCGAGTTGACATGCTTCCTGGGAGTCATGCTTGTTACAATCCACGAGCCTACCTGACACATCATTATCACCCAAAGAGCATAGCTGACATCAGGTTCACTCTTGGTGTTGTACATTCTGTGGGTTTGGACAAGTTCATAATGAAGTGAACCCACCTTTTTTTTTTTTTTTTTTGAGACGGAGTTTTGCTCTGGTTGCCTAGGCTGGAGTGCAATGGTGCAATCTCAGCTCACTGCAACCTCTGCCTCCGTGGTTCAAACAATTCTCCTGCCTCAGCCTCCCGAGGAGCTGGGATTACACGTGCCCACCACCACACCTGGCTAATTTCGACTCACTGCAGCCTCCACCTCCTGGGCTCAGGAGATTCTCCTGCCTCAGCCTCCCAAGTAGCTGGGACTATAGGTGCACACCACCATGCCCGGCTAATTTTTGTGTTTTTTTTATAGAGATGGGATTTTGCCATGTTGCCCAGGCTGGTCTCTATCTCCTGGACTCAAGTGATCAGCCCGCCTCAGCCTCCCAAAGTGCTGGTATTACAGGCGTGAGCTACCATGCCCGGCCCATCTGTATGCTGTTACTGCCCAGCCTGGAGTGCAGTGGTGCTATCTCAGCTCACTGCAACCTCCACTTCCCGGATTCAAGCGATTCTCCGGCCTCAGCCTCCCAAGTAGCTGGGATTACAGGTGCACATCACCACGCCTGGCTAATTTTGTATTTTTAGTAGAGATGAGGTTTCACCATGTTGGTCAGGCTACTCTGGAACTCCTAACCTCAGGTGATCCACCCGCCTCAGCCTCCCAAAGTGCTGGGATTACAGGCGTGAGGCACCATGCCTGGCCTGTATGTGTAATTTTAGCTACTACTCCCTGCAGTGTATAGATTTAAAATGGCAAGATCTAAATCCAGAGGATCTGGGTTAAAATCTCAGTTTACCACTCACTCTTATGATGAGCTTGGTTAGACAAGTTATTGCAGCTTCTCTGTGCCTGGCTTCCTGAAATGGAAAATGTAAAACAGAGATAATAATACTCGGACCACATAAGGACACTGAACTAGGAGGTGAGCTAGGGCAAGACAAGTACTTAGTTCAGTGCCTGGCAAAGAGGAAATATTTGGTAAATGTGGGCTATTTTTGTATATCTAATATTTGGCATTTGAGATTTTTCACTTTTTTTTCTTTCCTATACAAGTAAAATGTTATCTATTTTGTCACTGTTTTTAATCCAACACTCTTTTCATTAATTCTAGTTATTTTTAAATTTTTTATAGAGAAAGGGTCTCACTATGTTGCCTAGACTGGTCTCGAACTCCTGTGTTCAAGCAACTCTTCCACCTCAGCCTCCCAAGTAGTTGAGATTACAGACATGAGCCACTACACCCAATTAATTTTTAATTTTTTGTAGAGATTGGAGTCTTGCTATGTTGTCCAGTTTGGTCTCAAACTCCTGGGGTCAAGCAATCCTCCTGCCTCAGCCTCCCACAGTGCTGGAGTTACAGGCATGAGACACCATGCCCAGCCCTGGAAGGGTTGGTCTTGTTGTCTCAGGGGTGTCAGAGGTGGAAGAAAATCTGCGTGTAAGTGAACCCTTGAAGTTCAAACTTGTGTTGTTCAAGGTCAACTGTATAATTAAAGTGATCTACGAGTATAGAAAAGCTTTATTTATTTTTATTTTTTATTTTTTTTTGAGATGGAGTTTCGCTCTTGTCGCCCAGGCTGGAGTGCAGTGGCGCAATCTCAGCTCACTGCAACCTCCACCTCCCAGGTTCAAACAATTCTCCTGCCTCAGCCTCCTGAGTAGCTGGGATTACAGGTGCCCACCACCACACCTGGCTAATTTTTTGTATTTTTAGTAGAGATCAGGTTTTGCCATGCTGGTCAGGCTGGTCTAGAACTCCTGACCTCGTGATCCACCTGCCTCGGCCTCCCAAAGTGCTGGGATTACAGGCTTGAGCCACCACGCCTGGCAAAACTTTATGTTATGTTTGAAGAAAATGAGAGTTAAATATATATCTATGAAATTAACTGTTAATTATATCTTTCAGAACTTCTGTACCATTGACAGCCAAGAGAAATCTACTTTGTGCTACATATGTTATTTAAAATTTTCTAGTAGCCATGATTAAAAAAATAAAAAGGTGGCCATGTTGTAGGAAGTCAGGGATCCCAAACAGAGGAACTGGCTGAAGCCATGGTAGAAGAACATAAATTTTGACGATTTCATGGACATTTATCAGTTCCCAAAATTAATACTTTTATAATTTCTTATGCCTATCTTTACTGCAATCTCTGAACATAAATTGTGACAATTTCATGGACATTTATCACTTCCCCAACTAATACTCTTATAATTTCTTATGCCTGTCTTTAACTCTTAATCACATTATCTTTGTAAGCTGAGGACGTATGTCACCTCAGGACCCTGTGATGATTGCGTTAACTGTACAAATTGTTTGTAAAACGTGTGTTTGAACAATACGAAATCAGTGCACCCTGAAAAAGAACAAAATAACAGCAATTTTCAGGGAACAAGGAAAGATAACCATAAGGTCTGACTGCCTGTGGGATAGGACAGAATAGAGCCATATTTTTCTTCTTGCAGAAAGCCTATAGATGGATGTGTGAGTAGGAGAAATATCATTGAATTCTTTTCCCAGCAAGGAATATTAATAATTAATACCCTGGGAAAGGAATGCATTCCCAGGGGTAGGTCTATAGACGGCTGCTCTGGGAGTGTCTGTCTTATGCGGTTGAGAGAAGGGATGAAATACACCCTGGTCTCCTGCAGTGCCCTCAGGCTTACTAGGATTGGGAAATTCCAGCCTGGTAAATTCTAGTTAGACCAGTTGTCTGCTCTCCAACACTGTTTCCTGTTAAGATGTTTATTAAGAAATGCGTGCCCAGCGGGACATGGACCCTCATCAGTAATTCTAATTTTGCTCTTGCCATGTGATCTTGCTCTGCCCTTCGCCTTGTGATCTTTTATTGCCCACTGAAGCATGTGATCTTTTGTTGCCCACTGAAGCATGTGATCTCTGTGACCCACTCCCTATTTGTACACCCCCTCCCCTTTTGAAATCCCTAATAAAAACTTGCTGGTTTTGCGGCTCAGGTGGGCATCATGGAACCTGTCGATATGTGATGCCACCCCCGGTGGCCCAGCTGTAAAATTCTTCTCTTTGTACTCATTCTCATTTATTTCCCGGACCGGCTGACACTTAGGGAAAATAGAAAAGAAACTACGTTGAAATACTGGGGGCTGGTTCCCCTGATATGGCTGGGCTCGGTGGCTCACACCTGTAATCCCAGCATTGAGGGCCAAACTTGAGGCCAGGAGTTTGAGACCAGCCTGGCCAACATGGTGAAACCCTCTCTCTACTGAAAATACAAAAATTAGCTGGGCATGGTGGCATCCACCTGTACTCTCAACTACTCAGGAAGTTGAGGCAGGAGAATTGGTTGAACCTGGGAGGTGGAGGTTGCAGTGAGCTGAGATCGTGCCACTGTACTCCAGCCTGGGTGACAGAGTTTGACTCTGTCTCAAAAAATAAAATAGTATAGGTAAAATTAATTTTAATTAATATATTTTATTTAACCCAATATATCCCAAGTAATACCATTTTAACATGTACTCAATATAAAATATATTGAGATCTTTTGCATTCTTTTTTCAAACCAAGTTTTTAAAATCTAGTGTGAATTTCACATTTACAGCACATCTCCATTCAGATGCTAAAATGTCATTGGAAATACTTAATCTGTGTCTTGAAGTCATAAAATCTACTTGAAGAAGTTGAAGAAATAGAGTCACAAAATTAAAAATTTGTTAATACCAGTCACAAGATTAAAATTTGTTAATACCGGCCAGGCATGGTGGCTCACGCCTGAAATCCCAGCACTTTGGGAGGCTGAGGGCAGTAGATCACTTGAGGCCAGGAGTTCAAGCCCAGCCTCTGACCAACATGGTGAAAACCTGTCTCTACTAAAAATACAAAAATTAGCTGGGCATGGTGGTGGGCGTCTGTAATCCTAGCTACTCAGGAGGCTAGGGCACAAGAGTTGCTTGAACCTAGGAGGCAGAGGTTGCAGTGAACTGAGATCATGCCAGCCTGGGTGACAGAGTGAGACTCCCTATCAAAAAAAAAAAACTATTTAAATAGATTAAAATTAAATAAAATTAAAAATTCAATTTCTCAGTCACCTTAACCACATTTCAGGGGCTCAGCAGCAACAAGTGACTATAATCTGCTGTACTGAACAGGCAGCTCTATGCCCCTATTTGTTTATTTTATTTATTGAGACAAGATCTTGGTGTGTCACCCAGGCTGGAGTGCAGCAGCATGATCATGGTTCACTGCAGCCTTGACTTTCTAAGCTCAAGTGATGTGATTTCTTTGACCTCAGCCTTCTGAGTAGCTGGGACTACAAGCACACATCACCATATCCAGCTAAATTTAATATTTATATATTTTGTACAGCCCTGGCATGGTCGCTCACGCCCATAATCCCAGCACTTTGGGAGGCCAAGTAGGGCAGATCACCTGAGGTCAGGAGTTCAAGACCAGCCTGGCTAACACAACGAGACCCCCTGTCTCTACAAAAAAAACAAAAATTAGCTGGGCATGGTGGTACAAGCCTGTGGTCCCAGCTACTCAGGAGGCTGAGGCAGGAGAATTGCTTGAACCTGGGATTCAAGAGAGTGTGCCTCTGTACTCCAGCCTGGGTGGCAGAGAAAGACTACGTCACACACAAAAATTATATATACATAATTCCACCTCTCCAGTGGAAGAATGGCAAAACATGTGTGGCCTTCTTTAATCCATGAGATTTGTGCTTAGAGATTTGTTTTGGTCACAAAACAAGTAAAGTATTTCCAGTGATCATTTGTGGTGTAAATGTAATTGAGATGTGGTGTAAACGTAAAATTCACACTGGATTTTGAAGACTTCGTATGAAAAAGGAATGCAAAATATCTCATTAGTATATTTTATATTGACTACAAAAATAAAACTTTTTAAAAAAATCTAAGAGTCACCAGAATAATTGTGAGGTGTTATTGTTTTGTTTTGTTTTGTTTTGTTTTTTTGAGACGGAGTCTCACTCTGTTGCCCAGGCTAAAGTGCAGTGGCACGATCTAGGCTCGCTGCAACCTCCGTCTCCCAGGCTCAATCTATTCTCCTGCCTCAGCCTCCCAAGTAGCTGGGATTACAGGTGCTCACCACCACACCCAGCTATTTTTTATATTTTTAATAGAGACGGGGTTTCACCATGTTGGTCAGGCTGGTCTCAAACTCCTGACCTCAGGTGATCTGCCCTCCTCGGCCTCCCAAAGTGCAGGGATTATAGGCGTGAGCCACTGCACCTGACTGGTTATTTCTTAAATACAATCTTTTCTTCTTGGACACAAGTCAGGTAGCAGTCCTTCATGCTTCCAGTTGCAGAGAACTCCTACCCAGCTCTCCAAGGGTGCCACTAAAGCCGTCTCACTAGACTTTGAGGGAGAGGGAAGCATGCCCATTGTCTTAGTTCATTTTCTGTTGCATTTTAATAGAATACCTGAAACTGGGTAATTTATAAGAAAATAAATTTATTTCTTACAATCATGGAGGCTGGGAAGTCCCAGGTTGAGGAGACACATCTGGTGAGGGCCCTCTTGCCACTGGGGACTCTGTAGAGTCCCAAGGTGGTGCAGGTCATCACAAAGTGAGGGGGTGAGCGTGGTAGCTCAGGTCTCCTTATGTTCTTGTGAAGCCACCAGTTCTATACCCATGATAACCCATTAATCCATTCATTCACATATGGATTAATCCATTTGTGAGCGCAGTCTTCATGATGCAATCACTTCATATTTATTTATTTATTTATTTTGAGATGAAGTTTTCTCTGTTGTCCAGGCTGGAGTGCAGTGGTGAAATCTTGGCTCACTGCAACCTCTGGCTCTGGAGTTCAAACAATTCTCCTTCCTCAGCCTCCCGAGTAGCTGAAACTACAGGCGCCTGCCACCATGGCTAGGTTAATTTTTGTATTTTTAGTAGAGATGGGTTTTTACCATGTTTGCAAGGCTGGTCTCAAACTCCTAACCTTGTGATCCGCTTGCCTCGTCCTCTCAAAGTGCTAGGATTACGGGTGTGAGCCCAGCCTCAATCACCTCTTAAAGGCCCCACCTCTCAACACTGTTGCACTGGGGACTAGATTGAGGGGTTTTTGGAGGGGACAAATATTCCAATCATAGCACCCATCTTGGACTGGCCCTCAGATGAAAACATATGGAGGGGTGGGGAGCAGGAGGTTAGTGATCACAGCCAACATTCCTCAGCTTAGCTTGGACCACCAACAGCCAGGCCTGCTTCTGCCCACACTTCTTGCTCTGTCTAAAAATATCTCTTGATAATGTCTTCCATCCACCACATATCGATTATTAATACTTCCGTTCCTTTTTCCTTGGGGCGTTAAGATTGAGAGTGATAGGAAGATCAAAGAAGTGTTATAAAGTAAGGTTGGGCATGTTAAAATTTCAACCCATTTCCTGCTTGCACCCCAAAATACTCACCAGTGGCACTTGCAGCCACAGTGTTTACTCTGAGATAATTTTGCCACAAAAGATCTCGCCTTTTTTTTTTTTTTTTTTTTTTTTTAAGACGGAGTCTCACTCTGACACCCAGGCTGGAGTGCAGTGGCTCGATCTCCACTCACTGCAACCTCCGCCTCCCAGGTTCAAGCAATTCTCAGCCTCAGCCTCCCAAGTAGCTGGGATTACAAGCACCTGCCACTGTGCCCAGCTAATTTTTTGTATTTTTAGTAGAGATGGAGTTTCACCACCTTGGTCAGGCTGATCTTGAACTCCTGATCTCGTGATCCACCTACGTCGGCCTTCCAAAGTGCTGGGATTACAGGCGTGAGCCACTGTGCCTGGTGCTTTTTAAAATCATTTTTGCATTGCTCTAGTATATCGACTTTGGAAACAAAAGGCATCATTCTACTTAGAGCATTCTGTTTTTAGTAGTGGTATTTCCATTGACAAAATATAATCATTCTCAATCACTGAAAACGTGAAATCCTAGAAAACAAAGCATTCCTACGCATGATGTTAGCATTGTTCTTGAACACTTGTTGGCCAAAGATTCATTTGATGAATCTGATTTTTCCAAAAAAGACCCTTCTGATGATTCAGACAATTCTGATGTTATGTTTAGAAAGAACTCCAGGAAGAGTTTTTATATTTTATTATTGCATTGAAAATCAGTCAGATTTGCTTCAGCCTCCAAGAGTGAGTTTATGTAAAATTAAATGAGTGCTGCCAGTGGGCTGCACTTTTTGTTCTCTAAACAGGAAAAGAAGTAAAGAGTGTATTTGAGCAGGCAATGATGAATCAGGCAGGGGCATAAAGGTGAGGCTTTTATAGGGTGAATGAAGAAGCAGAGCAAAGAAACTCTGTGATTGGTTAAAGTTTGAGCCATTGCTTTACTTGGCCTATTCCAGTAGGAGGTTAATGGGAAGACAACCAATGCCCAGGTAGCTGCTGTGCTGGGCTGAGCTTAAGCTTCCTTTTCCTTTAAATTCTGAGTAAAGTTTCTCTTTCTTTATGTAGGATTCCAGGGTGTTAGAGTCACTTCAGGCTAATGGCCTCTCATTTAATTATTTTAACAGAAGGAACAAGATTTTCTCACTGTTTTCATACAGAATGTTGGGGCCAGGGGCAGGAACAGGGCCAGAAGTGGACACAATTTTCTGACCAAATTTCCCCATTGGTGGCCAGGCCTGGGGGCTCACGCCTGTAATTCCAGTACATTGAGAGGTCAAGGCAGGCGGATCACATGAGGCCAGGAGTTCGAGACCAGCCTGGCCAACATGGTGAAACCCTGTCTCCACTAAAAATACAAAAAAATTAGCCAGACGTGGTGGCAGGCACCTGTAATCCCAGCTCCTTGGGAGGCTGAGGCAGGAGAATCACTTGAACCTGGGAGGTAGAGGTTGCCATGAGCTGAAATTGTGCCACTGCACTCAAGCCTGGGCAACAGAGCAAGACTCTGTCTCAGAAAAAGAAAAAAAAAGTCTGAAGATGGCGGCCTTAGCAGGGAGAGGTGCCATGGTGCTGCGTAGAAGTATCAGTCGGCCAGTTGTTTTTGTGAGAAAAATTCCTTGGACCAAGACAAGGAGACTGGCTTTCACAGAGGTTTGGGTTGGGTTCAGTGTTCTTCAGAACTTCAGAATGCACTACAGCAGGAATATCATATTATAGGTGGAGTAAAGCTCCAGGTTTAAGCTCAAAGGCCAAAAGTTTTGCAAACATCTGATGATGAAGAGAAAGATTTTTGAGACTGTTTCAGCTTATTAAATAAAGTTAACATAACTGAGAAAAACAACAAACTAACAAACAAATGTCCTCATTGGCTACCAGGGATGATAAACTCCAAAGGGAAGACGGGTGAGTGAGAGCTTATCCCCTCCACCAGCTAACCTCAAGGTTCTCACGCGGTTCCGAGGCGGCCTGTGGTGATAACTCCATTCCCTTTCCCCGCAGTGGTGGATATTTGGGAAGTGATCTTCCTGCCTTGACACACGACGTGTCCCACAAATACTTCAT
Organism: Homo sapiens; assembly: GCF_000001405.40. Taxonomy (NCBI): domain Eukaryota; kingdom Metazoa; phylum Chordata; class Mammalia; order Primates; family Hominidae; genus Homo; species Homo sapiens. Next base: position 25,685,933 of record NC_000004.12, on the reverse strand, counting down.
GCAGTTGTGAGATGCAAGGACCAGGTCACTCCTGAGGACGAGGAAGCTGGGCTTGGGGGCTGGCACAGAGAGTGGTGGGTGTTTGTCACGTGTTTATGACTTTCAGTAAGACTGAGTCTCTGAGTCTCTGACCTTGTATTTTTATTTTTATTTACTTATTTATTTATTTATTTTGAGATAGAGTCTCACTCTGTCTCCCAGGCTGGAGTGCAGTGGCATGATCTCTGCTCACTCCAACCTCCACCTCCCGGGTTCAAGCAATTCTCATTCCTCAGCCTCCTGAGTAGCTGGGATTACAGGCCTGTGCCACCTCACCTGGCTAATTTTTGAATTTTTAGTAGAGACAGGGTTTCACCATGTTGGCCAGGCTGGTCTCGAACTCCTGACCTCAAGGGATACTTGTGCCTCGGCCTCCCGAAGTTCTGAGATTACACGCATGAGCCACCGCACCCGGCCTGCCCTTTACTCTTACACCTGGGTGGCTCTGCAGCCTTTCTCTAAGTCCTTCCTTCCAGACACCTTGATTCTTCAACTCCCATGCGTCTGTCCTGCTTTAATAACCATGAGTACTGTGAGGTCAGTGAGTCCCAAGGCAGCACAATTCACTGGTCTGAGGGGTGGGCTGTGGATCTTAATCCTCTCATCTTGGGACCCTCAGCTATGTCCCTGGAAGCTTCTGCATCTCTCTCTATTAAGTGGAGATAAATAACTCCTATTCCTCAGGCTATGATAAGTCAGTGAGGTGATGAATGGAAAATGCCTATGTAGGGCTGGGTGCAGTGGCTCACACCTGTAATCTCAGCAGGTTGGGAGGCTGAGGGGGGAGGATTGCTCGGGCCTAGGAGTTGGAGGCTGCAGTGAGCCATGATCATGCCACTACACTCCAGCCTGGGTGACAAGAGGGATACTGACTCTGAAAAAATATATATTTTTTAAAAAAAGAAAATGCCTCCAAAATAATGAGGATTATATAAGAAAAAAGAAAGAAAGAAAATGCCTATTTAGGGAAGTCACCTGCAGTTCCTATTATGATGTTTCTTTGTTTGTTTGTTTTTTATTTTATGAGACAGAGTCTTGTTCTGTTGCCCAGGCTGGAGTGCAGTGGCGATCTTGACTCATTGCAACCTCCGCTTCCCAAGCTCACACAATCCTCGTGCCTTAGCCTCCTGAGTAGCTGAGATTACAGCCGTGCACCACCATGCCTGGCTAATTTTTGTATTTTTAGTAGAGATGAGGTTTCTCCATGTTAGCGAGGCTGGTCTTGAACTCCTCAAGTGATCCGCCTGCCTTCGCCTCCCAAAATGTTGGGATTACAGGCATGAGCCTCTGCGCCTGACCTTACTAGAATGTTAGAACAGGACCTTCAACCCCCTAGAGCATCCACAGTTGTCACATCTGGGCTTCCATGGCATCTGATTGTCAATTCTGGGAGGAGAAACAAAGCACACTGAGCTCTGGAGCTTGCCCACCCATGGGTCAGCTGGGAAACCTCAGGACAGTCTCCATTCTCATGGGAAAGGCCTGTAGATTCACCTCTGCCTGAGCCTGGGTAAGAAAATTGGTTTAATTCAAAGGTAAAGTGTTAGTAAGCTCTCCTGTCCCCACCTCCTGGCAATTCTAAATGCCGCATCTTACAATTAGCTTCCTTAATAAATAATAAAATGAATATTTTCATCTCCATCATTCTGTCCTGTGTGTCTTATTTTTCAATTGATTCTAAATTCTGTAAGGTGGCCAGGCGTGGTGGCTCACACCTGTAATCCCAGCACTTTGGGAGGCTGAGGCAGGTGAATCACTTGAGGTCAGGAGTTTGAGACCAGCCTAGCCAACATGGTGAAACCCCGTCTCTACTAAAAATACAAAAAAAAAAAAAAATAGCCAGGCATGGTGGTGTGCACCTGTAATTCCAGCTACTTGGGAGGCCAAGGTATGAGAATCACTGGAACCTGGGAGGCGGAGGTTACAGTGAGCTGAGATGGCACCACTGTACTCCAATAAAGCAAGGCTCAGTCTCAAAAAATAAATAAATAAATAAATAAAATAAATTATGTAAGGGAAGAAAGGGATGTTATTTACTGACTTCCTAAGACTCCAACGAAGTGAAAAATGCAAAACTACAACCTCAGCACCAACAAGCAGGTTCCAGAGCCCCTTTGGGTCCTAGGTAATTAACCTGAGCCAAATGAGAAGGCATAATTTTACTTCATGGCAGCGTAATTTATGCTGTCCTCACAGGCCATAGGTTAACCAGGGCCTGTGGAAAATGATTTAGTCTGCTAATACAGCACACCAATGACATGAAGCTAGTGATTTTTTTTTTAACTCAAAAAAATATTTTTTAGACCAGGCATGGTGGCTCACACCTGTAATCCCAGCACTTTGGGAGGCTAAGGCGGGTGGATCACCTTAGGTCAGAAGTTCAAGACAAGCCTGGCCAACATGGTGAAACCCTGTCTCTACTAAAAATACAAAAATTAGCTCGGTGTGGAGCTGAGTGCCTGTAACCTCAGCTACCCAGGAGGCTGAGGCAGGAGAATCACTTGAACTGGGAGGTAGAGGTTGTAGTGAGCCAAGATCGTGCCTTTGTATTCCAGCCTGGGAGACAAGAGCAAAATTCCGTCTCAAAAAAAAAAAAAAACAATTTTTTTTTAGAGACAGAGTCTTGCTCTGTTGCCCAGGCTGCTGTGCAGTGGTGCAATCATAGCTCACTGCAAACTCCAACTCCTGGGCTTTAGTGATCCTCTTGCCTCAGCCTTCCAAGTAGCTGAGACTATAGGCTCACACCATCATACCTGGCTAATTTTTTAAAATTATTATTATTGTTGTTATTCTGAGACACAGTTTCATTCTGTCGCCCAGTGGCACGATTCTCAGTTCACTACAACCTCTGCCTCCCAGGTTCAAGCAATTCTCATGCCTCAGCCTCCTCAGTAGCCTCCTGAGTAGCTCCTGAGGGACTACAGGTGCCTGCCACCATACCCAGCTAATTTTTGTATTTTTAGTAGAGACAGGATTTTACCATGTTGTCCAGGCTCGTCTGGAGCTCCTGACTTCGAGTGATCCACCCACCTTGGTCTCCCAAAGTGCTGGGATTACAGGCTTGAGCCATCATGCCAGGCCTAAAAAATTTTTGTAGTGACAGGGTCTCACTTTGTTGCCCAGGCTGGTCTTGAACTCCTGGGCTTAAGTGGTTTTCCCACCTCAGCCTCCCAAAGCACTGGGATTACAAGCTTGAGTCATTGTGTCTGGCCTGAAGCTAATAATTAAATAAGGCACCCTGGTGAACCTGTGTCACCACTGCAGGCAAGAGATAGGAGATTTATTCTCTGAAGGATGTAACCAAAGGAGCCACAGTAAGAAGGACAAGGGGTGGGCAGTGAGCTGCAGGAAATACATCAGACTGAAGCCACAGTCTACACTTCAGAGTGTTGAATTCTGTATCAGTTATCTTGCGCTGTGTAACAAACAACTCAAAATTGTAACGTCTTAAAAATAATCACCATTTTATTTGTTTACTCCATGGTCAGCAATCAGGGCTGGGCGTTTTTGGCAGGGGTTGTTCTGCTGGCCCCACCAGTCAGGCAGGATGCTGGCTGTATCCTTTATGGTGGCTTCATTTGCAAGTCTGGTGACAGTGCTGGCTGGATGCTGGGCCTGTTTCTGCTCCAGGTCTCTTATCCACAAGATTCTAGAAGACAATGGAGCAATACCTTCCTTATGCCAAGGCAGTGGTTTTCAAACTATTGATCAATCTTGAGGTTAAAATACATTTTCACACACACATGGACTCAATGCATAGACTCAAAAATTTTATTTTCTCTGTATCCTTTCTTGGGTACGAAAGAAAGAGAGAGAAAGAGAAAGGGAGTGAGAGAGGGAGGGAGAAAGTGCAGAAGGTGAGGGAAAGAAAGAGAGAGAGGGGGGCGGGAAGGGGAGAGGAGATGAGGGAAGGGGAAGAGAGAGGGGAGGGAAGAACCAAAAGGTTATCAGATGATTGGAAGCAATTGGGAAAGATTATTTATAGGTAGGTGACGGCACTGATGAAAACAAAGAAAGCAAATGTTGGTGCACTATTCAGTTCTGCAGTTTATCACAATTATAATAATATTGTAAATATTAACTACCGGTTGGGAGAAGGAGTCACTGGTAGTGAGGGTGTGGCATGAGAGGTAAATTCTATCTCCTCCAAAACAGATCAATGGCTGCATTAAGAAAAAGCCACTGTAATCATGTGATAACTGCAGAACAAAATACCAGAAGAAAGCACTGAAAAGAGCTGGAAAGGATTGCCCCTGGGGAGACAGACAGGAGTATTGGGCAGAGGCGGGCAGAGCAAAGGGTAATGTTGTTTGTTGTACACTCTCTAGACATTTGATTTTCTTTTTTTCTGAGATGGCGTCTCGCTTTGTTGCCCTGGCTGGAGTGCAGTGGCACGATCTCAGCTCACTGCAACCTCCACCTCCCAGGTTCAAGCGATTCTCCTGCCTCAGCCTCCCAGGGAGCTGGGATTACAGGCACCCACCACTCCTGGCTAATTTTTTGTATTTTTAATAGAGATGGGGTTTCACCATGTTGGCCAGGCTGGTCTCAAACTCCTGACCTCAACTGATCTGCCTGCCTCGGCCTCCCAAAGTGCTGGGATTACAGGCATGAGCCACTGCGCCCGGCCAGACGTATGTGATCTTCAACCTAGACAAATAATAATGTAAAAAACCCTTTTAAGGCTGGGCGCAGTAGCTCACACCTGTAACCCCAGAACTTTGGGAGGCCAAGGCAGGTGGATCACTTGAGGTCGGGAGTTTGAGACCAGCCTGGCCAACATGGTGAAACCCCGTCTCTACTAAAAATACAAAAATTAGCCAGCCATGGTGGTGGGCACCTGCAGTCCCAGCTACTTGGGAGGCTGAGGCAGGAGAATCACTTGAACCCAGGAGGCGGAGGTTGCAGTGAGCCGAGATCATGCCACTGCACTCCAGCCTGGGTGATAGAGCAAGACTCTGACTCAAAAACAAAAACAAAACCCTTTTAAAATAACACTCACCACTGCCATTTGTTGGGACTCGGAAGTGAGTTTACAGAGCAACGATTTGTTTTGGAAATGCTGAGTGGTCCTTGACTCCTGTCCCGTGGCTGCAGAGCCCAGTCCGGGGACTGCTCCCAGGCCACATGACATTTATTCAGCTCATCCTAATAATCCCAGGCCAGTCCTGGCCTCGGTTTCTTGGGTTGATAGCAGCCTTCTTGACTTGGCATGTCACTTTGGAAATACTCAGAGGAAGAAAAATGCAAACAAGCGTGGGAAGTGTGTCTTGTACATCTGCCATGCATGCTCATCCCCTATATTTTGAGGCAGAGCCATATGCCAAGCACTTACAGTAAACCCACCCTGGCTAAATATTTACATATATTGCTTCATTTTCATAATCACAGGAAGCCAAGTGTTACTGTCCCATATTCCAGATGAGGAAGTTGCTATTGAGACAGTAAATGACAGAGCTACGAGTGGAACCCAGCAACCTGAGTGATTCCAAGCCCAAATTCACTGTGCTCTGCAATACGGATTCATTCCTCAGCACAGCTGGCCTACAAAGAGGTGTGACCAGCTTAGTCCTACAAATGTTTCTTAAAGTCCACTCTTCCTTAACAAGTTATTTATTTATTTATTTAAGAGTTTAGCTCTTTTTGTCCAGGCTGGAGTGCAGTGGCACGATCTTGGCTCACTGCAACCTCCGCCTCCCGGGTTCAAGTGTTTCTCCTGCCTCAGCCTCCCTAGTAGCTGGGATTATAGGCGCCCACCACCATGCCCGGCTAATTTTTTGTATTTTTAGTAGAGACGGGGTTTCACTGTGTTAGCCAGGATGGTCTCGATCTCCTGACCTTCCGATCCACCCGCCTCAGCCTCCCTCCCAAAGTGCTGGGATTAGAGGCATGAGCCACCGCACCCAACCAACATGTTATTATTTTGACTAGCGCAGTTGTTGGCAGAACGCACAGCACTGAAAGGCCATACTTTCCATTCAAACCAGAACTTTCTTTGAATGCAGCAAGAAGGTAATGGCACTCCAAGAAAACAAGCAAGGAACAACTAAGAAACCCTACCCTGTCTTTTCTCACTTAGGCTGAAAAATGCTGATATGGAAAGTGTGGCCCATTGCTCTTTTTCCTTTCAGTTCTTCCTTAAACTCATCAGGAAGGCAGAGAGCATTGGCAGAATGTGCACAAAAAGTGAAGTCAGGCTAGGTGGGGTGGCTCACGCCTGTAATCCCAGTACTTTGGGAGGCCAAGGCAGGTGGATCACTTGAGGTCAGGAGTTCCAGACCAGCCTGGCCAACATGGTGAAACCCCGTCTCGACTAAAAACACAAAAATTATCTGGGTGTGGTGGCATGCGTCTGTAATCCCAGCTGCTTGGGAGGCTGAGGCAGGAGAATCGCTTGAATCCTGGAGGCAGAGGTTGCAGTGAGCAGAAATCACACCACTGCACTCTAGCCTGGGTGACAGAGCGAAACAATGTCTCAAAAAAAAAAAGTAGTGAAATCAAAACAATTGAGTTAGTTTTGTGCAATGCTTTCACTGTTCTTGGAATAAAATACACATGTGAGCTACATATAAGAGCTACATCATGTCAATGATTCCACAGACAAGTTAATAGGTCTTATGTTTGTGTTTGAAATTGGCATTGAACAATATAAAATGACACTTTTCTCCAGGTTTTTGAACAAGAGGCTCCACAAATTATGCAGCTGGAGGGTCAGATGGTAAGTGGTGGGTAGTGACATTCAGTGAAGGAAGAGACCTCACATTTTTTTTTGTTCGTTTTGTTTTGTTTTTTCAAATGTTTATTTTATGTACAAAGAACTATCATGGTTTTTCATTGAGTAGATGACTTGGATAATCCTTTGAAGGAAGATCATTTAGTCCAACTTAATGAAACCGATATCCTTCGCGTACTGACAGAAACATTGGCGGCACTTATTGAGGCCATATTTCCGGATCAGACCGTGCTGGTTTGAATAGACACGACAAGAACGAGAACCCTGGCCGAATTTTTTTGGGTGGCTCCAGTACAGCTGCTGGTGACCCATCTTGCTCCTAGCAGTGCAACGAGGTAAAAGGAGACCTCACATTTTTATAAAATAGATCCAAGGAGGTCCCTATTTCCCTGTAATTAAAAACAACACACTCCTTTTGGGTTTGATGATTTTATTTCTCCCTTCCCATAACCAGTAAAAAAAAAAAAAAAAAAATTACAATCAGGCCTGGTGGTGGCTCACGCCTGTGATCTCAGCACTTTGGGAGGCTGAGGTGGGCGGATTGCTTGATCTCAGGAGTTTGAGACCAGCCTGAGCAACACAGCGAGACCTGGTCTCAAAATTATTATACAATCAATGCAAGTACAAAGATTCAATTTTTAAAAATCACCAGAGTACAAAGACGGCCACAGCCCCTGCCCGGGTTTAACTTACATATATACAGAGTGGGCGGGGCAGGCATGGCCACAGAGGTGGTATTACAAAATATACAAAGTGGTTTCTTTCTTTACATTTCATAGAAGAAGCCTGCCTCATTTCCAAATGAGAGCACTAGAAGCACAAATCATGCAGACCATTTACTATATAACTTATGAAAAATGCTGTACAGGGCTGTGACTATAGATATAGAGTATTTGGCTCTGTTTGGGAATTGATATCTACAAGGGGGAGGGTCAGGGGAGGACTGTCTGATATCCTGACTTGCTGGGATGGTGGAGAAGCTGGGATGGGGGAGGCCCCAATCTTGCTGCACGGCTACACCCACTCCTCCTTTCCTAGATAAGGCTGGAGCGCACTGGCCAGGAAGAATTGGGATGGCTGAGGGTGGGGCGGGGGCAGTGGTGTAATCAGGCAGGAGGCTGTGGAAGGCACAGAGAAGGCATCTAGGATGAGAAGGAACACACCCCTTTGACCCATGCACACACGTGTGCTCGACTGTACTTAATGATCCCAGTTCACTGGGCAGTCCAGTTGGGTACAGCTTTCCCCAAAAATCTGGAGCTTTGCAGGCATGGAGAGAGGACAGCTAATCAAAGCCCATCTGTGGGAAAATGGAAAAATGTTTGGAAAGAGATTCCAGTGGGTGGGTGGATGGAAAGAAGGAAGTTAACCCAGGAAGTCATCTTGCACAGAAAGTAAGGAGGCAGAGAGGGGTGGAGAGCTATTCCAGGTGCAGATACTCCCTGGGATTCAAGGTGGCAGCATGCAGGCTACGAGCCTGGATAACTTGCACGTTTTATTTCAAAAGATCCAACAGGGAGGGCTTTTGTTATCTGACCAAGAGAGGAGCGTTAGACTTTAGCCACAATGCTTTTGAATTGGGCTTCTTAGTTTGCTAAATTAAGAATCTGGGGCCCTTTTGGCAGAATGCTATGCTACTCATTCCTCACTTTCTTCTCCTCCATCTGCCCCACTCTCTGTCTCTTAGGAAGACAAGAGCAGCAGGTGAGCACATGTATCCAGCCTGAACTCTAGTTCAGGCGTGGCTCCCATCCCCGAAGCATGAGGACAAGGAAACTGCAAGTGAACTGCCTGGACTAGCACACCTGTCCACGTGAGGAAGCCCTGATGGGGAATGTGGGGAGCACTAGGAAGTGGGATAGACCCACACCTTGTGGTCTGCAGTTTCCAAACAATGACACTATGTCCCCTGACCCAGGCTGATCTGGGGCAAGGAGGCCATGGAGCTGCTGCTCTTGGTTGCCAGACTTTGGTTTAAAAAAAGGGAGAGGCCTGAGCTTGATAGTCATAGAGAGTACACTTCCTCATCTGGGAGAGCCTCTCATACATTCCTTCCCTGGGCCTTTTCTTTCTGAAGATGGTTTTTGAGTCTGAAAATAGGTTCTACTGACCAACCCAGCTAGGCGCAGGATTAGACATCCGTCCCGCCAGGTTCATTCTCTAATTCTCTTTAGGTACCATCCTGTGCCTTCCTGGAGTAAAAGATTACTGAGTGACCAGGGGTTGGAATAAAAGTGCCCTGCAGGCCTACCACCAAGCCAAAGGGAATCGAGTTAGGTAGGACTGCATCAATTTCATTCGCTAATGGGGAGCAAATCTCCTCGAGGTGGTGAAAGGGTGCAGAAGTGGGAGGGAGGAGAGCATGCAAAACTCAAGGACCATCCCCCCATCCCTGACAATCTGGGGCGTCCCCTACAAGGCCGTGCATTCGGTCTTTGAGTCCGAGGCAGGGACCTCACCCTGAGCCTCTCTGCTAATGGTTATGTTATCAAAGGTCTCAGGAGCCTTGACAGGGACATCCTGCCCCTCCTGCGCCTCCTCCAAGTCCTCGCAGCACTTGCTGCAGCGGCAGCACTTGGGGCAGTCACACAGCAAGCAGCACGCGCGGCAGCACACGCGGCAGCAGCAGCAGCAGCGCATCTGGAAGCAGCCGGTGAACTTGGAGACGACGGCATCCCAGGGCTTCAGCGAGCGCATCCACAGCGGCAGGAAGTTCCAGTTCTGGAGTTTCTTCGGCAGGACGCGTGGGCAGCGAGACTGCAGGAGTCGGAGGCACAGTACCAGGATGATGATGAAGACGACGGGAACCCCGACACCAACCAGCACCCGCCAGCCGGCCAGCGAGAGGCCAAACACCGTCAGCGGGATCAGGAAGAAGAAGATGATCAGGTAGAAGACGGCGAACCAGCGATACTTGGCAGAGATGTTGCCCAGCCCCTTGGCCATGCGGATGGGCAGGCGAGTGAACGGGATCGGGTACCACAGCAAGATGCCGGAGATGTTGAAGAAAAAGTGGCACAGGGCGATCTGCAACACAAGAGGTTGGACAGGTGAGGGGCCTGTTGCCCAATGCGGGTGGCAGTAGGGAGGAGGAGGGGGAGGTAAGCTAGCAGGCATCACAGGCAGCACAGTCTCGGGCCTTCCAGGCCTTCTTTGTCCTTATGGCTCAGCCCAGAGGGTACCTGGATTCCATGAGGACCTACTATGTGTCTGGGAGGGCCAGGAGCACTCAACTGTGCATTATCTCAATTCTCAAAAAACACTCTACAGAGTGGCAACCATTATTTCTTGACATGAGAAAATGGAGGCTCCTCAAGTCCCACAGGTGGGAGATGGAAGAGGTGGAAATTCACATCCTGGGAGCCTGGCTCCAGAGGCCAGGCGCTTGGTCACTTTCCCAAGGTGCCAATTTCCATGCCCAGGCTGTGGACCAGCACTGTCCAATACACTAGCCGCATGTCCACACTGAGATGTGCTTTAAGTATGAAATACACACCAGATTTCAAAGACTCTCAATTTTTGACAGATGACATATTAAAGTGATAATGGTTTAGATCAAATACATTATTGAAGAATGAATCAGCCTGTTTCTACTTTTAAAAATGTATCTACTAAAAAATTTTAGGATGACATATGCGGTTAATTTATATTAGATGCCTGAATTTCTATTTCTGTTGCACAGATGGCTTTGCCTCATCAGATCTTTATAATAATCCTAATGAGATAGGGGTTATGTCCTCCATCTTTCAGATGAGGGAATTGACGCTCAGGTTAGATCACTTGCCAAAGGTCACTTAGTATGTAAATGGTGAGATAAGAATTCAAATCCCCGGCTGGGTGCAGTGGCTCACGCCTGTAATCCCAGCACTTTGGGAGGCCAAGGCAAGCACATCATGAGGTCCAGAGTTCAAGACCAGCCTGGCCAACATAGGGAAACCCCGTCTCTACTAAAAATACAAAAAATCAGCCAGGTGTGGTGGCAGGTGCCTGTAATCCCAGCTGCTCGGGAGGCTGAGGCAGGAAAATCACTTGAACCTGGGAGGTGGAGGTTGCAGTGAGTGGAGATTGTATCACTGCACTCCAGCCTGGGCTACAGTGCGAGACTCTGTCTCAAAAAAATAAAATAAAAATAAATAAATAAATTCAAATCCCAAAGGTCTTGCACAAAGTAACATAGATGGTCCATGCCAAGGAGTTCTCCTAATTGTAAAGTTCCCCATAGGAGGCAGTGAGGAGATGGGAGGTGGTGTCTGTGCTTCCTAAGTACCTTTTCCACATCTATATCAAGGGGCCACCCCACTTTTGCTGAAACAACCACCAGTTATGAGGGTCTTACTGCTTCTCTCAGAACTGATAGTTTTGATTGTTCTCATATCAAGGTCCTGAAAACTTTACCCGTGGCTTCCCCTCCACATATTAGTTCCATATTTTGGATAGTACAGAGAAAAGCCTGGCTCTTGTTAGAGACCAGTTTGCAAGACCATGGGTGGTCCCACTCCCAGGGCCCCTGTCCCCGTGCCCCAAGTCCTGACCTGGAGTGAACTCCTCAATGCATTGCCAGGGCTGGCTAAGGCGGCCAGGATGGCGGTGGTGGTGGTGCCGATGTTGGAGCCCAGCGTGAGTGGATAAGCCCTCTCAATGGTTATCACGCCGATTCCTGGGGGAAACACAAAACACAAACATATCAGCCCCATGGGATGACAGGAAATGGCAGTGGTGGCCAGAGGGAGAAGCCAGGGTGTAACTCACCAATCAGGGGGGTCAAGGCCGACGTGAACACAGAGCTGCTCTGTACGATGAAGGTCATGCCTGCCCCGACGAGGATGGCCAGGTAGCCAGTCAACCATGCAAAGGGAAAGGGGAAATCTGGAAGACAGAAGGAAGAGATGTCATGGCCTCTCCGGGGAAGGTATGGCCTGGTGGCCTGGGGTAGGGGCTGGGCTTAGGGGTGAGGTTGTACATCATCCCATATATGGTCTCAGATTACAGAGTAGAGTTTTAGAATCCAGTTTCATTCCCCATTGTCTTTTGCTCCGCATATTCAGATGGAAAAACCAAGGATACAGGTAAGTGTTATGAAAACAAAAACACAGATTCCCTGGAGGTCAGGTTAGAAAGAGTGAACCCACCCAAGTAACCACTCTCCTTCCAGAAAGTGCTGAGAGCATGCTTCCTCGCCTGCCCTGGTCTCCTGTCAGCACCCACATTTGACCTTCAACCTTCATTTCTGCCTTAAAGAGCATCAAGAAACTGTAGCAGCTTGGAACATGCCTGCCAACTGAGTCCTCCACCCAACTAGCACCGGATCAGGCCCTGCATTTCCCAGAAGCACCCAGAGTTGCTCTGTTCCCCAAGACAATCTGGGGTGGGGGGCGAATTTTCTTGGCTATATTTCACTGAGCTTTCATGAAGTGATGATGTCATTGGCTTAGCGAGCTCTCATTGGCCAGGACACCCTACTTGGCAGGAAATCCTCTTAGCCAGCAGTCTCATTGGCCACCTCTAGATGCTGATGTATTTATGCATCACATTTCCTTTACAAGAGTGAAGGGAGGTGGGGGCGAGGGCAGACACCTGGGGTCCTTTTTCTAAGGGGTCTTGACAGAGCCAGTAAAGCTCTGAGCATACAGGAAACCCGCTAAGAAGGAAGGCCTGACTCACAGCTCTCTAGATATGAACTCCTGCTCAGGACCTTGCCAAGATGCAATGGAAACTTGGGCCTGCTCCCTAGACCCCACCCAGGATGCCAAGAACATTTCCAGGTGAATGACATCCTCACTTCTGGTGCTGATCCAATCTGAGAGAGAAACTCCATGCAGAGGCCATTGCTAGATGGGAATCTAAAGGACCCCCACACCCCATGCAGTGACTACATGTGAGGCCTACAAGTGAGGGCAGTGTACCTACCAGTGTTGATGGTCTTCTTGATGACAGTGGCGACCTGCCCCTTGAGCACAGAGCCCAGGATCTTGACAATCATGATCAGGCAACCACAGAGGACCAGCAGGGAGAGTATGAGCAAGATGGTGCCCACAGCAAGATCCGGGAGGTGGAAATTCACAAAGATATGCTGGCCTGAAAGACCACAAAGAATCTTGTCAGGAGGGCATGGAGCCACCACGGCTACAGATTGTTATTTATTCCCCCAGATCCTGTCTTTCCTACAAACAGATTCCTGGTTGTTAGTTTAACAGATGGCAGCCCCAAATCAAGACAGCCCTTCTCAGCCTCCTTCGCAGCAAGGGGCACCACTGAAACTATGTCATAATCAGTGGGATCGCATGAGGCTGGAAGATGAAGTGATGGCTTTAAAAATCACACAACTGTTCAGGGGTAGACTCAGCCCAGTTCTGTCTCTAAAGACCATGCTGTCGATGGTCTAATTTTTTTTTTTTACTAATGATAAGTATGCTTTGAGGGATTCGATGGGCAAGTCAAAGTAAGGGGCATTGCTAATTATAAAGCCCCTTCTGCATCCCCCAGATAATCCCAGCAAAACATGGTTATATGAATGAATGTATAGTGCCTAGAATGTGGGAGGTGGTAAGTTAACTTGATTCTTTGGGGTAATCATACCTAGAGTATTAAGATATAGTGCTCAGAATTAATGTGGTGGGAGGGTGAGAAGAGAGAAGCAGAGATATACAAAAGTATATGTAAGGAGTAATTAGAATAACGAAGGATGGCTGGGTTGGAAAAAACATTACAGCTTCTTAATAATCAGAGCATCATGCAAGCTCACTGCCCGTTCAAGAGCTACAGCCCCAGTGCCCTGAAATGGGGCCTGCTGTACAGTAGGGACTAATTGAGTGAATACATCTGTTCTATGTGGGTCCCACATCTTCCTTCAAATCGGGTTGTCGTCTCCCTAAAGTTATTTTATTTTGAGACAGACTATCTCCCTGTTGCCCAGGCTGGAGTGTAGTGGTGCAATCTTGGCTGGAATTATAGGCTTGAGCCACCATGCCTACTTTTTTTGTATTATTTTTAGTAGAAACAGGGTTTCACCATGTTGGCCAGGCTGGTCTCAAACTCCTGGCTTCAAGTGACCAGCCCATCTCGGCCTCCCCAAAGTGCTGGGATTATAGCCTTGAGACACCATGCCTGGCCCCTAGAGTTATTGACTAAAGGAATCTGAACAAAGCATGTAGAGGGAATCCTCTAGAATCTGTTGAGCTTTTCTGAGGTGGTGTGGAGCTGGCAAAGGAAATGGACTTCAAGTTCCAGTTCTGCCCTTGCTGTGGGACCTCAGGCCTGTCACCTCAGTTCCTAAGCCATAGTTTCCTCTGCTGTGAAAGCATGTTGCTCACTGCTTGATGTAGGGCAGGTGCTTGGTGACTCCTACTGTCCTTTCCTTCACTTACTGGGACTTCACACGGATAAATAGGTCACCCCCAGACAACACCTGTCATAGTGGCCAATCCACTGAGCTCCACTCACATTTGGCGATGTTCTCCTTGTAGGTCACATTCTTCATGGTCCAGTTTTGGATGCCATCCGTCCAACAGAGGGAAGGGGAGGTGCAGTTAGCAGTCGAGGGAACAGTGACGTTAATCTGGGTCTGGATGACAAACATGACAAATGCCCACAACACTGGCTTTTAGTGGGGAATGGGAGGCAATGGCGGGGGTGGGAATGAACAGGCGCAGACACCACCCATGGTGCATGCAGTATGGCCCCAACAGAACAGTTCTTTTCTCTTGAAGACTTATTTCTCACCTTTATTAGAAATCTTAGAATAACTGAGGACAACTGAAATCAGCCTTCATCATTTAAAAACATCTACTTTGTTTATTCTAGTCTCCAGTCTTTAGCACCCCACAAAAAAAATACATGTACACCCCAGAAGCAAGGGCAAGCCACAACCCAGGTGCAAAGCAGCCTGGGTAGGTTCCTGACAGAGGGCATGAATGCTCTGGGCCCGAGCAGGGGGAATACTCTGGAAAAGTCTGGAAAGTAAGAGAGAGGACACTTGCTGCCAACACCCGTAGGGCGTGCTGGACTACTTCCACAAGTCTCTCCAAAAATGAGAACAGAGCGGCAGGCAGAGCTAAGCCTTCTCCAAGAGGCATGGAAATAACAAACCAGAAATAATGTATCCCTGGGATGGGGCAAAAGGGAGTCTGTCTGTCCTACTGTTTACCTGCATTTGGCATTCATTCAAGGACTTGTTTTCTAAAGGCATTCACTGGTCACTTTTGATTTTTCAGGGACTCCCAATATTTCTTTCCCCTGACTTTCTATTTACCTTCCTTGAAGGCAAGATTTAGTTTCATGTTCAGATGCAAAGGTTCACTCCCCGCCCCGGGAATATTCTTGGAAACGTACCTTGTTGGTAAAAGTTTTGCACCAAATCTTGACAAGACTCTTGTTTTTCGCTTTTTCATCGTTCATTGCAATTTGGCTGATAACTTTTTTATCCAGCTGTGGAAACAGTAGACAGGAAACCATCAGCATATCCTCAGAACCGATTTAGGACACAAACCCAGGGGGTTGAAGTGAGAGGGGCTCTAAGGAGATAAATGTGACTGTGAGCCCCCAGAGAGGCAAAGTGGGACTCACTCTATCTGCAGAGGCACTGATATCTAGGGAGCAGACAGTAGATATTTTCTGGATGACTGAATGGCCAAGAAAACCAGTAAGAGTGAAAACACAAGGTCCTAGCAAGGACCCAGGGAGAAGGGGCTGAGATGACTCTAGGCAGGAAAGGGTAGATCATACTTTATCAAGTCCACTGGTGTTGAGGACAGCAGTGGGAACAAAGTGGTCTCAAGTGTCCAGTCTTAAGAAGCACCTCCACCCCAATAAAGGTGGCATGTTATGGAAGTCAAAGTAACCATCAAGGTCAGTCACTCTATCAGGTGGCCCAAAAGTTCTGCCTCCCTTGGCCTTTTCCAGAGGCAGCTACAGAGTAGTGTTTATTCATCTATTTATTTTTTAAAAACAGTCTCACTTTGTCACCCAGGCTGGAGTGCAATGGCACAATTCTCAGCTCACTGCAGCCTTGACCTCCCGGGGTTCAAGCGATCCTCCTTTCTCAGCCCCCACATAGCTGGGACTACAGGTGCACGCCACCATGCCCAGCTAATGTTTTGCATTTTAGTATAGACAGGGTTATGCCATGTTGGCCAGGCTGGTCTCAGATTCCTGACCTCAAGCAATCCACCTGCCTCGGCCTCCCAAAGTGCTGGGAAAACAAGGGTGAGCCACCATGCCAGGCCCAGAATAGTGTTGTAGACACTCTATATCTGTCAGCTCAGGTAGGGGATGTTGTGGGTAGGAAGTTAGTCTCCTTCTCTCTCTGAAGGAGCTAAGTTACCTGGACAATGAGCTTTGTGAAGGGCTTAGTGATGACTTTCAGAAGATCTGGGGCATCTTCTCCATTCTTGAAGTGGAAGCTCTCCACTATAAGCTGGGTTATGATCTCGAGGTAATGGGTGGCCACCTCCACGGGCAAGAGCACCAACACGGACAGCCAGTTGAAGAAGTCATGGACAGTGGCTCCTGCAAAAGCTCTATGGGAGGGAAACCCCGACAGCCAGATTAGTCACTAAGCAAGTGGGCACCATGTGAGGTGGGTCATTACCTGTATCATCTGCCACCCTCTGCTAGGTGTCACCTATGGAAGTGTGCACATGTACACAATCTCATTTTTGTTCTCTCATATCGATCCCCAAAGTGGCTGGTATCTATATTCCCATTGGCCAGATGAAGAAGCTGCGGGCCAGCAAGCATGTTACGGCTGGAATAATTAGCTCAGCAATCACTGTTTCGAAGAATTGCATCAAGGGCACTTTTGTATCATGTATATTGAAGGCTACCTTCTTTTGGAAAGGTGGGGACCAGTATGAAGGCAACCAAAGCCCTCTATGCTGGAGTTTTCAATTGTTCCAAACACATAGAAATCATAAATCCCCAAAGCGGTGGGCACCTCAAATACCCTGATTTGATCACTACACATTCTATGAATGTAACAAAATATCACATGTTTCCCAGAAAGGTGTAAAAATATTTTGTATCAATAAAAAAATTTAACTTAAAAAGACCTCTATGCAAGTGAATTCTTAAACTTTTTTTAAGTTCTTGAAAGTGATGAAACATGAATAGTTTCCATGGGAAACAAGGCTAAAACATTTTGCATCCATCTGAGGAGGTTCAAAGATTCCTCCTCGATTCCATCTTATCTCCAGATTTAAAAAACTCTGTTCTGGATTTTTATGTCTTCAATGAAACAGCTTACCTTTTAAAAAAAAACTGAAAAAAAAAAAAAACTAGCTAGAAGAGGCTAAGAAACACTTAATTTTCACATTAACCTTTTTGAAAGAAAAGAGTTTCCAGCATTCTACCTGCTCTAGTTTCAGAGTTTCTGCATACGCAGAAACTAGGTTTTGTTTTTTATTAACTTGTAAGTGAAGAACAAAGAAAAGGTGGCATGGGTTGAGCTGACCGAAAGTGGAAGTTTAAATAAGTTATAATTATGACCAAACAAAACAGTATTTATTTATTTTTTTTTTTTTTTTTAGATGGAGTCTCACTCTGTCACCCAGGCTGGAGTGCAGTGGCACGATCTCGACTCACTGCAACCTCCGCCTCCCGGGTTCAAGCGATTCTCCTGCCTCAGCCTCCAGAGTAGCTGGGATTACAGACGCTGGCAACCACGGCCGGCTAATTTTTGTATTTTTAGAAGAGATGGGGTTTCACCATGTTGGCCAGGCTCCTGACCTCAGGCGATCCACCCGCCTGGGCCTCCCAGAGTGCTGGGATTACAGGCATGAGCCACCACGCCCAGTCCCAATAAATCCTACTCTTCTAACTGGCCTTGCTTCAATTCCGCCACCCAGCGGCTAAGTTTCTAGCTAGAGTTTGCATTTATTTAGTGAACTCAATGTGCTGGGTGCTCTGAACACTCACCTGCTGGGTTGTATATTTAATCCTACAACAACTCAGTAGTGATAGATAGTATTATCCCTGCTCTGCCGATCAGGGAGCTGAGTCTAATCAGCTGGTGAGTATGTGATCCAACCCTAGCCATACCTCCCTGTGGTTACTTCTAGGAACTCCAGGAATGAACCTGATAAGCATGTCATCTTTGGCTGGTTAAAAGCAGTTACAACAGCGTGGCCAAGAACAATAGAGCTGATGTCGCAAAGGCTGGTTTTGAGCCTCTTACCTTCTGAACTCACTCCGATCTCCCACCTGCATGAGCGCAACAATAGTGTTGGTGATTGACGTTCCAATGTTGGCCCCCATGATAATGGGGATGGCAGCCCGAACAGTGAGCACTAGAGGATGGAAAAGTACCATTAGCAAGCTTAGAAAGGCAGCCTGGAGGCAGGCTAAAGTTACCTATGCTGGTATCCTCTAAAGAAGTAGTTTTTATCCTCTATGCAAGTGAATTCTTAAACTTTTTTTTTGCACCTCACTCTGCACCTCACTATGAATCTGAAGAAAGTGCCTTTCTAGCTTCCTCCTTCCTCCCTATTGCAGATCCAAGGCTAGCCTGAAGGAGACCAGGAGGCACCCACTGATTAAGGACTTAGGTGGATGAGTGCAGGGCTTGCATGTACAGTTGAGTCAGTTGTGCATGGCACACAGGCTCGCCTTTAAGGAAGCATCAGTTTTTTTTCTTTTCTTTTTTATTTTTATTTTTTGAGATGGATCTCGCTCTGTCTCCCAGGCTGGAGAGCAGTGGCTCGATCTCAGCTCACTGCAACCTCTACCTCCCAGGTTAAAGTGATTCTCTTGCCTCAGCCTCCTGAGTAGCTGAGACTGGAGGCATGCACCACCACATCCAGCTAATTTTTGTATTTTTAGTAGAGACGGGGTTTCACCGTGTTGGTCAGGCTGGTCTCAGATTCCCAACCTCAGGTGAGCCTCCCACCTCAGCCTCCCAGAGTGCTGGGATTATAGGCGTGAGCCACTAGGCCCAGCCAGGAAGCATCATTTCTGTGCTGGATATCAGACATTTAATTCTAGGCAGTGTAACTTTTTCCAACAAAATCAGCATATTGCTGCACCTTTTTTGATATAAACAAGTAAAATATTTTGAAAGTGTAATACCTTTTTCTAACTGGACGAGAAACATTCTAGTTAATTTTGGCTAAGATGCTAGCTTGGGAAGAAAAATAGTTCTGGTCAGGGGCTGTGGCTCAGGCCTGTAATCCCAGCATTTTGGGAGGATCACTTGAGCCCAGAAGTTTGAGACCAGCCTGGGCAACACAGTGAGACCCAAGTCTCTATTTAAAAAGAAAATAGAAAAAAAAATAATAATAATCAGTTCAAACTGGTCCCCCTCAGAGGGTCTGTCCAACGTAGCTGCAGCAATTATCAGACAGGTACAAGTTTAGTGTGCCATCTCCCAAGCTCGGTTGTCCCAGAGCAATTTGTGATGTGATTAAGTTGTCTTTCTTCTTAGCACTGAGAGTGGCCCTGTCCCAGAGAACTAACTTTCTGCAGTGAAGGAAATGTTCTATGTCTCTACTTCTCAATAGGGTAGCTGCCAGCCAGCCACATGTGGCTCTTTAACACTTGAAATGTAACTAGTACAACTGAGGAACTGAATGTTATATTTTAATTTTAAATCAATTAAGGTTCAACAAAATTAAACTGCCACATGTGGCTAGTGGCTACAGGTCTGGAAAGTACAGTACTAGAGAATTCAGAGCTGAGAACTCCAGCAGCAGGGTCTATTTCCAGATCCTGCCATCGAAATGGAAACAGGAAGTTGCCTTGGATCAAGAGGGAAACACATTGTAGCTGGGGCAAGATACCAAGACAATGGTGGCAAGGCCTGGACATATTCAGAGTGAATTCCTCCCCCGTCCTTCCCACCCTCAGATAGACAGGAGAGTGTCTGGAATGCAGGTGGGCTCATGGGTGCCCCGACTCACATGAAGAGGACACCATGCTGACAACGATGGACGTTGAGGTGCTGGAGCTCTGCACCAAGACGGTCACCAGCACCCCGATCACCAGCCCCAACAAAGGGTTGGACATAATAGAGCTGTTGCTGAAGAACTGTCCTGCCATTTTTCCTGGGAAAAACAAACAAACAAACAAAAACAATCACAACGTGATCGAGGGGGATTAGGTGGGCACTGAGTAAACAGAAGTCTCCATCCAAGGCCAGCTGGCTGTGGGTTGCAGAGTCCAGCCTCCATCGCTGCAGGCACCCAAGGAATCTTGCTTCCCCATGCCTCTTCCCAGTGCTGCCCCGATAAGGCAGGAAATCTACTAGCTGCCCACACGTGCCTCCTGTCTCTGTCTCTCTGCCCTGGTTCCCGACCCACTGTGAGCCCCTGGTTACTTTTGTTCCTTCACCCTGCATCCTCCCACTCTTCAAACACTCCTCAGTCAGCAAGCCCTTCTGTGCTCAGGAACCCAGCCTCAACTCCATACTGGGACCAGTGGGTTCCAATGAGCCTCCTGGATGTCTCTGGGGTGTATACCCAATTCAGATTTATCCTCCAAGAGTAGATCTCTCTATCCACCCTTAGCCCTAGCACCAGCCTGTAATTGAATGCTGGGAGAGTTATTCTCAAGAGTGTACCTGAGACCATCAATGCATTCCCAAGTCCATTGTATAAAGAAGGTGGAAGCCCAGAGGATGCAGGTGATTTGTCTGAGATAACCAGACAGCAAAGCCCCTAGCTGATGCTCCCATGGACCAGGGAGCCCAGAAGCAATGTTCAGGAGGCCAGGCACGGTGGCTCACACCTGTAATCCCAGCACTTCGGGAGGCGGAGGACGGGCGGAACAACTGAGGTCAGTAGTTGCAGACCAGCCTGACCAACACGGAGAAACCCCGTCTCTACTAAAAATACAAAAATTAGCCAGGCATGGTGGTGCATGCCTGTAATCCCAGCTACTCAGGAGGCTGAGGCAGAAGAATCGCTTGAAGCCGGGAGGTGGAGGTCGCGGTGAGCTGAGATCACGCCAATGCACTCCAGCCCGGGCAACAAGAGTGAAACTCTGTCTCAAAAAAAAAAAAAAAAAAAAGCAATGTCCAGGAAGTGTTTGCCCCTCATGCTCTCCCATGAATGCCCACCTCCCCAACTCTCCCAAGTCACACAGATGGGTTCCCAAGAAAGGCACCAAGGGTTGCAGAAATCCATGGTCCTTTGTGTCACCCAGATCTGAGACTGAATCTTACTCTGCTAATCACAGGCTGTGAGTCTCAGGGCTGGTTCATGATCTCTCCGTAAATGGGAGGGCTCTGGGAAAGAATGTTTGATAGAGGGCCCCCGAAAATGCCTGCACCCAGTAGACGGAGTGCTGCTTGTTTGTTTCTGACATCACCATTGAGGTACAAAGGGAACCAAGCACATGGTGACTTCACTCCTGGGTTCTCACACTGCATGGGCACACGCAGCCCTAAGGGCTGTGAAGGTAAGTACAATGGATGCAGATTCCTCCAGCCCAGAGAAGGGGCCCTGTCCTTCCCCCAGCAAGGGCCCATATTTGAAAGGGCACTCTTTCTCATTCCAGAATTCTCTCTGGTGTGGAGGATATAGGAATTCCTCAGCTAAGTCTGTATGTCAGACAACTTCCTGCCTGGGGTTTGTGGACAAACTCAACTGGCGGATAGCTTGGAATAGTCTAGCCCCAGCTCCTGGCCTAAGCCACCTGGGCCAAGTCATAGCCCTTTGTATAGGCCTCAGTTTTCTCTTCTATAACGGAAAGCATAGACTTCATAAATGATCTGAGGTCGGTTCCAGTCCTAAAACACTCCAGGAGGCTGCAGCTGGAGAGGGCTTGCTGAGTTTTACTCTCGGAACCACATTTCAAGATAATGCCCCTCACCCGCAGACCTCTCACCCTTTCATTCTTACCTCCAACCAGCTGGAAGGCGCTACTAAGAATATCCAGGGAGCACACGAAAAAGTAGAGAAATCCGAGAAGTAAAATCAATCTCCCAATCCCTTGGAAGAAACAGAGAATCTTCCCTTTGGTGTCTCTCTCTGCAGGGGGGTGGGATGGGGGGAGAGAGAGAAAGGCATGAAACTTTTAGTGTTGGAAACCCTGAGAAGTTTGGCAATGAGCTCAGAGCTCCCCCGACCTCCCCTCCCTTCCCAGCCTGGCAGCCGTTAAGTTCTTATGTCTAGCCAGCCTTACAGATGGGAAGCAGCCATCGCTGCAGCTTTCAAAGCAGTTACCGCTGTGGTCCATTTAGCTGAAACCCCTGGTAAAGTGCCTCTAAAGGATTTGCGTTTGGGAGGAGGGGTTCAATGTGGTCTGCGACAGAAAAACCAGGCTCCATGCTCAGCTGAGCCACAGTGTCACTGAGTGAGGCAGTTGACAGCACTAGCCACCTGCTAAGTGCAGGGTCGGAGATAATGGCTGTCACGTTCCAAACAGCACAGAGTATTTTCTAGAATGCAGCTGCACAGCAGCAATCAGCCTCAATTTATGGAGGGCTTGGGGCATCATACATCCTGGGATGCTACATCCTTAAGTGCTGTTTACTCCACTGGCTTTTAAAATGGTTCTCATCTTCCCCCTCCCAGCTCTTTCCTTCCTACCTCTCCTCCCCACCCCACACCCCAATCTCCTTTTTCCTCCTTGCTGTCTAGTTCACAGACAGACCTTCTGCCCTACATACATTTGGAAATGAAACAGTGATTGCTTGCATCCAGCTGTCTGGCTGCATATTTTCTTTTACTAGAAATATGCCCACATTTTGGTGAGGGGACCCCTCTGAAAGCTCTCTGAGAAGAGGGGCCTTTTCTGTTCATCACTGTATCCACAGCATCTCCAAAGCAGTACCTGGAACCTCATCACCCACAGCGAATTATAAGGAGCCAGACAATGTCCATCTTTGCTATAACCACAGTGCCTGGCACATTTGTTGAATGAATGACCCCCAATTACTCCAACATGCTTTGACTCTACCTCAAAGATGGGAGGGTGGCCGGGTGCTGTGGCTCATGCCTGTAATCTCAGCACTTTGGAAGGTCGAGGAGGGTGGATCACGAGGTCAGGAGTTCGAGACCAGCCTGGCCAACATGGTGAAACCCCATCTCTATTAAAAATACAAAAATTAGCCTGTAATCCCAGCTACTCAGGAGGCTGAGGCAGGATAACTGCTTGAACCCACGGGGCAGAGCTTGCAGTGAGCCAATATCGCACCACTGCACTCCAGCCTGGGTGACAGAGCAAGACTCCGTCTAAAAAAAAAAAGATGAGAGGGTGACATCCCTAGCCAGGACCCTTGCTTCAAGGGAATCAGAACAATGAAAAGGGGGAGGGACAGGAGGATGATGACACCGTGAACCACAGGAAGTTTCCCTCCTGAATGTCTCAGCTGGCCTCACTTTTACCTGACCACTTGATCCCCGAGTCCTGAAGAGTGGGTAGGTTCCAGGGGTCATCCACCTCAGTGGGCTCATCTATCAGTGTAGCCGTGGAGTAGGACGGCAGAAGTTCAATCTTGGTTACAGGTGCCTCAGTGTTATCTGCTGAAACAAGCAAAAGGGGTAATGAGGAATCAGACCTGAGTCTCCTGGGGTCCTCACAAAGGCCGATCTGCAGACAAACGAGCGACACTTACTTTTGTTGGTCTCTTTGCTTTTATCAGGGGCAGTGGGCTGCTGACCTGCGGCCCCTTCGAGGTACTTATCGGGGTTGGGCTGGGCATCTCCCAATTCAGGCCAGGGAGCCATGGTCTGTGGATGAGAAAACAGCTTAAAGCAGCAGTCATGGAAAGGAGGCACACCGAGATGCTATAAGAGGAAGAACCATTGGTTGCAAAGCATCAACTGGGTGGGGGTTTCGGCCGGAGGCGGCAGTAAAAGGAAGGGAAAGATTTCACACTTATGCCCCCTAAGTGTGGCATATTAAGCACCATATTTCCTCTGTGGTTCCCCTTCAAACACTCACCCAGTCGCTAAAGCAAACTACCTCGTACAGTGTTGAGTTAGCTGCATGTACCACCTTTAATCTCGTAAACTTGTTTTTGTCTTGACTCTCTCCTTCAGTCAAAAGCAGGGTGCAACGGGCACCGTGGCTCACGCCTGTAATCCCAGCACTTTGGGAGGCCAAGACAGGTGGATCACCTGAGGTCAGGAGTTTGAGACCAGCCTTGACAACATGGTGAAACCCCATCTCTACTAAAAATATAAAAATTAGCCGGCGTGGTGGCACACGCCTATAGTCCCAGCTACTCGGGAGGCTGAGACAGGAGAATCGCTTGAACCTGGGAGGCAGAGGTTGCAGTGAGCTGAGATTGTGCCATTGCACTCCAGCCTGGGTGACAAAAGTGAAACTCCTTCTCAAAAAAAAAAAAAAAGAAAAAGGCAGGGTGCAAGCCCATTCATCTTTGTTGTCTCATAGCATGCCAAATCCTCACAACCCTTCAATGGAACCCCATCTACTTCTTATATCAAGACAAGTGCACTGCAAATCTATGCAAAACCTTATCCAGTGGAATTTAACAGATTTATACAACTTAGTGTGTATGTGAATATATATGCAGGGGCCAGGCGAGGTGGCTCAGGCCTGTAACTCCAACACCTTAGGAGGCCAAGGTGGGTGGGTCACCTGAGGTCAGAAGTTCGAGACCAGCCTGGGCAACGTGTCAAAACCCTGTCTCTACTAAAAATACAAAAATTAGCAGGGGATGGTGGTGGGTGCCTGTAATCCCAGCTACTTAGGAGGCTGAGGCATGAGAATTGCTTGAACCTGGGAGGCGGAGGTTGTAGTGAACTGAGATCATGCCACTGTATTCCAGCCTGGGGGATACAGAGCAAAACTCTGTCTCAAAATATATAAGTATATGCAGGTGTTCATATACCTTCTGCGTGTTTTACCTACCACCCAGGCCTTCTGTGAAAAGAGTGATGGACCTGGTTTTAAAATCCAGCAGTGCCACCTATTAATGAGTGTGTATTTAGGCAAGTCCCTTTATGCCTCTGAGCATAAAGTGTCAGTTTCTCCATCTATAAAATGGAACAGTTCTTGCAGGGTTATGAGACTAATAGTGAAATTAAAAGTCTAGAAAGTGACTGGCATTGAGGAGGCATCCAATAAATAGCAGCAATTATTACTATGTCATGCTGTCTGGATTAATCATCCTTTGTTAGAACCACATTCTTTTCAGCCTTCAGAAAAGACCTTCTTACAATCTATTTTCTTCACAAGGCCTTTCTCAGTTACATGGTACTTGACACACCTCACATTCCAGTCCTTGCAGTCCTTGTTCTTTGACATTAGACAATTAGTCCTTGTCCATTAGACAAAGCAGTCCAAAAGATTGGAGAAAGGCAATTCACAGAAAAGGAACAAATGGCTAAAATGCCTATTAAAAAAGAAGCAATCCAGGCCGGGCACAGTGGCTCATGCCTGTAAACCCAACACTTTGGGAAGCCGAGGCAGGTGGATCATCTGAGGTCAGGAGTTAGAGACCAGCCTGGACAACATGGTGAAACCCCGTCTCTACTAAAAATACAAAATTAGCCAGGCGTGGTGGCATGCACCTGTAATTCCAGCTACTCGGGAGGCTGAGGCAGGAGAATCACTTGAATCTGGGAGGTGGAGGTTGCAGTGAGCTGAGATCACATCATTGCACCCCAGCCTGGGCAAAAAGAGTGAAACTCCGTCTCAAAAAAACAGAAGCAATCCCATATATTCAAACTAAAACAGTGACAACTATCAAAGTAGCAAAAAGAATTTAAGTTCATTATGCTATGCTGGAGAAGATGTTATGAGTTGAACACTGCTAGAAGCTCTGGAAAAGTTAGCAAACTGTCCAAAGTGCCTTATGTTCATCACACGTCTGTGACCCAGTCATTTCACTTCTAGGAATCAGGAAGCTAGGAATATTTCCTCTCAGAAATTCAGAAATACCTAACTTACTCTGATCACCTCTTCCAAGAGGGCTTCTTAGAGCCTGAGTCCACCTGACTCCTTTCTTCGTCAACCTATTTCCTGCTTACCAGACTGCAAACCCTACCAAAAAGTGGACTTTGTCTTGTCCATCACTTCATCTTTAAGGTCTTGAGCCCTGCCGGGCATATTTATGATAGAATGAATGTGATGTAGACCAAAAAGATATTTGCTGCTCTATCATTTACAGTGTGAAAAAATGAAAAAAGAGAAATTACTCCTTCTAACTATGGTATGTCCATGCATTGTAAGAGCATGCCATTAAAGAGGTTATACTGAATCAGTAAAACCATAGGGAAATGCTTTAGATAAACTTCACATCTAAAGCACTTCTTTTTCCCATTCACAGCATCATCTCAACAAGGCAGACAAGATCCAGAAATGTTCTCTGGAGGTAAAAGGGAGTGGTGAGACTGTGGGTGATTTTTTAAATTTTAGAAGAAAATTATTTTAAAAGATGCAACTCAACCTCTAAGCTCACAAAGGTAAGATGGCTCAGTGATACCTGGAGAGAGGCGAATCACAGTGAGGGAGGGCTGGCTCTGCAGAGGCCTGCCCCTCACTATATGCAACCCTGAGCCACTCTGAGCTTCAGCTTCATCATTGTAAAAATGGGGACAATACCATCTTGCTTACTGAGCTGTTATGAGGACTAATTGGTTAATAAGTGTAGGTGAGGCTAGAGCATGGTGCCTGGCAGAGTAAACACTCGGAACTCTTGTTTATTGTTCATGACACAATGTGGAAATGCACTGTGTCATGAACAATAAACAAGAGTGTTTATTACGTGGAAATGCACTGTGTCATGAACAGTAAATGGCCTCATTTCCACTGTGTGTACCCTAGACTATAAGCTCTTCATCTCCAATGCTCAGCATGGTAGTGGATCTCAGTTAATATTTGAATAAATGAATCCAAAGCCTGTGAGAGAAAGATGCTAATGTTTGTTTTGTGGCAGAGGAGTGTCCTATACAGTTTGTGACCTCATTAAATCTACCAAGGAAGGAGTTTTTCTTCTCAGTGTACAGACAAAGAAACTGAGGCACAGAGAAACAAAGAAGCTTGCCTCCAACTACCTGGAGCTGGTGTCAGGATATGAACCCAAGACTGCTGGCTCCAAAGCCAGAAGCTTTTCCACAGATCTCACAGCCAGGGGCAAAGGGAGGAGAAATTCTCCAGCCCTCAAAGCACCAGGGCACCCAGGGGCCTTAGGTCTAGGCACATTGAGGGCTCTGAGTGTTTTCGGATAGCTGGCTAGATTGGCATGTCTGCAGGTCACTCCCACATGATCATTCAGATGCTGGAAATGCCCGCCCAAGAATGTTGCAATGGATGAGCAGGAGGGGAGGGTGGTGGGGGTGGGGTGGGTGGGTGGGGGTGGGTATTAAATGGTGCAGGCAGAGAATGTACCCTGGAGCTCTGAGCCCCTCTAAGCCTTTCTCCTACCCCCATAGCCCTGGCGCAACCACTGCCTTGTTCTCTCCCAGCCTTCCCAAGGCCTCACTCCAGCACATTCTTGCCACCTGCCAGAAGCAGCAGAGGAAGGGAGAAGTCATCATTTGGAAGCTTTTTACTAAAGCCCAGGGAGGGGCTCCCCCGCTGCCACACTGGCCTCTATAACCGAGTTGCCTGTGTGCCTCACCCTCTTGGCTCCACTTCCTGCACCACATGGGCACCCACTGCCAGAAAGAGCTCTTATTCTTTCTTGAAGACCCAGGAGAGGAACTTTCTTGACTTGGCTCAGACTTGGGAAGCAGGGGAATGTAGGGTACCTGGCAGTCACCCAACCCCTACATTCGCATTGTTTGGGCTTCTCCAACCAAGACCTGTTCCTGGGCCCCTTGTGCCCAGAGCAGCAGTCAAGGCCATCTGAAGAAATGGGGAGAGGAGGAAGCCCAGGGCAGTGGTCCTGTGAGGAACCAGAACATGGACACACAGTCTCCCATCAGAATGGCAGCCTTCACAAGCACAGGGACTAGAGTATGGCCATTGTATCCCCAGCACATAGGACAGTGCTGGGCACATGGTAGCCAAGTAGTGTTTATTAAAGACTTTGTGCCTGGCACTTGCAAATTGGTGCACAAATTTACTCACAGCATTTCATGTATCTATGTAAACTTAGAGTCTCCTTTAAAATGAACAGTATCCTCATTCTATAGAGGGAAAAACTGAGCCACAGAGAGGTTAATGGCTTCAAATCACATAGGCACCACAACACTGCAGAGATAATTTCAACCTCATGCAGGCCAGTGTTCTCGGGATGCCCAGGAAAACTTTCTTGTACTTTGAAAGAATGACTCTGTGCTTCAAAAATTCCCAAGAGGGTGACGTCTCCTTTTCCTCTGCTTCCCTTACAGCCATCACAAGGAAAAATAATCACCCCTATAGGCTAAGGGTGGTGGCTCACACCTATAATCCCAGCACTTTGGGAGGCCAAAGTGGGAGAGTCCCTTGAACCTGTGAGTTTGAGACCAGCTTAGACAACATAGTGAGACCCTGTCCCTACATTACTGCTAATAATAATCTCTTCAAGGACACAATGGTGGTAGTGATGAGAGGAGTCAAGGAAGCAATTGGCCTGGGCCTCACATTGATAGATAACTTGAGTTTACATTTTTGATGTGGCACACTAATAAACTTTAAACTTGGGCCATATCACCAAACCACACCCTCACCATGCACTATCAATTTGTATTTATGATATCTTAAAATAAATCCTGTAAATAACTTGTAACTATATCAGTTGTGCTGCATTGTATTGGGGGGGGAGGTTAAAGCAGTTAAATTTGTAAATATAAACATCTTAAAAATACCGCAATCTTTTTATAGCCCTCTTTTTGTACCTTTGCATTTTAAAAATTCACTGAGATGAATAAATTCCCTGGGATGTCCTGATTGCTCCCTGCGGTCCCCAGAATGGAAGTGGGGGTGTGGGTGAGGATGGAGGAGTGGAAGATGCCTGAAACTGGTTACTAAAGCCCAGTTTATTCCAAAGCACTCTGATTCTGTGAGGCTGTTTTCCTCATTGCATTGAATTCGGGCTATTTTTTTGTCCCCTTTGTGTCTAACAGCAACAATCAGAAGCCCATCCTCATACCACAGGGGACTTGCTTCATTGAGACAGTTGAGCAATTTGGGGAGTTTTGGATGGGGCAATTTGTTTAGCATCCAAACCTTTTACAAAGCACGCCTTTCTTATCACCCATTCCCCAAATTACAAAAGCAGAGAAGATCATGATCAGCGGGCATGGGACAAAAGAGGCAATCTTTTTTATTTTTGTTTTTCTTTAACAATCTGAAACAACGGCCACTCCTACAAGCACAGTTTTCCAAGAATACCCAACCCAGGACAAGTTAAAGAACTGCCAGCACACAAGGGAAGAAGGAAAAAGGAAAGAACGACAAGGCCCAGAGCGATCAGGGCTAACACAGAAACCCCCTGGGGCACCCAAACAGGAAGAGGGGACTCGAGTGATGAAATCCACAAGCTGCTTCCATGAAATCAACATGTTTGAAAAAGGGACCTCCTCAAAGAAAACGAGATTCCAACTCTCTTCAGCGCAGTGCGAGCCACCGGTGGCAGGCACCGTTGCAGGGAACCTGAACTAACTCCATGCCATGCAGCCCCCAACTTTCTGGCCTGAGGATGCGCAGTCCCCGAACCCAACCACTCCTGTGCACATCTCCTTGTAAGTTATCTCCCCAGCCTGCTCACCCATTTGTGGCTTGGAAAACATAAATTGCGGGCTTTGCTCCCCAAGACGGCTGAAGGACGGACCCTTCGCTGATGGCCACGGGCCCTAATAGAAACAAACTAAGACTGTCTCCTAGGCACCTTAAATAACTGCAAACAAGCACTGTACCACGTGGAAGTCACACTTGGGTGGGGGGCAGTGTCACATCACCAGGCAGCCACCACAAACCTAGAATTTTCATGGTCCTGAGATGTCGCATTCCCCTTCTTATAAAGAATGGAAGACGGCAGCCCAGGGGCTCACAGGGACTAGCGTTGTCACATGGCTAGTTGGTGACCCAGCCACAAAGAGCCTAGCTATCCTGATTCCTAGGTGGAGATTTCTATCCCCTGGGCCTTTCCTCTTCCAAACCACGACTCTCAAAACAGTGATCATTTTAGAATCCACAAGTGTGGCTGATTAATAACACTGTCGATCGTAAGAGTGTAGCAGCAAAAGCTGTAATAAAAGCAATAACCGTAACATTAAGAAGAAAACAACTTGAACATTGTGGAGAGCTTTGTGTTTTTCACTTCTGCGGCCCAAAGCCA
Source organism: Homo sapiens (assembly GCF_000001405.40). Lineage (NCBI taxonomy): Eukaryota > Metazoa > Chordata > Mammalia > Primates > Hominidae > Homo > Homo sapiens. Next base: position 25,655,994 of record NC_000004.12, on the reverse strand, counting down.
GCCAAGTTCCTTGAAGTCAGCACCGAGAGGTATTTGCAAGAATTAAGTGAATCAAAGTCCTTGAAAGAGCGAGGAAGCGCCCCTGCCCCGGCGGCGGTACTCACCAGCGCTCCCTCCGCAGGTGCTGGGCTGGAGGCGGCGGCCAGGTGGAGCGCAGCGCCCCGGGTATATATGGCGAAGGTGTTGCGCAAAGAGGCTGGCCGCTGTCATCACGCCCCTCGCACATTCCAGGACCGCCTGCCGCAGCCGCCGCCGGGGCACTGCCTACCTGCCGCCTTAATGAACCCATCGCGACTTCGCCCGCTGCGCGGAGAAGACGCGCGGCCAGCCAGGCTGCCGAGAGAAAAGCTCCGACGGGCCCCGCCGCGCGAACTGGCCCGAACGGCCCCAAACGGCCCCGCGCCCCTCGGCGCCCCGCGCGCCCTAGCCTGGCTGGTGCGCGCCCTCTCCCGCCCCGACTCGGTCCGCACGAGATTCCCGCAAGTGGGGCTCTCCCGCCCCTGCCTTCTCCTCAAGAACTTGAACCTTCTAGTCTAGCTCCTGTGAGGCTCAAGAGGTCAGAGACGTGAAGACACAGATAAAAGCCAGTTGGAAAGTCAGGGATAAAGCCCTTGGAAACAAAGCCTGGATTGTTCACCTTTATCAGTCTGTGGGGCGCTTTCTGCCCTGGGAGTCTGGGCTCTAGGTCCGCAATGGGAAAGGCTGGGACCGTCAAGCTGAGGAAAAGGAAGGGGGCTGTTCTCACCACTCCGTCCTAAGCCTGCTGCGGGTTTGGCAAACCACTGCGCTCGTTTCACATCCTGCTCTGCCTCGTGTCACCTGCGTGTGTATACAACAGTTCTCCAAACTGCTGTGAGATAGGATCTGTCCCAGGGAGAGTCCACCCCCATGCTTATCCCAACAGCTCCCCAGTTCTGTGCCGGGCACTGCTGGGCAGGCTTTGTCTCCAATGTGCACACGAAAGCCTTCCCTGGGGCTAAGACTGGCGCCCTCTCTAGCTGAGGTTTAAGGGGTTAGGGGATATGATACAATTACCCAGGATTTGCTGAGCAGGAAGAAAACCTGCTTCTTATTCTGAAACCCAGACCCTCTCCTCTGCTGCGCACTCTCCTGGTTTTATAGTGGAGCACAGTGAGGCTCAGTGAGCTTACTAGTTGCCCAGCTCCTCACAACAGCGGAAGCACCCTACTGGAATTAGCTGGTTTCATTCCAACATCGAGTTCTCTCCACTGTGCAAGGGGAAGGACTCGGGAGCACGACTTCCAGGAGCCTAGAGCTCTGGGGCTGGTGTTGGCGGTGGCTAAGCACACTGACTCTGGGCCGAAACTCCGGGAAATCAGTTCCCTGTTCTGCCCCTTGCTTTCCCTGGCTCCATTTGCTTATGTGCAAACTGGGAATAATGGTCCCCGTTGGAGTAAAGTGAGCTAAAATATGTAAAGAATGTGGAATGGTACTTGGCACATAAATAGTATTCAGTGCGAGTTAACCATGATCGTTTTCACAGGGAAACTCTGGTGTTGGGAGAAGATGGGTGGGAAGCCTTGATTAGACTCATCTAGAACCTTCACTGGAGAAATCAAATCTGCTTGGGTTGCTGTTATTACAGGGATGATGGTTTTGCTAGTGGGTGTTGGCCTTCAGATCCAACTCTCAGACAATGATCAACCAGTACCTTTGCAACAAGCAGCTTCTAAAGCATAGTCCACTGATGACAGGAATCCCCTGGCACCTGTTCACCAAGCTCAGCTCTGCCTCCAGCCCTGGGCAAGGCGGACTGCAGACACCACTTGGCTTTACAATGAGGAAGGGCTCTACTGCCAGGGTGCAGAGGAGGAAGCGTGCTGCACACACTGCTGTCGGTGAACTCGACCCGGATTCGGCAAAGCCTGGCTCTTAGTTCATGTCCTGCTCTGCCCTGTGCTTGGGGGTTCACAGGAGCAGGTCTTAACAGGACAGTCACCTCAATGAGAATCCCCTCCTGACTGTGGGCTTTCATTTGGGACACAGACCTAATTGCCTTTCCATTACTTTCAACAAGGAGTGAATGTAGGAGGGAGACCAAAATTTCAAAAACTTGGAGAAAGAAAAAGGTATCCCTTTTGTGTTCCGATTAAAAAGGCAAAACAGGTTCAATCCCGAACATTGTTCTCTTAATGTGTATAGATCTTGGTAGTAGATCAGGGATGGTATCTGATTCTAGTTTGGGATTGTAATTTATATAATTTTTTTTTACAAAGTCTGGAGGAAAGGTAGATGGCGTGTCTGTGTTCATCACTCTATAATCTCTCCCTTTAGGAGAGTACAATTTGCTGAAGAACATTTTCCTATCGTTATTCCATCTGAGATACAAAATACTCTCACCATTTAGTACTTCAAACATAGAGCCTTATGTATAAATACAAACATCTAAAATACTTTCATCGAGGCTGGGTGTGGTGGCTCACATCTGTAATCCCAACAGTTTGGGAGGCCGAGGCAGGCAGATCACTTGAAGCCAGGAGTTGGAGACCCGTCTACCAACATGGCGAAACCCCGTCTCTGCTAAAAATATAAAAAAATCCCAGCTGCTCAGGAGGCTGAGTCACAAGAATCACTTGAACCCGGGAGGCGGAAGTTGCAGTGAGAGCTAACTGCAATCCAGCCTGGATGACAGAATAAGAATCTGTCTCAAAAAAATTAAATTAAAAAAAAATACTTTCATCAAAAAAGTGTCACCAAACCGGGCACAGTGGCTCAAGCCTGTAATCCCAGCATTTTGGGAGGCCGAGACGGGCGGAACACAAGGTCAGGAGATCGAGATGATCCTGGCTAACACAGTGAAACCCTGTCTCTACTAAAAATACAAAAAAAAATTAGCCGGGCATGGTGGCGGGTGCCTGTAGTCCCAGCTACTCAGGAGGCTGAGGCAGGAGAATGGCATGAACCTGGGAGGCAGAGCTTGCAGTGAGCCAAGATCGTGCCACTGCACTCCAGCCTGGGCGACAGAGTGAGACTCTGTCTCAAAAAAAAAAAGTATTACCATTTTTTCAACTCATTTCAGTATATTTTTGCGCCTATTGTCCTATGAGGTGAGATTTAACAAGTTGGTAGGCTCTGTGTTAATCTGGAGAGGAAACACCCCATCCAGGGCTGGCTGCTACCCAGCTTCAGATATTGCATGAGAAAATATAGTCAGATGCTGTCAGATCTTGACTTTTGTGGGGAAGCCAGATATACAGGTCTTTATGTGAAATGTACCATTAAAAAAATACGGAGTAGGTCAAACAAAGCAGCTCTGTGAACTACTGATTTTCATCCTGGTGCTAGACATACTCTCAGCTGTTCGGACCCTGCCCCAGTGCCCTTTCTACCAGTATATGGCTTGTCCCCAAGGCCCTCTGGCACTTCTTTTTACCCTTCACTGGGGCTGACTTTCTTTACAACAAAGTGGCAGAGAGATTCCACAGGAGTGATTGGATGACAGCCTTCCTGGGAGGTGATTGTGTGGTGAGACAAAGGCACCCAGGAGTCCAGGTTCTCCTTTCTCTTCCTCGGCTCGGTGCCTTACCCTCTGAGTCACCAGGCCTGGGAAAACCCAGGAGTTCAGACTGATGGGAAAGTCCTAGCTCATTCCAAACTCTCTGGCAGGATGAAGCTGCCAGTTACTGAAGACAGAAAAGAGGTAGGGATGGCACATAACTGTCTGCTTGACTCTCAGCTGTCCAGGCAGGGCCTGGAGAGGAGGCAGCTGACTTCTGGGCTGACCTGCCCAGGGTACCCACCCCTGAGGACCAGTGAGCAAGCCCACTTAGTGCTTTTTCCCTGGCCGCAGCTGCTGCAAGAGAGGGGCACAAAGTGGATTGCATCATAAAAGCCTGAGAAAGTGTCTCCAAAAATAACACCTGAACAAAACCGCTTTGAACTTTTGCATTCATTAGACGCTTTTTCGGGGCCCTATGGCAGTGTTGATAATCTCAGAATTGTTCAGTCAGGCTCAGTGACAGGAAACCTATCCCCTTAGATACAGCCAGAATTCCAGAAAAGTCAAATAATGTGTTATCTAGTCATGAGACAGCACTGGACTTCAAAGAGTCAGGTTTAAATGGAGAAATGCTAACGGAACAGAACACAGGGCTGACATAATTACAGGCTGTCTTCAACCTGGCTTCAATATGTACATAAATATGCAGAGAAAAATACCGGAAAGCAATACACAAAAATGTTCATTGTGGTTATATTTGGTTGTGGGATATGGGAGACTGTATTTTTCTATTTGTATGCTGCTCCTAAAAGGATCTAAGACAGCTAACAGATCGACAAAGTATAATTGATTCAAAACTAAGTGAGAAAGAAGAGGCAAAGAGAAACGTAGGGAAGTAAGATTGAGGTGGAGGAGAGGTTAAATGCTGGAACCGTACGACACTGTCCATTTCTGTTTGTCAAAGACAGCCTAAAAGATCAATCATGGTAATGACTATTAGTACTGGTAAGAGTATGTGAATATTTTGCCTGAGTTATTAAATATAACAGTTCCTGATAATAAAGTTTGTATAGTTTATAAGTTATTTGGCAAGCCAGTGAGTGTAAAGCATTATCATAGGCCTGGAACTTAGTAGGTAAATACTACTCCTTTTATGTCCTATTATGTGTCTGTTATGACTAGAAGCACCGCCAGACTCTCAAACTCTGGCCTCTCAGAGCTCACAGACCCTTCCCACCACACTGTATGCATGCATTCAACTCATGGTAGGTCCAATACATAACTATCGGTTTAATGAATCAGGGCCTCCTAATCTCAAACTGAAGTTGACATTTGAATCTTGCCCCCATGAAATCAGGTTTTTTTGGTTGCTGTTTTTTTGGGTTTTTTTTTTTTTTTGAGACAGAGTCTCACTCTGTTGCCCAGGCTGGAGTGCAATGGTGCGATCTCAGCTCACTGCAACCTCTACCTCCCAGGATCAAGCGATTCTCCTGCCTCAGCCCGCCTCCACCTCCCAAAGTGCTGGGATTACAGGCATGAGCCACTGTGCCTGGCAGAGATCAGTTTGTGTGTGTGTGTGTGTGTGTGTGTGTGTGTGTGTGTGTGTATGTTTGAGACAGAGTCTCGCTCTGCTGCCCAGGCTGGAGTGCAGTGTTGTGATCTCGGTTCACTGCAACCTCTGCCTCCAGGGTTCTAGCAATTCTCTTGCCTCAGCCTCCGGAGTATTGGGATTACAGGTGCCCGCCACCATGTCCAGCTAATTTTTGTATTTTTAGTAGAGACAGGGTTTCACTATGGCCAGGCTGGTCTCGAACTCCTGACCTCGTGATCTGCCCACCTTGGCCTCCGGAAGGGCTGGGATTACAGGCATGAGCCACTGCGCCCAGCCAAGAGATTAGTTTTTTAAAGTTAAAAATGTTCCCTTAAAATCCCCTGCTATTGGCCTGGTGTAGTGGCTCATGCCTATAATCTCTGCACTCTGGGAGGCTGGAACGGGATGATCCCTTGATCCCAGGGGTTTAAGACCAGCCTGGGCAACATAGAAAGACCTGTCTCTGCAAAAATTTTTTTAAAAAATTAGCTGGGCGTGGCACACGCTTGTATTCCCAGCTGCTCAGCGGGCTAAGGCAAGGGGGCTGCTTGAGCCCAGGAAGTCAGGGCTGCTTGAGCCCAGGAAGTCAAGGCTGCAATGAGCAGTGATTGCCACTGCTCCCCAGCCTGGGTGATGGAGGAGACTGTCTCAAAAAAGAAAACAGAAAAAGGCCAGGTGGGACAAAAAAGATCTCAGAGTAGAGAACTGACACACTGATTTTCCTCTAAATGGAGCAGCCACGCCTCATCTTCGCCTGGCTGTTGCTGCTGGGAACTGGGGCAAGTGTTGCTACTTTTCTCACATTTCAGAAGCTAGAAATTAAGCCTTTCGGGTAAAATTTTAGAATTTTGGCCAGGCACGGTGGCTCACACCTGTAACTCCAGCACTTTGAGAGGCCTGAGGTGGGCAGCTCACTTGCGGCCAGCGTGGCCAACATGGTGAGACCCTATCTCTACCAAAAATACAAAAATCAACCAGTCTCATAACCTGGTCTCAAAATAAAACAAATAAAAATATTCAGAATTTAAGTGTGGGTTTTTTTTTTAAAGCAACTGTAGGAGCCAAGCAAAATCCATGTCAAGCTAAATGCAGCCCACTAGCTGCTTGCTTGCCAGCTTACTACCTCTGCCTGGTGCTCATTAGATTTATAAAAATTATTTGGATAGATTGGAAGTTTTGTTATATTAGACAATTGCAATAATTTATAAAAATAAACTAAATATGTTAAAAGTATAAATGAAGTTTAAAATATAAAGTATTTTTAAAACGCATTGTTTAAACTTTAGTAAATGTATAAATAATACAAAAATATTTATAAACTGAATTTAAGATGAAGAAAGCAAGAGAGTTTTTAAAAGTTAAAACTTTAACAACCACTGTTGATTCATTATCCACATTTTGCAGATTACCTGCATCAGATGGTGAAACCAGGATGTCAAAACCTATCACTTTTCACCTCTAAACTGTCATCTTTTTTTTTTTAGACGGAGTCTTGCTGTGTTGCCCAGGCTACAATGCAGTGGCACGATCTCAGCTCACTACAACCTCCATCTCCTGGGTTCAAGCAATTCTCTGCCTCAGCCTCCTGAGTAGTTGGGATTACAGGCGTGCACCACCACATCCAGCTAATTTTTTTTGTATTTTTAGTAGAGACAGAGTTTCACCATCTTGGTCAGGCTGGTCTTGAACTCCTGACCTCGTGATCCACCCACCTCGGCCTCCCAAAGTGCTGGGTTTACTGGCGTGAACCACCACGCCTGGCCGAAACTTTCATCTCTTAACTTTTGATTTCTAAACGTGTAATCTCACTAATTTGGGAAGCAGAGGTGGGAGGACTACATGAGTCCTGGAGCTTAAGACCAGACTGGGCAACATACCGAGACTCTGTCTCTACAAAAACTTCAAAAATAAGCTAGGCAGGGAGATGCCCAACTGGGGCCCTAGCTACTTGGGAGGCTGAGGTGGGAAGATTGCTTGAGCAGGAGACCAACGCTGCAGTGAGCTGTGAGCACAGCAAACACTGCACCCCAGCTTGAGTAACAGAGCGAGACCCTGTCTCCAATAAATGTCAAAAGCCTGAACACTCAATTGTTAAATTCTCACAACAACCCTAGATTATCCAGTAATTTTATCGCCATTTTGCAGATGAGGAGTCTGGCTTGGGAGTTTAGATTTTGCCCAAGTTTCTGGTCCACTCAGGATTCAAACCAGATTCACAACTCTACCAACCTCTCATAAGCCTAAGCAAGAATCTGTGGACATCATCTCCTAAATGAGACCCAAGCTCTCCAACAGGCCCCATGGGGAGCTCATTGACACACGAGCACACTCTTATTTCACTGGACAAAGGGACTAGCCCCTTACTCCACTCCCAACAACACACGGAGAGCCTGCCGGGCTGGAAAATGGGGACCTCCTTGACTGGTCACCCCAACTTCCTTCATCATTCCAAGCCCCACATGACACTCTGATACCCCACCCTTCACCATCTCCCCAGAGACCACCTTTGCCCACTCAGGACTTGAAGAAATTAGTTATACTGTGGTGAAGGTTCCAGATCCCTCAGACCCTGCATTGGTCTTCCTACCTGGAAAGAAGTCAGTCCAGAAGAGCTGGAAACAACTGGAGTCAAAGCTGGAGACCGCTTCATAGCTGGAGGCCGCTTCAGAGCTGGAGACCGCTTCAGAGCTGGAGACTGTTTCAGAGCTGGAGACCGCTTCAGAGCTGGAGATTGTTTCAGAGCTGGAGACCGCTTCAGAGCTGGAGATTGTTTCAGAGCTGGAGATCGTTTCAGAGCTGGAGACCGCTTCAGAGCTGGAGATCGCTTCAGAGCTGGAGACCGCTTCAGAGCTGGAGATAGCTTCAGAGCTGGAGACCGCTTCAGAGCTGGAGACCGCTTCAGTCAGAACTGGAAGCCACTAGTCTGAGACCGGGGAAGATAAGAGGCCTTAAATAGGTCCCACTTAGCCCCACCCATGCCTGCAATCTCCTTAATTTAATCAACCCAGTCCCACCCTAAGGCGGGTTTAATCCCTTCTCTCTGGTTGGAAGCCCCTGTTTTAGAGCTTGTTCCTTGGTTCTACACACACTCACGTCAAACCTCTTGTTGTGGTGACCCGCCTAAGCAGGCCTGTCTGACACACACATATGTGCTATGAGGGCATTAGGGACCGAAACACTTGGGCCAGCCCACCCTGGCATCCCCCACCCAGGGAGAAGATAGGACATTGGCAAGAAAATTCTAACCTCATCTGAGTAGCTGGGCAAGGTCGTACATGCCTGTGATCCTAGCTCCTCAGGAGGCTGAGATGGAAGGATGGAGAGTTGGAGCCCAGCCTAGGCAAAATAGTGAGACCCTGTTTCCAAAGGAAAAAATAAAGCAAACAACAAAAAAGAAAGCATCTGTAAAACCAATACAGAAGAATAGAGAGGACAAGAATATAGAAGAAAATTCAGAAGAAACTAAAGAAATGAGATGAAACAAGCTCTATAAGATATCAAAACACACTAGTAAACTACAATGTAATAAATAATAAATACTAAACTAATATTTGTATAAATTTGTATTTATATAAATACAAAATAATAAACTACAATCTAATAAATAAATAATAAACTACAATGTAATAAACTACAATGAACAAAACAATGTGGTAATAACCAAGGAGCAGCAAGATGAATGGTTGAATAAAATGACCCAGAAATAGATTCCTGCTGTTAGGTTAAAAAGGCATTTCAAATCAATTTTTAAAGTTAAGGATTACTAATAAATTTTCTAGAGTAACCAATTGTCAATTAGAAAAAAAAAATTGACTTAGACATATATCATATCATATATCAAAATTAATTCCAGGGATGTTGATTTGGGATGGAAAACAATGGAAAAAAAATTAATTCCAGGAGAAAGACTTTAAAACTCAGATCACAGAAAAACCATGAATGAGATAACCCAAAAGAGCTATAGATTTGACAATATAGCTATGTAAAATTAGGCAAACACAGTGGGAAAAAATATCCCCACTGAACAGTATAATAAACAGTAGACAGATCATTTATATTTCTAGTTTTCCCTCAAAGGTTCTGTTCATGTGAATCACCAATATCTATTTCATTTCTCCCTCATCACTGTTAGACATTAATGTTTCAAACAAATTGTACTAGCGGGAAAAGTGTCCTATTCACGGTTTTAATATGTACTTCAAAAATTGGCATTTTTCATGATTGAATTAGTAGATCTATATCTTTTGTGGTGGATTTCTGCTTATTCCTTTTATTTATGGAACCCTTAGTGTCTGGCTTCGTAATTTTTTTTTATTATTTATTATCTTTTTTTGAGACGGAGTCTCACTCTGTCACCCAGGCTGGAGTGCAATGGCGTGATCTAGGCTCACTGAAACCTTCACCTCCCTGGCTCAAGGGATTCTCCTGTCTCAGGCTCCTGAGTAGCTGGGATTACAGGCGTGTGTCACCATGCCCAGCTAATTTTTGTATTTTTAGTAGAGCAGTGGTTTCATGATGTTGGCCAGGCTGGTCTCGAACTCCTGACCTCGTGATCTGCCCACCTCAGCCTCCCAAAGTGGTGGGATTACAGGCGTGAGCCACTGCGCCCGGCCTCTGGCTTTGTAATTTAAATGAACTCAACATTTATTTAGAAACATGACTTTTTTTATCCTTTGACTTAATAATTATATTTACAGATACCCACATTGAAAAAATATTTTATCCTTATGTATGAAAATATTCATTACGGAGTAAAGAATAAAGATAAGAAAGACACAAACTACATGTCCAGAATGAGAGAGTGACTTGAGTAAGTTACGGCACTTTCACTAGATAAGCAAGACTATTTGCAGTCCCTTTAAAAAATGGCATTTATGGGCCGGGCGTGGTGGCTCAGGCCTGTAATCCCAGTACTTTGGGAGGCCAAGGCAGGGGGATCACGAGGTCAGGAGATTGAGACCATCCTGGCTAACAAGGTGAAACCCTGTCTCTACCAAAAATTCCAAAAATTAGCCAGGCATGGTGGCTCACGCCTATAATCCCAGTACCCTGGGAGGATGAGGTGCACAGATCAGATGTCACAAGATCCAGACCATCCTGGCTAACAAGGTGAAACCCCGTCTCTGCTAAAAATACTAAAAATTAGCCAGGTGTGGTGGTGGGTGCCTGTAGTCCCAGCTACTCAGGAGGCTGAGGCAGAAGAATGGCATGAACCCAGGAGGCAGAGCTTGCAGTGAGCCGAGATCATGCCACTGCACTCCAGTCTGGGCGACAGAGTGAGACTCCGTCTCAAAAAGACTCCATCTCACAAAAAAAGACATTTATGAAAACAATGTAGCAACATCAAAATGTTTATGATACAATGTAACAAAGAAATGATAAATTCAAAACAGAAATATGGGGTGCTATAGTCTGAATGTTTATGACTCCCCTCCCCCAATATTTATGTTGAAACCTAATCATCAAGGTGATGGTATTAGGACCCAGTGTCTTTGGGAGGTGATTAGGTCATGAGGGATTTGCCCTCATGAATGGGATTAGTGTACTTATAAAAGAGGCCCAAGAGGTCAGGAGTTCGAGACCAGCCTGGCCAACATGGCAAAACCCCATCTCTACTAAAAATACAAAAATTAGCCAGGTGTGGTGACAGGTATCTGTGATCCCAACTATTCAGGAGACTGAGGCAGGAGAATCACTTGAACCTGGACGACCGAAGTTGCAGTGAGCTGAGATCGTGCCACCACTCCAGCTTGGGCAACAGAGCAAGACTCCATCTAAAAAATAAAATGAAATGAAATAAAAAAATAAGAGGCCCAAGAGAGACCTTTGCCACTTCCACCAAGTGAAGACATAGCTAGCAGGTGCTGTTCTATGAACCAAGAAGCGCCTCCTCACCAGGCACCAAATATGCCAATGCCTCAATCTCCAATTTCCCAGCCTTGGAATTTTTAGAAACAAACTTTAAACCTCTGGAATTTTGTTTTGTTTTGTTTTTTGTTTTGTTTGGTTTTGGTTTTGTTTTTGTTTTTTTTGAGACAGAGTTTCACTCTTGTTGCCCAGACTGGAGTGCAGTGGCGCGATCTTGGCTCACCACAACCTCCGCCTCCCTGGTTCAAGCGATTCTCCTGCCTCACCTTCCAGAGTAGCTGGGATTACAGGTGCCTGCCACCATATTCGGCTAATTTTTGTATTTTTAGTTGAGAAGGGGTTTCGCCATGTGGGCCAGGCTGGTCACGAACTCCTGACCTCAGATGATTCACCTGCCTTGGCCTCCCAAAGTGCTGGTATTAGAGGCGTGAGCCACTGCGCCTGGCCTGTTTTTTATAAAATACCCAGTCTATGGTATTTGATTATTGCTGCCTGTGGTAAGAAAAAAATAAGGGGAAAAAACAAGCAAAGCAACAAAGACAAGATGCATCTAGATTTGTCAGAACGATTGTTTTAGGGAGATAAGATTAAAGGGAGTATTTTAAATGTTCCTTGTTTTTCCCAATTTTCTTTGATAGAGGTTTTGTTTTGCGACACACTGTTTTTTAAAGAGCACACCATCAAACCTTACATTTGATCAATGTACTTTAGTCATTGAAGGAAAGACACAGAGAAGGAAAAAAGATGTCAAGGAAAATAAAAGATGAAGGGAAAAAGAAAGAGGAGTTGAGACTCTCACAGAGTCTCAAGGCAGACAGGGAATGTGAGTTGAGAAAGACGCTCAGAGATGGGGAAACCAAGCTCAAGAAAATTAAATAATTTGCCCAAGAGTGCCCAGCTGGCAAGAAGCAGAACCAACAATTTGCAAACAGGTCTGTCGGACACTGATGCAAAATCAAAGCCTTTGGAGCCTGGGGGATGTGAATGAGTCAAGGGGGACCTCTTCCAGGGCAAGGGAATGATAGAGAGCACCCGCTGAATGGGGCTGAGAGGCAGGGCCAGGGAAAGGCCAGTTCTGTGTGTTTCTGAAGCACAGCCTGGCTCCCGCAATGATGTTAGTGTGGATCTGAAAGCACCTTCTCATTCCTGGAATTAAACCCCTCTCTGCTTAAAATAGCCACAGCACAGGATCTCAGCTAGGGGCAGTTTTGCCCACAGGGGATATTTAGCAAAGCTTTGAGACATTTGTGTTGTCATAACTAGGGGCAAGGAGTGTAACTGGCATCTACTGGTAGAGGCCAGCGATGCTGCTAAAGATCCTATAATACAATGCACAGGGCCGACCCCACAACCAAGAATGATCCAGCCCAGAAAGTCGTTAGTGCCATAGTCAAGAAATCCCGAGCTGCAAAGAGGCTGCCACTTTGCAATCTCTGTCCTAAATCTATGTCCCATCTACTGCGTGGTGCTGTTTCCAGTCCCGCCTAGGAAGCTTATTGTGTAAAGAATAATTCCTCTCTCCAAGAGAAGCAGGGAAGTGACCTTAAGGAAAGTCAAATGGTCAATTTCTTCTTCTAGTCCTCAGCATAGCAGATTCAGGGACTTTGGCATAAATTTGAAATACCTGGTATGACAATATGGAGCCTATATGGAAAAACACAGCTGCCATTTTAACTATAACATAGTATTGGGGACATAGAAATTCCAACAACTTTTAAGAAAAGGGTACACTCTCTGAAACGATGCTGACCTTTGTGCCTGGTATCAGAAAAGCTTCAGCTAACGATCAAGTTCAGGAACCAAGCTGTTGTAATCCAAATGATTTCTGATCTTTCATAAGCCCTCATCCATCTCAAGCTTTACATAGTTGTTTTCTTTGTTTGTTTGTTTTTTCTTTTTCGAGACTGAGTCTTGCTCTATCACCTAGGCTGGAGTGCATTGGCAGGATCTCAGCTCACTGCAACTTCTGCCTCCCAGGTTCAACTGATTCTCCTGCCTCAGCCTCCCAAGCAGCTGGTATTACAGGTGCCCGCTACCACGCCTGGCTAATTTTTGTATTTTTAATACAGATGGGGTTTCACCATGTTGGCCAGGCTGGTCTCAAACTCCTGACCTCAAGTGATCTGCCTGCCTCAGCCTCCCAAAGTGCTGGGATGACAGGCATGAGCCACCACGCCCAGCCATCAAACTTTACCTAGTTTTGACTTTGTTTTTTTGAGATGGAGTCTCACTCTGTTGCCCATGCTAGAGTACAGTGGTGCAATCTCAGCTCACTGCAACCCCTGACTCCTGGGTTCAAGCGATTCTCCTGCCTCAGCCTCCTGAGTAGCTGGGATTATAGGCACCCGCCACCATGCCTGGCTAATTTTTGTATTTTTAGTAGAGATGGGGTTTTACCATGTTGGTCAGGCTGGTCTCGAACTCCTGACCTCATGATCTGCCCACCTCAGCCACTCAAAGTGCTGGGATTACAGGCATGAGCCACCACGACCAGCTTGACATTTTTTATAAACGCTTCTTTCTGGAAACACTTTCCACCTTTGGCTTCTGTGACACTGCATGGTTCTGGGTCCCCTCCCAGTTCTTGGTTTGGTTTGTTCTGCCAGTGACTACTTGGCACCGTCCCAGCACCTCTCTGCCCCCTGTGAACAAGGTCTTTTCTCTACTTTCTCTAAATTTGGCTGGTAACATATGCCTTGGGGGTCATTCCCCAGGGCTGGCTGGCCTTTTACCACCCTGCTGCCCCCGCAGGCCTGAGACTCACGTGACCAGGGAGATCCTGCCACACAACTCCTGTCCCATCAAGTGGGACAGCAATAGGACATATGAAAGAATTCCATCAAGTTCAAGGTATTTAGGGTTTGATAAAAAAGGTATTTTAACAATCCTAAGAACAGAAAACAAACAAAAAGTCCAGAAAATCTAATCTAATCTATTTTTAAACATCAAGTCTGATTAAAAACAGAAAAATGTCCTCTTGTGAGGGTCCTCTGGGTGGCAATGTGGGCCATGCAGACTTCTGGGAGGAGATGAGGGCCTATCCCTTTCAGAGTTTTGGGGCCCTTGATAGAAGGACTGCAAAAATAGGCTCCAAATTCGGGTGGCATAATGTTGTCCCTTGATTAAATGATATTCTCTTGCCAGAAAAACTAACCCCAGGGGAGATTCAGAATTTAGAAGAGCTATAAGGTAAATCAAACCTAGAATATTCCATTTTTTGTGATGAATTTAAAAATAATCTGTACCTGTCTGTCATTTTAATTTCTTGAAATGTTAAGGATAATTTAGCATATTGGCATTTATAGTAGGTTAACCCAATGATTTTTTAAATTTTATTTTTATTTTTTAATTTTAATTTTATTTATGTATTTATTTTTATTTATTCATTTATTTTTGAGACAGAGTCTCGCTCTGTCACTCAGGCTGGAGGGCAGTGGTGCGATGTCGGCTCACTGCAACCTCTACCTCCCAGTTTCAAGGGATTCTCATGCCTCAGTCTCTGGAGTAGCTGGGATTACAGGCGTGCGCCATCATGCCCAGCTAATTTTTGTATTTTTAGTAGAGATGGGGTTTTGCCATGGATTGCCCAGGCTGCTCTAAAACTCTTAAGCTCAAGTGATCTGCTGGCCTCGGCCTCACAAAGTGCTGGGATTACAGGGAGGATCCACCATGCCAGGCCTAACCTAGTGATTATAATTTAAAACAGGTAATTGAGGCCAACCACGGTGGCTCACGCCTGTAATCCTAGCACTTTGGGAGGCTGAGGCGGGCGGATCACCTGAGGTTGGGAGTTCAAACCCAGTCTGACCAACATAGAGAAATCCCATCTCTACTAAAAATACAAAAGATTAGCTGGGCACGGTGGCGCATGCCTGTAATCCCAGCTACTCCAGAGGCTGAGGCAGGAGAATGGCTTGAAATTCCCGGGAGGTGGAGGTTGCAGTGAGCTGAGATCACGCCATTGCCCTTCAGCCTGGGCAACGAGTGAAACTCCATCTCTAAATAAATAAATATAAAAATAATTGATTTAGACTTGTGAATTTAAGTTGAAATCTTTTTTTTCTGCATTGGAACTCTGATTACGTTGAAATCTCATTAAGTTTGTAAACCATGTTAGAACCCCGATGAGAACTTCAGATCCATCATTTTTAGGTTTAATTCATTAGATTTATAAAAAATTATTCAGATATATTGGAAGGTTTGTTATATTAGACAATTGAAGTAACTTATAA
Source organism: Homo sapiens (assembly GCF_000001405.40). Taxonomy (NCBI): domain Eukaryota; kingdom Metazoa; phylum Chordata; class Mammalia; order Primates; family Hominidae; genus Homo; species Homo sapiens. The sequence goes on along the minus strand of NC_000004.12, from coordinate 25,640,843 downwards.
AAATAAACTAAATATATTAAAAGTATAAGTGAAGTTTAAAATGTAATTAAAGTGCTTTTAAAATGGGTTGTTTAAACTTTAGTAACTTTAGAAATAGTACAAAAATATTTATAAACTGAATTTAAGAAGATGAAGAAAAGAGAGTTTTTAAAAGTTAAAACTTTAACAAATTTAAAATGCTATTTCAAAAACCAAAACCATTTCTGGAAAATCTTTTCCATGCATAAAACCCAACTGTCAACGGCGCACAAAAAAATAAAAAACTAACAAAAAAACACCCATTTGAAACGTGTTTGGCCAGGCGCGGTGGCTCACGTCTGTGATCGCAGCACTTTGGGAGGCTGAGGAGGGCGGATCACTTGAGGTCGGGAATTCGAGACCAGCCTGGCCAAAGAGGTGAAACCCTGTCTCTACTAAAAATACAAAAATTAGCCACGCATGGTGGTGCGTGCTAGGGAGGCTGAGGCAGGAGAATCGCTGGAGCCCAGGAGGCAGAGGTTGCAGTGAGCTGAGATGGCACCACTGCACTCCGGCCTGGGCAACAGAGTAAGGCTCCGTCTCAAAAAACAAAACAAAACAAAACAAAAAACAAAGACAGATGGGTTAAATTAGAATGCAAGATTTTCTTTAAAAAAAAAAAAAAATTGGGCAGTGTGTGGTGGTTCACGCCTGTAATCTCAGCACTTTGGGAGGCCGAGGCGGGCAGATCACGAGGTCAGGAGATTGAGACCATCCTGGCTAACACGGTGAAACCCCGTCTCTACTAAAAATACAAAAAAAATTAGCCGGGCGTGGTGGCAGGCGCCTGTAGTCCCAGCTACTTGGGAGGCTGAAGCAGGAGAATGGCATGAACCCGGGAGGTGGAGCTCGCAGTGAGCTGAGATCACGCCACTGCACTCCAGCCTGGGCGACTCCGTCTCAAAAAAAAAAAAAAAAAAATTGGCCCAGCACTGTGGCTCACACCTATAATCCCAGCACTTTGGGAGGCCTAGGCGGGCAGATCACATGAAGCCAGGAGTTTGAGACCAGCCTTGCCAACATGGCGAAACCCCACCTTTACCAAAAATGCAAAAATTGGTCAGGCATGGTGGTGCATGTCTGTAATCCCAGCTACTCAGGAGGCTGAGGCAGGAAAATCACTTGAGCCTGGGAGGTGGAGGTTGCAGTGAGCCGAGATCACACCACTGCATTCCAGCCTGGCTGACAGAGTGAAACTCTGTCTTAAAAAATGAAAATAAAATTTTAAAAATTATTTATTTATTTGTTTTAACTAGTCTCATGATTGGCTATCAATGCAAGTTTTTCTAAGTTTGTGGGTAAATGAATCTTTCTGGGGAGCTTTTTGTGTGTGTTCACAAAGGTCCTTGTCCTAAAGGAATTTAAGAGCCTTTTTTCCTGTAGCAGAAGCAACTTGCCTCTTTCTCTCTCCAGCCCCACAGGACACAGTGGCTGCTGAGAACACCACCTGGGAAGCCACCAGTACCCTATATGTAATAGTCTGCAAAACCGTTTCACTAGTGTGACCCTCTCAAGCAAGTACTTCACACAGAGATCACTCTCTACCCAGCAACCCAAATTTTGTCAGCTTTCATCCTCTCCTTTGCCAAAAATATCTGGCCAATTACTTAATTCTGTTTCTCTTCCTATTGAATTCCCTACTTCTATTGATTTCTGAAATTACCTGATTCTATTGATCAATTCTACTGGAAATCAACAGAATTTGGTAATTGATTGGAGATTTCCTTCCTCTTTGCCACAAGGATCTAAACTGCCATGAGGCCCTAGTAATGCTTCTCTCTCTCTTTTTAATTTTTTTTGTTTGAGACAGTGTCTTGGCCTGTGGCCCAGGCTGGAGTGCAGCGGCGCAATCTCGGCTCACTGCAACCTCCGCCTCCCTGGTTCAAACAATTCTCATGCTTCAGCCCCCTGAGTAGCTGGGATTACAGGCACACACCACCATAATCAGCTAAGTTTTGTATTTTTTAGTAGAGATGGGGTTTCACCATGTTGGCCAGTCTGGTCTTGAACTCCTGACTTCAAGTGATTCACCTGCCTCAGCCTCCCAAGTGCTGGGATTACAAGCGTGAGCCACCGCACCTGGCCTGCTTCCCCCTTAATGTTCCCTATTTTGTTTCCTTTCTCCCAGTCCTGCCTTCCCCCCTCTGCCCCTCACACTAGTATCAGCACAGCCCTGGACCAATAGCTCTCCATGCCACTCTGCTGTCTTCTGCAAACTGAATGACTTTCCCCAAAATACTATTCGGTGCCTGGACAACATAGCAAGACCCTGGCTCTACTAAAATATTTCTAAAAATTAGCCAGGTGTGGTGGCACATGCCTGTAGTCTCAGCTATTTGGAATGATCACTTGAGCCCAGGAAGTTGAGGCTTCAGTGAGCTATGATTGCAATGGAGTGAGCCTGGGCAAAGGTGTGAAACCTCATCTCTGAAAAGAAAAAAAAAAAAAAAAAAAAAAGATGTGTTGTGGCAAAGCATTCTGTGGCTCCCTGCTCCTTCCATGGCAGATTTCGTCACATTGGTGTCTTCATATAGACTCCACAAGCCACACCAAGCGGCAGACCTGTGTGCGCATTGCTCATTCCTGCCTTTATCCATTTACATATGGGGAATGCCCTTGAAGTGCCCTTCGCTTTGCCTCTGGAAATCCATCTTCTTTCAGGACTCACATCCTCCACAAAGATTTAGGGATCTTTTTCTCCTTACAGGCACACACCACCACACCCGGTTAATTTTTGTATGTTTAGTGGAGACGGGGTTTCGTCATGTTGGCCGGGCTGGCCTCCAACTCCTGACCTCAAGTGATCCACCTGCTTCAGCCTCCCAAAGTGCTGGGATTACAGGCATGAACCACCGTGCCCAGCACAAAGTTGTTTTAGCAGTGACAAATACATCAGGAGATTAAAACAGAGTTATGAGATAAAGAGGCCAATGATTAGAAACTGACCAACTTTAGCCTTCACTAAGTCAGGAAACGGAAAGCTAATTCAGACCTGGGTGGTCCTTTCTGAGATAGTGACCTGTGTGCTGAGACCTGAATGATGAGAAGCAAGCCCCTTGTGGAGATTCAGGGACAGCATGTCAGGGAGGAGGGACAACAAGGGTAGACATGGAAGAAGGGCCTGGGCACATTGAAGCATGTGGCTCTAGAATGCAAATGAGGAAGCGCTGTGGCAGAGAGGCCCAAGCAAAGCCAGAGCTGATCGTACAGGGCTGTAAGGGGGCTCTCGTGGGTTGAAGTGCATTGAAGGGTCTCAAGCAGACAGAGGAATCCTATCCTCTGATTCATTCAGTTACCAGCTGACTCTGCTGCTGTGTGGAGAATGTTTGTAGGTCCAGAAGGAAGCAGGGATGCTGGCTAGGAAGGGACAGACTAGTGCCAATTGGATTCACATGGCTGTGAAAGATGAGGGTGACCAACGACCCCAGTTTGCTGGGTCTGAGGGGTTTCCTGGGACACAGGAACTTCAGTGCTAAAATGAGAAAGTCCTTGGCAAACCTGGATGGGTGGTCATCCTAGGCCACCATGGGTAGAGATCAAGTCCACCTTACTCGCTGATGGATAGAAGGAAGGAAAAGAAAAAATTGACAGTGACTGATAGGAATTTAGCTTGAGCAACTGAGTGGCTGGTGGTGCCATTTACTGGGATGCAGAAAATGAGACTGGAACAGATTCAGAGAGAAAATCGAGAGTTCAACTTTCTGAGATACCAAAGGCGAGCTCCATAAATCTCTGCCAAATGGCAAAGTCACTGTTATAACCCTTGAGAGAGACCTTCTGCTCTCCCAGATCTATGGAGATCCAAAGTGAATACAAAAATAGGCAATCTAATCAACAGCAAAATTGCTCTGGGATCTCACAATTGCTGGCTAGCAGTCACAAAGGAGCCATCCTTCCCAGAAAGAGGGGGATGCATCCGTTTCCAACAGATACGATGTTAGCAAAATCCAGAAGCGAGCTGGGGGCCATGCTGACCCTGGCCTCTGCTGTCTCCTTACAGACCCCACCCCCAGCAATTTGTGATGGATGCAAATTTAATTCAAGATGGGGAGGGGAGGGCAGCAGGAGGGGTCACATCAAGTTAATGTAGGAGCATCATTCTCTGTCTCTAGCTCCACCGAGATACTCCACCCCGGGTCCAATTATTTCTCTTTCCTCTGTTGTAGAACATCTTTCTCCTTCCTCTGACCTCAGCTGCCAATGATGCCTTTACAGCAAATGGGCTTCTAGAAGCCTTTCCCAACAGAGTTAGTCCTCTGTCCTACTAAAAGGACCACTTTCCTATCCCATGTGCTGGCCTTTCCCCCATGACCTGCTCTTGGTAGCCATATGCTTCCCTTGGAGGGAATATCACCTCCTGCATTTCCTCCCACAAGCTCCTCCTTCTCCATTGCAGCAGCTATTCCTGCTGTCTGCAGAGACCCCTGCCCACCAGTCTAAAGTGAAGAAAAACCAGTACGTTCCCTAGGGTGAACTGGGAGGGAAGGGAGGAGAAGCTGGACCTTCCTGTCTCCGCTAAACTGCCCGAGGCTGTTAGCATTCCTGCTTTTTCTTCCTTATGTCTGGTCCCACGTCTCCCACCCAAAAATATGTGTTCTCAGAGCAGGAGGAGGGGAGTAGTGATGCACTTGGCACCAATTATTTATTTAAATTTTATGGCCAGGCGCAGTGGCTCACGCCTATAATCCCAACACTTTGGGAGGCTGAGGCAGATGGATCACTTGAGGTCAGGAGTTTGAGACCAGCCTGGCCAACATGGGGAAACCCTGCCTCTACTAAAAATACAAAAATTAGCCAGGCGTGGTGGTGCACACCTGTAATCCCAGCTACTTGGGAGGCTGAGGCAGGAGAATTGCTTAAACCTGGGAGGCAGAGGTTGCAGTGAGCTGAGATCACACCACTGCACGCCAGCATGGGCAAAAGAGCAATACTACGTCTTATTGTTATTTTGTTCATTATGAATTGTTTGCATTAACTTAGATTACTTTTTAAATATTGCATTAAGATATTATTTTTCTTGGGTGCTGAGTTTTTTGGTATCCTTTAGATTTTGTGCTCCAGGTGAGTGACTCACTCACTTCACTGTAACCTGAGTCCTTCTGGTTTTCCGGAAGTGACACATGCATAAAGAGACTAAAACCTGCAAGGTGAGACTCTTTTTCGTTTGTTTTGGAGAGACAAGGTTTTGCTGTGTTACCCAGGCTGGTCTCAAACTCCTGGCCTCAAGCCATCCTACCACCTCGACTTCCCAAAGTGCTGAAATTACAGGCATGAGCCACTGTGCCTGGCCTGGACTTCCAGTTTTATTTATTTATTTATTTGTTTATTTATTATTATTATTATTATTATTATTATTATTTTGAGACAGAGTTTCGCTCTCGTTGCCCAGGCTGGAGTGCAATGGTGAGATCTCGGCTCACCACAACCTCCGCCTCCCAGGTTCAAGTGATTCTTCCGCCTCAGCCTCCCGAGTAGCTGGGATTACAGGCATGCACCACCATGCCCAGCTAATTTTGTTTTTGGGTTTTTTTGTTTTTTATTTTTTGAGACAGAGTTTTGCTCCTGTTGCCCAGGCTGGAGTGCAATGGTGCAATCTCGGCTCACTGCAACCTCTGCCTCCCGGGTTCAAGCAATTCTCCTGCCTCAGCCTCCCAAGTAGCTGGGATTATGGGCACGCGCTACTGCACCCGGCTAATTTTGTATTTTTAGTAGAGACGGGGTTTCTCCATGTTGGCCAGGCTGGTCTCAAACTCCTGGCTTCATGTAATCCACCCACCTCAGCCTCCCAAAGTGCTGGGATTACAGGCGTGAGCCACCACGCCCGGCCTATTTATTTTTAGACAGAGTCTCGTTCTGTTGCCCAGGCTGGAGTACAGTGGCATGATCTCGACTGGGGTTCATATCCTATGAGAGGTCCCCAACTTCGTCCTGCAAAGTGCTCCCCTCTCCCAGTCCATGCTGGTAGAGTGTTCAGCTTGTCTCCATCCCCCCGGCCTCAACTGATTGGCCCACAAGTAGACATCTTACCTGAGTGGAACCAATGGGTTCCTGGCCTCAAACTTTGAAATCATGCTAAGAGATTTCAGTCCCATGGTGGCTGGACCAGTCAAGAAATCCTAAGGCCTTGGCCAGGTGCAATGGCTCACGCCTGTAATCCCAGCACTTTGGGAGGCCGAGGTGGGCAGATCACCTAAGGTCAGGAGTTCAAGACCAGCCTGGCCAACATGGTGAAAACCCATCTCTACAAAAATACAAAAATTAGCCGGGCATGGTGGTGGGTGCCTATAATCCTAGCTACTCAGGAAGCTGAGGCAGGAGAATCGTTTGAACAGGTGGGCAGAGATTGCAGTGAGCCGAGTTTGCACCATTGCACTCTACCCTGCGTGACAGAGCCAGACTCTATCTCAAAAAAAAAAGAAAGAAAGAAAAGAAAAGAAAAAGAAAAAGAAATTCTAAGGCCTTTTCTACTCCGGGAATGATAATAGGTTGCAGAGAGAGTTTTCAGGAAAAGAAAGAGAGAAGAGTGAAGCAGAAATAAAATAAGGGCTGAAATGGGACTTGGAGACAGTCCTGTGGGCATTCCTGTCCCTGGCAAGTCCCCGGTCAGGGCCTCATGAGGGGCAGATTTGTGTGTTTTTGGCTGCCCAGTACCCATTAGCTTCCAAAACAGGCCCCCATTTCCACTGTGAGCACTATGTCTGAATGTTTATGTTTCCCCCAAATTCATGTGTTGAAATCCTTTTAAGGTAATGGTATCAGGAGGTGAGGGCTTTGGGATTAGTGGCCTTATAAAAGAGACTCACAGGAGCTCATTCACCCCTTCCACCATGTGAGGATACAGGGAGAAGGTACTTTCTACAAACCAGGAACTTGGTCCTAACCAGACATCAAATGTGCTGGCACCTTGATCTTGGACTTCCCAGACTCCAGAACCGTGAGAAATACATTTCTGCTGTTTGTGAGCCACCCAGTCTGTGGCATTTTTAACAGCTGCCCAAATAAACTAAAACAGTGGGTCGCCTTTCAAAGAAGGGTCATTCCAGGCCACCTTCACCATACTGAGGGGAGCCAAATTCTTCTGCCCACAGCCAGGGACTGCCACACACAGGCACGTGTCTTCAGCTGGCCTCTCCCAGGTCACAAACCCCATGCAAGTGACTGCAGTGGTGGCTGCCTGCCCATGCGATCCTGGTAAGTCTCCTGCCCACCCCTCCAGGCTGCCTTGGCTCTGCCTCAGCTGTCCTCAGCCTTCAGCCTTGTGTGCCCCCTTCTTTCTGTCTCTAAGTTCCCTTTTGTTTTAGCAAAACCAGAGTTGGTTTCTCTGATTTGCCACTGAGAGGTACTGACTGATATATGCAGTTATATCAGGTGCCTGAGTTCCATGAGACAGCCCTGTATACATCCCCGGAAGTAAGCTCCAGGTGTATTTCCATCTCTTGTGGTCAAGAGTCCTGCCAGGCGTGGTGGCTCATACCTGTAATCCCAGCACTTTGGGAGGCCAAGGTGGGTGGATCACTTGACATCAGGAGTTCGAGACCAGCCTAGCCAACATGGCAAAACCCTGTTTCTACTAAAAATACAAAATTAGCCAGGCAGTAGTGGCGTGTGCCTGTAATCCCAGGTACTCAGGAGGCTAAGGCGGAAGAATCGCTTGAACCCGGAGGCAAGGCCGGGCGCGGTGGCTTACACCTGTAATCCCAGCACTTTGGGAGGCAGAGGGGGGGGTGGATCATGAGGTCAGGAGATCAAGACCACGGTGAAACCCTGTCTCTACTAAAAATACAAAAAATTAGCTAGGCGCAGTGGTGGGCGCCTGTAGTCCCAGCTACTTGGGAGGCTGAGGCAGGAGAATGGCATGAACCCGAAAGGCGGAGCTTGCAGTGAGCTGAGATCGCGCCACTGCACTCCAGCCTGGGCGACAGAGCGAGACTCCATCTCGAAAAAAAAAAAAAAGAAAGAACCCGGAGGCAGAGGTTGCAGTGAGCCAAGGTCATGCCACCGCACTCCAGTCTGGGCAACAGAGTGAGATCCTGTCTCAAAAAAACAAAACAACAACCACCAAAAAAAAAAGAGAAAACAAAAAAAGACACAAAACTCCTTATAGGTTAGTGGTGGACTCGGACAAGTTATTTTACCTCTCTGAGCCTCTCTTTTCTTATCTGGAAAATGATGCTACTAATTCCTGCTGTGCAGAGTAATTGGACAAAACAGCAACAGCAATAATAAAGGTGATCAACAGCAAATGCCAGATTGTGCTTACTACGTTCTAGGAGCTATTCCAGGAGTCTACATCTAGTAAGAAACTCATTCCACCCTCACAACAACAACCCTTTGAAGTAAGTAATTTTTGCCTCATTTTGAAAGTTAGAAAATTAAGGAACAAAGAGGCTAAGTAATCTCCCCAAAGCCACAGAGCTAACACGTGCCAGGGTGTCTCATACATATTTTGTTGTTCAGTAAATGGTGGTTATTGTTTGTGCTCGTCAAAAGATTTGACAAACTCAAAAAGTCAATTTATGATGTAGGTTGCACCCCTTGTGTAAAGAAACAGTTGAGCTGGGTGCGGTGACTCATGCCTGTAATCCCAGCCCTTTGGGAGGTCGAGGCTGGTGGATCATTTGAGGTCAGGAGTTTGAGATCAGCCTGGCCAACATGGAGAAACCCTGTCTCTACTAAAAATACAAAAATTAGCTGGGTGTGGTGGCGTGTGCCTATAGTCCCAGCTACTCGGGATGCTGAGGCAGGAGGATCCTTTGAGCCCAGGATTTCAAGGCTGCAGTGAGTTATGATCACACTTCTGCACTCCAGCCTGGGTGACAGAGCAAGGCCCTGTCTCTAAAATAAAATAAAATAAAAACAACAAAAAATTAAATAAATAAAAAAATTAAAAAGACAAACAGTGCATGTTTGCCCCACACCTGTCTGGTCTCCAGTGCTTTCTGCTCTAGTGGATGGTGTCACCATTCCTCAAGCTTCCTGAACCAGCTGTCCAAGGGTTGCCTCTGCTTCTTCCCTCACCCCAAATCCAATCAATCAATCACCAAACCCAGTCTATTCTGCCTGGATAATCCTCACCTCTCCAGTCCCTAGAGCAGACCACTGTCACCCAACTGCTGATCTCATTTCCCACATCCCCCTCCAATCCAATCCCACATCCCCCTCCAATCCAATCCCACATCACCGCCAAAATGATGCTTCTAAAGCACAAATCTGGCCACTCTTCCTAATCTTTAGTGGCTCCCCCTTGACTCCAATACAAAGCCAAACTTCTTTTGACAGTTTATGAAACTCCCTGATCTAGCCCCTGCCTACCCCTCCAGCCATCAACCTTGACATTTTCCCTCTGCCATTTAACAAAAATCTGTTGAGCTCCTAATGTGAGCCAAGCACTGGAAGAATAAGAAGGCAACATGATTTCTGCTCTTATGAGGGCTACACTGGGCTGGGTGGCTCCTTTTTATCTTCCAGATATCAACTTAAATATCAGTTCCTCAAGGCCATGCTCCTTCTTTCTTTGAGTCCCTTGGTGTGTGTCTCCAGAATGCTTTGCCCTTCTCTACCATAACTTATCCCACACTTGATTGCTGCTCAACCTCTCTCTTTGCTGCCAGAGCCATGGGGATGGGCACTGGCTCTCTTGCTCATCTCTGTGTCCCCAGCACCCAGTGTGGTGCATAGTAGACATTCAAAAAGTAGTTGAGGCCGAGTGCAGTGGCTCACACCTATAATCTCAGCAATTTGGGAGGCCGAGGCAGGCGGATCACATAAGCTCATGAGTTCGAGACCAGCCTGGGCAAAGGAGTGAAACCCCAGCTCTAAAATATATATATGCTGGATCTGGTGAGGCATACCTGTAGTCCTAGCTACTCAAGAGGTGGGAGGATGGCTTGAGCCCAGGAAGCAGAGGCTTCAGGGAGCTGAGATTGTGCCACAGCACTCCAGCCTAGAGGATAGAGCCAGACTTTGTCTCAAAAAAAAAAAAAAAAAAGTAATTGATGATGCCAGGTGCAGTGGCTCACTCCTGTAATCCCAGCACTTTGGGAGACCAAGGTGAGAGGATCACTTGAGGCCAGGAGTTCAATACCAGCCTTGGCAACAAAGCAAGATTCCATCTCTATTAATAAAAAATTTAAAAAATTAACCAGATGTGATGACACACACTTGTAGTCCCAGCTGCTCAGGAGGCTGGGGTGGGAGGATCGCTTGAGCCTAGGAGGTCAAGACTGCAATGAGCCCTGATTGCACCACTGCAGTCAAGCCTGGGTAACAGAACAAGACTCTGCCTCTAAAAATGAATAAATAAATATTTAAAAATACAAACACAAAGTAGTCAATGAAAGCCAGGCATGGTGGCACATGCCTGTAGTTCAGCTATTCAGGAGGTTGAGGCAGGAGTTCAAATCCTGCCTAGGCAACATAGCAAGATATAGCAAGATCCCATCTTTAATTTATATGGATATAAATATGTATATATGGCCAGGCACGGTGCCTCACGCCTGTAATCCCAGCACTTTGGGAGGCCGAGGTGGGAGAATCACCTGAGGTTGGGAGCTCAAGACCAGCCTGAGCAATATGAAGAAACCCTGTCTCTACTAAAAATACAAAATTAGCTGGGCATGGTGGTGCATGCCTGCAATCCCAGCTACTCAGGAGACTGAGGCAGGAGAATCTCTTGAACCTGGGAGGCGGAGATTGCAGTGAGCTGAGATTGCGCCATTGCACTCCAGCCTGGACAACAAGAGCAAAACTCCGTCTCAAAAAAAAAAAAAGTATATATCATATACATAATAAATAAATAATAGTTGATGAATGTATAAATATATGAATGAATAACACAATACTTATTAAATAATCATACTTCTGGTTTTCCTCCAAGACTATATGCTTTATTTTTTAAACAGGAAAGGTCATGTCGTATTTATATTTTTCTCCCAGTAGCTGCTACATTGATACTCAATGAGCCTTGGTTGAATGGATGGACAAGTGTGTCCCTGTGTGGAAAAATGAGAGTTAGGAAGGATGGTCAAAGCAGAAAGGCAGTGCCTTTGGAGACCAAGGTAAGTGTGAGCACCCCTGGAACTTACAATCTCATGATCTGCCTATTCTCCAGAGAGGTGTGGAGTTCCTTGGTTCTCAGTATTCGCTGAACATGGAGTCATGTGGGGCAGTTGATAAAATACCAGTTCTAAGGCCTCTCACCCAGAGATTCCAATTCAATGGGCAATGATGAGAGTTGGACACTGGATTTTTTACTTTTCTAGAGATGGAGTCTTACTCCATTGCCCAAGCTAGTCTCAAACTCCTGGACTCAAGTGATCCTCCCACCTCAGTCTCCAGAGTCACTGAGATTACAGGTACAAGCCACTGCACCTGGCTAGAAAATAGATTTTTTTTTTTTTTTTTTTTTTAGACAGGGCCTCACTCTGTTGCTTAGGCTAATCTTGAATTCCTGGCCTCAAGCCATCCTCCTTCCTCGGCCTCCCAAAGTTCTGGGATTACAGGCATGAGCCACTGCACCCAGCTGAGCTGAAAATGAAAAAAAATTTTTTTTTTGAGAGAGGGTCTCACTCTGTTGCCCAGGCTGGGGTATAGTGACACAACCTCAGCTCACTGCAACCTCAACCCCCTGGGCTCAGGTGATCCTCCCACCTCAGTCTCCTGAGTAGCTAGGACTACAGGTGTTCACCACCACGCCTGGCTAATTTTGTATTTTTAGTAGAGACAGCGTTTCGCCATGTTGCCCAGGCTGGTCTTGAACTCCTGGGCTCAAGCAATCCACCCTCGGCCTTCCAAAGTGCTACGATTACAGGCGTGAGCCACCGCACCTGGCCCAAAAATGGAATTTAAAAAAAAAAAATGCTTCCTGGTTAGCCTAGTCAACATAACAAGACCCCACCTCTACTAAAAGTTAAAAAAAAAATAGCCAGATGTGGCGGTGCACCCCTGTAGTTCCAGTGACTTGGGAGGTGGGAGGATTGCTTGAACCCAGGAATTTGAGGCTGCAGTGAGCTATAATTGTGCCACTGCTCTCCAGCCTGGGTGACAGAAGGAGATTCCATCTAAAAAAAAAAGCCAAGAAAAAAGCTTCCTGATGATTTTAATGTGCAGCCAGAACTGGGCAGTTTTGGGGCCTCCTGGAATTTATAAGGCTTTGGTCAGATCTAGGCATGCAGATATGCAGACAGTCTGCCAGGAACTGCTGGGTATCTGCTGCAGATTGAGACTATGACATAATCAGAGGTGAAACCAAGGAAACAAACTCAAGGAAGCCAGGACCAATTCACCATCCCTCCTAGATACACACGTATTGAATGAATGAATTAATGCGTAGTCTATAATGGTACTCCAACTTTCTTCTGATTAGAAAAAAAAGAGAAAGAAGGCCGAGCATGGTGGCTCTGGCCCGTAATCCTAGCACTTTGGGAGGCTGAGGCGGGCAGATCGCTTGAGGTCAGGAGTTTGAGGTCAGCCTGGCCAATATGATGAAACCCCATCTCTACTAAAAATACAAAAATTAGCCAGGTGGGGTGGCAGGCACCTGTAATCCCAGCTACTTGGGAAGCTGAGGCAAGAGAATCGCTTGAACCCGGGGACACGGAGGTTGCAGTGAGCCGAGATCACGCCACTGCACTCCAGCCTGGGTGACAGAGCGAGACTCAGTCTCAGATAAATAAATACATGAAAATTAGCTGGGTGTAGTGGCATACAGTTGTAATCCCAGCTACTCAGGACACTGAGGCAGGAGAATCACTTGAACCCAGGAGGCGGAGGTTGCAGTGAGCCGAGATCTCACCATTATACTCCAGCCTGGGCGACAGAACGAGATTCTGTATCAAAAAGTAGAAATTTGGACACAAACACAGAGGACCCTGTGAAGTCACAGGATAGTCACCTAGAAGCCAAGGAGAGAGGCTTCAGAAGAAACCGTCCCTGCCAGCACCTTGATTTCAGACTTCTAGCCTGGAAATGAAAGAAAATACATTTCTGTTATTTAAGCCACATAGTATGTGGTACTATGTTTGGCAGCCCTAGCAAACTAATACACAGCTATAAATAAGACCAAGTCCGTGTCCTCCAGCACCTCTATTCATCATGCATTCATTTTGTGAGGTTGAGTGAATACTTTTTACATATCTATTGCTATCTTTCAAAGCTGTGTAATCACGTGAATTTCACCCAAAAAGCCTTCATCAAAAGAGTCTCTTGGAGGAGGTGGGGGGAGGGAGAGCATCAGGATAAAAAGCAAATGTGTGTGGGGTTTAATACCTAGGTGAGGGGTTGATAGGTACAGCAAACCATCTTGGTACACGTTCACCAATGTAACAAACCTGTACATCCTGAACATGTATATGTATCCTGGAACTTCAAATAAAATAAAATAAAATAAGAAAGAGTCTCTTAATTCTTTTTTGTTTTGTTTTGTTTTGTTTTTGAGACAGGGTCTCACTCTGTCACCCAGGCTGGAGTGCAGTGGCATGATCAACAGTTCACTCAGCCTCAACCTCCTAGGCTCAAGCGATCCTCCTGCCTTAGCCTCCCTAATAGCTGGGACTACAGGCTCACACATTATGCCAGTCTAATTTTTAAAAAATTATTTCTTTCCTTTTTTTTTTTTTGAACAGAGTCTCACTCTGTCACCCAGGCTGGAGTGCAGTGGCACAATCTTGGCTCACTGCAACCTCTGCCTCCCAGGTTCAAGTGATTTCCCTGCCTCAGCCTCCTGAGTAGCTGGGACTACAGGCGCGTGCTTGGCTAATTTTGTATTTTTTTAGTAGAGATGGGGTTTCACCATGTTGGTCAGGCTGGTCTTGAACTCCTGACCTCAAGTGATCCACCCACCTCAGCCTCCCAAAGCACGGGCATTGCAGGCGTGAGACACCGTGCCCGGACTGAAATATTTCTTGTAGAGATGGGGGTCTCCAGCTGGATGCAGTGGCGGACGCCTGTAATCCCAGCTACTTGAGAGGCTGAGGCAGGACAATCGCTTGAATCCGGGAGGCGGAGGTTGCAGTGAGTCGAGGTCGCACCGTTGCACTCTGCTTGGGCAACAAGGGCAAAACTCCGTCTCAAAAACAAACAAAAACACAAAAAAAAGAGAGATAGGAGTCTCACTATGTTACCCAGGCTGATCTTGAACTCCTGGACTCAAGCAATCCTTCCCCCTTGGTGACCCAAAATGCTGGGATTATAGGCATGAGCCGCCACACCCAGCCAAGTCTCTTAATTGTAAGTGGCATTTTATCATTGTGTATATTTGTACTAAAAAAAGTCTCAGTTGGATACTAGCTTGCCTTTAACACTTTTCTAATACTTGCTAAGTTCCCTTTTTAAGCAGTAGAAAGGAAGCCATAGGCTTAGAACCTTCCTTAAGAAGCAATACCTGCATAGAATTGAATAACATTGCTGTTTTATTTTTTCCATTATATGCACTTTCAGGGTTACTTCTATCTAAATACAAAGTGATAATAATATTCCATTTGTCACAGTAATAGCATGTTTTCATTTCAAATAATTTTTTAGGCAAAAAGCAAGTGATTAGGCTTTAAGAATGAATATTCAATAAATAATAGTAATGTGATTTGTGTGTACGGCAAAATCATGATGATGGTATGAAAATGATAGAAAATTGGAAAATACTGAATGAGGTGATTTCTGTGCTCCCCTACTAAACAATCAGAGAAATTGCTAGCTTTATCATTTTTATTCATGTATTCACTTATTCATTGCACTGACACCGATTAAGCCCACCCTAGCTTCCAGACATTACATTAAGCATTTTCCCACAAAATATCTATTTCAGTGCAAAAATAGATGAGAAATATACACAGAACCACCTTTGTCTTATCCATTGCTGTATCGCCAGCACCTAGCACGCTGTGAAGGCACTCAAAACTTTGCCTTTGCATTATAGGGGCATTTTTGAGTCAAGATTCAACCTTTTTTTTTTTTTTTTTTAAGATAGGGTCTTGCTTTGTTGCCTTGGCTGGAGTACAATGGCACAATCATAGCTCACCGCAGCCTCGACCTCCTGGCCTCATGAAATTCTCCCTCCTTAGCTCCCCACACCAACCCCCACCCTCCACCAAATACATGGGATTACAGGGGCATACCACCATGCCTGGCTAATTTTCTTTTTCTTTTCTTTTCTTTTTTTTTTTTTTTTTTGAGACAGGGTCTCACTCTGTCATCCAGCCTGGATTGCAGTTGTGTGATCACTGCTCACTGCAGCAGCCTTGAACTCCTGACCTCAAGCAATCTTCCCACGTTGGCCTCCCAAAGTGCTGGGATTACAGGCATGAGACACTGTGCTTGGCCCACTTAAGCAAATTATAAACCCCCTTAGGCTCCCAATCCCATCTCGCCTCTACTTTAAAGTCTAATGTGACCTTCTCAGTGGAGAGAGACCCATTCTTCCTCAGAAATCCTGCTCATTTAGAGTTTGTATACATAACATGGAGACTCAACAGAAAGAATGATACAATTGCCTCTTCTGTTATTGCCTCCAAATGGTTTTAGCTAATTTCCTTGTGTAGACTATGAGCTCCTTGGTGACATAGAATAGCTTCCATTTTATGCGCTCTTTCACAGGGCTCCAAAAAAGTCCCCCTTTTCTGGAGATAACCAAAATCAGTTTCTGTTGCTTGCAACGAGACTACTCCCTGACTTATCCAGCATGAACAACGGGTGGGAAAAAATTTTTTGAATTAAGTTAAATAAATGCTACTAAGGACAATTTAACAGTCACATAGGGTGCTTAAGAGATTCCCTTACATCTCAGGCAGGGCCTATTTACTTATATGTTAAATTCATTCCTCACAAGCTCAATTATGCAGTTTTTATCAAAGTTAAAAATGAATATTAGGAAAACAGCTGTGGCAGGTGCTTCTATGAGAGAAAGAGCTGATAGCCCAGCCAAAACGAAGAGAGAAAAGCCACACATGGCAGAGACAGCCAAAAATTCAACAATCACAGTGATTTGGGTAGAGGTTAAAAAAAAATTCATGAGCTCAATAGAACTGGATGATAGCCCAGTATAATAGGCAGTGTTCATGATGGTGCCCTGAGTCATTTGGAGTAGGTTTAATTTTCTGGTATCTTCTATCTGCAGATAGCATGGAACTGAATAATTCATTTTAGAAAATTTCTAACCCAAATATCTACTTAAGAAAAAAAAAGTGTGGGGCTCTGTAGAAGGTTCACACTTGAAGAAATTCATACAATCATGAATTTCTTCATTCAACAAATATTTATTGAGCACCTACCCTGGACCAGGCACTGTCTTAGGTCAAGGATAGATGGATGATCAGGACAGATGAAGTAGATGCAGTGGGACACACCTATAGTCCCAGCTACTTGGGAGACTGAGGCAGGAGGATTGTTTGAGCTTGAGAGTTTGAGACTAGCCTGGGCAACATAGTAAGACCCTGTCTCTAAAAAAAAGACAAATGAGATTACTGGAGTTTATTTTATTTTATTATTTATTTATTTATTTATTTGAGACAGAGTCTTGCTCTATCACCCAGGCTGGAGTATAATGGCGCGATCTCAGCTCACTGCAAACTCCGCCTCCTGGGTTCAAGCAATTCTCCCGCCTCAGCCTCCCGAGTAGCTGGGATTACAGGCACCCGCCATTATGCTCAGCTAATTTTTGTATTTTTGTAGAGATAGGGTTTCACCATGTTAGCCAGGCTGGTCTTGAACTCCTGACCTCAGGCAATCCACTTGCCTCAGTCCCAAAGTGCTGGGATTACAGGTGTGAGCCACCTTGCCCGACCTGGAGTTTATTTTACATGGGGAAAAGACCATAATCAAAGAAACCCTTAAATAAACAGGATTATTTTATTTTATTTATTTTTTGCAAGTTGTTTTATTTATAATACCACCTTTTAAAAGGTCACTAAAGTTAACTGGACAATAAACTAGGCAGACATTGCTTTACAAAAAAAAAAGAAGGAAAGCTCAAAATGTCACTTATAGAGAACCCACAGTTCAGTTTTATTCACAGCAAAGAGAAAAGAAACTTTTGATCATACTAGAGGAAACTCAGCCACAGGTTTGGAATATGTACTCAAACTACACATG
Source organism: Homo sapiens (assembly GCF_000001405.40). Classification (NCBI taxonomy): domain Eukaryota; kingdom Metazoa; phylum Chordata; class Mammalia; order Primates; family Hominidae; genus Homo; species Homo sapiens. The sequence continues at coordinate 25,623,743 of NC_000004.12, read as the reverse complement.
CAGTGAGGATGATATTCTGCTGATACAATTGATATGCTGCTGCGCTTGTCTACTGTTTGTCTGATATTGACAATTATAAACAGGGCAGTGCAACCAGTATTTGAAACTATCCTTGCAGTGTGACAGTGTCAGGCACAATATTTCATGTCTCTTCACACCACTGGTTCTCTTTGGGTATCTGGGCTTCCTCCAGTAAAGTCAGTTTTGGTATCAACGGAAGCCTGTTTGTGCAAATCTCCTCAGGAGCCTTCCCCTTGATCAAATAGGCAACAGTCTTGCATGGAACATCAAGCAAACCTTTGATGTCTAAGTAGTTTGCAGCCAAAATGACTTCAAAAAGTGTTCCTGGGTCAATTTTCAGGAATTTTTGGTCCCAAGCAGGGATAGCATCTGTTCGCTTTTCTTCATTCTCATCAGCCTCTGGAGGAGGAGGAGGGTTATCCTTTTGGTTGGTGCACCACTGAATTATCTTTTTAAAAAAAATTATTATTATTTATTTATTTATTTTTGAGATGGAGTCTTGCTCTGTGACCCAGGCTGGAATGCAATGGCGCGATCTCAGCTCACTGCAACCTCCGGCTCCTGGGTTCAAGCAATCCTCCTGCCTCAGCCTCCCGAGTAGCTGGGACTACAGGCATGCTGCCACCATGCCTGGCTAATTTTTGTATTTTTAGTAGAGACGGGGTTTCACCATCTTGGCCACACTGGTCTCGAACTCCTGATCTCATGTGATCCGTCGGCCTCAGCCTCCCAAAGTGCTGGGATTACAGGCATGAGCCACCGTGCCTAGCCTGAATGACCTTTTTAATATTGCTGCATTAACATTTGGCAGAGGAACTGGGTCATTATCTCCATCATCCATTCCCAAATTTTCCAACATGATTTTGAGAGTCACAGATTGTTTGGCAATTTCCACATCAACTTCAAATAGCTCTCCATCAGAACTCAGCAACTTAATTGAAGGTATTATGGGTGTTGGGTCTTAAGGAGACAGCCAGCTAGAGGCTAAGGAGAGCTTGACGGCCCCAGTGGAGAAAGAGGAAAGGCAGAGGACGGGGCCTCTGCAGCGATGCAGCATCTGCTCAAACAGGATCATTTTAAATAGCAATGTGTTATACTATGTATGGAAATATATCAGTGTGATATAGTAAACAGTGCCTGGGTGGGGGGTAGATAAATTATATTGGGTGATCTGAGGAAGGACATTTAAAGTCATTCCTTTCTCCACTTTTTTCTTTTTTGAAAAAAAATTTAGGACTGGACGCTGTAGGAGGGGTGACCTGGGAGGAATGACCTTCCCAGCACTTTGGAATGCCTCCTAGCACTTTGGGAGGCCAAGATGGGCAGATTGCTTGAGCTCAGGCATTTGAGACCAGCCTGGGCAAAACAGTGAGACACCATCTCTACCAAAAATACAAGAAATTAGCCGGGCGTGGTGGCGCATGCCTGTAATTCCAGCTACTCGGGAGGTTGAGGTGGGAGAATCACTGGAACCAGGAAGGCAGAGGTTGCAGTGAGCGAAGACTGTGCCATTGCACTCCAGCACTCCAGCTGTGTCTTTTGAGACACAGCAAGACTCTGTCTCAAAAGACAAACAAACAAAAAAACTATTTTTAATTATTATGCATACATGAAGTTGTACATAGTTATGGGAACTTCCTGCATTTTTACCCTCCTAATCCCAGAGGTACCTGTTTTCAGCTGGAAGACTCTTTGCCTCAGAGAGCTATTGACAGCTTCCCTGAGCTGGAGAGAAGGAAACAAAATAACCACATCCTTTGGTCAAAGAGATATTTGAGTAAAGTTAAAAGTCCTGGCTTCTAGAAGGAAGTTTTTTTGCAGTACCTAGATCAACACATCCTGTAGCCAATCTGAAAGGCTGTCCAAACAGGACCCAGAACATAAGTCAGCAATGGGTTAAGGGCTGTCAGTGGAGAAGGCGGTTTTATTCCCCTGGTTTAGCCGTCAGGGGCTCGGCCCCCCACACGCAAGAGTTAATAACCAAACAATGACTGTCACTAATTCACGGAAGGTTTGAAGCTGTTTTAGCCCCGATGTGCTCTGTGCTCAGTCATCCAGAAGTCACCTAGGGTGGAGGCGTTTCATGGTCTGACACTTTGACACAAAGCCATGTGACAAGCAATCTCTCAATGATTCCTCCAAGGCCAGCAACTGTCCCACCCTGGCTGCCAAGTACAATCTATGACCCCCATGCATGCCCTCCAGCTGCCGACTCTCTCAGCAAAGTTACTTCTTTGTCCATCAGCATATCTGGCATTTTCCCCTAAAGGCTGGTTATAATACTTCCACCTGCTTCCAGCAAAAATACTCAAGCAGATTCCAATTTTGCTTCACATGCCGCAGGAATGTGAATAATCCCATTTAGGAAGATGCTTGATTAAGTTTTGAGAACCCGAATCAACTTGGTCATTCTTCAACCCCTAGAGCAGGGCTGTCAAGAGAAGAAACACTTCTACATCAACTATTGCCCAGAGAGGAGTCTTGTTAGGCTGGTTCCAAACAAAAGGAGTTCCTGTAAGAGGCAGTAATGCGATTTCCACATACGAAGTCCCTTAGACCGGTGCAGACTCTTTGGCCCCAGTGAACGTGTGCTCCAGGAGACAGCTGGCCTCTGACAAAAACCAATGTCCCCAACGCAGAGAGAAGAGAGAGCCTGTATCATCAGGACTATTATGTCATTCATCCTCCCAGCTGCCCAGCCTTATAGGTGGAAAGACTCAAAAACCAAATTTACTGAGCCATTACCTATATGAAAAGTGTGTTATCGACTGAGTGCAGTAGCTCACGCCTGTAATCCCAACACTTTGGGAGGCCAAGGCAGGAGGATCATTTGAGGCCAGGACTTCAAGACCAGTCTGGGCAACATAAGGAGACCCTGTTTCAATTTTTTAAAATTCTAAAGAAAAAGAAAAATATGTGATCACATCATTTAACAGGTTGGTAGCAAAGTCTCTCTCTGATCTCCCCCTGTGCCAACTGCTGTGGTAGCTCCCTCCTGCAGGAAGCTATAAAAGAAGAAGGCTGGGCCAGGCACGGTGGCTCAAGCCTGTAATCGTAGCACTTTGAGAGGCCGAGGTGGGTGGATCGCCTGAGGCCAGGAGTTTGAGACCAGTCTGGCCAACATGGTGAAATCTTGTCTCTACTAAAAATACAAAATTAGCCGGGAGTGGTGGTGCACACCTAGAATCCCAGCTACTCGGGAGGTTGAGGCAGGAGAATCGCCTGAACCTGGGAGGCAGAGGTTGCGGTGAGCTGAAATCGCGCCATTGCACTCCAGCCTGGGAGACACAGAGAGACTCCATCTCAAAAAAAAAAAAAAAAAGAAGGAAAGAAAGGAGAAGCCTGGCAGCTCTGAGAACAGGTACCTCAATCCTTGTAGTTCTCTGTGCCTGTCTCCCAAACCTGAGCTAAGACAAGCACATGGCTTCAAGGTGGCAGAGTCCTCATCACAGCCGGGAAGAGAAGAAAAGCCCTTGCTTTAAGACCTGTGCTGGGTACCTTGAAAACTGGTATGTTTCAACAGTCAAGAATTCCCTTGCTAAATACTTTTTTGTTGTTGTTTTTGAGACAGAGTCTTGCTCTGTCGCCCAGGCTGGTGTGCAGTGGCGCGATCTCGGCTCACTGCAACCTCCGCCTCCCGGGTTCCAGCAATTCTCCTGCCTCAGCCTCCTGAGTAGCTGGGATTGCGGGCGTGAGCCACTGCACTCGCGCCCCCCGCCCCCCTGCCCCGGCTTGCTAAATTCTATCAAAGGAATATTTCCCCCACAAGGGCACCCGGTATGATCTCGCATATATGAATACCTAAATAGTTTCCCTCCATTACCGCAGAGGTGGAACTAAGGGGCCTATAAAGTGTGAAATGAGAAATGGTTGCTGTGTCGTTTAATGCTAATTACCACTCAGGTGATGTGGCTAAGGCCTCCACATTCTTACAGCTCCTGAAATCAGAATCTGGTTAGCGGCTATTTTAAGACTGCATTATAAAACCTGCCCCCAAATGCTTTCTAAATAAGGAGACTGTTATGGGCTGCCACCCATCTTTCCCTTCTGTTAATCATTTCAAGGATTTATGTTGTATACACAGGGTGACTACTAACCAATTAAATCATTAAGGACATTTTTTAATTTGAATGATTTAGTTGAACTTTAGAAGAATCCTCCTTCCCCACCATCCCCCTACATCTTTTAATTTAAGTACCTGGATTCTTCTGTCACAGTCTATTAAAGGTATAAATAAATAAGTTACGAGTCTACTGATAAAAGCTAGGGAAATGGTTTTTATTTTTAAATAACATATTTGTGTTCGAATGATTGGCTTAATTACAGAACTAAAAACAATTGTGAACCCTAAATTTTCTCTTCCCAAGTTGTGCTGTTTTGATTGCTTCAGCGGTAGGATAACCAATCCATTCATTTTGTTCTATTTTCCAGGTTTCCAGCTCTGCCGTATTTATACTAAAAATCACTGGTGATTCTGCAAGACAAAAAAAAATTTAGTGACATGTAGTTCTCCCAATATCTTTATTGAGTTACAAAATTACTAATAACATTCATAGTCTTTCCCTCCAAGCTACCTTTCTTCTTGTGTCCATATATCTGCCCAAAGTCAGAAGCTAATTATTCTTAGAATATTGTTTCGACTTTGCAAAAATAAAAATTATTGTTTCAACTCTAATACCCACTCAACCTCCACCCAATCCAATCAATCAACAGCCCAAGTTGATCCTATCTCTGAATTAACTCCTTTTTTGTTTGTTTGTTTGTTTAATAGAGATGAGGTCTCGCTATGTTGCCCAGGCTGTTCACAAACTCCTAAGCCCAAGCAATCCTCCTGCCTCAGCCTCCCTAAGTGCTGGGATTATAGCACTTAGTGAGCCACTGTACCCAACCTGAATTAACTCTTTAACTCTTTTTTTGGGGGGGGTGGGACAGAGTCTCACTCCGTTGCCCAAGCTGAAGTGCAGTGACATATTCTCCACTCACTGCAACCTCAGCCTCCAGGGTTCAAGCGATTCTCCTTCCTCAGCCTCCTGAGTAGTTGGGACCACAGGCCTGTGCCACCAACGCCTGGCTATTTTTTGTATCTTTAATAGAGACAGGGTTTCACCGTGTTGGCCAGGCTGGTCTCGAACTCCTGACCTCAAGTGATCTGCCCTCCTTGGCCTCCCAACGTGCTGCTGGAACTACACGCGTGAGCCACTGCACCCAGCCCTGAATTAACTATTGAATCCGCAGCCCCTCCCCAGGCCTGGTACCACTGTTGTAGCTCAGGACCTGGCTGTGTCTCACTGGAATAGTGAGTGTAATAGCCCAGTGGGTTCACCTTGACCACTGCCTAGACAGAGCCAATTTATCAGGACAGGAAGAATTGCAATAGAGAAAACAGTAAAGAGTAATTCAAGCAGAGTTAGCTGTGCAGGAGACCAGAGTCTTATTATTACTCAAATCAGTCTCCCTGAGCATATGGGAATCAGAGTTGTTGGTTTTTTTGAGATAGAGTCTTGCTCTGTCACCCAGGCTAGAGTGCAGTGGCGCGATCTCTCCGCCTCCCAGGTTCATGCCATTCTCCTGCCTCAGCCTCCCGAGTAGCTAGGACTACAGGCGCCCGCCACTGCACCTGGCTAATTTTTTGTATTTTTAGTAGAGATGGGGTTTCACCGTGGTCTCGATCTCCTGACCTCGTAATCCACCTGCCTCAGGAATCAGAGTTTTGAAGGATAATTTGGTGAGTAGGGGGACAGCCAGTGAGTCAGGAGTGTTGATTGGTTGGGTCAGACATGAACTCACCTGGGTGAATTCCACAAGAACACAGATGGATGGGGGCCACAAGATCAGATGAGCCAATTTATGGATCTGGGTGGTGCCAGCTGATCCATCAAGTCCAGGCTCTGCAAAATATCTCAAGCGCTGACCTCAGGCTTTATAAAGTGATGCTATCTCCAGGAGCAATTTGGGGAGGGTCAGAATCTTGTAGCCTCCAGCTGCATGACTCCTAAACCATAATTTCTAATCTTTTGACTAATTCATTAGTCTACAAAGACACTCTAGTCCCCAGGCAAGAAAGGGGTTTGTTTTGGGAAAGGACTGTTATCATCTTTGTTCTAAACTATAAACTGTAAGCTAAGTGCCTCCCAAAATTGTACCTAGGAATGAACAAGGACAGCTTGGAGGTTTAGAAGCAAGATGGAAATGGTTAGGTCAGATCTCTTTCACTATCCCAGACATAATTTTGCAACAGCGATTTCATGAGCAGTCCCATAATTGTGCTCCCTAGTACCAGTCTGGCTGCCTCCACCCTGCTAGTGTGATGTTCTGGTCTTTTTTTTTTTTTTTTTGTCTGTTTTGAGACAGGTTCTCGCTCTGTTGCCCAGGCTGGAGTGCAGTGGTTGGATCTCGGCTCACTACAACCTCCGCCTCCCAAGTTCAAGCGATTCTCCTCAGCCTCCCAATAGCTGGGATTACAGGTGCGCACCACCACGCCCAGCTAATTTTTGTATTTTTAGTAGAGATGGGCTTTCACCATGTTGGTCAGGCTGGTCTCAAACTCCTGATCTCAGGTGATCCACCTGCCTCGGCCTCCCAAAGTGCCAGAATTATAGGCATAAGCCACTGTCCCCAGCCTGTTTTTTTGGGCTTTGACACAGGGTCTCACTCTGTCACTTAGGCTAGAGTGCAGTGGCACGATCACAGCTCACTGCAGCCTTGACCTCTTGGGCTCAAGCAATCATCCCACCCCTCAGCCTCCTAAGTAGCTGAGACTACAGGCATGCACCACCACACCCAGCTAATTTTTGTATATTTTGTAGAGGCAAGGTTTTGCCATGTTGCCCAGGCTGGTCTTCAGCTCCTGGCTTAAGTGGTCCACCCACCCTGGCCTCTCAAAATTCTAGGATTACAGGTGTGAGCCACCACTGCACCCAGCCACGTGATGTTCTAAACACAAATCAGAACCCTGGCTCCGCATCCACCATATACGAAGTCCATGGTCTTTAGAATGGCCCATTGAGGCCATTTCTTGCCTCCCCCAGGCCAACTTGGGGCCCCTCTCTCAGACCTTCACGTATGTCCCCTGCACTGGGGATTGCACAGCATTTTAATTCTTTGCTTGCAAAATTATCTCCCTCAAGGCCGGGCACAGTGGCTCATGTCTGTAATCCCAGCACTTTGGGAGGCCGAGGCAGGAAGATCACTTGAGGCCGGGAGTTCAAGACAAGCCTGGGCAACATGGTGAAACCCTGTGACTACTAAAAAAATATACAAAAATTAGCTGGGCATGGTGGCACATGTTTGTAATCCCAGCTACTTGGGAGGTTGAGGTGGGAGGATTGCTTGAACCCGGGAGGTTGCAGTGAGCTGAGATCACACCACTGCACTCCAGCCTGGGTGACAGAGGTAGACCTCATCTCAAAAAACAAACAAAAAAACAATCTGCCTCACTAGACTATGAGCATCCTAAAGGGGGGAACTATGTTTTTCCCGGTGCCCCACACTGAGAAAATGGTTTAAAAACAAACAAACAAACAAAAAATTGCTTGTAGATAAAAAGAAAAGGCCAGGTTTGGTGGCTCACTCCTGTAATCCCAGCACTTTGGGAGGCTGAGGCAGGTGGATCACCTGAGGTCAGGAGTTCAAGACCAGCCTGGCCAACATAAGGAGGCCCTGTCTCTAAAAAAGAAAGAAAAAAAAGAAAGAAAGAATAGAAGCTGGGCAATAGGAAGCCCATTGAGCTTCACATATTGTGATAGTCCACAAAAGTGACTTGTCAGCCTGCCCACCTAACTTCTCGGCATGAAAAAGGGGATTCCAGTAGAGTGGCCATTGCTGCATCCAATCTATTTGGGGAGAGTCCCCTAGCAGCAGGCCAGCTTCGAGTATGTGTGACCTGTACCATCACACAGCATCCCACACTTAAAAAGCCCTTACATTTAATTTAACGTTCTTCTGTTACTATCTTGAAATTATTTTTTCTTTTTCTTTTTCTTTTTTTTTTTTTTTTGAGATGGAGTCTCACTCCGTCGCCCAGGCTGGAGTGTGGTGCGATCTTGGCTCACTGCAACCTCCGCCTTCTGGGTTCAAGCGATTCTCCTGCCTCAGCCTCCTGAGTAGCTGGGACTACAGGTGCATGCCCCCACAACCGGCTAATTTTTTATTTTTAGTAGAGACGGGGTTTCACCATGTTGTCCAGGCTAGTCTCAAACTCCTGACCTGGGGTGATCCGCCTGCCTTGGCCTCCCAAAGTACTGGGATTACAGGCATGAGCCACCTCGCCCGGCCTCAACCACCATGCCCAGCTAAAATTCTTTGTTTTTTTTGTTTTTTTTTTTTGAGACGGAGTTTTGCTCTTGTTGCCCAGGATGGAGTGTAATGGTGCGATCTTCGCTCACCGCAACCTCCACCTCCTGGGTTCAAGCGATTCTCCTGCCTCAGCCTCCCAGGGAGCTGGGATTACAGGCATGCGCCACCACGCCCCGTTAATTTTTTTTTTTTTTTCAGTAGAGACGGGATTTCTCCATGTTGGTCAGGCTGGTCTCGAACTCCTGACCTCAGGTGATCCACCCACCTTGGCCTCCCAAAGTGCTAGGATTACAGGCATGAGCCACTGCGCCTGGCCCGAAATTCTTAATAAGTTATTAACAATGAGCTCACATTTTCTATCAGCACTGAGCTCTGCAAACTGTAACCGGTCTTGCCTAGTGGTTATGGAAATCATAAGCGCTGGGGGCTCAGATCCTCCTGCTTCCTACTCCCCCTCTCATCCTCTCATGCATATATTCACCAAGCAGTCATTATCTGCAGGCTGAGTGAATACTTCTAGTGTTTCTATCTACTGCTATTTTTCAGGGTTTATGTCATCACCTTTTTTTTTTTTTTTTTTGGAGACAGGGTCTTGCTCTGTCGCCCAGGCTGGAGTGCAGTGGTGTGATCTCGGCTCACTGCAGCCTCCGCCCCCCGGGTTCAAGCAATTCTCCTGCCTCAGCCTCCGGAGTAGCTGGGACTACAGACGCGTGCCACCACGCCCAGGTAATGTTTGTATTTTTAGTAGAAACGGGGTTTCACCAAGTTGGCCAGAATGGTCTCGATCTCTTGACCTTGTAATCTGCCCACTTCAGCCTCCCAAAGTGCTAGGATTACAGGCGTGAGCCATGGCGCCCAGCCCTATGTTATCACTAACACATTTATTTGAAAGAGTTTCTTAATTTTATGTGACATTTTATTGCTGAGTATATTTTCTACCCAAGAAAGTCCTGGTTAAGTACCAGCCTGTCTCTAACACTTTTCTAACACTTGCTAAGTTCCCTTTGTAACTTAGAGGAGGCTACAGGCTGAGAACCTTCCCCAGGCAGAAATATCTGATTAGAATTGAACAGCTCCTCGTGGTACTTTTCACCTCCTGGGAGCCAGGAGCCCAGGCACACCTAAGCACTGTCACTTAGATGCTACTACCCAGGAGATGAAGAGGTGATGAGAAGCTCTCCCGGGGAGATCATGGTTGCAGTATCCCTGCTGGCCGTCACCTGCAGGGCTCCTCTCCAAGGCTCCTTCTCAGCTCCTACCCATCTTCCCAACCTGCACCTTTGGGCACCCACTGATTGCCAGAGCCCCCATAGACTTCCAATAGATGCCATTTCCATTTGAGGAAGCATGAGTGGGTTGCTGCTGCTTGTCACATGGGAAAACTTTCTAAAAAGTGAAAAAAATCAAAACTGCTTTTGCTGCAGGTTCTCCTTCCTTTCACCTGTCACCACTTGTCTAGTGAGAGGTGAAGCCAGCTGGGCTTCTGGGTCGGGTGGGGACTTGGAGAACTTTTGTGTCTAGCTAAAGGATTGTAAACGCACCAATCAGCACTCTGTAAAATTGCACCAATCAGCACTCTGTGTCTAACTAAAGGAATGTAAACGCACCAGTCAGCGCTCTGTAAAATGGACCAGTCAGCAGGATGTGGGCGGGGCCAAATGAGGGAATAAAAGCTGGCCACCCGAGCCAGCACCGGCAATCCAGTGGGGTCCCTTCCACGCTGTGGAAGGTTTGTTCTTTCACTCTTCACAATAAATCTTGCTGCTGCTCAGTCTTTGGGTCTGCACCACCTTTATGAGCCGTAACACTCACTGCAAGGGTCTGCAGCTTCATTCCTGAAGTCAGCAAGACCACGAACCCAGCGCGAGGAACAAACAACTACGGACACACCACCTTTAAGAGCTGTAACACTCACTGCGAAGGTCTGCGGCTTCACTCCTGAAGTCAGCGAGACCACGAACCCACCAGAAGGAAGAAACTCTGTACACATCTGAACATCTGAAGGAACAAATTCCGGACACACCATCTTTAGGAGCTGTAACACTCACCGTGCAGGTCCGTGGCTTCATTCTTGAAGTCAGCAAGACCAAGAACTCACCGGAAGGAATAAATTCCGGACACAGTAGGTAGGAGTGCATGGTGCTAGATAACACAGCTTCCTGCCTCCAGGGGGCTCAGCCAAGCTCTGCCCTAGCCCCTGGCCACATGGAGCAGGCATTTGACTCAACGTTTGGCATTTGACTCAACGTTTGGCATTTGACTCAACGTTTGGCATTTGACTCAACAGGTAGTTGTTGTTAGTTCCCCACCCTCTGTCTCTACCTGATCCACCTGGGAGTAACACCTAAAGGTTACTTTGGCCTCACCAGGTGCATAGTCTGTCCCGAACCCTTTGTGTGTGTGTGTGTGTGTGTGTGTGTGTGTGTGTGTGTGTGTGTGTGTGTGTATATTCTTTTTTTTGAGACAGAGTCTGGCTCTGTTGCCCAGGCTTGAGTGCAGTGGCGCTATCTTGGCTCACTGCAACCTCCACCTCCCGGGTTCAAGCAATTCTCCTGCCTCAGCCTCCCAAGTAGCTGGGATTACAGGCACCCGCCACCATGCCCGGCTAATTTTTTGTGTTTTTAGAAGAGACAGGGTTTAAGCATGCTGGCCAGGCTGGTCTCGAACTCCTGACCTTGTTATCCACCCACCTCAGCCTCTAAAGTGCTGGGATTACAGGCGTGAGCCACTGTGCCTGGCTCAGAGCCAAGCTCTTTTACCACTAAACACTACTGCCTTCCCCTGGACCATCTAGCTAGCTGTGGTCCACTGTGACCTCAGATTTCTTTCTAGATCTAATGCATTCATACCAATTCTGTGCCTGCATCATACATGCATAAACATGCCATCTTATAATAGTGCCTACTGAATGGCATTATTTTTCACTAAGAGTGGCTCCAACTGCCCACCCCAATCTATTAAGAAGGCTGGTGGTGACAGTTCAGAGTAGGGGCAAAGGTGGAAGTTCAGGGCTGGAAGACTGGGTGTGTAGAAGCTAAAAGAGATGAACAATATGGCTTCTGTGAGAAGTACATACAGTGGATGGATCAACGTTTCCTGCCTTCTCCTAGGGTGGGTCTTTCTCCACGGCAGAGGCTGGAAAGTTAAGAAACACAATTCCCAGGCTCCAGGATTCCACATGCTGATGAGATTCCATCAACCAGCAGGAAGCAACGAGGATAAGACCACCCTTCTGCTGCTTCCACTGTTTCTTGTGGCAAGGGCCATTCCTGTGGAGTCTGGCTTTCCCACGGTGGCTTCCCAAGCCAGCCAGTAACATAAGAGTCAGTAATTTCCTTGCTGCCTGACCTTCCACTTCTTTTTTTTTCTTTTTCTTTTTTCTTTTCTTTCTTTTTTTTTTTTTTTTTTTTTTTTTGTGGTGGGGGCGGGATGGAGTCTCGCTCAGCCACCCAGGTTGGAGTGCAGTGGCGCAATCTCGGCTTACTGCAACCTCCGCCACCACCCCGCCCCCCCACCCCACCCCATTCAAACGATTCTCCTGCCTCAGCCTCCCGAGTAGCTGGGATTACAGGCTCACACTACCACACCCAGATAATTTTTGTATTTTTAGTGGAGACGGGATTTCACCATGTTGGCCTGGATGGTCTCCATCTCTTGACCTCGTGATCCACCCGCCTCGGCTTGGGTGGGATTACAGGCGTGAGCCGTAAGCCACTGTGCCTGGTCTTCTTTTTTTTCTTTTCTTTTCTTTTCTTTTCTTTTTTTTTTTTTTGAGACAGAGTCTCGCTCTGTCCCCCAGGCTGGAGTGCAGTGGCACTCTCTCGGCTCACTGCAACCTCCACTGCCCGGGTTCAAGCAATTCTCGTGCCGCAGCCTCCCAAGTACCTGGGACTATAGGTGTGTGCCACCACACCCGGCTAATTTTTTTGTATTTTTGGTAAAGACAGGGTTTCACCATGTTGGCCAGGCTGGTCTCTAACGCCTGACCTCAGGTGATCTGCCCACCTCGGCCTCCCAAAGTGATGGAATTATAGCCGTGAGCCACCATGTCTGGCATATCCTCCCCCTTCTAAAGCTCAGAGTGGTACTTTCAGCCTCCTGATTGATTCTGTAATCAATATTAATTCTCCTTCAGCCTAAACTAGCTAGCCAGCCAGAGTCGATTATGTCTGTCACTGACTCCTGACCAGTACAGCATTGAGATGAAAACTTGACCATAACTGGGGCGGGGAGGAGATTTCATTGCCAAATGCTTTATTTAAACAAAAAGCATAGAGAATAGCATGACAAACATCTTTTTATCCACCACCAAGTTTCAAAAATAAAACTGAGACTGGGCGAGGTGGCTCACACCTGTAATCCCAGCAATTTGGGAGGCCGAAGTGGGCGAATCACTTGAGGTCAGGAGTTCGCGACAGCCTGGCCAACATGGCAAAGACCCCAACTCTACTAAAAATACAAAAATTAGGCTGGCATGGTGGCACCACCTGTAATCCCAGCTACTTGAAAGGCTGAGGCACGAGAATTGTTTGAACCTGGGAGGCGGAGCTTGCAGTGAGCCGAGACTGGGCCACTGCACTCCAGCCTGCACTACAGAGTGAGACTCCGTCTCAAAAACAAACAAATAAATAAATAAATAACAAAAAATGACCAGGCACAATGGCTCATGCCTGTAACCCCAGCACTTTGGGAGGCCGAGGCGGGTGAATCACCTAAGGTCAGGAGTTCAAGACCATCCTGGCCAACGTGGTGAAATACTGTCTGTACTAAAAATACAAAAATTAGTCAGACATGGTGGTGGGTGCCTGTAATCCCAGCTACTGAGTAGACTGAGGCAGGAGACTCACTTGAACCCGGGAGGTGGAAGTTGCAGTGAGCCGAGATCTCACCACTGCACTCCAGTCTGGGTGATAGAGCCAGACTCCATCTCAAAAACAAGAAAAAAAAAAAAGAAGGAAATAAAATTGATGGCTCTGTTTCCTCTTTACCACTTAAAACCCCTACCTCTTATTTCAAAGACCTATCATCTTGAAGTGCCTCTGTATGTGTTTACATTTTTACCTCTTATGTAGCCCATATATCCCTGACTTTGTGTGCCTCCTTCTACAACTTCCTTTTTTTCCTCAACATTATGTTTTAGAGATTTACCAATACTGATATACAGTCATCCCAGTTTATTCTTCTTTTTTTTTTTTTTTTTAAGAGACAGAATCTTGCTCTGTCACACAGCTGGCATGCAGTGCAGTGGTATGATCATAGCTCATTGCAGCCTCAACCTCCTTGGGCTCAAGCGATTCTCCTGCATCAGTCTCCTGAGTAGCTGGGAGCACAGGCATGTGACACCACGCCTGGCTTATTTTTTTATTTATTATAAAACCAGGGTCCTAGCCAGGCACAGAGGCTCACGCCTATAATCCCAGCACTTTGGGAGGCTGAGGCGGATGGATCGCCTGAGGTCAGGAGTTCCAGACCAGCCTGGCCAACATAGTGAAACCCCGTATCTACTAAAAATACAAAAATTTACCTAGGCGTGGTGGTGAGCACCTGTAATCCCAGCTACTAGGGAGGCTGAGGCAGGAGAATTGCTTGAACCCGGGAGGCGGAGATTGCAGTGAGCCGAGATCACACCATTGCACTCCAGCCTGGGCAACAAGAGTGAAACTCCGTCTCAAAAAAAAAAAAAAAACCCCAAAAAACAGGGTCTTACTATGATGCCCAGGCTGGTCTTGAACTCCTAGGCTCAGGAGAAGCCTCAGCTTCCCAGAGTGCTAGGATTATAGGCGTGAGCTACCAAACCCAGCCCTCAGTTTATCGCCCAGGCTGGAAAGCAGTGACTCAATTACGACTGAATTGCAGCACCTTCCTGGGCTCAAGCCCACCTCCCGAATAGCTGGAACTACAGCCATGGCTGGCTAATTTTTATTTTATTTATTTATTTATTTATTTATTTATTTTGTAGAGGTGGAGTTCTGCCATTTTGCCCAGGTTAGTCTCAAACTCCTGGGCTCAAAGGATCTTCCTGCCTTGGCCTCCCAAAGTGCTGAGATTATAGGTGTGAGCCACCATGCTCAGCCAGTTTATTATTTTAAACAGTTGGATGGTATTCCATGCATGAACATATTATCTGCATGGTTATATCACAGTTTGTTCTGCTATTAATGAAGGACGTAGTTTAACTTTCTGAACTCTAACTGGGGATGGCATTTCAAATGTCTTCAGGACAGACAGATAAGAGAAATACATGAAATGCTTTGCAGAGTAACAATAATGGCCGGTGCCAATGGTGACCAAGGCATTCACTTTTCCGTCTTAAAACTGCACTGGCTGGGCACGCCTCATCCCTGGAGCATCAGTGTCCACTGTGGTGTCCCCAGTCTCTACGCTTACGGTTGAGGCTTCTTAAGACAAAGACCCATGACAAACGGTACCAGATCACTTTCAGGAAATGAAAATAAAGTGGGTGACTGGCTTCCCATCCCAACAGCTTGCACCTGAGTTCTGGGAAGATGGTGATGATTTCACTGACCAATCATGGAGCCGTTCTAACACCTTTGCCAGGAATTCTGGATGAAACCGGCAGCTCAGTGCAAACAATTCAGGAGTTTCTCAATAACCAGGGCTGGAGATTAGTTACTTTGTCACTCAAAGCTACTGAATCATGGAAATGGAGATGCATTTGCTATGGTTCAGTTCCAGTCGGCAGAACTTCCTTGGACACTGTGGGAAGAAGGATAAAAGAATGGCTTTGCAGACAAACATGCATAAATCCCAGTTCTGCCTCTTTCTTTGTTTTGTTTTTTGGATTCTTTTCTTTTCTTTTTTTTTTTTGAGACGGAGTGTTGTTGTGTTGCCCGCGCTGGAGTGCAGTGGTGCGATCTCAGCTCACTGCAACCTCCACCTCCTGGGTTCAAGCAATTCTCCTGCCTCACCTTCCCGAACAGCTGGGATTACAGGCATGCACCACCACACCCGGCTAATATTTGTATTTTTAGGAGAGACGGGGTTTCACAGTGTTGGCCAGGCTGGTCTGGAACTCCTGAACTCAGGTGATCCACCCACCTCAGCCTCCCAGTGTATTGGGATTACAGGCGTGAGCCACTGCACCCGGCCCAGTTCTGCCTCTTTCTAAGTGAATGACCTGGTACCAGCAGTTTCCTCTCTCTGAGCTTTGGTTCCCTTATATCTAAATGGGAGATTAAAATAATAACTGGGCCGGGTACGCTGGCTCATGCCTGTAATCTCAGCACTTTGGGAGGCCAAGGTGGGTGGATCACCCGAGTTCAGGAGTTCCAGACCAGCCTGGCCAACATGGTAAAACTCTGTCTCTACTAAAAATAAAAATTAAAAAAAATTAGCCAGGCGTGGTGGTGGGTGTTTATAATCCCAGTCACTTGGGAGGCTGAGACAGGAGAATCACTTGAACCTGGGAGGCAGAGGTTGCAGTGAACCAAGATCATGCCATTGCACTCCATCCTGGGCAGTAAGAGGGAAACTCCATCTCAAAAAATAAATAAATAAATAAAATAATAAAATAATAACTGGACATGGCTGGTTTGATTTCCTTTTCTTTGGGTAACAGCACGCGGATTTGCTTCTGGGGAAACACCCCTCTGCCACTCGTAGTCCATACATTTTGGATGGTGGCACCACTGCCCTTAACTTCAGAGGTAATATAGGATGCTGACCGCCAGCAAGACTTACCACATCCCTGGCCAAATCACTGGTTCGCAGGCAGGCATTTCATGCAGTTAGAGCCAGTGCAATACAATGAAACTTTTATTGGAACATCAAGTGCTTTTCCTTGATGTACTTGAACTTGGGGAGGATGTGAGCCTACAGTTGCAGGAGTCACTAAAAGTGATTTTCTTTTTGTTCCTTTCTTGGAGACAGGGTCTCGCTCTGTCACCCAGGCTGGAGTGTGGTGCTGTGGTGTGTTCACAGCTCACCACAGGCTCCACTGCTCGACCTCCCTGGCTCAAGTGATCCTCCCACCTCTGCCTCCCAAGTAGCTGGACTACAGGCAAGCCACCATGCCCAGCCAATTTTTTTTTTTTTTTTTTTTGAGATAGTCTCACTCTGTCACCCAGGCTGGAGTGCAGCGGCACAATCTCTGCTCACTGCAACCTCCTCCTCCCAGGTTCAAGCGATCCTCCCACCTCAGTCTCCCAAGTAGCTGGGAATACAGGCATGCACCACCATGCCCAGATAATTCTTTGTATTTTTAGTAGAGATGGGGTTTCACCATATTGGCCTGGCTGGACTCAAACTCCTGACCTCAAGTGATCTTCCAGCCTTGGCCTCCCAAAGTGCTGGGATTATAGGTATAAGCCACTACCCCAGGTCATGGAGCCACCACAGTTTTGACCAAGAATGAAGGCAATACGGAAGACAACATTGCTGAGAGGGGGACAGAAACCAGGACCTAGTGTCATCATTTGAGTTTGCTGGAGCACAGAAACCAGTATATGGCACTTTGACATGGTAAACTGAAGAAGCCTCAAGGCCTCCCTGACCTTCCCCCTCCCCAGCCATCCCTCCCAAAGCACAGGATAACATTGAAGTTCCTTTATCTGACTGAAATCTAGACCTGCCAGAAAAACTACTGTGTTTTCTTTCCCCTCCCTGTTAGACCAAGAATGTAACCACACCTGAACAGACCTTTTCCCAAGATAATCTCCAAGTTTTTTTTCTTTTTTCTTTTTGAGATTCAGTCTCACTCTGACCCCTAGACTGGAGTGCAATGGTGCGATCTCAGCTCACTGCAACCTCCGCCTTCCAGGTTCAAGCAATTCTTGCTGCCTCAGCCTCCCCAGTAGCTGGGATTACAGGCTTGTGCCACCACGTCTGGCTAATTTTTGTATTTTTAGTAGAGACAGGGTTCTGCCGTGTTGGCCAGGCTGGTCTCAAACTCCTGACCTCAAGTGATCCACCCGCCTCAGCCTCCTAAAGTGCTAGGATTACAGGTGTGAGCCACCGTGCCTGGCTTGTCCAAGTTCTCTGTTCCCTGACCCACTCGTTCTTCCTAGTAATCCCCTCAATAGATTTCCTCTTTTCCCATCCTCCCATAGGCTATTTTACCAGGATGGTATATAAACTTCTGAACCACTGTGTGGTTGGGTAATCACTCTGCGATTCTCCCCGAATACATATTAAGATTTGTGGCCGGGAGCCGTGGCTCCCGCCTGTAATCCCAACACTTTGGGAGGCCGAGGCGGGCAGATCACTTGAGGCTAGGAGCTCGAGCCCAGCCTTGCCAACATGGTGAAACCTCATCTCTACTAAAAATACAAAAATTAGCCGGGTGTGGTGGCATGCGCCTGTAATCTCAGCTAATTGGGGGCTAAGGCAGAAGAATCACTTGAACCCAGGAGGCAGAAGTTGCAGTGAGCCAAGATCGCACCACTGCACTCCAGCCTAGGTGACAGAGTGGAAACTCTGGCTCAAAAAAAAATTAATTAATTAAAAAAAAAGATTTGTATCCCTTTTCTCCAATTAATCTGTCCTTTGTGAGTTCATTTTTTTTTTCTGCAAATCTTCAAAGGGTGAAGAGGAAATTTCCTTTGGTCCCTACAAGTTCCTGCTCAAGTTATTTTCTTTTTGTTTTTTATTTTTTATTTATTTATTTTTTTTTTTTGAGATGGAGTCTCGCTCTGTCGCCCAGGCTAGAGTGCAGTCGTGCGATCTTGGCTCACTGCAAGCTCCGCCTCCCAGGTTCACGCCATTGTCCTGCCTCAGCCTCCCGAGCAGAGCAGCTGGGACCACAGGCGCCCGCCACCACGCCCGGCTAATTTTTTGTATTTTTAGTAGAGATGGAGTTTCACTGTGTTAGCCAGGATGGTCTTGATCTGACCTCGTGATCTGCCTGCTTCGGCCTCCCGAAGTGCTGGGATTACAGGCGTGAGCCACTGCGCCCGGCCCTGTGCTCAAGTTATACTGAAGGCTCAGATCAACTGTGGGACTTTTTAGCTCCTCATTAGTGTATTTATTTGTTTTGCTTAAGCCAGGTTGAGTTAGGTTGTCTGTCACTTGCAGGACAGTAAGTCTTGACCAACAGTCGGCCTTAGTGTGCAGCTGTGAGGATTAATTGAGATGACATGAATTATTCCTACTATGAGCAAGATTCCTTTCCTTGTTCAGATCCAGAACTATTTTCATCTAACTCCTTTTTAATTTCATGTAATCCTAAAATCATTCTGAATTTCTAAAAACATCTGGAAACGATGACATATCAGAAACATGAAAAAATTAGAGATGCTTAGCTTAAAAAAGATTGTTTGGCAATGT
Source organism: Homo sapiens (assembly GCF_000001405.40). Lineage (NCBI taxonomy): Eukaryota > Metazoa > Chordata > Mammalia > Primates > Hominidae > Homo > Homo sapiens. The sequence continues at coordinate 25,605,143 of NC_000004.12, read as the reverse complement.
CATCACTTTCTTGAAATAGTGAAGAGCCTGTCATATGGACAAGAATCAGAGTTGGAGAGCAGAATTGGGCAACCAGGTGGAAGTCAGCAGAAGATGCTTTGCTTCAACGTGAGGAAGAACTTTTTTTTTTGAGATGGAGTCTCACTGTTGTCACCCAGGCAGGAGTGCAATGGTGTGATCTCGGCTCACTGCAACCTCTGCCTCCTGGGTTCAAGTGATTCTCCTGCCTCAGCCTCCCAAGTAGCTGGGATTACAGGCTTGTGCCACCACGCCTGGCTAATTTTTGTATTTTTAGTAGAGACGGGGTTTCACCATGTTGTCCAGGCTGGTCTCAAACACTCCTGACCTCAGGTGATCCACCCACCTCAGCCTTCCAAAGTGTTGAGATTACAGGCGTGAGCCACCGCACCCAGCCTGGAAGAACTTTTTGGTCAGGAAGCTCTGGACTGCTCCTCTGGGGCAGTGGATTTCCCATCGCAGGAGACCTTCAGGTGGAGAATGGACAATCACTTACTGTGATTTGTAGAGGGGATTTCAATTTCAAGGAGAGAGTTACAGGGATGGCATCCAAAGCCCTCTCAATTTTAGAATGCTATGATTCGAAATAAAGTGCCAAATATGAGGCCAGGCACAGGGGCTCACATCCATAATCCCAGCACTTTGGGAGGCTGAGGCGGGTGGACTGCTTGAGGCCAGGAGTTCAAGACCAGTCTGGGCAACATGGTGAAACCCCATCTCTACTAAAAATACGAAAATTAGCCAGGCATTGCGGCGCTCACTTGTAATCTCAGCTACCTGGGAGGCTGAGGCATGAGAATCACTTGAACCCAGGAGGCAGACGTTGCAGTGAGCCGAGATCATGCCATTGCGCTCCAGCGTGGGTGACAGAGTGAGACTCTGTCAAAAAAGACACAAAAAACAAACAAAATAAACTAAATACAATGACTACTTATGTTCCTAATATCTCCAATGTTTTTCTTCATGAAAAAGGTTTTCAGCCAGGTGTGGTGGCTCACACCTCCGACTTTTGGGAGGCTGAGGTGGAGGGATCACTTGAGCCTGGGAGTTCTGAGGCTGGGAGTTCAAGACCAGCCTGGGCAACATAGTGAGATCCCTATCTCTGAAAAAAAATGAAAAATTAGCTGTGCATGGTGGCATGTTTTTGGACTCCCAGCTACTCGGGAGGCTGAGGCAGGAAGACAGCTTGAACCCAGGTGGTTGAGGTTGCAGTGAGCTGTCATTTTGTACCACTGCACTCTAGCCTGAGGGACAGAGCTAGATCCTGTCTGAAAAGTAAAATTTAATTTAATTTACGAAAAAATTAAACCGTAATTCCAGCACTTTGGGAGGCCGAGGCAGGAGGCTCCCTTGAGGCCAGGATATTGAGACCAGCCTGGGCAACATAGCAAGATCCCATCTCTACAAATAAAAAATAAAAACCAGTAGTGGTGGCCTGCACCTGTAGTCACAGCCATGAGGGAGGCTGAGGTGGGAGGATCAGTTGAGCCCAGGAGTTCAAGACTGCAGTGAGCTGTGAGGAAAGCACTGCACTCCACCCTGGACAACAGAGTAAGACCCCATTTCTAAAATAATAATAAATAAGGCCAGGCGCGGTGGCTCATGCCTGTAATCCCAGCACTTTGGGAGGCCGAGGTGGGTGGGTCACGATGTCAGGAGTTCAAGAACAGCCTGGCCAAGATGGTGAAACCCTGTCTCCACTAAAAATACAAAAATTAGCCGGGCGTGGTGACGGGCACCTGTAATCCCAGCCACTCGGGAGGCTGAGGCAGAGAATCACTTGAACCTGGGAGGTGGAGGTTGCAGTGAGCCTAGATCATGCCATTGCCCTCCAGCCTTCGTGACAGAGTGAGACTCCATCTCCAATGTAAATAAACTAATTAATTAATTAATTAAAATAAATAAACTTTTAGGCATATAGATGAAATAGTCAAATGTCTATTCATACTTTTCTTTCTTTTTTTTTTTGAGACGGAGTCTCATTCTATTGCCTAGGCTGGAGGGCAGTGGCGCAATCTCGGCTCACAAGAACCTCCACCTCCACCTTCAAGTGATTCCCCTGCCTCAGCCTCCTGAGTAGCTGGGATTACAGGCACCCACCACCACGCCTGGCTAATTTTTGTATTTTTAGTAGAGACAGGGTTTCACCATGTTGGCCAGGCTGGTCTCAAACTCCTGACCTCAAATGATCCGCCTTCCTCAGCCTCCCAAAGTGCTGGAATTATAGGCGTGAGCCACCGCACCTGGCCCATACTTTTATTATATCAGTTATACAAATCTTTACATTTACTTGTTACATAAAATTATGAATAGGAATTTATAATTCTAAATTCTAAATAGGAATTTAGAAAATTTGCTTTTTCCAATTCTCTTTTTTTTGGAGTCAGGATTTCACTCCGGTTGCCCAGGCAGGAGTGCAGTGGCATGATCTCAGCTCCTGGGCACAAGCAACCTCTGTCTCTCGGGCACAAGCAATTCTCTTGCCTCAGCCTCCCAAGTAGCTGGGACTACAGGTGCATGCCACTGCATGTGGCTAAATTTGTATTTTTTGTAGAGACAGGGTTTTATCGTCTTCCCCAGGCTGATCTCAAACTCCGGAGCTCAAGTGATTCGCCCGTCTTCGTCTCCCAAAGTGCTGGGATTACAGGCATGAACCACCAAGCCTGACCCTCAATTCTCTCATTTAATGAAATAACATTATTCAAGCCTTTCACATGCACTTAGACATTATTTTTTTTTTTTGAGTGACTTTCGAACCATATGATGTTGGAATTCTCCAATTATGTTTAACTTTTAGAGCTGTGCCCTTATAACTATTAAAAAAAGTACTCTCGGATAGACATTCCAGCATAAAAAAATACCCTTTTTGAGGGAGTCTAAAACTTTCTAGGCTGTAACCTCTCTAGTTCCATTGTAAGTGATTTTTGATCAAGTGAGTTTTCTTGAAAACTGAACTACTTACTGCAATATGGCAGAACAAGCCATACTTAGTAGCTGGTAGAATGTCTTCTAAATAAGGCAAAATACCAAACTGCAAATATAGTCTGATCCAAAATACGATGAAAATTTAGATAACTAGATGCAAAAAAAGATGAAAAAAAAAAACAGAAGTTAAACAGTCATCACTAAATTGCGGTTACCATGCATGTCACTGTTGTTTTATTTTTCATACTTTTTTGTATTTCCAAGTTTTCTAGAATCAGCATGAGTAACTTTTATAATCAGAAAAAAAGAAACAAGTTACAAAAATAAATGCATGAGTGGTAGTTATAGAATCTAGACCACTATTCCAGCTTCTGAGAAGTTTACAATTTGCAGTTAGACCGAGGGTCACAAACTCAACCACTTCCATGTAACGTAAGTGACAGAAGTGGGCCAACTATGATATGATATAATATAATATAATATAATATAATATAATATAATATAATATAATATATAGTAAGTACAATGGGTACTGTGGCAAATTGAGGAAATTTGTCTAAACAGGGCAGCCAATTATTGCCATGTGAAAATGTGAGGCCAGTGTTATCAAATACTCTGATATTGGACATTTAGGTAAAATTCACTCTCCTTTTTTTTTTTTTTTGAGATGGAGTCTCGCTCTGTCACCCAGGCTGGAGTGCAATGGTGAGATCTCAGCACGCTGCAACCTCCACCTTCAAGGTTGAAGCGATTCTTCTGCCTCAGCCTCCCAAGTAGCTGAGACTACAGGCCCTCACCACCACACCCGGCTAATTTTTGTGTTTTTTAGTAGAGACAGCATTTCACCATGTTGGTCCTGCTGGTCTCAAACTCCTGACCTCAAGTGATCCACCCACCTCAACCTCTCGAAGTGCTGGGATTACAGGCATGAGCCACCGCACCTGGCTGAGAATCTGCACTTCTAAGGAGTTTTTAGGTGATGCCAACACCATGGGCCATGGGTCACACCTTGAATCACCAGGGTTTAGAACAGCGATTCGTAGCTCCAGCTGTCCCCTAAGGTCACATAAGAGGCCACATCTAACCCTACTCCAGGTTGATTGAATCAGAGTCTGAGGTATTCCTGAGCACAAGCATTTCTACAAATCTCCCTGCGGCCTCACCCCCTGCCCCGCACCTTTTTTTTTTTTTTTAACAGTGAGGTCAAACAAAATCTATGTTCCAGTTTGCCATTGTCAGTGACCTTTAAGTTAAAGTTTCCGGTCACTCTGACTTGATACTCAAACTTCTGGCTTTTACTTCCAGACTATAGATTTTAATTGCCCTGCCCAGCCAGGCATGGTGGCTCATGTCTGTAATCCCAGCACTTTAGAAGGCTGAGGCCAGAAGATCACTTGAGGCCAGGAGTCACAGACCAGCTTGGGCAACATAGTGAGACCCCGCTTCTACAAAAAACTTAAAAATGTATTATAATTGCCCTGTTCCCCTTCTTCTCCAGCCTCTCTATTAGCTTGTTTCAACATTAGTACCTAGGTCAGTATTTCCCGAAGTATATTCCAGGGAACACAAGTCCCATGAGATGCTCTGTTGAAAACAAAGGTAGGCAGGGGGTTCCATGGTTCAATGTGTTTGAGAAACACTGCTTTTTATATTCCCCATCCAGAGATTCCCAGTGTCCACTGGTGCTTTAAAATGTCTGAGAAGTCCTGCAGTTTACTAAGCAAGTAAACTTTGCGTAGTCTACTATTTTTTTTATTATACTTTAAGTTTTAGGGTACATGTGCACAACGGGCAGGTTTGTTACATATGTATACATGTGCCATGTTGGTGTGCTGCACCCATTAACTCGTCATTTACATTAGGTATATCTCCTAATGCCATCCCTCCCCCGTCCCCCGACCCCACAACAGGCCCCAGGGTGTGACGTTCTCCTTTATTTTCTAAGCTCACATGGCCACAGAACCCTTTGGGGGCATAACTTCTTATATATATATATATTTTTGAGATGGAGTCTGGCTCTGTTGCCCAGGCTGGAGTGCAGTGGTGCAATCTCAGCTCGCTGCAACCTCCGTCTCCCGAGTTCTCCTGGGAGGCAATTCTCCTGCCTCAGCCTCCCAAGTAGCTGGGCTTATAGGCGTGCACCACCATGCCTGGCTAATTTTTGTATTTTTAGTAGAAATGGGTTTTCTCCATTTTGGCCAGGCAGGTCTTGAACTCCTAACCTCAAGTGATCCACCTGCCTTGGCCTCCCAAAGTGCTGGGATTGCAGATATGAGCCACCATGCCTGGCACATTTTTTTTTAAGATAGGGTCTTGCTCTATTGCCCAGGCTGGAGTGCAGTGGTGTGATGACAGCTCACTCTAGCCTCAAACTCTTAGGCTCAAGTGATCCTCCTGCCTCAGCTTCCTGAATAGCTAGGACTACAAATGCACATCACCATGCCCTGATAATTTTTTTATTTTTAATTATTTGTTGTAGAGACAGGGTCTTGCTCTGATGCCCAGGCTGGGTGTCAAACTCCTGGCCTCAAGTGATCCTCCCAACTCGGCCTTCCAAGGCATTGATATTCTAGGCATGAGCCACCACTCCTGGCCAGCATAGCTTCTATTAAATTGTTACTGCTGGCAGGGCACAGTGGCTCAGGTCTGTAATCCTAAGCACTTTGGGAGGCTAAGGCAGACGGATCGCTTGAGCTGAGGAGTTTGAGACCAGCCTGGGCAACATGGTAAAACCCCATCTCTACAAAAAAATACAAAAAATTAGCCAGGTGTGGTGGCATGCACTTGTAGTTTCAGCTACTTGGGGGTCTGAAGTGGGAGGACTGCTTGAGCCCAGGAGTTTGAGTCTGCAGTGAGCTGAGATTGTGCCACTGCATTCCAGCTTCAGTGACAAAGAGACCCTGTCTCAAAAAAACAAAAAAGGATGGGCATGGTGGCTCACACCTGTAATCCCAGCACTTTTCGGAGGCTGAGGTGGGTGGATTACATGAGGTCAGGAGTTTGAAACCAGCCTGGCCAATGTGGTGAAACCCTGTCTCTACTAAAAATACAAAAATTAGCTGGATGTGGTGGCACACACCTGTAGTTCCATCTACTTGGGAGGCTGAGGCAAGAGAATCACTTCAACCTGGATGGTGGAGGTTGCAGTGAGCCGAGATTGCGCCACTGCACTCCAGCCTGGGTGACAGAGTGAGACTCCATCTCAAAACAACAACAACAACCACCAAAAAAAAAAAAAACAGGCTGACAGGCCAGGTGTGGTGGCTGACGCCTGTAATCCCAGCACTTTGGGAGGCCGAGGCAGGCGGATCACCTGAGGTCAGGAGTTGGAGACCAGCCTGGCCAACATGGTGAAACCCTGTCTTTACTAAAAATACAAAAATTAGCTGGGTGTGGTGGCACTAGCCTGTAGTCCCAGCTACTCAGGAGGCCAGGAGGCTGAGGCAGGAGATTTGCTTGAACCCTGGAGGAGGAGGCTACAGTGAGCCGAGATCACACCACTGCACTCCAGCCTGGGCGACAGAGACAGACTCCATCTCAAAAAAAAAAAAAAGAAAGAAAGAAACAAACGGTGTTATAGCTCTAGCTCTTTTGGAATTTATCCAGCAGGCTTTCTGGCATTTGCCAGAAAGCCCTGCCCCCCAAAAGTCAATAAAAAACCAAAAACATGTTACTGCTACAGAAGTTATAGACCATGGAACACAATTTGAGGAGCACAGATTTAGGTTACTTAAAGTTTTCTTTTTTTTTTGAGACAGGGTCTTGCTGTGTTACCCAGCCTCACTACACCCTTGACCTCCTGGGCTCCAGAAATCCTCCCATCTCAGCCTCCGAAGAAGCTGGGATTATAGACATGCACTACAATGCCAGGTTAATTTTTAAATTTTTTGTAGAGACAGAGTCTCATATGTTGCCCAGATTGGTGTTGAACTCTGGGTTCAAGCAATCCTCCTGCCTCAGCCTCCCAAAGTGTTGGGATTACAGCTGTGAGCCACTGCACCTGGCCCATTTAGAGTTCTTGGTGGAAAAAATAATCTAAGCTACATGGATGTTAAGTCTATTTTCCTGAATGAGGAGATTCATGGGATGTCGCAAAGGAATGAGCAGAGATTGAGAATAAAATGCTGAAAATGTGCGTGTGTGTGTGTGTGGGTGTGTGTGTGTGTGTGTGTTTTGAGATGGAGCCTCACTCAGTCACCCAGGCTGGATTGAGTGCAGTGAATGAGCCCAATCTCAGCTTGCTGCACCCTCTGCCTCCTGGGTTCAACCAATTCTCCTGCCTCAGCCTCCCTAGTAGCTGGGATTACAGGTGCCCACCACCACGCCCAGGTAATTTTTGTATTTTTGTAGAGACAGGATTTCACCATTGTTGCGGGAAGTCAGGGACCCTGAACGGAGGGACCAGCTGGAGCCTCAGCAGAGGAAACATAAATTGTGAAGATTTCATGGACATTTATCACTTACCTAATAATACTCTTATAATTTCTTACTCTTGTCTTACTTTACTCTCTTAATCCTATTATCTCCATAAGCTGAGGATGTATATCACCTCAGGACCCTGTGATGATTGCGTTAACTGAACAAATTGATTGTAAAACATGTATGTTTGAACAATATGAAATCAGTGCACCTTGAAAATGAACAGAATAACAGCGATTTTAGGGAATAAGGGAAGACAACCATAAGGTCTGACTGCCTGTGGGGTCGAGCAAAAAGAGCCATATTTTTCTTCTTGCAGAGAGCCTATAAATGGATGTGCAAGTAGGAGAGATATTGCTAAATTCTTTTCCTAGCAAAGAATATAATATTAAGACCCTAGGAAAAGAATTGCATTCCTGGGGGGAGGTCTATAAATGGCCACTCTGCAAATGTCTGTCCTATGCGGTTGAGATAAGGACTGGGATACACCCTGGTCTCCTGCAGTACCTTCAGGCTTACTAGGATTGGGAAACCCCAGCCCTGGTAAATTTGAGGGCAGACTGGTTCTCTGCTCTCGAACCCTGTTTATCAAGACAATACGTGCACAGCTGAACATAGGCCCTTATCAGGAGTTTTTGATTTTGCACTTTGCCTTGTGATCTTTGCTTTGCCCTTTGCCTTGTGATCTTTATTGACCTCAGAAGCATGTGATCTCTGTGACCTACTCCCAGTACGTACACCCCCTCCCTTTTTGAAATCCTTAAAAAAACTCTGCTGGTTTTGCGGCTCAGGTGGGCATCACAGACCTACTGATATGTGATGTCACCCGTGGAGGCCCAGCTGTAAAATTCTTCTTTTTGTACTCTTTCTCTTTATTTCTCAGCCAGCCGACACTTAGGGAAAATAGAAAGAATCTACATTGAAATATTGAGGGTGGGTTCCCCTGATACACCATGTTGGCCAGGCTGATCTCAAACTCCTGACCTCAAGCAATCCACCTGCCTCAGCCTCCCAAAGTGCTGGGATTACAGGCGTGAGCCACCATGCCAGGCCCTAATTTTTGTATTTTTAGTAGAGATGGGGTTTCACCACGTCAGCCAGGCTTATCTCGAACTCCTGACCTCAGGTGATCGGCCTGCCTCTGCCTCCCAAAGTGCCGAGATTACAGGCATGAGCCACTGTGCCCGGCCTGAAAATGTGTATTCTGATAGGTTCGTGTGACACATAGTAATCACAGGTATGGTCCTCAAAGCCAGACTTCCTGAGTTCCAAGGCCTGGCTCTGCCATTTCTTAGCTATATCACCTTGGGCGAGTCACTTAACTTTACTGTGCTCAGGTTTCTTGATATATTAAATGGAGCTAATTATAGGCCCTCCTCAAGGAGTTGTGCAAATAATAAATGAATTATGTAAAATGCAGAAAAAATCCTGGCATATTGCAGGGGCTCAATAAGTGTTAGCTATTATTATGTTCACTTATCTGCTCACCACATTTGCTAGTGCATGAATAACAATAATGGCTATAGTGATATCATTACCTATATTATATTTTCTTTTTTATTTTTCTTTTCTTTTTTTTTTTTTTGAGACAGAGTCTTGCTCTGTCACCAGGCTGGAGTGCAGAGGCATGATCTCAGCTCGCTGAAACCTCTGCCTCCCAGGTTCCAGCGATTCTTCTGACTCAGCCTCCTGAGTAACTGGGACCACAGGCACACGCCATCATGCCCAGCTAATTTTTTGTATTTTAGTAGAGATGGGGTTTCACCATGTTGGCCAGGATGGTCTCGATCTCCTGACCTTGTGATCCACCCACGTCGGCCTCCCAAAGTGCCGGGACTACAGGCAAGAGCCACCATGCCCGGCCTACCTATATTATATTTTAATAGCTAACATATATTGGGAGCTTACTCTGTGTCAGGCACTATACTAAATAAATTATCTCCCCACAATAACTGTATTTGGTAAGTATTATGATCGTTCCTAATTTATATTGGGAATTGAAACTTTGGAGAGTTGACGTGACTTGCTTTAGATTAAAGGCTTAGCATCAGTAGAGCTGGGATAAAATCCTGGTGGTTGGATTTGAAAGTCCCCCTTCATAACTGTTACATTCTGCTTGCTCAAAGGCCCAAGCCTTGAAACTTTAAAACAGGAAGATTCCTTGAAGATGAGCTACAGGAATTCACTGGTGCCTCCATTTCACTGATGCAGAAAGGCCCAGGGGTTTGAATGACCCACCTGAGGTCAAATAGATGGGATCAGAACTGGAATTAAAGGAAAGAGGGACAGAAGAGAGGGATCCAGAAGGGAGAGAGAAGGATGAGACCAAGACTTCCATATTGGCCATAAAGAGGATCAGAATATGCCTCTCCAAAATATGCCACCCCAAAATATACCTCTCCAAAATATGCCACCCCAAAATATGCCTCTTTGGCATGAAGATTATTTTGAGATGATGGCAGTTGAGAAACAGCAGACACAGGAAAAGCTCTCTACCACCCTCCTTTCTGTCTAAAAGCAGGGCATACATTTCCTATTGTGAAGGTTTCTCCCTCCCCTCTCTAATCCAGGAAGAGAAAACAACTTTTTTTTGGTTTTTTGAGACAGAGTCTCGCTCTGTCACCCAGGCTGGAGTGCAGTGGCAGGATTTTGGCCCGCTGCAACCTCCGCCCTCCAGGTTCAAGCAATTCTCCTGCCTCAGCCTCCTGAGTAGCTGGGATTATAGGCGAGTACCACCACGCCCAGCTAATTTTTGTATTTTCAGTTGAGACAGGGTTTTATCATGTTGGCCATGCTGGTCTCAAACTCCTGACCTCAACTGATCCGCCCACCTTGGCCTCCCAAAGAGCTGGGACTACAGGCGTGAGCCACCTCACCCGGACTTCTTTCCCCCATATATTTACCTTCCCAGAATTACCTTCCCTAGAAGGCCACACCCTTTTCCTTCGTCTTTTCACTTCTCTATAAATGTAACGCTCTTTGTTACTATATAAGCTCTCAGACCTAACTGCTTCTTTAGAGTTTTACTTCTTTTTCTATGAGATCCCTATGTACATGTAAAAATTAAAATATTAACATCAAATAAAATGAACATGGCTTTTTTCTGTTAATCTGTCATTTGTTTAATTTGCAGAGCCCTTGTCACTGACCTAAGAGGGTAAAACAAAATTTTTTAAATTTTTTTTATTTAAAAAAAAAAAGTAACGATGAGGTTTCACTATGTTGCCCAGGCTAGTCTCAAATTCCTGAGCTCAGACAATCTGCCTGCCTCAGCCTCCCACAGTACTGGGATTACAGGCATGAGCCACCGTACCCAGCCAAGGGTAGAAGAAAAAGTTTTTTCCTCCCCTGTAGCCACATCCAATTGGAAAAGCCTATTAGCTGTCTGTGAGGATGGAGAAGAGGTAAATTGGGTCTTCAAGCCTGGAGCTCAGGTGCCAGCTTGGGCCACATCTCCTAACCTGGTCGTCTACATTGCCAAATCCGTCTCCTACCCTGGGAGCCATCTAGACACTAACCTTCCCTCGCTCCTCACATTCTATGAATGCTCCAAGTCCTGCAGACCCCACCTCCACAATGCCTCTTCAGCGTATGCACTTCTCTCCATCCCTTTGTCACTACCTACGCAGGTCTATCATCATCTCTCCCATGGATGCCTAGACCAGCCTTCAACTTGTCTTTCTGACTTTAGGCTTGCCCCTTGCAATTCATCCTCCATACTCTAGCCAGGACAAATCTGATTCATACTCTTCTGCTTAAACACCTTCCATGAGACTTTCCTTTGCTTCAAACTGCAGGCTCACCAATGTCCTCGTTGGTCCCTGCTCAGCTCCCCAATCGCTTACCCTCCAGCTGCACCCCACAACTTGCAGCATCCTGAGAGTGTCATGTTCTTTCTCTTCCCCCTGCCTTGCTATGTGCTATTTCCTCTGCTTGGAGTTCTCTCCGTTCCTCCCACTTGCTTCAGTGCACTAGTTTGCACTCATGCTTCAGGTCTTCCTCTAGAGACACCTTCCTGACCTTCACTCCTGGGTAAATGCCCTCCAAGGGTCCCCATAGCACCTTGTAGTTACCCTCATCAAAGCACTCATCATTTTGCATTATAATTGCCTTCACTCATCTGTCTCTCCTAAGGAGATTGAATGGAACAATTTGAGTGCAGGGGTGCATCTTTTTTGCCCAATGCCTGTCACATAATAGGTGGACAAGAAATCACTTATTTATTTATTTATTTATTCATTTATTTTGAGATGGAGTTTCGCTCTGTCGCCCAGGCTGGAGTGCAGTGGCACAGTTTCAGCTCACTGCAACCTCCACCTCCCGGGTTCAAGTGATTCTCCCACCTCAGCCTCCCAAGTAGCTGGGATTACAGATACGTGCCACCACGCCAGGCTAATTTTTGTATTTTTCTAGAGACAGGGTTTCACCATTTTGGCCAGGTTGGTCTCGAACTCTAGACCTCAAGTGATCTGCCCACCCCGGCCTCCCAAAGTGCTGGGATTACATGCGTGAGCCACCGCACCTGGCCAGAAATCACTTTTGAATGAATTAGTGAGTGAACAGCAACTTATACTAATGTATGACCCTGCATTTTAGATTGCCATCACGCTGACCTCACTCAGCAGCTACTATTTTTATTATCAATAGATCGCATTTGTTGCGTGCATTCAGTGTGAACACCAGCTGTGTCTCTAAGTCAAAATCACCTACCACCAACCTTCTCAGAATGTGCTAGCAGTAACATTTCTACCAAATGTTATGTATAGCTTTTTGGCTCATGTTATGTGGCTCCAGGAAAAAAAATCTTTCCATGTTCAAATTCTAGGCTCCCAGATTCTAGCTGGGCTACGTTATTGGTGTACACTGTCTGGTGCCAGGAAGAGGAGAAACCGGTTTGCTCATTCCCATGAGATGTATTCATGGAAAATCGACTCTGTAGCCAAGGAGACAAGGAGGGTGTTGTGTCTGTCCATCTGGGGGAGTTTTAACAAAGGAACCTGAAAACCAATTCCTCTTGGCAGCTGCACCTAATGAAGCTGGGTGACCTACACTACGTCCAGATACCCTCACGCCAGATACCCTGGTCGCTCGCTGGGAATGAGAATTTGGGTTAATGGATAAAAATATAGTACAACCAGTTAAATTTGAATTTCAGATAAACCACAGATTTTAAGTATGAAAATGCCACATGTATTGCAATGGATCATACTTATACCAAAATAATTACTTGTCATTGTTCATCTGCAATTCAAATTTAAATTGGATGTCCTTTTCTTCTTCTTCTTTTATTTTTTTGGCTGTATGTGGCAACCCTAAATGAAGTTGAAGATTGGGAACCCAGCAGGCATTCCCAGTGCAAGCCTACCCAGGGATTATAGGCCAATCCCAGGGAATTCCAGGGCTTGGAGGATGGATTTTAGCAGCCAGAAGGCTGTCTCCTGGCCAGACAAGGTGGCTCACACCTGTAATTCCAGCACTTTGGGAGGCCAAGGTGGGCAGATCACTTGAGGTCAGGATTTCAAGACCAGAATGGCCAACATGGCAAAACCCCATCTCTACCTGGGATTACAGGTGTGTGGTGGCACACACTTGTAATACCAGCTACTTGGGAGACTGAGGCAGAAGAATCACTTGAAGCTGGGAGGTGGAGGTTGCAGTGAGTCAAGATGACACCACTGCACTCCAGCCTGGGCGACAGAACAAGATTCTGTCTCAAAAAAAAAAAAAATCGGCCAGGTGCATTGGCTCACACCTGTAATCCTAGTACTTTGGGAGGGCCTAGGTGGACAGATTGCCTGAGTTCAGGAGTTTGAGACCAGCCTGGGCAACATGATAAAACCCCATCTCTACTAAAATACAAAAAATTAGCTGGGCATGGTGGTGCACGCCTGTAGTCCCAGCTACTTGGGAGGCTGAGGCAGGAGAATCGCTTGAACCCTGGAGACAGAGGTTGCAGTGAGCCGAGATCATGCCATTGCACTCCAGGCTGGGTGGGTGACAGAGTGAGACTCTGTCTCAAAAAAAAAAAAGAAAAAAAAAAGGGAAGGCTGTCTCCACTCAGAGGACTGTGTCATTTGGGGCAGGAGAAAGGAAGAGGTTGCTTGCTTCTGCTGCACATGAGAATCACCTGCATGACTTTTACAAAGTCTCAAAGCGGTCGGGCACGGTGGCTCATACCTCTAATCCCAGCACTTTGGGAGGCCAAGGTGGGTGGATCACCTGAGGTCAGGAGTTCGAAAGCAGCCTGACCAACAAGGTGAAACCCAGTCTCTACTAAAAATACAAAAATTAGCCGGGCATGGTGGCAGGCACCCATAGTCCCAGCTACTTGGGAGGCTGAGGCAGAAGAATTGCTTGAACCCGGGCGGAGGAGGTTACAGTGAGCCAAGATCGTGCCACTGCACTCCAGCCTGAGTGACAGAGCAAGACTGTCTCAAAAAAAAAAAAAAAAAAGCCTCTCAAAGCACAGGCCACATCTATTTCAGTTAAAACCAAATCTTTAGGGCTGGAACACAGCCTTCAGTACTTTTTTAAAGATCCCTAGAAGATTCCATCGTGTAGCCAAGGTTGAGATTTACTGATCCAGGACCACTTTCCTCCCCTCTCACAAGTCACATGCTAATCATTTTTCCCCTTCACAGAGTGTGGTAAGCTGTCATTCAACTAGCAAATACTTATGGGAGGCTGGTGACCCTGATTATTGTGGTCTGGTATCTGGTGCCAGAGAGTTGGAGTTGCAAGGCCTGAGTGGACCCCATATTGTTACTAGTAGAAGATGTCCAGGTTCTCGGCATCTCGAACAAAGAATTGGGCAACGGCTGGGTGTGGTGGCTCACACCTGTAATCTCAGCACTCTGGGAGTCCGAGATGGGTGGATCACCTGAGTCAGGAGTTTGAGACCAGCTTGGCCAACATGGCGAAACCCCGTCTCTACTAAAAATACAAAAATTAGCTGGGCGTGGTGGTGTGCGCCTGTAATCCCAGCTACTCGGGAGGCTGAGGCAGGAGAATTACTCGAACCTGGGAGGCGGGGGTTGCAGTGAGCCAAGATCGCGCCACTGTACTCCAGCCCTCCAGCCTGGGCGACAGAGCAAGACTCCACCATCTCAAACAAAACAAAACAAAACAAAACAAAAAAAGGACAAAATGCACAAACAAAGCAAGAAGCGAGGAAAGCAAAAGCAGGGATTCATTGAGAATGAAAGTACCCATCACAGTGTGGGAGCAGGCCTGAGCATAGGGGCTCAAGAGCCCCGGTTACAGAATTTTCTGGGGTTTCAATACTCTAGAGGTTTCCCATTGGTTACTTGGTGTATGCTCTGTGTAAATGAAGAGAATGAAGTGAAGTTATGCAGTCATTTGCTAGGAATGCGCCCTGTGGAAATGGAGAGGATGTTACCTTTGTGTGATCTATGTAACAGAGAAGATGAATGTGAAGTTACAAAGTATAAACGGTGTAAATGGAGAGGATGAAGAGAGGTTACAAAGCCGTTCGCATTTCTATCATTACTGAAGTGCTTTCATTTGATTAAGCCAGAGTGGATCAGCCTTATGTTCCCTGCCTGCAGGCCCTATTCTCCTGCCACAATACTAGATATGGGTCTTCAGAAAAGAGGCCGCTTTGAGAGCCTCGGTCTCCACTTTGTCAAATAAAACCATGAATGTGGTGCTATGATGCCTGGCCAGTCCGCTTTGCAGAGCAGGATGAGGTTTAGGGTTAGGGAAAATGCAATTAGGCCACTTCAAATGTCTGGCAAGCTCTGAATCACTGTAGAAATATCCATTATTAGCATGCTGACCTTCTAGTGGGCCCACGGACAGATCTCAGACTTAGGGTTTAAGAGGAGCTAAATCTAAATCTGAATCCATATGTTAACATGATTCCATGTAAGATGCAGGCACATTGTTTGAGAAGTTAGGATGCAAATTTGGACTCAGTGGGTCTTGAGTGGGGCTGAGAATCTGCACTTCTAAAGAGTTTTTAGATGATGCCAATGCATGGGCCACACCTTGAATCAACAGGGTTTAGAATGGCGATTCTCAGCCCCAGCTGTCCCCTAGGGTCACATAAGAGGCCACATCTAACCCCATTCCAGGTCGATTGAATCAGAATCCGAGGTGTTCCTGAGCACAAGCATTTGCACAAATCTCCCTGTGCCAGGCGTGGTGGCTCATGCCTGTAACTCCAGCACTTTGGGAGGCTGAGGCATGAGGATTGCTTGAGCTCAGGAGGTCAAGACTGCAGTGAGCTGTGATCACACCACTGAACTCCAGAGCCTGGGTGACAGAATCAGACCTTGTCTCAAAAAAATAAAAAATAAAACCAAAAATCTTCCCAAGTTCAGCTACAACATGGATAATGGAGGAACGCCCTCTTCCAGATTCCTGGAAAACTGGGCTCAAAATCTTGAAGGCAAATTCAGCTCCTCTCTTATGCACGCTCCCTGGGTCTAACTGCTGTGGGGTCCCATCGATTGTCACACCACCATCTTCCTTCCATGGCTGGTGTACCATGGATACACTATCTTCCTTCCATGGCTGCTGCCCAGTCCTAAAATCGATCCCATCTGGGTGGCATCAGGCCTATAGCAGGATTTGGACAATGGCCTCGGCCTCTTGTGCTGGGAAGTGCTCCACAGTTGCCCCCCACCCCTGTCATTAGCCAGGAACTGTGCAAATCTTGCAGGCAGCATCCACTCACAGCAGCTCTTGCTATTATTACTATTACAAGGAATAGTTGGCCGGGCGTGATGGATCACGCCTGTAATCCCAGCACTTTGGGAGGCTGAGGCGGGTGGATCACGAGGTCAGGAGATCAAGACCAGCCTGACCAACATGGTGAAACCCCGTCTCTACTAAAAATAAAAAAAATAGCTGGGCATGGTGGCATGTGCCTGTAATCCCAGCTACTCAGGAGGCTGAGGCAGGAGAATCACTTGAACCCAGGAGGTGGAGGTTGGGGTGAGCCAAGATCACGCTATTGCACTCCAGCCTGGGCAAGAAGAGCAAAACTCTGTCAAAACAAACAAACAAACAAAACTACAAGGAATAGTCTACAGGCTGCTTCTCCCTTCCTAAGGCCCTTCCCAGCTGCCTAACCGTCCAGTTGCAATGCACACGCTCGCCCCCCAAGCTAGCCAGGCTGAGGAATGGGCTATGTCCGCATTTCTAATGTCCTGATCCTGAGCCTCCTTCCTGCGCCTCCTCCTTCCAGAACTGCAACAAGGCAAAACCAGGGGGAGTCCTGCTCTGTGACTTCTAATTAGTGTGTGGAAAGAGTCCTTTGTGATCCACAGATGAAAGGCCACTCTCAGCATCATTACCGTGATGAGTTTCCCCATCTGTAAAATGGACTTTAATGAGGCCGCTTGTTTACGGAGCTCCTGAGATGAAAAGGGTGTGATGGACAGGATGCTGATGAGTCTTGGCTTGGGGGTCAGCCTGAGGTTCCATGAGGGGAAGTCTCCTTCCTTCGCTCACTCTGGTCCCAACGGGCCAGAAAAGAGCATTGGCCAGCTCTATGGGGACAGAGCGAGGGTGAGAATGGACAGAAGGGAGGGGGTAGGGATAAGAAAAGGAGGTGATTGGTGGCCCACAAAGCTACATCTGAAAGAGAGGGAAGCCCAAGGGGGAAAGCAGAGGATTAGGCAGGTGTGTGTGTGTGTGTGTGTGTGTGTGTGTGTTTCTGTGTGTGTGTGTGTCTGCTTGTGTGTCTCTGTGTGTGTCTGTGTGTGTATCTGTGTGTGTGCCTCTGTGTGTTTCTGCATGTGTGTCTGTGTGTGTGTCTGTGTCTCTGTGTGTGTTTCTGTGTGTATGTCTCTGTGTATGTCTGTGTGTGTATGTCTGTGTGTCTCTGTGTGTGTTTCTGTGTGTGTGTCTCTGTGCATGTCTGTGTATGTGTCTCTGTGTGTGTGTCCCTATGTGTGTGTCTCTGTGTGTGTGTCTGTATGTGTGTGTGTGTGTGCCTGTGTGCATTCAACACCAAGGTGGACAAATAAGGTCCCAGTCTTGAGGTCAGGAAGAAACCATGTGTTTCTACCCCAAATTCCAAGAATTCATTAAGCCGAAGCTGAAATTAGTTATGGCTCAGATGATGTGACTGTTCCACTTTTCAGCCAGCACCCTGTGGAGCCCCTCCAGGTTTCAGATGCTGGACTAGGGAAGAGGAGGGGGAGGGATGAGGCTGGGGCACACAGCACCCCTCCCCCTTCAACCTAAACGCCACCTGTGGACCTGTTTTCACCTTAGACTTCCTTACAAGATTTCATTGGAAGAGAAGATTTCAGTGGCTTACAAATGCTTGCAAAACACAGTCTGGGGGCAGGAAAAAAATAAAGGAAATGAAAAGGGCTCTCCCCAGTGTCAGAATAGCATACTGGTAAGGAACACAATCCTTAGGAACAGATGGCCTGGCTCTTAGCTTTGTGATCTTGGGCAAGCTGCCTCACATCTCTGTGCTGGTTCCTGAACAGTAAAGTGTGGATAAAAATAGTAGCTCCTGGCCAGGCGCAGTGGCTCACGCCTGTAATCCCAGCACTTTGGGAGGCCAAGATGGGCAGATCACAAGGTCAGGAGTTTGAGACCAGCCTGGCCAATACGGTGAAACTCCGTCCCTACTAAAAAATACAAAAAACCAGCTGGGCGTGGTGGCAAGTGCCTGTAGTCCCAGCTACTCAGGAGGCTGAGGCAGGAGAATTGCTAGAACCCGGGAGGTGGAGGTTGCAGTGAGCCAAGATTGTGCCACTGCACTCCAGCCTGGGCAACAGAGTGAGACTCCATCTCAAAAAAAAATAGTAGCTGTGTTTTGGGGTTGCTGTGGTTGCTGTGAGAATTGCATGAGTTCATCCGTGTAAAGTGCAGGGTGCTGTGCCTGAAGCACCCATCATTGTTACCGGGAACCTCTATCTCCCCCTGTCAAATGTGTCGGGTACAGTGCCTGACACTTGCTTCCACAGATGCTTCTTTTTGTTTTATTTATTTATTTATTTTTTGAGATGGAGTCTCGCTCTGTCGCCCAGGCTGGAGTGCAGCGGCACCATCTCGGCTCACTGCAAGCTCCGCCTCCCAGGTTCACTCCATTCTCCTGCCTCAGCCTCCAGAGTAGCTGGGACTGCAGGCGCCCGGCTAATTTTTTTCGTAGAGACGTATTTAGTAGAGAGTATTTTTTTAGTAGAGACGGGGTTTCACCGTGTTAGCCAGGATGGTCTCGATCTCCTGACCTCGTGATCCGCCCGCCTCAGCCTCCCAAAGTGCTGGGATTACAGGCATGAGCCACTGAGCCCGGCCTCTTTTTATTAAAAAAAAAAATTTTTTTTATAGAGACTGGATCTCACTATGTTTCCCAGGCTGGCCTCTAACTCCTGGGCTCAAGCGATTCTCCTACCTTGGCCTCCCAAAGTGTGGGGATTGCAGGTGTGAGCCACCATGCCCAACCCACAGACACTTCTTTGTGGAATCCTCTACAAATATATGCTGACCCATTGCACAGATAAGGACATCAAGGCTTGGGGAGGGAAATGGAAGAATCACAGCTGGAGCCCCAGCTTAGGTCTGCAAGCCAGGGCTTCCTGCTGCTACTCTCAGGACTAGAAGGGACGGGCTGTTTCTCAGGCAGCTGCTGTCCCAGTACCGAGGTCGGCCCTTCACACTCTGGCCTTCTCCCCCTTGCTCTGTCCATCTGGGCAAGCAACCAGCTCACGATATGAGCTCATCAACCCCCAAACAACAGGAGCAGGAGGTCCCCGCAGTGACCAACAAAGGCTGTGACTGACCCATTGTTTAGGGGCCCTGGTAGGCACGGACGGGATTAAAGTTTCTTTAAGCTGTGCCCATTCACTCTAGGTTAGTGTTTCTCCAAAGGTAATCTGTGGATCTTCCATTTCAGAACCTTCAGGGGCTCTCATTAAAACATAGATTTCAACCCTACACAGTGGCTCACACCTGCAATCCCACTTTGGGGGCTGAGGCAAGCAGATCACTTGAGGCCAGGAGTTTGAGACCAGCTCAGCCAACATGGCCAAACCCTGTCTCTACTAAAAATACAAAAATTAGCCAGGTGTGGTGGCACACGCCTGTAATTCCAGCTACTTGGCAGGCTGAGGCACAAGAATCACTTGAACTCTGGAGGTAGAGGTTGCAGGGAGCCGAGATCGCATGCCACTGCATTCCAGCCTGGGCAACAGAGTGAGACTCTGTCTCAAAAAATTAAATAAATAAATAAATAAATAAATAAATAAATAAATAAATAAAATACAGATTTCTTGGCCTCAAAAGGATTAAATTCCAACCTCTAGAGAAGAGGCCCATCTCATGGTAAATTGCTTTTGGGAAAAAAAAAAAGAAAGAAAAGGAAAGAGGCTGGGCATGGTGGCTCATGTCTGTAATCCCAGCACTTTGGGAGACCGAGATGGGTGGATCACGAGGTCAAGAGATTGAGACCATCCTGGCCAACATGGTGAAACCCCATCTCTACTAAAAATACAAAAATTAGCTGGGCATGGTGGTGCGTGCCTGTAGTCCCAGCTACTTGGGAGGCTGAGGCAGGAGAATCACTTGAACCCGGGAGGTGGAGGTTGCAGTGAGCCAAGATTGCACCACTGCACTCCAGCCTGGCAACAGAGTGAGACTCCGTCTCAAAAAAATAAGGAAAAAGAAAAAGAAGAAGCTGAGTGCGGTGGCTCCCGCCTGTAATCCCAGCTCTTTGGGAGGCCGAGGTGGGTGGATCACCTGAGGTCAGAAATTTGAGACCAACTTGGCCAACATGGTGAAACCCCATCTCTACTAATAATACAAAAATGAGCTGGGCATGGTGGCAGGCGCCTGTAATCCCAGCTACTCAGGAGGCTGAGGCAGGAGAATTGCTTGAACCCAGGAGGCGGAGGTTGCAGTGAGCTAAGATCACACCACTGCACTCCAGCCTAGGCAACAGAGTGAGACTCTATCTCAAAAAAAAAAAAAAAGGAAAAGTAAAAATAGAGAAGAAGCCCTACTGTCTAAATGTAGCAAGCACCCAGGAGATTCTGGTCTTCCCAGGGTAGAGATCCCTGGGTTCATGTCCTGTGTGGGGTGTGTGAGGGATGGGCTTGTTCATCTGACCTTCTCCTTGCCTCTAGGCCCAGGGTTGAGCCCCCCCCTCCTAGAACCCTGGCTCCAGAGTAGTGAGGCCTTTTCTGGCTGAGGCCCAAACCCACCTCACATAGCAAAATCCTGCCTGGCACTAGTGGATACTCAAGCCCCAGGAAGCTGTACTGAACCGAGCTGCATTTGTCTATCCCGGGTGTGGGTCTTGCCTCCACATCTCCTGTGTGTAATTTTGCCTCTTTCTTCTATTCCCTTCTGCCATGACCTCTTCTCCAACCCTTCCTGCCCTTAGTTGCCCTTTTCCCATCTGAAAAATGCAGGGGCTGCTCTTGTACTTCTCCTAGATCCTTTCTTACAAAATATTTAAGGAGCTAAGTAACCAGTAACTGCTGTCCCTTTTGGAGATGCAGCAACCTCTCCCTGCCACACACACAGTTTCAAAGTGATTTATGGAGGGGGATGCGGGTGGCTACTGGAAGGAGTTGTGTGCACCAAGGAGGGTTTCTATGTCTGAGCAAGAACAGCCAGAAATTGCCTTGCCATGGACTAGACTGTGGCTCTCTTCCCTAGCAGAGGGTGCCATGACCTGGCCAAAAAAGGAATGCTAAGGTGGGCCAGTTGAGAAGATAACTCCCAAGAAAGTGAGAAGAGTGTAAGATCTAAGAGGAGGGCCTAGTGGTGTGCTCCTGTAGCCTAGTTACTCAGGATCTGAGGCGGGAGGATCACTTGAGCCCAAGAGTTCGAGTCCAGCCAGGGCAACATAGCAAGATCCCATCTTAAAAAAAAAAAGATCTGAGAGGAATTTGTTGAGAGATGTTTTATAAAAAGAAAACATGCAGAAGTGAGCTTCATCTGTTAATTTGTTGTAAATGTTCTGATGTAAAATGAAGGTGGAATGGGATCTAATGATACAAGTCCAACTTAGTGCAGGTATAAGCCTGTATTGAGGTATAAGCCTGTGAGATCTCATTCCTCAAGAATTGCCCCCTTAATACAGGTATAAAGGATTATACCTCTCCCAGAACCCTGGCTCCAGAGTAGTGAGACCTTTTCTGGCTGGGGCCCAAACCTACCTCATGTCACAAAACTCAGCCTGGCAAGAGTGGATTATACCTGTATTAAGGGCGTGGGGTTTTTTTGTTTTTTTGTTTTTCAAGATAGAGTCCAGCTCTGTCACCCAGGCTGGAGTGCAGTGGCGCAATCTCGGCTCACTGCAACACCTGCCTCCCGGGTTCAAGCAATTCTCCTGCCTCAGCCTCCCAAGGAGCTGGGATTACAGGGGTGCACCACCATGCCCAGCTAATTTTTTTTTTTTTTTTTTTTGAGACGGAGTCTCGCTCTGTTGCCCAGGCTGGAGTGCAGTGGCTCGATCTCAGCTCACTCATGCTCCACCTCCCGGGCTCACGCCATTCTCCTGCCTCAGCCTCCAGAGTAGCTGGGACTACAGGCGCCTGCCACCACGCCCAGAGAATTTTTTGTATTTTTAGCGGAGACGGGGTTTCACCGTGTTAGCCAGGATGGTCTCGATCTTCTGACCTCATGATCCACCTGCCTCGGCCTCCCAAAGTGCTGGGATTACAAGCGTGAGCCACCGTGCCCGGCCTGCTAATTTTTGTATTTTTAGTAGAGATGGGGTTTTGCCATGTTGGCCAGGCTGGTCTCGAACTCCTGACCTCAGGTGATAAGGGGTGCCTTTTGAGGAATGAGCAGGAAGCAGTGGAATGGAGTGAGGGCCTGGGCTTTGCTGTTGGATTCACCTGGGGATCAGTATAGGCCCATCACAAGCTGTGTGGCCTTAGGAAAGTTACTTCATCTCTCTGAGCCTCCATGACCCTATTAATAAAATGGTGACAATCACAACACCACATGGGTTTGTGGTGAAGACCTAATGAAGTCATAATGTAGTATGCTTGGCACAGTTGAGTAATGTAGTATGCTTGGCATAGTTGAGTGTTCCATAGTCCATGATTCCCTGTCCTTCTGGACAGCTGAAAACTGATGGTACAAGGGGGTACAGGACTTCTAGGCAAAGTCATTGACAAAAGACAAATGCAGGTTCCAGTCTTCAGGTATGAAGAAGGAAAAGAAGACGGGTGATTATGAACAATGATGAGGCACTAAACACCTTATTAAAATACATAATAATAAACAGCTCCAGCCTGGGCCTAGACATTTTTCCAACCAGCAGCAGCTTTGAGTCTGTTCAAATGTTCAAATTCATCCTCATTAGCGGCCTGTTTAGGAAGCTAACTTTCTCTCTACCTGCTAATCTTTTTAAATCTTTTTCTTTTTTCTTCTTTTTTTTGGTTTTGAGATGGAGTCTTGCTCTGTTGCCCAGGCTGGAGTGCAGTGGCACAATCTTGGCTCACTGCAACCTCTGCCTCCTGGGTTCAAGTGATTCTCCTGCCTCAGCCTCCTGAGTAGCTGTGATTACAGGTGCGTGCCACCACGCCTAATTTTTGTATTTTTAATAGAGTCGGGGTTTCACCATGTTGGTCAGGCTAGTCTCAAACTCTTGACCTTGTGATCCACCTGTCTCAGCCTTCCAAAGTGCTGGGATTACAGGCGTTGAGCCACTGTGCCTGGCCTTTTTTTTTTTTTTTAATAGTGATGGGAGTCTCTCTGTGTTGACAAGGCTGGTCTCGAACTCCTGGCCTCAAGTGATCCTCCCATCTTGGCCTCCCAAAGTGCTGTGATAACAGGCATGAGCAACCATGCCCAGTCCCTTTTTTTTTTTTTTTTGAGACAGGGTCTTGCTCTGTTGCCCAGGTTGGAGTGTAGTGGCAAGATCACCACAGCCTCAAACTCCCACACTCAAGTGTTCCTCCCACAGTAGCCTCCTAAGGAGCCAGGACTACAGGTGCATACCACCATGCCCTGCTAATTTTTGTTTTTTGTAGAGACAGAGTCTCACTATGTTGCTCAACCTGTTTTCAAACTGCTGGGCTCAAAGAATCCTCCTGCCCTGGCCTCCCAAAGTGTTGGGATTACAGTAGTAAGCCACTGCACCTAGCCTCTACTTGCTAATTTTCTGCAGGAAAGTTCAATAATTTCACCAACGATAATATCAACCACATAGACAGCAATGATGATGGTGCCAGGACCTGGGCTGTGTGATGGATGACCACGGTTTCACTGAATCCTCTCGACCTTCTGAAGTGGTGGTGTGACTCCCAATCTCCATCTTCAGATGCCAGTGCTTGGAGGTCACCTTGCCTAAAGTCACGCAGCAGCAACGTGGCACCACCAGGACTCGGATCCAGGCCTAATGGGGGTGGGGAGGGCTGGAGAGCACTCTCTCATGCAAACATGCCAATTTCAGAGAAATCGTCAGCAGGACAAACGTGCAGGGAAAGGGGGAGCAGGAGAGGAAGAAAGAGTCTGGAAAACTCTAAGGACTGCGTAATAAACATCCGCCTCTGAATCATCCACTCTGTCTCTGAAATTAAGAAAGGAACAACCAGCAACCAGAAAGCGGATGAGGAAGCTTTGGATTGGGGTTTGGATGGTGGTTTAATCTCTCACTGACATCCTGCTTTTTCACATGATCCTTGTGATCTCCAAACACTTTGCAATCGGATTAAAAGCAAAACCAAACCTTGCAGGCTGGGAGAAGGTGGAGCTGGCAAGGTCAGAGGATTAAACCCGAACGCCCAGAGCAAAGTTTGACCGTGAGAGCCTGTTTGTGCAGGGTGGCTGGTGTGTGCCCGCCTGGCGGCGGCGCAAGGGCTGAAAGGGCAACGCGCCTTCGCAGACAGCATCCTCAGGTGTTAGACCCGCTGCCACAGGCCCCCAGAGTGGGAAGACGTGAGGGACAGACAGGCTGATATCAAACCTGACCACCAGGGGTGACAGCATTGACCCTGCAGTGAGCAGAAGACTCAAGTTGTCTGGAAGGAAGGGGAAGGAGTTTCTCGGGATGAAGGTGCAGGGATTAAAGAAGCCCGACTGAGCTTTCTGCAGAGGGACTCACTGCAGGGATCAGCAGTGGAGTTGGGAGGCCAGGACAGAGCCTCTCCTGATGGCTGTAGCCCAGCCGCTTGGTGCCTACACAGGCAGTCCCTCTCACCTCTCAGGTATCATAATGCCTCTTCCTCTCAGGCCACACTAAATAGGATTTATCTGCAGGGTGTCATGGCCCATGCCCTATAATCCCAATACTTTGGGTGGCCTAGGTGGGAGGATCTCTTAGCCCAGGAGTTTGAGACCAGCCCAGGCAATACGGTGAGACCTCATCTCTATGAAAAAAATACAATAAAATGTTAGCTGGGCGTGGTGGTGCAAGGCTGAGGTGGGAGGCTCACTTGAGCCCAGGAGGTTGAGGCTGCAATGAGCCATGTTTATGCCACTACACTCTAGTCTGGGCAACACAGCAAGATCCTGTTTCAAAAATAAAATAAAGAGGCTTTTTCTTTTTTTTTCTTTGAGATAGAGTCTCGCTCTGTTGCCAGGCTAGAGTACAATGGCGCCATCTCGGCTCACTGCAACCTCCGCCTCCCGCCTCCCGGGTTCAAGCAATTCTCCTGCCTCAGCCTCCCCAGTAGCTGGGACTACAGACGTGCGCCACCATGCCCAGCCTTTTTTTTTTCTTTTTTCTTTTTTTTTTTTTTTTGTATTTTTAGTAGAGACGGGGTTTCACCATATTGGCCAGGATGGTCTCGATCTCTTGACCTCATGATCCGCCCATCTTGGCTCTCAAAGTGCCGAGATTACAGCTGTGAGCCACCGCACCTGGCCTTTAAAGAGGCTTTTTCTACTATCATGTAGAAACTGGGAGGAAAAAAATGCTGCAAGACAAGATCTCCTGCAGTTCTGGAAGCCAGAGTAGGAAGGAAGAAAGAAAAGAAAGAAGGAAGGAGGAAGGCCTTAAATTTAGAAAGAAAATCAATTAACAATTGTTTTCTACAAAGAAATGGTTCAGGCCGGGCATGGTGGCTCACGCCTATAATCCCAGCACTTTGGGAGGCCAAGGTGGGCGAATCACGAGGTCACGAGTTAGAGACCAGCCTGGCCAATATGGTGAAACCCCGTCTCTACTAAAAATACAAAAAATTAACTGGGCATGGTGGCAGGCACCTGTAATCCCAGTTACTGAGGAGGCTGAGGCAGGAGAATGGCTTGAACCTGTGAGGCAGAGGTTGCAGTGAACTGGGATCGCGCTGCTGCACTCCCAGGCCACAGTGCAAGACTCTGCCTCAAAAAAAAAAAAAAAAGTTCGAATTTACCACAGTTTTTTTAAACTAGAAACTGCAATGGCCCTCCATATCTGTAGGTTCATCCTCAGATTCAACCAACAACATCTGGAAAATATTTGGGAGAAAAAAATATATAACAATTTAAAATAATACAAATTAAATATGCAGTATAACAACTATTTACATTAGGCTGGGTGCAGTGGCTCACACCTATAATCCCAGCACTTTGGGAGGCCAAGGCGGGTGGATCGCTTGAGGTCAGGAGTTGGAGATCAGCCTGGGTAACAGGAAGAAACCCCGTCTCCACTAAAATTACAAAAAATTAGCCAGGCGTGGTGGCACGTGCCTATAGTCCAGCTACTCAGGAGGCTGAGGGCTGAGGCATGAGAATTGCTTGAACCCTGGGGGGTGGAGGTTGCAGTGCCATTGCACTCCAGCCTGGGTGATAGAACAATACTTGGTCTCAAAAAAAAAAAAAACTACTTACATTGTATTAGGTATTATAGGTAATCTAGTGATGATTTAAAGTATATCAGAGTAGCTGGGCATGGTAGCTCATGCCTATAATCTCAGCATCTCAGGAAGCAGGAGGATGGCTTGGACCTAGGAGTTCAAAGCTGTGGTGAGCTGTAATCGTGCCACTGCACTCACTCAGCCTGGGCGACAGAACAGACCCTATCTCTAAAAGAAAGAAAGTATACAGGAGAAAGTGCATGGGTTATATGCAAATACTATGCCATTTATACCAGAGAACCGAGCAGGATTTTGGTATCTTCAGGGGGTCCTGGAACCAATTCTGCTCCATTTAAGCATTTGTTTGGAGATCCTTAGCTACACTGCAGCAGTGCAAATGGGCACAGAAACTTAAAATTCAAGGCATTTGGTCATCCACAAAAGACTGCTGAATTCCCAGACCAGCATAACAATAGTGTAGGTCACTGGGGAGGGGAAACAGCTCATGATTATGTAAACCATGGAAATTTTGTTTCAGGAAAAATCAAAGAGAGTTCTACTTAATATACTGGAAGACGAACTTGGAGAACTCACACACACACACACACACACACACACACACACACACACACGCATATCCCAAACTCCCAGGGTGGATGGAGCAAGAATATAAAGGTGACAGAAAAACAGAGATCCACGATGAGTTGTCTATGCATCCTAAAAATCCTTTCCCCCTTGGGAACAACTGCCTTTCTGCAAAACAACCCTCAGAGCCACTGACAGAGGCTGAGAGCAACATATAATTGCAGAATGAGCACTGAATTTGGAGTCAGACAGCCCTCAGGTATAAACTCCAAATTCCACGTCAGCCTCACTCCCACCCTAATTTGATCTCGTGCAAGTGCCCTAACCTAAGTTGGTGTTTTTTTTGTTTGTTTTTGTTTTTTTGAGACAGATTCTCCTCGCTCCGTCACCTAGGCTAAGTGCAATGGCACCATCTCAGCTCACTGTAACCTCTGCCTCCTGGATCCAAGCAGTTCTCCTGCCTCAACCTCCCAAGTAGCTGAGACTACAGGTGTGCACCACCACCCTGGCTAATTTTTGTACTTTTTGTAGAGATAGGGTTTCACCATGTTTCCCAGGCTGGTCTCGAACTCCTGGCCTCATGTGATCCACCCACCTCAGCCTCCTACGGTGTTGGAATTACAGGCATGAGCCACTGCACCCAGCCACAGATTCACGTCCTTAACTTAAACGCAGAGTTCACAGAATTGTAAGGGGGAAAAGATATTTAAATATTTACTGAGAGCACAATGGTGCACACCTGTAGTCTCAACTACTTAGGATTTGAAGCGGGAGGATCACTTGAACCCAGGTGTTCGAGGCCGGCTTGGGCAGGCAACATAGTGAGACCCTGTCTCTAAAAAACAAAACAAAGTATTTCCTGAGTACCAAGCCCTGTTTTAAGCAACGGGGACATGCAGTAAACAAAACAAAAGTCTGCCTTCATGGAGTTTATAACTGAGAGGGCAAGATGAACACTCAACACACACAGAAGTCAAAGCAGAGTGTATCAGATGGTGGTGAGAAGGGAGTGGGGAGAGTCGGGGAGGCCGCTGTTTTATTTAGGGCGGTCCGGGGAGGCTCATGTTAAGAAGACGTGAGGCAGGGCTGGGCGCAGTGGTTCACGCCTGTAATCCCAGCACTTCGGGAGGCCAAGGCGGGCAGATCACAAGGTCAAGAAATCGAAACCATCCTGGCCAACATGGTGAAACCCCGTCTCTACTAAAATACAAAAATTAGCTGGGCGTGGTGACACAGGCCTGTAGTCCCAGCTACTCAGGAGGCTGAGGCAGGAGAATCGCTTGAACCCAGGAGGCGGAGGTTGCAGTGAGCCAAGATCATACCGCTGCACTCCAGCCTGGGTGACAGAACAAGACTCTTGTCTCAAAAAAAAAAAAAAAAAAAAAAAAAAAAAAACACACCAGCTGTAGTGGCTCATGCCTGTAATCCCAGCACTTTGGGAGGCCAAGGCAGGCAGATCACCTGAGGTCAGGAGTTCGAGCCCAGCCTGGCCAGCATGGTAAAACTCTGTCTGTACTAAAAAATAAAAAAGACATGAGGCAGTCATGCAAATATCTAGGGGAAAAGGATTCCTGGCAGAAGGAACAGCAAAAGCAGAGCCCCTGAGGCAGGGACTTTTTGTGGATTTCACGTCACGAGGAGACCAGTGTAGCAAGCAGGGGTGAAGAGGTGTTCAAATAGGAGGATGCAGGAAATATCTGGTTTTCACCCGGAGTGAGCTGGAAAGCCATGGAAACGCTATGGTTGGCTTCTATTTGAAAGGTTTGCTTAGTCTGCTGTGAGAGAGGTTGGAAGGATCAACGGCCTGAAAAGAGAGACCAATTAGAGGCTACTGAAATAGTCCAGGCAGGAGATAATGGCTGTTTCAGTGTGACAATGGGGCGGAAGGACTGAGATGTGAATGGGAGAGGGGCACGTTTTGAAGGTAGGTTCAGCAGGATTTGTTGGAGTCTTAGCTGTTGGTATGAGAGAAAAGGGTCATTGATAACTGCAGTGTATTTGGCCCGAGCACCTAGAAGGATGGAGCTGCCACTAACTGAAATGAGCAAAACCACAGGAAGACTAGGATGGCAGAGAAGAAAACAAGAGTTCAGTTTGGGCTAAGTTTGAGAAGTCTATTGGATATACTGGTCTATTGGTTTGGATGTGCTCACCCAGGGACTAGGTACAGAGGGAGAAGAGAAGAGTTCAAGGACTCTGGGCTTAGACATCAAGGAGACGAGGAGAAGCAAAGAAGACCAGAAGGAGTGGTCAGTGGGGTAGGAGACAACACCAGGTACCCAATGAGTCTGTGCCACGGGTTGGCAAGTTGGCCCATTAAGGGGCACATAGTAAATATTTTTGGCTTTGTGGACTATGTGGTCTCTGTTGCCACCTCTCAACGCTGCCATTATAGTGCAAAAGCAGCCAAAGACAATATGGAAGTGAATGGACACGGTTGTTCCAGTAAAGCTTTACTGGATTTGGCCTGCAGGCTGTAGTTTGTCAAACCTTGGTGAATCTACATGGCGCCCATGAGCTGTGCAATGAGGAGAAAGAATGGTAGCCATGGTGTTCTGGAAGCCAAGTGGACAAAGTGTTGCAAAGGGGAGTAATCAGTGGTATCAAATGTGGCTGACAGTTTGAGTCAGATGAAGAAAGAGAAGCAGCCATTGACTATGGGAACACAGAGATCACAGATGGCCTCAGCAGGAGCACTTTTCCTGGAGTGGTAAGAACAAAAGCCTGATGAGAGTGAGCTCTAAATTGTAAGCATGGGCATGAGCAGAAACAACTCTTTCGAAGAGTTTTTTAGGACTCATTCAGTGGTGGAAACTGAGCATTTTTCCATTGTTTCAAGTAACTTGTGCTATTTGTACTTGTAAGAAAAAACAGCCCTTAGGATCTAGAGTTAAGTTAGAAGCCATCAAAATATGGTTAAGAGGCTGGGCACGGTGGCTCACGCCTGTAATCCTAGCACTTTGGGAGCCCAAGGCAGGCGGATAACTTGAGGTCAGCACTTCAAGACCAGCCTGGCCAACATGGTGAAACCCCTCGTCTCTACCAAAATTACAAAAATTAGCCAGGCGTGGTGGCGGGTGCCTGTAATCTCAGCTACTTGGGAGGCTGAGACAGGAGAATCTTTTGAACCCAGGAGGAGGAGGTTGCAGTGAGCGGAGATCGTACCACTGCACTCCAGCCTGGGTGACAGAGTGAGATTCCTTCTCTTTTTGTTTTTTAATTTTTTTTTTTTTCAGACAGAGTCTTGCTCTGTCGCCTAGGCTGGTGTGCAGCGGCATGATCTTGGCTCACTGCAGCCTTGAGTTTCCTTCTCAAAAATAAAATAAAATAAATAAATAAATATAAGGTTAAGATTTGATGGTGTGGTCCCAGGCATTATTTAGATGGGCCACTGTATTGCAGATCCCAAACACCCAATGCCTATTTATTTGTATGTTGCCCTGTGATAAAAAGTCTTTTTTTTTTTTTTGAGACAGGGTCTCACTCTGTCACCCAGGCTGGAGTACAGTGGCACGATCTTCACTTACTGCAACCTCCACCTCCCAGGTTCAAGCGATCCTGCCACCTCAGCCTCCCAAATAGCTGGGATTTACAGGCACGCACCACATCTGGCTAATTTTTGTATTTTTAGTAAACATGGAGTTTCACCATGTTGTCCAGGCTGGTCTCAAACTCCTGACCTCAAAGTGACCCGCCCGCTTCGGCCTCCCCAACCGCTGGCATTATAGGTGTGAACCACTGTGCCCAGCCTGAAAAAATCGTAAGACAAGTGTCTGCATCATGGTTAGAGGAAGTCCCTGCCGGGCCAAAATATTCCATTCTGAACTCGGATAGTAGCCTGCACATTCCTGCTGTCTACACAGCCAAGCAAGTTTTTCATTAACTGGGGTGAGTTATTGGCATGAGGATCCATCCACTGAAAAAGCCAAAATTTATGCCATACTTTGTTTCCCAGAGAGCCCAAACTATTTCATGTAAATTACCTCATTGATCTCCAAAGCCCTTGTGTGAGATTTAGAATTATTACTTTTTTTTCACCTTGACACCCAGTCTGTAGGGGGGCAATAAATATTACATTCTGCTGTTCATGATGCAGGACTGAGGACCATGCCAGTGAACTTCGAATTGTGGCTTTCGCATCTGAGCAGAGCCCTGGCGCGGGGAGCTGAGTAGGAGAGGACTGGTCTCACAGACCGCCCTGGGCATGTGTCCTGGGCACACTCAACCTCAGATCTTGCCTGCTTGTGGGATCACATGTGGCATCCTATGACCCTGCTTTCTTCTGTACACCCCTTGCCAACCACAAGTGGATTGGGAATGGGGCCCGTCCCCAGTAGCCCGTGTCTATGTCTGGCATAGCATCATGAGCTGGGGCCAATCCTCTGCCTCTCTCGGGAAAAAGTCCCCCATCAGACACAAGGAGATGAGAGGAGCAGACACACAGAGAGCCCCCATCACATTGATGGTGCAACCCTAAGGTGAAAATCCATGAATTTCTGAATGCAAGAGGTCCCTGGTGCTAGCTTGGATGCAGATGCCCTATAACTATGCTTCCAGGGAGTCTACGTCCTCTTGCACTTCCTGCTCCTAGCTTTCCATGAGATTCTGTCCTTATGATCATCACACACACACAGCCCTGGGACCAGCATTCTTTCTTTTTGAGGGAATTCCAGGAGAACTTTATTCCTTGTAACCAAGCACTTAGCTCCAACTCAGATGAAGCTGACCCACATCTACCAAGGCTTGGGAGCACCAAACAGCAAACTATTCAAGCAGCCTCTTGCTCTTGAAGTTCTGTCTGATTAAAAACAGGCAGTAGTTGGAAGGGGTGAAAGAGCGCCACAGCAAGGTGGGTATTTTGGTGAGCAGGCACCCTGGGGACTTCCTCTCTGGTTTGTTTTTCTTTCTTTTTTTTTTTTAAGAGACAGGGTTGGCAGGTGCTGTGGCTCACACCTATAATCCCAACATTTTGGGAGGCCAAGGTAGGAGGATTGCTTGAGCTCAGGAGTTCGAGGCCAAGCACGGGTGGCTCACGCCTATAATCCCAGCACTTTGGGAGTTTGAGGTGGGAGGATCAGTTAAGGTCAGGAGCTCGAGACCAGCCTGGCCAACGTGATGAAACCCTATTTCTACTAAAAATATATAAAAAAAAAATTAGCTGGGTGTGGTTGTGGGCACCTGTAATCCCAGCTATTTGTGAGACTGAGGCAGGAGAATCACTTGAACCCGGGAGGCGGAGGTTGCGGTAAGCCGAGATCCCACCACTACGCTCCAGCCTGGGTGACAGAGTGAGATTCCATCTTAAAAACAGACAAGGGCCGGATGTAGTGGCTCACGCCTGTAATCCCAGCACTTCGGGAGGCTGAAGCAGGCGGATCACCTGAGGTCAGGAGTTCGAGACTAGCCTGGCCAACATGGCAAAAACCCGTCTCTACTAAAAACACACGAAAATTTAGCCAGGCATAGTGGGGCGCGCCTGTAATCCCAACTACTCGGGAGGCTGAGGCAGGAGAATCTCTCGAACCTGGGAGGCAGAGGTTGCAGTGAGCCGAGATTGCGACATTGTACCTCAGCCTGGGCGACAAGAGCAAAACTCCGTCTCAAAAAACCAAAAACAAACAAATAAAACCTCTGATGAAAGGAGTTTGAGACCAGCCTGGACAACACAGTGAGACCCCAACTCTACAAAAAAATAAAATTAGCTGGATGTAGCGGTGCACGCCTGCAGGCCCAGTGACTCGAGAGGCTGAGGTGGGAGGATCTCTTGAGCCCAGGAGGTTGAGGCTGCAGTGAGCAATGATTGTGCCACTATACTCCAGCCTGGGTGGCAAACCGAGATGTTGTCCAGGCTGGAGTGCAGTGGTACCATCATGGCTCACTGTAACCTCAAACTCCTGGGCTTAAGCAATCCTCACACGTCCCAAGTAACTTGGACCACAGGCACATGCCACCATGCCTTGCTCCTGGTTTGTTTTTCTTCTTCCAAAAGTTCTGTATTATTCTAGGTCATCTCTGTTGTGTAGACCCAGAGACCCACCCTGCCCTAGCTCATCATTTGTTCATTTATTCAACATTCACTGGACACCTACTATGAGCCCAACACCCTAGGCACTGAGGCTACAAGAGTGAATAAGTCAGACCCAATCTCTGACCTTCAGGGCTACAGTGTAAAAAGAGAAACAGACGATTAAACAAGCAAGTGCATTATGATGTCCTGTGGCCTCAGAGAGGAAACTGGGTAGAGGAAACCCCAGGGCAGGCAAAGCAACTTCTTGTCTTGAGGAAGTCATGGGGGCTTCCTGGAGAAAGTGGCCCCTAAGCTGAGGCTTGACAGGGAGTTGGGGTTACTCAAGGAGGAGGCAGAAGGGTGTTGGAGGCAATGGAAGCCACACAACTGAGCAAAGGCCAGGCCAGGTCAAGGTCCCTGGAGCAATCGGATTAAAATGAGACACAATCCAGGGTCCCAAAATGCCCCAGTGGGAGAGGGGACAGCACATGCTCCCAAGTTCCTGTCTTACTCATAACATTTTTTATTCTAAATGAAGCTTAGGATCCAGTCAGTCCACCTCGGAGCAGACCTACATTTCCATCCTGAGCCCAGAGAATCTTTTGGCTGGAAACCAAAGCAAACCGAGAGCAGCTCATTCATAGGACCCCAGTTGACCACATCCACAGCAGAGAAAGGGGGGCTGCAGCCCATAGACTCGGGGCTATGCCTGCTGCCAGCACAGGAGAAAACACACCAGGGGCTGGAGACCCCAGGGGTCCCCCAGAAGAGGGGTGATGGTGTATTTCCCTAAGAGTTTTTTCTCCACCATATTTCCTGGATGTATCTCTGGGGTTGATTCCACACATCTCGCCAGCCCAGAATGGGGAGATCTGGCCTTTATGTGTCAAAGGATCTATGTAGCAATGGGGTTCAGCTTCTGCTCTGCATGGCTTTAGGGATTGCCAGCACGTGCTCCCCTTTTTCATCCCATCACAGTGAGCTACGATTATGTTTGGAGCAAGCCAAAAAAATTGCATTCCAGCCTGAGCCACAGAGTGAGACCCTGTCTTCAAAACAAACAACCAAACAAAAAATAGAGAGAGAGAGACAGGGTCTTACTATGTTGGCCAGGCTGGTCTGGAAGTCCTAAGTTCGTGCCTTGGCCTCCCGAAGTGTTGGGATTACAGGCATGAGCCACTATGCCTGGCCCCATCTCTATTTAAAAAAAAAAAAAAAAAAAAAAGAAGAGTGAAGCAGGCTGGGTCTGCATTAGAAACATCTGAAGTTCATACCATAGGTTAGTGAGGTGAAGACAGACCAGGTTCCATCCTAGGCTATAGGCCACAGAACTCAACTTACGTCCAATAAATGATCACTGTGTGCCAGGTAGTTACTATCATTATTATTCCCTTTTACAGATGAGGAAACAAAGGCCCAGAGAGGTCAAGTGACTTGCCCAAAGTCTCACAGCTAGGAAATGTAGAAGCTGAGATATGGATTCTGGTAATCTGCTACTAGAAGTCAAGGGTTAGAGGTCAGAACTGCATCGGTTTAAGTCCAGCTGGGAAATCTGATACACACACCTGGTAAGTGGGTTTTAAGGATGACATGCATCTTAAATAGCTCTTCATGGCTGCTCTTCAGGCAGCTGAGGCTCTGAAGAAAACTTAGCAGCTGGAATTGCAAATGTTTGTTGAATGAATTAATGACTGAACCAGGGTTATTTGGGGCCTCATCTTCCTTTCCACCTTCTTCCCTTGGCTTCTCTCTTAAAGGATTTTATCCTCCAAGACACTTCTTACCTCACTTGTCCACTCTGATAGCCAGTTCTTCCCCTCTCTGACCTCTCCCGTAATTCCCAGCCTCACTGGGACTCTGGGTTAAAGTTGTGGCTCTGCCACTCACTAGTTCTGTGACTTGGTGCAGTTTCTTTTCCTTTTTTTTTTTTTTTTCAGATGGAGTTTTGCTTTTGTTGCCCAGGCTAGAGTGCAATGGCACAATCTCGGCTCACTACAACCTCCGCCTCCCAGGTACAAGCAATTTTCCTGACTCAGCCTCCCATGTAGATGGGATTAGAGGTGTGTGCCACAACGCCTGGCTAATTTTTTTTTTTTTTTTTTTTTGAGACGGAGTCTCGCTCTGTCACCCAGGCTGGAGTGCAGTGGCACGATCTTGGCTCACTGCAACCTCTGCCTCCTGGATTCAAGTGATTCTCCTGCCGCAGCTTCCTGAGTAGCTGGGATTACAGGTGCCCGCCACCATGCCCAGCTAATTTTTGTATTTTTAGCAGAGACAGGGTTTCACCATGTTGATCAGGATGGTCTCGAACCCTTGACCTCAGGTGATCCACCTGCCTTGGCCTCCCAAATGCTGGGATTATAGGCATGAGCCACCATGCCCATCCAGAGTTGGTGCAGTTTCTTAACTCCTCTGAGTCTCTACTTTCTGGACTGCTAAAAAGAAGTCGATGGCCCTATCCTCTTAGACCAGTGGATCAAATAGAATAACGCAGAGCATTGCTTGACAGCATGACTGTGCCCAGCTCATAGGAGGTATTTGCTCCCCTCCTCTTTAGCTTTCAAGCATAATAAACCTTTGGACTTTCCCTCTATCAATCCATCCATTCAAAGATAATTTCTTGTTTCAATATATCCTGAAGGCATATGTTTCTTTGGTCTCGGCTGAGAACCAATTTTTTTTTGTTTTTTTGAGACAGGGTCTCGCTCTGTCGCCCAGGCTGGAGTTTAGTGGTGCGATCTTGACTCACTGCAACCTCTGCCTCCCGGGTTCAAGCAATTCTCCTGCCTCAGCCTCCTGAGTAGCTGGGATTACAGGCGAGTGCCACCACACCCAGCTAATTTTTGTATTTTTAGTAGAGATGGGGTTTCACTATGTTGGCTAGGCTGGTCTTGAACTCCTACCTCATGATCCACCCACCTCAGCTTCCCAAAGTGCTGGGATTACAGGCATGAGCCACTGCTCCCAGCCTGGCTGAGAAGCAATTCTAAGCCACCACACAGAGTTGCAAAACCATAAAACAATTAGCAATAACTCTGCCATCAAACAGTTAATTACCAGGGAGTGTAAATATGTGCTCAAGGCTCCAACTTACAGACTAATAGGAGTTTTGAAGCTTGCCGTTTTTTGAAGGCTTATACAAAATAGTTTCCTGCAAACTCAAGTGGCTGGGAAGCCCAGCTGAAGGTTACTTCTACCCCAAGGCCATGTCAGCAGAAAGTGGCCAACAGGACTTGGGCCTGAAAAAGCTCAGACTGAATTTTAGGAGTGACATCTGAAACTGCTGGTTTCTCACAAGGAATAAAAGCTGTCTGGGAAGCTGGAGAGGCAGTGTGCTGTCTGGAGCAGGGACTTGCAAATGGGTAAGTAGATATCTGAGGAGATTAAGAGCCCAGTGTCAGCCGGGTGTGGTGGGTCACTCCTGTAATCCCAGCACTTTGGAGGCCAAGGTAGGCAGATCACTTGAGGTCAGGAATTCAAGACTAGCCTGGCCAACCTGGTGAAACCCTGTCTCTACTAAAAACATAAAAAGATTAGCTGGGTGTGGTTGGTGGCACGTGACTATAGTCCCAGCTTTTTGAGAGGCTCAGGCAGGAGAATTGCTTGAACCCAGGAGGGGGATGCAATGAGCCAAGATTGTGTCACCGCACTCCAGCCTGGGCGACAGAGTGATACTCTGTCTCAAAAAAAAAAAAAAAAAAAAAAAAAGTGAGTACAATATTGATTGGGATGGTCTTCAGGCATGGAGCTCAGATGTTCTGTTTTTCAAACTGTGGCCCAACACATGACCACGGTAGAAGTCAACAAGTCTGAGTTCTTGGAACTGTCTTAAGATGCTGACTGGTTGGATTGCAGGGCCTTTGGTTCTTCATTTCTCTGCCAACTAAGATTTTCCAGATCAGCAGTAGTAATACTGGAAGCACCCTCTTTCCTGCTTTGACTGAGATAAGTCACCAAGGAATCTTTGGATTTCCCCAACATGAAACATTTTAATCAAACCTGAAGAGAAATTGAGATGTTTGAGAGATTAAAAGAGGACTTAAGATGTCTTGGTTCCGTTCAATTTCTCTTAAGGGTCAACTCTTAATCATAAAGCAAATATGTTGGTATTTTGTAATATATTAGTCTTACGTAATTTCTCCAGACTTCCAACCTTTAAGAAGGCGGATTGAATATAAATTAAATGGTTTCTATTTACTCTAACTCAATAATACAGAGTTTGACTAGAAAGTAATCAAAGTGACTTTTAGAATAAACACTCCAGGCTGGGCGCGGTGGCTCACACCTGTAATCCCAGCACTTTGGGAGGCTGAGGCAGGCAGATCACCTGAGGTCAGGAGTTTGAGACCAGCCTGGCCAAAATGGTGAGACCTAGTCTCTACTAAAAATACAAAAATTAGCCAGGTGTGGTGGCACTTGCCTGTAATCCCAGCTACTCAGGAGGCTGAGGCAGGGGAATCGCTTGAACCCAGGAGGCGGAGGTTGCAGTGAGCCAAGATGGTGCCACACTCCAACCTGGGTGACAGAGCAAGACTGCATCTCCAAAAAAAAAAAAAAAAAAAAGAATAAACACTTCAAAACTCTCATAATAGAGCAAGTAATGGCTTTGGAGTAGATACCTTCAGAGCATATGTACCAATCTGGAAAGTTGTTATAGCTCAAAACACATTCTGCAGCCCCCTCCATCAAGATTGCCTTCAAGGCTAATTTACAACACACAAGTGAAAATCTACTTTTGAGTCCACATACAGTTATGTGGCTTGTCTACTCTATATTAATCCCCAGATTTGGCCACAGATGGTTTGTGTCTATTTCTAAAAATCAAATCTACCTCCAAAGGATGAAGATTTATCATTCCCCCAAAGACATACGGAAATTTAAAAATGCAATGCAGGCTCTGAAGGTAATTCTCAAGCACCGTTGCTAAAGTGTGAATAATAGAAGCATTGTTTGAAAGTCAAGCTTTCCCAGGTGGTGACTTTGAAGACTGCATACCTCATTTGTATGCACTGGGTCACAACATACCAGACCTAGAAGAGGCCTTGAAGACAGGAGCAGGGACAAGGGGGACAGGATCCTTAGACTTTGTGTCCCAGGTCCCTCACTCTCCTCATCCTCATCCCAGTCTTACATCAACATTTTCTAGCACACATTTAAGCTGCCTCCCTCCACCCCATCCCATTCATGGCTTTGTTAAGAGCATCAATCATGTTATTTTACATCACATCTCATGAATGTGGTTCTAAACAATGATAATAGGAGTTGAAAGAGAAAACCAGCTTGAGGCCGGGCACGGTGGCTCACGCCTGTAATCCCAGCACTTTGGGAGGCCGAGGCAGGCGGATCACGAGGTCAGGAAATCGAGACCATCCTGGCTAACACGGTGAAACCCCGTCTCTAGTAAAAATACAGAACATTAGCCGAGCAAGGTGGCAGGCGCCTGTAGTCCCAGCTACTCGGGAGGCTGAGGCAGGGGAATGGCGTGAACCCCAGGGGGCGGAGCCTGCAGTGAGCCGAGATCGTGCCACTGCACTTCAACCTGGGCGGCAGCGAGACTCCGTCTCAAAAGAAAAAAAAAGAAAACCAGCTTGAGGCTTATGTTGGATTTAGTGCCTTCCACAGCCTAGTAAGATGCTCAATAATGTTGATAAAATGAACTGGACTTGAGATGTGATACTAGGAAATATATTTTAGCTATGGAATATATCATCACTGTTCTCAGTGCCAGTGTTCACCACTGCATTGCAGACTGTGGTGGGAATTACAAATGCCATGCTATTAAACCACCTCAGATAGATGTCTGTTGAATTTTTTTAAAGCTTCAACTATTTCTGGTATTGATTTTCCCGAATAAGGGGCTATTATCAAGAACTGTAAAGTACTCTGTTCAGTAGATAACCATTAAAATCCAATCCCTGCCAAGTCACAGAGAGAAGAGATGGGAAAATGTGCTTTGTCAGAGGCTGGCGGAAGTCGGCTGCAGGAAGAATTTGGGGGCAAACCTTAGGAAGAGCTCAAGTTATCAAAAGCAAAATCGCCAGCCTCATGCAACAGTGAATTGGCCATCCTAGAAGTATTCCAATAGAGGTCAGATGACCCCTTTTTGGGAGATGGTGTCTATAGAGGGGCTTCTACAATAAGCTACAGAGCTCCTTGGTCCCCCTCGGAGGTTGAGTTTTTAGGATTCTTTAACACGGATTGCAAGATAAGAATCTATATAATACAGACATCAACAGATTCCTTGACTAAATCATTATCCTCTTTTATTCTGTTTTGATAGAACAATTTTTCTTTAGCTTCTTTCTTTCCTTCCTTCCTTCTTTTTTTTTTTTTGAGACAGGGTCTTGCTCTGTTGTCCAGGCTGGAGTGCAGTGGCACAATCTTGGTTCACTGCAACCTCTGCCTCCCAGGTTCAAGCAATTCTCATGCCTCAGCCCCCCAAGTAGCTAAACTGCAGGCACATGCCACCATGCCCAGCTAATTTTTGAATATTTTGTAGAGATGGGGTTTCACCAATTGGCCAGGCTGGTCTCGAACTCCTGACCTCAGGTGATCTGCCTGCCTTGGCCTCCCAGAGTGTTGGGATTACAGGCATGAGCCACTGCACCCGGTAGCTTTTTTTTCAATCAAAACTCTAATCCCGTTCACTGAAAGGAATCTTTCTGATTAGCCAAGTGAGGTATTGACTTCATACCCACTTCCCAAGTCAATCAGAACGGTCTTTGCCTTTTCATCAGGATTTCTAAACAGCAATAGACATTCATAGGGAAGGAAATGAGCATCTTGTTAAATCTTCACAAATACTCTGATAAGCAAAAATTCAGGTCCATGTTATGCAAACAAGGAAACTGTGGGTGAGGGAGGTCTCAAGATCTCACAGCTAGCAAAAGCTAGAGTGGGCACTCCTGCACAGGTCAGCATGGTTCCAGAACACATGCTCTTTCCATTATACCAGGATGTCCCCTGTGTCCACATGTGTGTATAAATACTGCACTGAGTCACCCAATCCACGTATTGTTATTTCAGTTTTTATCGATGCATCGACACTCTTCACAATATGATTCTTTTTTATTTTTTATTTTTTGAGACAGAATTTCGCCCCTGTTGCCCAGGCTGGAGTGCAATGGTGTAATCTCAGCTCACTGCAACCTCCTCTTCTCAGGTTCGATTGATTCTCCTGCCTCAGCCTCCCGAGTAGCTGGGATTACAGGCATGCGCCACCATGCCCAGTTCATTTTTGTGTTTTTAGTAGAGGCGGGGTTTCACCTTGTTGATCAGGCTGGTCTGAAACTGCTGACCTCATGTGATCCACCCGTCTCAGTCTCCCAAAGTGGTGGGATTACAGGCATGAGCCACTGAGCCGGGCACACGATACGATTCTATGTTAGCCATGAAAGGTCATCTAGTGGTAGCATTGTGCCGAGCACGGCCCTGGTAGCTTACTGTAACAAACTCGTGGTTCCCCAGCAGTAGGTACTGTTGTCATCTCCATTTCTGAGATTAAAAACAGGCTGGGCCAGGCGCGGTGGCTCACGCCTGTAATCCTAGCACTTTGGGAGACCAAGGCAGGTGGATTGACTGAGCTCAGGAGTTTGAGACCAGCCTGGGCAACACGGTGAAACCCCATCTCTACTAAAATACGAAAAATTTGCCAGGCGTGCCAGCATGTGCCTGTAATCCCAGCTGCTTGGGAGGCTGAGACAGGAGAATTGCTTGAACCTGGGAGGCGGAGGTTGCTGTGAGCCGAGATCTTGCCACCGCACTCCAGCCTGGGTGACAGAGCGAGATTCCATCTAAAAAAACAAAAACAACAACAACAAAAAAACCTGAGGCTTAGGGAGTTTAGGTGACTTGTACAAGTCACATGGCTAGTAAGTAGTAAAAAGAGGGTTTGAGCCAGGTGCAATGGCTCACACCAGTAATCGCAACACTTTGGGAGGCCAAGGGGGGAGACTGCTTGAACCCAGGCTGTGTTAGTGCCACTGCACTCCAGGCTGGGTGACAGGGCAAGAGCCTGTCTCAAACAAAACAAAACAAAAAGAGGGTTTGAACCCAGACTTTCAGTCAATCAGTATCCTTATCCGCCTTAACCACTAAACTATACTGCCTCTACCCTACTTGAGGAGGAAGAGTCATTTTACATTTTAATAAAGCATCGGCAGATAGTGTCATATTCATAGCAGGAAATTAATAAATATGGTATTAATTGGTAACGGGGGGGAGACAATCAAGGAAGGGAGGAAATAACAAATTACTAGGTGGGCAGGTAGTCAGAATGGTCTGGTGGATTGTCAGAGATCAAAGATGTTTGGCCGGGCATGGTAGCTCACACCTGTAATCCCAGCACTTTGGGAGGCCGAGGCAGGCAGATCACCTGAGGTCAGGAGTTCAAGACCAGCCTGGCCAACATAGTGAAACCCTGTCCTACTAAAAATATAAAAATTAACCGGGCGTGGTGGCACACACCTGTAATCCCAGCTACTGGGGAGGCTGAGGCAAGAGAATTGCTTGAACCTGGAAGGCCAAGGTTGCAGTGAGCCGACATCACGCCCTTGTACTCCAGCCTGGTGATAAGAGCCAAATGCCGTTTCAGAACAAACAAACAAACAAACAAAAAACCAACTGCAGGGTCAAAAGCCTTTGAGAAAAAGCTGTGATTATCCAAATGTAGTGTTGCCTTCTTGTTCCAGAAAACTGAACTGAGGGGCTGGAAAGAGGGAAGAGCTCCTGGACACCCTTTCAGATCTGAAAAACTGGCCCTGCCTGTTTGATCTAATGCCTTTGAAGGGTTAAATCAGCTCCTTTGGCTCTCCAAGCATTCATTCAACAACAATAAAAAAATTTTTTTGAGATGAGGTCTTGCTCTGTTGTTCAGGCTGGAGTTTAGTGGCGTCGTCACGGCTCACCGCAGCCTCAACCTACTGGGCTCAAGTGATCCTCCCACCTCAGCCTCCCAAAGTGCTGGAATTACAGGCATGCACCACCACGTCCAGACATTCAACAAATATTTACTTAGAGATAACTCCATGCCAGGCACTGGGAACAAGCAAAGGCCCAAATACAGCCCCTGCCTCATGGAGCTTACATCAGAGGAGTCATGAGTAGAATATGATACTTCGGGTGAGGCTAATTGCTATGAAGGTAAACAAAACCATAGCAAGAGTAACAGGAGAGGAGTGCATTTTAAATAGAGTACTCAGGCCAGGTGCTGTGGATTATGCCTGTAATCCTAGCACTTTGGGAGCTCAAGGCAGAGAGATCACTTGAGGTCACGAGACCAGCCTGGGCAACATGGCGAAATCATGCTGGCACGTGCCTGTTGTTCCAGCTACTAAAGAGGCTGAGGCAAGACAATCGCTTGAGGCCAGGAACAGTGGCTCATGCTTGTAATCCCAGCACTCTGGGAGGCCAAGGCAGGCAAATCACGAGATCAGAAGTTTGAGACCAGCCTGGCCAACATGGTGAAACCCCTCTCTACTAAAAATACAAAAATTAGCTGGGTGTGATGGTGCATGCCTGTAATCCCAGCTATTCAGGAGACTGAGGCAGGAGAATCACTTGAACCCAGGAGGTGGAGGATGCAGTGAGCCGAGATCGCGCCACTGCACCACTGCACTCCAGCCCAGGTGACAGAGTGAGACTCCATCTCAAAAAAAAAAAAAAAGAGAGAGAGAGAAACACATCATTAGGCAATTTCATCATTGTGTGATCATCCTAGAGTGTACTTTCACAAACCTAGATGGCGTAGCCTGCTACACACCTAGGATATATGGTACAGCTACAAACCTGTACAGCATGTGACTGTACTGAATACTGTAGGCAACTGTAACACAATAAGAAGTATTTATGAATCTAAACATAGGAAATTGTAACACAATGGGAAGTATTTGTGTATCTAAACATAGAAAAGGTACCATGAAAATACAGTATTATAATCTTATGGCACCACAATCATATATGCAGTCCATTGTTGACTGAGATGTTGTTATGTAGCACATGACTGTATATATTTCACTTACTTGGAAAATTGTAATATATGTATTTTTTCACTTAACTTAAAACATATATATTTTATATATACTTTTATTTGAAAAATATGTGTCTATTTCACTTACTTGAAAAGACATCAAATGAAGCAATTAAGAACTTAAGGCCAGGTGTGGTGGCTCATGCCTGTAATCCCAGCACTTGGGAGGCCGAGGCAGGTGGATCACCTGAGGTCAGAAGTTCAAGACCAGCCTAGCCAACATAGTGAAATCCTGTTACTACTAAAAATACAAAAATTAGCCTGGCATGGTGGTGCACACATGTAGTCTCAGCTACTTGGGAGGCTGAGGCAGGAGAATTGCTTGAACCCAGAAGGTGGAGGTTGCAGTGAGCCACGATCATGCCACTGCACTCCAGCCTGGGCGACAGAGCGAGACTCAGTCTCAAAAAACAAATTAAAAAAAGAAAAGAATTTAGGCTGGGCACAATGGCTCACACCTGTAATCCCAGCACTTTGGGAGGCCAAGGCGGGTGGATCACGAGGTCAGGAGATCAAGACCATCCTGGCTAACGCTGTGAAACCCCGTCTCTACTAAAAATACAAAAAAAATTTAGCCGGGCATGGTGGCAGGTGCCTGTAGTCCCGGCTACTCGGGAGGCTGAGGGAGGAGAATGGAGTGAGTGAACCCAGGAGGTGGAGCTTGCAGTGAGCTGAGATCGCGCCACTGCACTCCAGCCGGGGTGACAGAGCGAGACTCCGTCTCAGTAAGTAAGTAAATAAATAAATAAATAAATAAATAAAATAAAATTTAAAAATAAAATAAATTTAAAAATAAAATTAAAAAATAAAAGAATTTAACAACTGGGTTCTT
The DNA here is from genome assembly GCF_000001405.40 of Homo sapiens. NCBI lineage: Eukaryota > Metazoa > Chordata > Mammalia > Primates > Hominidae > Homo > Homo sapiens. The sequence goes on along the minus strand of NC_000004.12, from coordinate 25,561,602 downwards.
GAGTCAGGCATCCAACCTTTGGCCTGAATCCTTTCTACTCTCTCTCTGTATGGCTTGGGTAGAAACATATTCCTTTATTTTTATTTTATCTTTTTTTTTTACCTGCCACCTATTCTTTGCAGAAACATATTTCTTTAACACTCCATTTTTGAGTTTGTAAAATAGAACTAACAAGAGTGCTGGTCGGGTGCGGTGGCTCATGCCTGTAATCCTAGCACTTTGGGAGGCTGAGGCGGGAGGATCACTTGAGGTCAACAGTTGGAGACCAGCCTGGCCAACATGGCAAAACCCTGTCTCTACTAAAAATACAAAAATTAGCCGGGTGTGGTGGCAGGCACCTGTAATCTCAGCTACTCAGGAGGCTGAGGCAGAATAATCACTTGAATATGGGAGGTGGAGGCTGCAGTGAGCTGAAATCATGCCACTGTACTCCAGCCTGGGTGACAGAGCCAGACTCTGTCTTAAAAAAAAAAAAAAGTGCCTATGGAATGAGGTTATAAGGTTGCTTGAGCATGCACAGAATAGCTGCTCAATAAATGGTAGCTACTACATTATTATCACTATTATTAATATTAAATACCTACTCTCTGTCCAACATTTTGCACGTATTACCTCTATTCATTACCAAGAACCATAGAAGGTAAATATTATTATCCTCAAATACAGATGGAAAAAAATCCCTCAGCTGGAAAGGTTGAGGAACTTGCCCAAGGGGAAGGGACAGCTCTCAGGAAAATCTTTCAACAGTCCTAGGTTCCCATGACCACACCCACCGTGACTTTGCCTTCTCCAGTGAGCATATGTAACAACCCGTGACGTCCATGGTCTTTTCTTGCCCGCACACACGCTACGTTAAGACTCTCTCTTTGTTTAGAAATCACTCTCCTTGATTTGCACTCCGTATCAGGGTTCTTTCTCTGTTTAGAAATCACTCTGCTTTGATTTGTTTGTTTCTATTAAAGAACTGGAAAACCCTTGTCCTTGATGTCTGAATGGCATAAGAGTTGTGACTGCATGGCCCCACGGCATCACAATTTCTGCCCCATGATCATAATAAAAGGAGTTGGGACCTCTGCCCTGTCAGAGCAGTAACCCATTGGGTCTTGGCAGGAGGGCCGGGTCCCACTGTGTCCTCATCCCAGACATTGAGAGTAATGGAGGTGGAAGGTGCCTCAATAGGAAGGATGAAAGCAGCAGAACTGCTACTTGGGTACGAGAACGAATAAAAAATAAGGGAAACCCCTTTTTTTTGTTTTTTGAGACAGCATCTTGCTCTGCCGCCTAGGCTGGAGTGCAGTGGCGTGATCTTGGCTTACTGCAGCCTCCACCTCCTGGGTTCAAGCGATTCTCCTGGCTCCACCTCTGGAGTAGCTTGGATTACAGGCTCAGCCACCACTCCTGGCTAATTTTTGTATTTTTAGTAGAGACAACGTTTCACCATGTTGGCCAGGCTGGTGTTGAACTCCTGACCTCAAGCGATCCGCCCGCCTCAGCCTCCCAAAGTGTTGGGATTACAGGGGTGAGCCACCACGCCTGGCGGGAAACCCTTTCTCTATCCTTTGGGGCCATCTCCTTGAAATGAAAGGAATTAAAGGGTGTGGCCCCAAGGGGAGAGAACCCCGGTTTGACAGAGCCTGGAGTGTCAAGGCTCTACCACTATGACACATGGAGTCAGGACACCAGGTCCGGGTTCTTGGGCCTCTTAGCACCACACTTCACTGCCACTTAATCTTGAAATTCTGGAATAGTCTCCTGCAAAAGATGAGCCACGTTCAAACAACAATTTGAACCCAACCCAAGCTCTTGTATACTCTTAACTACTACGAGATCAATAACTTTCACAATTCTCTCATTCTAAACATGAAACAATTTGCTCACTGGACAAAGAGCCATTCATCTGTTCCTTCATTCACTCAGTAAATATGCATAAGATCGTATGATGTGCCAGGCACAGTTCTCAGTGCGGGGACTATAGCAGTGGACACCACAGACAGAAATCCCTGCCCCATAGGGCCCATGTGCTGTCAGGACTAGACCAACAATAATAAATACACAAATAAGTAAGTTATATTGGATATTGGAGATAACAAGAGATAAGAATTGAAAAGGAGAGAGAGAGAAAATAGGTGGAGTGAAGCCAGGCATGGCAGCACATGCCTGTTGTCCCAGCTACTACTACAAAGGCTGAGGTGGGAGAATTGCTGGAGGCCAGGAGTTCAAGACAAGCCTGGGCAAGTAGCAAGATCCCATCTCTATTTTTTTTTTCTTTTTTTTGGAGTAAGAGTCTTGCTCTATAGCCCAGGCTGTTGTAAAGTGGTGTGATCTCGGCTCACTGCAACCTCCGCCCCCTGGGTTCAAGTGATTCTCCTGCCTCAGCCTCCTGAGTAGCTGGGATTACAGGTGTGCACCACCGCGCCCAGCTAATTTTTGTATTTTTAGTAGAGATGGGGTTTCAGCATGTTGGCCAGGCTGGTCTTGAACTCCTAACCTCAGGTGATCCACCCACCTCGGCCTCCCAAAGTGCTAGGATTATAGGCGTGAGCCACCACGCCCGGTCACCTGTCTCTATTTTTTAGAATATGGGGGATGAAAGGGATTGAGGATACAGGTAGGGAGTGGTAGTTGATGTTTTCAGGAGGGAAGTCGGGATTGGCCACTTGGAGAGGGAATATTTAGATCTGGAGACTGTAAGGGAGTTAGCGTGTGCACACCAGGCAAAAGAACTCAAGTAGGCTTACAAAAAATGGGCGTGTGACTCACGTTTTGTAAGTCTGATCCTACTTTTCCACCATGTTACATAATAACTGAAGATATATATTCCCAAAGAGGGAGAAATGATTCAAAGAGTAATAAAATAGAAATCATCATTGATGCAGGGAATATGGGAACATATGTTTTAAAGCTAAGTGACAGCATTTAACTAAAATCTAAACCACCATTCTTAATCAGTCCCTCCTGGAAATGCCTTGCTAAAGAGATTTGCACACAGTAGCAGCTGAGGAGGCATTCAAGGCTAAATGCTCTTCTTGCAGGAAGAACTTGGGGCTTGCTTTTCTTTTGCAAAAGGAACTTTTCAGAAGTGTCTTGCAGCTGCCTCCCTCTGCCAAACACTGAAAAGGACACAACCTCTCACCCGTGGTTCCCCTGGCTGAGTCTAAACCATGGGCATACAGTCAGGCAAATCCAAACTGAGGAACACTGTGAAAAACAATTGGCCTGAACTCTTCAAAAATGTTAATGTCATAAAAGATGTAGATAGACAGACAGATAGATAGATAGATAGATAGATAGATAGATAGATAGATAGATAGGCTGGGAGAGCTGTTCAAGAATAAAGGAAGCTAAAATGACATAACAACAAAATACAAGGCCTGATCCTTCATTGGATATGCTGAATTAATGTTTTTCTTAAAAAACCTAAACAGCTATAAAAGACATCATTGGGACAACTGGAGAAAAGTGATTATGGGGCCGGACACGGTGGCTCACGTCTGTAATCCCAGCACTTTGGGAGGCCGAGGCGGGTGGATCACGAGGTCAGGAGATCGAGACCATCCTGGCTAACACAGTGAAACCTTGTCTCTACTAAAAATACAAAAAATTAGCTGAGCGTGGTGGCGGGCGCCTGTAGTCCCAATTACTCGGGAGGCTGAGGCAGGAGAATGGCATGAACCCGGGAGGCGGAGCTTGCAGTGAGCCGAGATCGCACCACTGCACTCCAGCCTGGGTGACAGAGTGAGACTCCGTCTCAAAAAAAAAAAAAAGAAAGAAAGAAAAGAAAAGTGATTATGGATTATATGTTATTTTTATTTATTTATTTATTTATTTATTGAGACAGAGTCTCGCTCTGCGCTCTGTCTCCAGGCTGGAGTGCAGAGGCATGATCTCAGCTCACTGCAGTCGCCACCTCCCAGGTTTAAGTGATCTCAAGCCCCAGCCTCCCAAGTAGTTGGAATTACAGGAGCTCGCCACCATGCCCGGCTAAATTTTGTTTTTTTAGTAGAGACATTTCGCCATGTTGGCCAGGCTGACTTGAACTCCTGGCCTCAAGGGATCCGCCCACCTTGGCTTCCCAAAGTGCCACTATATGTTAAATAATAGCATCTAATGATTACTAAATTTACTGAGTAATAATTTTATTGTGTTTCTGAGGGAGAATGCCTCTGTTGTTAGGAGATGTGTGCTGAAGTGTTTAGGGAGATAGTCTTATGATTTCTGCAAGTAACTCTCAAAAGATTCAGCAAAATCAAACAAACATAAATAAACAAGAGTGTATACAAATACAAAGAGAGAGAGAAGAAATGTGGCAAAAATGTTAACAGTTGGTAAATTTAGGAGAAGAGTATATAGAGGCATTCATTGTCCTATTCTTGCAATTTATTTGAAGATGTAAACTTCTCATTTAAATTTTTTGAGACAGGATCTCTCTCTGTTGTCTATGGCTGAAGTGCAGTGGCACTATCATAACTCACTGCAGCCTCAAACTCCTGGGCTCAAGCCATCCTCCTGCCTCAGCCTCCTGAGTAGCTGGGACCAAAGGCTTATGCCATTTTTCTTTTAAAGTTGGGGAGAAAGAATCCTTCAACCAGTCTTCACTCTGTCTAGACATCCTTGCAGTGGTTTTTCTCACTGTATGACTTTATTGCTGCCTTATATCCAATTTTTTTTCCTTTTTGAGATGGAGTTTCGCTGTGTCACCCAGGCTGGAGTGCAATGGCATAATCTTGGCTCACTACAACTTCTGCCTCCCAGGTTCTAGTGATTCTCCCACCTCAGCCTCCTGAGTAGCTGGGATCACAGGCACACACCACCATACTTGGCTAATTTTTGTATTTTTTATTAGAGATGGGGTTTCACCATGTTGGCCAGGCTGGTCTTGAACTCCTGACCTCAAGTGAACCACTTGTCTCGGCCTTCCAAAGTGCTGGGATTACAGGTGTGAGTCACTGCACCTGGACTGCTTTATATCCTTTTTGCAATAAGGAGTGTGGGGTGTAAATGATTTAAAAACAGCAGCTTCTTTCCAGACACTTTAATTTTATTTATTCTATTTTGTTTTATTTTATTTTATTTGGTATTGCCAGACATTTTTAGCAGGGAACATGTGATTAAAAAAATATATAGCCACCTTGCCATTTAAAAGTAAAAATACCTGCTATAAAAAAGACACAGCTACAGGACAGGCACAGTGGCTCACGCCTGTAATCCCAGCACTTTGGGAGGCTGAGGCGGGGGGATCACTTGAAGTCAGGAGTTCAAGACCAGCCTGGCCAACATGGCGAAACCCAGTCTCTACTACAAATATAAAATTAGCTGGGCATGGTGGCACATGCCTGTAATCCCAGCTACTCAGGAGGCTGAGGCAGGAGAATCGCTTGAACCCGGGAGGTGGAGGCTGCAGTGAGCCAAGATCATGCCACTTCATCCAGCCTGGGCAACAGACTGAGACTCTGCCAAAAAAAAAAAAAGATACAACTACAGAGGCAAAAATCAGGACAGGGGCTGCCAAGGATTGGGATGGGGAAGAGATTGACTACAAAGGGGCATGAGGGAACTTTAGGGGGAATGATGAAATATTATCTATGTAGTATCTATCGTAATTGTGGTGATAGTGGTACAGCTTACATTTGTTAAAACTTTAGATGTGTATACCTAAGAAATGCAAATTTTACTGTGGCAAGTTATATCTCAGTAAACCCGACTTAAACACACACACACACACACACACACACACACACACACACACACAATAACAACAACAACAACTGTTTTTCAACAAGTTGAGATGAGTCTGTATTAGAAACTTGTTCTACGCCAGGTACAGTGGCTCACACTCGTAATCCCAGAACTTTGGGAGATGGAGGTGGGAGCATTGCTTGAGGCTAGGAGTTGGAGACCAGCCTGGGAAACATAGTGAGACCCCATCTCTAAAAAAATTAAGAAATTAGCCAGGCATGGTTCTAGCTACTCAGGAGGCTGGGATCGCTTGAACCCAAGGAGTCTAAGGCTTCAGTGAGCTGTGATTGTGCCACTGCACTCCAGCCTGGGTAACAGAGTGAGATTCCGTTGCTTAAGGAAAAAACAGAAACAAAAACAAACAAAAAAACATGTTCTAAACAAAGCCTTAGAATTGGTACTTCCTTAAAAGGCAGAGGAGAGAAGATAGAAGTTTCTAACGGCAAAAGCATTTTCTGAATGTTTGAAAAATGCACACAGCATAAGCTGTTCATTGTCTGGGGTTGTTTGGAAGTCTAAATTAATAGATTAAATCTCAACTCTCTGCAGCAGGCAGGAGGCACTTTCAGGTCCCTATCGTAACTTCAACTGGACTCCATTGGTCAGGTTAAGACCCTTTAGGGATCTGCTGTATGGAAGAAAAGGAACAGTTTTATTTACCAAATCAATATGTTGGTGTGCAAATGAGGGCCACTGGGGTGGTGAAAAACAGATTACTCTCAGAAAGATCAAAAATTTCATCTGCAACATCTTTTGGACCATTAGGCATTGCACACTTATAGAACAGGCTGGATTCAAGTCCACCCCTCCTCCCCCAGGGCTAGGCATGTAGAATACTCAAGCCAGTAACTTATGGTCAATGCCTTTGTTCAAAGCCGGAACGTTTGGTTCTGCATTGCAGGAACAGTGAAGAGAGACAGCATCTCCTTCCTCTGAAGATTCTGTTCAGAATGGATAAAGGTTCAGCATCCTCCCTGGATGGGGCAGCTTAGCAGGTGAGTTCCTGACATTTCTGAGTAGACACGGGACTCCTCCATCCTCCAGTCCTCTACAGAAACTGCACACCAACTTCACTGGTCAGAGAGGCAGGCACCACACCCCAGCCCTTTGCATCCAGGTGACAAACAGCCAGCACTTCTTCTAGGTGGGTTGAAGTGTTTCCAATAGTGTGGAAGGTGAACAGCACCAAGGATTAGTGTCTAGGCTCCGGACTCAGTGTCTGGATTTGATTCCACCATCTTGGGCCCTTAAGCAAGCCAGTATCCCTACACTTGCCTGCATTTTGCCATCTGTAAAATGGCAATGATAATACTAACAGCAAATGCTTGCATGTATCTTCTTCCTATCAGACACGGTTCTGAGCACTTTCCACATACCAGCCAGAGAATCCTCACACAGCAGTAGTTGAAGTCAGTAGCATTATTCTCCTCCTCCTCCCCTCCTCTCAGTGAGGAATAAATAAATTCATACCATGAAGGGCTTGGAAATAGTTCAGGGCCCAAAACACTCAATAAGTTTAAGCTATTATTGAGATGGTTTCAAAGGTCACATGGATAAGCATTTTTAGGTCCAGAGATGTGCATTTACAAAAATAAATGCAGGCCACGCGTGGTGGCTCATGCCTATAATCCCAGCATTTTGGGAGGCCGAGGTGGGCAGATCACCTGAGGTAGGTCAGGAGTTCAAGACCAGCCTGGCCAATGCTGCAAAACCCCATCTCTGCTAAAAATACAAAAAATTAGCCAGGTGTGGTGGGCACACCTGTAATTCCAGCTACTTGGGAGGCTGAGGCATGAGAATCGCTTGAACCTGGGAGACCAAGGTTGCAGTGAGCCGAGATCGTGCAACTGTGTTCCAGCCTGGGCGACAGAGCAAGATGCCGTCTCAAAAAAGAAAAATTAAAATAAAATAAAGAGACTCAGCAAAAATTACAAAGGTGGAATGCAAATGCCCAAACATGGAAAATACTGCTCTAGACCCAGAACAGCCAAAATAGTGCCTGCTTTTATTTACGTATTTATCATTTATTTATTTATTTATTTTAGAGACAGGGTCTCTCTCTGTTACCCAGGCTGGAGTGCAGTGGTGCCAATGATAGTTCACTGCAGCCTCAATTCCTGGGCTCAAGTGATCCTCCCACCTCGGCCTCCCAAAATACTGGAATTACAAGTGTGAGCAGCCACCCTGCCCAGCCAGTGCCTGCTTTTAGTGGCTGTCTTCCCTCCTCTCCTCCCTTACAAATGTCCACCTCTCTGTGGTCCAGCAGGCAAGAAAGAAGTCAACTGAGTTTCTTCTAGAGAAATTATAGAAAGAAAGAAAAAGAAAGAAAGAAAGAAAGAAAGAAAGAAAGAAAGAAAGAAAGAAAGAAAGAGGAAGGAAGGAAAGAAAGAAAGAAGAAAGAAAAAGAAAGAAAGAAAGAAAGAAAGAAAGAAAGAAAGAAAGAAAGAAAGAAAGAAAGAAAGAAAGAAAGAAAGAAAGGGAAAGAAAGAAAAGTTGACTGAGACATGGCCCATTCCCTCCCTGGGACCAGCCTCTTCTTTCCAGCTCAAGGGTCAAGACAGTGTCCCCAGGAAGAAGCAAAGGCTGTGTTTTCCACACTCTTATCTAGAGGTGAGCTGGCAGAAGCTCCTCCCAGACTGCATCTATCAGACAGGGAGACAATAACTGCTTGGGTGAGGAACAAAGGGAGGAGACACCAACTGTCCCCACTAATGACAGAAGATGTGGCAGCCTGAAGCCCTAATATTGGCTGTGGCCCTTTAAGATCCCTCCCCACTTAACTGTAACACCCCCCTTCTCCAGGAAACTGGCAAGGACCCTTGGCACTGTTGGCCAGCGCTCTTGGAGACAGCCAGGACGGGGTTGGCAGGACTGCCTACACTGCTTTGAAAATATTTAACAATAGGTAACTTTGGCATTTCGAGAAGGTCTTGGATCACAGGAGTTGTGGAGGCCCTGGGAGATGTAGAAAAGACATAGTGAAAGCTTTTGTTTTGCCCGGAAGGAAAACATGTGGATGTCTCAGTCAGCTCAGACTTCTATTTGGCTGATGGGGAAGTCAGGGAGAGCTTGAGTGTTCACAGAATGCCACCTCTACCTTGTAGCTGCCACGCGGAATCGTTCAATCTCTCATCTGACATCACCTTCACAGATTCAGTTTCATTCGCAAGGAAGACACTGACCAAAAAAAAAAAAAAAAAAAAAAAAAACAGAAGTAACTTTCCTTTAAAGGGCTCCAAACCTCCTGCTACCAAAAACTAGAATTCTTGGTCTCTCTGGTTTACTGTCCCCCCAACCCAAGTTTGTCCCCCCCTCCCAGACATCCACATGCTTTCCTTGAGGTCAGGAGTGATCCTCCCACCTCAGCCCCCTGAGTAGCTGGGACTACAGGCGATGCCACCATGCCTGACTAATTTTTAAAAATTTTTTATAGAGATGGGGTTTCATCATATAGCCCAGGCTGGTCTTGAACTCCTGAGCTCAAGTGACCTGCCTACTTCTGACTCCCAAAGGCTTGAGATTACAGGCGTGAGCCACCACACATGGCCTAGTTTTATTATTTAATTTTTTTTTTAAGAATAGGGATTTGCTGTGTTGCCCAACCTGGTCTCTAATTCCTGGCTTCAAGTGATTTTTCTGCCTTGGCCTTCCAAAGTGCTAGGATTATAAGCATGAGCCACCACACCTGGCCCCAGTTAAATTTGAATTTCACATACACAGGAAATGATATTTTATTTTATTTTATTTTTAATTTGTTTTATTTTGAGACAGTCTCACTCTATCACCCAAGCTGGAGTGCAATGGTGCAGTCTCGGCTCACTGACTGCAACCTCCGCCTCCTGGGTTCAAGCAATTCACCTGCCTCAGTCTCCAGAGTACCTGGGACTACAGGCATGCTCCAACAACCCCGGCTAATTTTTGTATTTTTTGTAGAGACAGGGTTTTACCACGTTGGCCAGGCTGGTCTTGAATTCCTGACCTCAAGTGATCCACCCACCTCAGTCTGCCAAAGTGCTGGGAGTACAGGTGTGAGCTACCGCTCCCAGCCAAGGAATGATAGTTTAGTGTAAATATGTACATCCATTCAAGGGAATAAAAGTCAAGTTAGCAAAGATGAGTCATAAAATAATGTTATTACAGTTTTGTGATCGCTCAGGAAACAAGTAATATAAGCATAAAACATTATGAATTTACTATACTATTATTATTTTATTTTTATTGATATTAATTGAATCTTAGTAGACTAAAATGATACAGGTATTAACCAAAGACATGAACAAACATAGAGTGTGAGATGTTAGAGACCGCAACACACATAGGTTATGTTGCAGTGCAGCACTAAGAATGAATGTCTGTGTGTAGTATATATTAATTCTTTTCCCCATATGATTTTCTAGAGCTGGAGGGATTAAAAATAGGTCTATGAGGCCGGGCATGGTGGCTCACGCCTGTAATCCCAGCACTTTGGGAGCCCAAGGCGGGGAGATCACTTGAGGTCAGGAGTTCGAGACCAGCCTGGCTAACATGGTGAAACCCCATCTCTATTAACAATACAAAAAATTAGCAGGATGTGGTGGCACCAGCCTGTAGTCCCAGCTACTCAGGAGGCTGAGGCAGGAGAATCATTTAAACCTGGGAGACGGAGGTTGCAATGAGCTAAGATTGCACCACTGCACTCCAGCCTGGGCAACAGAGCGAGACTCCATCTCAAAAAGAAAAAAAAAAAATTTGCCTTTTCTCTCTGAGCACTTTCAGAATTTTCTTTTTCAACAACAACAACAACAAAAATAGCATACCAAGGATAGGAATAATTGAAGAAATGTGCAAGATGTATGCAAAGAACATTGTAAAATCTTACCGAAGTTCACCAAAGACTTGAACTTGTATTTTCTCTCAATCCTCATCACAGTGCTTCAAGGTGGATATCATTTTATCTTTCTGCACTCAGAAAGATTAAATAAATTGCTCAAGTCCACAGAGCAGCAAAGCTGCAATTTAAACCAGATTCTCACATTTGTGCTCCGTATGGTAACTCCTGCTAGCCCCAAGGAACTGATATAAGTTAATGAAGTAACCAAATGTGACTTTATTACTTTATTACTTTATTATTTACTTAATTATTATTACTTTATGTCAAGATTATTCCTACACGCACATGCTGGCTCACAAATTATAGGTTTCTCCTTGGTTGTAAAAATCGCATGAGTCATATTTGTGGCAAGAATCATGTAACAGTGCAAGGAAATTTTGAGATTTTTGGAGTAGATGTTCCTCAGATTCTGAAATGCTCAGGTGAGATAAGGATGTGCCTCCGGGCCCTTGCACTTGCTGTTCCCTCTATCTGGAAAGCACTTCCCCAGATACTGGCATAACTACCTTCCTCATTTCTTCAAATCTTTGCTTAGATATTGCCATCACAAAGAGTTCTTTCCTGGCCACCCTACTTATAATTACAACCTCTTCTGGCTTTATTTTTTCTCACAGTACTTATCACTATCTAGTGTATGTATAATTTACATTTTTATTTTGTTTACTGTCTCCTCCTCATCCTCTACCCACCCCTCTGCCCCCCAAAAAAATGTTAGCTCCAGGATAGAAGCAGAATTTTGTCTTTTTGTTTTGCCATCAGCTCTAAGAACAGTGCCCTATACAGAGTTGGTACTCAGTACTTGTTGAATGAATGTATGAGCAAATGAAACCAGAGGAACACAGCATATACACCACTCAAAGGAAGCCCTGCACTAGCAAATTATGAACTTGACTCCAAGGTCATCTCAAGATGGCAGGAGAGAGGAACAGAAACAGAGAGGAACACAGAACTGACTGGCTGTGAATATACGTTCATTCTACTGTATCTGTTTTTGCATTTTCTATAGAGAATTCATGATTTAGATGTCCCTTTGTGACTTGCTTCTGTTATTTATATTCTGATTGCAGGATTTATCCATGTTTTCATGTGCAGCTGTAAAATTTTGTTATTACTCTAGCTGTATGGGAACCATTGCAGGAATAATATACAATTTATTTATCCATTCTACTATTTTGGACATTTGGGTTGATTCTTCTTTGGGGCTATTTTGATCCATGCTGGTGTGACCACTTTGTCAAGTTTCAGGTGCACATGAGTAAGAATTTCTCTAGAAGGACAGGCATTTCTTCTATTTTGCCAAATAATATCAAACTGTTACCTAAAGTGGTTGTGCTAATTAACACTCCCACCAGCAGTGTATGGGAGTCACCATTGCTCCACATCTTAGCCAACACTTGTTATTATCAGACTTTTTTTTTTTTTTTGAGATAGAGTCTTGCTCTGTGGCTCAGGCTGGAGTGCAGTGATACAATCTTGTCTCACTGAAACCTCCACCTCCCAGGTTCAAGCAGTTCTCCTTCAGCCTCCCAAGTAGTTGGGATTACAGGTATGCACCACCATGCCTGGTTAATTTTTGTATTTTTAGTAGAGATGGGGTTTCACCATGTTGGCCAGGCTGGTCTTGAACTCCTGACCTCAAGTGATCTGCCCACCTCAGCCTCCCAAAGTGCTGAGATTACAGGTGTGAGCCACTGTACCTGGCCTATCAGATTCTTTAATTTTGCCCTGCTGGTGAGAGTAAAATGGTGTCTCCCTGTGGTTTTATTTTTATTTTCCCTGATTATAAATGAGATTGACAATCTCTTTATAAGATCAATTTGTGCTTTTTACATTTATTTATTTATTTATTTATTTATTTAGAGACGGAGTTTCACTCTTGTTGCTCAGACTGGAGTGCAGTGGTGCAATCTTGGCTCACTGCAAACTCCGCCTCCCCAGTTCAAGCGATTCTCCTACCTCAGCCTCCCGAGTAGCTGGGATTACAGGCACCCACTGCCACGCCAGGTTAATTTTTGTATTTTTACAAAATACAAAATATATAATACATAATACAGAAGGGGTTTCACCATGTTGGCCAGGCTGGTCTCAAACTCCAGACCTCAGGTGATCTGCCCACCTTGGCCTCCCAAAGTGCTGGGATTATAGGCGTGAGCCACAGTACCCAGACTACTTTCTTTTTTTTTTTTTTTGAGACAGAGCCTTGCTCTGTTGCCCAGGCTGGAGTGCAATGGCATGATCTCGGCTCACTGCAACCTCCTCCTCCAGAATTCAAGTGATTCTCCTGCCTCAGCTTCCCAAGTAGCTGGGATTACAGGCATGCGCCACCACGCTCGACTAATTTTTGTATTTTTAGTAGAGACGAGGTTTCACCATGCTGGCCAGGCTGGTCTCAAACTCCCGACCTCAGGCAATCTGCCCGCCTCGGCCTCCCAAAGTGCTGGGATTACAGGCGTGAGCCACCATGCCCAGCCTACTTTCTTTTTTTTAATTTAATATTATCGTACACTGTTTGCACGCAGCCATCTGTATTTTCTTTATTCATATGCATTAGTAAAGGAATAAGAATGTAAGTAAATACAAAATAATTTAAATTCTAGCCGGGCATGGTAGTCTATATTAATAATACAAAAAATTAGCCAGCCGTGGTGACACATGTTTGTAATCCCAGCTACTCAAGAGGCTGAGGCAGGAGAATCGCTTGAACCTGGGAGGCAGAGGTTGCAGTGAGCTGAGATCGCGCCACTGTACACCAGCCTGGGTAACAGAGTGAGACTCCGTCTCAAAAAATAATAATAATAATTTTAATTCAACTTTGGGATAGTCACTGTTTTGCCTCCATACTTCCCTTTTGAAATCAGTTCTGCTTAATCAGTCATTAAATCTAATTTAGAATCAAAGACTTGGCCAGGCATGGTGGCTCATGCCTATAATTCCAGCACTTTGAGAGGCCAAGGTGGGCGGATCGCTTGAGCCCAGGAGTTCGAGACCAGCCTGGGCAACATGGTAAAACCCCATCTCTACAAAAAATACAAAAATTAGCTGGGCATGGTGACACATGCCTGTGGTCCCAGCTACTTGAGAGGCTGAGGTAGGAGGATGGCTTGAACCCGGCAGGCAGAGGTTACAGTGAGCGAAAGTCATGCCACTGCACTCCAGCCTGGGTGACAGAGCAAGACTCTGTCTCAAAAAAAAAAAAAAAAAAAAAAGAAAGAAAAAAAGAAAAAAAGAATCACAGTCTTTAAAAGTGGAAATTGTGATATCGTAATAGCTAATATTTGTTGAGTGTTTATTATGTGCTAGTTATTGTGCTTTACGTACAAAGGAATGAAAAACTTGCTATTTAAAATGACAACTTCCTTCTAAGGACAGGGAGTCTCTTATCTGGAAAGTTCACTGAGCACCTTGGCTCAATTACGAAAAGTGAGTGCAGAAGGAAATTTGGTGCTCAAAGCTAGAGAAAGCCGAACCACTCTGCCTCATGAAATGAGAAGAATGTGGAGTTCTAGGGTAAACAGAGAGAGAAGGAATGAGGAGGAGAGAGGAGAGGAAACATGGGAGGTAGGGTGGGGGGTTTCAGTCAATATGGTGATGGATGGATCTCAAGGTGCTGAAATGATCAAGGGATCCTTCAATTTTCAGTACAACGTCTTGCATTCTATCTGTAACACAATGCACAGAGCCCTATGAGGGTGGCTTATGTTTCGGTGATTTTTTTTTTTTTTTTTTTTTTTTGTAAAATTTTTCCACATGGGCTGGGTGCAGTGGCTCATGCCTGTAATCATAGCACTTTGAGAGGCCGAGGCAGGTGGATCACCTGAGGTCAGGAGTTCGAGATTAGCCTGGCCAATATGGCGAAACCCTGTCTCTACTGAAAATACAAAAATTAGTCGGGTGTGGTGGTTCATGCCTATAATCTCAGCTACTGAACCGAGATTGCGCCACTGAACTCCAGCTTGGGTGACAGAGTGAGACTCCGTCTCAAAAAAAAAAAAAAAAGAAAAAAATTCCCACATGGGGAAACACATTATGGGAGAGGACCAGCATGTTGTTATGTGTGTTTTGTTTTTATTTTTTCTTATTTGTTTTTGAGACAGAGTTTCGCTCTAGTCTCCCAGGCTGGAGTGCAATGGTGTGATCTCGGCCCACTGCAACCTCCGCCTCCTGGGTTCAAGTGATTCTCCTGCCTCAGGCTCCAACGTTGCTGGGATTACAGGCGGGCACCACCATACCCAGCTAATTTTTTTGGTGTTTTTAGTAGAAACGGGGTTTCACCATGTTGGCCAGGCTGGTCTCCAATTCCTGACATCAGGTGATCGCTGGCCTCAGCCTCCCTAAGTGCTGGGATTACAGGCGTGAGCCACCATGCCCAGCCCAGCATGTTTAAGACATAGAGGCAATACTTAAACAGAATTAATTCACCACATGCAGAAACTCAAACCCAAGATGAGCAGAAGGTAAGCCCTACCACCTCCCCACTCACTGCATGAAGGCTGGGGTTGAAGAACATTTTATCTAAAATTAAGGGAGTAGCAAGACCCCAGCTGATCTCTAAGTAACATTTCCATTATCTGCTTTCTTTAATCTTCACAACAATCCTATTAGGTACATATTAACATTACTCCTAAACACAGTTAAGGATCTCAAGGCTCAAAAGGGGCAAGTAATGTCCTATACAAAAAAATGGAATCACTGATTACTGAACTTCTAATTAATTTTGCAGATGGGGAGACTCTTCCATTTTCATCACATAGAAATGCTAGATAAAATTTAAACCCTTTGTCCCAGTTTTTAAATACCTGGCCAATTCTGAAAATAAGAAAAGAATATCCCCCAGACTTCAGGGCAGGGAGCAGGAGCTAAAAAGAAATAGTCCATGAGGGTATTAGAGCTAGATAAATACTGCAGAGACTGATGATTAACAAATGCTCAGAACCTCTCAGCCTATGAGAGGTGGGGAGTTGGAACTGACCACCCCCTCACCCCAGCATAAATCTGAGCACCAAGAAACAGCCAACAGAAGTCCTTTTATTAGCCAGAAACACAGCAAGAAAGTTGACCATCTTCCAGGGCCATAGAAAGTACGAGAATCAAGCTGGGCATGGTGGCCCATGCCTGTAATCCCAACACTTCGGGAGGCCGAGGCAGGATTGCTTAAGTCCAGTTGTTCAAGACCAGCCTGGGCAATATAGTAAGACCACATCTCCACTAAAAATTTAAAAAGTGAACCTAGCGTGGTAGTTCATGCTGGTTGTCCCAGCTACTCAGGAGGCTGAGGCAGGAGGATCACTTAAGTCTGGGAGGTTGAGACTGCAGTGAGCTATGATCACACCACTGCACTCCAGCCTGGGTGACACAGTGAAACCCTGTCTCAAGAAAAAAAAAAAGAGAATCACTTGAAAGAACGCAGAACATCCACCTGCATCATACACAAACCTGTGGTCTTAATCCATGCTACCAATCAGTCAAAAGAACCCATTCCGAGAAACAAACATAAAGCTGGTCAGGCGGGTGGCTCCCACTTGTAACCCCAGCACTTTGGGAGGCAGAGGCAGGAAGATCGCTTGAGCCCAGAGGTCCAGGCTGCAGTGAGCCGTGACAGCACCACTGCATTCCAGCTGGGGCAAAAGAGTGAGACTCTGTCTCAAAAACAAAAAACAAAACAAAACAAAACAAAAACCCAACAAAACAAAACAAAAAAACTGGTCTGGATCTATAAGGTCTGGAACAAGCACACGCATTTCACAGAAAATCACTGCCCGCAAAGATAAACTCATGGTAAAAAAAAAATTACTAAGTTCATGAAGTAAATAACTGCTGTAAGAGAAAATTAGTATGCACAGCAAATGCAACAGAATTTAGAACCAAGAACTTACATATAAAGCCATCTCAAAGAGACCTTAAAATCATATATTCAAGCAGGCAATAATACACAGGAATAAAATGCATGAAAGAAAGAAACAAAAGAAAATAAAAGAATAAAACACAAAACTAGGATTGGGGGGGACTGTGAAATTTTTAAAAAATTCAACTGAGCTAGAAATAAAATGAGAGTCATTAAAAATAAAACTTCAACGAACACATTATACAATACACTAAAGAAGTAACTCATAAACTAAAAGGTAGATTTGAGGAAATCACACAAAATGCAGCTCATAAAGAGGTGAAAAGTATGAAAGCAGTCAGGAAACAGTTCATACAGAAGGAACAGATTCAGCATATATTTACTAGGAGTCCTACAGGGCCGATAGAGACAAGAGGAGGGAGGTAGTATCAGGCATACATGCCAAATCATTATGCAGGAGTGAGCAGAAAGAGATATTTCAGACACAAAAGGTTAGGGAATTTTACTGCAAACAATTCCTTATTAAGAGAAATAACAAAGATGATATCTCAGCAAGTAAGAAACCAAACCTATAAGGAAGGTGTATAACGCAAAAAGCCAATGATGAGTCAGGAATGGATTAAAAAGTTGATAAATCTAAACAATATTCACTGTAAAATTATGATAACTAACAACAATGAAGAGCAACTGGGAGTATTTATTTTTATTTTGTAAGTGAAACTAAAATATTGCCCAACAATATTACGGAAGATGGGAGGAGGTTTTAGGAGTAAAAGCATGCAAAGTTCCTTGTATTGTTTGAGGAAATAATAGAGATTTTCATTAGCTCTAAACCTGCAATCATGCATGCTAATAATTAACCACCAATGAAAATAAATCAAATGTTTAACTTCTAAACAAGGGAAGAGGAAAGAGTGGATGAAGAAGCAAAGAAAAAGCATGGTACACATTATAGGCAGTGGCTCACGCCTGTAATCCCAACACTTTGGGAGGCCCAGGCAGGCAGATGACATGAGGCTAGGAGTTTGAGACCAGCCTGGCCAACATGGTGAAACCCTGACTCTACTGAAAATACAAAAATTAGCCGGTCATGGTGGCACATGCCTGTAATCCCAGCTACTCAGGAGGCTGAGGCAGGAGAATTGCTTGAACCCGAAGGGGAGGTTGCAGTGAGCCAAGATCACACCACTGCACTCCAGCCTGGGCAACAGAGTGAGACCCTGTTTCAAAAAAAAAAAAAAAACTATAAAAAAAAAGCTAAATAAGTAAAAACAAGCCCAAACATACCAGGAATCATAAGAAATATGAATGACTATAGAGAAATTCTCACGCATATTCCCCCCAAAAAATATGCCAAGATGTGCATTACAGCATTGTTTTTAATGGGAAAAAATTAGAAACAGTCCAAATTTATCAGCCTTAGGGCACTAGATAAATGCATCATGGCATATTTATAATTTGAAACTGTCTAGAGGGGTTAAAAGTGAATAAAATTTATTTATATATGAAATTTGGGGGTTTTGTTTGTTTGTTTGAGACAAGGTGTCACTCTGTGACCCAGGATGGGAATAATTATGGGATCATGGCTCACTGCCTCCTGGACCTCCTGGGCTCAAGGGATGCTCCTGCCTCAGTCTCCTGAGTAGCTGGAACCACGGGTGTGCACCACCACACCCAGCTAATGTTTTATTTACTGTAGAGACAGGGCTTCATTATGTTGCCCAGGCTAGTATTGAACTCCTGGGCTCAAGCAATCCTCCTGCCTCAGCCTCCCAAAGTGCTGAGATTACAGGTGCGAGCCACTGTGTCAGCCTGACATTTGTTCTTATATATCAAACCTGGGAGGTTTGATAAATATATATATATAGGGCCCGAAATTATAACAACTGAAAAAAAGCCAAGTTGCAGAGTTTTGTATATATATGTAGTATTTTATATATATAACATATGCTATATATTATATAATTAAGAATATAATATATATTATTATGTTATGTACTTGTATTACATATAATATAGCATAATATTATAATATAGTATATATTCTATATTTATATTTTATAATAAAAATTATAAGCTACATTATATATTATATTTTACATATTATAATATATTATATATTCATGTTTTTATAGTTTATTATGAGCAATATATAGCTTTTTTGAATACGTAAACAAATGGCATTATATTATATATAATATAGGATATATTTATATTAATAGTATATTAGTATAGTATATTAATAATATATTAATATCTATAGTATGTGGCATTATACTATATGTAATATATTATTCTATTGGTAATTATATTACTAATATGTTATATTAGTATAATAATATATTTTGTTATTATACTAATAATAGCATAATTATATATTATAGGCTGGGCATGGTGACTGAGGTCTGTAATCCCAGCAGTTTGGGAGGCTGAGGCAGGCAGATCACCTGAGGTCAGCAGTTTGAGACCAGCCTGGCCACCATTGCGAAACCCCATCTCTACTGAAAATACAAAAAAATTAGCCGGGCATGGTGGTGTGCTCCTGTAATCCCAGCTACTTGGGAGGCTGCAGCAGGACAATCCCTTGAACCCAGGAGAGGGAGGTTGCGGTCAGCTGAGAGAGCGCCACTGCACTCCAACCTGGGGGACAGGGCGAGACTCCATCTAAAAAAAAAAAAAATTTTATATTATAATATAATTATATTAGTACTATTATATTCGTAATATATTCTAATATATTACTATATTATATATAGTATAATGCCATATACTATAGATAATAATATATTAATAATTATATATAGTATAATGCAATTTGTTTAAATATTCAAAGAATGTTATATGTTGTTCATAAATAAACTATAAAGACATGGATGAGAAGGATACAGAAGCTTCTGGAATGGGGAAAGAGAGGTTCAGTTGTATCTTTTTTTTTCTTTTTTGAGACGGAGTCTCGCTCTTTCACCCAGGCTGGAGTGCAATAGTGCGATCTTGGCTCACTGCAACCTCTGCCTCCCAGGTTCAAACAATTCTCCTGCCTCACCCTCCTGAGTAGCTGGGATTACAGGCACCTACCACCATGCCCAGCTAATTTTTGTATTTTTAGTAGAGATGGGGTTTCACCATGTTGCGCCAGGCTGGTCTTGAACTTCTGACCCCAGTTGATCCCCCTGCCTTAGCCTCCCAAGGTGCTGGGATTACAGGCGTGATCCACAGTGCCTAGCCATTCAATTTTATCTTTAACGCATTACTTCTTTAAAAATGTCTGAAACAAAGACATCAAAAAATTAACAATGTGTTCATTTCTGTTGGTACTTTATCATACTCTGTACTTTTCTGGATGTTTATGTCATAATAAAAATGCATTCATGACTCAAAATATTATAGAGCTGGAATGTTTAATAAATTAAATTTACATTAACATTTGAATTAAATTAAAATTTTAGTTTCAAAGTGGCTCTAGCCACTTTTCTTTCTTTCTCTTTCTTTCTTTCTTTCATCCTTTCTTTTTCTTCTTCTTTTTTTTTTTTTTTAATAGATACAGGGTCTCGCCATGAGCCACAGCACCTGGCCACTTCTCATTTTTAATACTGTAGGTAGGTATTAGTGATAGCAATATGCAAAGTGTAGACCAAATGAGTCCTGAGCATGCAGCATAGATATAGACCCCTACGGGAACTTGGTTAAATGATATTATTCTGTCGTTTTATGTTTTATCAAATTACTTGCAGTTCCTAGAAGGCTCATGTCCAATTAATTGAGATTTTCCTACAGCATTTCAGCTGATAACAGCCACAGTAATTTAAAACTGGTAATAATGATAGGGTTGTTCCAGTTACTATATATTTGATTCCCAAACTGTTCCAATTCCACCCAGTGACTTGCCAAGGTATAAATCTGGTAAAATTAACACAAAGGAGGACATTTTTCAGATTTTCTCATTTACTAAAGTAAGGGCTATAAACAGTTGTCTGGCCATTATTTCACTAGGAATTTCAACATTAACAACAACAACAACAAACATGCATTACAAAAGCATTGAGAAGGTTGGAAAACCCAGCACTGGCTTTAGGTAGGGAGAGATTTGAGACTTTGCCCTCAGACCACAGAATTACTGCAGGCCATTAATTTCTTTCCATTTGGGCTTTAATTGGCTTTCTCCCTGGCACAAAATCTCCTGAATCTCCTCTAACTGTCTAATCAAGGCCGAGCTGTGAAGTACAGCAAAGCAAAGTGAACTTTGTTCTATATGTAGACAACTCCCAAAACATAGAAGTTTTATCAGCCATCATCAGGTTAGCACATGGAAAATTCCTGGGGCTACGGAAAGCTTTGGGGGATATAAAACTATTGATCATATCCTCCTAAGTAGCAAGTCAGTTTCAATACTATGATTCCATGAATGGGTGAGATATATTTATTCATTCATTTGGCAGTTATATTTCTGAGCACCTACTAGGTATCAGGCACAGTCCTAAGAGATACAGTGATGTAGACAGACACAGCCCCTGGCCTTATGTTGCTGATAATCCACATGGAAGAGCTGTCATCCTGGCCTGTGGTACAAGGTAATATATAAGTGAATCCTAGCCAACCAAAAATGCTAAGTGCTTTGCAGCTTGATGAATGGTGGAGTCAGGTTCTCTTTGTAAATAGAACTGGGGTCTTTGTAAAAGGTGAAGCTGAATTTTTTCCAAAATTCCAGTCACTGGAAGTGTTAGCGAAGAAAATCTCACTCTTTGAGCCATACCTATGTTTTCTTTTTTAATTTTTAAAGTATTCTTTTTTTTTTTTTTTCTTGAGACAGGGTCTCCTCTGTCACCTAGGCTGGAGTGCAGTGGTGCCATCACAGCTCACTGCAGCCTCATCCTTCCCGGCACAAGCAATCCTCCCACCTCAGCCTCTCGAGTAGTTGAGACTACAGGGGCACACCACCACACCTGGTTAATTTTTTATTTTTTTGTAGAAACAGGGGTCTGCGCTATGTTGCCCAGGTTGGTCTCAAACTCATGGATGCAAGCGACCCTCCCACCTTGGCCTCCCAAAGTGCTGGGGTTACAGGTATGAGCGACCATGCCCGGCCATCCATGGTTTTTATTAAACACTCAAATCTCCCTAATTCTACCAGAATAAATATGCAGTCACCACCTTACAGACTTTCTGAGGAAGACCCAAATTGTAACAGAGGGATTGAATTAAAAGAAGAAATGAGATGTTCCCGTGTGGTTTAAGGCCAAAGATAATGCATAAGGAGTAGAAGAGAGGAAAGCACAGTGATTGTGCATCCCTTTGGAGCAGAAGCTAACCTTCATTGAGCATTTTCTTGGTTTCACGGGCCATTTATCCATCATTCATTCAATTCTCCCAACAACCCTGCAAAGTAGACACTCTCATCCCTATTTTACCACTGAAGTAAATGAAGTTCAGGTTGGGAGCAGTGGCTCACACTTGTAATCCCAACAATTCAGGAGGCTGGGGCCGGAGAATTCCTCCAGCTCAGGAGTTTGAGACCAGGGCAACATAGGGAGACCCTGCTTCTGTTAAATTTAAAAAAAAGAAAGAAAGAAAAGGAAGTTCTGAGAGGGGGTGCCTCTCCAAGGCCACAAACTAAGGAGTCAAGAGCAGAACCCATGCATGCAGCTTCACCTTGGTGACTTTGAACTCACCTGGTCTGACTTATAGATACGGATAACCTCTATGACCCCTGCCAGTGTCTCTGAGTCAATGAGTGCACCCTGTCGCTCAGCCTGAAGTCAGATGGAAATCAGGAGAGACAGTTAAGCTGCTGATAATTAAGGGGTTAGAAGTGTAAATCAAAATGAGCATTGTTTTATGAGTCTCTTTTTATTACTTTCAAGTTTTATTCACCTGATAAGGTAAAAAGAGAATAAAAACAATCAAGAAGGCGAGTCCTTCAATACCCAGGTTACTGCAGCATTTTTTTCTCATTGTGTTTTGTGGACAGATTAAGTATTAAATTATAAAACTAATCTGTTCAGATATCAGGAATAGTGTCAACTTTGATAAAGATTCACTCACTCTGAAGATTACTTTCAAAATGACCTGATCTGACTCAATGAATAATTTAACAATTGATTTTCTGGCAGAAACACTAAAGAATGAAAGACAAGGCCTCCTAAGATCATCTTGGGAGGAAAAATTTCCTTTTTGCTGAGACCTTTATTTCACCTTTAGTTTGCCTGCGATTGACTTTGATGGGAAGATTCCACCATTAGTTCCTGATGGACCAGAGATTTATAGCTTTTCAAATAGATGCTATTTATCTTGATGCGAAGATATATATCGAGGGAAGGGTTGCTTATCGTGTGCCTGAACCTGGGTCAGGCACTAGGGATGCAGAAGCCAGCAGTGTGCATGGGTCCTTACCCTGGCAGAACTTAAGGTCTGGTGGCAGAGGCAGCAGACAGACAGAGACTCAGATGCAGAGTGAGCAACACTCTGGAAACCTAGAGGAGGTACTCTTCCTTCATACTCAGGGACACTCCTCAGATAAGTGCAGGAAGCACAGGAAGTGCAAAGGCCAGGGGGAAAGAGAACCATGGCGCCTGCAGGGATCTGCATGCATCTGAGCAATATTTGGGTGGAAGTTTACCGGAAGCCACAAAGGAGCAGTCAGATGTTCTCACTGTAAGTGCAACAGCCACGGATACCAACCAATACAGGAATGTGTTATTGCATTAATGGTGAAAATACTACAGGAGCCGTTGTCATCAGAAAATTTCATAATTTTCTAAATTATTGAACAACCCTCAGGTAAGTTCTCAATCTATGAAAGTATAATCAGCGTTCAATTTGTGTAGTATTTGCTTTTCTAGAAAATTCAGTATATAGTGCGTATAAAAACTGTAAAAGGCAGGGCACGGTCGCTCATGCCTGTAATCCCAGCATTCTGGGAGGCCGAGGCAGGTGGATCGCGTGAAGTCAGGAGTTTGAGACCAGCCTGGCCAACATGGCCAAACCCCATCTCTACTAAAAATACAAAAATTAGCCAGGCCTGGTGACTCGCACCTGTGATCCCAGCTACTCAGGAGGCTGAGGTGCCAGAATCACTTGAACTCGAGAGGCAGAGGTTGCAGTGTGAGCTAAGATTGCGCCACTGCACTCCAGCCCGGGAGACAGAGTAACATTCTGTCTCAAAAAGAAAAAAGAGAAAAGAAAAGAAAAAAAACTGTGCAAAAAGTACTTTCAGTATGTAAAAATAGATTAATGTTCTAGAAACAGATTTTATATATACATATATATATTTACTTATTTATTTATTTTTTGGACGGAGTCTCAATCTGTCGCCCAGGCTGGAGTGCAGTGGCACGATTTCAGCTCATTGCAACCTCCGCCTCCCAGGCTCAAGTGATTCTCCTGCCTCAGCCTCCTGAGTAGCTGGGATTACAGACGTGCACCACCACACCCAGCTAATTTTTATTTTTAGTAAAGACGGAGTTTCACCATGTTGGCCCGGCTGGTCTTGAACTGCTGACCTCAGGTGATCCCCCTGCCTCATCCTCCCAAGGTGCTGGGATTACAGGCATAAGCCATGGCATCCAGCCTAGATACAGATAATTATATCCTCATTCACCTATGTATGGAATGTCCGATCAGATGTTCAAAGGTCATGCAAGATTCAGGAGAATTTTTTTTTTTTTTTTTTTTTAGACAGAGTCTCACTCTGTAGTCCAGGCTGCAGTGCAATGGTGCGATCTCAACTCAAACCTCTGCCTCCCCGGTTCAAGTGATTCTCCTGCCTCAGCCTCCTGAGTAGCTGGGATTACAGACACCCGCCATCCTGCCTGGCTAATTTTCATACTTTTGTAGAGATGGGGTTTCACTATGTTGGCCAGGCTGCTCTTGAACTCCTGACCTCAGGTGATCCACCTGCCTCGACCTCCCAAAGTGCTGGGATTACAGGTGTGAGCCACTGCACCTGGACAATTCTTTCATGTGTTGAGTTGTTCTGTGTGTTTGAGGATGCCTGGTATCACAGTTCCCCGTACACTAAATGCCTCAGTGCCTCACAAACCACAAGACACCCCCAGGGAGTGGAGCCATCGTTGTTGGCTGAGGTTAGTGTTCCTGGTCTCTGTGCCCACTCTTCCCCATGGGAGAAGGAGTGACTTTTGATTGGTGAGTTTGGGAGAACCTCATCTCTTCTGTATAAATGCCTGGGAATTCCAGTTCTGCCCAGGACTGATGGGAGAGTTAACTCTAGGAAAGATAGCAAACCCATTAGGCTAATTATGTAAAGACATTCTCTACGCAGCTTTGTCAGCAATAAAGCTGACATTTTTCGCTCTCCATCTGCCTCCTCTCATTTTTCAAATGCTTGAAAGAAGCATTGAAGAAAGAAAAGAGCATTTGTTTATTGCCCCTCCACACACAGCACATTTGGAGAAAAGGATAGTCATTGTTACGCCAGGAGGGTTGGGGCCATCCAGGATGCATGAGTGGAGTGAGGCGTAAAGACCCACATAGAACCTCATCACATAGGCTGTGGCTTCTCAGAGGCCCAGGATTCTGGAGAGGAGCTCTTGGGGATTCTGGGAGAGGAGATAAGAGGAGGGAAAGTGCCACCCATGATTTCAACCATAGCAACTGTGGTTTTCTGTGTTTTATATTGGGTTCGAATATACATAAAATCTCATTTGTTTAAAAAAAAAAAAAGGTTCCACTGCAAAAAGAAAAAAAGAAAATGTTCGGCAACATCTGAGCTGAAGAGTTGGCAGAGAAAAGAAGAGCCCAGGAAGAGTGATAAGGAAGTGCCAAAAATGCAAGAGGAAAGAGGAATATTTGCAGACCAGGAAGCTGAGGAATGGAACTTTTCAAGAGGCAGAAAGTGGCTGAAGGTTGGGTAACACCATAGGGAGGTCAGGGAAGAGGAGGGCAGAAGAGTGACCACAGCGTTTATTGACATTGTGATCTTGGCAGGAACAGGCTCAGGGCAGTGTCAAGGGCCAACCCTAAATGGCAGGGGATTAAGAGGTAAGTAAAGAAGTGAGGAAGTTGAGACCATTTGGACTTCACTGTAAAGAAGATGATGGAGTCCTGGCACAGTGGCTCATGCTTGTAATCCCAGCACTATAGGAGGCCGAGGTGGGCGGATCACCTGAGGTCAGGAGTTGGAGACCAGCCTGACCAACATGGAGAAACCCTGTCTCTACTAAAAATATGAAAATTAGCTAGGCACGGTGGTGGGCACCTGTAATCCCAGGAGGCTGAGGCAGGAGAATCGCTGAACCGGGGCGGGTGGGGGTGACAGAGTTTGCAGTGAGCTGAGATTGCACCACTTCACTCCAGCCTGGGTGAAAGAGCAAAACTTCATCTCGAAAAAGGAAAAAAAGAGGAAGAAGATGATGGACCCTGGATGGTATTAGTTTCTCCAGTGCCTACTGGTTGTCAAAAAGGTCCATGCACAAAGGAAATTAAGTCGCTGCAATGTGCTGGACAATAGAGTATTATTCATGGTTGAAACAGAGAAATCCTTTTTCAAATGTGGTCGAAATAGGAGAAGCAAGGGGTCTGGGAGGAGTAAAACAGCACATCTTTGCCTGCTTTTCTGAAAGGACTGGTTGTAACCATTTTGTTGTTGTTGTTGTTTCATATTGAAGATAGCATTAATCTTTCTAGGAAGTCTGTAGTTCAGATGGGAGCTGCAGTTAACAATGCCCCCTCTGTTGCTAACACGTTAATGAATGTTGAATCAGCAGGAGAGAAATGACTTCTCCTCCCCCATATTCCATGTCCTGCTGATAGCAAGGACATACATGCTGCTGACTGGCTGCCTAATGGCCCATGGAATTCACTGAGGTGACATGGTTAGTGCTGGAGACCTCAAAAGGGCTTCTTCCTTCATTCTTAGACCCAGAGGAAAGCACTGGGAGGAATGAGAAAGTAGCGACTAGACAAAAATGAAAACTCTTTAAGAAGCATTGCTGAAGTTACAGGGGAAAAAGGTAAGAGTCTTAATGGTCATTTTTCTAAGTGCAGCTCTGAAATTGAAATGATGTTTGACCACTCCCACACAAAAACATGGTGAAGAGTGAGATGTGCTTGCATGGCTTTCTGAACTCCACTGGGCAGAAGACCTAACGAGACATGTTAGACCACTGGAAGGAACAAAGGCCCGTGTTCTTCTTCTGGCTCCAGTTCTGAGCTCGTAAGCCACTCTGTTTTCCACCAGTTGCATTCTCTGTGTCTTCATCCACTCATCAACAAAGCCAAATTACAGGCCACTGTGTGGATAATTCAGTCAAGCCTGCCATGTTGCTCAACCAACAGAAGAGAGGAGATTCAAAGGTCAGATGGGAAAGGTGCTTCATGCACTTAAGTTTAATCTCTTAACAACCCGGACAGGCATTATTACCCATTTTACAGATGGTAAAACAGGCCAAGAGAAACAAGTCACTGGCATAAAGTCCCTCAGCTGGTAAGTGACAGAGCTGAGTCAAAAGCCCAGATATGTCTAGCTGTAAATAGTATAAAATGAATGAGTGATAATTGAGTGAATGATAAAAATAAGGAATTAAACTTATGTTTTAGAGATTTTAAGTCTTATTAGGGACTTTTTTTTTTGTTTTCTTTTTTGAGACGGAATCTCACACTGTCGCCAGGCTGGAGTGCAGTGGTGTGGTACCTCTATTCACTGCAATCTCCACCTCCTGGGTTTAAGCGATTCTCCTGCCACAGCCTCTGGAGTAGCTGGGATTACAGGCTCAGGCCACCATTCCCAGCTAATTCTTTTTTTTTTTTTTTTTTTTTGAGACGGGATCTTGTTTTGTTGCCCAGGCTGGAGTGCAGTGGTGCAATGGTGGCTCTCTGCAACCTCTGCCTCCCTGCTTCAGCCTCCCGAGTAGCTGGGACTACAGGTGTGTGCCACCATGCCCGGCTAATTTTTTGTATTTTTAGTAGAGATGGGGTTTCGCCATGTTGGCCAGGCTGGTCTTGAACCCCTGGCCTCAAGTGATCCACTTGCCTCGGCCACCCAAAGTGCTGGGATTATAGGCGTGAGCCACCGCTCCTGGCCTAATCAGGGACTTTTGTTTCTTTCCCTGTTTACTTTCAGAATCACTTCTTTGCCCATAAACAACTGTGAGCCAGACAGTCCTGTCAATGGTCAGAGATTCAGTGCTCAACAAGTGATAAGTAGGCAAGCTCTGGCATCTCCTTCCTGCGGCACAAAAATCTGTGCAAGATTTATGAATCTTAAATGTCCACAAACCATGGAAAATATTAAGTGGAAAGCAGATTACACTATTTCGTTGTTAAACACATTTTGATATATCCACAAAATGGAATGCAACCATTAAAAAACATGATGTTAAAGAGTTACGAATGGTTTATTATAATGTAAAGTGGGAAAAAATGTGTGTGGACATTATTAATAATAATTGACATTGGGAGATGAGATCGTGGAGAATTTTTTTCTTCTTTTCTGTACTTTCTTGTGTTTCCAAAATTTTCTTTAATTAGTATTCAGGGTTTTTATGATTGAAAATATGGGCTGGACGTGGTGGCTCATGCCTATAATCCAAGCACTTTGAGAGGCCAAGAAGGGCGGATCACTTGAGTCCAAACCTAATGACAACTCAACTTTTCAGGGAAATGCAAATTAAAATTGTTCTGAGATGATCACTACACATTCACCAGAATGGCTAAAATTTTAGAGCCTGACAGTCGCAAGTAGGAGCAAGGAAGTGGAACCAGGGAACAGTCAAGCACTGCAGATGGCAAGGGTCCAGTGGGTGATTGGTAAAACCATTTGGCATTATCTACTGAAAACAAATGCCTGTCCAACACCTGGCAAATCCACTTCTAGGTATAAATTCAAGAGATATAAACACATATATCTACAAAAATATGTGTACATGAATGATTATAAGCAGCTTTAAAATTGAAAGTAATTAGTAGCCAAAACCAGGAAGCAGCCCAATGGCCATCAAGAGGAGAATGAATATTGTGGTCTGTCCATACAATAGAACACCACACAACAACAACAAGAACAACAAAAGAACAAATGACTGTTACACAGAATGACAAGAATGGGCCGGGCAGTGGCTCATGCCTGTAATTTCAGCACCTTGGGAGGCTGAGGCCAGAGGATTGATTAAGGCCAGGAGTTCGAGACCAGCCTGGGCAACATGGTGAAACCCCATCTCTACAAAAAATATAAAAATTAGCCCAACATGATGGCAGGCAACTGCGGTCCCTGCTAGTTGGGAGGCTGAGGTGTGAGGTTCACCTGAGCCCAGGAAGTTGAGGCTGTAGCGAGCCTCGATTATGCTACTGCACTCCAGCCTGGGCAACCGAGCAAGATTCTGACTCAAAAAAAGAATGACAGGAATGAATCACACAGAGTGTTGAGTGAAATAAGCCCACACAAGAGAATAATACACAGTGTGCATGATTCAGGAGTGTGATAAAGACAGCTCATACTAGCTCATGAGAACAAATTATTACATACATTTTTAGGAATTTTGCAATCCAATCATTAAATACATGCTTTATTTAAAATTAAATTATAAACTTACAACTAAATAAATTGCATATAAAGGTAGTAAACTCAAACCTCTTCACTTCCTAATAATTTTACCACATTTTTACTCTTGTCTATGCAATTGAGATTATTTGCATCTATTCTATTTGGTGGAAAAATATATATAATTGTGTTGTACTGTACATATATTTCCAATACCATGTTCAATAATCACACCTTGATTGCTTCAAATCAGCAGTGGCAATTGCTAGAAAAATTGACAAAGGAGGGCCGGGCGCTGTGGCTCACGCCTGTAATCCCAGCACTTTGGGACGCCAAGGTGGGGGGATCATGAGGTCAGGAGATCGAGGCCATCCTGGCTAACACGGTGAAACCCGGTCTCTACTAAAAATACAAAAAATTAGCTGGGCATGGTGGCGGGCGCCTGTGGGCCCAGCTACTCAGGAGGCTGAGGCAGGAGAATGGCGTGAACCCGGGAGGCGGAGTTTGCAGTGAGCCGAGATCGTGCCACTGCACTCCAGCCTGGGCGACAGAGCAAGACTCCGTCTCAAAAAAAAAAAAAAAGAAAAATTGACAAAGGTACGGATCAGGGCTCCTCCTCTTCCTCTTCCTCCTCCTCCTCCTCCTCCTCCTCTTCTTCCTTCTTCTTCTTCTCCTTTTTCTTCTTCCTCCTTTTCTTCTTCTTATTTTCTTTCTTCCTGTTCTTCTTCTTCTGCTGCTTCTTTTTGTTTTGAGAGCTGGTTGTCAGACATGTATCAGTACACCACTGCTATGATTACGTTTGTATGAAACTCACATATGGAGGTTAGTAGGCAGAAAGGAGATTACCTGGGGTGGTGCTGGGGGATCCTTCCCAGGATGAGGCAGCAGGAACCTTACAGAGTGATGGTAATATTATTCTACATTTTGATCATGGTGGTGATTCCATGGGTATAAACATCTGTATGCACTTTCTCTGGGTGATACCTCAATTTTTAAAATAATCTTTTTAAAACATGGGGTCTTGCTATATTGTCCAGGCTGGTCCCCCAACTCCTCAGCTCAAGTGATCCTCCTGCCTTGGCCTCCCAAAGTGCTGAGATTACAGGCATGAGCCACTGTAGCAGGCTAAAATAAATTTTAAAAAATTTTCAAAACAGTTACCCTGAAAAGAGCTCCCTCTGTAGGAAGGTGGGAGGTCTGGCATCCCCACAAAATTTCATGTTCCATCTTCATGGGGCAGCTGATTTACAAGGGACCCTGGAAGGAGAAAGAGTCCTTTGTAACTATTTCCTGTGACTAGACCATGAGCTTGGAGGACAGGACCTGCATTGGCTTAAACTTTATAACTGGCCAATAGTCCCCCTCAGTGCAGATAATAATGATGGCTAATGCTAATGCGTTTTATTGAGAACTGTTCTGAGTGCTTTGTATGAGTTAACTCAATCTCCTTAAAATGTGAGAGGATTTTATGATTCCATTTTTCAGATTAAGACAACTGAGGTTAAGGGCCTGACTCCAGATCACACAGCAAGGGAGATGGCAAAATCAAGATTTCAACCCAGGAAACCTGCCTCCCATGCCTATGTTAATCACTACACCCTTCCCACAATAAATAATCAAATAAGCTATTAAGTTGTTAATTAATTTGCAGTGGATAACATGGTGTGGCCCCCACTTCTGGGTCTTCTGACTTATATCTGTGAAAGATAGATGAAGGTTCAAACACTTGGGCTCAGTCACCTGCATTCCTACCCTTACCTACATGGCAGGTGTATTGCAGGACTTGTCTGATCTGAAGTTAAACAAAGGGGCAGTAGACATAAGTGACTGTAAAAGACCCAAAGGAAGAGACCCGAATGGCAGTTTTGGGTGCAGTTTGGTTGACTGTGCCAAGGGAGGCCCTCTGTTCCATGAGGGAAGTGGAAGCTCAAACAGAACACATCACAGCGCATTATCGCTGAACTCACCAGTTGAGTCCCATGCCCACAAGGAAAATATCGAAGTCTAAATATGTAGCCCCATTGCCCCTGGAAATTAATTAGCCTAAGCCCACCCTGTCTGAGCATCTGATTCTCCTTGCACACAAATAAATCTGCAGCAGGACCCGGGCACCATGAAATCCACTCTGAAATCACCTCCTAATTAGTTTGGGATGATTGATGGAATCAGTAAGCCAGACCTTGGATTTGCTTTAGGATCACAGAGCCCTTGGTTTTATGGGTGAGAAGACTGACATGCAGAGAGGAGCTGTCAAAAGGGAGGGTCCTCGTGAAATAGATAAGAGAACTTGGTCTCCAGACCCACCCATTTAGCTGGTGCACTGTCCAATGAGCATGGTGCCAAAAAGTGCTGCTCCAGTATCTAAGATCATGCCCTTGGAGCTATGACCATGGCCTCCACCAAAGCCCCATGCCACCATGACTGCTCCATCTCAGCAATGGTATTTGTTGAGTGCCAACAAAATCTGGGAAAGCAAACCAGAGCCAGTCTCCGGGTGCAGATGGTGGCAGGGCTATGCAGTGTGCTGAGGGAAGATTGCAGGGATCTACTCCTGGAGCTGGGGCTAGGGCTCAAGGGAGGACAGGGCAGAGCCCAGTTGGATCCTAGCGGGGTAAAAGTTCCATATCCCCTTAGCCTTCCTCCAAACCTGCATGCAACCTCTTCTCTTTTGGACGCTGTCTCCTCTCTCCTCTCCTCCCCTCTCCTTCCCTTTCCTCCCCTCCCTTCCCCTCCCTTCTTCTCTCCTCTCTTTCTTTTCTCCTTGCTCTTATTTTCCCTGTTTCCTCATGAGACAGCAGAAATAAATCAGAATGCTACAGTGCAAACAGGTTCTGGAGTTACATATATCTGCCTGAGACCCTGACCAGCTTACTCACAGGTCCTAAGTGTTCCTTGTCTGTCAAATGGGAAGGCTCATGGGATTATTAAAGGGTTTGGAAGAGACAAACGTATATATACACGCATGCATTGCTTTTTTAAAAATGTGATAAACTCACCAAGAAAAATAATAACAAAGTCTCCTTTATCATCTCCATCCTCATCCTTCTCCCACCCCTAGAAAAAGAGGTTATGCTTTCAATTCAGAAATGTTGCCCCTGGACCCAATTCAAGGACTCTGGATTTTTAGGGCCCTTGATCTCTCAGTCTTTACATAAGATGGTCCCTCGGCCTGGAACTACTTTCTCCCTCTCCTTCTTCATCTGGCTAATTCCTACTGACACATTTGACACATTAAGACTCAAGAGTCTCTTCTTCCCGGAAGCCATCCATTATCAAGAAATCCTCCCCATTCCGGAGTCCCTGAGCTGACCTCTTTCTAATCATACCTGTAAGCCTGGGGACACAGACACATCACTGAGAGTTTCTGCTTGGCGATCCCTTTCTCAACTGTCATTTGATGGGGGACATGAGACCTTCATTAACCATAGTATCCACAGGTCCAGCAGGGCACTGGCGCAGAGTGGGTGCTGTGGATGAATATCGTGGGGCCCAAAACAGGGCTATGAAATGTACGAATTCACCCTGAAGTGTTAGTGCTTAAGATTGCCTTTCCTAGTGACCGTGCTTACAGCAGGATGAAGGAAAGGCAACACAGAAAGATAATCTGCTAGTGGTAAAATTTCTGGTACTAGTGGAAGATAGATAAGCACAAAGATGGGGGTCTTTGCTAAAGCCCTTGAGATAAGAGACACAACTTTTCCACCTGGAAGGAAACTAAGCAGCCATCAGACTTATTTATTTATTTATTTATTGAGATAATAATCTCAATAAATACATTCAATAAATATATTTTGTTTATCCATTTATTTATTGAGACGGAGTCTTGCTCTGTCACCCAGGCTGGAGTGCAGTGGAACAATCTCGGCTCACTGCAACCTCCGCCTCTGGGGTTCAAGCGATTCTCCAGCCTCAGCCTCCCGAGTAGCTGGAGTTACAGGCATGCACCACCACACATGGCTAATTTTTGTATTTTTAGTAGAGACAGGGTTTCGCCATGTTGGCCAGGTTGGTCTCCAACTCCTGACTTCAGGTGAACCTCCCACCTCGGCCTCCGTAAGTGCTGAGATTACAGGCGCGAGCCATCGCGCCCGGCCGGATTTCAGTTGTTTTTCAGCTGTGCTCTGTGGATTTCCTAGATTCCTGGAAAGCATGGGGAGTGGGAAGGGCGGTTCCAGATTCCCCTCCCCCAAGTCTAGAAACGAAACTCTGCTACTATCTGAGCTTGAGTGCAAGATTTTCCATTCTG
The DNA here is from genome assembly GCF_000001405.40 of Homo sapiens. Lineage (NCBI taxonomy): Eukaryota > Metazoa > Chordata > Mammalia > Primates > Hominidae > Homo > Homo sapiens. The sequence continues at coordinate 25,528,421 of NC_000004.12, read as the reverse complement.
GGCTTGTGTGAGAGATTTTGTTTGAAGAAAGAGCTCTGTTAATGGAAAAACCAAAATATATATATATATTTGTTTGTTTGTTTGTTTGTTTTTTAGACGGAGTCTCGCTCTGTCGCCCAGGCTGCAGTGCAGTGGCGCGATCTCGGCTCACCGCAAGCTCTGCCTCCCGGGTTCAGGCCATTCTCCTGCCTCAGCCTCCGAGTAGCTGGGACTACAGGTGCCCGCCACCACACCCAGCTAATTTTTTGTATTTTTAGTAGAGAGGGGGTTTCACTGTGTTAGCCAGGATGGTCTCCATCTCCTGACCTCGTGATCCGCCCGCCTCGGCCTCCCAAAGTGCTGGGATTACAGGCAGGAGCCACCGCGCCCGGCCTTCTGTAAAATATTTTAAAGAGGTTTGCTCTGAGCCAATAGGAGTGACCAAAGCCTGGGAAAACACAAACCCAAGAAGCCTCGAATGAGGGGTCCTGAGGCGGTTAGGACACAATTCTGTTTTACACATTTTAGGGAAGTTTAAGTTATAGAAAAAGTCATAAAAAATCAATACATAGAAATTAGGTCGGGTACAGTGGCTCACGCCTGTGATCCCAACACTTTGGGAGGCCGAGGCAGCAGGATGACTCGAGCCCAGGAGTTTGAGACCAGCCTGGGCAACGTAGTAAGACCTGCCTCTACAAAAAATTCAAAAATAGTCAGGTGTGGTGACATGCATCTATAGTTCCAGGTGCTCAAGAGGCTGAGGCAGGAGGATTGCTTGAGCCCAGAAGGTAGAGACTGCAGTAAGCCATGATCACATCACTGCACTCCAGCCTGGGCAACAGAGCAAGACCCTATCTCAAAAAATGAAAGAGAAAAGAAAAAAAAAAAAAACACATGGGGGTTATACACTGGTTTGGCCCAAAAAGTCAAAATATCTTGGGACTTACAGGTTATAGGAGTTTTGTTTGTTTGTTTGTTTGTTTTTTTAATAGAGGCAAGGTGTCGTTGTTGCCCAGGCTGGTCTCAAACTCCTGAGATTAAATGATCCTCCTGCCTTGGCCTCCCAAAGTGCTGGGATTACAGACATGAACCACCACACCTAGCCTAGAAATTCTTTAATGTGCGATTGGTTGAAACTTTGTCTAAAAATATGGAGTCTGTAGAAAGGAATGTTTTAAGTTAAGATAAAGAAGTCTCTTGCCTAATACACTGTGTCAGAATGACCTGTAGGCATGGTAAGAGTGTATGACTTCACTCTTGTCTGGCATGGCCTTAGGTCCTGTTTATAATTTAGTATTTTGTCATCATAGTCTGTTTTGTTAATCATAATGATCTCTATTTTAACATAATGTTGATTAAGTGCCTACACTCCAAAAGGGAGGGGATGTAACAAAGGCTTCTTTGACCTGCCTTCCTGTCATGACTGGGAATTAAGTTTTTAAGATTTTTTTAAGATTTTTTAATTCTTTTTTTTTTTTTTTTTTTTTTTTTGAGACAGAGTGTTGCTCTTTCGCCCAGGCTGGAGTGCAAGTGGTGTGATCGCAGCTCACTGCAACCTCCACCTACCGGGTTCAGGCGATCCTCCCGCCTCAGCCTCCCGAGTAGCTGGGACTATAGGGTGTGTGCCATCATGCCCAGCTAACTTGTATTTTTAGTAGAGACAGGGTTTCATTGTGTTGGCCAGGCTGGCCTAGAACTCCTGACCACCTTGGCCTCCCAAAGTGCTGGAATTATAGGCATGAGCCACTGCACCTGGCTGGGTTTTTAAGATTTTTCTAGCCGGGCACGGTGGCTTACACCTGTAATCCCTGCACTTTGGGAGGCTGGGGCAGGTGGATCATGAGGTCAGGAGATCGAGACCCTCCTGGCTAACATGGTGAAACCCTGTTTCTACTAAAAATACAAAAAATTAGCCAGGCATGGTGGCACGCACCTGTAGTCCCAGCTACCTGGGAGGCTGAGGCAGGAGAATCGCTTGAACCCGGGAGGTGGAGGTTGCAGTGAGCCAAGAGGGCTCCACTGCACTCCAGCCTGGGTGACAGAGTGAGACTCCATCTCAAAAAAAAAAAAAAAAAGAAAAAAAGAAAAGGAAAAAGAAAAAACAATTTTTTTCTAGGGTCCTCTTGGCTAAGAGGGGGTCCGTTCAGTTGGTGAGGGCTTAGGATTTTATTTCGAGTTTACAGTTTTATTGCAAAAAAAAAAAAAAATCGACCTTGTCCAACTCACCTATTTTATAGTTGAGTATGCCAGTAGCCCAAAATGACACAGTAGATGCCCGGATCTTTCCCTTTTCCCACCAGTGCTTATTTCACTACCTGCATTGGTCTCCAAAACACATTGCACTCAGCAGGCTGCCCGCAGGCAGGAAGGGCTCCTGGCATACCCCACACCTCCAGGGCAGTCTTCTGGCCATAGGGCAGTCTTCTGACCATAGGCCTCCCGGGTCCCTTTCCAAAGTCATCCTCCCTTAAAGAGGAGGGGCAAGTTGATAGGGCAAAACCATCTGATCTTACTGTTCTCTTATTTATGTATTTATTTGAGACGAAGTGTCGCTCTGTTGCCCAGGCTGGCGTGCAGCTCACTGAGTAGCTGGGATTACAGGCGCCTGTCATCACACTCGGCTAATTTTTGTAATTTTTGGTAGAGATGGGATTTCACCATGTTGGCCAGGCTGGTCTCCAACTCCTAAACTCAAGTGATCTGCCCTCCTTGGCCTCCCAAAGTGCTGGGATTACAGGCGTGAGCCATCACGCCCGGCACTGTTCTCTTTTTTAGATGACAAAACTGGGGCACAGCTTCTGTAGCTCATCCTTAGTGAAACCCAGGTCTTCCTGACTCCACTATCACACAAGGCTGAGTGTTCGCCGGGTAATGTGGACACTGTGTGTTGAAGGAGCTCAGAGAAGGCTGTTTGGGCTGGAGCTGAGGAGGAGAGAGGGATGGCCATATGAGGGTTGGCGAGCAGATTCCCAGGCCCATTGAAAATGAGAGAAAACACCATGGCCTGCTGGGCGCGGTGGCTCACCCCTGTAATCCCAGCGCTTTGGGAGGCCGAGGCGGGCAGATCATTTGAGGTCAGGAATTCCAGACCAGCTCTCTGGCCAACATGGTGAAACCCAAACTCTACTGAAAATACAAAAAATTAGCTGGGTGTGGTGGCAGGCACCTATAATCCCAGCTACTCGGAGGCTGAGGCACGAGAATCACTTGAACCCAGGAGGCAAAGGTTGCTGTGAGCCGAGATCGCGCCACTGCCCTCCAGCCTGGGTGACAAAGCCAGAGACTCAAAACAAACAAATAAACAAACAAACAAACAAACAAAACACCATGGCCAAGGGTGAGCTTCAGAATTACAGCTGCTGCTTCCTGAGCCTCTGGGAAAAAAAAGAAAAAGTTTCAGTCATCACTGTTTCAGTGTTCCTCCTGCTAAGACCATTTGGAATAATTCTCTCTGTAAATGTTAAGGTCCTTCCGGGTGCTTATATCAAATTAAATATTGCCTACTGACTCAGGCCTGCCTGCCACAGAGCCAAAGAAGCAACGCAAATAAAAGGCACACAGGGCTCTATCATCCTGGGGATGTTTTCTTTATTTGTATCTTCTGGAAACCAGCTGACTGAAGACAATAGTCCTTTAAGGATTTACCAGCAACTAGGGCTGTAAATTACCATAGGTTCCTCCTGAAAGCCCAAGACAAAATCTTCCCCAGGGAGAAAATAAACAAGAGCTATTTCTTTTTATGTGAATCCTGACTCTTCAAGTGCCCTTTCCTTCTAATAAGATTTTTTGCATTTTTCTCCAGGCCTCCAGTTTGTCTTCATTATTGTTAAATGTGGGAAATACAGTCCTGTGAGCTGAGCTCAAGTCAGGAGCCAGCTGAAGTGTGTGAGATGCCCTCAAAAGAAATAATAGTAACAGCTAGTGCTCTTGTAAATACTTTACCTGAGAGAATGTATTTAATGCACAGGAGAACTCCATGGGGTGAATGCTGTCCTCATAATCCTCATTTTAGGGTGAAGGAGACGGAGGCACAGACAGGTTGAGCCACTTTGTTCAAAGGCAGAAAGTGTGCGAGAAGCAGAGCAAGCTTCAAACTCAGGCAGTCAGGATCCCAAGCCATAATCTAAACTACCATGCTCCACAGTCTTTTTTATTATTCTTATTATTTTGAGGCAGGGTCTCATTCTGTCACCCAGGCTGGGGTGCAGTGGTGCAATCACGGCTCACTACAGCCTCGACCTCCTGGGCTCAAGCCGTCCTCCCACCTCATTTTTGTTGTTTTTTTTTTTTTTGAGGTCTCACTATGTCGCCCAGGCTGGTCTCAAACTCCTGGGCTCAAGCAGTCTGCCTGCCTTGGCCTCCCAAAGTGCTAGGATTACAGGTATCAGCCACCGTGCCTGGTCCGCCCCATAGTCTTGTTGTTTTGTTTTGTTTTGAGACAGAGCCTCACTCTGTCACCCACGCTGAAGTACAGTGGTGCGATCTCAGTTCACTGCAACCTCTGCCTCCTGGGTTCAAGCGATCCTCCCACCTCAGCCTCCCAAGTAAGTAGCTGGAGTTTCAAGAGGTGCGCCACCACACCCGGCTAATTTTTGTATTTTTAGTACAGACGGGGTTTCACCATGTTGGTGAATAGGCTGGTCTCAAACTCCTGACCTCAAGTGATCCGGCCACCTTAGCCCCCCAAAGTGCTGGGATTATAAGTGTGAGCTACTGTGCCCAGTCCACCCCACAGTCTTAAGCGCTTAGTACAACTGCAGGTCAGGGTGCTCCTGCTGGAGCAAAGCAGAATCCACAAGATAGTGAGATGACTGGGACCTTGTCCAATTTCATTGAGAAGGGTGAGTAATCATTCCTTTGGACTGGGACCAGTATCGATTGGAAGGCTGACTCTGACATTTACTAGTGGTGTGACCTTGAGCAAGCTGCTTTCTCTCTGAGACTTCCTTTCCTAATGAGTGAAATGGAGGTGTCAGTATCCCCGTCTGTGGGGCCCTTGCTGAGGATGAAAGCATGAGCACACTGTAAGCAGCCAGCTGCTGTGGATTCCTCCCCTATCCTCTTGTGCCCACCCCACTCCTAGCCTTTATTAAACTAAAAGCTGCTTCCTTGAAACCTTCACCTTTTGACACTGCTTAGATCCTATATTCGTTTGCTAGGACTGCTATGACAAAGGACAACCAACTGGGTGGCTTAAACAACACAAATGCATCGTCTCAGTTCTGGAGGCTAAAAAGTTCAAAATCAAGGTGTTAGCAGGGTTGGTTCCTTCTGAAGACTGTGAAGGAGAATCTGTTCCAGGCCTTTCTCCCAGTTTCTGGTAACCTCAGACACTCTTTGTAGATGACATTCCTTTTCCCTGTGGCTTCGTAGCATCTTCCCTCTATCTTGACTGTCTTATCTGTCCCAGTATCTGAATTTCCCCCCTTTATGAGGGCACTAGTCATATTAGATTAGGACCCCCTTTAGTGACCTCATCTTAATCATCGGCAAGACCCTATTTCAAATTAGATCACATTTACAGGCAGTGGGGAGTTAGGACTTCAATATCTTTCTTTTTTTTTTTTTTTCTTGAGACAGGGTTTCATTCTGTTACCCAGGCTGGAGTGCAGTGGCATGATCTTGATTCACTGCAACCTCTGACTTCTGGGCTCAAGCAATCCTCCACCTCGGTCTCCTGAGTAGCTGGGACCACAGGCATGAGCCACCACACCCGGCTAATTTTTTGTATTTTTGGTAGAGACAGTGCTTCACCATGTTGGGTAGGCTGGTCTGACCTCAAGTGATCCACCTGCCTCAGGCTCCCAAAGTGCTGGGATTACAGGCATGAGCCACTGCACCTAGCCCAGGACTTCAACATCTTGTTGGGGTACACAATTTGACCCATAGCATGCCTCATGAATTATGCCAAAGAAGTCGCCTTCCTGCTCCAAACCTCAGTACTTGGGACACCTGGACACAGCTATTATGTCTCCTGTTAGTCTCCCCATTCCGTTTCTGGAGAGATCTTTCTTATGTTCAGACTTCTAGAGGATCTCCTTTTAAATGCCAGTCCCAGGGCACAACAGGTTTCTCCATAGGCAGCCCATCCACCAGGCAACATGAGGAATCTACCACTTCCCAAGAAAGAAAAACTTTTGTTCAATTAATGCAGGCAATCAGGCTGGTTTCCCCAGCCTACCCATGCAGCTGAATTTTTGAACTTGGGTACAAGAGTTTACATTTAAGGCTAGGTGCAGTGGCTCACGCCTGTAATCCCAGCACTTTGGGAGGCCGAGGCGGGCAGATCACTTGAGGCCAGGAGTTTGAGACCAGCCTGGCCAACATGGCGAAACCCCATCTCTACTAAAAATACAAAAATTAGCTGGGTGTGGTGGCTGTGCCTGTAATCCCAGCCATGCAGGAGGCTGAGGCAGGAGAATCACTTGAACCCAGGAGGCAGAGGTTGCAGTGAGCCAAGATTGCGCCACTGCACTCCAGCCTGGGCAGCAGAGCGAGACCTTGTTTCAAAAAAAAAAAAAAAAGAAAAAGAAAGAGTTTACATTTAAAATTGATTGGTTAAAATAGAATCTAATGATCCCAAAGAGTTTTTGTTTTGTTTTGTTTTGTTATTGTTTTTGTTTTTTAGTTGAGACAGAGTCTCGCTCTGTTGCCCAGGCTGGAATGCAATGGCATGATCTTGGCTACCCAGATCCTCTATCTCCTGGGTTCAAGCGATTCTCCTGCCTCAGCTTCCCAAGTAGCTGGGATTACAGGAGCCTGCCACCATGCCCAGCTAATTTATTGTATTTTTTGTAGAGACCGGGTTTCACCATGTTGGCCAGGCTGGTCTCAAACTCTTGACCTCAGGTGATTCACCTGCCTCGGCCTCCCAGAGTGCTGGAATTATAGGTGTGAGCCACCGCAACCAGCCCCAAAGAGTTTTGAATCTGCATTTCATCATCTGTTATGTCCCCCATCCCTCTCAATGTTGTTTCATCTGAGGGTCAAATCAGTATACCTTTCCTGCCCTCCTCTTGTTGTGACCAAGCGAGTTACAGAGAAATACCACACTTTGAGACAGATTAGAGAGTCCTTCATTAGCCGGCGACCGAGAGGCAGCTAACGCTCAAAATTCTCAGCCCCGAGGAAGGGACTAGTTTTGTTTCTATACTGTGGTCTAAATAGGGGAGTGGGGATTTTAGCTGAAGCAATTTTTACAGAAGCAGAACTGGCAAAAAGTTAAAAAAATTAATTGGTTACAAATGCAGTTACAAAAAAATAAACAGTTCCAGGTGCAGGGGCTTAAACTATCACAAAGAGATAAATGCAGGGGTTTTGGGTGCCATCCACCGCGCGCATCCCCAGGAGCTGCTGGTGCAGTTTGCCTCAATATCTTATCAGTAGGTGCATTCCTGGACGTGCTTTGAGTCAGTTTACACTAGTTATGCCTTAAGGGAGGGAGGTGAAAGGGGGCTGCAGGCGAAGAAACTAAAATGGAGTCTGTCCGGCTCTCTCTCTGCTAGGAGAGAGTCACTCAGGTTAAAACAAGGTAGGGTATCACACTCTTTAAGTCATCAAGAAGAATATTGGGAGTATGCAACCCCTCAAAGAGGGTGACATCTCTCCAAGGGGGCAAAAAACCTTTTACTCTTTTTATATAGAAAGCACAGATAGGCGTACGGTCCATAAGCAGATTGAAGGTGTATCATCTGTGGTGTTAAAATTTCATAAGGGGGGTGGGTATTCAGGAAAAACAATAAGGGTCCTCAGGGGAATGATAATTTTTTAAAGTTTGAGAAACAGTAGTCTAGAGGATAAAGCTCTGGACAAATATCACATGAGTCTGCTGGACATCTCCCCAGAGCTGCCAGACCCCTCAAATGACATGGCTCTAGCTGCAGCAGGGCCTTCTGGCTCCATCAGGGCCAGCTGACCATTTTCAGATAGGTAGGGATGCAGGAATGTTTTTTTTTGTTTTCGTTTCTTTTCTTTTCTTTTCTTCTCCTCTCCTCTCCTCTCCTCTCCTCTCCTCTCCTCTCCTCTCCTCTCCTCTCCTCTCCTCTCCTCTCTTTTCTTTTCTTTTCTTTTCTTTTCTTGAGATGGAGTCTTGCTCTGTCGCCCAGGCTGAAGTGTGGTGGCGCAATCTTGGTTCACTGCAACCTGTGCTTCCTGGGTTTAAGCAATTCTCGTGCCTCAGCCTCCCAAGTAGCTGGGACTACAGGTGCACACCACCCACAACTGGCTAATTTTTGTATTTTTAGTAGAGATGAGGTTTCACAATGTTGGCCAGGCTGGCAGAAATGTTTTCATATACACTAAGACATTGTGCAACGATGCCTTCTTCAACAACTAAGAGGGCACAAGGATCAATGATCAATTCACTCGAGCTCTAAATGGGCATTAAATCATTATCGATTCATTCATGCATTCATTCATTCACTAAATTTGAGTGTTCTAGGAGCTGGGGATACAACAATGAACAAAATAGATTTGTTTTAAAAGGTCTTCACTTTCATGGAGCTTACAGTCTAGAAAAGGTTGAGATATGGGGAAGATAGACAATAAAGAAACAAACAAAAACTAAATTGTATTGTCAGATGGAGATGAAGTGCCAGGAAGAAAAAAAAAGCCTCTTAAGAGCTGTGGTCTGAGGGGTTTTTAGGGAGGTAAAACCATTCTGTATGACACAGTAGTGACAGATACATGTCATATTGCATTTGTCAAGACCCACAGAGCCATGCAACATAAAGAGTGAACCTCGTGTAAACTATGAGCTGTAGTTATTCATGTATCAGTATTGGTTCATTAAGTGTAACAAATGTACCACATTAATGGAAGATGTTAATAATGGAAGAAACGGTTAGGAGCTGCAGGGGAGGTGGGGAGGGCATGTTGAACTCTGTACTATCTGCTCAATTATTCTGTAAATCTAATACTGTACTACATAAATAAAGTCTAGTAACTTTTTTAATGCCAGAGTCTGAGCCCATGCAAAAAAAAAAAAACAAAAAAAAAAAACAAAAGCCACAGAGAAAAGAAAGGGCACCACCGGTAGGTTTGGAATCAGAAAATTTGGCAAGAAGAGAGTTGAAAGGGGTGTGTGTATGAGTGAAATTGACTTTGGCCAGGTGAAATGAATCCGTGTGCCAATAGGAGTCAGGTGAAATAGTGCAACTAGGAAGAAACAAGAGGAAATTGATTCCAAGAGATGCTGCGGAACAATGAGAGCAGAAGAGCTCAAAGAAGCAGCGCATAGCAGTTTTGAAAAGAGCTTTAATGATAAAATATAGAAGCCACAACTACACAAGGAGGAGAAAAGAAAGAAGTCAAGCTGTGATCAATTTTAAAGGGAAGTTCTGTGCTAGAAACAAGGGCGATGGTAATCATGCACATAGAATTTAGGAATTAGGAGTGGAGAGGAAATTACATGCCATTTTTATCCTTCTCTCAGACATGATTTCCAGCTTATAATTAATTAGAATTAGTTTTCTGAGTTTTCCCAGCTATACCAAACTGTGAGAAATAATAATGAAGAAAAGGAACATTTCATTATACCTAGATTAATTCATCACAGGAGTCTAAACAGCTGACAAATTTTTCATTGCAGGGACTTGAAAGGCCACATGCTTGCAATAACAGAAGACTTGTAAGGAAAGGAATCAGACCTATGGGTAAGCTAAAGGCAGGAGTGACTTCATCAATCCATAAGCAGCACAAGTGAACATTGAGTCTCTATGCCCTACATATCCCAGAAAAGCTCTAGGGACTGTCAGTTACACACAAGGGGCACAATCCTGCCCCTGCCCTCAGGGGGATTATAGTCTTATTGGAAAGACTAGACTTGCTCACCTGAAATACAGAGAATAAAGGTGAATAAAATAGTATTTCACTCAACAGATAGAAGAGAGTGAGTGCTATGGACTGCAGGTGTGTGTCCCCTGCAAATTTGTATGTTAAAGCCCTAGTCCCCACTGTGATCGTATTTGGAGCTGAGGCCTTTGGGAGGTAATTAATGTCAGGTGAGGGAAGAGGGTTAGCGCCCTCATGATGGAATTAGTGCCTTTGTAAGGGGACGAAGGGACTAGTGCATTCTCTCTCTCTCTCTCTCTCTCTCTCTCTCTCTGCCATGTTAGGATACAGCAAGGTGTCTTTCCACAAACTAAGAAGAGAAACCTCTCCAGGAACCCCATCAGTTGGCACCTTGATCTTGGACTTTTCAGTCTTCAGAACTGTGAGGAAATGTCTGTTGCTGAAACCATCCAGTCCATGGTGTTTTTGCTGCAGCAGCCCAAACTATAGCTCAAAATAAAAAGGGAAGTCAGATTATGTGGGCTAAACTATGCTTCTACTTTCTCTCCAACAAGAGAAAGTGAGCAAAGAATGGAGACTTCAGGAGGTTAGGACTACTGCAGCGACTATGGTCCTTTGGTCAAGGAACCCAAGGATGACATTGAGATAGAGATACCAACCAGATCAGCAGTTCTCAAATGAGAGAGGCAACCTCACATCACCCTCAACCCCAATAGACTTCTCCTATCCCTGCTGTTAGCCAAGTCTTCCCTTCTGCCCAGAGAGCTCTCAGCCTTCTCTGTGTTCTACACAGCCTTTAAAACCAAGTTCAAGTTCCAACTCTTCGACAAAGCCTAACATTGATCTCATCTTTCTCAGAATTCCATCGATACACATGATGTATACCATTTGCTTACTATCCTCATATGAAACGTGGTGTGACAGGCAGCATTGAATTTGCAGTAATATCTGGATTCCACTGGAGAGTCACTCCTCACTAGCTATGTCAACCAGAGTGGATTATTTAGCATCCCGAAGCCTCAGTTTCCTGATTTGCAAAATGGGAAAAATGAGAGGATTCAAAGCCTCTATCCTGAGGACATAGAGCAATGGGAACTCGCATATATTATTGGTTGGGTGTAAATTGATCCAAGCCCTTTGAAAACCATTTGCTAGTGTCTCCTAAAGTTAAATCTATGCCTGTTCTATGAGCTAGCAATTCCACTCCTAGGTATATAACCAACAGATATGAGCGCTTAAGGCTGGGCGCAGTGGCTCACACCTGTAATCCCAGCACTTTGGGAGGCCGAGGCAGCAGATCACCTGAGGTCGGGAGTTTGAGACCAGCCTGACCAACATGGAGAAACCCAGTCTCTACTAAAAATACAAAATTAGCCAGGTGTGGTGGCACATATCTGTAATCCCAGCTACTCGGGGGGCTGAAGCAGGAGAATCGCTTGAACTCGGGAGGTGGAGGTTGTGGTGAGCTGAGATCATGCCATTGCACTTCAGCCTGGGCAACAAGAGCAAGACTCCGTCTCAAAAAAAAAAAAAAAGAAAGAAAGGAAAGAAAGAAGGAAAGAAAGGAAAGAAAGAAAGAAAGAAAGAAAGAAAGAAAGAAAGAAAGAAAGAAAGAAAGAAAGAAAAGAAAAGAAAAGAAAGAAAGAAAAAAGAAAGAGAGAAAGAAAGAAAGAAATGAGTGCTTAACAAAGGTGCCAAGAACATACATTGGGCAAAGGACAGTCTCTTCAATATGTGGTGCTGGAAAAACTGGATATTCATATACAGAAGAATGAAACTAGACCCCTATCTCTTACCATATACAAAAATCAAATCAAAATAGATTAAAATGGATTAAAGACTTAAACCTAAGACCTCAAACTATGAAACTACTACAAGAAAACATTGGGCACATCAAGTTAAAAAGCTTATGCACAGTAAAGGAAACAATCAACAAAGTGAAGAGACAACCCACAAAATGGGAGAAAATATTTGCAAACTATCCATCTGACAAGGAACTAGAATATATAAGAAGCTCAAACAATTCTATAGGAAAAAAATCTAATAATATTACTTAAAAATGAGCAAAAGATCTGAATAGACATTTCTGAAAAGAAGTCATACAAATGGCAAACAGGCATATGAAAAAATGCTCAACATCATTGATCATCAGATAAATGAAAATCAAAACTACAGTGAGGTACCACTTCCAGTTAAAATGGCTTTTATGCAAAAGACAGGCAGTAACAAATGCTGGGGAGGATGTGGAGAAAGGGGAACCCTTGTACACTACTGGTGGGAATGTCAATTAGTACAACCACTGTGGAGAACAGTTTGGAGGTTCCTCAAAAAACTAAAACTAGAACTACCTTATGATCCAGAAATCTCACTGCTAGGTATGTGCCAAAGAAAAAGAAAATCAGTGTATCGAAGAGATACCTGCACTCCCATGTTTATTGCAGCACTGTTCACAACAAGCAAGATTTGGAAGCAACCTGTGTCCATCAGTAAACAAGTGGATAAAGAAAATGTGGTATGTATACACAAATGAGCACTATTCAACCGTATGAAAGAATGAGATCCTGTCATTTGCAACAACATGGATGGAACTGGAGGTCATTATGTTAAGTGAAATAAACCAGACAAAAAAGGGCAAATTTCATATGTTCTCACTTATTTGTGGGAGCCAAAAATGATGGTTAATGGGTATAAAAATATAATTAGATAGAATGAATAAGGTCTAGTAGTTGATAGCACAACACGGTGACAGAGTCAACAACAATTTATTGCACATTTTAAAATAACTACTTGGGTGCAGTGGCTTATGCCTGTAATCCCTGCACTTTGGGAGGCAGAGGTGGGCGGATCATTTGAGCTCAGGAGTTTGAGACCAGCCTGGGCAACATAGTGAGATCTCATCTTAGCTAATTTTTAAATTTTTTTGTAGAGCTGAGGTCTCACCATGTTGTCCAGGGTGGTCTTGAGCTCCTGGGCTCAAGTGATCCTCCCGCCTTGGCCTCCCAAAGTGCTAGGATTATAGGTTTAAGTCACTGCGACTGGCCTATTTCAACTTTAAAAAGTAAATAAAAAGGGAAAAGAGCATCTGGCCTTAGCCAGAATGTGGATCCTCAAAATATGTACCCATGATGGCCAAAGGGGAGGGGTGGCCAGGGTTGGGAGAGGAGTGGGGAGCTGCCTGCCTGGCTCCTTCAAGTCCCAGCAGCATGGAGTCAGAAGCCACCCTCCCACCTCCACCCCTAACCTTGATATGGTGCTGGATCTTGGGAATGCAAAGATTGATGTGACACGTTTCCTTCCCATGAGGAGCTCACAGTTGTCCACGGTGGCTGATTCAACCTTAAAAGGTCCATAGAATCCCGATACTCCCCACTGCCTGACACCCATTGTCATTCTCCAGGTTTGTTCAGCAGCCTCCTACCTAGTCTCCCAGTCTTGGGGAGCCACTGCATTGCCGCCACTGACTTGCTGCAAAATGCATGTAACCACATTGCCTCCTGCTTCAAGCCTCCTTTGCTTCCTCCCACCAAGTTTGAACTGCTCAGGATGGCACAGGCTGGCTCCCAGCCGCTGTGCCTGCCCCGCTTCCCTCTGCTCTCCTCCCAGCCCCGAGTAACCCCTCTTTATCTCCAGGCCTCTCTCCACAACGTTCAGCCCCTGCATCTCCCTCTTATCCTCCTGGGCCTTTGGCCTCTTTTCCAGCCTCCCAAAAACCCTGGGAGACATCTCCCTGACCAACGGGCCTATCACTTGAATCACTGGAGGGAGGCCAGACACCATGGGAGGCTCCTCTCAAGTTGTTTAAAAAACTTTCAGGCTGGGGGTGGTGGCTCATGTCTGTAATTCCAGCACTTTGGGAGGCCAAGGTGGGTGGATCACGAGGTCAGGAGTTCGAGACCAGCCTGGACAACATGATGAAACCCCCATCTCCACCAAAAATACAAAAATTAGCCGGGCCTGGTGGTGCATGCCTATAACCTCCACTACTCAAGAGGTTGAGGCAGGAGAATTGCTTGAACCCAGAGGCGGAGGTTGCAGTGAGCCGAGATCACGCCACTGCACTCTAGCCTGGGTGACAAAGCAAGACTAAATTCTCAGAAAACAAAAACAAAAACAAAAAACTTTCATTGTTTTTCTTCTGCTTTTTCTAAAATACATGCACATATTTTAGATTATTCAGAGGTCAAAAGAAGAAACCAAAAGTCACATTTCACCATCCAGATATCACAACTGTTAACGATGAGGTAACCAGAATGGCAATGACAATGACCCAGGGTCACTGTCTCTTGGCTGTAGTTTCTTATGGCCACCTTAAGACGACAGTTGTCCACTCTTTTTCTCTATGCTGTTTCAAAAAAGGGGATTATACTGAACATTGTTTTTTGTAAATTGCCTTCTCTCCCAAATGTATACATAGTAGTTGTTTGGTTCAAGGGCAGAAGAGTGTGTAGCAGATGTTCAATCCAGCCAGATCTAGAAACTCAAGCCATTAAAAAATACAGCTAGCAGCAAATCATGCAAGAAAATATGTTTCAAGGGCACTTCAAGAACAATGAGTACTTTCTCAAGACAGACAGACAGAGAGAGGAGGTCAGATTCATTAAGGTTTTCGGGCCGGGCTTGGTGGCACACGCCTGTAGTCCCAGCTACTCCAGAGGCTGAGGCAAGAGAATCACTTGAACCTGGGAGGTGGAGGCTTCAGTGAGCCAAGATCCCGCCACTGCACTCCAGCCTGGTTGGCAGAGCAAAACTCTGTCTCAAAAAAAAAAAGAAAAGAAAAGAAAAAAGAAAATATTTGAATAAGTATGTTACAATGTCACATAAGTATATTTAAAATTTTTTGAACTGAAGTAATTAATTGATGTGTTAATGTGTAACATTAGGAATAATGTTTTCAGCTGGGCATGGTAGCTCACGCCTGTAATCCCAGCACTCTGGGGACCGAGACGGGCAGATCATTTGAGGCCAGGAGTTCAAGACCAGCCTGGCCAACTGGTGAAACCCCTTCTCTACTAAAAATACAAAAATTAGACAGGTGTGGTGGCAGGCGCCTGTAATCCCAGCTACTCAGGCAGCTGAGAAAGCAGAACCGCCTGACCTGGGAGGCAGAGGCTGCAGTGGGCAGAGATCACGCCACTGCATACTGCTCTGCAGCCTGAGCCACAGAGTGAGACTCCATCTCCAAAAAAACAAAAAGAAAGGGAAAAAAAGAAGTGATGTTTTCGCCCTACATGTGAACTACAATAATGATATCTTATGTAATGCAATGATTAATGTGAAATGTAGTTTAGCAAAACAGTAAACTGTTCATAGAAAAATATTATAAATGCTTCATTTTTTAAATTAAAATTAAAAATTCAGGCCGGGTGTGGTGCACTTTGGGAGGCCGAGGTGGACAGCTCACAAGGTCAGTAGTTCGAGACCAGCCTGGCCAACATGGTGAAACCCCGTCTCTACTAAAAATACAAAAATTAGCAGGGTATGGTGGCATGCGCCTGTAATCCTAACTACTCAGGAGGCTGAGGCAGGAGAATTGCTTGAACCCAGGAAATGGAGGTTGCAGTGACCCGAAATCACACCACTGCACTCCAGCCTAGGGGACAGAGCGAGACTCTCTCAGAAAAAAAAAAAAAAAATTCAGTTCTGCAGTCTCACTAGCCTCTTTTTCTTTTTTTTTTTTTTTGAGACAGACTTTCACTCTGTCCACATTAGCCTCATTTCAAGTGCTCAGTAGCCACCTGTGCCTCTAGTTCCTCTACCGACTGATTATAAATCTGGGTTATGCAGTGCTCTGAACATCAGGCTAAGAAATTTAATTTTTTTTTTAATTTTTATTTTATAGAGACGGTGTTTTGCCATGTTGCCAGGCTAGTTGTGACAGGCTAAAGAATTTGACCTGTATCTTTGGCAAAGGAGGCAGTCACGCAGGTCGGCAGAGGGTGCCAGAAGGAATTCCTGTTTGGGAAGCTTGAATGGCATTAACTTAGCTGTCCACAGGGTCAGGGAGAGCCCGGAGACCAGTCAGGAACAGGGGCAGAAATCTGGACTTGGGTTTACAAGGGTTACACAAAAATGCAGGGAGCACAGAGGAGAAGATGCATTTAGAGGGCCAGAGAGGGAAGAATCATCAGGTCTTGGGAGATTCGATGGTAAAGGACAAAAAGAAAAGAGAGAAAGTTTTGCAGTGTGAGTCACTGGAGAAGAGCGAGGGTCCTGGACCTTCAGCTTGAAGTTCAGTTTCATTTGGTGCTATTCAACTCAATATTTGTTTTTCATGTCTGCTCCATGCTGGCCCTGTGTTGGTTTGTGGGGTACAGAGTGGTGAACCTCAAGCACTCAGCTGAGAGGGAATGAGCACGATGGTTATCCTGACTCTAGGAACTCAGTTCTTGAAGCCAGTCCTGAAGGAATAAAGACTACAGAGTAAAATCCTAAATTTTTTTTTTTTTTTTTTTGAGACAGGTTCTTGCTCTATCACCCAGGCCGGAGTGCAGTGGCACAATCTCGCCTCACTGCAACCTCCGCCTCCTGGGTTAAAGCCACCATCCCCGGCTAATTGTTTTGTATTTTTAGTACAAATGGGGTTTCACCATGTTGGCCAGGCTAGTTTCGAACTCCTGACCACAAGTGATCTGCCCACCTCAGCCTCCCAAAGTGCCAGGACTACAGGCATGAGCCACCGCACCCGGCCTATTCAAATCTTTTCTGCAGGCCGGGCGAAACAAAACAAAACAAAACAAAAAACAAATATTTTCTGCAGACAGTAAGAGGTAGATCGAAATACTGATTTTAATTATAATGCAATTAAATTTGTTTAGCTTAAAAAAAGTATGGGCAAATTTAAAAGTTTTAAGCAAAGGCATTCTACTGATGCAGAATTGAGTGGAGATGCAGAAACTAGCACCTGAAGAGTAAAGCCAAAAAAAGATGACGAAAGGTAATTGCAATTTGCTGCAGCAAATTGGTGTTTTTTTGTTGTTTTTTTTTTTTTTGTGAGAGAAAAAAATCTTTTTAAAATAATAAAGTGGCCGGGTGTGGTGGCTCACTCCTGTAATCTCAGCACTTTGGGAGGCTAAGGAGGGTGGATCTCGAGGTCAGGAGTTCGAGACCAGCCTGACCAACATGGAGAAACCCCATCTCTACTAAAAATACAAAATTAGCTGGGCTTAGTGAAACATGCCTGTAATCCTAGCTTACTCGGGAGGCTGAGGCAGGAGAATCACTTGAACCCGGGAGGCGGAGGTTGCGGTGAGCTGAAATGGTGCCATTGCACTCCAGCCTGGGCAAGAAGAGCAAAGCTCCGTCTCAAAATAAATAAATTAATTAAATAAAATAATAAAGTGGACAATATTAAGAGACATTTTCAGCATATGCATAGTGGATTTGATAAGAAGTTTCCTCTCAATAGTAAAAAAAAAAAAGAATCAACAAAATTAGTTACCTAAAAACAGAGTTAACATTAAACAAAAATTTGTTGAGTGTTTTAAACATTCGACAAAAATTTGTTGAGTATTTAATTTTTCTCCTATGTGAGAAGATATCAAGCAATAATGTTTATTTTATCTGAGACAGGTTCTCATTCTGTCACCCAGGCTGGAGTGCAGTGGTACAATCTCAGCTCACAGCAGCCTCTTCCTACCTGGGCTCAGGTGATCCTCCCACTTCAGCCTCAAGTATAATAGCTGGAACTAAAGGCATGTGCCAACATACCCAGCTATTTTTTTTCTTTCTTTTCTTTTTTTTTAGACATGAAGTCTTGCCATGTTGCCCAGGCTGGTCTCAAACTCCTGAGTCAAGGTATCTGCCCGCCTCAACTTCCTAAAGTGCTGGGATTAGAGGAGTGAGCCACTGCGCCAGGTCATCAATAATGTTTAATTTTAAAATAATTGTTAAACAAATCTAAACAGGATCTGTGCTTATAAACTTAGCCAGCTATAAAAAGACTGGAATTCTTTTTATACACAAAAGAAAAACACTTTAAAATATATTTATTTACTTATTATAGACAGGATCTCACTATGTTGCCCAGACTGGACTCGAAGTTCCAGGCTCAAGTGATCCTCCCCATCTCAGTCTCTCAAGTAGCTGGGACGACAGGCACGTGCCACAGTACTCAGTTGAAAAACACTTTTAGGTGAAGAAATGGTAAAATAAATTATTTTTTAACAATGGAAATATTGTTAGAAAATTCTGAGGAAAAGATTTTAAAAGATACTTCACAAAAAGAGAAAGCTCTTCAATTGAGCCCTCAAATAATTGTCCATAAAATATGAAGACTTTTCTAACAATAGCAAAGACCAATCAATAATCTTGAAAAATCACAAGTACTTTAGCTTTAGATGAGTCATTTGATATAATAGACACTGCCCAATTAATACTTTGGGTACTTTGTCTCAAAGGACTTCAAATTTATGAAGAAATGTCAATTCATAGCCTAAAAGAAACTTAACACGCGGCATGGATATTTTTAAATCTTTTATAACTGTCAAAGAAGAATTCCAGCCAGATAAGAAAAAAATTAGTTTCTTTCACCACAAATGGTAGTTCCATTATGCTGAATCAAAAATTTGGATTTATTAGAATTTTCAAATAAGAGACTAATATTTTCCTTATTGCTTAGCCCATTAGGTGATACATTTTGAAAATAGTTGTGCTTAGTTTTCTGCAGCCGACTCTGTGAAAAGCATCATAGATTAATATTGTTCATTGTATTCATTCAAATGCTATGAATCGTCTTCAGCTTAAGAAACAGTTGAAACAAATAGGAGATGACAGATTTAATGATCTTGTGGTCTTTGTCAATGCTCTTTGAGTCACGGAAGAGCTTTACAAAGGGTTACTGTATTTTTAACTCCAATTCAAGATTTTCTTTAAACAAAGGGAAGCTTGGCAAATTATCCCATAATAAAAGACAAAAAATGGCAGCATGATTTATGTTCTCTCATCAAAATTACACTGCATATCTGGCCGGGTGCAGTGGCTCATGCCTGTAATTCCAACATTTTGGGAGGCTGAGGGAGGCAGACGGTTGGAGCTCAGGAGTTTGAGACCAGCCGGGGCAACATAGTGAATCCCTGTTTCTATCAAAAATACAAAAAATTAGCCAGGTGTGGTGGTGCATGCCTGTAATCCCAGCTACTCAGGAGGCTGAGATGGGAGGATCACTTGAGCCCGGGAGGTGGAGATTGCAGTGAGCCCAGGTTGTTCCACTGCACTACAGCCTGGGAGACAGAGCAAGACCCTATCTCAAAAAAATGAAAGAAAAAAAGAAAAGAAAGAAAAAATTACACTGCACATGGATGAATGGATGAGCTAAATTTGAAACTCCAAGGTAAGGAAAAGCTTATTTGTTACATAGCTAGACATTTAATTAATGTTGAAACTGAAACTTAAAATACAAATCAATACAATGATTTTATACTTTTTTCTAAATGAAATTAATAGGCAAGTTATTTTCATTTAATTGAAACATGTTATGTAAGTTAAGCTGCAAAGACAGAAAAAAATGTGAAGGACATGATTATCATTGATAAATTTTGAGTTATTTTTCAATTATGTAGTATGCTTCAGATTTGACTCGAGTTGGTGAATTTACTTAACTTGAACAGATATAGTTTTGAAACTGATATACTTTTGCTCCAAAGTCAAATCCTTCTAGAAAGGATGAACAAGTTTTGTCAATATGAATGCAAATATTAAGGAAAAATTGTTTTTGGTATTTTTTTGGTTAGTGGAAAATATTTAAGTATATCTGGAACCTCTTAGTGATGAGTCTACTTTTTCAACTATAAATGTAATGAAATGTAATACAGATGAAGTATTTCCAATAAAAATTTTGCATTGAATCGAGATGTACTGTAAGTAAAAACTAAACACTAAATTTCCAAGACTTAACATGAAAAAAGTACATAAAATATTAATTAATATTTATATTAAGCACATGTTGAAATGATAATATTTTGGATGTGTTAGGTTAATTTCACTTGTTCTTTTAATATGGATACTAATTTTTTTTTTTTTTGAGACAGAGTCTCGCACTGTTGCCCAGGCTGGAGTGCAGTGGTGTGATCTCGGTTCACTGCAACCTCTGCCTCCTGGGTTCAAGGAATTCTTCTACCTCAGCCTCCTGAGTAGCTGGGATTACAAGCACCTGCCATCACGCTCGGCTAATTTTTGTATTTTTAGTAGAGACAGGGTTTCGCCATTTGGCCAGGCTGGTCTTGAACTCCTGACCTCAGGTGATCCGCCCACCTTGGCCTCCCAAAGTGCTGGGATTACAGGCATGAGCCACCGCACCCGGCCAGATACTAAAATTTTTTCAACACACATGTAACTCACATTATGCTTGTATTGGACAGCTCTGATAGAGAATATAACAGCCGTGATAATAAGACAAAAGTGCAAGACCTTTGCCTTGTTCATTGTTATATTTTCAGAGCCAAAAACTAGTGCCTGGCACATTCTAGGTGCTCAGAAAATAACAACTAAATAAATTAATCTACTTGTACCTCAGTAGTATAAGGAAGGGTCAGTAGCAGGAAATCGAAACCACTCCAATTATTTTAAGCAGAAAGGGATTTCAAATAGGAAATTAAGAATTTACAAACAGGTGGGCATGGTGGCTTATGCCTGTAATCCCAGCACTTTGGGAGGTCAAGGCCAGCAGATCACTTGAGGCCAGGAGTTCCAGACTACCCTAGTCAACATGGTGAAACCCCATCACTACTAAAAATACAAAAATTAGCCGGGCATGGTGCAGGCACCTGTAGTCCCAGCTACTCAGGAGGCTGAGGCAGGAGAATCTCTTGAACCGAGGAGGCAGACATTGCAGTGAGCTGAGATTGCACCACTGCACTGCAGCCTGGGCAACAGAGCGAGACTCCGTTTCCAAAAAAAAAAAAAGAATTTACAAATATCACTGGAAGGGCTGGGGCAGTGGACTCTAGACCAGGCCCCAGGACCAGCCTACCAGGGACGCTGCCACCACTAGGAAGGCAGGACTGCTGAAGCTGCTGGCTTCAGGAACACACCTCTTCAGCTGCTAAAACTCTGAGTATTAGATTTAGAGCCACACCACACCTGAGAGATCCAATCCAACAAAAAATAGATGAGCCTCACCCTGCCTCTCGACTCCCAAGAAGCTGATGCCCAGACAATGAAACGTGTTCCAGAAAAACCAGCAATGATATACTACTCATGGCACCATGCACGTGCCTTCCAATTCTCAAGCAAGTGTATCTGATTTATAAAACCAAAATCACACCCAAAAGCAACTACAAAGAAGCCTCTCCCACCTTCACATTTCCTTCACTGGGTAAACTCAGATTAAACATCCCTTCCTCCAGGAAGCCTTCCCTGACTTCCCCAAGACTATGTTAAGTTGGCATTCCATGTGCTTTATCTACATTTTTTATCAAATTTATTTATTCTAATGATAGGCCATTAGCTGCATGAGATGGGGCTGTGTCTGCTTATTCTCCGTTGTATCCTCCCCACCTAGTGGTAGATGATACATTCACATGAGTTGAATGAATTAATGAACATGAGCACAAAGATTTTTTTTTCTTTTTTGAGGCAGAGTCTTGCTCTGTTGCCCAGGCGGGAGTGCAATGGCATGACCTCGGCTCACTGCAACCTCCACCTCCCGGGTTCAAGCGATTCTCCTGCCTCAGCCTCCCAAGTAGCTGGGATTATAGGCATGCGCCACCATGCCCAGATAATTTTTGTATTTTTAATAGAGACGGGGTTTCATCATGTTGGCCAGGCTGGTCTCGAACTCCTGACCTCAAGTGATCTGCCTGCCTCGGCCTCCCAAAGTGTTGGGATTACAGGCGTGAGCCGCCGCACCCGACCGCGAAGAGCTAATTTTTTTTTTTTTTTTTGAGAGTGGCACCGGCTTTACTGTCTTTGTGGGGGCCTGGAAAGGTTGGGTCCTGGGGGGCAGCAAGGAAAGGCCGGGAAGCTGTGTGACCAGGGCCTCAGGTGGTGTGCATCTGGGGTTCCTCCACTTGTGGGTGTCCATTGGTATCACTGGTACAGCCATTGGTGGCAGCGGGTACCGGTCCTTTCTTGTTCGACACAGGGCAGGCGGCAGCCACGGGTCCGACTCACCTGAGGCCAGGCACTGGGAGCTCCATCTTGTGCACCAGGACCACGTGGTTCTGTGGCGGAAGCCCCACACAGGCCCTGTGGATGTTCTCGATGCAGCTGAGCTGGCGGAAAAGCGCACTGACCACCGGGCTGCCCGGCGGCACCAGCGGCGCCTTGAAGAGATGCTAAGCAGGGACGGCATGGGGTGGAAGGTCTGTGGCTCGGTGTTGTCATTGGTGCAGAAGCTCACGCAGTGGCACAGCTCGGTCACCAGCGCCAGGTCCAGGATGATGGGGGCGGCCAGCAGCGAGTCCTCGCACGTGTTGTGCAGTACCAGCGTGTTGGTTACGCCCAGCATCAGCTCCAAGGTAGACTCATCCAGCGCACGCTTGGGGTCACCCGCGTACGGCATGTACTTGATGACCACGCAGCGGTCAGGCTCCTCGCCAGGCGCGTAGAGCACTGGGTGTCTTTGCGCCATGTCGTCCACTACGTTGCTCTTGGACACCGCCTCAGAGGGAACAGCGATGGCGCCAACAGGTTCTGCCGGTCGTTGTTCCCCAGGTGGTTATAATTCACAATCGACTTGGTCTTGAGGCCATAGCCGATGAGGAAGTCCACGAGCACGGACTTGACTTTGGTCTGGCCTGACTTGAAGTCATCTCTGCCCACGTAAACCTGGCGCTGCCACGCGAGCCCAAGGGCTCCGGGCACCAGAGTGTTCTGTGGGGACCCAGAGGAAGGCACAGCCCTCCAGGATGCTGGCCACGGCGAAGAGCGTGGAGGGCGACACCTTCAGACCAAGCTCGATGGTGCGCAGCAGGGTCTCGGCCGTGTTGTTGAGACCTGGGACCACCTCACAGAAGCGCTCCATGTTCGCCGTTCACAGCGCTATGACTTTGTCCAGCCCTGCGCTAGACCGGAAGTCATCGGATGTCCCGGCGGATCTGCTCTAGCTGCTGCGCGCGCGTGCCCGGGATGAGGCTGTCCGCGCGCGCGTTCTGGTTGGCCGCGATGAACTGTGGGATGTATACCAAAGGCCGGGGCTGCAGGGCCTCCATGTGCGGCCACAGTTGCTCCTGCAGCCCTCAATCAGCACCTTCGCGAGCCGCATCGCCTCGGCCAGGTTCGGCGACAAGATGTCCCAGCCATCGAACACGAGGTCGTTGGGCGCCACCATGGGCAGCAGCCGCGGAAGGGCGCGAACACCTCCTGGCCCTTGGCGTCCAAGACCGGGCTCACGGTGCCCACCTGAGACAGTGAACCGTAGTAGTTGGCCCCCTTGCGACCCCTGCGCGTGGGCCAGGACAGACGCAGTAGGTTGGCCAGCACCGCGGCGGTGAGCGTGGATCCGTTGTTACCACCGCAGGCGACAAGCATGACCCGTAGCCTGGGCACATGCGGGCCGGGCGGTCCGGAAGGTGAAGTGCGTGGACTTGAGGTGCACCTCGAGGACGCCGCCCTTGCTTCTGACGCGCGTTGTCTGGTACTTGTACTGAGCCTCGATGGCCTCGAGGCCAAAGACCACGTCCTGGCTCTGGACCAAGAATTGGACGGCGGCCTCCATCGCGGCAGTCGGCGCGGAGTCGGCTCAGGCAGCGGCGGTGGACAGCGCGCTAAATTCTTTACCTAAGATTATCTTTCACTTTTAACAACCCTTTGAGTTAGACGGTATCCCCTTCATGTGATGCATGAGAAAACTGAGACTCAGAGTGTGACATGCCCAAGGACATCCAGGTGAAAGAGGACTTCGAACTTGGCTCTGTCTGATTCCAAAGCATGTGTGGTAACCACAGCACTATGTTGCCTGGGTTCAGGACCTGGACTTGACACTTGTCCTGGGACAAGTTGCTAATCTTTCTATGCCTTAGTTTTCTCATCTAAAAAATGAAGAGAGGGTAATGATGAATGAGTCAATGCCAAGGAGTTTCATCAGCTGTGAAACTGTTCAAGTACCACTGTTTGCACGACCCCGGTTCACTTCCAGGTCCCTCACGTGGGCCTGCGTGACTTCTAAAGAAGACCTGAGACCACCCCAGGCAGCATAGTGAGACCCTGTCTTTACAAAAATAACAATTAGCTGGGCGTGGTGCCTGTAGTCCCAGTTACTCAGGAGGCTGAGGTAGGAGGTTGATGCTGCAATGCTGAGACGGCAACACTGCACTCCAACTTGGGTGACAATGAGACCCTGTCTCAAAAAAAAAAAAAAAAAATGGAACACCCAACGTCCTTACAAGCCACCCTGGTACCTTCACTCAGATTTATTATGTTCATTGCAGTTCCCACTACTGCCTTGATCATTCCTTTAATTTTTTTCTATATTGTTTTTCTCTCCTACTATAGAAGAAAAGCCCTGTGAGAGCAGGGGCTTCGTTTTTTTCACCAAAGTCTCCTAGCACCTCCAATAGTACCTTGCATAGAGAAAGCTCTGGAAAGACAAATTTGCCTAATGAATAAATGAGTGATTTACATATTATTACCTCTATATGATGTATCAAAGTGTTAAAACCTGTTATAAGAGGAATGTAGAAAATGTGGTATGTTCATATAATGGAGTAGTACTCAGCCATGAAAAAGGAACAGCTGATGCACACACAAGGAGACTGAGGCTCAAAACATGTTTAGCAAAAGAAGCCAGGCACAAAAGAGTACGCACTACATGAGTCCACCCATGACATGCCAAGGATAGGCAAAAATCAGTCTTCGTATCAGAAATCAGAACAGTGGTCAGTCACCCCTGGGGCTGGGAACTGGCTGGATGGGGCATGAGAAAACTTTCTGTAGTGATGAAACTATTTTATCTTGATTGGAATTTAAGACACACAGATTTATATGTTTGCCAAAACTCACCAAATTTGTACATTTCAGATCTGTGCATTTCCATGTTACGTACATTTTTCTTCAAATTAAAAAAAAAACCAGCTGCGCACGGTGGCTCACGCCTGTAAACCCAGCACTTTGGGAGGCCGAAGTGGGTGTCTCACTTGGGGTCAGGAGTGCAAGACCAGCCTGGTCAACATGGTGAAACCCTGTATCTACTAAAAATACAAAAATTAGCTGGGCATGGTGGTGGGCACCTGTAATTCCAGCTACTCAGGAGGCTGAGGCAAGAGAATCGCTTTAACTCAGGAGGCAGAGGTTGCAGTGAGCCAAGATTGCGCCAGTGCACTCCAGCCTGGGTGACAGAGTGAGACTCCATCTCAAAAAAAAAAAGAAAAAAAAACCAAACAACCCTATTCTTGAAAGCAAAAGGAACAGCTTCTTCAAATCAAATAATTTTGAATGAAATCGCAGTTTGATTTAGTTCCAGTTAAGAGGGTATTTTGAAATTCTAGGTTCGTTTGTTTTAGAATTTCTACCTCAGGAGGCTATTGCCACAGTCCTGAGTACATGGGCTTTAATTTGTTTTGTTTTTGAGACAGGGTCTTGCTCTGTCACCCAGGCTGGAGTGCAGTGGTGTGATCTTGGCTGACTGCAGTCTCTACCTCCTGGGCTCAGGCAATCCTCCCACCTTAGCCTCCCCAGTAGCTGGGACCAAAGGCACACACCACCACCCCTAGCTAATTTTTTGTAGAGATGGGGTTTCACCACGTTGCCCAGGCTGATCTCGAACTCCTGGGCTCAACCCATCCTCCCGCCTCAGTCTTCCAAAGTGCTGGGATTACAGGCGTGAGCCACCCCACTCGGCCTTGTTTTTTTGACAGGGTCTCACTCTGTCACCCAGGCTGGCAATGATCATGGCTCACTGCAGCCTCAACCTCCTAGGCTCAAGCCTCCTTGGCCCTCTCAAAGTGCTGGGATTACAGGCATGAGCCACTGTGTCAGGCCCACGCAGGCTTTAGAGTCAGCCAGACCTGAGTCCAAACCCTACTGTGTCACTTACTGGCTGCATCATCTTGGGCACCTTCTTAACCTCTCTGAGCCTCAGTTTCCTCATTTGTAAAATGGAAATAACAGTGGTTACCTTTCAGGGTTTATCGTGAGAACTAAGTACATGCAAATCACTGAGCAGTGCCTGGCACATAAAAGGGTTGCATAGATGTTATACACTTACTAAGCAAATACTTTAATAAGTAGATCCCATAGCACAGGTGATTAATTTAACAAGACGACTTGATGTGACTGGGCGATTTAATTAACTAGAGGCTAAATGGATTTTCCTGAATCACTAATCCAGGAACACAGCCTCTCCGGTTTGCTGAAATGTAGCCATGCCTATGGTAATTTCTGGAAATATTGCTTATTCATAAAGGGACTTTCTCAGTACAGTGTGTGGAGAAGCCTAGAATTGAGGTAGAGAAGGAAAGCCAAAGGGCTATATTGTCTTCGATTATTCAAAAAACTGGTCTGCAAATTAAGGATTAAGTTTATTCTGTGGTTCCCTGAGGGGTGGAATTAAATCCAATAGGAGAAAATGACAGGGAACAGATTTCTACTCAGAATAAGGAAGGACGTTTTGTCCATCAGAGCTTTCAGAAAAAAGGGTGGGGGGAGGCTGTCTCTGAAAGTAATGAGCCTCCTGTCACTGGAGGTGACCAACCCTAGGCTGCATGAGCCCTTAAGTCCTATGTCTGTGTAGTGTTTTAGAGCTTCATATACATGCATGAGCTCGAAAGGAAGTTTATTGTCCTTATCCCCTTTTTACAGATGAAGAAATTGAGGTTTTGGGGAATATGCCCCTTGCCAGGTGTCACACAGGAGGGAGGTGGCACCACCAGGATGGGACCTCAGGTCTTTTAACTTCAACACAGGTGCTCAGTCCACTCAGGCAAGCCCCAGTGAGAGCGGTTATTCACCAATCCTGGCTCATCACTGGGTCACTGGGAATGCTTGGGGAACTTTTTTTTTTTTTTTTTTTTGAGATGTGTCTCACTTCGTCACCCAGGCTGGAGTGCAGTGGTGCCATCTCGGCTGACTGCAACCTCCGCCTCCCAGGTTCAAGTGGTTCTCCTGCCTCAGTCTCCTGACTAGCTGGGATTACAGGCACGCACCACGACGCCTGGCTAATTTTTGTATTTTTAGTAGAGATGGGGTCTCACCATATTGGCCACGCTGGTCCCAAACTCAAGTGATCTGCCTGTCTCAGCCTCCCAAAGTGCTGGGATTACAGGTGGGAGCCACCTCGCCTGGCCTCCATTTCTTAAGCTAAGTGGAACACAGGATGATGTGGTGACTCAGCCCCTCCACTGTTTTATATGACTGAGCTAATTCACTATAAAAATTTTAAGGCTTCTCATTGATGCTGTAAGCAACTAGGTTTGGGATCCATTAGGTGATCTCTAGGGTCTTTCTCAACCCTAAAATTATCTGACTTAAACAGCTGGAATGTGGGGGCAATTTCTGTAGCTCTACTGTAATTAGACCTGGTTCCCGCTGGGTTTACTAGTCACAGTTGTCAACGCAGTGCCCACGAGCCCACTCCCTGGCACAGAGTCAGAGATTTCGCTG
This sequence comes from Homo sapiens, assembly GCF_000001405.40. NCBI lineage: Eukaryota > Metazoa > Chordata > Mammalia > Primates > Hominidae > Homo > Homo sapiens. Next base: position 25,501,115 of record NC_000004.12, on the reverse strand, counting down.
TTGATCCAGACATTCAGCCAGCCCTGATGAAACCAGCTGCTCTCAGCAGTTCCAGGGCCATCATCACCTCTCTGGCTGCTGGAGCATCTGAGAGCATCCTGCAAAGTTTCTGGGTTGGCCCCATGTCAAGAAGAGCAGCTGCTGGCAGCAGGGGACTCAGTCAGTGTGTGTCCTACAAACCTCTTTAGGTAATTCTGCTTTAATCTGCCGCTCTCACATTTGGTTACAAGGATGACTGGTTTCACAGCACAGACTGACATGCAGCTGTCCCCACCGGCCACTGTCTCCAGGAGTTAAGCTGTGCGGGAGTTGCTTAAGCACAGGGTGGCAGGTGCAAGGTAAGAGGCAGAGCCCGTGCAGCCTCCATCCTTAGGAATGACTGAGTAGGACTGGCCAGGAGCTTGGGACTACCGGCCCCACATTCAGCCTGACCTGATTACTGTTTACAAGCAGAGAAGCCAAGAGGTTTGTGTAGAAATGAGAGTGTGCATAATCCAAGCGTGGAAGAATCCACCCACCCACAGTCCTCCAAGCTTTACAGAGCATCTCAAGAATCAGAATACCCAGGGACATAGTATGTTTCTATCATTGCTTAAGCCAGCAGTTTCCAAAGTGGGGGTGAATGCACCCCAGACATCACAAGACAATTCATGAAGGTGAAGGGACATAACAGAACCTCTGTAATCTTGATCTCTTTTTGTTTGTTTGTGCTTTTTTTTGTTTGTTTGTTTTCAGACAGGGTCTTACTCTGTCACCCAGGCTGGAGTGCAGTGGCACGATCTTGGCTCACTGCAACCTCCTCCTCCTGGGTTCAAGCAATTCTCCTGCCTCAGCCTCCCGAGTAGCTGGGATTACAGGCACATGCCACCATGCCTGGCTAATTTTTTTGTATTTTTTTGGTGGAGATGGGGTTTCACCATGTTAGCCAGGCAGGTCTTGAACTCCTGGCCTCAAGTGATCCACCTGTCTCAGCCCCCTCAAAGTGCTGGGATTACCGCCTATCTTAATCTTAAATTTATAATTTTAAAGTATTTTATAAGGTACCTATTTTGCTGCACAACAATCATCATAATAAGTAATGTCAATGAGTTTTTATTCTATGTCAGGCAACATTCTAATAGCTTACATATATCATTTCATTGAACCCCCACAACTCTATGAGGTAGGTATTATTAATTCTACTTTCCAGGCACAGAAAGGTCAAGCTATCCCTCTAAGATCACATAGTAGACAGGTGGCAGAACTGGGATTCGAACTCCATGGTCTGGCTGGAAAGTTTACATTCATAACTACTACTCTATTCTGTCTGTCATATGTAAGTATAATTTTCACATTTTAAGCAAATATATATTGGGGTTTCATGTTCAAGTTGTTCATTGTGGTTGGTTTTGTTTTAGTTTTTTTGTTTGGTTTATTGAAGAAGGTGTTCAGAAGAAAACAAACAAAAAACAATGTTTGGAGAATATTGGCAAGTTGAGATAAAATTAAACTATGTTGGCCAGGTGCAGCGCCTCACGCCTGTAATCCCAGCACTTTGGGAGGTTGAGGCAGGCGGATCCCGAGGTCAAGAGATTGAAATGGCTAACATGGTGAAACCCCATCTCTACTAAAAATACAAAAATTAGCTGGGCATGGTGGTGCACACCTGTAGTCCCAGCTACTCGGGAGGCTGAGGCAGGAGAATCGCTTGAACCCAGGAGGCAGAGGTTGCAGTGAGCCGAGATCAGGCCACTTCAGTCCAGTTTGGGCGACAAAACGAGACTCCATCTCAAACAACAACAACAAAAAGCTATATTCATTCCATGAAAGTTTCTGGAGAAGGAAGAATAGTGGTCAGGTTCTTCTTAGAGTGCCATTATGAACTCAAGAGCTATTAGACTTGTGCCTCCAAAGACCAATCATTTGTATGCCACCATCAAAATGCTTGCCATGCTTTCCAACACTTTTGTCTAATTCATATTTTTGTTTAATTCAACTTACATTTTAAAACATAAATTATGAATTTTTGAAATAAACACTGCATTACCACTATAAATGGAAACGAGTATCCCTTGCAGAGAGGCCACCATCTCATTAGAAAGAATTATAAAAATTCTATTCTAAAGGTCCTGATTTTGAAAAAATAATAGCTAATACACACACACTCACAAACACAGACATACACAAACACACACACACACAAATAGTGCCAGGTACTGTTCCAAGTATTAGAAATACACTGAGCTTATCATAACCATACTGGGTAGGCATTAACATTGCCCTATTTTACAGATGAGGAATGGGGACTTTCAAAAATTTGCATGAGTTCACACTGCTAGTGAGGCAGAGGTAGGATTTCAACCCAGGCAGCAGAATCAATGTGGTGCCCACAACATACACGGCGACAATGTAGCCCACAGCACTTAGTGCACTGAGAGATAGTTGGGAGGGGAGTGCCCTCCTAACCTCAACCCAGTGAGAGAACCTTCACCTGACCTTGCACAGAGCTCAGGGCACCTGTAGCTGGGCCTCCATGGACCAGCCTCGCTCCCTATGGCTGAGCATCTGGGAAGTCTCTTCACTCCTCCCCTTCAATGGTGGGTCAGAAGTGGCTGAACTTCCCTCTAACACAAGGACCAGACATGAGCTTGCAGTAAGAATATGGTCTGGCTCATTTTAGAAGAGATTCTTCCAAGATGGCGGCCTACAGCCAGAGAGGACCCTGGTGGTAAGAGGCTGTGATGTGAACCATTGGAGGTAGAAACTGAGGCTATGTCAGGAGCAGCCAGGGGCAAGAGAAACACTGCCTGACATTCTGGAGTTGCTGTTGAACACCCCGAGCAAGGGAGTCTCCAGAAAACCCATATAAGTGCCCACAAGAGAGAGCCAGCTCCACAAACCTCCCAGGTCTGCAAAGCATGGGGTCAGATTATTCTAGTACCAGCCAAATAAGAACTCTCTATCCCTTACCTCTCTTCCTTCCTCCTGCTTCCAGCCCCAAAGGAAGAGAGGTTTAAAGAGACAAGCTGGCCACTACTACTCTCCTTCCTAGACCAGAGGTCTGAAGACAGAGATATGACTGAAAAGGACCACAAGGCTTTTTATTACCAAAAATTGCCAGAAATGTCATGCCTTTGTTTTCATATAGGGGAAGGAAAAATCCCCACAGACACTTTAGAATGGACTTTCATGATTATATGCAAAGAATCATGAATGTTTCATTTCTAACAATATTTTCTCCACCATATCCTGAGGCCGTAGGAATTCATGGAGCTAGACTCATGGAAATTGCAACACTTGGCAATAGATTGAAAGATAGTGGATGAGAATACACCCCTCTCTCTGGCCCTCTGCATTATGATATTTCTGACATACACCATGATTCAGGAAACGATCTGACAGATGGGCCAAGTGGGGCACTAGTGACAATCAATACACCAGCTACCTAGTACCCAAGCTGTTTCTTTCTGAATTTTTGGATTAAGAGTAAATAGAATGTCTAACACTTCCTGGACCCCAATATAACATCCACGAACCTTATTTTGAAAATTCACTGGTGAACTCTTACAGGTTCTTAAGCAAAAGAGAAATATGATAAAATCTGGGCTTTAGCTTGACCTTGGAGACTTGGAAACTAGGAGCAGGAAGGCATAGAAGGAGCTGATGGGGGAGAGAAAGGGATCATGGCAGAGGAGATGGACAGAGTTTGCTAACTCTGATTCAGATGCTCAAGGGGCTCTGAGAGGGAGGCTCACTGACAAGCAGTCACCCTTTCCAGAACATCCTAAATAACAGTGACTGCCCCTCTCACAGAAACACAGGACAGTCTACATCCATCAGTCAGAAGGCTGGGCATGGTGACTCACACCTGTAATTCCAGTAATTTGGGAGGCCAAGGTAGAAGAATCACTTGAGCCCAGTAGTTCAAGAGCAGCCTGCACAACACAGTGAGATCCCACCTCTACAAAAAACTTTTAAAAAATTAACCAGGCATGGTGATGTGTGTCTGTAGTCCCAGCTACTCAGAGGATGAGGTGGAAGGATCAGTTGAGCCCACAAGGTGGAGGCGGCAGTGAGCTGTGATTGTGCCACTGTACACAGCGGCACTGTACACAGCCTTGGTGGTGGAGTAAGACCTAATCTAAAAAAAAAAAAAAAAAAAAAGAAAGAAAGAAAAGAAAAGAAAAAGAGAGGGACAGAAAAGGAAATAGCAGAGCAGGTCAAGCCAGTCAAGCCAAGCCTGACCTGGCCCACCTACAGCACAATCAGATAAGTCAGAGGGTTTACCCACACTCCGTTCTTTCTCCCTGTCACAAGCAAATGAGAAAGGGGAAGGGTGGGGGCATGCTAGGATTGATGAATGGGGCAACCAAGCCCAGCTCTCCACTGGCTGGAAATTAGGGCCACCCCAGGAAACTCAAAAGCCAAGGAAGAAGGCAGAAGAAAAAGCTAAGGAGGAAGATTGCTCCTCAAGAGTTCATGAGAAGGAAGGCATGTGACAGCTTTGTGACCCATTCTCCATCTTCACCTCAGGACCTTTCTACTGAAAAGACCCTTTCAGACAATCTGTCCAGAAACAAACACATCAAAAGCACAAATAATAAGTGAAGTGACTTTAGGAGATGAGGAATCATGCTAGTTCCTGGAGAGATAAATGGTGGCAGGTGTGGGAGCCAGCTTAGGTCCATGTTGGAACCTTAACTCACTTCTGAGCCATGAGATTTGGGCAGGGTGCTTAAATTCTCCAGTTTTTAGTGTCTTCTTCTGAACAATCGTGTCGATCACCACTGCCTCAGAGACTTGATTTACAGATGAAATGAGGGCCGGGTGCAGTGTTTCACGCATGTAATCCCAGCAGTTTGGGAGGCCAAGGCAGGTGGATCACCTGAGGCCAGGAGTTCGAGACCAGCCTGACTAACATGATGAGACTCCATTTCTACTAAAAATACGAAAAATTAGCCAGGTGTGGAGGTGCATGTCTGTAATCCCAGCTACTCAGGAGGCTGAGGCAAGATAATTGCTTGAACTCGGGAGTTGGAGGTTGCAGTAAGCCGAGATTGTGCCATTTTGCACTCCAGCTTGGGCAACAAGAGCAAAACTCCATCTCAAAAAAAGAAAGGAAGGAAGGAAGGAAGGAAGGAAGGAAGGAAGGAAGGAAGGAAATGAAATGAGATGATACAAGTGATAGGTCCAGCACAGGATCTCATGCACAAGAGGTTATCAAGGACTTAAATATTATTTTCCAGGGTCCACAATATGTTACAAATATTTTCTTCTCATCTGTCACTTGTCTTTTTTTTTTTTTTTTTTTTTGAGACGGAGTCTCACTCTGTCGCCCAGGCTGGAGTGCAGTGGCGGGATCTCGGCTCACTGCAAGCTCCGCCTCCCGGGTTCACGCCATTCTCCTGCCTCAGCCTCCCAAGTAGCTGGGACTACAGGCGCCCGCCACTACGCCCGGCTAATTTTTTGTATTTTTAGTAGAGACGGGGTTTCACCGTTTTAGCCGGGATCGTCTCGATCTCCTGACCTCGTGATCCGCCCGCCTCGGCCTCCCAAAGTGCTGGGATTACAGGCGTGAGCCACCGCGCCCAGCCTGTCACTTGTCTTTATATTTTGTTTGTATGCTTATTTGTCATACAGAAGTTTTGTTTTTTGTTATTACTATTTTTTTTTTAATTAGAGACAGGTTCTTGCTCTGTCACCCAGGCTGGAGTGCAGTGATGTAATCATAGCTCGTTGCAACCTTGAACTCCTGTACTCAAATGATCTTCCTGCATCAGCTTCCCAAGTAGCTGGGACTACAGGCACATGTCACCATGCCTAAGTTTTTAACTTTCAGGAAGAGATGGTGTCTGGCTATGTTGTCCAGGCTGGTCTCAAACTCCTGGGCTCAAGTGATCCTCCTGTCTCAGTCTCCCAAAGTGCTGGGATTATAGGCATGAGCCACTGTGCCTCGCCAAGTTAATGTAGATTCATACTTTTCTGGATTGCTAAGATTTTTAATCAGGTGTTGGTATTAAATTTAATTAAATACCTTGTCAACATTTATTCAGATGATCATATTTTTTTTCTCCATAAATCTATTGCTGGAAAAGATGGCAATAGATTCACTTCTTCCTCCCTTCCTTCCTTCTTTCCTTCCTTCCTCTCTCTCTCTCTCTCCCTCTTCCTTCCTCCCTCCCTCCCCCTTTCTTCCTTTCTTCTTTCTTTTTCTTTCTTTCTTTCTTTCTTTCTTTCTTTCTTTCTTTCTTTCTTTCTTTTCTTCCTTTCTTCCTTTCTTTCCTTTCTTTCCTTTCTTTCTTTTTTTTCCAGACAGTCTTACTCTGTTGCCCAGGCTGTAGTGCAGTGGTGTGATCTCAGCTCACTGCAACCTCCACCTCCTGGGGTCAAGCAATTCTTGTGCCTCAGCCTCCCAACTTGCTAGGATTACAGGTGCATGCCACCATGCCCAGTTAATTTTTGTATTTTTGTATTTTTTTTTTTTTAGTAGAGTTTGGGTTTTGCCATATTGCCCAGGCTGGTCTCAAACTCCTGGGCTTAAGCAATCTGCCTGCCTTGGCCTCCCAAAGTACTGGGATTACAGGCGTGAGCCATGGCACCCAGCCTGTTAATGTCTTATTTAGGCTATTTGCATCTCTGCTCATAAATATATTGGCCTATCATTTTTTTCCCCTCTTCTTTTGCTTTTGTGTGCTCATCATCCTGTTTTATTACATTGGCAAGTAATGCTAGCCAAGTCAAATGAGCTGGGAAGTTTCCCATCTTTCTCTATGCTCTAAATACAATTTATAAAGTGTATGGAAAAGCTTAGAGGTTTTATATAGTTTGACTCAAAAATAGTCTGGTCTGCTATCTTTGTCTCAAGCTAGATGGAGCAAGCAGGAGAAAATATTTTAAAATACCCTTTAGATTTATTTTAGGGTTATTCGACTATTCAGGTTTTTTATTTCTTCCTGAGTTAATTTAAAAATTTTCCTTGGCCGGGCACAGAGCCTCTCACCTGTAAACCCAGCACTTTGGGAGGCCGAGGTGGGTGGATCACTTGAGGTCAGCAGTTCGAGACCAGCCTGGCCAACATGGCAAAACCCCATCTCTACTAAAAATACAAACATTAGCCAGGCATGGTGGCACACTCCTGTGGTCCCAGCTACTCAGGAGGCTGAGGCACGAGAATCACTTGGACCTGGGAGGTGGAGGTTGCAGTGAGCCGAGATTGCACCACCGCACTCCAGCCTGGGTGATAGAGTGAGACTCTGTCTCAAAACACATTTTTTTTTTCCCTGAAAAATCACCCATTTCATCTTTTTTATAGAACAAAGTTTTACTAAAATATAATTCACATACCATGCAGTTCATCCATTTGAAGTGTATAGTTTAATGATTTTTAGAATATTCACAGAGTTATGAAAAAATCCACTTTAGAACAGCTGCATCATCCCCAAAGGAAATCCATAGCTGTCAACAGACACTCTCGTTTCTCCTCCACTTCCTCCACTCCTGTTCCTAGGCAACTACTGATCTACCAGTATATGTAAAAAAAAAAAAGCATGTCATCTGCAAGTAGAGATAGTTTTATTTCTTCCTCTCCAGGCTACATTTCTTTTATTTCTTTTTGTAGCCTAATTGCAGTACAATGTTGAATAAAAGTGGCAAAGGTGGACATGTTTATTTTGTTCCTATCTTAGGAGGAAAGCCTCCAGTCTTTCACCATTATGTATGATGTTTGCCATTGGTCTTTCATAGATGTCCTTTATCAGGTTGAGAAAGTTCCCTTCTATTCCTGGTTTATTGAGTGTTTTTATCATGAAAGATGTTGGATTGTGTCAGAAGTTTTGTCTGCATCTATTGAGATGATCATGTAATTTTTTTTCCTTTATTCTATTAGTCTAGTATATTATCTTGATTGCTTTTTATATGTCAAACCAACCTTGCATGTCTGAGATAAATCTCATTTAGTCATGGTGTATAATCCTTTTTCTTTCTTTTCTTTCTTTTTTTTTGAGATGGAGTCTTGCCCCATTGCCCAGGCTGGAGTGCAGTGGCATGATCTTGGCTCACTGCACTTCCGTCTCCCAGGTTCAAGCAATTCTCCTGCCTCAGCCTCCCCCAGTAGCTGGGATTACAGATGTGTGCCACGACGCCCAACTAATTTTTTTGTATTTTTATCAGAGACAGGGTTTCACCATGTTGGCCAGGCCGGTCTCGAACTCCTGACCTCAAATGATCCACCCACCTTGGCCTCCCAAAATGCTGGGTTTACAGGCGTGAGCCACTGTGCCCAGCTTAATAATCCTTTTTCTATGTTGCTGGAGTCTGTTTGCTAGTCTTTTGTTGAGAATTTTTGTGTCTATATAGATAAGAAGTGTTGATCTGTGGTTTTCTTTTCTTCTGATATCTTTGTCTGGTTTGGATATCAGGTAATTACTGGCCTCATAAATAAGTTGAGAAGAGGCCGGAATTACTATACATTCCAGCCATCTGTTTGCCACCAGTACTGAACAGATTACTTGGCATTTAACAGATATGAATAAATGACATTTAGAGATGAATGAATTGACTGTGTTGCTGCAGACTAGATAACTTTTTTTTTTTTTTTTTTTTTTGAGACAGGGTCTCGCTCTGTCACCCAGGCTGTAGTGCAGTGGCACAATCTCCAGCTCGGTTCACTGCAACCTCCACCTCCTGGGTTCAAGCGATCCTCACCCTTCTGAGTAGCTGGGACTACAGACATGCGCCACCATGCCCAGCTAATTTTTGTATTTTTAGTAGAGATGGGGTGTCACCATAGTGGCTAGACTGGGCTCGAACTCCTGATCTGACCTCAAGTGATCCTCCTGCCTCAGCCTCCCAAAGTTCTGGGGTTACAGGTGTGAGCCACCTCGCCTGGCTTAAAAAAATATTTTTAATGCATGACTGAGGAGAAAAGAAAATAAAAAGGATACAGAAAAGCCAAATGTAAAACAGGAGCCAGAATCCAAATAAGTCATCAAGAGCTGGAACTAGAGGCATCTCCTGCTCTTCTGTGATCTACAGCAAGAGTTTTAGCTGGCGTCATGAGAGAGAGGAGGCAAAGTGTAAGGGCTTGGCAAGGTGAAGGGGTCAGATTGGAGACCACTGCACAAAGCTGAGATCCCTAACATCTATGTTCTCAGTAAAAGGATGATCTATAAAAACTATCTTCTCAAAAAGGCAAGAGAGGTCATATGCTTACCTGTCACAGCTTGACTTGTCAGGAGAGAAAGTCCCCTCTGAGAATAAATAACCACAAGCCAGTCTTTATTCATGCTGTGCAGAACAATTCACGCTATTTCTGTAGTTTAAAGAGAAAAAGTCGCCTCGCAAACTAAAGATAAACTCTCTCAGGAGGGACCTAGGCTTCAAAAAGTTTCAACAGACAAAGTTCCATCAAATATCAAAAAGTCACAAAATGTACACGAAAAAAACCAAGGTGTCAACCATAGCACCAAAACAAGTAAAGAGAAAATTAGTGAGTTAGAAGATAAATCTGAGGATAGAACAGAGAGATCAAGATGGAAAATACGGAAGATTAAAAGGCTTGTCGGGTGGGCTGATGAAGTTTAAAACATATTAAATTGGAGTTCGACAAGAAAAGAATAGAAGCTAAACAGGAAGCCCCAAAAAGTAAACACAGAGTTTGAGCAATCTCACAGTGGTAATGACACAAGTCTTACAGTTCAAGATCTACTAAAACAGGCGCCATGCTTAAGACCCAAGATTCTCGGTCAGGACTCCTGGAGGAATCTACCCTAGAAGGGGAGGAGGTAGAGAGGGCTTTCTGCAAACTGCAACACAGTCTACAGTTAGCTCAGTCTCTGTCTTAGGATAATCAATCCCCACTCTGCCTGACTAGCTAAGGAAATGATAACTCTCTCTGGAGGAACACAACATCATTTAGAGCCTCAAAATTTTTTTTTGTTTTTGTTTTTGTTGTTATTTGTTTCTTTTTTCTACTACTTATAAGTGTAGCATTATCTTTTATTTTATTTTTTACTTTTATTTTAGAATCAGGGGGTACATGCGCAGGTTTTGTTAGAAAGGTATATTGCGTGATGCTAAGGTTTGGGGTATGATTGAAACCGCCACCCGGGTAGTGAGCATAGTACCCAATTTTTTGGCACCTCCCTACCTCACACCCCATCTAGTAGTCCCCAGTGTCTGTTGTTCCTGTCATTATTTCCAATATTGGAGTTTTTTTAATTTATTTATTTAATTTTTTGTTTTTCTTTCCAACTTTTATTTTAGGTTCAGGAGGTACATGTGCAGGTTTATTACATGGATAAATTGTGTGCCATGGGGATTTGATGTACAGATTATTTTGTCACCTAGGTAGTACCCAACAGGTAGTTTTTTTTATTTTTCCTAATTTTTTTGAGACAGAATCTCACTCCATCACCCAGGCTGGAGTGCAGTGGTGCAATCTCGGCTCACTGCAACCTCCACCCCCTAGGTTCAAGCAATTTTCGTGCCTCAGTGGCCCAAATAGCTGGGATTGCAGGTGTGTGCCACCACACCAGGCTAAATTTTTTTTGTATTTTTAGTACAGACAGGATTTCACCATGTTGGCCAGGCTGGTCTCGAACTCCTGACCTCAGGTGATCCACCTGCCTTGACCTCTCAAAGTGCTGGGATTATAGGCTTGAGCCACTGGGCCCGGCCTCCCAATAGGCAGTTATTTTTGTTTTTGTTTTTGCTTTTTGGTTTTTTTTTGAGATGGAGTCTCGCTCTGTCATCCAGGCTGGAGTGCAGTGGTAGGATCTTGGCTCACTGCAGCCTCCGCCTCCCAGGTTCCAGCTATTCTCTTGCCTTAGCCTCCCAGGTAGCTGGGATTACAGGCACGCTGCACTATGCACAGCTAATTTTTATATTATTAGAGACGGGGTTTCACCATGTTGGCCAGGCTGGTCTCAAACTCCTGACTTCAGGTGACCTGCCTGCCTCAGCCTCCCAAAATGCTAGGATTATAGATGTGAGCCACTGCACCCGGCCCCAATAGGTAGTTTTTTGATCCACACCTTCTTCTCACCCATCCCCCTCAAGTACACCCTAGTGTCTATTGTTCCCTCCTTTGTGTCTTCCAACATTGTTTTTTATACATGCCATTAATTTAAAAGTCACCAGAAATGCTAAAAGACAAGTCCAAATGACCAAAAACCAAGATGGGGGAAAAGACAACAGAAATAGTCTCCAACATTTATTAAGTGAAAAAAAGCAAGAGAAGAGTTTATATCATAAATTCTCATTTATTTAACCAAAGCATTTATGTATATGCCTAAATATAAATATCTTTGCAAAAATGCAAAAAATATGATACGTTTTTTGGCCTTATTGGATTTTTTTTATCATGTGGATGTATTACCTTTTAAAAAATCCCTTAAAATATCTTTTAAGGAAGAAAATCCTTTACTAGAGTCACACTCACCTTTTAATCATTTGGAAAAGCAGCTTCCTCTCTCTTTCTCACCTTGTTTCACTCTCTTAAAAATAAATCATCAGCCAAACTCAACCTCTTACTTAAGTGTACTTCAAAGAAACTTTAATAAATCAAAGGAAGAGAGACCAACAGTGGATCCAGATTTCAATGTAACTTTGCCAGATTTCTATGTAACTTTCCTTTTTATAAGCAGAGGTAATTCTCTTAGAGATTGATAAAGCTTCTGCAGGGGACAGGAGGTCAGGAATGGAGTGTTTACATTCTCTCCCCACTCAATCCTACCCTTGGGTGAGTGTCACTTAATCTGTCTGCAGCTTTTCATGCTCTCTAGCTGTTTCTGGTTTGGATAAATTTCTGGTCACCTCTTGCAGTGGATAAGTAAGGCTGAACACAGGTTGCGCTCCCTCCAAAAGAGCTAAGGGGTTAACTGTCACCCCACCAAACAACATGGACATAAAGCAGATGGTTTCAACATCATCTTTATCCACCAAAAAGAAATAGGACTTCCTTTGAGAAAATGTCACACCTTTGTCTAATGAAGACTGTGGGTGCCATAACTGGCCATGTTTCTCTCTTTGCCTTGGTGTATAGGAAGCTCAGACACGTATTTGCTTCCCATTTTGAAAATCTTAGTACAGCCCTTGTGGTACCTGCATCTGCATACTGATTTTCTGTGCTTCATCATCTTAGGCAATTCTCTTTGTCATTTAGACTTCATTTTGTTTTGTTCTTTTAATATTATATATTTTTGGAGCCATCTCAAATGCTTTTTAGAATGAAGTAAATTTTATCCATAAATGAAAACAGGAGCTGATCAACCATATTGACCTATTGATTTACAGAGTGGGAAGAAACTCAAACTTTATTTATTTATTTATAAAATCAGCAAATATTTATTGAGCACTTACTATACACCAGGCACTGTTCTGGCACCAAGGACATAGCAAATAATAAAACAAAAGCCTTTCCTGTATGGAATGTTCATGCTAGTGAGAGAATAGATAATAAGCATCTGAAAAGTAAATATATCCTATGAAGAAATAGGACTTCATTTGGCAAAATGTCATGTCCTTGCCTAATGAAGACTGTGGGTGTCATAACTGGCCATGTTTCTCTCTTTGCCTTGGCTTATAGGAAGCTCAGACATGTATTTGCTTCCCAAGTGCAGCCTTTGTGGTACCTGCATCTGCATACTGATGGTGATAATGCTAAGGAGAAAAATATAGCAAGTGGAGGAAGGGAAGTGATGAGGATGTGTGATATTTCTACACTATTTTCTATTCTATTTTCTATAGAGTGGTCAAGCCAGGCCTCTTCAATAAGGTGGCGTTATTGATGATGAGGAGGTTTTCATCTCTCTTTTTGTCTCCTCTCCCACTTGCCGTCATCCTCCTTTATACTACCCTGGTATTCTCTGAATGTGCACAATAAACTTCAATAACTGTTCTCCCCACGTCCTGCTTGTCCTGCTTCTTAAAGTCTATTCTGTCCTCCACACTGCAGCCAGAGGGATCTGATTAGGTCAAACCCCTGACAAAGTTCACTTTTCTTTTTTTTTCTTTTTTTTGAGACGGAGTCTTGCTCTGTCACCCAGGCTGGAGTGCAGTGGCATGATCTCTGCTAACTGTAAGCTCCGCCTCCTGGGTTCACACCATTCTCCTGCCTCAGCCTACCGAGTAGCTGGGACTATAGGAACCTGCCACCACGCCCGTCTAATTTTTTGTATTTTTAGCAGAGACGGGGTTTCACCGTGTTAGCCAGGATGGTCTCGATCTCCTGACCTCGTGATCTGCCCGCCTCAGCCTCCCAAAGTGCTTGGATTACAGGCGTAAGTCACCGTGCCTGGCCAATAAAGTTCACATTTTTAGCTTGGCACTTAAGGTCCTTTGAGATCTGGTCCTATCCTGCTCACTCAGAAAGCACTGTAATACTGGCATATTTGCCCTCCCCTAAACATGCTCCCAGTCTTCCCATCTCCATGTCTCTGTTCATGCCATTTCCTCTGTCACCCTTCAGGATCCAATTCAAACATCATCTCTTCTGGGAAGCCTTCCAGAGTGACACAAGCAAAATTAATCGGCCTTTTCTTGGAGGTCCTGTAACCGTCCAACAGGTTTACCTTGCTTGCTGCCTAGACAGAGCCAATTTAACAAGACAGGGGAATTGCAATAGAGAAAGAGCAATTCACACACAGCCAGCTGTGCGGGAGACTGGAGTTTTATTATTACTCAAATCAGTCTCCCTCAGCATTCGAGCATTCACAGATCAGAGTTTTTAAGAGTAATTTGGTCAAAGTGGGGGCAGCCAGTGAGTCAGGAGTGCTGATTGGTTGGGTCGGAAATGAACTCATAGGGAGCTGAAGCTGTCCTCTTGCACTGAGTCAGTCAGTTCCTGAGTGGGAGCCACAAGATCAGATGAGCCAGTTTATCGATCCGCATGGTGCCAGCTGATCCATCGAGTGCAGTGTCTGCAAAATATCTCAAGCACTGATCTTAGGTTTTAGAAAGTGATGTTATCCCCAGGAGCAATATGGGGAGGGTCAGAGTCTTGTAGCCTCCAGCTGCATGACTCCTAAACCATAATTTCTAATCTTTTGGCTAATTTGTTAGTCCTACAAAGGCAGTCTAGCCCCCAGGCAAGAAAGTGGTTTGTTTTGTTACCGTCTTTGTTCTAAACTATAAGGTATAAACTAAGTTCCTCCAGAGGTAGTTCAGCCTGCACCCAGGAATGAACAACAATGGCTTGGAAGTTGGAAACAAGATGGAGTTGGTTAGCTCAGATCTCTTTCAGTGTCTCAGTTGTAGTTTTGCAGTGGCAGTTAGAACCTTTTTCAGGTAATTATGACTGCACTAAAGACATCATCCAGTGGTCAGCTATATTTCTGCATGTGTGCGTATTTTCTCTCCAGGATTATGGCTTTCTGAAAGGTATTAGACGTAGCAGTTATTCAATAAATTATGACTACATTAATTAATTGTTAAAATTAATAACTTTGCAGCTCATGTGCATTATCTCTTTTCATCTTCATATTAACCACATGTAATAATGAAGGTACTTATTTTTTCTATTTGTCAGATGAGGAATCTGAGAGCCAAGACAGGCTAAGGGATTCGTGTCTGAATACACGGCAGAGCTCAGACTAGAAATTCTAATCCACTTGTTGGATCTCACATGCTGGTTCAGTTTAAGCAAAAACATTGTAAGGAGGTAGGGACTGCAAACCCCAAAAGAATTGCAAACATTGCTCCAAATAACAATGAAAAGTTCAAAGGTACTAGAATGACTCATCTAGACCGGACTTAAAAAGAAACCAAGAAACAAGGAAAGCAACCTATTGTAATGCGTACACTCAAACCAGAGTTGTCCTTCAGTAGAATTGCCTGGAGCCTATAACCCATGGCAAGTAAGCTAGGATGAGAAACTCTTGGATTATTGTGTTACAGGAGCAGGATCAAAGTCTTGTGAACTGGAGGCATATGACTGCCTCATAACAGGAGAGGACTAACTCTCCTAGTTCATTCAGGACTGAAGAGGTCCCGGGACACAGGACTTTTGGCAGAAAAACAGAAAAAGTCCTGGAAAACCGTAACAATTTGTTTACCTACATAGATGACTCTGTTGTTTCAGGAAAAGACGAATGCTCACCCTTGAGAAGTCTGCTTTAGAATTCCTTCTTTAGGGTTGTCTTCCAAGCCAGTTTATGATCCAGGCAAGAAATATCACTTACGTTAGTGGCACCTTGTTTTTGAATAAAAATGGCATTACCTCAAGGAAATCTGAATGACTTCCAAATATTTTCAAAAATTCATCCTCCAGGACAGGCACGGTGGCTCATGGCTGAAATCCCAGCACTTTGGGAGGCCGAGGCAGGCAGATCACCTGAGGTCAGGTGTTTGAGACCAACATGGTGAAACCTCATCTCTACTAAAAATACAAAAATTAGCCAGGCGTGGTGGTGTGCAACTGTAATTCCAGCTACTCAGGAGGCTGAGGCAGGAGAATCGCTTGAACCCGGGAGGCAGAGGTTGCAGTGAGCTGAGATCGCACCACTGCATTCCAGCCTGGGCAACAAGAAAGAGATTCTGTCTCAAAAAAAAAAAAAAAATTCATACTCTCATCAAAGGAAAATATTTTTTTCACCAATAAAGATATCTGAAAGAATGTGCCAAGAACCAGGAAGGCAATTCCCAAAAGACGTTGTACGGTGTTAAGAGTGTTAAAAGAAAAACTTCAGGAGAATTAAATTTAAAGGGGTCTAATTGAGCAATGAAAGATTCACGAATCAGGCAGCCCTCAGAATCACAGCAGATTCATAGAAACTCCTCCAGCAGAGCCATGTGGTGGAAGAAGATTTATAGACAAAAAGGGAAGTGAGGTACAGCAATCGGAAGTAAGGTAGAGGAACAACTGATTGGTTACATCTCGGTGTTTGCCTTATTTGAACACAGTTTGAACACTCAGCAGTGTATGAGTGGTTGAAATACGGCTGCTGGGATTGGCCAAGACTCAGCTATTGTTCCAGGCACATACTCCTAAGTTAAGTTTTCAATCTTGTCTACCTATTAAGTTAGGTTGTGGTTCCTCCACAGGGACTCAAATATAGAAGTTCGGTGTCCTTCTCAGGCCATCTTTAGTCTGCTTTAACAGAAGCATCCTACTCCTAAGGCTCTTAGGATATCAAAGTGGCTCTTCCAAATGGATCATATATTTGAATGCCCATATCTGGATTATCTGTTTTTGAAAATAAAAAATAATTAACTTTATTTTAATGACTTTTTATATCAATATTTAGTGGATATGAAAAGATCTGCGAGTTACACTGACATTAAAGCAATGAACAAAGATGGCAGGTGTCAGAGGCTCAGCCACTTTCCTGGTGTCCAATAAATGGCAATATTTTAATACGCATATACATCTCGATTTCTTTTACAATCCTTTTCTTTTAAGATTAGGAAAGATCAGAGCTCTCATTTGGGGCATCCACAGACAGGAAGAGCTGTGGCCAGATTCATTAATCATGACTGGTTTATCTGACCACAAACAAAACCAATTGTTAATGTGTTCTTACAAGTGAGGTAATCCATCTTGATGAAAGCCATGTGTCACAGGTAAATGAAAATGTTTGAGGCATTTGCATTTCCATTGGCTTGGCTCAGTTTCACAGATCTTGCATTTCAAAGCAGGAACTCAGATTTGGGTAACACTTTTATGTACTGAAACCTGTAATTAATGCCAGAGATCTTAAGTCAGTGAATAGCTGTCTTTCATTATATGAGTATAAAGGAGCTTTCGTGCATTGGAATACTAATTTACCTTCCCTGGTATTACTGTACGTAAGCCCCTGTCTGGTGTTTAGTTGTAAATGATACATGCAGTAATAGCAAGTCAAATAAATAAAGCACATGAGAAAAGCCACTATGAGGAGCCGCTGAAAAGACAAACCCTTGTGATTCACCTTCTAATTCTGAGAATATCTATTCATTGGGTGCTTACTGTGTGCCAGGCATGGTTCTGAGAGCTGCAGGTTTATTACTTCAACTACTCTCCCTAACAGTCTAATGAAGTAAGTTCTGTTTTTTATCTTTGAAATACAAAATTTTTAAAAATACAAAAATTAGCTGGGTGTGGTGGCAGGTGCCTATAATCCCAGCTACTCAGAGACTGAGGCACGAGAATCTCTTGAACCCGGGAGGCAGAGGTTGCAGTGAGCTGAGATCACGGCATTGCACTCCAGCCTGGGTGACAGAGTGAGACTCAGTCTCAAAAAAAAAACCATTGGGAATCAAAATTTGGTATTATTTGCCCTCCTAGTGAAGAAATACATCTTACAGGTTATTCTCTCTGATTCTATAAGGAAGCTAAAAAAAAAATGGATGTTATAGCTGTTTCTCACTTTCCTTGTTTTTTTCCAAAGCATTCCTTAGTTAGTCCATTAAGTGAGAAATCTGTCACATTTTTATTAGAAGAAAATGTGCAAAAGTGCGACTAAAGGGCCCTCACAGTAAAAAGACTTCCTGCAAGTGTACAGAGTTAAACTGGATACTCTGAGCCCTAGAGCTAATATGCATTTCCTTTTGAACCCAGGGTGGTGTTGGAGTGGGGGCGGATTGGGTGAGTGTCAGGGGAACCAGGTGCAAGCACCAGAGTGTAGATTCCCGGGTAAGGGTGTGTTTCTTCATTACAGTGAAAAGTATTCACTGATTCTTTTCCATTTTTAAAATAGATTTTATTTTATTTTATTTTACTTTTTAGAGACAAGGTCTTGCTCTGTGGCCCAGGCTGGAATGCAGTGGCACGATCATAGCTCACTATAGCCTCGAATTCCTAGGCAGAAGCCAACCTCCTGCCTCAGCCTCCGAAGTAGCTGGGACTACATGTGTGTGCCACCATACCCAGCTAATTCATTAAAATTTTTGTAGATATGGGGTGTTGCTATGTTGCCCAGGCTGGTCTCGAACTCTTTTTCTTCTTTTTTTTTTTTTTGAGACGGAGTCTCGCTCTGTCGCCCAGGCTGGAGTGCAGTGGCGCGATCTCGGCTCACTGCAAGCTCCGCCTCCCGGGTTCAGGCCATTCTCCTGCCTCAGCCTCCCGAGTAGCTGGGACTACGGGTGCCTGCAACCACGCCTGGCTAATTTTTTGTATTTTTAGTAGAGAAAGGGTTTCACCATGTTAGCCAGGACAGTCTCAATCTCCTGACCTCGTGATCCGCCCACCTTGGCCTCCCAAAGTGCTGGGATTACAGGCATGAGCCACCGCACCCAGCCTGGTCTCGAACTCTTGAGTTCAAGTGTTTCTACATTGCCCTCCCAAAGTGCTGGGATTACAGGTGTGAATCACTGCACCTGGCCAAGACTTAATTTTTTTTAGAGCAGTTTTCATTTCACAGCAAAATTGAGCAGAAAGTACAGAGATTTCCCAATTACTCCCCACAGCCCACATGTATAACCTCCCCCATTATCAACATTCCCCACCAGAGTGGTGCAATTTTTTTTTTTTTTTTTTTTGAGACGGAGTTTCACTCTTGTTGCCCAGGCTGGAGTGTAATGGCATGATCCTGACTCACCGCAACCTCCACCTCCTGGGTTCAAGAGATTCTCCTGCCTCAGCCTCCTGAGTAGCCAGGATTACAGGCATGTGCCACCACACCTGGCTAATTTGGTATTTTTAGTAGAGATGGGGTTTCTCCATGTTAGTCAGGCTGTCTCGAACTCCTGACCTCAGGTGATCAGCCCGCTTCAGCCTCCCAAAGTGCTGGGATTACAGGCATGAGCCACCGCGCCCAGGCTTGCATTAAATTTTTAACTGGGTATACATTCCTCTCAATTCTGTGCTTCTAGAATATAAACTCTGAATGTTAAGTGGTGAATTAGTGTACTCCATACTCAGCCAAAGCAAGCTTGTTACTGTTTCCAAATCGAGCAGCCCTGCCTTCCGGCTACCACCACTTTTCCTTTCCACATCCACAGGTTGAATAATCCTTTCCGGATTTTTTTTGGGCATTTGGCAAAATTTTCTCCATGCATGTTTCTCATGATTGGTAATAATAATAATAAGAGGCAACTTGAAAGAGCACTCACTGTGTTCCTTGTGCTAAGTTTTTTACAGATCTTGCCTCATTTAATTCCATAACAACCCAAAGAGGGCTGTTATATTCCCATCTTACAGCTGAGGAAACAGAGACCCAAAGAGGTGAGGAAACTTGCCCAAAGTTCCACAGCTGTTAAGTCCTAGAGTTGGGATGGGAAGCCAGGCCTGTCTGACTCGAAGCCCCTTAAGTCCTAAGAACTCTTCTTAAAGGAATGCTTTTTCTTTTGAATCCCAAAGACTTTGAAAGGAAGTACTTCCTATTCATATGAATGAATACATTGTCATTCATTCCCAGCGCTCAAGCTAGGACACAGTTTGATAAACCTAGGTTAGAGTTCCCCATGGTTGTGTCTAAAAGATCTTAAATTCTGCCTGATTCATAGTCTCTGCTTAAGTGCTGTAGTATATCATGCCTCTTTACAAATGTTGAAAATGCTCAGGTTGATTTAAAATACCTGCTATGGACTGAATTGTGTCTCCTACAAAATTAATACGTTGAAGCCCTAACTCCCAGTGTAGTTGTATTTGGAATAAGGAGCAATTAAGGTTAAATGAAGGCATATGGGTAGAGCCCTTTCTTACAGGAGTAGTGTTTTTGTAGGCAAAGACATCAGAAAGTGTGCTCTCTCTGTCTGTCTATCTGTCTGTCTGTCTCTCTCTCTCTCTCTTGCTCTTTCTCTGTCTGTCTTTGCCATGTAAGGACACAGCAAGAAGGTGGCCATCTATAAGCCAAAAAGAAAGCCTTCACCAGGAACTGAATTGGCAGGCACTTTGATCTTGGACTTCTCATTCCCTAGAACTGTAAGAAATGAATTTTTACTGTTTAAGCCACCCAGTCTGCAGTATTTTGTTATGGTAGCCCAAGCAGGTTAAGATAATACCCACTTTTTTTCTCAGTTCATTCCTCTAAAAATGCTATGTCCCCAGTCCTGATATATGAGCTTCCTACATTTACAGCAAAGATCTTCTGAGACAATCTTAGAAACAGTGCAGAGAAACATCACCATTTTACATGACACAAACTAAGCATAAATCTGGCTAACTGGTCCCCTTGTTAACAGAATTGAGCCCATTCAACTGTCTCTTTATACTCAATGGGTGCTGAATATATTTTCATTTATTGTCTGCCTTCTTCTGCCTCTGAGACAGGTAAATGGTGTTGAGAGGCATGAGGGCTTCAGTTAATTTCTCCCTCACTCTATAGAATGGATTACCACTATATTTCAGCTTAAATGCTTGCTCAGGCTAGAAATACTAACATTAAAAGAATATTTTGGTTTGACAATGTGAACTTCATTTTGTTTCATCACAGCTAAGTTTTTTTAAATGTTTATTTTTGAATAGTGTTGTGGGTTGAAGTGCATCCCCCCAAAATTCATATTCACTCAGAACCTCAGAATGTGACTTTATGTGGAAATAGGGTCTTTGCGAGTGTAGTTAGTTAAGGACTTCCAGACTAAATCATCTTGGATTTAGGGTGGGCTCTAAATCCAATGAGTGATGAGCTTATAAGAGGAAAGGACACAGGAACACAGAACAGAGGGGAAGATGAGATGGAGCCAGAGACTGGGATGACACATCTACAAGCCAAGGAATGCCAGGAGCCACCAAAAGCTGTCATAGTCAGGGAAGGATTCTTCCCTAAAGTTTTCAGGGAGAACAGGCCCCTGCCAGTGCCTCACCTCCAGAACACTGATGGAATAAATTGGGTTATTTTAAGACAGAGTTTATGGTAGTTTGTTATGGCACTGCTACTGTAGGTAATATAGGCACATGGTTAAATTATACATAAAGGTAGACAGTGAAAAGTCTGACTGTCCCCCATCTACCTGGCACTCACCCTATGCCCCCTACACCCCTAAGAAACCAGTATTATTAGTTTCTTGGGTATCTTTCTAGAATTTTATATATATATATATATAAAATTAAACATATGAATATATATACACACACAGTCAAATGTGAATATATATTCTTTTTTTGGCTTATTTTTATGGAGCATTAGCCTAGATATGGTCTATGACATCATTTAAAATTTTTTAACTTTTTTTTTTAACTTCTTATTTAGTTTCAAGGGTACATGTACAGGGTTGTTATACAGGTAATTGCGTGCCACGGTGGTATGTTGTACAGATTTTTTTGTCACCCAGGTAATAAGCATAGTATCTAATAGGTAGTTTTTTGATCCACCCCCCCCCCACCCCCTCCACCCTTAAGTAGGCACCAGCGTCTGTTGTTCCCTTCTTTGTGTCCATGTGTACTCAATGTTTAGCTCCCACTTATAATTGAGAACATGTGGTATTTGGTTTTCTGCTCTTGTGTTAGTTGGCTAGTCTGCTAAGGATAATGGCCTCCTGCTCCATTCATGTTCCTGCAAAAGACATGATCTTGTTCTTTTTTACGGCTGCTTAGTAGTCCATGGTGTATATGTACCACATTTTCTTTATCCAGTCCACTGTTGATGGGCATTTAGGTTGATTTCATGGCTTTGCTACTGTGAATAGCACTGTGGTGAACATGTATGTGCATATGTCTTTATGGTAGAATGATCTGTATTCCTTTGGGTATACACCCAATAATGGAATTGCTGGTTTGAATGGTAGTTCTAAGTTCTTTGAGAAATTGCCAAACTGCCTTCCATAGCGGCTGAACTAATTTACATTCCCACTAGCAGTGTTTAAGCATTCCCTCTTCTCTGCAACCTTGCCAGCATCTGTTATTTTTTGACTTCATAATAATAGCGATTCTCAGCCTGCCCAACATGGTGAAACTCTGTCTCTACTAAAAATACAAAAATGAGCCAGGCGTGGTGACAGGTGCTGGAATCCCAGCTACTGGGGAGGCTAAGGCAGGACAATTGCTTGAATCCAGCAGGTGGAGGTTGCAGTGAGCCAAGATCACACCACTGCACTCCAGTCTGGGCGACAGAGCGAGACTCCATCTCAAAAGAAAAATAATAATAATAATAGCCATTCTGTCTGGTGTCAGATGGCATCTCACTGTAGTTTTTATTTGAATTTCTCTCAGGATTAGTGATGTTGAGCATATTTTCATATGCTTGTTGGCTGTGTGTATGTCTTCTTTTGAAGAGTGTCTGTTCATATATTTTGCCCATTTTTTAATGGGGTTGTTTTTTTTTTTTTTTTTTGCTTGTTAATTTGTTTAAGTTCCTTATAGATTCTGGATACTAGACCTTTGTCAGGTGCATAGCTTGCAAACATTTTCTCTTATTCTGTAGATTGTTTACCCTGTTGATAGTTTGTTTTGCTGTGCAAAAGCTCTTTAGTTTAATTAGGTCCCATTTGTCAATTTTTGTTTTGGTTGCAATTGCTTTTGGCATCTTCATCATGAAACCTTTGCCAGGGCCTATGTCCAGAATGGTATTTCCTAGGTTTTCTTCAAAGGTTGTTATAGTTTTACATTTTACATTTAAGTCTTTAATCCATCTTGAGTTGCTTTCTGTATATCGTGTAAGGAAGGGGCCCAATTTCAATCTTCTGCATGTGGCTAGCCAGTTATCTCAGCACCATTTATTGAATAGTGAGTCCTTTCCCCATTGCTTGTATTTGTCAACGCTGTCAAAGATCAGATGATTGTAGGTGTGTGGCTTTATTTCTGGGCTCTCTATTCTGTTCCATTGGTCTATGTATCTGCTTTTGTTCCACTACCATGCTGTTTTGGTTATTGTAGCCTTGTTGTAGAGTTTGAAGTTGGGCAATGTGATGCCTCCAGCTATGTTCTTTCTGCATAGGATTACTTTGGCTGTTCAGGCTCCGTTTTTGGTTCCGTATGAAATTTAGAATAGTTTTTTCTAATTCTGAGAAATATGTCATTGGTAGTTTGATAGAAATAGCATTGAATCTGTAAATTGCCTTGGGCAGTATAGCCATTTTAACAATATTGATTCTTCCTATCCATAAGCATGGAATGTTTTTCCATTTGTTTGCGTGTGTGTGTGTGTGTGTGTGTGTGTATACACATACACAATCAAATGTAAATATATATTCTTTTTTTTTTTTTTGAGACAGTGTCTTGCTCTTGTCACCCAGGTTGGAGTGCAGTGACATGATCTTGGTGCACTGCAATATCCACCTCTAGGGTTCAAGCAATTCTCCTGCCTCAGCCTCTTGAATAGCTGGGATTACAAGCACCCAACACCATGCCCAGCTAATTTTTGTATTTTTAGTACAAACAGGGTGTCACCATGTTGGCCAGGCTGGTCTTGAACTCCCGAACTCAGGTGATCCGCCCACCTCGGCCTCCCAAAGTGCTGGGATTGCAGGCACGAGCCACCACGCTGGGCAAATATATATTCTTATTTCTCCCATTTTCTTACCCAAAAGTTAGCCTTTTCTGAAACATTCTTCCCTACTTTGTTTTTTCACTTAGTAATATATTTTAGAATTTTTTCCAAATTATTACATAGTGTCCTCATTCTTTTTTTCAGCCACATAACATTTAATTGTATGAGTAAACCATCATTTATTTAGCAATATTCTAATTGACAATTTTGTTGTTTCCAATATTTTGAAGCTTAAACAGTGCCACAGTGAATGACTTTGTGTGCACATTTTTGTACACATACACAAGTATCTGCAGATAAATTCCCCAGGGGTAGAAGTGGTGAGTCAAGCAAAAGCATCATATTCCCACATGGCCCCACAGGATGGATGCTGTTTAGCCATCCAAAAGCAATGTGTTAGAGCATGTGTCTCCCCACAGCTTCACCAACAGAGTGTGTTACCAAATTTGTGACATCCTGCCAATCTCAGAGATAAAAATGTTAGCTCAATGTCATTTTAGTTTATTTTTCTTATTATGAGTAAAGTTGGGCATATTTCCATCAATTTAAGAACCGTTTATACTTCCTTTGCTTTATTTTTCTTTTTTTATTCTTTTGAGATGGAGTTTCATTCTTGTTGCCCCAGGCTGGCGTGCAATGGCACGATCTCAGCTCACTGCAACATCCGCCTCCCAGGTTCAAGCGATTCTTGTGCTTCAGCCTCCCAAGTAGCTGGGATTACAGGCGCCCACCACCACACCCGGCTAATTTCTTGCATGTTTAGTAGAGACGGGGTTTCACCATGTTGGCTAGGCTGGTCTTGAACTCCTCACCTCAGGTGATCTGCCCGCCTCAGTCTCCTAAAGTGCTGGGATTACAGGCGTGAGTCATCACGCTGGGCCCTTCCTTTGCTTTAAACTACCTGTTTATTTGTTCACTTACTTACTTATTTAACTTATTTTTGCTCATTGAAAAAAAAAATCACACAAAACCTATATTAGTTTCTAACAAAAAGGCATGAATTATAGGAATAGCAAAAGACTCATAGAGAAATTAAAATTTATCTGAAAGCCATCTTTAGTCAGGAAGACTTCTTCACAGACAAATAAGTAGTTAAATATATAAATCCTAAATATATCACACCATAAGCTATTTTTTTCTTCCTCTTTGGTTATGAGCTATTCCAGGGAGATTTAATAAGAGCTTTTTATTCAAGGATTTCCAAAAATGTCTACTCTAAAACACAAAGTGAAATTGCTCTTACAAAAATGTTGGTTTGATGAAAAGATAGAGTTCAGTCTGTTTTAGACGAATTTGGTTAGATTTTATTTATTTATACTTAACAACCAATGCGATACTATAGTTTTAAACTATACTTCATGTTACTACCATCATTTACTCAGAAGGCAATACTTTTTTTTAAAAAAAAAAGGGCAAACTAAATTTTAAATTAGGTTTCAGAATTCTACTCATAAATAGTCAATCAATATTGACATAGATGCCATCAAGTATGCAAAGATGAACAGAATTTCAGTTACAAAATTTGGAGGAAAAAGCTTAATAACATATAAAAATACTGACAAATTTAAGCTAGGATTGGCTCTAGGACATTTTATCTTATTTTTATACTTGTAAAAGGATGGATGACTAGACAGCACCAGAAATGCTGCCAAAACTATTGTTTGGTAAGAGTTGTTCATATTATTATTATTATTTTCTTAAATTAGAGGTAGGGTCTTGCTTTGTTGCCCAGGCTAGTCTCCAACACCTGGATTCAAGTGATCCTCCCACTTCGGCCTCCCAAAATGCTGGGATTACAGGCATGAGCCACTGAGCCTGACCAGTTGTTCATAGTAATGAAAAACAGATCAATAGGCCGGACGCAGTGGCTCATGACTGTAATCCCAGCAGTTTGGAAGGATGAGAGGGTAGGGATCACTTGAGGTCAGAAGTTCGAGACCAGCCTGGCCAACAGGGCGAAACCCCATCTGTACTAAAAACATAAAAATTAGCCAGATGTGGTGGTGGGCGCCTATAATCCCAGCTACCTAGGAGGCTGAGGCAGGATAATTGCTTGAACCCAGAAGGCAGAGGTTGCAGTGAGCCAAGATTGTACCACTGTACTATGGGCAACAGAGTGACACTCTGTCTCAAAAAAAAAAAAAAAAGGAAAACAGATCAATAGTCTCTAAGTTACATTTCACAAAAAGAAATCAATCACTGTGTTCTGATTTAACTTTTGGGAATCAGACAGGGCAAAACCCAAGTATCATATGTTCTATTTCTGTTCATCAACACAAATAAAAGTCAACAACAATACAAATTCACAAGAAAAACATATGGTTATGTTTCAGGTTCTACAACATAAGACAATGTGATATAACTCTCCTATAGTAAATTCCTATTTTTTCTGGAATAACAGATTATTAGAAATACGAATTTCCAAAATTTCAGGTAATTTAGTAACTAATTTTGATTTTGACACCAGCTGTTATGATGTGAAAAACTGTAAAACCCTACTGTTTTCTTTCTTTTCTTTCTTTCTTTTTTTTTTTTGAGATGCAGTTTTGCTCTTGTTGCCCAGGCTGGAGTGCAATGGTGTGATCTCAGCTCACTGTAACCTCCACCTCCCAGGTTCAAGTGATTCTCCTGCCTCCACCTCCCAAGTAGCTAGGATTACAGGCATCCACCACCATGCCTGGATAATTTTTGTATTTTTAGTAGAGACGGGGTTTCACCACGTTGGCCAGGCTGGCGAACTCCTGACCTCAGGTGGTCCATCCACCTAAAACCCTAATGTTTTCTGTGTCTTAGCAGAGAAAGGACAAGGAGAATGCTGTGCTGAAATTCACCTGCTACTTCATTCTGGACCCAGTTTCTGATTACCCATTCAGTTCCCATGCTACCAACCTGTCCATCACCCCACCCTGCCTCTCCCTAGCTCTTAACTCCTTTTACAGAGTCTAGTTTCCTTTCTGTCAACTAATTCCCAATGTCCTAGAAAACTCTGCTTTTCTGCTTTAACGTTGATCCTAATCCATTTTAAATAAAAAGAAATGCTATGATGCTTAAAATGTAATTAAATTGGAGATGGAAATCAAATTACTTCAGTTTTATGAAAAATATATTTCAAGTGTTCTGTAAATATTTGCAACAATAATAGCAAGAATACTTAGACTTTAGACTCTGCATGGGTTCCTTAATTACTTGGAATAGTATAATCTTACTTTGATTACCAGTAATGACAAAAAAGTGGGCAAAGGCCATGCAACATACATTTGTTTGTATGTATGTTTCTTTGTTTTTATAGAGACAGGGTCTCGCTATGTTGACCAGGCTGACCTTGGCCTCCCAAAGTGCTGGGATTACAAGCATGAATCACTGCACCTGGCCCCCAAAACATGCATTTTTTTGGAAAGAGAATGTCACTTGAAGATTTCTTGGAGTTGGTCAAGGCATTTGTATATCCAAAAAGATTGGAAAAGTACATATCACAGTTATTAACAATGGAAAAGACAGGGACACCCCTGCTTATCACTGAGTTTTGCAGAAACACATTTATAAAATCTTCTCTTATAATCACATAGGCCTTTAAGAACAATGAATATGGCCATGAGCAATGGCTCATGCCTGTAATCCCAGCATTTTGGGAGGCTGATGTGGGCAGATCACGTGAGGTCAGGAGTTCAAGACCAGCCTGGCCAGCATGGTGAAAGCCCATCTCTACTAAAAATATTAAAAATTAGCTGGGCATGGTTGGCACACATCTGTAGTCCCAGCTACTCGGGAGGCTGAGGCACGAAAACCGCTTGAACCCGGGAGGCTGAGGTTGCAGTGAGCCGAGATCGCGCCACTGTACTCCAGCCTGGGTGACAAGAGCAAAACTCCATGAGTATGCCTGCATAGCAGAATGAATGACAAATGTATGAAGTTCTATGACAGAAAAGAGATCCTCACAATCTACCTAACAAGCTTACAAAACACTCCCTTTACCCAGGCATTAAGCTGTGTATCTCTGAAACATCTGAAAAATACTTTTCTGTGAATTACTAGGCTGTAGGGAACTAGCACTTTTAGATTCCTTACAATTATCTCTAGTGGAACTTGGCATCTTTCCTCCATTAACTGAATGCTTCAACTGGATCTTAAAAGAAGGTTGCCAATTTTCTTCCCTTGAGCCTCTCCAAGGTTTCGAATGCTCTGGATCAGTTTGTCTTTTGAGGTTCCTACCTTTGGAATTCTTCCTCTCTCCATTTAGCAATTTAGGGGTGAGGATGTAGGTGCATAACTGATATTCATCTGGGAACTCTTTTTGCCAGTTTGGCTTCATTTGCTCTTTATCCATCTCTTTCTGAAGCTGTAATGCTAATAACCTTTCTTCTTCCCCTTCTTCCCCTTCTTCCCCTTCTTCTTCTTCCCCTTCCCCTTCCCCTTCTTCTTCTTCCCCTTCCCCTTCCCCTTCCCCGTCCCCGTCCCCGTCCCCTTCCCCGTCCCCT
Source organism: Homo sapiens (assembly GCF_000001405.40). NCBI lineage: Eukaryota > Metazoa > Chordata > Mammalia > Primates > Hominidae > Homo > Homo sapiens. Next base: position 25,473,319 of record NC_000004.12, on the reverse strand, counting down.
TCCCCTTCCCCTTCTCCTTCTCCTTCTTCATGTCTCTCAAAGAATATGTGTTCCAGGCCCGGAGGAGTGGCTCATGTCTGTAATCCCAACACTTTGGGGGGCCAAAGCGGGCTGATCACCTGAGGCCAGGAGTTTGAGGCTAGCCTGGCCAACATGGCAAAACCCTGTCTCTACCAAAAAAATACAAAAATTAGCCAGGTGTGGTGGCTCACACCTGCAATCCCAGCTACTGGGGAGGCTGAGGCAGGAGAACCGCTTGAACCCAGGAGGCAGAGGTTGCAGTGAGCTGAGATCATGCCACTGCACTCTAGCCTGGGCGACAGAGAGACTCCATACCAATCAATCAATCAATAAATGTTCCCAAATCTATGATTTTTTGTTTTTTTGTTTTTTTTTTCTTTGAGACAGAGTCTCGCTCTGTTGGCTGGAGGGCAGTGGCACGATCTGGTCTCACTGCAACCTCCACCTCCCGGGTTCAAGCGATTCTCCTGCCTCAGCCTCCTGAGTAGCTGGGGTTACAGACATGCACCACCACACCAAGCTAATTTTTGTATTTTTAGTAGAGATGAAGTTTCACCATGTTGGCCAGGCTGGTCTCAAACTCCTGACCTCAAGGGATCCACCCGCCTCAGCCTCCCAAAGTCGAATCTATGAGTCATTGAATAAAGTTTATTTCTGTTTCCTCTTGACCTGAGGAAGATTTGGGGAACACTTTCCTTCTTCTTGAAGAAAGCATGGATCCCTGACTGCTTCAGATGAAGATTCCTGTTTTTTCCCCTTGGAAACATCCTTTCTGATCAGTAATTTTACTTATATATTCTAATGAATTTGTTCTTTTTCTTATCAATTTCTAGAGGATTTTTATCCACTTGAGAGATTAGTCTTTTATCTATGCTAAAATTTCATCCAGTTGATTGTCTTTTTTAATGATGTTAATAACTTTTTAAAGCTAGAAATACCTTTTTTCATATTTTCTTTTTAAAAAGAAAGAAATTATTTCACATTTTCTGCTATGTTTTTATGGTTTTATCTTGTACAATGAAATCTTTTATCTCTTTGAAATTTATCAGGTTGAATTTTCCTGGACCAGTCAACTGGGGAGAAATGGGAACAGGCCAGGATAGCTCTCCAGGCTTTATAATCTATAAGGTCTAGCTTTCTCTGCTGCCACAAAGACAGACTGCTTCCTGCAAAAATGGCTTCACAAAGTATTTCTATAATACTTCCTGCATTGCTTCTCTGAATATAATTGAGTCTAGGAGATCTTCTGTTCCCAGCCTGCATATCCCAGTTCACTTACAGGTGGTTACAAACAAAAGCAATAACTTTCACATTTTAGAGCCCTTCCTTCAGGAGACAAATTTTTGGTGGCACTTTGTAACATATGAAACCACTGGGCCATTCCATCACTCTGGGTGCCACTCTCGTACAATCCCTAATCCAAAAGCCTGAGATCTGAAATGCTTCAAAATCCAAAACTTTTCAAAGGCCAACATGATGTCACAAGTGGAAAATTCCACACCTGACCTCCTGTGATAGGTTGCAGTCAAAATGCAAGTACCCAACACACAGTTTATTCAGCATCCCCAAGGAAAAAAGACCTTCTCAGCTGCCTTCAACTTTATATCTGGCATATATATTTTCCATGCATGCCCAGATCCCCCCATGCAAGCACACCCACAAAGGGTAAGAAAATGGCACGTGTGCAGGCCAGAAGCGCCAACAGCATGTTCCCCATGATATCCTACATATAACCAAGACTTATGTGCATTACTCATTGTGGTTTTCATTTATTTTATTTTGTTTAGCTTATTTTCTGCTCTGTGGTATAAAGATATTGTTGAAACTGTCAGAAAAGCCTGCAGACATCCCTTTAGTCATAAGACTAAACAGTCATAAGAAAAAATGGAAGCATTTATGTTTATCTATAGCAAGACAGGCTATTGGACAAACTAGACGGGGTGGAAGTGTGAAATGTCTTACAGAAGACTATGGTGTTGGAGTGACCACCATGTGTAACTGAAGAAACAGAAGCATAAGCTATTCACGTTCTGTGCTGAAAGAGATGAACAGAAGTTAATGACAAATATAGAAAAACCCTGCATCAAGCTAAAAGGGAAGATCTTGATCACGTATTGAAAGAGTAGATCCATCAGCATTGCAGTGAACACATGGCACTCAATGGTATGCAGATCATGAAGCAAGCAAAGATTTATCACAAAGGGAACTGTGAATATTCAACAGGCTGGTTGCAGAAATTTAAGAAAAGACAACAATAAAGTTTTAAAGATTTGTAGTGATAGGCTGGGCGCAGTGACTCACGCCTGTAATCCCAGCACTTTGGGAGGCCGAGGTGGGTGGATCACGAGGTCAAGAGATCGAGACCATTCTGACCAACATGGTGAAACCTCGTCTCTACTAAAAGTACAAAAATTAGCTGGGCGTGGTGGCACTCACCTGTAGTCCCAGCTACTCGGGAGGCTGAGGCAGGAGAATTGCTTGAACCCGGGAGGCGGAGGTTGCAGTGATTGGAGATCGTGCCACTGCACTCCAGCCTGGCAACAGAGCGAGACTCCATCTCACAAAAAAAAAAAAAAAAGATTTGTGGTGATAAAACATGTGTTGGTCATGAAGCAGCAGAGGAATTCATTGCCAAGGTCATCACTTATGAAAATCTGAAACCAGAACAAGTCTATAATGCTGACAAAACATCAATGTTTTGGTGTTATTGCCTCAGAAAGACACTGAGTACAGCTGATGAGACGGCCCCTATAGGAATTAAGGATGCCAAGGACAGCGTAACCGTGCTGGGATGTACCAATGTAGCAGGCAGAAATAAGGGTACACTTTCTGGGATAGGCAAAATCTTGCATCCTCCCTGTTTAAGGAGTGAATTCTTACCAGTCCATTGCTATGCTAACAAAAAAGCATGGATCACCAGGGACATCTTTTCCGATTGGTTTCACAATGATTTTGTACAAGTGACCTGTGCTCACTGCAGGGAAACTGGGCTGGATGACGACTATAAGATTCTTTTATTCCTTAACAACTGTTCTGCTTATCCTCCAGCTAAAATTCTCATCAAAAATAATGTTTATGCCATGTACTTTCCCCCAAATGTGACTCTGTAAATTCAGTTGAGTGACCAGGGTATCAGAGCAATGAAGACTAAACATAAAAACATTTTTGGGCCAGGCATGGTGGCTCATGCCTGTAATCCCGGCACTTTGAGAGGCCAAGGCGGGCAGATTACCTGAGGTCAGGAGTTCGAGACCAGCCTGGCCAACTTGGCGAAACCCCACTTCTACAAAAAAATACAAAAATTAGCCAGGCATGGTGGCAGGCACCTGTAGTCCCAGCTACTCAGGAGGCTGAGGCAGGAGTAATCTTGCCTGAGGCCAACTTGACTAATTTTTTAATTTTTGTAGAGATAGGATTTCGTTATGTTTCCCAGACTGGTCTTGAACTCCTGGGCTCAAGTGATCCTTCCACCTTGGCCTCCCAAAGTGCTGGGATTTCAGGCATGAGACACCACCTCTGGCCCAAAATTATTCTAAGTCAAGGTGACTGTGATAATAGTGATGATGAAGATGACGTTGTTAGCACTGAAGAAAAAGTGCCTATAAATGACATGGTGAAAATGTATGATGGACTTATTGAAGGACTCCAGCAGCCTTCATTCACAAAAGAACAATAAATTATGTCAGTCTATAAAATCAAAGAGAGATTTCTAAGACAAAAACCATCATTAATGGGGCAGATGACAGTGGAGGAAGCGTTTAGAAAAGCCTGTAATCCCAGCACTTTGGGAGGCTGAGGTGGGCAGATCACGAGATTAGAAATTCGAGACCAGCCTGGCCAATATGGTGAAACCCCATCTCTACGAAAAATATAAAAATTACCCTAGCATGGAGGTGGGTGCCTGTAATCCCAGCTACTCGGGAGGGCGAGGCAGGATAATTGCCTGAACCCGGGAGGTGGAGGTTGCAGTAAGCCGAAATCACACCATTCCACTTCACCCTGGGTGACAGAGCAAGACTCCATCTCAAAAAACAAAAAAAAACAAAAAAAAGGAAAGCCATCTTCATCATCCCTGGAGGACCCACTTCCTGGTCCCTCAACTGTTTCTGATATTTCTTCTTACCTAAAAAATAAATAAATAAATAAATAAAATACAGTGCACAGTAACCTTTTAATCAAAACACAGCATCGTAGGTGGAGACTGAACGCCTACTGTTAATCACCTGTCGCTGTTGTTTACCAGCTGATGCGGGTATTCTGGGGATGCTACTGTGCTGCTTAGTTACCCTGAACATTTTATTTTCTCACTGCATTAATGGTGTGTCATATTTTTTACTGCTAAGTACTTATGTGTGAATAAGTTTCAGAAAATAATTGCTTAGGGCCAGGCGCGGTGGCTCACGCCTGTCGTCCCAGCACTTTGGGAGGCCAAGGCAGGCGGATCACTTGAGGTCAGGAGTCTGAGACAAGCCTGGCCAACATGTGAAACCCCATCTCTACTAAAAATACAAAAAATTAGGTGAGGGTGGTGGCGGGTGCCTGTAATACCAGCTACTCGGGAAGCCGAGGCAGGAGAATCACTTGAACCTGGGAGGCAGAGGTTGCAGTGAGCAGAGATCACGCCTTTGCACTCCAGCCTGGGCAACATGAGCAAAACTCTGTCTCAAAAAAAAAAAAGAAAGAAAGAAAAAAGAAAAGAAAAGAAAAGAATCATTTATCCATAACATATAAACTCAAAAGTTAGGAATGATGGTGATGCCAAACAACCACGGATCATCTACATGGGTGGCAGGGCTAGGGACACTTTTGCTTTCTGATGGTTCAACATACACAAACTTTGTTTCACGCACAAAATTATTTAAAATATTGTACAAAATGACCTTCAGGCTAGGTGTATAAGATGATGTGAAACATAAATTCTGTGTTTAGACCGGGGTCCGTTTTTAAAGCTATTACATGATGTATATGCAAATATCTCCAAATCCAAAGACATCCCAAACACTTCTGGTCTCAAGCGTTTTGGATAAGGGACACTCAAGCTTGAGACCAGTGCTTCCTCCCATGTAAGGTCTCACCTTGGATATTTTGGGCAGCCCTTACAGGTATTGTAGAATTTGTGGATTATTTCTGCCTCTTAGATTCTTGAAAATGTGAATCGTGGGAAGGGTTAGAGATGAGGAGAGGAGTATGTATTGCTTTGTTGCTTTTGTGTAATTTCCAGGAGGAGAAACGGAAAGGTCTTGGCTTCTATTACTGTCGTCATCCTGTAAGTCTTCCAAGTGAACCACCACGCCCGGCCTATTTCTCCTATTTCAATCATCATATTGGCCTTCTCCCTTTTGCAGCCCCCTAATCTGGGCTGGTCCTGCACTGCTGGAGCTCCTTGTTTCAGAAAAGGAGCAAGAAGGGTGGCATGAAAACATTTTGGGTTTCAGTCCAATGCCTGGGTTCAAATCCTTTCTCTTCCCTTTCCTATGTGGCCTTGGGCAAATCAATTCAACTTTTCGAGCCTCTGATTTTTCGTATCTGAAATGAGGATGAAAATACTCACCTCATCCAGTTACACATGGAAAGTAAATCAGATGATGGATGTAATGTAGTAATTATCCAATGAATATCTGTGCCCTGGAACTCAATGGTGCTGGCATCTCCAGGCCCCTTCCTAAAGAAAAGAGGGCCAGGACAGATGGTAAAAATAACAGTGCTGTCCTCCGCAGTGCTCATTCTGTTACTCATCAGATACTGTATGAAATCTCCTATCTCACACACTTTGCCTAATCACATTTGCTCATCCAAGGCCAAAATCAACAACAAAAGGAAACTGGGATATTATTGGTCTCAAGATGGTCAGAACACTGAGAAACTGCAGAGTACATCAGGCTTCCTGCGATGAAATGGCCTGAGGATGAAGTCACGTGGCCCCATAAGAGCCGTCCCTCTGGGAAAAGTGTCCCCCACTGCTGGGGCTGGGGCTGCTCACCTAGTGAAGGAGGAAGAAAGGAAGACAGACAGTAAAAACAACAGCCACTGACAACAACTCAGGCTGGTGCTGCAGAGGGGTTTCCAAGCCCAGGCAGGAAAGGAGGCAGAAATGGAAGGCCGGGTTACCGGAAGAGGAAGGCTACAGGAAGGGCCCGAGACTGAGGGAGTGTCCTCCTAGCTCCTGGTGCTTTAGATGAGCTAAGACAAACCAGCACTAAACCCCGTCTCAGGGCCCATGGATCATTCTTGGGTTTCTTTGTGTTTTTTTTTGTTGTTGTTGTTTGTTTGTTTGTTTTGAGACAGGGTCTCCCTCTGTCGCCCAGGCTGGAGTAGAGTGGCGCGATTGCAGCCCCCTCCGCCTCCCAGGTTCAAGTGATTCTTTTGCCTCAGCCTCCTGAGTAGCTGGGATTACAGTCCCCTGCTACCACTCCCAGCTAATGTTTGTATTTTTAGTAGAGACAGAGTTTCGCCATGTTGGCCAGGCTGGTCTCGAACTCCTGACCTCAAGTGATCTGTCTGCCTCAGCCTCACAAAGCGCTGGGACTACAGGTGTGAGCCACCACGCTGGGTGCCATGGATCATTCTTATGGGCTGAACTGTGTCCCCACCAAAACTCATATGTTGGAATCCCATCCCCAAGGACCTCAGAATGTAGCCATATTTGAAGTCAGGGTCTTAAAAGAGGTAATTAAATTAAAAGGAGGTTATTAGGATGGGCCTTAATCCAATATAACTGGTGTCCTTAGAAGAAGCAGAGGAAATTTGGACACAGAGAGTTATAGAGGGAAGATGATGGAGACATACACAGGGGGAAGGTGGCCATCTGCAAGCCAAGGACAGGAGCCTGGGACAGGTCCTTCTCTCATGACACTCAGAGGGAACCAACCTTGGCTACACATTCATCTCAAACATCAAGCCTCCAGAAATGTGAGAGAATAAATTTGTTTTTTAAGCCACCCAGTGTATGCTACTTTGTTATGGCAGCCCCAGCAAATTAATGCAGTCATCTCTTTGGAGGAGGCTCAGTAAGCCAGTGACCTCCAAGTAGAGTCACAGGATCAAGAGCACGGGGCCCAGACAACAGGGGCACAGCACCTGAGCCTGGGGTTTCCACCCACGCAACCGCAATGATCTGCAGTAGCCAACCCCACCCACCCGACTAACAAAGGGACACCATCCCTGCCCAGCCCTACCAGACCTGTCCATACCCCGTGACTTCTCTTCCCTCTTGACTGCCCTAGGTGTTTGCCTGACCTGACTCCCACCTCTCACCCATTACACCACTGCCACCTGGCCCCCACTGCCATCTGCCACACAGCCACTACTGCAATACCTACTGGGTGACCACCGGTTCCATTCTTGCTCACAACCCACCTGCACCCATCTACTCTCCACACAGCAGTCAGGATGAGCCTTCTGCAACCTACACCCTCCTGTGGCTCCCATCCCACTTAGAACAAATCTCAAGTCCTTCCTATGGCCCAAAACATAGTATGAGGTCTGGTCCTGCCGACCTCCCTCCTGCGGTGTGCACCTTCTCCACCCACCCTCCTGGCTCGCCACCTTCCTTGCCATTGCTTGGACATATCAAACACCTTCCCATCTCGCAGTTTTTGCATTTGCTGTTCTCTCTACCCAGGAATGAGCTTCCTCCTGATAGCCACATGGCTCCCCAACTCCACTCCACCATTCTACCTCTTTGTCTGACACACGATCTTGGGTTCCTGGAGATGTCACATGCTCAAAGGCTAGCAATGACCTTAACACCAGTGAGCCCTGAGGCACCAACTTTTGCTGAATGATCACCATGTTATATACACAATCAGATTTCCTCCCCATAGGTCCCTGGAGCAGGTGGACACCCATGAGGATCCCTCCCTCCCTGGATTCAGGTCCCTGCTCAAATGTCACCTGCTCAGAGAACAGGTGACACCCTGTTCCCTGATCACCCTGGCAGCACACACTGGGATTTTTATTGCTCTCCTCCTCTGCTATCTAATTTTTCTCCCTAGCACTATATAGTTATTGTTTATTTATCTATTGTCTAGCTCCTTCTCTAGAAAACAAACTCCTTGAGAGCAGAAGTCCCAATGCCCAGGTCAGTGCCTGACACAGAGCTGACATCCTATAATGAGTGGGTTTCCTAAGAGCACATAGACTTTTACTCCCTGGCCTAGAAGAAGGACTGACTTTTGGTCAAAATCTCCTCATGTGTGAACACTAACTAACCTAACGCTATGCTACAATATGGCTTATTATAAAAATCAAGTCATAAATGTTAATTGTTTGTTAAACTCTTAGGTAATTAATCCGATTAAGCTGATGTTTCATGGTAAAAGTACCACATGTAAATATGCATCATATGAATGGGTGAATTTGTAAATAAATGATGCTGGGGTGGGGTGGGTCACCAGCCCTATATCCCCATTTCTCCAGACCTGCTGCAGGACAGAAGGTCGCTTGCTGCAGCCAGATTTGGTTTTTTGTTTTTGAGACAGGGTCTTGCTCTGTCACCCATACTCCATGTCTTCATGTACAGTGGCATGGAGATAGTGATCATAGCTCACTGCAGCCTTGACCTCCCAGGTTCCAGCAGTCCTCCTGCCTTAGCCTCCTGAATAGCTGGTACCAGAGGTGCATGCCACTATGTCCAGCTAATTTTTAATTTTTTTTTAGAGACACGGTCTCACTATGTTGCTGGTCTCAAACTCCTGGACCCAAGTGATCCTCTCACGTAGGTCTCCCAAAGCACTGGGGTTAAGTGAGCCACCATGCTCCAGGTTTTATAGCTCGGCTGTGAAGATGCTCCTGGGCCATTCAGCCCACAATGACCCTCAGCCTTTGAGCACCAGCAACCGCTTCCTGAGCGACTCTGTGTGGTGGACTGCATTAAGTGCTTGACACTCCTGTCACATGGAACCTCTCTCACTACCCAAGAAATCCAGAAGCTCTCTGCCTATGACCAGCTCCTCCTAACTCCAGCAGGCACTTCTCTGTTCTGCAATTTGGGCACTTTGAGCCCCAAGGTGTTTTTCTGTTTCTCAGTGGGCGTGAGAGGGTCTCTTATCTCCTTGATTTGACCAGGCTGAGGGCAAACTCTTGCTCCCTTCCATGTGGAATAAGCACCCAGCAAAGGCTCTGTCTTCAGGAGGCCTCAGCAAGTCTCTGCTGATTGAGCGACTAACAGCCTGGCTGTTGTGAGGGGAAGGGTGCCCTCCCTTTATTTTTATTTATTTATTTATTTTTGAGACAGAGTCTCACTCTGTTGCCCAGGCTGGAGAGCAGTGGCAGGATCTCAGCTCACTGCAACCTCTTCCTCCCAGCTTCAAGCGATTCTCCTGCCTCAGCCTCCCGAGTAGATGGGATTACAGGTGCAGCCACCCAGCTAATTTTTGTATTTTTATTTTTATTTATTTGTTTTTTTGAGATGGAGTTCCACTCTTGTTGCCGAGGCTGGAGTGCAATGGCGTGATCTCGGCTCACCACAACCTCCGCCTCCCAGGTTCAGGTGATTCTCCTGCCTCAGCCTCCCAAGTAGCTGGGATTACAGGCATGCGCCAACACGCCCGGCTAATTTTTGTATTTTTAGTAGAGACGGGGTTTCTTCATGTTGGCCAGGCTGTTCTTGAACTCCCGACCTCAAGTGATCCGCCCGCCTCGGCCTCCCAAAGTGCTGGGATTACAGGTGTGAGCCACGGCGCCCGGCCTAATTTTTGTAATTTTAGTTGAGATGGGTTTTCACCATGCTGGCCAGGCTGGTCTGGAACTCCTGGCCTCAAGTGATCAGCCCCCTCGGCCTCCCAAAATGCTGAGATTACAGGCGTGAGCCACTGTGCCCAGCCACTCTCCCTTTATAAGCCATAACCTCACCCATCAACAAACTGGCCCCAGCTGGCAGCAAATGATTCCAATAGAATATAAGCTCCTTGCAGGCAGGGACTTTGTCTGTCTCATTACCTGCCATACCCCGAGCCCCTAGAAAAGCCCCTATCAACATCTTCCTGCTGACAACAGGAGGGCCTGGTGGCCAGGCAGCAGGTGGCTCTGGTCACTCCGAGTTCCTTCTCCTCTTATTGCCTCATCCCTAATGCCTGCCTCCCCCATTCAACAGTGAAGTTCCCAGAGCACAGGCTATGGTCATTCACCTTTGTATCCCAAAGTCTAACATTTGCTCCTTCCGTTCATGGATTCTTTCAATAACTATTTATTATGTGCCTATGTAAGGGCCAGGCACCATTCCAGGCACTAAGGATACATTAGGAAAGAAAATGGGCAAAAAACCCTGCACTCATGGGGCCGGTGCTTCAGCCAAGGTTGACTAAAGGTGTTCTGTACACCGGGAACTGTGCTGGGGCTGGGTGACATGACAATGAGTAAGGCCCCAGCCCTCAGGAGCACTGTATTCCCAAAGAGATGGAAGATGTTAAGCCAGCAAACAAATGAATGAATGAATGGTTAAAGACTCTGATACCTGCTAGCCCAGGGCACAACAGGAGCCCAACTGGTGTTTGAAAGGGAGTGGTGTGGGGTGCTTGCTACTATAGACTAAATGTGTCCCATCCAAAATTCATGTCAGCTCCTAAACCCCAATGTGATGGTATTTGGAGGAGAGGTTGTGGGGGTAATTACGTAATAAATGTGGAGCCCTCATGAATGGGATTAGTGTCCTTATAAGAGAGGGCCCAGAGAGCCCCCTCCCCATTCCTGTCATGAAGACACAGCAAAAAGATGGCCATCCATGAACCAGGAAACGGGCCCCCATCAGACACTGACTCTGCTGCCTTGGCCTTGGATGTACCAGCCTCCAGAACTGTGAGAAATAAACTGTTGTTTATCAGCCCCTCGGTCTATGATAGTTTGTTACAGCAGCCCAAACGGACTGAGTTGCTAAGAGAACAAACTCTGAAGAGACAAACACCAAGGCTTGATATTGAGCTCTGCCACTCACCAGCTGAATGGCCTGTGTGGCCCCATCACCTCTCCAAAACCAAGTTTCCTTGTCTGTGGTATTCATTTCATGGGGTTGCTGTCATAACTTAGTGAGATTAGTATAGTGAGAGGTAGAGAGAGATGGAAAGCCCTTAAGATAACAGGCAGCCCGGTTCCAAAGCAAGCAGGAAGGGAAGCCAGGTTAGAGGTTCATTAGGAGGCCGAGTTGACAGTGACTGTTGTGACCTACTCTCCAGAGCCTGACACCAGTCAAAGGTGACAACTTTGCAATACCCCACCCCACTCAGTCCACCCCACTCCAGGCTTCATGAAACACCTGGGACTGGTTTTGCAGGAATTCTACCTCCAACATTCAGATGTCAATTAATATTAATATTCAGCTGAAGAAGTATGTATGGCCAAGCCCTTCCTGCACCAGATCCAACTGGGCACAACCAACTTCAAGTCTCTCTGTGCCAGCCAAGCTCAGACATTGCCCATTCTAACAACATCAAATGCAGAACAACCCAAGAAGCAGAGAAAATCTTGCCTAGGGGAGCATCCTTGTTGATATTTGGGATCCCAGTTAAAGTCCTCAGTGAAGCTCCTCATAAGCAGCATATTACTCCTGCCATGTGCCGTGTGGGAAAATCAGGAGGCAGCAGCTCAGATGCCGGAGTCCTGATTACTGGAGGGCCTCTAGTGTAGCTCATTCATCATTCATTCTTTCAACAAATGTTAATTTATTACCTACCATGGTCTCCAAATAAAATCAAATTTGTATTTGATCATCCATCCATTCAGCAAATTTTTATCCTAACCTCTATGTACAGGGTGTTGTTGGGCTAGGGTAAAGGATGGCAACATGTCACCATGTTTCTGCACATGCCAGTCCCTGGTTTTAAAATCTCCTTATGGTTTCTGCCACCATCACCACTTCCCCATCTGCCTGCTTTTCTTTTATGTAGCTAATTTTATCCCTCAAGGGTAGATTCAGGCCCATCTCCCCTTGGCCACCCCTCCTGGTCCAGATGCTCCTCAGCTCTGCCCCACACGGCCCCACCCTGTGATTAGCTCTGTCTTGTGCTTGGCCTACTGTTTGGTAACCACCTATCTCCTGGTCTTCCTTTCTCTCTAGATTGTGACCCCCCCTTTTTTTTGAGACAGGGTCATGCTCTGTCACCCAGGCTGGAGTGCAGGGGGGCGATCTCAGCTCACTGCAACCTCTGTCTGCCAGGTTCAAGCAATTCTCCTGCCTCAGCCTCCTCAGTAGCTGCGATTATAAGCGTGCACCACCCTGCCCAGCTAATTTTTTTTGTATTTTTAGTAGTGATGGGATTTCACCATGTTGGCCAGGCTGGTCTCAAACTCCTGACCTCAGGTGGTCCAACTGGTTTGGCCTCCCAAAGTGCTGGGATTACAGGTGTGAGCCACCGTGCCCAGCCTCTTCTTTTTTTTTTTTTTTTTTTTTTTAGAGACAGGATCTCACTATGTTGCCCAGGCTGGTCTTCAACTCCTGGGCTCAAGCCATCCTTCTGCCACAGCCTCCCAAAGTGCTGGGATTGCATGTGTGAGCCACCACACCCAGCTAAAAGGGCATTTTTAAATAAATAATTACAGCTAAATTTCAGGCATGCACCACCATGCTTGGCTAATTTTAAAATTTTTTTGTAGAGATGGGGGTCTCGCTATGTTGACCAGGCTGGTCTCAAACTCCTGGGCTCAAGCAATTCTCCTGCCATGGCCTCCCAAGTAGCTGGGATTATAGGTGTGAGCCACCATGCCCAGCCTTTTCCCCTTTTCATTTGTATTCCTTTATTTATTTGTGTTTTCTAATTTGGTACAAAATATGAAAAAAATCTGTGGAGTTTTGTTTCTTTGTGTCATGTAGAAAATGAAAAAGGAGGGAAGTAACAAGGAAGACAAAATACACCTTTTAATGTCAACACTGTTTGGTGTTTATTTGGTGACCCTGAGGGCAATTTTCATTCTCATTTCTTTTTCTTATTGATGTTTCCAACCCTTTCAACAGTGACCATGTGTTGCTTTTGTAATTACAACAACAAGAATCCCTATACACAAAGCAAAAAACATATAGTTTGTCTTGTTTTTAAGAAACAAAGATTAAACTACACTAAAATACAAGGCGATTATCTCTGAATAAGTTTTGGGGCAGTTTTTTTCACACTCATCTCTGCTTTCCAAATTCCAAAGATAAAAAGATACTACTTGAATAAGAAGAAAAATAAAGGGAGCTGTGTTTCACGCCTTCCCTCTTCCCTTTTTCCCATCCTATCTAATATCCCATGAGGGTCTCCAACTTCAGCAGGAGCTAAGAGCCAAGAGTCGTCTGGGAGATGACTTTAGTTTCTTTCTCTCCTTTCTTTTTTATTGTGTGGTGAAGAAAGAAATCATAATCTGACGCCTAAAGAGGATTTCACCTTTGCTCTTGGTTGGACTCTAAATCACATTAGGACAATTAAAAAACCACAATGAGAAACATCTTACACCAGTCATGATGACTACTATTAAAAAGTCAAAAATAGGCTGGGCATGGTGGCTCACTTTGGGAGGCCAAGGCGGGCGGATGAGGTCAGGAGTTCAAGACCAGCCTGGCCAACATGGTGAAACCCCATCTCTGCTAAAAATACAAAAAAAAAAAATTAGCCAGGCATGGTGGCAAGCACCTGTACTCCTAGCTACTTGGGAGGCTGAGGTAGGAGAATCTCTTGAACCCGGGAGGTAGAGGTTGCAGTTAGCCGAGACCATGCCATTGCATTCCAGTGATAAGAGTGAGACTTTGTCTCAAAAAAAAAAAAAAAAAAAAAGTCAAAAATAACAGACATTGGTGAGAATGCTGAGAAAAGGAAACACTTATACACTGTTGGTGGGAATGTGAATTAGTACAACCTCTGTTGGAATGAGTATAGAGATTTCTCAAAGAACTATCATTTGATCCAGCAGTCCCACTACTGGGTAGCTACACAAAGGGAAAGAAATCATTATAACAAAAAGATACTTCCATACATATGTTATCACAACACTATTCACAATAGCAAAGTGATGTGGGTTGATGTGGAATCAACCTAAGTGTCTGCCAACAGATAACTGGATAAAGAAAATGTGGTCTATCTATATATATCAGAAAGAATAAAAAAGAATAAAATCTTGTCTTTTGCAGCAACATGGGTGGAACTGGAGGGCATTATCTTAAGAAAAATAATTCAGAAAGTCAAATATTACATGTTCTAACTTGTAAGTGTAAGCTAAATAATGAGTACACATGGATATGGAGAGTGGAATCATAGACGTCGGAGACTCATCAGCCTGTACAATATGGTGAAACCCCATCTCTACTAACAATACAAAATAATAGCCAGGTATGGTGGCGTTAGCCTGTAATCCCAGCTACTTGTAAGACTGAAGTGGGAGAATCACCTGAGCCCAGGAGGCTGAGGTTGCAGTGAGCCAAGATGGTGGGACTGCACCCCACCCTGCATAACCAGAGTCAGACCTTGTCTCAAAAAAGAAAAATAGTAAGACGCTGGAGATTCAAAAAGGTGGGAGGGTGGGATGGGGGTGAGGGATGAGAAATTACCTAATGGGAACAATGAACACTATTCAGCTGATGGTTATACTAAAAGCCTAGATTTTGCCTCTATGAAATATATTCATGTAACAAAACTGCACTAAGTCTATAAAAATAAAAATAAATGAATAGATAAATAACATTGGGGAAAACATTCTTCATGGAGTTTTAAAATTCAAATCAATACATTTTTTTCCCAAATAGATTGTAGAATCTTTGAGAGAAGGAACTATTTCCCAGTTGTTTTGATATGCCTCATGCAGTCTATTAAATTACCTGTGACAGGCAAACAGGGCTTCATCATTCACTCAGCAAACCTTTCTTGGAGGCTGCACTGAGCACCACCAATTCAGTGAGATCCTGGGAAATGAAGACCAGGCATGGGCTCTGCCCTAAAGGGTTCTCCCCTCCATTGTCTCCCATCTTTGTGGAGGAAACTGATCAGATGGATCCAAAAATCCAAGCTCGCCTCCTACCCTCACCCCATGGGAGGCCAGGCTCTATCCCTCAGTGAGGATTGATAGAATACAAGCAGAAAACTGGCATTCTAATAGAAAAGACAAAATGCTCTAAGAGCATCCTTGTTGATACGTGGGATCCTGATTAGAGTCCTCAGTGAAGCTCCCCAAAGGCAACATATTACTCCTGCCATGTACCATATGGGAAAACTAGGAGGCAGTGGCTCAGATACCAGAGTCCCGATTACTGGGGGCCTCTAGCATAGCTCATTCATCGTTGATCCTTTCAACAAATGTTGACTTATTACCTACCATGGGCCAAACACAGACTTGACTCTGGAGGCACAAAAATGAAAAGCTGGCAGGGTGCAATGGCTCACACCTGTAATCTCAGCACTTTGGGAGGCCGAGGTGGGCGGATCACGAGGTCAGGAGTTCCAGACCAGCCTGGCCAACATAGTGAAACCCCATCACTACTAAAATACAAAAAACAAACAAACAACAACAAAAAAAAAGACAAAAAAAAAACAAAAAACATGAGAGGCTGTGGTTAGTGAGAAGAGAAAAAGAATACAAGCAAGGCCAGGTGGGATGGCTTGCACCTGTAATTCCAACATTTTGGGAGGCCCAGGTAAAAGGATCACTTGAGCCCAGTAGGTTGAGGTTTCAATGAGCTATGATCGTGCCACAGCCTGGGCAACAGAATAAGACCATGCCTCTTAAAAAAAAAATCATGCAAGCCAACAATTATGCAATATGAAAATCCCTGGGAAACAGATGGGCCAGATAGCAGAGAGATTGCAATAGAGGTGCAGGAGGCTTCAGACTCTGGGGCTGTGACAGAGTCTAGCACAAGGAAGGAATGCTATAAACATTTGTGGGAGAAAAATGAGACAACAGACTTGGAAGATGAAGTGGAGGCAGGGGAGGGAGAAGGCATCCAAGCCAGAGGAAGCATTGTGTGCAAAGAGAGATGGAAATTCAGAAGAACCACAGGGGCTAGGAGAGAAATTCAGGGGAAAAAGCGGTAAGGAGGAGAGGCTTAGCAGGGTCCGGAGCTAGATTGTGAGGAATCTGGTACTCCAGGAAGAGAGATTTCACTGTGTCCTGTAGGTGCTGGAGTCACTGAAGAATTCTGAGAGAGGAAGTGACACATCTAAGTTGGGAGAAAGTTTCAGGAAATGAGTAGTCAGTAGAGGAGTCAAAAAAAATAAGGAAGAGCTTTAGAATTCCCAAACATTGGATTTGAAGGATAGGAGGTGATTGGGTCATTCTGGCATCTGTGAGGGAAGCAGGGAGGGAGTATTTGGGGAGGGGAAAAGCTGTAGCTGGGAGACAGGTAAAGAGGGCATTTATTATAACAGGGAAGGTGAAAAGGGCCAAGGTCTGAACTAGGGCGGGGCAGTGTTGACAGAGAGGAGGGGGACAGATGGGCAAGAGATTTAAGGGCCAGAATTGACAGCATTTGGTGGCTCATGGCATGTAGGGAGTAAGGAACAGTGAGGACTAAGATAAGACCCTGGATATGGCCATGGAGGAGGGAGCCACTATGATCCTTGACAAGACACATTTCTAGGTAGTGGTATGGGAACAAAGGATAGCTTAGGGTGCATTCAAGAGAGAATTGGAGGACAAGAAGTGGAGACAGCTGCTTCCAGGAGTTGTGTTAGGAGCAGAGACATAGAGCCACAGCTGGAGGCTGCTGGGGTCAAAAGCAGTTCTATATCTTAAAGGTGGGGGGTTTTATAGGACACTTGTATGTTGATGGGAATGAGCCAAAAGAGGGAGGGAAACTGGTGATGCAGGAAAGAGGAAGCCCCTGCAGGGTGAAGGCAAGCAGGACTGGCCAAAGAAAGAGTGCAGAGAAGTCATGGGTGGGGAGGCAGAGAGTGCAGATGTGTGGACAGGAGGCTGGCAGGAGCATCTTTTCTGTTGGCGTCTATTTTCTCAGTGAAACAGAAGGCTACATTATGAGCTGAGAGTGAGGATAGGAAGGAGGTGTTGGAGGTCTAAGGAAGGAGGAGAAGGTATGTTAGAGCATACCAAGAAAGGGAGCAGGGCCTGAGCAGTGACAACCAAGAGAGGGAGCAGGGCCTGGGGGGTAATGCATCCAGAATGGAGAAAAAAACAGTGAGCCAGGTGCCTGCGGTGCCCATGGATGCATGTGGGAATTACCAGGAGGTCAGCAAATGACAAGGACAACAAGAGTGCAAGGGGGCAGGGTATTGTGGAAATGGGCAGAGCCCCAGTGGAACTAAAAATCCCAATGAGGAGCATGGGGATTATACCTGCTCTAAGCTGGGTTGTTGAATGCAGAGAAAGAAGCTCCCTCCTCTCAAAAGAGCTGCAGGGTAAATGAGGTCCTCAAGCTAGAGTCTGGTTTCCCTTCGGGTTGGGAGGTGGAGAGTTGAAGGGAGGGTCAACAACTGGGGAGAGACTCCAGAGGCCACCATGGGAAATGTTGGGAGTGAAGTCAGCAGTTACGGGAAATCCATTGACATGTTCCTTTCTGATTGATACAAAGGATGCTTTCCTTTCCACTTTTGCAACCAAAGCCAATATATATCTGTTGAATGAATGATATGAATGGAAGAGTGATAAAATTATAAAAGGGGTGGGTCCTGGGTCATCAAGGGTCATTGCTATGGTTTGAATATGGCCCCCAAAGTTCATGTGTTGGAAACTTGTTCATGTGTCACATCTCAATGCAACCATGTTGAGAGGTGATTAGGCCATGAGGTCTCTGCCCTCACGAATGGATTGATGCCATTATTGTCAGGGCGAGTTCATTACTGGGAGAGCATACTTTTTATAACAGTGAGCTCGGCCTTCTCTTGATCTCATTCTTACTCCCTTTTGCCCTTCTGCCTTCTGCCACTGGATGACACAGCATGAAGGCCCTTGTCAGATGCCGATGCCATGCTCTCAGACTTCCCAGCCTCCAGAACCATGGGCCGAATACATTTCTATTCACTATAAATTATCTAGTCTGTTAGTATTCATAAAATGGACGAAGACAGTCATTTAATACCCTTTTCTTCCTCAAACTAAGAACTTGTCCCCCAAATAAACCACAAAGCTCTAATCTCTCCCTCCTCAGGAGCACCAAGATGAGGCAAAACTGCGTCTGCCATTGATGTGCAACTATCCCCCTCTCTCCATCCCTCTCTACACATACACAGGGCACCAAGTCTTACTGAAAAAAAATAACTCATCCAGACACAGAAACTGAGAGCACCTCCTTGCCTTCTTTCCTGGAGAGCAGGCTAGGTATTTCCATCTGAGAAAATACACAAATGTCAAGAAAGAACCAAGCACTGACAGCAGCAAACACAATGAGAGTGACTATTTACATAGTTCCATCAGGCATTAAGATGGTATTAATTTTCCATCTACTTCTGGGTTTTAAATGCCTAACCCCTGTCCTCTGTCTCCACCTTATATAGCCGGAGATTTTCACTGTGTCTAAATCTTATTTGCATCTGCCACCCTTTATTTCAAATCACTGAGACCTGGGGCCACTCACATCCTCATAGCTTTGCTCTGTGTGCCACAAGCATGATGCAGCCTTTCCCTAGCCAAGCCCTGGCAAAGAAGCAGCACACAAGCACCCCAAGAGAAAATAAATTCTCTCCAGGCTGCAGGATAGGTGCCAGATTCCTAAGTTTATCAGCAAAGCCCAGGTGTCCTCTTTGCTGCCTGGCCAGTTGACAAAAGCAAAGAAGAGTGTTAGCCATGGTTCACAATCATCCAAGAGGCTTTGGAAAGAAGAACTGGTACTGCAGTTGTCTGATTGTCTACACCTAACACGTAGATAAGGTTCTGCTGTCACTGCTCTTCAGAGGAAGGAGAATCAAGTGATCCAAGCCACTTGGCGTACTCAGAGGAATCAGGAAAAGCAAGAATAGAGAAGTCCATTCTTCTCACTGCAAGAACCCCCAGGTTCTGGGGTAGGTGGATTGAGTTCAAATCCTGACTCTACCATCTGTGTGATTTTGAGCAATGATGTAATTCCTCTGAGCATCAGTGCTCCAGCCTGTAAAATGCACATGTTAACTGCACTCACCTACTCACTGCTCAGGGTGGTTGTAGTGATTCCATTGTTAATGCAAACTAAGCTTCAGACACCAAAAGGGAGATATTCAATCACTGTCAGTCTCCCTCCTTTTCCTGGTAGTTTGTATTTATGATGACTCTAAACATCACTGATGGAATTTGAGTGCAACCACGCTAGAAATAGGTTTCACATAAACTGAGGCACCTCCTTCGTACATAGGAAACAGGAAATGATGGCATAGGAGATGAAAGAAATAGCTCTCCAGGCCTTTCAGGGGTCCTCTAGCAGGCAAACAAGGCCCTTGAAGATCTGCCTCAGTTTCCTCTTTTTTTAAAATTTTTTTTTTTTTTTATCAGGCAGCCTTCAGAATCACAGCAGATTCAGAGAGACTCCAGCTTCCTCTCAATACACTTTGGCATCCCTTGCACTTAGTGACTGGGTTCTCCTGAAGGCCAGTGCCCTTTCAGACCTCTAAGCCTTTGCATATGCTATTCCCTCTACCTAGAAAGCCCTTCCTTCTCTTCTTCACCTGGACATCCCCAACTCATTCCTGAGAACTAAGCTCAAGGGGCTGTCTCGCCTCCAGGCATCCTTCCTGGCCCCAGCAAAGCTGGGCTGGGTGTTCCTCCTCTGTGCTTTCTACTGTCCCAGTGCCCCGTGGAAACAGGATCATTACATGGCTCCTTGCTGCTCCATCGCTCCACCAGACCAGGAGCCCTGGAGTCAAAAACTGGGCTTCATTTACATATTAGCATTTCCAGTGTCTGGCACATAGAAGCCACCCAATCCATGTTTGGTTCAGTCATTCGACAAGTATTTACTGAGCAGCTGCTAGTAAAGCCTGACACACGGATATCATGGCAAACAAAAAGTCAAAATCCCTGCCATCATGAAGCTATGTCTAGGGGACAGATGATAAAAATGGAATCGAATAAGTATATTACAAGTCGAGTGCCAAGAATAAAAACTATCTTTGGCTAGAGTCACAGAAAATAATAATAACAATAATAATAATAAATAAAAAATAAAGCAGGCAAACAGGGATAGGAAATGTCTTGGGGAGAGGGGACAGCTATTTTATGCAGGATGGTGACAAAAGGCGGGAAGACAGGTGGGCATTTGCACGCAGCCTGGAAGAGGTGGGAATGGACGTGTGGACATTTGAGGGATGCACACTTCCCAGATTCACATTCCAGCTCTGTCACTTATTATCAGTGTTTTTATTTATTTATTTATTTATTTATTTATTTATTTATTTATTTATTTTTGGAGACAGAGTCTCGCTTTGTTGTCCAAGCTGGAGTGCAGTGGCACGATCTCAGTTCACTGCAACCTCCACCTCCCAGGTTCAAGCAATTCTTCTCCCTCAGCCTCCCAAGTAGCTGGGACTGCAGGCGCCCACCACCACTTCCAGCTAATGTTTGCATTTTTAGTAGAGATGGGGTTTCACCATGTTGGCCATGCTGGAACTCCTGACCTCAAGTGATCCGCCTGCCTCGGCCTCCCAAAGTGCTGGGATTACAGGTGTGAGCCACCGTGCCCGGCCCTGTGTGATTTTTAAGGACATCTCCTAACCTCTTTATGCCTCAGTTTCCTCATCTGTTAAATGGGAATAGTAATAGTACCTACTTCATAGAATTGTTGAGAGGTTTGAAATTGTGGTAAAATTTTTGAAATTGTGGTAAAATACACAAAATTTACCCTCATGACCATTTTTAAGTGTACAGTTCAATGGCATTAAGTACACTAAATTGTGCAACCATATCCATCTCCAGAATTCTTTTCATCTTGAAAAACTGAAACTCCATTAAACACTAACTCCTCAATCCCACCCCATCCCCGAGACCCTGGCAACAGCCATTCTACTTTCTGTCTCTGTGAGTTTCACTACTCTAAGTACCTCGCATAAGCAGGATCATATAATATTTGTCCTTTTGTGACTGGCTTATTTCACTTAGCATAATGTCTTCAAGGCTCGCTCATGTTGTGGCACGTTTCAGAATTTCCTTCCTTCTAAAGCTGAATAATAGTCCACTGCAGGTAGATACGGTATATTGTTTATCCACTGATCTGTCGTGGACATTTGGGTTGTTTCCCACCTTTGGGTTATTGTGAATAATGTTGCTATGAACATGGTGTACAGATATCTCTATCTTTCATTCTTTTGGGTATATACCCAGAAACGGACTTCCTTGGTCATATGGTAGTTCCATGTTTAATTTTTTGAGGAACCAATTACTATTCTCCACATTAGAGGCACCAACTTACATTTCACCAACAAGGCACAAGGGTTCCTATTTCTCCACATCCTTGACAATTGTTATTTTCTTTCTCTTCTTCTGTCCTCCTTTCTTCCTTTATTCCCTTCTTTCTCTTTCTCTCTCTCTTTCTTCCTTCCTTTGTTCTTTTTTTCTCTTTCTTCTCTTCCTTTTTTCTCTTTCTTTCTGTCCTTTTCTCTGTCTTCCTTTCTTCCTCTTTTCCTTGCTTCTTTCTTTTCCTCTCTCTTCCCTTTTCCTTCCTTCTTTCATTTTATTTATTTATTTATTTTAGAGACGGGGTCTCGCTATGTTGCCAAAGCTGGTCTAGAACTCCCCAGTTAAAGCAATCCTCCCATCTCAGCCTCTCAAAGTGCTGGGATTACAGGCATGAGCCACCAAGCCTGGCCTCTTTTTCTTTATTTCTCTCTTTCCTTCTCTTCCTCTCTTTCTTTCTTCCTTTCTGTCTTCCTCTCTTTTTCTTTTTTTGTCTCTCTCTGCCCCTCTTTTTCTCCCTCCCTCCCTTCCTTCCTCCCTTCCTTCCTTCCTTCCTTCCTTCCTTCCTTCCTTCCTTCCTTCCTTCCTTCCTTCGTAGCCATCCTAGTAGGTATGTGTTGAAAGGTTTTGGTGAGTTATTTATTTATTTATTTCCGAAACAGGGTCTCACTCTAGTGCCCGGTTGGCATGCAGTGGTGCAATCACACCTCACTGCAGCCTCAACCTCCTGGGCTCAAGCAATTCAAACTGCAGTATCACCTGAATCAGAATCACTTCAGACAATTGTGTTTAAAATGCACATTCCTGGGCCTCGGGACAATGGACTCAACAGCGGGAGCCCAGAAATTGGTATTTTTTACAGATACCTCCCGGGCCTCTTCTGTACAGAGAAGTTTGAGAAAGGATAGGCTAAAATATATTTTCTGAAGGTGCCCATCTCTCTTCCCAAAACATCTGTGGCCCTGAGAACCCCTCTGTCCCCAGGTGGGGAGGATGGAGACTTCAACACAGCCTGTGGAGGAGGCTGTGAAGGAGGAAACAGCCCAAGAACGGACATTTTGGGGCCAGGAGGGAGCCGAAGGGCTGGCGCAGTGGATGAAATGGAAACTATGTCAGAGGGTGGAAAGGGGGCCTCGGGGCAGGAGCCACGTGACAATTAGGAAGAGAAAAGTGGTTGAGAGAGAGGACATATGCAGGTGAGAGGGAGCAAAGAGCCTGTCCTGGGGAGGAACAGCTGCTGGGAGTCAGGACGAGGGCAGCCCCAGGGAGAGTGGCCTAGTGGAGCCAGGGAGACCTGCCTTCAACCCCAGCCCTACGGCAGACCAGCTGTGCAGCACTTGGTAAGTCACTGTCCTTCTCTGAACCTTTGTTTTTCCAACTCTAAAAAGGGGCAGATAATAGTGCATGTGCTTCCTACTTGGCAGAGCAGCAAATGACAGGAAGGATATGAAATTGTAAAGGGCTTTGGCAGCTGTAATTCCAGGGCTAAGGGTGGCAGAGGTGTTATTATCAGTGCCAGAGCACAGCATGGGTCTGGAGAAACCAGAGGCCAGGAGGCCACACAGCACGTGCTCAGGAATACAGACTGCAGCCAGACACCTCTCACTTTTTTTTTTTTTAAAACAAGGTCTCACTCTGTCGCCCAGGCTAGAGTGTAGTGGTGCAATCATGGCTTACCACAACCTCTGCCTCCTGGGATCAAACGTTCCTCCTGCCTCAGCCTCCCAAGTAGCTGGGACTATAGGCATGTGCCACCATGCCCAGCTGATTTTTGTATTTTTAGTAGAGATGGGGTTTCTGTTTCTCACCCAGGCTGCTCTCAGACTCCTGGACTCGAGCGATCCACCTGCCTAGGCCTCCCAAAGTGCTGGAATTACAGGCATGAGCCACTGTCCCCAGCCTCCCCAACTCCGTGTGGGCTGTGTATAGTGACTTCCTTCCAAAGAGCACAGTATGAAAATGGGGAGAAAAGAGTAACTTTATAGTAGAGAAACCTGACAAACATTACATCAGCCAGGTGATCAGGGTTAACAGCAGGCAGGTGATCAGCGTTAACATCAGCCAGGTGATCAGAGTTAACAGCAGCAGGGATAAACCATGTTGGGGGTGTGTACGCTTCATATACTGTGGTGTGGTGAGAGGGGGACTTTCCCTCTGGGATCTCCCTCCTAAAAACCCATAACCCCAGTCGAATCATAAGAAAAATCTCAGACAAATCGTAACTGAGGTCATTCTACAAAATACCTGGCTAGTACTCCCCACAACTGTCCAAAAACCAAGGAAAGTCTGATACATTTTCACAGCCAAGAGGAACCTACAGAGCCGTGATGACTATGTGGTATTCCAGATGGGCTCCTGGGGCAGGAAAGAGACATTTAGGTAAAAATTAAGGAAATCTGGCCGGGCACAGTGGCTCACGCCTATAATCCCAGCACTTTGGGAGGCCAAGGTTCCCTGAGGTCAGGAGTTTGAGACCAGCCTTGCCAACATAGCAAAACCCTGTCTCTAGGAAAATACAAAAATTAGCCAGACGTGTTGGTAAGCGCCTGTAATCCCAGCTATGTGGGTGGCTGAGGCAGGAGAATCACTTGATCCCAGGAAGTGGAGGCTGCAGTGGGCCGAGATTGAGTCACTGTGCTCTAACCTGGGTGACAGAGCAAGACTCTGTCTCAAACAAACAAAAACAAAACAGCAACAAAAAAACTAAGGAAATCTGAGTAAAGTATGGGATTTAGTTAATAACATTATAATTAATAATACTGGTTCATGAATTGTGACAAACATACCTTGCTAATGTCATATGTTAACTACAAGAATCTGGGTGTGGAGTACATGGAAACGACACCAGCTTCACAACTTTTCTGTAAATCTCAAACTATTCTAAAGTTAAAAGGTTGGTTTTTTTTTTTTTTTTAAGTACATTTCATTTTAGGAAAAGAAAAAAGGAATGGCATTTAACACTCAGCTTGGAAGAGCCTTGAGCAGAAGCAGTAAAATGAGGCTCTTCTCCCCAGCTGTTTCCCTCCAGGCGCATTTCTGGCATTCCCCTGGTTGGAAAAGAGAGTGAGAAAGTGAGGCTTGAGGCCAGGGTGTGTGAGTGGGAACAGCACAGGGAAAACGAAGCTCTCTGAGTTTCATTTCATCATCTGCAAAATGGAAACAATGAGGGTATCTAGGATTCAATGTGGTCACGTAAGTACACCACATAGCACACTTCCTGGCACATGAGTGACAGCTTGTAGCTAACATTCCCCTCTCCCAGAAGGCCAGGAGATTGGGCAGGTTCAGGACCTCGGCAGCAATAATGAAGTTGCCATGTTGTGGTCCTGCTCAGGGCATGTGGATGCCACGGGGCCAGTAGAGCCAGGAGAGCTTCAAGGGAGAGCTCTTAAAGTTTGGTCACCCCTATGGAGCAGGCTTCCAGTCCTCTCTGCCACCTCCTCATTGTGGGACAGTCCCACTGCCTTGCCTCTCTAGAGCATGATTTTCTTCTCTGTAGAAGTGAGACATTTGGACTATGGAGGAGTTGGTAAGGGGAGGGCAGGGTTTGGGGACAGACAGAGCTGAACTCCAATCCCTGCTCTTCCACCAGCAGTGGGACCCTGAACAAGCCTCAGTTTCCTCCTTAGTGAAAAGAGGATGTTAATACCAAGTTCGCAGAGTTTCTCAGGAGAATTCAAGCAGACGGTGTTGCAGTGCCTTGCCCAGAGTAGGTCCTCAAAAACTGTCAGTAACCTTCCCTCTTAAGGATTTCCTAGCTCTCGAGTCCTCAAATACTGAACAGTAAGTTTCCTACCCACCAGACTGGCCAAAAGTTACACATTTTGGCAACACTAAATGTCTGGTAAGCAGGCAGGGCCACAGGAACTGTTCCACAACACTAGTGAGAGTTTATGTTGGTATTGATCACTGTGGAGTCCAGTTTGGCAACATATAGTAAGGCTGGATATTTGCAGATCCCTTGACCTAGGAATTCCACTCCTAGATACACCCTCTAGACGCATTATAGCAAGAAGACAAGCAGACTGGTAGGAAAGTGTTAATTGAAGTAACAGCACAAACTTGCAACATCCTAAATGCCCACAGCATAAAAATGAATACATAACTGGTGGTGTATTAACCTGGTGGAATACTCTAGACTTCAGACTTGAACTGACTGAACTGCAGCTCTCTGTATGAAAACAGGCAAATCCCCAAAGCATAACATTGAACAACAAAAAGGGTAAGTTGGCCAGGCATGGTGGCTCACACCTGTAATCCCAGCACTTTGGGAGGCCAAGGTGGGCAGATCACCTGAGGTTGAGTTCGAGACCAGCCTGGCCAACATGGTGAAACCCTGTCTCTACTAAAAATACAAAAACAAATTATGTATGGCATGGTGGCAGGTGCCTGTAATCCCAGCTACCTGGGAGGCTGAGGCAGGAGAATCGCTTCAACCTGGGAGGCGGAGGTTGCAGTGAGCTGAGACCAGGCCATTGCACTCCAGCCTGGGCAACAAGAATGAAACTCCATCCCCCCCGCAAAAAAAGAAAGGGTTAGTTGCAGAAGGCTGTCTGTATAAGGACATAATCATTTGTAATTTATATGTATACATATTATATATTATTATATAATAACAGCTTTATATTATACATTAGGCATGAACTTTAAGAATACATACAGTAATATAGCTATTTATGGAGAGAGTATTTGTAGTAATAAAATAAAAACATGCCTGGAAATCATAGCCAAGTTCAGAGGGAGGGAAGAAAGAGAAAGAATTGGGGAGGGATACACAGGGGACTTCGACTGTGTCTATAACAGTTTCTACTTTTAGAAAATAAAATCTGAAGAAAATATGGCAAAGTGCTAAAATGTCCTAAACCTAGGTATCAGGTACATGGTGCTCACTACATTACTGGCTGAGCTTTTCTGCTTGCTAAAGTCATGCACCAATTTTCAAGGTCTCTAATATTTGATGAATTTCATGCCGGGACCCTTGGGCGCAATATTTTAAACCACCCTTTAATTAACGAACTTGGCTTGCTTGGCTGTAAACACTTTCCACCTACTCTCAAATCCTGCCCTGCCCATCTGTAGGAAACACTCTTGGGGCTCTCACCCCACTTCCCTGAAATCTTGGAGAGTCCCCTCGGTCCTCGCCCCACTTTTCTGGAATGTTGGAGAGTCCACTGTGGTTCCATTGAGTGTCTGTTTCCGTTTGTTTTAGGAGTCATCTGACACCCAGCCCACCCCAGGAACATTTTGCATACTTCTCCCTCACCCCTGGAGAGGTTTTGAGTGCTGTCACTGGACCAGAGAAAACATTGTTTTTCTCACCAGGTGACTCTTCTCAGTCACAGGTACCAGGAAGCCTGAGGACACTTGCCAGAATCAAAGGCTTTCCAGAAAGGTCATTGTTAGCAGGCCACGCCCAAAAGGGGAGACACTGTGTCCATCAGCTGGGGGTCTGCTGGGGCCCCTGCCTCATCTGCACCCTCAGGAGGTTTCTGGGGGCTGCTGCCTGCCTTTTTCAATAGCAAAAACCAACTCCAGCATTTTAAGAACTGTACAAGTGGGGGCAGAGAGCAATCATCCCTCCAAGTTATTTCTCCAAATCCACACTAAAAAAGCACTTAAGGAAATATCTAATAGCTTGGTCTTTGGTCCTGATCAGAAAAAACAAAATCATCTTTCATTTTTCTATATCAGAGGTCCCCCCCGCCCATGCCCACACGCATGCAGTTCTCCTCTGCCTCCTCCAACTCTTTCTAAACATGAAATGAGAACTCATTATCTCCATGTGGAATTCTGGGAAGAATCAATGGAAAGGTAGGACGGCAGGCAGGTGGCTGAGTCTGTCTTGGTCTTGCCACCTCTCAACACTGGACTCCACTCACCATTCCAGAGGGCACCTTTGCAAGGGTGTTCCCCCTCCTAGATTTCCACACTGAACACCAACAGGGGCTACTCTAAGTGCTGGCCCGATGGCAGCAAGTCAGGCAAAGAACTCTTTGCCCTGACAGTGCTTACCCTCTAGTGAGGAGAGAGATGATTTAATAAGCAAACAAATAATCACATCATATAATTGCAGGGAGAGACGCGTGCTAGGCAGAAAAGCAAAGTGGGAGAATGAGAGAAAGAGGGCCTGGGCAAGGAGGCTAATACCTCGTCTGTAGGATGAGGAGGCCTCTCTAATGAGGCAGTTTTGAGCACAGGGGACATCTCAGCACAGGGAGGTTAGGCATGTCTTAAGAAGAGGGACCTAAGAGGAGGCTATGGGAGGTGCAGGTGGCAATTCAGCCAGGGGCAGACTATGTCACACACCGTGCTGTGAGAGCGAGGCCATGGCTGCCATTTACAGAAGAAGAAACAGATGGTCTAGGTGGTTATCGGGTTCACCAAGACCACACTGCCAGTTTGTGCTAGCTGAGCCGGGTCATCTGACTCTGAGAGCTATGCTTTGAGTTACTCCCTGCCATCTCTCACTCCAGGACACATACAGGTCCATGTCCCTTACGCACAACCCAGCGCTGGCCGTGGGCTGGAATCCAGGATACTCACATTTCAGAAGGTTCATAGAGTGCAGGCACAGAGTCATCTTCGACACTCCTGGGAGATCTGGAATACAGAGCACACCACAATTAAACATATTCATATTTATGCGGCAAACATAACGATCTTTACACTCAGTATGCTAAATAAATAATAGCTCAGGACAGGTGGGCTTTTGCCACCAAATGCACGGCACATGCCAAATTAGTTACTAAAACAAAATAACAACTTTTGGTTTCCAGAGCCTCCTGGATTTCCACTAAAAGCACTGGGGACACCATTTTAAATTCTGAAAATGACGGCTCTGTGAAGACAGAAGATGGCAGAGCCAACTGGAAACCAGATCACGCACATTTATATCTTGGCACGGCCCAGACTATGGGAAAAGCCACCAAGGGGATGGAACGCTGAGATGCAAACTTCCTCCTTGGCAAAGGAGACAACAGCAGCTCCAGAGCTGTTGGCAACACGCAATCAAAAGATGACATGGAAGTCCAAGTCCAACAGCCAAGTTAGAAGGGCAACTAGTTAGAAAGGTGGAAGCCCAGCTCTCAAATGAAGCTACCACATTTCATTTCAGCTCTTTGTCTTGTACTCTTGCTAGACCTGGGTTGGGTTTGAAAACATGGCCAGAGGCAGAGAAGTTATAGGTGGGAAAGATAGAAAAGCATCTTAATTTAAACTAAAAAAAAAAAAAAAAATCACCTTGGCCAGGCATGGTGGTTTACGCCTGTAATCCCAACACTTTGGGAGGCCGAGGTGGGCGAATCACTTGAGGTCAGGAATTCGAGACCAGCCTGGCCAACAAGGTGAAACCCCATCTCTACTAAAAATACAAACATTAGCCGGGCATGGTGGCGCGTGCCTGTAATCCCAGGTACTCGGGAGGCTGAGGCAGGAGAATCGCTTGAACCTGGGAGGTGGAGGTTGCAGTGAACCGAGATTGCACGATTGCACTCCAGCCTGGGTGACAGAGTGAGTCTCCAAAAAAAAAAAAAAAAAAAAAAAAAACCACCTTATCATCCGAGTAGTGTTGTACTGCCCCTCCTTGGAGTCTGAGTTAATTTGCATTTTTCAGAAGTGCTGCATTTCTCCAACGCTTCTGAGAAACGCAAACCAGTTCGGAGACTCCTGCCTGGGCTCCCCTTCTTCACTCTGCCTTAACCCTTTCTCCTGTGCCTCTTGGAAGAGCCAGAAACTGAGGGCAATTCTGGCCCGATGGTGGCACTGTGGATGGGGAGTGGGACATGAAATCTAGGAAATATTTCAAAAGTATAATCCAGACTGGATACAGTGGATAAGCAAGAGAAAGGAGAAAGTGAGCCTTAAGCTTAAAACCCGGGCATCTGAACTGCGGTCTATCTTAACCAAATGCCAGAAAATTAACACATCAGCATTAACCCTCTTCAGATGACCCCCTGGAACCTCGTGCCGATGGTCATTTCCACCTGTTACACACTGCGATGTTCAGGGCCTGGGCCTGCTCTGCCTGTGTTTCAATTCTGTCTCACTGATGGAACTGTGTGGGGTTTCTTGGTGGTGTTGTGTTTTTTCTCTTTAACATTTTTTTAAAATTTGGGTCACATCTATTATATAAACTTGCCGTTTTAGGCATTTTTAAGTATGCTATTCAGTGGCATTAATTACATTCACAATGTTGTACACGTCATGTTCCTTATTTAACTTCAGAAAGCCTAGTCCTCTCATCTGTTATGTGGGGGTAACAATAGCACCCACTTTTGAGAGAAACTGCAGGATTATCCGGGATAATCCAAGTGAAATGGCACAGTGCCAGCGTATAACTGACCCTCAACAAGTATTAGCTATTTTGTTGTTTTTGTTTTTGTTTGAGACGGATTCTCACTCTGTCGCCCAGGCTGGAGTGCAGTGGCACAATCTCGGCTCACTGCAACCTCCGTTTCCCGGGTACAAGCAAGTCTCATGCCTCAGCCTCCTGAGTAGCTGGAATTACAGGCATGCACCACCACGCCCGGCTAGTTTTTGTATTTTTAGTAGAGATTGGGTTTCACCATGTTGGTCAGGCTGGTCTCGAACTCCTGACCTCAAGTGATCCACCCGCCTTGGCCTCCCAAAGTGCTGGGATTACAGGCGTGAGCCACCACACCCAGCCAATATTTGCTGTTTTATGCTTTATTCCACTTCCTCCTGTGTGCTCCCA
This sequence comes from Homo sapiens, assembly GCF_000001405.40. Taxonomy (NCBI): domain Eukaryota; kingdom Metazoa; phylum Chordata; class Mammalia; order Primates; family Hominidae; genus Homo; species Homo sapiens. The sequence goes on along the minus strand of NC_000004.12, from coordinate 25,443,318 downwards.
GTTACACTGGCCATCTTGGTGCCCTCATCACCTCCTGCTGATGAACACCTCCCCCGCCCCCTCCACAGTGACCACAGGCTCACCCTCCTAATGGGTAAATCAGATCCAGTCCAGTTTCTGGCTCACAATCCCTCCCGCCTACTCATCATCCTCAGTGGACGTAGCCCTCTCACTTGAACGTACACCCACATCACCTGAAGGGTAGAATCACCTGGAGAGCGTGCTTACCACACATGGCTTGCTGAGCAGGGCCCTACACCTCTGGTCTCTGATTCAACAGGTGTGGGTGAGCCTGAGATTTTGCATTCCTAACCCCTTCTCAGGTAAGGCTGATGCCGCTGTCCAGTGACCCCACTTTGAGAGCCACTGAGCTGGAGAATGAGGTATGCAGAACCTGATTCCGTACCTCATTACTCCGTGGCCACCACCCCTCCCCATCGGGAGGCAGCTCCTGCTGGGTTATTGCAATAGGCTCCTCACCAGCTTCCCTTGTTCAGCGCTTTCTTCCCTACAGTCGATTCTTAACACAGCTGTGAGTGATTCTTTTACCACAGAACTAGGATCCTGTTCTTCCTCTCCTTAAAATGCTCCAGTGGTGGGCCAGACATGGTGGCTCATGCCTGTAATCCCAGCTCTTTGGGAGGCTGAGGTGGGAGGCTGGCTTGAGCCCAGGAGTTCAAGACCAGCCTGGGCAACAAAGCAAGACTCCATTTGTACAAAAAATAAAATAAATATAATTAGCCTGGTGTGGTGGCACACACCAGCTACTCAGGAGGCTGAGATGGGAGAATCACTTGTGTCCAGGAGGTAGAGGCTGCAGTGAGCCACGATTGTGCCACTGCACTCCAGCCTGGGAGGCAGAGCAAGACCCTGTCTCAAACACAAAAATCCTCCAGCGGTGTCCCATCTCATTTAGGATAAAACCTGCTGGCCTTACCATTTCCTCTGAGGTTTATTGATCTGGCCCCTGCACCTCTGCGCACCTTAGGGCCTTTGCTATTGCTGTCCTCTGGCCCCCCCATCCCACCACCACCCCACCCCCCACAATCCCAGATATTCACCCAGCCTCTTCTCTCACCTCACTCAGATCTCTTCTCAAATGCCCTAACCTAGATAGCAACTTCTTCCCTCTTCCTTCCTTTCTCTCTAGCTCCTTAACCTGCCTCACCTTTCTTTGTAAGCTGTGCTGTTATGTGAAATTACCTTGCTCATGTATTTGTGTACTTGATTATTGTCTATCCTTCCCTCGCCATTAGAATGTAAGACCATAAGGGCAAGGCTTGGATGTTGATCAGCGCCCACAATGATGATGGCATATCGGAGGCACACAGTGTTTGTTGAATGAATAAATGACACCCTAACTTCCTAATATGGCACATCATCTCTCCATGATCTCTGCCCACCTCTCTAGCCAGACTTCTTGTTCCTCTCCAGAGAACACCCCAACCACACTCAACCTGACTTACAAGTCGGAGGAGGTGACCCAATCATTGACACCTCCAAGCTTTTGCACACACTGTGCTTTTGTCTGAAATGCCCTTTCCTACTTTGTCAGTCTAGGGAATGACTTACCCATATTTTCAGTTGGACTTGAGCGCCACCTCCTGATGAAGCCTGCCCAGGTTCCCACAGGCAGAGCTAAGCCCAACCCCTACACCTCTCATCTCATCTAGGTGCTTGTCCATCTGTGTCCTCTCCATCCACTCAAGGGCAAGGGCAAGGTCTTCATCTTGCATCTGCGGGAGCTGGCACAGAGCCTGGTTCATGGTACATGCCCCAGGAATATTGGCTGAATAAAAGAAACAATGAGCAGAAATCAGCCAAACCCCCTGAGTTTTATTTCTCTTAATATTACCCTTAAAGTGACAGAAATGATAATGCTAATTATCTTTAAAGCAATGCCTGAATATATGAAAGAAAAGTGAAATTTTATTTTTCTTTCTTTTTTATTTTTATTTTTTAAGGCAAAGTCTCACTGACTCTGTCACCCAGGCTGGAGTGCAGTGGCATGATCTTGGTTCACTGCAACCTCCGCCTCCTGGATTCAAGTGATTCTCCTGCCCCAACCTCTGAGTAGCTGGGATTACAGGCACCTGCCACCACGCCCAACTAATTTTTATATTTTTAATAGAATTGGGGTTTCATCATGTTGGCCGGGCTGATCTTGAACTCCTGACCCCAGGTGATCCTCCCAATATGCTGGGATTACAGGCGTGAGCCACTGTGCCCGGCCTGAAAAGTGAAATTTTCTAAACTTTCCAGGATGCTCTTGAGGCTCCTGACCCCCAAGTACTCCCTCATAGCTTGTGGGAGCCCAGGCAGAAGTCCAGGGAGTGGAGCAGGCACCAGGACCCCACCAGCTTCCTAGCAGAGCTCCACCTGAGTGTCAGGCAGAGGTGGGAGTGAACCCCACGGGAGGGGAGGTTTCAGGCTGACCCAGCTGACTCTAGGATTGAGCTTTTTCCTCTAGGAGAAACACGCAACATCCTCCGCCTTGCCCTCCTCCAGGAATTGAGAAAATGTGTGGGGACACTGCTTTCTTATCACCGCGGAGTTGTCTAAGTTGAATTTTCCCAGAGAAGTTAGCAGCATTAGTATCAGTAAAATGAATGTGCTGAATGTTCAACTTTTTCTTTTTTTCTGTCTGTTTTTGGTCTTATCAGAAACTCCAAAAATAAACATTCTTTCTCAGGCTTGACCCTCACATGGCCTTGGTGTTCCCCTTCTGAAGAAATCAAACGCAACAATGGAAGGGCTTTGCACAGCCCTGGCCACATGGCTCCCCTCCAAGGCAGGCCTGTCCTCTGATGGACGTAGGCGGCCAGCCAACTTGTGATTTAAAAGTTGGCACTTCATGTAATTGCACTAAAGAGAAAAGAGATCCTGGTGGGTAGACACAGGCTCTGGATTGTTAGAAAATTACGTTTCTCATTATAAATTGTGATTTTAAAGGCAATTGTTTCACTCCTAAAAGAGGGCAAAGAGATAACAAGACTAATGGACAGATGGGCAAAGACTAGGATGATGATGGTAGTGGTGGTTATGTTGAGGAAGAAGATAATTTTTTAAAATCAAGAGAAGTAGTGTCAAGCTTAGTGCTTTTTTCAGACCTACAGATGTGAAATCAAAGTGGCAGGCACCATGGGGATCTTTGCTAAAGATAATAGAGGCCCATCTGATGCCCAGCCTAAGGTATGGCTCCCTCTAGTGGTCAGAGGAATTTCTGCATTGGCTCCTTCACTTGTAACAGACGCTCAGGCTCCAGCTTTTGATGCAAGCCAGCCAGGAGTTGAGACTTGGTCACTGGGTTTCCAGGGTGTAATTTTTCCCACTTTCACCTCCTTCCCTATCTTCCATGGCCTCTGGCTCCCAGCCCTACAATTTTCCAAGATCTCCTTCTATAGGTCCCAAACTAACATAAATAATAATATTGATTTGTCCAGTAACCTAAGGTTTACAGTTTGCTTTTGCATCAATTATCTGAATCCTATCCTTGTAAGGTAGATGTACCCATTTTATAGGCAAGCAGATTAAGTCTCAAAAAGGTAAAGTGACTTGCTCAAAATCACAAAACTAGTTAAATTTAGCACTGGGAGTTAAACTGGTATAGTCTGAGCCCAAATCATGAGCTTTTCCATTTACATTGCAGCAGCCTTCAAAAGGGGGAAATTATATGGTTGATTTGAAATACAGAGAAGTAGAAAAATGCTATGAATTTCATCATTTTCATAAACATCACACGGGGAGAAAATGTACTTAAATGAGACTTGCCTCTAATCAAATATGTGACCTTGGCCCTGAGGGGCTGATTCATGTAGGTTCAATAGTACTATAATCTACAACTTGATTGCAAGGTTAAGGTCTACTAAAACTGTTGGTGGGAGTTAGAAACTCAAATGGCCTAGGAAAAGCAATAGCCTTTCTGTGAGCCAGGCTGGGACACACTCCCTAACATATTCCTTACTTGTTCCAGCATACCTGAGCAATAGAGAGCCTCCCTGCAGGCATCTTGTCATACAAAGGGATTTTTCAGCTATGGACATCCCAGAATAACATACAGTGACTCCAGAATCATTACTTGCAGGTACCAAAAGTTTTCAGTAAAATGGTGAATCCCAAAGTTCTCCCTGGTTTACCTTTGCCTATCTCTAGCCTTCATCCTCTTCCTACTTCCCCAGGCAAGACCCTTAAATAGGCTCTTCACAAAAAAGGATTTACAAATGGCCAAGAAACATATGAAAACATGCTCAACTTCATAAGTCATACACAAATGCAAGTAAAACCACAATGTCAACCCACTGCACACCAAAGAGAATGGCTAACATGAAACAGACAGGTAATACCAAGTCTTGGCAAATAGACGGTGCAACTGAAACACTCAGACATTGCTGGTGGGAGTGTAAATGGCGCAATCACTTTGAAAAAAACTGTTGTCATACACCTTATGACCCACTCCTAGGTATATACTCAACAGAAATACTTACACATATGAACCAAAATAAAGGTACAAGAATGTCATAGCAGTTTATTCCTAATAACCTAATAATGAAAACAACCCAATACCCATCAACAGAATAGATAAGTAAATTGTGGCATATTCAGACAATGGAATATGATAAGGGAATTAGAATAAACAGATTGTTGTTACACACAACACAGATGGATCTTACAAAAATAATGTTGAGAAAGAAAGTAAACACACAAACACAAAAATACATGTACAGTGCGGATAAGTCTACTTATAGGAAGTTCAAAGCCAGATGAAAGTAAGATATGGTCAGCATAGCAGTTATCTTTTGAGTGGGGGGCATAAAGTGGGCTTCCGGGATCCTGATAATATTCTGTTTCTTGACCTGAGGGTTGATCACCTGGGTGTTTTCACTTTATGATCATTTATCAAACTATATTGTGACAATTTGCTTCCTTTTCTTAATGTATGTAATCCTTTGATAAAAAGATTTTAAAACTCTATGATTTTAATAGAAATATAGGATGAGTATTTTTAAAATCATGGTGGATTGGAAATGTATGGACAATCTGGCATATTTTCAGGTTGGCTGAGTAGCCTGGCTGATGACTAGAGTCATTGGTAGCTGGAAACAGCTATGGTACTGCAAATAGGAGTTGAAATAGGAGTCAAAACACAGTGCAGATGGCAAATAGCAGGAACAGCATGTGGCTGGCTGTTGTTGGTCCAGACCATGCCTGCACCTGCAGATATCAATCACTGTTATGAGCCTCATCCAACATAAAGGAAGACTTTCACAGACCCAAAGAAGTCTCTGCCAAAGCAGGTGCCTGCTGCCCATATTTATTCATTTGGTGTCCATCTAGCAACCTATCCAATGCACTGTTTCTCAAACTGGGGCCTGAGGATGTTCCAAATGTTCATTGATGGAAGATTCTTGGGGGCCTATGAACTGTTTCCTGTAAAGGAGGCCATAAATAACTTAAGTTTGACAGTATGGAGATTCCTCAAGAACTAAAAATAGAACAACCCAGCAATGCCACCACTGAGTATCTACCTAAAGGAAAAGAAATCATTATACCAAAAGATACCTGCACTTGTATGTTTATGCACTATTCACAATAGCAAAATCATGGAACCAACCTACATGTCCATCAGTGATTGACTGGATAAAGAAAATGTGACATACACACACACACACACACACACACACACACACACACACACACAGAATACTACACAGCCATAAAAAATGAAATCATGGCTGGGCGTGGTGGCTCACGCCTGTAATCCCAGCACTTTGGGAGGCCAAGGCAGGCAGATCATGAGGTCAGGAGATCAAGACCATCCTGGCTAACACAGTGAAACCCCGTCTCTACTAAAAATACAAAAAATTAGCCGGGCGTGGTGGCGGGCGCCTGCAGTCCCAGCTACTCGGGAGGCTGAGGGAGGAGAATGGCGTGAACCCGGGAGGCAGAGTTTGCAGTGAGCCGAGATTGCGCCACTGCACTCCAGCTTGGGCGATAGAGCCAGACTCCTTCTCAAAAAAAAAAAAAAAAAAAAAAAATGAAATCATGTCCTTTGCAGCAACTTGGTTGGGGCTGAAGGCCGTTATTCTAAGTGAAATAACTCAGAAACAGAAAATCAAATACCACACGTTCTCACTTATAAGTGGGACCTAAACAATAGGTGTGCATGGACACAAGGGTGGAAATGATAGACACTGGGGAGGGAGTGAGGTTTGAACAGTTCAAGGGTGCGATGTCTGCTATTTGATTGATGGGTACACTAGGAGTCCAATCCCCACCATCACACAATATACCCAGGTAACAATCCTTCACAGCTTCCTCCCGAAGCTAAAATAGAATGACTTTTATTTGAAAAAGAAGTTTAACAGTAAAAACATTATAATAATAACTTCAGATGGAGAAACCTTGAGCAAGAGGGCAAAACTGTGCTCTAAAAACAAGAGGTACAAAGATATCTAAGAGTCCCCTGAAAATCACAATATACTGGGTTTTTGCTTGTTTGTTTGTTTTGTTTTATGGGTTTATTTGTTTTTTTTTTTGGTTTTGTTTTGTTTTGTTTTGAGATGGAGTCTCACTCTGTCGCCCAGGCTGGAGTGCAGTGGTGCTATCCTGGCTCACTGCAACCTCCATCTCCTGGGTTCAAGTGATTCTCCAGCCTCTGCCTCCTGAGTAGCTGGGACTACAGGCACCTGCTACCACACCTGGCTAATTTTTGTATTTTTAGTAGAGACAAGGTTTCACCATTTTGGCCAGGCTGGTCTCAAACTCCTGACCTCAAGTGATCCTCCCACCTCGGCCTCCCAAAGTGCTGGGATTACAGGCGTGAGCCACCACTCCCAGCCTTCAATATACTGTTAAGTAGAAGAGCAACTTACAAAATAATATGTATTATATAATCTCAATGTTGCTAAAATATTTATAAGTACATGACAAAAACTGGACGGATACACAGCCAAATGTGTTCTCTCGAACTAATGGGATTGTGAGTGATTTTGTTCTTTGCTTTTCTGTATTTTTCACATTTTCTACCACAAATATTTATCACTTTGAAAATTAGGAAAAAATTAAATGTTAATTATGAAAGGAAGAAGACCCAGTTCTAGCTTGGAGGTGTATAAATATCACACAGCTCCTGGCTAAATGTACTTATGCCCTCACAGAAGTAATAAAAAAAGACTTAGCCATGTGCCTTCATTTCATCTCTATCACAGCTTTCCTATCTTGATCTGATCTTAGCTGCTCAGTTTTGGAGAGAGGGAAGGTAAGGGCCACTAATTCTGTACAGCACTCAGAGGAGTGCTACCTACAGGAAAGCCCTGTGCACAGAATAACCATGTCATTGCCATAGAAGCAACAGCGAACGCAGGGGTGTCTTGCAAATGCCAGCACTGTCACAAGCACGTCACATCTCTTAACTCATTCAATATTCACAACAAACTTCTGCAGCAGGTAGCATTATAATCCTTAGTGTACATACGGGGAAACTGAGGCATGGAAAAATCAAGTAACTTGCTCTAGGTCCCAGGCATTGTGTGATAGAGGAGACTCGACCCCTGGCAGTCTAGAGCCAGGGTTCTCAGCCCATTCTCTTGCCCAAAGTGGGAGCAGTGGCTGTTGACACTGCCAAGCGCTTTCTCTGTGAATGCCAGGAGCCTTCATCTGTTATGTAAAGCTTTTACATCCACTATGTCATGTAATTCTCCAAAAACCCATGAGATTCCATCCATTGGTCTTCCGCATTCACGGTTGAAGCAGCAGAGGCTTCGCGATATACCCAAAATCTCACAGGAAGTAGGAGAGAGGCCAGGCCTCACATCTGAGCAGTTGGGGTCCGCAGCAGCCCTGGCACCACAGCCTCACAGGTGGTGGGATTTCAAAAGCAAGCCTGAGGGCTACTGTGTGTGTTTGTTTGTTTGGAGACAGAGTCTTGCTGTGTCCCCCAGGCTGGAGTGCAGTGATGTGAGCTGGGCTCACTGCAACCTCCGCCTCCCAGGTTCAAGTGATTCTTGTGGCTCATCCTCCCAAGTAGCTAGAACTACAGACACCTGCCACCACACCCAGCTAATTTTTGTATTTTTAGTAGAGATGGGGTTTCAGCATGTTGGCCAGGCTGGTCTTGAACTCCTGACCTCAGGTGATCCACTCAATTTGGCCTCCCAAAGTGCTGGGATTACAGGCATGAGCCACTGCACCCGGCCCTGAGGCCTACTGTTTTTATTCAGCTTTTTTGGGGGGTGGGAGGGGAATGGACAATGAGAATCTTGTGACTATAGCTGGGAAAGGAAGTGGAAGGAAAGGGAGAGTCAAAGGTTCTCTTTAGCTCAGCCTCAAAACCCAAAGACCCATGACTGCTTAGCCTTGTGACAAACCCCTGCAGAGTTCCAGCAGGCCTGAGAATGCAAAGCATGAGACATTTCCTCTAAAAGCTGGACAGAAAATATTAGGCACTGTGATCAATGCAGCAATACTGAGATACTCCGCTGGAGTGAGACTCCATTGTCATCACTAATGGCAATGTGGTATTAAAAAGGACACTCAGGTTGTTCGGATGCCTAGGGATCCCGCAGAACCTCTCACCAGTCGTGTGACGTCGGGCAAGTCAGTTTTCCACTCAGCCTCAGTTTACTCAGCTGTGAAATGGTGATCATAGTATTGAAGCAAGGCGTCAAGACGGTGTTCACAAAGTGCCTGGCACTGTGACTGTCACAGGAGACACAGTCCCAAAATAGTGTCAGCAGCAGCACAATGATGGCATAATGAAGGCTGCAGTGTCTGCACACAGTTGGTGCTGGTAAGTCTTAATGACCCAGAAGAGCCTGAGGCACATGAAAGCAAGATGCAGGCTGACATAGAAATACTGCGACTTGGGAGGGTGAGCTTGACAGTCATATCATGGCTAGAGGCAGAGACTTGGGTTTAAATGATGAGCCACAACCAGCCCGATGGGATTACCCCCTGGGGAGTTTTCTCTCCCATCTTGCTGGGCCTCTCAGGGTCTCGTTGAAAACCCTGTGTCCGGCTTCTCTGACACCCATGCTCCAGGCTTCCTCCTCCCTCCCCAGCTGCCCCTTCTGGGTTTTCTCTCCAGGGCTCATTCCTTTTCCAGAGTCCTGCACCTGGGAGGCCTATGGTCAGTTCCACAAAGGCCCTGTGTTCTCTTACTACTCTCTGCTCTCTCGTCAGGAGACCTCATCACATTCAGGCTGATTTCCAAATTTAGATCCCAATTTAGATCCGTCTTATTGTGCCCCCATAGAGCAGACGCCTACCCTTGGATATATCAAAGCCACCTCCAATTCAATGTGTCCACATTCAAGCTGGATATTTTTCTGTCCCCATCCCCACTACTAAACAAAACAAATCTCTGTCCACTATCCTGCCAACCTCTCCCAACCTGTGAGCCATAGAAATCTCTCTCCCCCAACCTCCTTACCCAATCCCCTGTTCAATTCTGCTCCCTCCTTCACCTGAGACCAAGCCACCATCTGTTGGCTAGACTCTTACAATAGCTTCTAACGGGTGTCTCCATATCTGCTCATGACTCTCCCAATTTAGTCTTCACAGCAGGCCCAGAGGTCTCTAGAGAATGCTGATCTGATCATCTCTCTGCTCCTCATAAACTGCTTCAATAGCTTTCTAATGCCCTTAAAGGAAAATACAGGCCAGGCATGGTGGCTCACACTGGTAATCCCACCACTTTGGGAGGCCGAGGCGGGTGGATCAACTGAGGTCGGGAGTTTAAGACCAGCCTGGCCAAAATGGCAAAACCCCACCTTTACTAAAAATGCAAAAATTAGCCAGGCACGGTGGTGTGTGCCTGTAATCCCAGCTACTCGGGAGGCTGAGGCAGGAGAATAGCTTGAGCCCAGGAGGCAGAGGTTGCGGTGAGCCGAGATCGTGCCACTGCACTCCAGCTGGGTGACAGAGCAAGACTCTGTCTCAAAAAAAAAAAAAAAGGAAAATACAAAATCCTCAACCTGGCTGCAAAGTGCTGCATGATCTAGCCCTTGCCTACCTCATCACACACCACTCTCCTCCTACACTTCTGCCTCCAACCACACAGTTCTCCTTTTAATTTCTTCAACCAGCCAGTTCCTCCCTGCTTGTTGTAATAAGGAAAAAAAGAAAAAAGTAATTGCAAGACTTCTAGTTAATTGTAATGGCAGATTAGGCATACGTATTTACCTCTACCTTGTGTAAAATCTCACTAAAATGAGGGTATGAGGATTTTTTTAAAGTACATAAATCCACAAGGCCAAATAGAACAAAGCCAAGATGTCCTAGGCAAGGCCATCCTAGAACACCCAGGCCCCAGCTAGCCAGCACCTGATAGCCAACACATGAATGAGCCCAGCTGAAATTAGACATGTGTGGGCCAGGTCACAAGCCACCCAACCTACCTATAGACTTAAGAAATAATAAGCAGTTCTTGTTTGGACCCACTAAGGCTTGGAGCTGTTTGTTACACAGCAATAGCTAACTGATAAAGGACTTTCCCAACAATAATGGTCCAGCCAGATTATGCTACAGTGAGGCCCAAAGACAACAAGCCTCTTTGCATGCAAAGAATATCCCAGTCAGATTCGTTGTACTTGCCTCTTAAAAATGAGCAAATATCACTAGATATCTGAAGTAAATTTCTTACATGAAAAGCAAAACAACTTGGAGGAACCTGGCGATGAATGAAAATAAAAACTAAACACAGCACACACACAAACCAATCCCCCGTATTTTTAGGAATATGAGACAAGATATTGTATCCATGAAACAAGAACAAGATCTACAAGAAGGAAGAGGAAAATAGTAATGGTAATCAAGGAACAAGGAAAAGCTAGAAAATTAAAATATGCTAGAACAAATGAAAATTAAAGGGTTAGAAGATAAAAGGTGAGGAAATCTTTCAGAAAATATAATGAAAAGGCAAATAGAGCAAAAATAGGAGAGAAAAGATTATTTAAAAAGACAATCAGTTCACACAAATTCCAAAGAGCAGAGAAAACAAAGAAGAAAATAATAATAATAATAAAAAATCTCCAGAACTGAAGGGCATAAGTTCCAGTAGGAAAGTGAAGCTGTCCTGTTTTGGCTCCTAGAGTCACTTTTTTCTTTTTGTTTTTGAGATTGAGTTTTGCTCTTGTTGCCCAGGCTGGAGTACAATGGTGCAATCTTTACTCACTACAACCTCTGCCTCGAGTTCAAGCGATTCTCCTGCCTCAGCCTCTCAGTAGCTGGGATTACAGGCACCCACTACCATGCCCAGCTAATTTTTTGTATTTTTCGTAGAGATGGTGTTTCACCATATTGGCCAGGCTGGTCTCGAACTTTTGGCCTCATATGATCCACCTGCCTCAGCCTCCCAAACTGCTGGGATGACAGGCGTGAGCCACCGTGCCCAGCCTCCTAGAGTCACTTTTTAAATTTTCAGATATTTTGCAACTAAGTCATTAAATACAGCTACTATTAAAAAATTACATTCCAGGGCCAGGTGCAGTGGCTTATGCCAGGCAAAAGCATTTAGTGAGCACTTATTGTTTTTTCTCTGGCCACTGTGAACCAAGGTGAGCACCAAGTGTTTGCCAAAGTGGCGTGACCGCATTGTCCCATGCATCACCCATATGGGTGCCAGCCAGGTGCAAGGGTCTTCAAACTGATGGCAGCATGACGCTTCCTGGCAGGAAAGACACCAGGGGGCAGAGAGAGGTGCAGTGCACATGGCTGCTGGTTAGTGCTTGGCACCATCTATTGTGCCCATGGCCATTCCCCAACACTCTGCCTTACAGCTGCCACTAGACAGCAAAGGGACTTCATCCAAAACACTCCTTCAGAACTGTGCCTGCCAGTGAGCCCTTCCCCTTGCAAACAGCCACCTTGGGAGGCCACACACTTACACCAGCCAATATTACTGTTTTTCCAAAAGTTGGGGAAAGACATCCTTGGCAGCTGCCAATGACCCCTGGGGAATATTCTCTTGAATACACTCCATGGAGAAAATTGTTCATCCTTTGAGAGTTTGGAGGCGATGCAAAGCGAGAGCTGATGGCAGAGATGATAGTTCAAGATGGAAACTTGCTTTGACCAGAAAAACTTAACCAAAGCAATGGGATGTGAGGATGCCTATGTGGAGCTAACTAGGTAAGCAAGTGAGAGCATCAGCTGAGTTCCTGAATGTGAATCTGGGCCAGCACATGTTACACAAACATGATCTCATTATCTCATTATCATCTCATTTCGCTCTCACCTGGATGCTACACAGGGTAGGATCACTGTCGCCATCTCACAGATGAGGAAAATCAGACTCGGAAACATTAAGCAGCCTGGTTAAGGTCTCACAGCTGCTAAGTGGCCCCAGAACCTGCTGCGTCTGTCTCCAGAGCTTTTGGTTGGGGCTGGGGTGTGGGGTAGAGCAGTAGCCTTAGAGCGGGGAGGTGGCATGCACTGGCCAAGGGACTGGCCCAGAGGAGGGAAGGGAGGGAGCAAGCGCTGCAGGGAAGGCTGGGCACCCACACGTGCTAGATTGACTTGGGAAGCCTAGGGAAGCAATGAGAAAAACAGAAGCACTTCAGTCTGTGGGCTGCAAAAGCTCTGCTGCTTTTTGCAGGGACCCCAATTAGCAAATCACCATAAAAGGATTTGGTTTTCTTGCTTTTGAGTATTTTGGGGTGCCTTGACCAGGCTGTTTCCAAGTAGAGGGCTGAAGAGCCACTTCATTAACAGCAAAGAATGCACTGAAATTAGATTTTTGTACTTAAGAGGTGATGGGTTTGTGTCACACGGTGCTCTGCAGGTCCTGGAAAGTTTTGCTCTTGACATTAAATATTGCTCGTCCCTGAAAACTTTTCGCACAGTACATCTGATTAGCAAATCCTTTTTTATTTTTTCAAAAATAAATCAAAACTTCCCTATGTAAAATGAATCGGATCTGAATTAGTGCGATTTGGCCCAAGATAGACGTTGGCTTCAACCTGCACTCTCTGAGTCCCCACACTGCCCAGAAGGCCCTGGCCATGCCCAGATGGAGGAAATACAGCCCCTGTCTGCCCTGGAGGTGCATCTCGGTGCAGCTAGGAGGCCCTCGGTACTTGGTGACAAATAATCTACCATTCTAAGTAAAAGCTTGAGAACTGCAGGCGGATCAGGCGTCTGCCCAAAGCCACAGTGTCAGGGAAGTTTCCTTGTTTATCAGTGCCAAGGTCAGCCCAGGAATGGCTGTCATTCACAGGGCCCAGCTTAAAATGAAAATGCAGGGCCTCTTGTTTAGAATTTCAAGACGGTGACAGCAGAGTGATACTGAGTATACACTGAGTATACAAATGGACAATGGTCAGATCTTACGTAAAAACAGAGGTTTGATTCACAACTTGCCCAGGAAACCAATGCTTTATCTACAGTAATCAGCCCAGGAAGCCAGCCTGCTATATGTCATTCTTTAGGAAGTCAGACTGTTACCTCTAGTAACAACCTAGGAAGCTAAACGGCTTCTGTAATGATCAACCCATAACATCCATGACTTTAACAACTGAGAGCTTCGTCAGGCGCGGTGGCTCACGTCTGTAATCACAGCACTTTGGGAGGCCGAGGCGGGCGGAATACCTGAGGTCAGGAGTTCAAGACCAGCCTGGCCAACATAGCAAAACCCCATCTCTACTAAAAATACAAAAATTAGCCAGTCGTGGTGGCAGGCACCTGTAATCCCAACTACTTGGGAGGCTGAGGCAGGAGAATCGCTTGAACCCGGGAGGTGGAGGTTGCAGTGAGGCGAGATCCCACCATTGCACTCCAGCCTGTGGGACAAGAGCGAAACTCTGTCTCAAAAAAACAAAAACAAAAAACCAAAAACTGACAGCTTCCTTTATTTTATTTTATTTTACACAAAGTCTCTCTCTGTCGCCCAGGCTAGAGTGCAGGTTGTGTGATCACTGAGTACCTGGGACTATTGGCACGTGCCACCACACTCGGCTAATGTTTTCAACTTTTTGTAGAGATACAGTCTATGTTGCCTAGGCTGGTCACGAACTGCTGGCCTCAAATGATCCTCCTGCCTCAGCCTCTCAAAGTATTGGGATTACAAGCATGAGTCACGGCACCCAGCCTTCCCTAAATTTTGTCCCTGCTTTCAACTTAAGACCAACTTGAAAAAAAGCCAATTACACACCCTGAAACAGTTATATAAGAGGCCCCACTTCTAGTTAGAAGCCTCCAGCTTCCCCAGGCAAACAGCCTCCCATCAGGGCACATCCGAAGCCTTTCCCCTTCCCCTGTAAAGCTTCCCCACTCCTCTGCTTGCCTTTGAGTCTCTGCCAAATGCAAATGGTGGTGGCTGTCTCTTGCTATACAGCAAGCCCTGAATAAAGAGCCCTGGCCTATTCTCACTTGGTCTTCATTTATTTCCAAAGAGCATTTAACCAAGCATAGGCCCTGCTATGGTTTGGCTCTGTGTCCCCACCCAAATCTCATCTTGTGGCTCCCATAATTCCCATGTGTTGTGGGAGGGACCCGGGGGAAGATGACTGAATCATGGAGGCGGGTCTTCCCTGTGCTGTTCTCATGATAGTGAATGGGTCTCATGAGAATCTGATGGTTTTAAAAAACGAGTTTCTCTGCACAATCTCTTTTTTTTTTTTTTTTGCCTTCCACCACCCATGTAAGATGTGACTTGCTCCTCCTGCCTTCTGCCATGATTGTGAGATCTCCCCAACCATGTGGAACTGTAAGTCCAATTAAACCTCTTTCTTTTGTAAATTGCCCAGTCTCGGGTATGTAGGGACTAATACAGGCCCTCAGACATGGGCCCTCAAAGCCCGGGGCCCTGCATGATTGTACAGATCTGCCATCCAAGAAGCTGGCCCTACAATGAACAGCACAAACAAGCAAAATGCTGCCCTCTGCAGAAGGTTCCAACCACCCTCCAACTTTGCAAGCCAAGACCTCTGGAATCCCAGTCTCCTGATGGGGAGCCTCCCAGACAGCCTCCCTTTGGGATGTACACCTTCCTAGATCCACGCCCAGACCCGTACCACTGGGTCTGGCGGAGTAATGCCCGGCAACCCCCAGACTCAGCCAGGAAGCCTGTGCTTTGCCTGGGCTTCCTGGATTGAGGCATTCTCCACTTCCACCACTTTGAAACCTGCCACCAGCTTCTCCCACAAAGTACCCTCAGAATCCCATGTGGTCAAAGCTGTGGGGAGCAGTTCTCTCCTACCTTGGGTGGCTCAGCTCTGCTGACCTGACGCTAAGGGCTGGGGAGGCTGTGGCATTAGCCGGCTGGGGGATAAAGGTAGATTTCTTAGGCAGCAGGGGGCACTAGAACCTCCAAACAGGACGCAGGGTATACACACCTCATCAATTTCAGGAGCAGGGCTGCCCATAGGGCAGAGATATTAGCGAGGATCCATAACCAGGCACCTTGGGGTGCCTGCCCTCAACTTAAGGAGTTCGCCTGCCAAAAGGGAAATGTGCATTATCTATAATTAAAGGGAGCAGGTGGTAGATGTCAGAAATGTACAGCATATGACTGAGAATTTGGACCCCACTCCTCCCTAGCTGTGTGACCTTGGGCAAGATACCTAACTTCTCTGTGCCTCTTTGTCCTCCTCTGCACAAAAGGATCAATAATGCTTTCTTCCTTATGGGTGGTGGGGTGGGAGCAGCTAAACAAGTAGTAAACCTGGAGTGTATTTAGCCAAGGACCTCACCATGGTCAGGACTCAATGAACACGTGGGTTACGTGAGAACTCCATTGAGGCACAGATGACAGCTAGTCAGGGGCTGAAGTCGGGAGGTGGTTGGAGGAGTGAAGGGAGGCTGTGGAAAAGCATTTGAATTGGACTCTAGGGCAGACAGAAGGAAGGCAATGACAAATCTTTATTCTAGTTTAGGTGGACACATTTCATACACTTCTGTCTTGTTTCAACCCAGAGAACGTGAATCTTTTCTTTTGTAAAGATTTGCATAATGTCATCTACTCAACCACTTTCTGGCAGTAAGCCATCAGCCATCCCTCGGCTTCTGGAAATGCAATGGACTAGGTAGTTTGTATCACTTGCCAATTGCCTAGACCAGAGCAAATCTAGTTGTAGATTAGCATTACATTTAATTAAACATAAATGGGCCCTTGCAATAACTTTGACACTTTATAGGGAGTGAAAAGTACTGGACTAGAAACTTGAAAGATCTAAGGCTCATGTTTTAACTGCATTGCTAAGTTGACTTGTAAATTTGCTCCTTCAATTTCCATCTCTCAAATGGAAACTAAATTATTACATTTCCTATTCCATCCCAAGACTGTCTCACCCCATCAAGTCCCTTTTATATCTTGGATGGATAAATAGGATATTTGGCTTGTGATGCTCTATTTGGTATAAAAACACTTATTTTCTTGACACTGCATTATCATAGTTCCTAGATCCCAATTAATGGACCAAATGTGTGCTTTGCTGGTATTTCAGAGAGTCATACAGTATTCCTCAAAGTGTTCAGGACTTAGCATTCTCTGATTTTTTAATAGTTTCTCTATTGCAAACGACAAATTTGCCATCTGTTTCACCCATGTATTCATTCTTGAGATAATTTCTCTCCCTCTCCCCAAGCACACCATCTCCCCTGAATGCTTTACCCAATGGAAGTCTGTAGACCAACAAAATGCAAAATAATCCCAAAAAATTGGGAAAGGGGACAGAAAACATGGCAAAAATACAGTAGGAGGCTGGGTGTGGTGGCTCTCACTTGTAATCCCAGCACTTTGGGAGGCCAAGGTGGGAGGATTGCTTGAGTCCATGAGTTCAAGACCATCCTAGGTAACAAGCAAGACCCTATCTCTAAAAATTTTTTTTAAAAAATTAGCCGGACATAGTGACACACACCTGTAGTCCCAGCTACTCAGGAGGCTGAGGTGGATGCTGCAGTGAGCTGTGATCATGCCTGGGTAACAGAGTAAGACCCTAATACATATATAAATACACACACACACACACACACACACACACACACACACACACACACACAGAGTGGGAAATCTCCCTTCTTTTAGCCTGGTAAGCTGGTAGCCTCTCTGGGGAGAGTACAGCTCTGTCTCCGCGAAGCCTGAAGACACACAAGAGATCTCTTAAGGTGTCCAGCCTGGCCAACACAGTGAAACCCCATCTCTAACAAAAACACAAAAATTAGCTGGGTGTGGTCACGGGCACCTGTAATCCCAGCTACTTGGGAGACTGAGGCACAAGAATCCCTTGAACCCAGGAGGCAGATGTTGTAGTGAGCTGAGATTGTGCCACTGCACTCCAGCCTGGTGACAAAGTGAGACTGTCTTAAAAAAAAAAACTCTCTTAAGGTGACAAAGGATGCATAAGTAACACTGGCTTTGTACAAGCACTGTCTTGGAGGAAAGCACACTAAACTACGGGGTCAGAAGCCCAGGTTCTGGTCCAAGGTCTACCAGACATCATTCCTCACAGCCTGTTTCCGCAGAGCCGATGGTGGCTATGAATGAAGGACCTCTGAGAAAAACAAAGCTCATCACGAATGCAAGCCTGGCCATCCTTGCTGGCCTGTGCCACACAGACACTCAAGTAGTTGTGCCACTGCAGGAAGACCGAGCTCTGTGAGTGCAGCCATGGGCAAGGCAGGAGGGGCCAAAGGATCCAGGCCCCAGAAAGGAAACATGTGCAGTGGCTGAAGGAATGGGTCCTGTGGCCAGACTGCCTGGTTTCCCATCCCAGTCCCACCCTGCTGCCCGTGTAATTCCTGTGGACAACTTAGTAAACATCTCTTGGCCTCAAGTCCTTCATCTGTGAAATGATGCTAATAATAATAGCACTTACCTTGTAGGACTGTGATGATGTTTAGGTAAGTATCCATGGAATGTTCTTGGCATGATTTCTGACTCTTACTAAATAATCATGTTAGCAATTATTCTTATCTGGAGTCAGACCACCTGTTTTGCATCCAGGCCGTTCCGCCTACTAGCTGCGTGATTTGGGACACGTCAAACCAAATCTCTCTCAACTTTTCTGTAAAATAAGATGAGCAATCCCTTTATTGCAGAGTTAGTTGTTTAGAGAATTCTGTGAGAATGTATATAAAAAGCACCTTGCAATCTCTCCCATGCTATTTCTCTTCCACAGCCAATTCTGCATAGGAGAACCTTAAAAAGCCAAATGCAGACAGGAAAAATCTGGGGGAGGGACAGAGGCAGGTGCAGGCAGTAACCCTTCGATCATGAACCTCTTGTCCGGCCAAGCACACAGGAATTTCATGTACAATTTGGCAGCTCCAGAGGCTCCCAGGTCCAGCTGGGTCTAGGCCCTACTGGATCTGCTAAGTAGCGAGCTGAAGCCCAGTGCCAATTCCTAGGGGCCTGGGAACTGAGGCCAAGCCGAGACTTGCCTGCCTCATTCCCCAAATGGCCAGAGGTGCCTGGACTGGGCAGTTAGTTCCCCTTAAGAAAATCTTCAGACCACCCAGGAAAGGTTTGGCGATATGGACCACATTGGCCCAGAGCTAGGAAGGCCCTGGACTGCACCTTCACAGGGCAACAAACTGACTGTTCAGTTCATCCCGCCTCACCCAGCCTCCTGACCTGGACTTTGAGCAGGCGCTTGCTCAGGCCCACTCTCCACGCAGTCATCTTGGGCCCTCTCCTCCCTGTGCCACACACATAATTGTGTCTGTAACCAACAGTGCACTAAAGACAAAATTAGGCAGGACAGCAACCACAAAGACCCCCTTCCTAAAACACCTGGGGATTGCTACTGGTTCCAGATTTAAAATAATCGGAAATGACCACTTCTCCCTGCCTTGGGGTTAAAAAGAAAAGAAGAAAGAAGGCCAGGTATGGTGGCTCACACCTGTAGTCCAAGCACTTTGGGAGGCTGAGGTGGGAGGACTGCTTGAGCCCAGGGTTTCAAAACCAATCTGGGTAACATGGCAAGACCCCGTCATTACAAAAAAAAAAAAAATTAGCCAGGCGTGGTGGCATGTGCTGTTAATCTGAGCTACTCGGGAGGATTGCTTGAGCCCAGGAGATCAAGTCTGCAGTGAGCCATGTTTATGCCACTACACTTTAGCCTGAAGCCTGGGTAACAGAGCAAGATCGTGTCTAAAATAAAATAAAATAAAATTAAATTAAATTAAAAAGTCCACCACCATTAGAGCCCTTAATCTTACCTCCCAGGTGTGAGGAGCACTAACCTACAGTAGACAGAGATTCAAAGGCAGTGGCCATGCTTACAGGTTGGCTTAGTCTTTTTATCCTGTTCTCATGTCCTTTCTAACCACAGGTGTCTGTTAGGAGCTCCTCCAGGGCAGTCCAGTCCCCCTGGGCTTAGATCCCAGCCTTGCTACTAACTGACTAGGTAGGTGCCTGACCCTCCTCTGGGTCTTTCAAGGTAGCAAGAGTCTCAGAAGCAGTTTTTCCTTCTGCTCTCAATACCCCACTGATACCTCCTCATTCACGGGTGACCTCAGGACCCAACTCACTGTTACCATCTCCATCTGCTTTTGCAACTTTACCAGCCACACAGATGAGCCATCCAAAACCCCAGCCACTCAGCTCTGAATCTACTTGGCTCCAGTGACTTTCCCCTTCACACCAATAGCAGCTGCCAACTGCCATGGTTATACCTGTCATCAGAGACTTCACCACCTCCCTAAGACTGCCAATGTCTCTTCTCTGGTCATAGCCTCTTTATTTCTATCCCTCTGATTCTAAAACTCCATAATTCTCTCATTTTCCAATCTGAGACACCTATTTTCTACCTCTCCTCTCCTCATCACTCTCCATAAAGACCTGAACACTTCTCTCCGAGGGAAAAATGCTACACCTGCCACGCGGTGCTGCACCCACCAGCACCTGTCCCCACAGACTCCCATTAGGGTGGAAGAAAGTCATGTTCCACCCTACGCTCGATCCCTGCAATGGTCACTGGGCCCTAGCCCTTTTAGCCTTCTCAAGGATTTCTTCCAGCGCATCTCCTTTTACTCTAGAATGGTCAATTTCTCCTTCTTTGGTGGATCACTCATATTGACGAATAAAGATGCCTAGTATCATCCATCTTTCTAAAAAAAGTTCTCTGGTGCCATTTCCCTCCCCTGCCACCACTCCATCTCTGTGCCCCTCACAGCAAAATCCTCCAGAGTTGCCTCCACTTGGCCTCCACTGACTCACCTCACATCCATTCTACACCCATTTCAATAGGGCTCCTGTCCTCAACACGCCTCCAAGTTTCTATCAGGGTCACAACTGACATGCAGCTTTTCAGAGGTAATGGGCAATTTTCCATCTCGCTGTTTCTCCGCAGCATCTGATATGCCTGACTACACCAGCCTGAAAGGTGTCCATTGAACTGGTCACTTGGGTGTCCTGCCACCTGGGCCATGTAGTCTCCTCCTTCTCCAGTGGAGAAAATGGGCCCTACACCTTGCAGGGCCCCAGAACAATGGTCTCAGCCAGCCCCTTTGCTATCCACACTCTGCCGCTAGATCTTAACTTTCCATCCCAAGAGAACGAGGATATATATATATATGTATACATATATACATACACACACACACACACACACACACACACACACATATATATCATACATATAATTTATTTGAGACAAGGTCTCTGTCACCCAGGCTGGAGTGCAGTGACACAATCAGAGCTCACCACAGCCTCCACCTCCCAGGCTCAATCCCTTGCACCTCTGCCTCCTGAGTAGCTGGGACTATAGGCATGCACCACCACGCCCAGCTAATTTTTGTATTTTATAGACACGGGGTTTGCCATGTTGCCGAAACTCCTGAGCTCAAGCAATCCACTCACCTCGGCTTCCCAAAGTGTTGGGATTATAGGCGTGAGCTACCTGCCAGGCCCATAAATATTTTTAATCCTTGAATCTCTCTTCCTGCAACAATTTGGCAGGACAAAGTAAGCGGTGGAAAGGAAAAAGGGAAGTAACATATTCTCAAGGTTAGAAAGTTTTGCAGTATCATGAAAATGCTGACAATCACGAGGATCATTTATAGCAAGCTGGCCACTCCTCCAGTTTGGGCTCCACCCAGTTTTACTATCTGAACAGTGGACAGAAATATCACTTGAAAGAATAATATTCACTCTGTAACAGGAATCAGGAATGCAGAAATGAAGAAAAACAGTCCCTAAAGTTTTCAGTCATAAATCTGATGGCAGGAAGCACAAACAACAAACTTGTCTTGTTTTACTGCTTAAAACATAATAAGCCAGTAAACATAAGTTTCACTTATAGTCATGTTGTGGGACAGATTTATCATCTGTACCGTGATAACTACACATTACACCTCATATCTTGAGCAGTGAGTTCAGTCTGACTGCACACACCAGAGGAAAGGTGACATTTATGAACTAGAATGGCTGATTACCAGCAAAGCCCATACATACCCAACTATCTCCCACTTGGCTGAACATAATCTTGTTAGGGCTGAAATGTGGCCCTAAGGGATCCATTGCTACAATGCTGCAGTGCAGAGAGGGAGTTGGGGTACAATTATGCTCACCATCATTTAAACAGATTTATTGAAGTGTGAGCAACTTGCATGTGTAATTAACCACCAGTTAGGGTCATTTTTAAAGAAAAAAAATACATCAATTTTCATTGCATCCAAGGGAACAGCTTATGAACCTACAACTAAGAAATTATAACCATCTAATTTCTAAAACACAGCTTTCATAGAAAAATAATGGTTCTCAACCTTGGTGGGTTTAAGAATGATCAAGTGAGTTGGTTAAAAATGTAGTCTTGGCCTCACCCTCAGCTTCTGATTGAGTAGGCTTAGGGTAAAATCCATACATTTTTAATCACTGGCCTTGGCACTTCTGATGTACTACTGTGTGCTTCATGAGAAATCCTGTTATAGAAATTTTCATTTCCTCAGAACAAGAAAAAAAGTGGAAAGTAAACACTGGCTATCAACCATATTAACAAATCATTTCCCAGACCCATTTAATAATCGAGTTTCTGAACTGAATATTCCTCATAAGAGATCATTTCTATGCTAATATGTTATTTGCTCTCATATTATAAGGTTTTAGTGACCTTAAATTCATAAAATCCTAAGTACTATCTCCTTGGGCTCAGTGAAGACTAAAAATATTATGCTGGATAGTCAACTGTAGCTTCTAGCAAATGTAAACAGTCTGTAGATAATCACCACAACATTGCAACTTAAAGAGGTGTCAAAGAAACTGATTTGCTCCTGGTGAAATGCAACCCATGATTTCAATTATAGCATCCTTTAGAAAGAAGTGTTTAGCGCATGTCTGCTTGCTGGACTTCCCTCAAGAATGGGAAAATATTTAGATCAACTCAAATATATATAAATTCCCCTAGTTATGGCATCATAAACTCAAGGCTATATCATAATAGTTTTCTTCACATTTACATTCAAATGTTCCAAATTAAGAAGACAGAATATTTTAGCATTTTGCTAAGTGTACAATTTTTACATTGGAAAAAAATCAAGAACACAACAACAACAAAAAACCCTACTAAGCCAGAGAATTAGAAAGACTACTATTATAGTTCTATCAAGTCTGGCCAAAAAAAAAAAAAAAAAAAAGGCTAGTTAAGTTTCTAAAAAAATCAACACAATTTATGTCAGCAAAAAGCAGAATAGAATATTGTAAATAGAAGTGCTAGTCTTTATTGGGTATCTCACATGCGCTAACCACAGTGTTCTATAAGTAACCCTCATTAGTCCTCAAACCCTGAGAGAGACACTCAATTACCCCACTTTATGCCACGGTCCACAAGAGCCAGGACCTGGAGGCTCCTCTTCCCAGGGTCCTCACATTCCCACCCTTCACTTGCTCCTCACTAAATTCAAAGCTCAAATTCAGCATCTGCAGCTAAACATACTAAAAGTAGCCAGTGTATAATGATCAAATTGCTCTACATATTAAAAGCAAAGTGTCTATATTGTATGCTCTACCAAAATCTCATGTGCCCCATAAATACATATACCTACTATGTACCCACAAAAATTAAAAATTAAATTTTTCTTTTAAAAAAGCAAAATGTCTAGTGGTGTCAAGAATTATAGCATATATCTAAAAATACAATAAAATTCTCTGCTCTATGCATCTTATTAAAACTTAAAAAGAGATTCAGATGTCAATTTAAACTTTTTCACTTTAATACAATTCTAGTTCCTACTTGCTATACATATTAAAACCATTACTGAAAAACCAATTCTCCCATATTTTATGTCTACGCTGGAACCATAGAAAGCAAATGTGTATGTATCAAAAAATCTTTATAAATCTAACAGTGAGGTCACAAAGGACAAATTACTAACTAATAAAGAACTGGTGAAACTGTCGTTCTTTCTAAGAACAGGCTATTAATTATTGGTTCCTAAAATCCATTAAAGCTCTTTAAATGTTATATGGTAAATCTGCACAATGCATTCTTTCTAAAAATGCTCTATATACCCACAACCTATAATTTTTCAGTAATGTCATCTCACAGTTCACCTTTCTTGCTCACAAAAGCTAATTCAAGACATTCTGCACTACCCCAGGAACAATGCCCAACTGTCAGTAAACATTTACGTAAATTTGTTAATAGAGTTTAAGGCCTATCATATGCAAGGCTACAGATCAGTATAGTCAGCCTCCTGATCACAGTCCTAAATGCTATGTCACCCAACAGTGGCTTCCATTCACAGAGGTACCCTGGAGTACCTAGAGAGACAGCTACCTATTAAATAGACAAATGACACAGCAACCCTGCAGTTACCCATTCACCTGGTTATAGTATATCCTCCTGCCTAAAGATATTTAAGCTTTAAAAAGTGATTATCGATGAAGTGATAGTGGAATTCATATATTAAATTAATTTCTTTGAAAGTCACACAAGAATACTATTGTACTTTAGGAATGAATGAGCATTAGGAAATCAACAGTAGCTTATCTGCACTAATGCCAGATAACATTTAGTTGACCCATATTTCTCACACTCTCAAGGAGTCAACCAAACAGACAGCTACTATATGTCCTTAACCAAGTCTGAAAAGGCAAAAGGGCACATCTAAGCACTGCTGATTCAAATAACTCAGAGCTCAAATGCAGGGACAGAATGAGAAAAGATAACCATGTAGGTATCAAGCAGTGTTTATGTTATTTAAACCATAAAAGACAGGATCCATCCTTTGGCTTAGCATTTCAGTAAATCAGTATAATATATTCTGAAAACATAATTTTAAAATCATTCTGGAGACCCAAAATGAACTAGAAGGGGAGATGGAAAAATAGGAATGTTGTCTATAGTTTTAAAATACTAAATGCATTAAAATTTCCAGTGATGAGCGACTATTTCAATGATACAGGAACAATTCCTGATACCTACCCTTCTGACAGAAAAGATTAGACTTTTTCTTCATATTCAATTTGTTCACCTTCTCTCTTTCTTTTTTGAGACAGAGTCTCACTCCATCACGCAGGCTGGATGGAGTGCAATGGCGCAATCTCAGCCCACTGAAACCTCTGGCTCCCAGGTTTAAGCGATTCTCATGCCTCAGCCTCCCAAGTGGCTGGAATTATAGGGGCATGCACCACGCCCAGCTCATTTTTGTATTTTTAGTAGAGACGGGGTTTTGCCATGTTGGCCAGGCTGGTCTTGAACTCCTGACTTCAGGTGAGCCACCCACCTCAGACTCCCAAAGTGCTGAGATTACCAGCATGAGCCACCATGCCTGGCCCTGTTTTCTTTAAACACTAGTTCTGCACATAGCATTAAAGAGAAAGCTCAGAAAAAATAAAGTCTATCATAGTGACTATATCACTAAGAGAAGATGAAGCAGAATATGAAAAAATAAAATTTACTGTTTATTTCTTTGTTACACAAAGGTGGTCCAAGACATCTTAGTCCATCTCCTATGTCCTTTTGGCCATAATTACACACACAATAATGGCAAGCTAGATTAGGAGTCTAGCTCAGGGTCAAGTTTTTCCACTTTAATGACTATCTCTGGAGCTAAAGCGGCAGCACCAGCTTGTTGGTTCTCTGCCTCTGACTCCGACAACACTTCTTCCTTTATTTTTACAGGCTTATTACTGGCCTCCTCCTCTTCATCTGAAGACTCATCGAGCTCCCATTCATCATCTATGTCCATTTCAAATACTCTCACATGACGAAGATTTGAGCTTAACTAAAAAAGAAAAGGCCATAAAAGCATTTTTAAATTAATGGCTTATCATATATAAAGAATTAGAAATCAGAAGTCTGAATCAAAGAATGGTTTTATAGGAAAGTTATATTCCCATCAATTTACAACAAAATCAATAAATTCAGCCTTCATTTTGTATAAAAAGATCTCCACATAACAACAGTGGCAATTTCGTGAGATTAAAATCTAGTATTATTATTAACTACTTAGTAAGCTTTATCAGAACAAGAACTAAATAGCTAAGGCCACCACATGATCATAATCAATACAAGCTATAAATCACAGTAAAAATATTTGCACAAAAGGACCTTATATATCATGTATTTGATGAAGGTTCCAAAGAAGCAACGTTACTTCTTGTAATTTCTTAGTTGCTGAACGATCTCTAAACACTTACCACACAGGACACTTTTCGAAAACCATTCCCAGCAACATACTGTGCTTTCATACTTTCCAGTAATCTCCAGTGCTTCTCAAAATGCATGGTACGGGTGGGAATAGCACTACACTGTTCATCTAGCCTAAAGAGGGAAAAAAACCAACTCAGGAATGAAAAGGGGATCTTATCCTCCCTAGTTTTACTACAGGTGGTATTAGGGTCAATTATGGTTTTGACTTCTACTCATACTTCTATTTCCAATATAATTTTAGCAACTGTTGTGTTAGAAAAAAAGCTGTGATATAATATTCTATAAAAATTCCATATTCTATATTCTGGCTAGGCACAGTGGCTCATGCCTGGAATCTCAGCACTTTGCGAGGCCAAGGTGGGAGGATTGCTTGAGTCCAGGAGTTCAAGGCCAGCCTGGGCAACATAGTAAGACTCTATCTCTGTAAAAAAATAAAATTAGTCAGGCAAGGTGGCACATGCCTGTAGTCCCAGCTATGAGAGGCTGAGGCAGGAGGGTCACTTGAGCCCATGAGTTGGAGGCTGCAGTGAGCTATGATTGCGTCACTGCACTCCAACCTGGGTGACAAAGAGAGGCCCTGTTTCAAAAAAAAAAAAGAAAAGAAATACTGTAATTCCAAACAGGCAGAATATCATCTTAGCAAGGTTTCTGACTCCCTTTCAAAGAAAGCAAATGGATACATTTTTAAATTAGAGATCTGCTTACTTAAGTCTCAGTCAATTAAAGCCATCTCTTGGAATTGACAGTATACTTCCTACATGGGTACTGAGGTCTTAATTCTGGAAGGAAAATACTGAAGGCAAATCAAAAATAACTAATTCCAACCAACTAGGGTTAATGCTATCCTTAAAAATGTAACTAAAAGAAGTCCCATTATCCACTCCAAATAATTCCCCACCTTGATTCCAGCAAATACTTCCTGATTTACTAGTAAAGCAAAGGGACAAAAAAAGCTATTAAGGCCAGCATATTTTGAATGAAAAATTGGAGCATTTCTGCTCAGCTACCTCTGTGGTTATCTCTAGTAACGAAATAACCATTATCTAGCGTACCTAAAAGGTTGGAATTTATAATGTGCATTAAAAAAACATTTAACTGTAATATCAGAAAGACAATGTTACTAGTTACCTTGTAGAATAAGTCCCAGTGAACTGATATTCTGCAGAATCTTCACTGTTATATACTAAAGACAAAGGCAGCTGGACCAAGAGTCTATCTCTTCCTTCACGTCCTACAGTGTCTTTAAGAACTACTGTTACAGTTTCATCATCATAAAACTGTGCATCTAAACAACTGTAGATGCTAGAATTAAAATAAGTTTTGTTATATCAAAGATGATCGTGACTACTGAGAAAATATTGTATGCATGTTATACTGGCAGCAAGCAGAAAAAAATTTAAAAGTTAAGTGACATTCTGTACAATAACATTTAAAATATATCATTGGTTTGTATTAAAATCAGTTACTTTTTGTACTGATTATTCACATATATAACCAAATCTTAAAAATGGGTAATCATGACCCCCAAAAATCTGTGAAGTTGTTTCAGTTCTAGAAAGCCCCTGGCCATCAATGGTTAGGCCTTAAGCCTGTGGAAATTCTATGAATGACACCTTATATACACATTCAGCAGAGTTGACTAGACTGAGAAATAAAAATAAGATACTACACATGAAAAATAGGCACAGCAACTCCAAGGACTTTATCATAAAAAAACTTATTTTATGTGAGGAAAAAAGTGAGAAAAAGATCAGCCTATGATTAGTCACTTCTTTCCCTTGCGAAGCCTCAGGGATGGCTTAGGTACTGTTACCATTTTGAATCCTAAGAAAATCTCCCATCACTAAGAATGGCATCACCTCATAATTTTTTTTGGTCGTAACAAGAACTTCAGCCCTGCAGGCCATCTGCCCATGGGAACCACATTACTTTCTTTGTCAACAGGGAGCTCAGGAG
The DNA here is from genome assembly GCF_000001405.40 of Homo sapiens. Lineage (NCBI taxonomy): Eukaryota > Metazoa > Chordata > Mammalia > Primates > Hominidae > Homo > Homo sapiens. Next base: position 25,415,770 of record NC_000004.12, on the reverse strand, counting down.
TATTAATTATAGGAAACCGTACGACATAAACTGCAGGGCAGTAAGGTTCTATTCAATCACAAGTCAAATCATTCTCTATGTATAAATACACAAAGAATCCTGCCCTTGATGTGGGAAGTGGCAAAGCCCTTTTACCTATATTACCACCGTAACTGAGTCTGATCCTATTCCTAAACATATACACATATCACATGTATCTACATTTCATCCAAACAAGATTCAAGACTTACCTTCTTCTGACTTTTTCTGTTGTGGCATATGTAAAGCTCCCAAATTTAATAGCAATTAGTCCATTACTCACAGATCTTCAAGAAAGAAGGGGGAAAAAAAGAGACTCTGTGGAACAACCTGGATAGTCAATAATCTAAAGGCTTAAAAGAACATGATTGTCAGGGTCAGTACATGTACTTCTTTAGAACACTGAGAACTTGTTTAAATGCCTAGATAGATAAACCAATTTGGTTTAAAATCACACAGTCACCAAAGACATTTGGAATAGAAATAACCCAATTATTTCTTTTTGGTTACATCGTGGTCTCAACATTTTCTTCAAATTCAGGTTTAAAACCATTTTTAAGCTACCAATGGCGTTCTAAATATGATTTATTTTTCAGAACTTCTACTTTCAATTTCAAAGTAAGTCTCTGTTAGGCAAGGCCTCTTGTTTAATGAAAAGCATACTTAACCCTAGGCAAAAATCATTTCTATAAGGCAGCCACTTTTAGAAGTTTTTAACTTCTAAAAAGTTAAAACTTCTTTAACTTTTAGTTTTTCGGAAGTTTTTAACTTCTAAAAAATGAAGTATAATATCCTGAGCTGTCATATTTTTCCTAACTCTAAAAAAAGTCCTACAATGATTATATGCCAATAAAAATTAAATAATCTAAAACAAGATCATATAACTTCCTAATTCAGTGTTACCCTTTTAATGACATGAAAACTAACAATTAAATGACACATCTAAAAGTCACAAAGTAGTTTAAAATCTGAAATGCTGGAAGGCTGTATGCTTCATTCTTACAAATAATAAAATCTTATCTCTTTGATTCAAACTTCAGATTAATACTTACTGAGAAATATCAGTATGTCTCCTTAAGATGCACATTTTATAAAGTGAATCTTCTAGAATAGTAAAAAGAAGATAATGTAGATTTGAAGTTTTATTATTCCACCTAAGAAAAAAAATTGTCATAATATTTTTTAACTATTGATGGATAAAACAAAATTGTATTGTTCACTCAAGATAGGGAAGAAATATATACTTACAGAAAAGGAAATTTGAACAATCTACGTGTAGAATCCTCACTAAAATAAAAGGGAAAAAGAAATGAGAAAAATTTAAATTGGCTGCGGAATTACACCATCCAATAGGTAAACAGAATTACCTTCTGGTATCTCTATACAATGGAATACAGATTGCTTGATTCATCGATTTTCCAATTACATCCTATATAAAATAAGATTTTAAAATATAATTAGAGCGTTAATATGCACACAGATACTCTACAGAAAGTGACTGACCATCACTGTTCGAATGTGGTAAAAAAATCGCCTACATCACCAAACCTTGTACATAAGAAACGTTAATGACAATTGTAACAGTAAGGAAAAAGAGAAAATTCTGAGCTGAAAAGGACCTTGGTGCTAAGCACATGGCAGGTTTAAGACCACCTCCCTCTGGTCTCATAACAACCATTCATTCACATCCTTCAGTAGTAAGCAGAGACACATCAGCTCTGTAACTAAGACTGTTTACAATGAATTTCTTCTGGGAACAAATAAAATACTCAAGATGCCAACACCTTCAGTAATCTTTATACACACACACACACACACACACGTGTGTAAGAAACTTAAGTTGGAGTATTAGGTTGAACCATATGAAATTGTTACTTTTGTTAATCAAAAACAGTTGACTATCAACATTTTCATAGTTCATTCTAAAAATTAAGATCATTTACATAAGTGAGCCACATACTGTAGACACTATTGCTCCTACACAAAGACATGCATTTCTTTCAAACTTACTGCTGGCTTTTGCAAACACTGATCAATAATATTCTCCATCCGCCTTTTCACAAAATGCAATGATTTTCGAGGATAATAAGGAAACAGCAAAGGACTTTCTGGTTTCAAACAAAAACAGAAACAAAAATAAAAGAAGCTATAGCAAACTTATAATTAGAAGAAAATAATCTACTGTTAGAGCCAGTCTGCACAGTTTATCTCGAGGTAGAATTTTCACTGACCACTTCATTGGATTTTCACACAACCTCATTAAAAACGACCATGGTCTTCTGCCTTTCATCAACCCCCGCTGACAGCTCACTAAAAACAATCTCACTTACTACAAACTTAGACTCACCAAAATCCAACTGTAGGTTTCTGCTGGCTATAAGAAGCAAGGAATGATTTGGGAACCATCAAATATATGATGAAATAAAATTCATTCTTCTATTCTTTGCCACAGTGAAACAACAACAGCAGTCCAGTACTGTTTTTTAAGTCTCTAAAACAAGAGACTGGAAACTAGCTCTATATAAATAAGCTCTTTACTTTTTAAAAGGTTACTTTATCAGGAGAAAGTAATATATAATTTAGCACTAACACCTGCTATGCTAGGTGTTTAAAATACCTTTTTTTTTATTGCTTACAATAGCCATATGAAGTAAACACCATATTCTCCAATTTACAGATGAAAAAAAAAATGAAGCTTAACAGGTTTAGGCAATTGCCCAGTGTGAAAATAACTAAGTATCTAGTTCTGTCAATCAAACCCAAGTCTGACTCTAATGCCCACCCTCTTCCACTGTGCTTTGTAGGCCCTCCCTTAGATAAAGCCATGCTGGATAAAATGAACTACAATCACATTAACATTTTAAGTTCTCAAGGTGACAGATGCTATGTTATCACAGAAAAACATTGATCTTTGTTTCTAGTTCCTAGAACAGAGCTTCCAAAACCCTTGGAATTTCCTGAGTGATAAAGGTGACAGGAACATTTTTTTTTTTCTTTTTTTAAAGACAGAGTCTCATTCTGTTGCCCAGGTTGGAGTGCAGTGGTGCAGTCTCAGCTCATTGCAAACTCTGCCTCCCGGATTCAAGCGATTCTCCTGCCTCAGTGTCCCGAGTAACAGGACTACAGGTGCACACCACCACACCCAGCTAATTTTTAGTAGAGATAGGGTTTCACTATGTTGGTCAGGTCTCGAACTCCTGATCTCAAGTGATCCGCCCACCTCACCCTCCCAAAGTGCTAGGACTACCATCTTTTGTTTTAATGAGGCAACTCTTGGCTGGCACCTAGATAGCTTTAGGATAGGGGCTGGCCACCAAAAAGACCAAGCCTTGATTAGAAGTTTGGAAACTTCAGCTCCACCCGCCAGCCTCCAAGGAAGAGAGAGGGGCTTGGAGGTTGAGTTCAATCACCAATGGCCAATGACTTCATCAATCATGTCTACATAATGAAACCGCCAGAAATACACTGGGACAATGAGGTTCAGAGAACTTTCTGGGTGGTGAATATGTCCAGGTGCTGGGAGAGCATGGAAGCTTTGCACCTTTCTCTCCATACCCTGCCTGATATAGCACTTCTATGTGGCTGTTCCTGAGTCATATTCTTTACAACACACTGGTAAACAAAAATTATATGTTTCCCGGAGTTTTGTGAGCCATTCTAGCAAAATTATCCAACCTGAAAGGGAGGAAGGTTCTGGGAACTCTTGACCTTAACCTTATAGCCAAGTCAGACAACAAGCATGGCTACCCAAGAGATGTGGGGACCCAGAGACCTGACATTTGACGCGAGGGCAGTCTTGTGGGACTGCATCCTTATCCTGTGAGGTCTGCGCTAACTATCTGTAATTCGTGTCAGAATTGAATTGTAGGACACCCCGTTGGTGTCAAAATTGGTTGGTGTCAGGAGGAAAAAAATTTCTCTCATTTTGTTGTCAGAAACACTGAGTAAAAAGTGCTCAGACACTAACCTACAGACTGCTTCTGTGCTAAGTGCCAGGCATTAGTCTAAGTGCTTATGTAGATTAATTTATTTAATCTCCACACCAGTTTTTTGAGGGCAGCATTATTACCATCTTCATTTTACAGATGAGAAACTATGGCACAGAGAGGTTAGGCAACTTGCTCTCAGCCGTGTTACTACGAAGTAGTAGAGCAGCTTCCAACCCAGAAAATCCAGCTTTCAGAGCACCAACTTTTACCCACCACACAATACTGACCCATGTACCCTAAAGAAAGTACACAGATCAAGTATTTAGCACTTGATTTTTGCAGTGTAAGAAAACAGTTTCACTGATATTTCCTCACTAGAATTCATTATGGAACTCAATAGTGAGTTCCATTAGGTCTGTAGCTAAGATCAGGCCTTTCTTATTCAAACACGTAAGATGTGGGGCAAATAAAAGAGGACAGGACCTATTTTTAGCCTGGCAAAGTTCCCTGGATCAATAATAGCCAAAATAGCAACAGGGTCCAGGTGCCACTACTCTTGACGCACTGCCACTGACCCTCTCCAGACATCCTGCCTTATTCCCTGGGCATCCTGATTAAATACAGTAAATAAGTAGCGTCTCCTGTACCTTTATCCTCCCTCCATTCAATAGCCAACTTGCACCAATGCATCTCCTTACTGACCTCAAGACTCTCTGGCAATACATAATAGGTTCTGCCTTGAAAAAGAATTTGGACTATATGCAAAGTTCTTGGCATCAAAGAATTCTCTCCCTCATTCATTCATTCATTCATTCATTCATTCACAGAAGCAGCAACCAAATACAAGTGGCAGAAATTGCTATAGGTTGAGTTTCACTTACCCAAAATGCTTGGGTCTGTAAGTGTTTGGGATTTTTTTGGAATTTGGAATATGTGCATATACATAATGAGATATCTTGGGGATGGAACTCAAGTCTAAACACGAAATTCATTTATGCTTCATGTACATCTTATACAATATATTTAATAATTTTGTGCTTGAAACAAAGTCTTGACTGCATTTTGACTGGGACCCATCATATGAGGTCAGGTATGGAATTTTCCACTAGTGGTGTCATGTCGGTGCTCAAAAAGTTTTAGATTTTGGAGCATTTTAAGATTTCAGATTTTTGGATTAAGATGCTCAACCTGTACTGCCAGTCTAGTTAAAACCTCAGGCTTTCACATTAACAGAATCCTAGCTCCATCACTAACCAGCTTGTGTGATCCTGGGCTTCTCTAACCTTCTGTTTCCTCATTAGTAAATGGTGATACCAAGTACCTACCCATAGAATCTTGTGAGGATTAAAGCAGGTATTGTGTGTATATGGCAGACTAAGCACCCCATAAATGTTTAGTTAGACTAAGCACCCACTACCTTAAAGATCTAAGCAATTGCTAAATCTGGTCAGATTATTCTTTCAGACATCAAAGAAATACGAGCTTTAAAATATTTTCATCTAAAATGGTAAGATGTGCTGGCATATTTAATGGTTGCTATTATGTGCTGCATCCCTAATAATGCTGGATAGCTTTACGGTATTAACATTCTGACATTCTAGAAAATGAAAGGTATAACAAGTACACATGCACACACACACACACCAACTACAACCCGAGGAGAATACAGTTGAGCATCCCTGTGCTTTCAGAAGATAATAAATTGGAATTGGCAAAAAAGACTTTTCTCACTATTTGGCTCTATAGTTTCCCTCAAAATCCTATTTTTTACAGGGTGCAAAACACTTATATGAGAACACTTAGGAATAAGCAATCTTCCTACAGCGTAGTTAACTTCAGAGTGTCTTCTATCTATCATGGTGATGTCATACACTATTGGTTATTTTGCTGTTCCTATAATCAAATAAATATAAGTCTAATAAACTTAGGTAAGTGTTCAGCAAGTTTTCAGCAAAACTGTTAGCAGAACTATTCAAGACCTAGTCTTAAATAAAAACAAAAATGGCCAAAATCTGGTTGGTTCATGAAGTACCTTTAAGGTGGCTGCTATTTTGAAGAAAGTCATACCACTGGTTTCCTTCTGTGTTAGGGGGTGACACAAGATCATCATCTTCATCTTTCAAGTACTAGAAATACAGAATTAGAAATTTAAGTTTATTCATACCTGGAAGGGAAAATGGAAAAAGAAAAAAAGTAAAAGACAAAAAAAAGTTAAGTTTAGTAAATCAAAGACTTAGGGCCTAAAATCGGTTTATTTTTAACACTTTTTTAACTTAATAAGTTACTTTGTTTTATTGCCAAGTCCTCTGAAAGTGCATTACTATCATTCTAAGTGAGGTAGCCAAAATCTGCTATGTGTATGTGGCAGAATTAAGCCCTCCATAAATGTTAGCTAGCTACTATCTTAAAAATTAAAGAAACTGCTGAACAGTTGGTAGTTTGTTTAGTCAAGCAACTAAACAAACCACAAAGTATTAAAAGATTATTATGTTGTAGATGTAGAGATCACAAATCGAACTTAAATTGTGTTTCTTTTTCATGAGCATATTTTAATTTAACATATGCAAGTTATAAATTAGTTTCATAAGTATCCATTGTCAATGTACTGTCAATATACTCTATGGCAGTTGTTCTTCAAGTGAGATCCACAAGCCCCTGGGAATCCCCAAGATGCTTTTGGGGATCCACAAAGTCAATACTAGTTTTATAATAATGTAGCTGTCACCTGCCCTTTACACTATGCTAACATTTGTACTGATGGTGGGGAAAGCTGTAAGTGTCTCAGCCAAGAGTCAAGGTAGTAGTCCCAAATCATACCAGCAGTCACTGTATTCTTTTTCTGCCACATACTCATAGTTTCATTTATCTTTAATGAAGTCATTAAATTATTAACTTTATTTTCAACCCTTGAGTACGAATCTTTAATATTCTGTGTGACAGAATTGAGAGTTATACATAGGAACTTTTGCTACACAAAGTATGATGGTTATCTTGAGGAAAAGCACTTATGTTAAAAGCAAAAATAGGCTGGGCACGGTGGTTCATGCCTGTAATCCCCGCACTTTAGGAGGCCATGGCAGGCGTATCACTTGAGCCCAGGAGCTCAAGACCAGCCTGGGCAACATGGCAGGTCTCCACAAAATAAAGACAAAAATTAGCCAGGCATGGTGGTGTGTGCTTGTAGCCCCAGCTACAAGAGGCGAGTCCGAGAGGTGGAGGCTGCAGTAAGCTGTGATTGCACCACTGTACTACTCAGAGGAAATATCTTGTCTCAAAAAAAAAAAAATTTTTTTTTTTTTTGGAAAACCTGCATCTGCCCCTGTGTGCTTCACAACACAAAGACTTTTCTGATTAAATTGGTGGTGCTATTAATGAAATCTAGCTTATAGTTTGATAAAAGGTGGCGGCATTTAGAACAGCTGGATGACTCAGGGAACCAATACTTCCCAAATGACCAAAGCAGGATGTTACAAAATTATGCGTGGACAAAAGATCCGTTCAAAGTGCAAGAAGATGAATGAATTTTAATGTAAAAAACGTTCACTGATGCAATTTTAGATTCCACACTGAAACAAACCTTTAAGATACTATCACTTGTCCACATTTGATATAATAAAGCAAAGTCACAATTATCTGAAAAAGCTAATAGAATATTTCTCCCTTTTCATATACACACCTGTGTGAGGCCAGACTTTTTTCATATACACTGATACTATAGAAACAACATATCGAAACAGACTGAATGTAGCAGCAGATATGAGAATCCAGCTGTTTTCTATTAGGCTGGACATCAAAGAGGTTTGCAATATGAAACGTTACCACTCTTAACTAAATTATATTGTAAAATTTCATTATTTTTCACTAAAAATATTTATATTAACATGTAATAGTAATGGGTATATTCTTTTTTTTCTTCTTCTTTTTCTTTTGAGACTGAGTCTCCCTCTGTCACCCAGGCTGGAGTGCAGTGATGCAATCTTGGCTCACTGCAACCTCCACCTCCTGGGTTCAAGCAATTCTCATGCCTCAGCCTCTCGAGTAGCTGGGATTATAGGCATGAGCCACAATGCCTGGCTGGTATATTCTATTTTTGAGTGAATTAGGGAATAATTTTTTATTATGTTTAATTTTTAATACCTAATAATGCCTATCAGCAATAAATAACAACTCACATAAACAAAAGCTCTTTTCTAGTCCTCGATAATTTTTTTTTTTCTTTTTTGAGACAGAGTCTTGTTCTGTCGCCCTGGGTGAAGTGCAGTGGCTTGATCTTGGCTCACTGAAACCTCTGTCTCCTGGGTTCAAGTAGTTTTCCTGCCTCAGCCTCCCAAGTAGCTGGGATTACAGGTGCCCACCACCACACCCAGCTAATTTTTGTATTTTTAGTCCTCAATAATTTTTAAGAATGTAAAAGTGTTCTCAGATCAAAATGTTTAAAAACTGCTGCTCTTTGTTAATTTTACTAAAAGGGCAGAGATCCTGTATTACTTGGTATTGTAATTCTTTCCAGAGACTTTGGATAACAAAGATGAACACTGCTAAGGTTTTAAAATGAGTTCAAAGCCCATACCTGACCAACTCTTTCAACGTTAAAGTATTTTCCTTTTCGATTATAAAGGTCTGGAGCCTGGAAAAAAATAAACATAGTTTAATTCTTAAGTCAACTCACGAAGAAAAATATCTTAAATTTAAACCCAAAACCTTCCTTTTCAAGAGAGCTGTGAGTGGCAGTTATTATTTTCTTTTATAGATTATAAGACACACAAACAAAAGTCTGGTTTATTGACTATGTTTATAAACATAATTAGTTCAACAGTTTTAAAAAAGTAATTGCTATAGACTTCAATTAAATTGGGTTAAATTTAATTATGTCTTGTCATTATCCAGGTTTACTGTAATTTTTTTTTAAACTGCATTACAGAAATATCAACTTCTTACCTCATTGAAATGTTCAGTAAGAAATTCAGCAACAAATGTGATATCTTTCTGAGTCATCTATCAACAAAAGGAACAAAAAGAAAAATCAAGATAAAAGAAAGCTGCTCAATAAAAGAAATGGTACATAATTATAAATGTGACATTTTTACTATCTACTAAAAGCCATGGGAAAACTGGCAAAGTTCTTTCAAAGAAATATAGATTATGCGACTGTGAAAATATGAACGCCTGGGGTTCCGAGAATGTAATTAAACATGTGAACTCATCTTCCAATCAGTTAATCCAATAGCTACAGAACTCTTTATGGCCTAAGGTTGTTTATTATTTCAGGCCTTGTGCTAAGACCACATGTGCTGAGGTCCCTCCTTTGGAAATGAGAACTGGACCCCAGATAAGATGTGTCACCCTTAGTTAAGGGCTGCAGGCAAACAGTGCTGTCTGCTTCAGTGTAGGCTCCTGCTTCTTGCAGTGACCTGAATTTATCCCAATTTAGTTCTTCAGCCCTCAGAAAATTATACCTTAGGATCCCTTCCAACAACTGACATATTTTACTCCCAAAATAAAGCTAACAGTGATGTCAGAAAAACAACTATTGTGAAACTTTCCTGGTTTGCAAGGCCAGTCACCCACAGTGCAAAAGATCGACTTAGCAAACGAGTTGTAGAAAGTGGAGGAACCCTTTCTCATCTAGCTCATGAGGCTAATTTTAATGCTGTCCATTTTTTCAGGCTCAAAACTACCTAACCTATCAACAGTTTCAGCAGGGGTGAAGAAGAGTGAGCTGCAAGAATCAAGTGGAAATTCTGCCCTATTCCGTAAGACTTCCCTGGAAGAAGATTCCATCACTGGTTGTCACAGTCCTTACAGGAATCCTTCCTTCCTTTCTTTAGAAAGAAACTGTTGCTTACCAGACATCAACACAGGGACTAATATCTAAGCACCTGATTTCCAAGGAAAATAAGAAGCATTTAAAATTTAAGGAAGTCAAAGTAAGGAATACAAGGATGCTGTCTTACATGTATTATAAAACCTTATCCAAACATGAAAACTATAAATTTAGATAGTCATAATAAAGGTATTCTATGAGATGAAACAATACACAAAACATGCAAATTTCTTTTTTAAAAAGGTGGTGCTTAAGGGATCTAACGTCTACATCCTGACATCCTGTTAACTAATAACTGAATAAGAGTACCAAAATGACCAGCACAGCTGAGTTCAAGCAGGACAATGTGAACACTGTGAAAATGCACTAGTACATACTACCTTATTCAGCTCGGGAAGCACATGGTCTTCTGTCATTCTCAACATTGCTGGAAATACAAAGTTAAAAAACTATCTTTAAAAGCAAACTACAAACATAATTTTAATTATAAATACATTTCAAAGACAAGGTGTTTGACTGAACTAAATCTTCAATTTTACACAGCTTTTCACCAACAAAAACATTTTTCTTCCAAAAACTAAGGGGTGCCAGAACTTAAATTTGATTCATATTTTCAGGTTCAAAATTGTTGGTCTAACCATTCTAAACTATTCTTTTTCCTCTTCAATTCCACCTGTTGCCACGCCAGACAAATCTAACTGCTGTCTGTGCTAAGACTACGTGTGTAAGGATCCCTCCTTTTAACCTGGTGATGTTTCTGCTCTTAAAATCTGCAAGCCATTTTTTCCTCCAAAGCCTTATGATACCAAAGAAATCTGTTTATTTCCCTTGGTCTTTTCTGCTACGCGCTTACAGTATATTTATGTACTTTTCTTTGATCTAGTATCTGTGGTTGACTCTCTCCGTCCTTTCACAGGATTGTCCTCATCAGTACTATGTGTTTTGTATTACGTTCCACCTAAGTCAAGACAAAGTATGTTTTATGTGCCTCTGCATGGTATTTGAACATGGTTCTTAATTGCATTTGGTCAGTAACAAGCAAGTCAGAAGTACTTTTGCAAATACATAACTGTTTTTTAATTAATTTAAACATCTAAGTTATCTGAAAGGGGAGCTAAAATCTAGTTCCACTCATTCTTATCCATCCAAAAAAACTACTTATTGAGCATACCCTAGGTGCTAGCAATATATCAGTATAAAAGATATCCCTGCCTTCATGGAGATTACATTTTACAAAGAAGAAAACCAAGGTTATACAGGTATCTACTGGGGACAGAGCCAGGATTACAAGTAGATCTCCACTTCTCCAATCCAGTGTGCTTTCTACAATGTCCTGCCCTAATGAGAAGGACCGAGCGGTAAGCCATTTCTCTCCTAATCCTGAATAAGAGTACCACAGTGCTACAGTTCTGATTCTTACTACAGTTAGAATATGTAGTAAGGATTCTTACTACAGTTAGGATATGTAGTAAGGATTCTTACTACAGTTAGATTCTTACTACAGTTAGAATGTGTAGTAAGGACAATCCTGATTCTTACTACAGTTAGAATGTGTAGTAAGGATAGACACTGCCTAAATTACCTCCAATAATTATAAGTAAAACCAAACTACCTCTGCAAAAAAAAAGTCTTCTAAGGTCTCATTCAGTTTTAATATTGTAATTTATTCCAATTAACAACATGGATCTTAAACAGGCCAGCCTGATAAGCTCTCTGGTTCCTCATTCTGGTTAGTATTGGTACAGTTTTCAGAAATATCAAAAAATTTCAAGTATCAACATAGGCAGATCACATTCAGTTTTTAAACAAAAGCAATTATGTTAGGTTGAAAAATATAGTCTGTTTTTACAATATTAGAATTGAAGATCTGGACATTTGTTTAAAGGATATCAGCACATTACAGGTAATTTTCATTCTATTTTACTCTTTAGAGTTTCAACAAGTGTGAGATAAATTACATTAACACTAAATTTTGCATTTGTTGGAGGGAAATAGATGCTGGATTATTTTAAGGATATTGAGAGTTCACAAAAATAGCAATATAAATGGACCTAAATAAAATATGCATATACTGCAGAGTGAATACAAAACATTTAATATCAAGTCAGCAAATACTTACTAACTACCTGCCCAAATGCAAAGACATTGTGAAGACACAAAGACAGGCTGTAAGTGGTCTGCATTCTATTTAGCTGGAGCATCAATACACAATAGAAGTGGTAATGGAAATGTTCTACTTCTGTGTGGCCACTAACCATTTGTGGCTGCTGAGAACCTCAAATGTGGACAGTATGGCTAAGGAACCAAATATACAGTTTTATAGGATTTCAATCCACTTAAATAGCCACATGTTGCTAGTGGCTACCACAGTGGACAGCAGAGATCTAAAGACAGAAGACGAAATAATCACACAGAAGATAAGCTACCCAAGGACAGAGACTCTTATTTTTTTTTCTTTTTTACTTTTAAAATCTAGCACCTAACAGTGCCTGATACTTACAAAAATTTTTTAAAATGTTATTTTAACCTAAGGAGACATTATAAAGTAAAAAATGTGAACTATCAGTGAGCGACAGGGATAACAGACTACAAGTTAGCTTTAACAGTTCTGTGAGGAATGTTTCTAGCACAAGGAAAAATGTTTAAGGTGATACATATCCCAATTATACTGATTTGATCTTTACAAATTATATGAATGTATTAGATTATCATGAGTACTCCAAAAATATGTATATTTATTAAATACTAATAAAAAATTAATAAATATTTCTGTGGTGAGCTGGGTGTATGAATAAAGTAAGACTGCCCATGTGTTGATAACTGCTGAAGCTAGGTGAAAGGTACAACAGGGATCATTATATAGTTCTCTCAAAGTATTTGAAATTGTACTAGATTTATTGAAACAGTCTAAGATAATACTCCTATAATTTTTTTAAAGTGTTAAAATAAAAATGCTTCACTCAATTAACTTACCCACATAAAGCCACCGAAAAAATGCTTTGAAGTTTTTCATACTACTATCTATAACTCTAAAGAGATAAAAACAAAAAATCAGAAATAAGATTAGTGTGTGGGGGATTCATACATCCTACTCAACTGTCAGGAAATATCATAATCCTTACTGTTCTATTTTATCCTATCTGGGTGACATTTAAGTCTTTAGAACAGCAGATATTACAAATCAAACGCCTACCTAAAAATAAAATTTCAAAAAAGAAAATACTGATTATAAAAATAAAGCAAATAACTTAGATTCCAACTGGTTACAAGAGCCTTGCCACAAACTGTGTAATAGTCTTTCTTATGACTCAGTAAAGCATGAACTCCTTTTCTAACTTTGCAAATAAAAGAAATCAGAAAAAACAGTTTTCAGCATTATTCTCATTTTAAAAGAAAATACTCATTGGTCAGTAAGAAGAAAAAACATCAACTTCAACAGAAAACCATTATTACAAATTTGTGCTGTCATTACCTCTGATATCAATGGACCATTATTTTTGGAAGCTGATTTTTTATCCTAACAATTGAGATCTCAAAAGTTGAATTTCCCTTGGCTTTACACAAATGTACCCCCAAAATTAAGTGTTATAAATGGAAGTCATCTTCATTTTGATAAAACTGTTTCTGAATACAGACATGGGTTATCACTTTTTAAACAATCTCTTTAAGCTCACATGTATACGATAATTATTCTAGGCAAAAACCTGTGCTTTTCATTCCCAAATCTCAAAGCCCTTTCCAAGCATTAAGTTTCATAATACCAATGAAGAGGTAGGTCAGTATCATTAACCTTTCAGTACAAAGTAAAACGCTTGGAATAAAAGACTGAAACATCTCTTATGTTACTAAGCAATATAATCAAAACCCTCTTGCAGCAATGATAAGAGAAAGAAAAAAAGTTCCTTTGTGCAGTCAATATGTTCAACCCTACCCCAGGCCACCAGACCAACATCAAAATGCTCAATGCCTCAGTTTCTCCATCTGGAACCTGTAATAATTCTACTTACCTGAAAGAACAATAAGTTAAACTACCTTTCATTCATACTGAGAAGTGATCATAGAAAGCGTAGTATTTTATATCTGCTCTCTGCAAATACGGTGAACCAAAAAATACTTCGAAATACAGGAAAAGCAATGCCATTTCTCTTCGTGTTTTTTTTGTCTTCTGAGCACACACATCTACAGCCTCTACCTTCTAAAATACCATTAAAATGGCTGTGGATGGAGAGGGGTACATGTGTTAGAAACTCACAAAAACAAAAAGAACAATAGAAAAGAAATTAAATTTCAGAAATGTCAAAAGTGACGGAAGACTGATGCAGCTCAACAGCAAAAGTGACTGATGTGGCTTAAGAGCGTAGGCCCTGTGCCACGCAGTGCACGGAGAGGGCAGCTGGGAAGGAGCCTCCGCCTTGGAGAAGCCCAGGGATGCTCAGACCTTAGCAATGTCAGGTCTAACAGAAGACCTCAGGGTGATGTGTGGGGCTGGACACAGGGGGACAAACTGAAAATATAACACAGAGTGGTCAATACGTTCTTTCCTCCAAAACATGAAGAATGCCTAGGGGGCTACTCTCCAGTCAAAAACAAACAGAGGATTCCTCAGAGAAACTGAGTAAAGTGGGAAGAGCTAAGGCACTTTCACGTGGGCACCAGTATCCTGAAGCAAAGCTCCACACACTCTGGCACCTGCTCCCTGCTGCCCCAACCTACACAGATTCCAAGCAACTTTAAATTGCCTCCTGAATAAACATGAGTAAGCAACCAAGCATCTGGTATTTAAAGAAACCTTGCAAGGAGAGACTAAGATAAACAGAAAAGTGACCCATCAAGGGAAGATAATTCAGGGAACAGCAATCTAATTAATATCCTCAGAAAGATGTGAGATGTCACATCCACAAAACGAAAGCAAAGTTTTGAACGAGGATTAAAGAAACAGGAGAACACTTTGAGAAATTAAAAGAAAGAACTGCTATAATAAGAAATTGAAGAGAATGGTTCAGTTTAATGATCCTGTCCTCCAACCCGACCTTAGACATTTACTCCAAAGTTCACACCCCAGAGGCTGTCATCACCAACTGCAACCCTTCTAAGTCTCAATTTCAAGCATCCCACTGACCAAACACCCCCTCCTATCTGTCCAGCCTCTCTCCAGGGCCCCCACCTTCCTCCCACCAGGACGCATCATCTACTGGTTCTACTACCTTTCACCATCTCTCAGCCCCTACATGTCCTCACTTCCTTCCTAAAGTAGTTCAGATTCAACGGCCATCATTTTAACCTGGTCCTTGCTACAATTCTCTTGCTCCTCTTGCTTCATTTTACTCATGAAGTCTGGTAAATCTAACTGCTCCCCTGCTCTGTGCCCCACTCCTGCAGCAGACCTGCAGCCATGCTGGCTGGCCTCACTTTCCCACTCCCAGAGCCCTCCTGTTCCATTAGTGCACTCGATCTCCTGCTGGACTAGACAGCTGCTTCACAGCTCTCCTTGTATTCTTAAACCTCCAACACCGCCTCCCCATCCTTACTCTCAGCTGATGACAGATGTCTTGTTAGGATAATAAAAGCACCTTGAAGGGAACGTCCCCTATCTCCCACCTGCTCATACACTGGCCTCTGTGACCCTCCTCTCTCAGCCTTTCCTCCTACAACTGATGAGCTCCTACCTCTGCTTTTCCAACCCTTTCCCTTCTGCACTAGGTCCCACCTCTCTCACACTCTTTATAGCCTCTCCTCTCTCATCTCAATTTTTTACCTTCTAGATCATTCCATCCATACATAAACATGCTCCAGTTCTTCCCAAGATAAAAAGAAGAAAAAACCCCAGCAATTCTGCTTCCATCTACTGGCCATTCCCTTTACAGCAAAACTCCTCAAGAGGCTATATTTGCTGTCTTCTCTGCATCTGCTCTTATTCTGTATCGTACCAGCTCCCATCACTCCCTAAGGTGGCTCTTATCAAGGTCACTATCCTAATAATATTCTAAGACTCTATTCTATTCTTGGTGTTTCCCTTGCTTGACTTAGCATCTGTCAACCAATCCCTCATTCCTTCTTGTAATGCCTTCTTCACTCAGCCTGCAGGACGCCTACTCCTCTGGTTGTTCTGTCTCTCCCATTTCCTTTGCTAGTTCTTCATCGTCCCCATTCTTAAATCAGGTCACTCCTGTTCTCTGTGCACACTCATTACCTCATCCAGTCCCATGGCTTTAAATAACACCAATGTGCTGATGGCTCCCAAATGCACATTTCCAGCCTGGACCCCTCCCTTGAACGCTAGTCTCACATAACTAACACTGTGCTGGACAGCTCCACCTGCAGATCTAATGGGCATTTCAAATTCCATACATCTAACACACTGACAGGGTGGCCGAAATTAACATCACTGAGAGGGGTGGATGACGGACACTGTGTGTGCTGCTGGATATGACAACTTGAGAAGGACATACCAATTATGTAGTATTTCTGGCCAGGGATGCATAACCTAAATATAATCATTAAAAAAAATCAGATAACCCTAAAATGAGAAACATAAAAAAAGATACACAGACATACATATACATACATACATGATGTGCTTCTTAAAGAAATGTCAACTTTTATAAAAGACCAAGAAAATTTAAGAAACTGCTCAAAATTAAAGAGACACAGCAACTAAAACAAATACGTGATCCCGAACTGCATCTTATCATACTGGACATATTGGGATAACTGCTAAAGGGGAATTGAACTGTAGGTTAATATACTGTATTAATGTTAAAAATTCCTAAATTTGTTAACTGTACTGTGGTTATGTAAGAAAATAATTTTATTCTTAGAAAATACGCACTAAAGTATTCCAGGTAAAAGGCACCTGATATAAACAACATACTCTCACATGTTTCAGAAAAGATAAATTATATGATAAATACAGTATAATATTTTTAAATGATGAATCAAGTAAAGGAGTACTAGCAGAGTTGTCTCTATTATTCTTGTAATTTTTATGTAAAATTACTTCAAAATAGTAAGTCTAAAGAACAATCTAGTATGTCCAAACCAAACTCTTGATCTTACTCTACACTCCCCCTCCCTAAACCTGCCCTCACATTTGTTCCCCCTTTCAGTAAATATCAATTCTACTCTTTCAAGTACCAAGGCCCTAAACTCATAATTATCTATGACTCCCTTATTATCACCATCTACAGATAAGCATTGAGAAAATCTTGTTAATTACATTCTCAAAATATATCCCAATCCTGACCACTTCAGATTCTGACCACCATTTCTCTCTTGGCTTCTGTCCTTGCCTATCTATGAGCTATTCTCAACTCTGAGCAGCAAGAGGGATCTTTCTGAAGCCTAAATCATATCCTCTCCACTACTCCCAAATCCCCAAGGGCTTCTCTTTACATCCAGAGTAAAGGCCAAAGTCCTAACAACTGCCCACAGACTCTATGCAACCTGGCCATCCTCTATCACCTGTCAATCCACCTCCTACCTTACTCTCATTCAATCTGCTTCAGCTATAGTGCCCTTGTCCCTGCAACATGCCAGGCATGCTCCAAACTCAGGGCCTTCACACTTGCTGCCCCTTCCACCCCCAAATATCAACAGGGCTTGCTCCCTTCCGTCTCCTTCCAACTTCACCTTCTCAGTGAGGCCTCCCTGACCACCTATATAAAGTTGAATCCCCTACCTTATCATGCCCTAGGTCCTTGTTTCTTGCTTGGTTTTTCTCAACATTACTTATCAC
Source organism: Homo sapiens (assembly GCF_000001405.40). Taxonomy (NCBI): domain Eukaryota; kingdom Metazoa; phylum Chordata; class Mammalia; order Primates; family Hominidae; genus Homo; species Homo sapiens. The sequence continues at coordinate 25,398,264 of NC_000004.12, read as the reverse complement.
TGTATTTAAAACATAGTTAAGTGCTCAACAAATGTTTACTGACATTTGACAATAATCAAAAAACTCTCAGAAAATCAAAAAGACAAAGATATGAAAAATGTAAGAGAAAAAGAAAAGACACAGAAATCAATCCACCACAAATTCTAATATCTGACCAAACAGATTTCTAGAACAAAAATCTAGTTTAAAACAAAGAGAAAGCTTGGCGTAATGGCATACTCCTGTAGTCCCAGCTCCTCAGGAGGCTGAGGCAAGAGGATCACTTGAGCCCAGGAGCTCAAGTCCAGCCTGGGCAACATAGAAAGACCCCATCGCAAAAATAAATAAATAATAATAAAGTAAATAAAAGAGGGAGGAGTAAATTATTAAAAGAATAATACAAGAGAATTCAGGTTAAAATGGCTTATTATAGCACAATGAATTAAAAGGCCCACACCCAAAAACACTGTTATGAAATTTCAACATATCAAGAATAAAGAGTAATGCTTTTACAGCTTTTTCAAAACGAAAAAAAAAAAAAACTATAAAGGGCTAAGAATTAGAAGCACCAGACCTTCCATCAGCAACAAAAAGCACAGAATCCTATGGAACTCTGCTTTTGAAGTTCTATGTGAAAACCAATAACCCTCAGGGAATCCTAAAGCCAGCTGTCAATTAAGTGTGAGGGTAGGAGAAAAAACACAAAAGGAGATAAAGTTTACCTTCTATGTCTGCTTTTTGAGAAAGTTACTAGAGGATGTTTTCCAGCAAAATGATTAAATAAGCCAAGAAACAAAGGCAATCCTGGCAGTTCTGGGTCTAACCCAGGAGAGTAATGAAGAAAATGCCCGGGTGGTAGCCGTGCAGGAGAACTGGACCACAGCTGCAGGCTGAAGCAGAGGGGTGGGAGGCTAAGGAAGGCATCTGGAACAGGGGACTCCAGAGGTACTACACCACCCTTCAGAAGGGAAAGGACGGAAGGATGCAGAAAAAACAGACAATGCAAGAAAACAAGCAAGCCTAACAGTCTAAGAAAAACAAAACAAAGAGAATAACTTCTAAAAATTGACAAAAGAAATGTGGCATAGTCATACAATTTAGAAATATGGAGGTAACCCATAGAAGAACTAAAAATAGAAGTAGTTAAAGAGTTAAAATGATTCCCTCTGGCGAGAAGACCTGAGGTAAGGATGACCAGGACAGGAAAATACAGCTTTACTTTATAAATTCTCTGTGCTGCTGGCTTTTCGGAACCATATAAAGGCATAATTGTGATAAAAATTTAAAAACTGATTTTAAGAGAATCATAACAGCTTACTAGGTTCTTATTTAGGTCAAAAGTGACATATTCTTAGGTCAGTGATTCCAGGTACTCCCAATACTTACTGAAGAAGTTCATTTGCCTTGAGTATAAAAGAACCCACAGCAGTTATAGCTTCTAAAGGGAAAAAATAAATAAACGTCATTTGTCAAATAAGTAAACTGTGTTTAATGTATTTCACTGAGAAATTAAATCACTACCTTCGATTCCTGCAGCATCTAGTCCAAGAGGTTCATATTTTTGCTTCCATGAAGCCATTCCTTTCAATTCACTCAAATGGTATAATAAAGACTCCGAGCCACTATCCAAACAGAGCAGAAATAAATTAGTATCATGACGATCATCAAGTGACTAACTTGCCTGAATATTTCTAAATTTTCAGAAATAAAAACTGAAAGTAACTTTCATTTTGTTTCCATGAGAAATAATTATTTCTCAAAACTGTTCCTAAAAACTGCAGCAGAACCATCTGGTCAATGTGACTACAGAGATAAACAAATGACAAGATCAAATTTTGTAAGATGATCAAATTGTGTTCCACAGTTAGTCCTGACCCTTTTAAGACAGTTGTACAGCCATCTTGTTCACCCAACTACTACACAGTCAATGTTCAATAAATATTTCTTAAGTTCCCATTTTGGGTCAGGTACCGTGCTATATACTGGGGACATAACGGTGAACACAATCAAAGGGTCTCATGGCATTGACAGTATAACAGGGAAGACAGTCATGATCGCATAGTCATACAGTGTACCATTCCAACTACTATAAATGCCTTGAAGGAAACACATGGGGTGCAGGTATAACAGAAGAACCTGAGCTAATCTGGGATTCAGAAAGGCTTTTCTGAAGGAATGAATGAGCTGAGAGCTGAAGAATGCATGTGAAGAACAAGTTGGGACAAGAGGAATATGCAAAAGCCCTAGGCAGGAGACAAAATGTCAAGTTGGAGAAACTAAATGGCCATCAGTGTGGGCGAGGCAGAGAGGCAGGTATGCTAAAGGCCACACAAAGGTCTCCATTCTAACGGAAGGCATTAGAAGTTTTTAAGAGAGAAATATGTTTAGCTCTACTGGGGAAAATACATTCAAAGGACAGTGTGTACTGAAAGAGCCCAACTAGTCCAGAGGGTGCTACAGTGGTCCAAGGGAGGGGTGATGTAGTTAGGGCCAGGGACTCAGCATAAAGGAATATACCAAAATTTAAACCAAACACCACCAGGTGTGGTGGCTCATGCCTGTAATCCCAGCACTTTGGGAGGCCGAGGCAGGTGGATCACTTGCGGTCAGGAGCTTGAGGCCAGTCTGGCCAACACGGTGAAACCCCGTCTCTACTAAAAATACAAAAATTAGCCAGGCGTAGTGGTTTGCGCCTGTAATCCCAGCTACTTGAGAGGCTGAGGCAGGAGAATCGCTTGAACCCGGGAGGCGGAGGTTGCAGTGAGCCGAGATCACATCACTGCACTCCAGCCTCGGCAAGACTCCATCTCGAAAAAACAAAAAACCAAAAATCAAACAAAATAAATCAAACGCCCAGCATCCACTTGTAAAATGCTTCAATGAAGTAGCTATGGATAGAAAAAGCATGAGATTTGAAAATCTAGGATGAAGTCTTGGCTCCGACACTTAGTAACTTTGGGCCAGCCATATAACTGATTCTGAACTTCTGTATCCTCTTGTGTAAAATCACCAACACCTTGCCAAGATATTAAATAAATAAATATACAATATTCTTGGTAAACTGTAAAATGTTAATCTCACTGCTCAAAAAAAAGATATATGCCTTATTTCAAAATATACTTCATGCTTAGCTGATTAAGAAAAAAACCCAGATAGAGTCTAGCCTGGTGAAAAGATGTTGGAAAATTACTTCATAAAGCAGAATTATTATTGACTCTTTCAATCTTGGGTATAGGAAGATTCTTCTCAAATGCCATGCAACAATTTTAGCTAGAAAAGGCTTAAAAAGAGAATGCCAGATGAAGAAAAGGCGGCGGAAAGAAGGCCAACGCCAGGTATGTGTGGATACAATACCAAAAAATTCTACGTCACCTTCATACCTCTGTAAATGACTTATGACCAATTTTTGTATACTGGAGTATGATGACTCTATAGACTGGCCAAGCTTTTTCAAGCCCTAATTAAAAAAGGAAAATATATTTAGCATACAATCAGGATATTATATGCCACTCGAAAAAAAAAATTAAGAATGTGTTCATAGCCATTTGAATACATAGATACATTAACTGCACCTTTACTGTTAACTGATTCATCAAGAGAGTCTGAAGTTCAGCACTACAATGAAAAACAAAGTATTTTTAGTCACTTCTCTATTGGAAATCTGAATGCATCACTTACAACTTTTAAATTTCGAAGCACAAACAAGAAACAAAATAAAGAAATAGCCCCACAAAAAATTCTACGCATGTAACATCACATATACCCCGTAAGTATGTAACACATTATGTATCAATTAAAATATTATGTATCAATTAAAAAAATCACATACTATGACTATAAACTACTTTTCAAATAAATAATTACTGTTAAAAAAGAAGCAAAAACAGGAGCACCTAATCTGAGTTTATTACCTTGCTTTCCCCCATAATAGCAAGTGCATGAACTCATCTTGCACTGATGTGGTTGTGTTCTTTTCCTGGAAAAAAGTGAAAAAAAAATTGTGATATATGTATTTCTTAAATTATAAGCATATTTATTCAAAATTATAGGAGCATGACTCCCTTTCCTTGCCTTAGACTTCCATCAAATCCATAAAGTGATCATCTGAACATCAGTGACTAGAAGATAGCCAATCAGCTGTTCTAACACCTGCCCTTATTGCCAAAGCCCCACCAGCTCCACTTCACAATCCTGTCCCCACTTAAGTTGTATCAATGGGAAAAGAGCCCTTTTGGCAAATCTGAGGAAGCAGTTTGAAGTCAGACGAAGCCATTTGAAAGAAATTATGATCTTAGCCTTTTATGAATCAAACTGATTTTTCTCATGTACCTCAAGGTAAAGACATACATCATGCATTCTTTAACTCTCTCCATGGGAAACTTCAGCTGCTTTACCTGCACAAACTTGGTGAGACGAGAATCCATCTGCATTAGTATTTCTTCCCATGCTTCACACATACATGTTAGTGACAAATTTATATACTATTAGCAAAAAAGAAAAATTGAAATGGTAAAAAATATTTAAACCAACTTGCTATCTAAATAATATGTGCTTATGATCAAGTGTCTCAAAGAAATCTAGAATTTACTTTCAATCACTGTTTTATTTTTATTATTTATTTATCGAGACAGAGTCTTGCTCTGTCGTCCAGGCTGGAGTGCAGTGACGCCATCTTGGCTCACTGCAACCTCTGCCTCCCAGGTTCAAGCGATTCTCCTGCCTCAGCCTCCCAAGTAGCTGGTATTATATGCGTGCGTCACCATGCCCAGCTAATTTTTGTATTTTTAGTAGAGACGGGGCTTTACCATGTTGGCCAGGCTGGTCTCGAACTCCAAGCCTCAAGTGATCCACCTGCCTCAGCCTCCCAAAGTGCTGGGATTATAGGTGTGCGCCACTGTGCCCAGCCTCAATCACTCTTTTAACTCAGTTAAGATGGAGAAAAAGACAACAGCTTGGTCATCACTTAACTACGAAACATTCCATTGATTCTTAGAATTTCATAATAAAACATTCTTAAATTTTTATCTGGTGAAACAAATATCTCCAAGCTTTTTATATAAGATATGTCTTATCTACACTAACTGTCAAAATACTGGTTTGGTCAATTATTCAATTTTAAAAAGATACTGATCTCTAGAAACCTTTAATATCAAATAAATTAATGACTGTGGTAGAATGAAAAACATGGCCACAATCTTTTGTAGCCCCTCCAGTCAGATGCAGAGTCCATTTCTTCAGCCCTTGAGTCTCGCTTTGACTAACGGAATGCAGCAGAAATAACACTGTTGACTCCAGGGCCTCAAAAGTCTTTGTACACTTCCACTTGCACCCTCGATGCCCCGTTACCACCACCATGTGGACAAGCCTGTGCTGGCTCGCTGGAGTATGAAGGATGTGGAGTAGAGACAAGGAATCACAGCCAAGGGACACATACCAGCTGGCATGACCAAGTCTAGTCAAGATCAGCTGAACCTTCTCCAGGTCACCCAAACATCTTGGCTAAGCTGAGCCTAAATCACCAACCTACAGAATTGGGAGGTAATTTGGGGTGGGTTTATTATGAACAAATGTAAACTCATGTGAAGACTGTTTTTCCCACAATACTTTATAATGTAAATGGTATTTTATTTATGGGAGTATTTTAAAAGATTTAAACTCTTTTGGAGGTGGAAAATAGGGTGCGGTGAAAGTAGGTTCTCAATTAAATGTCCTTTTCCTGCTTTAATGGACCTTATAAGATCATCTATCAGACTAGATACCTCTACTTCAGAAAGCTTTACAAAACAAAATTTTGAAGCTTTTTATTTACAGAACTTTAGAAGCCGATAATAAATATTCACATAAAACAAGCTCTAAATAAATACCTGTAACAGAGCTGAAATATGAGTAAACTTTCTGGCCATCCGAGTTACTTCAGGTAAGAAAGAGTACAACAGATTAGTTTCAAGCTGTAAAATCAAAAGAGTAAAGTGAGTCATCATCAGATGCACTTGCTGCAAAGTCTGTAATTTAGAGTGTGGGTCAAACTACGTATCAGAAAGACTATGTCAGAATTGTGCCCTCTTTGAGCAGAACGGTTTGGAAACAGCACATAGCCTTAGGATCTCCTAACCTACACATAACCATACACAAATCACTCTCTCTGGGTTATCAACCCCTCCTGTGTAGATAGAATAAATGTAATATAACCTATTTTGAAACAGTATTACAAAGAAATGTTTAAATCACAAATATATGTAAAAACTTAAAGGAAGTATAAGGAATTAAAGGCTACTGATAAATATTGGGAAAATATCTATCAATGGTATATGAATTGTATCTTAATAAATTTGTCATTAAAAATGATCTGTTACCAACTTCACAGTAGTAGTGAATCATTTTATTATAATCCAAATGCAATCCTGGTGATCATAGTTTCACATAACCTTAAGAAGATGAGCAAATATGAACAACCATTACCATAGTGAACAGTAAACCAAGAGTTCTCTGATGCTCTGAATACAAAGAGAATGTTGGAAGACATCACACACATTGCATCTTGCATCTTTTTTGTTCTACTTTTGTTTGAGAGTTCACACATACTTAAGTGGCTGGGATATTTAAGATGAAAATTTTCGATTTCTTGGCAAGGCTATGATCTAAATACTCTATGGGAGCCCAGTTAGCTTCCTTAATCTACAATGCAGACAGCACGCAATAAAGCATTTTCCCAATATTAAGTGATCATTTTACACAAGATGCAATGTGCTAGTTAAGAGCACAGATTATGCAGCCAGATTGTCTAGCATCACTTTCCCATCCTGTGACATCAAGCAAGTTCTGAAGTATTTGTGTGTCCATGTACTTACCTATAAAATGGGGATAATAACAGTATCTGCCTATTATGATGCTGTGAAGATTCAAATCAACTGTTCTGAAGCATTCAGCATATGGCACATATTAAACAATCAATAAATATTAACCTTTGTTATTATCAGGGACAGAGTCCTAAGCAAACACTTGGTACAAAGTCAAACTGGAATAGCAACAAATTAATATGGTCATTAATAGACCACCAAAACACTTTTTATGAAAACTGTATTGGAGCATGGGAAGAATAATATGGTATTCACTATAATAACACTCAGTATATTAGGATGTAGAAATTCCAAGTCGATTTTTTTGCATTATTTTAATGATCATTACAATACAGTGAGATGTGGATAAAAACCTATATAAAACCTGTTAAATACATATTTACTCTCTACCGTTATCAAGTTCCAATACTCACCTGAAAGTATGAAACTTCTGAAGCACCATTGGTAGAGACTTCTGTGACCACTGATAATGATTTCAAATCACTTGATAAACATAATGCAAGACAAGTACCAGCAATCTGTAAAAGAGTCAAACCCCTTAGTATATTTAGTATCACTGCTAGGTTGAAGCTGATTATCATGCAGAAAGCAAAAACTCAGAGCTTTAAAAAGCAGAAACAAATTCCCAGCTCCAGCCACACACATGTAGCAGATGAAGGTAGGTGTCTGCCTGCATGGACCTTTCTAGTTACAAGGCCACAAAAATAACCTGGTTCCCTCACCCCTACCCAAGTCTCAAATCAAGTGCTGCAGAACCAACATATTCCACAGAGCCTACAATATTTTCTACCCCTTTTGCGAGTGTAAGAGTCTGATGAAAAAGCTATGGAGAAGACTGAGACGTAGCAACTATAGTACAGTCAGTACTGGACTTAAGAATGCTTCTGAAGATTTACATTCCAATCACAAATTGAAGCTCTTTTACATCTCACACTAGAAAAACATCAAATCATAATCAAGTGTATCATACTAATCTTTCTGTTAAAGAAAAAGAAAAAAAAACTTGACTAATTCCACAAATAGCTCCCAATCTTTATAGACATATCACAATTATTTTATCTTAGTAAGGAAATTAGTCTCTGAACATTTAAGAATAATTCCAAAAATCGAAACTGAAAAAAAACCTAGTGTTTTATTCTTTTTCCATAAGTACCTAGTATATTCTAAGAGAAATAATTTAGGAAGAGAAAATGTTAAAGAAATCTTACCCCTGTGACTCGAGCAATTTTAAACATTCCATAAGCATAAAGCTCAATAAATCCAGAGCTTCCTCCAAGGACGAGAATATTAAGCCTAATTAAAAACAATGCAACAAGCTGAGAACCAATCAACAACACAGATGATTGCATTGTTAAAGCGAGATATAAATTATTACTGCTTTCATATAATCTACATGCTAAAGCTCCCCTGCAGAGGGAAGTGAGACATCAAATCCACTAACACTCAATATTCAGTCACATCAGGCTCATTCCTTTTTTCAAAGAACACAAATTTCCTCTAGCCTAAAAAAAAATCAGCTTACAGTAAAATAAGAATACATTATTTTAATAACAACTATATTTATACACTCTCAATAACAAAACAATCCTTTTACCAACTAATACAAAGTGCCATCAGTTTTATCATGGTTATGATGCTAAATATATTAAATGGGCTTAAAAAACATGAATACTTAAAATTTTAGAAACTCTAGTACTTATATCCTTTAACTTATTAAAATAAACATATGTACATCATATTATTATTAAAACTTCATAAAACGAAAGGCCACACAATAAAAACAATAATAGATATTAAGGTCTATATATTGTTTGAAGGTATTAATGTCAACGATAAGGCCAGGTGCGGTGGCTCATGCCTGTAATCCCAACACTTTGGGAGGCCAAGGCGGGTGGATCATCTGAGGTTGGGAGTCTGAGACCAGCCTGGCCAACATGGTGAAACCCCGTCTCTACTAAAAATACAAAAATTAGGCCAGGCGCGGTGGCTCACGCCTGTAATCCCAGCGCTTTTGGAGGCTAAGGCGGGTGGATCACGAGGTCAAGAGATCGAGACCATCCTGGCCAACATGGTGAAACCCCGTCCCTACTAAAAATAAAAAAATTAGACAGGCCTGGTGGCGGGTGCCTGTAGTCCCAGCTACTCGGGAGGCTGAGGCAGAAGAATCACTTGAACCAGGAAGGCGGAGGTTGCAGTGAGCCGAGATAACGCCACTGTACTCCAGCCTGGCAACAGAGCGAGACTCCGTCTCAAAAAAAAAAAAAAAAAATTAGCTGGGTGTGGTGGCGCGTGCCTGTAGTCCCAGCTACTCGGAGGAGGCTGAGACAGGAGAATCGCTTGTGCCCAGGAAGTAGAGGTTGTAGTGAGCCAATATCACGACACTGCACTCCAGCCTGGGTGACAGAGACTCCATCTCAAAAAGAAAACAAAAACAAAAAACAATGAAATAAAATGGCAAATAAAGGATTTGCTCTTAAAGCTTCTGAAAACTGCCTCAAATATGAAATAACTTTAAGAAATTAGACTTATTTATCTGTAAGATTTACCTGACGTCTCCCAAGAGCTTAATAATTTCATCAGAATTTTCTTCACTAAAATATAGAAGTAAATTGGGTCATCTTTCAATTCTGTCTTCCAAATAATAGCAGATTATCTTACTTGAAAACAAGAAAAGGCGTATCTTACCTAAATATTTTTGAGGTGTTGCTATAGCTAGAAGGAAACAGAGATTAAGGTAAAAAATACTCTTAGTAAAAATACATATTTTAAAACGCATGAGAAAATTGTCACAGTGTTAAAAGCAGAAGAAAGAGAAATCTGCAAGATTAATTTCAAAGAAACCAGTGATACATACTTTTTTGGCAGTGTAGGTAGTTTAGGTAAGAGAAGATTTGATTCATCCTCAGCATTATAAAATGATGTGAGAACACTAAAAAGGAAAAAATAAAAGCATTATAAAAACACCAAAGATTTTACTTCTCTTGCCATTAAAAATGCTAATTTTTAAAAAAGATACCCAGTTTTACAACATTATCAAGTAAATAGATGACACAAATACTATACAGTTGTAGTCAGTTTAACAGTCCCAAATAGGAAATTGAAAAGTAGGAATTTCTGTTATTTTAGGGGAAAAAAAACATCAGCCTGCACACGTTACATTTAGAGAAATGATATTAATAAACACTTTTCTTAGCATATGAAATGCATTCATATGTACTCAGATACTGAGAATTTATGATTTCTTAACTCTCATTTAAGAACTCACACCAAACATATGACTACTAAGAGTAGCACTATCTTTTATTTATGAGACAGGGTCTCACCCAGGCCGGAGTGCAGTGGTGTGATCATGGTTCACTGCAGCCTTCACCTTCTGAGCTAAAGCCATCATCCTGCCCCAGCCTCCTGAGTAGCTGGGACTACAGGTGCAAGCCACCACACCCAGCTAATATATACATTTTTTTTTTTAGAGATGGGGGTCTCACTATGTTGCCCAGACTGGTCTGAAACTCCTTCCTCCTGCCTCAGCCTCCCAAAGTGCTAGGATTATAGGCATGAACCACTATGCATGGCCTACTATGTGATTTAGTTATTGGTTCTATGACTTATACACACTTGTGGATTTGATAATCCAACAGGTATTTGAGACTACACCATGCCTTTTGAAATAGTCTTATTTACCCCCTTTTCCTTCTCAATTCTAACTCCAAATAAGGTTGGAAATAAATGAGTAAGCAAGTAAAAAAGTGGTGATTTAGCAAGTATTTTTTCCTACTTTAATAAAAAGGAGCTGTCTTGAGAGACCCTGGAATCGCCACATAACACTTCTAAACTGTTAGTAGAAAGTATGTTGGGAATACACACAGCAGATAACCGGGCTGGAATAGGAATTACATGATATGCTCTGACCCTCTAACATTCTACATATTCACATAACGATTTGTAATCCTTCATTATCTGATGATGGATTTATCACTCTGGTTTATCTACAGTGAATTTCAAACCCCAGGTCAAACCCTTGTCATCCAATTCTTTCAGGCTTCCCTTAGGAAAGCTGGCAATTAATATTCAGGATTTACAAATTCATTTGATATTACCTTAGTATAACTTAATTAGAAAGGAAAAGTTAATGGTAAGAAAATTAGCATATTTCCCCAAAAAAGAAAAACAATTTTTGTTTTCAGTATTAGCCAAACCCACTGATTCCTCCGGCCTTCTTCACTACAACCCTGGTGTATTACTTGACTACACACACTAATGCAGAATTATTTTTATGAAACAAGGAAATTATCAGGACCATGGACAAAGAAAAAACCTGTCCAGCATTAGACAGAATGCTCAACTTAGCATTTTTCATACTCTAAGAATACTTACTGAGACACAAAAAAAAGTTCCAGATGATATAAATCATGAAATGGAAATTAATATATGTATTAATTAATAAAACTTTAAAATTACTGATTGGCAAATTGAGGTTGTTTTCCATTTCACCATTTATCTCGTCTAGAGCTTTGTTTTTTGTGCCTCAGTAACTATTTTTGGAGTATGAAATGACTAGAAAGAGGAGAAAACTCTTAGCTATTCAGGTTTACTGCTTCAACAAGAAAATACAGGCATATCTCCTTCAATTGTGCTTCCCTTCATCCTGCTTCCCAGATACTGCATTTTTCACAAATCAAGTTTGTGGCAACCCTGTGTCAAGCAAGTCTATCAGCCAAGCAAGTCTATTGGAGTCCTTTTTCCAGCAGCCATGTGCTCACGTTGTACTTCTGTGTCACATTTTGAAATATTTGCAATACTGCAATTTTTTTCATTATTATATTATTTGTTATGGTGATTTGAGGTCAGTAATCTTTGATGTTACTATTATAATTGTTTAGGGGTGCCACAAACCATGGCCATATAAAATGGTGAGCTTCGGCTGGGTATGGTGGCTCACGTCTATAATCCCAGAGCTTTGGGAGGCCGAGGAGGGCAAATCACTTGAGAGGAGTTCGAGACCAGCCTGGCCAACATGGTGAAATCCCGTCTCCACTAAAAATATAAAAATTAGCTGGGCATGGTGGCACACACCTGTAATTCCAGTTTCTCGGGAGGCTGAGGCAGGAGAATCACTTGAACCCTGCAGGCAGAGGCTACAGTGAGCTGAAATTGTACCACTGCACTCTGGCCTGGGTGACAGAATGATAACTGTGTCTCAAAAAATAAATAAATAAGGCCAGGCGCTGAGGCTTATGCCTGTAATCCCAGCACTTTGGGAGGCCGAAGCGGGCGGGTTACCTGAGGTCGGAAGTTCAAGACCAGTCTGACCAACACGGAGAAACCCCATCTCTACTAAAAATACAAAATTAGCTGGGCGTGGTGGCGCATGTCTGTAATCCCAGCTACTCTCGAGGCTAAGGCAGGAGAATCAACCTGGGAGGTGAGCCAAGATGGCGCCACTGCACTCCAGCCTGGGCAATAAGAGCGAAACTCCGTCTCAAAAATAAATAATAAATAAATAAAAATAAATTTTAAAAAATGGAGAAATGTGAGTGTTCTAACTGCTCTATTTACTGGCCATTCCCTCTCTCTTCCTTTGCACAGGCCTCCCTATTCCTTGAGACACAACAATATTGAAACCAGACCAGTTAATATCCCTACAATGACCTCTAAGTGTTCAACTGTCTCACTTTAAATCAAAAGCTAGAAATGATTAGGCTTAGAGAGGAAGGCACGTTGAAAACCAAGATTAGGCCAAAAGCTAGGCTTCTTTTGCCAGTCCTCCAAGTTGTGAATTCAAAGGAAAAGTTCTTAAAGGAAATTAAAAGTGCTACTCCAGTAAATACAAAAAAAATAAAAATGTGAAACAGCCTTACTGCTGATATGGAGAAAGTTTTAGTGATCTGGACAGATCAAACCAGCCACAACATTCTGTTAAGCCAAAGCCTAATCTAGAGTAAGGCCCCAACTCTCTTCAATTCTATGAAAGTGCTGAGAGAAAGCCGCAACAAGTTATACAGAACTTCCAGCTAAATCACTGAAGAAAGTGGTTACACTCAACAACAGATTTTCAATGGAGAAGAACAGCCTTTTATTGGAAGATGCCATCGAGGATTTTCTATTTATTTATTAAAACATATATACATATAGAGATATATATATGTATACGTATGTATGTATTTTAAAGCCAGTGAAATATAGCACCACCTAGGACTTTCATAGCTAGAGAGGAGTCAATGCCTGGCTTCAAAGCTTCAAAGGATAAGCTGATTCTCTTTTTAGGGGTTAACATAGCTGGTAACTTTAAGTTGAATCCAAAACTCATTTACTGTTCTGAAAATCCTACAGCCCTTAACAATTATGCTAAATCTATCCCATCTGTGTTCTATAAATGGAACAACAAAGCCTAAATGACAGCATATCTGTTTACAGCACGGTTCACTAAATGTTTTAATCCACTGTTGAGGCCCACTGCTCTGAAAAAAGGTTCCTTTCAAAATATTATTGCTCATTCATGACTGGTCACCCAAGAGCTCTGATAGAGATATATAAGATTAATGTTGTTTTCATGCCTGTTAACACACAAATCCATTCTGCATCGTATGGGTCAAATGGTAATTTCAACTGTCAAGTCTTTTTTTTTTTTTGAGACAGGTCACTCTGTCACCCAGGTTGGAGTGCAGTGGTCCAGTTACGGCTCACTGCGGCCTCAACCTCCTTAGGGTCAGGTGATCCTCCCACCTCAGCCTCCTGAGCAGCTGGGACTATAGCTACCACGCCTGGCTAATTTTTAAGATAGGGTTTCACCATGTTGCCCAGGCTCGTCTTGAACTCCTGAGCTCCTGCCTACCTTGGCCTCCCAAAGTGCTGGGATTACAGGCATGAGCTGCTGTGCCTGGCCATCTTTCAAGTCTTGTTATTTCAGAAAAACATTTCATAAAGCTAGAGCTGACATAGCGATCGCTCTGATGGATCTGGGCAAAGCAAACTGAAAACCTTCTAGAAAGGATTCACCATTCTGGATGTCATTAAGAACATTCACAATTCATGGGAAGAAGTCAAAATATCAACATTAACAGGAGTTTGGAAGAAGTTGATTCCAACCCTCATGGATGACTTTGAGGGGTTCAACACTTCACTGGAGGAAGTAACTGCAGATCTGGTGGAAATAGCAAGAGAACTAGAATTAGAAGTAGAGCCTGAAGATGGGACTGAACTGCTGCAATCTCATGACGAAACTTGAACGGATAAGGAGTTGCTTCTTAGGGATGAGCAAAGAAAGTGCTTTGTTGAGATGGAATTTAGTCCTGGTAAACATGCTATGAGCAATGTTGACATGACAAAGGATTTAGAATATTCCATAAACTTAGTTGATAAAGCAGCAGTAGAGTTGGAGAGAGCTGACTCTAATTTTGAAAGAAGTTCTACCTTGGGTAAAATGCTATCAAATAGCATCTCATGCTACAAAGAAATCTTTCTTGAAAGAAAGAGTCAACTGATGTGACAAATTCCACTGTTGTTGATGTTAAGAAATTGCCACAGCCACCTTAACCTTCGGCTGCCACCACCCTGATCAGTCAGCAGCTGTCAGCACCAAGGCAAAATCCTCCACCTTCAGTGAGATCACAACTCACTAAAAGCTCAGATGATCGTTAGCATTTTTTAGCAATAAAGTATATTTTAATTAAGTTACATGCTTAATTTTTTTAGACATGATGTCATTGCACATTTAAATGTACTATAGCATAATATAAACATAACTTTTACATGCACTGAGAAACAAAGAAATTCAAATGACTTGCTTTTATTGCAATGTTCACTTTATTGCAGTGGTCTGGAACCAAGCCCACAATATCTCTGAGGTATGCCTATAGATGTTTATCGGAAGGAAAAAAAAAATCTAAGAAAGCATTAAAAAATTTCATCTTGATAAACTGAAACCAAAATTTAAATACAACGCACATACACCCAATACTCAGATACTCCTAAGTTTCCATTTCAAAAAATAAAAATCTCATGAATACCCTATGACTACATAAGTTTTTCTAATTACCTGCTTTCTACTGTCACTTCCATCCAATGCATACAGGAAACTGGAGCCTCCACAGAAAAAGAGTGTAAGCTCTCAGGTTTTTCTACATCACACAAAACAATTTTCTTGGTATCAGCAAGAGCAAAGGCCAAAACTAAAACAAGAAAAAACAATCAGAATAAATTAGTGTAACAATTGAGAAAAATAAATGGGTATTTCCCTTATTGCCCAGTTTTACTCTTTTAAGTGCATCTTCATCATGGCAATTTTTGACCTAAACATCCTTCAATATTTTAAAAACTAAAAAAAGAAATATTTGCATATATTGTAGTTACATTAACTAAGCTTATTTTCAAGTGCTCAAACTTTATAGGAGATCTACTACTTTCTCACGTAGCACACTTAACGTCTTACACATCAAAGTTTCCAGACTTGAAACCCTGTTGTCAAGCAGAAAATACAAAAGAGGCTTCAACAAATAAACAATTATATGTTATCACATGTCTAAAAGGTAAGCAATGATTCCATCTGCTTTGTTCTTGGAATGCTTTTTATTCCTCTTTTATGTTTCTAAACGATGGTGGGAAACGAGGCCATTAAACACACATAAATCTTCCTTTGAGTGTGGCTGAATTTTCTAGTATGGTTTCTCCACACAAGTCATTATTTCTTCCTAACGTGCAATTTAAGAATTTAAGAATTTCCAAAAAGAGGGCAGTGAGTTTCACTGCATATCACCATCACATGCAACTTTGCCAGATGTGAACCAATCCCAGCCTTCTTACTTAAAAACAATTTAAAACTTGAAATGATCATTATCTAACAAAAAACACATTTTACTGTCCAAAAACATGAGACTTTTAAAAAATGAATAATACAACTACTTATAAACATTTTAACGCACACTTTTGTGATTTATCTTTGAGATTCCATGTTTTTGAATGATTTAGTGCAAGATCTCATAACTTTACTTATAAAAGTCCTCTAATCTTACACATATTCTACATATACTCCAAGCAAAATGACTACAGAATGAGCATAGAATGTTTAAGACATTTCCAGAAATTCCATTTTGGGTGTTAATCTAAGGAGCTACTGGCAAAGTTCTTCCCAGTGTTCAGAATGTTTACACAGCATTGCTTATCAAAGCCAAAAACTGAAAACCATCTAAATATCCACCAAAGGGCAACAGGTTTAGTAAATTACAATATATAAATATAGTGGGTTAGTACGCAATTAACATTAATGTGGTCAATCTATCCACACTGACATGGGAAAAAGTGAGGGGGGGGAAAAAAAAGAAAAAGCTATACAACAAAATGGTATGCACCAAATAACTGTCTTTTGATAAAATTATATATAGATCTCTACATGTATGTATTTTATCGGGAAATATTGGAAAAGATGTTCACCAAAACAGAAACAACTGTCATCTCTAAGTTATCTGCTTTCAGGGATTTTTTTTTTGAGACGGAGTCTCACTCTTGTAGCCCACACTGGAGTGCAGTGGTGCGATATTGGCTCACTGCAAACTCCACCTCCCGGGTTCAAGCAATTCTCTGCCTCAGCCTCCTGAGAAGCTGGGATTACAGGTGCCCACCACCACGCCTGGCTAATTTTTGTATTTTTAGTAGAGATGGGGTTTCACCATATTGGCCAGGCTGGTCTTGAACTCCTGACCTCATGATTCACCTACCTCAGCCTCCCAAAGTGCTGGGATTACAGGCGTGAGCCACCATGCCCCACCTAGGGAATTTTTAAGTACTTTTTTATATTTATGTAGGGACAAAATTAAGCAATGAAGGCCATGTGCAGTGGTTCACGCCTGTAATCCCCACACTGTAGTAGGCCAAGGTAGGCGAATCACTTGAGGCCAGGCGTTCGAGACCAGCCTGGCCAACACAGTGAAACCTTTTCTCTACCAAAAAACACAAAAATTAGCCAGGGATGAAGGTGCACGCCTGTAGTCTTAGTTACTCAGGAGGCTGAGGGAGAAGAATTGCTTGAACCCGGGAGGTGAAGGTTTCAGTGAGCCCAAGGTTGCAGTGAGCCGAGATTGCACCACTGCACTGCACTCCAGCCTGGGCGACAAGAGTGAGACACTGTCTGGGGGGGAAAAGAAAAAGCAATGAGGAGCATATATGTTACAAAAACAATTCACTTTTTTTCTTAAAGCACCAATAAAATTTTTAAATACTTTATATTTATCTACAGAAAAATTAAGCAAAGAACAACACATATTTTACAAAAACAGTTCACTTTTTTCTTAAAGTACCAATGATACAAATGAACTTTAAGCTGTAGGGTTTACAGCATTTTACTGTGCTGATTGTATGTGTACAACAGTTCCAATACAGACTGTCATTGTAAAAACATTACATGGAAAAGGAGAGTTCAGTCACCAGAGCCATAACAGGCTTTAACGTAAGAGGGTACCAGAAGAAAGATCACACACAGAAATGGAAGGTATGGGGTCAAAGGTGATAGTCCCCCAGGTGAGGCAAACACACATGCACCAAGGGAATATGAGCCACACATTTCATGCTAAAATATATTGTGAAAGAAAAAGGCCATGATGGCTTTGAACTAACTCACTGGCGAGTGGCAAGTGGTGCTTGGGCCAAATAATACAGGACAAGATGACAGTGGAAAGAACAAAACCAAAACATTTTGTATATTCCATCAGATTTCACTTCGGAGTTATCTTTGCCAAGAAGCCAGATTTTATTTAAGAGATATCTTTGCCAAGAAACAAGATAGCAGAATTAATCTGAGTTCTATAAAAATATTTTAAGGCATTTTTTTTAAAAAGTTCCCAAAGTGATATTTATAATTCTTATGTATACTAAGAACAATAAATCCTTTCTGAAAATGGGCTTTACAGAATACTCTTTGTGAAAATAAAAACATATTTTTTTTGTAATATTATCATTACGTTTGCCATCTGGTCTCCATGCCAGACACGTCACCTCCTTTCCTGTATTTTCATTTGGTGGAAAACTCCAAACTCGATGAAAACTTGCCAGTCGATGAAGTAAAACCTAAGACAAAGCAGATATAATGGCAGGAAATTAAAAATTCATTTCCAAAAATAAAATAAACCTAGATCCCTACTAAAAATTTTTTTAAATGACCATCTCTCATATATACTTAGCTATCAGAAGAATAGAAAAAGACAACAGTGTCTGAATGAACACAAGGTATTTTAAAATAAATGGGTGAAACAAGGTCTAATTTAACCCTGTACCTAATCTTTTATGTCAACGGGAGACTTACCTTTTATAAAGAAGGCGGCTGTCCAAGGTGACAACCAAAAAAGAAATAAAAGAACACAAACACCACTAAAAAGGTAGCTAGCTGTAATACAGTCAAATTATACTAAGCTTGGAATTAGTCCACGTGGCACCTAGTTTCAGCTGTGTCACTCACTAGCCATGGATCTTAGACATATCACTTAACCATTCTAAATCTCCATTTCCACATCAGTAAATTCCCACCTTGGAAGGTCAAAATGTTGCCCAAGAGCTCTATGACTGCCCCGTTGCAGCTTCTATACAACCATTGACAGTAAGGAAGAAAAGGCCTCACCACTGCACATGCTCCTCCAAGACCCCTCCCCATTTCCACACTCAGCTAAGCCACCATGACCCTGCCTTATCTCACAGCTCACAGCACCCTTCACTCCTGGTTACAACATCCCCTGGATTTGACCCTCTCTTTTCTGAAACCACTCCTGCCATACCTTACTTCTGAAACCCTTCCTCTGTGCTTTCTGCAGCTCATGGTCAGGTGTCATCATGAAATTAATATCTTCGTACTTTTCTCTGAAATGTGCCTCTCACCTGAGGACAATGCTTCCCTGCAGCCTTGCTAGGTGGTGGCCATTTTGTATCCCACAGCCCCTGTACTGCTGCTTTTGGGCTAGGAGATGAAGTAGGTGTCTTCCTTGATGCTTGATGCCATTTCTTCTCTTCTTGTAAATCTCCTAACTTTGAATCACATGCAATCAGACCATACCACTCGCTATCCGTCTTAATTGCAGTCCTCTACAGACCCCTAGGCCATTCCCCTCATTCCTTAAAGATCTGGATACCTGGCTTGCTCATGCCTTCTAACAACACACTCATCATCATTTTTGGTGATTTCAAGAGCTATGATGTCCTGGCTTTTCAGCTCTCAATTACCTCTCCTCCAGTGATCACATCTTCTACTGCACTCAGCCACTCCCAGGGTCACACCTCCGGCCTGGTCATTACCAACAACTGCAGGGCCACCAAAATCTCCATTTTAAACTTCCCACTTTCCATCCACCACCCCTCTTTCCAGGTCATCTCTACAACACTCAACTCCAATTCTTTGACCTCACCAGGATACAGTCTATTGATTCTACCACCTGTTCACTGTCCCTCTCCCCACACATGCCTTCACTTCCCTCCTTCATCAGGTTAGAACCCAAAGTTCAGAAACACAATCACTCCTCTTGCACGTAACTTCAACTCTCTTTCATCTTTGCCTTGCTTTGTCATACTTGCAAAACGACAATCCTGGTTAAACCCAACCATGCCTGCACCCACACAGCCAAACAGAACGGAGAGAGACACATACAACCTTATTCAACCAGTGTCTCTCAAATAATAACACCGATCTCATGTGGGTCTTAACACTGACTGGCAATCCTATTAGGTTTCCCAAGTCCACCTGCTTTGTTAGCTTTTTCATACCTCTTCTTTCTCCTCAAACTTCCAATATATTCTTCTCCATCTTCACCCATAAACAATGCCCTTGCTTCTTCCTTCACTGAGAAAATGGATGTAACAGTGCCCTCTATCACGCCTACCCATCTGATTGCACGGATGTGCCTCCCGTCTACCTTCCCTCCTACTTCTGTGACGGTACCACCTGCTGCTCTCTAGAGCCACAACAGAGTTTCAAAGCATCCCGGCAGCGGAGGGAGACTAGCTAGATTTCATGGAGGGCCCTGAAAAATTAGACATCAATACCCTGGCGACTGGATCATGGTAGATAACATGGTGCAGACTACAGTCTGCAGGGTGCTAAGATTTCCTTATCACCTAGTTTCCAAATTTGGCTCTATACAACTCTCACATGGCCAGATAACTCTCAAGCCAGAGGCGGAAAGATGCACAGGTGAAGGTTTCCTTACAAAATGGCTGGCAGGTAATAACTCTCAGCAGAAAGTTGGGTACAACTGGTTTATACTCGATGAAGTTTTATGTGAACAAGAAATGCTGATAACACCCATGCACGTTCTGTCTGGAATCCAATGCATGCCTTCCTTGTCCAATTTAGAGGTATTTTTAGTGGAGGGTGGTTATCCAACCCGTACTATAAAACGTGGACAAGAGAAGCCAGGTTCTTAAATATATCCTGTGTGGCAGCTACATGCAGGCACATTTGCAGCTGAAGTTTGACAATAACTCTTCCTACTGCTATTAAAACTGTAAGCAAACTTAGGGCAGGGTCCCTGCATCTACCATTATGTCTAGCTCATGAGCAGCACATAGTGGGCTTTTTTAAAAAGTTCATTTAACTAATAAACCAATGAGTGAAGAAGACTTGGGGAAGCAGGATTGCGTGACGGTGTTAAGCTGTGTGAAAACTGTTACTTTAGCCATAAAAGTACCGAAAATAGCACAGACATCACCTTTCGCATATATACTTAAAGTTTACTGCCGTCCTGGGAGGCAGGGAAGGGGTAGCAGGTGGCCAGCCATGTCTGCAGAAGGGGAAACTGAGGCTCCGGCCGCCTGTGGCCCGAATGAACAGGCTCGGGCTCGGTGTTCTTGGGCCCCCCGGGAGCAGACCCAGCACAGGCGGGCTCCCGCCGGCTCACTCACCTCGCCAGCTGTGTTGGCCAAAGCAATGAGATCCCGCTTGGGCGACCAGACCAGGAAAATAATCTCCTGCGGGAGCTGCTTCTCTCCCACCACCCGGAAGGATGGGAAACAGGTCGGAAAACGCAACATGGGGACGGCCCTGCAACGACACCCCAGTCAGAGGCCGGCAGGAGCCCCCGGCTCTCCACGAGGAGCCCCGACCGCGCCTGTACCTGCAAGAGTCCCCACCGGCAGACTAACACGGCCCCAGTGGCCTCTCCCCTCCCTCTGCCGGCCGCGCGCCACAGCCTCCAGGCCGCCCCGCCCCGCCGCTGTCGCGCGCTCCAGGCACTTCCGGCGTCGGGACTGCCTCGCGAGAGGAGGAGGAGGGGCGGGGCGCGCACCGGTCTTGGGGGTGCTGAGAGCCAGAAGGGGCGGACAGGGACGGGGCGCGGTGGGCGGGGCAGGGAGGAGCGAGGGGCGGATCGAGGTGGGGGTAGGATGGGGCCCGTGGGCGGGGCAGGGAGCAGCGATGGGGCAGAGCTAGGAAGGGTGGGGCACGCGGGCGGGGCAGGGAGCCCCGAGGGGCGCGGAGAGGGAGGGAGCCGCGCGCCGGACCCAGGTGCTGGTGGGATCGCTGGGCGCCGGGACCTGAAAGGGCCCGAGAAGGGCGGGGCAGGCCCCTGCGGCCACACGCAGGTCTTTTGGGAACCCGTGTGTGCACGTGTGTGGGCATGCTTGCATACCTTTCCCGTTTTCCCGGAAATTCTCTGCTGTGGGCAAAGGGACGGTAGGGGTTTATGGGGTAGGCTTCAGCGACAACGGGGAGATGAAAAAGAATATGAACTTTAGGTCCTGATCAGCTGGCGCCTCCTCTAACAGTTACTAAGCGAGTAGTTCTCATGTCAGTCCTGGTGGGTCAGTATAGAATTTTAAAAGTCCCCCTGTCCAAGCAGCACCCCAAACCAATTAGAAGAAAATTAACCCTGGATGGGCCCAGTATTTACTAAAACTCTTTGGGTGATTCCAATTTGGAGAGAAGAGGCGCGTGCCCTAAAACCTCCCTAACAGGCAAATAATACTGTGACATCTCATCCCATTTAACCCTCACAACTTATTGGTAGTTGCAGCACCGTCATAACGAATAAAGAGTGTGGGCTCAGGGCCGGGCGCGGTGGCTCACGCCTGTAATCCCAGCACTTTGGGAGGCCGTGGCGGACGGATCACAAGGACAGGAGATAGAGCCCATCCTGGCTAACATGGTGAAACCCCGTCTCTACTAAAAAATACAAAAAAGTAGCCAGGCATGGTGGCGGGCACCTGTAGTCCCATCTACTGGGGAGGCTGAGGCAGGAGAATGGCGTGAACCCGGGAGGCGGAGCTTGCAGTGAGGCGGAGCTTGCAGTGAGGCGGGGCTTGCAGTGAGGCGGAGCTTGCAGTGAGCCGAGATTGTGCCACTGCACTCCAGCCTGGGCAACAGAGCCAGACTCCGTCTCTAAAATATAAAAAAAGAGTGTGGGCTCACACACGATTTCTTCTATAGGTACTTGGGCATTTACTATGTGGAGGAACTGAGGCTACAGCAATGCATGGGACGGGAACTCTGCCCAGAGGCTCACAGGCCAGCCTGGCAGACTTGTAAATCAGAACTCATCTGATGTTGCTTTATGTAGGACACATTTAAATGAGTCAACCTGTTGACAGTTCCCACAGCTATGACCTCCCTAAGAGAATGTGACAGTACCATCCTAGGGTTCTTAAACTTAAAACCTATGGTAGAAAGCCATCTACTTTTTACTACCTTTCACTTGTTCAAAGAAGAAACAGACGGCAGGTCCTTTAACTTTCAACAGGCCCCATCTTCTTGACCTCTGTCTGGATCTAGCCCCTGGGAAGTAGATGACGGAGGGAGACTAATTCATTCAGCATCAAGTAACTATTTTGTGCCAAGTACTGTTCTTAATCCTTGACTTTATACCTACCCTGCTTCCTGTCACGGGCTTTGCAGCCCTTGCCTTTGCCACAAACAACTTACCAAGTGCCCCCAACTCTTCCAGAATCAACATTTCTAAGGTAAAAATGCATTTGCCTTTGTTTTTCACAAAATGCATTTTCAGGTGTTAGTGTTTTGGGGCAGTTATAATGGATCACCTGGTGGGGGTCTAGTATCTATGCACATTAACCTTCTTACGGAAATTGAATGTCCATTTTCCTGGAACTTACCTGAATACAAACACCCATACAGCACGTGAAAATCACTGTTCCCAGAGGCATAAACACCGTACTGCAAAGGACAGAGTATAACCACCTGCACATTAAGTCTTCACAGAATATAAATTTTCTAAGCCTTACAGCAAAGGAAACAGCCTAAGTGTGGAGTTCCAGATGTGGGCAGGAAACAGCAGAGTTTTATGCTGCTATAGACCAGGGGTGTCCAATCTTTTGTCTTCCCACATTAGAATCGTCTTGGGCTACACATTAAATACATTAACAGTAATGACAGCTGATGAGCTAAAAAAAAAAAATCACAAAAAAAATCTCACAATGTTTTAAGAAAGTTTATGAATTTGTGTTGGGCTGCATTCAAAGCCCTCCTGGGCCACAGGCTGCGAGTTAGACAAGCTTGCTATAGACCCTCATGTGTGTTGGTAGGCAGTAAGGGGCAGGAATTGTTCTTGGAAATGATCCAAAGTAGCCGTAAGACAAGAAATATTAACACATCGTGTTTCCAGCCTTTTCTTTTTCCCACTGCCCCATAAAGATTTTAGCTCTACCTACTCCGTTTTTTGCCTCCCCCATCCTTAGGAAAATACTGCAGAATAAAGAGAAAAAGGGAAGAAGGCTCAGGGATCGGCTATCAGTGCTTTTTAAGGAGGCAAGGGCAGGAGAAATAAATATTTACTTAAGCATGTTCATTATAAGGTTATTTACGAAAGTGAAAAAATGCAAACAACCTAGATGTCCCATCATAGATTTTTAAAAAATATATCTATCCTGAAGAATATTATGCAGACATAAATCGATGTTCACAGTATACTTATGAAAAAGCATGGGTCATAAAACAGTATGTACTTAAAATTCCATTTTCTTGAGGGAAATTTTTGCATGTGTCTGTAAGCCTATTTATGCAAGAACCTATCTTTGGAACAGTAGACAGGGAAGTTATAATAGTGATTATCTCTGGGTGGTAGGGTTAGAGATGCTTTTATTTTTCCTTGATTTACCTGGCTCATGTATTAACTGTAAAGTTAACAGGCAGCAACCTTTGTTTTCCTCTGTTTTTTTTTTGTTTGTTTGAGACAGTCTCACTCTTGTAGCCCAGGCTGGAGTGCAATGGCGTGATCTCGGCTCACTGCAACCTCTGCCTCCCGGGTTCAAGTGATTATCCTGCCCCGAGTAACTAACTGGGATTACAGGCACCCGCCACCATCCCCGGCTTTGTATTTTTAGTAGAAACGGGGTTTCACCATGTTGGCCACGCTGGTCTCGAACTCCTGACCTCAGGTGATCCACACCCTTCACACCCCCCCCCAACCCTTGGCCTCCCAAAGTGCTGGGATTACAGGTGTGAGCCACCGCACCTGGCCTGTCTTCTTTAAGCATGTGGAATATTTGGGCTGACTTCCTCTAGTGTTCTCCCACTCCTCCTCTCCACACTTGCAGATGAAGAAACTGACCCATCTATTCAGGCCTACCATCTTAGAGATTACCGGCTGTTTCACCTCTTCTAGTATCCAGTGGTATGAAGCAGTTAAACCAGGGATCTTGTAACTAACTGTTCCACCAAAGACAACTGGGATAAAACTCAGCCTCTCAGGGCTCTGAGATCTTGTTGCTCAATGTTGGTGCTATTATAGCCTCATCTTGCTGAGTTAACATTTATACTAAATTGCCTGAAATCAAATAGCAGAGATCTTATCTTTACTTTATTGCAATGACCTTCTTAGTTGACCCTTAATTTCAGCCCAGGTCCTCATGGTCCAACTAAAATCACATCAAATAAGTGAAACTGGATTTTCCTTTAGATTTTGTGGAAGCTGTCCTACCTAGAGAGCTCGAAGTGTATCTGCTTCTTCCATAGTATAGTTAAGGTGTGAGGCATAAAGCGGTATATTAAATGGCATTTCCGTTCACTCAGTTGGTATTTATGAGCACCTACTACCTAGATGGTGAAGAAATGTGTTAGCCTGGCTGCCTGCTTCCCATTAACTGAGGTCACAGGTGATGCGGCTGGTCATCTCTATCGCCGTAGAAAAGGCATGTGCCTAGTAAGCAAACACAATGATGTCCACAGGCACTGCCATCAACGAGCTTCTAATCTGTACAGGGCTAAACAAGTATATAAAGTCATTCTTATACAAGGCATGATTTAAGTACCATAAAAGAAGTATAAAAACAACACACAAACTGACATTTTTATTTCTCTGGCAACAGATGTACTACTCCAGTGGAGAGACCAACAGGGACATTGTGAAGGCAGTGGCAGCTGACCAGGACCCTTTGTAGGTTGTGATTTTATATTTCAAGATTAGTCAAACTTCTCCCAGATGCCTAGTATTTTGCAGATTACTTTGAAGGGGTCTTGCAGATAAAGCTGAGAGAAGAGAGAAAGAGATCCCCCCCCGTATTGTTCTATATTGTTTTATGCTCAGTACCTGTTTTAAGAAACAAGGAAGCAAAACCAAAGGCAGGCAGCCGGGTGCCAGGCACCAGACCCAAAACCAGGCCTGGGCCTGCCTGACCTTAGCCTGATAGTTAAAATTCAACCCATGACCTAGCAACCGATGTTATCCGTAGATTCCAGACATTGTATGGAAGGACATTGTGAAACTTCTCGTTCTGTTGTTTCACTCTGATTACCGGTGCATGCAGCCCCTGTCACATACCCCCTAGATTGCTCAATCGATCACGGCCCTGTCATGTAAAATCTTTAGTGTTGTGAGCCCTTAAAAGGGACAGAAATTGTGCACTCAACAAACTCGGATTTTAAGACACTAGACTGTCGATGCTTCCAACTGATTAAAAGCTACTTCCTTCACTATCTTGGTGTCTGTGGGGTTTTGTCCACGGCTCATCCTGCTACAAGGCTACTAATCTTCACGCAGCACATCCCCACATTTAAAACTTCAGTTAGGGTGGTCCTCATATTGACTCTAAGTGCCTCCTAATACAAATCTGTTTCCCTTTTCAGTCCCTAGAAGAAACATAATAGAGTGGGTCCAGTCCGTATTTCAGGCATGCCTACCACTTCAAAGCCTCTAGAAAATTCCATGCTTACATCAAATTTTTATTGAGCACCAAAAAGGCACAAGATACACAAGAGCAGATGAAATGGGTGCTGACATTAAGAGACCTAAATCTTTGAGGGAAATAAAATCAGTAAAAATAATCACAGAATAATATGTGAAAGGCCTTAAATGTGGTATCAAACACCAAGGGGCCAAAGAAGGTTTCAGTATCAGGGACTCGTGGAAGATTCCCAAAAGAGAACGGAGTGGCCACATGGAGGGACATATTCCAAGCAGAAAGAACAGTATCGGATGAAAAGAATGGGGCATATGGAGTGATAAACTAGTCTAGGTACTGGACTAATTAGGAAAAAACATGAAATCCAGCCTACAAAAAGACTTTGTTTCTCATTAAATTTCATAATATAAGAAGAATGAAATTTAGCTGTATTTATTAAAAATGTCCTTTTAAAAAGCTTAGAAAATGTTATCTGTCAAATTTTAGGGATTTTCTTCTATTGCTATTTTGAGAAGGTATCTTAATGTTAAGATGTTCAGATTTCTATTAAGAACAAATGACCTCATCCCGCTTCACATTCTACCTCCCAGAGACACATTTTTACAGGCTACCAATTAGTTTATTCTCTGAAAAAGGAATAGAGATTAAGTCCTTAAAATTAGTATTAATTGAATATAAGTGTAAAATCACCAAATTTCCTATTTTTAACTTTCTAAGACAGTAATAAAGTTTTAAAGTACATTATTCCTGGCTGGGTGTGGTGGCTCACGTCTGTAATCCCAGCACTTTGGGAAGCTGAGGCGGGCAGATCACCTGAGATGAGGAGTTTGAGACTCGCCTGGCCAACATGGCGAAACCCAGTCTCTACAAAAATATAAAAATTAGCCGGGTGTGGTGGCACACACCCATAATCCCAGCTACCAGGGAGGCTGAGGCACAAGAATCACTTGAACCCAGGAGGCAGAGGTTGCGGTGAGCAGAGATCCCACCACTGCATTCCAGCCTGTCCAACAAAGCAAGACTCTGTCTCAAAATAAATAAGTACATTATTCCTGATTATAACTATTTCCTCAATTCTAAGATTTTTTTTTTTTTTGCATTTCAGTATTTCTGAAATCAGATGATCTAAAAATTAATTAATGAAGTATTATTTCTCTTCTCCCCCTGAAAAGCTATGATAAAATCAATGATGTATTTTATAATTGATGGTATCTTAACATTAAGGCAATATAGTGATGAGAATAACTGTTGGCCTTCAGAACTCAATTTTTCAGTAGTCATAGTCCCTCAGGTGTCTTAGTTTCAGAGGAGATTTCAATAGATTTTATCATGGAATGGTGAACACCATAAAGTCAGGCAATGTCCCTATCCTTGCTTGAATCAGAGAGGGGAACTCTCACAACGGTTTTACAAACTTCATATCTCACCCAGTCACCTCCAAATGTGCCCCTCCTATCATAGCCCTCCATGTAACAAAAGGGAGAAGAGCTTTCTGATGCTTATGAAGTCCAGGGGTATAACTCATCTTTTGACATCAACTGATGTACACCACTGCCACACTGATCTGGGCCACACTTGAGCATTCTACACCAGGCATCAGTCCTAACTTACCTGGAATTTAAATACCAGATAGAGTGCAGTTCCTCCACCCTTACTTACAGGGCTCTGCCTAACCCCAAACAAAGATGCCTTCAAATCTGCTCTACAGCAGTTGTTTGGAAACAAGAGAAAAGTCATTATGCAAATATAAGTCATTCAAAACAATTCAGTCTTAAGGAGACAATAACTAGCACAGAAACGGGGAGATGAACTGTTTGTTCTGGGAGTTCAAATTACTGCCTTCAATGCTTTGTTATCAGGCCAAAAGGTAATTACCATTAGACCCAGTAACAATCTTCATTGTTAACCTAACACACCAATGACAGAGGAGAACTGAGAGCCAAGCACTTGGGTCTCATTTAATTTAATCACAAAACAAACCTCAGGTATAGCTGTTATTCTCCCCATTATAATAATGATAATAATGAAGAAACCGGGGCTTTTAGAGAGTGACCTGGCCAAGATCATACAGCCAGGAAATATTAAGGGTAGGAATGAGGAGTTTAGTTTGGGCGTTTAATTACCAAACTATCCTGGCTTCTGCTACGAACTACTTTTACAAAGACAGAATCTTACTGCATAGGTTAAACGACACTGGAATGACAGAGCAAGTCGTAGTTCTAAACATCTCACTCATTCAACAAGCATTTAAGTGATTCTAGACCGTCAGAGGACAACTGCAAAAAGTACTTGAAGAATAAATATTTAATAATAATGTAATTATAATTATAATCTGTATATCTAAACAGTGCCTTTGTAAAAACCCTTTCCATCATCTTCAAATTCAGTCTAAAAATAATTGTACGCTATACTTTTCAAGTGGGGTTTAAACTATTGTTTCATATTTAACATAAAATATTTTCCTATTTAAATTAACATACTTTTATGTTCACGGTAAACAAACTGCATAGGTTTTCACTTTCATTTTCTTCTGACATCTTCTGCAAAAGAATGGTCTGCCCATTTTTTGGATAAAAAGGCTAGAATAATGTGACCGGAGCTGGGTGAGGTGGCTCATGCCTGTAATCCCAGCACTTTGGGAGGCCAAGGCAGGCAAATCACTTGAGGCCAGGAGTTCGAGACCAGCCTGGCCAACATGGTGAAACCCCGTCTCTACTAAAAATACAAAAATTAGCCAGTCGTGGTGGCATGTGCCTATAATTCCAGCTACTCAGGAGGCTAAGGCAGGAGAATTGCTTGAACCCGGGAGGCAGAGGTTGCAGTGAGCTGAGGTTGTGCCATTGCACTCTAGCCTGGGAGACAGAGCAAGACTCCATCTCAAAAAAAATGAAAACATAAAAATAGAACAATGTGACTGGGAGAGACTTAAAGTGAGGAAAAATGAATGCTGAAAGAACTAGTAAACTGGCTGAAGATGGAACAACTCCCCATGTCTCCAGAGAGGCAGATAAGGGACTGTAAACCAGCAAATGCCACCTGCCTGTTATCTAGCTCAGAAAGGTGCACACCTCTGGAAGCAGCTGAATTTAAGTCCAGTGTGGCACTTTCAGAAAATGGCATCAAAGGTTGGACCATAAATCTTTCTTATTCTCCAGTCACTGGACATTTAAGAGCCAAGATATTGATGGGCTCTTTCCCTCCTTTTCTTTCTCCTTGTAGCAGATGTATGATTCATGGATTGTCCTTTCGTGGTCTCCATTTTCATCTTATTACTTTTTCTTTGCTTCTGCTTTCTGACAGCTCTGGAAAACAAGGTGCTAAATTATTTCACAGAATGAGCACAGTGAATTATGTAATTATGTTGAAGTTTAATTAACTAGCTAACCAAATAAGAAAATAGAAGAAGGGAAAGAATCTACTGTATTGCAAGCATAAATCCTCAGTCTCCTAACCATAACAACAAGGGAAGAGTCAGAGGCCTAACCAAGCAAAATGTTTGAGAAAAAAAAATTCTTTAAAAGATGGTTACTATGGATTTAGAACAAGCTGTCCGGGGCAAACACACCACAGAGGTAAATGCAAAGCTAGTGAGATTGGACTTTTTAAAAAAGTTTTTTGTACATCTGTATTGCTCAACTCAGCACTTCAATCTCCAAATCCTTGAATTCCGTTTTTTTTGGAGAGGAGCTGATACATGGGGCAGTCAGCAGAGACAGAAAAATGAAACAGCACAATGGAAAAAACCGAGAAGCCTTGAAAGGGCCTGTTTCCTAAGTCGTACAGATTTTCCTTTCCTCAGCGGATCTAAAAGTCCTGACAAGTGCCACGCAGGGTTATCAGCATTTTGTGGTCCTTATCTTGAAGATTAGCTTCAAAATAAACAAGCTGGAACTCACCCTCTGAAAACACTGAACCACACCAGACAAAACAGATTCTTTGTTTCTGGTGTTCTCCACACTAAGTTACAGGCGACCTGCAGCTGAGAAAATGACTGGCCCATCCATTCACTTCTCCAAGCTAGCAGAATCATGCCATGACACTCAACATATTGAGAACCAAGGAAGGGGCCAGAGCTACAACAATGCCAAACCAGGACTCCTCCCCTGATTACCCAGCAATATCAATTGTTAGGTTCACCTCTCATAAGCTTCTCCATAGGAAAAGCTTATTCTTGATCTTGTCAGGAATAAACCTGGGAAAAGAGCTTCATAAACAATGTATCCCCTAATGGGTTCAATTTATGCCTCACTTTTTGTTTACTCAGCATATGTTACCTGTTGAGAAAACAAAAATGAATGGGCATAATCTTTGACTTCAAGGAGCTGGGAGACAGAGATAAGGGGGATAGTCACCCCCTCTCTATCCCTACTTTTTTAGGTGAAAATGCTATGAAATCAATGAACACCCCATGAGGAACTTGCAGAACCAGCTTGATTCCAGGATCTGTGCTCTACTATATACTCTACTTTAAATTATTTATATATGCAAACTGCTAACCATATAATAATCACTCAATAAGTATTAGCTATTATTAGTTCCACATGACTATTATGCAGAATTTTGCTTGACAACTTTAAATTTTTTCATATTTAGATTTTGCACTATGGACTAGGGATACCTTATCAGTTCAAAATAGAACAGTCTACAGAAGGAGTAGGATTGAAAACTAAAACCAAAAAAGTCATCTTTACAGTATTATACTGATTCATGCATACTATATAAATCTATTTCCCCACTTTTTTAAAGTAGGATAATTTCTTGATAAGTGATGATTTAGCAAACTTAATGAAATATAGTATAATCTCTAATGGCAAAGTCAATGAAGCCATGTGTGCCTGTACACAAAATTTAAGTTTCTCTTTGGCTCATCCACTTATAAGCAGGACTAAAAATGAATGAACTTTCACTAGGGGATACGGTAAACAGAAACAGGAGGAAAATATTTGAAAATATTCATTTGTAATATGAATACACAAAACTTTCCAGAGATAAAGTTTTTGAATGATGATGAACTGACTATAAGTCAGTTTTATTTTGTCTTAAAATTAAATTGACCTAGTATTTGTCCTTTAAATTATAGGTATTTATGTAACTGATAAAATGAGCTTTAACCACAAGAGGGAGCCAGCATCATTCCAGTTAGCAACTAAAGAAAAATTAACACCAAGGAAAAACAAATTAATATAAGATAGCTGTAAAATGCATGAGCTGGAAAGACCTTTTATGTCACGTATGCTAAAAAGGCTGTTATTTTTCACTATTGTAAAGAAAAAAATAATTTTGCTTTGTCAATTTCACTATATATATTTTTTGAAAGCAGTAACTATTAACAGGAGTTTAGGTGTCTTCTCTGAGAAAAAAAGTAATATTATTTAAGAATTATCAGGCATCCACATCTCACAGGATTTGCTCTTGGAATTAAACCTGATAAGATCTAGTCCTGAAAGATACTAGATGATTTCCCCTAATGAAATAGTATATTAGTGCCAAACACACTAGCTGAGGCTATTTAGGAAGCAATGAAGGGCCTACAATAGAGTATCAAAATGCAAATTGTTTCCATGTAAGTTCACAGAATTAAAGGCTGAGCACGTTACTGACTACCACACAGAATCACACTGACAATGGTACAGCAATCCCAGACTAATATGATTATGAAGTTGTATTCAATTTTTGAAGGTTTATTCTAAGGAAAATATTTTATAAGATTCTTCAGGCTGGGCGTGGTGGCTCACGCCTGTAATCCCAGCACTTGGGGAGGCCAAGGCAGGCAGATCACGAGGTCAGGAGATCAAGACCATCCTGGCTAACACGGCGAAACCCCGTCTCTACTAAAAAATACAAAAAGTAAGCCGGGCATGGTGGCAGGCGCCTGTAGTCCCAGCTACTAGGGAGGCTGAGGCAGGAGAATGGCATGAACCCGGGAGGCGGAGCTTACAGTGAGCCGAGATCAGGCCACTGCACTCCAGCCTGGGCGACAGAGCAAGACTCTGTCTTTAAAAAAAAAAAAAAAAAAAAAAGATTCTTCAATAAGCTTCTTTAAGTTTTTAAAACTCTACTTTATCCTGGATTACTCAGTGGAAATAATTATTTAAAGTAGAGTAAATGTAGGAACGAGGCAGTTGTAATAGTAGCCAGAATTCAAGTGGCTAGACCACAATGGAAAAAAAAATTTTCACTGACCACAAATAAATAAAACACATGGGAAAGAATTCTAATATTACCATAAATAATTATTAAACTATCAGATATTTCTAACACAAATCAATTTTTTTAAATTACAAGTCATAGTCACATGGTAGCCCAATCTGAATTTTCATATAATGTCATATAATTTCATATAATGTCAAATTTAGCTGTCTGGTAATCTCCAATTAATAACTGTGTAACATTAGTTTTCTTAGCAATAAAGGAAGAGGACTTAATCACTATCATCCCTTTTAGTTAGGAAAAAAGTATAATCATTCAAATTAGCTCGGTTAAAATAGCAATGTTTTTCTCTTTTTGTTTTGTTTTGGGGATAACTATTCCAGAAGCAGTGCCTCTTCTAAATAAGCTATTGTCATAGGTATCCCCATACTCTGAGTTGTAATCCATAGCTCCAATCAAATATTGGTGAGAGATGTGAAAATAATCACAGGAAAAAAAGTAATAAAAATTTCAAATATTTAAGCATTAAGCATGTCTAAATATTTTTCTTAAAATTTGATACAAAGAAATAGCTTTCTCACAATTTTCCTACTGTGGAATTACTTGCTATTCAATCTGAAATGCCTTCTCCAGCCTTTCCTGCCATCATGTGTCTATATCTGATCTGTCCCTCAAAGCCTGACGTAAATATCATGTCCTTCAATAAAGCATGAACTGTCACCCCCTATAACTTTACACATGAGACGTAAAGCCAAGGAGAGGTAAAATTAACCACTTTCTACCTCATATTTTGGTTATTTTCATCTCTAAGCTGTAGAACTGTAAGCTCTTTGAAAGCAAGCTCTTTGAATCATCTTCCTCTCCTCCCTCCATCCATCTATGCAGCCAGTACTTAATAGTGAAAGTGACAATTAACTTGGCACTTCAAGATCCTCTGAATGTTGCATGCTTTTGTGGATTATCCTGTATAAAACACAGATGGAATACATTTTTCTAGTAAAGTATTCGACTGACTTGTTAGCTCTCTTAGATGTAGCAATGTTAGGACAAGTACTGCGTTTATGATCCAGTTCACCACAAATAAAGCAGCCATGTTTGGGGCCCTCACAAGAATGATCTGGAACAGCACAGTGATTGCAGATGCTACAGTGGATCCAGGCTGTAAAATAAAAATTAAGTTTTAAAGGAAGTTCATGTAACGTAATTTTTCATCTTATTAACTTTTAAGGTAGGATATACGAACAGTGTTTACTTGAAGTATTGTGGCCAGTTTGCACAGCTAGTTTTAGTTTGGCTAAAGAGACCAGGGAGAAGAGGTTGGAATTCCACATAAACTAGCTAACTTCTTTCTGTTACATGCAACAAATTCAGCCCTTCTCCAATGAGTTATGAGCTGACAGCTACTGTTACAATGGAGGCTGGCTGAGTGACACAATGCCTTATTAAAATAAGTCAAACCAAACGCCACACTGAAACAGGTTAGCAATCATCTCTCATGCAAGGCGGAACATGGCAGAACATACATGCTGATAACTATAAAATTAAAAAGCAAATAAATTACAAGTCTCTACACTGATTATTTTTTCGTTTATAAATCCAATGAAAAATCTATTTAGATGGAGAAAAACTCTAAAATATGTTCATAGGATCTCAAACACTAAGTCTCAATACTTACAAGGCTTTACACACTTTTTACAGAGAAAGCAATGGTTCCATTTCCTGCCATCCTACCAAAAAAAAAAACAATTTTTAAATTATAATTAATTTGTTATTAAAAATCAAGTTCTACAATTAAAAATTAAAATGTCTTATTAAAATCTGTGTAAATTATTCACTCCTTATTTCTGCCTTTTCTGGGCTTCACAATTAGATACTTTGATTTTAATTTATGCATTTCTCCACTCAACTCAAATGCCTCCTTGATGGGCCTCAATTTCCTTAACTGTAAAACTAGGAGATTTATCTAAATGATCTTGAAAATCCACTCCAGTTCAAGCAACCCAATCTGCACAAAGAAGGACTCAAATGAAAATTTCAAGAGAATTAATGATTCATAATTTTGTGTGTCTATACTGCATAATCCTTAATGAAATTCATATTTGAGAACTTTACATAATTTAGAAAGATAGATTACAGGTTACTGTTTGATTAATTTTAAAACTATGAAATAAAAATATCTAGAAAAGTGCATAAAATATATCCAATTTAATGAGTATTGTAAAGCAAACACGGATAAAACCCACCAGGTCAAGAAAAAATACCACCAGCCCTCTGGAAACTGCCCCATGCTCCTACTAAGTCACAGCATCCCTCCCTTCCCCTCCAAATAACACCTCTTTAGTTTGTGTG
The DNA here is from genome assembly GCF_000001405.40 of Homo sapiens. Classification (NCBI taxonomy): domain Eukaryota; kingdom Metazoa; phylum Chordata; class Mammalia; order Primates; family Hominidae; genus Homo; species Homo sapiens. The sequence continues at coordinate 25,363,831 of NC_000004.12, read as the reverse complement.
ACTGTCATTTCCTAGCTCTTGCTTCCTTTTACCACCTTTGTGTGCATCTCTAAATAATAAGTCCATTTTCCTCAACTTTAAACTATACAGTCTGGGCATAATTGTTTTAAAATGAAGAATACACATCATGTCTCAACTAATAAAAACTAAATATAAACGATCAGATGTATTAACATTGTTAAAAACAAGTATAACCAGTAATACCATTATATAATCAAGAAAAATGTGCTTTCTAATGTTTATATAAATGTAGCCTCTTCTTTGGAGAATAATTTGTGTTTATGAGCCAAACTAAACTTCACAGGCCCTTTCTGACCAGATTTAGTTAAAATAAACAAAACAAGGGTCACCCGCCTTCCTAAAAAATTTGGTGATTTATAATTGCCAAAACTTGGAAACAACCAAGATGTCCTTCAGTAGGTGAATGAGTAAACAAGTTGTGGTACATCAAAGGAATATCATTCAGAGCTAACATAAAATGAGCTATCAAACCATGAAAAGACATGAAGGAACCTTTAATGCCTATTACTAAGTGAAAGAAGCCAATCTGAAAGGCTATATACTATATGATTCCAACTGTGTGATATTCTGGAAAAGGAAAAACTATAGAGACAGTAAAAAGATAGTAGTAGCCAGAGACACCCTTCAGGAAGAAGGATGAATAGGTGGAACACAAAAGATTTTTAGTGAAAACAGTGAAACCACTCTGTATGACACTGTAATGGTGAAAACATGTCATTATACATTTTTCAAACCCATAGAATGTAAAACACCAAGAGTGAACCTAATGTCAACTATGGGCTCAGGGTGTTAATGATGTGTCAACGCAGGCCCATCAGTTGTAACAAATGCACCCCTCTGGTGGAAGATGCTGCTAGTTGGGGAGAATGTGCATGTGTCGGGGCAGGGGACATAGGGGGAATCTCTGTACCTTCTGCTCAATTTTGCTGTGAACCTAAAACTGCTTTAAAGAACCAAGTCTATTAAGAAAAAATAATACCTAAATAAATAAATAAATAGGAGGATGTCCCTTTGCAGTCCTTCATCTGTAAAAAATCAATGAGTAACTGCACCTAATAAGGCTGTTGTGAGGATTAAATGAGTTAATCCATGTAAAGCTCTTAGGAAAGTGTCTGGCATATTAAAAGTGCACAGTACATGTTATTAATTATTTCATCAGAATGATGATGGTACCCAATACGTCAATGCCTTATTTGAAACACCATAATTTTGTCCTCAACATACACATAATTGAGCATTCATTTAATGCCTTATTTGAGACGCTGATAATTTTAGCAGTCACACAGTACCATTTGAAAATGAGTTCGTGATAATGAAGGCAGTTAAGTATTTTTAAAAGCCTGTTGTACTCTATAATTTAAAATATTGTATTATAGCATAATTAATAAATGATAATACATATTAATACAAATCCTATTAACAAAATAACATTGAAAAAGTAATAAAACTAGTAAACTAAAATAAAATGAATATATCTAAATAAAAATACATTCTATAAGAACACCATACCTTGGATGTGCAAGAATTACAGAGCTCACAGTGTTGATTCTCTAGAGAAACATACCGTTGACACGGAGAGCAAAATCTAGAGTAAAGGACAGAGAAATCAGCTGCATACATTTATTGAGATTTACAGAGTAGATAAAACTTTACAAAGCACTCATTACAAAAACTGGGTGCAATCTGAATTCAATTAAGTATGAAATTATGGACCTAATTTAAAAGTAACAGAAGAATAACATGATTCAATACTGAAAGCATTTGACTGATGGATATATGTAACTTTATTTTCAGTGACTTGTGTACTTCAAAGTTCCACTGTGATCTTACCTGTACCCTTCTTCAGTAGGAAGGATTATTTTGTTGGGCGGAATGTTGGTGAAAATACGCACGGGAGACTGTTTTCGACCTGTCTTTCCGTGTTTATAAAGTGCATGATTATCATAATCTACCTAGAAAGTTAAAAATTAGAGCAGAAAGAAAATTTACTCAAATTAGTCAACATTAAGATTCTTTAACCAATAAACGAACAAACTGATGCCAATATATGAGTTAAAGTATTTGTCATGCCAAGTGTCAGGTTCCAGTCCAAGCTGAGGACTGAGGGGAGTGGGTGGACCAGTGGTGGGTAGCTGGAATAACACTCAAGGATCATAGACAGTTTCGACATGGCTTTTTCTCTCTGGGCATGAGCGAGACTGGGCGCAAGCTGTGGGTGCAAGCCCACATGGGTGCAGGCCATATGTACAGCATTAGCAGGTAATTATACCTTTTACAGACAACAATGGCTCCAGGCCAAGCACGGGCTCATGTGGGTGATCACCTAATGAGCCTCACATGGCGTGGTTATATAACATGTGGAGTTGTACGACTGCGCTCCAAACCTGCTAAGTCATGCTGTGCCAGAAAGCCACCTCGGCCTACTCCTGACTAAAGCGCAGCCATCTCTCTTACACTCCACCTCCTTGGACAAGGGTGTCCTCTGGGCAGGGACACATGCCCATAGGGTGGAGCCCTGAATTCATAACACACAACAACACAGAAAGCAACAGCTCCAGGTTATGGCAGGCAACCACCTCATGGTGACGTTACCCCAATGTTGCTTTATACATTAAGCCAGGTTTTTGTTCCCCTACCTTTAAAGGCATTAGGACAGGCAACAACAGATTACCTTTTGTCCCCATACTTGGTTGGAGGAGGTCATCCTTCCTCCTATAGGGTCTTGCCACATGGCCTGGCCCCCAGGGGCTGGTGACCAACTAGTCACCTTGGTAACTTCTAGGTAGTTAACCACAAGGTTAACCCTTGATAGACCACCCAGGTATCAGTACAGATTACCATAGGGGTCACCTCCTTGGTGATCACCATCCACAATGCTCTAAGTTCAGCCCATTGGCTACTTTGCCCATGCCCAGTTTCAAACCATATGGTATCAGTACTAGGTTGGACTGCAACAGCAGTCTAGGCAGCAGTAGCACCTTGGCTAGACCCATCTGTGTATCATGCCCCCCCATCAGGAATGTGGGGATGCCCTTTCTTAAACAGCAATGGCTCAAGGTGTAGGGTTGCTTCAGGCACCATGGCCTTATCTTGCATTAGGACTACAGGTCCCAAGACCTCTTGCAACTCTGCTGCTAAGGGACTTGTACTCAGCATACTCTGCTGCTCCAAGTAGGTGCCCCACTTTGCCAAAGTGGATGCCTGCACTGTCCCAGTTTGGGGGATTGTTATCCATGAACACATCCATCACACTATCAGGCAAGTCGTATGCACAATGTCTGTAGCCTGTCCTGCCATGCTCTCATGAATCTGAACGGCAGCATATGAGTTATGAACTGCTTCTTTATCAATGAACAACGGGGCTCAGCTCCCTTCCACAGCTGGGACCAAAAGCCCAAGGGTGTTCTCTATGCACTGCTATTGGCCCCAGCCAAAACTATCTGTAGTCACAAGCACATCCAGCTCAAATGGGTGCCCCGGTCAACTACCTATAGGGCATATGCCCGCTAAATGGCCCACTTGGCTGCAAGGAAGGCGGTCTCAGCCGCACCATCTTAATTCTAGGCAAGGGGAGTGTTGCCGCTTCTAAATCTGCAAGAGAATCAGAGGTTAGCATAATATCATTAACAAGACCATGGCTAATGGTGGGGCTATGCAAAAAGCCCTGCGGCAACACTATGAAAGTCCACTGTCATCCTCCCATGAAGGCAAACTGTTCCTGGCTCTCTGGAAAAGAATGCATTAGCCAAGTCCACTATATAGTGATACTGTCCTAGTTCCATCAAGTGGTCCATCAAGTCCGTGATAGACGGCACAGCTGCCAAGTCATGTAAAATATCCAACCCCAGAATGTATCTGCGCTGGTGTCTACCAGCACCAGCACTTGCTGTACATTGGTGGGAGACCAGTGGATTGCTAATTTCACATGTGGCCTCCTCGGGAGGGAAACCTCGGCCAGTTCCCTCATCAAACAGAAAAGACTTTATAACCCCACCTGGCTGCAGCACATAGTCTTTAGGCTGGAGTGCCAGGGTGGGACCAGGTCGCGCAGAAACATTCTTCTCCTGCTTGGGTATTTTCTGGAATTGTTGCTCTGGAAACAACTGTCTCCACAAAGTTCACTGGGCTGCTTATCAATTCTCTCCTAGTCGACCCTGGCCAAAATCAAATCTATCCACATCTGTGAGCATGTCACTCATTGGGACCCCCTTTTCTCCCATTGGGGGCACCCCTGCAGGTGGGGCATCTTTCCCTTCTTTGTGGCACGGACCCCTTGATCCCGCCAACAGCCTCCTTGGTATCAGACCAGGTGGCGGTCTCTGGCCAAGACAACAGACCCAGGCCTGTATCCAGAGCAGCCTCTAATTCCTTTTCCAAGCTCTGTAGCCGAGCCTCCAGGTGCCCCGCCTGTGCCTGGAGGTCCCCATTCATGGCAGCTTCTAACTCTTTTTCTGAGCTGTGTAGCCAGGCCTCCAGGTGCCCCATCTGTACCTGGTGGGCCCTTATCTGTACTGCATCCCTCAGGGACTGGGTGTGTACTTCTCGTAGCACAGTCAAAAATGCCCATCCAACTCTGCTGGCAAAAGCTCATTCCTTCTCAGTGCTCTGCATTTCTAGCTGCTTCAGTACCTTCTCCATGCTTGCGGGGGACCCATCTACTGCTGCCCAGGTTTCCATTGGAGCCCATCCAAGCAGCACAGCTGACAATGGGCACCACAACCCATGCTGTGGCCACATGGCTGACCCAGAATCACCAGGGAATGAAGGCTCACTCTCCTCAGTATCCTGTTCGTGATGTCAATTGTCACGCCAAGTGTCAGGTTTCAGCCCAAACAGAGGACCAAGGGGAGTGGGTAGACCAGTGGCGGGTAACTGGAAAAAGACTCGAGGAATTGTAGACAGTTTCAACATGGCTTTACTCTCTCTCTGGGTGCAAGTGAGCCCGGGCATGAGCCAACCTAGGCACAGGCCATATGTACAGCGTTAGCAGGGTAATTATACCTTTTACAGACAATAGTGGCTCCAAGCCAAGCACGAGCTCACGAGTGATCACCTAATGCACCTGCGGTGTGGTTACATAACGTGCAGAGTTGTGCACCTGTGCTCCAAACCCGCTGAGTCATGCTGCGGCTGGAAAGCTGCCTTGGCCTACTCCTGACTAAAGCACAGCCATCTCTCTTAGATAGTATTTAACAAGAAATTCTTAAGAGCAAGAGTTTACTTATTAACCAACAGCTTCTGTAGCAGTAAAATTTCATTATTAAAGAGATTTGTTATGACAAATTCACATTGTCTAGTATTAAGGGAACAACTCTAATCTTTTATCTAATACAACAGACTTTACAAGAAAGTCTATTGTGTATTCAAGAACTTAGCTTTTGGCATTAAAAAATTCAGTCTTTGAAGATGTGTGCTCATTTGGTCAGGGTTTCCCATTCTGTGTGTGAAATTTGCTCTGTGTCATCTTATGTTTAAGAACAGGGTACCGGTACTTAAAGTTGCTGTGAAGGTTAAATGAGATAATGTTTGTAAAACACTATTCAAGGCCTGGCATAAGGTAAAAAATGGAGATGAAGACACAGGTTCACAATTATTGTTGTTCTCCCCACAGTGACTATTTCAAACATGTACCTCTCTCCTCAAGGTCCTTAACTCAACTTTTAGTTTCAGCAGATTATCTTGAAAGCAAACCGAAGTGAACAAGCATGACTTCTATTAGCTTCTTACTTCAGTCTCCTCCTCCAACCTATTATCCACAAGCATTCTCAATTTGGTTTTAAGACTGCTATGAATCCACCTGGCCACTAAATCCACCTTTCTTTACATCAGTAGCTCTCAAAGTGTGGTGTCTGGATCAGCAATATCAGTGTCACCTGGGATCTCATTAGGAATGCAAATTCTCACCTCACCTAGGGCCTAATAAAACAGAAACTCTGGGAGTAGGGCCCAGCAATCTGTGTTTTAACAAGCCCTCCTGGCACACTAAAGTTTGAGAACCACTGCTTTAGATTATCCACAAGAATACCATGAGGTTTTTTATGAGGTCAGTACAGGTAAGCCTGACATTCAAATAAGTTATGTACTGAATTGTTTCTATAATAAACAAGAATACAAAAGAACTTACAACAAAACTGGCTTGTAAGCTAGCTATTTAATAAGTGAATCACAAAAATGTAAGAAATTGAGGACAAGGGAAAGAGAGGCCTTTAAGGGGAGATTCCTAGGCTCGTTCTCCAGCCCTGTCTAGTTTAAGGGTAAGCTTCAGCAGTGGGAAAAACTAAGTACACTGTAGCACAGGATGAGGAGACCCAAGGGACACTGTGGAAAAGCCCCTAAGGGTTTCTGGCTGTCAGTATGGTGAGTTTGCAGTCCAGCATAACTGTGTAAAAGCTGGCACGGACTCACAGTTGGCCTATTTGGAAGTACAGTATCACAACAAGGAAACTTTCAGGTTAGATCACATTTGAAGCCCTGTGTTCAGTCACTACATTTCAGGAGAGACGTTGATAAAACTAGTTCATTTCTTTGAAAAATAATGGGAATGAACAGAATTTATAGCTTAACAAATTGGGGATGTTTATCCAGAAAAGAGATGACTGGGAGGATCTGATAGCTATTCTATAACTGAAGGTGTGTCATATGGAATAGCAATTGGACTTATCCTTTATTGCTTCAGAGAATAGAACTAGGACCAATGGTTGGAAGTTAATGGGGAGCATATTTTATCTCCATATGAGAAAATTTTCTAACGATTAGAGCTATTAAATAAATTGCATTGCTTTCTAAGGCTGTAGTCCTCTGCTCACTGGAAGCATTCAAGTGAAGCTGGATGACGGCTGGTCATGAATTTAGTGGAGAGGATTATTATGTTGGGAAGTCAGCCTACGTTACCTGTTTCTTTCTAACTTTGAAAATTCTATGAATATGTTATCTATTAGAGGCTAGCATACAAAAATAGATTTTACTACAAAATCACCTGAAAATAGTACCATAAGTCATTTTCTTTTAAAATCATTTAAATTCATAATGTTTCCCCTAATGCACTCCTCTGTGTACTCAATAAATATACGGTACCTTATTAAACTCAACAAAGATATTTTGAGCATTTATGAGTGTCATAATAAAAAAATTCTTCCCAAGAGATTCATATGAAGCTTTTCAAATGTTGGAGAATAATATTTTAGAAAGGTTTCTAGTACATGGAATATTCTATGCAATATACTAGATAGCAGATGGAAGAGAGGGAAAAAAAAAGAACAATTTCTTTATGGTTACCCAAGGAGTCAGCGAATGTATGTGTCAGGAAGGTGGTTGATTGCTTGACTTTGCATAACCTAATTGAGATTATTATTATTTTTAAATGCGGGTTTGTTGTGCTAATTAACTATAAACATATGGTATGTAAAATGCATGCTGCTAGAGTAAATTAATGTACCTCTAACATATATCCATATTTCATAGCTTCAGCCACACAAATAAACCTCCTATGGAAGTGCTGTAAAGCAAACACAATTTTGCAAATTGCCTATCACTAGTAGTAGAGCTGATACACCATTTTCCCATCATTATCCCTGACATTTCACTCACAATGATGATGAGAGGCATTTTCAAATAGAAAATTTCTCCCATGGAACTGATTTAATGTGATGAAGTACTGTATAGAAATGAGGGAAAGCACAAAATCTCTGCAATTTCCAATTTTTAATTTTATCTATACGCAAATGTCTTCTGTAACATGAGACTGAAACTAGTTAAATGGAGACCGAGACGTCCATGTCAACATTTATTTTGTGCCTACTATGTTCCAGGTATCAGGCCAGGAAAGAAAGATTAAATAAGACAGAGTACTTGCATTTCTGTAACTCCCTAAGGATTGTGTTCTATTGGATTTCAGCACACACACAAAGTCCCCAGTACCTTCTTCTGCTCCAGCAACCAGCTTCTACCACAGCAGCAAAGTCTATCATAATACCCATATCCCATAAGCTCTCATTTGAAATTGACATGCGGACATCTTATACCCCTTTTTACTTCAAACCCACTACATGTTTTATGTTTATTACAGATTAAATTTTAAGAATTTTGGTAGCCATCTTTTAATTTGCAATAATTTTCCAGAAATTGCTGCCAAAATATCTTCATTTCTGACTGTGAAACTAATCTTGAAAAACATACTGTCCTAACAGGCTGATGTTTAAAAAGGATAGCTTTGACAAAAGCAAAGAGCTATATTTTTAACACCCCAAACAAGTGTCCCATATTAAGTACATACAAGAGAGAGCAGAACATCTCAGGTGGAAAGGAGGTGAGATCATCTAATTCAGACACAGAAAATTCAGGACATGAACACCACCACTCCCTGACCCCACCCCCATGGTGGACACCACTAATCACATTACTCTTTGCTACCAAGCCTGGTATTCTCAACAAATTCTCCAGAAAATCACTAGCAATTTATCAGGCTTAGTACCAAAAGAGAAACTTATCTACCATCTCTTTTCTGATTCAATCATTTTATTTTATAGGTAAGGAAACAGAACCTGGAGAGATAAAGTGACTTCTCCCAAGATTAAGTGGTCTCTAAAAGGCAGTGCCAGGACTCAGACTTCTGACTTGAAATCAGAGTTTCTTTTCATCATCACATCCTTCCTTTCTAATCTGTTGTTAATAAAACTCTTGGTTTTCTAGGTCTTTGATGACTGTTTTATTCTGTATTCATCAAGTGCTTGATCACTGAAGAGTCTACATAATTTATGTTTTATGAAGATTTGCAGCATTTCTGCCTTCCTCTTACCTGGGAAGTATTTCCAAAGAAGGGATTTAGTGATTTGGGGTTTTTTACTGCATTGTGGTTTGGGGGCTTATAATCATCTCAGGTGATGTCCAAAAAAAAAAAAAAAAAAAAGGCCTAATCAAGGTCTATGGGAAAAGATCTGTGAAGGAGAGGGGACTCAAAGTTTTCATTCAATGAAGGCTAATATACAAGAAAAAAAAGTACCACAAAATGAAGTTAGGCCAGGCATGGTGGCTCACACCTGTAATCTCAGCACTTTGGGAGGCTGAGGTGAGAGGCTCGCTTCAGCCCAGGAGTTCGAGACCAGCCTGGGCAACACAGAGAGATCCCATCACTATTTAAAAAAAAAATTTTAATGAAGTTAAAGTAACAAAAGAAAAAGAGGAAAGCAAAATGCTCAGAAAGGAATAATAGGTCCAGAGAAATTTTCAAAAAATAGAAAAATTGTCCAAGAACGTAATCAAATAATGTTTATAAATACATGAGGAGATACGGCACAGTTTCTCCAACATGAGCATGTAATGGACAGTACTGTTCTTCCCTTTAGCAGGAATTAGGAAAAACAAATTTGCTTTTAGACTTTGTTCTCATTTTTTTTCCCAAAGGTTGGCTTTCTCTTTATTGAGAAGACTGCTTTTTAGCCTGTCAGACACATATGACCTAATCAGAACCTTTCTTCATCAATACACTGAAGTGCATAATTATTGTCCACACTTGGACCTTGCAACTATTTCTCAAAACTGTAACCCTAATATTTCCAAAAGTTCTTTCCTAGTAACACAGACTGCCTAACAAGTGACAGCTGGTTACTCCAAAATTGCCTCTCTCATCTGCTGTATTCTGGATCTGTCTTCTTTTGTCCTCTCACCATTTCAAACTCTTGCCCATAGTGAAAAAAGAAAAACTCCTCTCTAAATATGGATGTAACAGTTTTCTAAGGGCACGAATTATTAGGTTGGTGCAAAAGTAATTGCGGTTTTTGCCATTAAAAGGAATGAATGAATTAAAATGAATGGCAAAAACTGTAATTACTTTTGCCCCAATTTATACAATTATGCAATTTTAATCTCTCAGATTTATCAAAAAAGGACCTGAGGGAGAGTTTTACCCCTACCTTGGGACTATCTGAATGATGACAATGACAGTGATGGTGATGACAATGCCGACAGCAAGAACCTAAACTTAATACTTGCTGTGTGTTAAGGACAGGGCTAAGCCTTTCCAGGTATTATTTCATAAAATCCTTAAAACCTTAAAAGACAGATATATTGCCACATTCATTTAACAGGTAAGATAAGCTTCAGAGGGGTTAAGTAAGTGCCAGCACCAGGATTAAAACTCAGATCCTTTTTGACTCCAGGGTTCATGCTATTTCACTCAGTTATCCATTTGACATATACATGGCACCTACTGTGTGCCAAACATTGCACTAGATGACCATCCATTGCCAAAGGCGGAAGATGCTGCTGAAAACTAGAACCCGTTTACGTAGTTAACTTCTTTAGAATATGTCAGCTATCTCCGTATTGCAAATGTCAATACTAGAAGCATCCCTCAGACAAGAAACAGAAAACTTGATGCCCCAAAAACGAGTTAAATGAGCTTTGAGAAGACTTATGATATAAATTTTGCTCAAAGCAGAGCTCAAGAAGTCAAGTATAAAATGGCTTGTGCTACACACTTTTAGAACAAAACCTGTTAATGCTACTTAATAGCCATAAAAAAGTCCATTATATTTGATAAAGTAATCTCAGTTTTGGAAATCTATTTTAAGCAAGTTATATAAAACATGAAAAAATTATATGCATAAAAGGTGTTTACAGCAGTGTTATTTATATTACCTTAAAAGGTAAAAACAACCTGTAGTCCAAAAAGAAGGGAATAGCCTGTAAATGAAATAATTTATTTATTAAAGCATAAAGATTGTGTAGCTATGTTTAAAAATGTATACTTATAAGACATAATGAAGAAAGCAGAATTCAAAATTGTCTTCTACGATTACAAACCTGTAAAAAGTACTCTTAAAAAAAGATTAAAAGTGAACACTTTGAAAGTACAGTGTCTGCTGTTTGGGTGGAATCACAAGTAGAGTCTTTTACTCTCATTTTTGGTAACACTGTTTCTTTCAGAATTTTAAAATAATTTTCATAATGGTATATGCCTTCAGGATTAGAAAGATTAGAACCAAGTGCTAGCTTGCAACAGCTAGTGAAGACATTTACAGCTAAAACTCTGCCTTAATCAGGGGCTAGTCGATTATTCAGAAAACTCAAATAGAAAACTCTTACAAAAAGAGGAAGCAGGCTGGGTGCAATGGCTCACGCCTGTAATCCAGCACTTTGAGAGGCTGAGGCAGGCAGATCACTTGAGGCCATGAGTTCAAGACCAGCCTGGCCAACATGGCAAAACCCTGTCTCTACTAAAAATACAGGGGAAAAAAATTAGGTGGCCATGGTGGCACATGTTTGTAGTCCCAGCTACTCAGGAGGCTAAGGCAGAAGAATCGCTTGAACCTGGGAAGCAGAGGTTGCAGTGAGCCGAGATTGTACCACTGCACTCCAGACTGGGTGACAGAGTGAGACTCTGTCTCAAAAAAAAAAAAGAAGCAGTACCTGCCTGAAGACCATAAACAGTGATGGCGACAACAGGGTTAACTTCAAACACAAGGGAAGAAAATACAGGAAAGTGGAGTTTAAAGCAGAATGAACTTAAAAGACCAGGTGGAGCTGCTGTGGACAGCAGCCTCATTCTCATTTCAGGCAGGGGGAAAATTCCATAGTCATTGCTGTGAAGTTACTCACTCCAGTAACTTCCTCCCGGAATCAACACATTCACACAGAGCCATCTCTGCCTTCTCTGACACTCCTGACATCCCAAGAGTGATGCAGTAAAGTGTGCATGGCATTTCACCAACCACAAAGGTGATTTACTTTTCTATATGCCCTGAAAAGAGGAAACCAACGTTCATAATGATGAACCAGGGGTGGGGGGGCTGCAAAATCTCCTAGTGATGATGAAAGACTAAATCAGCCGCTCTAAACCCTAGCACACTTGGAGTCACCCAAGGAGCTTGGTGAGATATTTTTTCTTGGGGCTTTGTCCTCTAATTCTGATTTAGTGGGTTTATTTTGGTACTCAATCTGTATTTTCAACATGCACTCTAGGGATTACTGATATTTAGAAAACACTGGACTGAGCTATATATGGTATAATATTAGTGTTTAATACAGCTCATTGTATTTTACTAAAATCAATGAATAGTCTTATATCTATTCAAGTAGAATCTCCATTCCCCAACCATGCCAGAAAACAGAATATGTACTCTACCTGGTAATCCAGCATCTGGAAGCTTGGAAAAAACTGACAAATTCGGGATTCAAAAAAATAGGGGAAAATCCAGAAAATGGGTAGTTCTTTGTGACTGTCATCTAATGGATCACAAAAAGGAAAAAATAATAGTAAATTAAAGAAAAAATAGAAGGCTACAGTAGAAAAACTTCCGCTAGCATAAGAAATTGCAATGATTCAACACATTTAAATCTCATACAAAAACAGAAAATATTTACCAGAGTGCCATTTCAAACCTGTCTATTCCCAAAGGTCAGTGGACATATTCCTTTATATCGAAATATAGCTACTAAGAGTATGTAAAAGTAACCCTTATATGTATATTACTATTGTCTAGGTAAGGCAAAGATGTTACCTAAAAAGTTGAAAATAGAAAAGGAGTGCCACTTTTGAGGCACAAAGGTAGTCATGATGCAGTGAAAGGACCTCTGGACTAGAAGGCAGTAGGTCTTCGGTGTGAATCCCAGCTCTGCCACAACTCATTATCTTAGTTTTCAGGGATGAATCAACCTTGTCTGCATCATGGAAGATTCTTCAAAACAGTTTTACCAAAATTAGTGTTTGTGAGAGACAGGGAACACAGCTATTACTTACAAAGCACCTAGTATAGGCTAGTATTCATTATAGCACTATTACAGCTAAAATTCCAATAGGCTGAAAAGCCTTAATCAGAGGCAAGCCTAATCATAGTGCTTACACTAAGCTATAATAAGTACATTCTATGTACTGTCTCCTTACAATAATCCCTAGAATTAGATGTTATCCCATTTTACAGATAGGGAAACTGAAGCCATAAGCTATCAAGTCCAATGCAGCTAATAAGTGGCAGAACAGGAATTCAAGCCCACAAAGCTCTTTATTGCTTCCCCAATGACATTGACTTTATCCACTCTAATTAGTGGACTTAAAAACAGCAAATAAGTGAAATACTTAACAATATGAGTCACGTTTTATATTTCATTTGCATTGTCCCTCAAAGCACTATTAGTGGAGAAGCATGATCACAAAATTCCTGACACTCTTAACAAATTTATCAACTTGCGAGCTAGAAAATGTTTCTAAAAAATGAATGTACCAACTAATTAGATAATTATATAAAATACTTTGAAGTCCTAAGTCACGCCTGTAATCCAGCACTTTGAGAGGCTGAGGCAGGCAGATCACTTGAGGCCATGAGTTCAAGACCAGCCTGGCCAACATGGCAAAACCCTGTCTCTACTAAAAATACAGGGGAAAAAAAATTAGGTGGGCATGGTGGCACATGTTTGTAGTCCCAGCTACTCAGGAGGCTAAGGCAGAAGAATCGCTTGAACCTGGGAAGCAGAGGTTGCAGTGAGCCGAGATTGTACCACTGCACTCCAGACTGGGTGACAGAGTGAGACTCTGTCTCAAAAAAAAAAAAAAAAAAAAAAAAGAAGCAGTACCTGCCTGAAGACCGTACACGGCTAAGTCACTTAAACTGAATAATAACCCCCAGCCACTAGCCTACCTATAGGGCTGGGAATCTGTGTCACTGATAACCACAATCAGCCTATGGGATGTCTAACCTCCAAACTCATATCCTGGCAAAGCGTAGAGCCCTGGACCTCAGGTTGAGTGCCCTCTTAGTGTTCTGGGCCAGGCTTTAGGAACAGGGAATGTATGATCCACAGGGCAGAGGTATGTGTCGGCTTTGTTCAAAAATCTATTCCTAGTACCTAAACAGTGCCTGGCACACAGTGGCCACTCGGTAAATATTTACTGAATAGAATGACAGCAGTTCACTGCTGTTCTGCATAATGTCCCATTATCCCCATCAAAAACATAGTATTTTACCTATAAGCCATTAAAAAAATCCACATGATTAGAATAATACAAAGTATATCATGATAATGAAGTTTGCTGCAACATCAAATAAGCCTGTTTTTAAAAAGAGAACTCAAGACATGTATATTCTATCACTGCTCTGATTCACTGAGCTCAGCTAATATTTGACAGGAAGTAGATATATAGATATGTATTTATTTTGCAGTAATAAATTATACACCTTGGCTTTGACCTTCTTTCCACATAGCAATTAACTTCTTGAATGTAATAGCCAGAGGTTCAACCAAGCCACCAAACGGAGGATCCGTCACCATAATGATTCCTTCGCCTTTATCTTCCTGTAAAAATGCTCTGCATACTTCAAGGGCAGTCTGGAACAAATAAAAATTCATTTCTAAATTAGGACTAGAGAGAGGCACTTCATCCTATTTGGAGGAGAATGCATTAGACTCAGTCTCTCTCTTAATACTGGAAACTTTACCAAGTCATCTTGCCACCGCAGCATTCCTCAGTGACATTCTGAAGCCTCTCTTTGCTCCTATGAGATTTTATCTTTGGGTTCTTTGATAAGCAGGTTTTTAAAATTGCAAATTCAAACACCATCACTATCAGAAGACTACACATTTCAAATGGTTAAATTAAAAGGCTAAATTTAATGTCCTAAAAGAAACTCATTACCCATGAAAACTATCTAAAATGTTAAATTCAATTTAACAAACAGAAGCCAGGATGGTGCTAAGCACTGGGCACACAAAGACGAAGAAAACATTGTTTTCCTATCTGGTTTGTCCAATGCCATGAGTTCAGTTTAATAACAGCTACAAATTAGCAGTTAAACATGCATATGTTTTTGAGTATCAGGCAGACATATTTGAACATGCACTGTAAGTAAATAAAAAATGAAAGTTCACAAACGACAAAGCGCATCTGGTCCATGAAACCATGCTATTAACACATTTTCCCAAAGGTTAATTTAAGCTTTTTTAGTAATTGCAAAGTAAACATTAACAGGGACATTTAATGGTTTTTGCTATAAGTGAAGTTATTAAGAGATACCATATAACAGTATCTCCACTCAACTGACTTGCAAGTAGCTTTCAAGTACAGTCCCCTCAGTATCCCTGAGGGATTGGTTCCAGGACCCCTGCATATACCAAAATCTGCAGGTGCTAGAGTCCCTGATATAAAATGTTGTAGTATTGCACATAACCTATGCACATCCTCCTATATAGTTTAAATAATCTCTAGGTTACTTATAATACCTAATACAACGTAAATGATACATAAATAGTTCTTAGACTCTATGGTTTAGGGAATAATGACAAGAAAAAAGTGTACATGCTCAGTACAGTCACCACCATCCTTTTTTTCCTAAATATTTTTGATCTCCAGTTGGTTGAATCCACAGATGCAGAACCCACAAGTGGGGAGAGCTGACTGTACTCATCTACAAAAATAAGTCAACACAGTATACAAAATGACATGAGATTTTAAAATTGAATGGCATTTTAAACTTTAACAAGCCTATATGTATTTTATAATAAAATATATTTTGTTCTACCGCGAAATCAATTTAGAAGATCCCACTGATAAGAGGAAAACCTTTCTCCCTAGGAGAGTCTTCATTAATTTCCTACTGGAACTCCTACAGCAGAGGATGACTTGTCAAGAAGGTTAATCATTTTTCAAGTGCTGTCTGGCACTTCCTTAACCTGCTTACAAGAACAAGGACTGAAAGCACAGATGATGATATTGAAATCTTCAAACTCCTTAGAGTTAAAAGTAGAAAAAAGAAATTATACAAGTAAATGATGTCTAACTCCTAACCTAACTTTAAAAATATTTTTAAAGGATTTTTTTTTCCAGGTAAGAATCAATGGCATCATAGCCAAACACAAGCTGCTGATGGTCTTAATGTTGATCTCCTGTGGGAAATAGATACTTGCTTACAATGTTGACAGTAATTTGACTCTTTCCTTTATCTCAGTTATCATTTAAAAAGTGCCCGGCAATTTAATTAGCCATCCTCTCTACATACTTTAACTGACTTTGCCATTAAGGCAGATGACATTTTTTTAAAGACTCTATGATTTGCAATGAGAAATCCTATGCAGGGAACTCCAGCTTTTGAATCTAGTGGACTGTAAAGTGCTGAGGTGCACTAGCAGAGTATTCTATTCTCCTAAGCACCCTGGACAGCCTCAAAGGCACTGAGCCGACACTTAAATACTTAGTGATTGATTAGTGGATGGTAAATCTCTACTGAAAAACTTGACTCTGGGAGTAGGTAGAAAAAGGGCAGATAGTAAAATCATTAAAACAATGGGTTTCTGCAGATCAATCTCTACAGCTGCAGTGCTATTTAGAGGCTGCTGCTGAAATATAGAGTAAGGAAAGCCTGAGCTGGACGACTCTTTTCTTCAGGGAAGATAAAGTGGGGCTCAATCTTGGCAGCTTATTCCAACCATTATTGTAGAAACTTATAAGGTAATGCTGTACACTTTCTATAAGCTACAAAGAGTTTCGAAAAAAAGGCTAATTACCTGTTACTCTTTAAAAATATAAAAAATTGCTAGCCAACCTTTAGGTATTTAATTTTATCCTTATTTTGTCTTCATTGTTCAAAATAAAAAGCAAAACCATAGTATGGTATTAAAACAGACAAAAAACAAGAAAACCCTAACTCACTAGTGTAGGATCAAGAAGTGATTCAAACTCGATTACTTCCTCATTTACTACGACACAGCCCTGACTCCACCTGACATCAAGGTCCTGTGGTTTCAAGGGGGACACCCCTACATCAATATCCTACCAACCCCACAAACTCAACCTTTCCAAACTTCACTTCCCTCTGTTAGAAGAAAAAATACAAATCCAGGCCATTCTACCAAGTCAGCTTGGACTTCTCCCTCAGTACAGTCTTCTCACTGCTTCCGTGAATGCCTAGACAACCCAGTTCTTTTCTCTCCTTTTCTCACTGCCACTGTCCCAGCTGCGAAGCCCCTCATCATCCACTGGCAAGTGACTTTCAACTCCCATTTTCCTTCACATTCACCTCAACAGTTCTCAATTCTTAGTGATTAGCAACCACATAAACGCTTTGGGAAACAGCTGAAATACATCTAATTATAACTGCTGTTTATTTCAATACCTTGTTTTAATGGCTTCACAGCTGAAAAATATTAATATATATCCCAATGCTAAATTGATTCAAATGGAAGGAGTGCTATACTTACTAAATCAGGGGACTCATTTTTCAATCCCAACCAACAATTTAACATTTGTTTTCATTTCCTGAACGCTGACTTTTAAAGTCTTGCTTGGTTTTCATCCTCCTATCATTAGTTAATATCTCAAAGCACAATACATAGTAAGCATGGTTCAGAATTTTTACAAAATTGATATATATGCATATATTTATGGGTATGCTTCAAGGTGTCTTGATAATTTCACAATATTTTTGGCCAGCGTGATTACTTGGTTGGTTACAGATTTTATTTTATAATAGGCCTGACAAAGAGCTTAAACTAAATGTATCAGCTCTACTATGCTGTTTATTCTCAGTGACATTATTAACCTCAAATTGAAAGAAGCTTTTTTAAACTGCAGTCCTTTTTTTTTTTAAAGAACTTTTATTTTTTAGAGCAGTTTGAGGTTCACAGAAAAAGTGAGAGGAAGGAATAGAGATTTTCCGTACACTCCCAGCCCTGACACATGCATTTAATTACAGTGTGGTAAGTCTACAAAGGAAAACTTGACCCTTTGGGGAGTAGGGGTCGGGGGAGGCTGGAAGAAGTGATTTGGAACAAAGTTCTAAAACATGAGTGGAGGTTATCAAGGCAAAAGACAGCAGAAACCAGCAGGAACAGCATGGACCTTCCCTGCGGTGGAAAGGCGTCTGACCAGTTCCAGATGAAAGCCCTGTGCCCTGAGCACAGACAGCAAAGGGGAAACAGGGAGAGGGGAGGCTAGAGTGGAAATCGGGGTCAGATCACACAGAGCCCCACGGGCCTTCTAAGAATGTGGGCCTTCATCCAAAAAGTAGTGAGAAGTCTTAACAAGGGAATAATAAAATCACCTCTAGGTGCTCAATAAACAGTGAAAGAACAAAAATAAATATCAGTAAATGGTAGAACAGCCACAATTTGACCTTGAGGGAATTTAGAAAAAGAACAAAGGAGGCACTCTGAAATCTGTTATTCCACAATAAGAGAACAATGAGATAATGGTCACA
This sequence comes from Homo sapiens, assembly GCF_000001405.40. Classification (NCBI taxonomy): domain Eukaryota; kingdom Metazoa; phylum Chordata; class Mammalia; order Primates; family Hominidae; genus Homo; species Homo sapiens. The sequence continues at coordinate 25,345,628 of NC_000004.12, read as the reverse complement.
GCTCTTACCTTTCCATCAAAGAAATGATGGTTAAACATATTATAATGGCAAAAGCTATCTTCCATATAAAACTGTGAATACCTGTAAAATAATTACAGAGTTATTTGCCCAGTCACAGCTATAGAGTAGACAAATATAAACTAAATTTTAAAACAATAAAATCACACCTTTAAAAAATTTCATTTTTTAGTTTTTTGAAATAAAGAATAATTTGCAAAAATTTCAGGGAATCTGTAACAGTGAATAAATAACAAACTTAAGTGATTTTCCCATGTTTAATTAACCAGTAGTAAAACCAAAGAATACTCATATATAAAACACACATGTTCCTATGTACCAGGAGGTTATACATAAACAATCAGGTTACTGACAGATGATTATGCAATTTAAGCTTGCAATGGGTTGGCAATTAAGATACATCCCTCATGGTTAATAATTTTAAGGAGAATACTAAATCAACATTTCTGCTTGACAGCTGTTCATTTATTTTCTTCTGTAGCTGATTTTTTTTTAAGTATTTAATACAGGCCGGGCACAGTGGCTCACACCTGTAATTCTAGCACTTTGGGAGGCTGAGGCAGGCAGATTGCTTGAGCTAACGAGTTTGAGACCAACCTGGGCAACATGGCAAAATCCTGCCTCTACAAAAAATACAAAAATTAGCCAGGCGTGGTGATGCATGCCTACGGTCCCAGCTACTATGAAGGCTGAGGTGTTAGGATGGCTTGAGCCCAGGAGGCGGAGGATGCAGTGAGCCAAGATCACACCACTATACTCCAGCCGGGACGCTATAGCCAGACCTTGTCTCAAAAAAAAAAAAAAGTAATACAAATTTTTTTTTTTGTCTAACGCAGGCTAGCTTAATAAAATATGCTTTTCAATATAATAGAGAAAGTATATGCATTTCATATTTACTAAATCAGTGCCAGGAAAGAGGAATATTTATTTACTGATTGAATTATTTTGTTTTGCTAACACAGTGTTTTATTTTATTTTATTTATTTTATTTTATTATTATTATACTTTAAGTTTTAGGGTACATGTGCACAATGTGCAGGTTAGTTACATATGTATACATGTGCCATGCTGGTGTGCTGTACCCATTAACTCATCATTTAGCATTAGGTATATCTCCTAATGCTATCCCTCCCCCCTCCCCCCACCCCACAACAGTCCCCAGAGTGTGATGTTCCCCTTCCTGTGTCCATGTGTTCTCATTGTTCAATTCCCACCTATGAGTGAGAACATGCGGTGTTTGGTTTTTTGTCCTTGCGATAGTTTACTGAGAATGATTTCCAATTTCATCCATGTCCCTACAAAGGACATGAACTCATCATTTTTTATGGCTGCATAGTATTCCATGGTAACACAGTATTTTAAAAAGCCATTGGCAGTGCATGAGAGTACCACCTTTGGGTATTAACATTTTATAAATTCCTGCTAATTTACTAGGAAAAACTCATATCACATTATGACTTAAATCTGCATTTGACTACTTATAAGGTGGAACTTTCTATATTTCTTAACTGTATTTGTACCGTCTGTCCATATGTTTTCCCCATTTATGTATCTGGGTCTTAATGTCTGCGTTGCTGATTTCTCAGTTTTCCATATAATATAGAAACCTTTTTGTTATCTCAATAGGATTTTGAACTCCAACTATTTTATTACACATAATTTACATATGACTCACATCATCCTTGGGAATTTGTAACCTGGTAAAAAGACTGAAAAAAAATCTGAGACACATCCTTACTTATTATGACTTCTTGAACCAAGTCATGACACTGTCAACTTCTTTGCTTGTATTTCTACTCAGTTACCCATTACTGTCTGTAACTGATTGAGCATCCATGGTGAATATTTAATGTAAGGGACAGCACTGGTTTATCCTCTTCCCATTAACTGTGGTTAAGAGCAGAGGCTCTATAGTCAGACGGTCTGGTTTCAAACTATGTGTCTCTCGCTTACTAGCTGGGTATCCTTAGTAAGTTACTTAACCTTTCTGAGCCTCAGTTTCTTCATCCGTAAAATGGTAAAAGTAATAATTTCTACCACATAGGACTGGATAACAATAAGATGATGTATGTAAAGTACTTAATACAATGCCAGCTACATAGCATATACTAAAATGTTAAGTACTGTTACTGTTATTTTAATAATTAGCAGCGTAAATATTTATGTCTTAATGCCTCTCATATTAGGGAATTATGTTTATGTTCACCAGAAATAATCTAAGCCTATTTATTCTTGTTCTGTGGAGATGGACAAAGAGCTGCCAACCATTCTCGGTACAATATCCTTTAATGTCATTTAAGACACTGTTAGCACATTTCCTAAAATATAAATTTGCACTGAAGAAATAAAAGGTTTAGATAACTGGAAAATATTTAAACTATATACCGTAACCTAATGAACTTTCCAAAAATTGACTGTAGGCAATGTCAAATGACCATTAAACAAATATGTCTTCCTATTTAACTAAATTTCACATAACTGCCTTTAAAAAAAGTGTATTAGTACTAGTACAACCATGTGTAAACATGATATCATTTGAGGGTTTTCTTCTCTCTTGCACTGCTTTATAAGTACGACCAAAGGAAAATACAATCCCTTTTTAACATAATCCCTATTGTTGTCATTCCTTCACAAAGATACAACAGTCATTTTTAAAAATTAGAAAAAGGAAATTTGATTTACATGAAACTCAGCACAGCACACCTGTCCAAAACATTCTGGGCAGCAGTGTGCAGAGGAATAGAGAAAGAAAAGCCAAGATTTCAGTTCTAAGTTTCCATCAAATACATAATTTGAGAGCATAATTATTCATATTTTAAATTATGAAAAATCACTCAACATTGCCCTCTTAAAATGAAATTGGCCACAAAGAATTATTCTCTCCATTGAATAAGGCAAACAAAACCAATCAGAAATGCATGCACTTGAAAAATGCTCAAAAGGACATTCATCTGGCCATTCATTCTCTTTAAATGAGAGTCAGTTACCAAGTGTGAAACATGCTCTACACACAGGAAATGTAATCAAGAGCTGAATAAAATTAGTTCATGAAATGAACCTAAGAAATTCATTTTTTGACATAACTTTATTTGGATAATAGTTTGCCAAATAGAGTTTCACATCTTTCATGCTAAAATTAAGCATATAGAAATCCATCTTAGCAAATGTGAACTTCGTACCTCCTACCCCCTAAAAAATATATTTATAGCACATTTATAGAGAACACTGGAGTTTGAGGCTGTTCTCCAACCTTGGATAAACCTGTTGTAAGGCACCAAAAAACCAAAGTCAAAGTGCCAAAAAACTACTCACTGTCACTCTATACTATGCAGAATTTTTTTTCTGATTTAACTGTGGTCTTTATGAGAAATCTGAACCAACCACACACTCCGTCATGCTGTAAATACAGGTAACCAGCCTCAGAGCATTCCAGCAACTTATGTGTCTCAATAAACCAGCTCTCTCTTAAGAACTATTGTTGACCTCTACAGAACTGACTCAATAACAGACTACGTTATCAAAAAAACTGAACTGTGATATCCCCAATAAAACACCATCAGTTTTTGTTTGCAAGGCACACACAAAAGTTTATAAGCATGAAAAAAAAGTATCAATATATTCCATACATTATACAATAACTTTATCCACATCCCCTAACCCCTACTCTGACCAGGATATTACAACTACAGGTGCAAGAAAAGGAAAACTAAAAGGCATGGAATTAAAGGTGAAATAGCTAAGGGGCCATATAAATCTTTCAAATTAAATCAGGCAAGATGAAGAGTTCTGGAGATCAGTTACAAACAACGTGAATTTACTTAACACTACTAAGTTGTATATCTAAAGATGGCTACTATGGTAAATGTTATATGTACAGTTGACCTTTGAACAACACAGAGGTTAGGGGCGCAGTAGAAAATCCAAATACAACTTTTACCTTCTGTGTCAGTCCATTTTGCATTGCTATAAAAGAATACCTGAGATTGGGTAATTTATAAAGAAAAGAGGTTTATTTGGATCACAGTTCTGCAGGCTGTACAAGCATACCACCAGCATCTGCTGGGCTTCTGGTGAGGCCTTAGGAAGTTTTTACTTATGGTGGAAAGGAAAGGGGAGCAGGCATGTCATATACAGCAAGAGAAGGAGCAAGAAAGAGAGGAGCAGGTGCCAAGCTCTTTAAACAACCAGCTCTTGCATGAACTAATAAAATGAGAACTCACTTATTACCTCTATTATCACAAAGACAGCATCAAGCCATTTATGGGGAATCAACCCCATGATTCAAACACCTCCCACTAGGCCCACCTCCAACACTGGAAATCACACTTCAACATGAGATATCAACTCCAAACCATATCAACTCCACAAAAACTTAACTACTAATAGCCTACGATGACTGGATGCCTTACAGATAACAGTCAATTAACACATATTTTGTGTATGTTTTATATACAGCATTTTTACTATAAAGTTAGCTAGAGAAAAGAAAATGTTATTAAGAAAGTCATTTGGGAGGTCGAGGTGGGAAGATTGCTTGAGGTCAGGAGTTCAAGACCAACCTGGCCAGCCAGCAAGTCCCGTTTCTATTAAAAAAAATCATAAGGAAGAGACGATATTATTTAATATTCATTAAGTGGAAGTGGGTCACCGTAAAGGTCTTCATCTTCATAATGAGCAGACTTAGGAGGAGGAAGAAGAGGAGCGGTGGCAGAGGCACAAGAAAATCCACTTGTAAGTGAACCCGAGCAGTCCAAAACCATGTTATTCAATGGTTAACTGTATTTTTGAAAAATTTTTTAAAGTAAATCAGAGTACTATTAACACCACAAAATAAAATTCAGAAAACCATTTAAATTATAATAGCACCAAAAATAATAAAACATCTAGAGATAAATTTAATAAAAGAAGCACAAAACTTACATACTGAAAACTACAAAATATCATTTAAAGAAATTGAAGATCTAAAGAAATGGAAGGACATCTCATGTTCATGGACTGGACAACTTAATATTAAGATGGCAATATTCCCCAAATTAATCTACAAATTCAATGCAATCCCTTTAAAAATCTCAGCTGGCTTTTTTTGTAGAAATTGACAAGCTGATCCTAACATTCATATGGAAACGCAAGACACCCAGAACAGCCAAAACAATCTTGAAAAAGAACAAAATAGGAAGACTCATACTTCCCATTTTCAAAATTTACCATACAGCAACAGTAATCATGACTGTGTAAGAGTGGCATAGGGATGGGCATAGATCAATGGAACAGAATTTAAAGTCCATAAATAAACCTATATATTTGTGGTCCTTTTGTTTTCATTGTGGTACCAAGACAATTCAATGGGAAAAGAACAGTCTTTTCAATAAACGGTGCTAGAGCAACTAGTCATCTACATGCAAGCAGTTAGACCCCTACCTCATACAATAAATAAAAATTAGCAGGCCAGGCACGGTGGCTCATGCCTTTAATCCCAGCACTTTGGGAGGCCGAGGCGGGTGGATCACGAGGTCAGGAGATCGAGACCATCCTGGCTAACATGGTGAAAGCTCATCTCTACTAAAAATATAAAAAATTAGCCAGGCGTGGTGGCAGGCGCCTGTAGTTCCAGCTACTCGGGAGGCTGAGGCAGGAGAATGGTGCAAAGCTGGGAGGCGGAGGTTGCAGTGAGCCAAGATGTGCCACTGCACTCCAGCCTGGGTGACAGCAAGACTCCGTCTCAAAAAAAAAAAAAAATCTCAAAATAGATTAAAGACCTAAGTGTAAAAGCAAAAATTATAAAACTCTTTGATGAAAACATGGGTATAGACACTCATTGGATTAGGCAAGACTTTCTTAGATATGACACCTAACACACAAGCAACTGAAGAAAAAAGAAAAACTGGACTTCATCACAAGTGAAAAGACAATCCACAAGATGAGAGAAAATATTAGCAAATCATATATCTGATAAGGGTCTAGTATCCAGAATATATTAAGAACTTTCACAATTCAACAAAAATACAAATAACTAATTAAAAACTGGGCAAAGGATTGATATTTCTCCAATAAGATAAACAAATGGCCTATAAGCACATGAAAAGATGCTTAACATTACTAGCCATCATGGAATACAAAACAAAACCTCAAGGAGATACCACTTCAAAAAGACAGATGATAATAAACATTGGCAAGGACATGGAGAAATTAGAAACCTCATATATTCCTGGTGAGAATAAAATATGATGCAGCCACTTTGGAAAATAGTTTGGCTGTTCCCCAGGAAGGTAAACATAGTTACCACATGACCTAGCAATTCCACTTCTAGGTATAAGGGCTGAACTGTTTCACCCCCAAAATCCTTATGTTGAAGCCCTAATCACCAGTACTTCAGAATGTGGCTATTTGGAGACAGAGCCTTTAAAGAGGTAATTAAGTTACAATGAGGCCATTAGTGTGAGCCTTACTCCAATCTGACTGGTATCCTTAAAAGAAGAGGAAATTTGGACATAGTAAGAAACGCCAGGGATACGCACACAAAGAGAAGAACTTATGAGGAGACAGTGACCATCTGCATGCCACAGAGAGAGGCCTCAGGAGAAACCAAACCTGCTAAAACCTTGATCTTGGACTTCCAGCCTCCAGAACTGTGAGAGAATAAATTTCTGTTGTTTAAGCCACATAGTCTGTGGTATTTTGTTACGGCAGCCCTAACAAACTAATACCCAAGAGATCTGAAAACCTATGTTCACATGGAATTTGTACACAAATGTTCATAGCAGTATTATTCATAATAGCCAAAAAGTGGAAGCAACTCAAGTGTCCATCAACAGATGAAAAGATAAACAAAATTTGGTATATCCGTATAGTAGAATATTATTCAGCCAAAAAAAGGAATGAAGTACTGACACATGCTACCACATGGGTGAACCTCAAAAACTTTATGCTAAGTGAAAGAAGTCTGACACAAAAGGCCACACAGAGTATTATTCCACTTATATAAAAAATATCTAGAATAGGCAAAGCATATCCATAAAGATAGAAAGTAGATTCATGGTTGTCAAAGGCTGGGGGCATGGTAAATGGGGAGGGACTGCTCACAGGGAGAGTGCTTCTTCTGAAGGTGATGAAAATGTTGTGGAATTAGATAGCGGTGATGGCTACGCAACCATGTGAATATACTGAAAACTACTGTTTTATGTATGTAAAATATATCTCAATTTTAAAAAAAGAAATGGGCTGGGCATGATGGCTCACACCCTGTAATCCCAGCACTTTGGGAGGCTGAGGCAGGCACACTGCATTAGCCCAGGAGTTTAAGACTATCTTGGGCAACAAGGTGAAACCCCGTCTCTACAAGAAATACAAAAATTAACTGGGTGTGGTGGCACACGCCTGTGGTCCCAGCTACTTGGGAGAGACTGAGGTAGGAGGATCGCTTGAACCCAGGAGGTTGAGGCTGCAGTGAGCTGAGATCACACCATTGCATTCCAGCTTAGGTGACAGAGCAAGATGTTGTCTCAAAAAGAAATATACCTAAAATATCACCAGCAGGAAAAGTTTTCAAGGTTATATATCTACTTTTTAAAATGTTTATATGCATAAAAAAGGTTTAAAAAGCCAAAACCCATAATGTTTTGGATGGCAGAATTAAAGATCATTTTTCCTTTTTTAAAAACAAAGTAAACCAAGGATTCTTGCAATTTTAACAAGTTCTTTGAGAAGACGCACTATGGTATCACCTAGTCTCTGTTTGTAAGTAAGTCCACTAAAAATAGCTTGAAAAAGCTTGTCTTTAATAACTTAGAATCATTATATAACTTTTAATGTAAATTCAAAACCATACTATTAGAAAGATCACATTGTACCATTTTCACTGAAGTAAAAGTGCCAAAGTTAGGAACATGAGTGCTGCTGGCAACTGTATACATTGTCTTGAATAGTTTAGTTATGGACATCTGGTTTTTTGTCTCTCCAGCACCTACATCCCTACTCTTTAAGTCGAACACCTGTTTCCTGTGGAGAACCAACTCTGTGTGATTGGTCAGAGGCTGGCTGGAGTACCCCATCTGCCAGGCCACAGTGATGGCTCTGGAATAGGCAAGTGACCCCAGCCAGGCTAATCAGAACACTCTCTGGAGTTTTGCTGCTGGAGTTCTCAGGAAAAACTGCCTCTTTCCACTGGGCAGTTAAGCTGAAAACTAGATAAACTTAAAGCTGCTGCCACCAACGTCCCTGGCAGTAGGAAGGAAGCTGTCTGCAGAATGAAATCAATACACAGAGAAAGACAGAATGAGAGGTGGAGAGAGAAAGAGGGAGCCCTAGCAACATTGTGTGAGGCTCACTATCTCAACTAGACTAAAGCCTGCTATATCCCAGACCTCAGTAATGTAAATCAATAAATTCTCTTTTACGTGATTGGATTTCCAGGTCTCCAAAGAAAAAAATCCTGAGTGCCTTATTCTAAAAATATAAATAACCTAGAAACCAGTTTTGATTCATCTGAAAATCTTTGTGGAACAAGGCAGGAGGATACAGGGAGAAAGGGAGAGATGGAAGGATGACAAGAAAGAAACTGACTATATGAGAAAGGCATATAAACAAGTTTAAAAGCAAAGTTATTTCCAAAGGATAGCTTAGTTTTTGGAGCCAGACTGCCTTGGCTTGAATTCTAGCTTGGCCACTTATAAACTGTGATTTTGATCAAGCTATTTAACCTCTTTATGCCTCAGTTTTCTCATCTGGAAAAATGAGGATGATGATAGCATCTATCTTACAGGGCTAATGTGAGGAATGAGTCAGGGCAAGGCCTGAAATATAACAGGCACTCAAAAAACACCAGCTACACCAGGCACAGTGTTTCACACCTGTAATTCCAGCAATTTGGGAGGCCGAGGGAAGTAGATCACTTGAGGTCAGGAGTTCAAGATCAGCCTGGCCAACATGGTGAAATCCCCTCTCTACTAAAAATACAAAAATTAGCTGCACATGGCAGCGCACGCCTCTAATCCCAGCTGCTGGGGAGGCTGTGGAAGGAGAATCGCTTGAGCCCAGGAGGCAGTGGTTACAGTGAGCTGAGATCGCACCATTGCACTCCAGCCTGGGTGACAGAGCCAGACTCCGTCTCAAACAAACAAATAAAAATATCCCCTATTAATAATACATTATAAGAACCCAAAAGTTAAACTTCTACCTTTAAAATAATGCATTTAGAATAATTTAATACTTTAGGAAAGGAACACAGAATTTAAAAAAAGAAGTTTCTAGCTCCATGCATATCCATACAATCGAGTATCATACAGCCAGCCATAAGAGGCATGAAGTACTGCTACATGCATGGGTGAGCCTTGAAAACATGATGCTAAGTGAAAGAAGCCAGCCACAAAGGTCATAGATTTTATTATTCTATTTATATAAAATGTGCAGAACAGGCAACTCCAGAAAAGAGAGACAGAAAGTGCTTGTGAGGGGAAGCGAACTCTAGGTTTCTTTTCAGTATGATAGAAATGTTCTAGAAGTACCTAGTGGTGATGACTGCACAACACGGTGATAACAACAAAAACCACTGAAATATATACTTTTAAATGGTGACTATTAAGTGAATTATATCCAATTAAAAATAAATCGAGTTTATCTTTAAGAAGTCTATATCATCATTTGTCAAGGGTCACTCATGTTAAGCAGATGTTAGTAAAGTGTGCTAGTGCTGTCAACAAGGGATGAGTGGTTACCAGGCCAGACATATTCATAAGGAATGAGACAGTATAGGTAATTTCTGAGTAATGTGCTTGTGTATGTCAGACAACTTAGAGTTGACTCAGAAATCTAAAGGCAAATAAATTATTAAAGCTACACTTCATTTTATTTTTTTGAGACAGGGGTCTCACTCTGTTGTGCAGGCTGGAATGCAGTGGCGCAATCTCGGCTCACTACAACCTCTACCTTCTGGGGTCAAGCAATCCTCTGACCTCAGCCTCCGGAGTAGCTGGGACTATAGGCACGTACCACCACACCCAGCTAATTTTTGTATTTTTAGTAGCAATGGGGTTTTACCATGTTGCCCAGGCTGGTTTTGAACTCCTGACTCAAGTAATCCACCTGCCTCAGCCTCCGAAAGTGCTGGGATTACAGGCATAGGCCACTGTACCCGGCCAGGCTACACTTTTATGATTATTATCTTTTTTGAGACTGAGTCCCGCTCTGTCACCCAGGCTGGAGTGCAGTTACGTGAACTCAGCTCACTGCAACCTCCACCTCCTAGGTTCAAGCGATTCTCCTGCCTCAGCCTCCCTAGTAGCTGGGATTATAGGCATGAGCCACCATGTCCAGCTAATTTTTTTTATTTTTAGTAGGGACAGGGTTTCACCATGTTGGCTAGGCTGGTCTTGCACTCCTGACCTCAAGTGATCTGCCAGCCTTGGCCTCCCAAAGTGCCGGGATTATAAGCATAAGCCACCACACCTGACCCAAACTACACTTTTTAAACGGACATTTTACACTTTAAAAATCTGTTTAGTGCTTGGTGGCTCATGTCTGTAATCCCAACAATTTGGGAGGCCAAGGCAGGAGGACTGCTTGAGGCCAGGAGTTCCAGACCCCAAATCTACAAAACTTTCTTTTTTTAAAATTACCTGGGTGTGGTAGTGCTAACCTGTAGTCCTAGCTACTAGGGGGACTGAGGTTAGAGGATCGCCTGACCCCAGGAGTTTGAGGGTACAGTGGGCTATGACCATGCCAATGCACTCCAGCCTGGGTGACAGAGCGAGACCCTGTCTAAGAGGAAAAAAAAAAAATCTGTCTTCTTTGTTTTTAGGAAGCAGATCTAAATAAAAGGAAACACAAAGCCTGATTCCTTCAACACCTTCAAGAACACATTAAAAATACTAAGAACATAGTATCTTATAAATTCTACATGAACTCCTGGTATTAAACAATTACAGAAACTGAGAAGAGTACTTCAAATGTACAGAATTATAGACACAGTGGACAATGTATTTACCATCCATGTTATAAGTTAAAGGTATCTTCAAAACTACCACCAGAGGGGAGATTCAAGATGTGTTCCTCCCTCTGTGTCATCAACTCAGAAATCATCAGATGCCATTTAATTCTGACCCTCTCACAAAGTCTATCTGTCGGCTACTCCTCTGCTTTGGGACCTGTCTATCCCCTACTTAGCACTCCCTTCACTCCAGGCTATGTTCAGTGAAAGACAATATGTACAACATCCAGTAAAATATACTAAAAGAAATGTCTGAGTTCTCACACTTCAAAGATCTAATGAAACAAAATCCTGGAAGTCTGATTAAGTATGAGGCAGTTTAGAATTATCTTTGAACATAATATATGAGAAGAAACCTCACTCAATAGAGATTCATCTGTAGATTATAAGCCAAAGACGAACTAGCCACATTCACAGAGAAAATCTAGGAAGCCCACCAGCAAAAGGAGAAATCAACTGCCTCCCTGTTTGAAATACAGATTACATGTTGAATTTATTCGACTAAAAAGTTTCCTCATAACAAATTACTACTTCTAGATGTAAACTAAAGAGTTGTAACAGAGTATAAACAATTAAAAACAGAAAAACATTAAAAAGAAACAGGAGACAATGAAAGGAAATACTGTATTTTGTAAACCTACCGAAAATCAATATCCAATAAAAGGCTTTTAATGTTAGACTTCTTGTCACCTGATGCTGTCAACTTGATCAGCTCATGCAACCTAAAGCAATTAGTGAAAGCAAATGTAATAAGATATTACAAATGTCATAGACAATAAACAAACAAACAACAAAACCATCAATGTTCTTCTGGTATTTATGATATTTCAATGAAACACTGAAGAGAATTTGGCAGGTATAATCAAGGTTTCAATTTTGCAAATATTTTTTAAGAGCAGAACTTATCTGAAACAGAGAGGTCTAAAATTATAAACAATTTAGCAGTTAAATCAGAAAGAATCTTCTCTCATGCATCAGAAAGAAATCTATGAAGATTTTTCTCAAATGGAATACAGGTTGCAAACTCCTTAAGAGAGGGACTGTGCTTTACATTTTAAATACTCAAAGCTTCATGCTATACCTTGCACAGAGTAAGTAACTACTTAATAAAATCTTCATACAGTTTCAATAGTGGTGAGAAGATAATTCTTTAAAAAATCACATGACATACCTTGGTGTTCCAACACACAGTACTCTTCTGAATCCGAGGGCAGAAAGTAAGTCTACCAAGAACTGACAGCTCCGATCAGCAAACAGATACTGGGCATTTGTCTTCTTGTTTTCCAGTGGATAAAGGAGTTGACTGGGCCTTCTTAACTGGGTAATGGACACATTACCCAGAACCTGATGCTCACTATGTTGCCCCCAGTCATCTGGTAACAACAACTGCTGACATGTTTGACAAAACTTTCTCTGAGTCAAGGGCAACTCAATAAACTTCAAGTACCTTCAAGACAAAATAAAACACAAAGAAATATATTTTAAGTTTATTGTTGTAAACACAATGTGTTTTGCTATTTTTAGCATCCAAAAAGTATTTTTACTTCCTAAAGAGTACTGCGTAAAGAAGAAAAGTAGGAAGAAATCTGTGGAATGTTGGCTAGAATTTATGTCTGGCTGCATACCTACAAAGAGGAAAAGGATCAGCAATTTCATAAGAATTGAGACACTCCAATTTAGTCACTGAATGAAGATCAATATCCATTTAAAATGTGAACATAATATATTACTCAAACAACTTAGTAGTAATGACAACTACTATCAAGTTTAAATTTATTGACAAATCCACATGTCTAACTTTTATCTGTTAAACAGTCTGGCTCACTTGACAGTCATTTTAAAATGAGAAATTAAGATCATTCTTCAAGTTCTTATGACATACTTAGCAAGAAAAATTACCTCCTAAAAGAAAAGATGTTTCTCAAAGCTCCTCTGTTCTTAGCAGTACTGATGGAGTTATAAGCTCACCTCCAAAACAACAAGACAATATTCAAAGCCTTAAAAAAGACTACACTGAATATCCCATTTGATTTCTTCCAAGTCACCCTTATATCCAATTTCAAAGTCACCATTTCTTTTTTCTTTCTTTTTTAATTTTATTAGAGATTATTGGAGAGAGAAAATAATCATGGTCAGTATGTTTAAAAACTGCTGGTTTTGTACATGTGATGCCAGCTATGATATCAGTAAGAAAACAAAAGAAAAATAAATAATATGATTGAGGAACATGGAGAGTCAGAAATGTCTAAAACTAAGCAAGTTAAAATAAATAATGCACTAAACAATCCTTATAGTTTGGGAAGAGTCATATCTTTTTTTTTTTTTTTTTTTTGAGATGGAGTCACCCAGGCTAGAGTGCCGTGGCGCAATCTTGGCTCACTGCAGCCTCCACCTCTCGGGTTCAAGTGATTCTCCTGCCTGGGCCTCCCAAGTAGCTGGGACTACATGCACGCACCACCACATCCAGCTAATTTTTCTATTTTTAGTAGAGACAGGGTTTCACCATGTTGGCCAGGCTGGTCTCAAACTCCTGACCTCAGGTGATCCGCCCGCCTTGGCCTCCCAAAGTGCTGGGATTACAGGCATGAGCCATCACATGTGGCCTAGTCATACAGTTTTGATGGAACTAAATTCAGGAACTGCAGTGTAAAAACTGTGAGCTTAACATGTAATCAAAGTGAGTTTTAAACTTTTTATATCTAAGCACAGTTTCACTTCAAAGCACCCAAGGCAGTGACAAATAGATATTCTGAATGGTTGCAGCAAGAAATAAGCTATCGTGCCGGTAATTTAAATGTTTCTATTTCTATGATAACTGTTCTTTTGACAGCTTTATCTAAAACTAGAAAGAAAAAGGAGATAGAGGGATATTAGAAGAAACTTCTTAGTAATTCAAAGTGAGAATGCCAGTAGAAGAAAGGGCCCTATGAAATGAAAGTGAAAGAACCAATAAACACTCTTCGGCAACAGAAACACTGAATTTACTATTACCTCTCATCACTAAGTACTAACAGTGTTGAACAGGCCAGGAACAGTGGCTCACGCCTGAAATCCCAGCACTTTGGGAGCCCACGACAGGAGGATCACTTGAGGCCAGGAGCTCAAGACCAGCCTGGGCAACATAGTTGAGACTCCATCTCTACAAAAAATTTTAAAAATTAGCCAGGTGTGGTGGTATGTGCCTGTAGTCCCAGCTACTTAGGAGGCAGAGGCAGGAGGATCACTTGAGCCCAGGAGTTCAAGGCTGCAGTGAGCTATGATTATGCCACCACACTCCAGCCTAGGCAACAGAGTGAGGCTCTGTCTCTAAAAGAAAAAAATGTTGACAGCTTCCGCAGACAGCTATGATGGAGTAACAGAGACCAGATTTACCATGGGCCTTCAAAAGAAGTTTTAAAAAGACAAAATATATGAAAAAGCAGTTTGAAGATATCGGACAACTAGCAGCCCAAAACAGTGAACCCCGAGGGAAGGGAACAGAGGTGAGTGGTACAGCTGCCCAGCTTCCTGCCTGTGGAGAGCTGGCAGCACAGGGATGGAGAACCGAAACACAGCCCAAGGAATTGATGAGACAGAGCTGAGCACTCCAGGAGGCTAGGCGGCCAGAATTCACAGAAAGAGTACTGGCGAATAACCAGGGAGGACAGGAGAGCAGAAAGCTGTACACTGAGAGAGAGAGAAAAAACGCTCCAGACTAGCTGACAATTCCCCTCGAGTCTTCGGCTGAGTACTGAGCAGCATGTGCACATGCAGAAACTCCCCAAGGCAAGGGAAAGAACCACTGGCCAGAAGCAGGTGGAATTATCACTGGAAAATACACACAGGTCCAGAATGGTTTGTCTCCCAACAAGCCAGAGTGGAAATGCCTCACAATACACAAGTACTCAAGTACTCAGAAGAGCACTGCCTCAGTAGGGAGGAAAAATTAGCCCTAGAACCACGAAAGGTTGCTCAGTCCTGCCTAAAAAGCTTAAAGACAAGTCTTCAAAAGCAGGGTCAGCAAACTTTCTGTAAAGGATCAGATAATAAATATTTGGAGCTTGGCAGGCCACAAAGTCTCTCAGTCACAACTATTCTGTAGTGATACCACAAAAGCAAACACAGCCAAGTGAATAGGCATGGCCAGAGTTGGCTACAGGTAGTAGTTTGCTAAATCCTGCTCAAGAACATCACACTACAACAAGTAACTGTCCCAGAACAAAATCAAAAATACACAAAGGAATTAAAAATATCCAGTATATAACAAGGTAAATCCCATACTACTAGTATCCAATAAAATATTACCAGGTATGCAAAGAAACAGAACAACATGACTCATGATTAGAAGAAAAAAAAAATCAGCAAGGCATGGTAGCTCACATCTGTAATCCCAGAGCTTTGTGAGGCTGAGGTCAGTGGATCACCTGAGGTCAGGAGTTTGAGACCAGCCTGGCCAACATGGTGAAACCCTGTCTCTACTAAAAATACAAAAATTAGCCAGGCGTGGTGGAGCACACCTGTAATTCCAGCTACTTGGGAGGCCAAGGCAGGAGAATCACTTGAACACAGGGACGGAGGCTACTGTAAGCTGAGATCACACCACTGCACTCCAGCCTCAGTGACAGAGTGAAAATTTGTCTCAAAAAAGTAAAAAATTAAAAAATCAAAATCAAAAGGTCTAAACAAACCCAGAAATGACATAGGATGATATTGGTAGAGACATTAAAGCCACTCATTGTAACTGTATTCCATGTGTTCAAGAGGTGCAGGAAAGCATGAGCCTGTTAAGCAAAGACATAGAAAATATAAAAACATCCGGCCAGGTGCGGTGGCTCACGCCTGTAATCCCAGCACTTATGGGAGGCCGAGGCAGGCAGATCATGAGGTCAAGAGATCGAGACCATCCTGGCCAACATGATGAAACCCTGTCTCTACTAAAAATACAAAAATTAGCTGGGCATGGTGGCATGCGCCTATAGTCCCAGCTACTCGGGAGGCTGAGGCAGGAGAATCACTTGAACCCATGAGGCAGAGGTTGCAGTGAGCCGAGATCACGCCACTGCACTCCAGCCTGGTGACAGAGCGAGACTCTGTCTCAAAACAAAAAAAAAAAAAAAGGAAAATATAAAAAGACGAAATCTACAAAGGTTTGTTAAAATTATTAAAAAAAAAAAACAAAACACCTTACATGGGAATAACAGTAGTTCAGGGGCTAAAGCGAAAAGCTTTGTGAACTTGAAGGTACGGTCTCAGAATGATACAAAATGAAAAACTGAGGGGCCTAAATATGTGGAAATGAAGCCCTCAAAATAAAGGGGAGGGTGGATTTTGAAAGTATAATAAATGATAATTTTCAAAATTACATCAAAAGATCCAGGAAGCTCAGAGAACCACAGTACAAGAAACATGAAGGAAAACTACAAGACACATCATAATAAAATTATTTATTTATTTTCATTTTTTTGAGACAGAGTCTCATTCTGTCACCCAGGCTGCAGTACACTGGTGTGATCACAGCTCACTGCAGCCTTGACCTCCCAGACTCAAGCAGTCCTCCCACCTCAGCCTCCTCAGCAGCTACAACTACAGGTGCTTGCCACCACACCTGGCTAATTTTTGTATTTTTTGTAGAGACAGGGTTTTGCCATGCTGTCCAGGCTGATCTAAACTCCTGGGCTCAAGTGACCCACTTGCTTTGGCCTCCAAAAGTCTTGGGATTATAGGCAAGAGCCACTGCACCTGGCCAGAATGATTTAAAATCAATGATAGTCCAGATGCAGTGGGTCACACCTGTAATCCTAACACTTTGGGAGGCCAAGGTGAGAGGATCGCTTGAGCCCAGGAGTTCGAGACCAGCATGGGAAACATGGCAAGACCCTGTCTCTACAAAAAAATACAAAAATTACCCAGGTGTGGTGGCAAGTGCCTGTAGTTGCAGCTGCTCAGGAGGCTGAGGTGGGGGGACTGCTCGAGCCTGGGAGGTCAAGGCTGCAGTGAGCCATGATTGCACCACTGCACTCCAGCCTGGGTGACAGAGCAAGATCCTTTCTCTAAACAAACAAAAAAACAAGCAATGATAAAGAGAAACCAGAGGAAAAAAGATAGATTGTGGACTGGGCAAGGTGGCTCAAGCCTGTAATCCCAACACTTTGGGAGGCTGAGGTGGGCAGATCACTTGAGGTCAGGAGTTCGAGACCAGCCTGGCCAATATGGCAAAACCCCATCTCTACGAAAAATACAAAAATTAGCTGGGCATGGTGGTGGGTGCCTGTGATCCCAGCTACTCATGAGGCCAAGGTAGGAGAGTTGCTTGAACTTGGGAGACAGAGGTGGCAGTGAGCAGAGATCGTGCCACTGCACTCCAGCCTGGGAGACAGAGTGAGACTCCGTCTTGGAAAAAAAAAAGATAGATTCTGTACAGACGAACAGAGATAAAGATAAAAATGACATCAGGCTTCTCACTGAAAACAATATAAGCAAGATGACATTGGGTCAATACCAATTCTACACAAATTCTTTCAAAAAACTGAAGAGAGAACACTTACCAATTCATTTCATGAGGCCACCATTATCCCAATACCAAAACCAGGAAAAAAAATTACAAGGCAACTACAGACAAACATGCCTTATGAACACAAACTCAAAAATTATTAACAAAATTTAAGCAAATCAAAACCAGCAATATATAAAAAGCTATTACATCATGACGAAATATAGTTTATCCTAGCAAAGCAAGGTTGTTTAAAAGTTTGAATTCAATCAATGTAATTCATATTAACAGGCTTTTTTGAAAAAAAGATAATTTCATTAGGTGCCCCCCAAAAACGCACTTGACAAAATCAAACATCCACTGATGATAAAGATTCTCAGGCTGGGTATGGTGGCTCATGCCTCTAATCCCAGCACTCTAGGAAGCCTGAGGCAGGAGGACGGCTTGAGCCCAGGAGTTTGAGACCTGCCTGGGCAACACAGTAAGATCCTCATCTCTTCAAAAAGTAAAAAAATTAGCTGGGTGTGGTAGTACACACCTATAGTCCCAGCTACTGGGGAGGCTGAGGTGGGAGGATCACTTGAACCAAGGAGGTAGAGTCTACAGTGAGCCATGATCGTCCCACTGCCCTCCAATCTGGGTGACAGAGCAAGACAGAGAAAAAGAAAGAAAAGAAAGGAAGGAAGGGTGGTGGGGGACGAAGCAAGTAAGGAAGGAACGGAAGGAAGGAGGGAAGGAGGGAAGGAGGGAAGGAGGGAAGGAGGGAGGGAGGGAGGGAGGGAGATTCTCAAAAAACCAGAAATAGAAGGGCACTTCTACAATCTGATAAAGGGCATCAAAGAAAAACCTATTGCTAACACCATACAGCTGAAAGACTGAATGCATTTCCCCAAGACTGGGACAAAGCAAAGATGTCTGCTCTCAGCCTTCTACTCGACATTGACTAAGGGTTTCTAGCCAGTTTGATAAGACAAGATAAAAAAACAAAAGACATAAATTGGAAAGTAAACATTAAAACTTCTTTATTCACAGACAACATGATCACACATGTACAAAATCCTAAGGAAATCTTCAAAAAGCCTGCTAGAACTAGTAAGTAAGCTTATCAAGATTTCAAAATAAAAGATCAATATATAAAATCAACTGTATTGTTAGAGTCTAGCAATAGACAATTAGAAACTGAAATTTTAAAACAATACAATTTAAAACCACATTAAAATACATGAAATACTTCGTGATAAATCTGACAAAAGATGTGTAACTGCAGTGCACTGAAAATTACAAAACATCACCAAGAAAAATTAAAGATGACTTAGTAACTGAAGAGATACACCACAGTCACAGACTAGAAAACTCAATACTATTAAGATGTCAATTCTCCCCAAATGTATCTATAAAATCAACACACTCTCAATCAAAATCCCAGCAGGATTTTTTGTAGAAACTGAAAACCTCATTCAAAAAATTCATATGAAAATAAAAAGGACCTATAATAGCGGAAACAACTTTGAAAATAATGGACAAAGAAGACTTACACTACCCAATTTCAAGAAGACATTATAAAGTCACAGTAATCAAGACAATGTGGTATTTATGTAAAGATATACCTATAGGTCAAGGGAAAAAAATAGTCCAGAAAAAAAAACACATATAAAGTTAACTGACTTTTGAGAAAGGTGCTGCAGTAGGCTGAATGATGCCCCCTCACTCCCCACATCCTACCAAAGAGAATATGGAACCTGTGAATACACATATAGGACCAAAGAGAATTTACAGATGTCATGAAGTGACGGATCTTAAGATGAGGAGGTTATCCTGGGTCATCTGGGTAGACTCAACATAATTACAAGGGTTCTTATAAGCCAGAGGCAGTGGAGTGAGGGAGAAGATTATGTGGTGACAGAAGCAGAGACTGGAGTGATGTGCTATAAAAACGGAGCACGGGCCACAGCCAAAGATGCAGGTGGTCCCAGACGCTGGAAAAAGCAAGAAACAAATTCTCTTCTCAGAGTCTTCAGAAGGAACTAGCCCCACCAACAGCTTAACTTTAACCTGCTTTAGTTGATTTTGGATGTTGGGCCTCCATTACTGGAAGAATAAATCTATGTCGTTGTATACCACTAAGCTTGTGGTAAGTTGCTCCAGCAGCAACAGGAAAACTAATGCAGGTGCCAAATCAATTCAACAAGGAAAGGATAATATTATCAACAAATGGTGCTGGAAAAGTATTTTTTTTTCTCTCTAATCCCACAGCAGATAAGGTGCTGGAAAAGTCTGAAAGCCATATGCAAAGCAATGAACCTTGACTCTTACCTCACTTCATATAAAAAAACTAACCCCGAATAGATCATAGACCTAACTCTAGGAACTAAAACTAGAAAACTTTAAAGAAAACATATTAGAAAATAATAATGACTGGGTTTGGCAAAGATTTCTTAAATAAGACTAAGCACAAAGTGTAAGAATCAATAAAATGAACTTCGTCATGACTTAACATTTTTTTCTTCAAAAGATACTCTTAAGTGACAAAAAATAAATTGAACTTAATAAAAAATTTTAAACTTTTGCACAGCAAAGGATACCATTAAGAAAGTGAAAAGACAGCACAGTGGCTCACGCCTATAATCCCAGTACTTTGGGAGGCTGAGGCAGGCAGAGCCCTTGAAGTCAGGAGTTCGAGATCAGCCTGGCCAACATGGTGAAACACCATCTCTACTAAAAAAAAATTAGCCGGGTGTGGTGGCACACGCCTGTAATCCCAGCCACTCAGGAGGCTGAGGCACGAGAATCACTTGAACTCAGGAGACAGAGGTTGCAGTGAGCCGAGATGGCACCACTGCCAAAAAAAAAAAAAAGAGAGAGTGAAAAGACGACCCAAGAATGGCAGAAAATATTTCTTTTTTTTTTTTTTTTTTTTTTGAGACGGAGTCTCCCTGTCGCCCAGGCTGGAGTGCAGTGGCGAGATCTCGGCTCACTGCAGGCTCCGCCTCCCGGGATTCACGCCATTCTCCTGCCTCAGCCTCCCGAGTAGCTGGGACTACAGGCGCCCACTACCTCGCCCGGCTAATTTTTTGTATTTTTAGTAGAGACGGGGTTTCACTGTGTTAGCCAGGATGGTCTCGATCTCCTGACCTCGTGATCCACCCGCCTTGGCCTCCCAAAGTGCTGGGATTACAGGCGTGAGCCACCGCGCCCGGCCGAAAATATTTCAAATTATATGCCAGGTAAAGGAATTGTATCCACAATGTATAAGGAATAACTCAACAATAAAAAGACAATTAGCCCAATTCAAAAATAGCAAAGGAACTGAATAGACATTTCTCCAAAGATAATACAAAAACAGTCAATAAGCACATAAAAAGATGTTCCATGTCATAAACACAAATTAAAATCACAATACAATGTCACTTCACAATGGCTATAATTAAAAGGACAGATAATAACAAGTGTTGTAGGAGACAGGAAAAAAATCTGATTCCTCGTACGTTGCTGATAGGAATGTAAAACGGTGCAGCCACTTTGGAAAAGTTTGGCAGTTTTGGAAAAATTAAACGTATATCCACCATATGATCCAGCTACTCTATTCCTAGTATTTACCCAAGAGAAATAAAACCATGAGTCCATACAAGGACATATACATAAATGTTCATAGCAGCTTTTTTCTACAACACAGTAACTGGAGGAAACTTATATGACTACAAACAGATGAATGGAAATATCCATACAGTGGAACATTATTCGTGAATAAAGGAATGAACTGTTGACAAACACATCAACATGGATAAATATCAAAAATATTTATGCTAAATAAATGAATGCACCTGCCCTTAAAAAACAGTACATACTGGCCAGGCACAGTGGCTCATGCCTGTAATCCCAGCACTTTGGGAGGCCAAGGCAGGCAGATCATGAGGTCAGGAGATAGAGACCATCCTGGCCAACATGGTGAAACCTCATCTCCACTAAAATACAAAAAAAAAAAAAATTAGCCAGGCATGGTGTGCACCTGTAGTCCCAGCTACTTGGGAGGCTGAGGCAGGAGAATCGCTTGAACCTGGGAGGTGGAGATTGCAGTGAACTGAGATTGCACCATTGCACTCCAGCCTGGCAGCAGAGCGAGACTCTGTCTCAAAAAAAAAAAAAAAACACAAAAAACAGTACATACTGTACGATTACCTTTATATAAACTTCTAGAAAATGCCGACTAATCTATAGTGACAGAAAGCAGATCAGTGGATGTCTGGGGACCCTAGGGGTGCAGGGATATAGAATATTGGGGCAGGCAGAAACTTCTGGAGGTAATAGTATGTTCATTAACTTGACTGTGGTGATGATTTCACGGGCAGATGTATATGTCAAAATTCATCAAATGGTACATTTTAAATATGTGCAATTTATGATATGTAAAGTATCATACCTCAGTAAAGGTAAAAATGATGGGGGAAAAGTGAATTTTCCACTAATGATCCCCATATCACTAAGGTGACCACACATCCCTGGTTGCCCAGGACAGTCCCAGTTGACATCTTCCATCCTGGAGTTCTGTCTGGTTATTGCCTCCTTCCCCCTACAGTCTCAAGAAGTATCTGGGTCTGGATTTAAATTCTACAGTCACCCTACATACAACCCCCATCATATTGTGAAAATTAAATCAAATTCCAAAAGTGCTATATCATAAAGAGTAATAATCTCAAAGAACTACAAAACACCAAATTTTAAAAATACATATTTTCATAGTGATATGAAAAAAAAACACAACAGAACAATGATCCTGATTAATCAACTTTGGAAGTTGCTGCAGTACCAAATCATTTTTCTAAAAACTAGTTAAAAAGGACAGGAGGGGAAGGATGAAACATTTATCTTTTCTTTCCCACATGAACTGTAACAAAGTAAGCTAACAGTTGGTGAAACAAAGTTCTTTTTTACAGAAGAATTACAGCTAATGAATGCATAAACAATGACAAGATTCTAAAACCTTTTACAACCTCTGGGCAATGATCATCAGTTACAGCTAAAATCATTAGACAAAGGGCTGATGGGGAGCTTTGTAATGGATGGTTTATTGCCGGCTAATACCTGAACACGTGATTAATCTTAATATCACAAAAAGGAACAACCAAACATTATCTGCCTTTTGATGTGATGCAAAGAATTAGCCTTAAGAGGTGACTAGAGTTGCTACTGGGGAAGGAGAAATGCAGAGGTGGAAACAGGAGTGTTGATTATTCTTTGCAAATGCACTGTCATAGAACAACTTGATTCTACTACCATATATAGATTTTTTAAACTGAGATACAATTCAGGTACCATAAAATTCACCCTTTCAAAGTGGACAATTCAGGCCAGGTGCAGCGGTTCATGCCTGTAATCCCAGCACTTCGGGAGGCCAAGGTGGGTGGATCGCTTGAAGCCAGGAGTTCAAGACCAGCCTGACCAATATGGCAAAACCCCATCTCTACTAAAAATACAAAAATTAGCCAGGCATGGTGGCGTGCACCTGTAATTCCAGCTACTTGGGAGGCTGAGACACGAGAATCTCTTGAACCTGGGAGGCAAAGGTTATGGTGAGCCAAGATCACGATGCCACTGCACTCCACCCTGGGTGACACAGTGGGGCTCTGTCTCAAAAAAATAAAAAAAATAAAGTGTACAATTCAGTGGTTTTTAAACAGAAGTCTTTTATTAATTAAAAAAAGGTTAAATCAAAAATGATATGTGGCTATTGTATGATTCTGTTTATATGAAACATCTAGAATAGGCAAATCCATAGAGACAGAAAGTAGAATAGTGGTTGCTAGAAGCTGGGGTGGGGAGTGGGGAAATGGGAGTAACTGCTGACAGGCATGAGGTTTCCTTTTGAGGTGATGAAAATGTTCTGGAAATAGATTGTAATAGTTGTACATCTTTGTACAGTGAGCCATGATCATGCCACTGAATTCCAACCTGGGTGAGAGAGCAAGACCCTACCTCAAAAACAAACAAACAAATAAATAAAAAGAGAGCCTGTCAGCCTGCATCACAAAGCAAAATCCAACCACTCTATTTCATCATTTCTAAGGTGTATATTTTTTCACATTTTAGCATCTGCAATATGGAGATATGATTTATAATTGCCGTCAGCCAAACAGAGGCCAAGATGTAGTTCAGACCTCGTGAAAACTTGGTCCTTGCTCTTGAAGCTGTCATGTCTTCAGGCAAGTGTTGTGCATGGCTGGAACTACAGGTGGAGAGTTAATTGCCATCACCCTATGATTCATTACTGAAACATATCATGTACTTTCAGTCAGCCACCAGAACAGAGCAACAGGACATGCATTTGATATCAGAGAAGTAAATATCCCTTGGCCAGGTACTGTGGCTCACACCTGTAATCCCAGCTACCCGGGAGGCTGAGGCAGGAGGATCACTTGATTCCAGGAGTTCCAGATCAGCTTGGGCAATATATTGAGAACCCCCATCTCTAAAAATATTTTAAAACACTAGCCAGCCAGGCGCCGTGGCACACACCTGTAATCCCAGCACTTTGGGAGGCTGAGGCGGGTAGATCACTTGAGGTCAGGAGTTCAAGACCAGCCTGGCCAACATGGTGAAACCCTGTCTCTACTAAAAATACAAAAATTAGCTGGGCGTGGTGGCGGGAGCCTGTAATCCCAGCTACTTGGGAGGCTGAGGCAGGAGAGTCGCTTGAACCCCAGAAGTGGAGGTTGAAGTGAGCCAAGATCACGCCACTGCACTCCAGCCTTGGCAACAGAGGAAGACTCCATCTCAAACAAACAAACAAACAAAATTAGCCAGGAAGACCCCTTAATCCCAAAAGTTGGAGGCTACAATGAGCTATGAATGCACCACTGCACTCCTGCCTGGGCAACAGATGAAACTCTGCCTCCAAAAAAAGAAAGAAAAGAAAGGAAAGAAGAGAAAGAAAGAAAAGGAAAGGAAGAAAGAGCGGCAGCAAGAGTGAAAGAGAGAGAAAGAAAGAAAGAGACAGACAGAGAAAAGAAAGAAAAAATATACCTGGTTGAAAGAATAACAACAATAATTAAGGCCTTTAGAGGACCTAAGAAAGGAAAATCCCACAAGTAGAGGAAGTTGTATCGGGTTTTGTTACTCAAATATGGTCAAAAGGACTACCTATCACCCACTGAGTAACACTAGCTGAAGGCAGAAGTTGCAAAATCACTAGGAAGGGAAGAAAGAAAGTTCAAAGCAATGAGGGGCTGATGTGGTGATGATTCACTCACCATAAGGAGCTGAGTTTAATCATTTTTAAAAGAAGGAAAAGAACACTGCAAAATGAACCTCCACTTACATGATACATCTTTGTGCCTTGTCAATTAACTCTTTCCTTTAAATATTTCCAAACTGCCCTTCAGAAAGCTTCACTGCTAGTTTATTAACCTTTTCTTGATAAAAGATAAACTGAGATCTTGTGCATATTTCTCTCTATTCAAAATCACAACATAATCAGCAACTATTATGCCTTAAATTTAACATTCAGACACATGGCCTTCTAAAAGGTTGGTAGAGAGAACATGAGAATATGAAGCACTCAAGATTACTCAGCTTTCCCCCCTTATTCGTATTTACAACACATTCCCCAGGGGGAGAGAAATTCATTCTGCTGCATGGCTCAGCATGATTCACAAATTGCAGGCTAGCATTTTGAAATGTCATTTTTATTGATCTCCATTTGATGTTCCATTTGCCTTTCCTGGAGTACACAAATTATGTTTATGGCATTTCTCTAAGAGCAGACCTTGAAAATCTCAGTTTAAATGAGATCTGAAAAAAAATAACCAAATGAAATATCAACGAAACAAAACTATTTGGATGCACATAAATTAATGCTGATTTTAGCATTTAAATATCTTCCCTAAGTCTTCATAGGTCACAATAAGGGTGCAAACATACTATATAACAAACATAATAACACATTTCAGAGCGTAACAGGCAGCTAAAAACTATAAAAAAAAAAGCAAATCTCAGGCACAAAATGTAAATATGTCAACTGAACACATATGAAACATAAAGCATGCTTCAAAGAGTGAGATTAGAAAAATGAAAATCAAATCCTACTCTGTAAACCTAGAAATCTGTGCAGCGCTACCAATCCTATAATAAAAATCAGCTAACAGGTCAATTTATCTTGCTAGCTACCATAAGTCCTTACAAATGATTTTAAAAATAAATTAGTCAATGAAAAGCTATTGTAACTGCACAAAAACATGAAAAATTTGCTTTATAGAATATGTATAATTTTAAGAATCAGTATAAAGTTTAAATGCAGTTTAATATTTTCAAATATAATAGTTGTTTAATAAGCTAACTTATAAATGCGTTATACAAAATTAAATTATCCACATTAGAAAATAATTACACTCTCAAGCAATAGTACATCATCCTTAGGTCTACTTACACATGAGAATGAACTGCTAGTCTCAAGCTGAAGACAGACAAAGAGAATAGGTTATTTATTATGCCTTTGATTTTAAAAAGCCAAAATTATAATAGGACTCTTTATCTTAAGACACTGAATATTTTCAGAATGACTGATTTCAAACCGTTTGCTCCAGAGAAAGCATATAATAAAGCATAGGAACATTGATTACAAAGTGATACAGTGAAATCAATGATATTAAATTTCTACCCATCTTCCAAAACCTGTTCAGATGTCCTCTCCTTACCCTGTATTGATCACCTAAGCCACAAGTTACGCCCTAACGCTTCTGACTTCCAAAGCACTTAGCCTTTTCTTTCTTTTTTTTTTTTCTTTGAGACGGAGTCTCGCTCTCTCGCCCAGGCTGGAGTGCAGTGGCGCAATCTCGGCTCGCTACAAGCTCTGCCTCCCAGGTTCACGCCATTCTCCTGCCTCAGCCTCCCGAGAAGCTGGGACTACAGGCGCCCGCCACCACGCCCAGCTAATTTTATTTGTATTTTTAGTAGAGACGGGGTTTCACCATGTTAGCCAGGATGGTCTCGATCTCCTGACCTCGTGATCCACCCGCCTAGGCCTCCCAAAGTGCTGGGATTACAGGCGTGAGCCACCGCACCCGGCCAGCACTTAGCCTTTTCTATGAATACTGTAGTTACTTAACACACCTTACTTTATACTAAATTATCTTTATTTCTATATCTCAACCCCATTACTAGCATTTTAAATGCTTTTTGAGCCTTCAATAAATACCTACTGAATGAATGAATGAGTGAATGAATGACTAGGTGGACAGATGGTTGGATGGAGACTTCTGGCCACACAATCCAAGGTAATGGGTCACAGATGGTTTAAGATATTGAAAAGCATTTTATTGAGACATACTGGCAAGAATTAGCACTAGATAAAAGATGAAATTATGGCCCCCCAAAAAAAATAACCTTTTGGAAATTCTTTAATAATTCATATTTTACCCAGCTTTTGTGTTCTAATTAATATAAAATATGAATTTCAAAAAAATTTTTATCAAAAAAATATACTCTGGCACTACAAAGATAAGAACAGTGGTTTAGGCCTGGCATGGTGGCTCACGCCTGTAATCCCAGCACTTTGGGAGGTCAAGATGGGCAGACCACCGGAGGTCAGGAGTTTGACACCAGCCTGGCCAACATGGTGAAACCCCGTCTCTACTAAAAACACAAAAATTAGCTGGGCATGGTGGCAGGTGCCTGTAATCCCAGCTACTGAGAGGCTTGATAGGAGAATCACTTGAAACCAGGACGTGGAGGTGGCAGTGAGATGAGATCGCGCCACTGCCCTCTAGCCTGGGCGACAAGAGTGAAACTGTAGCTCAAAAAAAAAAAAAAAAAAAAAAAAGAGAGAGAGTGAAAAAAAAAAAAGAACAGTGGTTTAGCTCCAAACTAAAATTTTACTATGCATAAAAATAAGATCACCTAGATTTTCTTACAGAGTTTAATTAAATCACCAATATCCTTCTAACAGAAACATGCTTATCAGATAAAAGTGTTAAGGACAGAATACAAAACTATGTATACATTATGGCTACAAACAAACCTGGCATTGGAAAAAAAGCCAGAAGGAAATAATACAAAATGACCAAGGTGATGAGTTCAAAGGAAGAAACCACGGACCGTGTGGTTCTACTTTCTCCGTCTTCAATACTCTATTTTCTCTCAATAATCACTATGATAAATCTCTACATAAGTCCTTACCTTTTCTCTCCTCATGTATCCTCAAATTAAATCACTATGCATCATATATTACTATCTGCTTTTACATTTAAAAACAATCTTTTAGAATCAGGCATAAGATGAGTCACAGCTTAGTACTTCTCATAATGTGAACATGATAAAGTATAACTCCTATAAGCTTCAGTTTTCTCATTGAAGTAAACCACCTCTGCAGGACTAAATAATATCTCATGTAAAACACCTAGCACAGTGCCTACCTCACAGTAGTGCTCCATTTTCTTTTCTTTCTTTTTTTTTTTTTTTTTTTTTTGTGACAGCGTCTCACTCTGTCACCTGGGCTGGAGTGTAGTCGCACGATCTTGGCTCACCTCTGCCTCCCAGGTTCAAGCGATTCTCCTGTGTCAGCCTCCCAAGTAACTGGGATTATAGGCGCTGCCACTACGCCTGGCTAATTTTTGTAATTTTAGTGGAGATGGGATTTCACCATGTTGGCCAGGCTGGTCTCGAACTCCTGACCTCAAGTGATCCACCCACCTCGGCCTCCCAAAGTGCTGGAATTACAGGTATGAGCCACCA
The DNA here is from genome assembly GCF_000001405.40 of Homo sapiens. Classification (NCBI taxonomy): domain Eukaryota; kingdom Metazoa; phylum Chordata; class Mammalia; order Primates; family Hominidae; genus Homo; species Homo sapiens. Next base: position 25,317,438 of record NC_000004.12, on the reverse strand, counting down.
TGCCTGGCCTCAATTTTCTTTAATTCCCTTTTCAAGATGTTTTGGGTGATGACTGAATTCCCACACAGTGAATACATAGACATCTCTGACTAACCACTGTAGTTAAGGGACAATCAAATTATCCTGAGAAATGCCTCCTGTATCAAATGACTTTAAAATCTACTACTAAACAGCTCAGGAAAAATATTATAAATACACCCCAGTACTCCTCTGTGCTTAGTCTAAATGAGGCCTCACAATCTTTCTGAACACAGCAGCCCAGGTAAAATGAAGGAGCTGCCATAAAAGTAAAAACCTATTTGTCATCAGTAACCTAGACAAGAGGCTTTTTAAGGAGCTTCTCCCAGCACATACTGTACAATGTCAGTGACACAGGTAAGAGATAAATTCTTTTCACAAGTTTGTCAAAAAATTACATCTATGACTCAACTCTAATCCACCCAATAAAACATTTCAACAATGCAGATTTTTAAAAATAGATGTTTAGAGATTTTTAAAGTTTGGTTTAGTATTTCAAAAAAGAAACATCACAGCAAATCTTCATAACAATGGATTTGATAATGGGTTCTGATCTATACACCGAAAGCACAAGCAACAACAAAAAAAATTGATAAATTGAACTTCATCAAAATTAAAACTCTTGTGTTTCAAAGGACATCAAGAAAGTCAAAAGACAACCTACAGAATAGGAGAAAATATTTGCAAATCATATATTTGGCAAAGTTGTAATATCCAGAACATATAAAGAACTCCTGTGACTCAACAACAAAAAGATAACCCAATTAAAAATAGATAAAGGACTCAGACATTTTTCCAAAGATCATACATAAATAGCCAGTAAGCACATGAAATGATGATTCACATCATTAGTAATTTGATAAAAAACAAAAATCAAAGCTGCAATGACATACCACTTCACAATTACTAGGATGGTTGTAATCAGAAAAACAAGAAATAATAGGTGTTGGCAAGGATGCGGAGAAATTGGAATGCATATACACTCCTAGTGGGAATGTAAAATGGTGCAGCCACTATGGAAAACAGTTTGGCGGTTCCTCAAAAAATTAAACACAGAATTACTGACAATTCCACATCTAGGTATATACCCAAAAGAATTGAAGACAGGGTCTCAAACTAATATTTGTATATCAATGTTCACTGTAGCATCATTCACAACAGCAAAAAAGTAGACACAGCCCAAGTGTCCATCAACAGATGAACAGATTTTTAAACTGTGGTATAGACAGACAACGGATATTATTCAGTTGTAAAAAGGAATACAGTTCTGATACATGCTACCACATGCATGAACCTTGAAGACATTATGCTAAGTAAAATAAGCCAGACCCAAAAGGACAAATATTGTATAGTCTCACTTGTATGAGGTACACAGAATTGTCAAATTCATAGCAACAAAAATAGTCGGGCACAATGGCTCATGCCTGTAACCTTCACAGTTTGGGAGGCTGAGGTGGGCGGATCCCTTGAGCCCAGTAGTTCTAGACCAGGAGTTCTGGGCAACATAGCAAGACCTTATCTCTATAAAAAATAATAATAAATTAGCTGGGTGTGGTGGCGTGTGCCTGAAGTCCCAGCTACTCATGAGGCTGAGGTGGAGGACTGGTTGAGCCCAGGAGGTTGAGGCTATAGTGAGTCGTGACAGCACCACTGCACTTCAGCCTGGGCAACACAGAGTGAGACCCTGTCTCAAAAAAAAAAAAAAAAACACACAAAAATAAATCAGAGGTTACTAGGGTTTGGGAGGAGGTAGAATGAGGAGTTACAGCATAATGGTGGCAGTTTCTGTTTGGAGTGATGAAAAAGTTTTGCGAATAGGGGCAATGGTTACACAACAACATGAATGTACTTAATGTCACTGAATTGCACACTTGAAAATGATTAAAATGGCAAATTTTATATTATATATGTAACTACAATAAAAATAAATAAATGAAAGTAAACTTAAAGGCACAGAAAAAGGCAATAACAAAAAAAATGACAGCTAAACTAATAAAGAAAAATGACACTGCATCAGTACCTTTCCACACACTGCGTTCGGGACAGGGGAGGCTGACATCTTCGGTTATGAGCTTCTCGGGCAGCAAGTCTAGCTCCTGACAACTGAAAGAGAGTACAAAACCCATTGAATAAACTGTGAAATATCTATCATCCTAGAAGAACTGGCATCACATTCTGACATCAAGAAGTCAGAAATTCAACCAACTCAACAGGCATTCATTTCAGGAGAAAACAAAACAGCGAAAACTGGGAAAATTCTAGAGCAGCTTGAAGCAATATCCAGCATATTAAAGCACTGAGAGATTAACATATGTTCACTGTAGCATCATCCACAATAGCAAAAAGGTGGACACAAACCAAGTATTCACCTTAATGGGTCTGCAGAAGAGTGGTATATAATACTGTTTTACCATAAACCTAACAAAACTGAAAATTCTCTGGTCAAAGTTTTCAGAAACTTCAACTGGAGCCGAGTTCAAGAGGATACCAAGCTCATGACTATATCTCTAAGTGCCTTCATTGGTCATCTAATAGCTGTATAAGGGATGTTCAATGCAAATGTTCAAAAAAAGTGTTTTTTAACACTTTCTGGAATGATCATGATTTCTCTTTAGTGAGCAATCTGTATCTGCCAACGGTGCTATCGACTGAATGTTTGTGCCCCCTAAAATTCGTATGTTGAAGCCTTAACCCCAATGTGATGGTATTTAAATGAGGCGCCTTTGAGAGGTAATTACGTCAAGAGGGTAGAGCCCTCAGGAATGAGATTAGTGTCCTTCTAAGACAGACAGTGCTTGCTTCCTCTCTCTGGGAAATGAGGATATAAAGAAAGGATGACCCTCTGCAAATCAGGAAGAGGACAGGACCTACACCAGACACTAGATCTGCCAGCATCTTGATCCTGGACTTCCCAGTCTCCAGAACTGTAAGAAACAGATGTCTGTCGTTTAAGCCACACAGCCTATGGTACTTCTGTTACAGAAGCCCAAGCTAACACACAGAAGATCAGCCCCACCCAATATTACCACCTCAGAGAGTCTTATGGGGAAATAAGACTTTGAGACAGTAGTTTAAGATATCAGTAATCAGAGTAAACATGAACTCATTTTCTGAACCAACAAACATAGTATCTCCATCTCTCTTAAGAGATTTATCTTGTATGTTCAGACCGCATATTTTTATTGGTTTACACGTTCTCAACAAAATTGTCACACATACCAAAAATAAAAAATAAATATCCAAAAAGTTGATATACCTTTTCATCTTCCCACTGAAAAAAATTACAGTCTTTTCTATCTCTACAGGCTGAACAGGCATAAAACCTCCGAGTTTCTTCTTTCCCTTGGGTCACCTTTACAAACAGAAGAGTGGGTCCTAGTTCCAGAATAGAAAAAAAAAAAAAAAGTGTCAAGTAATGGTCATCTACGTCAAGTTCTTAGTTTTCGCTGCCCTTAAATAAAATTTGTTTGAGCTTTAGGCACAATTTATCATAATTAAATCCATCTCTTTGGTTGGTTGTTTTTTGTTTTGTTAGGGTTTTTTGTTTTGTTTTCTTGAGACAGGGTCTCCCTCTGTCGCCCAGGCTGAAGCGCACTGGCACAATCATGGCTCACTGAGATCCTGCTTCCTAGCCTCAAGCGATTCTCCCGCCTCAGCATCCCGAGTAGCTGGGACTACAGTTGCGTGTCCCCAGCTGTTTTTCTTTTTTTGTAGACGGAGTGTCATCATTTTTGCCCGGGCTAGTCTCAAACTCCTGGGCTCAAGCGATCAGCCCGCCTCGGCCCCCCAAGTGCTGGAACTACAGGTGCACGCCACCACGCCGGCTTCTCTGTGTTTAATGAATGTTTCTTTTCTCTCTGTTACAACATTCCGGCAGTGACTACTTATAAATAATTTTTGAAAACCGGTCTCTTCAGAAAGAAAATGCTATTGTCGGTACAGTTGCTGTCTACGTTGTGAATATTACAAACCTGAGACTAAAACAAGGAAGGGACTCAGAGAATTGAGGACTTTGACATCTCTTGCGCGGTTACCCTTGCAGTGAAAACCTGAGCTTTGAGCTGGAAACGCCCACTTTCTGTAAGTTAGAGAAAAACTGAGTCTAGTTCGCAGGCAAGAATTACACTGTTTTTCTCCCTAATTTTTTATTTTTGAAGGGAGAGCAAATCAACAAATGAAATCCCCAAGTACTTGTCAACGAGAACTATTCAATACCATGCATTCTTCTCTTTGCCTACTTTTCTGCCCCTTCCCCCCAAAAGAGATGAAATAGTCCTGGAGCCAAAACCACAAGAGTGGAGACTTGCTCTGAATGTTTCTCAAGTAAGTTGAAAAACACCGCGTTCCGAGGAAGGAGTATTTTCTAGGCAGCACACTGGTGAGGGAAAGAGGCGGGTAAAAATACAGGAGCCCCAAAAGCCACTTCCAAGCCAACTCACACCCTCAGCGCCCGGCAGTTAGGCTGAGCCCAGACTCTGACCCACCGTGAGGGCACAGCGGGGCGGGGACGGCAGGATCCAAAGGAAGCACCACCTCCATTCCCGAGCTTCCCCGGCACCCTGCGCTGCCCTCTGCCTCCACGGCTTCAAACCCATTCCTGGAGGCCGCCATCTTCCCGCCGCCGTCCCGAAAGCCTCAGTACGAAACAAGAATGCTGAGAAAGAGCGCCCCCGCGACCCAAAGCGACCCACAGCGCCCCCAGGCGCTTAGGAGGAGCTTGGGCGGGGGCTGCCGCGGCGGAGGCCACGCCCCGAAACGCAGTCCCCGCCCACCTGGGGGCTGCACCTAAGCGGCCCCTAGCGGTGGGGCTCGCAGGTCACTTGCGGGACCTGTGCCATGAGCTCAGCGCATGAAGCACCCTCCTTTCTTAAGAATATAGCCAGGAAGTGAGATGATTCGAACAAAGACTTGGTTGTATTGTAGGTCCAAAAGGCAGCATTACCACCTCTGCCAAATAGCTGAAATGGCTGCAGCAGCTGTGATTTAAGGATCATTCTTTGTTTTTCAAAGTCACAGTCACTGCATCATCCTCTGTAACTTTTGGACAATGCTGAAAGTTGCACATCATAGTTGCATACTCATTGACATTTATACATAAGAAAGAAAGAAAACCGTCCTGATTTGCAGATGACATGATTGTCCACATTTTAAAAATCCGAAAGAATCTATCAGGAAAACACCTCCGGTTTAAACTGAGTTCAGCAAGGTTGCAGGATATGAGATAAACACACAAACATCAACTGGATTTCTAAATACTAGCAATGATCACAAGAACACTAAAAAATAGAATACCACTTACAATCACTCAAATAAATGAAATAGGTGTAAATCTAACGAAATATGTACAGAGCTTTATGTATGCTAAAAACTCCAAAATGCTTGATTAAAAAAAATCAAGGCTGAGTGCAGTGGCTCACACCTGTAATCCCAGCACTTTGGGGGGCCAAGGAGGGAGGATTGCTTGAATCCAGGAGTTCGAAACCAGCCCGGGCAACAAAGCGAGACGACATCTCTAAAATAAATAAGCAATTTTTAAAGTTTTTTAAAAATCAAAGAATAGCCGGGCACGGTGGCTCACGCCTATAATCCCAGAATTTTGGGAGGCCAAGGCAGGTGGATCACAAGGTCAGGAGATCGAGACCATCCTGGCTAACACCGTGAAACCCCGTCTCTACTAAAAATACTAAAAATACAAAAACAAAAAAATTAGCCAGGCGTGGTGGCGGGCACCTGTAGTCCCAGCTACTCGGGAGGCTGAGGCAGGAGAATGGCGTGAACCCGGAAGGCGGAGCTTGCAGTGAGCCGAGATTGTGCCACTGCACTCCAGCCTGGGTGACAGAGTGAGACTCCGTCTTAAAAAAAAAAAAAAAAAATCAAAGAATAAACAAATGCAGAAACATACTGCATTCATAAATCAGAAGACTCAACATAGTAAAGATATCAGTTCTCCCCAGGTTTAATGCTTATACAGGTGTAGCACAATTGCTATGAAAATCCCAGCCAGATTCTTTTTGTACATTTAGACAATATTCTGAAATTTATATGGAAAGGCAAGGGAACTAAAATAGCTAAAACAATTTTGGAAAAAGAATAATGAAGTGGGAGGAATCAGCCTACTCAATTTCAAGTCTTATAGTGCAGTAATCAAGACGCAGCCACATGTCTATGGTTGTAGACGAAATAGTCTCTTATGTTATTTAAAGAACCATTGGGGCATGTGCCTAGTTAACTTCACACATTGAGTGCTATGGTTTATTACTGTAAAAACATGGCTGTTTTTCTTTCACATTTCATGTAATGGTTTTACTCAAATTCTCCATCTGCACCAGTAGCATCTGTATCTTTGATGTACCAGTGTCCCCTTTTTCAAGTTGTCCAGAACACTTTTTCAGTGTATATTATCTGCACATGTCTGGTCTTTTGAGATAGGAAACTTTCTACAGCTATGATGATGATACTCTCGGACACTATCTCAAGACCTAACTAGCTGGGCACACATTCTCAGGACCCCTTGAGACAGTGCCCTAGGCAGAATAAAAACTAAAAGACCTAACTACCTACTCACATGAACTCTAGCACTTTTATTTACAAATTTGTTTTAGATGTACAAATTTGTGATCTTAAAAGACTTGTTTATAAAATTTGCAAGTGAATTTGTAACTCGTAAAACCAGAGTTACTGAGTCTGTATTTCCTCTTTCTCTTTTAAATAATGCTGATTCTGTGAGGCAACCTCTCTAAGCAGCCAAAACCAGTACAGATGTGCAGCCTTTACAGATAAGCTTCCCCAAACAGTAAAAACACAACAAAGATTGATCCAAATAAGGTAAATGGGAGGGCACTGCAAAATGTGAGAGCTGCTGAAGGTTTCAAACATCAGGCCATTTTGTTTGCAGAGGGATAATTTTGGGGAGAAAAAAAACTCACCTTATTTTCAGATATATATATGGTAAATAGCCTGTGTTAAATATTTACTGATGGGATTATGAATATGACCAATAAGTTATACATGTTTCATTTAATTTCCTGATAGTGTCTTTAGTCTGCACAGGAAAATGCTTGAGTAGAAACATACTGAGAGATTCAGCAAGGTTCTGAAAGGAAGCCAGAGACAGAACTGAAAATAGGTCCCTTGAGGCCTAAGCACCAGGAGAGACCTAGATTACACTTATTGTCAGGCCTCTGAGCCCAGGCTAAGCCATCATATCCCCTACGCCCTGCACGTATACATCCAGATCGCCTGAAGCAACTGAAGATCCACAAAAGTGAAAATAGCCTTAACTGATGACATTCCACCATTGTGATGTGTTTCTGCCCCACCCTAACTGATCAATGTACTTTGTAATCTCCCCCACCCTTAAGAAGGTTCTTTGTAATTCTCCCCACCCTTGAGAAGGTACTTTGTGAGATCCACCCCCTGCCCGCAACACAGTGCTCCTAACTCCACCTCCTATCCCAAAACGTATAAGAACTAATAATAATCCACCACCCTTGGCTGACTCTCTTTTCGGACTCAGCCCGCCTGCACCCAGGTGAAATAAACAGCCTTGTTGTTCACATAAAGCCTGTTTGGTGATCTCTTCACATGGATGCATGAGACACTTATCACACAGAGCGTGGTCCCAGGCTGCTAAGATTGCTGGAACTCAGCTACTCTCCCAGCCGATTGTCTGGTCAAACTGGTGAGCTTTCTTTCTTTCTTTTTTTTAATTTTTTTTGAAACAGAGTCTCACTCTGTCGCCTAGTCTGGAGTGCAGTGGAGCAGTATTGGCTCACTGCAACCGCCACCTCCCAGGTTCAGGCAGTTCTCCTGCCTCAGCCTCCCAAGTAGCTGGGATTACAGGCACATGCCACCATGCCCAGTTAATTTTTTTTTTTTTTTTTTAGTGGAGATGGGCTTTTACCATGCTGGCCAGGCTGGTCTCGAACTCCTGACCTCGTGATCCACCCGCCTCGGCCTCCCAAAGTGCTGGGATTACAGGCGTGAGCCACCGCGCCTGGGCCAAACTGGTGAGCTTTCTCAGAGGGCTGGTTTGTCTCCTTCCTTGGCTTCATTAATGGAACAAATCAGTGTCTTTTGAAAACCTTCAATTCCCAAACCTCCTTCAGAGAAAATGGCTGAAGCCAGAGGAGAGTTCTGTAGTGGAGATCTGACCATCTTCTCTATCTTCTGGTAACAGGACCCCAGTTTTCCTTTGGGAAGCCAACCCTCCCGATTTTAGCCCATGTAGTGTGAGAAGTATAAAAAATGGCAGGGACTGGCTTGGATTTGGGCAGGTGGCTTGCAGCTTCTGCTGGGATGGCTGAGAAAGAAGGTGTCATGGTTACATGTTTTAATCTCAGTGGCATTCAAGATGTTGATTCCTCATGTGTCCGAGGGGTTCAGCTCTCCAGTGTTGCCTGGGCTGAGTCACACGTCTAGTGGTTGGCTCATCCGGGATCATCTTAACCCATTTATGCCTGAAGTTGCAATTTTTTGAATTTTTGCAATCAGACCTTGGCGGTGACCTTGAGCATTAGGATATAAATAACTCCCACATGCTTAGCATTCCAATAATGGAACACTAGGCATAAATGCGTTGGGGCCGGGATAACTCAGCTGTGCTCTGTGTGTCTCTCCTTCTCCTGGAACCACCAGGACAGCCTGGGGATGGCAGACGCACAAGAGAACTAGTAGAAGCAGACAAGTTCCGCGAGGCCTGGGCTTGGAATTACACCACTCTCACTTCCATCTCATTGCTTTGGCTCAAGTAAGTCACATGGACCAAGCATTGCAAAGTTACATGGCAAAGAATGTGATCAGGAAATGGTGAAGAATTGGGGTCCATGACACAATTGATTGCATAAGTCTTCTTCACCAGGGCAACCAAGGAGCCAGTGGCAATGCTTCCCACCCCTTGAGGAGCACCTGCCTTAGAAGGAACCCAATAAGAAAAAAGCAGAACCGGGAGACAGGAAGGTGTGAGGACACCATGTGAGCACCCAGATTCAGCCATGCCTGAAGTTTTCAGTTACACGAGTCATAAATTCCTCAGTGGCTCTTTAAGCCAGTTTGAGATGGGGTTGGTTCTATCACTCATAATCAAGAATGCTGATTAATGCCCTATGGCTGCAGCCATAATATTGGATGGATGTATCTGTCCTTGAAGTCCTTTCCCAATCAAGATCAGCTCACTCTGACCTTCCTTGTCCCTGCCACACTCCCTGTAGACCTGCCTGCTTTCCTCCCTCCATCTTTCCTCCCTCCATCCTCTCCGGCCTTTGTGGAGGAACCTGGTCTTCTTGCTGCCTTTCGTCTTGCTGCCCCAAAGTAAGCATTCACAACTGTTTTTTTTTTTGTTGTTGTTGTTCTGTTTTAAGGGGAAAGCAATCAGGGAAGACCAGCAACAAGAATAAAACCTGCAGAGACCCTGCCCCGGCAGCCTCTGCCTTCCAGTTCTGGATCCCGGCACCCCTGCTGAGATGGTCCCGCAACCCCCTTGACTTCCTCTCTCTAATTTCTGAGAGTAAAGCTCACCAAACCTTCTCCCAGCCCTGAAAAGTCTCAACTGTGAAAACTTGGCTGGGAAAGGACTTGGATACAAAGGGACTCTGTGTAGCCTTCCTTGGATCTTTGAAAAACAGCGACAACACTGCTGAACCAAACACCCTGAAACTAAGGACGCTTTCTGATAAGCTATTGAGATTCACTGGTCATTTCTGCTGTGCTGGACAGGAGCCCCGATGGAACGGGCCTTTCAGAAGCCAATAAAGACCCGTGGCATGGAACTCCTGGGACTTCCTCCATCCACATCTTAAGGAGCTGCCCTGTCCCCTGTCTTCCTGCCTGAATATGATGCCTCTCTGGCGTGAAAGCTGAGAATGAAGTGCAGGAGAGAACGTGTGTGTGTGTGTGTGTGTGTGTGTGTGTGTGTGTGTGTGTGTGTGTATACGTGACTGCTTCTTATAAACGCATAGAAATGAAACCTCAAGATAAATACATCTGGCTGGTACGATGGCTCGCGCCTGTAATCCCAGCGCTTTGGGAGGCCGAGGCAGGCAGATCACTTGAGGTCAGGAGTCTGAGGCCAGCCTGGCCAACATGATGAAATCTTATCTCTACTAAAAATATAAAACTTAGCTGGGCATGGTGGCAGGCCCCCTGTAATCCCAGCTACTTGGAGGCTGAAGCAGGAGAATTGCTTGAGCCAGGGAGGCAGAGGTTGCAGTGAGCCAAGATCACACCACTGCACTCCAGCCTGGGCAACAGAGCAAGACTCCGTCTCAAAAAAGAAAAAAGAAAAATAAATCTGCTGAAAAGTAGAATGCCATGTGTAGTGGGTTGTTCCCTAAACGTTCATGTTCACTCAGAACATCATATATGACCTTACTTGGCAGTAGGCTGTTTGCAGAAATAATCAGTTAATGCTTGAGATGAGATCACACTGGATTAGGGTGAATTCTACATCCAATGACTGGTGTCCTTATAAAAAAGAGGAAAGGACACAGAGCGACAAAGTCCACATGAAGACAGAGGTGGGCAGAGATTGGAGTTATCTGCCGCAAGCCAAGGTACGCCTGAGGTCTCCAGAAGCTAAAGGCTTCTAGAAGCTTCTAGAGTTCCTCTAGACACTGAGGCAAGAAAGAGGCAAGAGGTGGTTTTAGCTGAAGGTGTGGCTTCCAGCCTCAGCCTGCTCATACAGGAGGCTCTGGGCACTGCAGTATTGCCTTCTTTGAGGCTGGGGCTTTTATACGCCTTTATCAGTCAGTCACAGGCTGTGAGCCTCCCTGTCACAATCCCAGATGTAAGTAGAAGTCCTGCATGGGACTTTAGAGAAGCCCCTTAAAAGAATTGACTAGGTCTATCTCCTTGTTCTTTCCCCTCTCCTCCTCCCTGCAGCATGGATGCAGATCTGAGGACTGAAGCTCTAGCAGCCACCTTGGATCATAAGGTCACCTGGAGATAGAGGCCAAAAAGATAGGAGGACCTGGACTACCTAATTCGGCTTCTTTGACATGAGAATAAACCCTTGTCCAGCCGGGCGTGGTGGCTCACGCCTGTAATCCCAGAACTTTGGGAGGCCAAGGTGGGTGGATCACCTGCCTAGTTAGAAGTTTGAGACCAGCCTAGCCAACATGGTGAAACTCTGTCTCTAATAAAAATACAAAAATTATCTGGGTGTGGTGGCAGGCACCTGTAATCCCAGCTTCTAGGGAGGCTGAGGCAGGAAAATCGCTTGAACCGGGAGGTGGAGTTTGCAGTGAGCCGAGTTTGCACCGTTGCACTCCAGCCTGGGTGACAAAGCAAGACTCCATTTCAAAAAAAAAAAAAAACAACAACAAAAAAGGCTGGGCACAGTGGCTCACACCTGTAATCCCAGCACTTTGTGAGGCTGAGGATCACGAGTTCAGGAGATCGAGACCATCCTGGCTAACACCGTGAAACCCCATCTCTACTAAAAATACAAAAAATTAGCCAGGCGCGGTGGCGGGCGCCTGTAGTCCCAGCTACTTGGGAGGCTGAGGCAGGAGAATGGCGTGAACCCGGGAGGTGGAGCTTGCAGTGAGCTGAGATCGTGCCACTGCACTCCAGCCTGGGCGAAAGAGCGAGACTCCATCTCAAAAAAAAAAGAATAAACCCTTGTCTGTTTAAGTCACTTGTATTTTGTGTTTTCTGTTACGTGCAACCCAGTATAGGCTTGGTTTTTTTTTTTAAGGCCAAAAAAGGTGTGATTTGTAAATAAAATTATATACACTGTATACTCTCCAAATGATTACTTTCCTCCCTTAAAAAGGGAAGAATTATACCACTACACAGTATATCCACGTAACAAAACTGCACTTGTGCCCCCTAAATCTATAAAATTAGAAAAAGAAATATAATATGAAACACATACGTAATTTCAATTTTTTCAGAAGCCACATTTTTAAAAATACAGGTAAAAATTTTTTAAGATACCAATAATGGAAGAATTAGAACTTGGATAATAACTATATTATTTTTTGAAAATTCTACCAATGTGTCTGGTGTTTTAAATACAGAAACCACTTCATCCATGTATAAATTCACAGGAGCTGTGATTGCACTCATCTCAATGAGGCAGTAGGATCAGAGAAGGTTGCCTTGTGGGGCGGTGGTAAAGAATGTTGGCTCTCAAGTCACCTTGTCTTCATTCTTTGTTTTTTGTGTTTTTTTTTTTGTCTTGGTTCTAATCGCAGCTCCACCACTCCTTAGCTTAGGCAAGTTACTTATTCTTTCTGTGCCTCAGTTTCTTACTCTGTAACATAAGGATGATAACCATAGTAGCTACCCTTTTAAGGTACTGTTGGGAGGATTAAGGGTAATAATTCATATAAAGTACTTCCCACAGAGCCTGGAACATAATAAGCAATTAATAAAGTGTAGTCATTATAATGGCTCAGGATTAGAGTTGAGCCAGAATTTGAACTGAAATCTATCCAAGTCTGAGGCTGCTGCTCCTTTTGCGGTCTCAGTAGATGCATTATAATGACCCTTTCTATATGGGATGGAGTGTGCTGCCTGCTCCGTCTCCTCTGTTCCACCTCTCACCGCTGCTTGCTTGGTTAACACCTATTCATCTCCCAGGAGAGGGAAGACTTCTCGGAGCCCCAGGATTGGGTTAGATGCTCCTGGGCTGTGCTCCTGCAGCATCCTGAATGTACACTCCTGGTATGAATTATCACTCCACATTATAATTGCCTAATTGCTGGCTTGCGCTCCCCTCTATGCTGTAAGCCCTTGGACAGCAATGTTGTGTATTTTTCTTATATCAACAGTACTGGCTAGTGGCTCACAGTAATCCCAGTACTTTGGGATGCCGAAGCAGGAAGATTGCTTAAGCCCAGGAGTTCGAGACCAGCCTGGGCAACAAAGTGAGACGTCACTCATCTCTACCAAAAATGAAAAAAAAAAAAAAATTAGCTGGGTGTGGTGATGTGTGCCTGTGGTCCCAGCTACATGGGAGGCTGAAGTGGCAAGGTCACTCGAGCCTAGGAGGTTGAGGCTGCAGTGAGCCGTGTTCATGCCACTCCAGCCTGTGAAACAGAGCAAGATCCTGTCTCAGAAAAAAAAAATTACTGGCACATAATATTTACTATCTATGTATTGATTAAATTACTACTATAATCGGATTTTTTAAATCTGATAATACTTGAGCTGGAAGGGACCACTTAGACTTCTAGTGTTTCTACCAAGGTCACCTGGTGGGATTTTGGAAATGTGTGGAGGTGTTTTTGGCTTTCACAAGAATTGCGGGACAGTTCTGGTATTTGGAGGGCAGCTGGGTGCTAAGTGACCTGTAATGGTTAGGACAGTTCCATCTAACGTCCCACATACTTTTATTGTCTGCACAAACATTTACGTAGATCAAAAAGCTGTTAAAATTACTTCAGCCTAGACTCTAACTTTGATTTACGCTGTACAAAAGCAAATTATTTTTGTACAGTTTTAATATATCTGAATATTTCAGGAACGCAACTACTGTGTATATGAAGGTGAAATGACACTGTGTTTTATCCAGAATGCTCACTATCGTGGAAAAATCACATAGGCAATAGCACCAGGGCCCATGGTATCTGAATTCCCAGTACAATCTGCCTGTATCATCTGCATCTGTAGCCACTACATTCATGATCATTTTGTCTGTCAGCAATTTTTGCATCATAAGCCATTCCAAAGCAAAACAACAATCATTCTCTCCCATGCATCGGTGGGTTTGCTGGGGGTTGGCTGGTTTTGGCTGGGCTCAGCTGGGCAGTCCTGCCTCAAGTGTGGTTAGCTGGGCTTGGCCCCTTGCTTGTGATGGGTCCAGGTCTGTTCTAAGTGTCTCATTGTGGGACCCAGGCAGATGGGGCCGCAGATTCCTGGGAGAGGCTCTTCTCATGACAGTGGCAGAGGCACAAGAAAGCGAGCCTCCCTGCACCACACATTTCAAGCTTGCTTTCAGTCTTGTCTGCTGTTAGCCCAAGCGGCCAAAGCAGGCCCCATCGCCAAGCCCGAAGTCAACAGGTGGAAAAGTAAAAGCACACGCCTGCCATGGAGGCGGAGGGAAGAGAGTAAATATGTTTGAGCAAAAATCTAACCTACCTCGGTGATTTGACCTGATTATCTTAATTTAGCCCTGATCTCAAAATGTCATATACAGGCCGGGTGCAGTGGCTCATGCCTGTAACCCCAGCACTTTGGGAGGCCGAGGCGGGAGGATCATGACGTCAGGAGATCGAGACCATCCTGGCTAACACGGTGAAACCCCTTCTCTACTAAAAATATATATATAAAAAAAAATTAGCCGGGCATTGTGGCGGGCACCTGTAGTCCCAGCTACTCGGGAGTCTGAGGCAGGAGAATGGCGTGAACCCAGGAGGCGGAGCTTGCAGTGAGCCGAGATCGCACCACTGCACTCCAGCCTGGGCGACAGAGCGAGACTCCTTCTCAAAAAAAAAAAAAAAAAAAGTCATATACAAAGAGAAAAAAAAAACCATTTTGCCTTACATATCTCCAGTACTAATGCACTCTGATAAGAAAGTCCATGCCTCTGATGATTTCATTATAACTTAACCACGTGGTCATGACTATTTACATACAAAATACATATAGTCACGTGTCACCTAATAACAGGACTACATGCGGAGAAATGCATTACTAGGCGATTTCATCACTGTGTGAACATCGTAGAATGGACTTACACAAACCTCAGTGGTATAGCCTACTACACACCTAGGCTACAGGCGATAGCCTCTTGCTCCTAGACTACAAACCTGTGCAGCGTGTTACTGTACTGAATATTAAAGGCAACTGGAACCCAGTGGGAAGTATTTGTGTATCTAGGCATATCTAAACATAGAAAAGGCAAAGTAAAAAGTGCCGTAAAAAAGATAAAAAATGCTACACCAGTCTAGGCACTTACCACAAATGGAGCTTGCAGGACTGGAAGTTGCTCTGGGCGAGTGAGTGAGTGAGTGACTGGTGAGTGAATGTGAAGGCCAAGGACGTTACTGTACACTACTGCAGACTTTGTAAATGCTGTACACTTAGGCTATACCAAATTTTACTTTTTAAAAAGTAATTGCATCCCAGCACTTTGGGAGGCTGAGGCGGGAGGACTGCTTTGAGCCCAGGTGTTCAAGGCCAGCCTGGGCAATATGGCGAGACTTCATCTCCACTAAGATTTTTTTTAAAAATTAGCTGGGCATGCCGGCAGGCACTTGTAGTCCCACTGTGGGGGCGGTGGGGTGGGATTGGGGGGTAATGGGGAGGAGGGGTGGGATGAGGTGGGAAGATTGCTTTAGCTCAGGAGGTCAAGGTTGCAGTGAGCTGTGATTGCACCACTGCACCTCAGCCTAAGTGATAGAGCGAGATCTTGTCTCAAAAAAAATGGAAAATAGAAATTGCACCGCAACAGCGCAATGGCTACAATGTCACTAGAGATTTTTCAGCTCTGTAATCTTATGGGGCCACCATCGTATATATGGTCAGTCACTGAGTAAAACATCATTATGCAGTTCATGACTATATTTTATTATAAATAACTGTCCTTTTATTTTTAATATATGTATTTTATTGGAAATTAGGTGTTTAGATAAATTGTATAATTTATTAATTTCATTTCAAGAAAGTCAAGAGGTTTGCCAAGTATTTTTATGAAAAGGGGGCTGTGAAACCATACGTGTGAGACTCGCAGAGGTAATCCAACAGAGTTCAGCATAGCAAGGGGCAGGAGAGCTGAGCCAGAGGGCCTCCCTTGGAGTCCTGCCCTCCCGTTTACAAAGTATGTCACTTCAGGCAAGGTGTTTCATATCCCTGAGGCTTTCTCAAGTGTGCTATGTGGTAATAATATAAAACTCTTCCTGGCTGCAATAAGAATTAAATAAGATCACATGTGTGACATTCAGGACGCTGGCAGGACACAGATGACACATTCAAGTGGGTTAATGGAGGGGCATTTCATAGAGGGACAATTTGCCAGGTTGTGGGCCAAGTTAAAATAAACCACTCAAGAGAACATGCATTATCTTAAGGCTAGGCTATTACAGCAGAGAGCCATTTCTACCCCTAGGTCTACAAGGTCAAAGTGACATGGAAGTTTCTGGAACTTTCATAGAACCCAAAAAGAATAAGTATATGGAAAACGCAGGTCTACAACAGCTGTGGCCTTCGGTAGAGGGCTTCAGCCAACCACGACAAGCCCACCGGGCAGAAGCTGGCGAGATAAATGCTTCAATCTCACTCTCCTCCTTCAGCTTACACATCTTTCTTCTGTGTGTCTCCTATTGGCAAAGAGCAACCAGAAGTGAGAGGTGTCCATAAAAGTGCCATCCATGAAAGTCAGCCTCCCAGAGCACAAGGCAGGAGGGAAGGGTGGAGAGTAGATCTGGAGGAGAAAACAGGAGATGTCCAGTGTAGCATGGACAACAGTTAGCACCCAGTAAAGTGAGATATACCAAGATACGGCCAGGAGTGGTGGCTCACACCTGTAATCCCAGCACTTTGGGAGGCCGAGACGGGTGGATCACAAGGTCAGGAGATTGAGACCATCCTGGCTAACACGGTGAAACCCCGTCTCTACTAAAAAATAGAAAACATTAGCCGGGCGTGGTGGTGGGCGCCTGTAGTCCCAGCTACTCGGGAGTCTGAGGCAGGAGAATGGCGTGAACCCAGGAGGAAGAGCTTGCAGTGAGCCGAGATCATGCCACTGCACTCCAGCCTGGGTGACAGAGCGAGACTCCGTCTCAAAAAAAAAAAAAAAAAAAAAAGATATACCAAGATACGTGTGGTAGCACTGTGAAATAAATAAGCAAGCACACACACAGACATGTACACAGATGATACATATGCATGCACAGGAAATTTAAATAACCTGCCCCAAATTATAAGGAGAACAGCCACTAGAATTGAGTTAATCTCTTCATTCAAAGTCAAAG
This sequence comes from Homo sapiens, assembly GCF_000001405.40. Lineage (NCBI taxonomy): Eukaryota > Metazoa > Chordata > Mammalia > Primates > Hominidae > Homo > Homo sapiens. Next base: position 25,300,501 of record NC_000004.12, on the reverse strand, counting down.
ATTTTTCCACTTCATTCCTGTAAGGATTACATTAAACTTCTGCATAACCATGACAACTTGTCCCGAGCCTCAGACTTTTGAAACTTAAAGGTAATAACATTTGTCCTCAAGACATATTAAGGGGATACTGTCCCACTGAAGGAGCAGGACTTTAGCCAGAAATTCAGGGAATGAAGCATTTCCAACTCCTCACAGACAACATGGATAGCAAGTGTAGCTAGATGATAAATTGCTTAGAAGTCATACTAGTGCAGTTACTTCCCTGGTTTAAACAAGTACTTGGGTTTAAATGCAGTTCCTGGTTACCTTTAAGTACTGCAATTTAAAACAAACACTTGAAGGCTACAGTAGCTTTCTAGATTGTTCCCAAAGCCACACTGAGATCAAAGGCAGTGTTGTTCTCCCAGACTGGCGTTCAGGCAGAAGCACCTGGTTAAACCAGTTCCATCGGCTATGGGATCGGCCCAGCCCAAGATGTTTATACAACTTTCTGACTCTTGGGGGAAGGCAAGTCTACTTGATTTTTCTGCTGCTTCTGTGAGTCTCAGAAGTTTCCGAAGCTTTACCTGTCAGGTAGGAATTGTGTAACCAGAGCTTCTGGGGCAGGCAGCGTTCTGGGAGTCAAAGGAAAAATAAACACATCTCTTCGCTTATAGAGATTAGCGGCTTCTTTTTGATATCACATGCTTTCAATTTCCAGATCTTAAAAAACCCACAAGACAACATGCAAGAGCACCAGCTACTGACTGCCAGGTTAGCATTTCACCCGCTAGACCCAGGCGCCAGGATTCTGAACAAATACATTTGGAAATGCCACTTGGTCTATCCTGGAGTCAGCTTTGGATAAGTCTCTAACTAGGGACCTCAGGTGCCTTTTCCTGTCAAGCCCAGAGTAACCCCTTATATGCCATGGAACAGAAAACTTTAATAGCTTTATGATTCCAAATTTGTCACCGTGCTCCAAGAAAGATGTCATAAAATCTAGAAATTTGCATGCACACATATTCACTTTATGCAATAATCCAAACCCATAAACATGGGTGCATGCCTTATTTCGTCATCTAAAACCAAAGATCCAAAAGTGCCGTGAACACACAGACTCTGCTCAGTGGAGATGAAGACCGCTCATGCCACATTTTTCACAAAACAACCCTCATTTAATCCTTGGTACAAACGTCACGAGCTATTTGCTCATGTCTTTTATACGTGGAGAAAGAGCAGATTTGGGAGATTGCAAGATCTGCTCAAAGACATGAAACTAACAAAGGGCAGAACCAAGATTTAAACTCAGGTCCCTATCCCAAAACCCAAACTCAAAACAGAATGGTACATACTTTCTATCCACTTACTGAAGATAGACAACATTTAGAACATAAAGTAAGTAAGTTTACAGTATTTTTAAGTGACAAAAGTTAAATCGATTGTCATTGCTTAGTGGTAGAATAAAAACTTTAAAGCTTAAGGATTTATTTTCTTGAAGAACTCTTTATATGGCTTCTGAAGTAGGTTAAAAATTAGTAAACAAAATGATGCTGATTAATAATGCAGTTTGCTTAGATAAATGCATTTTTATTATATATTTTTAATGTTCAAGCAATAGGCTCACAATATTTAGGAATCTTCTTATGAGGAACACTGGGTAAAAGCAAAATAGCTCACATTAGTGAATGAGAACTCACAGATTAGAAGTCAAATACCACCTCGTTGCGTGTTATGTATTTTGTTCCCTGGAGATTTTTTCCTTAATTAGTATCAATCATGACAATATTCTTTTGATATTGTGAAAAGATTAGTACGTTTGCTTGATGAAAATCAAAAGAGCATGGTACTGGCATAAAAACAGATGCACAGACCAATGAAACCGGATAGAGAGCCCAGAGAGAAAGCCACACATTTGTGGTCAATGGATTTTTGGCAAAGATGCCAGGAACACACTGTAGGAAAAGGACAGTCTCTTCGATAAATGGCACTGGGAAAACTGGATATCCAATGAAGAAGAATGAAAGTAGACTCTCATCTCACACTATATGCCAAAAAAAACAACTCCAAATGGAGAAAGACTTAAAATACAAGTTCTGAAACTATAAAACTACAGAAGGAAAACATAAGGGAAAAGTTCCATGACACTAGTCAAGGCAATAAGTTTTTGGGTGTGACCCCAAACACACAGGCGACAAAAGCAAAAATAGATAAAAAGGATTCCATCAAACTAAAAAGCTTTTCAGAGCAAAGGAAACAATCAACAGAGCGAAGAGACAACCTGCAGAATGGGAGAATATATTTACAAGCAATTCATCTGATAAGGTATGAATAGCCAAAATATATCAGGAACTCAAATAACTCAATAACAAGTAAACAATCTGATTTTAAAATGGCAAAGGATCTGAATCGACATTTCTGAAAAGAAGACATACGTGGCCAATAGGTGTATGAAAAAATGCTCAACATGACTAATCAACAGAGAAATGCAAATTAGAACCACAAGTGATGGAAAGATGTGGGGAAAAGGGAACCCACGTACACCGTTGGTGAGAATGTAAATTAGTACAGCCACTATGGAAAACAGTATAGGAATTCCTCCAAAACTTAAAAATAGAACTACCATATGATCTAGCAATCCCACTGCTGGGCATATATCTAAAGGAAATGAAATCAGTATGTCAAAGAGATATCTGCACTCCCATGTTAATTGCAGCACTATTCATAATAGCCAAGGTATGGAATCAGCCCGTGTGTCCATCAGTGGAAGATGAATAAAGAAAATGTGGCATAATACACAGTGGAATGCCATTCAGTCTCAAGAAAGAAGAAAATCCTGTCATTTGTGATGTGAGTGAACCTGGAGAACATCATGTTAACTGAAATATGTCAGGCACAAAAAGACAAATACAGCATAATACCACTATATGTGGAATGTAAAAAAATAATTGATCTCATAAAAATGAAGAGAAAAACAGTAGTTAGCAGTGGCTGCGGGTGGGAGGATTGGGGAGATGTTGGTCAAAGGACACAAAATTTCAGTTAGATGGAATAAGTTCAAAAGATCTACTGCACATCTTGTAACTGCAGTTTATATACTATCTTGTTTGGTTTTTGTTTGTTTGTTTCTTTTATTCTGTTTTGAAACAGGGTCTTGCTCTGTCACCCAGGCTGGAGTACGGTGGTGTGATCCTAGCCCACTGCAGCCCCGACCTCCTTGACTCAAGTGATCCTCCCACCTCAGCCTCCTGAGTAGCTGGGACTGTAGGCATGTGCCACTGCGCGCAGCTAACTTTTGTATTTTAAAAAATGTTTTGGAGACGAGGTTTCACCATGTTCCCCAGGCTGGTCTCAAACTCCTGGGCTCAAGCTATCTGCCCATCTGGACTCTTAAAGTGCTAGAATTACAGGTACAAGCCACTACACCCAGCAATACTGTATTGTATCCTTGAAAATTGCTCAGCCAGGCACAGTGGCTCACACCTATGATCCCAGCACTTTGGGAGGCTGGGGTGGGAGGATTACTTGAAGCCAGCAGTTCAAGACCAGTCTGAACAACATAGCAATATCCCATCTTTATTTCTAAAAAGTTAAAAATTAGCTGGGCATGGTGACGTGCACCTGTAGTCGCAGGTACCCAGGAGGCTGAAGTAAAAGTATCCCTTGATCCCAGAAGGTCAAGTTTGTAGTGAACCAGGATCTCACCACTGCACTCCAGCCTGGGCTACAGAGTGAGACCCTGTCTTTGAAAAAAAAAAAAAGAAAAGATGAAAAAGAATATTGCTAAGGGAGTAGATATTAAGTGTTCTCACCAGATACACACACACACACACACACACACACACACACACAAAAGTGAGCTAATGCATATGGTAAAAGCTTAGTGGCTGGGCGCGGTGGCTTATGCCTGTAATCCCAGCACTTTGGGAGGCCAAGGCGGGTGGATCACCTGAGGTCAGGACCAGCCTGACCAATATGCCAAAACCCCATCTCTACTAAAAACACAAAAATTAGCCGGGTGTGGTGGTGCGCACCTGTAATCCCAGCTACTCAGGAGGCTGAAGCAGGAGAATTGTTTGAACCCAGGAGGCAGAGGTTGCAGTGAGCCAAGATCACGCCACTGTACTCTAGCCTGGGCTACAGAGCAAGACTCCATCTCAATAAATAAATAAATAAATAAATAAAACATTTAGCCATTTCACAACATGTACATATACCAAAACATCATATTGTACACCATAAGTATATACAATTTTAACTTGTCAATTAAAAAGAGAAAATCAAAACACCATCATCATTTAAAAAGAGCTGAATAAAAACTCATTGGTGAAGCTGGGACAAGAATTAAGTTTTCAAAGAAGTGCAGGAAAGATCTAACAGTACTACACGGACAAGAATATTTTATGATTGTGAACAGAGTTCCTGCTGCCACAGCTCTCTGGATCCTTTGGGACTTCTTCTCTACCATGATGAATTATTCAATCAAAATTAAAGATCTCTTATCTAACTCCTGATGTAAAGGCGATATTAAGTTTATAGCACCATCAATGAAATACTTTGCCAGAAATATTTAACCTGTACCTATTTAAGCTTTTAGATATCACTTCCAGTTTATAGACTATAGATTACAGGATCAAGTTGAACATCAAGAGGAGATACTTATACAAATCCAGAACCAAGAATATTCCAAATGTTAATGTCAGAGGAAAGCAAAGGAACTGTTCTAGATTAAAAGATAAAACAAGGCCGGGCCCGGTGGCTCATGCCTGTAATCTCAGCACTTTGGAAGGCTGAGGTGGGTGGATCATTTGAGTTCAGGAGTTCGAGACCAGCCTGGCCAACATGGTGAAACCCTATCTCTACTAAAAACACAAAAAAAATTAGCCGGACCTGGTGGCACGTGCCTGTAATCCCAGCTATTCGGCAGGCTGAGGCATGAGAATCGCTTGAACCCAGGAGGCTTGAACCTGGGAGATAGAGGTTGCAGTGAGCTGAGATCACGCCACTGCTCTCCAGCTTCAGCGACAGAGCGAGACTCCATCTCAAAAATAAGAAAAAAAGAAAAAGATAAAATAAAATGCAATGTATAAAACTTCATTGGATCCCAACACACACACACACACACACACAAAAATCTAGCTGTAAAATATATATTTGGTGAATAATTGAAGAAATTTTAATATGGTCTATATAGTGGAGTGGGAATTTTTTGTTAATTTTCTTTTTTTTTTTCTGCTTTTTTTTTTAGACGGAGTCTTGCTCTGTCGCCAGGCTGGAGTGCAGTGGCAGGATCTCTGCTCACTGCAACCTCCGCCTCCCAGGTTCAAGCGATTCTCCTGCCTCAACCTCCAGGGTAGCTGGGACTATAGGCCAGTGCCACCATGCCCAGCTAATTTTTGTATTTTTAGTAGAGACGAGGTTTCACCATGTTGGCCAGGATGGTCTCAATCTCTTGACCTCGTGATCCACCTGCCTCAGCCTTCTGAAGTGCTGGGATTACAGGCGTGAGCCACTGCGTCCAGCGTGTTAATTTTCTTAGTAGAGATGATGTTGTAGTAAGTGGAGAATGACATTCTCTTTCTCTTCCAACATGGCCTTTCCATGAGACTAATTTGGACTTCCTCATAGCACAGTGGGCTCTAGGTAACTAGACTTCACACATGGCTGCTGACTTCCCAGGGTGACAATGGAGGCTCCGTGGTTTCTTAAAGGGTAAGGTTAAAGCAAGCTGCAAGGCCAGCCCAAGTAGAAGGGGAGTGGAGGTAGATCCCACTTCATGATGAATGGAACAACTCATGCTTACAAAAAGGGAAGGAATTGATAGTGGCCATCTTTGGAGACTATCCACTCCCCAGCCCCAAGGACCTGATTAAACATATCAAGAGGTGGAATGAAAGCTTTGCCCTCCACAATACATGAGAAATCCAGACACTGAAAATATGTTTCTATTATAAATAAGAAAAATGTAGAGAGTTCACATTAAAAACAGTCAACAAGCATTTGGTGTATAGAACATTTAAGTTCTTTTCCTTGTATGCAAGGAATTTATCATCTAAGAAGCAAAGGTAGAAATATGCAGGTATAAAACATGTAAGAGCAAGGATTAGGATATTATTCCCTAGAAAATATCTGACTTTAGAGCTATTACCATTTTCAGCTTCCTCTCCCTCACTTTGAACAGTATTTGAAGAGTGAATCCCAGAAATGAAGCTGTATTTTATTGATTTTTGCTCTCCTACCAATGTTTTGAGAATCCGGCACACAATGAGCACCCAATGTTTGTTGAATTCAATGAGTGAATTGTATCTATCATACAAACTGTTATCCATTCAGGACTGAGAATTTTAGGAAATACACAAGGGCTGCAGCAAATTAATATATCTGTCATAATTGAGAAATGAGCTGTTCTGGTTCACAACTCTGTAGAATAGAACCATGAGCCTGGTCATAAGAAAGAACTTGATCTCAGTAGTCAAAATAGGTACTGCAGATCCAGGTTGAAAAGTTCCTACACTTAAGTAAAAGCTTCTCACACTCACTTTAGGAAGGGTTTATAGGTGGGTTGAAGACTCAATAGTTTCAAGATCCTTATCCTATCTCAATCTTCCACTGGGGATATGACTAAGAAGGGGTACTGGCTAATGCATACATAGGTGCTTACAACCTTTATATAATACTTTGGGTGGTGTTATGGCTGAATCATGTCCTCCCCAAATTCATATTTTGAAGCCCTAATCCCCAGTGTGACAGTAATTGGAGATAGGGCCTTTAAAATTAAAGGAGGTCATAAGGGTGGAGCCCTAATTCAATATGACTGGGGTCCTTATAAGAAGAGAAAGAGACAGCAGGGATGTGCATGCAGAGAAAAGACCCCCTGAGGATACGTACAGACGGCAGCTGTCTCCAAGTCCAATTCTACCAACACCTTGATCTTGGACTTCCAGCCTCCAGAACCATGAGAAAATAAATTTCTGTTGTTTAAGCCATGCAGGCTGTGGTATTTTGTTATGGCAGTCCTCACAACCTAATAAAGGTGGCAAACAAAACATTCAGGTAAATGTACTCTCTCATATTATACAAGCTTTTTTAAACAGTAAAATAATTGAAACTTGGAAAATAACAGAATATAAAAACATTTACCTACCACTCAGATTTTAACAAATGTGGACATCTTGTCATATTTGCTTCAGATATTTTTTTAACTTTAAGAAATAAATTTGTTTTTGTTTTTTTTTGAGATGGAGTCTCGCTCTGTTGCCCAGGCTGGAGTGCAGTGGTGCAATCTTGGCTCATTGCCATCTCCACCTCCCAGTTCAAGTGATTCTCCTGTCTTAGCATCCCGAGTATCTGGGATTACAGGCATATGCCACCACACCTGGCCAATTTTTGTATTTTAAGTAGAAACAGGTTTTCACCATGTTGACCAAGCTGGACATTTGTGGGTTTTTTGTTTTGTTTTGTTTTGTTTTTGAGAAGGGGACTTCCTGTGTCACCCAGGCTGGAGTTCAGTGGCACAATTACAGCTCACTGAAACCTCTGCCTCTGCCTCCCAGGCTCAGACGATTCTCCCATATCAGCCTCCTGAGTAGCTCAGGCCACAGGTGCATGCCACCATGCCCAGCTAATTTTTTGTATTTTTGGTAGAAACGGGGTTTCATCATGTTGTCCAGGCTGGTCTTGAACTCCTGGGCTCAAGAGATCTGCCCGCCTCCCTCCCAAAGTGCTGGGATTACAGGCATGAGCCACTGCATATAGCCCAGAAATAAAATTTTATGCTTTTATACTTAAAACTTTATATTTTGGTACCCTTTGGGTCTGCTTCCATACTGTCCTAGCCCAGAGGTAACCACAATTCTGAAGAAGGAGACCATTCCTGTCCACATATTCATATACTTACATATATGCCTATGTCAAAAAGCAACATATAGTACTGCTTTGTATTTACAAAAAGGATACGGTTAAATACTTGTGCAAATTTTTCCTTCAACACTGTGTTGAGGTTTATGTACACAATTTGATACATGTAGCTATAGTTCATTTATTTTCACTGTTCTATAGTCTTCCATAGTATGAGCATACCACAATTTACTTATCCATTTTCCTGCTGTCAGATCTTTAGGTTGTTCTCAATTTTTCAGTGTTATAAACACCACAGCATTGAACAACCTTGCATATGTCTGCTTGCATGCATTAGTACCACAAGGTATTTGCACCTTCAGTTTTACCAGATAATTGCTCTCCAGAATGAGGCTGAGGTAGGTAGATCATTTGAGTTCAGGAGTTTGAGAACAGCCTGGGCAACATGATGAAACCCCGTCTCTATTAAAAATACATAAAACTTAGCCAGGTGTACTGGTGTGTGCCTTTAGCCCTAGCTACTTTGGGGGCTGAGGAAGGAGGATCACTTGAACCTGCGAGGTCGAGGCTTCAGTGAGCCGAGATTGCACCACTGCACTCCAGCTTGGGTGACAAATTGAGACTCTACCTCAAAAAAACAAAAACAAAAACAAACAAACAAACAAACAACAACAAAAAACAACGAAATGACTGTACCAATTTTTCCCAAATCTGATCCATTTGAAATGGTAAATCATTTTTTATTATTGTATGAAGGATAATCCACATACAACGAGCTGTACAATTTGATGGTCTTTCACGAATGTCTTCACTTGTGAAACCAGAACCATGATCAAGATAAAAAATATCTCCAGGGGCCAAGATGGCTGACTAGAAACAGCTGTAGTCTGGGCCTGCCGCTGAGAAGAACAAAAATGGCAACTGAGGTATCCAGGTTCTTTCATTGGGACTGGCTAGGAGGTTGGTGCGACCCATGGAGAGCGGGTAAAAGCAGGGTGGTGACAGCCCACCTGGGAGCCACACGGGGTAAGGGGAGCTCCCACCCGTCTAAACCCAAAGAATGGACTTAGAGGCATGAAGAACAGCAAAAGTGAGACTTTTAATAACAGTCTTGCAAGATTGGGTGTCTGGTGAGCAGGCACATCCACGGCAGTCACAACAGGTAATTTATCTCCTAGCACGCAAGTCCCTCCCCCAGTTCCTCATTGGTTGAGTACTATGGGGTTACAATCTTCCCAGTTGTCGCCTAAGTTTCATTATCCCTCTTATAAGGTTATACCCCGTCCCCTTCTCCACTTCAGTTTTGATTTCGCAATAATGAAACTTTCTTCTCTCTCGTGGGTTGACCCCTCCTCTACATTCTGTTCTCTTATTGTGACCTTCTAGGCGCATGAGCCATGCGGTTTGTCACATTTGCAGACTGGCTGCCATACTTAGATTTATCATGCCTTGAAAATGGACCATTTCAAATATTTTCTCACAGAGAAACCACACTTTTTCTATGGATCTGTGCAACCCGCAGATCAGGAGGTCCCTCTTGTGAGCCCATGCCTTGGGACCTTGGTTCCCAAGCACAGAGCTGTGCAGATTCTCAGTGGCCACTCAGCTGGAGACTGCTGAAGACTACTGAGCTACTGAGTTCCGGGGTGCAGGGAGGCGGGGAGCCATTATCACTGCAGCTGCCTTTGGCCTAAGACAACTGAGCTCCCCGGGGGAGGGGCAGCAGTCATCACTGCAGCTCTAGTCTGTAGTTTGGATCCAGGAGGAATTTTCCACAGTGCAGCACAGTGGCTGTGGCTGATTGTGGCCAGACTGCCTCCTCACTAGGCGGGGCCTCCCTGCGGGAATTTCAGCAATTCCAGCCAGGGGTTTATGGACAAAACTCTAATCTCCCTGGGACGAAGCCCTGTAGGGAGGGATGGTCGCGGTCTCTGTGGATCAGCAGACTTAGTCTTTCCACCAGCTGGCTCTGAGAAGTCCAGGCAGTCCAGATGAGTGGGATTCCCCACAGCACAGTGCACCATCTCCGCTAAGGGGCAGCCAGAGTGCTTCGTTAAGCAGATCCCTGATCCTGTGCCTCCTAATTAGGTGAGACCTCCCAACAGAGGTTGCCAGACACCTTATACAAGACCGTTCCTGCTAGTATTAAGTTGGTGCCCCTCTGGGACAGAGCTCCCAGAGAAAGGAGCAGGCAGCCATCTTTGCTCTTCTGCAGCCTCCACTGGTGACACCTTCAGGTCCAGGAGGGACCCAGGAAAATAGGGTTGGGAGTGGACCCCCAGCAAATCGCAGCAGCCCTATGGAAGAAGGGCCTGACTGTTAAAAGAGAAACAAGCAAACAGAAAACAACAACAACAACAGCATCAACAAAAAAGTCCCCACAAAAACCCCATCCCAAGTTCAGCAGCCTCAAAGATTGAAGCTAGATTAACTCTCAAAGATGAGAATCAACGAAAAATTGCTGAAAACTGAAAAAGCCAGAGTGCCTCTTCTCCTTCAAATGGTTGCAACACCTTTCTACCAAGGGCACAGATTTGGGCAGAGGCTGAGATGGATGAATTTGACAGAAGCAGGCTTCAGAAGGTGGGTAATAACAAACTTCACTGAGCTAAAAGAACATGTTCTAACTCAATGCAAAGAAGCTAAGGAACATGATAAAACAATACAGGAGTTGTTACCAGAATAACCAGTGTAGAGAGGAGCATAAATAACCTGATGGAGCTGAAAAACAACACAAGAACTTCACAATGCAACCACAAATATCAATAGCCGAATAGACCAAGTGGAGGAAAGAATTTCAGAGCTTGAAGACTATCTTGCTGAAATGAGACAGGCAGATGAAATTAGGAAAAAAAAAAAAAAAGAATGAAAAGGAACAAACGAAATCTCTGAGAACTATGGGATTATAGAAAAAGACCAAACCTACAACTGATTGGGGTACCTGAAAGAGACAGGGAGAAGAGAACCAAGTTGGAAAACATACTTTAGGATATCATCCAGGAGAACTTCCCCAACCTAGCAAGACGGGCCAACGTTCCAATTCAGGAAATCCAGAGAATTCCTGTAATATACCCCGTGAGAAGATCAACCCCAAGACACATATTTATTTACCTCCAAGGTCAAAATGAAGGAAAAAATGTTAAGGGCAGCCAAAGAGAAAGGCCAGATCACCTACAGAAAGAAGGCCATCAACCTAACAGTGGACCTCTCAGCAGAAACACTACAAGCCAGAAGAGATTGGGGCTCAATATTCCACATTCTTAAAGGAAAGAATTTCCAACCCAGAATTTCATGTCTGCCCAAATTAAGCTTCCTAAGTGAAAGAGAAAATCCTTTTCAGACAACCAAATCCTGAGGCAATTCATCACCTCCAGGCCTGCCTTGCAAGAGCTCTTGAAGGAAGCACTAAATATGGAAAGGAAAAACCATTAATGGCCACTACAAAAACACACTGAAGTACAAAAACCAATGACACTATGAAGCAACTACATCAGCAAGTATGCAAAATAGCCAGCTAGCATCACGATGACAGGATAAACTTCACACATAACAATATTAACCTTAAATATAAATGGGCTAAATGCCCCAATTAAAAGACACAAAATGTCAAGCTGAATAAAGAGTCAAGACCCATCAGGTCCTGTATTCAAGAGACCCATCTCATGTGCAAAGACACACATAGGCTCAAAATAAAGAGATGAAGGAAAATTTACGAAGCAAATGGAAAGCAGAAAAATGCAAGAATTGCAATCCTGGTTTCTGACACAACAGACTTTAAACTAACAAAGAAAAAAAAATTAAGAAGGGCATTACATAATGGTAAAGGGTTCAATTCAACAAGAAGAGCTAACTATCCTAAATATATATTCACCCAACACAGGAGTACCCAGATTCATAAAACAAGTTCATAGAGACCTACCAAGAGACTTAGACTCCCACACAATAATAGTGGGAGAATTTAACACCCCGCTGTCAATATTAAACAGATCATTGAGACAGAAAATTAACAAAGATACTCAGGACTTGGACTCAGCTGTAGATCAAGTGGACCTGATAGATATCTACAGAACTCTCCACCCAAAACAACAGAATATACATTCTTCTCAGTGCCACATGGCACTTACTCTCAAATCCATGACATAATTGGAAGTAAAACACTCCTCAGCAAATGCATAAGAACTGAAATCATAACAGTCTCTCAGACCATAGCACAATCAAATTAGAACTCAAGATTAAGAAACTCACCCAAAACCACACAACTACATGGAAACTAAACAACCTGCTCCTGAATGTCTACTGGGTAAATAATGAAATTAAGGCAGAAATCAAGAAGTTCTTTGAAACCAAGGATAACAAAAAGACAACGTACCAGAATCTCTGGGATGCAGCTAAAGCAGTGTTAAGAGGGAAAGGTATAGCACTAAATGTCCACAACAAAAAGCTAGAAAGATCTCAAATTGACACTGTAACATCACAACTAAAAGAACTAAAGAACCAAGAGCAAAAAAACCCTAAAGCTAGAAGAAGACAAGAAATAACCAAGATCAGACTGGAACTGAAGGAGATGGAGACATGAAAAATCCTTAAAAAAAATCAACTAATCCAGGAGCTGGTTTTTTGAAAAAATTTATAAAATAGACTACTAGCTAGACTAATAAACAAGAAAAGAGAGGAGAATCAAACAGACACAATAAAAAAATGATAAAGTAGATATCATAACTGATCCCACAGAAATGCAAGCAACCATTAGAGAAAACTATAAACACCTCTATGCAAATAAACTAGAAAATTTAGAAGAAATGGATAAATTCCTGTATATATACACCCTCCCATGACTGAATCAGAAAGAAGTTGAATTCCTGAATAGAACAGTAACAAGTTCTGAAATTGAGGCAGTAAGAAATAGCCAACCAACAAAAAAAAGTCTAGGACCAGATGGATTTACAGCTGAATCCTACCAGAAGTATAAAGAGAAGCTGGTACCATTTCTTCTGAAATTATTCCAAACTATAAAAGGAGACTATCCTCCCTAACTCATTTTATGAGGCCAGCATCATTCTGATACCAAAACCTGGCAGAGATAAAACAAAAAAAGAAACTTCAGGCCAATATTCCTGATGAACATCAATGCAAAAATCATCAATAAAATACTGGCAAACTAAATCCAGCAGCAAATCAAAAAGCTTATCCACCACAATCAAGTCAGCTTCATCCCCAGGATGCAAGGCTGGTTCAATGTATGCAAATCAATAAGCATAATTCATCACATAAACAGAACTAAAAACAAAAACCACAAGATTATCTCAATAGATGCAGAAAAGGCCTTCAGTAAAATTCAGCATCCTTTCATGTTAAAAACTCTCAATAAACTAGGTATTGATGGAACACACCTCAAGATAATAAGAGCCATTTATGACAAACCCACAGCAATATCATACTGAATGGGCAAAAGCTGGAAGCATTCCCCTTGAAAACTGGCATAAGACAAGGATGCTCTCTCTCACCACTCCTATTCAACATAGTATTGGAATTTCTGGTCAGGGCGATCAGGCAAGAGGAAAAAACAGAGGATTCAAATAGGAAGAGAGAAAGTTAAACTGCCTCTGTTTGCAGATGACATGATCCTATACCTAGAAAACCCCATTGTCTTGGCCCAAAAGCTTCTTAAGCTGATAAATAACTTCAGCAAAGTCTCAGGATACAAAATCAATATGCAAAAGTCACAAGCATTCCTGTCCAAAAACCATAGACAAGCAGAGAGCCAAATCATGAATGAACTCCCATTCACAATTGCTACAAAGAGAATAAAATACCTAGGAATACAGCTAACCAGGGAAGTGAAGGACCTCTTCAAGGAGAACAACAAACCACTGCTCAAGGAAGTCAGAGAGGACACAAACAAATGGAGAAATATTCCAAGTTAATGGAGAAGAAGAATCAATATTGTGAAAATGGCCATACTGCCCAAATTAATTCATAGATTCAATGCTATTCCCATTCAACTACCTCAGACCTTCTTCACAGAATTAGAAAAAACTACTTTGAAATTCATATAGAACAACAACAAAAAAAGCCCGTGTAGCAAAAACAATCTTAAGCAAAAAGAACAATACATATTACCCAACTTCAAACTCTACTACAAGGCTACAGTAACCAAAACAGCATGGTACTGGTACAAAAACAGACACATAGGGCAATGAAACAGAATAGAGATCTCAGAAATAAGACTGCACATCTACAACCATCTGATCTTCAACAAACCTGGCAAAAACAAGCAATAAGGAAAGAATTCCCTATTTAATCAATGGTTCTGGGAGAACTGGCTAGCCATATGCAGAAAATTGAAACTGGACCCCTTTCTTACACCTTCTATAAAAATTAACTCAAGATGGATTAAAAACTTAAAGGTAAAACCCCAAACTGTAAAAACCCTAGAAGAAAATCTAGGCAATACCCATTCAGGACATAGGCATGGGCAAAGATTTCATTACAAAAAGGTCAAAAGCAATTGCAACAAAAGCAAAAATTGACAAATGGGATCTAATTAAACTAAAGAGCTTCTGCACAGCAAAAGAAACTATTATTGGTGAGAAAGACAACCTACAGAATGGGAGAAAATTTTTGCAACTACACAAAGGTCTAATATCCATAGTCTAAAAGAACTTAAACAAATACACAAGAAAAAAACAAACAACCCTGTTAAAAAGTAGACAAAGGACATGAACAGACACTTCTCAAAAGAAGACATTTATGCAGCCAACAAACATGAAAAAAAGCTCAACATCACTGACCATTAGATAAATGCAAATCAAAACTACAGTGAGGCTGGGCACAGTGGCTCATGCGTATAATCCCAGCACTTTGGGAGGCCAAAGCAGGTGGATCACTTGAGGTCAGGAGTTCAAGACCAGCCTGGCCAACGTGCTGAAACCTGTCTCTACTAAAAATACAAAAATTAGCCAGGCATGGTGGTGTGTACCTATAGTCCCAGCTACTTGGGAAGCTAAGGCAGCAGAATCGCTTGAACCCAGGAGGCAGAGATTGCAGTGAGGGGAGATCACACCACTGCATTCCAGCTTGGGCAACAGAGTGAGACTCCTTCACTCACACACACAAAAAACTACAATGAGATAACATCTCATGCCAGTCAGAATGGTGATTATTAAAAAGTCAAGAAACAACAGATACTGGTGAGGGTGTGGAGAAATAGGAACACTTTTACACTGTTGGTGGGAATGTAAATTAGTTCAACCATTGTGGAAAACAGCGTGGGGATTCCTCAAAGATCTAGAACCAGAAATACCATTTGACCCAGAAATCCCATTGCCGGGTATATACCCAAGGAATACAAATCATTCTTTTTTTTTTTTTTTTGAGATGGAGTCTCGCTCTGTCGCCCAGGCTGGAGTGCAGTGGCGTGATCTCGGCTCACTGCAACCTCCACCTCATGGGTTCAAGCAGTTCTTCTGCCTCAGCCTCCCTAGTAGCTGGGACTACAGGCGCCCACCACCAAGCCCGGCTAATTTTTTGTATTTTTTTTGGTAGAGAAGGGGTTTCACCTTGTTAGCCAGGATGGTCTCCATCTCCTGACCTCGCAATCCCCCCGCCTCGGCCTCCCAAAGTGCTGGGATTACAGGCGTGAGCTACCGCGCCCGGCCAGAATACAAATCATTCTATTATGAAGACACATGCATATGTATGTTCATTGCAGCACTATTCACAATAACAAAGACATGGAATTATTATTATTATTGTCAACCCGAATGTCCATCAATGATAGACTGGATAAAGAAAATGTGGTAAATGTATACCGTGGAATTCTATGCAACCTTAAAAAGGAATGAAATCATGTCCTTTGCAGGGACATGGATGGAGCTTGAAGCCATTATCCTCAGCAAACTATGCAGGAACAGAAAAACAAATACCACATGTTCTCACTTACAAGTAGAAGCTGAACAGTGAGAACACAGGGACACAGGGAGGGGAACTACACACACTGGGGCCTGTTGCAGGGATGGTATGGGGGAAGGGACAGCATCCGGATAAATAGCTAATGCATATGAGGCTTAATACCTAGGTGATGGGTTGATAGATGGAGCACACCATCATGTCACACGTTTACCTATGTAATAAATCTGCATGTCTTATACATAGATCCTGGATCATAAAATAAAAATATTTCCATCATCTCCCAAAGTTTCCTTATGCCTGCATGCAATCTAACCCTCCTTCAATGTCCATACCCACTTTTTTCTTTAACAATAGATTAGTTTTCATTTTAGAGAATTTTATATAAGTGGAATTCATACAGTATGTTCTGTGTCTGGCTTCTCCAGTTACCGTAATGATTTTGAAATTCATCCATGTCACTGTGTATTAGTAGTTCATATCTTTTTATTGTATGGATATGCTGCATTTTGCTTATCCATTCACCTGTTGGTGGACACCTGGGTTATTTTTAGTTCGGAGTATTACAAAACAGCCTGCTATGAACATTTTCATGTGGACATTTGCTTTTATTTATCTTGGGCAAGTACAAAGATGTGGAATGACCGGATGGTATAAGTGTATGTTTAACTTTACTCATGGTTTTTATTTGCATTTTCCTAATGACTAACAATGTTGAATATCTTTTCATGTGCTTATTGGACATTCATTTCTACATCTTTTTTTGTGAAGTGTCTTTTTAAATCTTTTGGTTCTTAATTGGGAATATTCTTTTATTATTGTTAATTAATTTTTTTGAGACAAAGTCTTGCTCGGTCATCCAGGCTGGAGTACAGTGATATGATCTTAGCTCACTGCAACCTCTGCCTCCCAGATATAAGGGATTCTCATGCCTCAGCCTCCCAAGTAGCTGGGATTACATGCATGTGCCACCAGCCCGGCTAATTCTATTTTTAGTAGAGTTTTGCCATGTTGGCCAGGCTGGTCTTGAGCTCCTGGCCTCAAGTGATTCGTTCGCCTTGGCCTCCCAAAGTGCTGGGATTACAGGCATGAGCCACTGCGCCCGGCCTGGGAATATTCTTGAGTTGTAAGATCACTTCATACATTCTGGAATTCTGGATACAGGTACTTTACTAGATATGTTTGGCAAACATTTTCTCTCAGTTTGTAGCTAGAAATGTCAGTTTCTTAAAAGTGTCTTTTGAAAAGAAGTTTTTAATTTTCATGAAGCCCAAATTCCTTTTTTTTTTTTTTTAATGGTTTATGCCATTTGTAGTCTAAGAAATCTTTGCAAACCCAGAACCATTAGATTTTCTGCTGTTTTCTTCTGAAGTTTAGCTTTTATTAACTCTTTTAAGTCTATGAGGTACAGGTGATGATTCATCTTTGATTTCTTTGCCTATCTCCCTCTACGGCACCATTTGTTGAAATGACTATCCTTTCCCATTGAATTGCCTTGGCACCTTTGTTAAAAAATCAGTTTACCACGTGTTGGGTTTATTTCTGGATTTTCTATTCTGTTTCATTGATCTATGTGTTTATCTATACACCAATGCTACAATGTCTGTAGCTTTATAAGTTTTGAGATCAGGTAGCATAAGTTCTCCAACTTCGTTCTTCTTGTCCAGTTGTTTTGGGCAGAACATTTCCATATACGTTATAGAATTAGCTGTCAATTTTTACAAAAAAAATCAGATAGGATTTTGAGTTGAATCTATAAGTTTGGGAGAATCAATGTCTTAATATTATCAATACCTAAGCATCGTACAGCCTTCCACTTATCAGAATCTTTCATTTTTTCCAGTGCTCTCTTATGGTTTAGTGTAGAGGTCTTGCTCATCTTCATGGGACTTATTTCTAGGAATCCAATGTGTTTTGATGCTGCTATAAATGATCTCTTTTAAAATTTTCAGACTAACGTTGCTCATATGTAAACCTTGCAAAATTCACTTATTAAGGCTAATAGGTTTCTGTAGATATTTTTGAATTTCCAATATGCATAATTATGCCATCTGTAAATAATCACAATTTTATTTCTTCCTTTGACTTCTCTTTCTTGCCTTACTGCACTGGTTAGGCTCTAGAGTATAACACTTGAATAAAAACAGCAAAAGCAGGTGTCCTCATCACATCACTGATCTCAGGGGGAAAGTGCAAAGCCAGAATAATGGTTCCCAAAGATGTCTCTATCTGGGGAATTTAAAAGTTGCAAATGGAATTAAGGTTGTATATCGACCAACCTTAAAAATGGGGCAATTATTCTAGATTATCTGGGAGGGCCCAATGTAATCACAAAGGCCCTTAAAAGTGGAAGAAGAAGGCAGAAGAGTCCGTTTAAGAGCAATGCAATAAGAAAAGGATTCAACGCACTACCTCCAACTTTGAAGATGGAGGAGGAGAAACAGAGCCGAGGAATGTGAGTGGCCTTAAAAAGCTGGAAAGGGTGAGAAAATGGATTCTCCCTGAAGGCTTCCAGAAAGGAATGCAGCCCTACTGGCACCTTGATTTCAGCCCAATGAAACCTGCATCAAGACATCTACCTACGGGCTGTAAGATAATAAATCTGTTGTTTTGAGCCAGTTAAGTTTATTATAACTTATTAGAGCAGCAATAGAGAACGAACACCCAAAGCTTTAGATTTTTCAACACTAAGTACGATGTTTGCTGTTGGGTGGTTGCAGATATGTTGTCTATTTGCACTTGTGTTCCTTCTAGTTTACTTATTTTGTAGAGATGGGGGTCTTCCTATGTTGCCTAGACTGGTCTTGAACTCCTGGGCTCAAGGGATCCTCCTGTCTTGGTCTCCCAAAGTGCTGGGATTACAGGTGTGAGCCACCACACCTGGCCTTATTTTTATTTTTTGAGACAGGTCTATGTCGCCTGAGCTGGAGTGCAGTGGTGTGACCATAGCAGCCTTGAACTCCTGAGCTCAAGTGATCCTCCTGCCTCAGCCTCCTTAGTAGCTGGGACTATGGGCATGCACAACCACACCTAAGTAATTTTTACATTTTTTTTGTAGAGATGGGGGGCTTGCCATGTTGCCCAGGCTGCTCTCCAACTCCTGGCCTCAAGGGATCCTCCCACCTCGGCCTCCCAAAGTGCTGAGATTACAGGCATGAACTACCATGCCCGATCAGAGTTTTTTCAATTTTTTTGTTCTTTCTTAGCTTCCATGGCTTCTTAAATTCCTTCAGCATGTTTTAAAACATTAGATTACTGTTTTCCTTTGCTTTAGAGAGATGTTTCTGGGATATCTTCATTTCTGTGGGTATGTTATGCAGATTGTAAACCTTTTTTTCTTCAAGCATATTGTAAGATGTAGTCTTACATCTTGTAAGATGTTTAAATCAGATGGATTTTTCTATATGTTTCCTCCTGTATTTTTAGAAGATTCCTGTGTAGGAGGTGAGGGTGGGCTAGGACAGTTTCTGAGCTTCGTGGCTCTAGGGCTCTCTCTTCTGTCGTTATTAGAGTATTAGATAAGATGGTTTTGTGTGTTCCTACCTCTTCAGTACTTTCTGAATTCGGTCTCATTCATTTGGTCCCCTCTTCTCTCATTATCTGAACCACTCTCCTTTACCCCTGGGGTCCTTCCCTCGTCTGTGCATGTTCTATTCCCAGTACTTTTTCTTGGTATAGCCCTATGTCCTCTCACTGGTTATTTTTGAAAACTACGAAGACCAGATTGCCTTAGTACCCTCACACCTTTCTGCAGGCCTTTTTGCTAGCTACCAGGTGAATGCTGGGCAGCCTTCTCCTAATTTTGATTGTGGTTTTTGGTTCTACCAATTGAAACTCCCACCGCTATTGGGGATCCTTCTTGTGGGGGCTTGGTACATGGTGGCAAATTCTGGGTTCTTTGGCTCTTAGGACCATCACAAATCCCCCTTCCCTTCTCTCTGCTTGATCCTCCGAAGCTGCTATTGCCACGTGATCTTGTTGGTATTGATTTTATTTATTTTAAGAGATGAGGTCTCACTATGTTGCCCAGGCTAGTCTCAAACTATCCGAGCTCAAGGGATCCTCCCGCCTTGGCCTCCAAAAGTGCTGGAATTACAGGCATGAGCCACCATGCCTGGCCATGTATTGATGGTTTTAACCCAAACTATTCATATTCTGGAATTCAAAAAGATAACCTTTCACCTAGCTTTAGTGAAGAAATGTTACGGTATGCCTCCTATTTAAAAGTGATTGGTATTTTTCTTTTTACATCATAATGTCTGGGATAGGAGAGACGAAGCTAGAGTAACAATTACATTCAAAACTGCAGTGACTCAACATGGAACTTCTTTCTTGCTCATGTCACCATCAAGTGCAGTCAGGAGGCTCTCCTGGTGGCTTTCCCCAGCAGTGCCTCCTGTGCCCTGGCTGCTTCCATTTTGCAAATTCTTCGTTCATAGCTGAATGGAAAGACAAGAGAGTGGTCAATCGTGACAGTTTTACTGCCAGGCCTGGAAGTTGCATATATCACTTGTCTCCACATCTCACTGGCCAGAACTCAGTCACAAGGCCCCAAACTAATTGCATGAGAGACTTGGAAACATAGCACAGCACTAAGAATCTCTGCTACAACTCTGTACAGTTGCCCAAGCAAGTTGGTGAAAGAAGGCAGACTATAAAACCTAGGATGCTGCCTGTCTATTCAAACAGCTGTACAAGGATTTAAGATGTAATTTGATCAAAGAACGTGGCACCGTCATTTTTAAAAAAGGTTTTAATTCCATATAGTACAGTACTTCAATTTTTTTGTTTGTTTGTTTGTTTGTTTGTTTGAGACAGAATCTACTCTGTCACCCAGGCTGGAAGGCAGTGGTGTGATCTCGGCTCACTGCAACCTCCACCCTCCCTCCTGGGTTCAATAATTCTTGTGCCTCAGCCTCTTGAGTAGCTGGGATTACAGGTGTGTGTCACCACGCCTGGGCAATTTTTGTATTTTTAGTAGAGATGGGGTTTTGCCATGTTGGCCAGGCTGGTCTCGAACTCCTGACCTCAGGTGATCTGCCCACCTCGGCTGCCCAAAGTATTTCAAATTTTTGAAAAGTTTTGTGAATCAAATTATCTTCAAGTATGCAAAAACCATGTCTCCACAAACAGTCTTCAATTGCTGACAAATTTTGGGGTGATAAGGTGGTGGCATATTTAATTAAGTACAATTAAGATGTCTTTAATTATAAAGGTTTCAGTTAAATATCTTTTGGAATTATAAAGAATTAGGCTAGGCGTGGTGGCTCACGCCTGTAATCCCACCACTTTGGGAGACCGAGGCAGGCAAATCATTTGAGGTCAGGAGTTCAAGACCAGCCTGGCTAACATAGTGAAACTCCATCTCTACTAAAAATACAAAAATTAGCCGGGCATGGTGGCACACGCCTGTAGTCCCAGCTACTCGGGAGGCTGAGGCAGGAGAATCGCTTGAACCTGGGAGATGAAGGTTGTGGTGAGCTGAGATCATGCCACTGCACTCCAGCTTGGGCAACACAGTGAGACTCCGTCTCAAAAAAAAAAAAAAAAAAAAAGAATTAAACTATACCTTTAATATATGAAGAAAATGATAGTTTGGCATCATTTATAGTAAATGTGTTCATAAACATTCTAAATATTCCAAACACGTACATACAGAAGAACATAATCTTAAGACAATGATTTTTATTACCTTTAGTCTACCACATTTGTCACTATAAATATACTTATTGAAAAAAAACCATACTATTTAAATAAGAATTCAGTTCATGAAAGTTTACAAAATACAACCAATGTACTCTGACTTGTGGTTATATCTTAACTATCTCAACTGTACTTTTCTGGTATGGCCAGACCTTTTGCAAATATTACCATGGTATTTTAATTTTATGATATAAAACAGTAGCAATTTATTAAGTTTTCCATTATAAAAATTAATATGGCAATTCTCAAAATACTGAAAAAACTGTTTTATGAAAGCAGTACCCACATCACTGCAACGTATTTCCTTTCTCTTAGAAAACATCTTCAAAAGGCACATTTTAATTACTAGTGTTTATATCTAAAGATAGTAGTTTGAGTTTTGAATTTCCAGTCAATTTTCCATTATCTCAAAATTGAGCTAATGGAGGGTTGGAAGAGGTAGGAGAACGCAGGTTTCCAATGAACTCCCTCAGGGCAGCAGAATCCTCATTCATCTCGTCCATGAAGACCAAAAGGAAGATATAAGGGAAAAAGGAATGGCAGATCTGTTTTGCATCCTAATTTAACCTTCTACACAAAATACTTCATTAAAAGCAAATAAACAAACACAAGATAGTAAGCTTAGAAAACAAAAGGCCTAGACCACAAATTACCCAGTTAAGCCCAAGTGGTGACATTGGTTTTAAGCCTCAAGAAAATGAAACTTCTGCTTCTGTAAAATCACATCTTCATCAATTGAATTTAAATCACTTAGTGCATTAACAATGTTACAAATTCCAATAATGTCAGACATATGGATGATATTCAAAATAAAGTACAAAAATACATTTCAAAATCAAATATAAATGACTTTATGGTTATCTGCCATGCTCCCCTTTAATTTGGCCTGATAGTCTACATTTGACTGTAATTATAATAACATCTGTAATTTCAAGTACAATAGTACAATCATAATAATTTTGAAGAACGTATGACCTAGGACCCCAAAATGCAATCCAATATACAATTTGGAGTATGGTTTACTTTTTAGTGAAGTTTAATACTAATTGAAGTACTAAATTGAACAAGGCCAGTACTCTGAAGTACTAATCTCAAGTATTTGATCCCATGTAAGAAACAGAAGGGAATTTTTAAGGCAATTTTGGTATTCCAAAATATTGGGGATCTACCTTAATTTTCTATTATTCCCCTCAAGTCTCAATTGAATATTTCCATTTTTTAAAAAAAGGGGAAATTTCTTAGGTTTTTTCCTCACTACAACAAAGTAATTCACCAAAAATATTCTCAAGTACAAAAACCAAAATGGTCCTCTATTACTTAGCCAAGATATAATTTTCTGGTCCCTAATAATGGTCACTTTAGGAGTACTTATTCAAATTCTAAAATAGCAGCTTTTGAAATTAAGGCAACATTGCTTTATTCTTACCTGTTTTTCTATTAGCTAACTATTTTATTAAAGTTCGTAAGAGCAATTTCAGACGTAGGCATCCTCAAAGGCCTTTTGTAATGTAAGAAGAATTAGCATGAACATTCTTCTCAATATTAAAAGTTATTGTATTCTACTTGGAATTCTAGAGTAATTACAGTCATTCCAGCATGTGTAAAATTACCTTTTAAACTAACAACAACATAAAATACAAATTTTCTACAAAAATACAATATAGGAGATATAGCACTTCTTCCCTGAAATAGAAATTTAATATTTGGACAAAAAACTGTAAACTTTTGGTTACATTCAAAATACAACCTTTTAAAGACTTAAATTGAGGTTTTAGCAACTGGAGCTCCTAACAGCAGATTTATATTACTATGATGTTTTAAAAACATGATAATTCTAAACAGTTTGTTTCTCTTACTCTGACATTTACTACCAGGAGGAAAAAAATGGCTTCCTGCAATTGACAGTCTGGGTAAAGGAATTGCTCAGGTGGACAATCCGACCCTGACTTCCACCTTGACTGCGTTCCACAATCACACAAGGTATCTGTACTAGCTGGAAAGGACTCTTCCCGTCTCTCAATGCCTGAGTAAGGTTTAAGATCTGTGGGAAGAAGAGAGATTTTTACCAATTTAAAAAGATAAAAAGCTTCACTTCACTGACATTTTTTAAACCATTTATTCATTATAATTTTTATTTCATCCATTTATGAGCAACAGAGACTGTGAAGATAAGTACCTGTTATAAATATGTATTATATGAATGTATGTTTACACACACACGCGCACACACACACGCGCACACACACACACACACAATTAGCATTAAATAACTTTTGCCAGATGGTAAGTTTAAAATATTCTAGAATATCCTGCCTATGTCCAGGAGCAATGGAATCAAAGAACGGTAAGTGAAGAGGTCTACATACATATTCAATTTAACATAAAAACTCAACAAATACTGGTTTAAACAGTCTGGTTTTAACTAAATACTTGCCTTATCCATTCATTCAACAAATTTATTGTATGCCTACTATGTGCGAGGTTCTGCTGTAAGTGCTAGGGATACAATAGTTAAAAAAACAAGCAAACTTGCTGCCTTCGTAGAGCTTACACTTTAGCAGGGAGAAGAGTCAATAAACATGAATATGTAAATTATGCCATGTATTAGAAGGTGAAATTGCTATGGGAAAGCATGAAGCAGGGCAAATAGGTTAGAGAATTTGGGAAGGCAGTCATTTCAAATAAAGGTACATTTAAGAGTTTACTCTTAAGAAAAATAAAATTAGGGAAAGTAAAATATATTACATATCATGTTCAAAGATACTCTGGGAATTTCTACTTGGGCATGCAAATAAGGTTATGAAACACAATACATAGATTATTCTGGTCTCTGTTCAGGTCAAATAAAATTATAGCAGTTCATCTTCTTTTTTCCCTGCATATTAGGAAAAATGTCCTTTCTTGTATATTTTAGAAATACAGATTTCTCCTTCAGGTATTTGAAAATATCTAATATATACATCCTATGCATTTCACTGGTTCTTGTAAAGACTAGTCAATAGTGATAAGCATAAATGTTTCCACATAAAGCCATACTAATAAATAAACTTCATAATACTTTAAATAGTATAAACTAGATGGTTGGTTGATTGATTGATTGATTGACTGATTGATTGTAGAGATGGGGTCTTGCTATGTTGCCAGGGCTGATCTTGAACTCCTGGCTCATGCAATCCTCCTGCCTTGGCCTCTTAAAGTGCTGAGATTACAGGTGTGAGCCACCACAGCTGGCCAAACTAGATGATTTTAGTTTGTAGAATATTTGGAGCATTTAACACATCAGGAAAATAGATCTTTACTAGTAACAGTGTTATAGGTTATGTTTATGTTTTAGGATCACTTTTAAGTTCTTCCCTTAACATTTTCTTTTTTTTTGTTTTGTTTTGTTTTGTTTTTGAGACAGGGTCTTGCTCTGTCACCCAGGCTGGAGTGCAGAGTGCAATCACAGTGCACTGCAGCCTCTGCCTCCTGGGCTCAAGCGATCCTCCCACCCCAGACTCCAGAGTAGCTGGGCCTAGAGGCACACGCCACCTCAGCTAGTTTTTGTACTTTGTGGAGAGACAGGGTTTCGCTTTGTTGCCCAGACTGGTCTTGAACTCCTAGGCTCGAGAGATCCACCTGTCTCAGCCTCCCAAAGTGCTGGGATTATAGGCATGAGCCACCACACCCAGCCTTCCCTTAAAATTTCCTAAATTGACTACATTTGGATAACAAGAAAAAAAGAATTTATGAAATTTGAGTTTATTATAAGCATTGTTCCTACCATGAATATAAAAGTGTGCACTAGCACAGCTAAGGAAGGAAATGTTTTGGTTAGTTTCCTCTTTGGGTTTTAAGAATTCTATTCTAAAAATGTTAGCCTAAATATACCAATTTAAGTAACAGTTAATATTTTCCTGACTCTAAGAACAGTATGTGACTCTTGCAGAGAATATGGAAAACAGAAACGTTGACCAGGTGTGGTGGCTCATGCCTGTAATCCCAGCACTTTGGGAGGCCAAGGCGGGTGGATCACTTGAGGCCAGGAGTTTGAGACCAGCCTGACCAACATGATGAAACCCCATCTCTACACAAAAATACAAAAAATAAAAATTAGCTGGGTGTGGTGGCACATGCCTGTAATCCCAGCTATCAGGGAGGCTGGGGCACAAGGATCGCTTGAACCTGGGTGGCAGAGGTTGCAGTGAGCTGAGATCGCGCCACTGCATTCCAGCGTGGGTGACAGAGGGAGACTCTGTCTCCAAAAAAAAAAGTATAGGAAAACGGAAGTTGCTCTACAAATTATTAATTTTCAAATAGTTACAGAAATTGCATAAATTATTAAATCCTGAAATTAACCTATTAATATTTCTTCGGGAATTCAGAAGACACTTGATAATCCTGCATTTATTTACTAAGGAAACACTTACTGAGCACTCACGGTGTTGGGGAGAAGAGGGGACCAAATGAGGGAAAAGCCATGTAAGCCCTTAAAGAACTCAAATTCTAGAAGCAGCCACATGAACAAGTAATTGCAATACTTGTGTGTGATGGAAAGGACCTCTGCCCTGACTTTAAAATCTGATCCCCTCTCCCCAACATACCACCTAGTTTTTCATTTCTCAAAGAATAACAAATCTATTACTATCTGTTTAAATCAGAGTGGATTATTTAAAAAAATAGAATGGAGCAAATTCTGCAGGCCAGGGGAGACACTAGACTTCTCCACCCATGCCATAATGACAGCTTGACGGGGATGTGACAGCTGTGGTCCAGGCAGGTGGTATAAACTTGTGGGCTTCTACATACTGACTTTGCTTTCCTTTAGATTAGTTCGCTGGTCTTTAAATTTCCGTGGGCCTGAGAATTACTGCACTATATACATCAAACCACATATATTCTACTTTTTCGTAGATTTTAAGCTATCTCTCTATAGCAATGTACCCCATATGTTGATTTAAAAACCAAATTTCTGAGTAAAATGTGACACCAGCATATTCCCAGGGAGTGCTGCAAAAATCAGAACAGGAGGAGTTTAGGAAGACTGACGTGGATGTTGGAAGAAAAACTGTTTCCTAGATACAGAGGGCAAGGCATCGAGGGGAAAGAATCGCGTGCGCAAGAGCACCACTGGGAAAGGGGAAGGAAGAGCAGTTCAGATTTGCCAAGCCCAGGGAGAGGGGCAAAACGGCAAGAGATAAAGGTAGATGCACTGTTTGGAGCCCGACTGTGTTGTCGACTGTGCTGAAAGCCTGGACTTGAGCCTGTACACATGGACAAATTATAGGAATTTTAAATAACAGAAGACATACTCAGATTTGTTTTTAGAGATTGTTCTTGTTTCAGCGTGGAAGAGGAATGGGAGAAGAGGGAAGGTCAACTTAGAATGTCGGTAAATCCAGAGGAGAGATGATAAGGGCCCCGGGCAGAGGCAATGCCTAAATGTTGCCGATTGGCCAGGCTGGCAGGCGCCCTTATTTCACAGATACATGTTATTAAAGCCCTTTGAGCCAAAGTCATTCCACCTAAAACGTAGACTACTCTGTGGAGGTGTTTTGAGGATAAACAATAATAAGCATCATTAAAGTGTCCAGTAAGGGGTCAAGTACCAGGAGGTACTAAAGGGTTAGTTTCACTTTCTTTAATGTCAATTATTATTGAATCTGTAAATGAGTTTCTGGTATATAAATCTCTGAAGGTAAGTTCATTATGTTTTCAGAAAAAGTTTTAGTTATTATTTCTGCATTTTTTCAGGTCACATGGAAAATATATTTCACATTGCTTATAAGTAAATATATTCTCAGTTTCAGTGTTCCAAATTAGAATATAAGATGAATTTTACCTACCCTGATTATGACCTATTGCTATTTAATATAAAATTCAAAACATTGTTTATCTTTAACGTTCATAAACATTATTACCAGCTCTGAATTAAAAAAAAAAAACTTTCATATTGTTTCAGTCCACATCTTTATGTGAAGAATTAGAGCACGCCATTGATATATGTGTAAAACTAACGGCTTACTACAAACTAGGGCAAAAGACTTGGCTGTAGAAAGCACAAACCATTAAGTTAATAAGCAAAATTGGAAGGGAGAGGGATTTAAATGATATTTATAACTGACAGAAATAACACAAGTATTTTGACTTGAGGAATTTGCTGAAGTAATTATTCTGTTGTTTGGAATATAGGTAAATTTTTTTTTTTTTTTAGAGACAAGGTCTTTCTCTGTTGCCCAGGCTGGAGTGTAGTGGTGTGATCACAGCTCATTACAACCTTGAACTCCTGGGCTCAAGCAATCCACCCACCTTGGCCTCCCAAACTGGGATTACAGGTGTGAGCCAACACGCCTGGCCCAATACCTGATTTTTTAGATCTTTTTTTCCCTTCTTCTTAAGAGATGAGGTCTTGGTCTGTTGCCAAGGCTGCAGTGCAGTGGCTATGCACAGGTGTCATCACAGTGTACTACAGCCTCGAACTCTTGGGCTTAAACAATCCTCCTGCCTCAGCCTCCCAAGTAGCTGGGACAACAGCCATGAGCCACCACACCTGGCCTTAGACCAACTTTTTTTTAAAAAGTAAAAACAGCCAAAACCAGAGAGCTACATAGTCATGTACATGGTCAGGACATATTATCTTTTTTGGCTATCGGAAAGCTCAAAATCAAATTAAAATTAAAAAACAAAACAAAATCAAGTGACAACGTATAATAACCAAAGTATCATCATTTTATTTCTTTCTCTCCTAAGTTGTTGACCCTGTCATCTTCATATTTTATTATATTCATTTTTATAATGCCTTTTTCTTTTGTACATGAGATAAGATATGAGTAAATAAACCTAAAATAGGAGACAGCCACAGACACATCTTTGTAACAGGCCTCAGAACTGGAACACTCCCACACCTTCTTAGACAGGCTTTTTTTTTTTTAAGACAAGGTCTTGCTCTGCTGCCCAGGCTGGAGTGCAGTGGCGCAATCTCAGCTCACTGCAGTCTCCCCCACCTCTGGGGCTCAAGTGATCCTCCTGCCTCAGGCTCCTGGCAGCTGGAACTACAAACACATGCCACCATGCGTGGCTAATTTTTGTATTTTTTTGTAGAGATGGGGTTTCGCCATTTGCCCAGGCTGATCTTGAACTCCTGAGCTCAAGCAATCTGCCCTCCTCTGCCTCTCAAAATGGTGGGATTACAAGCATGAGCCACTGCACTCAGACAGGTATTTTTTAAAAATTTAAATTCCTCAGGTGTTAACTTTAAACCACAATTAAAGCTGACAAAATTATTTAACAGCTTTTATTTACTTCTTTATTTTAAATCAGATTCCTAAAATAAAAATAAACCTTTAGGGATAAGAAAGTTCCAGAAGATGAAGCATATTGATATGTCAAGTCAATTTATTTCAAACACAAAGGTCAAATCAAGGCATATTTATCTATGCCTAAAAATTTAGCTCAAATAAGTTTTGGGATGGCAAAACTCTGCAACATGATTATAATCATTGATCACCTAATCCTTCCATTGATGCCTCAATTACCAGAAAAAGCCTCTTAGTGAGGCTCCTTGGCTGTCATCTCCTCGTCTACTAAGCAAATCTGTACCCTACTGTCCAGCCCAGCCTTCTGCAGTAGTCCTTAACTTTTTTGAGGGATATAAATATTTTTGCTGAGATATAAATCCTATCTTCTCTCACACCCAAAATGCACATATTAACATTTCATACACAATTTCAAGGAGTTCATAGAAGAAACCCAGAATAAGATCTCCTTTTCGAAAACTTCTGTCTCATCACAGCCCTTCTTTAATGCTTAATTTCTAACTGCTCCAATCCTTTCCTTGTGGAATCTACAGTCTGGTGTTTAAGGCCCTCTATACTCTGGCTCCATTCTATTTCTCGAGCCTTCACTTAACTACTTAAAACTCATGACTGCATTAAGCACTGCATAAATGTGATGGAGCAGAGAGATGCGTGAGCTAATAATCTAAAATCACCTGTCCCTTTTCACCGAGCCCTGGCCTTCTCTGCAGAGCAAAACTCCATGACAGCAGAAGCTTGGTTTTGCTTACTGCTTTATCTCCAGTGACTAGTTGCCAGCACTAGTTCTGTCAATAAACATTTGGTGAATGAATGAATGATTCTCTGTGTAATTATATGGACTTGTACTTCTTTGCTACAGGTATTGTGGCAAACAGCTACCTTAAATGTATATTTTAGGAAGAGAATGTTAATTTATAAGACGCTAAAAGACAATGTTTACAGTATAATTTATTTATATTTCAAGCTTTCCTTTTGGAATAGAAATACCATTCATAGAGTCCAAGAAGCAGAAGTCATCTAACAGTGAGCCCAGCCTGCAGTGAGCCCAGCCTGCAGATCCACATCAGCAGACTTAATGCCTTGTACTTCTAACCTTTAACTAAAGGTGAGGAGGGGCTGGGCACGGTGGCACACACCTGTAATCCTAGCACTTTGGGAGGCCAAGGCGGCTGGATCACAAGGTCAGGAGTTCAAGACCAGCCTGGCCGACATGGTGAAATCCCATCTCTACTAAAGATACAAAAAAATTAGCTGGGTGTGGTGATGCACACCTGTAATCCCAACTACTTGGGAGGCTGAGGCAGGAGAATCGCTTGAACCTGGGAGACAGAGGTTGAAGTGAGCTGAGATCGCACCATTGCACTCCAGCCTGGGCGACAGGGCAAGAGTCTGTCTCAAAAAAAGAAAAGAAAAAAAGAAAAAAAACCAAAAAAACAAGAGGAAAGGGGGGTCAGGGAGAGGACTGAGTTACAATTAGTTTTTTCATGTCACAATTGATACTCAATCTTGGTGACATGGTTATTTAGTGACTGCTCTAGCAAAAGCCACATTCCGCGAAAAAAGAAAAAAAGTAATCTATTGACAACAGAACTTGGTACTGAAATGTCTAAGTGAGTGAATCTGAGAGGGAAAAAGGTAGTGATGCCCAAGAAAATAGCTATCAAAATGGGGACAAACAATTCATAGCAGGGGAAACACTGAGCTAAATAAACAGTATACAACAAGGTCAAAAATACCTAAGTTAGGCTGGGCGCGGTGGCTCACGCCTGTGATGCCAGCACTTTGGGAGGCTGAGGCGGGCAGATCACGAGGTCAGGAGATCGAGACCATCCTGGCTAACATGGTGAAACCCCGTCTCTACTAAAAATATAGAAAAAAATCAGCCGGGTGTGGTGGTGGGCGCCTGTAGTCCCAGCTACTCGGGAGGCTGAGGCAGGAGAATGGCATGAACCTGGGAGGCGGAGCTTGCAGTGAGCCGAGATCGTTCCACTGCACTCCAGCCTGGGCTACAGAGCGAGACTCTGTCTCAAAAAAAACAAAAACAAAAAAAACCCACCTAATTTATAAGATAATAGAGGGAAGAAACTATTTGAATCAACTTCATTTCTTTTTTTTTTTTTGAGATGGAGTTTTGCTCTTGTTGCTCAGGCTGGAGTGCAGTGGCGTGATCTCAGCTCACTGCAACCTCTGCCTCCCGAGTTCAAGCGATTCTCCTGCTGCAGCCTCCCAAGTAGCTGTGATTACAGGTGCCCGCCACCACACCCAGCTAATTTTTTTGTATTTTTAGTAGAGATGGGGTTTCACCATGTTGGCCAGGCTGGTCTCGAACTCCTGACCTCAGGTGATTCACCCGCCTTGGCCTCCCAAAGCACTGGGATTACAGGCGTGAGCCACTGCAGTCGGCCGAATCAACTTCATTTCTAATAATCTGGGCTATTTTGGTTCAGCATAAGAGGTAGTATTAAAAATTCCATCTCCAGATCACAGTGGGGAAAACAGTTGACTACTGTTTCAAAGAGATTTTTTTCCTTATGAACAAATAAAAAGGTAACTTACCTGACCCCTCATCACAGACATCTGACTTTCAAAAGTGGCTTTGTCAAATCCTTTGTCAGTCTATTATAGAAAGGAAAAAAACAATTCCCAAAATAAAGACTTTGATATAAATATTTGAAAACAGATGAACTCTTCAACTCAGCAAATAAGGCCATTAAAAAGCTTTCCTAATTGATAAAATAAAACAAAAATAGTATTTTTACCTGAGGTATTTTTGTATACTCCCAGAATGACACGAATAGACTTATTTATTTGGACCTGAACTTGTTCCAGAAAGGATTTAACATGACTTTCCAGCCAATGAATTTAGGCTTTTTAAGAGAACTAAAACATAGCAGGTCACCAAATATGTATTATAATTTATAGAGTCTTCTTGTAAAAATTCAACTTTTGAAGAAAACAGCAAATTAAGTTTTAATGTAGTCTCACTTCAAAGAATGCTCACAGTAAGTATAGCTTTATGAATCTATGCTCCTGTAAATAAAACTGCTAATTCCTCTCTGTCCTGTCAGGTTTTATGGCAAGCAGCAATACAAGAAATAGAAAATTGCAAATCAGCTCTATTAAGCAGTCTCTTCTATTTTAAGATTTCATTTTCTGCAATAATCAAACTAAGCATTAACTTACCTTAAAAAGTTCATAGAGATCTTCACATAAATCTTGCACAAAGTTCATGTCAGAAATATATGGTAGAATCAAATTTCTTATTTCTTCAGAAAAGGGAACTTTTGCTTGAGGAAGCCAAGCCCAGTGAAATGGATCTAATAGAAAAAAGCATTCTCCTAATCAGTGGTAGGAAATGGTTTATTTAGACTTACATTTTTCCCGGTTCTTTCCTACAACTCCTAGGTTCTCCCCAAAAAAGGACAGGATAAGAACTTAATCAGAGTACAACTACCCACTGCAATCCAAATTACTCAGATTTGGACAGTCAATTCAGGTAGTAAACTAGTAATGTCTCTGAGTTTTAGACAGTAAAGAGTAAGAGTTTAGATAATGAATCTATCTCAAATAGCTCTAAATGTACCTCAGTCTATCTGGTTCCTCAGTTCAGAAACTGATGAATACCTATACTTTGTACACAGCCCCAGATTGTTTTTATTATTATATATTTTTAAGATAATGGGTCTCACTGTGTCACCCAGGCTGGAGTGCAGTGGCAAGATTACAGCTCACTGCAGCCTTGAACTTCTGGACTCAAGGGATTCTCCCACTTCAGCTTCAAAAGTAGCTGGAACTACAGATGCATATCACCGCACCCGGGCACAGATTGAATACCACAGCTGAGGTCTGCCTAGCCTCCACAGCTACAAATCATCAGAAATTGACCACTTACTTGTACACAGAAGATGTTCTAAACTTTGAAATCATTAGGAGGTAAATGGGTGAGTCATTTTAAGAGACAAAAGATCCATGACTCTAAGCTATCTCTAATTCTCCCTCAAGAAGACCATTAAATCTAAACTACGCCAGGACTAGAGAGATTTGTACAGGTATAATCTTCTAGAGAGGGTGCATATTCAGATTCCTGCAAGAGTGTAAGGTTTTTGACATGATCATCCACAGAGCTACTGTGAGCATATCCAATGAGAATCCCCAGCTTTGGTGGATCCTACCACTTTGAAAGCCCTGAAGAAGAAATCTGCCTTTGGAGTCATTCCTCCTCAGTCACTCAGGCTAGGGTGCAGTGGCACAATCATAGTTCGCTATAGCCTCAATCTCCTGGGCTCAAGCAATTCTCTCGCCTCAGCCTCCCAAGTAGCTAGGACTACAGGAGTGCGCCTCAGCGCCTGGCTCTCACTTCTTGATCTATCTCATTGCACACAGTAGGAAGGTCACTTTTCATTCTAAAGAAAGCATTTCCCCTGGCTCACATCTCCTTGTAGATATGTCCAATTTTCTTTTTAGTTTTCCCTGAATAATTTCATAGAAGAAAGGCCCTTATTTTTCATCTGCCTCTACATTTAATCCCAACACTCAACTTCTAGTACTACTATCTAAACACTCTCTCCTAAGGCCACCAGTCACCAGACCCAAGGGTCTGTCCAAAGGCTCACTTGCAGTTGTCATGCTACCTAATCTCTCTGTAGCATGTAGCACTGTTTTCTATCATCTCCTTTATGAAATTCTCTCCTCTATGGTGTTGGAGATACCACTCTAAGTTTACCTTCTGTCTTGTAAGCTACTCCTTCTCTCTTTTGCTAGTTTTTCCTCCCCTCTTTCAATGTCACTGTTACCCCTGATTCCACACTTAGTCCTTTCTCTTCTCTATTTATTTAAGCATTCATAAAACATTCACTGAATACTTATGTACCTGGCATTGTGCTAGGCAATAGTGTTTGTTCTCTGTGATTTTCCTCAGTAATAGCAAACACTACCATGACTTCCATCAACAAGATGACAGTTTAAAAGCTATTTCCTCTCTCTCATATCCCAGAAAACCAAAAAAAAGAAAGAAAAAGAAAAAGAAATAAAAACTATATCCCCACTACCAATTCCTTTTCAAGCTCCAACCTTTAATCCCCAACTGCATGTTTGGTAAAATTTCCTAGATGTACCCTTTAAACCCTTTACAAATGCAATTTGCATAAAGGTTCCAAACCATTAGGAGAAAATAATAAAATGGAACCAAGACATTTCAAATCAGTTCAATAAAAGACAGGACAAGCAAAAAAGAACAAATTACAATTCACGTTTAATAGGAAAAAAATAAGAGGGCAGGAAAAGCTTAAGCGTATCAGTAGTTTATTGAGACTTAAACTACAAAGTGCACCTATTAAAAGACTCAGACTGGGTTAAAAAAACAGCTAAGTATTCTTCATAAGTCACATATCTAAAACAAAATGATAAAAGTTAAAAATAAAAGTAGATTAGCTGAGTGTGATGGCGTGTGCCTGTAGTCTCAGCTACTTGAGAGGCTGAGGCAGGAGGATTGCTTGAGCCAGGAGTTTGAGGCTGCAGTAAGCTATGAGCATGCTACTGCAATCCAGCCTAGATGACAGAGGGGGACCTTGTCATTCATTCACACATGCATAAATGTAGAGAATAATACCAGGTATATGCTAACAAAATGAACGGAGGTATAACAATGTTACAGAAAACCAAATAAGAAAAGCAAAGGCCACTGAGGTATACACAAAGTGGGACATATTTCACACTGATTAAAAAAAAAAAAGAAGCCACCAGGAAGATAAACCACTGGACCTCTACACACGTGAAATACAAAGCAAAAAATGCATAGAAATTGAAGAAAAAACTGACAAAATCACAATCACAGTGATCATTAATTTCCTCTGAAAATTAACAGATTAAATAGTCAGAAAATAAGTAAAGGATATGATATGACTAACAACCTTCAGGTTAGCAGACAGAATTTTGTCCTCATTCTTTTCAAATACTATCCTCTAAATAGGCCATATATAGGATCATACAGAAATTACTAACAAATTGCAAAACAGAATTTACACAGGCCATATTCACAGATCACAATGCAATAATGCTGGAAAATAACAATGAACAGTTTCTTAGAAATAGTAATAATGGACAATTAAAATAAGCTGACGTAGAAATTTTAAGATCAAACAAAATACTTCTAAATTATTCCTGTCAAAAAGAAAGTCAGAAAATATGAGTATGTAAAGCAGAGCCATAGAGTACCACCTGTGCAACCCGTGATTTAGCCAAAATGATACCCAGAGGAAAGTATGAGGCCTAATATGCATTTATAGGAAAGCGATATAGCATGAACATAATAGGAGAAAAGAATAATGATGGAAAACATAAATCTATAAAAGAAAAAGCAAACAAACTAAAAGCCTGATCTATAAAATAAAAAGGCAATTATCTGGGGAAAAAGAGCATAAATAATTAAATAAATAGAAGGACCGATGCTTAACAATAGACAAATCTTTGGCAAGCCTAATGAGTAAAAGGCTCACTAATAAATTGAAGGAATTTAAAAGAGACATATCATGGATACAAATTTTTTTTTTTTTTTTTTTTTTTGGTGAGACAGAGATTTACTCTTGTTGCCCAGGCTGGAGTGCAATGGCGCGATCTCGGCTCACAGCATCCTCTGCCTCCCAGGTTCAAGCGATTCTCCTGCCTCGGCCTCCCGAGTAGCTGGGATTACAGGCATGTGTCACCACACCCGGCTAATTTTGTATTTTTAGTAGAGATGGAGTTTCACCATGTTGCCCAGGCTGATCTCAAACTCCTGACCTCAGGTAATCCACCCACCTCAGCCTCCCAAAGTGCTGGGATTACAGGCGTGAGCCACTGCACCCAGCCAGATTTTTTAAACATACTATATATTTTTTATTTTATTTTTGAGACAGGGCCTTACACTCTTGTCACCCAGGCTGGAGTACAGTGGTGCCATCTTGGCTCACTGCAACCTCCACCTCCCAAGCTCAAGTAATCCTCTCACCTCAGTCTCCCAAGTAGCTAGGACTACAGGCATCGGCCACCACACCTGGCTCATTTTTGTATTTTTTGTAGAGATGGGGTTTCGCCATGTTGCCCAGGCTGGTCTTGGACTCCTGAGCTCAAGTGATCTGCTAGCCTCAGCCCCCAAAGTGCTGGGATTACAGGTGTGAGCCACCATGCCTGGCCCATATATTTTAAACACATACAAATATCAGA
The DNA here is from genome assembly GCF_000001405.40 of Homo sapiens. NCBI lineage: Eukaryota > Metazoa > Chordata > Mammalia > Primates > Hominidae > Homo > Homo sapiens. The sequence continues at coordinate 25,264,559 of NC_000004.12, read as the reverse complement.
AAACAACTATAATAAACTCCCATGTTAACTCAATCATTACCAATTTTTTTTTGCAAAACTGGCTTTATTTATCCCTCCTGGTCCACACCACCAATATTTTAAGGCAAATTACAGAAATCATTTCATTTAACTCCCTAAATACTCAATACGCACAGAGGGAATTTTTTTAATTATAAGAGAATTCTAATAAAATGCTATACTCATAAATTTAAAACTCAAGAAATCATGGAAAATTTTAAGCAAAATAAAAGTGCCTAAAACTGGTTCAAGAAGATGTAGAAAACGTAATCATTTACCACAAAAGAGACTGGGAAAGCAATTAAAGCACTACTCCCTAAAAATGAGGTCAGGTGGAGGGCAGGCCTAAATTGTTTTAGAAGTGAATACAACGAAAAACGTAAAATATAGTTCTACCAAATATTAAAATAATTTCAATGTTATATATTTTTTAAAAACTGGAACACTACTAAACTCATTTTCCAAGGATAACACAAAACCTAAAAATCAAAACCAGTCATCCCAGAATAAGCAAAAAATTCATAGCAAGACCCTGTAGTATACATTTGCATCCCTAATGCCTAAAACTGAGCCTTAATGAATAATCATATTTCATCTACTTTTTCCTCCGCTATGGTATCTGTAAATTTTTTTCCCTTCTCATTCTGGAAAAAAGGTAATTATAGACTCTACAGAAGGTTCTAAATACTCACATGCTCTCCATTCATCAGGATGTTTAAAAGGAAATGCTAGACCATTATCAATTGCAGCTATTTTAATAAGGAATTCTTCATCATCAATCCATTTTGATTCCTATAGAGTAGAAAAATGATATGTTGATAAAAGAACCTATATAAATATTCCCAAAGGATAAATTATTTATAATAATTATTGAGGTTTAAGAACATATTCTCTCGGATGAGCCTATAAAAATAATGTTACCAGAAAAAGTACAAATTCACACAGGAATGGAAGAGACTGTCTGAAAAAACAGTGTATTTCCTAACCACTATTTTTTAAAATTTCATATTATACCATTACTCAGTAATGGTTTCAAGTTTTTTCTCTTTAAAAGGCTTGAAAATATTGTGACTTTAAAAAGTGATGTTCTAGATAATTTACTGCTAGATTCATTGCTTAAATGTATGATGTAAAATATTACTAATTTTTTTAAACACCTTAATAATCACCTTATTAAGACCTAGTCTTTCTTAGGGTCCCAAAGAAATAAATCAAACACAAAATGTTTCTAAATGAAACTCCTTCAAAGACCATAATTAAATATAAGATCTAGTAGAAGGAACCTCAAGATATTCTTGAATGTAGGTGTTATTTTTTGGCTGTGTCCCCACCCAAAATCTCATCTTGAATTGTAATCCCCTGTAATCCTTATGTGTCAAGGGTGGGACCAGGTGGAGGTAATCGGATCATGGGGGCAGTTTCTGCCATGCTGTTCTCGTGACAGTGAGTGAGTTCTCATGAGATTTGATGGTTTTGCAAGCGTCTGGCATTTCTCCTACACTCATTCTCCTGCCACCCTGTGAAGAGGTGCCTTCTGCCATGATTGTAAGTTTCCTGAGGCCTCCCCAGCCATGCAGAATTGTGAGTCTCTTTTCTTTATAAATGACCCAGCCTTGGGTATTTCGTCATAGCAGTGTGAGAATGTACTAATACAGTAGGCCGTTCCTAACTTCTGTATTCTTCCATAACAGAAATAAAGATCTCAGGAGAAAGAGGGTTTTCATGTTAAAGAGTATTTCTGCGGAAGGTAATTTATCAAGCTCAACTATCTTTAGAGGTAATTATTGTGAATATCTGTTTTATTTTACCACGGTGGTTCACACGGCTCTGATGTTAACTTCGTATTTTTGGAATTGCTTTACTTAGAAATTAAAACAGAATAAAGTTAAAAGTGTGTGTTTTTTAAAGAAAAAAAAAGGGTATTCTGATTAAAGATAGATGGCCATTACTAAGTGGCCTAGATACAATAACAAAAAGTAAAACAGAAAATTTTTAATTTAAAAGCACTACAGTGAAGGCTGATGTGAGGTACGCCAACTTTATTTCTTTTAGTTTATATCAAATGTCTTACACCTCATTGAAAGTGCACAAAATACTTAGAGCAAAAGAATTTTCAGCAAAATCTAACAGCTCAAGATATACAAATAAAATAATTTGGGGAGCTTATGTTATTTAATTATCTTTAATTTTTTTATTTTTTTGAGACAGGGTCTTGCTCTGTCACCCAAGCTAGAGTGCAGAGGCACAACCACAACTCACTGCAGCATTGACTTCCTGTGCCCAAGCAATCCTCCCACCTCAGCCTCCCGAATAGCTGGGACCACAGGTGCCTGCCACCATGTCCGGCTAATTTATTTCATTTTACTTTTTCTACTATCTTTAAGTCTTTTATCCTTAAGTGGCGCTTTAAAAAGATTTTTTTTTAATTCTTTGTAGACACAGGGTCTCAGACTCCTGGACTCAATCAATCCTCCCACCTTGGCGTCCCAAAGTGCTGTGATTACAGGCATGAGCCACTGTGCCCAGCCCAGGAGCTTATACATATGAGCATTTATGTTTGTATTTTAAGCCCATTTCTGCTACAACTGCCATTTATTATTATTTCTACTATTCTTTCCTATTTACAACTTTATTAAGGTATAATTTATACACAATTAACTTCCTATATTAACAAGTACAATGTGATGAGCCTTGACATATGTGAAACTTCCACGCCAAAGTTTCCTTGTGTCCCTCTGCAGTCCAGCTACTGGTCTGTTTTCTGTCACTAGAAACTAGTTTGCATTTTCTAATTTTTAAATATAAATATACAATATGTTCCCTTTATGTGTAGCTTCTTTCACTCAGCATAATTTTAAGTTTCATCCACGCTATTGTATCGTTTGTTCCTTTTTATTGCTAAGTGCTACGAATATGTATTTTTAAATATCCTTGATAAACATTTAAAAGCACAAACTTTTAAAAATGATGCAACAGCTTTAAGTCATTACTTGAGAACATAAATTATAAATATTGAAGAAATATTTTTAATCACTTAAAACTTTCCCAAATGTACAAACTGTTTTAAACTTGTAAAAGTATTTTATAAAAAAAATCTTATGTAAATATCTAAAACTTCAACTTGGTACTCAAAGTCGATAGCAATTACTCTAAAATCTATAACTCTCATATCAGTGTTGAGGCTCTATGCAGTCTATTATATATGTTAAAACCAGCTTCTTATAAATAGCAAAAGTATTTAATACTTTTTTTAAGTTCAGTGGACAAGATTCACAGGTTAAGCACACATGTTCCATTTATTAGGTAATATTGTATTATCTAATACTGAATGAAAGGACTCAGAAGAAAGTGAATTAGTAAAATACAAACATGGTGAACAAAAATCCCAGAAGCCTTTATTACATAAAAGCAAAATATGGGGATTCCATATATTTCTCAAACTCTAAAAAAGTACTAGGCAGGTATTATTCTTCTATTCTAATATGAAATAAAAAATAAAGCTGCCCAACAATTAATAAAAGAAAAAACAGAACTGGCTGGGTGTGGTGGCACATGACTGTAATCCCAGCACTTTGGGAGGCCAAGGCGGATGGATTGCTTGAGGCCAGAAGTTCGAGACCAGCCTGGCCAACACGGCAAAATCCCACCCCTAAAAAAAAAAAAAAAAAAAAATCAAGAATCAAGAAATGCAACGTAAACAAGTGACAAAAATAAAAAGTGTGAGAAAAACAGAGACAGTAGATTTAAAAACCAAGGATTAAGTGAAAGAAGGAGGAAATGGTGAAGAATAACTTAAAGGAATCTTTTACAGAAATTGAATATATATATATATAATATTCACAAGTTATACACAATTATATACACGTGTGTGTGTGTATGTGTGTGTGTGTGTGTGTGTGTATATATATATATATATATATATATATATATAAAATTGTAAATTTCCTTACCTTATGGTCAATTTCCTTTTCACATTTCTGCTTTTCGTATCTGACTAACCAATTATCATTGCCCCTGTCTTTCAAAACAAACAAGAAAATCTGTTACTTCATTTCTATGGACATCATGGCTTAATATCAATGAGAAAACTCTAGTGATCTCCTGATTTTTGAGACTTTCACTGGTTATCTGTAGCATATTAAAGGTCACAATTTAACACAAAGAAACTAAAAAAAAAAAAACAAACATAAATGTGAGCTAACATTTATTGAATATTTTCTCTGGGCCGACATTGTTTTAAGTGCTTAGTATGTAATAATTCATGTAATCCTCAAAACTACCCTGTGAGGTGATACAATTATTAAATCAAGGTTATTAAAATCAAAGAGCTTTTCTTCACTTTAGGAAGAAAAAGCATTAACCCCCTATTTCTAGGCAAATTTCTAAGCAGGCTCACCTCATGTCAGCATAGAAGTAGTCTAGACTATAAACATATATATGTAAATTAAGAAAGTGAATCTGGAAAATTATTTGATTCGTTTCCAAAAACTAAATAAGAAAACATTTTGAACCAGTGGTTCTCAAACTTCAGAATGCATCAGAATTACCTGGAGGGTACCTTAAAACCCAGCCTGCCAGTACCCACTTGCAATTTCTGTTCCAAAAGGTCCAGCGTAGTGTCTGAGAAGATGCATGTTTAACAAATTCTCACGTAATGCTGACCCTGACAGTCCAGGGACCCACAATGGGGAGCCCCTGCTTTGGATAATCTACATCAAGCTTATCCAACCCGTGGCCTGCAGGCCGCATGCTGCCCAGGATGGCTTTGAATGTGGCCCAACAAAAATTTGTAAACTTTCTTGAAACATTATGAGATTTTTTTTTTATACTTTTTTTTTTTAAGCTCATCAGCTGTCATTAGTGTTACTGTTTTTATGTGTGGCCCAAGACAATTCTTCTTCCAGTGTGGCCCAGGGAAGCCAAAAGACTGGACATCCCTGGTCTACGTCATTGCTCCTTTATAGCACAGGAAAAATTAAGAGTTTAGTGTATTTATAGACTACACTAAGAGTTACATAATGTCAAAATAAGCACCTAACATAATTTATACAATGAAGCCTTAATTACTCACATTATGCAGATAACATTTCCAATATCTGACTTTGCCCTGCCCCTAGGAAATTCCTCCCTAGGGGACAGGAACTGATCTAGGAGCCTGCTATGAGTCAGAATCTATCCCACACAGGATGAATTCTGCCCAGGAGAGTCAATACTACATCTGTTTGCCAAGACAGACAGAGAAAGTGGCTTCAAGACTTCTGCAACAAAAGTTTACCGCTTTGATTTGGATAACAAGAATATAGTTTGAAAATGAACAAGATTTACGTGAACAAATGAGAGAACTTCAATACCTGTATTTCTGATGATGTAATCCAAAATAACTAATCTTTCAAATTGTGACTGAAATTGTTTTCTAATATTCTCAGGCAAAGGGTCAGCTTCAAATTTCCTAAGCCAATATTCAGCCTCCTTGTAACCTTCAACAAATAACTGAAAGGAACCAATCTATAATTTTAAGAACTATAGTTAGAAAAGAAAGTACAAGAACAAGGGGATTAATATTTATATTTCTCAGCAGTACTGTCAAAAAATATGTCATGTAAACACAATAAGAAAACTTAACACTAATTTAGATAAGCCACATTTATCAAGAAAACCATTTTTATACACTAATTTTAAATAATCACATAAAGAATACATAGCAAATAAAAAATGCTTACCCCTAGACTTTCAAGGAGCATAGCAGCTATTTTGGGAAAATTTAAAAAAAGAATAAACACATGTCTTCAAGGTGACACTCTGAAAAAGAATGCCGTTTTTCTAAAAATATTCATTAAGGTGAATTTAATTATGGAGGCCAAATTTTAAACCTATCCTGCTTATTCAGTAACAGTGCAATTTTATCTGAACTTTTCCAGATTCTTTTTATGACATAAAATACAATAAATAATTTTTTTTCATTTTTTTTTTTTAGTTGTTAAGACTCTTTCTTTGAATTCTAAATAAATTATTTTATTTTAAAAATAGGATGAGGCCAGGTGTGGTGGCTCACACCTGTAATCCCAGCACTTTGGGAGGCTGAGGTGGGTGGATCACTTGAGGCCAGGAGTTTGAGACCAGCCTGGCCAACATGGTAAAAACCCTGTCTCTATTTAAAATACAAAAAATTAGCCATGTGTGGTGGCACATGCCTGTAGTCCCAGCTACTCAGAAGGCTGAGGCAGGAGAATCGCTTGAACTCGGGAGGCAGAGGTTACAGTGAGCCAAGATTGCACCACTGCACTCCAACCTAGGCGACACAGCGAGACTGTCTCAAAAAAAAAAAAAAGGACAGATTCCTTAACCACACAGATTAAATACCCAGTCTTAAATTTTAAAGAACAAATCTATTAATCATAATATTGATAGCGGTTTTAAAAAAGTCCTTTCCTTGAAGATATGACCATTTAAGAAGGCATTTTTGTTACTAAGATTACTAGTTAATAGTAAACAATTTGTTGGAGAAGGAAATAAAAATTTAAGTAGCATGTGACAAACAGGTAACAGGTAACCCTAGTTTGCTTCAAAAATACAAACAAATCACCACAAAGAAAATCTGCTTTTTATTCTAACACTTAATGTTTTTGTTGCTGGCATGAAATTTTCATGATTTCCTACAAGTGTTCTTTAAAATACTTATAACTAAGACCTAGTAGTCATAAATATGGAAATAACATCCTCCTTTAGTCACACTTATTTCAGCATGTCTAAGGAAGAACAAGCCTTTTAAAAACTTTCAAACTTCCTGCCCACTTTGAGTAAAATTTATCTTAAAAGTTAGGTTAATGATGAATTCCTACTGAAATTCTTTTTATCTAGATAAATGTAGGGAAGCAAGAAAATCATAAGCCAAATACATTTCTAAAAAATAAGTCTTAAAGCTTTTTCTAGAATGCCTTTCCCATTAACCCTCTCTACCCTTGTTTAGCTGGCTGCTCATCATCCCTCAGGTTTACTTAAAGGTGATAAGAAAAAAGAAAACCTAATGTGTAGTAAGTAAACATAGCTGCTGCCATTTACTTAACCTTTACTATGTACCAAGTCCTTGACATGAATTTCTTAGTTTTCTCCTCACAACAACCTAAGAGGTAGTTTTTGTCATTCTCATTTTATAGAAACTGGAGCTTAGAGTAAGGAACTTGGCCAGGCACAGCGGCTAACACCTGTAATCCCAGCACTTTGGGAGGCCAAAGCGAGAGGATTGCTTCAGCCCAGGAATTCAAGACCAGCCTAGGCAACATGGTGAGACTCTATCTCTACAAAAAAAATTTTTTTTAATTAGTCAGGTGTGGTGGTGTGCACCTGTGGTCCCAGCTACTCAGAAGCCTGAGGCAGGAAGATTATCTGAGCCCACGAGGTCGAGGCTGCAGTAAGCCCTGTTCACAACACTGTACTCCAGCTGGGGCAACAGAGTGAGACCCTCTATCAAAAAAAAAGAAAGAGAAAGAGCAAGTAAAGAACTTACCCGAGGTAAGTTCTGGAATCAGACCTAATCCCAGCAAACTAGCAGAGAGGCTGGGATTAGGTCTGATTCCAGACCTGTGGTTTTACCCATTACTTTATAAGCCTTTCATGCAACCTCTTCCTGGAAACACCTCCCATCCCTCTAAACTGGGTTAGGCATCCATCTATCCTCTTAGAGCTCCCTGAACTTACCGTCATCTCAACAGCTTTATATTACACTAAAATTACCTGTTTACTATAAGCTCCTGGAAGATGAAAAATCTGTGCTATAATATCCACAGCTAATAGCACAATGCCTGGCTCCTAGAGCTCAGGATGTATGTGCCCAAATGCCCTCTAAATACAGCTTATCAGAGAAACTTACCTTAGGAGGGAGTCCTATCCTATGAAACTTTCTACCCACTTTTGGCACTTTTTCTAAAGCATACTTTTTGCCTCTTGATTTTGCACGGTCAATCGCATTATAGTTAAATGTCTCACTGACAAGCCAAACCACCTAGAAACATACAATTCAGAAAAATGGTTAGAATTTGCATTATAGTATCTCTTTTCATATACACCATGAAACTCACTCTAATGATGAAAATTAGCAAAGTTTAATCCTGTAATAAAGGCCCCAGAGAATCTAAAACAGAAAAGCCAGGGAATTTTGCAAAGCCTTGTTAAATGAAGGGCACATATTTCTTTCTGAGAGTGGTATAAAAGCCTTTTAGAGGCCTAAATTTGCCAGTGGTCAAAGTAACAGTATTGAACTGTAGACTTAGGAATAAACATTTTAAGGAAGAAGGCTTCAAGTAAAAATTTAGAAAGGATGCCAGGTTAGCTGGGTGCAGTGGCTCATGCCTGTAATCCCAACACTCTGGGGGGCTGTGGCAGGTAGACTGCTTGAGCTCAGGAGTTTGAGACCAGCCTGGGCAACATGGAGAAATTCCATCTCTACTAAAAATACAAAAGCTGGCTAGGTGTGGTGGTGATGCCTGTATTACAAGCTACTCAGGAGGCTGAGGTGGGAGGATCACCTGAGCCCAGCAGGACAAGGCTGCAGTGAGCCATGATTGCATCCCTATACTCCAGCCTGGGCACGAGACCCTGTCTCAAAAAAAAGAAAAGAACAGAAAGGATGTGGGTGCCAGGCGCATGATGGTATGTGCCTATAGTCCCAGCTACTCAGGAGGCTGAGGTGGGAGGATCACCTGAGCCCAGCAGGATGAGGCTGCACCTGAGCCCAGCAGGATGAGGCTGCAGTGAGCCATGATAAAGAGAAAAGATGTGGGTGCCAGGCACATGATGGTATGTGCCTGTAGTCCCAGCTACTCAGGAGGCTGAGGCAGGAGGACTGCATAAGCAGAGAAATTTAAGGCCAGTCTGGGCAACACAGCAACACCCTGTCTCTTAAAAAAACAAAACAAGAGAAAAGAAAAAAATTTTGTATAAAGGCTGAAAGGACAATACAAGTCTTTAAGCACATTGGTTATCTCTGCCTTCAATAGGATCTCTGGATCCCCTGATATTTTCCTGCCTTCTGAATGCTAGTTCTTTATCCTCTTTTTGTTAGCATCGTCAGATCTCACAGAGACAAGACACATTCCTTTAAGTACTTTGTGGATCTACACTACAATCAATTTACTAGTTACCAGTCACTCATGACTCTTGGACTACTACCAAAAAAGGGGCTCCACTTTAGGTTCTATCATTAGGAATAATTACTGAAATATTCAGATATAAGCAGGTTGTAAATTAAAAGTCCATGGTTAAAAATAAAGTCTGGCTTACCTTTGTTTTAGGTACAATGCTCAGATGAAGCTTGTTGTCCACAAGATAGGCACCCGCTTCGGAAAGGTACCCCTGATTAGGAATCAGGCAGCCTCGGCCAAAGCAGCAAGGGCAGCAGACCTTATGGACATATTTGGTCCATTTTGGATTGAGTTGACCATAAGGCTCTTCTGATTTGGGTTTAAACACACCAATAATTTTCTAGAGCAAAAAAGTAAAAATCTTATTAGACTTTTTACATATATAGATAATCATCCATAAAATGCATTCTAATAAATTGTTCTCTACTGCTTCCTACCACAGATGTAGGCATAAATCCCCAAACTATTAAGAGGATTTATAAACCTCAACTATTAAGAGATTTAGTTCCAATCACATTTTCATATTCATTCTTATTCAACAATCTAAAATCAAGACCAGTTTTCAAACTGTGCTCTGACAAACCCTGGGAAGGTGGGGGCAAGGCTCCAAGACCCCATGCCACTTAACCAGATTAACTCTAATTTCACCTGTTTTATATTGCTGGACTTCCAAGTTAAGAAACAGTTTCACTGGGCCGGGCACGGTGGCTCACACCTGTAATCCAGCACTTTGGGAGGCCGAGGCGGGCGGATCATGAGGTCAGGAGATCGAGACCATCCTGGCTAACATGGTGAAACCCCATCTCTACTAAAAATACAAAAAATTAGCCGGGCGTGGTGGAGGGCACCTGTAGTCTCAGCTACTCAGGAGGCTGAGGCTGGAGAATGGCATGAACCCAGGAGGCAGAGCTTGCAGTGAGCGGAGATCGCACCACTGCACTCCAGCCTGGGTGACAGAGCGAGACTCTGTCTCAAAAAAAAAAAAAAGGAAAGACTTTCACTGATTTTTAAATGTTTCAAAACCACCATTCTAGGTCAAACAGTGTTATTATTCACTATCTATTAAATATCCACATTACATGTTTGCTGTTTACTTTCCCCACATTAATGTACATTCTAATAAGGCAAGGACTTGGTTTGTTAGGGCTGCATTTCCAGTAGTCAGAACAGTATCTGATGAACAGTGGACATCCAAGTATTTGTTAAATTAACTAATCCAATGACAAAAACTACCTCTAAAATACAAATATAATGATAAGATACAGTGTACATCCATGCTGTCAGATTCTCGTACCCTAATTCTTTTCCAGCTATTTTTTCAGGAACCAATTTAAAGTAAACTCTTGGCCAGGCGCTGTGGCTCACACCTGTAATCCCAGCACTTTGGGAGGTGAGCAGATCACTTGAGGTCAGGAGACCAGCCTGGTCAACATGGGGAAATCCCGTCTCTACTCAAAATACAACAATTAGCTCGGCGTGGTGGCGAGCGCCTGTAATCCCGGCTACTCAGGAGGCTGTGGCAGGATAATCGCTTGAACCCGGGAGGTGGAGGTTGCAGTGAGCCGAGACTGTGCTACTGCACTCCAGCCTGGGCGACAGAGTGAGAATCCATCTTAACAAATAAATTGATTAAATTCTCTCGTATTAAAAAATCTTTTTTTGCTCATGAATGTCTAAAAGTCTCTGTACTCTTATTGTTTGATACAATATACTCATATTCAATTTAGAAGCTGAATTATCCTTAGACAAGAACAAATCTTATTATAATTTTAAGTATATAATTGCTTTATAACACAATAAATATAATGCAATAAGGTCTGAGTCACTAGTAAAAAAGTCAACAAGATCAAATTAAGAAATCAAGCTTAGAATAAAGATTGAGAGATTGACAGTACCTTCAAATACATTTTAATCTTAAAAAAGGGACTATGCTTTAAAATCATTTTAAAAATAGAACTTCTATCTTTGCCAAAAAAATTGGGTGAAATTATAAACGTTATTCCCCTGGAGAAAAGAACTGCTCATTATGCATCATTCAGAAAGCTTTTAGAAAAAATAACATATTTTTGAAAAATTCTAGACTAAGTGGAGCAAAGTGCCACATCAACTTCTCTTTTCCACTTTAGAATCATCCTGTGGTTCATTTCACTTTCACATTCCAATACTTTCAAGCTTCAGATTGCTAAGCCTCCTTCCCCTGGTAAAATGCCAGAAAAGGTATTCACATACCTTTGAAAAAAAATCAAGTACTTTGGAAATGACATTAAACAACTTTTGAAGGTTTAACCTTCCACCGTGTTTGGCTATTAAGGTTATAGACTTCCATAAGATAAGGACTTGTGAATATATATACTCAAAAAGGCTACAGCTGAATGTGGGTATTCAATAAATGCTTGAAACCAAGTATAAAATAACAAAATAGCAAACTGTGACTTGAACTGATTAGCTCTGTTTCTAAGCACTAGAGTGCTTTAGTAAAAGCAAAACATTGAGGCTGGGCACAGTGGCTCACACCTGTAATCTCAACACTTTGGGAGCCAAAGCCGAGGTTTGCTTGAGCCCAGGAGTTCAAGACCAGCCAGGGCAATATAGGGAGACCACCGTCTCTACAAATAATTACAAAAATTAGCCCAGTGTGGTGGCACGCAACTATGGTCCCACCTACTTGGGAGGCTGAGATGGGAGGATTGCCTGAGCCCAGGTGGTCAAGGTTACAGTGAGCTATGATTGCACCACTGCACTCCAGCCTGGGTAAGAGAGGGCGACCCCGGGCGTCTCAAAAAACAAACAAAAACTGACCTTTGTTTTGGAAAAGAGGTTACAATCAGACTTAATAGGAAAATATCTTTAGAAACTCACAATGATTTCATATTTAAATTAGTATTTACCAAAGTTTCCATTACATATAATAGGTCTGTGAAATTCTCACCCTCTTAGGATCCTTCACAAAGTAACTTCCACTTGAACCTTGAGAGATTCTTTCTGGAAAAATTCCAACTTCTATTGCTTGCTCTGCTCTCAGCATAATATCGGCAAATTCTGGGTCATCCAAGAATGCATTCATCTCTGAAGTACCAATAGTTACTGCATTAAGAAGAAATACCAGCTATGAGAATGCTCATGATATGGACCTGTAATATCGATTAGCTTGCCGGTATCAGGATATAAGGTACAGAAAAATGTAATCAAGATTTGTATAGACTGCTCTAATCCTCCTTCCCCCCACTGCCTAACAACCCCCACTTCTCTTAAATTTCCAAATAATAACATGGGGGCGGGGGCGGGCACAGTGGCTCACGCCTGTAATCCCAGCACTTTAGGAGGCTGAGGCGAGTGGATCACCTGAGGTCAGGAGAGTTCAAGACCAGCCTGGCCAACATGGCAAAACCCCGTGTCTACTAAAAATACAAAAAATTAGCCAGATGTGGTGGTGGGCACCTGTAATTCCAGCTACTCGGAAGGCTGAGGCAGGAGAATCACTTGAATCTGGGAGGTGGAGGTTGCAGTGAGCAGAGATTGCGCCACTGCACTCCAGCCTGGGCAATAAGAGCGAGACACCGTCCAAATAATAATAATAACAACAACAACAACAACAACATGGGAGGAAGTTAACTGTTCATTAAAAATAATACTAATACCTCTCATTTCTTTGAACTTCGGTCCTGCAATGATTCTATCATCCATCCTACTTCATCCTCTAGTTCCCCAATCATATCTCGGATTTTGTCAATACCAGTAACTGCAACCTCACCACACTTTCAATTTCAAGCACCTCCTGTCTTCCCAGTTCAGTCCCTCTGGCACTCCGAGTCCAAATATTCTTCTGCCCTACTAGAACCTACAAAGGACTGCTCCCCCACGTCACTGGAATTCTCTCCCTTCATGTCCTTGCTTCCCTCCTCCTTGGCCAGCTTAAATTATGCTGGGTCTTCACAAAATCAACTCTTTCTTTCTCCCTTCATCATGGTCACCTGCAAAACTCCCAGTCCTGGTTAAACCCAACTGTCTACCAACTCCATGCCTGCACCAGGGCAGCGGAATTAAAGAAATGCACATGAGCCAATTTCTCTCCTCAAATTCCCAACACCTCCTCTTCCATCCTCTCTCTCAGGAGAGGATCTAGCTTCCTATTTCATTAAGAAATAAGCAGCAATCACAAAATACTACGACCAGCCCCCAGCACTGCATTTATTACCAACTACTTAACTTTGGAATGGCCCAGGTTCCATTCACAGTCCTCTTCTCTCCGTTACCAACACTGGTGACTCCCAAATTTCTAATTCAAGCCTGGACTTCTGCCCTAAACTCGACAACTGTATTCAACATCTCCACTTGGATGCGTAATAGACATCTCAAACTTCACTACCCAAAACTTCATTCTTCACCTTTACGCCTCCCAAAGGCTTCATCCCTACGTTTCCCATATTGCAGTTGCTGGCACCTCCAAATCTTCCAGTTGCTTAGGCCAAAAACCTTATAATCATCCATGATCTCACACGCTTACCCTCTACATCCAATCAGCAGGTTGTATTGGCTCTACCTTAAATAAATACCCAGAATCCAACCACCTCTTGCCATCTCCATTCCTTCCACATGATTCAGGTTACCATCGGCTCTCACCTCGATTATTCTAAGAGCCTCCTAACTGGTCTCCCTCTCTCACCCAGTCCCTCTCTATACCTAACAGAGAAGCTAGTAATACTTTTTCTTTGTAACTTTTAAGTTCAAGGGTACAAGTGCAGGTTACATAGGTAAACTTCTATCTTGGGGGTTTGTTGTACAGATTATTTCATCACCTAGGTATTAAACTGGTAAGAACAGATACTACACTTGATCTTAGCCAAAAGACAGAGAAGCAATCACTCAGGTATTAAGCAATCACCCAGGTAATCACTAGGTATTAAACCTAGTACCCATTAGTTACTGTTCCTGACTCTCCCTCCTCCTACCCTCCACCTTCTGAAAGGCCCTGGTATATGTTGTTCCCCTCTATGTGTCTGTGTGTTCTCATCATTTAGCTCCCACTTATTAGTGAGAACACGTGGTTGTTTGGTTTTCTGTTCCTGTGTTAGTTCACTGAGGCTAATGGCCTCCTGCTCCATTCATGTCCTTGCAAAGGACATGATCTCGTTCTTTTTTATGGCTCTTAAAACATTCTCCCTCTCCCTCTCCCCTCTCCCCTCTCCCTCTTCTTTGCACGGTCTCCCTCTGATGCGGAGCCGAGGTTGGACTGTACTGCCGCCATCTCGGCTCACTGCAACCTCCCTGCCTGATTCTCCCGCCTCAGCCTGCCAAGTGCCTGGGATTGCAGGCGCGCGCTGCCACGCCTGACTGGTTTTCGTATTTTTTGGTGGAGACGGGGTTTCGCCGTGTTGGCCGGGCTGGTCTCCAGTTCCTGACCGTGAGTGATCTGCCAGCCTCGGCCTCCCGAGGTGCCGGGATTGCAAACGGAGTCTCGCTCACTCAGTGCTCAGTGTTGCCCAGGCTGGAGTGCAGTGGCGTGATCTCGGCTCACTACAACCTCCACCTCCCAGCCACTTGCCTTGGCCTCCCAAAGTGCCGAGATTGCAGTCTCTGCCCGACCGCCACCCCGTCTAGGAAGTGAGGAGCGTCTCTGCCTGGCCGCCCATCGTCTGGGATGTGGGGAGGGCCTCTGCCCCGCCGCCCCGTCTGAGATGTGAAGAGTGCCTCTGCCCGGCCGCCACCCCGTCTGGGAACCCAGGAGTGTCTGCCCTGCCGCCACCCCATCTGGGAGGTGAGGAGTGTCTCTGACCGGCCGCCACATCTGAGAAGTGAGGAGCCCCTCCGCCCAGCAGCCGCCCCATCTGGGAAGTGAGGAGCCCCTCCGCCCGGCAGCCGCCCCATCTGGGAAGTGAGGAGCCCCTCCGCCCGGCAGCCACCCCGTCCGGGAGGCGGGGGGCAGCCCCCGCCCGGCCAGCCGCCCCATCCGGGAGGCGGGGGGCAGCCCCCGCCCGGCCAGCCGCCCTGTCCGGGGGGTGGAGGGGCGCCTCTGCCCGGCCACCCCGTCTGGGAAGTGATGAGCCCCTCTGCCTGGCCGCCACCCTGTCTGGGAGGTGTACCCAACAGCTCACTGAGAACAGGCCATGATGACGATGGCGGTTTTGTCGAATAGATAAGGGGGAAATGTGGGGAAAAGAAAGAGAGATCAGATTGTTACTGTGTCTGTGTAGAAAGAAGTAGACATAGGAGACTCCATTTTGTTCTGTACTAAGAAAAATTCTTCTGCCTTGGGATGCTGTTAATCTATAACCTTACCCCCAACCCGGCGCTCTCTGAAACATGTGCTGTGTCCACTAAGGGTTAAATGGATTAAGGGCGGTGCAAGATGTGCTTTGTTAAACAGATGCTTGAAGGCAGCATACTCGTTAAGAGTCATCACCACTCCCTAATCTCAAGTACCCAGAGACACAAACACTGCGGAAGGCGGCAGGGCCCTCTGCCTATAAAACCAGAGACCTTTGTTCACATGTTTATCTGCTGACCTTCCCTCCACTATTGTCCTATGACCCTGCCAAATCCCCCTCTCCGAGAAACACCCAAGAATGATCAATAAATACTAAAAAAATTAAAAAAATAAAAATAAAAATAAAAGATTTTCCTAATTATTAGCTCTGACTCATTTGAGGCTGAATTCTTACTATGCTATCTAAATCAAAATTTTAATGTACATGTTAACAATGCATAATAACAAAAAAACTCAAAACAGAATACAGCTTTTATATTATTGAACTTTATGTACAAAATCATTTGATTTCAAATAAACATTTAATGTAAAAAAAAAAAAACCATACATCATGTCACTCTTTTGGACCAAGCAGTCCATTTATTTCCCATCTCACAATAAGTCCACATCATTATGACCCCCAAGACCCTTACCCAATCTCTAACCTCCACTTTACTTTTCTATTTAGCACTTACCACCTACTCTACTGTGTATTTATTTTGGGTGCTCCAAGAAACCAGGAAACTCCAAGACAAGAGAAACTCCAAAACGAGAACTTATTTCACTGCTGTAACCCCAGAACTTACAGAATTTATTATGTTCCTGGAACATAATAAGCACTTAATAAACACTTGCTGAATGACCTTGCCTTTACCACACCTAAGGGTTATTACTGGTCCTTTAAAATGCAGAAACTAAAAATGGAGAACTAAAAATAAGAGAACTCATTATATAACCTTTTTTATTTAGCACAATTGAAGTATGTATGAAGTAAGTATGTATGAAGTATGTAACTTATCAAGTTTTCATTTCAGATAAATAAATCAAAATAAACTCTTTCTCTCTTGAGGATTAGAACTGTAAACCTAAACCTACCCATCTTTACCATATCTTACTCACTAACCAGAATATTTTCCAGAAAAAAATAGATGTTCACTGGCTGGGGTGCAGTGGCTCACGCCTGTAATCCCAGCATGTTGGGAGACTGAGGCAGGAGGGTCACTTGTGTCCAGGAGTTCAAGACCAGCCTGGGCAACATAGTGAGACCCTATCTCCACAAAAAATAAAAAATTAGCTGGGTATAGTGGCATGTACCTGTAGTCCCAGCTACTCAAGAGGCTAAGGTGGGAGGATCACTTGTGCCCAGGAGTTCAAGGCAGCAGTGAGCCGTGATCATGCCACTGCACTCAGCCTGAGTGTCAGAATAAGACCCTGTCTCAAAAAAAAAAAGAAACTTGAGGTGTTCACAAATTTGGTGCATTGAACCCAGCCTCAGGGCTTTTGGCGCTATTCACCCTTCAGGTCTTGAACTGGATGCCACTTTCTCTAAGTCTTCCCTGGCCCCTACATCTAGGGCATGGCTCCATGCCTCAATGCACAACTTTCCCCATCCAAGCACATATATACAGTCTGTTAGGACCGTTTGTTTGACTGTTTCCTCCATTAGGCTATAAAGCTGTAAGAGGATAGGGCAGGTGAACAGGCATCCATCTAATACAGGTCACTATTGTTTCTCCAAAGCCTTCATTTCCACTGCACCCAGTAGGCACTCAAAATATTTGATGAATGATGCATGTCTGCAATGGATGGAAAACAATGTATTATATGCACTGGTTGAGAAATACTCTCCAACACACCGCCACTCACGGACTTTCAAAAGCTCACTTATGGAAAATGGTCAAAACACATGGAACATCTACTCTGCTAAAACCTTCCTCTAAACTAAACCAGATTATCAGTATGTTGAACCTAGATAAGACAATACAGATAGTGAGAGGTGACAGCATGCTGGCAGCCCTTGCTCACTCACCACACCTCCTTGGCCTAGGTGCCCACTCTGGCCGTGCCTGAGGAGCTCTTCAGCCTGCCACTGCACTGGGGGAGCCCCTTTCTGGGCTGGCGAAGGCCAAAGCCAGCTCCCTCAGCTTGTGGGGAGGTGTGGAGGGACAGGTGCGGGTGGGAACTGGAGCTGCATGCGGCGCTTGCAGGCCAGCGCAAGTTCCAGGTGGGCATGGGCTGGGCAGGCCCCACACTGGGAGCAGCCGGCCTGCCCCGCCAGGCCCCAGGCAGTGAGGGGCTTAGCACCCGCGCCAGCAGCTGCAGAGGGTGCTGCTGGGTCCCCCTGGGCCAGCGCTGCGCTCAATTTCTCGCAGGGCCTTAGCTGCCTCCCCACAGGGCAGGGCTCGGGACCTGCAGCCGGCCATGCCTGAGCCTCCCCCCGCCGCCGTGGGCTCCTGTGCAGCCCGAGCCTCCCCAACAAGCACCACCCTCTGCTCCATGGTGCCTGGTCCCATCAACTGCCCAAGGGCTGAGGAGTGTGGGCACAAGGCGTGGGACTGGCAGGCAGCTCCACCTGTGGCCCCAGTGTGGGATCCACTGGGTGAAGCCAGCTGGGCTCTTGAGTCTAGTGGGGACTTAGAGAACCTTTATGTCTAGCTAAGGGATTGTAAATACACCAATCAGCACTCTGTATCTAGCTCAAGGTTTGTAAATGCACCAATCAGTGCTCTGTATCTAGCTAATCTAGTGGGGACATGGAGAACTTTTGTGTCTAGCTCAGGGATTGTAAACGCACCAATCAGCACCCTGTCAAAACGGACCAATCAGCTCTCTGTAAAACAGACCAATCGGCGCTCTGTAAAATGGACCAATCAGCAGGATGTGGGTGGGGCCAGATAAGGGAACAAAAGCAGGCTGCCCGAACCAGCAGTGGCAACCCACTCAGGTCCCCTTCCACACTGTGGAAGCTTTGTTCTTTCGCTCTTTGCAATAAATCTTGCTGCTGCTCACTCTTTGGGTCCACACTGCCTTTCTGAGCTGTAACACTCACCGCGAAGGTCTGCAGCTTCACTCCTGAAGCCAGCGAGACCACGAACCCACCAGAAGAAAGAAACTCCGAACACATCCGAACATCAGAAGGAACAAACTCCGGACACACTGCGTTTAAGAACTGTAACACTCATTGGGAGGGTCCGTGGCTTCATTCTTGAAGTCAGTGAGACCAAGAACCCACCAATTCCGGACACATTTTGATGACCCAGATGGGACTATCGCCTATTGCCAAGCAGTGAGACTCGCCAAGCAGTGAGACAACTGCCCATTGCTAAACAAAGGGACTATCGCCTATCGCCAAGTGGTGAGACTATCACCGAGCAGTGAGACCATCGCCTATCGCTGAGCAGTGAGACTGTCACCTATCACCAAGCAGTGAGTGCCATCGGACCCCTTTCACTTGCTATTCTGTCCTATTTTTCCTTAGAACGGGGGCTAAATACCGGGCACCTGTCGGCCAGTTAAAAGCGACTAGCATGGCCACTGGACTAAAGA
Source organism: Homo sapiens (assembly GCF_000001405.40). NCBI lineage: Eukaryota > Metazoa > Chordata > Mammalia > Primates > Hominidae > Homo > Homo sapiens. The sequence continues at coordinate 25,245,614 of NC_000004.12, read as the reverse complement.
CACGGGTCTCAGGCTTTCTGGGAAAGGGCTCTCTAACAACCCCAGACTCTTCAGAGTTGGGAGCGTTGGTTTGCCTAGAACCAGCTTCCACTTTTCCTGTACTTTTGGGCTGAGCCGAGGGTCGACAGAGAGGAAAGCCATGCAGCTCCGCAGGTACCAACAACTTGGTTGACCCTGCGGCCATGAGCGGAACTCTCCAAGGCATGTCACCCAAGCGAGATTTGCCCATCTATCCTATCTATCCTGACCCTTACCCCCTGGGTCCTAGTGCCTGCCAGACAAACTTCCTCTCGCCTCTCTTCTCCGAGGTTAGTCCCGCTTCTAAAAATTGCTACCTGTCTCTGGTGCTCTTCTAGTTTCTCCTATAAAATGACTTCTAGTATAAACTGTTACCTTCTTTAGGCACCCAGGCTCACCAATCAGAAAGACATAATTTTTGCCCGAAGCCCCATCGTAGTGGGGACTACCTGGAACTTTAGGATCCCTCCTCAGACTAATAGGCCTAACAAAAGCTATTCCTGAAGCTAGGATATGGGGAGCCTCAGAAATTGTATCCTTCCTATTCATATAAGTGAGGACAAAAGGTGTCACTCTTCCAACCCTGGAGATCCCTTCCCTCCCTCAGGGTATGGCTCTCCACTTCATTTTTGGGGCATAACATCTTTATAGGACAGGGGTAAAGTCCCAATACTAACAGGAGAATGCTTAGGACTCTTAACAGGTTTTTGAGAATGCGTCGGTAAGGGTCGGTAAGGGTCACTAAGCACAACTATTCCAATCAGCAGGGTCCAGGGACCGTTGCGGGTTCTTGGGCAGGGGTTGTTTCTGCTGCTGCGTCAGTGAGCGCAACTATTCCGATCAGCAGGGTCCAGGGACCGTTGCGGGTTCTTGGGCAGGGGGAGAAACAAAACAAACCAAAACTGCAGGCGGTTTTGTCTTTCAGATGGGAAACACTCAGGCATCAACAGACTCACCCTTGAAATGCATCCTAAGCCATTGGGACCAATTTGACCCATAAACCCTGAAAAAGAGGCGGCTCATTTTTTTCTGCACTATGGCTTGGCCCCAATATTCTCTCTCTGATGGGGAAAAATGGCCACCTGAGGGAAGTATAAATTACAATACTATCTAGCAGCTTGACCTTTTCTGTAAGAGGGAAAGCAAATGAAGTGAAATACCTTATGTCCAAGCTTTCTTTTCATTGAGGGAGAATACACAACTATGCAAAGCTTACAACTTACATCCCACAGGAGGACTTCTCAGCTTACCCCCATATCCTAGCCTCCCTATAGCTCCCCTTCCTATTAATGATAATCCTCCTCTAATCTCCCCTGCCCAGAAGGAAATAAGCAAAAAAATCTCCAAAGGACCACAAACCCCCGGGCTATTGGTTATGTCCCCTTCAAGCTGTAGGGGGAGGGGAATTTGGCCCAACCTGGGTACATGTCCCCTTCTCCCTCTCTGATTTAAAGCAGATCAAGGCAGACCTGGGGAAGTTTTCAGATGATCCTGATAGGTACATAGATGTCCTAAAGGGTCTAGGGCAAACCTTCGACCTTGCTTGGAGAGATGTCATGCTACTCTTAGATCAAATCCTGGCCTTTAATGAGAAGAATGTGACTTTAGATGCAGCCCAAGAGTTTGGAGATACCTGGTGTCTTAGTCAAGTAAATGATAGAATGACAGCCGAAGAAAGGGACAAATTCCCTACCAGTCAGCAAGCCATCCCCAGTATGGATCCCCACTGGGACCTTGACCAGATCATGGGGACTGGAGTCGTAAACATCTGTCGACCTGTGTTCTAGAAAGACTGAGAATTAGAAAAAAGCCCATGAATTATTCAATGATGTCCACCATAACTCAGGGAAAGGAAGAAAATCCTTCTGCCTTCCTCGAGCGGCTACGAGAGGCCTTAAGAAAATATACTCCCCAGTCACCTGAATCACTCGAGGGTCAATTGATTCTAAAAGATAATTATTACCCAATCAGCCACAGATATCAGGAGAAAGCTCCAAAAGCAAGGCCTGGGCCCTGAACAAAATCTAGAGGCATTATTAAACCTGGCAACCTCGGTGTTCTATAATAGGGACCAAAAGGAACGGGCCCAAAAGGAAAAGCAAGATCAGAGAAAGGCCGCAGCCTTAGTCATGGCCCTCAGACAAACAAACCTTGGTGGTTCAGAGAGGACAGAAAATGGAGCAGGCCAATCACCCGGTAGGGCTTGTTATCAGTGTGGTTTACTAGGATGCTTTAAAAAAGATTGTCCAATGAGAAACAAGCTGCCCCCTCATCCATGTCCACTATGCCGAAGCAATCACTGGAAGGTGCACTGCCCCAGAGGACGAAGGTTCCCTGGGTCAGAAGCCCCCAACCAGATGATCCAACAACAGGACTGAGGGTGCCCGGGGCAAGCGCCAGCTCATGTCATCACCCTCACTGAGCCCTGGGTATGTTTAACTATTGAGGGCCAGGAAATTGACTTCATCCTGGACACGGGCGCGGCCTTCTCAGTGTTAATCTCCTGTCCTGGACGACTGTCCTCAAGGTCCACTACCATCTGAGGAATCCTGGGACAGCCTGTAACCAGGTATTTCTCCCACCTCCTCAGTTGTAATTGGGAGACTTTGCTCTTTTCACATGCATTTCTTGTTATGCCTGAAAGTCCCACACCCTTATTAGGGAGGGATATATTAGCCAAGGCTGGAGCTGTTATCTGCATGAATATAGGGAACAAGTTACCCATTTGTTGTCCCCTACTTGAGGAGGGAATCAACCCTGAAGTCTGGGCATTGGAAGGACACTTTCGAAGGGCAAAAAATGCCCAGCCAGTCCAAATCAGGTTAAAAGATCCCACCACTTTTCCTTACCAAAGGCAATATCTGGTAAGGCCTAAAACTCATAAAGGATTACAGAATATTGTTAAACATTTGAAAGCTCAAGGCTTAGTAAGGAAATGCAGCAGTCCCTGCAACACCCCAATTCTGGGAGTACAAAAACTGAATGGTCAGTGGAGACTAGTGCAAGATCTTAGACTCATCAATGAGGCAGTAATTCCTCTATATCCAGTGGTACCCAACCCCAATACCCTGCTCTCTCAAATACCGGAGGAAGCAGAATGGTTCACGGTTCTGGACCTCAAGTATGCCTTCTTCTGTATTCCCCTGCACTCTGACTCCCAGTTCCTCTTTGCCTTTGAGGATCCCACAGACCACAAGTCCCAACTTACGTGGAAGGTCTTGCCCCAGGGGTTTAGGGATAGCCCTCATCTGTTTAGTCAGGCACTGGCCCAAGGTCTAGGCCACTTCTCAAGTCCAGGCACTCTGGTCCTTCAATATGTGGATGATTTACTTTTGGCTGCCAGTTTGGAAGCCTCATGCCAGCAGGCTACTCTAGATCTCTTGAACTTTCTAGCTAATCAAGGGTACAAGGTGTCTAGGTCGAAGGCCCAGCTTTGCCTACAGCAGGTCAAATATCTAGGCCTAATCTTAGCCAGAGGGACCAGGGCCCTCAGCAAGGAACGAATACAGCCTATACTGGCTTATCCTCACCCTAAGACATTAAAACAGTTAAGTGGGTTCCTTGGAATTACCGGCTTTTGCTGACTATGCATCCCTGGATACAGCGAGATAGCCAGGCCCCTCTATACTCTAAACAAGGAAACCCAGAGGGCAAATACTCATCTAGTAGAATGGGAACCAGAGGCAGAAACAGCCTTCAAAACCTTAAAGCAGGCCCTAGTACAAGCTCCAGCTTTAAGCCTTCCCACAGGACAAAACTTCTCTTTATACGTCACAGAGGGAGCCGAGATAGCTCTTGGAGTCCTTACTCAGACTCCTGGGACAACCCCACAACCAGTGGCATACCTAAGTAAGGAAACTGATGTAGTAGCAAAAGGCTGGCCTCACTGTTTAAGTGTAGTTGCAGCAGTGGCCGTCTTGGTGTCAGAAACTATCAAAATCATACAAGGAAAGGATCTCACTGTCTGGACTACTCATGATGTAAATGGCATACTAGGTGCCAAAGGAAGTTTATGGCTATCAGACAACCGCCTACTTAGATACCAGGTGCTACTCCTTGAGGGACCAGTGCTTCAAATACGCACATGCATGGCCCTCAACCCTGCCACTTTTCTCCCAGAGGATGGGGAACCAATCGAGCATGACTGCCAACAAATTATAGTCCAGATTTATGCCACCCAAGATGATCTCTTAGAAGTCCCCTTAACTAATCCTGACCTTAACCTATATACCGATGGAAGTTCATTTGTGGAGAATGGGATACGAAGGGCAGGTTACACCATAGTTAGTGATGTAACCATACTTGAAAGTAAGCCTCTTCCCCCAGGGACCAGTGTCCAGTTAGCAGAACTAGTGGCACTTACCAGAGCCTTAGAACTGGGAAAGGGAAAAAGAATAAATGTGTATACAGATAGCATGTATGCTTATCTAATCCTACATGCCCATGCTGCAATGTGGAAAGAAAGGGAGTTCCTAACCTCCGGGGGAACCCCCACTAAATACCACAAGGAAATTATAGAGTTATTGCATGCAGTGCAAAAAACCCAAGGGGGTGGCAGTCTTACACTGCCAAAGCCATCAAAAAGGGGAAGAAGAGGGGAGAACAGCAGCATAAGTGGCTGGCAGAGGCAGGGAAAGACCAGTAGGAAGGAAAGAGACAGGAAGTCAAAGAAAGAGACAGAGAGGAAGAGACAGAGAGACAGAAACAGAGAGACAAAGAGAAGGAGACAGAGAGAGGAAGAAACAGAGAGTCAAAGAGAAAGTGACAAAGAGAAGGAGTCAGAAAGAAAGAGGGACAGACACAAAGTCAGAGAGTCAGAAAGAGAGGAAGAGACAAAGAAATCAAAGAGAAAGAAAGAGAGATGGAAGTAGTAAAGAAAAACAGCATACCCTATTCCTTTAAAAGCCAGGGTAAATTTCTGTCTACCCAGCCAAGGCATATTCTTGTTATGTGGAACATCGACCAATATCTGCCTCCCCACTAACTGGACTGGCACCTGCACCTTAGTCTTTCTAAGTCCCAACATTACCATTGCCCCAGGAAATCAGACCCTATCAGTACCCCTCAAAGCTCAACTCCATTAGTGCAGAGCCATACAATTAATACCCCTACTTATAGGGTTAGGAATGGCTACTGCTACAGGAACCAGAATAGCCAGTTTATCTACTTCATTATTCTACTACCACACACTCTCAAAGGATTTTTCAGACAGTTTGCAAGAAATAACAAAATCTATCCTTACTCTACAATCCCAAATAGACTCTTTGGCAGCAGTGAATCTCCAAAACCGCCAAGGCCTAGACCTCTTCGCTGCTGAGAAAGGACTCTGCACCTTCTTAGGGGAAGAGTGTTATTTTTACACTAACCAGTACGAGATGCCACCTGGTGTTTACAGGAAAAGGCTTCTGAAATCAGACAATGCCTTTCAAACTCTTATACCAACCTCTGGAGTTGGGCAACATGACTTCTCCCCTTTCTAGGTCCTGTGGCAGCCATCTTGCTGTTACTTGCCTTTGGACCCTGTATTTTTAACCTTCTTGTCAAATTTGTTTCCTCTAGCATCGAGGCCATCAAGCTACAAATGGTCTTACAAATGGAACCCCAAATGAGTTCAACTAACAAATTCTACTGAGGACCCCTGGACCAACCTGCTGGCACTTTTACTGGCCTAGAGAGCTCCCCTCTGGAGGACACTAAAACTGCAGGGCCACTTCATTGCCCCTATCCAGCAGGAAGTAGCTAGAGCAGTCATTGGCCAAATTCCCAACAGCAGTTGGGGTGTCCTGTTTAGAGGGGGGATTGAGAGGTGACAGTGTGCTGGTAGCCCTTGCAGCCCTCGCTCACTCTCGGCGCCTCCTCGGCCTCGGCGCCCACTCTGGCCGCACTTGAGGAGCCCTTCAGCCCGCCACTGCACTGTGGGAGCCCCTTTCTGGACTAGCTGAGGCCAGAGCCAGCTCCCTCAGCTTGTGGGGAGGTGTGGAGGGACAGGTGTGGGCGGGAACTGGGGTTGCGTGTGGCACTTGCGGGCCAGCGCGAGTTCCGGGTGGGCATGGGCTTGGCAGGTTCCGCAGTCGGAGCGGCTGGCCGGCCCCACCGGCCCCGGGCAGTGAAGGGCTTAGCACCTAGGCCAGCAGCTGCAGAGGGTGCTGCTGGGTCCCCCTGGGCCGGCACCGTGCTCGCTTTCTCACTGGGCCTTAGCTGCCTCCCCGTAGGGCAGGGCTCAGGACCTACAGCCGGCCATGCCTGAGCCTCCCCCTGCTGCTGTGGGATCCTGCACAGCCCGAGCCTCCCCAACAAGCGCCACCCCCTGCTCCATGGTGCCCCGTCCCATCGACCACCCAAGGGCTGAGGAGTGTGGGCGCAAGGCACGGGACTGGCAGGCAGCTCCACCTGTGGCCCCAGTGTGGGATCCACTGGGTGAAGCCAGCTGGACTCCTGAGTCTAGTGGGGACTTAGAGAACCTTTATGTCTAGCTAAGGGATTGTAAATACACCAATCAGCACTCTGTATCTAGCTCAAGGTTTGTAAATGCACCAATCAGTGCTCTGTATCTAGCTAATCTAGTGGGGACTTGGAGAACTTTTGTGTCTAGCTCAGGGATTGTAAACGCACCAATCAGCACCCTGTCAAAATGGACCAATCAGCTCTCTGTAAAACAGACCAATCAGTGCTCTGTAAAATGGACCAATCAGCAGGATGTGGGTGGGGCCAGATAAGGGAATAAAAGCAGGCTGCCCGAACCAGCAGTGGCAACCTGCTCAGGTCCCCTTCCACACTGTGGAAGCTTTGTTCTTTCGCTCTTTGCAATAAATCTTGCTGCTGCTCACTCTTTGGGTCCACACTGCCTTTATGAGCTGTAACACTCACCGCAAAGGTCTGCAGCTTCACTCCTGAAGCCAGCGAGACCAGGAACCCACCAGGAGGAATGAACAACTCCAGACGCGCCAGCTTAAGAGCCATAACTCTCACCGTGAAGGTCGCAGCTTCACTCCTGAGCCAGCGAGACCACGAACCCACCAGAAGGAAGAAACTCCGAACACATCCGAACATCAGAAGGAACAAACTCCGAACACACCGCCTTTAAGAACTGTAACACTAACCGCGAGGGTCCATGGCTTCATTCTTGAAGTCAGTGAGACCAAGAACCCACCAATTCCGGACACAATAGCACCAGTAGTTAAAACCATTTCTGCTGAAATGGACTTTAGGGAAGTTATAAGAACTACCTTTATGAAATTAATCACTTTAATCACAGATATTGTTCAGCATACAGCATTCACCAAGAGACTGTGACAGGCTACCCTTTGTCTGTTCTGTTTTGGTTCAAATAACCAGTTTATTTTAACTGTATAGACCACATGATTGTGTTTCTCTCAAGTTAGCTGCTCAGTAATTTCAAAAATCAAATCTGTGGGTTGCCTGCATCAAGCATCTGAGGTACATCTTGTGTAATCTTACTCCAGGCTCCATCTTCTCATCTTTCTTCCTTTTAAATGATTTTCTTATTCTGTTCACATATTTATAAACCACCATGAATCATTAAATGACTTACAAATTCACATTTTCTTTTACTTTGGCAGCTCTTTGTGAATTCTAACACTGTTTTCTAACTGTTAGGCTCTCTAACAGGAGCTAAGCGCTCCTGATTTGTATTAACTGGGACCTTGGAGAAGTCACTTCACTTCTTTGTGCTTTTTCTTTTTTTCTTTTGAGACAGGGTCTTTTTCTGTAACCCAGGCTGGAGTATAGTGGTGCAATTATAGCTCACTGGACTCAGTGTAACCTGAAACTCATGGACTCAAGCAATCCTCCTGCCTCGGTCTCCTGAGTAGCTTGGACTACAGGTGTGCACCAAAGAGGCCTCCCAAAGTGTTAGGATTACAGGCGTAAGCCACCATGCCCAGCCTCTCCCTATACTTTCTTAAAATGAGAACAAGGCCAGGCATGGTGGCCTTGTAATCTCAGTGCTCTGGGAAGCCGAGGCGGGAGGATCATCTGAGGTCAGGAGTTCGAGACCAGCCTGACCAACATGGTGAAACCCCGTTTCTACTAAAAATACAAAATTAGCCAGGCATGTGCCTGTAATCCCAGCTACTTGGGAGGGTGAGGCAGGAGAATCGCTTGAACCTGGGGAGTGGAGGTTGCAGTTAGCCGAGATTACGCCATTACAATCCAGCCTGGGTGACAGGAATGAAACTCTGTTCCCCCACTGCCACCCCTACAGCCACCCACTGCCAAAAACAAAAAAAAAAAACAAAAATAGTACTCACATCACAGGGTTGGTTATGAATTAATATATATGAAGCATACAGAACTATGCCTAGCGCATATTAACTGCTATGTAGGCATTAGCTGTCATTACTACCGAATTCACTGATTAAAATAACTAGAACAAGGAATGCACTAATCCTTCCACTTTGACACTGATCCAACAACACTATGGTTTATGCTGTTTGTAGGCTTTGTTAAATGCCTTGTTGAAGATAACAGACATATGACATTCTTCCACTGGCTAAAGTACATAAACCTCTTGCTTATATAAGTAAGAGTTAAGCATCATAAATGATGTTCATATTAATCTAAAGGCAAGAATTTCTTGGAACTAGTGAGGTAGTTTCATGGAAATCGGATGGTAAAGGACAAATGAAGTTAATGGAGTCATTTAAAAAATAACTAAACTTAAAAAGTATTAAATTACTCAATCATGAACATTTTAGTCTTTAAAAATTTTTTAAACAGTTTTCACAGAAACTATTTTAAAGTCCTATTAAAGGTAAAAACCTCCAAAATAACCACAGACACAATTATTTTATAACACTTGTGGACCCATGGCAAAACGGAAAAGGGGCAGAAGATGAAGAAAGAACCAGGCTTCCTCCTGATTTATTACTTCCTGGATATTTGACTTCGGGCAAACCATTTACCTCTGAAGACCTGAGCTACCAGTCATTACCAGTTTATTAATTCTGAATCCTCATAATGAGAATAATGGCGAATAACAACTAACTTGCTGTGCTGTTGTGAAAATAATTAATTTTTTTTTTGAGACAAAGTCTCACTCTGTCACCCAGGCTGGAGTGCAGTGGAGCCATCTCTGCTCACTGCAACCTACACCTCTCGGGTTCAGAAGCGATTCTCCTGCCTCAGCCTCCCAAGTAGCTGGAATTGCAGGCGCCCGCCACCATGCCTGGCTAATTTTTCTATTTTTAGTAGAGGCAGGGTTTCACCATGTTGGCCAGGCTGGTCTGAAAACTCCTGACCTCAAATGATCCACCCACCTAGGCCTTCCAAAATGCTGGGATTACAGGCATGAGCCATGGCACCCAACAGAGAATAAAATTTATTTATTTATTTATTTATTTATTTATTTATTTATTTATTTATTTATTTTTGAGACAGAGTCTTGCTCTGTCTCAAGACAGAACCAGGCTGGAGTGCAGTGGAGAATAAAATATTTTTTTAAAAAAGATCTTAGCAAATTGTAAACTGTGATACAGGTAAGATATTACCTTTAAAAAAGGTAGGAATTCTAAGAATCCATTTGTATTCTAACACTATACTCTATCCTCACTTTGAATTTTTGTTGTTGTTGTTGTTTATTTTTTATAGAGATGGGGATCTCGCTATGTTGCCCAGGTGGGTCTCGAACTTCCAGCCTCAAGCTATTCTCCTGCCTAGACCTCCCAAAATGCTGGGATGGGATTACAGGCCTGCCATCTCGTTGACCTCTCGCTTTGATTTTTTTCTAGCCTTAATACTGTTTGTTTATAAAACACCTCACTTTCACAGAACAAGTGCATTTTGAAGGCTTTAGGCTCTTTTAAAAACCCAGGTACACAAGGTAGCTTACACAAGGTAAGGGACAGAAAAAGGCAAGCTAGCTATTTTACAGACTAAATTCTAAGTAACATATACCCAAATTGCCAATGTAGCTAGGCAAATGCAGACCCGTTTGTGATCTGGTTTCAGCTTCACGTTGTTTGGTTAAACGTCAATGCATCCATCAGGTAACATTATAACGGGAGCAGACGTTGGTTAAAGCTTAAACAATCAGACAAACTGCTCCCCTTGGGATTCTCTGATTTATTTACTCTAGAATATGCCTGAATGTAGCCTCTAGCTAGAACTTGAGTGACCGATTCTATCCAAAATTCTTTAAACTGTAAAGGACACATTAGTGTACCACTAACAGTACATTTAAAATCTAACAATTCCAAAAAAAACTAAGCAGTGTTAAAGAAACTTCCATTTTCTGTGGTTTTTAAGTTGTCATGTGTGAAGCGATAAACCAACCGGGTGCACAACATCTCATTTAATCCATCCTCACAACCAGCAGGGAGGTGTACCATCGCCTTTTTACAAACAAGTCTGTCTCACCTCTAGCTGAGAGTCTTACAAGTCTCTTGCTATTTCCATCACATTTGTCTAACTCCATTCAACACGCCAGAAAAACTCACTTTATTAATAAATATCCAGGCCTGCACAGCATACCTAAATTTAACCTTCAACATCATTTCAACTGCCCTGTTTCGCCTGAGGTTATCAGTCCGCTTAATAGCGAAAAGAGGTTTTTCGTTTTGGTTTTCTTATGTATTAGAAGTAAATCAAGAAAGAGAAACTAAACTGTAAGAGGGCAGGAACAGACTTTCAACTGCTTTTGCCCCCTGTGGCTAACTTCATAATAACAACATTTAATAGAAAAAGGTTTTGAAACGTGCCCCAGTGGCAACTGGATATTCTGGCTGTCCATCTCTCTCCTGTCATCCACTTTGCAAATTCACCACTCCGGGAACTTTCCTGAGAGTTCAAGGTTCTTAATTCAAAAGTCAAGTCCAAACTTGAGCAAGGACTTACGTCATTTTACAGCGTTAACCTCTCCCCAGTGTCGGTTTCTAGAAGTTTTGACTCACTTTGCGGGGAGGTCTAAAGAATCGGTTTAATGACAACCACTGGCCTTAGGAGAGGGAGCTCCCGGAGAAAGAGCGAGCAAGCTAGGTGCCCGCGGTGCGGCTGCGGCTGGCGCCGGTCCGAGCTCGGGAGCTGCTGCCCAGCGAGCGGGGAAAGCCCGTCCACCTCGGCCAGCGCGCGCGGGAGACAGGACCGAGCCGGGCGACAGGGGCAGCCGCCCGGAGGGGCGCGGGGAGTGGGGCAGGGCCGGGTCGCACCTGAAACCGCGGGGCGGCTCCGGTCCAGCTCGGCGGACGAACTCCGGGAGACCCCCACGTCCCCGGGCGGGAGGGGCAGCTCCTCGTCGCCGGCCTCGCCCTCCTCCCCGGCAGCGTCCAGCAGCCTCACGGCGCTGCCTGGGGCGCCTCTCCGCGGGTGGGCCCAGGCGATCCGCGGTAGCAGCGGCTCCCGCTCCCCATCCTCCTCCTCCTCCGGGCTCCCGCCGTCCGCGGACGCCAACCGGTCGGGCTCGGAGGGATCCTCCATGGACTCCCTCTGCTCCCTCCGCGCTGAGACCAGATCAGAGCAGCCAGGTGCCAGAGACTGGGCTCTGCATGGCGCGGAACGGGAGCGACCGGGTAGAACGGACGCCACCTCACCAGCGCACGGGCACGCTTGGCGCCCGCCCAGCGGTTGTCCCGCCTCGCCGCCGGCCGCGCCCCACCTCGCGCCTCCGCCAGGCACCACCCCCGCGCCTGCGCAGAAGGGTCGTGGCGGCGGCGGCGGCGGCAGCGGGGCACGTGGGAGTGAACAGGGGGCGGGGCTTTTGAGGGGTCAGGTGGGGTGGGGCCGCCACCTGCTTCCGTGAGCGCGGGGAGAAGCTGGGCACAGCTCGCTTTACTCCCAGTGGAGGGCGGGAAGGTGAGTAATTTTCAAAGAGGTGCCCTCCTGCAACCAAAAGCGGCTTCTCCCTGACAGAATTCTCTCTCAGAGTTTACCATAATCTGTAACTATAGATTTAATTGTATGACATTTCTTTCCTCCAGTAGACGTCCAGGAGGGCAGGGACCTTGTCTTTGTTCAGATATTCTTGATAGTGGCAGTTTGTATGTTTTCTTTTTCTGACTAATCTAGCTAGAAGTTTATCAATTTTTAAATCTTTTCAAAATGTCATGTTTTGGTTCCATTGATTTTCTGTTTTCTGGTCCATTGCCTTATTTTGCTCTTTATTGCTCACTTGAGTTTTGATTTCCTCTTCTTTTTCTAGTTGCTTAGAGTAGAAGATGATTGATTCTGGATCTTTCTGCTTTTCCAATGCTAGTATTTTAAGGCTATAAATTGCCCTCTAAGCACTGCTTTAGCTGAATTCTCCTTTTTTTTTTTCTTGGTGGTTGTTATTTTTGAGACAGGGTCTCACTTTGTTATCCAGGCTGGAGTGCAGTGACACAATCATAGCTCACTGCAGTCTCAACCTCCTAAGCTCAAGGGATCTTCTCAGCTTTAAACTGTAGAAGACACAGTAGCTGGAACTGCAGGTGTGCACGACCACATCCTGTTAATTTTTAAATTTAAATTTTTTGTAGAGATGGGATCTCACTGTTGCCCAGATTGGTCTTGAGCTCCTGGTCTCAAGCAGTCGTCCTGCTTCAGCATCCCAAAATTCTGGGATTACAAGCATAAGCCACCTTGCCTGGCCTGCTACTGTGCTTTTGTTTTCCTTCAGCTGAAAATAGTTTTTAATTTCCTTTATGATTTCCTCTTTGACCCTGTAAAGGAAAATAAAAATCTCAGAACCACCCCCCACCCCCAACTTGTTATGTCAAAGGGAGAGTTAAGCCTGGAGACTGAAGTCACTCAACACTACAATGCTTTTCCCAAATGGATAGCTGTTACTTCCCATAGTTGTATTAAAACTTTATATGTTAGCCAGACCCTCCTCAAAATGCAAAAAAAAGCCTTATGCATCTCAGTCTCAGGATGACTGTCCTCAACAAATTAATCATAGTAAATTCTTTACTGGCCCTTAAACCTTTCAAGATGTATATCCTTCCATAAAACAAGGACGTGTCAATTGTATAACTTTAAGTCTGCAACCTAAATCAAACTGGTACAACTAAAGTCTGTTAAATTTCACATGGATAAATTCAGTTACAAGCTTATCTTCCCAGATGCAGAACAAGGATAAGATCAATCATTCCTTCACCTGAGATATCTGTATAATTAACTTCCTTTACTCCATTTTCTTTGAATATTCACCTTATCTTATGCATAGCATAGAGTTACTGGGCACTACCTAAAGTCTAGCAAAAATGTAACCATTTGCTTCACCACCTACAACCCTCTTCCCTGATGCCTTCTCCGCTTTAAAGAAAGAATAGCTGTAATTACAGGTGCCTGCCACCATGCACGGCTAATTTTTGTATTTTTTAGTAGAGATAGGGTTTCACCACATTGGCCAGGCTGGTCTCGAACTCCTGACCTCAGATGATCCACCCGCCTCGGCCTCCCAAAGTGCTGGGATTACAGGTGTGAGGTACTGCACCTGGCCTGTAAATGCCTTTTAATTGGAGTTTGGGGTCCATTTACATTTAATGTAATAATGATGTGGTTGGATTTAGATCTATTATTTTGCAATTTGGGTTTTATTTGCTTTAACCTTTTCGGTTCCTCTGTTCCTCCTTTCCTGCCTTCGTTTGGATTAATTCAATAATTCTGATTATTTCATTTTCATTCCACCATTGACTTTCTGTTATACTTATTTTTTTTCTTTTTTTGAGATGGAGTTTCACTCTTGCTGCCCAGGTAGGAGTGCAGTGGTGCAATCTTGGCTCACTGCAACCTCTGTCTCCTGGGTTCAAGCTATTCTCCTGCCTCAGCCTTCTGAGTAACTGGGACTACAGGCACATGCCACCATGCCCAGCTAATTTTTGTATTTTTAGTAGAGACGAGGTTTCACCATGTTGGCCAAGATGTTCTTGATCTCCTGACCTTGTGATCCACCCACCTGAGCCTCCCAAAGTGCTAGGATTACAGGCATGAGCCACCACGCCTGGCCTCTGTTATACTTCTTTACATTAATTTTTAGTGCTTACACTAGGGTTTTCAATACTCATCCTTAAATTATCTCAGTGTACTAAGAGCCAATATTGTACTATTTGACATAAGAGGTAAGAACTTAGTGTCATTCCATTTATGCCCCATCGTTTATGTTATTGCTGTCATGTATACTAGACCTAAATATTTAAATACAGTGAATAATTTTTGCCTTAATTGCTTTTTTAGAGAAATTACCCACATAGTTACAACTTCCGGTGTTCTTCCTTCCTTTTTGTAGATCAGAGTTTCTATCTAGTATCATTTCCCTTTCCTCTGAAGAATTAAAAACAAATTTTATAATGCAGATTTGCTGATTAATATGGCTTGGCTGTGTCTCCACCAAATCTCATCTTCAATTCCCACGTGTTGTGGGAGGTGGGAGGTGGGAGGTGATTGAGTCATGGGGGCAGATCTTTCCAATACTGTTTTCATGATGGTAAGTGAGTCTCATGAGATCTGATGGTTTGAAAAACAGGAGTTTCCCTGCCCAAGCTCTCCTTGCCCGCTCCCATCCACGTTAGATGTGACTTTCTCCTCTTTGCCTTCCCCCATAATTGCAAGGCCTCCCCAGCCATGTGAAATTGTAAGTCCAGTAAACCTCTTTCTTTTGTAAATTGCCCAGTCTCAGGTATGTCCTCATCTGCAGCATGAAAACAGACTAATACACTGGTGATAAATTTAAGTTTTAATTTATTAGAAATTGTCTTTATTTTACCATCATTTTCAAATGCTATGTCCTCTGGATACAGACTTCTGGGTTGATATTGCTATCCTTACCCATCTAAGTTCAACTGTAAATATGTCATTCTATTGTCCTCTTGCCTTCATTGTTTTTGAATCATAACCCTTCACTTACACACCCGACTTGTGCTATGTCATTTTCTCTAGCTGCCTTTAAGATTTTCTCTGGTTCTTTGGTTCTTTGATTTTCAATAGTTTGACCATGATGTTTTTGGTATGATTTTCTTTACAAATATCTTGCTTAGGTTTTGCTTTACTTCTTGAATCTGTAGATTTATGTTTTCCACAAAATTTGGAGAAATGTCATTCTTTTTTTTTTTAGAAGCAGTTTATTACCTTAAAGCATTTAGCAAACCTAATGTCTGACCTAATTTCAACCAAATGTCTTTATTTTACCAATAATCTTCAAAACTCTTGATTTCCCAAAGCCTACTAAAGTCATGCTGTCACAGGCCATTAGACAGCATGAGCAGGGCAGGAAAGGGCTCTTCTCCCACCCACCAGGAATGTTGGGTGATGGCTCAGCAGTTATCACATTGCCTCTCTAAAAGTCATACATTGGCACCTAGGGTCAGGGAGACGCCATTTCCTGATGGTCCACACCTATTGCACTAAAGTGTTAATTGAATGCAGATGCCAGGGAGATGCAACTTCCCAGGCAAATGCATTAAGAGACAAAACGGCAGAGTATGACCTTTCCGTGGCACTCCATGGGAAAAGGGAAGAAAGCCTTGGGTGGGCATGTGTACAACTTCCTAAACACACTGCATGTGCTCACCTCCCAAGGATAGGGAGGGCACTGTGCATGCGGGCAGCTCACCCTAAGGAAAGAATCATGGGAAAAGAGCCAGCCTATAAAGTCCTAGGATCAAGGTTCAACACTGCACTTGACCTTCACGTGCCCACGTGCCTGCTTGAGTCTCTTCCAAGCATACTTTCATTTCTTTCCTGTTCTAAAGCCTTTTTAAATAAGCTTCCACTCCTGCTCTGAAACTTACCTTGGTCTCTTTTTCTGCCTTATGCCCCTCAGTGGAATTGTTTCTCCTGAGGAGGCAAGGATCGAGGTTGGTGCTGACTAGTGCAGATTCGCTGCTGGTAACTTGGATACCTTCCACCAGTAACAACATCAACTGAAAGGCATTACAGTTTTTATTTTTCTGACAAAATATTTGATTTAAGCACTTGTTATTTTTAAAACATTAATTAGAGCTCTTTCATATATAAACATTACACACATAACACACATATAACTACACAGACAGACAGAAGATCCAGTAGTTGTAGGATTTTTCATTTGCCAGTTTTTGTTTCTTAATTGGATTACTGGCTTCAAGGTGGAGCCCTTGGAGGAACAGGGCTAGGAAAACGTGCAGTTTCTAGGGCCTAATAAGCATACAGAGCTGGAAGGCAAAACAGATCCCCAAAACTTCAGGGTCCCTTTTTCATACTAGATCCTGAATCCCCAAAAAAGAAATGCTACGGAACAAGACAGAGCGTGATTTTACCATGCATTTCATTGCAAAGCAACCCAAAGACAGTTAGCCTGTTCTGTGATCTCAGTCATTATTTCTTCAAATATTTCTTTTCTGCTCTATTCTCTTTTCCTTCTGAGATTTCTATTACATGGATGTTAGACTCTTTGATATTGTTCCAAAGGGCAGTAGAACTCTACCTATGTTTTCATTTTTCTCAATAATTGTTCTCTCTGTTCTTCAGGTTTGGGATAATTTGTCTTTATCTGTTTTAAATTCATCAATCTTTTGACTATTTCCAAAAAGTTGTTAAGCCCACTCAGTTTGTTTTTAATTTCAGACCTGTACTTTTCAGTTCTACAATTTCTATTTAGTTCCTTTTTAGAGCTTCTACTTCTCTGCTGAAATTTTCCATCTGTAACTCATTATGACATATATTTTTAAAGTCCTTGAAAAAAATGTATATATATAACTTTTAAATGTCTCTGCTAATTCTTACATCTGGGTCCTCTTATAGTCAGTTTCTATTTACTGCTTTTTCTCTTGGTTATACGTCAAACTTTCCTGTTTCTTTGCAATATCTGTTAATTTTTTATTGTATACTGAATATTGTGGATAATATATTATAGAGCCTCTAAATTCTGTTATAGTCCTCTCACGAATGCTGATTGTTCTAGAAGGTAAATAACTTGGCTGGAGTCAAACTCCACCTGAAATTTCTGGTCATTTCTTTCAGCAATCCAACTGCTGCTTTTTGCTGAGCTGCTTGAAGCCTCGCCATGTATACACAGTTCAGGAGTCAACCAAGGATTTGGGCAGAGTATATATGCATGTTTTGGAGTTCTCTTCCTCTCTGACTTCTTTGTTTTCAAGACATCTGTCCTCCATTTTTAGCTGTTCTGAGAGTCCCAGAGTCCATTCCCTAACTTCTGAAGCCCTTAAGAAACTGTAGCTTTCTAATTGAGTTCCAGCTGCCTTGCACAGTGAATATTCAGAAGTGCTCTTAGGTGAAAAGGTGTATGAACATAAATCTTACTCATTATATTTCCATGTTTTGAAGAATAGCCATGACTTCCATTCCTATCTGCTTGCTTTTGGTTGCTTTTCAATGTCTTCAAATAATTGTTTTTTGTATTTTGTCCAAAGTTTATCATTTTTGTTATAAGATTAGTTCAATATAGTTTTCTATGGTGTGTTTGATTGGAAATGCATTTTTAGTGAAATGAATAATGCTATATTTTCTCAGTACGTCATCTGTTAGTAGAGAAATATTACTTATAGGTAAATGAGACAAGATTCATCATCAGCTCTATTTGTAGTTTTAGTTTTTACAAATGGAAACACTGAGAAAACCTATTCAAATTAATAGATGGATATGGGAAACATTTTGTAATAGCAATGTCACTCAAGTCTTAGACCTTTTTCCAAGATATATGCTAAAAAAAAAATCAATCACATAATACTCTAGCATCAAACACCTTATGATTTATTATCAGACTCCTTATTTAGGTCCTCCAACATTTGAATTATTCAGTTTCTCAATTTCTGGGGAGTACACCAAAAAGCATTTTAAAAGACTTACCAAATTGTTAATAATTATACTGCAACTCTTTCATTTCAAGCCACCTTTTAACTTGGAGTTGAGAACATAGAAATATTAACATTTCTATAGATCTTTTGCCAATAAAATATTTTTTGTTAAAATGGTTTTATCTTGAAATTTAAGTTTATTTTTGTCAAAGCCCTGGAACTGCTGATTTGGCTCATTCAATGTATGTAAAACATCTAACTTAAAAGTTAATCAGGGCTGGGCATGGTGACTCATGACTATAATCCCAGCTCTTTGGGAGGCCAAGGCCAGAGGATTGCTGGAAGCCGGAGTTTTAAAGACCAGCCTGAGCAACATAGTGAGACCCCAGCTCTACAAAAAAACCCAATATTTAAAAGTTAGCTGGGTATGGTGTCGTACACCTGTAGTCCTAGCTTATGGAGGGACTGAGGTGGGAGGCTTGAGCCCAGGAGTTAGAGGTTACAGTTAACTGTGATCATGCCAGTGCACTCCAGCCTGGGCAAGAGTGAGACCCTGTCTCTAGAAAAAAACAAAAAGTTAATTGGAAAAGCCAGGTTTCATTATCAAATCCATCAGCCAAAGAAGACTTTTTTCAATTCACATAAACATGCTAAAATGTATTATTGTATCGACATCTCGGTTTTAAATTCTAAGGCTCTACCACCTTCAGTATACCTTACTGATACTTTCTTCACTTGGTTCTTATGGGATACTCCGAAAGTACTGGGATTACAGGCAAAGGAATATTTCTTCAACCAGAAAAGAAAGAAAACACTGCTGCTACTTTAGGGAACCTTTGTTAAGGAGGCTTTGCCAACACCTATATTTCAAATACAGCCTTTGTTGGGAGCCTTGGCTTTGTTTACACTTTGGGGCAAAAAGCCATTGGAAGATTCAGAACAGGTGTTCTGATGCCAATTCATGCACTGCTATTCAATTCTGGCACTAACCACCCAGAGTTAGTACAGAACCCACAAGTTAAGCATTTAGTCCTCCACAAGTTTATCCTCATTTCAGATGCCAGCCATGCTTCTGGGGTCCCCTGGCCACCTCCCCTTATGAACAACTAGATACAAATTCAGGCGTCAAACCTGACCCCCTCAGATTTGACAATTTGGTAGAATGATTCATAGAATGCAGCAAAGATCTCAAGGTTCCTGCCTTCATGAAGATTTCGATGAGATGGGATTTACAGACCAATGAACAGGTGATTCCAATACAGTAAGATAAATGCTATGTAGAGGAAGTATGGGCTGCTAAGAGGGCATAGAAGAGGGACCAAGATTTGGGAGGATCGGGAAAGAGAGTTAATACAGACGAAACAAGGGTAGGGGAAGGACTTGACTGAAGTCAAACTCCACCTGAAATTTTGGATCATTTCTTTCAGAAATTCAGCTGTTGCTTTTTGCTGGTCAAATAAATGGTCAGGGTAGGCTTCAAGGGGCAGATGACATGTAAGTGGAGACTTAAAGGATGAGAAAGAGCAGTTTATACAAAAAAAAAAAAAAAAAAGAAGGAAGAGTGCTCCTGGCAGACGGGACCAAAGGCTCTGAAGAGTGCTCCCTGAAGCTCTCTGGTGACCACAGATGGAGGAGTGCCTGTGACCAGAGGGGGGAAGCATAAGCTTCAAGAGGTGGTCCAGGGCCTCACTGTGTTTTATTTCTCAACCTGAAATAATCCAGAGGATTAAAATCCAGTTTTGTTTTTGTTTTTGTTTTTTGAGATGAAGTCTCACTCTTGCCCAGGCTGGAGTGCGGTGGCACAATCTGGGCTCACTGCAACCTCCGCCTCCCAGGTTCAAGTGATTCTCTTGCCTCAGCCTCCCAAGCAGCTGGGATTACAGGCACGAGCCACCACGCCAGGCTAATTTTTGTATATTTAGTAGAGATGGGGTTTCACCATGTTGGCCAGGCTTGTCTTGAACTCCTGGCCTCAAGTGATCTGCCTGCCTTGGCCTCCTAAACTGCTGGGATTACAGGCATGAGCCACTGCACTCAGCCTAGAATCCAGTTTTGAAGAGGTTATTCAAATGCAAAGCTGAGAATAGTCATTCGAGTAACACACACTCCAAGAGATTGGGTCAGTGCTTTCAAGTTAAAAGTTAAGGTCTTGCTTACATAGGCAGGAAACAAAGACATTTAGTAGGATTATAATACTTTCTATAAAAGGCATGTTTATGACCTACAACAATTTCATTAGTTACAGTTTGTTTTCTTTTTCCTATGTCTTGTTTTCATTTCCTTTCCAATTTAAAAGAGAATATTTAATATTCTATCTGAAGACAACCTAATAGTCATGAAGTTTTTATGTGAGAGAAAAAATGGGAAGTTAATTTATAATGAAGATTAACAGTTGATATGATTTGGCTGTGTCCCCACCCAAATCCCATCTGAATTGTAGCTCCCACAATTCCCCTATGTCCTGGGAGGGACCCAGTGGGAGGTAATTGAATCATGGGGGCAAGTCTTTCCCATGCTGTTCTGTGATAATGAATAAGTCTCATGAGATCTGATGGTTTTATAAAGAGGAGTTCTCCTGCACAAGTTCTCCCTCTCTTTGCCTGCCACCATCCATGTAAGACATGACTTTGCTTCTCCTCGCCTTCTGCCATGATTGTGAGGCCTCCTCAGCCATATGAAACTGTGAGTCAATTAAACCTCTTTCCTTTCTAAATTATCCAGGCTCAGGTATGTCTTTATCAGCAGGGTCTTCCCTGGCACCCTTTAGTAATTTACATTTTACAACACAATGTAGGTGAGGAATAAGGCTAATCCACAATCAGAGAAACAAAAGTTATAGCTGCCTAGGTTATAAGTGCCTGTAATGTGACTCAGACCCCATAATCACATTCCTTTAAGGCTCAAAATAATTTAAGCCTCCAACAGTTTAAATTTTCTATTACTTGTTTTCACATCTTTAATACTGTTCTTGTGTCAAGATTTTCAGCCTTTTGGCTACAGATCCTGACCACCCCTCTATCCGCTAGCTAGAACCTATAGGGTGAAGAATGGCACAAAATGATGATGTTAGAGATCTTCGGGATTTACAGAGCTGGAATGTATGGGTCAACAGAGTTTGGATTTAACTGGAAATTCAGTGGGACTTTTTTTTTTTTTTTTTTGAAACAAGGTCTCACTTTGTTGCTCAATCTGGAGTGCAGTGGCACAATCAGAGTTTCTTGCCACCTTAAATTCTTGGGCTCAAGGGATCGTCCCACCTCAGCCTCCTTTGTAGTGAGGCAGGAAATTAAATAAACATAAAATTAAGAAGAGAAAAACAAGCTTTCTATATTAGGCTGACTCATCCCAAAGGCAGTAACAGGCAAAGACTGAACCCAGGCGAAGTCTTGATAACATTCTCAAAGAAGCCAGGGCTCAAAGGGATGTGCTCTGGAGACTCTCCCAGCACTCCCTCAACATAAGGATAAGAAAAAGTGAATTTCTCCCTCAAATCCCACCCCCTTCCGCGTGATTGTACCCTGCTTTGCAAGTGTTATGAGTTTACAGATTTCTGTTTTCTGTAGCTAGTAACTTCAAGTATTCTGTTTTATCTAAGCAGCACAGTGAAGGTTATAAGACACGCCTGAGCAGGCCTGGGCTGTGGCTGTCTGGGTGCCATAGCAAAGTTATGAGATAAACCAGTGCAAGGCTCTTTTGAGCAAGTCTGGATAACAGCCATCTGGGCTGCATAGCAACAGTCACCTGTCACAATTTGATTAACTGCCTTTGTTTTGCCTCTGTATCCTTGCTTTTGTGCCACTATGCTTTATACCACTGTAAGCTTGTTTCAAGCTAGCCCACCGCCTTTTAGAAGTGTGTAAAAAAGTCAAGTGCTGTCTTTGTTCTGGGCCCAGTTTTCGGATGTTAATCTGCTGGTTCTGAGTGCACTCAATAAATCCTCCTATCTCACCCCCACGGTCTCTCTAGTCCTCCTTCATTCCTGCAACAGTAGCTGGGACTCCTGGCATGTGCCACCATGCCGTGCTTTTTTTTTTCTTTTTTTTTTTTTTTTTTTGGTAGAGACTATGTCTCCGTATGTTGCCCAGGCTGGTCTCGAACTCCTGAGCTCAAACAATCTTTCTGTCTCAGCCTCCCAAAGTGGTGGGATTATAGGCATGAACCACCATGTCTGTCCAATTTTAACTTAATTTTAGATCCATATATGTTCATGTAAAATCCCTGGAGCCTAGGAATGTTATCTTATCTGGAAAAAGGATCTCTGCAGATGTTATTAGGTTTAGAATCTTGAGATGAGATCATCTTGGATTAACATGGTATGCCCTAGATCCAATGACAAGTGTCCTTATAAAAGAGAGGTAGAGGGGGATTTGAGACACATAGAAGAGGAGAAGACGCACACAGAGATGGATGTGAAGATGCAGTGCAGATTAGAGCGATATGGCCACAAGCCAAGGAAGCCAAAGAGAGCCAGCAGCCACAGGAAACTCATTACCATAGTCAAACACTTGAAGAGAGTCTTGACATAAGTACAGAAGTGGGGTATTAGGCTACATGGGGGAAGAACATTCCAAACACATGGTTGCCTTTAAATCCCTTGTATATTGGAATGGTGGAGGTTCTACTTCTGCATATATTTTTGCACTGCTTAATTTTTTTAACCAAAAAAAAAAAATCACATCAAAATTATTTATTTATTTATTTTTGAGATAGGGTCTCACTCTGTCACCTAGGTTGGAGTCCACTATCAATCAAAGCTCACTGCAATCTCAATTTCCCAGGCTCAAGAGAGCTTCTCGCCTCAGCCTCGCTAGTAGCTGGGACTACAGAAATGCACCATCATTCCTGGCTTATTTTTTATTTTTTAGAGATGGGATCTCACTATGTTGTCTAGGCTGGTCTCAAACTCTTGGGCTTAAGCAATCCTCCTGCCTTGGCCTCCCAAAGTGCAGGGATTACAGGTGTGAGCTACCATGTCCAGCCTAAAAATAATATTAGTAAAAGGTTTTTATAGCATTGGGGGAAAAAAAGAAATAATAACTACTTAACTATGCTGGAAGTCTTAATTATATGTGGTTGATATTTTTCCTGGGCTCAAGCTATCCTCCCACCTCAGCCTCCTGAGTAGCTGGGACTATTAATGTGCATCATCATATCTGACTAATTTTTTAAAAAAATTTTAAAAACTGTTTTAAAGAGATGGGGGTATTGCTATGTTGCCTAGGCCAGTCTCAAACTCCTGATCTCTAGCAATCTTCCTGCCTCAGCCTCCCACAGTGCTGGGATTACAAACATGCACCACTGTATCTGGACAGATGTGGTTGATTTTTTAAGGCTGTGATTCAACTTGTATACAATCAGTAAGCAGGGAGAGCAGAGAGAACACTAGCCTTTGAGTAAATCTGATAATACCTCCTTGGATGATGTCTTTATTTGCTTTGTTCAGCTAGCTGCAGTGGACTTTTGATCTTAGGAATCTACTGTTGCCTTGCACTTGAAGAAACTGTAGAGGTCCTCTGGATGAGCCTGCCAATCTTTATATCTGCCCTATTTTTAATATTTACATGTATGTGTTGTGATTTAAATACAGATACATTTAGAAAAATCTTAATACCTGGTTTTCTGTCATTTCCAGAATTTATTTTACACTAATACTGGATCTTGCTTTAAGCAGTATCCTTAGGTGCAAATAAAATGCTTGTGAAACAAATGCTGCTTGAATGTAGCAATAATGAAGGCTACAGTTTCTGAGAGCTAGACTCTGTTCTGTGTGCTTTAAGTTTACTAGCATGTACACCCTCACAACAACCCATTTAGACAGGGGTACCTATTTTCCCCTTGATATGATTTAGCTGTGTCCCCACCCAAATCTAATCTTGAATTGTGGTTCCCATAATCCCCATGTGTCATGGGAGGGATCTGGTGGGAGGTAATTTAATCAAGGGGGCAGTTACCCTCATGCTGTTCTTGTGATAGTGAGTGAGTTCTCATGAGATCTGATGGTTTTATAAGGGGCTTTTCCCCCTTTGCTCAGCACTTCTCCTTGCTGCCACCCTGTGAAGAAGGACATGTTTGCTTCCCCTTCCACCATGATTGTAAGTTTCCTGAGGCCTCCCCAGCTATGCTGAACTGTGAGTCAATTAAACCTCTTTCCTTTATAAATTTCCCAGTCTTGGGTATGTCTTTATTAGCAGTGGGAGAATGGACTAATACACCCCTCTTTACAAAGAGAGAAACTAAAGCACATAAAAGTTAAGTAATTTGTCCCCGATCAATCTGATATAAGAGGCAAAGGTAATGTTGCAACACAGATGGTCTGGCTCCATTCTCTTAGCCATTCTAATAGGCAGCTACCCTTCACTTAGGAAACTAGTGGAAGGTTGTTTTTCAATCACAACTCTGATCACTGTCAGTAACTTCTAATGTTATTCCATTGCTCACAAAAAAAAACCCAAAAATCTAAAAATTTACAGTCTAGACTCTAATCTCTAATTTAACCCTATGTTTCACTTATTTCCAACTAAGGCCACCCTAAATGCCCTATTTCCAGAACAAGTTATTTCAGGCCCCTGTGTCTTTGTTCTTGCTCTCAGGATACCTTACCTTCTTCTCCACTTGACTAACATCTACCTAGCCTTTAAATCCTAGTTTAATGTCAATTTCTTTGGAATGCAGTCCCCAGTTTCCTAAGCAGATCTTGTCTCTGTGCTGTGTGCTCTGCAAACTCTTGTTCTGACCTTTAATTGAACACTCTCCCACTGAAGTTTAGTTATCTCCCTATCAGAAGGTGTCTTGAAACTGTGATCCCCTTGTAAAGAGGAATCTGATGTTCTCCTCTCTGTATTTCTCTCTCATTCCCTTCAGTCCCTAAGGGAGTAACCAGAACATATTGTGTGTTTGACAAAAGTTTTGTAACTAAATGAATGAGCAAATGAATAATGAGTAAAATTGTACTTAAAGGAGTTCTGTAAATAAATTTTATTGTGAAAGCCATCCACCTCCAACTTTTCTTTGGTAATGTTGACATTTGCTGGCCAAATATCACCAAGACAAGTTGTGTTGGAAGTGCCCAAGACAACCACAAGGTTGTTCACTAGAAGGACTCACAGGGCTCAGATATAGTCATATTCACATCTATGACTTACTATGGTGAAAGAATACAAAGAAAAGCAGCAAAGGGAAAAGGCACATGAAGCTAAGTCCAGGGAAACCAGGAGTCTTCTCCCATTTGAGTCACACAGGACACTCTTAGTTCCCCACCTACAATTTGTAACAACACATGTGAAATGTTGTCTACCAAGGATGTTCATCACGGACTCAGTACCCAGGGTTTTTATTGCGGATGGTAACGTAGACACACTTTACCTAGCAGGTACCAAAATTCCAGGCCTCCAGAAGCAAGGCAAGTGTTTAGCATAAACCATAAGGTCTGCACAGTTTAGGCACAGTTTGCCATTTTTATCAGGAACGGTGGGAACCCTCCTAAAATCCAAGTTCACAACTCCAGCCAAGGACAACCCTTCCAAGCTGGTCTTTCTAAGGATAGCAGTCTCAGGTCTGCTGTGTTAACTTTTCTTTGCAACACAACATATCAATAAGACCAAGCTGAGTTATTGCTTACCATGGTAAGGAAGACCACCATCTTGTTAAAACTTGGCAGCATCCCAGAGAAGAAAGGGCAAAATCAGAATTCATTGATATTGGGAGTTTTGTTCAGGTAGGTCTTTCAATGTGAGGCCTAGATTAGGATTGAATCAGGATTGGTGGAAACAGCAAGGCAAGGATTTTTGAGACAAGGGATTCAAAGAATTTTAGCACTCAAACTATCTTCATTTTTTTCTTTTCTTTTCTTTTGTTTTAGAGACAGGGTCTCACTATGTTGCCCAGACTGATCTTGAACTCCTGGGCTCAATAAATCCTCCTGCTGTGGCCTCCCAAAGTGCTGAGTTTACAGGCATGAGCCACTGTGCCTGGCCTTCTGATGCTTTTTATTGAAGAGTTGGTAGGTCTTTCAGAAAGTTTCTGTAATGAACATTAAGTGATTTGACTAGAAAAGAGTCTACTAGAATAGTAAAGTTATACCAGTGAAGACAATGAAATAGTAAAGTTAAGTTCATGCAATTAGACATGGGAAACTAGGTAGGTTCTTTTTTCAGCAAATATACATTTTTAAAAAAATCAAACATCTTAATCAGAAAGTACAGTTGACCTTTGAAGAACATGGGTTTGAAATGCGTGAGTTCACTTACATGTGGATTTTTTTCTACCTCTGCCACACGGAGACAGCAAGATCAACCCCTCCTGTTTCTCCTCCTTCTCAGCCAACTCAGTGTGAAGACAAGGAGGATGAAGGTTTTTATGATGATCCACTTACACTTAAGAGATTAGTAAATATATTTTATCTTCCTTATGATTCTTCTAAATAACACTTTCTTTTCTCTAGCTTACTGCATTGTAAGAATACAGTAATATATATAGTATTGAATATACTGAATACAGTAATACATATAAAATACATATACATATAGTATATGATACATAACATACCAAATATTTTCTAATTGACTGTTATCGGTAAGGCTTCTGGTCAACAGTAGGCTGTTAGTTATTTGAGTTTTTGGAGAGTCAAAAATTATACTCAGATTTGCGGCTGTGAGGAAGGCTGGCACCCTTAAACCCCACTTTGTTCAAGGGTCAACTATACATACTTTGCTAGTGAAAGCTGAAGTTAATTTATACCTGAAGTTTCTTTTCTTTTCTTTTCTTTTTTTTGGAGATGGAGTTTCAGTCTTGTTGTCCAGGCTGGAGTGCAATAGCACAATTTTGGCTCACTGCAACTTCCACCTCCCAGGTTCAAGCGATTCTCCTGCCTCAGCCTCCCGAGTAGCTGGGATTACAGGCACCTGCCACTACGCCTAGTTAATTTATACCTGAAGTTTCTAAGAAAAAGGAATACCAGTCAACTCAATGTACTCCCTGGTCATGGGGAAATAAGATTGTTTTCTTCCAGATATTTGATCTCCAATCTACCATCATTATAATCTGGGAATGACCTTCAAGAACAAGGTGAATGTGTTCTTCTGATATGAAAAATGATTTGCAGGAAGAAGCGAAATTACGAACAACAGCACCAAGCATTTACAGAGACCCTACAACACAACAAACACACACTTTACTTATATTGCCTCCATCTTTACCCTCATCTTTCTCAGATGAGGAAGCTGAGATTCAGAGGAGCTAAATAACTCATTCATCTTCCCATAGCTAGTAAACAGAAGAATTGGGATTTGAACCCAGGTGTCTTTAACTCCAGAGCCCATGATTACTTTTCTTTTACATAGTTATATCCCATCAACTCAGAGCACTTTGATTTTCATACATACCCACAGGTGCTGCATTGCTTGGACGATATTCAAAGTGATATGAGTTTTCTCCACCTTCCATTTGTCCTCTGCACAAAAAATTCACCTGTCCTCTGTTTGATTGGCTTATTAATCTATCATACTGTGAGAAAGGTTACCAAAATGCTAAAGCAGAGGATTTTCTTTCCACTGGACTAAACATGTATCTACCACCTATTGTGTATCAGGGACTTTGCCAGGCAAAATCCTGGTCTGTGATGAGAACAGGTTCATGGGATGCGAGGCTATGGTGGTGATTAAAAATGTATGTACTTAATTATAATGCATTGGTATTATACAGCTTGTGCTGTTTTATATTATTTTTAAGAAAGTTTTTAAATTTTATAACTATATAATTATATAATTCAATTTTTGTTTGTTTTTCATTTTAACAGAAAACTAAAATATCCAAGGCTAATTTAATTTCATATGCTGGACAAATTCAGGAACTAGAGTGCAGGAACTGAGGTTTAACAAGTTATATAGGCTGGACACAGTGGCTCACGCCTGTAATTCCAGCACTTTGAGAGGCTGAGGTGGGAGATCACTTGAGCTGAGGAGTTTGAGACCAGCCTGGGCAACAGGGTGAAACCCTGTATCTACAAAGAAAAAAAAAAATTAGCTGGATGCACTGGTGCATACCTGTAGTCCCAGCTACTCGAGGGGCTGAGATGGGAGGATGGCTTGAGTCCAGGGAGGTTGAGGCTGCAGTGAGCTGTGATTGTACCACCGCACTCCAGCCTAGGCAACAGAGTGAGATCCTGTCTCAGAAACAATGTGTACCACTCTGCGGCTGGGCTTGTATGAGAGGAGAGAGTGGGTGATGGCAGTTGCTGAAAAAAAAGAAAAATAAGCCAAATCCCTAAACCTGTGGCAGAGAGAAAGAATGGAGTGAACACATCTGGGCCTGCAGAGAGGCCTGTGGCTCAACCCTTGAAACCTATATTAGTTTCCTAGGGCTGCCATAAAAATTACCACAAACTGAGTGGCTTAAAGCATCAGAAATTTATGCCCTCACAGTTGGAAATCAAGGTGTTGGCAGGACCATGCTCCCTCTGAAGGCTCTGGGGGAAAATCCTTCCTCGCTTGATGTGGTTTGCTCTGTGTCCCCACCCAAATCTCATCTTGAATTGTAATCCCCACATGTAGAGGGAGGGATCTGGTGGGAGGTGAAAGGATCATGGGGGCATTTTCTTCCATGCTGTTCTCATGACAGTGAGTGAGATCTGATGGTTTAAAGTGTTTTACAGTTCCCCCACTCTCTCTCTCCTTCTGCCTGTGAAAAACGTGCTTGCTTCCCCTTTACCTTCCACCATGATTGTAAGTTTCCTGAGGCCTCCCCAGCCATGCAGAATTGTGAATCAATTAAACCTCTTTTCTTGGCCAGGCATGGTGACTCACACCTATAATCCCAGCACTTTGGGAGGCCGAGGTGGGCAGATCACTTGAGGTCAGGAGTTCAAGATCAGTCAGGCCAACATGGTGAAACTGTCTCTACTAAAAATACAAAAAAAAAAATTAGCTGGGCATGGTGATGGGTGCCTGTAACTCCAGCTACTTGGGAGGCTGAGGCGAGAGAATCACTTGAACCTGGAAGATGGAGGTTGCAGTGAGCAAAGATTGCGCCACTGCACTCCAGCCTGGGCAACAGAGCAAGACTCCATCTCCAAAAAAAAAAATCCTCCTTTCTTTATAAATTACACAGTCTCAGGGTGTATCTTTACAGGAGTGTGAGAACAAACTAATACAGAAAATTGGCACCAGGATAGTGGGGTACTGCTATAAAGATAATCTAAAAATGTGGAAGCAACTTTGGAACTGGGTAACCAGCAGAGATTAGAACAGTTTGGAGGACTCAGAAGAAGACAGGAAGATGAGGGATGAGGGAATATTTGGAACTTTCTAGAGATTTGTTGAATGGTTTTGACCAAAATGCTGACAGTGATATGGACAGTGAAGTCCAGGCTGAGGTGGTCTCAGATGGAGATAAAAAACTTGTTGGGAACTGAAGTAAAGGTCACTCTTGCTATGCTTTAGCAAAGAGACTGGTGGCATTTTGCCCTTGCACTAAAGATCTGTGGAAATTTGAACTTGAGAGAGATTATTTAGGGTATCTGGTGGAAGAAATTTCTAAAAAGCAAAAGAGTTCAAGAAGTAACCTGGCTTTTTCTAAAAGCATGCAGAAATGTCATATGTATTCACAAAGAGATGGTTTGAAATTGGAACTTATGTTTGAAAGGGAAGCAGAACATTAAGGTTTGGAAAATTTGCAGCCTGACCTTGTGGTAGGAAAGAAAAACCTATTTTTGGCTGGGTCTGGATGGATCACCTGAGGTCAGGAGTTCGAGACCAGCCTGACCAACACGGAGAAACCCCATCTCTATTAAAAATACAAAACTAGCTGGGCGTGATGGCACATGCCTGTAATCCCAGCTACTTGGGAGGCTGAGGCAGGAGAATCACTTGAATCTGGGAGGTGGAGGTTGCGTGAGCCAAGATCACACCATTGCACTCCAGCCTGGGCAACAAGAGTGAAACTCTCTATCTCCAAAAAAAAAAAAAAAAGAAAAAGAAAAACCCATTTTCTGGGGAAGAATTCAAGCTGGCTGAATAAATTTGCATAAGTAATGAGGAACCAAATGTTAATCTCCAAGACAATGGGGAAAATATCTCCAGGGCATTTCAGACCTCTTAGCAGCAGCCCCTCCCATCACAAACCCAGAGGCCTAGGAAAGAAAAAATAGTTTCACAGGCCAGGCCCAGGGCCCTGCTGCTCTGTGCAGCCTCAGGACTTGGTGCCCTGTGTTCCAGCCACTTCAGCTCCAGCCGTGGCTAAAAGGGGCCAAAGTACAGCTTGAGCCATGGCTTCAGAGGGTCCAAGCCCCAAGCTTTGGCAGTTTCCCCATGGTGTTGGGCCTGCAGGTGCACAGAAGACCAGATTTGAGGTTTGAGAACCTCTGCCTAGATTACAGAGGATGTATGGAAATGCCTGAATGTCTAGGCAAAAGTCTGCTGCAGGAATGGAGCTCTCACGGAGAGCCTCTCCTAGGGCAATGCAGAGGGGAAATGTGAGGTTGGAGCCCCCACAGAGTCCCCATTAGGGCACTGTCAAGTGGAGCTGTGAGAAGAGGGCCACCATCCTTCAGACCCCAGAATGGTAGATCCACTGACATCTTGTATCATGCACCTGGAAAAGCTTCAGGCACTCAATGCCAGCCTGGGGGCTGTACCCTGCAGAGCCACAGGGGCAGAGCTGCCCAAGACTTTGGGAGCCCAGCTCTTGTATCAGCATGCTCTGGGTGTGAGACATGGAGTCAAAAAAGATTATTTTGGAGCTTTAAGATTTAATGAGTGCCCAGCCAGGTTTTGGACTTGTATGGAGCCTGTGGCCCCTTTGTTTTGGCCAATTTCTCCCATTTGGAATGGGAACATTTACCCAATGCCTGTACCTGCATCGTATCTTGGAAGTAGCCAACTTGCTTTTGATTTTACTGGCTGCTAGGGGGAAGGGACTTGCTTTGTGTCAAATTAGACTTTGGACTTGGACTTTTGGGTTAATGCTGGAATGAGTTAAGGCTTTGGGGGACTGTTAGGAAGGCATGATTATGTTTTGAAATGTGAGAAGGACATGAGATTTGGGAGAAGCCAGGGACAGAGTGATATGCTTTGGCTCTGTGTCCCCACCCAAATCTCATCTTGAATTGTTATCCCCACATGTTGAGGGAGAGACCCGGTAAGAGGTGATTGGATTATGGGGACTGTTTCCCCAATGCTGTTCTCATGATACTGAATGAGTTCTCATGAGATATGATGGTTTGAAAGTGTTTGGCAGATCCCTTCTACCTCCTCCTGCCCTGTGAAGAAGGTGCCTGATTCCCCTTCACCTTCCATCATGATTCTAAGTTTCCTGAGGCCTCCCAGCCATGCAGAACTGAGTCAATTAAACCTCCTTTCTTTATAAGTTACCCACTCTCAGGTAGTGTCTTTACAGCAGCATGAGAATGGTCTAATACATTGCCTCTTCCCAGCTTCTGGTGGCTCCCAGTAATCCTTGGTGTTCCCTGGCTTGTAGATAATCCGTCCAATCTCTGCTCTGTTGTTACATGGTCTTCTCTCTGTGTATCTCTGCGTGTCTTCTCCTCTTCTTATAAGGAAATCAGTCATTGGATTTAGCTCCCACCTTAGTACGGTATGACCTCATCTTGAGTAATTACATCTGCACAGACCCTATTTCCAAATAAAGTCAAGTTCTTGGGTTTCCAGGGGACATGAATTTGAGGGGGAAGCTATTCAACCCATTATAAAAACTTAGTGCAGTAACATACACCTGTTATTATCAGATAGACAGTCTCATCAAAAGCCTCAGTGTGTCATTAGTATAACTTTCCTAGAATCTGTGACTATCACAGAAAGAGAACCACTGAGCAAACCTAAGAAGTGGTCACAACAAAGAGTGAGCACAAGAAAAATCACTTCCTGAATGTGACCAGATTTATGCTGTTTCGTGGATGAAAAGACCATGATTCCAAATTCTGACAACAAAAGCTCTTTGTTGAATGGAAATCTTCCATAAAATCTGCCTATGAAGTACTGGATACTGAATGTAGTTCCATGAACTCTGCAGAACATCTTGGATGTGCTCAGAGCTTCATCAGCAGGGTCCGTCCCTTCCCTACTGGGTGTGTGACAGGCCTACTCTGAGACAGGATAGGGAGAGAACAAGGTGTACATGTTTCTAAACATCCCAGACCTAAGAAGATGCACCAGCTACACTAACAACATGACAGTTTTCTTCTGCTAAGCTTTCTTATCAAGCTGGCTTCAGGATAAAAGAAAACTTAATTTGTCCAAGGAAGCTCTGGCTGTGGAAACTGTCACTCTTGGCTTTGAGGAAACACTCCATAGTGGCTGCAGAGTAGTTTCTGCTCCTTGAATTAGACTTTTGGACTCTGACAGAGGTTAAAAACCAACCTTACGTGATGATACTATTTTTAACTTCTAATCTCAGAGTTGGTATTATTGGGCAATGGATTAGATTAGATGCAAAAGAACATCAGAAGTACAGTCATAATCATTCCTGTTTGATAAGAAATTTTCAAATGGCATATTAATCTATTAATTGTCAACATGTACAGAACATTCCTAATGACTTCATCTATATGGATCCATACATTCCTCCACTTTTAACCCTATTGATTCTACTTCTGAAATATCTCTTGAATCATCTGCTTTTCTTTCTCCCTACCACTACCACCATAGTCCAAGCCATCATCATATCTGTCCTGACCACCACAACTGTCTCTCAACTAAATCTCACTTCCACTCTAGTCCTGCAAATAGTTAGGATACCATGGGCAGCAAATGCAGAAATCTTGATTCCAGTTGGTTTAAAGGAAATTTATTATCTCACATAGGAGGAAGGCTAGCAATAGGGCAAGTTTGGGAGCTGGCTGACTCAGCAGTTCATCATTGTCACCAGAGTCCCAGGTTCTTTCTATCTTTTAGCTCATCTATGCTTAGCTTGTCATCTTTAGTCTCAGGCTGCTACCCTCATGGGTGAAAGATGGCTGCAGCTGTTTTCAGCAGCTTCACACCCAGTCATGGCCACATCCAGATGCAGGAAGAGACTGTCTCCTAGTGCGTTCCTATGAATAAGGATACTTTCCCCAGAAGTCTCCCACAATAGATATTCCTCTCAAAGCTCACTGGCCAAAACAGGTTCGCATGCCCACTACTAAACCAATCAATTACTAACAAAGAGAATGAGACCATCTGTACTGACTTGGACCAATCAGGAATTATCCCCAGTGTTGGGAATATGATCCTATTTCTATGAGTTATCTGGAGAAAAGATGGACACCTTAACAAAACTATAATTTTGCCTGTGAGAGCTAAGGGAGGAAAAGATATTGGACAAGCAACTAAAGGTGTCATCAAGACCCTCTGCCACAAATCTCTTTTCTGTTGAGCAAGCTTGTCCAACCTGCAGCCTGCACACATCCCAGAATGCCTTTGAATGCAACCCAACACAAATTCATAAACTTTCTTAAAACATTATTAGGTGTTTTTTGTGGCTTTTATTTTTTTTAGCTCATCAGCTATCATTAGTGTATTTTATATGTGGCCCAAGACAATTCTTCCAATGTGGCCCAGGGAAGCCAAAATATTGGACACCCTTGCTACAGAGCAACCAGAATACTTTTCTCAACTTGCATTTCCAATTATGTTCTTCCTCACCTAAAAACTTCAATGGCTTCCTATGGTACATAGAATGTAATCCTGAAATCCTATTTGGGTTTACAAGGCCTTGTGGGCTCTGCACACTGCTCTCCTCATTAATTATAAGCCACTCCTTCTGGCTTCCTCTCCATCTTAGGGCTTGTGTGTATGCCTGAACTTGGACTGTACAGAAACAGAACCAATAGGATATATTAGGTTGGTGCAAAAGTAATTGCAAAAGCCTCAGTTACTTTTACACCAACCTATAAAAGATTTATTTCAAGGAACTGGCTTATGTGATTGTGGGGGCGGGCAAGTTCAAAATTTGTAGGGCAGGCTGGAAACTCAGGCAGGAGTTGATGCTGCAGTCTTGAGGCAGAATGCCCTCCCTGAGAAACCTGTTTTTGCTCTTTTGGCCTTTCAATAGACTGGATGAGGCCCACCTACATTGTGGAAGGTAATACCCTTTACTTAAAATTAACCGATTGTAGATGCTAACCACATCTACAAAATATCTTCACAGCAACACTCGGATTAGTGTTTGATTAGACTGGACACTATAGACTAATCAAGGTGTGATGCTATTATATATATATATATGTTTTCATCCATGGTTCCTGGCTTACAACTCCCATAGCCATTGTAACAGCCTTGTTATAATGTTGGTTGTGTTAGTATGTTAGGCCTTAGATCAGGCCTCAGAAAACAAAATTTGTCTCTCTGATCTTCTCCTGCCCTCCTTTCACATGCCCCAAGGCAGGATTCTAATCATTCCCCTCCTTCCCCTGTCCTATACTCCCAACTTCATCCGGCCCTATAACCTGGAGGAAGGAATCCTGCCATCATGTAGTTTCCATAATGACCCAAGAGGACTGGTTTTCGAGAACTTCTAGATAGCTAAACACATGAGGGTTCCTAGGGGGTGGGGGTTGCAAGGCATGGAAGCTCCATGCACCTTGACCATACCTCACCCTATTTGTCTCTTCATCTGTATTCTTTGAAAAATCCTTTATGATAAGCTGATAAATGTGTTTCCCTGAATTCTGTGAGCTTTTCCAGCAAACTAATTGAACCCAAAAGGAGGGTTGTGGTAATCCCAAATTGAAGCCAGTCATCAGACATTCCACAGGCCCAGACTTGTTACTGGTGGGGGAGGGGCAGTTTTGGGGACTGAGCCCCCAACCTTGGGATCTGATGCTATCTCTTGGTAGATAGTGCTGGAATTGAATTAGAGGACCCCCAGCTGCTGTCTGCTGCTTGGTGTGTGGGTAAAACTCCCCATATTTGGTCACAGAAATCTTCTGTGTTGATTGTTGTTGTGTTGGTGTGAGAGTAGAGGATGAGCATGGTTTGCAAGATATCCCCCTCAAAAAATATCCCCCTCAAAGCTCACTGGCCAAAACCGGTTCACATGCCCACCACTAAACCCTCAATTACTAATAAAGAGAATGAGACCATCTGTATTGATTTGGACCAATCAGGATTTATCCCCAGAGTTGGGAATATGATCCCATTTCTCTGAGTTACCTGGAGGAGACATGGATACCTTAAAACTATAATTTTGCCTGTAAGAGCTAAGGGAGGAAAAGATATTGGACAAGCAACTAAAGGTGTCACTAATTCTCTGCCACAAATTTGTTTTCCGTAGAGCAAGCTTGTCCAATTGTAAACACAAATTGACACATAAAGCTAATGAAGGAAATAAAAATAGTTCACCAGAAAATATGGCTCCCTGGTATAATGAGTATTTTAAAGTAAAAACCCTTAAAGATCAACAAGCTCTGGAAGAAACTTTCCCCTATCTACGTAAAGATAGGACTGTCCCACCAAGGAGAACAATTGCTCCTGTTCCCTTCCTTGTTATCTTAAGATCCATTACAGGAAAGAAGATCAAGAATGTAACCACACCTGAACAGACCTTATTCAAGGTATTGACTGTCTCAAAGTTTCATATACATTCCAAAGAGAACTATTTACAAGTTAATTTCTGTTCTCCTATCCAGTCATTCTCCCTACAAACCATTTATTGCCCCTCAGTGAAATTCCACTTCTCCCCATCCCATAATCCATTTCACCAGGATCCAGGCCCCTATTCTTTCTGTAAACTCAAGATGGTACATAAGCTTCTGTACCTCACTGGGAGGTTGAGTCTTCATTCTGAAGTCTCCTGTGTTAAATAAATTTGTATGCCTTTTCTCCTATTAATCAATCTGCCTCATGTCAGTTGATTTTTCAGCTAACCTTTAGGCAGCCAAGGGCTTTGGTCCTGTAAACCAAAAATAAAATTCTAAGTACCCCCAACAGGCTGAATGGACCCCTCCTCCTAGTCAAGGGAATTCCAAAGAAACCTGAAAAACTAGTTCAGCCCATGATGGGAAGAGGGGTTGAATACGCCTCATTATACTGTCCTCCCTTTGGAATTCAGGCTCATCTGACCAGCATTAATATTAAAACAGAGATCTTAAGACTGAAAAAACAGACTCTTTTTAGCAATAAGACACCAAATTCCAACCTGACTCTAGTATAGCATCACATCACTGATGGCAGGTCTTGAAAGAAATTAAAGTATTTTACCTCAAAATATATATTTTTTTCTTTTCCTTTCTTTTTTTTTTTTGCTCGTCACCCAGGCTGGAGTGCAATGGCGTGATCTTGGCTCACTGCAACCCCCACCTCCCAGGCTCAAGCGATTGTCCTGCCTCAGCCTCCCAAGTAGCTGGGATTACAGGCGCCTGCCACCATGCCTGGCTAATTTTTGTATTTTTAGTAGAGACAGGGTTTCACCATGTTGCCCAGGCTGGTCTTGAACTCCTGACCTCAGGCAATCTGCCTGCCTCGGCCTCCCAAAGTGCTGGGGATTATAGGTATGAGCAACCGTGCCTGGCCTCTTTTTCTTTTCTTTTTTTGAGGAAAGGTCTCACTCTGTCACTCAGGCTGGAGT
The DNA here is from genome assembly GCF_000001405.40 of Homo sapiens. Taxonomy (NCBI): domain Eukaryota; kingdom Metazoa; phylum Chordata; class Mammalia; order Primates; family Hominidae; genus Homo; species Homo sapiens. The sequence continues at coordinate 25,209,312 of NC_000004.12, read as the reverse complement.
GCAGTGGCATAGACCATGGCTCACAGAAGCCTCAACCTCTGGGCTCATATGATCCTCCCACCTCAGCTTCCCAAGTAGCTGGGACTATAGGTGTACGCACTACCATGCCTGGTTAATTTTTGTGTATTTTTTTGTAGAGACAGGGTCTCACCATGTTGCCCAGGCTGGTCTCCAACTCCTGGGCTCAAGCAATCTGCCCAACTCAGCCTCCCAAAGTGCTGGGATTACAGGTGTGAGTCACTGCAACAAGTTCCCAAATATATTTCTTTGACATATTTTGAAACGGCCCTGCAAAGCTGTCTCTTGTGGGGGAAATTTACATCCTGTAGAGACTCCTCTTCCTTTTCCAGGTCTTCTTCTGATCCTGAAGAGATTAGCTGGGAGTCTAGCACCTTTCAAAGGTCTAAGTAGGAAACATTTGCCATCTATTGCCTCTAAGGGCAGCCACTTATGAGACTTCATCTACATAATAATCTTGGTCTCCACAACCCCTTGTCTTAACCCAGACACTCATTTCTGTTTATTACACGTCTTTAGATAATAACTTAACTCTTTCAACTAATTGGCAGTCAGAAAACTTTTGAATCCACATGTGACCTGTAAGCCCCCACTGGAGTTGACCCACCTTTCTGAACTGAACCAATGTATACCTTACATGTAGTGATTGAGGTCTTATGTCTCCTTGAAACATATAAAACCAAGCTGTACCACAACCACCCCGGGCACAGGTTCTCAGGACCTCCTGGGGCTGTGTCATTGGTCATGGTCTCCACATCTGGCTCAGAACAAATCTCTTCAAATATTTTATAGAGTTTGGCTTTTTCATCAACAGCCCCACACTATCACATGGATTCTTCTTCTTTTCTTCTGTCCAGCCAGAAGATACCCAGCCACTCAATGTGGTAGACCAACATTTCCTCATCCAGGTCTTAATGTCCCCTAGGAAGACCTCTGGAAGGGTCTCCTGCCCCATCCAGATTAGGTACCCTCTTTTGGCTCCAAAGAAAACTCTCTACCTCCAACATATGCTAACATTACACAATTTTGTAATAACCTGTTTACCTATCTGTACTGCCAACTACAACATAAGCCAGAAGAACCAAAAAACCATGCTTAGTGCACTGTTATGCTCCCATTAGCCAGCACAGAACTAGTCACATAGTAGACACTCAGTAAATATTTACCAAATGAATGTATCTCATCCAACTCCATTTTCTAGTTGAAGTAATGGTTTAGAGATGATAAGCCCCTTATCCATGACTACATCAAAAATAGTAGTTAAGCTGGGTTAGAACTCGCAACTCCTGCCTGTAAATGTGGGCTCTTCTCCACTTTGCTACTCCTCTTTGTGCTGGAAGGTTAAGAATATCCAGATGTGATGAGGTTTATTTTTTAGAGGTAGGTGAGTGTGTGTGTGTGTGTGTATGTGTGTGTGTGTGTGTTTATGCTCAGCCCTTTTGTATTAAAAAAGAGAGGCACACTCAGGTTCCTGCAAGTAATAGGATTTTTGGGGGGAGTTTCCTTGTTTTCTTTTTAGACACACACGTTAAGGATGATAGAAAGCTCATGTGACAAGAATTGCCATCTAGCCAGGCCCGAAGGAAACCTGACCAGGAACTAGGTTTTCTCCTTGTTCCTGAGCAGCAAAATGTCACCAGTTCCCTGCCATCCTGAGGACTCAGCTCTGCCCTATTGCTTCTGTTCTTGTTGCTGCTATCTACCAGTGACCCACCTTCTGTGCATGCCTTCCTGATGGCTACTGCTTAACAGGAAGATGAGCTTGCACATGCCTTCTCTTTGCAAATTTTTATCATCTCTTATTGCTACCCAACTGATTTTCTCTTCTATATTTTCTAATCCTAATTTCTGACGACGCTACTCTGGTTGGCTCCTTTGGCTACATTCTTTTCTGTTTGGGTATGGTTTTTTTTTTTTTTATGTCTGGCCACTCCATAGGTTAGCCCAAGGGCTGGCTGCTTTTGCAGACAATTAGCTATGATGTGGGAGGACAAAGGCAGGTCATGTGGAATATAACATGTTTTTTCCATGGAGATTGTAGGGGAGGCATTTTTTTCTTTCCTTGTGATTGAGAGTGAGGCAGATAACATCATTGACCTGTCCAATACAGCAAAAAACAAAAAAACACCTCAAACCACAGTTTTTGGATAACAGTCCAATGCATTCTCTCATGGCAAGGTATAGTAGTATCTTTAAAAGGCTCAAATACTTTCATTCCGAGCATGTGTGGGTCCCAATTTTCTTTTTCAGGTTAAGGGGCTGGGGAAAAACCATGCTAGGGGTGGTGTAAAGAAAATGGAAAGTAAAATAACTCAGATTGTAACATTATTTGACTTAGACAATAACAAGAGAATTTAAATGGAGCTAGATCTCAAAGTGATTTCTATGAAAACAGACAACTAAGTTTTATTTTTCTTTCTTTTTTAAAAAAGATTTTAATCTAATCTGATAGAGTAGGAGAAAATAACTCAATGTTCTGAAAATAAATTTCCCAGAGGAGGCCATTAAGGCAGCCCTTTTGTTTCCTGTCATACTCTGAATCAGCTACAAGGACAAACTCTATTTGTTTGAGTACATTAATTTTGCTCAATGGCCTTTCTATAAAATGAGCATCAAATTGATGGGACTGGACCTCAGTAAAGAAGAAGTTCCAATTTTCTCTGGATGGATTGTTCTGGATGTGCAGTGGAAAATTATTATTAACAGCAATTCATGTTTACTATCCAGTGAGAACAAGAGAAAGATGGAGTTTAGAAACACAGCTGTATCTGACTAAGCACTGAGCACCATAGGACAAATTACTAGGGAATGATGAGCTGATCTTTGTCTTCTGTGTGGCTAGTCTACTTGGGCCATATATGGTATGCTGGACCACAGATTTTCTCTGACTGTGTCTTGGTTCAGTAATTTCAGGGAAGCAAGATAGGTTTTTAATATGATCTAGTCATTTGGGTTGTCTTGTTGCAGGTACCATATGGTGCTGATGTGTCGGATGCCTCCATGTGTTGATTTCAATCATTCAACTGGACACATGGTGAGAGGCTGAACAGACATGCTTCCTTCCCTCATGGAGTTTATATTGCAATTGAATCTGGTTCCGAGACCTTCTGATTCTGATTCAGCCTTCTAAGTTCAAACCAAAGCAGAGGTATTCAATGGCTGTTAATTTTCCTTCCCAGGTTAAGGGGTTGGGAGTAAAGCATGCTGAAATAATGTATGAAGAAGGAAATTAAAAGAAGTAAAATAGGCCAGGCACAGGGGCTCATGCTTGTAATCCCAGCACTTCGGGAGGCTGAGTTGGGAGATCACTTAAGGTCAGGAGTTCAAGACCAACCTGGTCAACATGGTGAAACCCCATCTCTACTAAAAATAAAAATATTAGCCGGATGTAGTGGCACACACCTGTGGTCCCAGCTACTCGGGAGGCTGAGGCAGGAGAATCACTTGAACCCTGGAGGCGGAGGTTGCTGTGAGCCAAGATCACGCCACTGCATTGCAGCCTGGGGACAGAGTGAGACTCTGTCTCAAAAAGAAAAAAAGGAAGCAAAATAACTTCATCTTCCTGGGGCTCAGTCAGAACCCAGCAAGTTCCTGCAGACAGTGGGGTATGGAGAGCTGCTATAATTCACATTTCTCGTAAATGTATAAGACTTTGCCATTTGCATTCTATGTGCTAAGCTCATTCCTGATTCTATTTATCTTCTCTTCCATGGAAATAAACAAAGACCTACTCAAACGAGAGCAGGCAAAAGCTCCTTATTTACAGCTTGTTATAGCAAGGGAGTCAGCCACCATCACTTGTATTTGGCAGAGACTCAAAGGCAGGCAGAGGGGTGGGAAAGTTTCATAGTAACAAAAAGGGAAGGCTTCAGGTACACCCTAATGGGAGGCTGTTGGCAGGAGAAGTTGGAGGCAGCTAACCAGAAAGAGGGCATCCTATGTGATTGATTCGGGTATAATATTTGGCTTTCTCTGGTTGGCCTTGAGTTGGAAGCAGGGATTAAAATTAGGGAAGCTGGCAGTTATTAATCAAGTCTTGGCCATTTTGGGCCAATGGCTAGAGGGGTTATTGTTTAGCTTCCTGGGCTGTTGGCTAGAGATAATGGGTTGGTTACTACAGATTGTGGGTCAGGAAGTTCTACTTAAAAAAAAAAAATATATATATATATGTGTGTGTGTGTGTGTGTGTGTGTATGTGTGTGTGTGTGTATATATGTGTGTGTGTGTACATGTATATATATAAAGAGAAAGACAGAGAGGGTCTCACTCTGTCACCCAGGCTGGAATGCAGTAGCTCAATCACAGCTCACTGCAGCCTAGACCTCCTGGGCTCAAGTGGTCCTCCCACCTCAGCATCCCAAGTAGCTGGAACTATAGGTATGCACCACCATGCACAGCCAATTTTTTTGTATTTTTTATAGAGACGGTGTCTCACTATGTTGTCCAGGCTGGTCTCAAACTCTTGGCTCAAGCGATTTGCCCACCTCAGGCTCCCATAGTGCTGTGATTATGGGCATGAGCCACTGTGTCTGGCTTCAGAGTTCTACTTTGGTAGATGGTCTGGCATCTGACTTATCATTTTACCTAGATTGCTTCATGTATTTTAACTTTCAAATCCTTTATCTTACACATATCTATTCATAGCCATCAATTCTGCAACCTCCATAGTACATTTTCTAAAAATTTTTAATTATAAAAAGAATACATGTTCATCAAATTAAAAGTTTTAAAGATAGAGCTAAACAAAAGGAAAAATAATTTCATAAACTCCCACCAACCACATTTCTGCTGACAATTTGCTCTATGTTCTTTCTATGCATATATGTCAATACAATCCCATAGCACTTTGTACATTCGTAACTCTTCTATAAATAGTTGTCGTGTGTGCTTCCTCCCCTCCCCCCATTGGAGATTTGCAGAGATAGAGAGTGTTTTTCATTTAACCCTTACTCTCCAAACCTTACATGGTGTGTTAAACCTGGTAGCATGTTTAATAAGCATTAAGTACAATTGGGAAATAGGGAAATTTCATGTGGTTAAACCCAGCGGATGGATGGATAAATGGATGAATGGACGGATGGATAAATTGTAATACCTTTAACCATTGTCAATTCTATTCCATGTAACTAATGATTTAAACATCAAACTTTTGAATGAACATGTTGTGGCCTCTTGACAGCAATGGAGAAAATTCTGACTTCTGCTCTTAGCTTAGTTATTTCTCACATTTGTCTATGACTGATAGTTAGCCAATTACTAAATAACAGTGTCAATCCCTTTCATCCATACGTGCATTCAACATTTTTATAAAACTGCAATCTCCCTGTCACGAGTAGATAGATCATTTTCATTTTTCAATTATTTGAGCTTCAGTTTAGGACTTTGGTTAATGGTTTTGCAAGACATTGATTGGAGAGGTCCTTTTCTTTCCTGATTAAAAGCATGTATGATGTCGTCTCTCTAGCTATGTTTTATTTGTATCTAGTAATTGTGAATCTAAATATATGACTATGGTGATCTGTCACATACTATATTATGTGAATTTTTCAGGAAGCAAAATAATTCTAAAAAAATCATTTCAGAAGATTGTCATTAGTCAGACTAAGGATAATGGAAGTAAATCTTATGTAAAATAAATTGTTTTCAATAAAACATTATAATAGAAAATCACTGTTGCCAACTCCTATTCAATATTCCTCCTATTATAGTATCTGTGTATCATATCTAGAGAGGAGTTTCTACATAAATTGTTTCTACGGCCATTGTCCTTGGGGCTTAGTCTTTAAAAAACTACAGTTGGTAGTAGCATGGAGGAGAAGAGTACAAAGTCAGCCGTCCTGAGCTCCCCCTCATTCTAGCTCTGTCTCTTACAGGTTTTGTGATCTCGGATATGTTATCTTCTCTGCTGGAGTCTTACTTACCTGTTCTGTAAAATGGGGATCAAATGTTATCTTGTAGAAGATAGTCATTCATTGTTTCATTCAACGTACACTTACTTATGTGTCCAAGCCCTGTGGTAGGCAGAGCTATTGGGTGATAGCACAACTCCATGCACAATATGTTTCTATTGTTTTTTATGCTCTGGGTATGAGTAGGATGGAGGCAGGCAAGGGGCTTCCTCAAATCTTCTGTTGTAGTGAAATTGGCAACTTCAAGATATAAGCCAGTTCCTGGTAACAACATGCTGTAGTTTCAGGTATGAGTATTGGGGCTCAAATCTTTGGTAATTTGATTTTGGGAAACTCTGAACTGTTCCCTTTCAATTCTCTCCTGGGCAAAATGTAAATAATGGTTTCTGCTTCACTTACTGTCCAGAATTCTCTAGGTGGTTATATCTGTTAGCAGTTTACATGCGTTACCAGAATCAAATGAGATCATCAAAAGGCATTATCTCTGCCCATGACCTTTGTAAACTGTAAATATATAATTGGTGATTAAAATTCTTACTTTTTTATTTTTTAACTCAGGTTGGTTTGAGGAAAGCAATGTTTTTCAGTTTTTTGGTTAAACTTTCCCGGAGGAGTTTGAAACTCTTCCCTGCACCTACCTTAGAGTTTATCCACAGCATCGCATGTTTATTGACATCAACTAGGAAGAATTTCAAAAATCCCAAGGTGTCTTGCCCTAAGCAATAATCTCTGGGGGTGCAGCTGTTAAAAAACTCCCCAGGTGATCCGAATGTGCAGCCAGGGCAGAGAAACACAGCCTCAAGAAATGATTTTCCAGTTTAACACCTGAAGTCCAGCCAGAAAAACTCCTAAGCATTACAACTGTTCCAGGTGGGCAGGTAGTGGTTTATCCAACCTCCCTCTCACTTTCAGGAAGGTGGAGGCTGCAGCCATTCTGGGTGCTTGGACAGGTGGATAGAGGATCTGCCTCTGCCATTACAAAATGCCATTGCCAGCATTTAATATTTTCAATAATAGTAATAAAATCACTTTTTATAATTGAAGTGCTTCACAGATTCCAGAGCGCTTTCAAATGCATCAACTCATTGAAATAAATTTACTTCGCCCCCACCAATAAAAAGAAACAAGTGCTTTTTTATAGGAATTTTAGGAAGCATAGAAAAGCTGAAAGAAGACATCAAAAAATCTTCCAAATCCCATTACTTAAAGACAATCATATTTTGTAAATTTTCTTCTAGTTTTTTTAACAAATTAGTTAAAATTTTTATCATAAAATTATGCATGTTTATTGTAAAAAAAAGTTAAATACCGAATTTGTAAAGCAAAAAATGAAAGTCCCTATCCTCCCTCCAACCCCTCACCTATCCTAACTCCTACCCCCACCTTATTAAAGTACACTCTTCAGAGTCAGACGTTGTTAACGGTCTTTGTTTTTCCAATTTAGATGATTTTTTATTTTTTATTTTTCATTTTTTTTAAAGTTTCCATAGGTTATTGAGGAACAGATGGTGTTTGGCTATGTGAGTAAGTTCTTTAGTGGTGATTTGTGAGATTTTGGTGCACCCATCACCCGAGCAGTATACGCTGCACCCTATTTGTAGTCTTTTATCCCTCACCCCCTTTCTACCCTTTCCCCCTGAGTCTTCAAAGTCCATTGTGTCATTCTTATGCCTTTGCATCCTCATAGCTTAGCTCCCACTTATGAGTGAGAACATACAATGTTGGTTTTCTATCCCTGAGTTACTTGACTTAGAATAATAGTCTCCAGTCTCATCCAGGTCACCGTGAATGCCGTTAATTCATTCCTTTTTGTGGCTAAGTAGTAGTCCATCATATATACATACCACAGTTTCTTTATCTGCTCATTGATTGATGGGCATTTGGGTTGGTGCTATGGTTTTGCAATTGCGAATTGTGCTGCTATAAACATGCGTGTGCAAATATCTTTTTCGTATAATGACTTCTTTTCCTCTGATAGATACCCAGTAGTGGGATTGCTGGATCAAATGGTAGTTTTACTTTTAGTTCTTTAAGGAATCTCCACAGTGTTTTCCATAGTGGCTATACTAGTTTACATTCCCACCAGCCATGTAGAAGTGTTCCCTGATCACCACATCCATGCCAACATCTACTATTTTTCGATTTTTAGATTATGGCCATTCTTGCAGGAGTAAAGTGGTATCACATTGTGGTTTTGATTTGCATTTCCCTGATCATTAGTGATGTTGGGCATTTTTTTATGTTTGTTGGCCATTTGTATATCTTCTTTTGGGAATTGTCTATTCATGTCCTTAGCCCACTTTTTGATGGGATCATTTTTTTTTTCTTGCTAATTTGTTTGAGCTCCTTATAGATTCTGGATATTAGTCCTTTGTCAGACATATAGATTGTGAAGGTTTTTTCCCACTCTGTGGGTTGTCTCTTTACTCTGCTGACTGTTCTTTTTGCCATGAGAAAGCTCCTTAGTTTAATTAAGTCCCAGCAATTATCTTTGGTTTTATTGCATTTGCTTTTAGGTTCTTGGTTATGAAATCCTTGCCTAAGCCAATGTCTAGAAGGGTTTTGCCAATGATATCTTCTAGAATTTTTGTAGTTTCAGGTCTTAGATTAAGTCCTTAATCCATCTTGAGTTGATTTTTGTATAAGGTGAGAGATGAGGATCCAGTTTCATTCTCCTGTATGTGGCTAGCCAATTATCCCAGCACCATTTGTTGAAAAGGATGTCCTTTCCCCACTTTATGTTTTTGTTTGCTTTGTCAAAGATCAATTGGCTGTAAGTATTTGGGTTTATTTCTGAGTTCTCTTTTCTGTTCCATTGGTCTATGTGCCTGTTTTTATACCAGTACCATGCTGTTTTGGTGACTATGGCCTTATAGCATAGTTTGAAATCAGGTAATGTGATGCCTCCAGATTTGTTCTTTTTGCTTAGTATTGCTTTGGATATGTGGGCTCTTTTTTGGTTCCATATGAATTTTAGAATTGTTTTCTCTAATTCTGTGAAGAATGATGGTGGTATTTTGATGGGAATTGTGTTGAATTTGTAGATTGCTTTTAGCAGTATGGTCATTTTCACAATATTGATTCTACCTATCCATGAGCTCCTCCTCAACATAGTATTGGAAGTCCTGGCCTGAGCAATCAGACAAGAGAATGAAATACAGGGCATCCAAATTGGTAAAGAAGAAGTCAAACTGTCGCTGTTTGCTGATGATATGATTGTTTACCTAGAAAACCCTAAGGACTCCTCCAGAAAGCTCCTATAACTGATAAAAGAATTCAGGAAAGTTTTCTGGATACAAAATTAATATACACAAATCAGTAGCTCTTCTATACACCAACAGCGACCAAACTGAGAATCAAATCAATAATGCAACCCCTTTTACGATAGCTGCAAAAAAAAAGATACTTAGGAATATACCTAACCAAGGAGGTGAAAGACCTCTACAAGGAAAAGCTACAAAACACAGCTGAAAAAAATCACAGACAACACATACTAATGGTCTTTACATACAAACACTTTCTGGCCTTTCCTTTCTCTGTGCATAAGTTTAAAAAGCTTTGTTTTTCGTGGTTGTATTCTTAAAGTACATGCAACTTTTATTCAGTTTTACCTCAGTGAAAATTATATCATAAGCTTTCTTAAGTATGACTTTTAATGGCTGCTTAATATCCTATTGAATATATGTATTTTAATTTGCTTAATTATGTACTGTTGAATAATTAGTTTTTTTCTAGCTTTTTACTATTATAAAACCTGCAGTAACTGTCTTGCACATACAGCCTTTTCTGTTCTATTTAGGCAAATTCTTTCTTTCTTTCTTTTTTTTGAATAGAGAAAGGGTTCTCACTATGTTGTCCAAGTTGGTCTTGAACTCTTGGCCTCAGATGATTCTCCCACCTTGGCCTCCCAAAGTGCTGGAATTACAGGAGTGAGCCACCGTGCCTGGCCTCTTTCCACAATTTCTCTAGATATAGCCACACTCCGGGAGAGCATTCCTGGGTTGCGTTAATGATTCTTTCCATGACCCTGGGAAGTTGGCTATGCAGGAAGTTGGCTAACACAGAGGAAGGAGCATGGGTTTTGAGGGTCAGACAAACTTATATTCAAATCCTAGCTTTGGCCGAGTGTGATGGCTCACACCTGTAATCCCAGCACTTGGGAAGGCTGAGACAGGTGGATCACTTGAGGTCAAGAGTTCAAGACCAGCTTGGCCAACATGTGAAACCCTATCTCTACCAAAAATACAAAAATTAACTGGGTGTGGTGGTTGCACACCTGAAATCCCAGCTACCTGGGAGGCTGAGGCATGAGAATCGCTTGAAGCTGGGAGGCGAAGGTTGCAGTGAGCTGAAATCACACCACTGCACTCCAGCCTGGGTGACAGAGCAAGACTCTGTCTCAAAAAAGAAAAAAAAAATCCTAACTTTGCCATTGATTAGCTGTGTGACTTTGGAAAATAACTTAACCTCTCTGACTCTCATATTGTGCATTTGTGATACAGAGATAATAATGCCTACTTAATGGTGCTACTATATTATGAAGATTATTTTGTAAAGCACTTATGGAGATAACTTCCCTGAATTAACACAGAGTAAAAGATATTTCCTGTACTTCCTTGAAAACAACAATGTTGTGGGGACCTTTAAAAAAATTGAAGTGTGGCTTATATACTGTAAGGTGCACATGTTTTAAACACATAACTTGACGATTTTTAAGCATATGTCTAAACCCAAGTAACTACAATTCAGATCAAGAAATAGAACATTTTCATCACCCAGAAGATTCCCTTATGCCTCCCACTTCCCCATCAGTAACCATTTTCCTTCTCAGAGGTAAGTGCTGATGTCTACCAAAATGGATTAGTTTTTTGTCTTAAGCTTTATTATTTTTTCTTTTATTTCTTTAAATAAAGTCTCTTATAAATTTATTTCCCCAACAATTTTGTCATTAGGATAGCATTGGCTTTCACCTAGATAACAAGATTTTTCAGCACAAATATAAAGTTTTCTGTAAGTAGCATCCAGTAGTTAGTCCTACGCTGAATCCAAAACCTCTTATTTTGCATGTCATTCTTTCCCAGTCTTCAGTTGCACAGCGGAAGAGGAAAAGGGTGGAAGAGCAGAGGAAGAGAGGGTGCTATTTTATCAGGGACAATGAGAATTCAACATGGCTGGGGAGGCCTCAGGAAACTTACAATCATGGCAGAAGGCGAAGGGGAAGAAAGGCACCTTCTTCACAAGGCTGCAGGAGGGAGAATCATCTTAACCTTTATTTAAAGGAATCAGACAGTATATACTTTTGTGTTTCTGGTATCTTTTGCTCAATAATTATGTCTGTAAGATTTATCCATGCTGTTGTGAGTTTTAATAGTTTGTCCTTTTATATTGTGTCATATTTCAAGCTCTGAACATCCCAACATTTGTTTATCTTTCTGCTATTGATGGACATTTGAGCTGTTTCCAGTTTGGATCTATTATGAACACTTTGGCACATATCTCTAGTGGACACAGAACACTCATTTTTTTTGGTATATATACCTAGGAGTAAAATTGCTGGGTCATGGGGTAGGTGAATATTTAGCTTTGGTAGATATTTCCATTATCGTCTACGAAGACAGATTTTGAAAAGCTAAAGTTGGTCAGGCGCGGTGGCTCACACCTGTAATCCCAGCATTTTGGGAGGCCAAGGCGGGTGGATTACCTGAGGTCAGGAGTTCAAGAGCAGCCTGGCCTAGTTGGTGAAACCCTGTCTCTACTAAAAATATTTTTAAAAATTATCCAGGCATGGTGGTGGGCACCTGTAATCCCAGATATTCGGGAGGCTGAGGTAGGAGAATCGTTTGAACCCGGGAGACGGAGGTTGCAGTTGTGAGCCAAGATCATGCCACTTGCACTCCAGCCTGGGCGACACAGTGAGACTGTCTCAAAAAAAAAAAAAAAAGTCACTTAATTATTTATTCGATAAATGGTAAACGCTACTATGCATCACGTACAGTCCTAAGTCCTGAGTTGGAGAAGTTCCAGGGTTAGTCAATTGAGAGAATCAAAGACATTAGGGACCACTTTTTCTTTTTACCCTCTTTAGAGTGTTTTAGGGCACTGAACTTCATCTCCTCATTCCTACCCTCCTGGTCTTAAGATGGTCTCTGCAGTTTCTCGTATTATATTAATATCATTACAAGATCTCATCCACATACAAAAAGCAGGTGAGGAGAAGGGGAATGGTTCTCCTTGTTTGTGCATTTTATTTTATTTTTTAATAAAAAAAAAAACTTTCTCATAACTCTCCAGCAAGCTTTCCCTCTGGCCCCATTGGCTGGGTTAGGTGATATGCTCATGCCATAGCAGAAAAGTCTGGATGAAGAGTTTCCAATGACTGGGTGTGGTGGCTCATGCCTGTGATAGCAGCACTTTGGGAGGCTGAGGGAGGAGGATTGCTTGAGCCTAGGAGGTCAAGGTTGTAGTGAGCCGAGATAGTGCCACCGCACTCCAGCCTGGGGCAACAAAGCAAGACCCTGTTTCAAAAATTTAAAAAAGTTTCCAGCATTTTCCTTCTTTTTGAGTTTCCAGCATTTTCAACTTCTTTAATGAGAAGCATGTTCAGCCAGCAAAGAAGAAGAAGAAAAATGGTTATAGACAAGCAACCAACAGTATCTGCCATAGCTATTTTATAGCTGTTTAAACTTGGGTAAGTAACTTACTCACTTTCTGGCTTTTCCATCAGAAAAATGGGAACAATAACAATTGCTTTAAAGATCAGGATCAGTATTAAGTGAAAAAAAAAAAACATGTGATGTGATAGGTATCAAATAAATACTAATAGCCTCCCTTTATACTATTCTTACTCCTCTGGTGCTCAACATTTGTGATTTCATCAATTGTCCAAATAAAACACCAGTTGAGAAAACTGAAGAGAAGAAACTAAGAGAATGTATTTAATGTCGTGATGTGTGTATGTAATTTATAAATTATATGGCTGGAGAAATTGCAGTTTATTATTTCAGGATGCAAAATAGACTGGAAATCTGAATCAGTTACAGGAGATGTATTGCAGTTAAATGAATTGTTTTGCTTCACAAATACATGAAAAAATATAGTCGTGTGAAGGATATTGGATACCAAATGGACTTTATTTTTAACTGTTTGTTTTAATAGCTCATGAAAATACGGCGGTGCTTTTATGGCTGCAATGAATTTTAGGAATAGGAGACTTCACTGAAGCTTTCTAGCACTAAATCTTTTTAGTGGAGACCTAAGAGACTTAGTATGCTGGTGTCTCTCCATGCATCCTGGTGGCCAGTTCCTCCTCTGCTCTTATTCATGCTTTTCTAAAAACTGGAGGCTGTGAGGATGGGTGGAAGGGGTGATAATTTCAAGAGCTGGTGCCTAGGAAAGTCGTATCATCCCTCATGAGCTTCATTTGCTTTTCTTAAGTTGATTCTCATTTTTTTTTTTTTTTTTTTTTTTTGAGACAGAGTCTGTCTCTTGTCACCCAGGCTGGAGTGCAGTGGTGCAATTGTGGCTTACTCAGCCTCGACCTCTTAGGCTCAAGAGATCCTCCTGCTTCAGCCTCCTATGTAGCTGGGACTACAGGCCTATGTCATGTTACCTGACTATTTTATTTCTTTTTTGTAGAGACAGCGTCTTGCTATGTTGCTCATGCTAGTCTCAAACTCCTGGCCTCAAGAGATCCTCCTGCCTCAGCCTCCCAAAGGGGTTACAGGTGTGAGCCACCACACCTGGCCAATTCTCATTTCTTAAATACAAGCCTTTTCCTCTTCCTGTGTAGGGTATATGATGGCTTCTTTGGAATTGACTTTAAAAGCGGGAAGATTTGGGAGGCCAAGGCAGGAGGATCACTTGAGCCCAGGAGTTAGAAGTCGTAGTAAGATATGATTGTACCACTGCACTTCAGCCTGGGTGACAGGGTGATACCCTGTAAAAAAAAAAAAAAAAAAAAAAAAAAGATAAAAGAAAAAAGACAGGAAGACTTTGTGGGTATATAAGATTCTTTTATTTTAATATTAGAAATTCAGCTTAACTTCTTATCCATAAAAAGGGAATTGATGGCCAGGCATGGTGGCTCATGCCTGTAATCCCTGCACTTTGGGAGCCTGAGGTGGGTGGATCATGAGATCAGGAGTTCAAGACCAGCCTGGCCAAGATGGTGAAACCCCATCTCTACTAAAAATACAAAAATGAGCTGGGCGTGATGGCAGGTGCCTATAATCCCAGCTACTCAAGAGGCTAAGGCAGAGAATTGCTTGAACCTGGGAGGCGGAGTTTGCAGTGAGCCGAGATGGCACCACTGCACTCCAGCCTGGGCGACAGAGCAAGACTCCATCTCAAAAAAAAAAAAAAAAAAAAAAAAAAAAGGAATTGGTTAGCTCACACAACTGAAAATCTAGGTCATATTTGACTTCAGACGTGGCTAGATCCAGGAGCTCAAAAGTGTCAAAGAATTGGTTTGCCTGTTTCCTGTCTTGCCTGCTTTCCTCTACAGTGGCTTCATTCTCAGACAAGCCAGTCTCTAGAGGTAACAAAATACCTGCCAGTAGTTTGTCCTCTCGGCAAACTCAGAAAAAAAAATACCTTCTTTCTCCAATAGTTCCACAAAAAGGTATCTACTCTGGAGGGCAAGGCTAAGGACAGGGCTGATTCTGAGCCAGAGGGCACCAGTACAGGTAGAGCAGCAGTTTCTAGTTGGCATCGAATTGGGCAGTGCTTATGCTTTATCTCTTGTTAACAATTTTGAAGTAAGAAGTGGCAAATGACTTATCCTTTTGGGCTTTTGGTAACTTTCATTTCATTTCATTCACCTTCATCTTCATTTTTCCCTTACCTCTTTCTTTTGCCCTTCTAAAATATCAGTAAGTGGGTGGGTGAGATTTGATCCTAATTGGGGTAAAATGAGGGTGATATAGTCATAGTGGTGGTGATTGTGCCTTTGGAAAGTGGGGCCTGGTTATACCAGTCCTAGTTTTCCACCACAAATTCCCTTGTCCCCTTTAGTTGTCTTAAAAGAGCATGGACAATAGAGCTAGAGCTCCTGGTCTTAAAATCAGGCATTTCAGCTCTGCCCTTATGAGCTGTGTGACTTTGAGCTATTGCTTAACCTCTCTGTGTCTCTGTTTTTTTACCCGTAAAATGAAGATAGCAACAGGGAATTGTTGAGAGGATTAAACAAATTAATATATATAAAATACTTATGTGATAGACTGGATTTTTAATTACCTATATATAATCAGCTGTGGGAAGAATGTACCTCCCCATCCCATTTGAAGTTAGACTTAGTCTTTCTTTGTAAGGCAGTATCTCACTCTGTCACCCAGGCTGGGGTGCAGTGGCACAATCATAGCTCACTGCAGCCTCAACCATCTGGGATCAAGAGATACTCCCATCTCAGTTCCCTTGAGTAGCTGAGACTACAGGTGCATTGCCACCACACCAGGCTAATTTTTCAATTTTTTGTAGTGATGGGGTCCCACTGTATTGCCCAGGCTGGTCTTCAACTCCTGGCCTCAAGCAATTCACCTACCTCAGCCTCCCAAATTGCTGGGATTACAGGTGTGAGTCACTGTGCCTGGCCTTAGAAATTTCTTAAAGGAAGATTTACAAATGGCCAATAAGCACATGAAGATACTCAACCTCAGTAGCCATTAGAGAAATGCAAACCAAAATCACAGTGAGATACCACATCATACTTACTAGTATAGTTATAATAAAAAAGCCAGCCAGATAGGCCGGGCGCTGTGGCTCATACCTGTAATCCCAGCACTTTGGGAGGCTGAGGCAGGCAGATCATTTGAGGTCAGGAGTTTGAGACCAGCCTGACTAACATGGTGAAACCCCATCTCTACTAAAATACAAAAATTAGCCAGGTGTGGTGGCAGGCATCTGTAATTCCAGCTACTCGGGAGGCTGAGTCAAGAGAATCGCTTGAACCCAGGAGGCAGAGGTTGCAGTGAGCTGAGATCATGCCACTGCACTACAGCCTGGGTGACAGAGTAAGACTCTGTCTCAAAAAAAAAAAAAAAAAGCCAGATAATAACAAGTATTGATCAGTATGTGAAAAAATTAGAACCCTTGGTGCAATGGCTCACACCTATAATCCCTGCACTTTGGGAGACTGAGGTAGGAGGACTGCTTGAACTCAGGAGTTTGAGACCAGCCCAGGCAACATAGTAAGACTCCCATCTTTATATTTAAAAAAAATGAATGAATAATTAAAAAAAACAGAACCCTTATACACTGTTGAGAGGATATAAAATGGTGCAGCTGCTCTGAAAAACTGTTCAACAGTTACTATAAAAACTCTCTGGAAAACTGTGTGGCAGTTACTCTGAAAGTTAAATATAGGTTTACCAAATGACCCATCAATTTCACTCCTAGATATAGACCCAAGACAACTGAAGTGATATAAATTGGTATAATATTTCTGGGATGTAATCCTATTTGACCCATAAATTCTACCTCTGGTAATATATTTTAAGGAAGTATATATTTTCTTTTTTTTTTCCCAGGCTATTCTCAAACTCCTGGGCTCAAGTGATCCTCCTACCTCATCCTCCCAAGTAGTTGGAAGTAAAAGCAGGCACCACTGCACACAGCTCTAATAAAATATATTCAGACAAGAATGCAAAATATATGTATAAGATGTTCATTGACGTATTGTGTAATAAATTTGGAAATAACTTCAAAGATCTATCAATAAGAGATAAGTTATGACACAGTTTGTATTAGGCAGTGGAATACCTAGCACTTATTTAAAAGGATTTCGTTGATAGCTGGGTGTAGTGGCTCACACCTGAAATACCAGCACTTTGGGAGGCCAAGGCAGGTGAATCTCCTGAGCTCAGAAGTTTGAGACCAGCCTGAGCAACATGGCAAAACCCAGTGTCTACCGAAAATACAAAAAATGAGCCGGGCGTGATGGCACACACCTGTGGTCCCAGCTACTTGGGAAGCTGAAGTGGGACGATCTCTTGAGCCTGGAAAGTGGAGGTTGCAAGGAGCTGAGATCACTTCACTGCACTCCAACCTGGGTTACAGAGTGAGACCCTGTCTCAAAAAAAAAAAAAAAAGAAGAAGAAGAAGAAGAAGAAGATAAGGCCAGGAGCAGTGGCTCACACCTGTAATCCCAGCACTTCGGGAGGCTGAGATGGGCAGATCACTTGAGGGTAGGAGTTCGAGACCAGCCTGGCCAATATGGTGAAACCCCATCTCTACTAAAAATACAAAAATTAGCTGGGCATGGTGACTGGTGCCTGTAATCCCAGATACTTAGGAGGCTGAGGTAGGAGGATCACTTGAACCCGGGAGGCAGAGGTTGCAGTGAGCCAAGATCGTGCTACTGCACTCCAGCCTGGGCAACAGAGTGAGACTATGTCTCCAAAAAAAAAAAAAAAAAAAGAGGATTTTGTGTTACTGGGCTGATGATCCTTTTACCCTGTAATATTTATCTTGTTTGGAGATGGAATGAACAGACTAGGACAAACATCTGCTTTTCTTATTCACTCACCTCTGGGCCCAGTTCCTAGAAGATACCACATATTTGAAGCAACAAAGGAGAATGTGCAATGTTTGCAAATTCTTTTTCTACAGTTCCTGGTTGTTGAAGGCTATGTTGAGTTGCTTTCTATGTTTCTATTTGACAGCTGGGGGTGAAAGATGCCCTTCAGTGTCCCAAATGAGAGAAGAGAATTTTAATTGGGAGTGGCCAAGGTTCACAATTTCAGCCTGGAGGAAAGTAAATTAAAGAGGTAAGGGCAGCTCCCACCTTGGAAAGACAATCTCCGCAGGCCTGCAGAAACAGACCTGCAGAATACCAGAGGCCCCTTGTCTACTCCCAGATCACTGAGAGAGTTTCCCTAACTTGAGGCTCAGCAACATTTGGTATCCTACATTTAGGCAGAGGGTTGCAAACAGTAGGGGCAAATGCTTGAACTCTGCTTAGCACTGAGTGGTCTTTGCTGCTTTTGGTCCTGAAATTTCTACCATGTTCCAATGAATCTAAGTACAATCTAGTCTTGGGGTCAGGTGGGGTAGCCAGCCTAAATTTTGGGATTTTTGTTGTTGTTGTTGTTTGTTTGTTTTGAGACAGTTTAGCTCTTGTTGCCCAGGCTGGAGTGCAGTGGCGCGATCTTGGCTCACTGCAACCTCCACCTCCCAGGTTCAAACGATTCTCCTGCCTTGGCCTTCCAAAGTGCTGGGATTACAGGTGTGAGCCACCATGCCCGGCCTTTAATAGTTCTTAAAGTATCTATTTATTGAAAGGAGAGATGTCCATGATGTTAAGTAGAAAACGAAAGCTGACTACGTTAGGGCATAGATATGTTCATATGCTGGACCATGTTCACATGTGTATCAAAACATCACATTGTACATCTGAAATATATGCAATTTTAAAAGCTGAAAAAGAGTATATATTGTGATTTCTATTTTTTATATTAAAAGCATACAAGTTGTTTGTATAGAGAAAACATTCTGATGGACATATATCCAGCATGGTAACAGTGGCTATCACTGGGTGTGTTTTGGAGGCGATCCTTTTTTTCTTTTGTATTATTCACTAGCATTTTATTTCTATTTTGCAATGAGCATGTATTTTATAAACAGTAGAAATAAAACTATTTTTTAAAAGATGCCAATGTGAGAGGGTCAGGTAGATATTATTGGCCTCAATAGGTAGACTTTGGAGCCTGACAGATCAACAGTGACATGCAGCAAAGCACATAACACAGGGTGGTTCCTGATTGCAGGGCAGAGGGCGCTACTTTCTGCCTGACTTTTATCTCTCACCAGACGTTTGTGGTCATGTCTCCTCCTGCATTATATGGAAGTTAAAGGAATGTCAGAACCTGGTCTGCTAAATGGAGGATTGCTATGGGCTGAATTGTATCCTGCCCTTTCAAATTCATATGGTGAAGTCCTAACCTACAGTACTTCAGAATGTGGCCCTATTTGGAGATAGGGGCTTTATAGAGGTGCTTAAGTTAAGATGAGTTTATGAGGGTAGCCCCTAATCCAATCTGACTGGTGTCCTCTAAGGGAAATTTGGATACACAAAGAGATGCCAGGGATTAACCTACCCAGAGGAAAGGCCACGTGAGGACACAGCAAGAAGGTGGCCGTCTGCAAGCCGAGAGAGGCCTCAGAAGAAGCCAAACCTGCTGATACCTTGGACTTCCCAGCCTCCAGATTTGTGAGAAATAAACTACTGTTGTTTTAAGTCACCCAGTCTATGATATTTTGTTATAACAGCCCTAGCAAACTAATACAAGGATATTCATCATTCTATGTTTTTGTGCATTGAAATGCATAAATATTTCAGCCTCAATATTTTCACAGATGCTGTCTTTTTTGTTTTCATTCAGAGTAGCTTTCTTCAACAAATATTTCATAAGAACAACTTCATAATATAAATTGTCTCTATTTATGATTCCACATAATTATGGGCTTCCACAATTTCGTTTTATTCCAGTACAGAACATAAATTTATCTAATTAAAAATAGGTGCTTCAGCAAATGACTTATCCTGCAAGTTGAAATATTCTAAAATGCAATTACAGAATTTCAACATTAATATTGTATACTATTTGAGGGCTTATTGTTTAATTTGTTCAGTACTCACTGTGCTTATGAAAGGATAAATTTCAAGTTTCTCTGTTTGCAAATGATTTT
Source organism: Homo sapiens (assembly GCF_000001405.40). Taxonomy (NCBI): domain Eukaryota; kingdom Metazoa; phylum Chordata; class Mammalia; order Primates; family Hominidae; genus Homo; species Homo sapiens. The sequence continues at coordinate 25,189,702 of NC_000004.12, read as the reverse complement.
TCCAATAACCGCATTTTGGTATTTCATTTGACAAATACTTTGATTAAAACTTTTTATAAGCATATGAAAACGTGCTCAATTTTATTATTCATCAGAAAAATACCAATTAAAACTCCAATGAGATACCACTACACACTAGAATGGGGAATCGTAAAGATTGACACTACCAAGTGTTGGCAAAGATAAGTTGCAACTGGAATTCTCAGACGTCGCTGGTAGGAACGCAAAATGGTATAGTACCTAGCGGCATGGCATTACATTATAAAGTTAGATTCATTACCACATGATCCAGAAATTCTACTTCCAGATTTCTACCAAGAGAAATAAAAACATATGTCCAACAAAAACATGAACATGATAGTGGGGTGTGGTGGTGGACACCTGTAATCCCAGCTACTCAGGAGGCTGATGCAGGAGAATCGCTTGGACCTAGGAGGTGGAGGTTGCAGTGAGCTGAGATCGCGCCACTACACTCCAGCCTGGGTGACAGAGTGGGACTCCATCTCAGAAAAAAACCCAAAAAACAAAAACCCACAAAACAACGTGTACATGAATGTTTATAGCAGCATTATTCATAACAGTCCCAACTGGAAACAACACAAATGTCCATCACTATTAGATGGATAAACAAAGTGTGATATATTCATACCACAGAAAACTATTCAGCAATACAAAGAAAGGACATAATACAGACAATAACATGGATACATCCTAAAAATATTATGTTAAGAGAAAGAGGTCAATCACAAAAGATTCCATACTATGTGAATCTACTCATGTGAAATTCTCTATCATGTAAAACCATAGGGACAGAGAGAGAATCAATGGTTGCCTGGCGCCAGGGTTAGGGGAGATAAGTGAATATATACAGGTATGAGAAAACTTTCTGGGGTGAAGAATTGCTCCATTTTTTGATTTGGTTAAATGATTAGACACAATAACCAAAATTTACCAACCCGGACGCTTAAAATTAGTATAAATAGGCCGGGCACAGTGGCTCACACCTGTAATCCCAGCACTTTGGGAGGCTGAGGCGGGTGGATCATGAAGTCAGGAGTTCAAGACTAGCCTGGCCAACATGGTGAAACCCCATCTCTACTAAGAATACAAAAATTAGCTGGGCACAGTGGCAGACACTTGTAATCCCACCTACTCGGGAGGCTAAGGCCAGAGAAGGGCTTGAACCGAGGAGGCAGAGGTTGCAGTGAGCCGAGGTCACGCCATTGCACTCTAGCCTAGGCAATACAGTGAGACTCTGTCTCAAAAAAAAATTAGTATAAATATTACCTTGATAAACAAAAAGGAGAAAGCAGTTTCCAACCAATTTTGAACAAATACAACCAAAATTAAGAGGACTAGTTTGTACAAAGTTCAGTACAATGGTTGAATATCTATATTGGTTTATAAAATAGATATTCAAAGGCTTAAACATTTTTAAACATCAGACTGATGACAGGTAGCAGACAGAAAACACATAATGCCATATTGAAGTATGTTTTTATATTCAATGTCAGCATTGTCACAAGATTTTGTAATCTAGTTATTCTGTGCATATGTAAAAATATTTGGCAATTACATTTTTTTTTTTTTGGGACATAGTCTTGCTCTGTTCCCCAGGCCGGAGTGCAATGGCGTGATCTCAGCTCACTGCAACCTCTGCCTCCTGGATTCAAGCGATTCTCCTGCCTCAGCCTCCTGAGTAGTTGGGATTACAGGCAGCTGCCACCACGCCCAGCTAATTTTTCTATTTTTAGTAGAGGCGGGGTTTCACCATGTTGGTCAGGCTGGTCTTGAACTCCTGACCTCAGGTGATCCACCCGCCTTAGCCTCCCAAAGTGCTGGGATTACAGGTGTTAGCCACCGTGCCCAGCCCGGCAATTACAGTTTCTTTTTGATAATTACAAGAATTATTTTTTGAGAGTTTGAATGCAGTTATAAATTATGTGCAGTTATAAATTATCCAAATGCAAGTAAATCTCTTTAGTAAGAACACTACTTTTTTCAAAATTTGTATGTATATTATCACCACAAAAATTCATCAGTTTTCTTTAGCATTGAAATTTTTATTTTTTTAAGCTGGAGTCTTACTCTATCACCCAGGCTGGAGTGCAGTGGCATGATCTCGACTCACTGCAGCCTCCACATCCCAGGTTCAAGCGATTCTCCTGCCTCAGCCTCCTGAGTAGCTGAGATTACAGACACACACCACTACTCTCAGCTATTTTTTTTTTTTTTTTTGTATTTTTAGTAAAGACGGGCAGGCTGGTTTTGAGCTCCTGACCTCAGGGGATCCACCCACCTCGGCCTCCCAAAGTGCAGGGATTACATGCGTGAGCTGCCAGGCCTGGCTTGAAAATTTTAATTTATTATAGAATAACAGTCATAATAATTTCATACATTAAACCTTCAAGAGAATAAACTTCAAAAGCTTTACTTTGATCCTACGCACTGGGTGGAAAAAATTAAATAACTATTGGACTGAACTGGTTTTCTATTTGAAGCTGTTGGCAATGATATACAATTAGCACCACTCAACTGTAAAGTTTTTCTTCATCATGTATACTGCTATCACTTTTTCTATACACACAAGAAAAAATGAGGGAAAACGAGCAAAAATATGAATGTTGTTTGATCTAAAAGTCATGTGTCATACAGTGACAGATAAATCCACCTTTTGCAGCTACACATGTTAATGGTCAACTTTAGGCACAGACTTAAAATAACTTCTAGTTTTAAAAACAGATGCTGATGTTTCTTCAAAAATTTGTATTTATGACCAGGCATGATGGCTCACACCTGTAATCCCTGCACTTTGGGAGGCCAAGGCGGAGTGATCACTTAACTCAGGAGTTTGAGACCAGCCTGAAAAAAAAAGAAAAAAAAAATAGCCAGGCACAGTGGCACACACCTGTGGTCCCAGCTACATGGGAGACTAACGCAGGAGGATCACTTGGGCCTGGGAGGTCAAGGCTGCAGTGAGCTGTGTTCATACCACTGCACTCCAGACTGGGTGACAAGAGTGACACCTTGCCTCAAAACAAAAACAAAAACAAAACCCGAAATACTTTTGTATTTATTCATATTATCAGTGATATAATTACAGCCCTCATGATGATGTAAATGTTGACACGTTATGTGCAAGTATCCTATCATCATTAACTTCCTTAGTTAACAGATACTCATTACTTAATTTTTCATTAAATACACACTTTGTAATTCTCAAAGGGGTCAGGAAAAGGAATGGATTATTGGTCATTCTTCAGAATTAAGGGGAGAGTCGTCTTTGCTAGCTATGCGTCTCATGACTACTAGATGAGATCATGAAAGAAGCCAGAAGTACAATGTGGAGGTCTTCCAAACCCATCCCAGTTTATCCTTTTAGTAAGGTAAAGTTTTAGTGAGGTGAAATGCAAAGATTTTAAGTGTATTCCTCATAGAGTTTTAACAAAGGTATATGCCCATGTAACCCATATTCATATAAAGTGTAGAATGTTCTCGTTACTCCAGAAAGTTCCTTCACTTCCCCTTCCAGTTAATTTCTACCCGTACAGGTGACCTGTGTTTTTGCTTTTGTTTTTTCGAGATAGGGTTTCACTCTGTTCCCAGGCTGGAGTACAGTGGCATGATCTCGGCTCACTGCAATCTCAACCTCCCAAATCTCAGGTGATCCTCCTGCCTTAGCCCCCCAAGTAGCTGGGATTACAGGTGCATGTCACCATGCCCGGCTAGTTTTTGTATTTTTAGTAGAGACAGGGTTTACCCATGTTGCCCAGGCTGGTCTTGAACTCCTGGGCTCAAACGATCCACCTGCCTTGGCTTTCCAAAGTACTGGGATTATAGACATGAGTCACTGTGCCCGGCCTATAGGTGACTCGTGTTCTGATTTCTATTGCCACGCATTTGTTTTGCTTGTTTAAAAACTGTATAAAAATGGAATTATACAATATAAATTCTTGTGAGTTGGGTTTCTTTATCTCAACAATATGAAGTAAGATTCAACTACAATATTGCATGTATCAATACAGTAGTTTGTCCTATTTTCTTTTTCTTTTTTTGAGACAGAGTCTCGCTCTGTCACCCAGGCTGGAGTGCAGTGGCATGATCTCGGCTCACTGCAACCTCCACCTCCCAGGTTCAAGTGATTCTCCTGCCTCAGCCTCCTGAGTAGCTGGGATTACAGGCCCATGCCATCATGGCCAGCTAATTTTTGTATTTTTAGTAGAGACGGGGTTTCACCATGTTGGTCAGGCTGCTCTCGAACTCCTGACCTCATGATCTGCCCGCCTTGGCCTCCCAAAGTGCTAGGATTACAGGCGTAAGTCACTGCACCCAGCCTTTCTTTTTCTTTTTTGACATGGAGTCTCACTCTGTTGCCCAGGCTGCAGTGGCATGATCTCGGCTCACTGCAGCCTCTGCCTCCTGGGTTCAAGCAATTCTCCTGCTTCAGCCCCCCAAGTAGCTGGAATTACAGGCATGCACCACTACACCTGGCTAATTTTTGTATTTTTTTTTCAGTAGAGACGGGGTTTCACTGTGTTGGCCAGGCTGGTCTTGAACTCCTGTCCTCAAGTGATCTGCCCACTTCGGCCTCCCAAAGTGCTGGGATTACAGGCATGAGCCACTGCGCCTGGGCCTCTTTTTCTAATTTTTAAACTGCCGAGTGGTATTCTGTTCCATGCATCTATCACAATTTATTTATCCATTTTCCTACTGATGGATGTTTTTCTTCAGTGGTTAATGCTTTCTGTGTCCTGTCTAAAAAGAGTCATTTTCTTAAAAGTGTTGTTGGATGAGCATAAATTTTAAATTTTGATGGAGTCTAGGGTATCAATTTTTTTTTTTTTACAGTTAGTGCTTTTGTGTTCTTTCTAAGAAATCTTTGCTTATCCCAAGGTTGCAAAGACATTGTTCTATGTTATTTTCTACAAGCATTATAGTTCTAGCTTTTATACTTAGAAGAATGATCTATCTCAAATCACTGTTTATGAGTAATGTGAGGTAAGAATTGGAATGGTTAATTTTTATGTACATTAGGCAACTTTTTTGAGCCTAATTTACCCCCTCTACAAAGTGATTAAAGGCTAACTCAGAGTAGAATTGAATAAAATACATAAGTTATTAATATTAGCATTTAGCACAGAGTAGGTGTAGAGTAATGTAGTTCAGTAAAGATCATCTTATATTTTTGTGGATCTCTTGAATGTCCTACAAATAGTCCTGCCCATTTTGTCGTGGTCCTTTTAATGTGTAACACCCTCAATTAACATGAACACAAGTAATCAAAACTGGCACTTTATGTAAATTCCAATAACTCTTTGAGCAAGTATGATCTTCATTTTGAAGATGATTAAACCGGCTGAGAAAACATAAATAACTTGCCCAAGGAAACAGCTGGTAAGTGGTAAGTGGTATTCCAAATTAGTTCCAAGTTCAAAGCTCACATCATATTTACCACATTCCTTTGATTTTGAGACAGCATCTTACTCTGTCACCCAGGCTAGAGTGCGGTGTGTCATCATAGCTCACTGCAGCCTCAACTGCCTGGGCTCAAGCGATCCTCCCACCTCCACCTCTGGAGTATCTGGGACTACAGGCATGCACCACGACACCTGGCTAATGCCTTTGACCTCTTCATTGGGCCTGACATTCGTGTTAACACGGTCCTTTGGAGTCATCTGGACGTGTTGTGACTAGCACTTAGAGATAACCCTCATTTTCAGCCTGTTTGAAACATTGTTTTCCTGGTGCATCTTCTACCACTATCACGATGCTCTGTCAGCAGTCTGCAAATAAGCCTCGCGTATTTTCCCCGCACCTTAGTCTTCTCCCTTTGGTCACACTCCCCTCTGCTATCCATCCATGATTCACACCCAGGGAAGTACAGCCCTCCAGGGAGGGGGTATTTTGGACCTGCTGCACTTAGTGGACAGGGTTCAGGGATTCTGAACATCATACCGTGCAAGCAGCAGACCCACAAAAGGAGTCCTTCAGCCTAGTAGGCCAATAGTACACCTCCCCCCAATCCCCCCATGTTTGGCTAAATCCTAACTGTCTTTAGGGACCCATTTTCCTCTGTGAGGCTTTCTCTGCCCAGCGAGGCTCCAAGTCATCTCTGCCTCTTGAATGACTATCTGCTAACACCATCTCTGCTGCTCCTATAGAGATTTCAGTCCTATGTTCCCTGGTTTCCTTCTCTTCTGGGTGCCTTCCTGTTGAAACACATTGAATGCACTCTGGCTTCAGAAAGCAAGTCTGCTACTCCCCTATCTAGCACTTCATGAGCACAATGCTTCATTTGCTCAGTCATTCAGTCAAAAAATGATTTAAAAAGGCCTCAATCAGTAGAGCTGTAGGAATTTATTCAGGGGTTGTAGGCAGAGAGACGTGAACAGTGGCCTTTCTACAGAATGAGTATAAATATGTACGCTATTGATGCCTGTGAGAGACCTGGGGGCAGGGACAGATGCAGGGGAAGGCTTCAGCCATGGCTGACCCTTGCCTAGAACTCAAGGCAGCAACAGAGATATGAGAGAGCCGAAACCACCTGTCAGCACTCAATTCTGCACTGGCAGTCCCTGTGATTCATGCACCAGGCCATTAATTCAGTAAGAAGCCGCTCAATGGGCAGATGAACAAAAACAGGAGGCCCTTCTGAGAGTCATAAATTCACTCTCCTAACAGCTTTATATACTTGAAAGTGAAGGGTATTCCAGGAGCATGTGAAAACGACTCAGAGACTCAGTTTCTAACAGAAAACCAGGAAATTCTATTCTACTGCTAACAAATTGAGGACTTACTTTGTCAAGGTGGCTAGGTTGGTACAGAGATGAAAAGCCAGGGCTTAATCTTTCAGGAGTTCAAAAACTGGTAAGAGTTCTCCCATTCTACTTTTTCCTCCTTCACCTCCATATCTAATCCTAAGAACTATTCCCTTAATACCCTTGTATTAGTCCGTTTTCACACTGCTATAAAGAACTTTCCGAGACTGGGTAATTTATAAAGGAAAGAGCTTTAATTGACTCACAGTTTCCTATGGCTGGGGAGGCCTCAGGAAACTTACAATCATGGCAGAAGGGGAAGTAGGCACATCTTACATGGCAACTGGCGAGAGAGGGTGTGTCAGTGCAGGAGAAACTACCATTTATAAAACCATCAGACCTCATGAGAATCCACTCACTATCACAAGCACAGCACGGGGGAAACCCCCCCCCCCCCATAATCCACTCACTACCCACCAGATCTCCCCCTAAACACCCGGGGATTACAATTCAAGATGGGATTTGGGTGAGGACACAAAACCTAACCATATCAACCCTCTCCAGACTCTCTCCTCTTCTTCACCCCTCTGCAGCTGCCAGGCTTTCCTAATGTCTGCATGGATGGTCTCAACACTCCTTACCTGGTTTCTCTCACTACCCCTGCCACATATTCTGTTTCACCATCACACACCGGCAGATTCATGTTTCCAAAAAAGCAATCTGATCCTATCACTCAGTAACTGATATAAAGCCCTTTACTGATGCTCTGTTGTTTTAAGGAGAAAATTCAAACCCCTTACCAAAGCCCTTCCCCTTCATGGCTCTGTTTGCCTATCCGGCCTTTCCTCAATTTAAGTCTCCAGTCCAGACAAAGTGACTCTCTGGCTGGTTCCCAGACATCTCTGCTCCTGCTGCTGCTTCCTCCCACCATGTGTCCCAGTCCCTACTTCTGCTAACTGTGCTTTCAAGATGCAGCCTGGGCGCTATCTCCTCCTCTTCCCACTCTTGGCCCTGAGTGAAGGTTGCCTCCTACGTGTGCTTCCACCACCCCTACCCATTCTCACTTGTCACATGCACCATATTTGACTCCTTGCTCTTCTCTCCTAGGTGACTTTGATTTTTTCAACTGAACTTCAAGAACTAGATCTGATTCATTGTTGACTGCTCAGCATCTAGTAGAGCACCTGGCACCTGCTAGGTACATTATAAGTGTTTGCTGAATGTATTTGAATGAGTGCCTATGCAAGGTCATAATAAATAAGACAAGAATGGCTTATTCAGAGATGACTGTAATGCACATTTATCTCTCCATGGTCCCTGGGTTGCTTCTAATACTGCGCTTGGAAAAGTTGTGATGGATAATTGAATGCCTCATTGTTCTTGAATGATGTATGGGAGTGGTATGATCTTAGAAAAGAGACAAGGTTTGTTATCTTTGGGGAAATCAAAATACACATCTCCAATATAATTCTGTCTCACAAATGATACAAACATTCATGTTCAAAGTAATATACACATCAAAGACCTATAATGTTGTAGGTTGAATACTTTGGTTAAGTACTTGAGTTTAAAACATCATGTTTATCTTATTATTTTTTTAAAATGTTTTTACTTTTCTTTTTTTTAAACAGAGATGGGGTTTCACCATGTTGGCCAGGCTGGTCTTGAACTCCTGGCCTGGGATCTGCCTGCCTTGGCTTCCCAAAGTGCTGGGATTACAGGTGTGAGTCAGTATGCCTGACTGAAACATCATGATTTTATTAAGCGAACTGCCTTGATTTTGAAACAGTTTTACTTATTTGGTGGCTGCAGACATCTTTTGGTATGTGGCTGCCACTCTCTATCTTTGTCTTCACATGACCTTCTCCTCTTCTGCTCTCATAAGGATACGCCATTGGATTTAGGTAATGACCTAGGTAATCCAGAATGATCTCATCTTGTGATACTTAATTACATCCACAAAGACTCTTTTTTCAAATAGAGTCACATTCATAGGCTCTAGAGATTAGGGGTGACCATATTTTTGTGGGGGAGGGGTAGCACAATTCACTCCGTTATCAAAAATACATTTATAAAAGCCATTGGGATGCAATTCCAGGAGTTTTCAATGATCATTTTATCTTACTTATAAATTACTATTTTGAAGTGCTCCAGAGGGGTCTTACTTCCTCAATTTGGAAGGGGCTGCTACTGGATGAGCATTGAGTATTAATACTGCATGGGGACGCCACCTACTGGTTGCTAAGATTCACAACTGGTAGACCTTGGAGGTCACACTGAGAGTAGAATAACATGTATGAGCACAGTTAATAAACTTGATTACATGAAACCACATTTATTATTAGCACATTGAAAATATAGAATGGCTATTCAAATACAGCTCCCTTCCCTCTCTGAGCCTCAGTTTCTTTACCTGCAAAGGTGAAGATTTCCTCACTCATTCCTTCATTTATTAAAACACAATTATTTGGGCATCCATCAGGTGATAGTGGCTGGGGCTGCAATAAGCCTCTTACAGATTATTCCTTTTCATAGGTTTGTTGTATGGATTAAATGTAATAATTCAAATAAAGGGTCTGGTGCAGTAATTATTGTTAACCTTAAATTATATTTGATCCAAATATCTAATTAGAGTGGCCTGCCTTGACACTGGGTCTTACTTGTTGAAGATCTCTAGCTCTATTGTTTTTTCTTTTTTAAAAAACTAAAAACAAATTTTTTTTAGAGACGAAGGCTCACTATATTGCCTAGGCTGTACTTGAACTCCTGGGCACAAGGGATCTTCCTGTCTCAGACTCCCAAGCAGCTGAGACTATAGGTTTCAGCTTTTTCTTTTCTTTTTTTTTTTTTTTGAATACTTGTTAGCTCTTACTCTCTTCTCTTCCCTCTGGCCTGCAGAAGTTACACAGCACCTCATCTAGTTCAGTTAACTCTTTGGATGTGAACCAATTATCGAGTACCATGAATTTCAAAGCAAAAGGAGAGAATGGGTCTGGTAATAACCTTTCCTTTTCCTCCTTCCACCCCATTCTAAATTCCCCTTAGTTAGTGCCATCTAGAAGAGGCCCTTCAATCTGTCAACACTATTTAATATCTTTTACACATTGGATAATATACTAAATGTTGAATATACAAAAACAATGAACTCTAGTCCTTGAGGCGAAGGTCTTCCAAATGCAAGTCCTAAAAATGGACCAGGCAGAACTCAGTGTCTCCAAGAGTGCAAGAAGGATGTTTTTCATTGAATGGTTGAAGCAGTGTTTGGAGAAACACAGATCTCATGATTTTTATAAATTCAAATGCAACACAGAGTCACATGGGCATAGAATTTTCCTGGATGTCTGAATAATCTGCCAACCAGCTTTTTGCCTCCTTCTGTGTTTTTACTTCACCTGGATATCTCCTAACATCCTGAGACGGAAATGTTTCTAAGCTATAAAGAATGTCTTGGAATGTCTTTTTCAAAAGTACATTTTTCAACATTCAAGGAATTTCAAGAAATGTACTATTTGCCTAAGGGTAGATGATTTAAAAGGTCTCTTTTGTGATGCCTTCAAATAAGTTGGTGATTGGAAAGCTGATACATGAGTAGAAGGCATTATTATTCTACATTGATGTTTCAGAGGAGGAAGGCAGTTAGGGGAATATTTTCCTCCCTAACATTTTATCCCTGCTGAAATAAGTCAAAATGCCCAATGTTCTTTGTATTCAAAGGTGACACAGGTACCAGCATGACTGTCAGCTGCTGTCAATCCTTGGCTTTTGGAAGCAATGTCACGGCGCTTTAACTTGCTTTTCAGTTTGCTCAGCATGTCTTTGAAGCATCACCTTTACTCATCTCTTCCAAGGCTCACTGTTAACCACATTGCACTATTTCAGCAGGAAATCAGCTAAATACTTAAAAGCTAGTGGGCCAGCCTCCTTCTTGTTGTGATATAAGCCTGTTTTTCAAAGAGCAGTCCTCAGAGAGACAGCGTCAACATGCCCTGGGTGCATGTGACACTGCAGATTCCTGGACCTTGTCCCCAGACCAACAGATTCAGAAACTCTGGGAAAAGATCAGGAAATGTGCATTTTAAACAAATGCCCCTGGTGATTCCTCTGCAATGATGGTTAAGACCTTTGAGTTGAGGGCTTTTGCAGTCACCAACTATAGTTTTGTTGAGCCTGTGTATTCATTTACACATGGGGACATCAACAGTCTGCAGAAGCCAGTTCCCAGAAATACACCTGAGTATCTGCACAAAAGGGAGGTCTGTTCACATGATTCAAATCTTCCCAGAAGACTCTCTGATCCTTACATATATTATGGCTTATATTTGGAAAATGTCCCGCTTGCAATCAAGTATACCTTTCTAAATGGCTACGTAGATCCTGAATAAAGAGAACACATCAAATTCAAAACGCTAACATATGTTGAAAGAAGAGGAGCTTGAGTAGTGAGAATAGAATTCTAACCTTCAACAGAAAGGGGGAGAATATCCTTAGGTTGGCTGATACACAGGCAAGAACTATTTCTGGTATATGTTGAGAAAATAAAAATAAGTACAACATGTTGAGCATCCTTTTTAAACAGGCAGACGCCCAGCCATGCCCAGGGCAGGTTACACTTCCTTTTCTGGCTGCCTAGATACAGTGCCACTGGCTCAGGGCTCCATTTCCATCTGCATTGATTCTACAACCACAGATAGCACTTCTGCCCGGTAATTAAAATTTTTTTTTTTTTTCTGAGACAGGGTCTTGCTCTGTCACCCAGGCTGGGGTGCAGTGGCGCGATGTCGGCCCACTGCAACCTCCATCTCCTAGGTTCAAGTGATTCTGCCGCCTCAGCCTTCCTAACAGGTGCCCACCAACACACCCAGCTAATTTTTTTGAATTTTTATTAGAGATGGGGTTTCGCCATACTGGCCAGGCTGGTCTCAAACTCCTGACCTCAGGTGATCCGCCCATCTTGTCCTCCCAAAGTACTGGGATTACAGGTGTGAGCCACTGCACCTGGCCAATGTTTTTTTTAACTTTTGATTTTTGAGAAATTTATAGTTTTGCAGGAAATTGCTATCTATATGTATTCCATATACCCTGCACCTAGCTGCCCCAATAGTAACATCTGGCACAACTACAGTACAGGAACAAAGCCAGGAAATTGCTTATTGGTACAATCTACAGAGTGTATTCAGATTTGATCATTTTTATATACTGTGTGTGTGTGTGTGTGTGTGTGTGCAGCTCTGTGCAATTGTATCACATGTATAGATTAATATAGCCACTACACAACTGAGCTACAGAATTGTTCCATTACCACAAGGCTCCCTTCACAGCCATACCTCGCCCCTTCCACCCATCCCTAACCCCAGCAATGGCTAATCTGTTCTTCATCTCTGTGATATTCCACAATTATTTTGAATAGCATTTTAAAGCCTTGAGGCAACTTCCAAACGTGTTGAGCTTCCTGCCTGGACTGTCCAAGTTGTCTCTCTCAAGGTACCAATACTGTTTTGTTAGTGTTCTAGTTACAAAGCTGCATAAATTTTTTAGTGGTCTGACTATAATCCTGATATTCCTGAAAGCAGTCTTTTTAATGTTCGCTTTTGCTGAGTGTGTGTTTTTCAGTAACATCTATTTTGCATCACTGCAGAAATATTTGTACAGTGGCTGAAACAACAGAGGTTCATTTATTTCACTCACAGAAGAGTCAAAGGAAGATGTTCTGTCTGGCAAGCATTTTTTTTTGCAGTATTCTTGTCATAAACTTTCAAACCAGCTGGGTGCAGTGGCTCACACCTGTAATCCCAGCACTTTAGGAGGCTGAAGCGGATGGATTGCTTGAGCTCAGGAGTTCAAGACCAGCCTGGGCAACATGACAAAACCCTGTCTCTACTAAAAATACAAAAAATTAGCCGGGCGTGGTGGCTTGCACCTATAGTCCCAGCTACTTGTGGGGCTGAGGCAGGAGGATGGCTTGAACCCAGGTGGTCGAGGCTTCAGTGAGCCAAGATGATGCCACTGCACTCCAGCCTGGTGACAAAGTGAGACCCTGTCTCAAAAACAAACAAAAAAACCCACAAAAATAAGACATAAACTTTCAAACATGTTCTTTGTTATCATCAACTTTAAACCTAAACCTAATATCACTTTTAAAAATTACACAGTACAATCTGTATTATTTCATTTTAACAGATTACCATCAGTCATCATTAAAGAGCATTTCCAAACCATTTAGATTTTAAGACATTTCTAGATGTGATGATGACTGCATTTTATAGAACGTGTCTGTCTCATTACCACCACCACACATGGCTTTCTCCATTCTTAGAGATTCCTTTTATGCAGAGGCTACTCTCCTGGCTCTCTCCAGCCCATCTCTTACTCCCGTCCTTTCCCCCAACCAGTCCTTTTTTCTTCCTTCTTTTTGGGGAAGGCAGGGTGAGACTGCCCTGGACCACAACTGATAATGGATAAATCTGGCTAATTCTGAATGCTATAGAGGAAGCTCATTTGGCAATGTCTCTTAGCCTTTAACAGTGATAAAGATGATATCTTGGCCTCTATCTGCGTTATCGTTTGTCTTATTTCTTAATTGGTTCAAAATCTGGATGGGGAAAGCAATTTTTATTTACTGGGGTCCACTCAAAGTTCCCAAGAAAACACACACACACACACAAACACACACACACAGTTTTGTGATGATACAATTCAAAGGATAAAGGTGGCTTTTGTTTGTTTTACTAATGCAATGGTAGGGAGCAGGTGGAAACGAAGGGATGTTGAAGCAGCTAAAGAAGTTTTTTAAAAAAATCTAAGCAGAGTGCAAAGAATGACGTGAGTGCTCAATGTGGATTCTGTTTTTAGGATAGGATAGTGCCTCTCAAACTGTGATCACGCCAAAGAAATACCTGGGGATGTTGAAATTCCTATTATGATCACTAGATCTAGAGTGGGGCCCAACTTCCATGTTTCCAATAAGCTCCAGGTGATGCTGATGCCTCCGGTCCACAGACAGCACCTAGAGCTACAAGGCTGTAAGACATCATGAATCACTACCTTTTGCAGGCAGTAATCACTCGTCAACCTATTTATTTATTATTATTTTCTGTGAGGAGGAGGAAGAGAGGAAGGAAGAAGGGAAAAGTAGAGAAAAGGAGAGAAAAAAAGGAAGGGAAAAAGGAAGGGGAGCTCGACCTATTTATCTTGAAGCAAATTTATGCAAATAGTTATTTTGCTCAATCAAATATTTAGAATGCTCCAGTTTCCTAAATGCACATCGATCTGGATAGCATTTCATACCTGCCTATGTCACTCATCTGCCCCCACTTCTCATGCTCACCCCCCAATTTTCAGCAAGCTTTTACTTCTTTCACAACCCATCCCAAAATGTAATGGCTTAAAATGACTACCATTTATTTTGGTCACAGTTCTATGGGTTACAGTTTGAACAGGGCTCAACTGGGCCATTCTATTGGTCTTGACTGGGCTTGCGTGTGAATCTATAGGCAGCTGCAGAGAGCTGGATTGCCATGTCTCTGGCAGTGCCGGCTGTTGACTGGGATGTTGGAGAGGACTGGGCCACGTGTTTCACAGCATCCACCTGGCTAGAGTAGGCTTGTTCACATGGTGACAGAAATGTTCCAAGCGCAGTCAGCCCTCCGTATCCATGCGCTCCGCATCTCTGGTTTTAACCAACTGCAGATAGAAAATACTCAGGAAAAAATTGAGACTGTACTGAACCCATATAGATTTTTCTCTTGTCATTATTTCTTGTCATAATTTAGTATAACAACTATCTACACAGCATTTACATTGTATTAAGTAACATAAGTAATCTAGAAATGATTTGAAGGATACAAAAGGATGCGCATAGGTTATATGGAAACACTGCAGCATTTTATATAAGAGACTAGAGTGTCCACTGATTTTGGGAGGTCCTGGAACCAATCCCCCATGGATACAGAGGGATGACTGCACATCCTTGGGGTCAGCCCAGATGTGCAAGCCCTTTGAATGCCTCTACCTGAATCACATTTGCTACCACCCATCCCGCTGGTCACAGCCAGTTGCATGACCAAGTCCAGAGTGAGACAGGATTGCCTAAGGGCGTGGATGCTGGGAGCAGGAAGCATTCGTGGCTGCTTTTGTAATCAGACTATTTGAGTTGAAAATGGCCTTTAAGACCTGTCACAGAAAGGCCTATCAGGCTTCTTTTTATCACCACACTGTTCCTCCTACACTTTCCTCCTCCTGGAACCCTTTTTCTATCTGTCTTTGGACAGAGCCCTAGTCCACTTTTTTTTTTGAGACAGGGGAGTGCTCTTTTGCCCAGGTTCTGGAGTGCAGTGGCGCGATCATGGCTCACTGCAGCCTTGAACTCCTGGGCTACAGTGATCCTCCTAGCTCAGCCTCCGGAGTAGCTGGGACTACAGGGATGTGTCAACACGCCTGGCTAATCTTTTATTTTTTGTAGAGATGGAGTTTCACTATGTTGCCCAGGCTGGTCTTGAACTCCTGGGCTTAAGTGATTCTCCTGCCTCAGCCTTGCAAAGTGGTGGGTTTACAGATGTGGGCCACCATGCCTGGCCACTATTATTTATTTATGCTAGTTACTTTATATATTTTTAATTCCATGTCAAGTGGGTTTTCTTATTGACTCCTTATAGATCAGGAAAGTGAAGCACAGAAAGGTGAAGTAACTTGTCCAAGATCACACAGCTAGGAAGCTGCATAGCCAAGATTTGAACTCATATCTCTTGAACTCAAGAGGCCGGCCTTTTCAACTAGTCTTATAATTGAAAATAAATGGTTACAAATGACCCACATGCAGATAATGAAGAATTGGCCAGAGAGTGTGTGTTTGCCCACTCGCTTGGACTGCAAATCAGGCTTTAGGGGTAGAAGAAGATCTCAGGGTTCATGGGTTTTTGGGTCTCAGATTTGGACTCAGATCTTTAGGTTCACAAATTTTTCTCAGTTCTCTTAGAGAGAATCAGGCTCTGTTGAACTGAATCATTGTAACCAGTCTCACAAGAAGCTAAAAAAAAAAAAAAAAGACTAGAATGCTAATTTATTAGTGTCTATGGATTTAGAGAAGTAACAACCACACCAGCACAGATGTCAGATGGTTAGAATGACCAATAGGGAAACTAAGTTGAAATAAGAAGGTTGCAGAGTGAGTTTATTTCCTGCCTCCTTGCAAAAAGGATTTGAGTCCATTGCAACGGGAGCTGCTATTTTTAAGGAATACAGTCACCACTGAGGCATGGTGAGTCACTCTCAACTAAAAGGCTGTATCTGCCAAACTGGCAGGAAGACTCATTGAGTCATCAATGCTCTATCTCTCTTGGACAATGCTGGAGAAAGTCTTTTCTCTCAACTCTTCATTTTCAATATTCCATTAAAACATCAGTATCAGGCTTCACTTTATTGGCTTGGGATTGTGAAGTTGCTCTATTGACTCTAATTATTCCCTGCCCAGCATTACAGTTGCAGTTTGTGCAGCTGTCACCAGGGAATGGCAATGCCTCAGGCTTAATTATGTAGGAATGGGGTGATTGGTCAGTCTTTCCATTGATGTAAATAATTCAGGAAAAGTAACACAACCAAGTGAAGTGAATGATGCTTTTTCTAGAAAAAAAAAATTCTCACTTATAAAAATGTGCTACACAGTTGGGATTGTGAAGGAAAAAAATGCGAAAATCTGGTGTAAGAGTCAAGATTGAGGGCAGGAGAAAGAAATGACTCAAGATGTCTTAACTTCCAAGGGATTTAATTCAGGGAATGGCTGTTTACACAATAATTGGAAGGTCTAAGGGTATGGGCTTTAGACTAGGTTTCCAGAAATGACTCCCAGAAAAAAGCAGAACTGACCCACCAGAAGAGCTACTACCTCTGAGGCCACCACTAGGGCTACTGATTTCAACTGTGAGACTGTTCCCGTATCAGGAAGCCACACTAAACAAGCAGCTTGGCTTCAAAATGAGTTTCAAGATGTAACCTTGAAGCAAACTGCAGAAGCCTTCAAAAAAATAAACTCCACATCCCTCTCTTTCTCACCGCATACACTCCCTCCACATTTGTCTAACGGTACGCTAGTATCTAATTATGTGCCTTCTTAGAAGTTCCAGGGGCTAATCTTGAGATGGGCAGACCAAGCCTGGAGACCCAGCTGCAAAATTCCAGAGATTATCTCAAGGTGGCTAGTGAACAACCCAGCCATTGTGGAGATGATGTCAGCCCATGCTCCAGGTAGACTGAGACCCAAGACAGCCACTGGAATGAGACACACAGACATTGTATTCAGTCTAATTCTTGCATGTCTTCCATACCAAGTTTCCCCTTTTTAATCCCTTGCCCCTTGTCTTTCCCCCCAAATTCAAAGTGGTCACTTTGGATGGGAATCCAGCCACTTCCCATTACTAGTTTTGGTTAATAAAGTCACTTTCTTTCCACCAGACCTTGCTCTTGTTGAACTCTGTAGGCAACAAGCAACCGGACCCGCATTTGGTTACAGCGCTGCTCCTCACGCTGCCTCTAGACACGCAGAAGGCTGGAAAATGGATGCAGAAAGGCTGAAAAGCCTCATGTTCCTACTACCTTGTTTGCCAATGACATCAAAGGCTTGTCATGGAACAGGAAGTTGGTCTCCACCAGATCCACCTTCCAAATCTCAGTTGAGTATAATCTAATGGCCAAACTTGATTTGTTTCTGGAATGCTAGTTGGGAGGGAGCCTAGAGAATATAGTTTGTCGTTTTGTAGCCCCTGGTAAGGTTGGTTGGAAGGAGTTGAAGTGAGCCAGTCCACACTCTCCACACATCTAGGATCAAGTGGCCTATTCGCCACCATGGCTACGACTAGCTGTATCAGCTGTGATCATGAACCCTCACATTTGCGAGGGCAGGCAGAGGGAGTCCCTCCCTACCACGTGGTCATTGCCTTCCCTCTTTATTATTAACCCCTTTCATAGAAGAATCAGCTGAAGCCTAGAGGTGTGGGATATTTTGCACAAACCTATGCTGGAGCAACAAGGGGAGCCAGGCTTGGAACTCCATTTGTCTGATTCCAGAGACTGCACTCCCCGCCAGTACTTGATCCTCCCCACAGCCGCCGTCTCTCCAAGTCAAAGGCCCCTGAAGTTCTCCCTCACTCTGTTTCAAGTGGCAAAAGCCCCAGGCTCCAGGCCTGTTCACGGACTCCCGACAGATCTCCTGCAGCTTTTCTCTTGCTCCTGCTTTTACTGGGAATTATAACTATTTCAGCAGTTTTAGTGTTTGAAGGAAGCTTTCTCTACGTATCTTTCCTCCCTCTGGGGACAGGATTGCTTTACTCATCACAGGGAAGGCCTTAAATGACCTTCTGCTACATCCACAGATTTTATTTCATCTCTCTCCATTAGAAATAAAGATGAAGGCAAGACCATGGTTTCTGAGTTCTCTTAGTCTCCACAGAATGTAATTACTACATTTTTTTCTTTTTCTAATCACAGGAGACTTCTCTCAGCAACCTAGTTACTGATTCTATTACTCCCTCACTCTCCACTTCCAACTGCTCTTTGAAGCGGCTTTTTTAGGGAAATTATTCCGCTTCAAGTTGTTTAAGAGGCCTCATTAATGAGGTTGATGACAGTCAGATCCTGCCATGCCTCTTAAGAGACTTGTCGTTTCCTCTACCCTAAACATTGTAAAACATACGCGGATGGAATGGTAAAGCAATGTGGTCATTATTTGCCTATTTGTATCCACCATTAGAAAACGTCTCCTTTTCAATTTAAAATACTCTCAAAATATGAGGTGTCGCCTATTTGTCACTGGTCCCTACTCTCTCTCCTGTCTCCACATCTGGGTTCATTCAGTAACCACCAAAAGAAAAGCAACCCTTGGAATCCATTGTTATCATTTATCCATCCAAAACTGTGAATGCTTACTATGTGCCAGGCACTATGCTAAGTGCTCAGAAGAGTAGGTGAATAAATAGGGTTCCCGTCTTCCAGACGCTTCCAATCCAGATATTATACAAGCGATCAACTCATACAATAATTTAAAGTGGGTGCCAGGTGTGGTGGCTCACGCTTGTAATCCCAGCACTTTGGGAGGCCGAAGCAGGAGTATCACCTGAAGTAGGAGTTCGAGACCAGCCTGACCAACACGGTGAAACCCCATCTCTACTAAGTATACAAAAATTACCCTGGCGTGGTGGCGGACACCTGTAATCCCAACTATTCGGGAGGCTGAGGCAGGAGAATCGCTCGAACCCGGGAGACGGAGATTGCAGCAAGCTGAGATCGTACCACTACCATCCAGCCTGAGTGTCAGAGTAAGACTCTGTCTCAAAAAAAAAAAAAAAAATTAAAGTGAATATATAGGGCTTTTCCTCAAAACTAGGTTCTTACTTAGACAAAATGGAAAGGGAAGGCTTCTCAGAGGAGGTGACATTTACACTGAAGGAAAAGGAAAAAGCTGCCACGCAAAATGAAGAGAACATTTGGGGCAGAAGGCACAGCATGTGGGAAGGTGTGAGGTGGGAAAAGAAAAGGCTGGTGTATTTCCAGTGTGCAAGGAGGTGCACAGGGTGGAAGCCCACTGGCCAGAGGGAGGCTGATCCTTGAAATCAGTGGGGCCAGACCTTGCAGGGCCTTATAGGTCAAGGAAAGGAGTTGCGATCATATGCTCAGTGTGATGGGAACGGTTGAAGGGTTCCAAGCAGGGGAGGAAGGAGATGTCTACTTAAGGAATTCTCACGACTCAGTGAGGAGTGGACTGGAATGAGGGGATGATGGCAAAGAGGATGCAGAGGCCACTGCATTTGTCCAAGGGGAGCAGACAGAAGTCTGGACTAGGTGGTGGGGAGTGGAGAGGGGGAGGTGGGGGACATGAGATTTGCTCTAATGGACTGAGACATTTTAGATTTCCTAATTTCCGATCTTATCATTTGTTTTCTTTAATTTCCTTTAGGTTTATTTTCCATTCTTTTAAAAACTTCCCAGTATATATTTTCCATTATTTTACCAACTCTTGATATTAAAATCTTAACTCATAAATGTTTAGCTTTTTTTTTATTTTCTGTTACATGCTTTTAAAATTATGTTTCCAACAAGCATGATTTTGGCTGCCTCTCATATGTCTTGATGTGTGGTATTTTCATTATCATTCCATTGAAAATATTTTATAATTTTTATTGTAACATTTTCTATGATGTATGGATTATTTAGAATATTGCTTAATTTCTAAATAAGCCTTGTTTTTGTTACTGATTTCTAGCTTAGGTGCATTGTGTCAGAGGATGTACTTTGCATGATTTCACTGCTTTGAAATTTGTTGTGACTTGTTTTATGTTATGAACCAGCATATAGTTTATTCTGGTTCATATTCCCTATGAGCTTGAAAAGAATATTCACTCTGCAGTTATTGAGTACAGTGTTCTAGGAATGTATATTAGGTCAAGTTTGTTAAACATGGTATTTCTATATCTTTACTAATTTTTTCCATTAACATATTCTATCAGTTTCTAAAAGGTGTCATAAAATTTCACTAAGATTGCAGATTTGTCTATTCTTCCTTTTAGATTTTTCATTTTTTGCTTTATGTATTTTGGAACTATATTATTAAGTGTATACAAATTTAGAATTATTATATCTTCTCATACAATAATTGATAATGGTAAATTAAACCTTTTATCATTATGTAGTATTTTTCATGGTTAGTAATGTCATTTATCTTAAAGTCTACTTTGTCTAAAATTAATAATTTATGTTAGCTTTCTTTTTGTTAGTATTTGCATGTAATATCTTTTTCCATTATTTTACCTTCAATTTTCAATATTTCTGTAGCCTTTTGTTTCAGATACATTCCTGGTTAAAACAGTATGTAATAAAATTTTTTTTTTCCCATAGTTTTATTAAAGGCTTTTTTTTTTTTTTTGAGACAACAGTCTTGCTCTTGTCGCCCAGCCTGGAGTGCAATGGCGTGATCTCGGCTCACTGCAACCTCCACCTCCTGGGGTTCAAGTGATTCTCCTGCCCCAGCTTCCCGAGTAGCTGAGATTACAGGCGCCCACCACCACACCTGGATAATTTTTTGTATTTTTAGTAGAGACAGGGTTTCACCATGTGGGCCATGCTGGTCTCGAACTCCTGACCTCACGTGATCCACCTACCTCGGCCTCCCAAAGTGTTGGGATTACAGGTGTGAGCCACCGCACCCGGTCATTTTAAAGAGTATAAGTGATTTTCTAGATTGGTATCATCCTGGGATTTGTATGTTACTTTGTAGAGGACCTTAATATGACAACCCACTGCTCTTCAGGTTATTAATAACCTAGTCTTAATGTTTCTCAGCCTTAGCGTATGTGAAAAACTATAAATTGTAAATTGCTATACACATTTACATGGAAATACAAACATCATCTTGTATATGTAATTGTTTTTGTCTTTGAAAATCTAGTCGGATAATCATTGTCTTCTAATATGGATATTTTGCTTACTTATATTTGGTTTCTATGTATTCAACCTGTTCTGTTTCTTTTCCTTTCTTTCCTTGGTTTATTTTGAGCTGATTATTTTTTACTTTTTCACTTTCCCCCGTGTTTGAAAATTATGCAGTCTTTTAGCATTCCTTGAGTGGTTACCATAGAGACTACAAAATAAATTCTAGATATGCAAAAATCTAATATCAATTGGTTCTTTTACTCCCTTTTCAGATGATACACACCTTTTGGGAACAATACTTCCCAAACCTTAATATGCATATGAATCATAGAGGATTTTGTTAAAATAGAAATTCTGATTCAATGATAGTTCTGAGATTCTGCCTTCTAATAAGCTCTATGAGCCACTCTATGATTAGAAAGCCTTTAGAACACTTTACTTTCTTTACCTCCTCTCTACTTAAATAAATGCCAATAATGTTCTTTCTCCATATTTTAAACCCTACAACACTGTATTGTAATTTTTATATAGATAATGTTAATCTAGATTCACCCACTTATTTATTTATTTAATATATATATATTTTAGATGGAGTCTTGCTCTGTCACCCAGGCTGGAGTGCAGTGGTGCCATCTCAGCTCACTGCAACCTCTGCCTCCCAGGTTCAATCAATTCTCCTGCCCCAGCCTTCCAAGTAGCTGGGACCACAGGCATCCACCACCACACCCAGCTAATTTTTGTATTTTTAGTAGAGATGGGGTTTCACCATGTTGGTCAGAATTGCAGCTTTCGACACAGATAAGAGAGGAAAGCCTTTGCAACCAGATCAAAGGTAAGGCTATATATAGTAAGTCATGAGTTTTGATGGTTCCTATCAAGTTGTATTAAAACCCCAAGGGCTTATCCATATAGTTTATACATGAATAGACCAAAGGGATTTTTGTAGTTAAAGATGACCAGTGAAAGAAGCTGTTGAAGAACTTTCTTCAGGTTGCAGAAAGCCTATTCCAAGTTTGGGTTCCCAGAAGAAAAAGTCTCTTCCTGAGGTCTGAGTCAATTCATAAAAGGATATCACAATCTCAGAAAATTTGTATGCAATATCTAGTTAAACCTAGAAGTCCTATCAACTGTCATTTAGTGAGAGGTCTAAAATAAGTTTGGACAATCTTTTGCCTAATGAGAGAATGTTTTTCCCTCCTTAGACATACCATGTCCTAAATAATGGATTGTACTTTGGAAAACTTGAAATGTTTCTGTTGAAACTTTGTTCCTTTTCTGTTAAGGCTGAGAGCAAGTAAATGGAACACTTTTACAAGTTTTCTTGTTCTCTGAGTAAAATAGATCATCTACATATGATATCAGAACTGAATCACAAGAGAAATTCAGATCTTTTAAGAACTGTTTGAGGAACTGGGAAAAACAGGAGGGGGCTTCAATAAAACCCATGATTGTCCAGGTATATTGTTATCTTCTCCAGGTGAAAGCTAAAAGGTATTTACTGTCCTAGAAGTGGTCTAGAGGCACATCCAAAATAAATCAATCAATAAATAAAAAGGCAGAGCAAAAATACACTACAGTGAAGCAAGTGGTTTCAGGTAGAATTGATGCCAAGATGGTATCTGAGTTAGGTACTACTGGGAAGCAAGGAACAAAAATCTGTTGATTATCCTGAGGTCTTGCAAAATTGATATTCTCACACATTTGGTTTCTTTACTGGCAAGACTAGAGTGTTACAAACGCTAGTGCAGGGTATGAAAAGACCATTAGATATAAGGCCTTCAAATGTACCTTTAAAATCTTCCTTTGCTCTGTCTTCAAGGGATATTGGGCATGATTGGGTAACAGTTTGGTACAACCTATCTTCTCTTCAGTTTCTACTCCAGTTATTTTTTTCTATGTCTGTGGACTTTTAAGGCCACAAAATGTCAGGTACAGTGTGAAGACCTTCATGTGGGGGTATCCATCAAATATAATGGAGGAGGTAAAGGTATATCCACAGTAGGCACAACTTGATTATGAATAGATGAGTCTTCTGGAACTTTAAGAAACAATTCCTCTCTTGCACATTTAATATTATGATTCCATTTGCAAAGAGGAGGCTATTAAATTTACAGGGGCAGTTTCACAGACCAGGAAGGGATGTTTTCACTCAAGGGGTTACAATTAAGGGCTGGGAGATAGAAAAAAATCTGTGGGTTATTTGAGAGACCTACCACTTGTGTGTATGCTTACTCTGAGGAGGAGGCTCAGCAAAGGTGGTGAAGTTTAATGCAGAAAGAGCAGCAGACGTACCTACCAGGAATTGATGAGATTGACCATCTGTGTTCATTGATTTATGCTGCTATGACAGAATATTGGGTAATTTATAAAGAACGCAAACGTATTTCTCATGGTTCTGGAGGCTGGAAAGTCCAAGATCAAGGCGCTGGTATCTGGTGTCTGTTGGGGGCCTTCTTGCTATGGTACTCACATGGCAGAAGGTGGAAGGGCAAGTGGGGGCAAATGTTGTGTCCTCACATGGCAGAAGAGCAAAAAGAATGAACTTACTCCTGCAAGTTCTTTTTATAATTGCATTAATTCATCCCTGAGGTAGAATCCTCATGACCTAAATATCTCCCATTAGTCCCCATCCCCCAACACATTTGCCTTGGGGATTAAGTTTCTAACATATAGATTCTGGGGAACGCATTCAGACTATACCATCATCTATATAGTTAATTCACTTGAGAGATAAGGGCAAGGCAGGATATTGGGAGCATTTTTCTTCTTCTGAGAGCACTCTCATTGATTGGAATTGAGGGATTTTTTTTTTGTCTTGGTTTTTCTTTTATAAGATAGGACAATCTTTTTTTCTGGTTTACAATATCTGTAAGTGTCCTTGCCAAAATGGCTGGTGGGAGGAGGGCCACCTAGCTGTTTGATCTGTAAGACCATAGTTTATTTTGGGCCTTGTGTCATTTTTATTCTAAAGCCCTTTCAAAATGTTCTGACAGGTGTTTAGTTCAGGTAAAGAGCTATTTTCCATTCTAATTTCTACTTTTGAATTAGCCTTCTAGTTTCGGATTTAACTCCATTGACAAAATAAGACGAAAGGGCTGCTGTTACACTGGCACCGTTGTTAACTCCTGAATATTGTCAGGAGGTATATTACAGTCTATCCTGAAAATCTCCTATAGTTTCATCTTGTCTGTGTTTGCATTATTGAATTATGGTACAACAGATTTTTATAGAAAACGTTTGGGATATTGCTTTTAGGAGGCTGTGTTCTACTTTTCAGGGCTTTTTTTTTTTCAGACGCTTAAGTTTATTGGGGAAAAAGCGATCCTTGTAGATCCCTTCTCATGTCAGTCCAATCAGCTTTTCTTTAAATCCAAGATTTAACACCTGAGGATCTGGCCAATATATGTATACATTGATATATTTAGGTTAGGTAACCCTGAATCATATGCATTCAAATGAATCCTAAATTCTTCTATAAATAGTTGCTGGTCTTGTTTGGAAGTAGAGAAATTCTTGATTATTGCTCTTAATTCATCTTGGGTGCAAAGTTTAAATTCTGCAGTTGCCTGCATACCTGGCTTTTGAGGGGAGAGGGATCTTTAGAAGCAATTGACATTTTAGAGTTTTAGGAGAGTTGTTGGGAAAATGCAGGAGTCCTGGACAAGAGGAAGAGAAGGGGGGAGTTGATGGAAGGGAAGAAAGAGAGCTATCAGAAGGCTAAGGGATAAGAGGGACATCTGGATATAGGGAGCCAACGCAAAGGGGAAGATTTACTAGGAAATGAGTCTAGTTTGTTGTTGCTTAAGATGTCAAATTGCTTGTTAGCTTTAGCCAAAGCATCTTTTAGTGGAATAATTCTTGAATCAGAATTTCCTTTGGAGGCCTCTGTGTACCACTAAAAAACTGTTGCCCATCAAACCTAAGAAATCTTAATTCCCTTTCTTTTCTTGCCCATCAAATAAAAAATTTTGTCAAGTCAAGTGTTTCCCAGAGTGGCCACTGAAGGCCCAACTCCTCATTGCTGAAGTTATGCCACTTAGAGAGATAGGCACAAGCATTAGGATTGTAATGAGAGTATGTATAAGAAGCAGAAGTTTTTCCTGGTGGAGAGGATTTAGACTTAGAGCTGGCTACGGTGTTGAAAGTTATGCTCGTGCTTATCCTGTCTCAGTCCCCAGCCTGATTTTTGCCCCTTTTGAACACAGACCGAACAATCTGTGCCCCCTGGCAGGCAGAATATCAGAATGACCTCTTTCTTTGGATCAAAAGCAAGCCCTCAGAACAAAAAATCAAGATGAAGGGAGAACTTCATCCAGTTTTATTGGTGACCCACAACAAAATTTGTCCAAACGGATGTAGTCTGGTGAGAACTGCAAACTCATCGGTCTGTGAAACTGGCTTAAACAACAGGGTTGTAGGGCCCATGGCCATGTTCTACCCTATGATTCTCCTTCTTATGGAAAATAACACTTTTAGATAGCACAATACAAAACAGAAGTACAAAGGACAGCACAAAGGATGAAAAGGAATTGCCTGATTCCACTAAGGATGCAAATAGGAACCAGTAACAAAATCTGAGTACCAAACTTCAAATGAATAGCTTAGGAACTCAAGGCAAACAGGGAGGAGTTCCAAGCCAGCACTGACTTACCATGTTGGCATGGACTTGACAAGCCATAAGCAACAAGGCACGAGGAGCCCCTGTGGGCACCACAACTGGCCAAAGGCTGAGGTCCACCGCCATGGACAGCACAGACCATGTCTCAGTGAAGTCTCCAGGAAAACTGGAAATTCAGAGCGTGCTAGAGAAGGGAGTCAGTCACCATCATTTACATTTGTCAAGAGTCTCAAAGGCAGGCAGGGGAGTGGGAAAGCTTTATAGTGAAAGATTCAGGTACAGGGAAGAATTCAGGTGTGCCGATTGGAGGTGTTGGCAAGGAGAAGCTAGAGGTTGGCTAACTAGAAACAGGGCATCTTATGTAATTTAAGGAGGATATTTAGCTTTCTCTGGTTGGTCTTAAGTTAGAAGCGAGTAATAAAAGAGGGAAGCTGGCAGTCATTGCCCAAGTCTTAACCATTCTTGGCTGATTGCTGCAGAGGTGGTGGTTTGGAAGTCTAGTTGCTAGAGAGGTTGTGGGTGAGAGTTCTGTTATCACATATGATCTGGCCATTGTCCATTTGTATAGTCAGTCTATCTAGGGGAAGATGTCATTGAGCAATTACCTCTCATTTAATCATCATAACTGCCTCTTCCATATCCCCATTTTACAGATAAAGCAAAGCTCAGGAAGTTTGAGTAATGTATTTAAGGTTATACAACTAGTGACCCTAGCAGAATTTAAACCTGTGTGTTCTGGACCTATTTTAAATGATGCTTCATCTTGTAAAGACCATGAGGTTATTCTGATGTTGCCCTATTAAAAATAGTAATTACATACTATTATTAAAAATAGTAATTACATACTATTTTAAAATAGTAGTTACAAACTACTATTTTAAAATAATAATTACATACTATTTTTAATAGATAGCATCATTTAAAATAGGTCCAGAACACACAGGTTTAAATTCTGCTAGTGTCACTCATTGTATAACCTTAAATACATTACTCAAACTTCTTGAGCTTTGCTTTCCTGATCTGTAAAATGGGCATATGGATAAATACTTGTTGGGTGAGTGAATGGATGAAAGTAATTTTAGAATACTTCTCTTGAAATTGCTTCCAAAGCTGGTATCTTTTGAATACCTTTAATGAATGCATATCTTGACAATGACTAACTTTTTGGAAACAGACAAACATTTTTCTGAAGTAAGGTGGTGAATAAGGTAAGAGAAGAAGCTGGCTCAAAAACCTGGCGTGTCCATTCAGTAATGACATTAATTTTGGGATTTTTGCACATTTTGCATGTGATTGACAAAGCAGCTTTGAAGGCTTTTCCAAAGAAGAAGTTGCAAAAATAGTTGCATTTTGAGAATAGGAACACAACTTTCCAAAAGTTTGAAAAATACTCATTTTAGAAAGTATGCTAAATTCTTGTTGTTTTGTGGTTTACCTTTCTGTTTAAAGTAGTTAAATGCTCTATGTCATTCAACAAATATTTATCAAACAGCTATTATGTATTTAGTGCTGTGCTTTGAACACAGATATTGGTATAGCCCTTGTGAACCAGGAGTTCACAGTCTAGTTGAGACAGAAAATTAACAATTGAAATGCAATTCAACAAATACCATAAATAGACTGATTTATATTAATAGCTGGATGCCATGGGAACATGCAGTAGAAACAGTGATGAGCTGGTACATGTTGAACAACTGACTTCTAGGGGAGTGGGTTGGAGTGTAAGGGCCTGATTAGCGGTGTTTACTGATTTCCATGGTGTAAATGCTCCCACCATGGCCAACGTGACATCATCAAAAGAGGAGTTGGAAGATGTGCAGTAGTATAACATTACATTGAATTTCCACCATATAGATAAAATGCATGTAAATAACCTGAAGAGCATAGATAATAGTAAAATGTAAAATAATTAGGAAGTGACAAATTTTGAGTATTTTTACTTTTGCTTGTAATATAATTTTTGAGTGGCTGTATTTGAAAACTAGCTCACAAAATTACTGAACATTTAACAATCAGCTCTTGCAAGTGGGTGTGACTCAGTGCAAATGGACAAACCACCAGGTGAAAGCAATGTCAGGAATTACTGTAGGCTCACATAAGATGAAGATTGTAAGGAAACTGGAGGCAGGGATCTCCAGCAGTGAACCTCTAAGTTGTTGAACTGTTACAGCACTGCCAGGTTCCTATGCCGGCTGTGCAGAAACAGACCAGTATTCCGACAGCAGGCTTGCAGCAGAGAAAGTTTTAATAATCACAAGTTACAAGCCAGGAAACAGGAAGAGTTCTCAAGCTTCAATCCATTTCATCAAGGGGTTCTAGGCAAAGTTTTTTAAGGGGATTTGTGGAGGGTGAGGGGCTGGAAAATTTGGGGTTATCGATTCGTTGGGGTAAGGGAGATGAAATCATTAGGATGTGACAATTGCATTCCTCCATGAATCAGCTTTTTATTGGGCCTTCCAGACAAGTTGGCGTCCTTAGTTTTGTTGGTATGCGGGACCTAAAGAAGCAATGCAAACAGAAAGCTTATCTTCTCATAATGTCTTAGATTTTATCTTCAGAGCAGAAAAAGAATGAAGAGTCTTGTGACAAGGGCCACATTCTCCTGGGGTAGTAAGTAGCAACCAGCTACAAGAAAGTCGGCCACACTGCAAGCTGGCTTAATAACAGCAGCTGTAAGCCTAGTTGGATTTTTTTCCCCTCCTTAATCAATTTTACAAAATGTTCTTGGGGATAGTTTCAGAATGGTCAAACTAATTCATTAATTCAATATCAACTTTTTTTTTAGGCCCTACTTTATTCTGGGCACTGTTTTAGGTGCCCGGGGGAAGGGGGCACCGCAGCAAAAACCGAGGTCCTGCCGTTAGGTTAGAGAGTTTACATTCATGGGTATGGGTGTGTGTGTGTGTGTGTATAAACAAACGTCTGGCATGTCACGTGGTGAGTAGTAAGTGCTATGGCTAAACAGTAGTGTCAAGGGGAAAATGAGTGGGGCACTGCTATTTCCTATGGGGTTGTGAGGCAGTAATAAGTGTGGAAATGTATCAAAGTAAAGATCGAAGGTTCTGGCATCTGACAGTTTGAATAAGGCGGAAGCACAGACCCTGCACAGATCTCAACCATCCAACAGGACTGAAACACAGAACTTGGAAAAACCCACGTACCTGCTTCTTACTCTGCTCGCCCGGTCTGCACAAGTGCAAAATCCTTTCCTGAAGTTTGTGTCAGGAACACCAGGGTTTAACTAGACGAATCAGCCGCAGCGGGGCGGGGCTAATTTCAGTCCTTCCTTTGCCAAAAGTCAGCGAAAAGCGCGGACTCCCTCGCGCATGCTCAAATACGCCAACTTCCTCCTGGAGCGCCATCTGAGAAGGTCTGCGCATGTGCACGAACGAGAAGTGTTTTTTTTGTTTTGTTTTGTTTTGTTTTGTTTTTTGTCCCAAGGCGCTGCCGTACCGTCCAGGCGGCGAGTTGCATTCTGGTTCCGTCGTGTGTCTGGCGTGTGGAGCTAGTGCTCCCGCTTATTCGCCACTGTCGCCACCGCTGTCATGAACCGCGAGAGCTTCGCGGCGGGAGAGCGGCTGGTGTCGCCGGCTTACGTGCGGCAGGGCTGTGAGGCCCGCCGCTCGCATGAGCACCTCATACGGCTGCTTCTGGAGAAGGTACCGAGCTGTCGGTCCCCTCCCCAGCCGCCGCGACCCCGGGGCTCTGGCTCCGCCGGGCGTCCCCGCTGGTGCTGCCTCACCGGCAGCTCTTCGCTGCTTGAGACTAGTCCCAAGTCTGTCTCAGCTTGGCTTGCCCTAGCTGACCGACTGCGGTCTGTGCCTTCTCAGCCTTGCCAAAGCCAGTGAAAGCCAAATGGTGTTGTTAGGAGGGGGTGTTGGGGTCGGGGTTTTGAGTCCCGCTGTTTCTAACTTCGGGATGCGGAAGTGAGGGAAAGTCCCAGTGTACTTTTTTATTCGCGGAAAGGGCAAAGTTCGCACCTCCATCTTTCACCAACCCTCAACGACTCAGAACACATAATGGTGTTTGTAGACTGTATGCTAACTCGAACCACGAGCTTTCCGCGGAACTTCACAGGTCTCCCTCCTGCCAGCGTTCATGTATTTTAATTTCATTAAAAGTTTTGTTGTGTTTTGTTTTTTTGAAACAGAGTCTCGCTCTTTCGCCCAGGCTGGAATGCAGTGTGACGATCTCGGCTCACTGCAGCCTCCGCCTCCCGGGTTCACGCCATTCGCCTGCCTCAGCCTCCCGAGTAGCTGGGACTACAGGCGCCCGCCACCACACCCGGTTAATGTTTGTATTTTTAGTAGAGATGGGGTTTCACCATGTTGGCCAGGCTGATCTCAAACTCCTGACTTCAAGTGATCGGCCATTCTTGGCCTTCCAAAGTGCTCGGATTACAGGCGTGAGTGAGCTACAGCGCGTGGCCAAAATTTCACTGAAGTTTGACAACTACCGCCCTTCTCCACGTCCCACCGCCCCAGTCGTAACGCCCTGGTTTGAAGCATCTTCACTGGGGATGTGTTGTATTGGTTTTCAGTTAGTTTCACTTACGGAAATTTAAATATCTCAGTAAACCTCATTGTATGCATTTATCATCACTTCTCGAAATCTGTAAATAATTGTAATCAAATGTACAAACGTTTTGCCTCTTTGCGGTCTCTATACAGTGGTGAATTTATGCTTGAATTTTAGAAAACAAGCAGCGTGGCAAAATACACGTTAAAAAGAAAAACTGTATTCCTGTAGTATTCTAGAGAACGGTAGTTTTATTAAATATAATCATAAGTTTTTTTTTTTTTTTAAGGGCAAGTGTCCAGAGAATGGCTGGGATGAAAGTACACTTGAACTCTTTTTACATGAACTTGCAATCATGGACAGCAACAATTTCTTAGGCAATTGTGGTGTGGGAGAAAGGGAAGGGAGAGTGGCATCCGCACTGGTTGCTCGTCGTCATTACAGGTATCTTTTTTTAAGTAGTACAGGAGATACATCGTTTATTTATTTTTGGTTCAAAATAATGGCAGCAGTATTTATCTTATTAGATTATCAAATGTCAGTTTGTAAACCACTTCTTCCCTGCTCTAATGGATATGTAAGCCAAATGCAACAGGGAGATGGAAACAATTTTATCTCAGCAGGTGCTTTTCAAAGACAATAGAGTAAAAACTAAGTGGGGGTTACCCTGTCAGGTTCTGGGTGACTAACACAGGCTATACGTTTTCTTAGGAACGGTTACCCTAATAAACATATCTGGTTGTAAGAGTTCAAAATCCATTAAGGTTGTTTATAGCTTTCCATATTTCTTTTCTAACATTTGTAGTGTTTTTTTTTTTTGAATGATTTATAGTTATCAACTTTAAATTTTGTTTTAAACTGTGTTTAAACTGAATCTCATTTTATAAATACCTCTGTTGCAATAGATACAGGGAAAGGTGTATTAGATTATTAAGTGACCTTTTTCTTTTGCATTATTGCAGAAAGCTTTTCATCAATTCTGATAACGATTTAATTGGTAGTTAATTGGTAGTTAATATGATCACTCATTGCTCTGTCCACTAACCTTTCTGTGAAGTGTAAACTCTTTTAAATGAAACTCCTGTCTTCCATGCTTTTACATTATAATGAAAATTTCCTGGGCATCGTAGAATTTGTATTTCAGTAAAAACCACTGCAGTCAAAACTGATGATAATGCCTAACTTGGATGAAAATTTCAGTTAACAGTTTGCTGATAACATGGTTGATAATATATGTAAGAAATGTTTTGTACATGAGATTTCAGTGGTGAGGAAGTACAGCACTAGTATTCTTCGATAATCCTCCTATACCGAATTTCTGATATATTTGACTGTCAATTAGAAATTACTCAAATTACGAAAGGGTTTTTTATTTTAAAGAGTATTGAGAGGTATCTTTAAACAATGTATAATATTGTCTAATTTAAAATGAGATTTGCACACTGATTTTCTAGGAGCATATAGTTCTTTTAAAATTAAGGCAATATTTGAACCATCATTGGAACTTAGCCCAGTGTGGAATTAGGGGAAAAGTAAAGAAAAAAGATAATTTGGCCGGGCACGGTGGCTCACGCCGGTAATCTCAGCACTTTGGGAGGCCAAGGCGGGCGGATCACGAGGTCAGGAGATCCACACCATCCTGGCTAACATGGTGAAACCCCGTCTCTACTAAAAATACAAAAAAATTAGCCGGGCGTGGTGGCGGGCGCCTGTAGTCCCAGCTACACGGGAGGCTGAGGCAGGAGAATGGCGGGAACCTGGGAGGTGGAGCTTGCAATGAGCCGAGATCGCGCCACTGCACTCCAGCCTGGGCGACAGAGCGAGACTCCGTCTCAAAACGAAAAAAAAAAAAAAAAAGATAATTTAATATTTCATGTATTCTAGTTTTCTATTGCTACAGAACAAACCACCCTAAAATTAAGTGGCTTAAAACATTTATTGTTACCTCTCATAGCTTTTTGGATTAACTGGGCTCAGCAGGGTGAGTATTGCTTTGGGTCTGTCATGTAGTTGCAGTCAGATACTGGCTGAGAGTTTAGTCATCTGAAGGTTTGCCTAGCATGAAAATTTCACACAGTTACTTCTGCTAGATTCTTCCTGGCCAAGCAAGTTACTAAATTCAGCCCAGATTCAAGTGGAGAGGAAGTAGACTCCATCTCTTGGTGTGGGAGTAGCATGTGGGCATAGGGAGAAAAAGAATTGATGGTGGCCGTCTTTGGAAACTAGCTATCACAGCATAATTGATGAAATTATTTCAATTTAAGTAGGAGAGTTCCACATCATTAATAGTTTGTGACATATATCTGTAACAGCCAAATATTGCTCCTGGTGTTTTTTTGGTTATTACATTTGCATATTTGTACATTGTATTACTCGGAATGCTGAATGTATTTGTCCAGTTTTTGGCCCATTTTTTGCTTAGGTTCATTCATGGCATTGGACGATCCGGTGATATTTCTGCTGTGCAACCAAAAGCTGCAGGCTCTAGCCTTTTGAACAAAATTACCAATTCTTTGGTCCTGGACATTATAAAGCTGGCTGGTATGTACCGTCTTAATCATAATGCTTTTGGCTGTCTGGACACACACACACACCACTGACTCATTTCATTTATTATTGCCCCTTTCCAAAAAGAGTATGAGTGGCTTTTGAAAAGACTTCTTTTTTTTTTTTTTTTTTTTTTTTTTTTGAGACGGAGTCTAGCTCTGTTGCCCAGGCTGGAATGCAGTGGCGCGATCTCGGCTCACTGCAAGCTCCGTCTCCCGGGTTCACGCCATTCTCCTGCCTCAGCCTCCCGAGCAGCTGGGACTACAGGTGCCCACCGCCACGCCTGGCTAATTTTTTTTTGTATTTTTAGTAGAGACGGGGGTCTCACCGTGTTAGCCAGGATGGTCTCGATCTCCTGACCTCGTGATCCGCCCGCCTTGGCCTCCCAAAATGCTGGGATTACAGGCATGAGCCACCGCGCCCGGCCGAAAAGACTTTTTTTTTTTAAATAAAAAGTCTTTAGAATAAGATAGAAAATCAGAGCCATAAGCCCTGAAGTTGAATTTGGCATTGAGCTTTCCAAGAGCGAGTACAGAAACAGAAGCCCTAGGGCTACGACTCTTACTATTTTATATATGAAATATATTATTTCCTCAAGAAGGATGCTGGGTGCTTAGCGGGATAACAGATTTCTGTTTTGCTTCTTATTTGTAGGTGTCCATACAGTAGCCAACTGCTTTGTAGTTCC
The DNA here is from genome assembly GCF_000001405.40 of Homo sapiens. Lineage (NCBI taxonomy): Eukaryota > Metazoa > Chordata > Mammalia > Primates > Hominidae > Homo > Homo sapiens. The sequence goes on along the minus strand of NC_000004.12, from coordinate 25,156,161 downwards.
TATGGCAACTGGTATGAGTCTAACTCTGTGTTTCTTAACATTACGACACAAAAGACCAAAGGCAAAGTATATTATATGGCCACGAATAGACCAGAAGTCCTGCTTTAAATCCATGATCACTGCAGGTAAGAGAAGTGTCATACATAATGTTTTAAACATCATAATTATGAAATTCAGATTTCTTATATAAAGATAGATAAATGAAAAATAAACTAACTCTCTTCCCTATTGCTTTTTTAAAAGAAAAAATTGTAAAATATATGTAACAAAATTTAATGTTTGTATTACTTTATGCAACTTTTAAGTTTATGGATACCTAAATATCTATGGTTCCATAATTATTATTTGTTGGGGGACCTTTGCGTATATACTAGTTAAGTGTACTGTTTTAATTGAAAATGTGAAAACAATTTTTATGCAAAATTTACAGTATACATTTTGTTTTCATAGGAGGCTTTTGTAGGCTATGAGATGGATCAGTGATCCTTAGGCTACTGAAATTTATTATGTTTTTCTTTAGAGGTAAAACATTAAGTAGATGATTGTGATTTGTTTCACTGAGTGAATTGTATTATTATTTATGTCCATCTCTGAAATAAAATGAACTTTAAAATAAAACAGAAATATCACCAGAGAATGAGTGGACTTATTTTTCTGTGGATTGAAACTGAACTGGATTAAAGTGATCCTTTTTGTCATCAGTGTCTATGTTATTACTTCTATAGATATCTATTTAACATTTGTTTTCCTTACTTTCCAGAATTCATTCTTGTCATATCCAAGTGTTAAATAGACTTATGGTCCTAAAATTGTGTAGTAGTCCCTCACATTATTTTGACCTGCCTTTGACTAATACCAGTACTGAGCCGTGTATTTATTACCAGAGGAAGGTTAATCTACCAAAATAAATATTAAGAGTTCTTGTGTAGAATAGCATGCTTCCTAGAGTTTCAGGATCTTCCCTTATTTTAGTTCACACTAACATTTTGTTTTCTGGTTGGTTTGGTTAGGTTTTGAGCCTGTGGTGATAGAAAATGTTTTGGAAGGTGACGAGCTGCGTACAGACCTGAAAGCAGTGGAGGCTAAAGTCCAGGAACTTGGGCCTGATTGCATTCTGTGTATTCATTCTACTACATCCTGTTTTGCTCCAAGGGTGCCTGATAGGTAAATGATTTGTGAATATTGTCCTTTAGCTGTTTATCAGTCTTTTAAATAAAATATACTAATTCTCAAATATGCTTAAATAACACTTCACAATAAATAGGTGAATGGTCTGTTCTAAGAGAATAGATTGACCTTGTGGAGAAATAGCATTAACAGCTTGGGAAACCAACCATTTGAAATATAACAAGGAAAAACAATTAGTACAGGGTGGGGAGCTCCCTTTATCACCTGAGTCGATGCAGACCGTCTCTGTTTTCTTGCTCTTTGTCCTGTTTCTGATCTCTTAGCATGTTTTTTCTTATTATTTAATAGAAGTTTCTTTTCTAAGCTAAATGTTGGGTTTACTTCTTTTCATTGCTATCAGTATTAATAAATTAAAAAAAAATTAGGATTGTTTACTTTCAAATTTCTGTAATTGGAAGATTAACTCAGATTATACCTTAGGTGTGCATAGTGGTTGTCATTGTCTGCGTTTTGAGAATAATACAAATATTTAAGAAAATAAAAGCAAAAAGGAAAGAAAAAGCAAAGGTTTACTCTTCTAAAGGATAGCCACACATTTTTATTCTGAAAATGTAATAGGCTCATGTCTAGTAATACAGATTTCTGTTTTTGACTACAATTTTTTTTGTTTCATTTTAACATTTTGAATGGAAGTGGTAATAATTTGTAAGCACTATATTGACTTTGGGCTTTTCTTGTAGCATCAAATTATACTTTGGTTTTAATTCATGGAATTACATTATTTGGCAATAATGAATTCTATGTTGGCTTTTGTTATCTTACAGGCAGATTGTAAGAGACAGTTTTTTAACTATGCTCTTAAAAATTTACCTTGCTACATTCATGAGCCTGTGAACTCTATTTTAAGATTACTTTTCATATGCTTTGTGGTTTATTCATTACTTACCAATCAGCTTTCAAATTTGTATTGAAAAATAAGCATTGTTCTTTGTTGATGGTTTTGATAGCTATAAAATTTTTAATGTGATAGAAATCACATTTTGAAAAACAGCATATGGATATTTGTGTTAGTTGGATTATTTATCCTTGTGGATACTTTGCTTTCGTTTCATTTTGACTAACGTCTTTTGAATGTTTACAGTATGCCTGGCACAGTGTTAAGTGTTTTACCTGTATTATCTCCTTTAGAAAAAATTTAATGAAGATTTTTATCAGTCAGAAAAATTCTCATTTGTCACCGTTGTGTAATGAATATTTCTGAGTAAGAGCAAAGTTTAGGAAAAGGGTGATGCACAGTAATGTTTGAATTTCTGACTTTATTAAATTTTAAAACCACATTTTGTTTTTTGTTTTTTTTACATTGGCTTCATTCCTTTTAATTTTTTGGATACAGTATACATTTTGTTTTTATTAGTTAATTAATCAGACAAAAACTATTGTGGAGGAAATTCACTTAAGGGAAATGTTGCAAAAAAGAAGGGTATTATTTCTTCTAACTGATAAACACCTTAAATTGGCTTCTAAGTTAGAAAACAATTTGATACATATGAAAAATATTTTTTCTGCTTCTCCTTTCATTTAATACTTTTTTTTTTTAACACACCCTAACCATTAACAGATTTAGGTAATTCAGATTATTTAAAACTACTCACAAGTTATTTTTTTTCTTTTAAAAATAGAGCTTAATGTTATGGAGCCTTATTTTCAAAGAAATTATTTATTAAGGAATATTTTCATTAGAACACACACATATGAAAGTGCCTTTTATTTTATGAAGAAAATACTTCTGTGTATCCCAGAGGTCTATTTTGTTAAAAACATCATCTGATTAGTTTGAAGTAACAAAAAGGATGTCTATATCAATTTGTAGGGTTTGTGAAAATGAATGATAAAATGAGTTTTTAATTCATAAGACTTCAAGCAAGCAAATTGATAACTTGTTTTTGGTCTGAGGCAAACTGGACAAAAAAAAGAAAACTTGTAACAGATGAACATAATGGTATTCCTACTTACAGTTAAAAATATATTAATGACATCTACTAGAAATAGGACATGTATTATGCGTAAATCGGTAATTCAAACTATATATTTGAAGTATATCCTGTCAAAAAGGACTTTACTTGTATAAAAATGCTTTCAAATTCTTTATACTTTAGAAAGAAAACTTTTAATAATTTTACTAAAACATAGGATTTAGTTTTAGTTTCATAGCATGAAGACATTTCTATTAAAGATGAGCTCAGTCACAAGAAGTATTTGGCTTTGTGAAAGAACATCTATTTATTATGCTGTCACTGAAATTTATTACCTTACTTTGCATAAAGTTAGACTCTCAAATTAGATTAATATGAGAGGTGTAAAATGAAAAAGTAAGAGTAGATAAGGGTGGATTTAAAACCAGTAGCTATTTGGAAGATTCCTCAGTATCCAAGTTGTTGGAAAATGTTAGTTATTTTGGTAATGACACATTTTAATGTTCTGTATTTTTTAATACATTAAAGTCTATTTGAGAATGCATTTTTTATTTTATGAGATGTTTAATGTGAGATTTCTTAAGATTCCAGATATGCTAATTATTTTGCAGATACTAGCTTCAGTATGGTAAGCAACCAAAAGTGGAAAAAAAGAGCATACCATCTTGTGAGGGGTCATTATAAATAATCTTCTGGCTTTCTGTTTAGGGAATTTTTAATTTTAAAATGATTTATCATCTACATAAATTTTTGTATTTTTTTTGTATATTGATAACATTAATTTAAAAGCCTTTTTAGGTTTATTCGAAAGAGCTTGCTATGTATTTCCAAGCTGCTGAATTACATGTCAAAATACTGCAATAGAAATTTCAGTGTTTGTCGTTTTTTTCCTTTGGTGTACATTAAGGATAACTATTAAATTTTTAAAAAACTTTCTGCACTATCATTTATAAAACACAGTGTGAGTATGTCTTTCTATTGAATATTTATGTTTATAGATTAGAAGAACTGGCTGTGATTTGTGCTAATTATGACATTCCACATATAGTTAATAATGCTTATGGAGTGCAGTCTTCAAAGTGTATGCATCTCATTCAGCAGGTAAGAGAGTTTAAAATGATATGTATGTCAAGGAAAAATTCATTTTAACATATTATAGGATTATTACTTTTTCTTACAATCTGATATAGTAAAACAGTTATTTATGACCATCTGCTTCAGGTTGTGTTAGGAACTTACATCTGATAATCTCTCAATAAAAGTCATTATTCTTTGATACTGTGGTGATAATTGGACTGATAGCTTTGGTAGGCTAGAATCAACATAGAAATACTTTAGTAGTTTAGCTTTTAACTTTCTGAGACTGTTTCATTACCTGGATTTTCATTTTTCTAATATACTGGATTATACCATTTAAAAAGATATGATTTAGTCTATATTTAAGGAATTATTGTACCTTATTATCTTAGACTAGAAGTGACTTCATTTATAAACATGCTAGTATATAGCTGTGGAATTGGCAGGTTTTTGTATTTTTTTTTAAGCATCAGCTAGATCCTGGTCATTTGTTTTAGGTTCTAATTTTGAAAATATGTCTTTGTTTCCCATGTGACTTATAATAAGAACTATGGCCTACAAGGCTTTGTGTATTCAGGCCTTTGCTGATTTGCTGATTTCATTTTCTACTGCTTTCCTTTTGCCTGCTGTGCTCCAACCACCCTTGCTGCCTTACTTTTTTTCCATTTTGTCACGTGCCTGCACTTCCAGGCCTTTGCTCTTGCTCATCCCACTTGCTGGATTGCTCTTCTAGAGAGTTGCGTAGCTTTCTTTAGGTCAGTGAGACTTCCTCAGAAACTCTGTCAGTGATTGTTATTATTGACAATCAATAAACCGGTTACTGAACAAAGTGAGTGAATAAATGAAATATTGTGTTTATTTATACATGTATGATACAGGCTATATAGTTTGTGTGCATAATGATGTTAATATACATACTCAGTTTTGACATACATGTCAAACCCTATCTAACACCTCCCCCTTCCTTGCTAGCGTTTTCTAGTTTTTTATTTTTTTGAGATAGGGTCTCACTCTGTTGTCCAGGTTGGAGTTCACTGCAGCCTCAACTTCCCACGCTCAAGTGATCCTCCTACCTCAGCCTCCCGGGTAGCTGGGACCACAGGTGTGTGCCACCACACCCAGCCAACTTTTTGTATTTTTTCTAGAAATGGGGTTTTGTCATGCGGCCCAGACTGGTCTCAAACTCCTAGGCTCAAGCCAGCCTCCCACCTCGGCCCCACAAAGTGCTGGGATTGCAGATGTGAGCCACTGCGCCCAGCCCTTGCTAGCATTTTCTATCCTTCTTTTTGCTTTTTTACCATGTTCATTGATTTTAAGATGCTATGTTCTACATTTTGACATCTGAAATTCTGATGTCTTAATAATCAGTGGTGTCTTACAATGTTAATAGGCAGTGTTTTTTTTTTACGTAGTGACATATAAAATAATGATGTTTCTTAAAATTGATGGCTCCTTGCTATTTTTCTCCAGAACACTTATCACCATTTGATATAATGTTTGTTATTGACAGTGATTAGAATTAAGGTTCTGTTGGGGTAGAACTTTGTTTTGTTCACTGCTGTGCCCTCAGTACTTAAGACAATATCTGGTACGTAATGGACAATTAATAACTGGTTACTGAACAGTCAGTGAATAAATAAAGTATTGTATTTATGCATGTATGGTATGGACTACATAGTTTGTGTGCATAATGATGTTAATATACACATACAGTTTTGACATACATGTGATTTGTGTTATGTGGGCATAAGTTATTCACAGATTACCTGTGTCTTGCTCCAATATGGTAAATGCTCTGAAGCACAATAGATACTATCTAGTACATTTTTTGTCTTTTATATTATTTTTAGTATACTAATATCATCTTTTACATAAATGTGGTTTATATGAAATAGTAATCACTGATTTGCTTAACTTCTTTACTCAACTTTGTATCAGTTAGGATGTCATTGGCAGCAAGTAACAGGCACCCAACTCAAGTTGGCTTAAACCAATAAGGAAATGGATTAATTTATGTAGCAAGTCCAGAGGTGGAGTGGGTTGTAGGCATGGTGTGTTGGGATTTCTTAAAACCTTTAGAGAAAGACTGTTTACCATTTCCTTGGTATTTCTTTTTGCTATTCCTTAACTTTTTAAGGCTTCTTCACTTATTGTAGACTAGGTTATATCTAATTTGTATGGTCATAGAGGAAGGGTGTACAATTTTCTACACTGGAAATCTTGAAAAACATTTTATTTCAGTGATTGATTTTTATTCCTCCTTTCCCTTTCCCTCTTGCTCTTCTTCTGTGTAATTTTTAGCAGCTTCTCTCCTTTTAAAAGTCAAATACCATCAGTATTACTAAAAGTTTAGGAAAATGAGGAAGGAGTAGAAGATCACTCATAATGCTATTACCCTAACAAATACCCTTAACAATTTATGTATTTACTTTTTCTCTTTTTATATGCATATTGTTTTTACATAGTTATATTCATTGTGTACATTTAATTTTTTTAGTGTTATATTTCTGTACCCTTCAGATGCTATAAAGTTTTCATAATGATCATTTTAATGATACAACATATTTTTAAATACTAGAAAATTTGGTGGTGCACCTGAAGAGGTTAAAACTAAGAGAGGCTGGGTGTGGTGGCTCCCCTCTGTAATTCCAGCACTTTGGAAGGCTGAAGCTTGTGGATCACTTGAAGCCAGGAGTTTGAGACCTCCCTGGGCAACAAAGCAAGACTCCATCTCTACAAAACTAAAATTTAAAAAAAAATTCTCTGGGTGTGGTGGTGTGTACTTGTAGTCCCAGCTACTCAGGAGGCTGAGGCAGGAGAATGGCATGAACCCAGGAGGCGGAGCTTGCAGTGAGCCAAGATAGCCCCACTGCACTCAGCCTGGGTGACAGAGCGAGACTCCGCCAAAAAAAAAATAAAAGCTCCAGAATACAATAAGAAAGGTGCTCTTGGAGTTGCACATCCCTAATACTCTGCTTTGTCATTACCTCTCTGCATTTGGGAGGTGGTTTTACTAAAATTTTAACCAAAAAATAAAACTATAAGATGGATGAATAAACTTTTAAATGCAGATATTGTTGCAGATAATGTATTACCTTCTAAAGTTGACATTTGTTAAAAAATTTCTTTGATACCTAATATCTGGGTATATTTATGGAGTGCAAATGATATTTTGATACATGTACAGATTGTGGGATGATTAAGTCAGAGTACTTAGGCTATCCATTATGTGGCATTTATTATATCTTTTTGTGTTGGGAACATTTCACATACTCTCTTCTAGGTATTTTGAAATATACAATACATTGTTGTTAACTATAGTCACTGTACTGTGCTATTGAACGTTAGAACTTATTAAAATGGACATTTCTTTAAAACAAAAAAAGCAAATATATAAACATTCTATTTTTCCCAAATTGGCCTTCACCAAAAGAGGTTGTGGCACTATTGATTTAAATCAAATGAATACTTGAGTCTTGTTGAGTGCAGGTTGCTGTTTCATGACATTCTAAAAAATTAAAGTTAGCCTTAATTCATCTCAATAGTCCTTATTGTTAATATATACCATTTACTACACACTCTCCATGTGTCAGGCATCCTACTAGGCTTTTTTTTTTTTTTTTTTTTTTTTGAGACGGAGTCTCGCTCTGTCGCCCAGGCTGGAGTGCAGTAGCGCGATCTTGGCTCACTGCAAGCTCCGCCTCCCAGGTTCACGCCATTCTCCTGCCTCAGCCTCCCGAGTAGCTGGGACTACAGGCGCCCACCACCATGCCTGGCTAATTTTTTGTATTTTTTAGTAGAGACGGGGTTTCACCGTGTTAGCCAGGGTGGTCTCAATCTCCTGACCTCGTGATCCACCCGCCTTGGCCTCCCAAAGTGCTGGGATTACAGATGTGAGCCACCGTGCCTGGCCCTCTACTAGGCTTTTAAAGTTATCAGCTGAATCCTGACAATTTAAGGTGTACTTCTTATTCCCATTCTGCACATGGGGAAATAAAATAAGTGGGATTAAGTGACTTCCCTAAGGTCCTGTAGCTACAAAATAGCCCATCTAGTTCAGTGCGACTCCAAAGTCCCATTTTTCTGTTAAAAAACAAAGTACTAAAATACTAATACTGTAAGTCTTTTCTTGAGAAAATAATATTGCAATAATCAATCAATGAAGAAAAGTATAAATAAATTTTTTTTATTTTTATTGTTTTAACATTATGTTTTTAACTTTTTTGTTTTTAAGATGAGACCCCAGAATGACTTAAGGCTGAGCATATAGAGTATTCTGTATGCACATAACCCCACCTCCAGGGGAAGTTAGTTTTGAGTAACCTATATTTCTGTTTATATTTACTAAAATGACGAATTTAAGAGATTCATGAATTATGGATGTTAGGATAGATTAATGGAGAGGGATATAGTAGAGTCACAAAAATATGCATATAAGACTGATTATTTTGAGTCACAATGGATTGTAAAGTTCCAAAAGTGTGGGAAGCAGCAACTTTGCCTGTTCAGAATTTGAGAGAAGTAGGTATTACTACTGTTTATTCACAAACCCAATTGTCACTTCATTCAACAAATACTTTCTGGGTTCCTGCTTGTGTACCAGGCACCAGGGTAGGAACTGGAGATGCAATAGTGAATCCAACAAAATCTTTAACCCTCATAGAGCATTCTATTTTTTGTGCGAAAGCAGAGAGTAAACCTTGAGTATGACAAGTCTTGGATAAATGCTCTGGTATTTGGGGAGGATGGATATCATTAGATGGAGTGATCTAGGAAGCACTCTTCAAGAAGTACATGTGAGTGGAGCTCTGAATGATGCAGGAGGAAGCTTTGCAGCTCTCTAGAGAGAGAGATTCCAGTCAGAAGCTAACAGCCAAGACTCTGAGGCAGGAGCGTGCTTGGAATATGTGAGAAATAGCAAGGAGGCCAGTATGGCTGAACCATAATGAACAAGGTGAACAGTGGTTGTAGAGCTTTGAGGTGTGTTAAGGGTTTGGGATTTTGTTTTTGGTATGATCATTGGCCATGGAAGGATTTCAAGCAGGAAAGAGTGACATGCTATGTGGGAAATAGACTGTAGGGAGGCAAGAGTGGAAGGCTGTTGCAGCAACCCATATGAGATTTTTTGGTGGCTTTGGCCAGGGTGGTAGTTGTGAAGGTGGTAATAAATGCTTTTATTCAGATGTATTTTGAGAGTGGATTTTAGAGCATATACTGATGACTTAGATGTAGCTGAAAAAGGGGGTCTTGTACCATTTCTGAGATTGGGTCTGGCCTGTTTGTTTTCTTGCCACAGAATGTGCTGCCTTTTAAATGCTTTCTGTGTTTTAGTGATGGAAGGGTTCTAGCAAAGTCTGGTGCATTGATTCCTCTAGTACTTCTGCTTCCAGTTTAGGTTCCTGTTTCTCTCAGGAGGCCTTGGACAGTACTAAAATGTTAATACAAAGGCAACTCTGACTGTCCACTTATCTTTATATGCTGCTACTTCGCATGTTTTCCAGTTTTTTTTATTCTGTTAGTCTTATATGCATCTCTCTATTTTCCTGTGATATGGTGAGATTTTCTCTGATCATGGTTTATTAGGAAATTAGAAAGAAGAGGAAGAGGAAGGTTAAGATTTGAACAGTTGTATAATGGCCTCCAGAGCAGCTGCTCCTCTTCCCTGCTTCGGCTGCTTCCACCTGTTGCCTGGATCTGGACTCTGAGATTAGGCCAGCTATCTGCTCCTTCTGTTCTCCCTCAGATAGCAAGGTGTGAAAATGAAGGTCAAATATGGTTATAATATTAATAGGAATACAGATTGTGAATACAGATTGAAAATCTGTGGCTACAGATAAAGAAAAAGACTATGTTAGTTGTAATTTAGACAGTATCTCTATTTTTAAGAGGAGAAAATTGAAGCACATTAGACAGAAAGTTGGATGAGGACCGAACTTAGTTTTACATTTCTAGTAGGTAAGTATTCAATTTTTCACCGGAATATTAGATTTTCACTGGAAGTTCATTTGCAGTGGAATGAAATCTAAGTTTATAATATTAGGGAGCATGAGTTATGTAGAAACATTGCTTCTAGAATTGCCAAGAGTATACAAATAAAACTTCCATTAAGTGATGTTAAAAGTAAAACTTTGCATTTGTTTTTTATCTGAGTGCTTAAAATGGTCATACAGGTAGTAGATTGTCCAAGCATTAAAGAGAGGCACATGTATAATTAACTGTTTGGCAACTCGGATGGCTATAGTCCATTAGGTTATGGTGGCCACCCTCGAACTCACAGAGGATGTTTAAAACCACTTAATAGTTATAGGACCCATTGTAGACATTTGTTGTCAAAAAAAGGAGCACAGATGAGAGGCATGGGATGAATCCATTCTTTCTTATCAAATTTTAAGGTGTAAAGCTTTGTTTCATTAAAGTTCCCACCTGAGCTGATACTGAAACCGTGCTTGCCTCACAGAGTTGTTATGAAGATTAAATGATTTATGTGTGAAAGCAGGTTGTAAACTTAAAGTTGCACATATAAGGAGCACCATTAAAAATTTTGGTTTAATACTTAAAAACATTTTCTTGGCACTATTACAAAGAAAATAAAAATAAAATTTTTCAATTGTTTTTTCCATGCATTGTTTTAATGGTGTTTATTTTTATTCTAAGGTAGAGTTGACAAAAATTGTATATATTTACAGTGTACAATTTGATGTTTTGATGCATGTATATATTGTAAAATGGTTAAATCAGGCTAATATATTAATTAACTCAAATAGTTATAATTTTTTGTTGTGGTATTTGTTTGTTAATAGCAGTTGTCTGTTTTCCTAGCAACTAATATGTAATATCATATTGATTCCAGGGGGCTCGAGTTGGTAGAATAGATGCTTTTGTTCAGAGCTTGGACAAAAATTTTATGGTTCCAGTAGGTGGTGCTATAATTGCTGGCTTTAATGATTCATTCATTCAGGAAATCAGCAAGATGTATCCAGGTAAATAAATAAGTTGCTTTTCAGAAAAAGTAGCTAACAAACAAAAATCCATTTGTACATAGGCTATTGTAGTAAATCTTAATTTCCAAAGCTACCCCCCCACCACAGTCTTAATGTAACTTATCCTTCTTATTTCAGGAAGAGCTTCAGCTTCACCTTCTTTAGATGTCCTTATTACTTTATTGTCACTTGGATCAAATGGCTATAAGAAGCTACTAAAAGAAAGAAAGGTAAGCTTTCCCTTTAGGTGTCGAATAACATTCTTGACTAGAACTGTGCTCCAAATCATTGGTGTTTTCTGCCTGTTGGTTTCTTGCACTGGGAGGGAGACATCTAGTATGGTCCGATAGTATTTATTCAGATCTGGAACCACCATAGGTGGTTTCCTATTACTTTTTGTCAGCCTGTCTATCCAGATATTACGAGGAATCTGGGTTAGGTGATTTTGCTTTTATTTATTTACTTTTTAGAAACTCCTGCATTAGGGACTCTTATTCAATAAAATTCAATTCATTTATCACTTAAAGGTACTTAAAGGTAGAAGCTCTTAAAAGACAAATGGATAAGTCATCTTTTTAGTTTTTGGAAACTTGAAAATTGTTTAGGAGTGAGATGTCAGTCACAAGAGGAAGAATCAGGTCAGAAGTTAGCTCTATCTTTTTTTTTTTTTTTTTTTTGAGCGGAGTCTTGGGTTGGAGTGCAATGGCACGATCTTGGCTCACTGCAACCTCCGCCTCCCAGGTTCAAACCATTCTTCTGCCTCAGCCTCCCGAGTAGCTGGGATTACAAGCGCCCGCCACCACACCCGACTAATTTTTTGTATTTTTAGTAGAGACGGGGTTTCACTATGTTGGCTAGGCTGATCTCCAACTCCTGACCTCGTGATCCACCCGCCTCAGCCTCCCAAAGTGCTGGGATTACAGACGTTACCCACCACGCCTGGCCTATTTCTTGTCATTATTGAACGCTGAACTCATTGGTTATATTGGTTATGAAAAGAAGTTACATTTATATTTGAAAACATGACTTTATCTCCAACACAACTAGCTTAATTCAGGACACCTCCAAAAGACAGAGCTTGTATAGCTAGGGCAGGCAGTGTTTTATTCATCTTCTATCTGGGAGAGAGTGAGTCCTCTGGTGCAGTTTTTAAATCTGATAACTTTCTAGCACTTAACAACAATTGTAGTCCCTTATATTTATAATAGTACTTTATATATTCTAAAGCATTTTCATATGTATTATCTCATAGATGATCTCATAGCCTTAGGATGAATACATAACAAGTTTAAAAATCTTGTGCTCTGTTTTACCCCAGTCTTCCTTCCCCTACTAATTCATTCCATGGGATAGTAATTGTTTAATTGTGAGGACATTTCTTAAGATTTATGTGATATAGGAAAAGATGCTCAATGTCATTAGTAATTAGGGAAATGCAAATTTAAAACCACAATGAAATACCACTACACACCTTTTAGAATGGCTAATGTACCGAAATATGCAACAAGATAATGACTCTCAAATGCATTATGCTAAATGAAAGAAGTCAGACTCAAAAGGCTACATATTGTACAGTTTCATTTATATGCCATCCTGGAAAAGGTAAAAAATATAAGGAAAGAAGAAAGATTAATGGTTGCTAAAGGGTAGGGATTGGGGAGGGAACTTTTTAGGGTGATGAAACGTTTCATGTCTTGATAGTGGTAGTGGTTTCATGACTGTATATATTTGTCAAAATTCATAGAAGTGGGCACCTAAAAAACAGACATCCCGAATTTTACTATGTGAGCAAATTGTACCTCAGTAAGTCTGACAATGAATTTTTATACAATAAGAATAAAACTCTGGTTTTATAAACTCCAAATTGTAATCATTCATGGTCGTAGATTGTTGTAGCCAAGAGAAGACTGTGGCAAATCTTTCAAGAAAACAGATCCATATGTCAGATAACAACTCTCTATAGATGAGGAAAACTTGTCATCTGCTTCTATGAGAGTTTAGTTGTTTCAGTGGTTCTTAGCTCTCCTATAACTAGTCGTTTCGTCCTGGAAAAGTTTTAAAGATTTTATTTCCCCATTTGTGAAAGACACAATTGATATCTCAGGCCACTTTTAGTCTTAAAAGACTCTAGAATATTTCTTAAAAGAGTTACTTCCTGGACTTTGGACATAATAATCATGGGAACTGGCCTGTAATTTAGTAATCCAGTATAAGGCATATTGGTAATATAAATTAGACATTTTGTAAATTTGAGTTTTTCTTTTTAACGCAATGGTCTCTTCAGTTTCATGTTACCTCATACCCATTTTTACCCTTATCAAGCTGTCTTGGCTTCCCTCCCTGCATCTGAATAAGCCCACTTAAAATAGCGTAGTCTAAAGTACGGAAATGCAAAGGTAAAGTTGAATGTGGGATAAGATTCGAGTAAACATTTACTGTGTATTTATTGACCACATGTCATGTGTCAGGCATATAGATATATATAGATATAGCAGTCAATACAGTAGATAAAGATACTTGCTCTTGAGGAGCACACATTGCCTATGGGGGAAACCAGCAATAAACAGGCAACATAATATAGAAATTACAAAGTTTGCTTGAAGGTGAAAAGTGCTATGAACAAAAGCAAGAATAAGGAGAATTTGGGATGATGAGGTGGTGGTGGGAACTGATTTTTAAATATAGTGATTAGGGCAGGCCTCATTGAGATGGTGACTTTTTTTTTTTGAGATGGAGTCTCGTTCTGTCACCCAGGCTGCAGTGCAGTGGCGTGATCTTGCCTCACTGCAACCTCTGCCTCCCGGGCTCAAGTTATTCTCCTGCCTCAGCCTCCTGAGTAGCTGGGATTACAGGCACACATCACCATGCCTGGCTATTTTTTGTATTTTTAGTAGAGACGGGGTTTTGCCATGTTGGCCAGGCTGGTCTTGAACTCCTGACCTCATGTGATCCCCCCACCTTGGCCTCCCAGGGTGTTGGGATTACAGGCATGAGCCTCCGTGCCCAGCCCAATACCGTGACATTTGAGTGAACTTGAAGTTTGAGGGAATATACACATATGATGGTGAAGTGCGTTTCAGGCAGAAAGCCAGTATCAGGACTCTAGGCCAGATGTGGACCTTGGGTATTTGAGAAGCAGCAAGGAGGCCAGTGTGGCTGGAGCAAAAAGAGCAAGGAGAACTGTGGGAGTTGAGGTCAGGGTGGTAATGAGGGTGGGGCTGATCACGTGGGGCCTTCTAGGCCACAGTAAGGTCCGTGCCTCATATTCTGAGTGAAATAGGGAGCCACTGGAGGTTTGAATTGAGTAGAATGATCTGACAGGCTTTGAATGCTCACATTGATAATAGATTGGGGGGCAAGGGCAGAAGCTGGATGGATACCTGTTAGGAGCCTTCTATAGTGGTTAAGAAGTGATATTGGCTGGGAGCTAGATGGTGGCAGTGGAGGTAATAAGAAGTGGTTAGAGTCAGGTTTGACCTGAGCAATTGGAAGGATGGAACAGCCATTAGCTATGATGGGGAAGCTGTAGGTTTTGGGGGAAGACTAGGAGTTCAGTTTTGGACAAAATTGAATTTGAATTGACCTTAAGATAGAGTTGCAAAGTAGAGAGTAGGATATACAAGTTTAGGATTAAGAGAGAACTGGGCTGGAAATAAAAATCTGGGAGTTAATTGGCCAAGAGACTAGATGAGATTGCAAGACAGTGAGTGTAAACAGAAAAGAGGTATAAGGACTGAGCTCTGGGCACTACAGCATTAAGAGGTCTGAGAAAAGCAACAAGCAAAGGAGACTTAGAAGGAACATTCAGTGAGGAGGAAGACCAAGAATGGTGTCCTAAGTCATCCCTTGGTATCACTCAGATACCAAAATCTTTAGATGCTCAAGACCCGTATATAAACTGACATAGTATTGTCATATAAATTATGCACATCCTCCTGTATTCCTTAAATCAACTCTAGATTACTTATAATACTGAATACAATATAAATGTTACATAAGTAGTTGTTATACTGTATTGTTTAGGAAATAATGTCAAGAGAAGAACTCTGTGCATATTCAGCACAGATGCAATTTTTTTTTTTTTTCAAATATTTTCAATCCACACTTGGTTGAAGCTGTGGAGGCAGAACTCATGGATATGGAGGACCAACTGTGTATTAAGGAGGAGGGAGTGATTAGCATAGCTGATGGCACTGATAGGTCAAGTAGGGTGAGCATTAAGATTTGACCATTGGTTAGAAAGGTTTCATGTAAAAATCATTCTTAACATAGTCTTTCCATGCAAAGTTTGTGTTTATACAAATACCATATACATCCTTATACATTTATATACATATGAAATAATTACACGTAATACTGAGCACTTACTATGTGGAAGGCACTCTTCTAAGTACATTTTTATGTATACATTTAATCCTTAAAATATTCTTATGAGGTATTGTTATCCTCATTTTCATAGGAAATCGAGAAGTAACATGTATGAGGTGAATTGTGGAATATGGACCGAAATCTAGGCAATTGGGTCTCCTATTCTCTGTCTTAACTTCTAAATTCTACTTTGCCTTTTTAAATATAGAAGATAACCTAGCCTGGTGGATTTATATGGCTGTAAATCTCAAGATATGGGTCTACTGATATCTAAAGGAGACAAAAACAGTGAATAAATCTAGCTACTCTGGCCAAAAAAACTCAGTTATATTTTAGAGAGGATATATGTTGTTTGCTTGTGCAGAATCACTGTCATTGGAGAACTGCTCCTCCCTGACTCCAGGTGGTCCTGCTGAGTCTATCAATTACAGTGTCCCTCCTCTTTCATATGGTGGGCAGATGATCTGGCTAGCCTGGTTCACAGGCATGTGGAGATAATGTCCTTCCAGTAGATTTGATTGATCCTTTAGAGACAGGACCTCTTGCTTTGCAGATAGTAAGCTGTAAGGATATAATCTTACAACTGTCAGCTGCCGTATTTCTAGCCATGCCAAGAGAGACTTCTCAACACTAGGGACTATAAGAAGAAAAACAGAATTAAGTCATTTGAGACTCTATCCAGCCATGCCTGCTTGTGGACTGGGCTGTGAGATGAAGCAGTAAATTCCCATCTCTGTTTTAAACTTTCTAATGCTGATACTTTTGATTCCTTTTATACCCTTAAGCCCTTATATCATTAAGTCCTTCACAATGTTTCCAACATTCATTTCTTTCCATTTCCACTGCTATCACTCCCTAATTTAAGTCCTTACCACATCACACCTCATGGTTACAGTAATTTATTCACACTTCTCCTGTTCCCCCACCTTGGTCTACTCTAATTTGTCACATTGTAGAGCAGTGCCAGGTTAATATTCTAAAGACACAACTTTCAGAGGCCAAGGTGGGCAGATCACGAGGTCAAGAGATTGAGACCATCCTGGCCAAGATGGTGAAACCCTGTCTTTACTAAAAATACAAAAAGTAGCTGGGTGTGGTGGCACACACCTGTAGTCCCAGCTACTTGGGAGGCTGAGGCAGAGAATCACTTGAACCCAGGAGGCGGAAGTTGCAGTGAGCTGAGATTGCACCACTGCACTCCAGCCTGGTGACAGAGTGAGACTCCATCTCAAAAAAAAAAAAAAAAAAAAAGACACAACTTTCTTCAAGTTGTTTTGCTTTGGGTTCTGGTTGCCTACAAGACAAAGTTCAAACTCCTTTAAAAATAGTATTGGCCCCTGCTCATTCATTTATTCATTCAAACAAATATTTATGTGTAGGCCCTAAAGCTAAATCCACAAACAAGACTGACTTAGTTTTTACCTCCATGGAAATTATAGTTTTTGGAGGAAATCTAGATATTAAATAGTTACAAATCTGATGAGAATTATGAAAGGAACGCAAGAGTGTGTGAGAGCATCTATTACCAAACCCAGCTGGGACACCTACCCCAGATCTGGAAGGGTCAGGTAAAATCTCCCTGGAGAAAAGACAGTGCATTTATTCATTGACATTCGTGGTGTGGTCCTAAGGTAATACTGATGGCTAGTACAACTGTGGAACTATGAAAGGGTGTTTTAAGCTGAGTCTAGAAAGCAAAGTACTGTGCAGTTATTTGAGAGTTTATGTTTTGAGTCACTTTATAAAATTAGCTTTCCTTTAGGGTAGATTCAGATTCATTAGATCAGAAGGAGGGCTTAGACAACTGCATTTTTAACAAAATTTTCCTGATGAATTTTGGTGCAGATTCATGTTTGATAGCCCTTGTTTTGGGGCACATAGGTCACTTGTATATATAACAGAAACTTGGAGAGGAAACATACAATGTCATAGCATTTTAACACTTATACATAGGTAGATAATATTTTATGGCATTTGAGATGAAATGCATAAATATCCCAAATATCAAAACTTCGAAATATAACATTAGTTATCTGTGTTTATTTCTGATCTTTTGTAGTCTTTTTTCTTAGATTTTTTTTTCTTTTTTCTTAGCTGCTTTTTGTTTTATATTGAGCACTCCTCAGATTTGGCTAAAATCATAAATTTATTTTATTTATTTATTTAATTTTATTTTTAAATAGAGATAGGGTCTTGCTATGTTGCCTAGGCTGGTCTTGAACTCCTGGACTCAAGCCATTCTCCTGCCTTGGCCTCCCAAAGTGTTGGGATTACAGGCATGAGCCTAAGTTTATTTTTAAACTAAATAAATGGAATATATTATAACTAACAATAAGACCATTATACAAAATTATAAGTCATTTTAAAAGTATACTTTATTATATAGATAGTAACTTTTAAGACTAAAAAAATATTATTTTAGGTTCTGGGGTACATGTACAGGATGTGCAGGTTTGTTACATAGGTAAACGTGTGCCATGGTGGTTTGCTGCACCTGTCAACCCATCACCTAAGTATTAAGCCCAGCACGCATTAGCTATTTTTTCTGATGCTCTCCCTCCCCCTGCACCCCTCTGACAGGCCCCATTGTGTGGTGTTCCCCTCCCTGTGTTTGTGCGTTCTCATTGTTCAGCTCCCACTTAGAGTGAGACGATGCGGTATTTGGTTTTCTGTTCCTGCTTTAGTTTGCTGAGGATAGTCTTCCAGCTCCATCCATGTCCGTGCAAAGGACATGATGTCATTTCTTTTTAAGGCTGCATAGTATTCCATGGTGTAGATGTGCCACATTTTCTTTATCCAGTCTATCATTGATGAGTGTTTGGGTTGATTCCATGTCTTTGCTGTTGTGAATAGTGCTGCATTGAACATACATGTGCATGTATCTTTATAATAGAATAATTTATATTCCTTTGGATATATATCCAGTAATGGGATTGCTGGGTCGAATGGCATTTCTGGTTCTAGATCTTGAGGAATCCCCACACTGTTTTCCAAAATGGTTGAACTAATTTACATTTCCACCAACAGTGTAAAAGTGTTCCTATTTCTCTGCAACCTTGCCAGCATCTGTTGTTTCTTGACTTTTTAATAATCACCATTATGACTGGCATGAGATGGTATCTCATTGTGGTTTTGATTTGCATTTCTCTCATGATCAGTGATGTTGAGCTTTTCTTCATATGTTTGTTGGTTGTATGGATGTCTTCTTTTGAGAAGTGGCTGTTCGTGTCCTTTGCCCACTTTTTTATGGGGTTGTTTGATTTTTTTTCTTGTAAATTTGTTTACGTTCATTGTAGACTGGATATTAGACCTTTGTCAGAAGGGTAAGTTGCAAAAATTTTTTCCCATTCTGCAGGTTGTCAGTTCACTCTGATGATAGTTTCTTTTGCTGTGCAGGAGCTCTTTAGTTTAATTAGATCACATTTGTTAATGTTTGCTTTTGTTGCAATTGCTTTTGACATTTTCATCATGAAATCTTTGCCTGTGCCAGTGTCCTGTATGGTATTGCCTAGATTTTCTTCTAGGGTTTTTATAATTTGGGGGTTTACATTTAAGTCTTTAATCCATCTTGAGTTAATTTTTGTCTAAGGTGTAAGGAAGGGGTTCAGTTTCAAGTTTCTGCATATGGCTAGCCAGTTTTCCCAGCACCATTTATTAAATAGAGAATCCTTTCCCCGTTGCTTGTTTTTGTCAGGTTTGCCAAAGATCAGATGGTTGTAGATGTGTGGTCTTATTTCTGAGTTATCTATTCTGTTTCGTTGGCCTATGTGTCTGTTTTTGTACCAGTACCATGCTGTTTTGGTTACTGTAGCCCTGTAGTATAGTTTGAAGTTGGGTAGCATGATGTCTCCAGCTTTTTTCTTTTTGCTTAGGATTGTCTTGGCTATACAGACTCTTTTTTGGTTCCATGTGAATTTTTAAATAGTTTTTTTCTAATTCTATGAAGAATGTCAACGGTAGTTTGATGAAAATAACATTGACTCTATAAATTTCTTTGGGCAGTGTGGCCATTTTCATGATAGTGGTTCTTCCTATCCATAATATGGAATGTTTTTACATTTGTTTGTGTCCTCTCTAATTTCCTTGAGCAGTGGTTTGTAGTTTCCCTTGAAGAGTTCCTTCACTTCCCTAGTTAGCTGTATTTCTAGGTATTTTATTTTCTTTGCAGTAATTGTGAATGTGAATTGTGAGAGCCAAATCATGAATGATTTGGCTCTCTGCTTGTTTGTTGTTGTATAGGAATGCTTGTGATTTTTGCACATTGATTTTATATTCTGAGACTTTGCTGAAGTTGCTTATCAGCTTAAGAAACTTTTGGGCTGAGACAATGGGGTTTTCTAGCTACAGTATCATGTCATCTGCAACCAGAGACAGTTTGACTTCCTCTCTTCCCATTTGAATACCCTTTATTTCTTTCTCTTGCCTGATTGGCCTGGCCAGAACTTCCAATGGTATGTTGAATAAGAGTGGTGAGAGAGGGCATCCTTGTCTTGAGCTGGTTTTCAAGGGGAATGCTTCCAGCTTTTGCCCATTCAGTATGATATTGGCTGTGGGTTTGTCATAAATGGCTATTATTATTTTGAGATATGTTCCTTCAATACCTAATTTATTGAGAGTTTTTAACATGAAGGAATGTTGAATTTTACCAAAGGTATTTTCTGCATCTATTGAGATAATCATGTGGTTTTTGTCTTTAGTTCTCTTTATCTGATGAATTACATTTATTGATTTGCGTGTGTTGAACCAGCCTTGCATCCTGGGGTTGAAGCCTACTGAGTCATGGTGGATAAGCTTTTTGATGTGCTGCTGGATGTGCTTCTGGTTTGCCAGGAATTTATTCAGGATTTTTGCGTCGATATTCATCAGGGATATTGGCCTGAAGTTTTTTTTTTAAAATTTCTGCCAGGTTTTGATATCAGGATGATGCTGGCCTCATAAAATGAGTTAAGGAGGAGTCCCTCCTTTTCAATTGTTTGGAATAGTTTCAGAAGCTTCTCTTTGTACCTCTGGTAGAATTCAGCTGTAAATCTGTCTGGTCCTGGGCTTTTTTTGGTTGGTAGGCTATTAATTACTGCCTCAATTTCAGAACTTGTTATTGGTCTATTCAGGGACTCAACTTCTTCCTGGTTCAGTCTTGGGAGGGTGTATATACGCAGGAATTTATCCATTTCTTCTACATTTTCTAGTTTATTTTCATAGTGGTGTTTATAGTATTCTCTGATAGTTGTTTGTATTTCTGTGGGTCAGTGGTGATACCCCGTTTATCATTTTTGTTGTGTCTATTTGATTCTTCTCTCTTTTCTTATTAGTCTAGCTAACAATCTACCTATTTTTTATTAATTTTTTAAAAAAACCCACTCCTGGATTCGTTGACTTTTTTTTTTTTTTAACGGTTTTTCGTGTCTCTGTCTCCTTCAGTTCCACTGTGATCTTGGTTGTTTCTTGTCTTCTGCTAGCTTTGGGATTTGTTTGCTCTTGGTTGTCTACTTCTTTTAGTTGATGTTAGAATGTCAATTTGGGATCTTTCTGGCTTTTTGATGTGAGCATTTAGTGCTATAAATTTCCCTTTTAACACTGCTTTAGCTGTATCCCAGAGATTCCAGTATGTTATCTCTTTGTTCTCATTAGTTTCAAAGAACTTCTTTATTTCTGCCTTAATTTCGTTATTTACCCAGGAGTCATTCAGGAACAGGTTGTTCAGTTTCAGTTGTGTGGTTTTGAGTGAGTTTCTTAACCTTGAGTTATAATTTAGTTGTGTTGTGGTCTGAGAGACTGTTATGATTTCAGTTCTTTTGCATTTGCTGAGGGGTGACACTTTTAAGATTTCTATATGCTGCCATTATAATGCCAAATAAGCATGTTATTTAGTATTTCTTGCTTTTGTTCTTGACTTCGAAACCATAAATAAAAATAATAATATGCCATATTTACTACAATAAACTAATGTAAGTCTTGAGTAATTTTGTAGTTAAACTTATTTAATTAGCAAATTAAACTGAGAGTTTGAGTGTACTCTTCTAAAAAATTACTATTATGTGTCTGAAATGAAACTTGGTCCTTAATTATGAGTACTTTGGTAGAATAATGCCCCCTTGGAATTTGCCATCCATCCCTCTATTCTTAGCATCCCTTACTTGATATATAGTAGATGCTCATCATATGTTTGTTGAATGTATGAACACAGGGTATTTAAGAACACCTGGATCAAATGTTGTATAATCATCTCATATTTTATATAGAATAAGTGTCTTTCTGGAAAATTAGTCAGAAAGCAAATTTTATACACACACACACACACACACACACACACACACATTTTTAAAGATATGGGGTCTTGCTATGCTGCTCAGGCTGGGCTTGAACTCCTGAGCTCAAGCAGTCCTCCCACCTCAGCCTCCCAAGTAGCTAAGACTATAGGCATGTACCTCTGTGTCCAGTTGCACATAATATTTTGATACCGATTTCCATTGTGAATTCTATGCACTTTTTTTTTTTTTTTTTTTTTTTTTTTGAGATGGGGTCTCATTCTGTCACCCAGGCTGGAGTGTAGTGTCATGATCATGGCTCACTGCAGCCTTGACCTCTCTGGGTTCAGGTGATCCTCCCACCTCAGCCTCCTGAGTAACTGGTGTCCACAGGTGCATGCCGCCATGCCAGTCTAAATTTTTATTTTTTTTTACTTTTTGTAGAGACAGGGTTTTGCCATGTTGCCCAGTTTGGTCTCGAACTCCTGAGCTCAAGCAATCCTCTTGCCTCAGCCTCCCAGAGTGCTGGGATACAGGCATAAGCTACTGCACCAAGCCTTTTTTTTTTAAGGGAATAATCTACTGTATATTTCTATGTTCTTATAGAAACATTTCTCTAAATATTCAACTATATGGATATAGTCAAAAACTTGTGAAAAGGAATGGAGATTACCTGTTGTATATAACAGGCATTGTACTTCCTGCCTAGCAGAAGCACTTTTCTAGCCTTAAGATTTTGGAATTGTTGATTTTAGGGATTTTGTCATCTTTTTGGAATTTCTGTTATGTCTTGATGTTCTGTCTTGTGACATTTAGGATTTTGACTTTAAGATTTTTGACTACTTGTAGATGATTGATTCCAAAGGCCCATGCATGTGTACATTTTGCTTAGCATGAGTGAAAATCCATCTCCTTTGGAAATGACCTGCAGGAATATGTAGCTCAGCTAGTAAATGAATCCAGCAGGCAGCTCAGTTTCATTGGGACTTTGTTCTTTATTATCACTGGGTAAACACTTTATGGGAGAAATTTTATGTTGGAGTAGTATTCATGAATTGGATGCCTTCATCTCAGATGTCAGGAGGTAACTCTCTTTGTAACATTCAGAACTTTGTTCTTTTCCTTTTATCTAGATATATAGAGTAGAGTAGAATAAACAGGAACAGGACAAGAACAGGATTATAGCTACAGTGTATTATCATGTGTCTGTAGGAGTCCTGCTAGCTAACTTTAGTTTTTTTTAATCCTGAGAACTCTTTTAGGCTAGGGGAAAAATAGGTGGGTGGGGAGCTAACATTTTTATGAATGTCTCTGCTGTATGCCAGGAACTGTGCTAGATTCATTGTACTTATTATTTCCTGTAATACCCAGAGCAAGTGTATGAGGTAGGAATTATCCCCATTTTGCAGATAAAATTGAGGCCCAGAGGAGTTAAGTACTCGCCCAAGTACCACTTATAAGTACCAGAATTGCCATTGAAACCCAGGTCTGTGTGATGCTAAAGTCTGTGCGCTTTCCGTCTTACCACTTTCTTGTCACTGCTTCCAGTCACTCATCCGTTGTTGAGGGAGTGATCACTGGCCCTGTGCTAGGCATTTGAGCCATAAAGATGATGATCTTGTGACCCTCCCACTCTAGTGGAGGTATGTAAAACCCCAAAAGCTCTCTAATGTACTAATTGGTTTTATTTAAAATTCTCTGTATAGAATTTATAAGAGAGAATATCTCTAGGAGTAATTTTCAAAGTATTACGATGCCCATTTGAGAACTCTGTCACTGTAAGTTAAAGTTTGCTTTTTTAACAACTTCATTTAGTAGGCAGGTTTCTCTGTTGAAAAATGTGGATGTCCTCCATAAACCATAATTGCATATATGTAGCATAAATATTGTTTTTTTATTGGATTTGTTGCAGAAATAAGGGCCTCTTTTGTTTAAATGGACTTGCTTTTGAACTGTGAAAATTTAATTGTGATAGTTTATTGGTTCAGCTCTGGAGAAGCTGAGGCAAAGCTATTTTGCTCCAGCCAGAGCTATTTATATACCATCACTGAGAGCTCCTTTTTATATTATTGGTGTTATTGTGTACTAAAAAAAGGAATGTTAGAAGAAAACTTAGAATTTTTTTCATTCTATGCCCTTATTCACCACAATGATATTTTTAGAGGTTATTTCATCTAGCTCTATCTCTTCAGAAAAGGCTTTATCTTTTTCACAGTAGTGGCAGACAAGAACTCAGCTTGAAGCCATTCCTTCTTAAGCTTTCTTTTTTGAAGGGTGAAAGGATCAGAGAGAGTGGAGCTCTGTGTGTGAATTGAGCCTCTTTGCCCTTATCCCCTTCCTGATCAACACATTTGCTTCATTGAGGGGAGAAATAACCATGAATTTAACCCCTTTTAAAAAAGAGGTGAAAATGTAAGACTGTATCTTTTAGTTTGTCTATGCAGAAAGAAAGTCTATGGTCTTAGAAGTTTATCCTCACTTCTGTTTTGCTTCTGGAGAAGATCATTATTCTGTTTAGCTTTCCTTTTAGAAAAGTGCTTTGCTGAACAGGGAAGGCAGGTAATCATTTATTGTTGCAAATATCTGCTGAATTGGATAAGAAGAATAACAGCACTATGGCTGCTCAGTGGCTGGAATTTGTGAGCTAAGAACTGGGGGACAAACTAAGTTTTAAAAGAACATCATACACTTCAGTGTCCTTATAGCAGAGCTAAGTTTGAAAACACTACTAGATTTGCAGCCCTGTAAGTGGAGTAGTTGAATCTCTGCAGAAGCATCTGATTTCAAGCCTACATATGGGGCCTTAACAACTTGAATGCAGATGGGTGTAGCCTCTGAGGCAAGATTCGCCACTTGCTCCTGGATCCTTTTAGGTGGCCACAGTCATAGACAGCAGCATGTCATATTTAGTACTGTTTTCCTCCAATATGGACATCTGTCTGCTTCAATATTTACCTACTCTCGGTCATCCATCCATCCATTCATGTTATCTTTGAAATAGTAGACTACTGGGTATGTTTCTTTTGGTTTATTACCTGCCTTCTGAAACATATTGTAATAATATGTGAGGTTCCATTTTTATTTTATCCTATAACATGAAACAGTATGTTTCCAAAGGTGTGATTACATAAGACCGTTTCACATAAAATTTAGTGAATTATGCACATCTTTGGATTCTGGGAGAGACGGGCTAGATGTCGGATTTCATGACTACAAATCAATTTGCAAAAGGCCATATGAAAGATAATGCTTAATATAATTCAACTTCTCTTCCATTAACATCTTGAACTGTGGTGTAAAGTTTTGTATTTTTATTCTAGAAATATAGCTGACATTAGCATTCAGGTATACAGTTCAGTTTATCTCTAGTGAAAAGTCTCTTAAAATTAAGTTAAATACAGCACAGAGAACATGGAAAATCAATAATATTTCATTTCTTTTAAGTAAGATCTTTCTATATACATTTGCTTGGGTTGCTTATAAATTTCTTTCTTTACAGAAGTATTTTATAATAAATGCCAGTTATAGATTTAACTGTAGCAAAAAATAGTACAGGTTCGGTAGTAGCTTTAATATATCAGGTAAAAAACTGCTTAGCTAAGTATTAGTGTAGGATAGTGGTATAGTCTCCTAAACGATATTTTTAAAATGTAGTAATATTAATAGGAGAGCATTTAGGAGCTTAACATGTGGAATATTATAGAATTCAGCCTATTGTGCTTTAAGATATTTAAAACATATTTGCTTATTGGTTTACTTATAACCCTTTACACAGAGTAAACATATTGTAAATATTTGTTGATGGATGTGAACTTGCTTCAAATTTTTTTAAATCTAATTACTCCCGTACTAGTGATACGAGATTTAATTACTTTAGTGTTATCCTCGTAGTCTAAAAATACTATCCTAATATTACCTACAGTTCAAAAGGAATTCTAGTGGCATTAGCAAGTGATTGATAGAACTGGTAAAAACTAATTTGTTAAAGTATTAGAAGTTGAACATTGGGCAAATTCACTTTTTAATAGCCATGTATGCATCAGTAAGTTTAAAAGCACCCTCCAGGGGTGTTATTTAGGAAACATTTTCTCTTTTTTCAGAAATAGCTAACCTGAGTACAAATTAAGTACTCATCAGGTTCAGCTTATTCACAAATGTGACCACATTGGCATTTAATGTGGCTGCCAAAGTAGATAGAATAATATTTTAAATTGTCTTCACCACTGAAATATGTAAACTGGAGAAAATTTTGCTTCATGAATATATGCTTGAGGATAAATGAAGGATGGATGTGGGTTATGTTGTTGTTAGGCGGTTTGTAGGAGGTAGGGCTCTGTAAAAGGCATTTCCTGCCTGTGAGATTTGTTTCTGCCTATGGGAGGTTGATGAATTTCAGAGTAAATTGGAAAGGCAGAGGCCAGTTAAGACTTTGGTGAATTATATAAGTGAAGAAAAATCAGCATTTAATATCTAAATGAAAATATGTGACTGCTTTAAAAACAAACAGAGCATTTAAATTAGTAACCTAATTACTTTATAGGAGATGAAAATATATGGATGAAACCCAGGAATCCTCCTCTTTATTAACCCTGGTGTGTTACTAAAAAATTATGAGTTGTTCTAATTGCTGGAAAAACTGTTGATTTGTTCCATTTGATTATCTTATTGTTTCACCTTTCGTAGTATGGGAATATTGGGTTAAGAAAGAGGGACCAGGGCCAGGTGTAATCCCAGCACTTTGGGAGGCCGAGGCGGGTGGATCACCTGAGGTCAGGAGTTTGAGACCAGCCTGACCAGCGTGGTGAAACTGGCACAATCTTGGCTCACTGCAACCTCTGCCTCCCAGGCTCAAGTGAATCTCATGCCTCAGCCTCTGAGTAGCTGGGATTACAGGCTCACACCACCATGCCTGGCTAATTTTGTATTTTCAGTAGATAAGGGGTTTCACCATGTTGGCCAGGCTGGTCTCGAACTCCTGACCTCAGGTGATCCACCTGCCTCAGCCTCCCAAAAATGCTGGGATTACAGGCGTGAGCCACCATGCTTGGCCCAGGATATTTTTATATGTCTAAGAAAAGATGCTTTTTTTTTGTTTCTGGAAATGATAATGACATTTGTCTCCTTAAATATTTCTCTATACTTTAAATAACGAAAGAGAAAGGCTTATCACATGTAGCAGTAACATTTATTAATAGCTTCATTAGGTATGGCCATAGTAGATGTTAACTTTTTGAATATAAAAGGAATGAATTTATTTTAGTGATCTAAGATTTTTGTAATTCCAACATTCTGAGAATTAATTTTATGAAGTATCCTAAAATTTAAAAATGATTATTCAAAAATTTTTAGGTGAGAATATAAAATATGTGTACTGGGTTGACAGAAGTGAAAATGTTTGTGGTCTTAAGTAGACTCATTAATAATTCATAAACCTAGTAGGAATTTTCCTCTTAATCTTTACCTAACAAAAGATGGAGTTAGTCATCTGTGTGCTTCAGACATGAAAAAAATTCCTCTGGGACTCAGTGTGGGATGAGAGTATCTTGGCCTTTGAGGTTGGGGAAGTGTCATTTCTTGCTGTCTCTGCTTGGGTACTCTGTTAGCCCCTGGCTGTTTGTTGTATCCTTAGAGTTTATATGTTTTTTCTGTGATTAGAGGAGCTCAGTGCAAATGGGTTTGTTTAGCTGCAGATGTAGTTGGGCAGATACTGATTTCAACACTTTTTAAAGGTCTTGTGAGGAGAAGAAAGTAAAATTTTAGGTCAAATAGTTGCCAACTTCATATTTACCTGTAACTGTTAAACTGCCACTTATATACATGTGACATTTGATACTTGTAAAATACATTTTTATTATATTTTCTACTATTGAATATATTTTATTTTTCAGAGTGGGACAATTTTTAGTTTTAGTTGCCTTTTTTTGTTTTGTTTTTGTTTTTGTTTTTGTTTTTGTTTTTGTTATGTTACCCAGGCTGGTGTTGAACTCCTGGGCTCAAGCTTGGACTATGGGAGTTGCTGTATTCTTTTAATTGAAGTAAGGGAATTGTTCACTTTAATGTTGTGTGATTTAAAGGAAATACATTTATAAACTACCTTTTCCTAAATAACTTGCATACTAAAGTCTGGCACATTTTTCTTGGTGTTGGGGCAACGGTGGTGAAGAAGACAAAGTCCTTGTGGTCAAGGAGTTTTTCCCTTGTAATGGGTAGTAATAGGCAATATTCATTTAAGCAAATACATGAGATAATTTCAGATTGTGGCAAGTATAGTGAAGGAACCAAAATAGGTAATATGCTGGAAGGAGACTGGGATTGGGAAGGAGATTGGCAGAGTTGGAAAGCTACTTTAATAGCAAAGTTAACAAAGGAAGGTGTCTTTAGCATTTGCCAAGAGGGACCACTTGGGGAATGATCTAGGAAATGCAGGGAAAGCAAGCACAAAGGTTTGAACACTAGAATGATTGGAAAGGAGGCTAATGTGACTGGTGTGTAGTGACTAGGGGAAATGATAGTCACTAGGTTGAGTATATTGGCTGGGTCACATTATGTGGGGCCTTAGAGATGAAGAGTGTGGTTTTCTAATAGTTACTGGAGGAAGTCATCAGGGGAGAAGCATGAACTGGTATGCTTTTGAAAGACCTCTCTAGTCTCTGAGTGTAGAACAGATTACAGAAGGGTGGAGAACAGGCAGAAAAATCATTTAGGATCTATTGCTGTGTCCAGGGAAGAGGTTGATGGCTACGAGGACCAGAGTGGTAGGTCTGGAAGTTCTGAGAAGAAGATGGATTTGTGATAGATATGTAATAGTGAAGGGAGAAAATGTGCTGGTTCTTTGCCTTTACTGAAATCCTGTGGCTTCTGATAGTTGTGGCAGCTTTGAATTTCACTGTATTGTGGCAAAGGAGAGAATTGGTCTTAAGGCACATGGATGAGTTAATTTAAAATGTAGACTTCATACCAATCAGATTTTTGTCTTATTAAATCTGGCAGTAGATATTTGATTTGTTTTAAATGTGACATTTTGTTGTTGCAGGAAATGTTTTCATATTTGTCCAACCAAATAAAGAAGTTGTCAGAAGCCTACAATGAAAGACTGTTGCATACACCTCACAATCCCATATCTTTAGGTAATTTCTTTTTTCCTAAAGAAAAACAAATACTTATGATCCACTCTAGGAGGAAGCTGATACTTCTAGAAGGAGAGAAAACTCTTTCTAGTTATAATGATATTTATAAATTCATCACAGTATTTTAATTTGTAAATTGAAAAAGTTTAGTTAGGCTTTTGAAATGCTCTAATGTATTTCTAAGATAAAGCCTATACACTGAGAGAATAAGAATCAATATTAAGTATTATAACAAAAATGCAGAAAATAATACTTAAAGTCCTGTTTCTAACCATAACTCTATTTATAAATAATTAAATCTTTCTCCAGGTCGGGTTTGGTGGCCCACGCCTGTAATCCTAGCACTTTGGGAGGCTGAGGCAGGAGGTCACTTAAGCTCAGGAGCTCAAAACCAGCCTGGACAACATAGTGAAACCTTGTCTCTATTATTTAAACTAAACAAATAAACAAAACTTTCTCCAGTTAACAAAACCCCAACATATCAGAAATTAAATCTTTTCTTATGTTGTTTTTAATGTCATTATTGCTTGTTTTCTTTAGCCTACGGATGTTAGAGAAATTTGTATTTATGATATTTTCATTTGTATATATAAGGACTGTGTTTTTATCATGTAATGTAGGGGCTACTAAAAACAATAATGTGAATGTTGACTTTTATGAACTTAATTATCTTTTAAGCTTCATAATTACCCCCTTTTAAATTGTGAATATATGTAATATAATGTTTCATATTTCACATATATCTGAAGAAAGTAAGGAAGGTGAATCATTTGTAGCTGAAGCCTTTTTTAGGAATGGGCTTCTGTGGAATACCATTTGAACACCAATATATAATAAAAACCACCCCAATTAGTCCTTTGCTGATTTATGATCTATGTAGATGTTATAGAAGGTGATATTGTGTAGCTTGAATTCCGAATCTTCCATGTCCTAGCCTCTGACCTCCTTTTCCCTCACATGCAAAATTGTTAAATGATTGGTTGAGATTGTGAAGCATCTAGCATGGCGAGTCCTTAGTAAATGGTAGCTACGAGTGGTGCTATGTATGCAATCCAGTTTACCCACACAGCCTCAGAATGATCATTTCCATTTCTATATGCAGAATTTGATCTTACTTAGTTTTATATATGTACTGAAATATGTCCCACATCCTCACTTTACAAGTTTTTAAAACTTGGTTGAATTTGAATAAACAGCCACACTGATCATGTTATTGTTCCATCTATTTAGTTGGAAAAATTTACTCTCCTGAAGGCTGATATTGGAAATTCTGTTTCGTATTTGGAGATGTTAATTTACATTAAAATATTTTTGTCTGATATATAAACAAATCCCTAAGATTTATTAAGTACATTAAAGTGAAATTGTGCCACTTGACAATGAATAAAAAGTAATGCCTTCATCATTATTATTGTTATTATTTGAGTGATTTTTATGCCAGTAAACCAAGGCTTATTAGGATACTTTTTTCTTTTTCAGCTATGACACTTAAAACACTAGATGAACACCGTGACAAAGCTGTCACTCAGCTTGGCTCGATGCTTTTTACCAGACAGGTTTCTGGAGCCAGGTAAGTATGTTTAAGATAGATATGGGTTTATTTGTCTTTTCAAACTTAACTCCAGTAAAATACCTTTCCTCAACAATAGTCCCCCAAGTATATCCTGAACTATACCTGCGAATTCATCATGGAGTAAAGAATGATGAGTTAGAGAATCTGTAAGGCTACTGTATGCCCACCTGTGGACTGCTTATGCCTGAAATAGTCACAAAAAGACATGAATCTTGTTTGTTTTCATAGATGTACAGAACCAAAGTTTTATTACCTCTCTACATAGATTTTTTTCTTTATTTCCTTTGTTAGATGATCTTCAGCAAGTCACATTATGGTATTAGAGATAAGCCATCTTCATCACTAAATTGAAGTGAAAGTGTTCTTAAGGAAAAGCCTTCTTCCTAAACTAAAAAAAAAGAGTATGCAATCCTTGCCTATGTAACTGCCTCAGAAAATTTTACTTTTTCCTCTTCTATATACATGGCCTGAAAAATGAATCTGATTTTTCATTTTAGATTTGATGAGGTCAGAGAAAAATGACTTGAAAAGAAATATCTTGCTGTAAATACTTTACATGCTTCTATTAAATAATTTTTCTGTAGCTACCGGAGGATAGAGATTTTATATCACAGGACAACTTTTTAAAAGTAAAATCTTAGATTAATTTACTTTTTACCTTGATGAACTCATCTATATACAATATAGTTTTGACACTTCTAAAATGGTTTTCTTGACATTGCTTTTAGTATTGCCACTATTTGTCTGTGTGTTTAGGTTGAGCCTAATTGACTTCTTTGAAAAAAACAAAAAGCTAAGCGATTAAACTATTAGAAATCTGCTTATATCTAATATGCCAGTGAAATCAAGCTTTAAAAATGCAGGTGCCTTTGCTAAATATTACTGTTTGCTGACTACCACCCCACTATAAACAGTTACATAACTTCTTCTGTATCTGTGCTTTAAAACTATCCATTGTATAGCACTGATCAGATAGTTAGACTTTTAGTTTGTTGATTATTTGAGGTAACACATGACAATTACAGTGGTTTGACTTGCAAATTTCAATATTTCAGTAAAGTGTGTATATATGAAGTCATATTCCAGATTTGGCACAAAACCAAATCATTTTCTTTTTACCTCTTTAAAGAAGATGTAGAGGTGTTTAAGATTCCTAGAGCTTCAGGTAAAGAGAAAAAGATACTGGCAAAAATAAAATCAAAAGAGATTCCTAGAGCTTATAGGTCTTTAATAGAAGTTAAGTAAACGATAATCACGAGGCAGGACTTTTTTATGTAAAAAAGCAGTGTATTATAGAATTTCATTTTAAAGTCGATACAGTCTATTTTTGTAGGCCATGATTTGTGGCTGTTTTAAACTTCGTAATAAGTGGATGTAAGGCTTTGTAACACATATCTTTTGTTTATGGGTGACATTGTGTTACCATTACCAGACATATTAAATTGGTAAATCTTTCTTCTTTCAGGGTTGTGCCTCTTGGGTCCATGCAAACTGTGAGTGGCTATACTTTCAGAGGCTTTATGTCACATACAAATAATTACCCTTGTGCTTACCTCAATGCTGCATCAGCCATCGGAATGAAGATGCAGGATGTGGACCTGTTCATAAAGAGACTTGACAGGTGTTTAAAGGCAGTAAGAAAAGAACGAAGTAAAGAGAGTGATGACAATTATGACAAAACTGAAGATGTGGATATTGAAGAAATGGCTTTAAAACTAGATAATGTACTTCTTGACACATACCAGGATGCTTCTTCATGACATGCGAAGGGTTTCTTCTTGATCATTTGAAAGAAATGATAAGGCTGTAGTACAAGCAAGCAGTTTAAAGATAAGACTTGAGATTTTTGAATTGAGAATTTCATGGGAATATTCAGTCAAGGAGCAGACTTTGGTCTGAACTAGCCATTGATGATTGTTAAGTTTCCCATTCTTAGACTGCATCAATCCTTGTGATCCTTAACAGGTTATAATATACAATTAGCATTTTTCTAATTGTTAGAATATCTGTCAATTAAGCATCATGACTCAGATAATTTTTACTAGTGTAATGACAGTAAAATTACTTCAATTCTCTTTGAAATGTAGAGTGCTTCCTCCTAACCATTCTTTACCGTTTCTGATCACACAGAATTGAGAAAGATCTCTTAGGCCACTAGTTACTAGTTGTTTGTTGAGATGTGTAAGTCACAGTGTGCCTGTAAAATGGGCATTCCCCAAGGAAGCAGAGTCAAGGTATAAACTTTCGTTTTGACTCAAAAGCAGTGGGTCTCAACTGGGGATGATTCGCTTATCTGAACAGCATCTGCAGACATTTTTGGTTGTCACAACTGGTGGGATGCTGTTAACATCTAGAGGATAGAGGCCAGGGTGCTACTCAACATCCTACAATGCATGGGACAACTCCCACAACAAAGAATTATCCAGCCCAAAATGTCATTAGTGCTGAGGTTGAGAAATACTCCTCTAAAGTAGATAAACTCCTTGAGTAAAGAGAAGTTTACCATAGCAACTTTCAGTAGTACTTCAAAGAAGATAGCTGTATAAATGTCATCAAACTATACTATATAGAGAATCTTAAGTGATAACCAGGGTCACGGATTCCAAACATGTCATTATAAATTGTTTTATATGGTGCTCACTGGTGCATTTTTCCTTTTGGATAAGGGAAAACATTATTCCACTTACTGTTTTTGCTTTAAGCAGCCTGCATATATTGGTTAGTTTGTTCAGATGTTGTGCACAGACATCATCAAAATTAGCTAACATGGGTATTTTTGAACATATTTTTGCCAGGAAGATGAAAATCACATAGTATGATAAACAGGTGTATTCCCCTCTACTTGCCCATGTGCTCATTTTTCTGAGTCTGAAATTCCAGACTTACTGGCTTTAACAATAATTTTTGTTGTTAATTTAAGAAATAGACTTACTTAAGACTATTTTAAGAAATAGAGATGTCATAGCCTGAAGATTTACTGAAGCTTCTGAACATGCCACCATGCCAAAGCTATGTTTCTCAAACCCAGCTCTGTGGATCATGTTCCTAAAAGATGCTCATGGGGAGAAAATGTTTACAGACAAATAATTTTGGGAGCTGCCTTTGCAAACCTGCCTGTTGGCATATTGAAGGCTCTAAGAATTCCTTCACTAAATAACCCAGTTTTAATATATCCTTATCCAAAGAGAAACTCATTTTTTTAAAGTGAAATATTTGTTAACAGCCCATTGAACATACTTTTAAAAACACTATGGTAGAGAATGCTGTGTTGCCTTCTGGGCTGCATTTTTCTTATTGATTTGGAATTGTAACCTATGTATGAGAAAGGGATTTTCTGGTATTTTGGTGACGTTGTACATTGTCCCAGACTGTTTGTAAACATGAGGTCAGACATGTGTAAGGTAGACGCCTATGGCCACTGGCTTGACCACCTTGGAAGTCAATGACTATTTTGAGATGAAGTATTTAACTATGAATATCATGAAGGTTATTTAAAAATGTATTTATTTTATCTTTGGGGTTCAAACATTAAAAAAATTTACATAGGTGTAGTAACTCATTTCAAGGGAATAAATGCTGGATTAAAAAGTGTAAATTTTTCATGAGAATTTGGGACTAAATTGCTGAACCAATAAAGCTGAAGAGTTGCAACCTCTAGAGTCAAAAAAGGGATTGAAATGTTGTTGCAAATGTAAATGCTGGCAGTGCAGCTTGCTATACATGTAAGCCAAAATTGTTTTATAGAACAAGTGATCTATATTGTTGTGATCATCATTTAGCTTAAGAAAGGCCAGAGCTGGGAGAGTAGCAAATGTTTTCTCATCTGCAGTGTATCAGCAGTTCTTGGGCTTCAGCTGCTGAATAGATAATAATTCTAATTGAACATAAATTACATGAACTCACATGTGAATGATAGATATGTTACAATATTTCATTCCTGATGCAGAAAATCAGCTGTGGTTTTTATTATTAACCCTTTCTTTTTCAGTGGTTTTGGAATTCTAGCTCTATTCCTCCTGGCTTAAAATTTGAGGGCATAGAATTCACAAGAGTTTTTGAAGAGTTCTGTCTATTCAGGCTTTCCTTTGTCCCCACCCTAGTGTCATTTTCACTCACTCCCATTTCTACACATAAGTATTAAAAAGGATGTATTTATTATAATTCGCTAGTACTGATTGGTAAGCCTCATAATTGGCCTTTGTTATCTTTGTACTGTGACGAAGGCAGTGGATGATACATTACCAATCATTGCCGAAGATAACCTCTTCTATCTTTTTGACCCAACTACCCTTATTAAAACTATCAGGTAAAATATTGGAGTTAGGTTTTTAAAGTCATTGGGCTGTGGCAGTGTGCTTAGAAAAGAAAATGGTGGAACATAGAATATTCTTTTGGTCACTACACAATGTGTTACTTATACATGGCAGGGAAGGGAATTTTAAATCAAACTCGCAGTTTGGTTCTTAGGTCCTCTGCTGATGAATTCTCGCTCTATCAGGGAATGATATGTGACGCCAGCCTTAGGAACCTGGTGTTCAACTGTAAATCTTTCTATTTAGCTTTTTGTATTAGTTGAATGAAGTTATAGAATATGAATTATTGAATACAGTTCTGTTCAGCCAATAGGCACTTGATATACAGAATGGTAAATTTAAATATAAATTAAATTTTTCTAATATTATGATCAGCACTTCACTGTGGTTCTGTGTCTTTAACCACCTCATAATAAGAACTGTTATTGAGGACTGGGCTACAGAATGTGCTTAGACTACATCTATGGCTTCCATAGATTTTAGTAAAATTTAAACAGATAATTTGTGTTTACTGCTGATGTTACTTTAATATTGAATTAGTAGTTCATCCTGAGAGTTATATTTCACAGAGGAAAATAACCAACAGCTGAAAACAACAATAATAAAGCTCTGGTGAGTCTGACTCATACTCGGAGAAAGTTTTTGGAATACATACACATTTGGTGCATATAAGAGTTGGGTTTCCTTTTCCCACTTTCTGAGATGTACTAACCTCTGCCAGACCCTTAAATGATTTTGTTATGTTTTGCATTTTTGAGGCCAACCTTATTTTGTAACTGAAAAAAGTCCAGTTTTGCATACACAGAAATTTGGTCATTTTAGAAGTCTCACAACCTGAATAATTTGATAATAATTGAATATGCTATTAACAGCTTTTTAAGAAAAGGTTCTATTAGTCAGTTTTTTCCTTGTCTGTCATATTATGTTGGTTAATGTCTCTTATGGCCAATCTTAGTAAACAGACCTAACACTCACTGCATCCTTTTGTGCCTTACTTTTTACTTTCCTTTTGCCCTTTTGGTATGTGCGCATGTAAGATGGTAAGTTTAAGGCTAATGAATATATGTTTGTAATTTCCTACTCACTACTCTGCAGTTAAAGCTAAGGCCTTAGGCAAAATCTAGAAATGTTTATATTGTTTTGTTTTTTATCAAGTGGTGTCAACTTGAGAAATACAAAGAAAGGCTATGCTTAACTGTATAACCGTGGGGGATTTTAGCCATGAGAATATGAAGCTGATGTCAGCCTGCTAACCTGTTTTACCAAAAGGAAAAGATGTTTCCAAAAATGTTTTCGGTGTAGACTGTTTAAAGATGAAAATAAATTATATAATTTATTATATGAAATAAATTTTTGATAAGTCACTGACAGTACGTTATTTTACCTAATCATTACGATAGATAAAATCTGAAAGTACAAATAACTGAACTAAATTACTTGCCCATTTTTGATTCAGTCATCAGTATCAGCTTGTCTAGAAATCAGCAAGAAAAGTCATACCTTAATGAGAAGCATGAGTCATGGCTGGGGGCTAAATTAAAACAAAAAAAAAAGGAAAGAGACGATATTCCAGCAATCATTTTGCAAAGGATCTATTGACTGTAGAAAGTACTTAGAAGCATTTAATCTTTTCTAAAAGAAATACTATCTTTTATTTGAAAATAGGTTAATATCACTTTCTCCTTTAGATTTCACATCTAAATTGTGCTATTTGAAGTTTGCAGGTAGTGGTCTTTGATTTGGAATTTGATCTCTGCACTGGTGCTTATTAACCATGTGAGGCCACATATTCAGCCTCTTTGAATCTCAGTCTCATCAAATATAAAATAGATACAACCTTATAGGATTGAAGATTAAATGAGACAATGTATGGTAACGTGATTAACTCGGTATCTATGCATAGAGTACTTACTTTTAATAACTGCTATTATGCTCCGCAAAAAGCTATACTGTCCTAAGTTGTGCTAGATTTAAATTTAAATGTATTCAGTATTATGTAGTTTATTCAGTGGAACTTTTTTTGAGGGGGAGTTATCAATGAATTTTGTCCATTTGCCAGTGGAAATTAAAAGTATGCAGTTGATTTTAGATGACCTTTATTTTTTATTTTCAGGGTTTTTCTATTTTGGCTTTTATGGATTTTCTTTTGTTTTGCATTTTTGAGAATTTTTTTAAACCCATATTTAAAGTGCATTGACTAATTACCTGAAATTTCAGGTCACAACCCAGGAAACATATACAGAATAAGTTCACATCACAATCACTTCCACATTGATTATATTATCTGACCAAAATTTATGGTATAATAGGCAGATCTACAGGCATGCCAGTTGTTCAGTATATTTAGCCCTATTCTTACATGATTTTGTAGTAGAATAGCTGATCATAGCTCCCAAATGGATATCTTTAGCAGACTTCTTTCCTCAACCCTGCACTTGTATGCAACTGCCTAGTCAACATCTTTTGCATGTCTGATAGACATCTCAACCTCCACATGACAAAGGTGATTGATTCCTTGATCTCCCCTGAAAACCTGTGATCTGAACTTCTCTTCAGTTGATTAGGCCAGAAACCTTGGAGTTATCCTCTACTTTTCTCTCTCACATCCTACGCCAAATCCATCAAGAGATCATGCTATATCTATGTACTAATTTATCCAGAATCAAGCCATTTCCCACCTGCTCTGTAACCAGCCAGTTCTGAACTCCCAGTGTTTCTTGTCTGGATTATGACAGTACCCTTGATTCCCCTGGTTCTACCCATGTCCGTTTACACATGGGGCCAACTTGGTTTATGCTGTTCCCAGGGAAAAAAAAAGTAAAACCCACAACCAACCAAACTGCTTTATAGATCCATCCCCATGGAGCCCAGAGCTTCCTAGGTATGTGACGCACACACAGCCAGAGTGATCCTCTGGAAACAGGTCCTGTCGCTTGTCTGTTCAAACTCCTGCAGTAGCTCCCATGTCACTCAGAGAATAAGCCCAAGGCCTTGCTGTGTCCCAAAAGGCCCCACAGCACTGGCCATCATAACCACTCCCCCTTTATCTTTCTGACCCAACTCTTCATCCTTGCCTGCTCCATTCCAGCCAAACTGGCCATCTTGCTGTTCCTCAAACACTCCAGGCATGCTTTGCCTTAGAGCCTTGCCTCAAGCTAGTCCCTCTGCCTGGAAACATCTCTTAACCCAGATGCTTGGCTAACTCACTTCCTTCATACTTTTTACCAAAGTTCTCCCTTTTCAATGAGCTCTACCTTGACTACCCTTTTTAATACGGTAGCTATCTCCCCCTCCCCCTACCCCCGGTTAACATTGTGTAAAAATTGTCTTAAAATTGAGGGTGGGGCCTCAGTTTTAGGGTTTGTAAGAATCATCTGGAGTTGTTAAAATGCAGATTCAAATTCACTAGGTCTGGGGTGGGGCAGCATCTCTAGCAAATCCCTAGGGCGTGCCCACACTGCTGGCCCATGACCACACTGAGGAGCAGAGGTCCAACATAGTTTGTCATCTACATATTTATTATGTTGTACTGTTTGTCTCTCCCTCTCTGGCTATAGCATAAACTCCACTGAAGCAGAATCTTCGTTTTGTTCACTCGTGTATCCCAAGCACCTAAACAGCACCTGGAACATGACAGACACTCAAATATTTATTGCATGAATGATTCAATAGGTATTATTAAGTATTTATATAACTATGTTTGAAATCCCATTGTATCTGATTGAAACTACTCAGTGGTTTTCCATCTCTCCTAGAATAGAGCTCTAAAAATTTTACTTGGGTGGTAGACACAAAGAGGTTCTGTTCAGATCTTGCACGGAAAGACTACCCAGCTGCAAGGAGTGTGCTTAGCTGACAGCCTCCCTACTGTTAGCTCCTTCAAGGTTAGCTCAAGCCTGTCTTTGAGCCAAAGTCATGGCCTTTAGCCAGTTTCTGAGCAAGGCGCAGATATAAGGGCCTAGCCATTTCCACCCAGTGCGGCTCTGGAGCTCCCTGCTGGGCTAGCAGACACTTGGTTGGGTCTGCATCACAGTCCGAGGGCTCCCCCTGCCCTGGCCTGCTTCCCCTCTTTTCTTTTTTAGGTGTTACTCCCCAATAAAACTTTTGCTGTCCTAACTTTGCCTCAGTATGTACCTCCCAGAGAATCCAACCTTTGATACCCGTGGCCAACAGAATGACCTACACCCTTCTGCACACATTTCTACTCATTCTTTTCTCCCTTGCTCTAAACATGTCTACTAAACCCAGTTGCATCCACTTGGTACTACTACAGTGACACCAATCGTCAGTAAGGTTCATTAGCCTCATGAATCTTTTCTGTGTTGGCTATCGCAGATTATGCCATTGTTTTCATCTGGCATCTTTTTTTAGCTATTTTATGATTTTAAATACTAACTACTGTTTTGAGGAATGGTTCATGACTCAATGATTTAGTACACCTTTGATAAGTGGTCCATATGCCGTGAGAAGGTGAATCAGTTGTTCAGTGACCAACCTTCAGGAAGAGGTTTCTCCTGGGCACCACAGTGATCACAAAGTGAGAGGCCAGACTTCAACCCTGGCTCTGCACTTAGTGGCTGAGTGATCTTGCACAAGTTACTTTTGACTCATCAGTAAAATGGGGATAATATCTCACAGGATTGAAATAAAGATCAAATGGAAGAATCTATCATATATAAAGTACTTAGCAAAAAGTCTCGTATATAGCAAGTGGTCTGACAGTAGCTATTATTAAATGAATCTTATTTAAAATTATTAAATGGTGGTTAAAAATAAACTGGAAAAGATCCTCAATAAAATAGCACCAGAAACAGTCTTTGTAAAATGTAGTTGTATTTGTTGGCCTATCTTTATTAAATCCTATTCGTTCTGATAAAGAAAGAAAACTGAGCCTGGAACTCTCTTCAGAGCGCTTGGCTTCAGTGGCCTTTTTGGAGGTGGCCACTCGCTCCCCTTCTCTTTTCTCCTGCCTGACTTGCACTGTTGGATTCATTTCTTTGTCTTAAGGCTTTTTAAGTCCTGTTAAACGCAGATGCCTCAGGAAATAGATAACTGCTATTTATCCTTATTCGTTGGTGACATCTTACTTTGGATGTATTTATCAGATGTTTCCCTAAGAGTGGGCTTTTTGTTAAAAAAAAAAACACACTTTTTATTATAGAAACTTTCAAGCATATACCAAAAAATATGATGACGCCTAGTATCCATTAATCAGCTTTGGCACATACCAAGTCCAGTTTTGTTTCACCTACAGCACCAGCCAGTCCTCCCCTCTATCACTTTAAGCAAATCTCATCATCATTTCTGGGTGTAGCTCACATTTCAATATGGGTCACCAAAGGAAAGGAGTCATTTTTGTTTTTTAAGTCACAATACCATTATCACACCTGAAAAATTTAACAATAATGTCTTGATGTTGTAAAATATGCTGTCGGTTTCATTTCTGTAATGACCTTCCTTTTACCCGTTAGTCAGGATGCAAATAAGATCCTAAGGGTAGATTTTAGTGGAAAAAGGGTAAGAGGAGGGAATCAGGAAGCATTAGGAACCAGTGACAATTACAGAAGTGCAGAGAGGGGAGATTGAAAGTACTT
This sequence comes from Homo sapiens, assembly GCF_000001405.40. Classification (NCBI taxonomy): domain Eukaryota; kingdom Metazoa; phylum Chordata; class Mammalia; order Primates; family Hominidae; genus Homo; species Homo sapiens. The sequence goes on along the minus strand of NC_000004.12, from coordinate 25,115,783 downwards.
GAGACAGTGTTTTCATTTTGTTTTTTTTTTTAAAACAACTTTCCCCTGGGTTAATAAAACTGGATTTACAGGAGATGTTTATGCCTCCACACAGGCTCCCAAAGGTCTTTCAGGATGCTGGAGAAATTATAATTTGACAAGCTTCAAGTTTTGCTGGTTATCGTGAGAAATGGACTTGAGTCCACATTGGTGTGTAATAATTCACTTTCAATGCCAACTTTCCCAATGTGAGGCTTTAAGTTAGAACCCCAAATAGGATTAGTTCTGTAATATGCTGGTGGTGGGGTGGTAATTGTTGTAGCTATATAGAGCTAACTTTTATTCTAAAATGGATTGAAGACAAAGCAAGCTATGCTGGGTTCCCGCTAGCCAGGCTCAATGAGCCGAGAAGGCAGAGCGCCATCTCAAAACCAGTGTTCAAAGGAAAGGGGGGCAGAGAGGCACCCCCGGGGTGGAGCAGAGGAGCTGACTGTGGTGCTCCTGGTGGAAGAGTCTCTGATGCGCTTCATGGATCACATGAGAGAGATGAAGGAGCTTTCTGGGAGAACTTGGAGCTTCTGACCAGATCAGAAGCTGAGAGAGGTCTATTCCCACTCCTCCTTCCAAAAAACTTGGTCATGGGCAATCAGTGGGGCCTTTACACCACAGTGGCAGAAGATACTTTTAGTTAGAAAACTCTCAGACAAACCAAAACAAACCTTACGTTGGAGACATTAACCTGGAAATGTAAGATCCAGAGTCCCTAGGAATCCATTAGTCTTATGAAATTCCCCATTTTAGCTCTCCCAGGTAATAAAGCAGATTCTGAGAATGGCAACCCAAAACCACACAGCCCCTTCAGGACGGTACTGAGGCAGGTCTCAGGCTGCAGCCAGCCACAGGCCCATGACGGCCAGGGGCAGGTCTGAAGGAGGTAGGGAAACCTTTTGCAAGACAAAAAGTTGATCCAGAAAACGTTTTCCCAGTTTTTGGATCAACTTTTCTTTTTTTCCCCCTATAAATTGCATCGATTTCTTCAGTTTCCAGTGCCTCTCACCACATCCAGTTGATGTGCTGTTCCGTCCTTGCCTGGTGACTCAGACCTTCCTGGGATGGGAGAGGTGGGGGTGGTGGCAAGCAGGAGCATTTGAACAGTAATCCCTGCTAACTTTTCTTGAAGGCCAGTAAAAACACTCATCAATTTTTATCTTCTAATTAAAAGCAAATGATCATTGTCTATTTTCCATTTATTCCCATCTATTTGCAATAAGTGTATTTTGGGCCAACTTGGTTTATGCTGTTCCCAGGGAAAAAAAAGTAAAACCCACAACCAACCAAACTGCTTTATAGATCCATCCCCATGGAGCCCAGAGCTTCCTAGGCATGAAATTGACTGACGCACACAGAGGCAGCAGGTGTGGGGCCACATGCCACTTGCCGCCTTTTTTTTTAGTGTGTGTTTATAATCAGTAAATGGCTGTAGATGTTTAAATGGTTGCCTAATACTGATGGAGAGCGGATGCCATTATAACTTGAACTTGTATTGCCATGCAGATGGTGGAAATAAACATCCAATTCTGCACAGAGTTTTGTTTGTTTCTCACTTTTAAAAGATCAGCTGAGTGTCAGGCATCCATGGTGCCAGCAGGGGGGCTGCGCCTGTGGGTGGGGAGCGATAGGAAAGCTGGGCTGCTGTCGGGTTCAGATTGGCTTTTGTGCTGACAGTCAAAAACAGCAGGTTCCCCTGTAAGTGGGAGGGGGTTCATGGCAGCAGTGGACTCCACCCCGGAGTTACCAGGCAGCAGCTCCAAATACCCCTTCACAAAATCAAAATGTGTCTCCACAAAACTTAGCTCTCGGGCTCTGCTGCCTCTCACCCTTCTCCATCGTAGAAGGATTCCAGCCCTAACCATGCCTGCTGGAACTCTTGCTACACCTTCTTTTCTTTCTCCCTTCTCTTTCTTAAACACCTTGAAAAATGGAGCTGGTTGGACACAGTGGTGACAACATCTGATTCGGTTTCACCCTCCTAGCGTCTCCTGTCTGTCCCTCGAATGCCCATTGGTCTCCTACATTTTGCGGGACCTTAGCAAATATTTCTTGAACAAATGATCAACTGATTTGTTCACACTCTAGAAATAACCAACAGGGTTTAATGATAGCCTAGTCCAGAAATATTTGTTTTAACAGATTTGGAATAATCACAGAAATGAATCTCCGTGAAATTTTGCAAATCAGTGAGCAGAAAAGAGCAGAGTGAATTTGGGGACAGGGAAGTCTTCCTAGTACCTTAAAATTGCCTCATGGAGGAAGCCCACACCTTGGGAAGAAGCCCAAACCTGGGAATGCCCTGCAAGCCATTTCTCTGGGACAGTGACACTGGCCCCAAATGTAAATGTTTTAAGAGATGAATCCATGCTTCAGGGTCAAAGAATATGCTCCATGGGGGAGCAAGGGGCACAGGGTTTATGACAAAGGCCATTCCCAACAGGCTTGGTCTGTTTTATTAATGAATCCTGCAAAAGCAAGGCAAACCCGCCCCCACCTCCTCCAGTTGGCTTCTTTCCTTTATACCAGCCCTCTTTCTCTGAATCATTTCCATTTCTGTAGAGTGCTTTCTGGATTACAAAATGCTTTCATGTACATTATTTTGTTTTCATCTTCTGACAGTTTTAGGAGCCAGGCAGGGCATGATGATTATCCTTATTTTGCAGTTAAGCCCCAGAGAAGTTTGGTGATTTCCATGGCTTGTCTTGTCTGGCGTCATTCTGAGGGTAAGGTCTGGAAACCCTGACGCTCACAGTTCTGATGCCAGCCTTGGAGCTTTCTTGGAACATTAAAACATGGGGTAGGAGCCTTTGCTTTAGAGCGGGGGTGGTCAGCAAACTTTTTCTGTAAAGGGCCAGGCAGTAAATATTTTAGGCTTTGCTGGCCGTACCATTTCTGTTGCAACTACTCGAAAGCAGCAGCAATCTGTAAATGAATGGGCATGGCAGTGTCCCAATAAAACTTTATTTATGGACACTGACATTTGAAATTCATATAATTTTCACGAGTCGTGAAATATTCTTCTTTGGTCCTTTCCCCCCCGCCCCACCAATCCTCTAAAAGTGTAAGAACTATTCTCAGCTCATGGGCCATGCAAAAATAGGCAGCTGGTTGGATCTCACTTGTGGGCTGTGGTTTGCCAACCCTCCTTTAGAGCTGGTTCTGCTGTTTATCAAGTGTGTAATCTTGGATAGGTTCCCTGGATAAACCTCAGTGTCCTCAGCTACAAGACGCGAAAAGTAAGGAGGAGTTCCTCCGTCAGGGACTGGGGGATGCGATGGAGTAACTGTGAAGTGTTTAGCATGATACTTACGTAGATCACTCTTGGGAGTGGGAGGTGTCATGATAAGATGATGCTGAGTCCCTTGAAGTTGTTTGTCCTCCCAAAATATACTGATAGGGGGTGCTTGTCACTGTGTAACAACCTCAGCCTTTTTTGCACTTGGTGCTAGTGAAAAGTTGAGGGAAAATCCAACCATGCCCACAGGACAGAAATACTTTTTTTTTTTTTAAACCAAAGAAAAGCCTTTTTACAAAATAGCAACTCATCAGGGAAAAGAAATGTCCGAACTAAATGAGAGCAGGCTGCACGTTGGACCTGCTGACATGAAGCCAGGGCAAGGTGCTTCCCCACTCTGGCCTGCGTTTCCTCCTCTGCATAAGGAGAATTTTGGATTTGGTCCTCTCCCGGGTCAGTCCACCTCTAACACTCTGTCATGCCAGGTGATAACCAAAATATCTAGATCCAGCATTCATGTCTGCAATGTTCTTGCTTTGCTAGCAAGGCCCCTGCCACCAAGAGGAGATCACACGTTTTCTAGATGTCCTTTTTTACCTCCCCACAGGGTCACTGGGGCTTCCCTGTAGGTGAGGTCCTTGGGCAAGTCTACCTCTCTACACCTCAGTTTCCTCATCTGTGAAATGGGGATAATAACAATGGTCTCAACAGCACGGGGTTGAGGGGAAAACGAAATAGGATGCTAGGTGCAAAGTGCATAGCATGGGACAAGAACTTTGCCAAAGTCAACGAAGAGCTCAGTGTTCTGCATTGGTGCCCGCCTCCATGCTCAGGTCCTCAAGAGACCCGTGACGGTCTTCCCTTGATCTTGGCTTTGGTGTTGGTGATGGCGGTAAGGAATCATCTAGTAGCCAAGTAGGACCTTTTATTCCTGAGGACTAATGAGACTGTGAACTTTGTGAATCCTCCACTCCTAGCAGCCAGAAGACTCAGCCCAGGCCAGAGGTCGTGGTCTGTGGGGCTCTGGTGGTCAGCAGAAGAGGCCAGGATAGAGCGAGACGGACAATGACCACGAGCACAGAAAGCTGCAGAGGAGCAGGATCCAGGTAGGAGCCAGAGTCTGTCCACTCAGCATGTGTGAACCTGGCCTAGATTTGCCCAAATCCAGCTCCCTGCTCTCCCCTTTCAGAAGCAGAAGCTTGTGACTTGGCACCTGTTTCCGGAACCCACTATGGCCCAACCTTCTCAGAAGATTTTGCACCTTGAGCCAAAGAGGATGCAGGGCTCTTGGGACCCAAGAGCCTGAGTAGGGCTTCTGCCCTCCCTCTCCGGCCTGAAGTTTCCCATTCATCAGCTGGAACCTTCACACCTGCCCAGAGGACTGCTGACTCGCACTGACGGTGGCCACAAGGTGACAGCTTGTGTCCTGTGGGGGTAGATGGTGATAACCATCTGGTAACCAAGCAGATGAAGTCCTGGGGTGATGAAATCTTAGGAAGTAAAGAAGATTGGTCTTGTCCTTAGCTATCCTCACTCCTTTGGAGCAAGCCCCCAAAGTCCCTGCCACAGCAGGCCCTGGGCATGGAAGGGATGACTGATGACAGTGTCATTGTCAAGGATGGGTATGCCAAGGATGGAAGAGTGGCTGCTTCTGCCTTGCACCATTCCCCTCTCCTGAGCCAGCCTCCTTCCTACCTTTTGACTCCCTCTCAGGCAGTAGTCACAGCCTTCTAGAGACAAAGCTGGCGCAAATCACAGGTCAGCTGGCCTGCAGGGCAGTGGGAACCCCCAGGGCGTGGGTGGAAAGGGCAGAGGCGGGCTGGACCATTTATCTATCTGTCTGAGAGTTACTGAGCACTGGCCAGAGACTGCTCATTTCTTCTCAATATTTCCTCCTGTCCCTTAGAATCCTGACTTTAACTGGGAATAATGCTGCCCTTCCCGGTGGGAATAACACTGCCCTTCCCAGTGGGATAAGCTTCCTAGCTGATGTAACCATGCATTAAGGTTAGGCCAATGAGATGTAAACTGAATTATTGTATAGAACTGCTAGAAATTTTCGCCAAAAAAAACTGGTATGCCTTTTTATGCCTCTTTGTGCCTTTTTGTTCCTGACACAGAATTCAGATGTGATGGCTGCAGCTTAAGCAGCCATCATGGACCATGAAGTAGACACACTAAACCTGCTGCAGGAGCAAGATGGAAGGAGTCTGGACCTCTGACAATGACAGTTTCACAAAACTTTTCCTGGGGTGTACGCCTCCAGACACCTCTTATTCCTGAGAGGCAGATAAACTGCTCCCTTTTAAAGCCACTGTTGTTTTGAGTTGATCTGTTACACATAGTCAAACCTGATCCAAACTCAAAAATAAAAGAAAAAGCAAAAAAACCTGATCCAAACTGATTCAAGTCCCTGCTGTGTGACAGACACTCTTCGAGGTTGTGGTGACCCAGCAGTGAGGATAGGATGGTCACCAGCACAGTGACCATAGTGCCTGCCCTGTACAGCCACATTCCAGTGGAGAGAAAGCTATATATGAGGAAACAGTAATTTTATGAAATAATTGGTGGCATGAAATAAAACAGGTGATATTGAGTGAGACACAGTTCTGAGACTGTCTCATTTATTAACTAATCTAATCTTCATATCAATTCTGTGAGGTGGTGACAATTATCATACCCATTTTACAGATGAAAAAGGAGGCCCAGTGGGTAGGTAACGCATAAGGACACATGCCAATGAGCAGAGGAAGCAGCATGTGACTCCCAACACTCAGCCTCCAGAGCTCACCCTCCTAGCAGCTTCCCCAACTGCTTCCATAGCAGGGTAGAGAGAGGAACCACTTCCCAGGAACTGTGGCCTGACCAGTGCTGGGCCCTCTAACTGACATCAGTAGTCTTTTTTTTCTTTTTTTTTTTTCTTTTTTTTTGCCCAGTCTGGAGTGCAATGACGCGATCTCAACTCACTGTAACCTCCACCTCCCAGGCTCAAGCGATTCTCCTACCTCAGCCTCCCAAGTAGCTGGGACTACAGGTGCGCGACACCACACCCGGCTAATTTTTGTATTTTCACTAGAGATGGGGTTTCACCATGTTGGCCAGGCTGGTCTCAAACTCCTGACCTCAAATGATCCGCCCACCTCGGCCTCCCAAAGTGCTGGGATTACAAGCGTGAGCCACCGTGCCTGGTCCTATCCAGTAGTCTTTATAACAACGCTATTCCCTTCAGGTGTGACCTTTCAACATGATGATCCTGGGGCGTGAGACTTAGTGGTGGCTGTCCCCAAGAGCACGCCTGGCAAGAGTACCAGCTGGAAACTGCATGAGCTTTCTGGGATGAGGCATGTGGCCTTTCTTCCATTGCCTTTTATTGGTAACAAGTAAGTCACAAAGGCTGGCTCAGTCTCAGGAGGAGGGGACACAGACTCCCGCCTTTCTCAAATAATGTATAGATTTGTTTAGAACCATCACATGAATCAGTGAGATGTGTGCTCAGTGATGGTCACTGGGTGGGGAGGAAGCAGTCGGAACACAGACATGGTAGCTGGAGCTCAAGCAACCATCTTGGACCATGAGGACTCCACGGACAGACACCAGGAGCCAACAGCACTGCACAGACAATAGTGACCATGCACAGTGAGTAGAATCTCAACCTGACACAGGTGAGTCCTAAGAGCTGAGGAGGCCTTGTGTTGCCCTGGGCATCAATACCAGTGGTCAGTGCTGGCTGGGTCTCCTCCCTGTCTATGAGAGCTCTGTGAGCTGCCGACCACGGCAGCAGCTGACTTGGGAAGCACCAAGGGGCTGGTCCAGGGCAGATGTGCCCAGGCAGGTGGAGGTGTCTGCTTGGGGCAGGGCCAGCCCTGGAGCTACACTGGCCCCTAGGTAGGCCAGGTCGAGTGAGCTGGTGTGATCACCAGTGGGTTGCTTCTAACCATTGACATCTTGGAGAGGGAGGTTTTGAAGTCAACTTTGCTTTATAGAAACCGGCCCAATTGCAGGACAGCTTTCTGGAGGGTCCCAAAAGTTGTGGAATTGCCTGAGGTCTGGGGAGTATGGACCAGGGCAGGAGAAACTCAGGGACTTGTTCCAAAAGTCTTCCAATTTCTCCCACAGCCGTCACCCCAACCACCACCTAGGAAACAGGAAACCACTCCCCAAAGAAGAGTCAACAGATGGTTCATGGAACAACAAACATAGGAACACTTGCTATTCAGTAAGGGCCTAGGCTTTTCCTATATTATCCTATGTTATCTCCTTTCACCTTCACAACAGCTCTGCAAGAGAATATCACTATTCACTTTCTACAGAGGAGGAGACTGAAATTCAGAAAGATGAAGTCATGTGCCTAAGATCACATGACAAGTGGCAGAGACAAGCCTGAAAGCCAAACCTACCTGGCCGTGAATCTTGTTTTCTTTTCTCTGCCCTATCCTAACCCTCACCTCTAGATATGGCACTGGGAGTTGGGCTTGGATACGCTCCAGGATCCTTGAGTGACAGCAGAAATATGTCTGCGGCTGCCTCAGGCCATTCAATAGTAAGCTCAGCTGGTTCCAGGACAAATCCTGTAGGAGGGGAGCACTCTCAATGCTTGGAGGCCCCATGGGGGTTCCACCAGACGCTGCCCAGACCATCTGCAGCCAGGACAGCAGAGGCGGGGGCCCAGCAGCTGGGAAAATGACTGTGGAACTATTTCCCAGAAAAGAATAATGGAAAATGGGGCTTATTAGTGGGGAAAAGTGAAGATTATGCAACTAAAGGACTGGATTTTCCATACGAAGGCTTCTCTCCCTGTCTCTCATTCTTCATCTTGCTTTGATTGCGAACAAAGCCCTGTCTTTTTCTAGACTGAGCAAATGGTTTGTCCTCAATGCTTTCTTGGGAACACTTGGCCCAAAACTCACCTTGGATGAGACCTGAGAACACAACAGCAGGGGAAAGGCTCTCGGCCCCGGGCATTTTGCCTTCTTAGACACAAAAAGTGTGAGCAGACTCCATCTTAGCATGGCTTGGGTTGCAGAGGCCCCATAAGAGAACCATGCTCCATGAACATCCTCCTAAGTCCAAAATCCTCTGAAAACCTAAAGTTTAAGAAAATCTGACCCAACTCCAACTACGTGAGGCTCTTTCTAGTCTTTGTTTATCCCACATTGTGTGAATATACATACCTTTTTGCTGCAGAAATGTCAATGTGTGTTTGTGTACAGGAGGCTGCCCTCATGTGGGTACAATGCCCCACAGTACCCTCTTTAAAAACCCCCAGATTTGGAATATGAAAAACACCTGGTCCCAAGAGGATCAGACCAGGAATTGTGAATCCATATCAGAAAAATGCATATTCTTCTTGTCCTTCTCTCATTCTTTCTTTGTCCTTTTTCTCTCTCTTTTCTCTCCCTTTTCACTCCTCCTCTTATTTTTAAAATATTCTGCTTCTTCTTTACCTTCCCTTTCTGCTTTTCATCTTTGTAGTTTTTGTTGTTGTTGTTTTTTGAGACAGAGTCTTGCTGTGTCACTCAGGCTGGGGTGCAGTGTTGCAATCATAGCTCACTGTAACCTTGAACTCCTGGGCTCAAGCAATCCTCCCCACTCAGCCTCCCAAGTAACTGAGACTGTAGATGCATGCCACTACAACTGGCTTATTTTTTTACTTTTTGTACAGATGGGGTCTTGCTTTGTTGCACAGGCTGGTCTTGAACACCTGGTCTCAAGCTATCCTTCCACCTTGGCCTCTCAAAATGTTGGAATTACAGGCATGAGCCACCACGCCTGGCTTCATCTTCGTAGCTCTTTGGCTCTCGTTTTCCTCCTATACACACACGATCGATCCATCCACCTAACAGATGTGTACGGTGGCCCCGGCATGTCGCCTGGCCATGCAGATACAATGGGGAGCCAGTGGGCATCTCCTGACCTTAGTCTGGTCCTGAGGGTGAGTCTAGCTGGGGAGCCAACAAGGAAAGAGACGATCTTCAGGCCATGCGATGGGAGGGAGGATGGGGGAAGCCTAAGGAGCTAAGGCAGGAAACACGTGGAAGGAGCACCTTACCCAGACTCGGGGCAGGATGGAGCCTAACGGGGACCTCGGAGGTGCCTTTATTTCCTCCCAGCCTCACAAGCTTTCCACCAAAGGCACCACAAATAAACACACTAGCATGTTATCCCTGCAGCATACCATCTCAACGCCACGTCCTGGCCTTCTCTTCTGCCAGCGAGCTCCGCCAGTCCCCTTTTCTGTAGGGCCACGGTCAAGGGCTCTGGAAAGGTTTCCCAAAAGAAGGGAATCTAAGAGGAGAGCTGGAGGATTTTGTTAACTGGAATTTTCTTTTTTTCCTCTTTATCATGTGATATTCAGTGTATTAGTTTCCTAGGGCTGTGTAACTAAGTACCACAAACTGGGTGGTATAATCAACAGAAGTGTATTACCTCATAATTCTGGAGGCTGGAAGCCCAGGTCAACGTGTCAGCTGAGCTGGTTCCTTCTGAGGCTGTGAGGCAGCATCTGCTCCATGCCCCTCCCTAGCTCCTGGTGGTTTGCTGGCCGTCTTTGGTGTTCCTTGGTTTGTAGATGCATTGCCCCATCTCTGCCTTCATCTTCCCGTGGTGTTCTCTGTGTAGATCTGTGTTCAAATTTCCCCTTTCTGTAAGGACGCCAGTCTTATTGGATTGGGCCCACTCAACTCTACTGTGACCTCATCTTAATTAATTACATCTGCAATGACCCTATTTCTAAATGAGGTCACATTCTAATGAGCTGGGAGTTAGAGCTTCAACATGTGAATTTGAGGGGACACAATTCAACTTATAATATCAAGTCTTTTCTTGGAGTCACAATGCTTCCAGGGGAGAGTCTTTGGTCCTTACCATCCAGCTCCATTGGATCTGTGGCTCCCAAAAGGACCGACAGGGGATGAGTCAGGAGGCAGACAAGGAGCCGGGTGGGCTTTCCCGCTGCAGAGTGAAGGAGGCAGCAGCCCCGTGACTGATGCTGTCAACCAGGGGGAGGCTGAAGGAGGCAGGGAGGCCAGGTCTGGTAGAGGAAGGCTCGGGTTCCATTAAGGCTGGGGTCAGTCGGGGCGCTAGAGCTATCTCAAAGGGTTTAAAAACAATTGTTTGATGCAAAACACTTGAACAGAAAAGAGAAAATCATGTCCCATAATTCCACCTGCCAATCATGAAGGACTTTGCAAGCTAAGCTCAAAAAAAGTGACAAGGAACAGATCAGTGTAGCATGGTGGTTCAGGACGGGGGTTGCGTGGCCGGCTCTGCCACTTATGAGCTGTGTGACCTTGGAAAAGTTACTCTCTTTGTCCTTCAGTTTTCTCATCTGCACGAGAGGGTAAACAGCTGTACCTACTGCATAGAGTTGTTGCAAGGATTCCTTGTGAGCCTATAAGCAGCAAGTGTTGAAGCCCAGAACAGACTATAACCACACTAAGTCTGCTTTTAGCTTTTTCAGAGAAGCTTACCTTTAAAGCAACTATTTAGGGAACAAGCAAACTGATCCTTCGGACCAGGAGGACAGTGAAAAAATGTCTAGTTCCTTTAAATTAGTACCATCCATGTCCAAAGCTCAGCTAAATTGCACCCCAGGACACTGAAAAACTTGCTGATATGGCCATGGAACTGCTGTGAGTATTCCCTGAGGAACCACGAGGTATGGCAGTGGCATGAGAGAGCCGGCGATGGAAAGAGCTTTTTTAGTTCCCTTTTAAGGAAAAAATGGTAAATTGCAGAAGTTCCAGATGGGAGGGTGTTAATCCCTTATAAAATTGTTAGGCAGTTTGGCACACTGGTAGAAGAAAAGAGTAAAAATCACCCAGGACTCTCATGGGCTCACTGGCTCTTTTGGGATGTGGTTAATATGGATTTGCAAAATGCTCCAGACCAGGTGGACCTTGATCTTGTGAGATGTTATCAGAGACCCTCACATTATCCTTTTGGACAGGAAGGAGAAGTGTGATCTGGCACAGATAGGTCGATTTGTCTTTGGTTGTAGGCAAAGGATGTTGAGTAACAATCAGTTTGAAAGGAAGGTCTTAAGAGTTGAGTCCTGGGTTCAAAGGTCTCCCTGTTGCCTTTTAGAAATGGATAACATCCTTCCCAGCACTGGATCGAATCTCCTCTCCCTCCCCACCCCTCTGAATATAGTTTTAATGTTTTCTTGTTTGTTTGTAGAAACACATTAAAATACTAACAACAAACATAGGATAATTTTGTATTTGCATTTTTTTTCTTAAATTTCACTCCAGTGGTGAAATGTATCATCAAAATTCAAGCCATTTGGTAATCATTTCACATTTCAGGGGATACTGAAGTCCTGAGTCTTGCTGATGAAGAACGAAGCTAGTTGGCCAATAGGCGTTCTTTTCTGCTCATGTTTTTTCACACACAAAACAAAACGAAACAAAACAAAACAAAACAAAACAAAAAACCACCATTTTCATGCTTAATATCAACTATGTGCCCAGCACTGTGTTAGAACCAAGAGACTCAGAATCATAAAATCAGAAGGAACCTGGAGATTTTTGAGAACAAGTGCAAAAGCCGTTTTCCTGATAATACAGGACTTGCAGAAGCATTCTCATGAAAGCTTTTGCTATACAGCCATCCTCAAAAGGTTTGCAAGCTTCCTTACCCTTTGTGCTGGGGTTTTACTTTTGAAATAAAAGCCGATCTCCTGGGAAAGGCCATAAAGACAAAATTGCAGTCCAGGCTTTTTTTTTTTTTTTTTTTTTTTTAAAGCAAGGAAGAATGTTCAGAGAGGAACTCCTGAATGATTATATTCATCCAACCTCTGGGAAAAAAACCAAATAACTCCCTTCCCCTCCTCCAACAACTACAAAACCAACTGGCCCCAGGATGAGGAAGGCTGGCTCGTGCCCTATCTCAGCCAGGCCCTTTCCTGGCCCTTGCTGCGGTGTGTGTGGTGGGCCCAGCTGTGTACACTGTACCCGGCATTTCATGGGGAAATTTGTTCTTGTAAGTGGAGTGGAACAGAACATGGATCATAACCGTGACAAGCCAGGAGCTGACATCCCCCAGAGTTTCCCAAAGCAGCTGCTTTCTGTTCCTTCATAGTACTATAAAGTGTGTTTTCTAAAAATGATAGGCCAAATAAAAAAGAGAGCTTCTCTTCTTCTCATCTAGTCCATTCCTCACCCCTCACTCACTTCCTTTAAGTCAGATCTCAGTTCCATCCATCAGGAGCTGGCCGAGATTGTGTAGGTAATCTAAAGGGAGGTGTTTACTGAAACATGGGGTCGCCCCAAGCTGCTGGGAGTTTGGGAGGTCAGTGTCACATGGTTTTTGTACAAATGCCTGAAACTGCTTTACAGAAATAAGAGCTTCATCCCATGTGATTTGACCAGTGGCTCTTGATCCTGGCTGCCCATTTGTAGTACTTTGGGAGCACTGAAAAAAATCTGGTGTCTGGGCCCCCACCCCAGACCCAGTGACCCAGATCTCTAGGGGTTGGCCTGGATCTCTGTAATTAAAAAAAAAAAAAAATCTTTCCACTCTTTCTTTCCTTCCTTCCTTCCTTCCTTCCTTCCTTCCTTCCTTCCTTCCTTCCTTCCTTCCTTCCTTTCTCTCTTTCTTTTCCTTCCTTCCTTCCTTCTTTCTTTCTCTTTCTTTCGTCTTTCTTTCTGTCTTTCTTTCTTCTTTCTTTTTTGAGGCAGAGTCTCGCTCTGTCACCCAGGCTGGAGTGGAGTGGTGCGATCCGAGCTCACTGCAACCTCCGCCTCCTGGGTTCAAGCAATTCTCCCTCCTCAGCCTCCCCAGGAGCTGGTACTACAGATGTGCACCACCACACCTGGCTAATTTTTGTATTTTCAGTAGAGATGGGATTTCACCTTGTTGCCCAGGCTGGTCTTGAACTCCTGACCTCAGGTGATCCACCCACCTTGGCCTCCCAAAATGCTGGAATTTATAGGCGTAAGTCACCACACCCGGCCTCTTTCCGGGTATTTCTGAACCACTTAGGCAGCAAGAGCTCGGAGTTCAACATCTGAGAGACCTGGGCTTGAAACTTGATTTCACTGCTGACTTGTGAGGGGGCCCTTGAGAATGTTTCTTAAATTTTTTTTTTTGAGGCAGTTTTCTCAGCTATAAAATGAGAGATCATAGTAACTACCTTTGAAGGTTGAAAGGATTAAATACAATGTTAGTGCTTGATACATGGTAAGTGCTTAATAAACATTGGATGTTAAGATGATTATCATGGTTTTGAAGCACTGCCAGGTGCTTGTGGATTTGGACTCATGCTGTCTGTCTCACAGCCTCCTCCCTGTGCTGTGGGCTGGATTCGAAGTAACCAGGACCCATCTTCTCTGTTTCTCTGCTCTGCCCATGAATGTATTGGGCTTCAGTCTCAAACTGAACACAGGACCGTGGCTCCACTCCTATCACCTCTTGTATTCAGGATGAGAGCAGAAGAGTGAAAATACCGCAATAGCCTTGCAGTGTATAATTGGCTCCAGTGGTGTCATTGTTCTTGACCAATCTCCCTGGCAGTGAGCGTGTGAGGCTCTGACTGGCTTAGGACTGCATCACATGGCCCATCTAGAGCCAGTGATGAAGTACAAACTGAAGAGTATGGGCTGGAGATTGGGGAGGGAAACCACAGTTGGGTTTAGTGGATGCTGGGGCAAGCACCGTAATGCTTGCCTCCTACAACCTGGCTCACCCATTATTAGTGATAACTGTGCAAATAAATAAGACCACTTATTACAGGAGTGGGATGGGAAAGAAGATGTTCAAAACCCTGTGCTATAGCTGAGGCTGATATCTAGCTGGTATGCATCAACAGGGTGCATTGGCCTGTGTCTACTCTGTTGGTTGCCATATTGCTTTTTAATTCTTTCAGTATTTCCTCTGCCTATAAGTACAATGACTTCCTGGATGCTCCCTGTACAGATTCTAATCTCTCTTTGTTTATGCTCGTCCGTCTAGCTGGTGTCATGTTCCTCCCTCTATGTGCATGTGCACCCATCCAAATCCTACCTACTCTTCAAGATCCCACTCAAATCCTCCTTTCTCAGAAAGCCCTTTGCTCCCTCACTTCCTCCTCTGACTAAAGGAAATGCATTCAGGTTTCTAGCACTTTCATCTATGTCTTTTATAGCATGCATCACTTTCAATCTTGTACAGTTATTCTAGCACATACCATTGCTTTCACTACAAGCCTATGACCTTCTATAGGGCTAGGTTTATTCAGCTCAGTGCCTTCATTATTGTGATGGTTAATTTTATGTGCAATAGAGACTCGGAAGGGTGAGGAGGTGGAAGAGGGGAGGATGAAGAGAAATTGATGAATGGTTACAATATACATTATTTGGGTGATGCGTACCCTTAAAGCCCTGACTTGGCCACTGTGCAATTTATGCATGTAACAGAATTGCACATGTACCCCATCAATTTGTAAAAATAAAAAGGATAATAAGCAAATAAAATGTTATCTGTCAACTTAGCTGGGCCATGATGCCCAGCTATTTGGCCAAATATTTTTCTGGATGTTTCTGTGAGGGTGTTTTTGGATGAGATGAACATTTAAATCAGTGAACTTTGAATAAAGCAAACTGCCCTCCATAATGTGGGTGGGCCTCATCCAATCAGTTGAAGGCCTGAATAAAACAGAGACTGACCTCCCATGAGCAAGAAGGCACTCTGACAGCAGATGACCTTTGAATTCAACTGCAAATTGGCTCTTCCTGGATCTCCAGCTTTCTGGCCCACCCTCCAAAATGTGGACTTGCCAGCCTCCATAATTTTGTGAGTGAATTCTTAAAATAAACCTCCCCCTTTATATATGCACATCTTATTGGTTCTGTTTCTCTGTAGAATGTTGGTGAACATAGTTACCTAGTGGAGTGCTTGGCAAAAAGTAAGTCTTTGTGGATAAGTGAATGAATGAATAAATGAATAAACAGATCCTTATGGCCCTTGGGTGCTCTGGATCTAAGGAAAAGCCTGCTTTTTTAACTGCAGCTGATGGGATTATGAATGGAAACAGGCTTTATAAAGGGTAGAGCTTCACACAGATGTTTGTGGTTACAATTGTTACTTCTCCCACCACTGTTACTACCTCGATTGTGGCTACTGGTTCTAGAACTTTGGCCACTGCTGGCCTTCAAGTGGTTGGCAGATCTTGCCCTCATGGATAACCTGACACCTTATTCCAAATAACCTCCACCCCACCCTCTTTCCCCAGCTGCCTAATACTGACTTGGTCAACTGGTGTTTAATTTCCTGTCTCCCTCCCCTATCTGGGCCACACCGTTTGAAGTCGTGCCTGAGTTTGTTGGAAGAAAGCCATGAGGAGGGGGCCTTCACTGTTTTCTTTTTCATGAGTAAATCATGCATCCATTGAAGAACTGAATGAATTAGCAGCTAGACAGGGACTTTTTGCTAGTGTGTCTGGTGGTAGGAGAAACCAGTTCTCCAAACTCAGTGTTTTTGTCAAGACATGTTACTGTCGCCACTGAAAAGCCTGTGCTGAATGAGAACAGTTTCTGAAACCAGTAACAAGCCCCAGATGAGAAATTGCCCCAATTTACTGGAAGTCCAAACAGCTTGGCTCCGAGGAGTGGGCTGGCACCACATTTGAAGAACAGCTGTGAGATCAATTTGGGTATGGGTTTATTAGTCATGAGCTGGGTTTGGAAGGGTGTCTATGGGGAGAAGGGTCTTGGACAGGGGACACAAACTACTGTGAATAATCCTGACAGCCACATGTATCACTCGGGAAGATTTCACTGCCTCAGCTGTGCCTCATCAGTTGGCCAGTTCAACGAAGCCTCAGTAGATAAGAAAGAACAACCCAGGCCCAGGGCCAGCTGGCCAAATCCCAGCCTGGCGTTGGGCCCGGGGTTGATGATACATATTGTCAGATGGCAGTCCCAGCCTCTGAGATTCTCACGTTGGAAGACAGAAGCCCAGGAAGGTCATGGAGCACTTGTCAGGTTACAGGAGACCCATGAGTCTTTCTGGGGTACAAGTGTTTCATCTCAGAACACAGCAGGAGGACAGCAGCCACAACAAAGGGACAAACAGTTATCAGATCCCCACCATGTGTCAGCCCCACTCCTAACCTCTGTGAACTGAAATCCTGCAGGGCAAATAGCACGCGAGGCAGTGTGAGGAGTATCAGGATTCCCAAGAGGCTGCTTCATCCTCTGAGGCTGTTAGCATCCTGGTTGGGCTTTGGTGCTGTTTTGCTTTCTCTTTCTTTTCTTTTCTTTTCTTTTCTTTTCTTTTCTTTTCTTTTCTTTCTCTCTTTCTTTCTTTCTTTCTTTCTTTCTTTTCTTTTCTTTCTTTCTTTCTTTTTTCGTTTCTTTCTTTCTCCCTTTTCCTTCTTTCTCCTCTTCTTTCTTTCTCTCTTTCTTTTTTCTCTCCTTCTTTCTTCTTTCTCTCTTTCTCTCACTTTCTCTTCTTTCTTTCTTTCTTTTGCTCGTTCATTCATTTGTTCTGCTTGCAAAGATAATGTTTGCATTCCGGCTCCATGCTGTTGTAGAAAATTCAAAAACAGAAAGGTAGAAGGAGGAATGTGCTGGAAACAAATTATTTGAACATTCTGACATCTAACAGATGACATCTTCGATACCTTTCTCCTATGTATATACTCACGTAGACATTTATATGTAATTTTACATAATGAGAATTTTTGGTTTCCTAATTTGCATTTTTTACTTAGCAATGTCATACAGAGCTTCCTCCAACGATAACTATAGATACACACATCAACTTTTTATATTATTATTATTATTTTGAGACAGAATCTTGCTCTGTCTCCCAGGCTGGAGTGCAGTGGTGTGATCTTGGCTCACTGCAACGTCTGCCTCCTAGGATCCAGCAATTCTCGTGCCTCAGCTCCCCGAGTAGCTGGGATTACAGGCGTATGCCAACACACTCAGCTAAATTTTGTATTTTTAGTAGAGATGGGGTTTCACCATGTTGGCCAGGCTGGCCTTGAACTCGTGACCTCAAGTGATCCACTTGCCTCAGCCTCCCAAAGTGCTGGGATTACAGGCATAAGCCACCATGCCTGGCCCACCTCAACATTTAAAATTTTTAAATTTATTATTATGATGATGTATTTTTTGAGACAGAGTCTTGCTCTGTTGCCCAGGCTAGAGTGCAGTGGCATGATCTTGGGTTCAAGTGATTCTCCTGCCTCAGCCTCCTGAGTAGCTGGGATCACAGGCACCCCTCACCGTGCCCAGCTAATTTTTGTATTTTTAGTAGAGACGGGGTTTCACCATCTTGGCCAGGCTGGTCTCGAGCTCCTGACCTTGTGATCCACCTGCCTCGGCCTCCCAAAGTGCTGGGATTACAGGCATGAGCCACCATGCCTGGCCTATTTATTATTTTTATAGAGACGGTGTCTTGCTATGTTGCCCAGGCTGGTCTTGAACTCCTTGCCTCAAGTGATCCTCCCACCTCAGCCTCCCAAAGTGTTGGGACTGTAGGCGTGAAACTCCAAGCCTGGCTCACATCAACATTTTAAATGATGGCTTAATTTTCTGTTACATGGCTGTGTCAAAATAAATGGACTCAGACACCCATGGATGGACTCTTAGGTTGTTGCCACTTTTTTGCTCTCAGAGACCCCAGCAGAGTGATCCTCTCTGCACCCATCCACTCGCGGACATCCTCCTGCCGTTTCATTTCTACTCCGTGCCTAGTACCTAGCACCTGCCCTGTGTCTGGTAGGTTCTCCATAGATGTTTGGGGAATAACTCAAGCAAACAGCTTCATGTCCTCGTTCTGTTATCTCCTTAGGAAAAGTACCTAGAACTAGAATTTTGGGATCAAAGGGAACAGACATTTTAATTTTGGTCACACATTGCCCCCTTGCCTTCCAGAACAGTCCTGCCCACTTAACGGTCCTCCATACGTTGTCGGAGTTCCTCCTTGCTCCACCGCAACTGGGTCTTCTCCTTTATTTCAATCTCTGCCAATCAAATAGGTTCGATGCTTTATACTTAAAGCTCCATTTATCAATTTGAGTTAAAATTATTCGTCTCCTTTCTTTCTTTTCTTTACCAGCAGCTAGCCCAGAGCCTGAAGTAAGGGAAGTACTTAATAAATATGTAATGCCGTTGCTTAAGAATGTCTGTAAAGCCTGTCACCCTGCTAGGCTCCCAAGGACATGCAGAGAAATATGTCATTGTTTCTGCTGCTGGCCACATGGAGACTTGACGTGTTATCTTACATGGTCGGCGCCCACCTTTGGAAAGAAACAATGCTGTGGGAGGGAGAACACAGGAAAATGAGAGTCCCCCCATGGCGTGGGTTACAGAGGGCGTGTCCTGGGAGCGGACACAGTGTCTAAGGTGGAAAGGAGGAAGCGCGGAGCAGTGAGACCTCCCTCAATGAGGCAGACACTCCCTCACTGCATTTGCGGTTGGCATCCTTGCCTCACCCCTCAGGGAGAGATTCCATGAAGGAGGAAGGGACTCTGTGCAGTGGCCGTGGTTTCTTAACCTACAGCTGAGAACCACCTGCAAGAGAGCCCTGAATGAATACTTACTAAAAATGCATTTTCCTGTCTTCACCACAAAGCAAGTGGATCGGAGCTCCTGAGATTGGGCAGGTCCTGCCACATCCATCAGGAAATTCCTTGACATGGCGAAACTTGGGAGCCATGGCTCGGGGCAACACCTACCTAGTAGATATTAGAGTGAAACAGAGAAGGGGGATTTAGGGTTAGCATCAAAACAAATAACCCGTTAGTCCAGCACCCTCCCTGCCCTTTACACCCTCACATCAGCCCCTCTGTTCTGGTGTCAGGAGGCGAAATCTCTCTCCCTGGTTCTTGTGTAATCTCGCTGTGGGAGAACATTCTTTGGTCTGCGGGATTTAGAGAACTGGCTGAGTGTGGCTGCTGATGTGTCCGTACCCCTGCCGCCGTGGGAATGTTCGTGGCTAAGTTGTCCGTAAAATGCGAAATTCTCTTGGGATTTTTCAGGATTCTCAGGGGAGGACTTCCATTTGCCTACTCAGTGGCCGCAGAGGAGAGCACACTCTTGCTGCTCTGTCTGTCCGAGTGACA
Organism: Homo sapiens; assembly: GCF_000001405.40. Lineage (NCBI taxonomy): Eukaryota > Metazoa > Chordata > Mammalia > Primates > Hominidae > Homo > Homo sapiens. The sequence goes on along the minus strand of NC_000004.12, from coordinate 25,096,464 downwards.
GTCCTCTTGCCTGGGACGGGCAACATCGCCCCTGGGGGAGTTGGCCAGGGCAGGCCGTTGGAGGCAGTGGCAGCTGCTGGAACCTTCCCAGGTAGTTGCCTCTAGACCTGAAGAATGGGCCTTCCCAAAGCGTGCACTGTGGAAAATGCAATTTCTGCTTCTTGCCTCCTGCGGCTTCAACGGCTGCAGAGGTAACGCCCGGAAGAGCTATGAACATGTCAGAAAGCAATCGAGGCGACTAAATCCTGGCTGTCACCGCACAGGCGCGCCTAAGTCCCGATCTTGCTTTACCCACGGTCTTGGCTCAGGCCCCCGCTCCTGATGGAGCACGGGATGGGGGGTGCAGGGGGAGCTGTGATTTCCAAGAGGCTGCCAGATGGCGGCGAGAGGCCCGGCGCACACATGTCACGCCGAATGACAGCCTCGGAAATGATGCAGATGGAGCAGGAGCCCTTTAGCCACAGTGGATGGCATTTATGCAATTCATTGAATGCCTAGGCGGGAAGTAATGCTTCCTGATAACCCGCCGGAACCGCTCACTAGAGCTCTGATAGGCCGAGACCAGCGCATTTCCAGCAGCGCAGGGCTGGTGCAGTCAGCATATGGGGGTAATGTGCGTTGGAACCATCATGCCCTGGAACCAGATAATGCAGTTGCTCTTGATGTTGCTGACTTAAGGCCAGATGAGTGGAGGACAGACGAAGAGCAAACGGCTGTGCCCAGGACCGCCCACTCCTCCGGGTTATTTTCTCTGCCACCTCCCACCAAGAGGACACTCTTCCTCTCCTTTAACCAGCGAACCCACCCCCACCTTCAAGAAGCTTTCCCGGATTTACCAAGGGCAAAAGGCCACCTGCCCTTTCCTTAGGATCACTTTTCAAACCAGGTAGTTTCCAGTACTAGAATCTCAGTTGTTTTACCCACTGACTGCGTGGCCTTGGGCAACTCTCCGGGCTGCTGGGGAGATGGAGTGAGGTAATATGCAAAGAATGTAGACCTGGCCGGGCACGGAGGCTCACGCCTGTAATCCCAGCACTTTGGGAGGCTGAGGCGGGCAGATCACGAGGTGAGGAGTTCCAGACCGGCCTAGCCAACATGGTGAAACCCCCTCTTTACTAAAAATACAAAAATTAGCCGGGCGTGATGGTGCAGGCCTGTAATCCCAGCTACTCAGGAGGCTGAGGCAGAATTGCTTGAACCCGGGAGGCAGAGGTTGCAGTGAACCGAGATCGCGCCATGCACTTCAGCCTGGGTGACAGAGCAAGACTCTGTGTCAAAAAAAAAAAAAAAGAATGTAGACCTGTGCCTGGAACAAAGGAAGGCTCATTATTAGAATTATTATACATAATATATAATCCATATGTTATTACACATATTACATATACACATATTATAATATATAATATACATAAAATATGTACATTGTATATATAATTTACCTGTATATATGCAATTTAGTATACCTGCATGCGTGCAATTATATATTGTAATATATAATCCATATGTTATATACACATATTACATATACACATAATATGCATATACATAAAATATGTACATGGTATATATAGTATATCTGTGTATATGTATTTAGTTACATATAAGTTACATATTAAGTTACAAATTAAGAAAAAGAAAATATAAAGGGAATGGAAATCCCTTATTATCTGTATTGGGTCATTTTCGCATTGCTATAAGGCAATACCTGAGACTGGGTAATTTCTAAAGAAAGGGGTTTAACTGGGTCACGGTTCTGCAGGCTGTACAGGGAGCATGATGCTAGGATCTGCTTGCCTTCTGGGAGGCCTCAGGAAACTTACAATCATGGTGGAAGGCGAAGAGGGAGTGGGCATCTCACATGGTGAAAGCAAGAGCAAGGAGGTGGAGGTGCCACACTTTTAAATGACCAGATCTCTGGAGAGTTCACTATCATGAGGACAGCACCATCAAAATTGTGCTAAACCATTCATAAGAAATCCACCTCCATTATCCAATCACCTCCCACCAGGCCCCACCTTCAACAATGGGGATTCCATTTCAGCATGAGATTTGGGCAGGGACACACATCACTGTATCACCTTCCTTCTGTCCCTGGGGGGTGGGGGACAGTGGTTGTGGGAGAAAAATGGCACTAGAGAGAGATTGAACAGGTCACGTAGCTTTTCCATTCCCAGCAGCCATGGCTGGAGTGGGTAGCTCTAGGAATATCCAGACAGGCACAAGTGTACTAGAGCACACAGAGCTTGCACCTTTTCCACTGGGTAGTCAGGACTCAGGGGAGGCTGCAGGCCCCAACGCGGCTCTGGAGCGATGATGAGAAGCAGAGGAGGGAAGGGGAGCTGGCTACCACACAAGCCTGAGGTGGTGCTTTCCAGCTTCCTGCCCTCTTTTGTTTTGAAAAAACCAAGCCCTGAAGGGAGAGAAATTGCTTTTTTTCTAAATTCCTTCATTTCACTATTTAACATAGGCCAGAAAACAGGCAGTCACAGGAAGAAAGGGACACAGGCTGCTGGTTAGACTGTGAATTTTCTAAAGAGCTGGGTTTCTCTTCTGCCTCACAACCCAGGGTACACGTGGAGAGACAGAACTTGGGGGAAGAGAAAGTGAGCCTTCAGCCAGCAGTGTGGAAGCCAAGCCCAGATGGAGAGGCCCAGAAGCCCTGGAGCTCAGGCCTGTCCAGTGGCCTGCATGTGGAGCACCAGGAGGGCCAGGGTTTGTTTCTCACTCTGCTTTCCTGAGCTGCGTGGGTTGGACCCAGAGGTTCCAGCAAACCATGGATAAGGAAACTTGGAAGCAAGCTAAGTGCCAATGCATCTGCCAGGGGCAAGGAAGGCAGTCAAGGCCAGCGGGTAGATGCAGAAGTGTTTTCTCAGCTGCAATCCCACTCCTGATACCCCTTCCCTGCTCTCCATTGAGGAGAGATCTCTGATTTTTCTTTCAGGTAGTAGTAGATAGAGTCCCAGGGGTAGAATGATGATTGACCTAGCCCATCATGGTAATCCCATCCTCCTTTGCTAAGGATTAAATTTACCAGCCTCTCTTGCAGCTAGGTGTGACCATTGTTTTAGTTCGGGCCAATGAGATGTAAAGGAAAGTCTGTTGAGGAAATTTTGAGAAAGAGAGTAAGAGCAAGCCAAGGAAGAAGTTCTGAGAGCCAAGGAAGAAGAGATGCTGACTTTCTGCCTTTGAATGTAGCCATGATGTCTGGAACAAAAGCAGCCATCTTGCTACCATGAGGTAACAAGCATGAGGATGAAAAGACAACCATCCATAGATGGCAGAGTAGGAAGACAGAAGTTGGATCTTTTGCAAGAAGATCTTTTGTTGAGAAACTAAACCAAAGGCTCTAGGCCTTTTCTTGAGTAAATTGTAAATGACCTTATGGTTTAATCCACCAATAGTTGGGTATCTGATACTTGCAGCAGAGTGTATTTTTGTTGATATACTAAGTATTAGGGTTCAGTCAGGAAAATAGAAACTACATCTCTTTTTTATTTTTATTTTTTTGAGACAGAGTTCTGCTCTGTCGCCCAGGCTGGAATGCTGTAGTGCAATCTCGGCTCACTGCAGCCTCCACCTCCAAGGTTCAAGTGATTCTTCTGCCTCAGCCTCCTGAGTAGCTGGGATTACAGTCTCATGCAACCATGCCTGGCTAAATTTTGTATTTTTAGTAGAGAAGGGGTTTCTCCATATTGGCCACGCTGGTCTCAAACTCCTGACCTCAAGTGATCCACCCACCTCGGCCTCCCAAAGTGCTGGGATTATAGGCATGAGCCACCATGCCCGGCCACATCTATTATATTAACAGAGATAGTTTAATACAAGGAATTGGCTGAACTGAGTATTGAAAAGGCAAACTGGGACCACTGAGATCTCAAAGAAGTAGTAGCTGAAGGAAGCAGCTTCCATCCTTAAGACTGGAGAATCAGAAGAGGTCGGGGTTATGAGGACTTAGAGGCATGGAGGAAGTGCCCTGTAAAGCTGGTATCCAGGCTGGCTCTGGAAGGGTGGGAAAAAGCTGGAAACAACTGCTGCTGCAAGGCTGAAGGCTGGTGCTGAGGCTGTGCAGATGGGAACAGGAAGAAAACAGGAGGAAACAAGCTCCTTTTCTCTGCTCCGCTGCCTTCCGGTTTCCCCTGAGAAAAAAAGAACTTTTATCTGAGGAATGCAAGTCCTTTTAAATGATCAAGCCCAGAGAGACAAGACAATGAGACAGCACTCTCATCCTACACTTCACTTTGAGCTATGCATTCATCTCTTGAAACTGCTTACTATTACCACAAGAAGCTGTAAATTAACCCAGTAATGCCACACCAGACACTATAACCCATACCCTGTAGCTTCACAATGTATAGCCAATCCCTAATTAATGTTATTTCTGTAAACCAATGAGGATTCCTGACAGCGTTGTAGCAGCCCACTGCCTCCGTGTCCCCTTCTTTCCTTTAAAAACCTGCTTTTAAGAAAGGCAGAACGAAGCTCATAGGCAAGGTTACTTGGGTCTGAGTCTTCCAGGCAGCTGTCCTCACTTTGGCTTAAGTAAACTCTTTAAATTACACTTCATGCCTCAGCCTCTTCCTTTCAGGCCAACACTCTCAACCAATAGAATGTGGCAGAAGTGACAAGTAGGTAGGCTCCGGAGCCTGGACCTTGGAAGGCCTTGTGCTTCCCTCCTGCCCATCTTGGAATATTGCCCTGACATGGCCCTACCATGAAGAACGAACAGTGAAAGACCATATGGAGAGAGATGCCCAGCCCAGAGAGCCAGAGCCCAGCTGCCTCACCAGCTGCTAGCGGAGTGCAGCTGCATGAGTGAGCCCAGGTGAGTCCAGCAGCCAAACCACCCAGCCAACCGCACGAATTGGGAGAACTAAATGTTAGGGTTTGTTATGCAGCGATAATAGATAACTGACACAATGTACAATGAAGACAAGAGTCAACTAAGGCAGAGCACCCAGCAACAGGACTTGATGGTGCTAGGGCAGATAGGAGGGGAAGCAGGGGAGGAAGAAGGGGCAGGGACAGGTGAGAAGGAAGGGCCTGGGTCTCTCTTCTGACCTTTTATTATTATGACTATTACTTTTGAGACAGGTCTCTCTCTGTCTCCCAGGCTGGAGTGCAGTGCTTCGATCAGAGCTCACTGCAGCCTCAAACTCCCAGGCTCAAGTGATCCTCCCACCTCAGCCTCCTGATAGCTGGGACCATAGGCACGCACCACCACACCTGGCTAATTTTTAAATTTTTTTGTAGAAATGAGGTCTCAGTATGTTGCCCAGCCTGGCCTCAAAGTCCTGGACTCAAGTGATCCTCCCACCTCAGCCTCTCAAAATGCTGAGATTACAGACATAACCCGTGGCACCTGGCCCTGACCTCTTATTATTGAGGCTCAATGAAACCACAGCTGTTAGTTGGTTTCTTTGAGCAACAAACCCATGACAATGTGGCTCCAAAGCATAGTCCAGTCCTGCTCCTTGGAATGCTGTTCCCTGGCTCCTCATCTAATTTTATGCACCCTAATCCTCAGCTTCTATTGTCGTGTCCTTAAAGCAGTCCTTCCTGACCCTCAGTCAGGACCCTCTATATGCTCTCTGAAGGCACACTGAGTTTTCCTACAGAGCACTCATCTAAATTTATAATTATTTATTGTTGTATTTCAAAGGATCCAGGCCCACAAAACCAAAAGAGCTGATGCGTCAAGACCCTATGAGACATGATGAGTAATAGCAGTAATAGCAGAACTTCCCAGTCCCTCACCCTCCGTATGAATTTCTTTAGATCATTGGTTCTCCAAAGGTGGTCTGGAAATCAACATCACTTGGCATCATCTGAGAACTTGTTAGGAATATACATTCCTGGGCCCTAATCCCAGTGATACTGAATCAGAAACTCTGGGGATGGAGCTCAAGCAGTCTAGGATCTGTCCTGGTGATTTTGATGATACTAAAATTTCAGAACGACTAAGCTAGACATCAGGGAGAAAGGTGAGTTGCGGAAAAGCAAGGAATGAGATGAGATCCTGAGACAAGATAGCCCTATGCCAGGTCCCTCCCTGCCTGGTGTGCCCAGAGGAGGAGGGTGGTGTCAGAAATGCCCAGGAGGTTTGGAGGGGATTGGTCTGAATACACAAGGATCTATGCCCAGTTTCCCAAAGAGATCTCAGATGAGGCATGACTGCATGCTGGACCCACAAAGCCACCCCCTGGCCCACTGTCAACAGGGCTTTGGGACATGTCAGGGAAGACCACTTAAGTTCCTCCCGAGGATCATTCAGACGGCCAAGCCAGAAAGGCCCAGATCTCTGCCCTCATATTTTGCATGTTATTATTATTATTATTTGAGATAAGTCCTCACTCTGTCATCCAGGCTGGAGTGCAATGGTGCAATTATAGCTCACTACAACCTCTAACTCCAGGGCTCAAGCGATCCTCCAGCCTTAGCCTCCCAAATAGTTGGGACTACAGGCACAAGCTGCCACACCTGGCTAATTTTTTAAAGTTTTTGTAGAAATGAGGTCTCACTGTGCTGCTCAGTCTGGTTTCTAATTCTTGGGCTCAAGCGATCCTCCCACCTCAGCCTCCCAAAGTGCTGGGATTACAGGTGTGAGCCCCAGTGACTGGCTGCCTGTTATATTGAACAAAACTGAATTATGGGGGAACCCCATAAGGTGTTTTTCCTGGTCAAACTTCAGGCAAATTGGGAGCTGCTCAGCAAATCTTGAAGACCTATGGTCCAGGGAGATATCCACTGATACCCTGAATTCATCTTCCAATTCCTGGGCACAATAATAAAATCTGCTATTGACTGGCCTGACAGGCACTTTTCCTGCATTTTATCATTTAATCCTCACTATGCCTCAGTGAGGGAGGGACTACGATATCCCCATTTAACAGATGAGGAAACTGAGCTTCAGCGGTGTTAGGTAACTTCCCCAGACCCATTCAGCCCGGATGCGGCAGGGCCAGGACTTGACCCCACGCCTATCTCTCCCCAGGGTCTGCACTGACAGCCTGCCTGTTCCACTGCCGGCCTCATTATTTTTTGGAAACACATTTCACACTTTTCTTAAAGAAGTAGCAAAATGAGCATCTCGGCAGAGAAATACACAGTGCGCTGCGCTGGCTCAGGAGGTGGAGAGAGGGTCAGAGGCTTCCCCTGCAGCTGGTAGGCTCAGCTGTGGACTCCGAAGATGATATTCATTCTCTCTCTCTCTCTGTCTCTGTCTCTCTCTCTCTCTCTCTCTCTCTCTCTCTGTAGTCATCCTTTGCTCCAAGCACCAAGGCTGAAGAGCATAAACAGCAGGCAATGCATCTCCCCGAGTTTATTTACTAAAACAACATTTTTTATTACCAGGACATGTTCAGAGCGAAAATATGACAGCCCACATTTTATGTCGCCATTGATCTTTAATCCGAGCCTGCCTCGAGGTTTCCTATAAAATCAGGGCTTCCTGGTCCCAAATGTGATTCCCGCACCCGAATGAATGACGGCCGGGGCTGCTCTTTTCTCATCTGAAAAGGCTGAAATTGCTTTGTGTAAATGGGGAGAAAATGCTGATATTTGGATTCTATAAATATCTCGCCTCCTGAGCGAGCAGCGCCGGGTTTCATCTGTGCGGTCTCCTTGGAGTGTTTGGGGCCTTATCACTTGTATCCAGGGTGCGGCATACAAATGAGCCCCCGCCCCGCGCGGGTTTGGAACATTTGGGCGCATCTGCGGTTCCTGAGCGGGGATGCTGCGGAGCGAAGCAGGACGTGGCCCACGAGAGCGGCGGGGGCTAGAGATGAGCACGAACCTCGCTTTAGGGGAGAGAGCCGCGCACAGCCCCTGCCCCCCACTTCCATTTGCAGCCGGCGCCTGCCTGCGTGGGAGAAGCTTCTATCTATAGCGCGCTATTTTTAGCTCCATCATCTGAGGAACCTGACAGCCAGTTAATGACTGGGACCCATCGCGGCGTGTCTGCCGCGCTGTGGCATTCGCACGCCAGGAGCAGATGTGCTGAGGCTCAAGGTTGTTGCATCTGAAAGTGCCCTTCCTTCCCTGGGAGGTGGGGCTGTTTGAGCAGGCCTGTATCAGGGGGCGTCGCCCCCCACTTTCTGACAGTCCTCATAGAGCAAGGAGGGGGCATCTTACTCATTTCTGCTGCAGTGAATGTCTTCTTCCTGATGCACGCCCTGGCCCCCCTTCCTAGACAGCGCAACCTGGAGAGATGGAGGGGACAGGGAAGGCTGGGTGGCAGCTCTGAGCGATGACAAAGGACTCCTATTGTATCTTGGGGAGATCGGAAACCTGGGAAGATCAGGGCACAGGCACCCTAGTTAAGAAGCTGTAATTTTTCCCCAAGGAAGGAAAATTCTGTGTTTCAGAGATTTAATGCCTTTCAGAGAGGCTGTACTCTGTGTTGGGCTGAACCCCTGATTTTATAGATCAGGTATTCTCAGAGAGGCCCAGCGACCTGCCCAGGCCCACAAGGACTGACTCCCTGCTCCACGCCCTCTGCACCTGCTGAACCCAGGGCCAAGTTACAAGTCAAGGGGCTGGTTATACTCAGTGAATGATCCCAGGGATGTGTTCGGTGTTTGTGCACTCATTCATTCTTTCACTCCTCCTACATACTTGGACCTGGGGTGGGCTGACTGGCTGAGTACCAGGAAATCAGACCCAGAGCAAGGGGTGACATGGAAAAGCCAGTGTCACGGTCCCTGCTGGGAAACCTGGGAGAAAGTCTTGGGTTGACAGTTAACATCACAGATGTGCCTGGGGAGAGGCCCTCTGTCAGGCCTCCTGGATAACATCAACAGCCGACATATGCAGCAGGTAGCGCGTGCCAGGGCACCGTCCTGAGCGTGTTACAAGGATCAGCTTAGAGTCCTCACTGCAACCCCTAAAGTTGGTATGCTGTTATCACCCGCATTTTGCAGGGGGAAAAAGAGAGGCCAGAGAGGATAGTGACTTGTTTGAAGTTGCCCAGCTGGTGAGTGGAGGGTCTGCGATTGAAACTGGGGCCACCTGGCTCCCTGTTCACCCCCTTAACCATTCTTCTGTACTGCATCCAGGTCAGGGCTATCTGACTTGCCTCACTCAGCCCAGCCCTGCTTGAACTTCCAAACAGGCTCCCTCACTCTCAGGTTCCCCTAGAACAGCACTGTCCAGTCACAGCACTCTCTATGATGGTGGAAATGTTTTGTATCTGCACTGTACAAAGGGTAGTCACGAGCCACGTGCAGCTACTGACTGTTTGAAATGTGGCCACTATGACCGAGAAACTATTTTACTTAATTTCAATGTCAATAACCACATGTGGCTAGGGACTAGCACTTGAACAGTGCAGCTTTAGAAGGCCGGCTGCACACTTTAGTCAACTAGGGAGATTTGAAAGATAATTATGCTAGGACCTATTCTCAGAGATTCTGATTTTGGTTGTCTGGGGTAGACCAGGGCATCATTATTTTAAAAGGGCTCCAGTTGATTCAATGTACAATGAAGTGTTGAGAATCACAGGGCTCCATGAGATCCCAAGTCCCGCTAGCCTTGTCTGCCCTGTAGTAAGCCACCCTCTGTTCATACTGTGGCGGATACTGTAAGTGACTCATTCAACACTGCTCCTATTCCTTTTATCCCTCACCTTCCTCTACTACAGAGGCTAGAAAGCTAAATACTTCATATCTCTAATGGCCATGCAGCTGGAAATGCCCCTGTAACACTGCTCTGGCCAAAGAAACCTAAGCAGAATTCTGCTGGCTGTGTCCCATCAGCCACCTTCTTCCTGCCTAAGATGAAACCAGGTATCTAGTGTTGTGGCAGCCATGAGGGAAGACTGGAAGAGTTGCAGTCAGTTTGCCTTGATATCATGCTAAAGACACAAACCCAGCAACTGCCTGCTTCTAGACATTTTGTTTTGGAAAACAATAACAACCTATTTCCTTAAGTCATTCTAGTTATATTTTCTGTTTCTTACATTCTGAAGCATTTCTAGCACAGCCATCTTTATTATCCTTGGCCTTGAGATTGTTCTAAAGACCAAACATGTTAATGTATGGGAAACCACTTTGCAAACTGTAAAGCACTCAGTGAATGGACAGTGTTTGGAATTGGTCTGGAAACACTGCCAATCTCTGCTTTATGTAATGAATCTAAAAGCAAGAGCATGAAGGCCGTACTATTTCAGGGTGAGCTGGGGAGCATTTCCAGGAGGATTTTGGTGAAGGGAGATGCAGAGTCCTGGGAATAAGATGATCAACTTGTCCTAGTTTGGCCAAGACGTTCCCAGTTTTAGCACTGAAAGTTCTGTGTCCCAGGAAACTCCTGTGTCCTAGGAAACTCCTGTGTCCTTGGAAAACCGGGATAGTTAGCCACCCTGTCTGGAGCATGCAGCACAGAGATCTACCAGCCACTGCAAAACATCTGCTTTTGGAGCAGGTTGCTAACTCACCCCAAAAGGCCTGGCCACTTCTTACTGGGAAATCTATCAGCTGATGCACTGTGAGCCAGAACTTACTCTACTCAGCATTTCAGCTGTGGTTGCTGGTCATGAATTAGTGGCGCTTTGAAATGTTCACACACTTCCTTCAAAGCCTCCATTTCTTTTTTTCTCTAAGTAGGAGGAAGTGTGTGGGAATCTGCCACTCCTGGGGAGCAGGGCTGGCCCGTGGGCTAAGTGCCCAACTGTCTTGCGCAGTGCCCTGCCCAGAGCCAGCCTCCAAAACACACGCTGCTTGGTGGAAAGGCACCAGGCTGGTCTTTGGCTCCAGTCCTGTTCCCCATCCCCAAGGTGCTGCATCTGCCTCTGGGTCACCCCCCACCCCTGCCTCTCCTCAATTTCATTCTAGCCGGAATGACTCCTTGGCAGTAATTATGCTCACCCCTTTCATCTGAATGGCATGTTTCCGTTTGCAAAAGAATCTCATGCCTATTATCTCTTTTGATTCTTCCAATAGTCCTGGGAGGTGCTTATTAGTCACTTTATCCTCGCTGCTGAGGAGGTTGAGGTGGGAGGATCGCCTGAGCTCAGGAGGTGGAGGCTGCAGTGAGCCCAGATTGCACCACTGCACTCCAGCCTGGGCGACAGAGCAAGACCCTGTATCAAAAAAAAAAAAAAAAAAAAAAAAAAAAGACTAAAAGCCCTTTAATAATAATAATAACTAACAGCCATGTGCCCAGCACTGTCCTAAGCATCTGTTGATTCTTCTGGTCCTTGAAGTCTGTGCTATTTTTCACTTCCATCCACAGATGAGGAAACCAAGGCACAGGGAGGCTAAATAACTTATTTATTGTCTCACAGCTAGTGAGCTGGGATTATAAATCCAGGCTGCCAGCTCCAGAAGGCATGTTTCCAGCCATGCACTGTCCTGCCTCCATAGACATCCTGCTGAAGAATTCCAGGAGCTGGCAGCACAGGGTAGTTGGAGGGCCTGTGTGGATCCTGCATGCCGTCTGTGCTGTTCCCATCAAGTATGAATTTATTTTAAAATACCATGCTTCCTGAAATGACCATGATGCCCTGGCAGGATTTGGGGGGTGTGTTAATTTCCTGATGCTGCTATAACAAATTGCCACAAACTTGGGAGCTTAATACAGATTTAGCTTCCGGTGCAGGAGGTCAGAAGTCCTAACTGGGTCTAATTAGGCTAACATCAAGGTATTGGCGGGGCTGTATTCCTTCTGGAGGTGCTAGAGGAGAGGCATCCTTTGCCCTTCCAGCTTCCAGCGGCTGGCTGCTTTCCTTGGCTGTAGCCTCTTCATTGTCAAAGTTGGCAGCATCTTCCAGTCTACGACTCTGACCTCCTCTTGGTAAGGATCCTTGTGATTAGGCTCACCTGGATAATTCGGGATCATCTTCCCCTCTCAAGATGCTTGACTTGGGTTAGTCGCGGTGGCTCATGCCTGTAATCCCAGCACTTTGGGAGGCTGAAGCAGGCGGATCACAAGGTCAGGAGTTTGAGACCAGTCTGGCCAACATGGTGAAACCCCGCCTCTACTAAAAAATACAAAAATGAGCCAGGCACGGTGCCACGTGCCTGTAATCCCAGCTACTTGGGAGGCTGAGGCAGGAGAATAGCTTGAACCCAGGAGGTGGAGGTTGCAGACAGCTGAGATCGAGCCATTGCACTCCAGCCTGGGCAATAGAGCGAGACTCCATCTAAAAAAAAGATGTTTGACTTCATCACATCTGCTAAGTTCCTTTTGTCATGTAAGGTAACATATTCATAAGTTTTGGGAATTAGGACATGGGCATCTTTGGGAATGCCTTACTCTACTTACTGTAAGGTTGAGGCAGAGTTTGAATCCCAGCTCTACCATGTGATGCCTCTGTGCCTCAGTTTCCTCCTCTGTAAAATGGGGGATGATGAAGCTGCTGGACATACCTCCCTCTGAAGATTGTGAAGGTCAAAGGGGATGATACATGTTCAAGTGCTTTGCAAAGTTCTATGAATGTATAACTCCTTATTATTGAATAAAATAGTACTCAAAGAGAAAGACTGCTTCAGGCCAGCCCAGGACCAGTTAGAAATACTTGCCTTCTGCAGCCCAGAAAACTCAGCTCCAAGGTTACCCACTATAACTTTTGCTTCCATTGCCAGACCTGAAATGTGAAATAACTGCTCTCTGGCCATTTCGCTCAGTGAGTCTCTTCTTTTTGACCAGAATCAAAGTCAAAGTCATGGAAGAGTCCTTTCTCATGTGGGGCTGCATCAACTGAACACTCCTCCTAAGGGAGGAGACCACCCCTCATATTGTCTTATGCCCAATTTCTGCCTCCAAAGAAAGAAGAAGTAAAAACTAAAAGGTAGAAATGGAATCCACAGGCAGATTGCCCAGTACCACACCCTGGGCCTGGTAGTTAAAAATCAACCCCTGACCTAACTGCTTGTGTTATCCATAGATTCCAGACATTGTATGGAAAAGCATTGTGAAAATCCCTGTCCTGTTCTGTTCCATTCTGATTACCGGCGCATGCAGCCCCCAGTCACGTACCTCCTGCTTGCTCAATTGATCACGACCCTCTCATGTGGACCCCCTTAGAGTTGTAAGCCCTTAAGAGGGACAGGAATTGCTCACTCGGAGAGCTCGGGTTTTGAGACGAGTCTTGCCAACGCTCCCAGCTGAATAAAGCCCTTCCTTCTTTAACTCGGTGTCTGAGGGGTTTTGTCTGCAGCTCGTTCTGCTACATTCCCACTTCTGTGAAGATTTAACTTCATGTGGGAACATCTGCTCAACGTGCTCCTCATGCCCTTCCCCTCCTCGCAGTCCTGTGTTCTGGGGCAGAGTGAGGAACAGCAGCGGATGCAGAATGAAGTCCATGCATCTTCTCTTTCAAGGGGCTGGCACTCCAATGGGGTGAGGCTCTCTTGAGGGGTCACCGGGGAAGGCATCCAGCATGACATGGCATGTTGCACCACAAATAACCAAAAGTACTTTTCTCAGTCCTTTCCACAAAATATCTCACTGAATCCTCAGAATAACCCTAGGAGGTAGTTATGGTCATTTTCCCCATGTTGCAGATGAGAAAACTAAGGCTCAGAGAGGTTTAACTGCTTGCCTGAGGTTACACAGCTAGTAAGTAGCAATACAGGTGTCTAGAGGCTGTCACCATTACCCTTTACCACCGCTGTGGTCTCGTCTTTCTTTCTTTTCCCAACTCAGGGACATTTACATTTTAACAAGACTCATAGGCCTTAACAACTACATAATAATTATGAAAAAAAGAATATAATGATGGAAATATTAATAATGCATGAGACCAAAGAGGAGAGCTATAAAAGTTCAGAGAAGATTCATAGGTAGAAGGAAACTGAGAGAAGATACTGCCGTGGGCTTTGCAGGGGGTGAACTGTGTGGTGCAGGAGAGGTAAGCCACCTGCGGCCAAGGCTTCTCCAGGCCAAAGCCGTGAAGTTAGGCAGGTTTGGGGGCAGTTAAGAATCCTGTTAGATTGGAGTGGAGAATTTGTAGCCTATGTCGGAAAGTGAGGTTAGTCCCACTCATTCATTCAACAAACATTTACGGAATGCCTTCTGCAGGCCTGTTCTCCTTGGTACTGGGGAGTTAACAATGAAAGGACAGATGACCCCAAGCTCCTGGAACTTCCACTGCATTGAAAGAGACAGATAAGGACATACTAATGAGAACTTATCAGGGAGTTAAGTGCTGAGAAGAAAATAACACAAAGTCAACGGCCGGGTGTCAGAAGAAGCAATCCACTGTGAGTTCTGAGCGTCCCTGCTCTTGATTGCTGGGTATGCCAGGAATGCCAAACCATTCTGCTTTTACCTGGGCTATTTCTCAGGGTTGTGTTTGCAACAGGCAATCTTGTTTCCCACCAGACAAAGAGCAGGTTTGTTTACTGCTCACTTTCCCAGGATCAATGTTCTTTGCGTGTGATGGAAATCACCTGTAATGTGTGCCGTCTCCCTGGGCCTGCCTCTGTCACCCCCACAGGACTTGGGACGCATTGAGACCCAAGCTAACATCATGGTCTCTACTTGCTCTGCTGTGACTAATAGAAGTTCCTTTGACTCTGACCCAAAAGTCTCATATCTTCTGCCAGCATCCATAAAACAGTAGCAGGCTAACTTTTGTTTCCTTTTGAGATGGAGTCTCTCTCTATAACCCCGCCTCAGCCTCCTGAATAGCTAGGACTACAGGCGTGTGCCACCACACCCAGCTAATTTTTGTATTTTTTGGTAGAAACAGGGTTTCACCATGTTGGCCAGGCTGGTCCCAAACTCCTGACCTCAAGTGATCCACCTGCCTCAGCCTCCCAAAGTGCTGGGATTATAGGTGTGAGTCACTGGACTCGGCCAGGCTAACTTATTAGCTTGCAAGTAGGGAATGTCTCAGACTCTTCCCAGACCCTGAGAGAATGATGGTGGTAGAGTAAGGACAGGAGACAGGTGTCTTAAGGTGATCTAACTTTGATCTCAAGGGGCAAGGAAACACCACCTGACCTCAAAGTCACATGTCAAAGATCTAGGAGGTAAAAAAGAACAGTAACATTATCATGTTAGTTTGTTTTTATGTCACTATAAAGGAATATCCAGGACTGAGTAATTTATAAAGAAAAGAGGCTTAATTGGCTCAGGTTCTGCAGGCTGTACAGGAAGCATGGTACTGGCATCTGCTCCTGGTGAGGCCTCAGGGAGCTTACAATCACGGCAGAATGTGAAGGGGGAGCAGGCTTATCACAGAGTGGTAGTGGGAGTAAGAGAGAGAGGGAGGAGGTGCCACACTCTTACACAACCAGATCTCATGTGAACTAACTGAGCGAGAACTCACTCATTACCAAGAGGAGGGCACCAATCCATTCATGAGGGACCCTCCTCCATGGCCCAAACACCTCCCACCAGGCTCCACCTCCAATATTAGGAATCACATTTTAACATGCGATTTACAGGAGACAAATATCCAAACCATATCAATTACTAATTAGGTGATTCAGGAAATTTCATCTGGTGACTGCAGGGCAGGTGGGAGCATTGTTAGGCTTTTCAACATAAGAAGAGAGTGAATGTGATGGCAATGTGTTATGCTGTCTGTAATTTCATTTAAAATATTTTAACAGAAATAGTGTAATATCCAGTGTGTGTGGGTTCACTTTAATCTATTCTTTAGAGACAGTTAACATTTTAAGTGTTCTAATCACAACACTGCAAGGGTGGTTTGTTAGCATTTAATAACTTCAAGCCAGACGTCTAACCTGAGGTGGCTACCACAAGATTTCAGTTACTATTTTTAAATTTCAGATCAATGTCAGAGGCTTTGTTAGCTAACATAATAGGTGCTAGAAGTTATTTTTGTTATTGGTGAAATAAGGAGCATTCAAGATTGGCTTAATGTATTATAGCAGGACCCCTGCTCTTGAAGAACTGAATTTAAGAATCCAAGGAGCCCAATCTTGGCTGCATATTGTAATCACCTGATGGGAAGCTTTAAAAAATATCAATGTAGTATCTGGGCTCTACTTACAGAGACTGACTTAATCGGCAGACTTGGCGCAGGCCAATGTAATGGTGTGTTGCTGGTGTGCACCCTGGGAATTGGGATTTTTAAAGCTGCAGTGTGATTCTAATGCATGGCAAAGTTTGAGAAGCATTGCAACAGCTCACACTTCAGTCTGTCTCTTAGGAGCTATGTGACCTTGAGTAAGTTCTTTAACCTCTCTGAGCCTGTCTCCTAATCTGTAAGATGGGTGTGATAATATGCCTACCCCATCTGCTGATCATGAGGAATTCATGAATTATTCCATGATGAGTGCTTAGAATAGTGTCTGGCAAGCAGGAAGTTATCAATTAAGTGTTAGCCATTACTACGTTATTCTTATTCAACTATTTTTACTTTGATCTTTGGAAAATTTCCCCAGGCATGATTATGGTGTCTAGCTGCTATCTTGGAGAATTCATGTTCCTAGTCCGCTGTAACTAATTGGCTGAAACCTGCCACTGGAATATTTGCCCTAAATGAACCTTTCATATGAGATGCTGTTGGAACTCCTAAAAAGAGAGAGGGTGCCAGAACTTGATCTTGCTTCCAGAACAAGTTGTAGGCAGGAACTGTTTTAGTGTCAGTTTGCTAATCAATGTCTGTGTGGGCAGCAGGAATCTGTATGAAACTTGCTTTCAATAAAACTGAGAAGGAGGTTTGTGGAGTAGTGATCTTTGACCCATCTCTACCTCTGGTTCAGATGTTCTTATTTTTTTTAGGGCCTTGGACCCTTTAAGAGTCTGGTAATGCCTCTGGATCCCTTTGCAAAATAATGGTTCCAAATGCATAAAATAAAATACTTATTACTACAGAGGAAACCAATTATATTACAGTTATCAAATTATTAAAAACAAATTTATTATATAATTATATATGTACTTCCTTGTTAGTATCTTAAAGAATGAAGTCAATTGTAATGTGATATGAAAAAAATATGTGATTTCTATTAGCGACAGTAGAAATCACTTGTGACAAAGCCACAAGAATTTTTATACTACTGTGGTTTCTTGTCTCATTTGTAACGAAAGGCAATGCTAAATTTCAGTTAAACATTAATGAAAATAAAGATGTTATCTTTTTCCCCATCTGTGTTCACAACTTTCTTGAATTTCATGATTCTTGGGATAAACACCCTTGATTGGAGGCTACCAATAGCTGCCCAGCTAATTATTGGGTATGACCAAATGGGCTTAGACAAGACTGCAATACAATGGAAATACAATGAAAATATAATACAATGCCATAATTGGACTAATTGAACTTACAGTCCAATTACAGAGCCAGAAGGAGAAACTTTTCAATTATTATTGCTGTAATAAAACTCCAAAACTTAGTGGCTTAGAACAATGGTTTACATTTCCTCATGATTCTGTAGATCAGGACTCTGGCCAGGTGATATAATTTGGCTGTGTCCCCACCACAATCTCATCTTGAATTCCCACATGTCTTGGGAGGGACCCGGTGGAAAATCATTGAATCGTGGGGGAGGCTTCTCCCAAGCCTTTCTCGTGGTAGTAAGTCTCACAAGATCTGATGGTTTGATAAGGAGAAATCCTTCTCTTTGGTGCTCATTCTCTCTTTGCCTGCTGCAATTCGAGTAAGATGTGACTTGCTCCTCCTTACCTTCCGCCATGATTGTGAAGCTTCCCCAGCCACGTGGAACTGTAAGTCCAATTAATCCTCTTTCTTTTGTAAATTGCCCAGCCTATGGTATGTCTTCACAAGCAGCATGAAAACAGACTAATACACCAGGGCTCAGCAGGGTGATTTTCTGTTGGTCTCCCTTGGGTTTCTCACGCATCTGAATTCACTTGGGAGCTTGGCTAGATCTGAAACTGCTCTTCCTCCAAGGCCTCTCTTCATATAACCTCTGACCTTGAAGTCATCTAGCCTGGACTTCCTTAAAGCATGGCACCTGTGCTCCAGAGAGATAGTAGCATCTGCCCATCCTCTTCAGGCCCAGGCTTGGAAGTCCTACAGAATAGCCTCCACAACCTACTGGTGAAAAACAAGCCATAGGCCAGTCAGATCTCAGGGGAGGGCACACAGACTCATCTCTTGAACTGAGGAAGGGCACAAAAGCCCAGGGAGGGGAGAAATTATTGGAAGCTGTCTCTGGATTCTTTCCACCATGGCAACCTGTCAGATTGGAGACTGCTCAGACACGGGGGTGAGTCAAAGCTGCCACTGAGATGTTCTGCTTCAGGACTTGCTGTTTTTGCTCACACGTCAGATTTCCTCTTCCAGAGCTCCTGATCGGTTCTCACGGAACCATCAAAAACTATTCCTGAGGCTTGCGAAGCATTCATCTCAATGAAAAAAAAAGTGCCAATTTTATTAATACTCATTAACAGACTTCATTATGCAGTGTGTCCTATAATGTCAATACCATAGGTTGCTGTTGCTTTAGCAATGAGAATTAAATACACACTTTCCCTTTCATTACCTCAGCATGTCTGACTATTGCTGATATCTAAACAGAATACACTCCTCCTTTTGGAGAGCCTTGCCTGGGTGCGACCCCAGCCACAGCCTGAATCAGCCTCCCCCACTGGGTTTCTGTAACCCTACGCTTGCCCGTGTACTTTCAACAGCTTCATTTTTTTCCTTATTTCTTTTCTTTTCTTTTTTCCTTCCTTCCTTCCTGCCTTCTTTCCTTCCTTCCTTCCTCTCTCTCTCTTCCTTTTTCTTTTTCTTCAGTTTTATTGAGATATACACATACCATACATCACCTTTCATTTCTAGCAGCACTGGCCTGGAATAATCTTATATATGCCATTCCTACTGGTTCTCACTTTGGATTCATCTGGGGAACGTAAAAAAAATTGCCACCTGGGCTGGGCATGGTGGCTCATGCCTGTAATCCTAGCACTTTGGGAGGCTGAGGCAGGAGAATCGCTTGAACCCAGAAGGCGGAGGTTGCATTGAGCTGAGATCCCACCACTGCACTCCAGCCCGGGTAACAGAGCAAGGCTCCATCTCAAAAAACAAACAAACAAACAAACAAACAAACAAAAAAACATTGCTACCTGACTTCCACCCTTGGAGATTCTGATTTCATGTGTCTGGGTGCACAGAAGCTTTTTAGAGCTTCTAGGTAATCCTAATGTGAGCTGGGCTTGAGAATCCCATCCCAGGCTGTGGTGTCCTTGAGGGCAGGGGGCTGTCTTACTGGCACACAGTTGGTACTTAATAAAACATGAACAAGTGAATGAATGATGAATGGCCCTGCCTTCCTTCTTAGGGAACTGAACCTTATGCTCCCAGCTGCTGGAAAAGGCATTGAGCCAGTTTTTGTTTGTCCTTGCGGCTGCCAGAAGGCCTTTTTTTGTCTTTTCCTCCTCAAGAGGCTAGCAGAACTTGGAAACTTGGAGTCTTGAGAGTATGTATTTTGTTACCTTTGGGGCAGATGGAAGAGGTCCCTGTTCCTGAAAGCTTACTTAGGAGCCTGAGGGCTGGAAGGAGGTTGGGGGAGACTAGGAGGTGTTGGGAGGTGCTGGAAGGAGGTTGGGGGACACTGAGAGCGGTTGGGAGGGGGCTGGAAGGTTGGGGGAGGCTGGGAGGGGTTGGGAGAGGCTGGGAAGGGGTTGGGGACACTCTGAGGGTTCACAGTATCCACAGAGTATCACACTTATTCAGCACTTCCTTTGTGCTGAGCACTGTGCCAAGGATTTGATATGAACTCATTTATTTTTCAATCTGACCCTATGAGGAGGACACAATTGTTTTCATTTTATAGATAAGAAAATGGAAGCACTGAGCGGTTAAGTGGGTGACCTCAAAGTTGCAAGAACTGCAAGGGAGGTTCCCAAAGGCTGGAAGTCTATGGGTTTGGGAGAGTGGCAGGAGGTGGCACAGCCTGCAACTCAGTTCTGAGGCTCCATTTGCCTGGGAGCTCCCAGAAGGGGATTCACTGAGCATGGACTCTGGGAGCTTCCCACGTGGGGCAGGGTGCAGGAGGTCCCCAGGCTCCTTCTGGCAGAAGGCTCGGACAATGGGCTCATCGGCCCTGTCCAGTGAGAGTCGGGCACCAAAGGACTGTTTGGACATGCTGTTTGTTACCTATAAACTCCTGCCTCCCTCCACTCAACCCTGAAAAAGATTCTTCCCAAGCAAAGGACCCTGGTGGGTGGTGGCTTGACTCGCATTTAATTTTACATATAATAAATAAAGTGAATATGGTGCCAGAATAAAACTCACACAATGTCTGGGGCCACAGGATTCTGGTAATTTTGCTTCTGGGCCTCTCCTCCCACTCTGACCAAGTTCTAGGTCATGCCATCCCTGGGCAGGCTCTTGGAGCTCCATCCCAGCCTCCACCAGCTGCTGCTCCAGCGGCCTTGATGCCCCCAACAGTTCAAGTGGCCTCTTGCCTCAGCCTGTCTGAATTGGGTTTGTTTAAGGAAATTAAGAACCAGACTTGGTTTAACTCAGGCTGGTTCCAACTCGTTATTACCCCACAGTCTTAAGCTTCAAGCCAGCCTGAACAAATTCCTGCAAGCCGCCGTGGGGAGAGAGCCACCCCCTCCTGTAAAAACAGCCCTGTCACACTTCATGGCAGGTGCATGCTAGGCAGAGATCTGTATTTGATTATTCATATTCTCTTTTGGTTTTGCTTGATAGGATTTAGAATGATCTGAGGGAAGGAAAGGAATGTGTCAAGAGAAGAGAGGTGACGGGCGGATGCGGGCTAAGGGGGGGACACTTTAACAGAGGGGAAAGAGGTAGCTCCTTCCTCACTTTTGACAGAGTTAGGGATCTCAGTGGAGCAGGCTACAAAATACAAATCATATCATTCCTGTGAGAAAACGGCAAGTTTGTCCTCACATTAGGAAGTCATAGTAACAAGAAATGTTCACACTAACAAGTACTGAGTACTAAGTACTTAATCTGTGTGCCAGGAACTGCACCATTTCCCACGAATTATCCGCTCTCTTTGCCCTCATTGTACATATGAGAAGACAGAGAGGTTATGCAGTGTGCGCAAGACCACTCAGTGAACGGGCGGCTGAGATGGGTCTCCAGCCTGCATCTGTCTGAAGCTCCCGGCTCTTAGCAGCTCTGCAGAGACGCAGCCGGGAAGAAGCCAGAACAGACTGCAGTCAGCGGTTCTCAGCCCTGGAGATGCAGTCACATCAGCTGGGGAGCCTTTAAAACAGCACTGGGCCCAGGCGCCTCCCGGAGAGCCTGACTGAATGGAACTGGGCTGCGGCCTGGGCATCGGTTTGTTTCTAAAGCTCCCCAGGTGAATCTGATGTGCAGTCAGGGCTGTGAACCATGGCTGGATGGGTTGGAGCTGAAAGTAAGTCCTGAGGTGACCTGGGCAGAGGTAAGACTCTGAGACTAGGGAGCCTGGGAGAAGGAAGACAAGAATCACAATTTCTTTCTTCTTCCTTCCTTTTAATGATAAGTGACACTGCATTCAAGATAAACTTGAAGAACTTTAAATACCAAGTTTCCCTAAAGCACAGAGAGCAAACCATCTGAAACTTCTTTAATTTCATCAGTAGCTCAGGCCCAGAACCAGCCAGACTGCCGTCTGACACAAATGCCACTAGAGAGCCGTCATCCTGTCCCTGGGCCAGGTTAACCCATATCTGGAGTTAATCCAGACCTAATTTTATATATATATATATATATATATATATATATATATATATATATATACTTTTTTAATTTTTAAAATCTTGGTAAAATATACGTAACATAAAATTTACCACTTTAATCATTTTTACCTATACAGCTTGGTGGCATTAACTCTATATGCAATGTTGTGCAGCCATCCCCATTGATATGGTTTGACTCTGTGTCCCCACCCAAATCTCATCTTAAATTGTAATCCACATAATCCCCACGTGTTGAGGGAGGGACCTGGTGGGAGGTGATTGGATCATGAGCCGGTTTCCCCCATGCTGTTCTCGTGATAGTGAGTGAGTTCTCAAGAGATCTGATGGTTTTCTAAGGCAGTTTTTCTTGCTCTTGCTCACTCTTCTGTCTCCTGCCACCATGTGAGAAGGCCTAAGCTTGCATCCCCTTTGCCTTCCCCCATGATTGTAAGTTTCCTGAGGCTTCCCCAGCCATGCAGAACTGTGAGTCAATTAAACCTCTTTCCTTTATAAATTACCCAGTATCGGGTATTTCTTTATAGCAGTGTGAAAATGCACTAATACACCCACTATTCATTTTCAGAACCTTTTCATCTTGCAAAACTGAGACTCTGTGCCCATTCAACAATAACTCCCCATTCCTCCCTCCTGCTAGCCCCTGGCAACCAGCATTCTACTTTCTGTCTCTGAATCTGACTGCAACCCAGACCTCATTTTATGACAGATTAGTTATTCCTATAACAGCTCAAATAAAATCAAATAATTATAACTACCCTCGATTAAGCAGTTAATTACAGAGCAACTATCTCAGTAGGTGCTATCGCAACCTCCACTGAACAGATGACCATGCAGTGTGGCAGAGACAATTCTATGTGCTCACACTGGAAGACCACCTTTTCTAGCCTCTATGCAGGGTAGGTGGGGCCATACTACTAGGTTCTAGCCAATAGAAAATAGGCAGAAGTGATGAATATCATTTCCAAGCCTGGCTGTAACCCCCTGTGCTATCTCCCACACTCTTTCACCCTTCTGCAGCAACCTAAGAGGCTACATATTTAAGGTGGCAGTGTTAAAACATGAGAAGAATCTGAATCTTGAGTCCCTGCTTGGACAGAGCCATCAAGAATTGGTGTCCAACCTGCATCAAACTGGGGCATGAACAAGAAATCAAATTGAGATATTGTGCAATTTTATTACTGCAGCAAAGCCTATCCTACCCTAATATAGAGAGACCCAATGACTTACTGTATTAGTTCATTTTCACACTGCTGATAAAGACATACCTGAGACTGGGTAATTTATGAAGAAAAAGGTTTAATGGACTCACAGTTCCACGTGGCTGGGGAAGCCTTACAATCATGGCAGAAGGTGAAAGGCACATCTCACATGGTGGCAGACAAGAGAAGAGAACTTGTTCAGGGAAACTGCTTTCTAAAACCATCAGATGTTGTGAGACTTATTCACTACCATGAGTATAGCACAGGATAGACCCATCCCCATGATTCAGTTACCTCCCACTGGGTCCTTCCCACATATATGGGAATTGTGGGAGTTACAATTCAAGATGAGATTTGGGTGGGACACAGCCAAACCATATCACTTTTTATAGCTAATAGCCACTGGAGTCAGTATTCAACCCCACTTCTCTCTGATACCCTATTTGGTGGCCTTGGCATTACACTCTGCTGCTATTGTGTTGTCCACATTGCTCTCAAAGTATCTATTTGAGGTTAAATATATGGCCTTAAAAAACTGCTTACTTCTGTACAAAAAGCTAGGCATTTTCATATGTCCCTCTCTCCACACCAAACTACCCTCTGTACATCTTGCTATTCCCCAAAAGAAAAATAAAACAAGCTTCTTTTGCTGAGCTCCATCCCTCCAGTTGACAAAAATCCCAGGAGCCTCTGGTCCTCAAGTCAGGCAGACATTTAAACCTATTCTTCTTTAAGAGATGCTTCACCAGCAATTTATTTCCTGTCACAGCCTGTGTTTTCTGCCTATGAAGGATGATATTTTGTTCACCTTTGGTGCCTTTACCCCATCGTATTCTGCAGTAAATGTCCCCAAACAATGCTTGCACTATCCATTAGGAAAGGCTGTCTCGACTGGCTGTCACCCAGCAAGGCTGCTTCTCCCAGTCTTTGGTCTAAACATAATGTCATTTCTTCTTAGCACATCACCCACTACTATCTCCTGTTTTTAAAAAAGTGTTTCAACAGAATGTTTCTTCTCTATTCTATATCAAAATCTGTTTCATCACAACAAGCCGAGAGCTTGATAACCTTTTTAAAACTTTGAAGAGGAAAGTGTAGAAAAATGACCCAGAGATAGAACATACATCTGGGAACTTAGAAAAGTGAAGTTGGATGTAGAGCAACAACAAGAGTGAAAAGAAAATGTTAGAAAACTTTCCACATTATGAACCTCACAGAACAGAGAGGTAAATATTTTTTACTCAAGCATTGAAATAGAGTACGGTGGCCAGATTTAGCAACTAAAATACCAGATGCCTAGTTGCATTTGAATTTCAGATCAGCAGTGAATCATTTTTTTGTATGTCTCATGCAATATTGGGGTATATTTGTACGAAAACAGTATTTGTTATTTATCTGAAATGTAAATGTAACTGGGCACCATGCATTTTGTCTGGCAGTGCTAAGGGAGGGCACAGGCTCAGGCTCAAACTCTGGTTCTGTCCCTTATCAGCTGGGGACAGCTTGGATCGAATACTTAACGTCTCTGTGCCTCAGTTTCCTCATCTCCACAATGGGGATAGTGAAAGGGCTATTGGGAGACTCAACTGGGAGATGCAAGTAAAGACTGTGCACTGCACCTGGTACACAGTAAGTGTTCAATAAATATACAAAAGCTGGTGGATGGCTAAGGGGAAACCAAGCCTGTCAGCATTCGCCAAGGGCCTCTTCCATGTTTGGTGCCATGTTGTGTCTGTTTTGTATCTGAGTCCCTCTGTGACTTTGGGCAAGGTGTTAATCTCTCTGAGCTTTACTCTCCTTATCTGTAAAAAGGAGCTGATACCATCTACTCTTAGAATTTCTGGAAGCATTAGTAAACGTACACAACAGGACGACTTAATTCAAATCACCCTTCCTGTGGGTTAAGCATTGCCCCTCTGCAGAGTCTGTCCTTCTGGAGCCCTGAAGTGACCCAAGGTGCCTGGAGCCTCACCAAGGAGATGAAGTTGGAGGAAGGCCTGGAAGAGCCAGAAGAGAAAATGGCACCCTAAAGAAAAGGGGGAACAGAAGAAACCGCTTTCCTTGCACTTTGCCTGTGTGGGAGGAGCTGAATTTCTGTTTTAGTGAGAGGTCCCCGCTGAGAAGCTTCCTTCTATGTTCTCTCCACACCTCCTCCTTTCTGATTTGCTGGTGTCATTTTTTTTTTTTGTTTTTTTTTTTGAGACGGAGTCTGGCTCTATCACCCAGGTTAAAGTGCAGTGGTGCAATCTCGGCTCACTGCAACCTCGGCTGCCTGGTTTCAAGCGATTCTCCTGCCTCAGCCTCCCAGGTAGCTGGGATTACAGGCACCCACCACCACACCTGGTTAATTTTTGTATTTTTAGTAGAGACAGAGTTTCACCATGTTGCCCAGGCTGATCTCAAACTCCTGACCTCAGGTGATCCTCCCACCTCAGCGTCTCAAAGTCCTGGCATTACAGGTGTGAGCCACTGCACCCAACAGATTTGCTGTGTCTGAAATTCCTTTCCTATAAGACCCTGATTCTAACCCAATTTGATCCTTTAAATATTTGTTGAGCACGTACCACATACAATGGGACAGCAGGTGGTGGGAGAGACATATCTAAAATTTAAACGGGATCAGTCTTAGGCTAGAGAGAAAAGCTTTGATGGTAGAATTTTAGGAACTTGGAGAGGCATTTCTGAAAGCAAGAGATTTCCAAGGACTCCTGAAATTATACTATCTAATTCTTCCGTGCATCAGACAAGTTTTGAGCACCTATTACATGCCTGTCACTGTACTGGGGACTGAACAGGTAGATGAGTGAGATCCAGTTCCAGCCTTGCAGTTGCTCTGGTCCACTGAGCAATGTGTTAAATACAATGTGGCAGGTGCTATGATGAGCATAAGAACAGGGCACCGTGGGGACACAGAGTAGGGAAGGTCAACCAGGACCTGTGGGGGCAGGGAAGGCTTCCCGGAGGAGGTGATATTTGACTCCAGTCTTGAAGGAGGAGTGGGTGTTAAAGAAGGGGAAGAAACAAAGGCAAGAAGCCTTTCAGGCAGAAAATACAGCACCTGCAAAGGCCTGCATCACCTATATAAGACCCACCTAATAATAATAAAACACCACCTGCTGGGCGCTGTGGCTCACACCTGTAATCCCAGCACTTCGGGAGGCCGAGGCGGGTGGATTACGAGGTAAGGAGATTGTGACCATCCTGGCTAACATGGTGAAACCCCGTCTCTACTAAAAATACAAAAAATTAGCTGGCCACGGTGGCACGCCTGTAGTCCCAGCTACTCAGGAGGCTGAGGCAGAAGAATTGCTTGAACCCAGGAGGTGGAGGTTGCAGTGAGCTGAGATAGCACCACTGAACACCAGCCTGAGTGACAGAGTGAGACTCTGTCTCAAAAAACAAAAAACAAAAAAAAAAAACCACCACCAAAAATAGCAGTAGCCAATGTTTCCTGAGTGCTTACTGTAAGGTAAGGTATGGTATTAGGTCATTTAACCCTCATAATAGGTGGTAATTTTCCTGTTCTCCCAATGAGGAAACTGAGTAATAGGTTGGGTAATTCACCCAAATTCACACAGCCAGTTAGCAACAGCTCAGCATTGTACTTGGCCTTTCCAATTCCCAAAGCGAAACTCCCAAAGCCTCTTCCCTAAATCCTTCACATTCTTATTTGGAGTCGTGAAGTGAGAGCTCAGCATTCTTTGGTCGTCTTTCTACGTATTTGCTATTTTCTCTTTGATGAGAAAATTGGGGTCCATCTGAGGATCCTGATAAAAACCACTTAGCCTGTGTGTGCATCAGATTCCCTGGGCTTCCTTTCTGCCCTCTCTCTGGCCAGTATTCCAGCCATCTATCTTCACAAAGCACTGAATCAGAGAAAAGTAATGTGAAAAACAAAATCGATGGCTGGATGTCACCCCCAGGTCTTTAATGAAATTGCAGT
Source organism: Homo sapiens (assembly GCF_000001405.40). NCBI lineage: Eukaryota > Metazoa > Chordata > Mammalia > Primates > Hominidae > Homo > Homo sapiens. The sequence continues at coordinate 25,069,722 of NC_000004.12, read as the reverse complement.
GATGCTTGACTTGTCATGGCCTCCCTGCTTCCCGGCCTGGCTCCCGAAGCCCTCAGTGTCCCTATTGATTCCTAGGCCGCTGCAGATGGGAGCTGGTTGTGAGGAGTTGCTGAAGTCCTGTTAATCCACCTTCCATTGTGGGTTGATTTTTTATTTGTTGAATTTCTTTATCTAATTTCCCTAGTTGCTCCATTTAGAAATAAATAATATCGTCAAGTTAAAAAAGAAAAGGACCCTGTGGGTCTTGAATTCATTTCCTCTCTAGCTGTGTGCCAGATTGGAGGTAGCTGACCCTGCAGGCTGTACTTCCCAGGCTCCAGTGCGGTTGACCCGGCTGGGTTTGACCAGTGGGAGGCCAAGGTGGGAGCCAGAAGGGTGGAAAGAAGGCAGAAGCCAGGATATGTCCAACCCCTTTCAGGCCCCAGCATGCCCAGCAGTGGCTGCATATTCTCTGTGGCATCTTCCTCCAAGGGTCAACCTTGACCCTGTAGGGGGGACCCTGGCCCTGGGCTTTGGTAACATCACCTCCTCCTCTGTCCCTCCAGCCTAAGAGCTGACTCACTGTCTCCCATTTGGCTTCTCAGCTCTTTCGTCAACTGGGCAAACAAGGCCCTTTGTTACATTCCTTCTGTTTTAAATACTTAGAGTGGTTTCTGTTTACCTGGTTGGAGTTTAACTGATACAGAAAGGGAAGCTAATTTGCTAAGGGTAAGCAAAGACATGTGGGATGCAGCCCAGTCTATAAAACTATTAGCAATCCTATCCAGTATGACTTGGCTTAATTCAATTCAACTCAACAACTCAATTTAACTCAATTCAAATTAATACAGGCTCACTGAGCACCTACTTTGAGAAATGCACTCTACTAGATAATAGGGATACAAAATAAAGAAGTAAAAGAAATCCCCTCAAGGAGTTGACTAGGCGTCTAGTGGCGTAGTCAAGAGAATGAAGAGTGAAGGTATTCTGCACAGTGGATCGTAATAAAGGGCATTGTTAGCCCATCTCTGGGGTGGGATACCTCATTAGACTGGAGGTTAAGGAGCTTCTAAGGAGGCAACTCTCAAATGGGAAGGTGTGGCATAAAGACTGCCAGCTAAGGAGAAAAACCCCATCGTGTAGGGAGTAGACGGATAATTATGAGGCTTGAGAAACCTAATTCCAGAAAGTATAACACTTAACACCCCAGCCTCCAGCCTCTAAAATCCATCCAAGCAGATGGACAGATGGAGCAGAAGAATTAGCCTAGGAATTAGAATTAGCTTAGGACAAGATTTTTGTTTAGTAAAAATAATAAAAGGTAAAGAAAATATTACAAATAAATAGTATTATGACAACTATTGAATTATTGGGGAAAAATATAGATTTTGCCACAATTATTGATTGAAGAGTTTAGTCCTCCCCCCAATAAATTATAAACTCTAGAAAACACTGTAGATTAAAGTTTATTGGATTTGGGGATGGAGGAGGACATGCTAAAGCATGGAATATATTATAAGGAGAAAAAAGAGTTTTATATATTAAACTCCATAAGCAACATTAAAATGGAACGGAAACAAACTAGGATTAAAAGTTTGTGAAAAATATGGCAAAGGATTTATATCCTTACTATAGAAAGAATTTTTATAAACAAAAATAAGTCTAATGGCAAATATAAGCTAATGATAAAAATATACAATTCATATGAAATATATACATAAAAATTTTAACCAACTAGTAATTAGAGATATGCAAATTTTAAAAAATAAGACTTTTTGCCAATGAAATTGACAAAGTGTATTTTGTTTTCCAAATAATACTCCACACTGGGGAGCGTGGTGTGAGAAGAGAGCCCTTATCATTGCTAGTGGGAGTATCAATTATTACATTTCTGGAAAACAATTTTGTGATGTGTATCAACAACCTTAAAAATTTTTATGACTTTTTTCACCTCTATAATATAGAGGTGCTCTCCAGTGTAAATAAGCAGATATGCAACCATCTCAGTATTCCTTATAATGGAAGATTGAACACAATGTGTCATAGGCAGCTCTGTGGTGTAACCGAGAATCTCAGTATCTCATGTCATAGAATATTATAATGTGATAATTATAATGCAACAAATGCAAAGGAATGTGAACAGCCAGATGAGAAAGGAATCATTCTGCCTGGAGGTAGCAAGGAAGTCCTAGCAGAGAGGGTGATATTTAAAATGGGTCCTGAAAGATGAATAGGAGTTTACCAGGCAGGGTAAAGGAAGGGCCAGGCAGAAAGAAGAGCCTATGTTCATGTGAAGAGGCCTGAAAGGTACATTTAAGGAGCAATAAGAAGTTTAGTGTGGCATGAGCTGACTTAGGTCATACTGTTGGGAGAGAGAGGGAAGGTAAAAGAGGGAAGTCAATGGGTTTCAGAAGGATTTTGATGCCATCCTGAGAATTAGATAATAGCTAGTGTATTAGTCCATTTTCATGCTGCTGGTAAAGACATACCTGAAACTGGGTAGTTTATAAGGAAAAAGTGGTTTGATGGAGTCACAGTTCCATGTGGCTGGGGAGGCCTCACAATCATGGTGGAAGGCAAAAGGCGCGTCTTACATGGTGACAGACAAAACAGCATGAGAGCCAAGTGAAAGGGGTTTCCCCTTATAAAACTAGCAGATCTCATGAGACTTATTCACTGCCATGAGAACAGTATGGGAAAGCACCCCCAGCATTCAATTATCTCCCACTGGCTCCCTCCCACAACATGTAGAAATTATGGGAGCTATAATTCAAGACGAGATTTGGGTGGGGACACAGCCAAACCATATCAGGCAGTCAACTGAAGTTTACAACCAGAATTGTGGGAGGATTCATTTTGCTTCAGGAGGTTCGTGAGGCATCCTGGAGGCGGGGTGACAATTAAGAGACTCTGGTGAGAGACCACCCAAGACTCGCTGAGATTTGACCCAAGGCACAGGTTGGGGAGGAATTACAGAGATATGATTGGCAGGACTGCCACAATGAGAACAAAGACATAATTCCTGGATTTGCAACTTTTTGAGACAAATGGGAACAAATAATTACAATACAGTTGCCACATGCAATCAAGAATGCAAGAGGTACCAAGGAGAAAGGTGGTAAATATAGGATTTGGGAAGTTATTGCCTCAAACATTAGGAATTCCAGAAGAATACCATCACATCTCCTGTCAGCCTTAGCCTGTGAAAACAAAACTCATTTTCCCTGGGAGGTATCTGGGGAGCACAGTCTACTCCTGAGGACCTGAAGGTAGGTTAGCACACAGTTCACATCAGTTTCTAGCATCTACTGGTTCCAGCCTTTTCTCAGTCAGTTTCCTCCCCCATCCCGCCCCATAGTGGAAGTGCGGGAAATGAAAGTTCATGAAATGCTACTATTGAATTTGCTACAGATGATAGAGGCCAGCTGGTGGCTGATATGGTTTGGCTGTGTCTCCACCTAAATCTCATCTTGAATTACAGCTCCCATAATTCCCACATATTGTAGGAGGGACCCAGTGGGAGATAATTGAATCATGGAGGTGGTTTCCCCCATACTATTCTCAAGTAGTGAATAAGTCTCATGAGATCTGATGATTTTGTAAGCGGTTTCTCCTTTCGCTTAGCTCTCATTTTCTCTCTGCCTGCTGCCGTGCAAGACATGCCTTTCACCTTCCGTCATGATTATGAGTCCTCCCTAGCCACATGGAACTGTGAGTCCATTACACCTCTTTTGCTGGATAAATTACCCAGTCTTGGGTATGTCTTTATCAGCAGCGTGAAAATGGGCTAATACAGTGGCCAAACTCAAAGTATGGGTTTTCTGTGAGTATCTACAATAGCCCCTCCCCTAAATGGATGGATAATTGCAGACACTAACAGTTGGCTGTGCAGACACACACGTAGCACTCTATCCTACCCACCCTGCATACATTTTTGCCTTTCTTTAATGGGTGACTATTTGCCAAAGCTGATGTGAATGCCCATGGAGATTCCATATTTTACTGTGACATTGTTATTTAAATAACAAGATAAAAGGAGAGGGTTGGGGGTTGACTCACGAGGCTGCAAGCTGTATCCGGTAATAAGGCCCTTGGTTTATAGGTTAATTCTCCCATCGACTGAAGAGGCTGCCTTCTCAAGCATGTCAGAGAGGAGAATTTATTACCCGTGGCACTGCTGTCATTGGGAATGCAGGTAAATAACTGCATTGCAAATGTGGTGTGAAGGGGGCACTTCTGAAGTTGGCAGGCAGCAGCAGGGTGTGGAGGGAAGCTCAAGGCCTAGGAGACAGGGAAGGGGAAAGACCACCCAGTTTATGTGTTTGGACATTTCCTTCTGGGGACACTGTCCTGGTCACCTGGGGAGTCCAGTTATTCAGCCTCTGTCAAGCCTGGGAAAGAGAGCTGGTTGCACATTTTGGAGCCTGTTTCCAAACAGCACTGTCTTTATTACTGAAGGCTTTAAATGAATGATAGCCTGGTGTCAATGGGGTTTAAAATGCCAAGCATGTGACCGTTTAGTAAAAGCTTGCAATTAACCTTCATGACCCCTATTATCGCTTGTTTTTTTTCAAAATTAGGTGCCAACCTCAGATGAAGTTTTGACCCTACATTATAGACTCATGATCTGTGGTGACCATTAACATTCCAGGCAATGCTTGGGAAATGTCTTTTCCTCACTGTACTCCATCCACTGTCTCACCTTAAATACTCGATCTTTGGGTCCACTCACTGCAGCTTCCTTTTATGGGCTCCCCACAATTTTTTAGAGTAAATACTAAATGATTGTAATGATACAAGAAAATGCAGAGCCTCAAACAAGATTTAAATTTATTTCTCTCTCACAGAACACTTCAGATGTAGGTGGATGCTCCAGGTTGGGTGGTCTGGTCTATTGAGACCTGGGGACTGGGTCACTTCTATCCTGATGTCAACCTTCTTCTAGCACACATGTTCTGTAAAGGGCCAGAGAGCAAATATTTTCAGCTCTGTGGGCCTCATGGATTCTATTGTGATTATTCAGCTCTACCTTTGTAGCCCAAAGCATCCAGGGACTATACAGATGCAAATAGACACAGCCATGTGCCAATAAAACTTTATTTACAAAAGCAGTTGGTGGTGGTCAGCAGGGTGCAGTGGCTCATGTCTGTAATCCCAGCACTTTGGGAGGCTGAAGTGGGTGGATCACTTGAGCCCAGGAGTTCAAGACCAGCCTGGGCAATATGGTGAAACCCTGTCTGTACAAAAAATATGAAAATTAACCTGGTGTGGTGGCGCACACCTGTAGTTCCAGTTACTTGGGAGGCTGAGGCAGGAGGATGGCTTGAGCCCGGGAGGTAGAGGCTACAGTGAGCTGTGATTGCACCATTGCACTCCAGCCTGGGTGACACAGTGAGACCTTGTCTCAAACAAACAAAATGCTTTACATCACGGGGTCCTAAAAAAAATTTTTTTTTTAAATAGCAGGTGGTGGACAGGATCTGACCTGTGAGCTGTAGTTTGCTGATCCCTGCTCTAGAGCCACACTGTTCAATAGACATAAAATGCAAACCACACATATAATTTTAAATTTTCTACTAACCACATTAAAAAAGTCTAATAAAACATGTGAAATTAATTTTAATAAGATTTTATTTAATGAAATATATCTAATGTTTTATCATTTTGGCTCATAATCAATATAAAAATGTTTTACTTTTTTTTTTTGGTACTGAGTTTCTGAAATCCAGTGTGTATTATACACTTACAGTGCACTTCAATTTGGGCGGGCCACATTTTAAGTGCTTGGGAGCCACATGTTCCAATTGTGGCCAGTGGTGACCATATTAGGCAGCACAGTCCTAGAGAGTTGCTCTTCTTTTGCATGGTTAAAACTGGCTTATTAGAGTCAAGACTCCAAATTCATGTACATCACTTTTCCTGACTTAATACTGGTGAGAATCCAGTCACACAGGCACAACCTTCTGCAAAGGACATTGGGAAATGTATTCTCTGGCTGGGTAGCCCTGTGCTCTGCTAAAATTTGGTGGGCACAGTTCTGTCACTAAGGAATAAGGGCAGGAAAGGTGTTGGTAGACAGAAAGTTTTGCCATACCATCTAAATTTTATTAATTTTCAACAGTCTTCTCTCTGATTCTAAAGTCACAGTCTGGCCTGAGGCTGATCCTGAAAGGCAGTCTGTTGGAATGGAAGAGATGAGAGGTTCCTGTCTGTCTTTCTTGACACCTCCCATCCCTCTACCATTCTTCTGCTCCATTCCCTGCATCTGTGTTAGTTACCAGGGCTCTGCCACGACATTACCTCAAACATGGTGGCTTAAAGCAACAGAAATTTATTCTCTCACAGTTTTGGAGCCCAGAAGTCCAAAATCAAAGTGCCAGCAATGCCACACTTCCTCCAAAGATCTCGGGGAAATTGCTTCCTTGCCTTTTCTGGCTCCTGGTGACTCATGGTCTTTGCTGGCTTATAGACCCATTACTCCAATCTCTGCCTCTGTCTTCACATCATCTTCTCCTCTGTGTCTCTCTGTGTACTCTTCTCTTCCTTTAAGGATGCTGTCGTTGGCTTTAGGACCCATCTTAAATCCAGAATAATTTCAGCTCAAGATTCTTAAGTAATTACACCTGCAAAGACCCTATTTCTAAACAAGGTTGTGTTGAGGGGGGCATGAATTTGGGGAGACACTGTTGGACCCATTACACTATCTTTTCAAGACTCTGAACCACAGCCAGCCGTTTTCCAACTGCCCTCCCACCACAGCCCTGAATTTCTGCTGCATGAAGCCCTTTACATGTAGGATACCAAGAGCCAGGAAAGACTTTAGCTGTCAAGGGGTAAGACTGGCAAAGCTGACCTTCTTCTCCGTCTCCAAGTCCTGTTGATTCTGTCTTCTGTCTCTTCATTTTGTCCGGCTCTCTCTACCTCCACTCCACCATCCTTGTTCCTATCTTGCTTGGACTATTGCAGCAGTTTTAACTGGCCAACCTGCAGCTTCTTGCCTCCCTACCATCCATTTTCTACACAGAGCCTAGAGCGATCTTTTTGAAATTCAAACCTGTTGACGATGTTACCTTTTTGCTGCTAAGCTGCACTGTCTCCCTATTGATCTCAGAATCATAGCAACTATATACGGCACTGCATGCCAAGCACCATTAGAAAAATTTTACACAAACCACTATGAATTAATGTAATTGTCCCATGAATATCCTAATATTTCATATAAGCAAAATTAAGTAGCCTAGCTATTAAGTGATGGAGCTGGGACTTGAACCCAGAGAGACAGGCTTCAGTGTCTGTATTCTTACCTGACACTCTGTAATTGGCCGGTGGCCTCTGAAACCTGCCATGCTCCCCCACCACCTTGTCAGCTTCCTTACTTCTGCACTGAGGACCTTGCCTGCTTGTACTTACTTGTACCCTTCTTGGTCCTACCCACCACAGGGCCTTTGCACACACACTGCCCTCTGCTGAGCATGCTCTTCCTTCCTTTCTAAGCAACAGTAACTTCTCACTTTCAGACATTGGTTCAGGGATGCCATCCATGAGCTCCTCAAGTAAGTCAAAGTCCTGAGAGAGGCTTTCAGAGCACTCAGAACTTCTTCTGTGCAGCACAGGCCTCAATTCTACCTCCTATTGGTTTGGATGATGATTTGATAATGTCCCTGCCTCCCCTCTCTCCACTTCCTCCAACTCAAGTGTAAACTCCATGAGGACGGTGTGTTTTGCTCTCTGCTGTCCCTCCAGGACCTGACATAGGCTCTGACTCACAATATTCCCAGAATAAGGAAATGGATGAAGGGGATGTTGATGAATCGATAACTTGATTTTCAAAACAGTCCTTACTGATGCAGTTACAGAAAAGCTAACAAGGGGAGAACAGAACTAAAACTGTGGTTTTGTTGCACAGAGTTCTGGTTGTCATTCTCAGTGTGATCTGCCATCGTCGGCACCTGGTGCATGGAGCAGAGAACAAGCAGGCTCTGCAGAGGAGAGAGCCTAGATCCTGGGACCAGAAGACCTTGACATGTACAGCCCATTCTCAGGGCTGATGTCTGTCATATTTCTGTGAATTTCAGATGCTCTTTTGTCTCCTTCAAATTTTAACGTACTTGAAAGCAAAATTCATCTTATAACAGAGCCATACACTTAATGAAGTGCATTTTTTGTTGGTCCCTGTGAAGCAGTTATGAAATCAATGGTGAGTACCACAATCAATGGTATTTGGGAATCAAGGAAATTCTATCTGTGGCCCTGGGTAAATTCTTTGCCTTTCTGAGTCCTAATTCCCTTATCTATAAAAGGGCAGGGTTGTTGTAAATATTGGAGATGTATGTAATGGCCTTAGTACAGTGACTTGTAGCTTTAATTCATCGATGGAAAGTCTATTATGCGTTTCATAAAATATGTGTCAGATTAGTGTTTTGTTAGACTAATCCATATACTTGCATGGTCAGTCCTATATTTGGCTACTCAATTTTAGAGAAGAAATGAGAGAGAAGATTTTGAGGGCTCTGTCTTCTTTACATTTTAATTAATTCTGTCTAAAACCTCTTGCTCATATCTGTAAGCCACCAGCACAGCCAGGGGAGGGAGGCACCCTCTAACTCATCACAAGGGTGCGCTCTTAAGGCTCAATTTCGTTCACTCCTCCATTTTCTAAAGAATCTGCAAACATTCTACGTAGAACTTTGTTTCACCCTTACGTTGAAAATGATATGGAATTTGACTCATCTACAAAGCACGTCACTTTTTATTTTATTTTTTAACTCAGGGCAATTACTTGTTCTATTTCTGCATCTAATGCTCTTCCCAGTTTATTCTTGGTGACTGTTAGTCAGCGCAGCTATATTTCAGTAAAAGATTCTATTTGCTCCCAACCAGTAACGGGAGTATGGGGTATAATCTCAGTAAAGTCATCTGGAGTCTTCATTTACGTCACTGTTTGCTTTTCATCGACTTAAGCCAGGACATGAGCAATGATATAAATTAAGCCTTCAGATGATTCTGTGGAAAATTATGGCTCTATGAAGGACCTCCCTTTACCCTTAAAAATATCACAGGCCCAAGAGCTGTCTTAATCACATTTAACTTGGCAGACTAATGTGTACTAAGAATAAACTAGAAAACATACATTCCGATTAAAAACAGAAGAAGCAATTGCTGAATTAGGGCAGAGAAAGAGTATAAAATGGATTGATGACACCTTCCAAGTAAAGAGGTCTGAATCCCTTTTCTGATGATTGGGGGAGTCCGCCATGGTGAGAGAGTTCAAAGCAGACCTTTCCCACTGACTAACTTTTGTGGATGTTGGCAAATATTTTTCCTCTTTATTTATGCTACTGTGATAAGGTTTTCTATTATTGGCTGTGGAACATATTTCTTGTCTTTTAACAGTTGATTTAACATTTGGAAAAAGCAAAAAACATCGAGCGCTAAGCTGGGTGAATGATGTTGGTGATGAAGTAGAGTAGTGGAGTGTGTATATGTGTGTGTGTGTGTGTGTGTGTGTGTATGCAAAAGAGAGAGAGAGACAGAATTTTCCCAATTGATTATAGTGGGTTGAATGATGCCCCCTCCCCTCACCCAAAAAAGATATATCTATGTCTTCATCTGTGGAATCTGTGAATGTAGCTTTGTGGCAGGCTAGGTCTCACTAACGCAGACCTCCATAACAACTGTTTCAGCACTGACTGAGTGGTTAAGTTAAATATTAAAGCTGAGAGAGCCAGTGCCCTTATACAAAGGCAGGAAGGTAACAAAAGCCCACCAAGAGTTTTGCCCAGGGCTTTCCTGGGCCTTGAAGCATGACAAGATAATAAAGGAATTCTTAACAGGAATTCTTAATCTGTTTAGAATTAAACAAGTTTTATTGGGGGTCTGAAGAAACTCCCCTGGCCTCCACGAATAAGTTTATTGGGGGTCTGAAGGAACTCCCCAAACCTCCATGATTTAGCAGGAGACAAGATAAGGGAATCACCCCAGCATCTGGACCCATTTAGATTAAGTAAATTTACTGAGGCTCCAGAGGAAGGTCTTCAGGACTCAGATCTTAGTTATAGATTAGAAGAAGTTCATCACTTATGTCTTTAGATGAATGCACACTTACACCTAGACATATAGCTTAGAAGGTATATAAGCTCCAGAAAACTTTGTAATTTTGAGTTGGTCTGGTGATATTTTCCAGGCCTTCCCCCTGTAACCTGTTACAGAAATAAAAACTCCCTCCTTTCCCAGCTAATCTGCATCTCATTATTGGGCCACAAGAATAAGCAGGCCGACCCTCGGTTTGGTCCAGGAACAACCTTATTTGGAAAAAGAGTCTTTGCAGATGTACTTAAGTTAAAGATACTGAGAAGAGATCATCCTGGGTTAGCCTGGTGGGCCTTAAATCCAATGACGAGGGTCTTTACAAGAGAAAGGCAGAGGGAGATTTGAGACAGCAAAGAGGAAAAGGTCGTGTGAAGACAGAAGCAGAGACTGTGAAGCAGCTATATTGTCTGGGGTATATACCCTGGGGTTCATCGTTGCACACCAGGAAAATTTAGGACACAGACACACACAAGGAGTTTTGGAGCAGAGATTTAATAGGCAGGAGAGAAAGTGGTGTCAGAGCAGAAAAAGAGTGGCTAGGCGGTGAATGCACCAGATTTTATAGTTAGGTTTGAAGAGGCAGTGTTTGATTTACATAGGGTTCACAGATTGGTTTGATCAGGCATGACGTTTAGCTCGAGGGGAAGGCTGATCGCCCCACCCTAATCTTATTATGCAAATAGGCTTTCCAGTTCATCAGTGCCATCTTGTCTGCTCCCTACCATACACGTGGCTGGCAGAGAAGGGAAGATGGAGTCGCCATCTTGAAGATGTCTAGTTCCTAGTTCCTGCTGGCATTCACCTGCGCAGGATCCCAACTTGCTTGCTTATGTCTGCAGTTCGACTTTACAGGCTGCTCTTTGTTAGAAAATGATTTGGGGCTGCTTTTCATTAAAAAGAAAAGCCTTACTGAGGACTCCCATACCCTTACTATCTGCCTAAGTGATTTCTTCTTAACGCCTATATCAATTGGAGTGATGCAGCCACAAGCCAAGGAATGTTTGGAACCACCAGAAGCCCGAAGAGGCAGCGAAGGGTTCTCTCTCAGAGCCTTCAGAGGGATCACGGCCTTGTGGACACCTTGATTTTGGACTTTTGGCCTCCAGACTGACAGAGTAAATTTCTCTCATTTTAAGCCACCATGTTTCTATATTTTGGGGTATAGAAAAATATTGCTCTTCTATAAAGAGAATATAGAGAACATAGAAAATTTTTCTTCTATAAATAAAAATATGGCTTTTCTATAAAGTTAATACATTGGTTTTCTCTTCTGGCTTGAAAACTTGGTTTTAAGATAATTCCCAAAGAGAAAAAAATTTCAGAACTAATTTTAGTGATAGTGTTATTGAAATGTGTCTATTTCTCTCTAAAGTCTACTTAAAATAATTTGTCACCCACATAGTCCATGAGGGTCCAACTAGGAAAATAGAAACCCTTCAGGTATTTATAGGGAAGGAGTTGAATGCAGGAATTTATTATACCAGTGATAGAGGAACTGAGAAGGGTGAACCCGGAAAATCTGAGACAGGTCTCAGTTAATTTAGAAAGTTTATTTTGCCAAGGTTAAGGACACACACCCTTGATACAGCCTCGGGAGGTCCTGACAACATATGGCAAAGGTGGTTGGGGCACAGCTTGGCTTTATACATTTTAGGGAGACATGAGACATCAGTCGATACATGTAAGATGTACATATTTGTTCAGTCAGGAAAGGTGGGACAGCTCAAAGTGGAAAGGGGGCTTCCAGGTCACAGGTAGATAAGAGATACAAGGTTGCATTCTTTTGAGTTTATCTCAGTGAGCAGAGGGATGACTGAAAAGAACAGACGCAGATTTGCCTTAGGCAGTTCCCAGCTTGACTTTTTGGACTTTTTGAGGCCCCAAGATCTATTTTCCTTTCACAGAAGGCAAAAGGAGACAGAGAGGTAACCCAGAGATTAGCAGCCCCAGGAAGCCATGAGCACCCTAGGGAGGTGCCCGAGGATCCCTACAGGAAGCTGGAACCTTGGTGGGCTTCTGTGGGAAGTAGCAGGAGCCGAGGGTACGAGGGTACGCTATCTGAGGCAGAGAGGGAAGAGCAATACTCCAGCCCCTCCCCTCCTCACCCTCTTGTCCCACCCCAGTCCGTCTCGTCGGCTGAACCCAGCCAGCAGCTTCCTGAGGAACTGCCTTGAGGAGACAGGGCAAAGGAAGGGCAAGTGGTGGACTGAGGACAGCCTGCCCAGGACCTAGAGCCTCTCCCGAGAACACATTCTGAAAAGGCTGCTCTGGATGGTGGGATGGCATGCTCCTTCTCTCCCAGAAGACTTGGCAGTGTTTCTCTCTGTTTTGTGTTTCCCTTTCTGTGGCAGACAGGGTAATGGCTCCCTGAAGATGGCCATGTCCTTGTCCATGGAACCTGTGAATGTATTTTCTTATTGGCAAAAGGGACTTTCCTGATGGGATTAAGTGAAGGATTTTGAGATGGGCTTGGTGGGGGGGGATTATCCTGGTTATCTGGGTGGGTCCAATGGAATCACAAGGGGCCTTACAAGAGGGAGGTAGGAGGGCCAGAGATTGAAAAGGACAGGTGACTCAGAAGCGCAGGTTGAGCGAGGCGCTCAGAAGATGGAGAATGGGGCCAGAAGCCCAGGAATGTGGGGGGTCTCTAGAAGCTGAGAAAGGTAAGGACTTGGAAGCTCCTCTAGAACCTCTAGAAAGGGACACAGCCCTGCTGACACCTTAACCCAGTGACACTGGTTGCAGGCTCCTGGCCTCCAGAACTATAAGAGAATACATTTATGTTGGTTTGAGCCAGTAAATTTGTGGTAATTTCTTATAGCAGCAATTAAAAAAAAAAAACGAACATACTTCCCACTTCAAATAGTAGGAGAAAACATCCAACGTTGTTATCTCTCCAGCTGACCGACTGTGCATGTGCACTCACCTTTCCTGTTCATTCATTCCCCAGTGCACCTCTTTAACAGGAGAGTTCCCAGTAAAGTCATATGGCCAAGGAAATAATGGCTGTGATTTCACGCACTCTGAAGAATTACAAGCCATACTATTTTGTAGTAAATGACATTACAATTACTTTGTGTAAAAGTTTGATAATGGTGTTTAATCCAATCCATGCATTCAACAGGTAATCACGCTGGGCTCTGACAAATGACCTTTTTCAACATTTAGGCATAATCGCTTTACTCTGGTGAGCATTACTTTGGTGATATTTATTAAAGCTATAAAATGTCTTATGCTATTACTTGAGTGTCTTCGTTAAATGAAGCAGGCTTGATTCAGATAAATTAAGTGGGAAAGGATATTTTCTAAAATAATAGCTCACGCTTTTGCAATGGTTTTTACAATCTAATTAATGGCACAGCCCCACGGCGGCGACATTACTTTCCTTTTTCTCCATTCTGGGGGCAGGGAAAGAGAAAGAGAAGGCAAAAAAATGAGGAGCCAGATTCCTTTCACACCAAATGATAAAAGACTAATAATAACAATCTAATCATGTAATTTAATGACACAGAATCTATGTTAAGAGAGCGAGTTTGCATACGCTTTTCATTTAGTTCTCACGACCTAATGAAAGAGGCGTGATTAGCAATATTTTGCAGCTAACGCAGTTTAGTCTTGGCAGGTGAAGTTTATCCAGGTGCTAAGCATTCTAGCTGGCGCTCTTAAAGCTAATATTTTAAATACCACATTCAGTTGTTGCTGTGGCTGCTGTTGTTTCCAGCTTGGCTTTCTGTCATTTGGATACCGAAGAACACCTCAAATCAATCCTAATTTATACGTGGTATGCATTTGTTAAATATTTATCACTCTCATGTCTGAATAAATGAATAAAAATTGTCCACTCATCCACTGCACACCTCCAGGCAAGTTCCCTGCTAATTCTTTGCCTGAGCAATGTGTTGCAAAGAGGCAAAACATCTAGTTTGGAAAAGAATGAACGGCTTGAGCTCATTCATTCATTCATTCAGTCCTTCATTGAACACACATCACTGAGGACTTACCAGGAGCCAGACTGTGCTGGTCAGTGGGAGTCACACGTATAGAAAACACAGTACTTCTTTTAGGGGTGTCCAGTGGCCTCTCTATAGTGCCAGGAACCTCAGCCCACTGTGATAGCTTAAATAATACCCTAGACTCACAGAGCCTAGTACTGAAAGGGACCTTGGAGTGAATCCTCATATGAAGGAGGCTACAGCTGACCAGCTGAACTTATGAGTCCCATAGGCCTGGGATCAAATCCTGGGTCTGCTACTTACTAGCTGGACGTCATTTACTGCAGATGCTCACTTGGGGACAATATCAGTACATATTCTGGAGGATTGGGGTGAAGTTTAAATGAAATGACATAAAGTGATTAACTCAGGATCTGTCCAGAGTCAGCACCTGATAAATATTTAACCTGTATTTCACTATCTCTACCATGCTTTTGGTCTGAATGCATTCCCTTCTGTGATTACTGTCTTGCATGTTTAATGTTTGTGCATCGTATCTACTTGTCTATATTGTAGGTGCCTTCAAAACTGGTGAATATACTATGATGTTGAGACTGAATACTTTTTGAAACTATTTAGTATACAGATTCTAGCTCACAAAACTCCTAGCACCATGGCAAGTCCAAGCCCCCATCACATCTTATCAGGTGCCTTCTGTAGCCTCACCTTCTTGCTCCCTGTCTTGCTTGCTAGAGTCTGTCTTCTATGCCAGCATGTCCTTTGGAAACAGCGTAGCCAATCTTGCCTTTCAGTGGCTTTCCATTGCAGTGAAAATGAAACTCGAACTTCTTACCATGCCCTGTGAGGCCCCTGCTGCCTTCTCTGATATCCAGCCTGTCAATTTCCTCTTAGATCTCTCTCTCTCTGGCCACCTCAGCCTCCTTTCTGCTCCTTGAACACACCAAGCCCTTTCCTGCCCCAGGGCCTTTCTGCCTTCTGTTTCCTCTCTGCAGGGTGACCTTCCCAACCTTCCCGTGATGTGCCACCTCCACTCCTCAAAGACAGCACTCTCTGCCTCCTCTCTAAACCCTCATCCTGTGGCATCTCCTTCATGACACTCCTCCCCATGTATTTACTTGTTTAATGTCATCTCCTACACTGGAAGGGAATCTTTTAGAACATTGGTGTCAGGCAAAGTGGCTCATGCCTGTAATCCCACCACTTTGGGAGGCCAAGATGGGAGGATGACTTGAGGCCAGGATTTTGAGACCAGCCTGGGCAACAAAGCATAACCCCATCTCTACAAAAAGATAGAAAAATTAGCTGGGCATGGTGGTGTGCACCTGTAGTCCTGGCTACTCAGGAGGCTGAAGCAGGAGGGTCGCTTGAACCCAGAAGTTCAGGACTTCAGTGAACTATAATGGCACCACTGCACTCCAGCCTGGATGACAGAGCAAGACCCTATCTCGAGAAAATAAAAACAAATTTTTTTGATTTTCCAAAAGAACATTGGCTGCATCATTCACTGCTGCACCCCTGGGGCCCAGAATAAAGCCTGGCACATATTAGGTCCTCAATAAATATCTGCTGAATGAATCCTACACAACAGTGGTTTTTCCCAATTTGAGGTTTGAGGAAACATATTCCTATGATTCAGTAACATTATTCATATCTAATTGTTTAATCGTACATGCGTGAGCTATGACTATTTATCAACAACAATGAAAAGCTAAAAGTTAATGACTGATCCCCCCTCCCACAGACCAGTGGTCCTGTGAACTGCACTGGACAGAGCAGCAAGAAGACATCCGTTTATGCCCCATATTCCCAGCATGCCAGTGGGGAAAAAACATCCTTGAGTCCTGGGATTGCCTGTGGAGAGACTAGGCAGTTAAACGAAACCAGGAAGAATGTCAGGCAAATGAAATCTTAACCCAGAATGGGCAGGGTCTGTAACTTTATAAAAAGGTACAGTGTGTGTCACATTCAACAGGCATGAGGATGTGGCTTCAAGTCTGCCATGTGTTTCTGGGACACCTGAAGATGACTTGAGGGGAAAATGAAGCTCTGCAGTAGGTTCTTAGCACTGATTGTCGGTTTTGGAAACAGATGTATCTGGAACTTTGATTCAGTGGCTGATGTAGAAACATTAGGCTTGGTGGCTCACACCTGCAATCCCAGCACTTTGAAAGGCTGAGGCGAGAGGATTGCTTGAGTCCAGGAGTTCAAGTCCAGCCTAGGCAACATAGTGAGAGCTCATCTCTACAAAATAAGAAAAAATTAGCTGAGCATGGTGGTGTGCACCTCTACTCCCAGCTACTTAGGAAGCTTAGGCGGGAAGATCACTTGGGCCCAGGAGTTGGAAGCTGCAGTGAGCCATGATCACACCACTGCACTTCAGCCTGGACAACAGAATGAGACCCTGTCTCCAATAAATAAATAAACGAAATAAAATACAAGATGCAAGGTAGCTCATGCATTTCCCATGTGAAAGCTGGTTTTGGGGTGGGAAAAAAGTCATACTGTTTTATATCTAAAGCACATATATCCATATGCATTTCATGGGAGGGGTGATTAGGAAAAAAATATCTAAGTGATACCTAGAATTCACCTAACAACAACCCCTAAGAGGTTAAGACTATTTTGATCACTTTATAGATGAGGAAACTGATTCTTGGATAGATTAAAAGCATGCACTCAAGTTCACCCAACTGCAAGTCTGGGAGCAGGGACTATAAGCTCCAAAGTACCATATGGTTCCAAAAGGTTTTTTTCATAAAAACCTTAGTAGGTGCTTAGGCTCACTCATTGCTGCTGGAATACCTTGCTCACAGAGTGTTAAGCAAAACTGGGAGCTGAGTGTTCTTCCAACTTCCTGTCAGGAGGATTTCCAACATGCCAAGGGTCCCAGATCCCCCCACTGGAAACATATCTGAGACCTCCCGTTATGTCATTAAGTGTCCTCCTATGAGGACCTGAGGTGATGAGGCCCAGAGGAACTAGACCAATATAACAAAGCACCAAAGGGAGATTGAAAGGAAAACAAGACAGAAATGAAAGAACGCAACCATCAGGCTTCCTAACACAGGTGTCTGGGCCCATGAAGGATAATGAATCCCAGATCTGCCCTGATGCACTGCATGACCTGGACAAGTTACTTGACCTCTCTGAGCCTCAGTTCCCTCATGTGGGAGAAGGGTATGAGAACTAGTGAGATACTCTATAAGAATGGCCTCCCAGCCTCTGCTAGAGAAGATGTTAATATCTAGTCTGTAAGAATGGCCTCCCAGCCTCTGCTAGAGAAGATGCTAATATCTAGTTGTATTAGTCCGTTTTCATGCTGCTGATAAAGACATACCCGAGACTGGGAAGAAAAAGAGGCTTAATTGGACTTACAGTTCCACATGGCTGGGGAGGCCTCAGAATCATGGCAGGAGGTGAAGGGCTCTTCTTACATCACAGCAGCAAGAGAGAACGAGGAAGAAGCAAAAGCGGAAACCCCTGATAAACCCAGCAGATCTCATGAGACGTATTCACTACCATAAGAATGGCACAGGAAAGATGGCCCTCATTATTCAATTACCTCCCCCTGTGTCCCTCCCATAACACATGGGAATTCTGGGAGATACAATTCAAGTTGAGATTTGGGTAGGGACATAGCCAAACTATATCACCAGTCTATATGAATGCCCACCCCCCCACCACAGCCTCTGCTAGAGAAGATGCTAATATCTAGTCTATAAGAATGATCCCCCACCACAGCCTCTGCTAGAGAAGATGCTAATATCTAGTCTATAAGAATGCCCCCAGCCACAGCCTCTGCTAGAGAAGATGCTAATATCTCCATGCCTGCTCTGCCATACTTTGAAATAAATGTGTTTTTTTTCCCCAAGAGTTATTCCACTTCATTCCAATGTTTGGTATATACCAAAATGACTCACTGAGTGAGGGGAAAAAACCCACTGAGCCCCAGTGTAAACACAAAGGACCATTGGTGACCACAAAACCACTAGTTGGGTAAAGAACAAATCCAGGGAGAATGATAAAATCATGCAAAACATTACACTGTTTCCAACACTCATAAATACTTTAAGAGCCTCTATTTACATACAATTGGCACGATAATTTCTAATTATCCTTCCCCACTCATTAAAGCACTTCTCTTAAGAGCCTTTCTTCAGCTACCTTTTTTAGTTATTTATACCCCATATACTTGAACATAATTAAGTTCTACTTTTTAACATACAGGAAATAAAAAAAACTCCCTGTTACTGATGTTGAGTGTTTTTGGTGTTGTCATTCACCACCTGGATTTGCTATTTTCTCACCTCTCCCTTTGCTCGGTTCTTACATCCCCTATGCTTAGGAGGCAGTGGGGATGGGTAGAAATGCCCACTCCTGGTGGAGTCAGAAGGAAATGGAGGTGAATCCTACTGTTGCCCCTTCCTGGCTAGGTGAACTTGGAAACTTAAACTCTTTGAGCCTTGGTTTTCTTATCTGTGGAACAGAAAAAGTGATTCCTGATGTGAGAATTAAATAAGATCTTGTTTGCTGTAATAATTAGCATTCTTGATAGCAGGTAGCAGAAAGCTCAGCTTAAATTGACAAAAAAAAATAGTATTAGTTTATGAAGCACAAATAATTCAGGGATATATGATGCCAGTCACTCTGTTAGAGTAGGCAGATAGATAGACATAAGCAGGAAAGGCAGCCCTGGAAACCTTGCTCCACTAACAGCCAAAAACACAACAGCCGCATCTGGACTTACTGTTAGGCTTAATCTGGCCCTAACCAGGACTTATCTGACCCTAACAGGAGAGAGTTTAGTAGGGACTTTCCCTAGTAGCAAGCATGTGCAATTTGATTTGGCTTGCCCCTAAAGTAACCTTTCCTCATTATAATAGTAAAAAACATGCCCCTGGGTGGAGATTTAATATACTCATGAGACACATGGGGTATATACTAGTATGTACACCACAGAGCACGCACACCCAGAAGACCACTCTAAACATGCTTACTAGTAACACCCGTTCACACCCCTTTCATGAATAATCATGTAAGACCCCCATAAAGAAAGCCTCCTTCATGCCCATTGGAGCTGTCTCATGCTCTTGAGCAGACTGCTCTGACCCAGCTTTCAGAGAGTACTGTCCCTTTAAATAAACTCTGCTACTGTGTAACTCTTGCCGCATGTGTCTCTTGGCTGAATTCATTCCTCCAAGAGGACAAAAACAGAGAACCCCCACTTCGCAGTAAGAACTCCACTGATAATGTCAGCAAAGGATGCCCCTCACAAATGAGGTGGGACAGAAAGGAGGACTGTGACAGGCCTTGGTTATGTGAGGCTTCCCCACTTATTACATATTCCTTTGGGCCTGAAGACTCACTATGTGCCCACCCTCCGTGAATATCGAGGAAAAATGGTTCTTTCGGTACTTAATTCAGTTGTTGGAAAAATTTAAAGTGTGTTTTGAAAAATTTCGATATGCGATTCTACTTTTTCAACTTTTATTTTAGATTCAGGTACATGTGCAGGTTGGTTACCTGAGTATATTGTGTGATGCTGAGGTTTGGAATATGAATGATCCCATCACCCAGGTACTGAGCATAGTATACCCAATAAGTAATTTTTCAACCCTTGCCCCTCGGCCTCCCTGCCCACTCTAGCTGTCCCCAGTGTCTATTGTTTCCATTTTTGTGTCCATGATCACCCAGCATTTAGCTCTCACTTATGATCACCAAATAGCTCTCATGCGGTATTTGGTTTTCTGTTCTTGCATTAATTCACTTAGGATGAGGGCCTCCAGGTGCATCCATGTTGTGGCAAAGGATATGATTTTATTCTTTTTTATGGCTGCATAGTTTTCCATGGTGTGTATGTACCATAGTTTCTGTATACAGTCCACTCTTGATGGGCACATAGGCTGATTCCATGTCTTTGCTATTGTGAATGATGCTGCAATGAACATGCAAGTACATGTGTCTTTTTGGTAGAATGATTTTTTTTCTTTTAGCTATATCCCCGTTAATGTGACTGCTGGGTCAAATGGTGGTTTTGTTTTAAGTTATTTGATAAATCTCAAAACTGCTTTCCACAGTGGCAGAACTTATTTACATTCCCAGCAATAGTGTCACAAAAATCCTCAACAAAATACTAGCAAACTGAATCCAACAGCACATCAAAAAGTTACCACAATCAAGTAGGCTTCACTTCTAGGATGCAAGGTTGGTTCAACATATGCAAATCAATAAATGTAATTCACTACATAAACAGGATTAAAAGCTATATGATCATCTCAACAGACATGGAAATCTTTCAATAAAATCCAACATCCCTTTGTGATAAAAACCCTCAAGAAACTAGGCATCAAAGGAACGTAATTCAAAATAATAAGAGCCATCTCTGAAGAAACCACAGCCAACATCATACTGAACAGGCAAAAACTGAAAGCATTCCCCTTGAGAACTGTAACAAGACAAGGATGTCCACTCTCACCACTCCAATTCAACAGAGTATTGGAAGTGCTAGCCAGAGAAATTGGCAAGATAAAGAAATAAAAGCCATCCAAATAGGAAAAGAAGAAGTCAAACTATCTTTCTACATGGATGACATAATTCTATACCTAGAAAACCCTAAAGATCCTGCCAAAAGGCTCCTGGAACTGATAAATGACTTTAGTAAAGTTTTAGGGTACAAAAATAAATGTACAAAACCAGTAGCATTTCTAGACAACAATAATATTTAAGCTGAGAACTAAATCAATAATGCAATTCTGTTTACAATTGTCACTAAACATGAAATACCTAGGAATACATTTAACCAAACAGGTGAAAGATCTCTATGAGGAAAACTACAAAACACTGCTAAAAGAAATCACAGGTGACAAAAACAAATGGACAAATATTCCATGCTCATGGATTTGGAAGAATCAATACTGTTAAAATGGCCATACTGCCCAAAGCGATCTACAGATTCAAGGCTATTCCTATCAAACTACCAATGTTATTTTTTACAGAACTAGAAAAAACTATTCTAAAATTCATATGAAAGAAAAAGCCCAAATAGTCAAAGCAATCCTAAACAAAAAGAACAAAGCCGAGGTCATCATGCTACCCGACTTCAAGATATACTATAAGGGTACAGTAACCAAAATAGCATGGTACTGGTACCAAAACAGACATGTAGACTGATGGAACAAAACAGAGAACCCAGAAATAAAGCTATACACCTACAGCCATCTGATCTTTGAAAAAGTTGACAAAAATTGGCAATGGAAAATGACTCCCTATTCAATAAATAGTGTGGGATAGCAGGCTAGCCATATGCAGAAGAATGAAACTAAACCCCTACCTTTCACCATATACAAAAATTAATTCAAGATGAGATGCAAAGGTATAAGAATGATATAATGGACTCTGGGGACTCGGGGGAAAGTGTGGGAGGGCGGTCAGGGGTAAAAGACTACATATTGGGAACAGTGTATACTGTTCGCTTTATGGGTGCACAAAAATCTCAGAAGTCACCACTAATGAACTTATTCATGTAACCAAAAACTACCTATACTCTAAAAACTATTGAAATAAAAAAATTAACTCAAGATGGATTAAAGAATTAAATGTAAAACCCCAAACTGTAACAATACTAGAAGAAAACAGGAAGCATCATTCTAGACATTGGACATTGGCCTTGGGAGACATTGACTAAGTCCTCAAAAGCAATTGCAACAAAAACAAAAATTAACAAGTGGGACCTAATTAAACTAAAGAGCTTCTGCACAGCAAAAGAAACTATCAACACAGTAAACAGACAACCTCTAGAATGGGAGAAAATATTTGCAAAGTATCTGACAAAGGTCCAACATCCGGAATTTATAAGGAACTTAAACAATTGAATAAACACAAAACAAATAACCCCCCATTAAAAATGGGCAAAATATATGAACAGATACTCCTCAAAAGAAGAAACACAAGCAGTTAACAAACAAAAAAATGCTTCACATCGCTAATTATTAGAGAAATATAATGAGATACTATGTCACATAAGTCAGAATGTCTATTATTAAAAAAGTCAGCAGGGTATGGTGGTTCATGCCTATAATCCCAGCACTTTGGTAAGCTGAGGTTTGAGGATCACTTCAGCCCAGGAGATTGACACCAGCCTGGGAAAGATGGCAATACCTCATTTCCACAAAAAAAAAAAAAAAAAAAAAAATTAACTAGCTGGGTGCAGTGGCACACACCTGTAGTCTCAGCCACTTGGGAGGCTGAGGTGGAAGGATCCCTTGAGCCCAGGAATTCAAGGTAGCAGTGAACTATGATTGCGCCACTGCACTCCAGCTTGGGCTGGGCGGCAAAGCAAGACCCTGTCTCAAAAAAAAAAAAAAAAAAGTCAAAAACCAACAGATGCTGGCAAGGCTGCAGAGAAAATGGAAATTTTATGAACTGCAAATACAGATAACGTATTTTTGATGAAAATTTAGTGTTATAAGTATAAACTATTATAAGTAAGAAATGTGCCACTATATATTATACTGTATGTATAAAATTCACCATTGTATTTCAAAGTCTTAGTACAAGGAAAAGTGAAATATTTCAATAATTTTAATACTGATTACATAATAAAATGTGGAATATCTCGATGTTTGGGTTGAATTGTGTCCTCCCAAAATTTATATGTTGAAGTCCTAACCCCCAGTACATCAAAATGTGACTGTATTTGGAAATAGAGTCTTTGCAGATGTAATTCAGTAAGATAAAGTCATACTGGAGTAGGATGGGTTCCCACTGTAATAGGACTGCTGTGCTTTTTAAAGAATGCCCAGTGAAGAGAAAGAGACACATACAGACAGAGACCATGTGGAGACACAGGGAGAACACCATTTACAAGCCAAAGAATGATGAAGGCTGCCAGCAAGCCACCAGAAGCTAGGGAGAGGCATGGAACAGATTCTCCCTCATAGCCCTCAGAAGGAAACAACACCACTTGGATCTTGATCTTGGACTTCTAGCCTCCAGAACTGCAGGAGAATACTTTTTTGTTTGTTTGTTTAAGTCACTTAGTTGGTGGTACTTTTTTATGGCAGCCCTAGCAAACTAATGCACTTGGGTTAAATAAAATGTATTACTAAAGCGAATTTCACCTTTTCTTTTTTTACTTTTAAAAAATGTAGTTAATAGGTTTAAAATTTTATATGTAGCTTGCACTTTTTTTCTATACAATAGCACTTTTCTAGGGGAAAAGTACAGATACTATAAGCACCGAAGACAAGGAGACCTGGCCTACTTAGGGAATTCAGGAAAATCTTCTCCCAAAGACATGAGATTTAAATGGAGATTTGTGTGGTGTGTGTGTGTGTGTGTGTGTGTGTGTGTGTGTGTGTGTGTGTGTAACAGACTCTCGTTCTGTCGCCCAGGCTGGAGTGCAGTGGTGCAATCTCGGCTCACTGCAACCTCCACCTCCCTGGTTCAAGCAATTCCCCTGCCTCAGCCTCCCGAGTAGCTGGGATTACAGGCGCCCGCCACCACACCCGGATAATTTTTTTGTATTTTTAGTAGAGACGGGGTTTCACCATGTTGGCCAGACTGACCTCGAACTCCTAACCTCAGGCAATCCACCCGCCTCAGTCTCCCAAAGTGCTGGGATTACAGGCATAAGTCACCGCGCCTGGCCTAGATGGAGATCTTGAGATTCATTAGGGTTTAAGTGATGGAATAAGGTGAGTGAGATGTGGAAGGGCAAAGAGCTCCAGGCAGAGGAAAGGGTTTGTACAAAGACACAGGCAGGAAAGAGCATGGCCCTTGCCTGAACTCCTGTTTGCCCACAACAGCTGGCCAAAAGTTGTCTTTCAACTGCTAGTGGGTGCTAACTACTCCCTGCAATCCCACCCCTGACCGCTCAGGGGCGCTGTAGCACAAAACCGCGGCACGCAGTTGTAAAGAAGACTCAAAGACAACAGCTTCTGGGGAACATCGTGTATAATTGAAAGCTTAGAGTAAATAATCTAATTATTTACAGCTGTAAATAATTCAGGCACACTTGGAAGATAAGATGAGCCTATTACCAAATTGAACAATTTCAAGTTACTAAAACACTCCCTAGGCATCACTCAAACGACACATCTCCAGTTTACCCCCATTAGCCAGTGGTGGCTGTGACTTTCAGGGTGTTCTTTTCATGCTAGGCAATAGGACCAGTTTTTACTGGGTTATCAGAGACAACAACTCCAACAACCCTGCAAGAATTTACCATGGTACCCACAGGATTCCAATCTTCGTGCCCAGAAGAGGAATACCCCCTCCACCCTAACACAGGGTGTGAACCCAGTGCTCTGAGCTGAGAGCGTGGATGAGGCTGTGCTCAAGAAGATGACAGAATGAAAGCAAGGACAGAGAGAAGGAGATTCGTGTATTCATTTCCAAGTTAAGCCCTGCTGCCTTAAATATATCTGGTTTCTTAACTGGGAAGGAAATTTCCTCTACACTTTGAAAAATGGAAATGCATTGGTTAGCACGAGAAGAACATCTTTGAGGCAATCTATTTTTGAATGCAATCTAATTCCTCTCTACCCCCGTGCTCCATTGAAAATTTGAACCATTGGAAGTCTCTATTGCACAATGTTTTCATTCATTCATTCATTTATTCACTTAACCCATTTGTGGAGCCCAGAGAGGTTAGTGGTTAAGGTTACAGAGACAATTAGTGACAGAGTCTATCGTTTTTGTCTGAAGCCTCATTCCCTATAATGAAAGCAGGATTTTTTTCTCTGTGTAAGAGACAGGGTCTTGCTATTTTGCCCAGTCTGGTCTTGAACTACCAGGCTTCAGGCAATCCTTTCGCCTCAGCCTCCCAGCTAGCTGGGACTACATGTGTGCTCCACCATGCTCAGCTAAGGAAGCAGAATTTAAGAAGCCAAACTTCAAACTATGACAGGAATAATCTTGACCTAGACCAGATTTCTGAATGACTCCAGGGGCTTGGAGACCTTTTGGTCCTCCCTGATTTCCCTTTGTATGGCTTGTCCTTTTCATTAATGCTTATCCCAGGTGCTCCAAAATCCAATGCTGTCTAGGAAACTTCCACACTGTGGGGATGCTGGGATGAACATGGGTCCTTTCTTTATTCTTTCATTTATTCATCTAATGAATATTTGAGAGACTCTGCTGCACCAGGGACTGGGCTGAGCCAGGAAACCATAAGAGTGAACCAGGCATCATGGGCTCTGCCCTTGGGCTTCTTCAGGAACATGCAGTTTCAATGCCATCCACTCATCCACTCGTTCTGCAGTAGGAGCTTTTCTAGGCCTTTGGGATTGAGCAGAGAACAAGACAGGCAAGGTCTCTGCCTCTGTAGAAGTCACATTCTAATGAGGCAAACAAACATTAAACAAATGTGTGAGCAAGCAATATGTACTACGTTGAGTAGTGGGAACTGCTTACAAAGAAAAAGCTACGTGCACAGATGGAAGGTGATGGAGGTCCCATTTTAGATGAGGTGGGCAGGGAAGGCTTTGCTAAAAATGGGACCTTTTAGAAAAGATCTGAATAAAGCCAGGGTAAGCTGTTGCTGAGTGAAGATGAATAATGGGCTCTTATTCCTGCCAAGGGCGAAATTAACAATGGAAGAATCTTGTGGGGTCTCGGTCCCTGCAGCACCTGAGTGGGGGTCTTCCTGGCATCCCCCTGTCTGCTCCCCCTGGCCTAATGATGTTGTGTCTGAAGTTGCTCAATGTCCTCTTCTGCTGACGGCAGTGCAGCCAGGGGACTGTAGAGATCCAGCTGGAATAGTCAAAGTCAGAGTGACAGGAAGGAGGCTCGCCACACGAGATCGCATCCCTCCTGCCTCCTGAGAGTTCTTCATCCGTTGAGGAGAGAGGAGTGTTATTTCCCAGAACTGCGTGATCAGAACCTAATTATCCTTGGAGCCATGAGTTTGAGCAGTGGGATTCCTGTCACCTGGCACTGGGAAATGGGTCAGCTGCCAGTACAGAATGTGCTGCTCTTTTGAAGTGGGCAGCCTTGCCAGGCATGTGCCACAGGGCTGGTCCACTCAACTTTGGTACAGGAACACTTGGAGACAACTCAACACACCTATGCTCAGCACCTTATTATAAAAGAAACCATGGACACCTAATTTCCTACACAGAGAACAGTGATCTTGTCCTATTACTTACTCCCCCAAAGGCACCTGCCCTCACCAAACCCAGTGGGCCCCTCTAAGTCCTCCACCTTCTCAGTCCCAGCACATGACAGCACTGGAGGCTGTTTCCGTGTCACTCCCCTCTTTGCATCAGGACAATGCCCATCTTCTTTCAGCTTCTACCTTCTGGCCCCTTCTCCCCCAAAGCCCACAAGCATTATAACATGCAAAGCTCTGGGCTCATGAGGTCTGGAGCTCCCACATGGAGACGTGAGACACAGAGATGTTCAGTCGATTTATCCAAAGCCCAGCACTTGGTCCAGGGCAGAACCAAGCCCCAGGCTCTTCCCTCTACTCAAGGGCACCTCCATCCTCTATTCTGCCCTTTGCTTTCTCTTTCACTGGATTTGGTCTTCTCTGCAGCTTCTTAAGGGGTGCAAAGTAAGGGAAGTTCCATCCTCAGCCTGTTCCTTCTCAGCCAGGGCACCCTTGCTCCATGAAAACTCAACAGATTTGATTCAAGTCAGCAGCCTGTGAAAGGCCAGAGCCCTGCCCATGATTTCTGCAAATTTTCCGTGATTAGGTTCTCAGGGTTCCTCTGCCTGGGCCCCTGTTCCAGGTACACAGTCTCTGTTTCACCCAGTGTGGGGCCTGAAATGAAGGCTGCTTTGCTGACTTTCACAATAAAAGTCATATTATTATTCGTTCAGATCATGTGTGCTTTTGGTAGTTTTTCCAAAGGCTAGGGAGTCAAGAGAAAGAACTTATAGCTAGCAGAGCCTTCCTTGTCTCTCTCCATCTTTGCTCTGCTCTCTCTCTTCCTATTTCTCCAGCCCATTTGCACCCCCAGCAAAACAGATTCTGCTCTTCTGCTACAAGACAGCATTGACATCTCACGCCCGTGGTATTTTTCCAAAGAGACCCACTGCTCTCCTTGAGTGAATAAACAGGTCTCCACCTCTAAAACTAGCAATGATCTCTCCCTCTCTCTCTCCAGAACTCCTTTCTAACTGCAACCTCTTGTCTGCATTTTAAATTCAAATTTCCAGCTGGCCTCTGGGCATGTCCACCTAAATGTTCCACAGACCACCCAGGGGTGACTGACCACTCTTCTCCACTCCAGAACATCTCCTTCTCTTCATCCTCATCCTGCTGTGTGTCCTCCCTGGCTAATGGTGGTGTCGGCCTCACATCCACCCATGTTAGCAGATCGTGTAAGGCTGGGAATAGGTTTTCAAGTTACATCATCTGACTTTGAAAACTGAATCTTCCACTGCCTGTGCAACCTTAGGCAAATTACTTCATCTCTCTGAGCCTGAGAACCTTTACCTATACATTGGGAATACTAATACTGATATGGTTTGACTGTGTCCCCACCCAAATCTTATCTCAAAGTGTAGCTCCCATAATTCCCTCATGTTGTAAGAGGGACCCAGTGGGAGATAATTGAATCACGGGGTTGGTTTCTCTCATACTGTTGTTGAGGTAGTGAATAAGTCTCACGAGATCTGATGGTTTTATAAGGGGAACCCCTTTCACTTGGCTCTCATTTTCTTCTCTTGTCTGCCGCCACGTGAGATGTGCCTTTCACCTTCTGCCATGATTGTGAGGCCTTCCCAGCCACGTTGAACTGTGAATCCATTAAACCTCTTTCTTTTGTAAATTGCCCGGTCTCAGGTATGTCTTTATCAGCAGTGTGAAAATGGACTAATACAAATACCTCCTGGGCAGAACTGTTTCAAGTCTTAGGTAGGATAAACTCACACAAAGTGTGTGGCACATAATAGGCACTAGAAAAGTGTTAGCTATTATTTTTGCTGTCATTAATCAGTGGCTTTGCTCATTCCATTCCATGCAAAATGTCTCTCTCCTGGTATCTGTCTACTTAGGTCCTACCCATTCTTCATGGCCCAGCTCCAATGTTAACGATCCTGGAAAGCCAATTTGACCTTGCAAATTAGAAGCAATCACTACCTCTTCTATACATTTATAGTCCTCTGCATTATCAACCCCTGTGAGGCAGTTAATTTATAAGGAAAATGGGCTGACACAGTGGCTCACCCCTGTAATCCCAGCACTTTGGGAGGCTGAGGCAGGAGGATTGCTTGAGGCCAGGAAGTTGAGGCTGCAGTGAGCTATGATTGTGCTGCTGCACTCCAGTCTGGGCAACAGAGCAAAACCCTATCTCACAAAAACAAAAAAAAAAACAAAAAAAAAAAAGCAAGAAAGAAAGAGAGAGAAGGAAAGGAAGGAAGAAAGGAAGAAGAAAAAAAGAAAGGAAGAAAAAAGAAAAAGAAAGAGAAAGGAAGGAAGGAAGGAAGAAAGGAAGGAGAAAAAGAGAAAAATTACTGCTAAAAGTCTCTTGGGTCCAGCCAGAAAGACCTGAAGTTTTTCTGTGACTTTTACTGAGTTTCTCTCAGTTTTTGTCAACTAATCAAGCCCAAATGTCTTTCTTTTCCACAGCAATTGTCCCAAGCTTTCTTGGATTTCTTCAGTTATTTTCACATCGTATTTATATCTGTTGTGGAAGTGTAAGCCCTCGGAGAGGAGGTTATAAGCCTCAGGAATATTTGTAGCTTCAACCCTTACTCAGGGTTTGCCATTTTCAAGGAACTCAATAGATATAGATTGAAAATGCTCAATAGATGTTTATTGAATTAGCTAGTGAAGTAGGAAAGAATAAATTTCAATAAGAAGCAGTTTTGAACTCCTGTTAAGCAGTGAATTTCTAGGGAGAAATCACTGTAAATATTCTTTTGGCTCCAGAAAGTCCTGGACATATGTAACAGCTTTGACTGAGATCCTCTGAACTCATGTCCCCTGATCAAGCCCAAATGTCCTTCTCACCATTTGTAGCAGACCTGGAGAATCGCAGCTCAGATCTCTTCATGAAAGGACTGGCTGCCCAGGGGCTGAGAGCGTGCTTAGCTCACCGTCTCCAGCTATTAGCCCCTCTGGATTCTCCTCAGCATGCAGGGAGCAAGGGAACCCTGGTCCTGTAACTAAGCAAGGCCACGGTACAAGGGCCCAGCCTCTTCCCCTGGATGTGGGACTCCTCCCGCAAGCAATCTCTGCTTCGGAGCTCACTGCTGGGCTGGTAGGGACTTTATCCAGTCTGCGGTGCTACTCCTCTTTCTCTTTTAACAGTGTTACTTCCTAATGAGGGTTTTGCACTGTCAATACCAGCTCAGCCTCTCCTTTCCAAAGATCCCAAAGAGCACACCTCTGCAAACCAGTGTCTCCAGGGAGCTTGGAAAGACCCGGGAGGAAGACTGACCTCATTTTCCAGGAGCAGTGCTCATTTACAGCAGGTGAAGAAACATAGAATACTGAGCTGATCTGACAGCATCAGTCGTATGGCCATCAGACACCTTGTCCAGTGGCCTGGGCTGCCCATACAGCAGAAGGACACCCAGAGTCCTTTGATTTTGCTGGGGGAATCCAGCTATAATTACATTTTCCAAAATATGATACTGTAGTAAAATGGATCAAAGAGAATGCTGTTCTCATGGCAAACTTCTTGATTTCCCAAATGAGTCTAAACATGGCATTATTGATGAATCCTGTTATTTTTCTCAGAGGAT
The DNA here is from genome assembly GCF_000001405.40 of Homo sapiens. Taxonomy (NCBI): domain Eukaryota; kingdom Metazoa; phylum Chordata; class Mammalia; order Primates; family Hominidae; genus Homo; species Homo sapiens. The sequence continues at coordinate 25,040,002 of NC_000004.12, read as the reverse complement.
AAAAGATAAAAATAAATTGGGCTGTCTTGGATTGTACTCTCCAGGAAGCTGCCATGGCTCATACTAGAGTGGGGACGAATGTGTAAGAGGCTGGGCAGGTTTTCCAGCTGGACTTTTGCTGGTCTGGAGGCTCCAGGATTATCCCTGATATCCAAGGGTGACTATGTCTTTTCTACTCTCTGCCCTTGTCAACGTCCAGTGATTCTCTCTTGGCTCTTGGGAAAGCTTGACTCTTGCCAGGTCTAATTTGGATCAAGGAGGAATTTGCAGACGGCTTCCATTCTCCATGCCCCCTTTTGCACTCAGCTGGTGCCTCAAGGGATATTTGGACAGGTTCATCACGGAATTCATGTGTGTCTGCAAGTCATCAAGCCTCTGACCCTGGATGTGGGACTCCTCTGAGGGCCTGAAGAATGGTCATATTCAATATTGCTTTTGAATGATATTCCAACATCAAAGAGATGCCTTCAAATAATTTGGAGTTAGCTGGTGGAAGGAATGATAAGGCTTCTGCCTTCTAGAACTTTGTGGAAAGCGTTGATATTCTTTTTCCCTCTTCAATATTCTCCAATAGCTTTGTTGATAGAATAGGACAACTCCATCTACTATAGTCGATGACATGATCACATTGGCTGCCTGATCACATAACCTATCCAAGCCTCAGTTTCTTCCTCTGAAAAATTCTGTTCTGGGTTATGTGAGCTGCAATGGAGATAATAGAGATGAAAAGACCTTGTAACCTAGAAAACTGCTAGATGAACATCAGATAATATTATTGTAAACTTAAGGGCTACTTGACTTCTCCTTCCAGGGAAGGTAAATATCCCAACATAGGGATGCTGGAGGTAAGAACTCTCCCAGAAGTTTATGTATAGCAGAAGGCAACCCTTTGTCTGACATGAGCTAAGACAGTCTGCTGGGGACAGACTTGGGATTTACAACTGTCCTCTCCTTGAAATGACTGCTCCTGTGTGTCAGCATTTGGGCCAACAGACACACCCCCTTGCCCTTCCTTAAGTGATAGATCACCCACTCTCCCACCAAATTAGCAGTCTTCAGGAGCCACATAAATTCTAGGCTCCAATGTCCTTGTAACAATCGAGAACAAAGAGTCATGAGGTTTATTTAACGGTTGGAGATTTATCTCAGCACAGTGGCGGGTCTGGCCTTGTCCTGGTGGAAGGGCAGTGGTGATAGAGTATTGCTAGAGTCTCCCCCAACTTGTCCTTGGGCTGGGCTCCCAAGACACTGCCTAATGGCCTGGGGGCTGCTAATCCCAGAGTGCAAGAGGTACACCTGGAATTGTTGCATGTGCGGGGCAGGCTGAAGGCAGCAAGAGTCGCCTTGTTCACCAGTGGACTCCCACAGTCTAGCACGGCGCCTGTCCATGGGAGCTGCTCAGGAAATGCTTGCTGAACAATTAAACTAAGCTCCCCAGCTTTCAGAGAAATTCACGGGTACTGTCTCTTGGGACTGTGGAAAGTGTTGGAGAAAAACTAAAACATTTCTGAGGTTCTAGGAGACAGTTTTGACATAGAAGAGTTTTATTTTCTTGGTACATTTTAAGCTTCTTGAGGAGACTATCTCTATCTTCTCTTATTTACCTATATCTATCTGTCTGTCTACTGTCTGTCTATCATCTATCTATCTATCTATCTATCTATCTATCTATCTATCTATCTATCTATCTATCTATCATCTAGCTACCTAATCTATCTGTCCATCCATCCATGTCCATACCCATATCTTATCCATATCCATATCTACATCTATAGTGATTTGTGGCTCTCAATAAACACGCAGAGACCAACTAGCTAACCATTTAGTTAACTAATTTGTACTGCTTATAAGAATGTTCACATTTTTCAACTGACTTCACCCTTCAAGCAATCCAAGCTGATGTGCATTGTCCTCTCCCATTTGCAGAAGAGGAAATCAAGGCCTTAGAACTGGTGAAACTGAGATTCAAATCACGCCATGCAACAACACAGGCCATGCTCCTCCACTGCACCACCTTCTTGGTTGGTGAGCTTTGGAAAGGGAGGCATGGGAGTGAGTTCTGAAGATGAGCTATGCCTGCTTGTCTTCTGAGCAACTCTTCCTATAAGATGTAGGTGAAGCGAAGAGGAGAGACCCACAGCCAGGCCCGTAGGTAGCAGTGGAATCTTTTGTCCATGTTCTGATTTTGGGAACTCTGAAATTCCCTCCATGGTGATTAGTTTAAGTCTGAGAGCTACGTTCAAACACAAACATCCCTGGGAAGTCTAACCCAATAAGCAAGCAGTCATGGGGTTAAATGTGGATGCATTTCGGACACTTTTCCCAGAAGACATTGTGATGTGAGCTAGGGTGGGTTGAACAGAGGGCATCAGATCACAGAGTAACTCAGATGCTAAAGAACAGAAAAATTATAAATCCCAAATATATTTAATTTAGCCTTGATTAAAATTAGGTTGAGACCAGAGGCCACAGTCTTGAATAGCAAAAATCTTGAGAGGATATAAGACCTTTCAGAATGCAAAGCGTTGGATTAACCATGGTTTGTGGATAAGAGAAGAGCTTAGAGGATATTTACAGACCCCTTATTATAAATTTAAGTTAAATCTCTGCTTATTCCACAACTCGTTCGTCTAACGTAGAATTTCTGCTAAGTCTGTTTGCTAAGAAGAGCAAAGAGATTTCCCATAAAGTTATTATGTTACTTGTAAACTTGAGACTGAAAGTTTGTTATATAGAAAACTGTGCTTGTCTTAGGGGGTTGACTTTACTCACAGACTCACTCTCTGTGACCTCACAGATGTACTTCTCATCCACTCAACCCAACTAAAAGACTGGGCACATTCTCCTAGAACTAGGAACACAGATAAAGGCATTCTGTCTTGTAAACATAAAGTGTAAAAGAAAAAAGCATAATAAAAGATTCTGATTAACTTTTTTGCACAGTGCAGAATTGCAGAATAAGTAAAAGAAAACAATGATGAAGATAAAAGCATGTAGTAATAAAACAGAAAACCAAGATAGAATACAGAAAAGCAACAAAGGCATAACTTGACTCCTGGAGAAAACTAATAAAATCAACAAAACTCTGACAGTATTGATCAAGAAAAAAAGAGATGACATAAAGGGGAGAGGAGCAGAATTTCAAAACCCCCTTAACAAAGAGGATGGAAAGAACATTATGAAATTGGGGAGAGAGAGAAAAAGCCCTGTCAAGGGGTTTTGTTAGCCCTGGTTGTTCCAGTTGGGTGGTGTGTTTATCTCTAAACCACTCAGTGTGGCTGGGAGAATGGAATATTCTGGAATGCTCTAGTCTAGATGACGTGTATACTTCTGGGAGATGAAGGTATTCATCAAGTGAGCCACACAGACTGAACACTGAGGAGGAGTGATTCTCTCCAAAGCAAAGTCATGCCCTGTTGTCATGAGAAGGGGAAGCTGGTACAGGGTAACAAAAATCCCACAGGCACATTACACTGGTGATGGGGAGGAGGTAACAAAGGTCACCAGAAACCAATGCCAGGGTCCTGAGGGCCTTTGGGCTGATTTAGGAATCTGAGTAAGATATCCAAAGGTAGCTCTTCAAGAACATGATGCAATCTAAGAGGCCAATCAGGGATAGGTTCCGAATGAGTTCCAGACTTGTGACACCCACTGAGTTTATGAAGAAAACAAATGGTGGGAAGCCAGAAACAGGATCTACATTTGGTCAGCAGCCAACCACAAGAATAGCCTATTGGGGTGATGTGGTCAAGAAGGGATTGACATACTCCATGATTTTAAAAAAATGGACAAGAACTTTTTTCTTTTTCACCCCAAGGAATCTAATTTGTAGCCATTCAAGCCAAGTACCCTTGAGGTTTGGATGAATAATTTTGCTTTAGTTGTTACAGCAAGCATCAGAGTTGGAAGTATTAGACATTAGTGGAGGCTTTCCAAAGCTTCTATCTCTGGTGAGAAGACCAGGTAGGGTGTGGAGATAAAGTTAGCTTGGAAAACGGGGAGTAGGAGAAGAGAGGGAGGATAAGCAGCCTGATGAGGTATCTGAGATTCTTACAAGATTCACAGTTTGGTGTAGAGTTTACAGCCTATTTTTGGTCTTAAAATGGAATCCCCAAACTGTGATATTCTTAGTCACATTCTTCTGTAAGATTTCTATTGCTTCTTACTGACTGCACCTGAGAGATATCGTCCCTCTAATGTCTGTATTTCTGAAATATCATTCATTCATTCAATCAACCAATGTTACATTGAGGGCTTATCAAGAGAGAATCAAGGATTAGCCTATGGTCTGAAGATTTCCCATCCACCTCCACCCATCTCCCCCTTCCCATCCTGACTGGCCTTCTAGCTGACAGCTCAACATCTGCACATGGATGCCTCATGGACATTTAAAACTCAACATTCCCAAGACCAATCTCTTAATACTTCTCTTCCAGCCAAACCCTTTCCTCTTCTAGGCTTTCTCATCTTAAGAAATGGCACCTCCATCCACCCACTGGCTCCAGGCAAAACCTGGGAGGCATTCTTACCATTTCTTTCCACCTCCCTCCTAAATTAAACCAGCAGCTAGTCTTGCTGATCCTTCCTGTGCGGTGGCTCACACCTGTAATCCCAGCACTTTGGGAGGCCAAGGCGGGCAGATCACGAGGTCAGGAGATCGAGACCATCCTGGCTAACACGGTGAAACCCCGTGTCTACTAAAAATACAAAAAAAATTAGCCAGGCATGGTGGCGGGTGCCTGTAGTCCCAGCTACTTGGGAGGCTGAGGCAGGAGAATGGCGTGAACCTGGGAGGTGGAGCTTACAGTGAGCCGAGATAGCGCCACTGCAGTCCAGCCTGGGTGAAAGAGCGAGACTCCGTCTCAAAAAAAAAAAAAAGATACATCTTGAGTCCACCTCCACTCTTCTCTGCCACCAGTCAAGTCCCAGTTGCCATCATCTCTCACCAGGACTAGTTCAGTGGAACTAGTTCTCATTCTCTACTCAGCAGTCAGAAATAACTGCTGTGAAGTAGAAAGGATAGCAGGCTGCTTCTCTGACTGACGTCTTTCAATGGCCTCTGGCATTTAGAACAACATGCAGGCTCTTTGCCTTTGCCTTGGTCTACAAGGTCCTGCATGATTTAGTTTCTTTCTACCTTTCAGACCTCATTTCATCTCTTCCTCTCCCTTATTCTCCATGCTGTGGCCACACTGGCCTGCATTCAGAGCCTTACATGCACTCAGCATGTTCTGGTCCAGGTGACTTCACACATCCCATGCTTTCTGCCTGCTTCGCCCCTCCCTTAGCCTCTGCTTACTGCCCGCAGCCCTCCTGCACTTGCCTGCCCTTCCTCATCTCAAAGCACTCAGCTAAGGTCTCAGACAGGCTTTCATCATCTTGATATGGTTTGGCTGTGTCCCCACCCAAATCTCATCTTTAATTGTAGCTCCCATAATTCCCACATGTTGTGGGAGGGACCTGGTGGGAGATTATTGAATCAGCAGCGTGGTGGTTTCCCCCATAGTGTTCTCGTGTTAGTGAATAAGTCTCACAAGATCTGATGATTTTGTAAGGAGAAACCCCTTTTGCTTGGCTCTCATTTTCTCTTGTCTGCCACCATGTAAGACATGCCTTTCACCTTCCACCATGATTTTGAAGCCTCCCCATGAGGCCATGTGGAACTATGAGTCCATCAAACCTCTTTTTCTTTATAAATTAACCAGTCTCCAGTATGTCTTTATCAGCAGCATGAAAATGGACTAATACACACCTAAATTAGGTCTCCCCTATTCTCTTCCTTCATAGGCTCTATCAAAATTTGCAATTGCATACTCATGTATGCATTCTTTTAATTTAATATCTGTCTGCAATGAAAGTGGGGATCATGTCTGTCTTGGTCATTGTTTTATTATTGATGCCCAGCACATAGTAGGTTCTCAGTTAATACTGACAGAATTAACTGACAAGTAGCTGAACATGAGGGTACATGAACACATGAATGAATGCCATTTTGAGCTGCCAACACATGGAGTCATATAAAGTAGAACCGGTTTGAGACTTTAGAGAAGGCCACTCAAGCCTACGCCATTTCAGCCACTGTAGGAACGTGTGTTATTCATGTCATAAAGACATAGCTTGAGTAAGTTTACGTCTCAACAAGGATTTTTACAAAGATTTTTCAAAAACTCTTGCTATTTCCTGAAACAGATTGTGTCTCTCTGATTGTCTATTAAGTTTTTTTTTAAACTGCTGAGGAACTTGGAACCACACCAAAGTAATCTGCATTTCCATTTTTATATTTTAATTTATAAACTGCGCCTTATAATTTACAAGCACTCACTTACTTAGTGTCTCTAGCAGAGCCGAAACAAATACTAACTCTGCCAGCTATGCTACTCTGGCCTACTTTCTGCACCATTCCTATCAGGAACTTTTTAGTTTTTTGGGGTGGAGAGGGTGGGCTGGAGCTAGCTCTAGCTGTTGGAAGTTAAGGTTAGGAACAATGATGATATGTCACATTTATTTAGGAAAGGGTGCAGAAGGGCTCTTTATCCCCATTTTATAGATGAAAAAATAGAAGCTAGAGATGGGAATAACATGACCAAGAAGGTTTGCTTGTGATTGATGAACCTGACTTACAATCTGCATCTCTGGAATTCCTCATGCCAAGGGTCTTTCCAGAACACTAAGCCAGGCTCTCTCAACCTTGGCTCTAGCAACATTTTGACCTGGATCATTCTTGCTGAGTACTGCAAGATGTTTAGTAGCGTCCCCAGCCTCTACACATTAGACGCCAGGGGCACCCACCCCAAATATCTCCACACATGGCCAAGTGTCCCCTGAATTACCCGCAATTGAGAACCACAACACAAGACAGTGACTCTGATTACAATGGAAGGACAGAAGTCAGGAAAACCCATCTCCCTCCATAGTCCTCTCTCCGTCACTTACCTACAATCTAGTCACATAGAACTCTGCTCAAACGCCCAGTGCCTCCTTTGTGGTATTAAATGCTTTACTTTCTTGATCTCATTTAACCCCCAAATGTGGTTACAACAACCTCTTGTTTACAGGTGAAGAAATGGAGGTTTAGAAAGATCACAGCTTGCACAGCAGTAAGTGGCAGGCTGGGATTACACAATTACACATCAGTAAGTGGTAGGCTGGGATGCAAACCCCAACCTGTCTAGTCCTGAGGCCAGCATTTAGCTATGCCACCCTGCCCCCAGGCTCTCACTCAGAGGTGAGAAATAGATTTTCTTTTCCTGGGTCAGCAGGGAGTGCTCTGTTTGAGAAGCCTCCGTTCCTCTGCTCTATAAAGCAGTAGCCCATCCCTCTTAAGGGAAACATCTTTCAGGTGCACAGCACACACATCCACGATTGTGGGTCTGCATGTCTGTCGCCCTCCCAGGCTGTGGTCTGTGTCCTCAGCCCCTAACACTGGGGCTTGCTGAGTAAAGTATTTGTAAATGCATGCCCACACAGCAGCGAGGGTTAGACACAGCAGCCAGTTGTGGAGTATGATCTCCCTGGCCATGTCCTGTGTGATCTTGGACAAGATAAAAACTTCTCTGAGCTCAATGTTCCCATCCATAAAATGGGAGGACCCATTTCTCAGGACAGATGCAAGAATTAAATGATGATAAATGCAGGCTGGTTTGTACTGATGCCAGGTGCTTTTTACATAGTCACCAGCAGGGAATGTCTAACTCCCTCCATGAAGTTGCCTACGCAAAGCTCTCTTTCAATTCCTGAACCTCTTTTGGTCAGTCTGTGACCCCCTTGTAGCCAGTGGAGTTGCTCTTTTAGGGTTGTCTGTCCAGCTAGACTTTTAGCTCCCTGAGGACAGGAGCTGTTCCTTTGTTCCCTCCCACAGCAGCCAGCCTGATACCGTCCTCATGGATCTTGTCAATGGATCACCAACAATAATTGCTGAAGAAGCAATAGTATGATTCCTACTTTTGCATTCGATACTGACTTTTCTGAGTAGGTTTTAGCATCTGGCATGCTTTTCCTTGGTTTGCAGCTCGACAGTCGTGCTGTGATTCCCTTCTCCCAGCAGTTCAGGTTATTAGCCATTACTTTGTTTCCGCTTTGGTCATTTTCTTTGATTTCCTCAGCCGCACATTACCTGTGTTAAGATTTCCGCTCATTGCTTCAAACTTAAGGAGTTGAAGAGGGGCTCAGGAGGGCCCAGTTAAGGTAGCCCTTCAAGGCTCCGAGCCCCATCCTGCCCAGCCAGGAGCTGCTGGACCATCAGCCAGTCAGGATGCTTTCTGGGCGTCAGCAGCCTCATCAATAAATTAAGGATATAAGTAGGACCTGCCTCAAAAGGTTAGAAGATTAAAAGTACAGTGGCTAGAATGTATCACACCCTCAATCTCTACAAACCCTCCTCTGACTGGGGCGGGTGGGGTGACCCGTGGGCAGCTGAGCGAGGGGAAACTTTCCCGGGCTTTCCAGCTCTTTAGCAGGCAGCAGGCAGGGCCCAGAGCGCCGGGCGTGCAGGCTGCAGCGGCTTTGCTTCCCCACGTTCCTCCCATGGGAGGACTGGCTGGCTTCAGTAACCCCTGGTGCTGTGGGAGCGAGAGCCAGACCTCACTGCCCCACCGCAGAAGACAAGCAAAGCCATCCTCGCTGACCCTACCGGCAGCATGCACTTCAAAATTAATAAAGGCTGCTCCAAAGTCTCTCCTCTTCAAAGCACCCAGGGCTGCCTCCCTCCCCAGTAATCAAGCCGGTTCTCCACACTCCCCGCTCCGACTTTATTGATTTGCCTGAAAGGAACCCAGTGCCCTCCCCAGATTATACCCCTGGAGGTATTGCAGGCATCGGATCCTCCACCGCTCAGTCAGGCCCCGACGGGGGTCTCCGCCAGGCTTGGCCCCTCCCCCAAGGTCACCCAACTTTTCCCTCTGTCCCCGCGCCCGGCCCGGGGCGAGAGGGGGTGGCGAGGTGGGGGCCGGGTGGGGCGCCACGGGGCCGGCGCTGGCCCCCTCCCCCGCGGGGCGGGCCCCGCCATGCATTATTCATTGGCCAGAGCCGGGCTGCGGGCGCGAGTGCTGATGTCAGGCAGGCGCGAGTGCGGCGGGCGCAGCGGCGGCGGCCGCCCAGCAGCCCGGGCTCGGGTGGGGGGGCGCCGAGTGGGGGTGGCGGCCAGCATGCTGCTCGGCTGCGGCTCGGCCTCCCACACCCGCGGCTCCCTAGTCCTCGCCAGCAGCGGCGGCGGCAGAGCAGCGAGCGGCGCCCGCGTCTGCAGCGGCGCCGGGTCCGAGCGCGCGGCGCGGCGGTGGGGGTCGGGGCCCGGGCGGGGAGCGGGGACCGGGCATGGCGCTGCGGAGAGGCGGCTGCGGAGCGCTCGGGCTGCTGCTGCTGCTGCTGGGCGCCGCGTGCCTGATACCGCGGAGCGCGCAGGTGAGGCGGCTGGCGCGCTGCCCCGCCACTTGCAGCTGTACCAAGGAGTCTATCATCTGCGTGGGCTCTTCCTGGGTGCCCAGGATCGTGCCGGGCGACATCAGCTCCCTGTGAGTGGGACCCCTCCAGCCCCCATCCCGTCCCGCCCCACCCTGCGTCCGCCGCCGCGAGGGAGTTGCCTCTGGCGCCGGGCCAGCGCGACCCTGACCCACTCCCCAGGCCCCTTCTTTGCCTTTGTGTGGGGGACGTGGGTGGAGTGTTGGCCCCCGGGGAGGACGGTGAGGACCTGAGCCCCAGAATCTGGGAACCCAGACAGGTTCCTGTGGCAGCGTTTCTCAGAGTGTGGCCCACGGGCCACCTGCATCAGACTCACCTGGGGAAGCTTGTGCCAATGCAGAATCCAGCTGCTCTGAAGCAGTCTTTGGAGTGGAGTCCTGGAGTGTGCGTTTGACGTCCCCGGGAGACTCAAGGGTGCATTAAAGTTTGAGAGGGCGTGTGCGTGTGTGTGTGTGTGTTTGCGGGTTGGAGTTGTGTGTGTAGGGGCGTGCATAGGAGCAGCTGAACACGACCTGACTGAGTGCAAACTGGGCAGGGTGAGGCCTCACTGCCCCACATCAGGTCTGGGGCGAATGTTCACCCCGTGGCCTCCTCCCGACTTCTCCACATTGCAGGTTGCAAAAAGTCGAGGTCAAGGCATGCAGGCTCTGGGAGGGGAGGGGCCGCCCCCCGTGGCCTAGAAGAGGGGTAACAGAAGGCTGGGCAGAGGTTTGGGGCATGTTGGGCGCCTAGCCCAGTGGCCAAGTGCTTTGAAGTCAGCCTTCTTGCCCTGAGGTCAGGAGGGCTTCTTGCCCCCTTTCTCCATCACACAGTTGTGTTGGCTGCTTTTTCAGCAGGAGGAACTGACAGGAAAGGGCTTCACATTAGGTATCCACCTGCCGAGAGGTGCTTTCATCCTGCCCTCACCTGGCCACTCAAGCCAAATGACCAGCTCTCACAAGGGCGGTGGAAGGGGCTGTTGGGCTGTATCTTTACTGCTAGGACATGTTTCCTGCTAAGACCACTCTCTTGTTCCAGGCCAAGATGCCTGGGTGCCCAGTCAGTGGTGGAGGCAGGGAATCCCCGGGGTGACGTTGCTTGTGCTCAAGATACTTTCTTGTGTCCAGTGCTTCCCAGCCTCCCACCCAAGGCAAATTGTAGGGGCCTGGACCCAGGAGTGAGGGGGTTCCCATTTGCATTTATAGAAAGTCAGAAGAGTTTGGCTGGTGGGAACAGAGGACCTTTTTGATTCTTAATATTGCTAAGTCGGGTGACATGGAGGATTCCAGAAATTAGAGTTCCCCTTATTAAATCCTTCAGACCAGCAGCTGCTTAAGTGATCTGCATGCCAACTGAAAGGAATTCTGAAATAATGTATTCAGATCCTGCTGTGGCCAGAAAGGATGGGGGCCTGGGGGCAGAAATAAAGCCAAGCATCTTGCCTCCTGGTTGACCGTTTTATCTGGCAGATGGTACTGCCTCTCCCCACACAGGGGAGTTCAGGTGTCTGTGAGTTTTTCCCCAGGGCTTTCATGTTGCATTTAATCAGGAGTGCTCTGTCTTTCAGAGATGGGGTCCCAAGAGGAATGCTTAATCCTACCCCAGCATTTCATAGGCCAACACAACGCTGTGTCTACACAAACAGAATCATGGGCAGAGGTGAAGCGATTATCCATTTTCAGGCAAGGACCTCCTGTAGTTAAGAAAAGGAAGTGAAGGGATTGATTTAAACTGACCGAGATAATGTCTGTGGAAGGAGCTGATGGTAAAGGTTTCTGTTATTCAGACTAGTCTTCATATTGATCTGATTCATTGGGAAGTGGCTTGTCTCTTCTTATTCCTACCCCGGGGAAGATCCTGGGCAACTGTGCTATGCCTCACTCCTGAGAGTCAGGGTTTGAAGTACAGGTGGAGGCAGAGTTTGATTACCCACCCTGCATGGCACTTCCTAAAAGAAACCTAGGCCTACTTTTGTTCATCTTTTGCCCGTAGGAGCCTGGTAAATGGGACGTTTTCAGAAATCAAGGACCGAATGTTTTCCCATCTGCCTTCTCTGCAGCTGCTGTGAGTATGGGAAGTTCCCTCTGCACAATGGGGGGCCCTGAGGTGCCATCCTTGGAGGGCCGTCTCTGCCTCTTTGGTATCAGCCCTTCCTAAAGTACCCCAGCTCCGTGAGGAGACCGTGGCTGCCTCTTGGTGTTAATTTACCCTGTGATGTCCCCAGCAAAGCACTGAGGCTCCCTGCTCAGCTCTTTCCTTAGTTCGATACCTGTTTTCTTCAGAGACTTTATTGTAGATCCCAACACCCAGATCTAGTAAATGGGGAGGTAATTGCATTGACTCATGACCTGAAAGTCACCTAAATGCACTGTTTCCCAAACACCTCAGTTTAAAAGAAAACTTCATTTTAAAATCTTAATGTTACTCTGGAAATAGGAGTGTTTCTAGTTTGCTGAGAACTTAAACCAGTCAGGCAGCATCCTATGAACTTACGTGCGTAATTTTATTTCATCATCACTTCATCGGTATGATGAAGGCATGCTTATGATCCCATTTGATAGATAAGGAAACTGAGGTTCAGGGAACTTAACTAACTTGTCCCAAATCAGAGCCAGATTCTAGTCCAGGGCCAAAAGCCCACACTCCTAACTATTCCTCATCCCATCTCCTCTCTGTGAGCAATGCTCAAGTCCCTGTGGTGATGCTCATGTTGTGCCCTGTAACCCAGGCTGGGTAATGTGTGCTGATGAAAACAAATGTCCAAAAAGTAGTTTTCAAAAGCAATCCAGTGACAGGCAAAGTAAGAGTACACACCTCATTCTCTTGATCTGTGTTGGTTTCTTAAATTTGAGATGAGACTGAAATTAAAACAAGCAATGTGCTATAGAAAAATTTGGATAAATGGAATATAGGAGAGCACTATTCATCCTCAATAAACATACTCTTGATACTTTTGTTCTTGAAATCTTATATGCCTACTTTTAACATTACACTTAACATTTTAAAATCTGAGGCCTCTTAGAAATTGCAGTGCTATTAAAATATACTTTTCATATAATAGAAATACAATTTTAGGTATTCTTTTGCCAGTAGACTTGGGTGATGACTCAAATAGAAAACTACGTAGTAACAGTCTCCTGAAAGTTTCTTAAACAAACTTTTTTTTTTTTTTTTTTAACTATTGTTATGGGTCCAGCTGCATGACTTTGGTCAAGTCACTTAGCTTCTCTGGGCTTTTATTTTCGTAAAAATAGATTTGGATTAGATCTTTTTAGATCTCTAATTTTATGATTGCTTGTGTACCATAAAGCATTCACTGGCTGTTTAGTCGTGCTGAGCATTATAATGTTTTAAAGTCACAGCTATCAGATCATATTTACTGAGACACACAGGGAAGAAAGGAGTAGAGTTCTGGAGAGGACAAGAAAATCTGGTCAAAAGGAATCCACTTGCCATCGTCTCTAAGAGCAGGCTGTGAGAATCAGGTTTTTGACAACAAAATGTGGTCTCCTTAGGCTAAGAAGAGCTCATGTTTGCCCACAGATCAAAACGTAGCAAAGGAAAGAGAAATGGCTTTACCATGTGACTCAAGTTTTACATCTCTCCATTGGAATCTGTCTCTTACTTTCAGATTGCTGAATTCTAACTCATTCACGATCATCCGGGATGATGCTTTTGCTGGACTTTTTCATCTTGAATACCTGTAAGTTTTGTGCTTTGTCTATTTGCTGAACATTCGGTATCTTGGTAGAATTTCTGGATTGGTTTCTGTGCTGGAACAGCATCTCTGCAAGGGTTTAGGGGTGGAGAAACTGGAGAACACCCCATTCTCTTTTCAGCACTGACCTTTTATAGTTTACTTGCTTACAAACATGCTGGGGAAGGAGGAGGCTGGAGACAAAGAGGGAGAGACAAAACAAAGAAGGAGAGATAGTCATTCATTCTCTGCTGACATTTAATTTGTCATGTAGTAAGCACAATTGGAAGTTGCGTTGGATATTTTTACCTCTCATAAATAGGCATGGATTTGCTGACCAGCCAGAAATAGAGCTGCGGGGTTCTGAGGGTTACTTATTTTTAAGAAAGCCTCCCTATTTGGGGGGTACAACTTCATGTTGTTCACTCACTGTTCTACATCTCTTTTGCAGTATCTCCTATGAATTGCTACTGAGGGTCTAATTTTATTTTATTTTTTTCCTTAAAAAAAGGTCATTTTTCCCTTTTTTGATGTGCAGATTTCTCCCCTCGCAATGAGCTTTGCCCTTGTTCTGATTTCTGCCTTTTCTTCCTTTCATGTCTTTTTTCCCCTTTAAGTTCTTTCATCCTTGTCTTTGGTAACTTTGTAATAATGTTAATCCTGCTATCAGATGGGATAGCCTCACTTAGCATTCAGAGGGATTTTTAAAGCCTTGTCTCATTTTCTTGTCTGAGTTCAACAGGTAGGTATTGGAATTCTAGACACATCCTAGATATAAGAAAGCTCTCTGCTGACTTTGTGTCTTGAGAAAAGATGTTCCTGGAGGAATTCTTTCTCCAGAGTATACATAATATGTGTATTCGCATAATACTCTGATATTATCATATACATAGTATGGAAAGTGTAGCAGGACTGCAATGCTAAATCTGACTAAGGTCTATCAAAGCACATACATAGCCAATGGAGGTAGCAGTTGTAAAGCTATGAGTTTTCTCTTACGATAGTTCATCTTATGGTCAAGGTTATTGGAGAGGAAGTTAGCTCATCAGTTTATGCTGAAGTCTATTACTGAAAAGACATCTCAGTTTTAAAAACCATCAGTGAGTTCTCAGTGCAAGAATCAAGAACTAATTCGTTGATGATGTTGTGTTTCAAAGCCCCAACCATGGAGCATCTCATCAAAGACCCTCTTATATTTGACTTAATATAATGCTGTAACTAAAATTTAGTTCTCCCTGAGCCTAGAGAATAGTCGTAGTGAATTCACATCAATTATTTCCCACAAAGACCTTAAAGCATGGCCAGTGGTATTATTGCAAGATCCCATGTGCCAACCCTGTGGGGTTTTAGTACAGAGAAAGAAGTTTGGTTCCTACTCAACTTCATTATACTTCCTACTTCCTAGTAGCTTAGAGAGCTTGAGCTTTTCCTGCCTTGTCACCCATTTGCTTGGTGACTAGATGGTGTAGGACACGATAAACTCAAGGTTGCTGAAAACCAAGCTTGATAGAACTCTCCCCCAGCAAAAAACTTTAATGTGGAGATGTAAAACAAGAGAACCCTCTCAAGGGACAGTGACATTAACAGAAGTATGAATAGCCAGGCACCGTGAAATGTGGGATTGAGTAGGGAAAATGTCTGGAAGTGCTCCAGTCTTGCAGAGATATGAGAATTTCTTGCCTTTGTATAGTGCTTTCTTCTTTATTTCTCCCCAGGATGTTTTTACCCATGTTGCCAGCTCAGAATTCTTTGGAGACTTCCATGCCACTTCTGGAAGGAGTGCAGACCACACACTCCCGTGCACGCATTTTTGCATACATCCTGCTACCACATGGAATTTGGTGTAGCTGACCTAGTCTTCAGAGATCAATTCTTATAATTCAGGAATACTTTTAGATTTTATTCTGAAAGCTTACCAACATAGTTTTTTTGGGATACTAAGGAGAGAAAATTCATTTTAATTATACAACTTTTCCTCTTAGGTTCATTGAAGGGAACAAAATAGAAACCATTTCAAGAAATGCCTTTCGTGGCCTCCGTGACCTGACTCACCTGTAAGTCCTATGAAAAGTATTGTAAGTCCTCTAATATGTGGAGTAAGATTGGTTTCCTGGAGCCTCTCTGTTTCTTGGCTGTAACTGTCCCTGAAGGAAATGAATTTCTAGATTACTCAAGAGGTTTCTATGTTGTCAGTCAGACACTGGCTCATTGTGAGTACACACATACTTGTCTTTATTATCATCTCTATCAACCTGAATTGCAGTTATAGGCCACATGACTGTGTGGGAATTAAGGAGCATCCTGGGGTGTGAGGAACTTGTGTTGCTTGATGGTGGAGATGGGAAGAAATTTTTTTTTTTGAGACGGAGTCTCACTCTGTCATCCAGGCTGGAGTGCAGTGGCATGATCTCGGCTCACTGCAGCCTCCGCCTCCTGGGTTCAAGCCATTATCATGCCTCAGCCTCCCGAGTAGCTGGGATTACAGGTACACACCACTATGCCTGACTAATTTTTGTATTTTTAGTAGAGACGGGGCCTCACTATGTTGGCCAGGCTGGTCTCGAACTCCTGATCTCAAGTGATCCACCTGCCTCGGCCTCCCAAAGTGCTGGGATTACAGGCGTGAGCCACCGCACCCAGCCAGGAAGGAAATCATTGTGGGTCTTATACCTGCTTGGCACCAGGCACAGGGCTGGGTGCTTAGTGAGCCTTCTCTTCTTCATCTTTCATAATAATCTGTGAGTCCCCATTTTACAGATTTTGGAACCAAGGCTTAGATGACTAGGTGGAATGTTGGATCAGAATTAGGACAAAGTGGAATAGAGACATTTTCATGGTTCCTCTCATTTGAATGCAAATCACTTTTTGTTTTATATTGGATTAATCTGTGGTTTCAACTAAGCTCTCTGCTTCTTTAAGAGCTTTCTGGAGATAAAATTAAAGAAATTGATTTGAAACTGGCATATAAAAATGAAGCAAGTACACACACTTAGCAAATGTATAAAATTTATAAAACTAGAAAAAATAGTGGCTGTGTTTATGAAAATGTAAAAATGCTCATTATCTTGGTAGGAGTAATTCGTTAGCCAGGAACCAGGTCCCATTTGCATGATAGATATTTTGAGTTTGAGTAAGATAACATGTCTCATCTCTGTAGTCAGCCTGCCTGCCATAAAGACAGTTGGGAAAATTGGAGGGTTTTGACTGGAAGTGTTGGGCAGGGATGGTAGTACCTTCAGCATGTGTAACCCTGACTGGTACAGTGTGGACATAGTCATCTAATGAGGAAACCATTCACATCAAGCCCCGATATTGGCAAAGGGGGTTGTCAATAGGCCAAGCAAACACTTGATTCTGGAACGCCCACAAGTAGAGGCTCTGCCTAAGTTAAAGCCTATCGGGTAAGGAGATGAGGGAGCAGACATGGGAGGCCGAAACATCTGTGTCAGCATAGTTGATACCGGACAATGTCCTAGGTCTTCATTTCTTCCTATAAAAGCCTTTATTGTTTTTCAGATTCAACCTAAGTGTCAAATCCCCAAATTCCTGTAGAGACTACAATTGTGGGCTTGGAGTCGTATAGGCTTGGATAGGCTTGGGTTTAAATCTCAAGGCCATGATTTATTAATATTGTTTAACTGTCTAAGATCAATTTCCTCCTCCTTAAAATAGGGATAACTATACTGATTTCATAGGATTGCTGTACATAAAAGGTTAATGCTTGCTTGAAAAGCATCTAGTCCATTACCCATGGTAAATGCTCAAGGCATAATTGGCATCATCATCATCATCATCATCATCATCAACATCAACATAATTCCTTCCCTCCATGCATTAAGTCCCAACTTCCTCCATGGCCTGTCAAGTATCTTTGGCAGTTTGGGTGGCCAGACAGAGTCTACTAAGGAGACAGCTGTGGGTGTCTGAAGAGGAACAGCTGTGGCCAGATGAGTCTGGTTCCCAGAAGTCAGGAATTAGGGCTTTATATTTGAGCAAAAGCTCTGGGCAGATTATAAACCTAAGGCAAAGCCCATGTGACGGGCTGAGTTAGCCCAGATGGCAACTTTCATTTGCTCAGATGGCTGTGGTTCTTCCATCAGCAGGAGGGTGTGAACAAGCAGGTATCATGCGCGGGTATTTGCATATCTTTGTGCAGGTGTACAAAGTGTCCTCGGGTGCATGGACTTATATACATGAGTGTACATAACTGTGTTCCTGTGTGCATGCTTATGCATTTGTTTCATTTGTTATCATGTGTACATGTGTACAAGAGGCACCTCCTTTTCTGTGGTATTATGCACAGAGAACACAAACACAGAGGGAGCGAGGGAGTCCTGCCTGCACTTGGGTCCAGCGAGCATGGAATGCGTTAGAGAAGAACTAGCTCATCCTAGTGAGTAGGACCACCCCGCGGTCAAGCCTACAAGTCAAGCCTCTCCTCAGCTCTCTAACCTCATTTCTCTGAGTGTCTTCAGAACATCAAGCTTTCGGCGCTCCCCCACCCCATCCCACTGCTTTTCCTCACATCCTTTCCCTTGCCCGGGATGCTGTTTCTTCTGCCCTTGCTCTCTCTCATCTGCCTTTTCTTTCAAAGTCCAGATTGAGTTCTATCTCCCCAGTTAAGCCATTCTCCATCTTCCTCTTCCCTCCTGCCATTGGCTTCATGCAGCCAGCACTTTACTGTCTACAGTGGCCATACTGGTTGGTGCTGTTGCCTGGGTGTTCGTTTTATCTCCCAGCACGTTGGAAGCTCCTGCAGGGCAGGACTTTTAGTGATCTTCCCTTAGCTCTGTTCTTCCCCCAGTGTCTAGCACAGGGCTAAGCCAGCAGGACATACTTCCTGATTTGCTAATGGATGGATGGCTTCTTAATGGAGTTAGATTTCCCATATGTGCTCTACTTCTGGACAAGTCAGGTGGCTTTGTTTTTTTTTTTTTTTTTTTGAGATGGAATCTCTCTCTGCTACCTAGGCTGGAGTGCAGTGGTGCAATCTTGGCTCACTGCAACCTCAGCCTTGCGAGTTCAAGCGATTCTCCTGCCTCAGCCTCTTGAGTAGCTGGGACTACAGGCGTGTGCCACCATGCCTGGCTAATTTTTTGTATTTTTAGTAGAGACAGCGTTTCACCGTGTTAGCCAGGATGGTCTCAATCTCCTGACCTCATGATCCACCCACCTCGGCCTCCCAAAGTGTTGGGATTATAGGTGTGAGCCACCGCGCCCGGCCAGGCGACTTTTAAAGTTGACTCCTCTAGGCAGGAGATGCATTTAGTAATTCAAGCATTTAATATACTGTGTAAAGAATGAATCAATTCACCTCCCTCCCCTTCTAAAAACCTCTAAGAAAAGAGAAGATACCAGGTCTCTAAAGTTCACCCCCGTGCTTACGGAAGTTCCTATTTGGAATTTGCTTGTTGAAGTTAAGCAGCTGATTTTTATCTTTCATGAACTTTTGCAATGCTTACAGACTCACATGCATAGGAAAAGAGACATAGATCAGGTTTCAAAGCATTGAAGGACCTGTGCCAATCTGTAACTAAAATCTAGAACATTTGTTTCCAGCAGTCCCATGAAGCCCAAGGGACAGGGAACTGTTAAATAGTTTTAGAAATAAAGTAAGTGCCATGATTTGTAGACAAAATGAAGTGGAAAGGCAGGTGTTAAGCACTTAGTGTGAGTGGGATAAATAATCCATCTAAATAATTCTGCTTTCTGAAATCTAAATTGAACACTTGGAACGTTGCTAAACTCTCTGCTTTTTTTTTTTTTGGCTTTGACCATTCTGTATATACTTATCATATCAATACAGTAACTTTCAATTAGCTGAAGTTTTTAGCTAATAATGTTAATTAGCTAAAACATTGTTGTACTTTACTTTCCAGAAAAAGTGACCATCGACCAGGAAAGAAAATCAAAATGAACACCCCCCTTTTAAAAATTTCCAAAATCTCTTTCAGAGTAGCTTTAGTCTGATTACATATTCAGCCTATTTTCCAACACAGTTAAAAATGTACAAATACCTCATTTAGAAAAGAAAGGTAAAAGAGTACATGAAATTTTATTTAAATCCATTTGTGGTCACCTAGATAGGAAGGGGCATAATTCAGAAACTGTGGGTCTCCCCATATTAACTTGGTGTCCTGAAGCAAGAATATTTGGGCTCCAAGCTTTCTACTATGTCCAGCTAACCGACTCTAGGTAGGAAGAGTCATTTCTTTAATTCATCCTTCTGGGATGGGTCATTATGATGATACAGAAGATGCATTTCATAGATATCTTAAATTGGTTGGGGCTGAATTGCTTACATGTTAGTCGTTTATGTGTTTTGCTGTTTGCATTCATATGTGTAAAAGAAAACAAAAGTAGGCATCAGTTTCTTGGCTGACTCACATTAGAGTGCAGTGCCTGGGGAAATCACAAACTCAGTGTACATCATTTCAACACTCCACGTCTTTCTACATCAACAGCCCTGCACCGTGGACATTCATCTTCACAGGATGATGACAGGGCACTGCAAAATCCTGAATCATCGGAGAAAGAGTTGATGCTGTGCATTCTACTCTATTTCCTGGAGGTGGGGTGTGGACTAAGACGTCTTAGAATGATCTTTAACACCAAGAGCAAAAATGCAAAATGGTTTTGGGTCAACCTTTATTAATGTGAAAATGAAATTGATCATAGTCAATCATTCCCTACACATTCTGATCGGTTGAGATTTTATTATGTTATTCTTAAAGGTTAGAGCTGAGTCTCTTTATGTAAAGGAGTATTGACTGAGTCCTTTCTTAGAATCACGAGTAATAGAATTCACTTAGATGGACCATTAGGGAACTTCTTGGGACAAGACTGTAAATCTTCTTTTATCACTCACACTTTGGTGCTTAATACATCAATTCAGCAAAGATATACTGAGTACCTGCTGTGTGCCAGGCACTGTTCTAGGAACTGGGGATACAGCAGTGGACAGACAGACAATAATCTCTGTCCTCATGTGGCTTATGTAGAGGGGGAATACACAGCCAGTAAACAAATAGTTAATTAAAATATGTAGTGTACCAAATGATGGTGGTACAGGGAAGGGAGATGTGCAGAGGCCTGAGAAGTGGTGATACTTGAGGACAGACCCAAAGGAGGCAATGGAATTCCAAATGGATAGCTGGGGAAAGAACATTCCAGGCAGATGACCAAGTTCAGAGGCCTGGAGGGTAGGAGCATGCCTCACCTGTTGGAGGAATAGCAAGGAGGCCAGTGTGGCTAGATCAGAGATCCACTGAGTAGTTGGAAACCGATGAGATGGGGTCTCCTAGGTAAGCAAGAGTGGAGGTAGCCAGGCAATAAAGGGTCTTGCATGCCACCGAAGGAACTTTGGCTTTGATTCCAGGAAACATGGGAAGCCATCTGAGGTTGAGCAAATATACATAAAGAGCTTAAAAAGTGCTTTTTGTAAAAAAAAAAAGAAAGAAAATGTATATTATAATCCAGCATCTCTTATGTTATATTTGCATAACTAAGCTCATTTCTCTATCTCAGTATTGATGACCAAAGCCGTGCTATAAGTCAACAGCTTTATCTGAAGGGAGTTGAGAGTGACAGGGCATGAGATAATAATCACATTGCAATGTGACTTTCTTGTTCTAGTTCTTTGGCCAATAACCACATAAAAGCACTACCAAGGGATGTCTTCAGTGATTTAGACTCTCTGATTGAACTGTAAGTAATGAAATTTAGTTTATGTGTGTTTGTCATTGTGCCCCAGTTAATCATGTCTTTCAATCCCCTCTCGCCTTTCTTTTATGCATTTCTTTTATGCTGTGGTTAAAAATCTATAACAAAGTAGTGCATCCTGGGAAATAGCATACAGTTTGTATTGTGTTGGATTTTGCCATTTTATACTTAGCACCATGAGGCCAATGGTAAATCACACTTGCTGGGTGGGAGATCACCTCCCTGAGATGGCACGTTCACCTGCTTTATCTTCTATCATTGCTTCTTACTGGATGTATTTTTTTTTTTTTTAGATGTAGTCTTGCTCTGTTGCCCAGGCTAGAGTGAAATGGTATGATCTCCACTCATTACAACCTCTGCGTCCTGGGTTCAAGTGATTCTCCTGCCTCAGCCTCCTGAGTAGCTGGGACTACAGGCGCACACCACTACCCCCAGCTAATTTTTGTATTTTTAGTAGAGACGGGGTTTCACCATGTTGGCCAGGCTAGTCTCGAACTCCTAACCTCAGGTGATCTGCCTACCTTGGCCTCCCAAAGTGCTAGAATTACAGGCATGAGCCACCGTGCCTGGCCTACTGGACGTAGTTTTAACAAGAGCTTGAAGTTTCAATTGTGTTTGTGAAAACTGTCTTCCTACAATATCCTCTTTGTTTATGAGAACCTCTGTTGGGGGCTGCTCTTCTATCATATGTCTCCCATTTCTGGCATGGCGTGGAGACGAGAGCATTTGGAGAGATGATATGTCCTCGCTGAGAGCTCTCTGGACATTATACAGTTATTCAGTTAAATTCCCAGGTGCTGAGGAGTATTAAATAAAGTCAATGATAGATACAAGAAACAGGAGATATTAATTATAAAAGTTTTTAAACTCCATTTTTAGGGGGTTTTAAATATATCAGGATGTTAATAATTCTGGAGTTTCGTGTTACTACCAAAACATGTCAGACACATCTATTTCTCTTTGTATGTGTTTGTGTTTTATTTTGATTTTTAGAGATTTGAGGGGTAATAAATTTGAATGTGACTGCAAAGCCAAGTGGCTATACCTGTGGTTGAAGATGACAAATTCCACCGTTTCTGATGTGCTGTGTATTGGTCCACCAGAGTATCAGGAAAAGAAGCTAAATGACGTGACCAGCTTTGACTATGAATGCACAACTACAGGTATTCAGAGCCTATCTCATCAGACACGGATATTTAGAATAATCTCTTTGTCTTTCTTTTACACTGTCAACAGAGACTGGGGAAAAGTGAATATAGAACTGTTTATCAAAATTGTTTTAGAGAAATTTTAAACATTCTAAAGAAATGAATCGATGTGGTAAGGAAAATATCTCAAAAGTTTGGGAGAATTTTTGTTAACTGCCCTGGCTTTATTTTTGCTTCTTTACGAAATTCAAATTTCTGTAAGTGTTTCATTTTCTTAAGTCAAAGTATAAACTTGTGGGTTTGGCAGGAGAACATTTTCAAATCAATCTAGGTTTCATAGAAGGCCACTGCAGGGAGGCTTAGATTACTCGGTTGAGACTGTTCTTTTGCTTTAGGAAGATGTTCATTGGACATTTAACTAACAAACATCAGAATTTTTTTTTTTTTTTTTTTTTTTTTTTTGAGGCAGAGTCTTACTCTGTCGCCCAGGCTGGAGTGTAGTGGCGTGATCTCAACTCACTGCAATCTCCACCTCCTGGGTTCAAGCGATTCTCCTGCCTCAGCCTCCTGAGCAGCTGACATTACAGGTGTGCACCACCACACCCGGCTAATTTTTGTATTTTTAGTAGAGACGGGGTTTCACCATGTTGGCCAGGATGGTCTCGATCTCCTGATCTCATCATCCGCCCACCTTGGCCTCCCAAAGTGCTGGGATTACAGGTATGAACCACTGCGCCTGGCCCAAACACCAGACTTTTAAACCCACAAATGACTTTCAGAGTCCCATGTAAGAAGAGATA
The DNA here is from genome assembly GCF_000001405.40 of Homo sapiens. Taxonomy (NCBI): domain Eukaryota; kingdom Metazoa; phylum Chordata; class Mammalia; order Primates; family Hominidae; genus Homo; species Homo sapiens. Next base: position 25,017,203 of record NC_000004.12, on the reverse strand, counting down.
ACTAGGTAAATTATAACCAATGGCAAAATAGAAAATAAAAGTTAACAACTAGTTATCAAAAGGAAACAGCTCATATCGAGGGAAAAATGTAAAGAAAGCTTGATTTTGTTTTCCAGGGCCTGCCACAAACTTTCAGTTTATACATTTTTCAGGTTATAAGATAAAACCAAAATACTAACTGCCTCCACTGTCACAACATGGGGCCAAAGGTATTGGTGAGTATCTCCATTGGAAAGGCTTAGGTGGGGTTTCTACAGCTTCTAAAGCCAGAGAGAGGAGGATCAGGCCGCTGTATGAAACCTGCTTACCCAATTTATAAAAATAAACATTCAGGCTGAGAGCTGATATCTACAAAGCCTCAAGTCATGTCAGGAGAAGCAGCAGGAATGAGAAACAGAAAATAGTTACAGAAACTCAAAAGACACCAAAACTCCAAGAACAAAATATCATATTTAGGCCAGTCCCCGCTACCACCTTCCAACAAATAAACAAAAACCCAGAAAGTAAAGATCATTTCTAGGTATCTTTGTTTGTAAATAAGGGACCCTGCAAGTTCTATTCTTTTCTGATAGACAACCTGCAATCTCACAGAAATGACTTTTCCTTTCATCATCAAATAGGGGCTTACTCAGCTGTGTAATTGACAGGTGCCCCACAGTCAGCTGAGGCCACTACGAGGTTAGTTTATTGTATTTTAGGGCCAGGACAATAAATCAGAGGTCGTAGTCGATAACATTTGCACCAAAAGGTGGCATTCAAGACTATTTGGCGTTAAATGCTAAATTTAATTAAATTGAATAAACCAAAGCTAAACTAAAGCTCACTGAGACTTCTCACTACCTTTTCTCCATTTTCTCTGCAGAGGTCTCGAAACACCAAGGTGAAATTTGCAGATTTTCCCTTGTTCTCTTCACACCTGGCCATAGCGTGGAGAAACTTTGCTAATCTCTGATGGAAGTAATGGGCTATAGGGCCGTGGGAATAGGAAATAATTTCTACAAGAAAACATATTTTCTGAGCTTAGGGCCCTGAGGATAGTTATAAAAGTGATCCAGGCTCTGAGAATTGTTATTGGAATGGTGGTAGCTTGGAACTGAGGTAACCTGTCCTCATCCCAACATGGAGTAGCAAGAGGCCTTAACACATTTTAGAGCCTTCTCTGTCTCATGCAGTATTTGTCTTCATGAACAAGCTTCCTACTAAACTTTAGAAAGTCAGCGCTAGGCTTTCTGGTGAGAGGGAGATGATAATTCTGGCTTTGTGCTATGGTTTTATCCCTTTAAGACTCACAAACAGAGATGAGGCTCTTGCTGACAGTTTCTTCCATCGGGAAAAAAATGGTACAACAAAGTTGTGATCCACCCCCAAACATAGGCCCCGCTGTGTAAGAACTAGGTCAACAAATTTTGAGTGTTCGGGGTTCATGTCTTCTGTTCAGATCAAACCTTAGCCTCTGTTGCTTCGTTAAAAGCTAGATGGGGAGTAGGGGCGTGGGGTCGGGGGAACAAATGAGGATGGAGGGAAAATGGAAAGCCAAAGGTCGAGAGTTCATGGTACAGTGATCGTATTCTTGCCAAAGGTTTAGAAAGAAGCACATTTTCTGAATATGATTGTTTTCCTTTTCAACTCAGATTATCGGAAAAGGGGTGAGTTTTCTCCTGTTTCACTGTTTTTTCCCAGAGAGAGGAAGGTACTGTTACCATTCTATTCCTTGGCCAAGGGGTGTAATTCATATCACAAAGCCACCATTGGGCTGTTTCAGGTCTTTACATTAATCAGCTCTTGAACCCTCCCCTTCAAGTCTATTTTTAACCACCTCAAAAGTCCCTGTTACCTACCGATGATTCCCTGTGTTAGGTGGGTAATTCACTAAATTCCTTAGAGGAAGTGAATTTTGCATTCTAATTGTCCTGTTAGCTTCCCCTTTTCAGGGCTGATGAAAATGCACAGAGAAATAATGCATTAATGTGCAGTTTCTCTCCCAGAAGGATCGGCGTCATGTATAATTTATTTTCTGCAAGTGCTATAAATAGCTATGTAAAAATCTGTTGATTCCACTGGGAGAAAGGCCTAAATTGTAAGAGTCCCACTGACATCATGAACTTAATCCAGTGTGAATGGAAGTGGCAGTTCTTTTTGCAGAGTGCCATTAATATTTTAACACTAGTAAATTGATGTCACATCAATATGTGTATTTCTGAGATCTTTCCACAAGAATGTGCTTTTGCTGTTTGTGAGAAGTAAATTTAATTGGGGGTGGGAGAAGATATTTAAATTCCTCTGGTCCTCTGATACCCACAAATATATATGCATCAATCATTTTCTTTTCATTCTCTCTCTCTCTCTCTCTTTTTTTTTTTTTTTTTTTTTTTTGAGACAAGGTCTTGCTCTGTCATCCAGGCTAGAGTGCAGTGGCACAATCATAGCTCACTGCAACCTCAGACTCCTGGGCTCAATCGATCCTTCCACCTCAGCCTCCAGAGCAGCTGGGACTACAGGCATGCACCATCATGCCCAGCTAATTTTTCTTAATTTTTAGTAAAGAGAAGGTCTTGCTATGTTAGCTAGTCTGGTCTCAAACTCCTGGCCTCAAGCAGTCCTGCCTTGGCCTCCCAAGCTGCCAGGATTACAGGCACAAGCCATCTTGCCTATCTTGCCTGGCCCTGTTCTTCTTTTTTCCTTCTCTTCCTCTTCTTCCTCCTTCTCCTTCCTTTTTTTTGGCGGGGGCGGGGGTGGGTTCTTCTATTAAGAGTTACATTTATAATTCAAATGATTTAACAATCTGTGTCATGCCAGATAATCAGTATGTAGGAAATATTATGAAACCACTATATGGGGAAAATAGATTAAAACAGGGCCACGACAGGCTAGATTTGTAAAATGCTCTGCACTGTGACAACTCCTTTTCATCCTGGGATTCTTCAATAAAAACAGAAACTTTCTAGTCTACACTTTAAACAGCCTGCCTTTTTAAGCAAATGCTCATGTTTCTGAGAATTCAGAGTGCAGTAGGGAGGCTAATGGGAGGGAGGAGGTGAGTGAGTTATGGGCGTCACGGGAGTGCTTAGAACTTTTGGCAGACTCGGAGTAGTCGAATGCAACCGGAGATGTAGGAGAGGAGTTTATAGCCATCTTGGTTGTAATTAAAAGAAAGCAGCTGTATTCTCCAAATCTTTTTATATCCCCAGAAAAGGGAGCACATGATGACTGCTGCCATTTCCCCTTTCTCTGTCTACATGTGAACACAGAAACCAGCAAAGTCTTGTGCAGTGAACACACGCTTTCTGGCTTCTACACTGTTGGCACTGCTAGTGCCAACAGGAGTGAACAGAGGTTCACTTTTTTCTGTTTATTTATCTTTGACCAAGCAACTATTATTTTGGTGGTGGGAGGGGATTGAGGGAGAGCCATGACTCTTCCCTAAGTCTTCAAGTAGGCAACTGAATACTATCATTGTTGCATATGTCAACTACTGAGTGATCACCATAGCACTGCAATATATACTTACATGTACCTTGCATTTAGTCTTTATGGCAACCTCATGAAATAGACACCACCTTCATTTTACAGGTGAAAAAAGAACCTCAGGCTCAATTGTCTTGCCAAAGGTCATGTAACTAAAAGTGCTTCTTTCAGTGCCGTCATGGGATCCCAGTGCCTTAGCCCTACTAAATATGGACTGTCTACTTGCTTTTGAAATAATCGTGAATCAGAAGCCCTTCACCAGGATGTTCTGCTCTGGACTTGGGGATGGGAAGGTACCCCGTCCACTAGAGCCACTTGTCCACACTCTCCCTCAGTCACCTCCTGCCTGTTGGGCTGCAGAGGCAGCCTCTTTTCTCCTCCTTCTCCCCACATCTTCATATACCACTCAGCCTCCGTCCCCTCCCCTGTAGTCTTTAGAGTGGGCTGAGAAGCAAGGCCAGCCGCCTCACAGTGGTTTAGCCAACAAGGATTCAGTAAGCACCTACTCTGCCCCCAGAATGAAGGGAGGGGCACCTCTAAAAGGTAACATGTATTGAGCACTCACTTCGTGCTAGGCTAAGTGGGTAGAAACCATAATACCCCTAAGACCATAGCAGAGGGTTTGGTTTGGTTTCCAATGTTCAGTGTACCATTTGGGGAGTGTACCATTCATTCTGAACGTGCAGTGGGGTTGTCTGCTGACAGGTAATCCCGAGCTAGGGTTTATAAGAACTGGAGATAAAGGGTCAGGTAAGTTTGAGAAGCACCATATCAAACAAAAAACAGACTTCTTCCCTTCAGGGGCTGTTCTGAGAGAGCTGGAAGTACAGCATTTTCCAAACTCACTGGACCGCAGCCCCCGCTTGTCACAGAGTGATTTGCACGGCAGTTTTGAGAATGTTGCTGTGCAGCGTCCTGTCCGTCTTACCACTTTGAAAGCCAAGTCTCACCAAATATGTTTAAAACTCTGAGATCCTTTAGCCAAACTCGGGAAGCTGTTTCTCCACAGGAAGCTGTACTAGAAACTGTGCATTCTGTCTGATAATCCTGCGCAAGCCAGGACTCTTTCTGGAATGTCCCAGAGTAAAATACGCTGTGATGTTTGTGTTGCATCTCTCCTATCCTCCTCCTCCTCCCCAGTCCTTTTCAGAGCTGATGTGATGATGGAACGGTGATGGTGGTTGATAATCCCTACAGGAGATTTTATGAACGCTTTTCTTTTTAAACACCCATCCCCAGATTTTGTTGTTCATCAGACTTTACCCTACCAGTCGGTTTCAGTGGATACGTTCAACTCCAAGAACGATGTGTACGTGGCCATCGCGCAGCCCAGCATGGAGAACTGCATGGTGCTGGAGTGGGACCACATTGAAATGAATTTCCGGAGCTATGACAACATTACAGGTGTGTTGTGGCTTTGATCAGATGTGTTGAACTAATTTCAGCATTGCGGCAAGCCCGCGGGAGGAGGAATGTCCTCTGTATTGAGGGAGAGCTCGGCTCTCTAACCTGGTTAGAGCTGGGGAACACGTCCCAGCCTTCCCTCTGGGTCTCTCCAGTTTTTGTCTTGGTGTGGTCCATTACTGAGAGAGTGGAAACCTCAGGTAGTGATCCTGCTTATTATTGATGATCATTTACGGGTTGCATGTGGTGGGAGGCATTTTCTAGTAGTGGTGAGAAGTCACACTGAGAATCCCTTGTCCTGAGCAGTATGGGAGCCCAAGTCTGCACCAGCTTTGTAGCAGCTAAATGATGCTTTGACTTTCATTAAGCTGATTGTTAACCAATATGCTAACAAACACACACACACACATACCCTATAGTTTGTTCCTAGTGCCCTTTGCTAAGTCCTAGTGATCACTGCTTTCTTTTAGTAAGTACATACGAAATAAGAATAAATGGATCCCTAAATTAGGCATTTGGGATATGAATTAGTTAACGCTTCTTTCAGTGCCGTCATGGGATCCCAGTGCCTTAGCCCTACTGAATGTGGACTGTCTACTTGCTTTTGAAATAACCTTTGAAAGACTCCTCATTTATCAACGTGCAATCTGATAACAATACTGTGTAAACAGTGCCACAAAGGTCTAATTATCACCCCAGGAGAGGGTTTCCTTTAGAGGTTCCTGATGTGGCCTTAGAGCAGCGTTTTACTGTTGTAGCAAGAAGCATATTCAGGTAGAATTTCTGGGTTGGGAGGCTCCTAAGAGTCTCCCAAGCACCAAGTGGCTTCCCAGCAGGTACAGGGATGTGGGGAGGCAGGGAGAGCTGCTAATGAGCCTTATCTCACAGTGTATCTCGGTGTGAGATGTACAACGGATGCTCCGAGGATGCCATTTCAGATGAGCTGGCCACCGTCGGGCCATCTGGCCTCCCCGTGCTGAGCTCACCTTCCGGAGAGTAACGCTCTTGGAAGTGCAGACTCAGCACAGAGTAGCACAGGTGAACCTGCTGTGGAAGCCAAGAACAAGGGAGATGAGGAAGTGAGTCCATGTCCACGTGGTTTTGTGCTTCCCCCTTTGTCCTGACATGGAAGATAGGGGAGGGGAGGATGAGCTGGTCTCTCTGCCTTTTCTCCTCCTCTCTGGTAGGAGATGGGAACAGAGTGAAGCTTTGCTGTTTTCTGTTTTTTGGTTTTTTTGATTTTTTTTTTTTTTGAGACAGGCTCTTACTCTGTCACCCAGGCTGGAGTGCAGTGATGTAATCTTGCCTCATTGCAACCTGGAACTCCTGGGCTCAAGGGATCCTCCTGCCCCAGCCTCCCAAGTAGCTGGGACTACAGGCACACACCACTGCACCCAGCTAATTTTTTGTTTTTTGTAGAGACAGGGTCTCACTATGATGCCCAGGCTGGTCTCAAACTCTTGAGCTCAAGGGATCCTCCTGCCTTGGCCTCCCAAAGTGCTGGGATTATAGGCTTGAGCCACTATGCCTGGCTGAGCTTTGCTCTTGAACAAGTTCCAATGCCGATGTTGGCCGTGAGCCTGTGAGGCACCAGGGCCTAGTTTATCCCATTGGAAGCTCATAACAGCTCTTGGAGTTACACCTGCCCATAGGTTAGAGGACAAAAGCTCTCTTCTTTAGAGAGAGGAGGCATACATACTAGAAAGAGCTCAGGTTTTGAAAACTGATGCACACGGATTATACTCCCAACTCTGCCGTGGTCTAGGAAGAATGTGTGCCTTTGAAGCTTGGTTCTCTCATCTGGGAAATGGGGAGTGGATGTGCCTCATGTGGATGCTATGAGGATTGAGTGCACAGAGCGGGCGCTTCTCAAAGCTGCCATCCTTTTCACAACCTTACAAATGATGAGGTCAAGGTTTAGGCATGTCCAGTCACCCACTGTTTATTCAGGGCTGAGCCCAGGGTTTCTCATGGTTGTACCCCACTGGTTTTCTCTCCCAGGTTGACCTTGGTAGGACAGCCCTGTCTTTTCTTTTTTCTTTTCTTTTCTTTTTTGAGATGGAGTCTCGCTCTGTTGCCTAGGCTAGAGTGCAGTGGCGCAGTCTCGGCTCACTGCAACCTCTGCCTCCCGGGTTCAAGCAATTCTCCTGCCTCAGCCTCCTGAGTAGTTGGAACTACAGGCACCTGCTACCGCACCCGGCTAATTTTTTAATTTTTAGTAGAGACGGGGTTTCACTATGTTGGCCAGGCTGGTCTTGAACTCCTGCCCTTCTGATATACTGCAGCTGGTGGCATTCTTAAATTTATTCATTCATTCTCAAAGATTTCTTGAACGCTTACTCTGAGCCAGGCATGTTCTTGATGCTGGGGAAACGGCAGTGAATAAACTAGATAAAACTCTGGCCAGGCGTGTTGACTCATGCCTGTTATCCCAGCAGTTTGGGAGGCCGAGGCAGGTGGATCACGAGGTCAGGAGTTTGAGACCAACCTGGCCAGTATGATGAAACCCCGTCTCTACTAAAAATACAAAAATTAGCTGGGCGTGGTGGCATGCACCTGTAGTCCCAGCTACTCAGGAGGCTGAGGCAGAAGAATTGCTTGAACCCGGGAGGCGGAGGTTGCAGTGAGCCAAGATCGTGCCACTGCACTCCAGCCTGGGTGACAGAGTGAGACTCCATCTCAAAAAAACAAAACAAAACAAAAAAACCTCTGCCCTCAGGAGTTCCCATTCTAATGGGAGAAAGAGACAATAAGAAAGAATATTCGTATTGTAATAATTATTGTAAAAATAATTGTAGTATTTAAAAAAACACATCAGACAGAAATGTGCTAAGGAGGGGAAATAAAGTGAAGAAGGAAGATGTGGAGTACTGTGTGTGGGAAGATTTGAAGGCTTGGGTAGAGGGTCCAGGAGAGGCCTCATCAAGAAGGTGCTACTTGAATAAGACCTGTGGGATTGGAGGGATTGGTTCGCATGGAGAGGGGGGAAGAGCATTCCAGGCAAAGGGAGCAGCAAGTCCAAAGGTAGAGGCAGGAGAGCATCTTTCCTGTTTGAAGAACATCCAGGGGGATGGTTTGGCATGAGCCAAATGAGCCAGCGGGGAGTTGCAGTTGATGAGTCCAAAGTCAGAAAGGCTGATCATGGAGTCTCACAGGTCCTAGGAAGGACTTGGCTTTTCCTCTGAATGTCCTACAAAGCCATGGAGGGTTTTGTGCAGAGGCAGGAGGATGCAGGTACCTGGCTAAGAGGCTGGATTGTGTCCAGCTACCGGGTCAAACATAGTCTTTTAGAGTGAGAGCACAAAGGTCGAAGCACAGTGGCTAGCTAAGAGGCTATGGCAAGAATCCGGAACCCAGGCAAGCGAGTATGGCCTGGACCAAACGGAGGCCACAGAGCTGGTGGGGAGGAAGTCAGTGCGATCCGAGTGGGTGTGGCTGGGGCCAGAGCCCTGCTGGACCTTGTTAGTTTCCAAAGATTCCTCAGCCCCTCAGTCTCCAAGTCTGAATCATCCCACAGCTTGGCGGCATGACATGAAGCCCACCCGGCTCCTCTTTTTACCACCAAGCCTAAGAAATGAGTTCCAACATCAGACTGGCTTTTGATCTTCCTGGCTCCAGCCCTTACTAGCTGGTGGCCACGGCCAAGTGATTTAATGTGCATGAGCCCCTTTCATCTGTAAAGTGGAGATTTTAGGAATTTCCACTTTATCTGTAAAATGGGATCAGCATTGTATTGGACTCAGGGAAATACTATAAGGATTTTTTTTTTTTTTTTTTTTTTGAGACAGAGTCTCACTCTTGTCACCCAGGCTGGAGTGCGGTGGTGTGATCTCAGCTCACTGCAACCTCCACCTCCCAGATTCAAGTGATTTTCTGGCCTCAGCCTCCCGAGTATCTGGGATTACAGGCACACACCACCATGCCTGGATAATTTTTGTATTTTTAGTAGAGACGGGGTTTCACCATGTTGGCCTTGGAGTTCTTGAACTCCTGACCTCAGGTGATTCACCCACCTCGGCCTCCCAAAGTGTTAGGATTACAGGTGTGAGACAACGTGCCTGGCCAATACTATAAGGATTTAATGGGGGTAAAATAGGAGCAACCCTCCTTTTCCACCCACAGACTCTACCTTTTTGATTTCCATTAAAACTGCTCCACAACTTGCATGAACGTAGGGAATGCAGAGACCAGCAGACTTCCCTGAAGGAGGTAGAAGGTGGTGCTACAGAAGGAAGGGGGATCACTTCATGGAGGGAGGAGAGGAGCTGTCTCTCGGTTGCTGGCATTGAGCCTGGCATGAGGGAAAGCCCTATAGCACACGTGGGTAGGCAAGGACACTGCCCTAGGTGCTACTTGCTTCAAGAAGAACAAGGTAAATGTGGACCATTCTCCCTCCCTGTGCTGTGCACACCTCATTTGACATCTTGTTTGGCCATGGGGTGGTCCCCAAGTTGACAAGGGCAGGACAGGATTTTCTCAATCCATGCACTTCCTCCTTTGCAGGCCTGGTGACCATGTTGCCAAAGGGATGGCTCCAGCTGTCCATGTGCACCAGGGGAGAGAGAGAAACCCATGGTCATGTTCACCCTGAGGTTCACTTCCCCTTGTTCTCTCTACGTCTCATCTTGGCTTTCTCAATTTTGGTTTATTTTGTTCGCCTTTTGATTTCTGCAGGCTAAGTATGTTCCAACCTATAATCCCTCTTCCTACACACACACACACACACACACACACACACACACACACACACACACACTGATCTGTCTGCTACTGACAACTCCATGGCTAACCTGGACAGAGTGTGTTACAGAGCCGGGAAAGGAATTCCTTCTGTTTCACGCGGTCCTTTGGCTGTGACAGGCAGACCTCTAGGACACTTCTAGGGGGTGGTAGCCTCCATAGCCAGGTGCTCAAGAAGGGGACGAGGAGCCTGCCCTCTCAATTAGTGCTGGCAGGGTGGAAATCAATGCCGCTTTTGAAGAGCAGCTTGGCAGTTAAAACCCAAAAGCTTAAAAATGTGCACAACATTTGCCCCAGCAATTCTTACACTTGAGAACACTGCCAGATGGTATCAAAACGTTATTTAACAATATTTTAAAGGAAACGTTATTTTACAATAAGGAAAAGCTAGAAATAATTGCAATGTCCAACAGTAGAGCATTAATTAAGTAAAATATGGTGCATCCATGCAATGGGATACTGTGTAGTGTCAATATCAAGTTGTTGAAGAATCATCCACATGAGGAAATGTTCACAGCATGGGCGCCAAGTGAAAAAAAAGTAGATTATAAAATATCTATGGATAACGTAAACCCCAGTTTTTTAAAAAAAGAATACTTGAATATGTGCACAGATTAAAAATTAAATAATATATCAAGATATTAAGTGTTATTTCACATTTATAGTACAACTGGTTTGTATTTTCTTCTTTGTGCTTTTTGATTCTTTGGTATCAGAGTATAGACTGAGGCCAAATTATCTGAATTTAAATCTCAGTCTCTACCACATACTAGCTATGTGACTTTTAATAAATTACTTAACTTCTCTGTGCCTCGGTTTTACCCTTTATAAAATGGGGATGATGATGATGCTAAGAATAGTATATGCCTCATATAGTTGTTATAACGATTAAATAAGTAAATGCATGTAAAGTGCTTAGAATAGTGCCTGGTCATACCTACACACTTCTTAAGTTTTACCTCTTAGTATTTTCAAAATTTGCTCTGGTAAACATTTAACACACATATCCTCAGGGAAAAACAATGCAATAATTAGTTTTAAACAAGGAAAAGGGATTAGGTCCTTGCAGGAAGACCAGAATGGTGAAAGAGAAAAGTAAATGCCACTCTGAAAACCACCCAGTGTCAGCCCCCAGAGCCAATCCTTAGGATAGAAATGGAATCATCCTTAGAATTTGGGATTCTGGCCAAATTCACTTTGGTCCAAATTACCTAGAAAATTAAAGGAAAGAAATAACCTTTAATGGAGTGATCTAGATGGAGGATCAGTGGTCTCGTAGGTGGTCCTTTGCTTAGTGGTTGGTCTTCTGGAATGGGGAGGTCTGGGGGGCATCTGGGTGCAGGGTGATAAGGGATGGTGGGAGGTGAGCCAGAGGGGAGAGTCACCACGGAAAATGGTCCCCTGCCTCTGCAAAGTCTTAGTTTTATGACGTCTGAGCTAGATCATTCAGACTATTGCTCCTTCTTTAGATACTTATGCATGCCCACTATGGGCAAGCACTAAGGGGCAAGGTCTTGTGATTATAGTGACAATTGCTTCAATTGTTCAATAATGATAGCCACTAATGAGCAATCACCCGCTAGGTGCCAGTGCTCCATGCTAAAAACGCTTGCCATGAATGATCTCATTTCATCCTTATAGTCACTTGTAAGATCAGTGCTGGCAGCATCTTCAGTCTCATTTTACGAATGAGGAACTTGAGCACAGAGAGTTGGGTTAACCAGCACAGGGTCAGAAAGCTTACAAGGTGCGGGGCTGGGCTTTGAACCCTAGGCCACCTGGTCTGTGTCATAAGGTTTAATCCTACTCTTTCTGCCTCCACTTGGCTTCCTTTAGCTCTGGAAATCAAAAGAGCCCAAATGTCTTCAAGAACACTCAGAAATCTTTTTCTCCTGCCTCTGAGACCTCACTCCTGCCTTTTTATCATCCCTTACCCCCCGCAACCCCCCACCACCCCAGGAGAAGCCTGTTTAACTGCCTCCTTCTGCCATATGGAGTCAGGAAATACTTTTTTTTTTTCAAGGATACACATTTTTTAAACTGACAAATTAAAATTGTATCTATTTATTTGTGTATAAAATGTTGTTTTGAAATATGTATACATTGTGGAATGGCTAAATCAAGCTAATTAATGTAGCTTTATTTAAAAACATGATGATAATTCCCTTGGTGCGTTAGTGAGTTTCCTGAATTGTATGCCTGCCTCTGAGGACTCCAGAGGCCCTGAAGACCTCACTCAGCCATTTCTACGGAAGCACATTTTTAAACAACTTAAAAAAATTGTTTTAATTGTGGCAACATACACATAGCACAAAATGTACTGTCTTAACCATGTTTTAGTATACTGGTCAGTGGCATTAGGTACATTCACAGTGTTGTACAACTAACGTCCAAACGCTTTTCATCTTGAAAAACTGAAACTCTGTGCCATTAAATGACAACTCCTCATTTGCCCCATCCCACAGCCCCTGAAAACCACTCTTTGCCTTTCTGTCTCTATGCATCTGACTGCTCTAGGTACCTCATATAAGTGGAATCATATAGTATTCGTCTTTTTGTGACTGGCTATTTCACTTAGCCTAATGCCCTCAAAGTCCATCCATGTTGTAGCATATGTCAGAATTTTCCTCCTTTTAGGGCTGAATAATATTCCATTTTATGTATATGCCACATTTTGTCTATCTATTTGTCCATTGAAGCAACTTGGGTTGCTTCCACCTTTCGGCTATTGTGAAGGATGATGTTATAGGTGTCTTAGTCTGTTTGGGCTGCTGCAACAGAATACCGTAGACTGAGTGGCTTATAAGCAACAGAAATTTATTTCTCATAGTTCTGGGCCTGGGAAGTCCAAGATCAAGACATTGGCAGATTTGGTATGTGGCAAGAACCCACTGCATAGCTGGCCACCTCTTTGCTGTGTCTATGTGGTGAAAGGGCAGAGGGAGTTGGAAGGCACTAATCCCATTCCTGAGGACTCTGCTCCCATGACCTAATCACCTCCCAAAGGCCCCACCACCAAATACCATCACATTGGAGATGAGGTTTCATCATATGCATTTGGAGAGAGCACAAACATTTGGTCTATAGCATTAGGTGTACAGATATCTCTTTGAGTCACTGCTTTCAATTATTTTGGGTATATACAAAGAAGTGGAATTGCTGGCTCATAGGGTAATTCCATGTTTAATTTTTCAAGGAACCACCATACTGTTTTCCATAGTGGCTGTGCCATTTCACACTCCCACCAGCAGTGTATAAGAGTACAAGCGGAGATGCGTTTTTAGCTGTAGTTGCACTAATGTCCTCTCCTTTATTTTGGAGCACAGGTCAGTCCATCGTGGGCTGTAAGGCCATTCTCATCGATGATCAGGTCTTTGTGGTGGTAGCCCAGCTCTTCGGTGGCTCTCACATTTACAAATACGACGAGAGTTGGACCAAATTTGTCAAATTCCAAGACATAGAGGTCTCTCGCATTTCCAAGCCCAATGACATCGAGCTGTTTCAGATCGACGACGAGACGTTCTTTGTCATCGCAGACAGCTCAAAGGCTGGTCTGTCCACAGTTTATAAATGGAACAGCAAAGGATTCTATTCTTACCAGTCACTGCACGAGTGGTTCAGGGACACGGATGCGGAGTTTGTTGATATCGATGGAAAATCGCATCTCATCCTGTCCAGCCGCTCCCAGGTCCCCATCATCCTCCAGTGGAATAAAAGCTCTAAGAAGTTTGTCCCCCATGGTGACATCCCCAACATGGAGGACGTACTGGCTGTGAAGAGCTTCCGAATGCAAAATACCCTCTACCTTTCCCTTACCCGCTTCATCGGGGACTCCCGGGTCATGAGGTGGAACAGTAAGCAGTTTGTGGAGATCCAAGCTCTTCCATCCCGGGGGGCCATGACCCTGCAGCCCTTTTCTTTTAAAGATAATCACTACCTGGCCCTGGGGAGTGACTATACATTCTCTCAGATATACCAGTGGGATAAAGAGAAGCAGCTATTCAAAAAGTTTAAGGAGATTTACGTGCAGGCGCCTCGTTCATTCACAGCTGTCTCCACCGACAGGAGAGATTTCTTTTTTGCATCCAGTTTCAAAGGGAAAACAAAGATTTTTGAACATATAATTGTTGACTTAAGTTTGTGAAGGTGTGGTGGGTGAAACTAAGAGAAATGTAGCATTAGCTCTCACAAAAGAGGACCAAGAAAAATCAACAAACAAATCAAAGCCAGGCTCAGAGCTCTGAAATTAAAAAGCACTGAAATAGTTAGATGTTTTCAAACTTTTAGAACTCACATTTTAATCAGGGATTGCATTTATTGGCTAACTGCATGACATGCCCATTCTACCATTTAAAAAAAAATCTTAAAGCCTGTAATTTCTGAGAAAAGAGTACAGCATTTACTCTTATCATCTAGAAATGTAATATGCTTCCCCCCCGCTTTTTGATGAGGAAGAAGACAATTGGATAAGATGGGACAGCACTTATAATGAAATAAAAAAAAACTTTGAGCCCCTCTCATTCCACTTTAGCAATCTTTTTGGTAAGAACTCTTAAAGCCAAAAGTCTGCTGAAAAGATTTGCTGATTATTAGTTTAAAAATCTTGTAACACTCAGCAGTGCTATTTTGAGTCATCCCAGTTTCCTGAAAGTAATGCCCAGTCTTCCTGAATCCTCCTTAATAGCAGAACCTTGGTGATTTTGTTGGCTCATATGAATGCTTGTCATGGATATGTTAACAATTTAGTGTTTGACATTGCTTCCTCTGCCACAAAGACAATACTCTGGTGACACATGTCTAGACCCAGCACAGGCTGTAGGCCCAGGAGTGACTCAAAGGAGTTTTTCCCTCTTTCTTACGGTTCAAAGGTGACCCTGGTGGTGGCCAGAGCAGTAATGCTTGTTTGATGCTCTTCATGGCTCATCTGCTTCTCAGAACCCACCCGTTGAGTTTGTGGGTAACCAGCAGGCAGGCCAAAGACTGGTGCTTTTCATTTCATCCTTTAGAGGGATGAAACAGTTATTTCCGTCTGATGAGCATTCGGTAGAATTTTTGAAGTGAGATTTTATGAAGTCAAAGGGGACTTTACACAGATCTCGACCTGCTTTGAAACCTAGAGGTGGCCCTTTGATTTGTGCGTGTCCTTGCCCTCTGGACAACTTAATATTTCAAGTAATCGAATACCAACTTCCCTGCCAGCCCACCTGCCTTCCGCCCCGCTTGTGTAACAGTCCTGTTTTGTTGAGTTGCTGCTATTGCACTGCCAGTGCAGCCCACACCAAATCACAACCCAAGATACTCAGATAGGAAGACTCCTTCCTCTCCCAGTACTTTACCAAAGGAACCCCCGCCAGGACCCACATGGGGCCACGTGTTGGCAGTGGAATCAGCCTGTGCAGGCTGGGGATCTCAGGCTGATCAGTAGGGGCCAGCTTTGGAGCCAGCCAAGCTGAATCCCACACTCCAGGTCTGTGCTCAAGAGACCAGATGGTGTATTTCCAAATGGGCCTCTCTGGTATGGGCAATAGGCAAGCTCCTGGGGTCTGGTTATGTGGAAGATTCTTAGTGGATGTTCCGCCTGGTTAGCTGGTTCTCTTCAGAGAATATAAAGTGAATGCCTTTAGGGGTAGCTCTGAAAGAGAAACCCAACAACTTCATTCCTAGCCATGAAAGTAGCACGATCATATTGTACTGTATTGTTATTGTAAAATGACTATTTGCCATGTCATGAGTAGGTAGATGTTTTGCCACAAATATGAATGTGTTTGTTGTTTCCTGACTTTAAGCAATGAAGATTGAGACAATAAATAGCACTCAGAGAATGAAGCATTGATGTTACATCAGCACTCTTGGGTACATTCTGGGACTGTAGGCTGAGGCTTCTAGCCTCAGAAACCACGGATTTTAATGAACGAACTCACCCACGCATAGTAGTGTTGTTACTTGAAACTTCTGCAAAATACCAAGCAAACAGGAGAAAAGTGGTTTGTTTTCATTTTTAAGTGCAAATTACTTTTCTTCTGCACTTTTTTTTCCCTCTTGGTTTCTTTGAACAGGCTACAAATGCCCAGGTCCCCCCATTGGAGGCTGAAAGGGAAAGAGCTTTGCCATTCCTCCAGTCCTAAAGATGGCAAGCTATTCTTTCTGTTGCATGGAACCACTCAGATAAACCTGGGCAGAAAAATGGGTACTTGGCAAACTGTAGGAGATATTTAGACAGTCCCAGCAACTATGCCAGATCAAAGTGATGTTCCCAATTCCAGCCACCTGTAGAGATGGCAAGGTGGCATCTTTTCACAGTGTTGCTACTGCAGAGAGGTATCACATTCCCAGCTGCCCCTCTGAGGGTAAATGAGCGACTGACCCCCTGCACTCACTATTCTGCTCACATTGCCAGATTCTGGGAAACCAGGAAACACAGGATGCTGGGCTTAGGATGGGGAGAGCTGTTGAGTCCAGATGGGGAATTAGGAGGTGAAAGAACGATCTAAACAGGTGATGGGTGGGGTGTGAGAAGGGGGTGACCCACTCAACTGCAATCAGGTTTTCCTTTTTTATAATGTTATTTTATACAAGACTAAAGCCTGTAGTCTACAGAGCGCCTGTGCTGTGGAAGGAGATATTTGTTCTGGCCAACTTACTAAAGGAGCATAGATGTTCTTGGCACGGGGTGGTGATATCTTTGCTTCATTAATCTTACTGCTCCATCCCAAGAATCCCTGAAGTTTTAAACAACTTCTGCAAGAAGCATTCTTCCAGTAATAATGTAAAACAAAAAACCAACCAAGCAACAGCAAAAATGCAAAGCAGAGAAATATGTGGACCGTCCCCAGTGGAGATCAGCTTGAAGGAGGGGGTGGATCTTTCTTCTACTTTCCCTCCCATCACCCACTGGGTGGTCGTCTGCTCAGCTTATTTCTTCTTTATGAACTTTGTGGCGAGGCTCCTGGACTGATCCCTCTGTGCGGCCATGTGGCTTTAAGGCCTTTCCTTAAAGGGGGCTTGTCCCCATACTCCATGGGGTCGGGAATGGGTCTATTATCAAGACTCTAAAAATAACTCTTAGACATGAAGAGCACTGTGTTATTGGACAGTGGATGATAAGGCCACCTTACATTTAGCAAAGCTTTATATTTTTCCAATGCACATTAGTACTCACCTCATTTGTTCATAAATAGCTCTGAAGTTTATTGCAGGGCAGGTATTATTCTAATTTCAGAGAGAAGGAAATAGACATGAAAACTATATGAATTGCCTGCCATGGTTATCCAATAGGGACTGGCAAAGCAATAACTTTCCCTCTGATCAGCAGACATTGTATTTTCTTTCTAAGACACCCTGCTATACTCTCCCAGAGAAAGACTTTCATTTCTAGCATGATTTTGAATTTGGCAGCACCTTGAGATAAAGTAAAAAGTGCAATAAAATATGCATAGCCAGAAGAAAAATCATACTGAATAGACACCATTCAATCAACTGGTCCATTTAACAATTAACAAACATGCAATTGCATGCCCCACTCTTTTTACATTCAAGGCCCCACTCTTGAAAGTGGTCCAGAAATTTTGGATAGTTTTCTGTTGTACTAAGGAGGATATCTAGCTGGTCTGGTTGTTTCTCCCCCTGCATAGCTATGGGGAGGATGTTGAGGTTGAGACACATCTGGTTCTTGTCACATTGTCCACCAGATAAACAAGAAGAGATCTGTGAAGGAAAAATTCAAAACCTGAATGCACGAGTGGTGATGAATTGCTCTCGGCCGTCATCAGCCTTCAGGAAGCACACTGGAAATGGCAGAGTTGCATTTTTTCTTCCCCATGGAGTGAGAGTCTGTGTATTTTTAGGAAAGAAATCAGCATGGGATGCCAGAGGTTTGGCGGTCAGGAGTGCTCATGATGGAAATTTCTCTGGCCTGGGGTATAATGAAGGTGAGATGAAGATCTGCAGGAGGGGAGTCTATTTGCATGCCACCTAAAGAAAACCTCTTAAGCTGGCTTCCTGATTCTTCTGCAGAGGTATCAGCCTCTCCTTCGCAGCTGCGGAAGGAAGTTCTTTAATTAGGCAGCGGCCAAAGATTCTGTTCAACAGCTTCCTGGAGTGGAATACAATAATCTAGTTGTATGCAATGATGCAATTAGAAAGTGGTCCGGATTTGGGTGGCAATGGAAGGGGAATGGCAAAGTGGGGCAGATGGCTCTGGAGGAAACTTGGGAAAGTAAAAACAAACTGAAAGAAAAGGAAAAAAGGATGATGATTTCTTTTGCCTCAGCCAGGCAAGCAGAGGGTAGAATGACCAGGAAGATTAACAACATCTCAATTATTAATGAAGAGAGCCAACTGTAATGCTCATTCAAATAAGAAGCATATTGTAAAGCTACTGAGATCGAAACCAAGTTATTATTATCCTTACTGTATTCCATTGCTTGTATCAAAATCTACTTTTTTTCTAGTAGGAAACTATGCATTCCCTATCAGTCCCTTTGATTATCAGGAATGTATAAGAATTGTGATAAAATAGGCCAATATGCTATTTGGTACCATTTGTATGTATTTTAAGTGCATAACCTAGGTAAAATAAGAATAGTTTCTATGTGTAAAGAAGCAAGTTTTACAGTATGCAGACTACAGTGGATGTATTTTAGGCTGTATACATATTTAGCTCTTTTTGGTAAATAGGGTATACAAACTATATGCCTCTTAATTCAATATATTCGGTAAGCCTATGAATAAAAAGTGGTTCATGCCTAATATGGTTTTGATCTCTGGTCTGCTTAATATGAATATGGCCACTTGAGTCACAGATTTGCAGGGACACCCATGGGCCACTGAGGGACAGCAGTATCTTTGTAGCTCACTCTCTGTTTAGATGGAAGGTAACCACCACAAGGGTCTTTTGCTTCTTCTACTTGGAAACTAAAAAATCACCCAAAAGTCACTAAAAATTCACTGAAGAGCTTCATGGTTACACTCTGCCTGATCTGTGGAATTATAATCCTGACAGATTGACAAAGAACTCTAGGAATATTTGGATATCTTCCAACTCTACAAGGTAAGGAGGAAGTGAGATTGCAAGACTTCGTTGATTGGGTTGAACCATCATGAACTCCTGAGGACAGAGCTTTTGTTTTCTGCATGTCTGGGAGCTAACCTGACCCACAGTAGGCATGCAGTGTTTGCCACGTATATCTTCATCTAAGACCCATCTGGTTTTGTTGGACAAATGAAGGCTCAGAAACCAAATCACATATGACTGTGTACTTATTGTGTGTCAAGTACTTCCATATGCTATCGGGCTTCTGAAAATCTTCAAGAACAGAGTTCTTGCCCTCAAGAGACTTAAAATCTAGTTAAGAGGGAAAATAGTAAGTGCATGATGCTATAGTCAACAATACAAGGTTTAGATAAAATTTTGCATCACAGTCCAAGCACGGTGGCTCAAACCTGTGATCCCAGCAATTTGATAAGCCAAGGTGGGAGGATCACTTGAGCCCAGGAGTTGGAGACCAGCTTGGGCCACAAAGTGAGACTCCATTTCTACAAAAAATAAAAAATAGCTGGGTGTGGTGGCACGCACCTCTAGTCCCAGCTACTCAGGAGGCTGAGGCAGGAGGATCCCTTGAGCCCAGGAGTTTGAGGCTGCAGTGAGCTCTGATCATGTCACTGCACTCCAACCTGGGTGTCAGAGTGAGACTACCATCTCTTAAAAAAAAATGTTCTGCATCACAAAACAGCGTGTGACTAATTGTGCAATGAATGAAGCAGTTAGGTGCAATAACCAAAGATCTCATCACCTTGTCTCTATTCCACTGGTTTGAAGCAGGGCACAGTTTGTGTCCTCAAAGAGAGGAGATTATACAAGAAAATGACTCAGGGGTGCAAGAAGTCACCTTAAGGTCTGTTCACCACAGGCGTCAACCAAACAGTATGAATGCCTACCTGCTCAGAATCGATACTAACCATAAGCAACCATCCACCTGGACCCAAGGCATTCCAGTGGAATATGAGTGTGAATACAGATAATAAATTCATATGAGGAAAGGTTATGTCAGGTCAGGAGAAGTACCCTTTTAATCATTTTGGAGAGAATGGCCTAGTTTCTTTTCATTGTTGTTTTACCATTAAATCATTGTTTTGTGTTTGTAGAGAAATACAGAAAAGAACTAAATTTTTTCAAACCTGCAAGTCAGAAACTCATTAAAGCAGAGACTAATCCTAATATCTCAGTGCATTTCATCTTGGAACTAAAGTGCTCTATATAAATTGCCCAAAGCCAACCATGTACCCATTAGCAAGGCAAGTACACTTATTTTCTCTGTGTCTCAGAGACTAAATTGAGGGCTGAGAAGAATTGGAGGCATAAGTAATGTGTCACTTTCATTGATCTCCTGTCCTTGCAACTGGTTTCTGTACCTGCTTCCCAGACAGGACAACACTTTCCTAACCAGGGTCTAATTGGCACAAATGATTTTTTTTCTGACAAATTGGCAGCAAAGCTGAGATGGAAGGCCTTGGACAAACCTTACCCTCTTGGCCTCTGCTCCAGGCAGCCTCTTGTGGAATGTGAGTTTCTCCCACTCCTGCCTTTAGCCAGACAGCAAACCAAAGCAACACAGGGGAAAAGAGGCCAGCAGTCATGGAAAGGCTACCCCAGAATCTCCAGCACCTGCTGGAATCTCTATGTGGGCCCCAAAGAGCATGCTCCTGCACACACCTCTGGGTGTCTACCCCAGAAATCCACACAAAGAGATAAAATCCAGCTAAGTTTTCTTCCTCTTCCAAGAAACAATTGTTGTGGAAGGAGAAATAAGTCTAGATCTCTGTGCCTTACCTCACACCATCCATCACCCACAGAAATGATGCAGGGTCCTGATGAGCACCTCCAGTTTTGGAGCTAAGAGATTTAAGGTGGTGCGGCCAGCCCATCAGTTCTGCCACCTCCCTGTTTGGTTCCAAGGTGGTGTGGGCTGCAGAGCCTATGGAAGTAGGGTTGGGACCTCAGAGGAAGTGACACTTTTGATGCTTGTCCCGGGCCCCAGCTCAACTCTCTGCTCACCGTGGTGTGACTCTCTCCTCGTCTCCTGCTTTTATTTCTCTTAACCTGTCAAAGAATTCAGGACACATTGTCACTTACAAATATTTTTATTTCTAGTTTACATCATTTTCCTGCCTCTTTGGATTATAGCGTCTTGGCTTATAAATCATATGGAAATCCAAATAAACTTTTTGCTTGAGTCTTTCTCACTAATTTTGACTACCTACTATGTGAACAGTGCTGTATACAAAAGTCTTAAGAAAGATACAAAAGCGTTCAAGAATCTTTTAAAATAGCGTTTTCTTGCCAGTTTGCATAGGGTGGGAATTCACAGGGAGTGTGAATGTAACCTGAATAAATAATATGACCCATGTGATCCAGTCTCTCCACAGTGTAATACTTAATGAAACAGCCTCCAAACCAAATAGTCATACTATTAATTCTGATCTTTACGGTACCCCTGAAAGAAGAGGAAAGCCTGTTCATAACCATCCAAACGCTGCCTCTGAAATCAAGTCTCCCACAAGCCTCTTGCTCTTTCACTGCCCACTTCAGTGCCAATCTCTTTTCTCCACTCTTCCGCAAAGCTCACCTTTACATCACCATTTCATCCACTGGCCAGCTCTCTTCCATATTTATCCATATCAGTTTTCCTGGGCAGACAATAGAGAGAAAGGAGCTCTAAATGTTCCAACAATCATGTATTTTATTCTTGCTGTTGTAAATTCAATAGGTTTTAATATTCTTCTGCTCTGCTTCTGTCTTTCTGCACCATGTGACCTGCAGTGGTTTTGAAATATACTTGCAAATTATTTGGTGCCCCTCCCTTCAAGAGGTGGAGCCTGGTTTCCCTCCCGTGGAGTATGAGCTTTGCTTAGGGACTTGCTTCTAAGGAGTAGAATGTGGCAAAAGTGTTGGTGTATGACGTCCCAGAATAGGTCTTGGACTGCTCACTTGGAGGGAGGCCAGCCACCATGCTCTGAACATACTCAAGCAGCCTGTTGAGGGGCCCATGTGGGAGACATTGAGTTCTTCTGCCAGCAGTCTGCACCATGGGAGTGAACCAACTTGGAGGTGGATCTGTCAGCCCCAGTCAAGCCTTCAGATGATCACAGACCTGGCCAATGTCTTGACTGCAACTTCCTGAGAAACTTACACCACTCCTGGATTCCTGATTCATGGAAACTATGTGAGACAATAAGCATTTGTTGTTTTAAGCTGCTGTGTTTTGGAGTAATTTGTTTTGCAGTAATGAGTAACTAACACACCACCATTTTTATTGGCTTATAGGAATGAGGTTGCTGCCAAATGGGTCTATTAATTTAAGAAAGAACCAACACATCCACATACCACACTATGACGTGTCACCACACACACATACACACTGTTTAAGAGAGAGACGTCATTTCCACAACACACATACTGTTTAAGGGAGAGAAGTCATTTCCACAAATAATTTGTGCACCCAGGTGAGTAAACAGTTGTACTGAAATTAAAAAGAAGAAACGATCAATTTAGCTAAAAAATCCAGGGAGATTTCTTGAAGGCATTTCAGCAGAGTCTTGACTGGGAATTGAATGTTGAAGAGGAATGTAGTCACTTTAACTTCCTTAACCATGGCCGAGAAGACTTCTTAGTGACAATAAGGTCTCCTAAGCTGCGTTTGGTGGGTTGTGGCCTGACCCCGAGGGAGATGACGATGCTCTGAAGACTATCCATGATATCTCAGAGACATCTTTGTCACCTCTTGGGGTTTGGGATGGCCCTGTCACAAGCCCCGATTCTCTGCCTGAGTACTGCAGCCCTTGAGAAGTAGGGAATATGCCAGAATAGCACCCTTTATGACTGATAAGGGTTACATTGGAGACCACAGCTTATTATCTGCATGTAGATGGGTTTCCTAACACCGACCCCCGAAACACACATTTCGACATACCTGGTCACATATTTGCAGTGTGGAGGAGCAGATGAACATTTGCACTTGGCAGGCAGACCAGAGGGAGAGAGTGAGATTGGTTTTAGCGTGTTCAGTTTCTGGTCCTAATTCACCTCATTGCACCTATAGCACCTCACTGGGACTGGAGAGTGAGGCCTGCAGACTTGTGCCAGGAGTACTGTGCTCCCGGACTCCCTCCACAGGGAAGGAAACATCAGGAGTAGGAATCAAGCCTTTTCTCTAATGTCAACTATTCAGGACAAGGCAACCCTTCTTATCCTTGAGTGCATCTGGGGAGCTCGGGCTCCCTGTTCCCTAACTCTGTCTGCAAGTTATGCACAGAGACCAGGACAATATATTTTTAACCACTTGGAAAAGATCTTTCTGGTATGAAACAGACCAGAAAAAGGAAATTTGGCAGCACCAAGAGAGGATCTTTCTGTAGTGCAGGTGATGAGAAAGGACTTGATGTTGTTCAGCAAAGCTCTGTTCTCTGCACACTCCCTTTTAGGTTTTTTATTTGCTGTTTTGTCAGCTTTTCACATTGAATAGCACTAACTATAGCGAAATATAATGTCATTCTGGGGTCCTGAAAAAGGAAGCAGGTCAACTTTACATTTCTTTCATTAACATAGAAAGTCAGGAGAATTTTCTGGTATTTCATATTTTCAGCAAAGTGGAGTATCTGCTCTACTTACTAAAAATGACACTCCAACCCCCCATTTCCATCTGCATTTACGTTCTGCACATATTGCTGAAGTAGCTTTTTCTTCCTTATGTTTACTGCCAATGCATTTGCATTTTCTGTCGCAATAAATAACCCAGTAAAACCCTCCGATGGTAGGTTCTAGCCTGGCTCTTTCTAAGCATGGAATCATAGACAATGATTTATAGTCATGCTGGCCCAGAGGATGGAAAAAAATGGACATTTGTAAAGGAAAAATAAGTGAGTTCAAACAAACGCTAGCTGAGCTGTGAGAAAATTAAAGATGTGAAATTAACATGAAATTTTCTATGACCATTAAAGTCATGGGTTGGGGTGGGAGGCAAGGCAGGAGGAAGCTCTCATTCCAGAGGCTGTGTCTGTGGGGGTCACCACTGTTTTCCCAGCATGCCTAGTCCCAAAGTGTACCTCAATTAATATTTTCTAAAAGGATGCTGATTAAATGACTGGTTGACATTTGCAGGGTACCAGGCACCAGGCAGAGTGTTACATACCTTAACTCATTTATTCTCAGGACTCTTCACAAAGCAGCCACTTTCATATCCCCATTTTACAGATGTGGAAATGGAGGCACAAAGAGGTTGAGAGCTTCCCCGGGTCACACAGCTGAAGAGTGGCAAAGCCAGGAAAACAGGGCCCAGAGTGGTTAGGCAACTCCCTCAAGTTTGCACAGCCAATAAGACCTGAAACAGAGAAAACAATAATCATATCTAACCCTTCTTTAGCCCTAGCCCAGTGCCAGGTGCTATTCTAAAGGCTTTATAGCTATTATCTCAGTTGGTCCTCACAAATTCTGTGAGGCAGGTCCAATCATTATCCCCATTTTACAAATGAATCAACAGAGGCACAGAGAAGTTAAGGAACTTGTCTGGAGTCACACAGCCAGCAGGAAGAGGAGCTTGGGTTTAAACCCAGGAAACTCTGGCACCAGAAGCTGTGCCCTTATCCACTGGGCTACCCTCCATTTTTAATCCATAAATATGCAAAAAGCCTCAGCATTGTAAGTGCCAAGTGCTGATCCAGATGTGTTTGACTCTAGAGCCCATGTTTTGTTCTGTAATCCCATTTCAAGGAGAGCATGTGGATGTGGCAGTGGGGTGAGGGGTGAGGGGACACAAGAGGGTGAGGGGGTCTATTTTGCTGCGTGGGTCATATGAGAAGCTGGATAGGCCATTCTTCATGAAGGGCTGTCTAATCCCAGCCTTTTTCTTTTCTTTTTGAGACAGAGTTTCGCTCTTGTTGCCCAAGCTGGAGTGCAATGGCACGATCTTGGCTCACTGCAACCTCCGCCTCCTGAGTTCAAGCGATTCTCCAGCTATTTTTTTTTTATTTTTTATTTTTTTTTATTTTTAGTAGAGATGGGGTTTCACTATGTTGGCCAGGCTGGTCTCAAACTCCTGACCTCAGGCAATCTACCCGCCTCAGCCCCCCAAAGTGCTGGGATTACAGGTGTGAGCCACCGCACCTGGCTCTAAGCCCAGCCTTTTCTGCTGACCACCCACTTACCCGTGAGTAGCCAGTAGTCACTGATGTGGAGCCCTCTTGTGTGCCACCAGCCAGCCACCCTCTCTGGAGCTTAGGACATGGTGGGGGGCGGTGGGACAAGGCCTGAGTCTGGGAATAGTTTAGGGGGCTTGAAATCCTTTGGAGCCTCTTACTCCAACCCCCTTGTGTTCTAGGTAGGAAGTGGAGACCCAGAGATGACGTGTCTTGCCTAAGGGAGGGAGAGCTAGCACTTTCCTGTGTGTGCTTTGTTTTCACAGTGGAAGATGATGAACATGGTACCACCTTGGAATCTGCAGCTTGAATCTTCTGAGTCTCAAGTAATCAAGATTGTAAAAGCCCATGACCTTGTGATTTACAGAAGCACAACTAGGAGACCTGTGAGGCTGTGGCTTCTTGAACGGGGATGGGCTAGCGCGTTTGAACACCTCCATCTCCCCTTGGGGGTCCTGTTCTCTACACAGTAGAAACGGTAAAGTGAGAGCTGTGCACCTTATGAAGGTGACACAAAGGTTGAGTTTATGGCAGACTCTGTGTTCATTGCTATACCTGCACTTTCCTGCACTTATGCCTGTAATCCCAGCACTTTGCGAGGCTGAGGCGGGCAGATCACGAGGTCAAGAGATGGAGACTATCCTTGTCAACATGGTGAAACCCTGTCTCTACTAAAAATACAAAAATTAGCTGGGTGTGCTGGTGCCCAGCTATATGTTATGCACTGTGCCAAGCAGTGAGTATTCAGTGTTTAACAAAAAGGACACAGTTCCTTCTCATGTGAAGCTATTTACCGTGATACTAAGACATTAAGTGGTTCCTCAAAGCCTTTGGTCATATCTAAATGTGACTGGCCTATATAGTGATCTGTAAGTTTTTAAAGGGTCAACTTTTGATAAGCCAAACAAAGTCATAAACTTTCTCAGCAAAAAAATTAAAAATGTATTTGCATTTAAAGATATATCTACAGTCTGACCACATCCACTCTGGCCCAAGTCACCATGGTTTCCCACCTTGATTATTGTTGTGGCCGCCACACTAGGGCCCCTGCTGCCTCCCTGACTCCTCCTTGTCTGTTTTCCACTTAGTGGCTGGAGGCATCCTGTTAAAGTGTGAGTCAGATCAGGCGGTTCAGGAAAAGTCAGGGCTTCCCATCATTCATAGAGCAAGAGCCAAATTTCTACAATAGCTTACAAGAACATAAACTACTCTTTCTGTCTTTGTTTCTCTGACACAACACACACACACACACACACACACACACATCCTTTCTGACCTCATCTCCTAAACTATTTCCTCTGCTTGCTTGGCTCTAGCCACTCCAGCCTTGTCCTTGCTATTCCTTGAATGTTCCTTAGGCATAGAAGAGCGAAAGACAGAAAGAACCTGGATCCCGAATGACCACATGGAGCAGAGCTGCCCCACCAATCCGGATGGTCACCTTTAGACTGTTAAAAGGAGAGAGAAATATATGTCTGTCTTTTTTTTGAGATGGAGTCTTGCTGTGTCACCCAGGCTGGAGTGCAGTGGTGCAATATCTTGGTTCGCTACAACCTCTGCCTCCTGGGTTCAAGTGATTCTCCTGCCTCAGCCTCCCAAATAGCTGGGACTGCAGGCACGTGCCACCACGCCCAGCTAATTTTTTTATTTTTAGTAGAGATGGGGTTTCACCATGTTGACCAGGATGGTCTCCATCTTTTGACCTCATGATCCATCTGACTTGGCCTCCCAAAGTGCTGGGATTACAGGTGTAAGCCACCACACCTGGCCACTTCTGTCTTATTTAAGGCAATATATTTTGGGATCTCTTTGTCATTGTGTAGTCTATATTCAACCCAAAGGATGGCAAACAAAGGCTCTTGAGCCAAATCTGTCTCTCCGTATGCTTTGTAAATAAAGTTTTATTGGAATTCAGTATTGCACATCCACTTATCTATCATCTGTGGCTGCTTTTGTGCTTCAGTGGCAGAGTTGAGCAGGTACAATAGAGATTCTAGGACTCCAAGGCCTAAAATATTTATTCTCTAGCTTTTCATAGAAAATATTTGCTGGCTTCTCTTCTAAACGATATAAATCTGTTATTATTATTTTTCATGTGAAGAAAATGAAGCCCTGAAAGGCTAAGTAAGCAAGAGTCAAACAGCAAGTGAGTAGCTCAGCTGGGTTCAAACCCAGAACTGTCAGACTTTCCTATTCAGAGCAAATAGTGTCTTAGATATACCAGACTAGGAAATGAAGTCAAGCCATACATTTACTCACACTCCACTCAAACATGCAAAAAAGTAAGCTTCTGTATTTTTTGTCTAACTGACCTAATTTTTTTCTGGACCCCCTAGCACTGGATAGTAAGTAAACCAGGCATAGACCAACCCAGTAATGTCAATCTAATCTAACAATTTCAGTAGTCCTATTAGACCATTCAGGCTGTTTTGAGTTAAATAGTCAGTTTTTCAGATTTCCACCATCTTCAGCTTCTCTTGCAAGAGAACTTTTAGGGTCCTTGTGGCAGTGGGGATAGGGTGGGATGGGGAAGGGTTTTTACGTGCGTATAGTATCTTCTGGACACACTCCGTCTTCTGCCCTGTTCTGATTTGGTCTCCGACCTCAGGACCACTGAGGTCTGGTTGATCCTATCTAATCTTGCTGAGTAACTTTGGCCAGGAACTTCTCATCTGAAAAGTGGGGATCATAATAGTGCTTACCTCCCAAGGCTAATTCAAAAATTAAATATGAGATAATAAATGGAAAGCACTTAGACAAGCCTGACATTTAATAAGTATTCAATATGGGTCAATATCATTGTTGTTGGCCAGGACCCATCACTGGATCTTGGCCATTTGCTCTCGTCGTAGGAAATGACTGAGTGGACTCTGTCCCCTGGCAGGACGCTCTGCCAACCCTTTCAGCCCCTCCAGGTCTCCTCAGCAGGGCATGTAAATGAGATCCTATGCAGCCAAAAGTGCTGCGTCTGCCATAGTCATTGCCCCTACATTGTGTCATGTTGAAAGGGGCTGCTTAGTGGGCTTATCCTGGACATTCTGCACATCCATCTGGGACTCACAGGGAAGCATGTCTCTGGCTCTGCAGAGTTTCTGGCCCTCCCCTTCCCTCTGGAACACACCCCCCACATCCAGAGCCTTGGCCATTCTTTCTCTGCTTTCTCAGCCTGGCTCCTCTTCCTCTCACAATCTCTTGGACTGGAAGGAATAGACTTCTCATTTCCTTGTCATACCATGGCTTCTTTCTCCTCTGTCTCATAGTAAAACTCTACGATCTAGGCAGCCAGGCTCTAATGTAGTAATGAGAGGAAGGGAGTTTAGAAAATCCTCTGTTGACAGTGCCCAGCTATCAAGACCATTGTCTTGTTAAAGAGGTCAAGGAAGGCAGCCTAGAGACTCCAGCTGGTTAATGGCCTCTTTCTTCTGGGTAGAACTTGCCCTTTTCTTCCCTGGGGCAACTGGGAATGATTATCCCCACTGGAGAAGCATTCTGGCAGATCCACTAGGTGGGGATGTTGTAGAAGGGAACTGAGTAGCAGATGTCTGGCCTAAATGTCCTCCAAGGTCCTTCCTAGCTGAGGGCACATGAGCCAGTGTTATGACTTATGGAGAGCCAAGGGTGCTTCTGGCTTTCTAGCCTGGGGACAGGACTCTGAACTCTGGTTTTTCTATTACCCCCAGGAATACTGCAGGTCCAGTCTAGGGGCTTCTAAGTGCAGGTACAGCCCTGAGAAGTGGCTGAATGCCCCTGTTTCAGGGCCTACTTCACAAGGTGCTGAGATACACACTTTCAGTTGGCTAGTCATGCTTATGCTTTCCCAGGTTGGAACCTGGAAACAGCCAGCAGGTGCAAAGGTGGGGTGAAGAAAAATCTATACAAATAAATAAATGTTTCTATCTATTAGGGCATCATGTAAAAATGCCCAAATGAACAGTCATCAAACATGGAGGGAATGTTAGAAAAAGCCTGTTTTACATTCTGTGCTGGTATTGTGCACTTTGGGGGCTCCTCAAAGGGACAGGCAGAGGCAGACATCCTTCAGAGAGGTTCTGAAGCCCATGTGAAGACCAGTTGGAGGAAACATGCCAAGTTGATTAAGCTGATGTAGATGCAGAAAGCCAGCTGCAGTTTCAAATATGAGCTACAAATTAAAATTCAATTATGCAGGTGTCACAGGCTGTATTTTCCAAATTTGGCCCCAGCAACACCTCCCATCCCAGTGCTTAAATCTGGGTGGGCTTGTGGCTCATTTGTAACCAATAAGATGCAACAAAAGTGGTGCTATGACTTCCTAAGCTGGGTTATTACAGATGAATTAGGTCTTTTTGTGGCATGACAAATGACCACAAACTTAGTGGCTCACCAAAACATTAGTATATCACACTCTCTGTGGGTCAGAAATCTGGGTATAGCTTAGCTGCATTCTCTGCTCAGGATCTCCCAAGGACAGAATCCAGGTGTGGTCTTGGCTGTGTTCTTATCTGAAGGCTCAACTAGGGAAGAAGCCATTTTCATGTTCCCTCAGGTTTTGGCCGGAATTTATTTCCTTATGACTGTGGAATTTGTGGCAGCTGATTTCTTCAAGACAAGTGTATTATTTTTCTAGGGCTTCCATAACAAAATGTCACAGTTTTGGGGTGGCTTAAACAACAGACATTTATTTTCTCACAGTTCCAGAGGCTAGAAATCTGAGATCAAAGTGTTGGCAGATTCAGTTCTTTTGTAAGCCTGTCTCCCTGGCTTACAGATGGGTGTTTTCTCGCTATGTCCTCACATGGTCTTTCCTCTGTGTGCACACATCCCTGGTGTCTCTCCATCTTCTTTGTTATAAGGACACCAATCAGATTGGATTAAGATCCACTCTGACAGTCTCCTTTTAACATAATCACCACTTTTAAAGTCCTATCTCCAAACACAGTCATATTCTGAGGTACTGGAGGTTAGGTCTTCAACATATGAATTTGGTGGTGGTGGCGGAGCAATCCAGCCCATAATAGCAAGCAATGGAGACAGAGAGAGAGAGAGAGAGAGAGAGAGAGAGAGAGAGAGATTGAATTTCTGCTGCTTGGATTCTTTCACTACAGGGAAGATCTAGATCTTCTTTTGAGGCCATATGATTAGCTCAGGCCCGTTCAGGATTATCTCCCTTTTGATTAACTCACATTAACTGATTAGGGGCCTTAATTACACCTGTGATCCCCTTACACCACTGCCATATCACATACACATAATCACAAGTGTGACATCCCATTCCCTTGCCATATTTGATTGGTTAGAATCGAGTCACAGTTCCTGCCAACCTCAAGGTGAGGCAGTTATATAGAGTGCAGATTCTAAGGGGAGAAATCATGGGGGCCTCCCTAGGGAGTGTCTACCACAAAAGGTGTTGCAACCTCAGTTTTCTTTCCTGGAGCACTCGCCTGGAGCTCTGTGCTACCCATGTCAGTGGTCTTACTGTCCTGAGGCCTCTGTGATGTGAGGAAGCCCAACGTAGCCCATACAGAGACCTCAAGGAGGGGCCCTGAGACTAAATGAAGAGAGAGGGAGATTCCTGGGCAGCCTCTACTGCTCCAGCTATGGTCTGACCATGGAGCCTGAGAGACTTAAAGCCAACCTGCCAAGGTCTTCCCAAATTACTGGCCAATAGAAACAATGAGAGCTAATGAAATAACTATGGTTTTAAGCCACTGCTTTTTGGGGTCATTCATTATGCAGCAATAGTAACCAGAACAGCAGGCATTCCAAGTGGGACGTCACTCCTTGTATTGATAACTCTATGGGACGAGCATCATAGGGAATTTACTTAGCAGCCTCTCCTGCCTCCTACCACCCATATTCCCTAACCCCTTACTTGTTTATTTTTCTCCACTGCTCTTACCTCTCCCTGGCATACTATATGTTTAGTTGCTTGTTTGCTTACTGTCTGTTCCCCATCACCACCACCTCCCAAAATGTAAACTCTACAATGGAGAATTCTGCCTCTTTTTTCATCACCTGGCAGGTGTGGCTCCTCAGTAAAAACTTTAGTATTTCAGCTGTTGGTGGCCGGGCTAACAGCTGGAGGGAGGCCAGAACAAGATAACAAGTGTCCTGAAAAGGTCAGAAGATCAGAAAATCATATAGAAGGCCGGGCGCGGTGGCTCACGCCTGTAATCCCAGCACTTTGGGAGGCCGAGGCGGGCGGATCACGAGGTCAGGAGATCGAGACCATCCCGGCTAACACGGTGAAACCCCGTCTCTACTAAAAATACAAAAAATTAGCCGGGCGAGGTGGCAGGTGCCTGTAGTCCCAGCTACTCGGGAGGCTGAGGCAGGAGAATGGCGTGAACCCCAGGGGGTGGAGCCTGCAGTGAGCCGAGATCTCGCCACTGCACTCCAGCCTGGGCGACAGCGAGACTCCGTCTCAAAAAAAAAAAAAAAAAAAAAAGAAAATCATATAGAAATCAATCTGGAAGGGTCCTTAGAGAGCGTACAGTTCAATGCCACACCATCCTTGAGAAAATGGATGCCTAGAAAAAAAGGACTCAAATGATACAGGAGGCTAATGGTAGAGCTGGTTACTCCAACCAGGTCCTCTGACCCTCCTTCTAGGGTTCTTGCCACGAAGTCACTTTCATAGGGATTCCATGCAAAGGGGTCAGTGTCTTTGATTGCTCCCTTGGTTTTCTGGTAGAGTTCTGCTGGGACGTTTTAATTATTTTTAAGATTATTTCCTTTTCATTTATCTATCAAAATTCAATTATGGCATTACATTGTGTGGAGGTAGGTTATGTCATATTGTAAATGTATTTCATTTCAGAAGATTAGGGGGTCATCTTAGCCTGGGATCCCAGGAAAGCAGGGCCTTATGCAAAGGCTTTGTTGCATGGGGTTGACTATTGGAGAGGAGGATCCACGGGAGCTGGAGTGAGAAACAGGAGGAGGAACAAGTTGGCCTGTGCTACAGGGGCTGCTGCCTCAGCATCCCACTGGGATCTTCTAAGTGGCTGTATTTGATGTATTTCGGAGCTGCAGGCAAGGGGATGAAAAGGGAAGCATTTATCCATTAGTGTTCATCCCCCACTGGCCAGGGGTGGCCTTGCAGGCATTTACTTTCCCCCTTTTCTGGGTTAGGCAGGCTCTAGGGGTGCCCCATATGACAGCATCAGGATGCATGTTCACCCAAGACAGGAGGACAGAGGTGTGTGGTGAATCCCAGTAAATATGTCCAGTTGCACCTGCACAAAGCTGGTCAAAGTCAGCCTGGAACTGGTCACTGCAGTAGTGGCTGGAATAAGAGGTGAGGCCCAGAAGATTTTAAGGAGTATTCAGGAAAGGTCTGTCTAATCCCCAAACCTCACAGTGCAGACAAGTGTCAGTGCTTTAGAAGGAACCGTCTGGGAGCTTCTGCTATGAGCCTGTGGCGTTTCTGGCTAATCACATGACCTGGATTTCTCACCTTAGAATCCTGTAGGAAATTCCATCTGCAGCATCAAAGTTACAGGGGAAGTTCAAATGCCTTTATATTTGGAAAGAACTGAAACAAAAATCTCACTTCTGGGAATTCTTGGCTCCTTAAGGTCTCCCACTTCCTGATGCTGCAGCGGGTGTCCAATTTGTCCTCACATGGGCCCTGAGTACATGGAGGTTAGTAAAGGGGGTGCAGGGAGCTTAGCCTGCCAGGGAGGATGCTGTGAGAAAATTAGCTGCGCTGACATGGAACAGCCATCATTCACTGAAAACATACTAGTTTCAGACACTTGGCAAAGCACATAAAAGACATTTTCTCATTTACTTCTCACTGCAAATATTTGTGATAAATAGTATTCTCAATTTATAGAGAAGCAAGACTGGCTACATAACTTACATGTCCTGGGACAAAATGAAAATGCAGGGCTCCTTGTTAAAAATTATTACAAATTTTAAGATGGTAGCAGCAAAGCATGAAACTAAGTAGGGAACATTGCCAAGTGGGGGAGACCCTAAGTGTCTGCACAGTTCACAGACTCTTTAACCCTGGAGAGGAGGAAACCAAAGCTCAGAGACCTTAAGTAACCTCCCTAAGATCACACACAGCGGGTAAGTATTAGTGCCACGATTTGAATCCAGGTGGTCTCACTTCTACATAAACATTCTTGGGCTGAAGCAGAGGGGTGTGCTGGGAAGTACACTCCATCCAGAGGCAGATGACTGGCATTCCAGCAACTCCTCACTCGTTGTGTTTCCCTACCCAGGTTTGGTCTACCCAGATTCCTCGCAAGCAACTTGAATTCAAAAAGTGATTGTCAATACACCCTGTAAACCCAGCACTGCAGCAGCCTCCAGAGACAGAGGTAAGTGGGGATAATAAGAGTTGTCTTGCATTTTGCCAATGGCACAGATTACAATGCCCTTCCAACGTAAGGAAGTGCC
This sequence comes from Homo sapiens, assembly GCF_000001405.40. Lineage (NCBI taxonomy): Eukaryota > Metazoa > Chordata > Mammalia > Primates > Hominidae > Homo > Homo sapiens. The sequence goes on along the minus strand of NC_000004.12, from coordinate 24,984,014 downwards.
TGATCTCAGAGCAGTGTTTCCTGCTGAGAAGTTAAGGATTCATGTGTCTTTTCCTGGGGAATAGGATTTTAATAAGACACTGTTGAGGAGCAGGGCCTTTACTAACTCCCAGCTGCAGCCATTAGTGCTCTAGGTTGCAGGCAATTGATGCTGGCTTGGGCTGGCTAAGCAGACAAGGAGTTTATTAAAAGGCTATTGGGGCTAAACACTAGATCCTCTTCTCCAGTTTCTCGGAATCGAATACTGACTGGCAGAGCCTCATGCCATGAGGGACTTGGCCATTGGTGGTTTCTGAGTTCTGCCATGTGGAGGCCCAACTCTTAACGTCAGAATTTCCCCAAACTTAGCTAAGATGCTCAAATGCTTGAGACAGACTGAAAAGCAAAAACATCCAGTGCATTGACTTCAAAACGAAACCATAATGATCAGTGAGGCTCATGTTCAACTCTTGTAACAGAAATCCGACTACTGTGGCCTAACCAAACGAGGTGTTTATTCTGCTCACATAATGAAGAGTCCTACTTAAGGAACTAGACTCCTCCCTCCTTTCACCATTCCTATAATATGACTGTCAACCTCATGGTCCCAAAGAGGCTGCTCTACCTTCAGACATTGTGTCTGCTTTCCAAGCAGCAAAAGGAGGGAAGGGCAAAGGGCAAAAGGCACATGTCAGCCAAGTCTTTTTCTCATGTTAACAACAGCTTCCCCAGATGGCCCACCCAGTTGACTTCCATTTATGCTTTTTGACAAAAACTAGGTTACATGGGATCTAAGGAGCAGAGTATTTGAACACAAGACCATCACAAATACAATCAGGATTTTGCTAGTATAGAAGAAACAGAAACGAATATTGGCTGGGCTGGCCGAGCAGTGTCCCCCACAGTCACTCTGACACCATTTTGGCTCAAAAGCCCTTGCCAGCATCCCACTGTCCATTCCAGCACTGTCTAATAAAAATAGAACACAAACCACAAATGCAAGCTCTGGCTGTCCTTTAACATTCTCTAGTAGCCACATCAAAAAAGCAACAAGAGGCAGGGTGCAGTGGCTCACGCCTGTAATCCCAGCACTTTGGGAGGCCAAGGCAGGTGGATCACCTGAGGTCAGGAGTTCAAGACCAGCCTGGCCAACATGGGGAAACCCCCATCTCTACAAAAATACAAAAATTAGCCAGGCATGATGGCAGGTGCCTGTAATCCCAGCTCTCAGGAGGCTGAGGCAGGAGAATCGCTTGAACCTGGGAGGCAGAGGTTGCAGTAAGCTGAGATCACGCCACTGCACTCCAGCCTGGGCAACAGAGTGAGACTCCCTCTCAAAAAAAAAAAAAAGAAAAAAGAAAAAAGCAACAAGAATCAGGTGAAATGAATTTAAATACCTCATTTACTCTAATCTATCCAAAATATTATCATCTCATCATGTAATCAATCTTTTAAAATATTAATACGATTTTTTTCATGCCAAATCTTCAAAATCCAGTGTTTGTTTTTTTTCCACTTGCAGCACACTCCAATTCAGACTAACTTCATTTCAAGCCATTCATAGCCACCCGTGGCCAGTAGCTTCCATATTGGAGAGTACATATCTATACTTAGGCAATTGGTTCTCAGCTGGGTGTTTTTAAAAGTGCAGGGGAGTTGGGCTGCCTTTCGTTAGCAGAGATGATGAGGGTCTTGAGAGACCTTTGGTAATCACACAAGGCTTAGGACAGTCCCACTGACAATGAAGAATTGTTCTGCCTGAATGCTGATAATGCTTCTATTGAAAACCGCTGCTTTCATACATGCAAAGAGCTTAGAACAGTGCCTGGCTCACAATAAGCCCTGAATGCAAGATTATTATTATTATCGTTACTATGCAGTCAGGTCCAGACTTCATCTCCTAGCATATGAACGCTCCATAGTCTTACCCCAGTGCTTTTACCAAGAAACCACACACACACACACACACACACACACACACACACACACACACATACCCATAATAATACATATGGGCATATGGGTAGTTTCTATATCTTCTATGCCTATTATGTTTGTGCATGTGTGTGTACAGTGCCTGAGTGTATGTGTGTGTGTGTGAATATCTATCTATCTATCTATCTATCTATATATATATATATATATATATATCTTGGGGTCTTCATATATCTCATTTCATTGCTCTGCAAATCTACCTTGAGAATAGGAGAGTGTATTAGTCCATTTTTACACTGCTGATAAAGACGTACCCAAGACTGGGCAATTTACAAAAAAAGAGGTTTAATGGACTCACAATTCCATGTGGCTGGAGAGGCCTCACAATCATGGTGGGAGGTGAAAGGCACGTCTTATATGGCAGCAGACAAGAGAACTTGTGTTGGGAAACTCCCCTTTATAAAACCATCAGATCTTGTGAGACCTGTCCGCTATCATGAGAACAGCACACGAAAGACCTGCTCCCCTGATTCAATTATCTCCCACCAGGTCCCTCGCACAACACGTGGGAATCATAGGAGCTACAGTTCAAGATGAGATTTGAGTGGGGACACAGCCAAACCATATCAGAGAGTAACTATAATTAGTTCTGTTGTACAGATAAGAAAACTAAGGCCAGAGAAGTTAAGCTGCTTGCTTAAGTTCACACAGCAACTGAGGAAGAGCTACAATTTCAACCTTCTTTGCTAGAGATTAGAGTTTACTATCCATAAATCTGGAAGCCCTAGCAATACCAATGTTATAGGTATCATGACTGAAGCCAGCCCATCTTCCACTGCCAAAGACCTGCCAAGCTCTTCCTTGGGGGACACACCAGAAGAACAATTCTCCCTGTGCTTGGGCCCGAGGCTCACCATACGGTTTCACTCCTGTCCTAGAAATGAGCTTGGAGCCGGTGACAAAGAGAAACATCCCAGTGCAATTTCAGTCTCAACAATGACAACTGATGATGCACAATAGTGGGATCTGGCCTGTAATCAGTTTCAAGCTATACTTAGCCATTTAAGCGTCCATTCTGCTCACTCCAGAGAGTGTGCGGGAGAGTCACACACCCCTCAGCTTCAGCTTCTGGCTCATCACCGCAGAGCACCATGCGGAAAAAGGACCCCTTTGTGATAGCACCGTAAATTACAGCCCAGGCAATCTGGAGTCTCAGCTAGAGTGGATTCTTCTGTCTCCTAAAAGAAAAATCTGTTTTAGGCTTAATTACAGTCTGTCATTACCTGCAATCTTATAATGACCCAAAGTCCCTGGAAAATGATAATAATAATTAAAAAAAAAGAGAGAGAGAGAGAGAGAATCGATTCAAATATGAATGGAAAAAGCCAGACAAATGCAGGGCAGGGAAGTGCTGGTAGCATTCTTCAGAAACAACTGTGCCATGAGGATCAGAGCTTTACAATGGTAAATACTTATTCTGGCTCCGTTGTCAATTTACCAGGCCCAAGGGCTCAGTGTTAACTTTACTCACTTTCTGAATCTTTAATCTCGTTGCTGTAGAATTCACCTTATAAAATGCAGGAGCAGCTCCCAAGATAAATTGATGCTGAAAATCAGACGACTGAGATTTAATAGGACAATGCTTCTCAGATCCCGCGAGGACGCATTGAACATACGAAAAGTGTTCAGTGATTGCTCTTAGTATGTTAGTAAGGAGATGCTGAGGTTTATCAGAAGACGCCTTTTAAATCAAGTTTTCTTTGTCAGTTTTCACGGACAGGACTTTCAGGTGCAGCCGACCATTGGGAGCTCCCTCTTGTGGCCATATCAGGAATGGAAATGTATCTCTTCCCACCACCCGACTTAAACCTCCAAAAGCAAAACTGAGGCCAACTGACTCAAGCTGGTGAATCCGCGATTGCGTACTAGAGAAGGGGGCCTTAGGGAAGTCTCAAAATGCTACGCTTAAATTTTCCTGGAGTCCAGATGTCCTTCTGAATCCACTAAACCTTGTGAAGCGATGTGAACGTCAGGTAAAAATCCTTTCTTTTCCTGTTTAACTGCCTCGTTATTTATGGACACAATTACTTTATATTATATACAGATTATATAAAATAACTCGTTGATTATTTTTAATTTATTGCTTGTGAGAATTCCCTGTGCATCAAAGAAGCCTTTTAAGCCGATTTTGCTTCCACAACAAGATTCTCGGGTGGATTCAGTTTACCGGAATTAACATCGACGCATTGACGTGACATTCAGTTGGGAACATGGAGCTGACTGTGTTTAGAGAGAGCTGAGCAAGTTCCCTAGGCAGGTTCCTTTTACTGTAATGGTCCCTGGGTCACAATGAGAACTTGGCCACCATCCCATGCAACTCCTCCTTTTCTTTCCGTTGCACTCTGGTTTCAGGAAGGAAATGATGACATGACTTACCCATCAGCCCTGTTTCCTGATTTTGAAACCACAGGGAATCTGCTCAATTGTAGGAACCAGGTTAGGAAAAGACTGAGTTAGAAATCATTACATTGTGAATAACAGAAAACTCAAACCAGTTTAAATAGCATATGGAATATATAGGGGCAGGTAATGACAAGTCTAGAGGTAGGCTTCAAGTAAGGCTTGATCCAGTAGATCAGGACTATTGCCAAGGACCCCACTTCTCTCCATGTCTTCTCTCTTTCTTCTAAGGTATAGCAGACCCTGTCTGTGCTCTGACCATTTCCCTGCAGCCTATCCTGAAGATCACTTGCAGACATTTCCTGTATACTTCAAAGATTGCCTGCATCTTTCTGTCTGAGGGCATTCCCTGTTCCTGGTGGTGTACACCCAAGCTGGAAATACCAGAAAGTTAACACCCCAAGATTGACCCTCAATACTAAGGAATAAAAGTTAGTTAATAAATATCCCAGGTTCCTTACACAGGGACAGTAAGGAGATATGCTGCACAGTATTTCTCAAGGTATTTCCCAAGACACTGAATCCATGTCCCCCATGGTGGCCTCATTAATTCACCCTTTACTGGCTTCCATTTGTTCCCTGTCTCACTTCCCTGCTCTCTCAAAGTGTTCCCTGCAATTCCTGTGCCCCCAAACCATTTGCATGCAGTCCTTCTCAGGGTCTCCTTTTCGGGGTAACTCAGGGTAAGAACAAAGTGCACCGCTTCCAGAAGGGAGCCATGAGTGTTGGACAACCAGCCACAGATGTCATCCTATTGAGAAATCCTAAAGACACGCCCAGGTCAGAGAAGCCAGCAGACTTCCCTTCTGGATATGGGGCATTTTACCAAAGGAAACCAGTGAGTCCGAGTAGATCTGAATCTGTGGCAAAATTGCCAGCATTTCAGCTGTGAAAAGCACACAGGATGCTAAAACCATCTCATTCTCTGGTGGGCGGTGGGTGGCGAATGGTGGGAGGAATGATGGGGAAAGGGAAGACTGTTCATTTTATTCACAGGGAAAATTAGAGACAACAACCATGGAGAATGGGTTCCAAATGCCATCCTACCCCCATCCTTGTCTCTTCATCTGAGGTTTTTCTGATTTTTCTGACTCCTCCAGAATTCACTGACCTCCCACGCCAACAACGAACCATCCCTCACAATTTAGACAAGTGCTGCCAACAGAAATAGAATGTGAACCACATATGCAAACCACCACATGCAACTTACAATTTCCTGGTGTCTACATTAAATGAGGGGAAAGAAACAGATGAAATTAACTTTAACAATGTACTTTATTTAACTCAGTAGATCACAAATATCCTTTCGATATGAAATTAATATAAAAATTATTAATAGGATATTTATATTATTTAAAAAAATCAAGTCTGTGAAAGCTGATGTGTGTTTTACACTTACAGCACATTTCAGCTCAGACTAGCCACATTTTACATGCTCAGTAACAGCAGGTAGTTAGTAGCTACTGTGTTGGACAGCACAGATTTATTTATTCATGTATTTATTTATTTTTGAGACAGGGTCTTGCCCTGTCACTGAGGCTGGAGTTAGTGGTGCAAATATAGGTCAGTGCAGCCCCAAAGTCTTGGGTTCAAGCAATCCTTCTGCCTCGGTTTCCTGAGTAGCTGGGACTAAAGGTGTGCACCATCAAGTCCAGTTAATTTTTTATTTTTGTAGAGATGGGATTGTGGTTATGTTACCCAGGCTGGACTTGAACTCCTGACCTCAAGCAATCCTCCTACCTTGGCCTATTAAACTGCTGGGATTACAGGCATGAGCCACTGTGCCCAGCCAGGTAGCATAGATTTATAGCATACCTTGTTACTATGTGTGTATTGAGCTTTTGAATTTCAAAATGCTTTCACATGCATATTATCATCTGGTCAATATTCCTAACAGGCAGACCTATGTGGTATTATCATCCCTGTATTGGTAATGCCTTAGGGGAGGTTAAGCTATTTTATCCTCTTTAGGGGTAGCAGGGCTGGGACTAGAGCTGGACTCCAGTGCTGGGCGCCTTCTACCACACCTTAGGTATTTCATTTGGGTCCACGACATCATCTTTTTTATCATCTTCAACATCTGGTATTAGCTAGACAGGCTTGTTGATTCACAGATAATATTAATTAGGATTTGTTTGGCCACAAATGACAGAGACTTGATTCAAACTGGCTTAACTATAAATAACAGAGGTGTTGGGGAGTGAAATGTTAGTTTGTAAAATGAATGCACGTGGTTTCAGGAATGGCTGGATCAAGGGAGAAATGGATATTTCCTGACGCATGGCTCTGCTTTTGTCTGTGCTTAGTAGATCTTAGGCAGCATCTCCACACAAGATAGCTAAGAGGATCTCCAACCTGCCAGCTTGGAGTCCTCGATGGAAAAAGAATACCTCTTTCCCAAAGCTCCAGCCAATGTCCTGGGGAAGGAGCTCATTGATGGGGCTTGGGTCCATGCCCATCCATGAACCAGTCATTGTACATCGTCACTAAGTCCCATGTCCACCCCAGCAACCATGAAAGCAACACAGTATCAAGGGTGGTCCCCCAAAGAAAGGGGAAATAATGGATCCCGGGCAAGCAGAAACCACAGATGTCTTCCCTGCCAATCCTGCATGCCTGTCTTTGGATTTTGTAATTAGAAATGAGGTTTGTTTGTTTGTTTTTTCCTGATCAGGTCCATCCTTTAATCAAGCCTGGATAGGCATCCTGGGAAGCGCAGAGCCTGTGTTCTAGTGTGGTCCATGCACACTCCTCTAGCGGCCAGATGTTCTCCACAATCGCACATAGCTTCCAAATCCCCGCTTGGCTCCAGAGCTGGAGTCCATTGCACACACCTGACAACACTTCTGGGAACATCCTTCAGAAAGGACACTATACCAGCGCAGGCCAGATGATGGCACACTTTTTGTTTTTTGTTTTTTTGAGAGGGAGTCAGTCTCGCTCTGTTGCCCAGATGGCTGGAGTGCAGTGGCACGATCTCGGCTCACTGCAATCTCTGCCTCCTGGGTTCAAGCAATTCTCCTGCCTCAGCCTCCTGAGTAGCTGGGACTACAGGCATGCACCACCATGCCCAGCTAATTTTTGTATTTTTGGTAGAGATGGAGTGTCACCATGTTGGCCAGGCTGGTCTCAAACTCCTGACCTCAGGCGATTCGCCAGCCTCAGCCTCCCAAAGTGCTGAGATTACAGACATGAGCCACCGCACCCAGCCTGATGACACACTTTGGATAAATGTCCTGGTGATACCTCTATACCCATTTCCACCTTCTCCAGCCCTTCACCCTGACACAGGCCTGGTTCCAGGGCCACACAGTGCCCAAGCAAGGAGGATACCTGCAGATGGCCTCAAGTGGGGGACTCTGCCTGTGCTCCATGTTGCTTTCCTTGATAAATGGACCCTGGAATTACTCTAAGGGGCCCAGATAGATTAGTAAGGATCTCTTTGAGCTCCACGTACTCTTAAAAAGAATTAAACTCATTTAAGGAAAAAGGTAATTATTGGCTCAAATAACTGAAAAATCTAAAGTAGGCACAGCTAAACACGGGGCTCAAATGATTGCCACCAAATCTTTCCTCTCTTTTCCACTTCCCTCCCTTCCCCCCTCCCTCTCCTTCCCTCCCTTCCCCTCTTTTCCCTCTCCCTTCTCCTTCTTTTTCCTGTCCCCTCTCCTCCTCTACCCTCCTTTTCTCTTCTTTTCTCTTCCTTGTATGCATGGACCACACTGGAACACAGACTTTGCCCTTCCCAGGACCCCCAACCAGGCTTGAGTTAAATGATGGGCCTGATCAGAAAAAAAAACTCATTTCTAATTACAAAATTCAAAGACAGATGCGGGATTGGCAGAGAAGACATCTGTGGTTTCTGCTTGCCTGGGACCCGTTACTTCTCCTTTCTTTGGGGGACCACCCTTGACACTGTGTTTACTTTCATGGTTGCAGGGGTGGACACGGGACTTAGTGATAGTGCACAGTGACTGGTTCAGGGATGGGCATGGACCCAAGCCCCATCAATGAGCTCCTTCCCCAGGACGTATGCTTCCTCTCTCCTCCCCTTCCCTCTCCTCTCTTCCCCTCCCCTCTCCTCTCCTTTCATCTTTTCTCTCCTTCCCTTCCCTATCCTACTTTTCCTTCCTTTCCCTCTCCTGTCCCCTCTCCTCCCCGCTTTCTTCTCTTCCCCTCCCCTCCCTCTCCTGTCCCCCTCCTCCCCCTTCCTTCTCCTTCCCTCCCCTCTTACATTCTCTCCCCTCCCCTCAAGATCCCCTCCTCTTCTCTGCCTTCTCCTCCCCTCCCCTCCCTCTCCTTCCCCCTTCTCCTTTTGTCTTGCCTCCCTTCTTTTCCCTTTCTCTCCTATCTTCTGTTTTGTCTTCCTCCCTTCCCTTCCTGTTTTAGTCTGTTTTGTGCTGCTATAACAGAATAGTTATCATAGAATACCTGAGATTGGGTAATTAATAAAGAACAGAAATTTATTTCTCATAGCTATGGAGGCTGGAAAGTCCAAGATCAAGGTGCTGGCATCTCATGAGGGGCGTCTTGCTGCAACCTCACATGGCATAAGGCAAGAGAGCAAGCTAGTGCAATGCTGCGCAAAGCCTATTTTATAAGACCTTTAATCCCATTAACAAAGAAGGAAACCTCACAGCCTCATCACCTCTTACAGGCACCACCTCTTCCTACTATCACATTGGCATCATCTGAATTTTGGAGGGGACACATTCAAACTATAGCATTTCCCTTCCCTCCCCTTCCTTCCCCCAACCCCCTTTCAACCCCTCTTTCACTCCCTCTCCTGGTTCTATTCTCTTCTGCTCACCTTTTTCCCAGTCTCTCCAGAAAAAGCACCAGGATGGGGTGGCTGAAATGGAGATCTTCAGAATCAGGGAGACCCTGAGTCCCACAGAATTGGATCATCCGAGGCCATGCAGTTGAGTGGGAAGATGTGATTCAGCAGACATTGATTGAGCACTTACTGAATGCAGACTGGTGTGGGGGGTGTAGAGATGAATAGGACATGTCTTCCCTTTAAGAAGCTCAAAGACTAGTGAGAAGGAAAAAAGAAAGCCATATTGGTTGAGAAATTCTTATGTGCTAGGGAATTACATTATGAAATCCTCATGACAGAGTCACCCAGAAAGATGCAGAAAGGTCCGGTGATTTCTGGGTGCTGCAGCAGAGCTGGGAGTTGACATCAGGGCTTCTTGGCTGCAAGGTGGTTACTCTGTCCTCTAGAGCCACACATTTGCCACTTGAAAAACGACATCTCCTGGAATTGCTGAAAAAGCAAAGAAGTATGGGTTTCCTCTGCAGAATTCAGGGATTTCACCCCTCTAGGGTTCTGACTCAGGGCGGGGGCAAATTCACGTGGGAGTGCGGGATGCGGAACTGATGCCTCCCGAGTCTCTCCTAAGCTTGTGAGTCTCAAACCACAGATGGCTGATTGGTGGGGAAAGCAGCCGGCACCTGCGGGTCACCTTCCGCCCTGGGGAGCAAACTGTCAAAAGGAGCTGTGCCCGAGGCTGACCTAGTTAGACAGTGGGCCGCACACAGGCGCTCTCCTTTGCAGGATTTGTTCCAGGCGTTTGTTTATTTGCGCACCACTTTATTTGCCACTAAAAATACTCTTCCGAAGCAGAGGCGCAACTGACCGTGACTCTTGCGAAACAGCCGAGTGCACAAGCACTGAAGGGCTCCCTCTCGGGCTTCCCGGGCTCGGGGACTGCAAGGGGAACAGAGCAAGGCCTACTTGCCTTAAGGCAGGCAGCTCTGTTCACTTCCATAACCCCAAACCCAATCCCTCCATGAGGCACTTGCTGGTTAAGAAGCAGCTCTCAGCCTGCCTGGTGGACTGTGGATAACGTTGCACAGAACTCCTCAGTTGTAACCAACAAAACTCAGTTCAGACCGGGTTAATCATACACTCACACACACGTATTGTCTCAATGAGCAAAAATTCCAGAGACTGCTGTAGGCACAGCTGGATCCAGTACCGATGGATGGCTGGAATCTGGTCTAACTCTGGCCTTTTTCAGTTCTTTTTATCCTCTGGGTTGGCCTCACTCTCAAGCATGTTTTCTCCTCACAATGTCAAGATAGCTGCCAGTAGCCTCAGGCATGCTTAATCACAGCTCCAAGTGCAAACAAAAGGGGACTTCTTTTTCTCCAGACTTTTTTTAAATGCACTTTATTGAGGTACAGTTGATATACAGTAAACTCCATATACTTAAAGTGTACAATTGGATAAGTTTTGACATATGTGTACACCCATGGGACCACCACCATGTCGACACAAAGAGTCAGACTCCATAAAATTTTTAAACAGGTTTATTCTGAGCCAAATATGAGTGACTAAGGCCTGAGGCACAGTCCCAAGAGGTGCTGAGAATATGTGCCCAAGGTGGTTGGGTTACAGCTTGGTTTTTATATGTGTTAGGGAGACATAAGACTTCAGTCAATACATGTGAGGTATATATTGGTTTGGTCTGAAAAGGTGGGACAACTTGAAGGGGAGGGTTACAGGTCATAGGGGGATTCCAAGATCTTCTGATTGGCAATTGATTAAAAGAATTAAGTTATTATCTAAAGACCTGGAATCAATAGAAGAGTGTCTAGGTCAAGATGAGGGGTTGTGGAAACCAAGGTTCTTGTTACATAGATGAAGCTTCATGGGTGCCCACCCTTACAGGCAAAAGATGGTGAATGTTTCCTGCTCAAACCCTTAAAAAGTGCTAGACCCTCAGTTAGTCCCTTCAGGATTGGGAGGGTCTGGAAGGGGAAATATCTAGTTAACAGAGATTCGTTACAGATGCAATTCCACCACAAAAACAAAGTTGCAGGCTATTTCAAAGTGTGACAAATAAACATACTTTGGGGTAAAATGTTTTGATTTCCTTCTTTATCTGTCATGTGATGTTATGCCAGGGTCAGATTGGAAAGTCAGTCAGTTAGACAGGTTTAAATAAAATGTCTCTGATGAGATTTTACAGTTTGTAGTGTGTGACTCCCCAGGCCTCTTAGGAATTTGGGCAAGAGAGGAAAAAAGGCTGGGCGTGGTGGCTCGTGTCTGTAATTCTAGCATTTGGGAGGCCGAGGGGAGCGGCTTGCTTTAGCTCAGGGGTTTGAGACTAGACTGGGCAACACGGAAAAACCCCATCTCTACAAAAAATGCAAAAATTATCTGGGCGTGGTAGTGCGTGCCTGTAGTCCCAGCTACTTGGGAGGCTGAGGTGGGAGGATGGCTTGAGCAAGGGAGGTTGAGGCTGCAGTGAGCTGAGATGGCACCACTGCACTCCAGCCTGGGTGACAGAGAGCCTTGTCTCAAAAAAGAAAAGAAAAGAAAAGAAAAGAAAAGAAAAGAAAAAGGTCAGAATTTAGTCCTCAACCACAATCAACACAGCAAACAAGTTCATGATAGCCAGGGTTTTCCTGTGTCCCTTTGTCATCCTTCCCTCTGTCTGTGAAAATAGTCAAACTCTGTGGAATGTTTGAAGAGATTTATTCTGAGTGAAAATGAGTGACCAGTCCTCCATAGATTCTGAGAATGTGCCCAAGGTGGTTGGGCCACAACTTGGTTTTATATATTTTAGGGAGACATAAGGGACCGATTGATATGTGTAAGATGTACCTTGGTTGGTTCTGGAAAGGTGGGACAACTGGAAGTGAGAGCTTCCAAGTCATGAAGATTTAAAGATTTTTTGATCAGCAACTGGTTGACTTATTTTCAATAGAAAGAAATGTCTGGATTATGATAAGGGGTTGTGGAGACCAAGGTTTTATTATGCAGATGAAGCCTCTAGGTAGTATGTTTCAAAGATAATAGATTGTAAATGTTTCTTATCAGACTTAAAGAGTCTGTTCTATCAGTAGTTCTAAAAGAGAGGATGGTATAATGAGGCATATCTGGCCCCCTCTTCCCATCATGGGCTGAACTAGTTTGTTTTTCAGGTTAACTTTAGAATGTCCTTGCCAAGAGGAAGGGAGTTGGTGGGTGAGTGGCAGATAGCTGGGAAAACATTCGAGGAATCATAGACAGCTTCTACATGGCTGTACTCTCTCCCTGGGCAGGAGCGAGCCGAACGTACAGCATTAGCAGGGTAATTATACCTTTTGCAGACAATAGTGGCTCCAAGCCAAGCACAAGCTCATGTGGGTGACCACCTAACGTGCCTCATGTGGCAAGGTTGCATAATGTGCAGGGTTGTGCACCTGCACTCCTAACCTGCTGAATCATGCTGCACTGGAAGCCTGCCTTGGCTTACTCCTGACTAAAGTGCAGTCATCTCCCTCATACTCCACCTCCCAGGCCGAGGGCGTCCCCCGGGCAAGGACACAAGCCCATAGGGCAGAGCCCTGAATTCATAACCCACAACAACAACACAGAGAGCAACAACTCACTACTAGGATCCCAGCTATGCTACTTATGACTATTAGGACCCAGCATAGGCCAGAGCCTAGAGATGCCCACCAACTCTGTAGGGGGTCGTCAGTAAGGGTCTTGACCACCTTAATCTCCCATGAGACCCTTTGCAGGGCTGCTGTTATATTCTGCCAATTGTCAGGGATAAAGGTACAACATTGTGTTCCTAAAAGGGCACAGGTGCCTCCTTGGGCAGCAGTTATTATGTCAAAGGCCATTCAGTTTTGCAACACCACCTTTCTCATCTGATCAACCTCATCCATAACAGGATGAGGGCCACTCGGGTGTAATTCAGAGCCCTGGTGGTGTGCTCTGCAAGAGCAGTAACTTGTGCTTCTACAGTTTTGACACCCACTCCAGGGATAGTCATTGCCAAGGGGTAGGACCACCAGGGGGCTCATTGCACTCACAAAACCCAAGAGAGTAGTGCCTCCCAGGTATGTGGGAGTCTGGGCAACATGGGGAGAACAGTGCCAGGTACATGAGGCCACCCCCAGGTACAACATCCAGTCCAGTCCACTGGTTGGTAAGGCCACCCTGTGTCACTACAGACCCATAGACTGCCAGGGGGCACAAAATCCATTAGGGCGTGATGTTGGTGGGGCTTCTTGTTCCACCACCTTGTCACTATACCTTTGGTGTAGTGACATGTGTTATGTTCACACAAGCCATGACGGGTACCCACTCCTCAGTGGTGTTACCCCAGTGTTTCTCAGTGCACCATGATGCCTGGGCTGGAGGTACTACACGTCCCCCCAGTAGCCAGCCCCACCCATCATAAATGCTACAGGCTAGCCAGGGGGTGGGTGCACCTTGGGTCTTGAGGTGTCCTTTGTCCAAAATTTGCTGCATTGCGTTCCAGGCATCAGCCACAGGTGTCCAAGTCTCCAGCCATGTGCAGTTGTCTGCAGATGCTGAATGTATGTGCCGAGGCCAGCCATCCACAGCTGTTGCTGGAAAGGTGGTGCAGATCCAACAGCTGGAAACACCGGTCATCTCAGTGTAGGTGTGGGCTGAGTCCACAATGCAGTTGGAGCATGTTAACCTATGACGGAAATGACTGAGTAGGCACAGATACTGATGGAGGTAAAGCACGTCCCTCAGGCAAAATATAGGCTAACCTTTCATCCCTGGATAACAGTGCAGCCACCAAGGGTTTTTGCCATGGGCAAAACCACACCTCAGCTCCCCACGGTTCCTTTGAGTCCTGTATCTGTGCCAAAGTCATGGGGAGCTCATAATAGGTGGCACAGACAGTACATATGTCCCCCAGAGGAGAGTTCTTTCCCTGGCCTTTCCCCTATGAACAGTCAACTGCAGGGGCCATGTATTGAACACCGAAGGAGTGAAATGCAAGTCACACTGTAGGCCCTCCCCCAAGGGAGCTACAATGGCCAACCACTGGCTGTGCAGGCTTGGAGGGTACAGGGCCACAGCCAGGTTTTCTGTTCCACTGCTTTCAGGGGAGCTGGAGCAGCCACCAGCAGGTTACCATTCGTCCCCATACCTGGTCGAAGGAGGTCATCCTTGGAATGTATCTGCAACTGAGTGGGGGCAGTGCCCTGGTGTAACAAAGCCTCCACTGGGGTCTGGCTGCCTTTCTGTGGCCGTTCGTTCAAGGTTAGGAGCACCAGGTCCAGCTTGGAACTCCAGCCCTGCAAAGACAGGGGTGTGACATATGAGGGTAACCCATTATTCAAGAGTTCATTATATCGCTCAATTATACTCGGGGCTTGTAGGATGTATGGCACATGGAATCCCCACTTTATGTCCATTTGTTGTGCCCATTATTGTACCTGTTTTCCAGTGAAATGTGTTCCCCTATCACTCTCAATGGCCAGAAGGCAACCATACAGGCCACATAAATGTTGCAGGGCCCAGATGGTGTTCTGTTGGTTGGCCACCCTGCAAGGGTAGATGAACAACAGGCCTGTGTCCACAGCTGTTAGCGCATGCATATACCCTTGTGACTTCAGCAGTGGCTGGATTTAGTCTACTTACCACCTGGTCAAGGGCACTCACCCTATCGTTACTTGTGTAACACTGGGCAGCTGCCTCTGTTTAGGGTATGCCTGAGCACATGCCAGGCATTTCTAACAAGCCTCCCAAATGTCTTGCATGGGCAGGGACAGGCTCAAATGCTTATTGATCTGTCTCATCAGTTTACCCCTCGCATGTCCCAGTTTCTGGTGTAGCCACAAGGTCATATCTCATGTAGGTGCCAGCTCTAACTATTGGACCTTCACCAGGGCATCTACCTCATCATTGCCAGTGGTGGCCAAAGGAATATGGCCTGACACGTGATAAATAGTTATCTCTTTCTGATGACCTATTTCCCAGAGGTTGTACCACATGGATTGCCCCCAAATGGGTTGGTGGCCAACTAGCCACTTCTGTATTTTCCAGGTAGTTAACCACAAGGTTAAGCCCCAATAGACAACCCAGCTATCGGTGCAGATTACCATAGGTGTCACCTCCTTGGTGATCACCATCCATACTGCCCAATAGGCTATTCTGTCCACACCTGGTTTCAAACCGTATGGTGTTAGTACTAGGCTGGACTGCAACAGCAGTCTAGGCAGCAGTAACACCTTGGCTAGACCCATCTTTGTACCATGACCCACTGGGAATGAGGGGACCCAATTCCTTAAATGGCGAAGGCTCAGGGTCTAGGGGTGCCTCGGGCCCCATGGCCTTATCTTGCATTAGGACTACAGGTCCCAAGACCTCTTACAACTCTGTTGCTAAGGGACTTGTACTCAGCGTACTCTGCTGCTCCAAGTAGGTACCCCACTTTGCCAAAGTGGATGTCTGCAATGTCCCAGTCTGGGAATTTGTTACCCGTGAATGCATCCATTCCTGCTATTGGGTAAGTCGTCTGCACAATGACTGCAGCCCATCCTGTCACACTCTCACAAGCCTCAAGGACGGCATATACAGGTGCTAGCTGTTTCTCTTTCAAGGAATACTGGAGCTCAGCTCCCTTCCATAGTTGGGACCAAAAGCCTCCTAGCATTTTCAAGCACCCCGTGCACTGCCACAGGCCTCAACCAAAATCATCTGTGGTCACATGCACATCCAGCTCAAATGGGAGCCCCTGGTCAACGACCTGTAGGGCTCATGCCTGTTGAATAGCCCGTTTGGCTGCCAGGAAGGCAGTCTCAGCTGCATCATCCCAATCCCAGATAACTCCCTTCTTTGTTAACCAATACAGTGGTTTTATCATCTGGGCTAAATGGGGCACAAATGACTGTCAGTAACCCAGGAGGCCCAAAAAAGTTTGCAGCTGCTTCACCATGGTGGGCCTGGGATATGCCTGAATCTTATCAATGATAGCCTCTGGGATGGCCTTTGTCTTACCTGACCAAGTAACTCCCAAGAATTTGGTAGATAATCCAGGCCCTTGGACCTTGGATTCATTGACAGCCCAACCACATGCTGCCAAATGTTGCTGCAAGAGGGGCGCCGCCACTTCTAAATCTGCAAGAGAATCAGAGGTTAACATAATATCATCAATATAATGGAATAGCTAGACCCCTTCTGGACATTGCCAGGTGACTAAGTCTGTGGCAACTAGATCATGACATATGGTGGGGCTATGCACATAGCCCTGCAGCAACACTGTAGAAGTCCATCGTTGCCCATCCCACATGAAGGTGAACTGTTCCTGGCTCTCTGGACTGATGTCTGTGGAGAAAAATGCGTTGGCCAAGTCCACTACATAGTGGTACTGTCCCAGTTCTGTCATCAAATTGGCTATCAAATCCATGATTGATGGTACAGCTGCATGCGAAGGGGGTG
Organism: Homo sapiens; assembly: GCF_000001405.40. NCBI lineage: Eukaryota > Metazoa > Chordata > Mammalia > Primates > Hominidae > Homo > Homo sapiens. The sequence continues at coordinate 24,967,430 of NC_000004.12, read as the reverse complement.
TTACTTTATTCAGTTCCTGATAGTCCACCGTCATCTGCCAAGTTCCATCAGGCTTTCTAACTGCCCACACCAGAGAATTGTAGGTGCTGTGGGTGCCACACATTTTCTGCACCTCCTCCAGCTTTTTAATTGTCTCAGTTATCTCTGTATACCCACCCAGCAAATGGTATTGATGGGTGGAAGTAACCCATCGTGGTTGTGGCAGGACCTGAGGCTGGTGATGCATATGTCCGTCACATGCACTCAGTCCGAATTCCCTGGCCATGGCTTGTAATGCCAGGCCATGCAAAATATCCACCTCCAGAATGTATTTTGGTATGGGAGAGACATACACAGTATATAAACAGGCAGCCAAACAGCCGATGTCAGGGTGCTGAGATACAGGTTTCACTTTCACTGACCGTCCTCCATAACTGTCAATGAAAGCAGGTTTTCCCAGAAACTTATCTGGGTTCCCATAAATGAGGCTGCAATCTGCACCAGTATCCACCAGCATCAGCACCCACCGCACATTGGTGGGGGACCAGTGGATTGCTAATTCCACATGTGGCCTCCAGTCGCCCAGTGTTTCCCCAAAGCTAGGCACTTTGGCCAGTTCCCTAATCAAACAGAAAAGGCTCTACATTTCTACCTGGCTGCAGCAAGTTGTCTTTGAACTGAAGTGCCTGGGCAGGACCAGGTCATGCAGCAATGTCCTTCTCCCCCTTGGGCATTTTCTGAAATTGCTGCTCCAGAGACAACTGTCTCCACAAATTTAAGAGAATTTCATTGAACTGCTTACCGATTTTCTCTTGGTCAACCCTGACAAAAATCAAATCTATCCACATCTGTGAGTGTGTCACTTGTTGGGGCCCTCCTTTCTCCTGTCAGGGGGCCACTGTGGGTGGAGCATCTTCCCCTTCTTTACATCCCAGACCCCTCAGTCCCACTGACAGACTTCTGCTTGCCCAAGAGCCACCATAGCAGTGGTCACTTCATGTATGTGGTGCCCTATATATGGGGTAAGGACAACAGCTAGGGAGCCAAAGGCACTTGGGGACACAGAACCCCACATGAGATCCCTTCTGTGGGAGGTGACACGTTCATCATCTGGCCCCTGGGTATTCAGGTCAAACATAGCCTGCCGCATACCCATTTCCTGGATGACTTGCACCAATTTGGCATATGACTGCCATTTACTCATGATTTTGGGTATTTCACCAGTGTCGTTCCACACAGTCTATATAGCTGCCCATAGCCACTCAACCAGGGTGTGGTCACGTTGCCCTTGTGCCAACCACGTACTCACCTGCAACAGCTCGGGATCCTGTTTGTGATGCCAATTGTTAGGTTCCAACTGAGGTCCGAGGGGAGTCGGTGGGCAAGTGGTGGGTAGCTGGAAAAACACTTGAGGAATCGTAGACAGTTTTGACATGGCTTTACTCTCTCTCTGGCTGTAATTGAGCCATATGTACAGTATTAGCAGGGTAATTATAAATTTACAGATAATAGTGGCTCCAAGCCAAGCATGAGCTTACGTGGGTGATCACCTAATGCACCTCACATGGCATGGTTACATAACGTGCGGGGTTTTGCGCCTGCACTCCAAACCTGCTGAGTCATGCTGTGTCAGAAGGCCGCTTCGGCCTACTCCTGACTAGAGCGCAGCTTTTCAGGGAGGTAGTCCTGGATTACTTTCAGTTAATTGGCCCTTGTTTTTCGAGTTTCTCAAGGTAGAAGCTGAAGTCACTGATTTGAGATCTTCTTTCTTCTTGTCTAAAGTACGTGTTTAGTGTTACAAATTTTTCCCTAATTATTGCTTTAGGAATATCTCAAATTCTTATATGTTCTGTTTTCAGTTATATTCAGTTCAAAATACTTTCTAATTTAATTGTTAATTTTGATCCATGTTATTTACAAGTGTGTTATTTAGTTTGAAACATTGGGGAATTTTCCAGAGATTTTTCTGTCGTTAACTTCAAATTTAATTCCACTGTGGTCAGAGAACATATTTGGCATGACTTGAATCTTTTTATAGATTTTTAGTAGTTGTTCTAGGTATTACAATATATATGTAGCTTATCACAGTCTGCTGCTATAGGTGTTTTCCCATCTGAGAGTAGAAAATTTACTTGCATTTAGGTCTCTTTATCCTCTCCACTTAAAAAAAAATTGTGCTATGTTTTTCTCTACGTACACTAATTAACACATAAAATGTTATAATTCTTGCTTCAACCATCAAATATAATTTAAGAAATTCATAAGAAGTAATCTATTGCTTCTAATATAGTACCATGTTTTATTTATCCCCAATTTTATCCATTCCAAATTCCAATGTTTTTTCCCTTCTGAAGTTCAAAACTGTCTTCTATTATCATTTTCTTTCTGCTTAGAGAACTTCCTTTTACCATTTTTAAGGACAGTCAGGAAGAAATTCTTTTATCTGAAAATGTTTTAATTTTTCCTTTATTCCTTAAGGATTTTTTCATCAGACAAAATTTGCAGTCTTTTTTTCCAGACTTGAAGCAAGTACAGTTCTTTCTGACTTCCATGATTTCAGATGAGAAACCTACTGTCTTTGAATTGGTGTTCTATTAGTATTGTGTCATTTATCTTTAGCTGTCTTCAAGATTTTAAAATTTGTCTTTGGCTTTCAGAAGAATAATTATGATGTGTTTTGGCATGAATTTCTTTGGGTTTATTGTATTTGGGATTCCCTTAGCTTCATGAATGTGTAAGTTCATGTCTTTTGCTAAATTCGGGGAGTTTTCAGCCATTAGTATTTCAAACATTTTTTCAATTCCACTTTCACTATTCTCTCCTTCTGGGTCTCTTGGTGATATAAATAACAATTCTTTAGTTATTGTCCCACAGGTCAATATTGCTTTAGGGGTATCTCAAATTCTGATAAGTTGTGTTTTCAGTTTCATTCAGTTCAAAATATTTTCTAACTTAATTGACCCATGTTATTTAGAAGTATGTTATTTAGTTTCAAATATTGAGGAATTTTCTACAGATTTTTCTGTCATTCGTTTCAAATTTAATTTTACAGTAGCCAGGAACACAGTTGGTTCTGTTCATTTTTGTCAGTTTATTTTTTGTCCGTTGTTTGGACAGGGTAAATTCTGTTCCTAGGTTCATTGATTCTATCCTGTCATCTCCATTCTACTACTGAGGCCATACAGTGGACTTTTTATTTTGGTTATTGTATTTTTTAATTCTGTAATTTCCATTTGGCTCTTTTTTTTTTTTTTTTTTTAGATAGGGTCTCACTCTGTTGCCCAGGCTAGAGTACAGTAGTGTGATCACTTCTCATGCCAGCCTCCACCTCCTGGGCTCAACCGATCCTCCCATCTCACTTCTGAGTAGCTGGAACTACAGACATATGCCACCACAACTAGCTGATTTTAAAAATTTTTCGTAGAGATAGAATCTCACTATATTTCCCAGGCTGGCCTTGAACTCCTAGGCTCAAGCCATCCTCCTGCCTTGGCCTCCCAAAGTGCTTGGGATCCTCCTACCTTGGCCTCCCAAAGTGCTAGGATTATAGGCATGAGCCACTGTGCCTGGCTTGGCTCTGTTTTATAAATCATTTCTTTGCTGAAATGTTATATTCTTTACTTGTTTCAAGATAAACTGTAATTGCTTGTTAAAGCATTTTCATGACGAATGCCTTAAAATCTTTGCCAGATAACTCCAACATCTCATTCATTTCAGTATTGGTATCTATTGTCTTTTATTGAGATATAAATTGATGACTAGGTAAGTATGCATGCAACTCCCTGCTGGGCTTCACTAACACCTTCCCAGAAAAAGTGAGACATTGACTTGTACCACCTTGTTGCCATTGAGTGAGTGGGAACATAAACTCAGATCCCCATTGGGTCCACTGACTCCAGGGGAGAGAGGAAGTAGAGTGTCAACTACCTTGCTTTGCACCACCTTGTTTATGTTGGGTGAGGGTGGAGGCTCACCTCCTTGTGTGGTTCTGCTGACACTGAGAGTGTGTGTGTGAATCCTAGTGGCGACTACCCAAACTGCCTTGTTAAGTTTCATTGCTGCTGGATGGGGGTGGAGGCTCTGTTCACCCATAAATGCTGCTGCCACTACCCTGGCTTTGGTGATTGAAAAACGACCTACTTTGGCCAGGTGGGGAGTGGAGGATCAACTCTCTGTTCAGTCTTACTGACCTACCTTGGCAGAGAAATTGGTGTTCCTACTCCCACCAGGCAGAAGATGGTAAATTAGATCCACACTTGGCCTTGCTAACACCACCCAGCAGAAGAATTAAAAAGTGCTTCCTGCTTCTCTGAGGTGGAAGATCAACTCCCTGCTTGATTGTGGGTGTTTTTGTATTGATATTTGGCTGGAGTAATGAAAGTATTGCCACAAGGTTTTCAGGTGTTAGTCCACCTCTTTCTCAATTTTTTGGCTAAGGAGAGCATGCTTTTCTTTTTCTTTTTCTTTTTTTTTTAAGTTTTTATAGGTATACAACTGATAAATTCATAAATTTTCTTTTTTTTCACTTTACAAAGATTTTATTTATTTTTAATTTATTTTATTTTTTTATTATACTTTAAGTTTTAGGGTACATGTACACAACATGCAGGTTTGTTGCATATGTATACATGTGCCATGTTGGTGTGCTGCACCCACTAACTCGTCACTTAACATTAGGTATATCTCCTAATGCTATCCCTCCCCCCTCCTCCCACCCCACAACAGGCCCCGGTGTGTGATGTTCCCCTTCCTGTGTCCATGTGTTCTCATTATTCAATTCCCACCTATGAGTGAGAACATGAGGTGCTTGGTTTTTTGTCCTTGTGATAGTTTGCTGAGAATGATGGTTTCCAGCTTCATCCATGTCCCTACAAAGGACATGAACTCATCATTTTTTATGGCTGCATAGTATTCCATGGTGTATATGTGCCACATTTTCTTAATCCAGGTATAGCGGATAGTCCGCTGGGTATAGTCCTTTGGGTATATACCCAGTAATGGGATGGCTAGGTCAAATGGTATTTCTAGTTGTAGATCCCTGAGGAATCGCCACACTGACTTCCACAATGGTTGAACTAGTTTACAGTCCCACCAACAGTGTAAAAGTGTTCCTATTTCTCCACATCCTCTCCAGCACCTGTTGTTTCCTGACGTTTTAATGATCGCCATTCTAACTGGTGTGAGATGGTATCTCATTGCGGTTTTGATTTGCATTTCTCTGATGGCCAGTGATGATGAGCATTTTTTCATGGGTCTTTTGGCTGCATGGATGTCTTCTTTTGAGAAGTGTCTGTTCATATCCTTTGCCCACTTTTTGATGGGGTTGTTTGTTTTTTTCTTGTAAATTTGTTTGAGTTCATTGTAGATTCTGGATATTAGCCCTTTGTCAGATGAGTAGATTGCAAAAATTTTCTCCCATTCTGTAGGTTGCCTGTTCACTCTGATGGTGGTTTCTTTTGCTGTGCAGAAGCTCTTTAGTTGAATTAGATCCCATTTGTCAATTTTGGCTTTTGTTGCCATTGCTTTTGGTGTTTTAGACATGAAGTCCCTGCCCATGCCTATGTCCTGAATGGTATTGCCTAGGTTTTCTTCTAGGGTTTTTATGGTTTTAGGTCTAACATTTAAGTCTTTAATCCATCTTGAATTAATTTTTATATAAGGTGTAAGGAAGGGATCCAGTTTCAGCTTTCTACATATGGCTAGCCAGTTTTCCCAGCACCATATATTAAATAGGGAATCCTTTCCTCATTTCTTGTTTTTGTCAGGTTTGTCAAAGATCAGATAGTTGTAGATATGCAGCATTATTTCTGAGGGCTCTGTTCTGTTCCATTGGTCTGTATCTCTGTTTTGGTACCAGTACCATGTTGTTTTGGTTACTGTAGCCTTGTAGTGCAGCTTGAAGTCAGGTAGCATGATGCCTCCAGCTTTGTTATTTTGGCTTAGGATTGACTTGGCAATGTGGGCTCTTTTTTGGGTCCATATGAAGTTTAAAGTAGTTTTTTCCAATTCTGTGAAGAAAGTCATTGGTAGCTTGATGGGGATGGCATTGAATCTATAAATTACCTTGGGCAGTATGGCCATTTTCACGATATTGATTCTTCCTACCCATGAGCGGAGCATGCTTTTCTTAAAGGTATTTTATTTTTTTGTCAGTGTCCATTTGTGGTTCTGGTTGGAGGCGTCTGGAGCACCCTGTTCAGAATATATGGAGGAAACTCACCACCACCATGTCATTCCTCAAGTCCTGTGATCCTAGGCTATCCACCTTCTTCTTTCTGTCCTTCAGCATCTTCCAATGAACTAGAATCCTTTAAAATGTATTAAAATTTGGTTTCAAGGACCAAAATACGGTCTAGTTTGGTACATGTTCTGCATGCATTTGAGAAGAATGTGTATTCTATTGCTGTTCAGATCTATGTTGGGTGACCAACTATTCTACTTTGCCTAGGATTCTTTTGGTTTTAGCACTGAAAAGTCTACCTTCTGGGAAACTCTCTTGTCTCATGCAGACTTGGATAATTGGTAATTCTAGTCTAAAAATTTCAATTTGGTCAAATTGGTTTTACTGCTGTTCAAACCTATTACATCTCTACTGATTTTCTGTTTATTCTACCAATTACTGAGTGAAGAGTGTTGATATTTCCAGCTGTAATTTTGGATTTGTCTATTTCTCCTTGCAATCCCATCAGTTTTTGTTTTATGTATTTTTAAGCTCTGTTATTCGAAGCTTAAACATTTAGGATTTTTATATCCTTTTGGCTAATTGACCCTTTTCATAATGAAATAGCCATTTTATCCCTGTTAATATTCTTTGCTCTAAAATACATTTTATGTGATATTCGTATAGTCACTCCACCTTTAAAAAATTATTGTTAACATGGCATACATTTTCCCATCCCTTTACTTTTATTACATTTGTGTCTATATTAAATGTACTTCTTTTGTAGGCAGAATATAATAGTATCATGATTTTTAATCCAATCCAACAATCTGATTTTATTTGGGATATATAGAACATTTGCATTTAATGTGATTATTGATATGCTATTTGTTTCTGTCTTCTTTGGGACTGAGTATTTTCTGTGATTTCAATAGAATTATATTTTCTATAACCCAATAGAACTTCTAAAACAACAAAACAAAGATTTATAGCTAACAATTAACAATTGTTAGATAACAATATAATAAAGAATTATATTATCTTTTTTGTTTTAGGAGTTATATTAGAGTTATAGTGTATATGGTTGACTTATACAAGCTATCTTCAAGTGACATTATATCACCTTACGTATAGCAAGAGAAAATCTTCACAGTAGTATACTTCCCTTCCTGGCCTACATGCTATTGTATATATCTTACTTTTACATATGTTATAAACTCCACAATTCATTGTGATTATTTTGTTTGAAATATTATCTATTAAAAGATATAAAGAGGAAAATAACATATTTACCTATGTAGTTAATGTTTCTGATGCTCCTCATTCCTTTTTGAAGACCCATATTTCCATCCGGTATCATTTTCCTTCTGCCTGAAGGACTTCCTTTAATATTTGTTGTAGTGCAGGTCTACTGGTGGTGAATTCTTTCAGCTTCTGTGTGTCTGAAAACATCTTTATTTTGCATTTGTTTTTAAATGGTATTTTTGCTTGGGATAGAATTCTAGACTGATAGGTTTCTTCCAGTTCTTTAAAGATGTCCCATTGTCTTCTCACTTGCATTTTTTTCTGATGAAAAAGCTGTTGTCATCTCTGTCTTTAGTCCTCTGTCCATAACATGTATAAAAACGTCTTACTCTCTGGCTGCTTTTAGGATTTTCTCTTTAACCCTGATTTTGATCAATTTGATTATGCTATGCCTTGGTATGGGTTTCTTCATGTTTCTTGTGCTTCTTAAGCTTTTTGGGTCTGCAGGTTTATAATTCAAATTTTTGCCATCGTTTATTCAAATTTTTTTTTTCTGTGCTGCTTCCTCCTCTCCTTTGGGAACTCCAACTAGGTTGGTATCCAGTCAAAGGTTACCAAACACGCCAAGTAACAGGGAAACAACACAACTCATATCAAGGAGAATAATCAATCAGTAGAGACCAACCCAGAACTGAGTTAGATGTTAGGGTTGGCAGATAAACACAGTTGTCCCACAGGTCACTGATATTCTTTATATTAAAAAAACTTTTTTTGACCGGGCGCAGTGGCTCACGCCTGTAATCCCAGCACTTTGGGAGGCTGAGGCGGATGGATCACAAGGTCAGGAGATTGTGACCATCCTGGCTAACATGGTGAAACACCATCTCCACTAAAAATACAAAAAAATTAGCTGGCCGTGGTGGCACACGCCTGTAGTCCCAGCTACTCAGGAGGCTGAGGCAGGAGAATTGCTTGAACCCGGGAGGCGGAGCTTGCAGTGAGCCAAGATCGCGCCACTGCAGTCCAGCCTGGGCGACAGAGCTGTGGCTCTGCCTGCGTGATCTCGGCTTACTGCAACCTCCACATGCCGGATTCAAGTGATTCTCGTGCCTCAGCGCCTCAGCCTCATGAGTAGCTGAGATTACAGGTGTGTGCCACCACACCTGGCTATAATTTTAGTAGAGGCAGGTTTTCGCCATGTTGGCCAGGCAGGTCTCAAACTCCTGACCTCAAGGGATCTGCCCGCCTCAGTCTCCCGAAGTGCTGGGACTACAGGTTAGAGCCACCGCACCTGGCTTTTTTTTCTTCTCTGTTTTTCATTTTGGATACTTTCTATAGCTATGCCTTGATCTTCACTAATTCTGCAATATCGAATCATCCATGAATTGCATATAGTGCATTTTTTTTTACCTCAAGTATTATAGTTTTAATCTCTGGAAGTTAGAGTTGAGTCTTTTAAGATATCTTACAACATATGAAAATGATTATAATGACTTTTAACGTCCTTGTCAACTGTCAGATCTGGATGGTGGAATAGTTGATAGAATTAGTGGATCTCAATGTTATGTGCCCATCTCTTTTGTTGTAAAGTGGGTCTTTGGTCTGAAGAAATGTAATGTAGGATCCCAATGTTAGCAATCAGACACTTTGTGAGCTTTAGATAGTGGTGCTTCAGATAGGTAGTCTGAGGCACTGCAGGCAGAAAGGCAAACCATCTAGAAGAAACAATCCTGATCATGATAAAGCACTGCCGTTTCCAAAGGAAAGTCTTCTGGTATAATCAATTTGCTTCAATGTGGCTAGTTGGACTCTTCAAGGTACGCTACCATATGCAGGGCTAAGTATTCGTCTCTACTGTTGGCAAATCACATATCAGCAGCATTAGTAGGTCAATGAGCCCTGGTGAGAAAGAACCTATGCCATTGAGTCATAAAGAGCTTCTATATCTGCCACTGTGACTACTTCATTCATGAACCTATTGCATAAAAACTGGGATGACCAAGGACAGACATTTCCTGATGTCTACTGGCTGAGGCACCAGCCCCTTTGGTTGTTTAATGTCTCTTTTGCACCAGATACTCTCTGGTGAACTTGGGTGTACTATATGAAGATACTATACTTGATGTCTACTCTCAGGAGTCCACCCACATCCTTCCTAGACCTTCCCATTCCGAATCTTCCAATCTTGCTTCTTCCCATTCCCTTATTAACTATGTAAGTCAGGAGTCAGCAAACTTTTTCTGTAAAGGACCAGATAGTAAATATTTTTGCTTTTGTAAGCAATCCAGTTTCTGTTGCAACTCTGCCATTCTTGCAAATGCAGCCACAAACAATATGGAGATGCACAGACATGGTTATGTTCTCATAAAACTTTATTTATAAAAATAGGCATTGGCCTGGATTTTGCCTATGGATCAGAGTTTGCTAACCCGTGATGTAAGCATTGCTCATTGCTTATGAATACATGTATTCCGTTGACTTAAATTTCTTATTGCTCCATGGAAAATAGACAACCAGGTACACTGGCCCCAGTCTTTTAGGGCTGTACCTGAATGGGATTGTACTATGGTGGTGGTCCCTTTTAGGCCAACACCTTCATATCAAGTCAATAAATCAGTAGGCTGAGTTTGGGCTTAATACTCCTCCTTCAGCTAGTTGTAGAGAACCTCTCATAAAGTTATACATGTGAGCTTAAAGAGGAGAGTCAATGAAACACTGGTAGATTACATGAGGATCTGTGCTACTGGTTTGGGGAGATGACTTATGCCCTCTAACCCCAGAGGTACCATTTCTATCTAACAATGGAAGGTCCCTGGATGTGCCTGATTTTGTTGCTTGGTGGATTTAACAGTTCTCAGGTTATAAAAGACAGCTCTGGCCACATGATACTTCATGGTCAGATAGTTTCTACCAGAGCCCAGTTGTATGCCAGGAGCTGTGTTTTGAGTAGAGTTCTCTGCCATAGATTTCATGGCTTTATTCCATAATTCTAGGGATTTGAGCTCCAATGTTGGAGCCAGAGATTCCACACAGTATCTTTTTGTGATGTGCTTAGTACCATGGGATTTCTTGGTCACATAGCTCAAATAGCAGGGATGCTTATACTGTAGCCTAGGCCTAGTACAGAGCTCTTTCATGCTCTGGGCCCCATTCAAGCTAAAAGCCTCAGGTCAGCTGATAAATTAGATTGTATACACTTTCTCAAGTGTGAATGAAGTATGCTACTTCCAGAACCCAAAGAGACCCGCCAAGTTTCTGCTTCCTTCTTAGTGGTAGGCGATTCAAAATACAATAAATTTATTTGTTTATTTATTTACTTTGGATGAAATGTCATGGCCTGCCTCAGGCCACTGAACACCTATAAATTTAATCAATGTGGCAGACCCCTGATCCTTCGTAGGGTTTATTTCCCATCTCCTAGAGTGTCCTACTGTGGCATCCATAGTACTTCTCGCTCACTGGGCCCAATTGCTATGATATCATCGATATAATAGGCATGGAGGGCCCCAGGTAAGGTATGTGTGTGGGTGCATACTGGGGAGAGCTGAGGTAGTGGATCACTAAAGTAATTTATATTAATAGCCCGAAATTACCTAGGTCTGGTTTAGCTCTCGCAGGAATGGCAATATAGTAATTCAGAAGTTTAGGCTGGAGAAGAGTCAGAAGGTTGTCAGCAGCCTTTAAATGAACAAGATAGCTTTAGAAGTCACTTTGAAAGTCTTTACATATGTTAATAGAGGGTCACTGAGAGGGTGAGTTGGAACTATCAGGCCTGGGGCAAGTTCAGAGAAATCCTTGTTATGGGGTTAGTTTGTGTAGTTTGTGTTAACTAGGTTTGCTGTCATCTCACAAGAACTTTGTCCTCTAAGGCAGCAAAAGGAGAAATGACTCAGCATACACCCAGTTAATTTGGGAGATGATACATGAAAACCTTGAGGCCTATATTTTTGCCTCTCAGTAGTCTAACAATTGGGCTCCAATTATTTCAGAACCACCGCTAGAGTCTAATATATGCGTTAAACTTTCTGCCATCTCCTTAGATGAAGATTCAAGCAAAGATTGTGTTCCTCTATTTGGGGTTGTAGGAAGGGTGTGAATAAAGTGTTACTCAACTGAAGTCTCTATAAGAATTTTCTTCAAACTTTTTATTGTGGTAAAACACAAAACATAAACTTTACCATGTAACCTTAAGAGTACAGTTCAGTGGCATTAAATACATTCATAATATTTTTTAATACCATTGCCACCATATCTCCATCACTCTTTTCATCTTGAAAAACTGAAACTCTATTACCATTGAACAGCAACTTTCCATTTCTTCCTCCCCTGGATTCTGGCAACCACCCTTCTACTTTCTGTCTCTATAATTTTGACTGCTCTAAGTACCTCATATAAGTAGAATCATACAATATTTGTTTTTGTTTTTGTTTTTTGTGACTGGCTTATTTTACTTAAAATAATATTCTCAAGGTTCATCCATGTTGTAGTATGTGTCAGTGTTTCTTTCTTTATTAAGGCTGAATAATATTTCATTGTATGTACATATCACATTTTTCTAACTCATTCTTTTGTTGATGGATACTTGGGTTATTTCCTCATTGCTATGGTTTTAATGTGTCCTCTCCAAAATTCACGTGTTGTCAATGTGATAGTATTAAGAGTTAGGGTCTACAAGAAGTGACTAGGCCTTGAGGGTTCCTTCTTCATTAATGGAACTAAGGCTCTATGAAAGAGGCTACTCAAATGCAGAATATGAGTAGTTTGCCCTTTTTGCCCTTCTGCCTTCTGCTGTGTGAGGAGAGAAGGTTCCTCCCCTCTGGAAGGATGCAGTGAGAAGGCCCTCACCAGACACCAAATGCTAGTGCCTTGATCCTGGACCTCCCAGTCTCCAGAACCAAGGGAAAAATAAACTTTTCTTCTCCATAAATCACCAAGTCTCAGATATTCTGTTATAGAAACACAAATGGAGTAAGACAAAAGTTGGTACCAGAAGCAGGGTGTTGCTATAACAAATACCAGCAGCAAGGCATCTGAGATACTGTATATCTTAACTACTTATAATAAAATGTAGAGAAATTATTTAATTTATAATTAAAAGGGAAGCAGAATGTAGAAATTTTAAAAATTCTCAGTTTAACCATGTAAATAATTAAAAAGCATGTTTAGGGGAGAAAACCAAGAGTATGACCAAGCAACCATTTGATAAGATCAGTATGAATAGAAAGCACCCAGGTGCTATTCATCAAGACAGTGGGAGAATGACACTGAAGGCATTTTGGAGCTCTTCAGTGCTGCCATGCTTATCACAGGCCCAGAGTGCTAGGACCTTGGGGACAGAACTGTTTCTAGGGAGGGGGCCTCAGGACTCACTGCTCAGGGCCATCTTGAATCTCTGCTCCCTGCATTCCAATGCAGTACTCCTTGCATTAGAAAAAATCCAGCTGTGGCTCAAGTGGGCCTAGGTGCAGCTCAAGCCACCACTCAGGAAAGCACAAGTGGTGAACTTTGGTGGCATCCACATGGTGCTAATGCTGCAGGCATGCAGAGTGTACAAGCTGTGGAGTTATGGCTACCTCCACATGGATTTAAAAGGATATCTTGGATAGTCTCAGAGCCCAGGCAGAGACCTACCACGGAGGCAGAGCTTACAGAGAGCCCTCACTAGCACAAAACATAGTGGAGTCTTGGGGGCAGGGCCATCCCTGAGACCTCAGAACTGTAGAACCACCAGCATGCAGCACCTGCCTGGAAAATCTGCAAGCATATGACTTCAATGCATGAAGCCTGGGCTGTACCCAGCAAAGCCATGGGGGCAGGGCTGTCTTGAAGCTGTCTATGGGTCTTTTCTAAGTTTATCCTACTTGGAGCTTGTTGAGCTTCTTGGATGTTTATATTAATGTCTTTCATAAAATTTGGGAAGTTTTCAGCCATTATTTCTTCAAATATTCTCTTGGTCCCTTTCTCTCTCTTCTCCTTCTGGGACCTCCACAATGTGTCCTATAGGTTCTTTAGGCTTTGTTCACTTTTTTTTTTCCATCTTTTTTCTTTCTGTTCCTCAGACTAATAATTTTCATCATCCTAAATTAAAGTTCACTGATTCTTTCTTCTGCCTGCTCAAATCTCTCTTTGAATGTTTCTAGTGAGCCTTTTGTTTCAGTTATTATACTTTTCAGTACCATAATTTCTTTTGGTTTCTTTTTAGCTTTTCTCTCTTCTTGATATTTCCCTTTTGTTCAGACATCATTTTCTTGACTTTCTCCACATCTTCCTTTAGTTCTTTGAGAATCTTTAAGGCAGTTGTTTTAAAGTCTTTGGCAAGTAGAGCTGGCATCAGGTCTTTTTCAGGGACAGTTTCTGCTGATTATTATTTTTTCCTCTGAATAGGCCATACTTTGCATGCTTTGAAGTATTTTTGTTGAAAACTAGACATTTGTATATAATAATCCGGTACTACTAGAAATCAGATCATCTTGCTTCTCTAGAGTTTGCTGTTTGCCAAGGATCAGGTTGAGGTATAAACTTGAGGTCTTTTGGGGTCTTTTCTGAGCATGTGCCTTTTCCTGGCTATGCGCAGTCACTTTCTAATTTTGCTAGTACAGGCAGTTGTTTTTGAATGCCTTAGTCTTTAATGTTTGGGTCTCAAAAGGCAGAAAAGACAAAAATGAAGCAGGGGGAGCCCTTTTAATCTCCTGGAAGTCATTTCAGCTGGAGAGGGAGGGACTTGTAACAATGCACATGTTCCTGGAGGAAGCTGCACACAGCTTGCAAGAGCCAGGGTGGGCAAAAAGGGCCCCATCCTCCAAAATCAGGAATCTGTGTTCTGATCACTGATTGCTACTCCAGTGGAGCCCCCAGCCAGATGCTAGAGAAGTGGTATCCCTTCAATTCTCAGATGTCATCCACTTGCCAGTCTTCTCTGGACCCAATAGACAGTGGGCAACAATTGGAGGGGGGCAAGTTCTGTTACTGGGGGAATGAGCACTTTATTGGAGGGTCAGGTTGCTCTCACAGAGCAGCCCAGTATTGTCAGTCACATTCCACTGGCATCACAATCACCTTCTAACAGATGTTCTCAAACCTAGACTTCTCATAAAAAATCTCTTCCGAAAAGACAGATACTCTATGATTCCACTTACATGAGGTGTCTGAAGTAGCCAAATTTATAGAAACAGAAAGTAGAATGGTGGTTGCCAGGGGATGGGGAAGATGGGGGGAAAGGTGAGTTATTTAAGGGGTACAGAGTTTCAGTTTTGCAAGATAAAAAGAGTTCCGATGACGGATGGTGGTGGTGGTTGCACAACGTGAATGTACTTAATATCAATGAATTGCACACTTAAAAATGGTTAAGAGGGTAAATTTTTTGTTATGTGTCTTTTACCACTATATATATATATATATATATATATATATATATATATATTTTTTTTTTTTTTTTTTTTTTTTTTTTTTTTGAGATGGAGTTTTGATCTTTCGCCCAGGCTGGAGTGCAGTAGTGTGATCTTGGCTCACTGCAACCTCTGCCCAGCCCCCTGGTTCAAGCAATTCTCCTGTCTCAGACTCCTGAATAGCTGGGATTACAGGCACCTGCAACCATGCCTGGATAATTGTTGTATTTTTAGTAGAGATGGGGTTTCACCATGTTGGCCAGACTGGTCTTGAACTCCCGACCTCAAGTGATCCTCCTGCCTTGGCATCCCAAAATGCTGGGATTACAGGGATGAGCCACCTTACCCAGCCAAAAAATATGTTTTAAAAAGTAACTTAAATTTCGCCTACTTCAGAACTGAAATGGCTCCAAACCATTAATAATAGAATACACATATGTATAAACAAAGCCGAAGGTTTGAGGCGTGCACGTTAGCACACACTGCACACAGATGTGTACACGTATGCTTCACCATGCTTCCAGAGGAGTGGGGTTGTGAGTGCCCTAAAGCCTAATTGAGAGAAATTGTTGGGGACTTTATGTGAAATGATGAGAAAGAGGATGATCTGAGAAGGGAACAGTTTAACTGAAGCAAAGGCAATGAGCACCCAACAAAAAGAGGACTCTCCTTTCAAAATTGAGAAAGGAAAAGGTCTCGTCCTTCACAGAAACTCCTTTTCTTCTAAGACCAAAGGTGCCCCATTAATATACAGCACTTACCTCTGCGGAGTTTCAGAGGGTGCATCTGCAGTGTGGGCTTTAGTGAAGATTTGGATTATTAACATGCAAATTAATAATAATAATTCCTGCCCCTCGAATTGCACTTCTTTCTGAAAGGCCTCAAAGAGCTTTACTGTTTACCATTCCACACAAAATGCTGCTTTCTCTAATAACACTGTGAGGTATAAATGGCCACAAAACAGATATAAAAAGGAAACAATTTAAATACAGTCACTATCACAGGTGCATTTGGGATGGGAAATGTATTTGGTCGGATAAATTGTTATCAGTCAGCTTTTCCCTTCTTTTCTGCTTTTTTTAAGCCACCAGAAAAACCCAGAGTAAGTTACCATGAAAAGCTATAATAATGCTAATTTTGTTCCCATTTCCTGGCTTTTTCCACTAGACTTGAGGCTTTTTAATATGACTTTAAAATTATTTTTCCCATTAATAATAGCCTCTCTTTTGTGCTCTGCTCTTTTGAAGTTGTATTATTATTTACCTCTATGACTGACTATGGCATATTTGCTGTTTAAAATCGACTCCTAATGCATGAAAGCACATTCCCAAGGGCCACGCTGTCCACCCTGAAGTTTAAAAGCTTCCAAAAATGAGAGGGGATGCATGATTCTGAATGGAAACATTCGGGGCAGCTTGCCCTGAAGGCTCCTTGGGTGTAGGCAGATCTGGACTGTGGAATGAATTTAAATGAGGAGGCATGCATGGGATCTGTCACTTGCTGCCTGCAGCCCGGGTGACAGCCTGGGCACCCACGGAACCCACACATGTGGTGATCACCCACTGCAGGTAGCGATTTCCTGTGTATCCCTGCCTGAGGCCCCCTTCCCCACTCCCCCAGCTTGACAACACCTGCTTTTTAACCTAAAGGGGTCCCCAAAGATACATAGATGCTGAGCTATGATGTTGAGGGAATCTGTTTCCCAAATGCTAGATTTGAGGAACACAGGGAGCAGCCAGTCAAGACATGAGAAGACTTAATTCTCATTAAGTCAACTTCCTGTGGCCACGTTGGCCAGGTCCTGCTTATTAGAGGTTCTGAATGGTGGCTACACAGGCCCCAGACCCCTGAATTGGGAAAGAAGTTTGTTTCCTTAGTAAACATAGCTTGTATGGTGGGGAAAAAATGTGTTTATTGAATACGTGAATGAATGAGTAAATGAAAAATAAAGGAACTTGTTATTACCCTCCACTGCCACCCTAAGGGGTAAGTACGATAATTATCCCCATTTCATAGATGAGAACACTGAGGATTGGAGAAGGTCTAAGTGCTTGCCAAGATTATGGAGCTGGCTCATGGCAGGGTTTAGATTTAAATCTTTGTCTTACTCCAAAGGCTGGGATTCTCCACTCCCCTTCCAATGTTCTGCTCATTCCCAGCAGCCATATTCCCACCCCCGAGTCCACTCGATTTGGGGTCCATACTGAAATGAAAATAGTAAAGTGATGTTGAGTAATAACAACTAACATTTGCATTGCGCTTACTCTGTGTCAGGCACTGTGCTAAGTGCTTTGCAGATACTAATTAAATACATTTTCACAACCCACCTATGAGGTTGGATTAGAATCACCCTTCACAGATGAGAAGGCTGAAAACAAAAATAGTATTACTTGGCAGCAAGTGGCAAAGACTGGATTCAGCCCTGGGCAGTTTGGCTCCAGAGTTCATGCTCACAGCCTTTGCATTCTCACTGTGATATAGACAGGGGCTCTGGCATACTCTCTCTGCCACCTCATGAGGCTGAGGAATGTCAAGGCTGTCCTTACCAGTTTCTACCAGGACAACAATTTCTCTCTTGAGTTTCCAGGTCAGGGGTGACCCCTGCAGAGATGGCTGTTACACACAGATGGTTTCAGCCATGTGCCTCTGGTATGAGCCAAACTCTCTGATCCTTGGCATAACCTATGACCTCTGTCGCCATCCTTCTCTTCACGGCCACCTCTGCTGTCCCCTCTGTGCACCTGCAGGTTCCTAAAGCAACCACCCACCTTAGTCACAGGCCCCGGGGAGTCCACGGATGAATCCCTGACAACATCTTGGGGAAAGATCCCACTGGTCTTATTCTCCTGCCTGCCACTTCCTTCCCACGCAGGGAATTAGATCCTAACTCCACAATGCACTGTTCTTGCTGTTTTCTCTCAGGTTGACAGAGCCCGAGTCCTGCTTTCCTGGCCTCAGTGCTGCTGTGGATGAGAAATATCTCAGGGCCCTTTCTTTCTGGCTCTGAGGTTTTCGTAGTTGGCTTGTGTGTTTGCAAATGTGTGTAAGCCCCTTGAGACTAGGAATTCTATCTTATTTACCCCTTAACCTCAGAACCTAGCACAGCATCTGGGTCAGTAGAGGTGCTCCACTGGTGTTAGCTGAATGAGTGAATAAACAAATATAGGAGCTCAATATATTTGAATAATGACAGATGAGGGAGTCCCCCCACCACCCCCCCTCCCTGCCACCACTACCTCTCTACAGCTGACAATTTGGAAGGAATCTCAGAAGCTGGAAGTGTCTTTCTGCACAGGATCAGGTCCCTGTAAACGCATGAGGGTGGGGCATACTGTGTGCACGGAAGCCCCAGCTACATTCAGGGCAGAGCCTCTCTGGTCTGTTTTACCTAAGAAGTCTCCGAGTGCATCTGTCCCAGCAGGAAAGAGATGCCACATTTCTGTGGGGTCTTGAGAAGAGTTTAATGAAGAGGTTATTTCCAACAGAATGGACAGTGTTCCAGGAAACCCCAAAGGCATGATGAAGCCCTGGAGGCTAACAACAGCCGTTGCTACCCTTGTCTGAATGGGCAGGATTAGGGGATTCTATTAGTCTGTTTTCACACTGCTGATAAAGACATACCAGAGACTGGGTAATTTATAAAAGAAAGAGGTTTAGTTGACTCACAGTTTCACGTGGCTGGGGAGGCCTCAAAATCATGGCGGAAGATGAACGAAGATCAGAGGTACATCTTACATAGTGGATGGCAAAGAGAGAGTTTGTGCAGGGAAATTCCCCTTTATAAAACCATCAGATCTCATGAGATTTATTCACTATCACAAGAACAGCACAAGAAAGACCCACCCTCATTATTCAATTACCTCCCACCAGGTCCCTCCCATAATATGTGGGAATTATGGGAACTACAATTCAAGATTTGGGTGGGGACACAGCCAAACCATATCACGGATGATTCTGGAACCCAGAGAGAGGAAAAGAGAGATATGGTGGAAGGAGGACACTGGGCAGGAGCACTGCCACTGCCAACCAGTGGCCTGGGAGGGAGGGAGTTGTAGGTGTCAACATCCTGCCCTCTATCTTATTTCATCCTCCAATCTTCTATGGGCACCTCCTGCTGGCTAAACCTGAGTGGAAGCTGGCCGGCAAGGGAGTTTAATAATGCAGTCCTCAGCATTGTGGAGCAAGAGCAGGGTGAGAATGCTGGAGCATGGGTCTGCAGAGGCAAAGTGAAAATCCAGCAGAGTAGGATGAATCCATGAGCAAAAAGCCTCCTACTATTAAAAAGACAAAGATAACCAACATTGTGAAAGCCGTTATTCTGCATCAACCTTTTTATTTCACAAGGGTGGAGATTGAGGTAGAAAACAAGGACTCAAGTTGATCCATTTGTAAACCTAGAACCCTTGTCACCTGATGGCAAATCCCTAATTTGTCCTCGAGAACATCCTTTGAACTTTCTCTCTTGGATGTACTTCAGAGTCACACGCTTCTCTAAGGACAGCTATTTGCAACCACTTTCTGATTTTTCAGGATAGGTTTCTTAAATCACCTGCCGTAGCCCACTGCCTGCCACTCCTACGCCTGTGAATTTACAGTTCCAGTTAAAGTAACGTCCATGAACAGGGAGGGAACGAAGGCTCTCCCTATCCCTTCAAGCCCCCAAATTGATTTGGCACTCGAAGTCACTGTTATATTTTATACTGAGTCTTCTGAATCAGTTCATTGAATTTTAGCTGTAGCTATATAAAATCCTCTCCAGTGAAATTATTTGGCCATATTGCGGATGGCTCTGCCATAATCCATCAATGCCACTAACTATCTGCAATAAAAAAAAAAATCCTCCTTCTTTTTTCATTGTAATGAATTTTCTAAACTCAGATTGAATCTTGGAAGGTAATTTACTGGCTTTTTAATTTTTAAAAGGTAGCATTTTGTATTTTTTATATGAAGCCCACAAGATGAGTGGTGGCAAATTTTGAATATTTCCTATTCTGAGAAATGTTGTTGAGGATGAGGTGATTCAGGCAACCCTGGCTTGGATTTCATGGAAGAGGAGGATAGACGTGGGGAGGACTTCATGGGAGTCCAGTTTGACATAGACATCTGTGACTTTTTGTAGGTTAGGAGGGAGGAGTTCTCTACATGTATTAGTCCGTTCTCACACTGCAAATAAAGACATACCTGAGACTGGGTAATTTATAAAGAAAAGAGGTTTAATTGACTCACAGTTCAGCATGGCTGGGGAAGCCTCAGGAAACCTACAGTCATGGCAGAAGGGGAAGAAAACATGTCCTTCCTCACATGGCGGCAGCAAGCAAAAAGAGGAAAAGCCCCTTATAAAACCATCAGATCTCATGAGAACTCACTCACTATCATGAGAACAGCATGAGGGTAACCACCCCCATGACTAAATTACCTCTCACCCTGTCCCTCCCATGACATGTGGGGATTATGGGAACAAAAATTTGAGATGAGATTTGGGTGGGGACACAGCCAAACCATATCACTAAGCAAAAAGCAAGGATGAAAATTCAGCTGAGATTCTTTCAATGCATTAGTAAATTAATAAAGGGGGAAAATTAACATAATTTATCCAAAGATTGCAAAAATATTATTACTGTCCTGCACAGGAACCTGTTTTCCTGGGCAGAGAGGAAGCTATTGAAATCGACTTTAGGAAAGCATTGTAAAGTGGCTTGGGTGGAGGAAGCAGATGGCATTACAAAGAGGAAATAATTCACAGTTCGGAGAGGAAAATCTATGAGTACATATGAATATGCGGGCACCACAAGTAATTGTGTATTAAAAACCTAAGTCTTAAACTCTAAAAGTGCATCTGTAGTTAACATAAATAAGATTTTTCAGGCAAATCTTTAGACTAATCACAAAGCTGGCCTTAATATTAACTTGCCCACTAGGATGGCAGAGATGAAGCTCCTACCCACGCTAGGATAAAGTGGTCATATATTCACTGTGGACTCCTTAGACTGCCATTTAACATATATTCCTTTCTCAAAGGAACATCCTTTAGTTAATCAACATTTTATTTTCTCACTAGCTATGCAACTGCGTTTTAACCAATGGAAAGTCAATCAAAAAGATTTTAAAAAATATCTTTACCAAGTACCCGCCATTTGTTGCAATGTTTGCATTACTTTTATAATTAGGAAAAAAACCAAGATATTTTAATTGAAAAGTGTTATGTTTGAATGATTCAAAAATCAAAGTAAATAAGTTCTCATTCCTCTTTAACCCAGCTAAGTACAGACCACTTCAAGGACACATATGAAGACAAGAGATTTGCAAGCAACAGAAATGGACTCAGTAATTTTACAAAAAGGGATTTATTGGAAGGATACTGGGGACTCACAAAATCTCAAGGAGGCTGGAGAACTGGCCTGAAAGTGGATAGGATTCAGGCTAGGCAATTGAACCATGACACCTGTCCACAGTGATGCCTGGTCACAGCACTGGGAAGAAGAAATGCTGTATGTTTGAGTCTGCGTCTCTTGCTAACAACCTAAAGTCCCAGAAGAGAGAGTGATTGGTCAAGCAAGGGTGGTGTGTCTATCTTTGACTGTTAAGTATGTTTTTCAAGAATACTTATCACCCAAATTCTTCTATTTTTGCCTATGGAGAGGTACTTGGCCTTCTTTCCTTTTTTCCTGGAACAATGGTTCTCAAGCTGTGATGCCCAGACCAACAGCATCAGCATCACTTGATATATTAGTTTGTTAGGGCTGCCAGGCATGGTGGCTCATAGCTGTAATCCTGGCATTTTGGAGGCCCAGGTGGGTGGATCACTTGAGGTCAGGAGTTCAAGACCAGTCTGGCCAACATGGTGAAACCCCATCTCTACTAAAAATACAAAAATTAGCAGGGCGTGGTGGCAGGCCCTTGTAATCCCAGCTACTTGGGAGGCTGAGGCAGGAGAATCGCTTGAACCTGGGAGGCGGAGGTTGCAGTAAGCTGAGATTGCACCACTGAACTCCAGCCTGGCTGATAGAACAAGACTTCAACTAAAAAAAAAAAAAAAAGTTAGGGCATATAACAAATTATCATAAACAGAGTGGCTTAAAACAACAGACATTTACGTTCTCACAGTTCTGGAGTCCAGACGCCTGAAATCAAGGTGTCAGGAGGGCCATGCTCCCTTTGAAGGCTCTGACGGGGACTCCTTTCTTGCCTCTTCCTAGTTCCTAGAGTTGCTAGCAATTCATTGGTTTTCCTTAGCTTAGAGATGCATCGCTCCAATCTCTGCCTCTGTTACCACATACATGGCACCTCCTTATGTGTCTCTGGATCTGTGTGTCTCTTCTCCTCTCTTTATAAGGACATCAGTCATACTGGATTTAGGGCCAGTGTGACCTCATCTTCACCAGTTACATCTGCAAAACCTCTGTTTCCAAATAAGGTCACTTTTGGAGATTCCTGGTGGACATCGATTTGGGTTTGAGGGGGTGGGATGCTATTCAACTCAGTACACCTGGGTAGTGCAAATTCTCAGCCCCCACCCTAGACCTACTGGGTCAACAAGCCTGGGAGTGGAGCCCAGCAAACTGTGATTCAATAAGCCCATTCGGGGATTTGGAACCCTCTAAAGCATGAGGACAAATGTCCTAGAAGGGGCTGCACAGGCATCTTCCAACTTCAGTATTCAGTTCTCATATAAAACATGCAGGTATTTTTCCATTTAAGGAGAAAGGAGGGTTTGTGGGAGTAGGGGCTGGACTCTGAAGCAGAAATGAACCTGCACCTGAGCTCTGATGACCTTACCAGTGGTCGTGAGCTCCCTTAGACTTATAGTTGCCAAAAATAACTACCATCATCACCATCCTTTCAAACCATACATGACAGAAAACAAGTCATTGCATAAAAGCTCTCAAAATTTATTTTATTTTATTTTACTTTAAGTTCTGGGATACATGTGCTGAACGTGCAGGTTTGTTACATACGTATACATGTGCCATGGTGGTTTGCTGTACCTATCAACCCATCATCTAGGTTTTAGCTCTGCATGCATTAGGTATTTGTCCTAATGCTCTCCCTCCCCTTGCCTCCCACCCCACCTTCAGAATTTATTTATTTATTTTTTAAGTCTTTTTTTTTTAAATTATACTTTAAGTTTTAGGATACATGTGCACAACGTGCAGGTTTGTTACATATGTATACATGTGCCATGTTGGTGTGCTGCACCCATTAACTCGTCACTTAGCATTAGGTATATCTCCTAATGCTATCCCTCCCCCATCCCCCCACCCCACAACAGTTCCCAGTGTGTGATGTTCCCCTTCCTGTGTCCATGCGTTCTCATTGTTCAATTCCCACCTATAAGTGAGAACATGCGGTGTTTGGTTTTTAGTCCTTGCGATAGTTTGCTGAGAATGATAGTTTCCAGCTTCATCCATGTCCCTACAAAGGACATGAACTCATCATTTTTATGGCTGCATAGTATTCCATGGTGTTTATGTGCCACATTTTCTTAATCCAGTCTATCATTGTTGGACATTTGGGTTGGTTCCAAGTCTTTGTTATTGTGAATAGTGCCGCAATAAACATACGTGTGCATGTGTCTTTATAGCAGCATGATTTATAATCCTTTGGGTATATACCCAGTAATGGGATGGCTGGGTCAAATAGTATTTGTAGTTCTAGATCCCTGAGGAATCGCCACACTGACTTCCACAATGGTTGAACTAGTTTACAGTCCCGCCAACAGTGTAAAAGTGTTCCTATTTCTCCACATCCTCTCCAGCACCTGTTTCCTGACTTTTTAATGATCACCATTCTAACTGGTATCTCATTGTGGTTTTGATTTGCATTTCTCTGATGGCCAGTGATGATGAGCATTGTTTCATGTGTTTTTTGGCGACATAAATGTCTTCTTTTGAGAAGTGTCTGTTCATATCCTTTGCCCACTTTTTGATGGGGTTGTTTTTTTCTTGTAAATTTGTTTGAGTTCATTGTAGATTCTGGATATTAGCCCTGTGTCAGATGAGTAGATTGCAAAAATTTTCTCCCATTCTGTAGGTTGCCTGTTCACTCTGATGGTGGTTTCTTTTGCTGTGCAGAAGCTCTTTAGTTGCATTAGATCCCATTTGTCAATTTTGGCTTTTGTTGCCATTGCTTTTGGTGTTTTAGACATGAAGTCCCTGCCCATGCCTATGTCCTGAATGGTATTGCCTAGGTTTTCTTCTAGGGTTTTTATGGTTTTAGGTCTAACATTTAAGTCTTTAATCCATCTTGAATTGATTTTTGTATAAGGTATAAGGAAGGGATCCAGTTTCAGCTTTCTACATATGGCTAGCCAGTTTTCCCAGCACCATTTATTAAATAGGGAATCCTTTCCCCATTGCTTGTTTTTCTCAGGTTTGTCAAGGATCAGATAGTTGTAGATATGCGGCATTATTTCTGTAGATATGCGGCATTATTTCTGAGGGCTCTGTTCTGTTCCATCGGTCTTTATCTCTTGGTACCAGTACCATGCTGTTTTGGTTACCGTAGCCTTGTAGTATAGTTTGAAGTCAGGTATCGTGATGCCTCCAGCTTTGTTCTTTTGGCTTAGGATTGACTTGGCGATGCGGGCTCTTTTTTGGTTCCATATGAACTTTAAAGTAGTTTTTTCCAATTCTGTGAAGAAAGTCATTGGTAGCTTGATGGGGATGGCATTGAATCTATAAATTACCTTGGGCAGTATGGCCATTTTCACGATATTGATTCTTCCTACCCATGAGCATGGAATGTTCTTCCATTTGTTTGTATCCTCTTTTATTTCATTGAGCAGTGGTTTGTAGTTCTCCTTGAAGAGTTCCCTCACATCCCTTGTAAGTTGGATTCCTAGGCATTTTATTCTCTTTGAAGCAATTGTGAATGGGAGTTCACTCATGATTTGGCTCTCTGTTTGTCTGTTATTGGTGTATAAGAATGCTTTTGATTTTTGCACATTGATTTTGTATCCTGAGCCTTTGCTGAAGTTGCTTATCAGCTTAAGGAGATTTTGGGCTGAGATGATGGGGTTTTCTAGATATACAATCATGTCATCTGCAAACAGGGACAATTCGACTTCCTATTTTCCTAATTGAATGCCCTTTATTTCCTTTTCCTGCCTGATTGCTCTGGTTAGAACTTCCAACACTATGTTGAATAGGAGTGGTGAGAGAGGGCATCCCTGTCTTGTGCCAGTTTTCAAAGGAAATGCTTCCAGATTTTGTCCATTCAGTATGATATTGGCTGTGGGTTTGTCATAGATAGCTCTTATTATTTTGAGATACGTCTCATCAATACCTAATTTATTGAGAGTTTTTAGCATGAAGGGTTGTTGAATTTTGTCAAAGGCCTTTTGTGCATCTATTGAGATAATCATGTGGTTTTTGTCTTTGGTTCTGTTTATATGCTGGATTATGTTTATTGATTTTTGTATGTTGAACCAGCCTTGCATCCCAGGGATGAAGCCCACTTGATCATGGTGGATAAGCTTTTTGATGTGTTGCTGGATTTGGTTTGCCAGTATTTTATTGAGGATTTTTGCATCAATGTTCATCAAGGATATTGGTCTAAAATTCTCTTTTTTTGTTGTATCTCTGCCAGGCTTTGGTATCAGGATGATGCTGGCCTCATAAAATGAGTTAGGGAGCATTCCCTCTTTTTCTATTGATTGGAATAGTTTCAGAAGGAATGGTACCAGCTCCTACTTGTACCTCTGGTAGAATTCGGCTGTGAATCCATCTGGTCCTGGACTTTTTTTGGTTGGTAAGCTATTAATTATTGCCTCAATTTCAGAGCCTGTTATTGGTCTATTCAGAGATTCAACTTCTTCCTGGTTTAGTCTTGGGAGAGTGCATGTGTCAAGGAATTTATCCATTTCTTCTAGATTTTCTAGTTTATTTGTGTAGAGGTGTTTATAGTATTCTCTGATGGTAGTTTGTATTTCTGTGGGTCAGTGGTGATATCCCCTTTGTCATTTTTTATTGCGTCTATTTGATTCTTCTCTCTTTTCTTCTTTATTAGTCTTGCTAGTGGCCTATCAATTTTGTTGATCTTTTCAAAAAACCAGCTCCTGGATTCATTGATTTTTTGAAGGGTTTTTTGTGTCTCGATTTCCTTCAGTTCTGCTCTGATCTTAGTTATTTCTTGCCTTCTGCTAGCTTTTGAATGTGTTTGCTCTTGCTTCCCTAGTTCTTTTAATTGTGATGTTAGGGTGTCAATTTTAGATCTTTCCTGCTTTCTCTTGTGGGCATTTAGTGCTATAAATTTCCCTCTACACACTGCTTTGAATGTGTCCCAGAGATTCTGGTATGTTGTGTCTTTGTTCTCGTCGGTTTCAAAGAACATCTTTATTTCTGCCTTCATTTCGTTATGTACCCAGTAGTCATTCAGGAGCAGGTTGTTCAGTTTCCATGTAGTTGAGCAGTTTTGAGTGAGTTTCTTAATCCTGAGTTCTAGTTTGATTGCACTGTGGTCTGAGAGACAGTTTGTTATAATTTCTTTTCTTTTACATTTGCTGAGGAGTGTTTTACTTCCAACTATGTGGTCAAATTTGGAATAGGTGTGGTGTGGTGCTGAAAAGAATGTATATTCTGTTGATTTTGGGTGGAGAGTTCTGTAGATGTCTATTAGGTCTGCTTGGTGCAGAGCTGAGTTCAATTCCTGGATATCCGTCTTAACTTTCTGTCTCATTGACCTGTCTAATGTTGACAGTGGGGTGTTAAAGTCTCCCATTATTATTATGTGGGAGTCTAAGTCTCTTTGTAGGTCACTAAGGACTTGCTTTATGAATCTGGGTGCTCCTGTATTGGGTACATATATATTTAGGATAGTTAGTTCTTCTCGTTGAATTGATCCCTTTACCATTATGTCATGGCCTTCTTTGTCTCTTTTGATCTTTGTTGGTTTAAAGTCTGTTTTATCTGAGACTAGAATTACAACCCCTGCCTTTTTTTGTTTTCCATTTGCTTGGTAGATCTTCCTCCATCCTTTTATTTTGAGCCTATGTGTGTCTCTGCATGTGAGATGGGTTTCCTGAATATAGCACACTGATGGGTCTTGACTCTTTATCCAATTTGCCAGTCTGTGCCTTTTAATTAGAGCATTTAGCCCATTTACATTTAAGGTTAATATTGTTATGTGTGAATTTGATCCTGTCATTATGATGTTAGCTGGTTATTTTGCTCGTTAGTTGATGCTGTTTCTTCCTAGCCTTGATGGTCTTTACAATTTGGCATGTTTTTGCAGTGGCTGGTACCAGTTGTTCCTTTCCATGTTTAGTGCTTCCTTCAGGAGCTCTTTTAGGGCAGGCCTGGTGGTGACAAAATCTCTCAGCATTTGCTTGTCTGTAAAGTATTTTATTTCTCCTTCACTTATGAAGCTTAGTTTGGCTGGATATGAAATTCTGGGTTGAAAATTCTTTTCTTTAAGAATGTTGAATATTGGCCCCCACTCTCTTCTGGCTTGTAGAGTTTCTGCCAAGAGATCAGCTGTTAGTCTGATGGGCTTCCTTTTGTGGGTAACCCAACCTTTCTTTCTGGCTGCCCTTAACATTTTTTCCCTCATTTCAACTTTGGTGAATCTGACAATTATGTGTCTTGGAGTTGCTCTTCTCGAGGAGTATCTTTGTGGCATTCTCTGTATTTCCTGAATTTGAATGTTGGCCTGCCTTGCTGGATTGGGGAAGTTCTCCTGGATAATATCCTGCAAAGTGTTTTCCAACTTGGTTCCATTCTCCCCGTCACTTTCAGGTACGCCAATGAGACGTAGATTTGGTCTTTTCACATAGTCCCATATTTCTTGGAGGCTTTGTTTGTTTCTTTTTATTCTTTTTTCTCTAAACTTCTCTTCACGCATCGTTTCATTCATTTCATCTTCCATCGCTGATACCCTTTCTTCCACTTGATCGCATCGGTTACTGAGGCTTGTGCGTTCGTCGCGTAGTTCTCGTGCTGTGGTTTTCAGTTCCATCAGGTCCTTTAAGGACTTCTGTGCATTAGTTATTCTAGTTATCCATTCGTCTATTTTTTTTTCAACGTTTTTAACTTCTTTGCCATTGGTTTGAACTTCCTCCTTTAGCTCAGAGTAGTTTGATCTTCTGAAGCCTTTCTCTCTCAACTCGTCAAAGTCATTCTCCATCCAGCTTTGTTCCGTTGCTGGTGAGGAGCTGCGTTCCTTTGGAGGAGGAGAGGCACTCTGATTTTTAGAGTTTCCAGTTTTTCTGCTCTGTTTTTTCCGCATCTTTGTGGTTTTTATCTACCTTTGGTCTTTGATGATGGTGACGTACAGATGGGTTTTTGGTGTGGATGTCCTTTCTGTTTGTTAGTTTTCCTTCTAACAGTCAGGACCCTCAGCTGCAGGTCTGTTGGAGTTTACTGGAGGTACACTCCAGACCCTGTTTGCCTGGGTATCAGCAGCAGTGGCTGCAGAACAGCAGATATTGGTGAACCGCAAATGCTGCTGCCTGATCGTTCCTCTGGAAGTTTTGTCTCAGAGGAGTACCCAGCCGTGTGAGGTGTCAGTCCGCCCCTACTGGGGGGTGCCTCCCAGTTAGGCTACTCAGGGGTCAGGGACCCACTTGAGGAGGCAGTCTGCCCGTTCTCAGATCTCAAGCTGCATGCTGGGAGAAACACTACTCTCTTCAAAGCTGTCAGACAGGGACATTTAAGACTGCAGAGGTTATTGCTGTCTTTTGTTTGTCTGTGCCCTGCCCCCAGAGGTGGAGCCTACAGAGGCAGGCAGTCCTCCTTGAGCTGTGGTGGGCTCCACCCAGTTCAAGCTTCCCGGCCGCTTTGTTTACCTACTCAAGCCTGAGCAATGGCGGGCGCCCCTCACCCAGCCTCGCTGATGCCTTGCAGTTTGATCTCAGACTGCTGTGCTAACAATGAGTGAGGCTCCGTGGGCGTAGGACCCTCCGAGCCATGTGCGGGATATAATCTCCTGGTGTGCCATTTGTTAAGCCTGTTGGAAGAGCGTAGTGTTAGGGTGGGAGTGACCCAATTTTCCAGGTGCTGTCTGTCACCCCTTTCTTTGACTAGGAAAGGGAATTCCCTGACCCCTTGCACTTCCTGGGTGAAGTGATTCCTCGCCCTGCTTCGGCTCACGCCCAGTGCACTGCACCCCCTGTCCTGCACCCACTGCGCTCCCCAGTGAGATGAACCCGGTACCTCAGTTGGAAATGCAGAAATCACCTGTCTTCTGCATCGCTTACGCTGGGAGCTGTAGACTGGAGCTGTTCCTATTCGGCTATCTTGGCTCCATCCCCCCAGAATTTATTTATTGGAGTCAAATGATGATATGTCTACCTTGCCAATAGATTTAATTACTTTAAATTTTTTCAGTTCTTAATGCTGTTTCTTTTCTCCCCAGGGAAATTAAGGCTTTTCTTAATAGCCAAAGGAAAAAAAATAATATTCCTCTTTTAGGATTTCTAACCTCAGACTCCTCCTGATCAGGGCTCTCTGTCGTTTCTCTTTAATGCCTGTAATTGATGCATGACACAGATTCATTCTTAGGGTCTGGCTGAAATGAATTTACAGTATTTGGAGATCTTGGTTCTGATGAACTATGGTAATTTCACCCTGATTAAACTACTCCACCCATCAACAGAGAAGAAATTTCAAGCATATGCTCTGTGCTCCAATACTGTGTTATGTATTTTTAGAGAGGAATAGGAAGGCACATACAGAAATATCAAATAGCCCCCTACACAACCATTCTGCACCCCCAGCCCACCACCAACATATCATCCATAAGGAGCAGCACAGCATTTAGGAAAAAGTGTGAATTTGGTGTCAGAAGACAGATGTATTGCCAACCTCCCTCTTCAGTTCTAGAACAGCAGGGACATTTACTCCTCACCGACTTCCATGTGCTTTTCTGTATGTCCCTGAACCCCTTACAGTTAGGAGGAGTCACATGGCTAACTCTGGCCAATAGGTGTGAATAGAAGTGATGCACATCACTTACAAGCCAGAGCATTAAAGGGACAGGGTGTAACGCTCCAGCTTTTCTCCTCCTCTTCCTCAGCAAGCTTTGAAGCCATCAACTATGGCAATACAACCAGTACGATCTTTAACAGCCTGAATCTCTGAGTGACCACATGGCACAGAGCCTCATGCTTAACTACAAAGACTAAGCAAAAACCAAATCTTTTTTAGCTAGGCCTTTGAGATATGGGTTTTTAATATGTCACTGCAGCATAACCTATTTGTTAAGCCACTGAAATGTGGGTTTTTAATATGCTATTGCAGCATAGCCTAGTCTATCGTGACTAATAGAGCTGCTTATCTAAATTTGGTCAATAGGTTATTCTCCCAAGACTTGGAGTCTTGAGTGAGCACCTCAATTCATGAATAAATGCTTGGAAGACATTCGTCATGACCACAGTTTGCTCATCAGACTATTTATGCTACAAAAGGAATACCACTGTACCTCCTTCCACCCCTCCTGAGTTCCATTTATTCCTGTCTCTTTCCCAGCCAAGTTCTCCAGATTTTTATCAATTCTGTGGTTTTCTTGATAACCTTCTAATAAATTTACCTTTGCTTAATTTAGGCCAAGGTCTGCTTCTGTTGGCCTTGGTAGGACTCTCTTCTCCTTCGCCTTGGCGCCACCAATGATGGGATGTAAAAGAGGTCCACTTGTGCCCCTGAAGAGATTTACCATTCTTCAGCCATGGGCACGGCCCACTGCACCACCAAAAATTACCTCGGAAACCAGGCCCAAAAAGGAGTCTGTAATTAAAACTGATTTTACCTCTCCCCTAAGAGACCTTCGGGACTGATCTCACTACCTCCAACACCACAAAAGCTTGCCAGCCTCTCAGGCCATTCTTTGCTGATTCGATTCCCATGCAGCTCTGGGCATCTCCTAATGTGAGTCAAGCTGCCAACCTTTCCCACTCTCAGGTTCTTCCAGTGAGCCTCTAAAACTCCCATTCCACCAGTGGTAACATCCCCACTGCCCTAATGGGGGACTGTGGAGGTTGATCAATGGGAACAAAGAGATAGACAGGAGGGACACATTTTGGTGTCCTGTTATATACTAGAGTAACTATAGAAAATAACAATGTACTATATATTTCAAGAAAGCGGAAAGAGGAGATTTTGAATGTTGTTACCACAAAGAAATTATAAATATTTAAAGTGATAGATATGGTAACGACCTTGATTTGATCATGATACTATATATACATGCATTGAAACATTACATTATATCCCATAAACATGGACAATTATGTCAATTACACATTTAAAAAATAAATTTAAAATATTTAAAGAAAATAAATCCTGATTTTCCCTAGAACATATATTTGATGATATATATATAATATAATGATTGATATATTTCAATCATTATAAAAATATGTGGCAATATTGCCCATCTTAAAAAGAAAACCTCAAAAAGCAAAACTGAAAACCTCCCTTATTCATACCCCCCACTGACCCTACTGACCAATTTCTCCCCTGCCTTTTTAAGCGAAAGTCTTGGAAAGAGTTGTGTATATTAGCTGCCTCTACTTTCTCATCAGTTCTTTTTTCCCTACTACTCCACTGAACTTGCTCTTGTCAAGGTTGCCCAAGACTTCTGGAACCAATGAGCACTTCTCATCTGAGTTGACTAATATCAGCAGCTTGGGTGAGCATTGCCTCTTTCTTGACACATCCACTTTCCATGGCCTCCTGGACATCATTCTCTTTCTTGTTACTTCTGCTTACTCACTGACCACCTCTTTTTTGTCTCTTTGCTGGTCTCTCCTATGCCTGATCTCTAAAAATTGAGAGTTCTAGGTTCCGTTCAGTTTCATGGTTTTAAATACCAGCTATATATAGATGACTCGCAAATATATAACTTTGGTTCTCCCTCTCCCCTAAACTTTAGACTCATATATTCATTGTGTCTAGTCTTTTCTGACTGCTATAACAAAATACCATTTACTGGGTGATTTATAAGCAACAGAAATTTATTTCTCACAGTTCTGGGGACTGGAAATCCACAGGCAATGCCCTGCAGATTTGGTGTCTGGTAAGGGCTTGCTCTCTGGTTCATAGATGGTGCCTTCACACTCGGTCCTCACGTGATGGAAGGGGCAAGGGAGCTTTCTGGGGTCTCTTTTATAAGGGCACGAATCCCACTCATGAGGGTTCTGCTGTCATGACCTAATAATGTCCCAAAGTCCTCACCTCCTTATACCTTCATATTGGGGGTTAGGTTTTAACATAAATTTAAGGGAGACACAAGCATTCAGATCGCAGTATACTGCCGAACTAAAATCTCTATTTTGATTTCTAATAGTCCCCTTGAATTATTTAAAATATAAATCTTTACTTTTACTACCCCTTACCCCAAATTTGCTCTTCTTGTGTCTTTTCCATTCCAGAAAATGGTACCATGATTAACACGGTTGTCTAGTCCTAAGATATTGAAGTAAGTTTGAATTATGCGCTTTCTTTCACTTCTACATCCAATCTATCTGCAAGCATTGCTGTGTCTAACTTAAAAATACTTCCAGAATCTGATAAATTCTTGCATCTCCGTTGCTACTTCTCTGGTCTAAGCCACCATCATCTCTCATCAGGATGATTGATGGAGCCTGCTATCTGGTCTCCCTCATCCCACCTATCCTCCTTCTTTCCTCTAATCCATTTTCTACATGGAAGCCAGTGGGATCCTTCGGATATATAAGCCATTTCATGTTACTCTTCTATGAGAGGTTCTCATCACATTTGTAATAAAATATAAAGATCTGATCATGACCTTCAAGTCTCATGATAATCTGACTACCTCTCTGTCTCCATCAACTGTTTACTTATCGTATTCTCAGTCGACTTTCTTCAGCCACATCCCATATCTTTGTTCTCTTTGACCTTCTTATTAATCCTCAAAGACACTAAGTGTTTCTATCTCAAGGCCTTTGTCCTCATGGTTCCCTCTGTCTAGAGTGTGCATCTAGACCATCTTTGCTGTGGCTCAACCACTCACTTCATTCAGGTGCCTGTTCAAATGTCATTTCCTGAGATTACAATATCTAACATGGTCCACTACTCCCAGTCACTCTTTGTAATAGATAACTAATTCTGCCATTAGAAAGTGGAGTCCATATCTCCACCCTTGAGTCTGGGCCAGTTTTGTGGCCTGCTTTGACCAAGAGAATGCAGAAGAGGTAGCAGTGTGCCAATCTGTATTCTGTTTTCATGTTGCTAATACCTACCCAAGACTGAGTAATTTGTAAAGAAAAATAGATTTAATTAACTTACAGTTCCACATGGCTGGGGAGGCCTCACAACACTGGTGGAAAGCAAAGGAGGAGCAAAGGCATCTCACATGGCAGCAGGCAAGAGACAGAAGGAGAGCCAAGCAAAAGGGGAAACCCTTTATAAAACTATCACATTTCATGAGACTTATTCACTACCATGAGAACAGTATGGGGGAAACAACCCCCATGGTTCAATTACCTCCCACTGGGTCTCTCCCACAACATGTGGGAATTATAGGAGCTACAATTCAAGATGAGGTTTGGGTGGGGACACAGCCAAATGATATCACAGTCCTAGGATTAGCCTTTAAGAGGCTTGGCACATTCCACTTTGGTCTTCTTTGGAAAGGCCAGCTGTCATGCTGCAAAGAAGATCAAGCTAGACTACTGAATGGTGAGAATGACACCATGGAGGGTGACAGCATACACATGAAGGAGCCCTGAGGCATCAAACATATGAATAACTTATTGGACCTTTCAGCATCGTTGGCAACAGAATGCCAACAAGTGGTTGACTCCAACTGGTGTCACATGGAGCAGAAGAACCATCCAGCTGAGCCCTCCCCAAATTTCTAACCCACAATCCTGAAAAATTAATGTCATTGTTCAAAGCCATTACATTTTGGGATAGTTTGTTACATGGCAATTGATAACTGAAATATTCTCTAACTCTTCATTCTGTTTATTTTTCTTCATAGCAATTATCTCAATAAGAAATTACACAATTACTCATTTATTTGTCTACAGCTTATTATCTGTCTCTCCCTCCAGAATATGAACTCTAGGAGGAAAAGGACTTTGTCTTGTTCACCACAGTATTCCCAGTGCTTGGAACAATGCCTGGCCTATTTCAGGACTTAATAAATATTTCTTGAATAAAATAAATACTAAGAACCCTAACATAAGCCTTAACTTTCCACAAAAAATTATACTCATCTTCATAGACACATTTTTTTCTTTAATCTCAACATCCAATTACTTTTGCCTTTTAAATCAAAGTTCTCTATCAGTTTGCTAGAAAAACTTACCAGGCATTTGTTTTTTTAAATCCAGAAAATACTTTGGTTCAAGATCTGCAGTACATTTTAAGATGACTTGGGCGTTATTACCATTCACTGAATAATCCTGTGGGTAGGTTAATGACAAAGTACCACTTAGTATCCTATCTTCCCAGGATAGATTTCTAGTGCCACCCAGCCCCTCCCATTTAAGTACATACAAGTCCTCACTTTTAGGATAGCACATGCAAGCAGGGGCTGATAGTTCCTTATTAATTCCTGAGATCCCACCAATTTTTCCATCAGGGCAACACAAGAACAGCCCCCTCTTTGTTAGTCATAGAAGAAGATCATTTTCTGTTTTTTTTCCTGCCTGACTCACTGGCCCTCACCATGCATAAGACATCAGACACTGCCACATTGGGAATGCCTTTCTCTGAAATAGGTTTGCTGTGATTTCTTTCATGCCTGGTTGGAACACAGAGTCATAATTAGAACAAGGCTCCTCTCCCAGATCATTGCTCTGATGGCTCTAAATTGGTTCGCACAGCTCCATTTTCTTTCTAAATGAATAGGACCTTTGCTTTTCTGATTGTGGACATGTGAGATTGATCACCAGGTCCCTGACACTTCCCTCTGACTAATGTTTTCCCTGGTGTTTTCAGGTATTCTGCCCTATTCATTTCACTTTGGAAGCCAGTGCTGGGTTGCAATTTAATTTTTCTAAATTTAGTCTGTAGAAGGCTCATGACCAATGGGAGGGGATTACAGCTTACCAGGAATCCACATTTAAAGAAAAGGAAAGTCGTCTCTGGGGATCTGGATTTATTTACAGAGTTTGAGGACTCAAAAGAAGACCAAATAGACTTAGCAGCCACACTTCCTTACTTCAATTTAACAGTCTCTTAAGCACAAAATCAAACACAATATAAATAAAGTGGCTTGACTCTTTCCTGAGTGTCTTACCTTAACTTCTCCTGTCTTCTGTCTTGCTGTCCCCTAGGTGTTCCCAAAGTCCCCATTCTATCTTCTGTGAAGACCTCTAGCTTTTAAAGGAGAAATAATCACATCTCCTAAAGTGATTCCTGGTACAGCTGGAGCAATCTGGCAGTGCTGAAACTTAAATTACTAAAAGATCAGATCTGTTGAAGATTTTCATTAGAAAAGGTACTAATTGTATGCAGTGTCTTTTGGAAAACCTGTTAGGTGCCTAAAACTGTACTTGGCATTATGACAAATACAGAAACAAATCAATTTTATATTTTAGTCTTTGCTAACAAGGAAGTTAAAAATAGAAGCCACAATATAATATAATAGTTTAGAGCAAGCACTGTGGAACTAAACTGGCTGTGCTAGAATCCTGTTAGAACACTTACACTTTCTGTGTCTCGGTTTTCTCACCTGTAAGCCTTTCTGTGCCTCAGTTTTCTCACCTGTAAGTTGGACACAAAAAGTGTAGCTACTTCATAGGGTTACTATGAGGATTTAAATGAGTTAATAAATATAAACAGAAGAGTGTCTGACATAGTAAGTGATTTTTATTTTATATAGACATGGATATGGATTATGCATATATATATATATATATATATACATACTCTCCATACAATATAAGGGAGGAACATATTACAGTGCTGCCAGAATTCAGAGGCAGGAGACATTGTTTGTAGCCAGAGGAAACCAGGAAGGCTTTCTGGAAGATGCATAAGTGGCAAAGACAATAATGCTCATAAAAATATGCACTGCATAACCTCCACCTGCTTGATCCCCAGTGCTTTTGCAATTAGGGTCATGTGACTAGTTCTAGCCAATTCGATGTGTATAAAAGTGCTGGCTCATTTGGCCTCTCTTCTCTTCTGCTGCAGTGAATGAGAAGGTCACTAACCCCAGGTGTTGCAGCTAAAGATGTTAGAAAGCCCATCAGCCTGGGTACCTGAGTGGTGGTGTAGAGCAGAGACACATCCCCCCACCCAAACACACACACCTCACAATGGATATGTAGTAGGAGCAAAATATAAACCTATCATGTGCTAAGGCACTGGGAGTTTAGGCTTAATTTTGCTCTGTGGCATAGCCTTGCCTGTACTGAGATATATATATATATATATATATTTTAAAATAAATAAACATATATAAATACACATATACATACACAGATACATATGCATATTATACAATATATACAAATATTTTATAATACATTATGTATGTATACATATACATATATATATATACACACATATACATATATATGATGATCATGGTGGAACAGCCTAAAAAAATAGAAATGGGACAAAGTACAGCATATTGAACACATATTTGATTAGAAAGAAAAGCTAGGGTTACATCACTGTAGGCTTTAAATTCCAGACAAAAGAGTTTAGACTTTATTCCACGAGGCAAGAGGAAACCATTAAGTATGTGTTACCTGGAATAATTACACCAAGCAGGTAGTACCAGTGAGAATCCTTTGAAGAGCAAGAGCCTTCTATAATTTTAGGTATGAGTTTGTGCCAGAGGGTCCCTCCCTTCTCTAGCTCAGAACACCAGAAGTTTGTTTTATAAGTTAGTATCAAAAAAAGTTAAATTTTATGATCTCTAAAACAGAAATTTTTTATCATGATTTCTAACTTATCTCTATAAACTCTCCCTGTCTAGAGTAGCAGGAACCCTCTTGTTTGCTGTTGAAACTGGAATAATATCTCAGTATGACAACTTCTAGGAAGAACAACCAAAACCTTTTCTGCTTCCCCTCATTGAGGGGGCAGGGAGTTGGGGAGTGGCTGAGTGAGAACATTTCTGGAAATGGGAGTGGTCTTTAAATACCCTACAACAAAAATTAAAATTTTAAAGTGGACATATTTGTGCCCAAAGTAGAAAAAAATCATTTGCCTAAGAAAACCAAGAATCGTAGTTTTTGTACTTTTTCAGCAATAGTAAAGCCTATTTATTACACTGGTTAAGGTAATCCTAGCTGCTGTAATCATTCTGTTTATGTAATCACATAAACCCAAAATTGTGCAATGGCTGAAACATGGGACACATTTATTTCTTACACAGAATCCCAAAATGGTGCTTCTGAATGGTAGGTGGCTTCCCTCCATGTGATGACTCAGGGATGCAAGCTCTTTCAGTCTCCTGGCTCTGCCAGCTCCTAGCTGTGGTTTCCAAGGTCACCATGCTTACCTGTACCAAGCTGGCAGAGGGGAAAGGAAATGGAAGGTCATGCATGGAGATTTAATGCAGGTTTAAAAGTGGCACACATCATTTCTGTTCACTTTCCACTCACCCAGTTACAGGGTCTCCTCCAGCTGAAAAACAGGCAAGTAAATGTCATTTGTCTGTATGTCCAGGAAAAAGAGGAAAGGTGTAAAAGTGTTTGGAGAATCATAGCAGGCTTTGATAAACACTTTTCTTGTCAACACATTCTTGTCTATTAAAAGAATGATAGTAAACTTCTAGTTTCTTGTTCTTT
Source organism: Homo sapiens (assembly GCF_000001405.40). Classification (NCBI taxonomy): domain Eukaryota; kingdom Metazoa; phylum Chordata; class Mammalia; order Primates; family Hominidae; genus Homo; species Homo sapiens. Next base: position 24,929,947 of record NC_000004.12, on the reverse strand, counting down.
CCATAGACATTTGTTGAGCACCTGCATTCAAAGTGCATGCTTGTTGGTTGATGGGGGGAGAGGCAGAGAGTCAGAGAGACGGTCTAAAGTTCATAATCAGGTAGGGAAAAAATATTATATAAGCAATAAAATATAAAGCAGAAAATGACAAGAGCTCCCAAAGAGGCTCAGATAAGACTTTTCAGGAGTTCAGAAGCAGGGCTAGCTGGAAGATTCTGCGATGTGAGTGGGTGTTCTAGGCAAAACATAAGCAGAGGCACAGAGGGAGGAAATCAGGAGGTCTTTAGGACAGAAAGTCAGAGATTCACTTGGACTGCGGTGAAGGGTGTAAGAAGAGGAGAGACAGAGTTTACGTTGGAAAAGGGTGTTGAGGTCTGATCTTTCAAACTCTCCATAATCACACATGATGTGCATTTCTGAGAGAGGCTATTCAATCACCTATCTCCACAGTTTCTATTTTTTCCCATCTACTTTTCATTAAGCAGGTACCCTGCCCCCTTTCCACTTCAAATAATTATAAAGATGATTATGGAAATGATAGCGGTGGTGGCGCTAAGGATTAGGAGGGAGAAGAGATTTTGTAAAATTTTCTCATCTACCCAGAAATCTTTCTGCCTCTGAGAAGAATCCTGGAGACCATGATTCATGAGCCGCTGAGAGCCGATTCCCACTCCCTGGGAGCCCACATGAGAAAAAGTGCTGCAGACGACGGGCTGTTTTTGAGAATCAGCAGAGCAGGGCTGCTTGGCAATCAGTTTAGGAAACACAGAAGTCATAAACCAGCACATTTAGGCCAGCTTGGAATGGGACCAAGCATCTTCACCAGACCATGGGATGGCAAAACCCTGGTGTAGAGGCTAGATTTCCATACCTTGGCCTTTCATAAAAGAACCAGTGGATAAAAGCTCTCTGCAAAAAGGGCACTGATTCTTTGTTTAAATTAGGCGGACACATAGCTCAATGCATGACACTGTAGCAACCTGGCAGATGAAGTTTAGCAATAATGCAAGATCATTTCAGTTGACCATAAATGTCACCTGAAAAGGGGAAGTGTGCTGCCCCGCCTGTCACATGAAGTTCACCCCATTCCTCTTGTTCTTTGCCTTCCTGACCTTCTGGACTCATTTCAGCTTTTGGACACATTAGGGAGTGACAGGAAGACACCTCTGCCCTGTGAAGACCATGACAGCACCTGTGTCAGTTTCCTAGGGTTGCTGTAACAAATTACCATGAACTCAGTGGCTGAAAACAACAGAAATTTATCTTTCACAGTTCTGGAAGAGCATTCCAAGCAGGGGATCCCTGAGGTGGGAAAGGGCCAGGTGAGTGTGATTGGAGCAAAGAAAGCAAGAACAAGAGTAGTAGGAGCTGAGAGGGGATTCTTGGATCACCCAGTCATGGTTAGATTCATATATTGACAATGAGAAGGAGTCAGTGATTTCATGAAGAAAATGAAAAATACTGGTGGTCCATGTTAAGCCTTCGACTTTTATGCATACCATCCATTCTGTTGGAATTCCTAGGCATCCTTCAGGAAAAGCTTGTGCCCACTTTCCCTCACAATGCCCTACCCTCTCCTCCCCTTCGCCATCTTCTCCTTCCTGGGCACCTGCATCATCAACACATAGTATTAATCTTAACCTCTTTTATGCTATCACAGTCCAATGTACGTGTCTCTAGAAAAATACCGAGCATGTTGCTTTGCACACAGTAATCCCTGAATAGTGTTTTCCTTCTTTATCTCTTAAAATCCTTACCACAATTTCAAGAATTTTCACTGCAAATCAAATTTGAACTGAGTTTTTAGGGAAGTCCAAGTTTATATGCAAAGACATAAAGATGTAATAGAATCCTTTCAAAGAACTCTCTTGCTAATGCTCAATCACAGCGAACAATGTATTGCCTGACATTTTCAGATTCCCAGACCAGACATAGAATGTGATAGAGGGAGGAAAAGGGGTGAGCCATTTTATAGAGGTTTTTTTGGTTCTATCCTTCTTCTAGACTCTATTCATGGGGCAAAAGGAAGAAATTCACTTAGATTTCATGGATGTGCACAGGTATAGGTACGCTGAGTTTTTTTTCAAGCCAAGCATATATATATCCCCTGTAAAGATCTAAGGAACTCTTAAAGGACTCCAGGGTGATACAGGAAAGAATGTATGTGTGTGTGTGTGCATGAGTGTAGAGAGAACCAGAGTTGGTGTATGTTGGAGATGGAGGAGGAGGTGGTAGATCAAGTTAATATAAGGAAGTTTAATAGGCATTTGACTGCTTAGCCAAATATACGAGTAGTTCCTAGAAAACTACATCATTATACGGGAAGGGGGTTGTTTGTAAGTGGAATACTTCAGGCTAGGAGAAGGTTTCAGCACCTGCTTTAATCAACGTTACAACTATTTTTATGAAGATTTACATTTACAGAAGTTTGAGTCGTGTTCTTGAGTTCTTTGCTTATAGTTTGGAATTTTTCCATGTTTTTGGATGCAAATAAACGCAGCTGTTTGCTCTGCAAGAGCTATGGAAAACATATATTTATGCTGCATTTGTAATACAGAGAATGTTCAATTGAGACTGAATTTGGCATCTTGCCTTACGTTTCAACTTTTCTTTTTAATAACGTAAGATCTTTCATTCATGCAAATGATGCTATTGACTCATCAGCATGGTATAGTGAAAGAACAGGGGTCTGGCCATAAACACAACTGAGTTTCAGTTCTGCTTCGTCAGTAATGACCTTCCTGGATGTGGGAAATTATATTTTCGAAAGATGGCTGCAAGAACCTCACATCTCATGTACTCCTTTACAATATGACCTTGATATTCTCTCATCAAGAGAAGTCTGTGTTCTCTTCCCTCAAATCCAGACAAGCTTGGGACTTCCTTGTAACCTATGGGATGTAGCAGAAGTGACCATGCCTGACTTCGGAGGCTGGGGGTCTTAAGGGCAATGCCACTTCTGCTTAGTCCACTGCAACATTCACACTAGGAGCCGTGCTGCCTGTAAGGAGTGTGACTGTCCTGAGGCTGCCATGCTGCGAGGAAGCTAAGTGGCATGGAGTGGCCCCGTGTAGGTGCTCCAGTTAACAGTCCTCGTCTTCAAGTTCTCCCAGCCCAGGTGCCAGACATGCGATTGAAGAAACCTTCAGACGATCCACAGTCCCAAGCAGGGAATCACTCCCAACCTTCAAGCGTTTCCAGCTGAGACCCTAAACAGGGCAGAGACAAGCTTTCCCTGTTACGCCATTTCTGAATTCCTGACCGACATAATCTGTGAGAATAATAAAATGGTTATTCTGTGTTACCAAGTTTGGAAGCAATAGGAACAGAATCAGCAGCAATAGAAACAGAAACATTGAAACAGAAATTTGGAAGCTGGAAGTGGGAGGCATTTGTAACAGAAAACAGAAACATGTAGTATTAGCACTGGGACACTCCGCAGTGGGTTCTGGAAGCCCCTGAGGGAAGGTAGGACAAGCTGGAAGGGCCTCAAGGGGAATGTTGATGAGACTTTAAAGGAAACTGAGGAATATGTTATCTGGAAACCCAGGAAAGGGAGGTCCTTGTTATGCAGTGGAAGAAAGTTTAGCAAAACTGTTTCCTGTGATAATGCATAAAATGGAAAGCATATTTATTAAACTTGATTTCAGGCAAAGCATTGAGGGTGCTGACTAACTTCTTTCTGTTCCCTATAACAAAATGGGAGGAATGAGACAAACTCAAGAATGAATTCCTTTTTTTCTTTTTTTTCGAGATGGAGTTTCATTCCTGTTGCCCAGGCTGGAGTGCAAAGGCACCATCTTGGGTCACTGTAATCTCCACCTCCCGGGTTCAAGCGATTCTCCTGCCACAGCCTCCCGAGTAGCTGGGATTACAGGCGCACACCATAATGCCTGGCTAATTTTTTGTATTTTTTTTAGTAGAGACAGGGTTTCACCATGGCCAGGCTGGTCTTGAACTCCTGACCTTAGGTGATCTGCCCGTCTCAGCCTCCCAGAGTGCTGGGATTACAGGTGTGAGCCACCATGCCCGGCCAAGAATGAATTCTTAAGCCTTCAAGCCTAATTGGAAGGATAGATAAGGTCTCAGAATAGTCATCTTAGCCAGGAAAGTGTCCCAAATTAATAAATAGGCTCTGGGAAAATATGAATTCAGAATGGGACTGTAAGATCCCTTGTTTAAGCCTCAGAAATATCTTACATGCTACTTCAGAGAAGCTTCCAGGAACATAAAAGTCCTTCTTTAAGAATCTATAGTGTTTGTCTTGTAGACCTTCTTTGTTAAACAATAAGACTTCAAAGAATCTTGAGGGCACTGTCCCACAACAGTGACACAAAGACCCAAGATAGAGAAGGACCTGACTCAAAGAGATTTGTAAGTGTGATTTTTGTCTATAAAGTTGATTATGCATTGATACAAAGTAAAACAAAATAAAACGAAACAAAACACCGCAAAGTTTTTTTAAAAGGAAGCATGTTAGCTTTGATGGACAGGAACAGAGACAGTACGAGATGAAAAGAATTCTTTTGACCCTACCCCACCCCCAGTCTTTTAAAGGCAAGAACCAGGCTAAAAAGGCTATTCAATTGCATACTGAAGTATTTCTTATGGAAAATGAAGGATAACTCAGAGGGCTGAACCAAGAGCCATGAAGAAAAACTCCCAAAGAGTATGACTGAGTCCTAAGCTGTCCCCACATTTCAGAATTGCTATGGACAAGTGACCACCAATGCCTTTCATTTTCCCTGCTTTTGAACAGGAATGTCTACAGCAGTTATCCAATGCCTGTTCTACTGTGGCATGCTGCTGGCATAAGGGACAGAGAACTAATCTCTTTAGTTCATAGATCTACAGAACAAGAGGAAGATTGACCCAAAAAACTGTACCTAAGGAGCCTCAACTACACTTGGACAAGATGTAGTTGAGATTCTGGACTTATAACTGATGTAGTAACAGGACAAAACTTTGGGTGTCTTCGAAGAAAGGTTATTCATTTTGTATATGAGATGGGTATTGTAGCCAGTGGATGTGGCCACTGTGGTAGATTGCATTTTCCAAAGGTGACTGCAACAATTTCTTCCATCCCACAAGCTTCTTTAAAATGAAACCTTGATACTCATCCATACTCAAGAGGTGGCATCTGGACAAGTTTTTGACTCACTCATAACCAAAAAATAATGTGGTGGAAATGATGTTGAATGACTTCCAAGAATAGATGATGAAAGGCAGTATAGTTTCCACTTTGTTAATTAGAATAGTCATTCTTGCAACTCCATGGCGCCATGAGAAAAATCCACTACCCTGAAGCAGCTGTGCTATGAGGAAGAAACACCACATGGAGAGACCACATGTAAGGCATTTTAGCTGACAGTCCTAGTCTTTGGGTCCTCCCAAAGTAGGTGTCAGGCATGCAAAAGAATGAGCCTTCAGATAAGTCCAGCCTCCAGCCACTGAGTCACACTCTGAATCTTCTCAGCTGAGGCCTCATGCTTCATGGAGCAGAGCCAGCTGACCCTACTGTGGCCTTTCTGCATTCTTGAGCATGGAATCCATGAACATAACGTGACGTTTCACACCACTAAACTTGGGATGGTTTGTTATGCAGCAATAGTATCTAAAGTCATGGACCTCATTTGGTTTTCACATGTGTAAGATGAAGAGTTTGGATTAAGTGACTTCCAAGATCCTTTTTTTTTTTTTTCAGCTATAAAGACTTGAATATCTGATCTCATCACTTTATGGCTTAAGATCTTTTGGGTCAGAGTGGTGCTACTCTTTCTTGGCAAATGGCTACCCAGCTAGAGAATACATTTCCCTGCTTCCTTTGCAGTGGTGTGTAGCCATATGTCTGTTCTCACTAATGGAATATGAGTGGAAGTGACATATGCTACTTTCGTGTCACTTGCTTAGAAGGATATTGCCTGGACCTCTTCCCTTCCCACATGCTAAAACACACTTGAGCTGCAACCCAGCTTCAAACCTGCATCTGAGGGCAGTATCCGAGGTGAAGAGAGAATCACAGTTTGTAAGGAATCTAGGGCTCAGAGTGGCCTTGGGTAGCAGGGCTGCCCTGGCAACCTGTCTTGTGAAGGAGAAATCAAATTCTTTCTTAGTCAAGCCACTGTATATTTGGGTGTCTTTGTTACTGAAGCTTAGCTTTAATCCTAATACACACTTCAAAGGTTCCCAGCACTTGTGTGATAAATTCTAACTTCCTTAACACATGACTAAGGCTCTGCTCCTCCCTCCAGTCTGATCTCTTGTCACTCTCTTCCCTCCTCTCTATTTTCTGGTCACACTAATCTTCATTCAAGTTCTTTTGTTTTCACCTGTTCTCTCTGCCCCTGTGCTACTCCTTCTCAGCCTATCTTGGCTACCTAACTTTTATACATCCTTCAGGCCTTGCTTTCAATGACCCTTCACTTAGATTCCCTATTAGATCTCTCAAAGAAAACCTTTTTTTTCTTTCACAGCATTTATCATCTTGGTGATTAAATAATTTTTGCATAATCATTTGATATCTGCTTCCCCACTATACTATAGACATCATGTGGATAAAGTTTATGTCCTTCTTGTCTTTCCGACTAGTCCTAGTACTTAAACAGTGCCTGGCATAGCAGGAACTCAACATAGTAGGAACTCAGAAAGTATTTGTTGAATGTTATTTAATGAACTTGTAAGATAGCTGACCAAGGTTTGCAGTTTAGGCTTGTGGCCACAGAAGTAAGCAAAATATTAACCTGTCCCTGTGAGTATCAGCCTGTGACCTTGTCCCCATAGTTATTATGCTCACAAATCAGCTGAGCTCACCCCACCAGACTGTGACCCTCCTGAGCTTGTTCCCTATAGACCATCTTGAGTGTCATCAGGGGCGCTTCTGATAATAGACTCTCTCTCTTTAAAAAATTGGTTTATGGATGAAAAAGTCCCAAGTATATAGGATGCTGAGTTTAGCAGAATCTGTATGTAAATTGGTATTTTGCTGGTGATCAATCTTGTGCTAAAAATGGAAAATCAATAAAAAAAAAAGAAAATCTAAGGGGAAAAATAAATTGTAGACATTTTTGGTCCAATGATTTTCCAAGTTCGAGGACACGGCATCTGAGACCAAGGTTACTGTGTGTTTCAAAGGGGTACGCAAGAAAACCAGACAACCATCTCACACACTTGGAATATAGCAGAAGCCCCCAGCGAGAGAAAAGTTCCAAAGGCAATACCTTCCTATAGCACTCACTGGGGAAAGCCTTTGTAGTATCTCCTTGAACTAAGAAGGGATTCATCATTTGAGAATAGTAGTTCCAGGATCTCGCCAGCTGCAGAGTTCACTAAACTGCTGAAGGGACAGGAGCTGACTCACATACCAGCCACTGATTGTATGAACATCAGTGAGCTTCAGGACGTTGGAGAAGCATGAAAAAGAATAAAAATGAGTCCAAAATGCCCCATCTTGCAGCCTTCAACTAGGTATCAAAATGATCTGGCACAATAGAAAGATGTGGATTGCATGGAGGAAGGGCAAATATTACTGAGTGAGTGCCAATTCAAACTGCTTTGACTGAAGTTGGTGGGGTGAGGGGAAGTCTTGGAATGGTGATGCATTCACTGGGACCTAGTGGACCTACACAAAGTGAACATTCTCTAGATGACTTATGTAAATGCCTAATTAACTTTGTTATAACGGGGTGGGGGATGTCTCATCGAAAAGAAAGTTGCTGTAAGGGCTGGATTGTGCCCTCCTCCCAAATTCATATGCTGAAATAGGGTCATTGCAGATGTAATTAGTTAAGATGAAATACTGGAGTTGGGTGGGTCTCTTATGCAATATGACAGGTGTCCTTATAAAAAGGGGAAATTTAGACACAGAGACAGATATGCATAAAGGAAAGATGATGTGAAGAGACACAGACCGAAAGCATCTGGAACAGATCCTTCTCTCAAAGCCCTTGGAAGGGACCAACCCTGCCGATGCCTTGAATGCAGATTTCTAGTCTCCAGAACTTTGAGACAATAAAGTTCTGCTATTTAAACACCCCCATCTGTGGTCCTTTGTCAGCCCTAGGAAACTGACACTGTAACGCAGCACAAGAGCGGGGAATAGGGGGTGCGGATTTTGGAGGCAGTGTAGCCCTGGACCCACCCCTTACTAGCTATGTGAATTTCATCAAATCTTTAAAAAAACTCTTTAAACTCCTCAGCTTTCTTTTCCTTCACATACGTGGGTAATTAGGATTCCAGATATTCAACAGCCCATGAAATGCAGGCCAGAGGCTGCCATTCCCACATGTGGGCGCTGGCGGGTGATGGCAGGTACATTAGTTCTGAAAGACCCTGTCCAGTCTTTCTTGGATGGCTAGGTGGGCACCAAACATTTACATGCTGAGGTACCAGCACCACCTGCACCAGGGCTTTGCCTACCTCTTTAAGGTCTTGTCAACTTGATCCAGGAATGCAAGCCATTGTAGGAGAGCCATAGAGAGCTCTCAGTCATGAGGGAGGCTCCTGGGCCATGCCCACTGGGTCTCTCCTGGATGGGGGTGTTGAATGGGGGAGAGAAGTACATATAGGGTTCATTCAAGGGACACAGAATAGTGATAATTTACCAATCTGTATGGAAGTATTTTGATATTTCAGTGACCAATAGGGCCTTCCAGGTTTTTACCTTCTGAGTATCAGGCCTGGGATCATCACAGATAATTATACAGTGTTGTAAAGATTAGATGCAGGGACATGTCACCTGCTTAGAAAAGTGCCTGGTGTATGGCAAGTCCTCATTAAATGCTATTTATAGTATTGATGAGAAGACTAGTACCTAAATTGAGCTCAACAAACATTTATTAAGCACCTACTATGTGCCAGGCACTGTAGGCGCAATCCCTGCTCTCAAGGAGTTTATTTTTAGCAAAGTTGAAACACTCTTTTCTACTCCCCTGCTTTTCCTGATGAAGGGAAACTGAGGCACTTTCAGGGTCTCAGTACCTGTTGCTGCCAGTCCCACCTTCTTTTCCATGCTAGATGTTCTCATACATTCCTCAGTGACAATTTCTTTAGGAACTCTCCTATGCCATGGTTTGGCTTAAGTGACCCCTGAACTGGTAGGTTCTAAAAAAAAATACAGGTATTGAGGCCTAAATTTAATTGATTTAGTTTCCATTAAGATAAACAATGTCAGGCTTGGTTAATACTTGTGTAATATATATTTTTTCCAAACAGGACATAGAAGAATAATTCGTGGTAAAAATCAGAATTGCTGCTATGGCAGCTTGTCTCCAAAGATGGAGGTCATCAAATCCTTCCCTTCCTATACAGACATGGCTCCATTCTATGACCATCTAGAGGTGGAGTCTATTCATCCACCCCTCTGCATCTGGGCTGACCTGGTTTTCAATGCTTTGACCAATAGGATATGGTGGAAGTGACTCTATGCCAGTTCCAGGGCTAGACTTTAAGAGGACTGGTAACTTCTGTTTCCTCTCCCTTGGAACATTAGCTCTTGGGAAGCTCCTACTGGGAACCAAGCTGTCATGTTGTGAGAAGCTCCCTTGGTAAGCTGCCATGTTGTAGGGAGCCCAGCATGAAAAGACATGAGGCGGGGCTTCACTTGACAGCCTCAGCTAAGCTCCCAGCCAATGGCCAGCCATGTGAGTGGGCTGTCTTGGATGTCCAGTGTAGTTGAGCCTTCAGATAACCACAGCTGTGGCCATCATTTACATTCACCCAGGAAACTCCACATGAAAACCACCCAGCAGAGCCCAGTCACAAAACCAGAAGAGATGGTAATAAACCAATGTTTAAGCCACAGGTTTTGGGTAGCTTGTTGTATAGCAATAGACAACCAGAATTCTGCTCTTCATGAACTTCAAATACCTTCAACTCCTAAGCACTGTGAGGGAGCCAGGACATGGGAATCGAAAGTTCCAGGCTGTAGCCACAGCCTTTTTCTTAATATACTTTGTGACCTTGGGCACATTGCTTTATCTCTCTGGGCCTCTATATCTTCTCTTGTATAGCAAGGGGTCCAGATCTCTGATTCTTAATATTTCTATGTGCTAAGTTACTGCAATCTTTCTTGGATAATAATAACAGCACCTTCACTAACATTTTATACAAAGTCCTCACCCAAATGTAAAATTAATTTCATAGAGTCACAGGCCTTCAAGATCATCTGGCCCAATCCGCCCATGGTGGAGGTGACAACACTAATTCACAGAAAGGTTAAGGTGTTATGCTTGCTGTTCCAACCCACTGCTCCCTTTTTAAATGTTTTGTCCAATTACTACTTCCTTCACCTTGGAGAGGGTCATTGCTCCTTGTTTTCCTATATTGAGATTTGGTGAGTATAATCACCCATTCATGCTTTCCACATCTTGGTAGTCTTCAATCCTGCCCCTCCCAGAGCTTTCCAAATAGACCTGGTTTTCCTTTCAGTTCCCACCCCCTGCCCGCCAAGGTTGTTATTGTTGTTTAACAGTAAAATATACATAACATGAAATTTACCATTTTAACCATTTTTATGTGTACCCAATGGACCTAGTTTTACGGTTCATTTCCAGTTGCTGAAAAGGCTTTTTGTGTCTCACATCACAGCTAGAGTCCAATTCTGTGGTGTCTCTCTGTGTTTCTGCAGTATTAAGCTTCTTGGGAACATGGCTATCTACTCCAAAAGCCTTGAGGACAGAGGTCTGTGTCCTGGTTGTCATCCTCACAGCCTAGTTCAGCATATAAGAGAAGCTCAAGAAAGGCTTATTGAGTTAATGGCCCAGTATGTTAAAGGAGACCCTGCTAAGCCTCTCTTACGGCACCTTAAGATTGTTTTTCCTGTATCGTGGAAACAAATGGGGCTAGTAAGTGGCAACCATTGTGTCATATGTGGATATAGAAGGGGCATCCATGTACCTCTTTCCCAAAGGTAAGCTGCTTGGTGCAATAGCAGGGGACATGATATGTTGGCAAACACCCTTGTTGACAGTGTCTATCTAGAAATCATGTTTACTTGCCATTTGAGTTTCTGTTAGAGAACAAAGAGAAATTTGACTGAATGAGGACAAAGCAATGTAATGAATGTCACCAAGGGCTGGCAATTTCTGCCCTACTGATATAATAAAAGCGATCAGATCACTCCCACTTTGAAACAGTTGCCCCAATACACTGACACACCATGGCTGTGAGCTGCAGATCAACTCCTCTTTTCTACCCTCAGACCAAGGGAGCCCCAGCAACTCAGGAACCCAGAAAGTTTTGGACAAAGAAAGGAATTGCAGCTTTGGCCAAAGGCAGGAACCAGTGCTGGAAAAATCTGTCTCTAACAGGAATGGAGGAACAGTAAAACTCTTTAGTCTGGCTTTGCACCTTAGAGTCGTGAATCTCCTGTTTCGATGCAATTGTAAGATGCAGAGCAAGGCCTGGCCCAGGGAGGCAATTCTCCTACTGTGAATGGTTTGATGTGCTGTCTTGGTCACAGCCAGGCTAGAGAGGTTGCTACCAACTGGGAGAGGGGCACGTCATTAGATAAATGCCATGACCTGGTATGGGGGTGGAGATGGATAAAAATCAACATCCGATGTTCTGAAGGACAGCCTAATGGACAATAAATATTTTACCAGCACTGGCCATTTATATGAAATGCCACCTTTTCACCTTCTCGATCAAATTGTTTTCTTTGTTTTTTTTCCCCATCCCCAAGCCCCATTATTCTTCTACAGTACAGAAGAAAAATCATTTCTGTCATTTCACTAGCAATTTCTGTGTACACAGTAGGTCCTTGATCATGTTTATTCTCTTCTTTTTTCTCCTTTTCCACCCATATCCACTGGCTAAAGATTGTCCCCCACCCTAAGACAAAAATTAGATAGGAGGGCAATGTAGGTGATCCTATTTTAGACATTCATCAGATTTTTTTTTTCATAAGGCTTCCAGAACGACAGGGTCAGTCCCTCTTCTGGCCTGCAGGAGAGGCCAGTGACCCCCAAGTCAGACGTTTCTATTTTCAGCTCCCCAAGTCCAGGGTGCAGTAACCTCCACCTCGCCAAGGGCCATGCTGCTAACCCGTCAGCAGCACGGGCCCTGCTGCCTCTCTGCGTTTCCATTTCCATAAATTTACATCAAATTTGTGCTGAATCATATCCCCCCCACGCAGAAGAAATGAAATACATTATCAATAAGTACAACAAATTTGAATAATCTGAGAGCAGATGACTTTTCCTGTCTCTTTTCCATTTAACTCCTTCCGTGGGCTGCATCTCGATCCACTTTCCCCACCAGCCTGTGGTTGGGTTTCTCCCCACCCCACCGACGCCCACGGTTTTCCGCTCTCCTCCCATGGTTCTTTATCTTTAGGCCTCTCCTCCGGCACCCCAGGCCCTGTCTCTCCCTCTGTCTCTCAGCTCCTTTCTGGTCATCCTCCTTTCTCCTGACATCTTAGTCCCCCTTCTGGGAACCCCTCCAACAGCCAAGGAGTGGCCTTTCCACCTCTGCTCCTCCCCACCTCTTGTCTCCCACAACGCCCAAGCCAATCACGCTCAAGCCTGTGCCCCCTTAGGATGACAACTGCGGGTCCCCGGCCTGCCAGGCCGTCATCAGCCCCACTCAGCCACTGTGAGCGCGGCAGTTCAGCAGGGAGTGCAACTTCCTTCCACCCCCTGCTGCCTGGCTGATTGGCAGCCAGCGGGGCTGGAGGGGAGCAGCTCGTGCTGACTGTTTGCCGCTGGGCAGGGAGGGCTTGGCAGGGGTGGCCGTGAGAGGACCTGGGAGCTCAGGGGTCTAAGAGACACAGAGGATTCCCTGAGTCAGGAACCCGGCCAGAATCCCCCATCTGCCCCTCTGGTATCTGGCTGCTGGCCCTCTGTAGGGAAATGATGGATGAGGTCCTTCCCAGAGAACCTCTAGGTAGGGGGAGGAGAGAGAAGCTTATCTTCTACAGAATTGAGGCCAGTGGTTCAGGGGACCTCAGGTCTCAGGCCTCTGCAGGAGGCCTGGCTGTGGCACTCACCAGGACCTGCAGTCTCCTGATCCTGGTTAAAACCAAGAGCAAATGAAGTAGTTTAGCAGCCAGGCTATAGGGGCTCCTGGCAGGACCTGTCAAAATGGCCCTCCTGGCTCATATAGAGCTAATTAATAAATATATGTACACACACACACACACACACACACACACACACACACACCATTATAAACCACAGTCATTATGAATCATTTTCTGCCCAGATTGAGTTTCTTAATTGAGGCAGGAGAAAAGTCACTGGGGAAAAAAAATGGCCATGAATATTGCCCCAACTATATAGTTCAGAGAGAAGCCCGGCCAAAATCTCTACTGGAGATTTGCTTAGTTTCCTTTAATGAGAACTCCAACAGCCCGAATTTTGCTTGGGCAGCCAGAATTTGAACTGAAATACTGTCTGGAGAAGTCACATCAAAAGCTTTAGGGCTTTCCCGCGTGTCTGGGGCTGCCGAGACCTGGCCAGAGTCTTCATGCAAGTAAGTATAGAACCCATAATGAGAGCTTAGGTTGCTAACAATAAGTTCAAATCATCCTTTCTTTCCCAATCTCTCCAGAGATTTTTTGTTTGTTTGTTTTCATCAGTCTGTGCTGGCTCAAGTTTTTAGATTAAGCTATTTTGGAGTTTCCATGTCTAAAACCCTCTCAAACTTTTAAAAGTGAAAAGCATCACTCAAAAGCAACTAAGTACTTTCTTCTAACACTATAGGTGCACATAAATAAATCAATAAAACTGGTCCCGGGGCTATGAATATATATGGAAAAATTAGGTCCCTAGAGATCAGTTTTCAGAAAGCCAAGGGGATGTGAAAATAGAGGCTAAAGCAAACGTCTCAATACTTTGTAACAGGGTGGCACATTTAAGACAAGGGCACCAGGTTTTAAAATGATCCTGTGCAAATGGACTGTCGGATGGGACATTTAATGTACTGCTTTTATCAGGGATAAAGATAGTTGGTGTATGGGTTTATTTCTTCTTTGAAAAAAGTTAACCACAATATAATTAGCTCTCTTTTTTGTCAGTCTGGGCTGCTGTTGATGAGGTGTCTAGAGGCCTTCTGGTATAGGTGCCTAAAAGCTTAAACTGCATTTAATTATTATTATTACTCAATGTCAGGCTACATAAATGAAAAGAGATAAAAAAGAATTGCTTGCAGCTACATTGCCTTGGTTTGTGATTTCATCACATCTCACAAGCGAAGCAGGTTTGAGCTGGCACTTGGGGCATGAAACCTCTAAGGAAAACCCAGGCAGCTAGAGATGCTGTTTCAACCGAGTTGAAAGTCTCCCCACATGCTGGGGAGGGTAGAGGCTTGCCACACTTTGATTTTGCTCCCCAGCTTTATTTTTAAATACCGTAATAACTGTCTGACTTATTTCGGAGAAGGAAAGCAAATAGGGGAAATGGAGTCACAGGGAGAGTGGTCTTAAAGGCACATAGTCTGGAATGCGAAGATTTCTTGGCTCCCAACGCTCATTGATTGTCTGTCCTGCTGCCTGAAATACCAGTGAGGGCGCCAAAGGAGCAGTGGTATATCATGAAGGGCTCAGCTAACTGTGGAAACTGGAATGGGCTTTCCCACCTGAATGCAGGCAGAGAGCAAGGTGCAGACAAGGAGGCTTGAAAGGCAGATGGACCAAGTTCTGCCCACTTTTCCTACAGTCTATTTATCCACAGGTCAGGATGAAAACAGATGGTTTGCCAGAGGGCAATATATTGGCAGACAGTACCTTGCTTTTTAGGCATGAGACGTCAGGCTTAGGAACAAGTGCTTGGCACTGAGTTAATTAACTCTAGACATTCAGCTCAAGGATGACCTTCTTTCTAGCTCCTTAGATTAAAAAGATAATGAGTTAGGCAGCCCAGAATGGTCAGAAGACCAGAAGCTTTAGCTGCATTCTAGCCCCACCTTTTTTTCTGCTGTTCTCTAGCACCTTAGTTTGCAAGCCCCCTAGGACAGGGACCATGGTGTGCAATGTTATTGAACTTCCCCAGGATGAGTGCTGCAGTTGTATACAACAGGCAGAAAACCAATGTGCTGACTAGTATACTGGTTCCTTTTCTTAGCTCCTGGCCAGCCAGTCCGTTGTAAAATTTTCTTTAGATTATGATGCCAGGGACTATTGCTTTTTGAAGGGCTGCCAGGGAGAGTTCAAGCCATTCAGGCCCTTCATCAGTTGTGTCACCATCCATTTCAGTTACCTGTTGATACCTAGCAAATCGCCCTAAAACTTAGTGGCTTAAACTACAACTACTTATTTAGTATGTGATGCTGTGAGTCAGCTAGTTGAGCAAGGCTCAGCTGGATGGTTCTTCGGCTGGTCTCAGCTGGGCTCACTCATGTGCTTGTCATCAGCTGTGCGGGTGGGGGTGGGGGGGCGTGGAGGGGGCGGCAGGCAATGGCCTCACTCACACATCTGGTGATGGTTGACTGTTGGTTGGGAATCCTACCTTAACCAGCAAGCTATTCGGAGCTTATTTACATGGTTTCCAAGAGCAGAAGCAAGAGTTAAATCCTAATGCACAATTGCTTTAAAAGCCTTTTTTTTTCTTTTTTTTTTTTTTTTTTTCTGGTAACACATGTACAAACGTTGCTTTGGTCAAAGCAAGTTACATGACTGAGCACAGAGTGAAAGAGACAGTGGCAGGGCAAGGGACAAAGAAGGGGAATGATTGCTGCCATTTTGCAAACAGTCTATCATGTGCAAAACAAGGCCAAGAACAAACTTTCAAGGTGATACTTCATTCTTAGATTTCCAAGATGCTAGAGCCAGAAGTCCTAGTTGAGTCCCTGTTTCTCCACGTTTCAGGCCTCAGTTTCCCCATCTAATAAATGAGGATAACATCCATTTCACAGGGTTGATCCAGGATCAACAGGGGCTAAAAATTATAAATAAATGTTGGTAATGATGCTTCCACAACTGTACAATGGGTTCACAACTTCTCAACCTACTTGCTCATCTCCACACACAGCGTTTCTGCGAGTACAGAGGGCTCACTATTGATAGTGGTCCAAGAGGGGATTTTAGGTGTCACAGGAACAGCACCTTGAATACGATTGACTTATGTGTGTGATTCACCTTCCCTCTGTCATTCTCTTTCAGTCTTTCCTCTTAGGAGAAGTCTCAGCTTAATGCCAATGCCTTCCCCTTTTGCTAATTATTTTATTTTTTGTAAAGAGGGGGTGTGTCACTTTGTGGCCGAGGCTGCTCTTGAACTCCTGTCCTCAAGGGATCCTCCTGCCTCAGCCTCCCAAGGTGCTGGGATTACAGGCATGAGCCATGGAATGCCACCAGTGCCAATTTGTCTTTGACACCTCTCTCAACCCATGCTAACCATCTCCCTCAGAGTTTTTGGCCCTATTTAGAATTGAATAATGCTTTATTTTCAATTTTTACATTTGCTTTCTATTAATGACAAATGATACGTTAAAAAATATATAAGCAAGCACTAATAGTTTAAAAAACAATGCTAAGTATATAATAAAACGTGGTTCATTCATTCTTGCGTTCAACAAATATTCGTCCAATAAATATATGTAGAGCATCTCCTATGGGCCAGGATCTTGCCAAAGGCACATCTGCGAACCAAGGAAACCCCTGCCCTCGGGGAGCTTGCATTCTAGGCGTGGGAGTCGTGATGGTGGTCGGAGAAGGACTGGATTTGGGGATTTGCTTCTTGCGGGGGACACAGGCCTGCCCGTGGGGCCCGCCTCCCGCGCGGAGAGCGCTGAGGGGTCCGGAGTGACCTGTAGGCTGAGACCCTGGCTTCCCCTTGCCTAGAGGCCGGGCAGGAGGCGCGGAGCCCGAGGTCGCGGGGCTGAGGGCGCGGGGCGGGCCCGGCGGGGCTCGGCTGCGGCCCGGGCTGTGTCTGCGGCCCCGGCGGCCGCGCCCCTCCTCCCTTTCCCTCCGGCGGAGGCTGACGTGGAGTCAACAGCGCTGGCGGCCGCGAGAGGCGGCGGCGCAGCGGCTCGGAGGCGCCGGGCCCTCTCGGGGCCGCGCGGGGCCCGGGCGGCGGCGGCGACGCGACGTCGCGAGGAGGAGGAGGCGGCGGGGGTCCAGGAGGCCGGCCAGCGCATGGAGGAGGAGGCCATGAACGGCGACCGGACTGAGAGCGACTGGCAGGGGCTGGTGAGCGAGGTGAGGCCGCGGCGCCGGCCAGGCGGGATGGGCCGGGCCGAGCGGCCGCCAGCCCCGGGCCCGCGCCCCCAGAGAGGCCGAGCTGGGAGGGACGAGAGGGGGGCGCGCACTCCAAGTGGCCGCGGCTGCCGCACCCGCGCGACCCCGCCAGGTGCGCCGCTCCTCCTGCACTTTCGGGTCTGCGCGGGCGCCACTTTCTTCCGCGCCATCTGGTGTCAGCCTTTGGGGAGGGGCCTTCCCCCCAAGGCAGGGGTTGGCCCTGGATTGGAGGCTGAAGCCCTGGGATCCGGGAGCAGAAGGTGCCAAGCCCCACCTGCCTGCCCGCTCGCCACTGTTGTGGAGCCAAACAATTGGACGCCTGGGACTGAAACGGGAAGGTGGTGCCATGGGGGAGAATCCGAGCCCTGGGGTGGAACCTGGGCCAGGTGGAATTACCTGCGGCGGTGGTTCGAGTTGGGGGAGTTCGGGGGTCCGCTGCAGCCGTTCACTCATTCACTTGCTCAATTCAATCAACACGTGTTTACTGCAGGCCTACCATGTGTAAGGTGGGGAGGGGCATTTATCGAAAAAGTGAAACACAGGTGCAGAAGTGATTCGATTTGTGGAAGCACAGAACACCGTGTCCCCCTGCCCTGCGACTCTTTTGTCATAAACATACCCTGGGGGTCCACTTTCAGGATCCTATGCTGTTTGCTCTTCAGTTCCCCCTAAGAGTTTGCCGGCCTGCCGGGAGAAGCTGCCGGCCTCTCCAGGTGAGAGGGAATGCGGATTTCTCCCTCTCACCTGGAGGCAACCAGGTAAGTTGCCCTGGTTTGCCACCATTTGTGGGGGCAATTCCTGGTGTTACTTACCCATGCCGGGGAATTTCTCCCTTCTGAGAACCAAGCTCCAGCCAAGGCCAACTTGGGGCTTCCTTTTCTTTAATCCTGTGCACACAATGCAGAGTGTATCGGTTTGCTCTTTTCCTTTCCTTGTGGGTTATGGGAAGGGAAACCCTCTACTCCCTCACTCCTTTCATCGTTTTCTGGGTCTCCAGGTCAGTCTGATAATAGTGCTTCATGCCCAGTGTGTGCAGAGCGTTGTGTTTCTGAAGAGGAATGACATGCGGTAGCTCCTGCCCTAGTTTAGTTTGCTCAGCATTGGTCTAGTAGTTGAAAGCTCTCCTAACTGTCTGGTGTTATGATCCATTGTATTGCAGCCTGGCTCCATCTTCTCAAACTGTCAGGCTTTATGTTAAGGGGCAGATCCTCTGGGGACCTTGTTTCTGGTCCCATCAAGAATCATACTTAGTAGTCAAGGAGGCTGGAGGTAGTTCTCCTTAGAAGTCCAGTGTTAGGCCCTTAAATAGCAGCAGAATCTTCACTACTCCAACAATTGCATATCAGGTGCCTGTTAGGAGTCAGTACATTGTGAGGTGCTTGGGATTCAGTGGTGAATAAGACAAAGAACTCCCCTACCCTCAAAGAACTCCTGGGGGTTTCATGATATAGTCTGGGAGGAAGGTCATACCGTAGACAGTGAGAGTGAACTAAAGGATGGAAAGGCTTCAAGTGCTAAATGGCATGGGGTGCCCCTCAGTTGGCTGGGCTTAACCTTCACCTTGCCCTGACCACATTATTGTAACAATAGGCTTCCTCACTAGGCCGTGTGCTTTGTTTGGTTCTTTATTCCAGGGCCTATACACAGAGCTCTGTATGCAGCAGGTGCTCGAAAAATGCTTGTTGAATAAGTCAGTGAATCCTGAAGTAGGTCCTTCAGGAGTTTTCCTGCCCATCCCAGCAGAGTTTCTCCAGAGTAATACCTCCTTAACTTCACAAACATGAGGTGGGCACGTAGCCAGGGGCCATGGGGGAGGTGAAAATGGGTCTAACTTACTTCCCACCTTAATAATAACTAATGACTATTTTTTGAGTGCATCCTTCATATTAAGCATTTTACATGGCCTCATATTCACAATGACATAAGGTAGGAATTCTTTCTTATTTTACAGATAAGGAAACAGTGGCTCAGACAGGCTAAGGAACTTGCACAGAGCCTCACATCTGGTAAGTGGAAGAGGCAGGATTTGAATCCTGGTCTGTCTGACTCATTGCTTGAGCCTTGCTTGTCTGAGCCTTGCTAGGCCACACTTGCTATTTTAATCATTGCTCATCTGTCTGTATCTTCTGCTAGATGGCAGGCTTCCCAAGGAAGGAGACCATGTCTGATTCAACTTTGAGTCCGCAGCAAATGGCTTGGTGTTTCTTAGAGTATGGCCTACAGATCACCTGCATCAGAGTCATTTTGGGTGCCTGTGAAAAATTCAAGTTTATGGGTCTCTCCCAAATTTACTGTAGTGAGTTGAATTATGTATCCTGCTCCCCCCACCTCCCCACCATAGCTGCATCCGAGACCTAACCCCAGTAGCTGCAAATGTGACTTTATTTGGAAATAGGGCCTTTGCAGATATGATCAAGTTAAGGATCTTTAGATGAGATCACCCTGGATTTAGGGTAGGTCCTAAATCTAATGACTGATACCTTAGAAGAGAAAGGACAGAGATTTAAGCCACAGACACACAAGGGAGCAGGCTATGGGAAGACGGAGATGCATGAAAGGAAGACCATGTGAAGACAAAGGTAGAGATTGGAGTGATGCAGCCACATGGCAAGGCATGCCAGAGGTCGCTGGCAGCTCCCAGAAGCTGGAAGAGGCAGATTCTCCCTCAAAGTCCCCAGAAAAAAACAACTGTTGACACCTTGCTTTTGGACTTCCGGCCTCTATAACTGTGAGTGAATACACTCCTGTTGTTTTAAGCCACCCCGTTTATGATCATTTGTTACAGCAATGTATTAGTCCGTTTTCATGCTGCTTATAAAGACATACCTGAGACTGGGTGATTTACAAAAGAAAGAGAGATTTCATGGGCCTGCTGTTCCACATGACTGGGGAGGCCTCACAATCATGCTGGAAGGCAAGGAGGAGCAAGTAACATCTTACATGGATGGCAGCAGGCAAGGAGGAGCAAGTAACATCTTACATGGATGGCAGCAGGCAAAGAGAGAGAGCTTCTGCAGGAGAACTCCTCTTTATAAAACCATCAGATCTCGTGAGACTTATTCACTATCACGAGAACATTATGGAGGAAACTAGCCCCATGATTCAATTATCTCCCACCAGGTCCCTCCCACAACATGTGGGAGTTATGGGAATGCAATTCAAGGTGAGATTTGAGTGGGGACACAGAGCCAAACCATATCAAGCAGCCACAAGAAACTAATACACCTACTGCTGAAAAGTGCCTGGGGTTGCAGCCCCCTGATCTGCCTTTCTTACAAGCTGAGCTGCCCAGGTAATTCCCCTGCCCAGTCAAGTTTGGCTGGCAGGGGTTCCATGGGTGTGACTGGGTCTGGTACCAGACAGGTAAGATTCAGGGAAGAGTGTGCTCAGCAGCTGTGGTGTTACGAAATGGTTTGGGGACCTGGCAGAAGGACCTGTGGAAGACATCACTGCACAGCTAATCTGGACTACATGGGATTTTCGTGGGCTTGCATTTATTTCTGCAGAAGTCCTGGGTGCTGTCTCCCACCCTGGATCCCCTCTCCATCACCTGCCCAGAGCCCCGTCCTCTCTTTCAATCAGTTGCTTCCTCCACTTGCCTCTAGGAAGCAGTTTTCATTTAAAACAATCCTACAGAGGTCAGTTTTATTTTCATATATTTGGTATAATAAGCTGAAATTACAGCCTTCTTTCAGGCCTGGAAGTAAACACACCCATGCGTGTGAAAGAAGCATGACCAGGGTTCTGTTTTGGAAATTAAATGTCTGGGGAGGGGCAGATATTCTTATCGCCACCTGAGGTGAGCTTTCAAGATTGGAGACATCTCAAAGTACAGGTATGCAGGCAATCAATAACTTTTTATTTCCAAGATAAAAATCCTGGTCATCGCTCAGCCCACCACTCTATGATAAACTATACATAATTCCATTTCACTATTTGAATTTTGGTTAATTAGATAGCAATCAATCTCCTATTCCTTGAGCATGTTGTATGCAGGGGCCAGGAGGCAGAAGACAGTTAACCATGGGCCTCCGCCCAAAGTAGAGACTGATTTTTGGTTTTTGTCGTTGTTGTTTTAGAGATGAGGTCTCACTCTGTTGCCCATGCTGGAGTACAGTGGTGCGATCATGGCTCACTTCAGCCTCCATCTCCTGGGCCCAAGGGATTCTCCTGCTTCAGCCTCCTGAGTAGCTGGAGTTACAGGCACGTGCCACCATGCCCAGCCAATTTTTTTTTTTTTTTTTTTGTAGAGATAGAGTCTTGCTATGTTGCCCAGGCTGATCTTGAGCTCCTGGCTTCAAGGAATCCTGCCTCAGCCTCCCAAAGTGATGGGATTATAGGCATGAGCCACCGTGCCTGGCCTAGCCACTGATATTTGGAAAGGAGAGGTTGAGTAGGTATAGAGTCCAGCTCTGTGGTTAAGGTAAAGACCCAGCTTTGGGTTTCAGTTGTTGACTTAGACTCTGAAGATAATAAGAGACCTGGGGGGAAGTCTTGGCCCTGCCTTTCTCTTGGTACAAAAGATCAAAAACCCAAACCAAAGTGGATCAGCTTAGAGGCAATTTACTGGCTGATGTTGTAGGTTGTACTGTGTCCCCAAAACGATGTGTTCAAGTCCTAACACCCTCCCCTCAACTGCCACCACACAAACACCTGTGAATGTGACCTTATTTGGAAGTAGGGTCTTTGCAGATATAATCAAGTTATGATGAGGTCATCTTGGGTGGGCTCTAATCCAATGACCTGGTGTCCTTATCAGAAGAGGCAAATTTGGGCACAGAGATGCACAAAGAGAAGACAATGTGAAGACACAGACGGAAGAAGGCATGTGACAACAGAGGCAGAAACTGGAGTCATGCAGCTACAAGCCAAGGAAAGCCAAAGATTGCTGGTGACCACCGGAAACTAGGACGAGGCAAGGAAGAATCCTCCCTGAGAGCCTCACTGGGGAACACAGTCCTGCCAACACCTTAATTTTGGACTTCAAACCTCCAGGACTGTGCAACAGTTGAATTCTGTTGTTTTAAGTCCCCCAGTTTGTGATAATTTGTTATGGCAGCCCTTGGAAGTGACTATAACCAACATGACTAGTAATTCCATGCTAGGGCTGGCTTTTGGCTGATTCACCACTCAGACAGTTTCTCTCCATCTTTGAGTCTGCTTGCTGCCTGGCTTTAGTCTAAGCCTCCCATCCTTTCAAGTTCAAGTCCAGAGGGGAAGACAGACCCTTCTCTAGCAGATCCTGTGAAACCCTGGGATGCTCCATTTAAATCCACTTAGATCACTCACCTAAACTGCAAGAAATCGCTCAGGCAGGTAGTGATCTGATTGTTTTAGGCCTGGAGTTGTGTTCAGAGCCCTGCTGCATGACACGTGGACTGTGAGTGGAGCTAGGGTAGATCCCCAAGTAAAATTGGGGGGCTTCTTTTCGAAGAGGGAGAATGGATGTTGAGGGAATGACTGCACCATGTAACTTCTCTGACCCTCATTTTTCTCGTCTTTAAATAGGGTAGTAAAAGTACCTACCTCATAGGTGATCCTAATTGTGAGGATCAAATGAAATAATAATGCTTATGAGTGCATAGGCCTCTGCCGGGCAAGGCAGCAGTGGAACAGTGAGCATGAACCTCACGACAGAAACTCTGGTGTGTGAAAACTATAATTTGCTATAATGCCTTAATTTTGATTACAAGTTTTTGTTGTTTGAGTAGTGGAAATGTAATCTGCATATGAAGCCACACCACTCCCTTTCCCTGAATTTGTATTTAAATTCTAAGGGACTTAACGAAATACTAAGACTAAGGCTAAGTCATTGGCTGGGGTGCTGGGGTGGGCTGTTTTTGTCTACCCACACTCTCCTAATTTAGTCTAGTATCTTGCCCTTGGTCACTCTAGGTCACTGTTGTGTCCTCCCTCATCCCCCCTCAGGTGTCCTCTGGCCCTCTGGCTGTCTGCACCACATCCATGCTACTTTTGGATGAATGAAGAACAAATTGATGAACTGCTTTTCACTGTTCTGGGCATGGTGAACTTTGCTGTCTTGCCCAAGGTGGGGCAAGTTTTATTCATTTTTAAAATTTGGCCGGGCACGGTGGCCCATGTCTATAATCCCAGGACTTTGGGAGGCTGAGGCAGGCGTATCACCCGAGATCAGGAGTTCAAGACCAGCCCGGCCAACATGGCAAAACCTCGTCTCTACTAAAAATGCAAAAATCAGCTGGGCGTAGTGGATGTGCCTGTAATCCCAGCTACTCGGGAGGCCGAGACAGAATTGCTTGAACCCAGGAAGCAGTGGTTGCAGTGAGCCAAGATCGTGCCACTGCACTCCTGCCTGGGTGACAAGAGTGAAACTCTGTCTCAAATAAAGTAAAATAAAATAAAATAAAATAAAATAAAATAAAATAAAATAAAATTTGTTCCGCTGCCCCTGAGTTACTCTAGGGCTAATTATTATGCTGCCCTCAAATCACCCTGGGGCTATGGGAAACTTTGGGAAACTGTTGCACACACAGCATGTCACAACACCAAGGCTGGGTCCAGGGAATTGGGGATTAGTTTTCACTTCCTAAGAAATAAAGGTGTATTTGTTAGGGTAAAGTCTAAGCCACTGTAAGAAAGATGCCTGCCTCCAAAATAGAGTGGTTTAAATAAGGTAAGACATTTGTGTCTCTTTCTTGTGAGTGTGGTGGTTCAGGCATGGAGGGCAGCCCTGCTCCTTGAGTCATCTAAGAATTCAGATTTCTTTTATCTTGTTGCTCCACGATTAGGGTATGGTCCTCATCTGTGTGGCTGAAGCTTCTTGCTGCCACATTTGTGTCCCAGCCCATGGGAATGGGGAAAGAGAGAAGGGGCAAGTCCAGGGCAAGGGGCTTTTCTTTAATTAGGGATGAGTGGAGAATTGTACATATCACATCTGCTCACCTCCCATTGGTCTGAGCATAGTCATACGGCCACTCCTAGTTGTAAGAGAGGCTGTGAATGTAGTCTGTAGCAGAATGTGCCCATGTTTAATTTGGGAGGGTCCCATTAAGAAATAAGAGTAGGCTGGGCACCATGGCTCACGCCTGTAATGCCAGCATTTTGGGAGGCCAAGGCAGGTGGATCACCTGAGGTCAGGAGTTTGAGACCAGCTTGGCCAACATGGCAAAACCCAGTCTCTACTAAAAATACAAAAATTAGCTGGGCGTGGTGGCACGCGCTTGTAGTCCCAGCTACCCAGGAGGCTGAGGCAGGAGAATCACTTGAACCCAGTAGGTGGAGGTTGTAGTGGGCAGAGATCACGCCACTGAACTCCAGCCTGGGCAACAAAAGCAAAACTCCATCACACACACACACACACACACACACACACACACACACACACGCACGCACGCAAAAAGAAAGAAGACTATATAGGACATGAAAAAGATAAGTTATCAAGAAAAAAATGAGTAGGTTGACATATCAAAGTTAAAAAGTTATTCTCTTTGGCGGACTCTGTTAAAACAATAAAGAGTCACAGACTGGGAGAAAATATGTGCACAACACACATCTAGTATCCAGAATATAAAAGGAACTCTCACTACTCAGTAAGAAGAAAGGCCGGGTGCGGTGGCTCACTCCTGTAATCCCAGCACTTTGGGAGGCCACGGCGGTGGATCATGAGGTCAGGAGTTCAAGACCAGCCTGACCAACATGGTGAAACCCTGTCTCTACTAAAAATACAAAAATTAGGCAGGCATGGTGGTGTGCACCTGTAATCCCAGCTACTCAGGAGGCCGAGGCAGGAGAATCGCTTGAACCTGGGAGGCGGAGGTTGCAGTGAGCTGAGATGGCACCAGTGCACTCCAGCCTGGGCGACAGAGTGCGACTCCATCTCAAAACAAACAAACAAATGAAAGAACAAAAACAAAGAAACAATCTGAATTTTTAAATGGACAAAAGGATTAAATAAACCCTGCACTGAAGAAGAGGGATGGCAAATAAGCAATGAGTAGAGGCTCAGCATCCTTAGTCATTAGGGAACTGTAAATGGAAATCACAGTGAGATACCACAACATACCTATTAGAATGGAAAAGCAACAAGTTACAAAACTCATCAGCTAAGGGCTGACAGGGACGCAGAGCAACTAGAAGTCTCATACATTGCTGGAGGAACTGTAAAGTAGTAAAGTCACTTCTGAAAAGGTTTGCAGTTTCTTATAAAGTCAAACACACACTTAACTAAACAACCCAGCAATCCTTCTCCTAGGTAGGATTGAAGAGAAATGAGGACACATGTCCACACCTGTCTACACATCTATGTATGTAACTCAAGCAGTATACAACCGAATAACTTTCTTTTTTAAAAAATTATTTTAGCAGCAAACGTACTGCTCCTTGTGGAGCAGGGCTACCCCATAGGCAGTGTGCCCAGAGCAGCCACAACCAGATAACTCATTTAGGGGAAGTGGGTTACAGGGTACATGGTATAGGGTAAAAGCTGATAGTTTTAACATCTGTGATGAGTGACTATTTTGTACTCATGAATTAATGCTGTCTTCTATCTTTTTAAGAACACCTTTATTAAGGTAGAATTAATATATTAAAATGTGCACATATTTTAGGTATACAATTTGAGAGTTTGGATGTGTGCATACACTGGTGTAACCATCACCACAATCAAGGTATACATGAAATTTTTGAAAAGTAAAAATTAAGGCTAGGCACGGTGGCTCACGCCTGTAATCGCAGCACTTTGGGAGGCTGAGGCGGGCGGATCACCTGAGGTCAGGAGTTCGAGACCAGCCTGGCCAACATGGTGAAACCCAGTCTCTACTAAAAATACAAAATCAGCTGGGCATAGAGGCACACGCCTGTAATCCCAGTTACCCAGGAGACTGAGGCAGGAGAATCGCTTGAACCCAGGAGGCAGAGGTTGCAGTGAGCCCAGACCGTGCCACTGCAGCCCAGCCTGGGCAACAAGAGCGAAACTCTGTTTCAAAAAAAAAAAAAAAAAGCTAAAAATTAAAAAGACAGAAAACTGATCAATGATTACCAGAGCCTGAAGGTACAGTGAGGAAATTGGCTGCAGAGAAACATGAGGGAATCTTTTGGATTTATGGATGTATTCTATGTCTCGATTGTGATGATGGTTACATGACTGTGTAAGCTTGTTGAGATTCATGGAACACTTACACCTAAAAGGGATGAAATTTTCTCCAAATTATACCTCAGTAAACTCAGTATTTTTCAAAAGGAGGTGAATGGTTATTCAAAACAGTTAGCTATTGCTACAGAGAGCTTTACTCCTTGCCTCTCTAATTCCCGAGCCCATCAGGTTTCCATCAAAACTAGCTGTGTCCCCCAAATTTCAGCGCCAAGTCCTTGCTCTGCCCTCTCAACCCCAGGCTGATTGGGCCAAGCTCAGTGTTCCTTCTTGGAGACTGACTACCAAGCTCTCATTTGCACTCTGATTCTGCCCTTTTCTCAACTTGGAAGATCCTTTCTAGTCTTTTGAGGAGTTATGGTCGAGGGCGCCACTGGAGAGACTCAACTGTGCCCTTATATCTTCAGGAGCAGGCCCTGAAAATGGAAAAGCCAGTCAGTTGTTACCTGTGTTCTGCTGGGCTATGCCTTTCTTAGACGTAAAGGCAGAATGTCTGGCTTCTTAAAAAGGGGGAGAGATATATGGGGGAGAATTAGGGTAAGGGTTGCAGGAAATGGAAGCAAGGTGGGAAGATAGGCTGTCAGTTAATATTTTAAAATACTCTTTTTTTTTTTTTTTTTTTTTTTGAGTTAGACTCTCACTCTGTTGCCCAGGCTGGAGTGTAATGGCACAGTCTCGGCTCACTGCAACCTCTGCTTCCTGGGCTCAAGTGATTCTCCAGCCTCAGCCTCCTGAATAGCTGAGACTACAGGCATGAGCCACCATTTCCTGGCTAATTTTTCTATTTTTTGGAGAGACAGAGCTTTGCCTTCTTGTCCAGGCCAGTCTCATATTCTTGAGCTCAAAGCTATCCATCAGTCTCAGCCTCCCAAACTGCTGGGATTCAAGGTGTGAGCCACCACTCCTGGCTTAAAATATTCATTCTTATTAGCTGTTGTTATTAGATGAAAACACCATGCACAATAGCGAACAATAGATCTTAGACACTAATGTAGGCAGTTGGTGAGGCTTGATGGAGTGGGGAAAAGCTTCTTAGAAGTTGAACTTTAACTGAGCCCCTTCCCTTTGGTTGAAGACAGCAAGGGAGATCATGAGAAGGCATGAGCACTGGGCCAAGTTGGTGGCCTTTGCGGAGATGCTCCAGATAAAGGCAGAAATCACTGGGTTGAAGTACAGCAGGCAATGAGATTGGATAACCAGGGAGGACCAGATGGTGAATGACTTCAAAAGCCAGGCAGCAGGATGTGTCCTGATGTAGCTGGTAATGGGGAGGCACTGAATGCTTTTTTTAACTGGAGTACAAATTGATGAAAATACTTGGGGTAGGTTGGTTTCCACTGAATTCAACAGTTACTGAGTCTGTATTGTCTGCAAGGTACTATGCCAGGCCGTGATGATATAAAAACTAATTTGGTGACCCTGCCAGGAATCAGGGAAGGACAGGTTAGGAAGAGATACCAGTAATCTAGCCTTTTCTGCCACCATCAACATTCTCAATTATTTCCATTGCACCTAAGTCCTACCACTTATCGTGTAGTTTTCAACCTAACCCTTGACTTACCTGTCTCTCCACTGGACCCAAAAGATCTTGAAATCTTTGAGAGTAGGGACCATATGTAACCTTAGCACTTAGCCCTGTACTTTGCCCATTGCAGGTGCTCAATACGTGTAGAATATATGAATGCTTGGATGTTTGAATGAATGAGGTGTTAAGGGGTTACAGCATTGATGGGAATAGAGAAAAGGGGATGGCTATGGGAAACATTCTAAAGGAAGACCCCTACAGCAAGTTACGGCTAGCAGGATTGGAGAGATGGAATAGAATGAGTCCAAGATGGCCCTTGCTGCATGGCTGGAGGGTGGTGGTACTGGAAGTGACAGGAGGTTAGGAGATATGAGTTTGGTGAGAAGAGCATGGGTTCTGTTCAGAACTGTGCATCATTCAGAGTTTCCTGGGAGTACTTGAGCTCTTGGGAAGGAAGATTAGTGCTTACTGGGAACATTTTCGATGAGCAGCTATCTTCATAGTGGCAGGCTAATTTCAGAGTAAGTTTATTAAAATTAGTGTGTGGGGGAAAGTGAGCTCAACTGCTATTTTTAACTGATGGGATTCATGTTCTCTCCTGTGCGGGGAAATTCGCATATGTGCTCCTAAAATTGACAATTTCTACACTTATTATGTTAAAAAAATTAATATAGTGAGTTTCACGTTGAATAAAATACATTGGCTGAAGATGAGAAGAGGACTTTGGCCAGTCCCTGAATGAAAATGACCAGAGTGAATGACATTTACTACTCACTGCCTGGTTTTCCACCAGTAAAACCATACTGGGGCTTTAGTACCTCCTGGCAGAGAAGTTGCTTAAGTTGAGAGTCTGCACCTCTCTCTGGCCCATCTGGCAAAGTGGTGGAGACCTGGTTCCCAAAGAACACAAACCTTTGGTTGATTTTTACTTTGAAGTCTTTCCACTTTCACCTCTTCTGGTCCACTCTCTTCATTATCTGAAGCTATTTTATTGCAACAAACATCCTAATACTGTTCAGGGTATCATATTTTCTTCAAGTCAGTTTATCCTCTGTACAGCTAGCCAATTAAACCACCTTTAAGAAAAAACATTTTTCATGATGTCCTCTTACTCGGAAACCTTCAGTGGTGGCTCCCCATCACCTGGTGTTCGAGCCTCTTCATGCTGACCTTGACCTATCTTTCTGCCTGTCTCACTGCTCCCCACATACGCTGGCTGCTTCAGCCAAAATGATCTGCCATGCATTCTGGCTCCCACCTTTATCTCACACCCTGACCTCATCCAGGTGGGCCTCCCCCTTCTTCTCTGTCCACAGCCTTCACCAGTCCTTTAAGGTGGGGTGGAACCCCACATCCCTCCTAAAATCCTCCATGATGCCAATCTTGAAGTGAGCTCTTCGTCCTGTTGCCTTATTTGGCTTGGCTTAAACTGTGATCCTTTCACACTCACATGCTACCTAAGAAAGAGAGGAGCTGTATCTCTGTGTAGATATTAACTCCTGTATAAGTTGACAAGCTCCTTAGAGAAAGGACTGTGGCCACCTGTGTTGGGGCAGGAGACAGGAATTCTGGAATGATGATGTATCATGCAGTGGCTCAGGTAGTGCAGGACCTGAGGCAGGGCACTGATACAGAGTACAGAACCAACCTGGTTCTGGCCCATTTGCAGAGCCTCTACTGTGATCTCACATCCTCATTTAGGGAAAGTAGCTCATGGATGTGCCTGCCCACGTATAGCTCTATTCATGGCAGGCACAAAGGTGGGGGTCAGTGATGTCAGGAGAGAGCCACCATTGTAGTGGGTTGGCTGGTTGATGTGAAGGAGGAGTGAAGGACAGCCCTCATATGTCAGTGGGACAGGATGTCTAGCAGAGGAGAAGGTCAGCATTCAATGTGCCAGTTACATAGTGAGCATTACTATGTGCAAAGCCTTCTGCATGTGACAATTGCCTTCAAGGAGTTACAGTGCAGTGGTGATAGAGAATGGGGATGAGGACACTATGCTGTGATATGCATTGTGATAAGCGTTCTTCAGGTTAAGGGGAGGCTAATTTAGATTGGAGGATTGAGGAGGGTTCTTAATGGAGGTGGCACCTGGGCCAGGAAGGTTGGGCAGAATTTCAGCAAATGGAGATGTCAAGGAAGGGTGTTCTAGACAGAAGGAATAGAGATGGCAAAGGTACAGACATAGCAAAATGCAAGACTTGTTGGGGAAATCTCAGATCATCTGGTCTCTGGTGGGGACACATAGTGGAGCATCAGGTGTTGGTTAGGCAGACCTCGAATGCCCTGTTAACTGTATAGAGGGTGCTAGGGTCCCAAGTACCCAAGTATGGCATTCATTCTGGAACCAAACAATGGCACAATAGTCTCCTTTGAGTAGAAGTTGCTTGGATGCATTGGGGAGGGAACCGATCTGTCAGGAGTGTATGTGAGGGACTGGACAGGGATGGGGCTTGGGGAGAGCACAGGAGCCTGTCTGTGTCAGTGTCTGTCTGTCCCTTTGCCCTTATCCACTTTCGACTCACTTGGGTCTCCCGTTCACAGCTTCACTGCCCCTGATAATGCTCTTGCCAAGGCTGCCTAAGACCAGCCTCCTAACTGCCACACCCAGTGGTCTTTCTTTAGGACTCGATCCTGGCTGTGCAGCCTCTGATACTCTCCTCTTCTTTTCCTACATGCTGGGCTTCTGCATCCCTCCATGTGGCTACTGGCCATGTCCCCAGGAACTAAACACCTTACTCAGTGTGCCCTAAGTGGAACTCATGCTCCTTCTGTATACACTTTCCTATCTCTCTTTCCTGCTTCCATCCCGCCTCAATGGTATCACTGTGAAGTCTACCTTGATTCTTCTTCCCAACTTACACCTCCCAACCCGATTCTAATTCTTATTCATTAAGATCCATCTTTCTGGCTTTGGAACAAGTCCTTAAATAGGGCATCCGTGTCACCATTCCCACTCTTTCACTGTGGCCAGATTCTCAACCCCTCTCCCTGGAATATCTTCTAGGAAGATCTTTCCTCCATGCAGTTGCTAGAGTCATCATCTAAGCATTGAAATGATTTTACCACTCTACTGCTGAGAGCTCTCTGATGGCTTTCTAGGGACTGCAGAATGAAAGCCATGTGCCTCAGTTGGCCTCCAAGGGCCCTTCCCACTCCACACCTCTGGTAACTCCTGTAACCCTTATTTCCACCACCTCCCCTACCCTTCATAGTACTCCTGACTCTGGCCAGATCATTCCATGCCCTATAACATCTCTAAGACTTGCTTATGTCCAAAGGTGACCTCCTACTCATATGTTAAAGCCCAGCTCAAATGTCACAGACTCCCCTTGGGTCTCCCACTTCTCTTGGGCCCCAAGAGGTTGGGCAATGAGTGGTACATTGCATTTGGGAAGATGGTATGGGGGATTGTTGGCAGGGTAACTCGGTTCCTGAGGATGGGGGTCCTCAGAATGGTGGGTGGTCACCAATGTCTAGCACAATGCTAGGCACAGGATAGACACTTAGCAGTAGCTTGTAGAAGGGAGGGAATAAGAAGGAAAGACAATTACCTTGTCATTTCCAGGATTCTCTTTGAAGCCAACCCTGCTGGTGTGCCCCACTTCTAGTCTCTCCTCCAGACCAGTCATGGCCCTAAGAGAGCTGGGAGTGTCTGAAGTGCCCCAGAACATGCCCAATGTCCCGGCCAGCTTCCCGGCTCAAGTTGCAATGGGTTTTGTAAGTCACCAAGCTCCAGAAATATGTAGCTACCTGGTTTTGAGCAAATCTCCTGACTTCTCCAATACCTCATTTTCTCTGGACTTTGTACAGTGAGGATGACAGTACCTACCTGTGTCTCTCGGTTAAGATGATGATAAAGTGAGATGATGTATGTGAAAGTGTGTTTTAAATCCCCCAACCCTCTCCAGGTGAGGCGATGCTCCTATCCTTGCCTGGGCTTTGGGAAAACCCTTCCCCGGGGCTTCAGAGATGCTCCTGCAGAGGGAGGTGATGTGTCAGCTGCTGACTGTCAACATGATGCCATGGAAAAATCATATTGATGGGGCGCAGATTGCTGTGCCTGCTTGCTCTGCCATCTGCAGACCCCACGACCAAGGCAGTATTGGAGGTGGCAGGGATGGGACTCTCTCTCACTAGCCAGTTCCAATTTGCTTTCTAATTTGCTCCAACCTGGTGAGTGCTGCTGGGGTCAATCTGTAACCTTTTCTTCCTTCCCAACATTCTCTGGCTTTGCCAGACTTTGCAGCATGCATGCAGGCTGCTCAGTCAAGCCTGGGCAGCTGCCATTTCTGCGGCCTCTTCTGAGAACCTCCTAGTTACCTTCTGACTTCGTACGCCTCTTATTGTGCCCAAGTCCGAACTCATGCCCAAATCCAAACTCGTGCCCAAATTGTTCTGCCCCTCTTCATTCATACCCCTCTCTGGCCTTCAGAGCATCTGCTGGCTGCTCTCCTTTGCTGATTTGCTGGGGTTTGAGTAAGCCTTTTATTAAGCTGTTTTCAGTGCTTAGGGAAGAAGACTGCAATTGCTCACAAAGAACTCATAGCAACCTCTCTCTGGGATTTTTGCAGGCCTCCTCAGCACCCTCCCTACCTCCTGTGTCTCCTTGTACCTTTCCATTTCATTAATTACTGCCTGATCAAGTCTCTGGAAGCAAAACTCTGACTGTGACCCTTCCTCACTCACAGACCTCCATAGCTCCCGTCAGCTCTCATGTTGGCCCAAACTCTGCTGTCATTTAAGGCCTTTCTTACTTTCATCCAAACCAAACTTTCCAGACTTATTTTGACTTTCTCCTTTTCACACATCCTGCACTCCTGGAAAACAACCACTTCTATTTCTGTCTGAAGCGCATGCTGCCACACACCCAGCCTTTGATCAGGCCGTGCCTTCTGCCTGGAACTCTTGTTCTCTTCCTTTTTCTTACTTCTCTCTCAAGGTTCAGTCACAGCTCTCTTGCCCCCAGACTAAAAGCCCTCCTCCCCTTCTGTGATCTCACAACATCTAGCCATGCCTCTCTGACCGCGTGTCTCCCTGGCCGCCATGGGTTGGATTTACATGTGTTTGTGCCTTGCCTGCAGCTTGGAGTTGCTCTAGTGAAGGAACTGACCAATTCATCTTTGAATCTCTCACTGTGACCAGCACAGTGTCCTGCATATAGTGGAAAAATCTAAAAGAGATGACAAACCTCATGGTTTCTCAGTTAATACTTAAATTGAAAAACTACTGAATTAACACGAGGACGTTGATTTTTTTTTTCTTTTGGTCCAAACAACATTCTCATCTGTTTCTTTCCCCAAAGTCCCTTTGTATCCATTTTTATCCCACAGACATGACTTTCAAAATATAGACTGTGATCTTTTCAAGGTAGTAAGTCAAATCACCTTTTAATAAGCTCTAAGGGATTTATGAACTTACTGTAAGTCAATTCCTTCCTCCCTCCCTTCTTTACCTTCCTTCCTTCCAAACTGGAATTTTATTATCTCAGATATATTGCTTGAAAAAAGCCAGGCAGAGGCTGTGGGTGGGAAATCATTTGGTTATAAAGAGCTACTTTCTGTAATGGGATCTGACCTGTATTATAGCGTGTCTGAACATACACCAGGCTTTAACTCTCTTCTGCTCTAGAATTCAAGCTTGCTCCAAAGGTTATTTGCTACCCACGGTTGACTCTCATGCAATTTCTTTGGCCCCTATGGTCTTCTCATTAAGAAAAATAATGATAAAAATAATTCTTTACATTCGTCTTTCTTCAACTGGTATTTACAAGGATTTACTGTGTCTCAGGCACTCTGCCAAAAGTTGGGGTATACAGTCCACCAGGATGTAGTCACCTTACCCCCCATTTCCTTATGGAACCCTCATAACAAGCTTGTGGATTAGACTGAGCAGGTGGTAATGACCTCATTATATAAACAAAGACATGGTAATTCAGAGTGTTCGTGAAATGCTCAGAAGTTCAGCATCCTTCTTTATGGTCACTCAGCAAGAAGCAAGCAAGAGGAGCTCGGTTTTAACTTCCTGTTGGATGTTTTTCCCTCTGGACCCCAGGTTTGTGCTGGGAACCCTGGATTCAGGCGCCCTGCATGCTCACTTCCAGACAAGAGGCGGCAGCCCTTGCATGCTGCAAGACCGCTTTCCTCATCTCTGCTTCTGCTAACCTGATCTAAACCCAAGAATGTGAGCTGAAAAGGAGACTTTTGGGGTCTGGTTCTAGATTCCTGCCCAGACTTCAGTATAGGCTGGAAATTGAGCAACAGTGGGCTAAGGAGTCCTCAAGAGTGGGGTCAGGTCATCCTGAAGGGATGGTCTCATAGCCCCTCTGTTGTGGGAGCCTGAAGACAGGTGCACCAGGTGACCCAGTCCTGTCTGAGCAGAGGCTCCAAGAAAGTGAGATAATCTAGTAACACCTCAGACTCACCACCCCACCCCATGCCCATTGTAAAGAATTTCCTCAGGCAGCCATGAGGGACATGCCCCAGACTGCCTGAGCCTGTGAATGAGGAAAGGTTTGAGAAGAAAGTGAATGACTGAAGGTGTTATCTAGAGATGAGAAATGCCTTGGGTAACAGTGGATTTTAACTTTAAACACCGAGCAATGTAAATTCACTGCACCCTCCAAATTTAGAAAATACAGATACATATAAAAGAAAAAAAGCCACCTACAATTTGACTACCCAGAGCTGACTGCTGTAATCTTCCATGTTTCCATGCCCTAATTTCTAAAAATGAATTTATAGTGTATGCTGTTTTACTATTTGTATCGAGGCTAACACGTAGACAGCAGAGGCACACATTTTAAGTGTACAGCTCAGTGCATTTTTACATGTGCACATACCTGTGTAACCACCACCCAGAGCAAGTTCTAGAGCATCCCCAGCTCCCCAGAAGGCTTCCTATGCCCTTCTGAGCCAAGATATCCCTCCTGCCTCACCCAGAGGTAACCATTATTCTGACTTCCAGTATCATATGCTGTTTTTATAACGTGTTCTTATTCCTAGTCAGCACTACTTATTCATAAGTAGTGGATAGTTGCCACGTCATTAACTCATCATCATCACCATCATGGTCGTCATCGTCGTCGTCATCATCATCATCATCGCCAGAGCGGCCACTTGGGATTCTGAGGTATTGACAAACCATGCCTGCATGGGACTTTAAGCCTATGTTTTATAAATACCTGCTGTATTTTTCCCCACTATCAGAAAGCCTAAATGGCTGGCATGAGGGGTTCTGTTTGGTTCTAGCACAGGCTGCAGGGGTGTCAGCGACTTTGAGATTTTTTTTCTTCAAGGCCTGCTTGTGCCTTCTGTGACTTGCTTAGTTTTTTTGAATATACATGTGTTATGCTAAACATCCTAATAACCATTGCTGTGTATGTTCGAAAGGGCATCTCACATCCTAACACACGTTGTGAGATGCCCTTTCGAACATACTTTTGCTCTGGTGTTTACAGGAGAACAAATACTAAGGTGCTTGTTTGTCCCATTCCTCAACTTCTTCTTAAAGAGGAGAGAAACTCACTGGACAATTTAAGCACCTGGGTTTAGAGAGAGGTTCTTTTAAGATGACATTGGCAAGGAAGGAAAATGACTATTTTGATTGCTGGAATTTGTGAAGACACCAACAAGGAGGAGAAAAGCTCCACCCGTCTCCCAGAAATACCCTCCCACTCAGTGCTGAACAGCTGAGTCTTGATTATGTAGGCATTAACAGTGCACACTTGGAAACCTGCCTCTCTTCACCCTCTCTCAGTTTAGGTTTTGATTATTTTACTACCACTATCACTACAACCACTATGCTGATTGCTACCACTACTCTTATTATTATTACTAATGGCAATAAAATTATATTAAGTTTCCATTTGCAGTGTGCCAGCCACCACATGAAGATTTTTTAATGTAATTTTCAATTCAGGAACCTATATGAAGGAAAAAGGAAACATTCATTGAGCACTTTTTAATGCTTTGAGTCCTGTGCTGGATGCTTGACATATGACTTTCAGTACAGCTAAAAGATAAGTAGACATCAGGGAATATGCAAGGAAAGCCAGAGCTGGGATTTGAACTCCAGGTTTCTCTGATTCTGAAGTCTGTGTTGTTCCTATTCTAACACAGCCTCACAAAATGAGTGAATGAAGGAATGAATGAGTGAATGAGTGGACCAACCAACCTGGTACACTGAAGCACTAATTTTTAAGAAGTCTGGATTTTAGCCTGGGCGTGGTGGCTCATACCTGTAATCTCAGCACTTTGGGAGGCCGAGGCGGGCGGATCACCTGAGGTCAGGAGTTTGAGACCAGCCTGGCCAATTGTCTCTACTAAAAATACAAAAATTAGCTGGGCATGGTGGTGGGTGCCTATAATCCCAGCTACTAAGGGAGGCTGAGGCAGGAGAATTGCTTGAACCCAGGAGGCAGAGGTTGCAGTGAGTTGAGATTGCCCCGTTCCACTCCAGCCTGATTGACAGAGTGAGACTTCATCTCAAAAAAAAAAAAAAAAAAAAAGTCTGTATTTTAGATTGTGCTAGAAGGGAAACATTCTCTTACTTAAAACCCTAACTACATAATGCCCTGATGTACTGCTTACTTACTTTTGTGTCTCAGATAGCCAATGTCATCTGTCAGTGGTGACACAGAGTTCTGATTGTGAAGTGGATTACAAGTCTTACAATATTGGGTGTCCAATTTCCTCATACCACATATTTGGGTATGTTGGTATTTTATTTAGGATTAATTTTAATGAAATACCAGAATTAATAATTGCTTAAATAATATTGAACTTTATATTTTTCTGAAGTGCAATACATTTGGAGGTAGGCATTTTAGGGCTGGCATGCTGGCTTACAATCTGTTAGAGACCTAGCCACCTTTCATTTTTCTGGTTCATCATTCCATGTGTGAGGCTTTCCACTTTGCAGACCACTATGTGGCAAGAAGGAGGAAGACATAGGCAAGAGTGAACCTGCTATGGTTTGAATGTCCCCTTCACAACTTACATGGAAACTTAATTGCCATCGTGACAGTGTTACTAAATGGCACATTCAAGAGGTCATTAGGTCAGGAAGGCTCTGCCCTCATGAAAGGATTTAATGTCATTATCATGGTAGTAGGTTTGTTAATGAGGGCGATCAGCCCCCTTTTCTCTCTGTCTGGAGTGCTTACTCACTATGGGATGCCTTCCCTCATTTGTGTCATGATGTAGCAAGAAAGTCATTGGCAGATGCTGGTGTCATGCTTCTGGACTTCCTAGCCTACAGAACTGTGAGAAATAAATTTATTTTCTTAATAAATTGCCCTGTCTCTGGTATTCTGTAATAGCAACAAAAAATGGACAAAGACAGTGCCCCTCCCTTAAAGGAAATGTTTCAGAAGTCTGAAACATTGGAAAGGAAATGTTTCAGACACTGTTGCTTCCATCTCACTGGACAGTATTTTATATAGGGGATCCTCATAGTACCTACCTCAGAGGGCCTCCTTGTGAGGATCAAATGAGCTAATGTGAAAAACTGCCCAGAACAGTGCCTGCCATCAGTGTTTTGGCTGACGCTTCTATGGTCATACCTGAAATCTGAGCCCATCAGGCTTCGTAGGTCTTTCCCAAGGACTTATTTTAACTACTATAGTCTTTGTACCCTTCCACTTAAGTGGACAGCAACCAGTGCTGATGTTATCCAGGAAGATGATGATTGTGGATGATGATGATGAATATAAGCTGTAAGTAAATGGCAGCTGCATGCCAGTTACTGGGCTAAAAGCCTTCTTTTCATTATCTCATTTAATCCTTTGACAAACCTATAGTACCATGAAGTAGGTACTATCATAGTCCTTATTTTACAGATAAAAGATCTTAGGCTCAGCAAGCAATGGATTTCCTTGCCCAAGATCCTTCAGCTAGAAGTGGTAGGGCAGGAGTTGGAATCCAGAGGGGACTCTGACTCACACCCCGGGTCTTACTTGGGAGTATCCACTGCCTTCTATCTTTTTAAGTCTCTCTGCCTCTGAATTTCATCTCCTTTTGGAATGGTCAGCCTGGACATATATTTAACAATCCATTTTGACGCTACTATTTATGATGATCCTGATGACTACTGAATTTTCTTTTGACCTTTTTTTCTTTTTTGAGACAGGGTCTCACTCTCTCCCCCAGGCTGGAATGCAGTGGCATGATCATGGCTCATTGCAGCCTCAACTTCCTGGGCTCAAGGGATCCTCCCACCTCAGCCTCCCAAGTAGCTGGGACTACAGATGTACGCCACCACACCCAGCTAATTTAAAAAAAAATTGTAGAGAAGGAGTTTCACTATGCTGCCAAAGCCTGTCTCAAACTCCTGGGCTCAAGCAATCCTCCTGCCTTGGCCTCCTAAAGTGCTGGGATTACAGGCATGAGCCACTGTGCCTGGCAAATTTTCTTTGTTGAAAGCGAGATGCCCAAACCTCGAGCTTACCTGAATTAGTGATGTCTATGTGCACTTCTCCAAAGGAGTTTTTAATTTAGTATTAGATCTTGTAGATGCACACGCAAAAGAGTAAACCGAACAACCCATTTTATCGTCATTTAAATGTTCTCCTGATAAATAGTGATGACAGAGGTGATGATGGTGGTGGTCAAATGTTCTGTTAAGGAGAGCAAGTCAAATCATGCCCATCATTGGCTTGCAGTCCACTGGTGATCTGCAGCCAGTGAAGATTTTGCCATTTTCCCAGAAAGCCATAATTAATTTGGGTCACCCATGGGAGCCTTTTGCTAGCATAATCAGCCCATCACAGTTATCAGCCAGAGAAACAGACCTGGATGGAGTCCCCACCTTGAGCAGTGTTTACAATTTAGTTTGTCCTCTGAAAACATCAGTGATTTGAATCACGAGGATTATACACCCACCAATGTCCCAGAATAAATCTCCGCCTGACTTTTTGCTGGGGGGGCTGAGTTCTAAACTGACAGTTCTTGTTAAGGATAGTTTCTCACTAATCAGTAGTATCTGGAGTTTATGGAAAGAAAATAAAATCGACAAAGATGAAGTGCAGGAGCAAATTAACAGTGCTCAGGAAAATATGAGCAAGGCGCAGTGAGAGGGAGAAAACAGCTCCCAGCCACAGGGCTCGGCTGGGGAGGCCTGCATGCTGCAGGCGGAAATTCAGGGCCCAAGTGGCCCTTTAGCGATGACTCTGAGCTTCTCATCCAGAGAGAAAGACTGTGTTGATCATGATTGGTTGAAATCTCAGCAGATGGTGGTAAGAGCTCTATTTACTTGGATAATTAAAGTAGTAATGGATTTGCACGGCTGATTTCAAGATCTCAAGTCTGCAGATGACTGCCTTTTGGGGCAGACTGGGATGGAACACCTCCTTGCTTTAGAGTATGTGCACCTGACTCAAGTATCAGAGAGCTGGGAGCCAGGGACTGTTCTCAGACATGCTCCATCTTGAGTTGAAGCTTCATCTTGAACACACTGGCCCTCTTATGGGACTGTTCATCCCAGAAGGGGAATCATATTTTTCAGAAGGCAAGATCTGCCAACACATTTAGGAATGGAGATTGTTTTCTGTCTTCAAATGGGACAGACTCAGTTCTTTTGATTACTGTGATAATAA
This sequence comes from Homo sapiens, assembly GCF_000001405.40. Lineage (NCBI taxonomy): Eukaryota > Metazoa > Chordata > Mammalia > Primates > Hominidae > Homo > Homo sapiens. The sequence goes on along the minus strand of NC_000004.12, from coordinate 24,890,526 downwards.
GATTGGTGTCTTTAGAGTTTATTGAGTGCTTTTTCTCACGTAAGTAATTCTATAGAATCCTTCCAACTCTCCTTTGGGTGAATGGGGTGCTGTGGCAGAAAGGGCATGGGACAGGCTTGGGTTCAAATCCCACCTTTGCCTCTTACAAGCTTCATAATTTTTTTTTCCAAAAAACTCTTAGAGCCTTAGTTTCTTCGCCTGTAAAGGGGGGTAATGATGTTTACATTTTGGGGTTGTGATGAGGATTAGTGATTAATGTATGTGAAATGCTGAATCATCTGTTAGGACTGAGTAGGCTTCAAAATGCTGCTGGCTGTTCATATCATTATAGAAAAGAAAACTGAAGCACAGAGTGGGGGAGTGGCTTCTTGTGGTCCCTGTGGTAGGAGATGGTGGCAAACCCCACATCATGTCACTCTAAAGCCCAGGTGCCGCATTGCTTCTATTAATGATGCTTTCCTGTCTGTATCTCCTGAGTTTCCCTTTTGTTAAAGAACGGTCAAGGAATCAATTCTAGTTCTGCAAATGCCACCCTGTAACCCTCTCAATACCTCATCTATAAAGTGGAAGCACGATTACAGGTCCCCTTTGCCTCCCAGGGTTCGGGAACAGGTCTAAGAAGTTAAGAGCTGATAATATGCAAAGGTGCAGTGGGCCTCATTAGTAATAGGGGTGTTAGGGTATTTTTTAGGATTTCTACTGAGACAGATAAAATGAACCACAGCAGTTTTACAGCTTTTAAAGTCAGTCTGACCAAAATATTGTACATGCTTTGCTGACTTCTTACTGCTACACAGCCCACAAGGAAAGCCCTCTGCAACCGAATTGAATTATTATTCTATAATGAAGTAACCAGTGAATCTATCGTTACATTCCATATGTGACAGTTATATGTCATAATGTGTAATTGCAATATGTGAGGGTTGGTGATGCAAGCTGCCTGTCACCTGTATCCAGCAGACCTCAGGCCCCTGGCAACCTGGATGGCAAAGAGAGGGTTTCAGATGCATGCGTAATTTTAGTGCTTCATCCTGAACATATACACAATCTCTGAAACAAACCAGAACTGCAAGGCGTACCGGCAGCATCTCGGCCTGAGACAAGGTTGGATCAGCCTAGCACTGGGGACAGAGCAAATTCACTCTAGGTAAGCCATGATTTTTAGAAATAGATGCTATCTTCAACAAGTGAGAGGTGGTTTCCTAGCCCGTTTATGGCCAATGAGAAAGAAAGCCAATCTTTTTTCCATGTGTTTCCTCCTCATCTTTATAGGCTTGCAAAGGACAGGGGCATAGTTAGTGGAGAATGCAGAGACTGAGATGGTGAGAGGGAGGAAAGGAGAAATAAGAGAAGTGAAAGGATTGAAATAGATATTCAGGCAAACCTTCGTTATTCAAAACTTCGGTTAGCCAAGACTGTCAGTGAATTTCACATACCCCCCAGCTACTGTAGTTCACATTATAAACTCTTCCCATTACCTGAAATCTCACTTAAATTTCAGCACATCCCCTGGGGCATTCAAATAATCAAAGTTTGCCTGTCAAAAGTAATACCGGAGAGGGGGAAAACGGCATGGTGAGTCTGAGAAAGATAGATCATAAAAAAAAAAAAGTCATCTTAGAGAATGGCATTAGAATCATTAAGCTACCAATTTGAAATTGCTGAAATGTTATCTAAAAATTACAGAGGTGAATACAGATTTAGAAAAGGCTGTGGAAATGCCCAGGGAGTCTTGCAATTGGAGGATGGACTATAGGCGTGGGCAGGAAAGGCTCACACCCAAGGTGCGAGGGTGTTAATGTTGCAGGGCTTAGGGATTGCCGCAGGCTGGAGGACTTCAGCAAGATGAATATCAGCATGTGGCCAGCCCCACAGGCATTGTACTCCATAGATAACCAAACCCATGTCTGGAGAGGTTAAATATACATGTATCTCCAAGTGGAGGTTCTGAATGTCTATCTAGGGTTGGTGAATCTGCAGGACTTTTAAGAATGAAGGTGCTGAAAGGAGTGTATACCCCTGTGATGGCAGGGAAGTGGTCCTTTTAAGCAATAAAAATGAGGTCAACATACAAATGTCATTTTGATGATTCTATAGGAACTGTCCTGCATCCTCTCCTTACACACTGAGTTTGTGTAACTGGATTTTTTTTTTCTGCAAAGCATGATGCTAAATGAGATTTAGACATTTAGGCCTAATAATAAATTGATGGCTATCTGACTAAAATATGTAAATCTATCTATCTATATATCTATGTATATATTCAGCTTGGTGGGAACTGAAACTTATTTCTTAAATATGTATTCAGCACACACTGTGGGCCAGGAGCTGTGCCTGGCTCTGGAGATGCAAAGATGAATAAGATGGGCCCTGGCTGCAAAGAGGCCTTAGTCAGACAAGTGGGCAGGTGGGCAGGTGCTGCGATACAGGGTGTGTGAGTGCTACTCTAAGTGTACCCACAGTGCCACGTGGCTCTCACTCTGCCTGGGGGAGTGGCAGAAGCTTCCCAGACAGGGACTCAGGAGCAGGGTGCAGGACAGTGTAGAAAAAGAGAGAGGTGAAGAAGCTTGAGTGTGGGGGCAGCAGTAGGTGGGCTGAACAGGAACATGGAGGGCGGGAGTAGAAGAGCTGATGATGAAGTTGGAGAGGTGGGTTGCAGCCAGATGCTGAAAGGCTCCTGTTTGCAAATCTCCTTAACATCAGAGATTTTTTTTTTTTTAAAGAAGAGTGGCAAGCCCTAATTTACATTCTCCAAAGGGACTGGTACCTGGACTAGACAAGTAGGGAAACCAGAAGGCTGCTGTGATGGTCCCTGCCAGAGATCACAGGGCAGAGCAAAACAGAGGTTCCAGGCATGGAGGGGTGGCTTGTTGGAGGCGGGGAAGGGAGGTTGATTGTTGAATGCTGTTCACCTGGAGCCATTTGTTGGGTGGGAAGTGAGGTATTGCTGGATGGGGGATGGAGAAGAGGGGAAGGCAAGGGCAGTTATGAGTGAGTAGGTGGTGATCAGGGGAGGAGGTACCTCTACAGAAAGAATGAGTCTGCAGCTGAGAAGTTTCTAAATTATTCCTGAACATGAACTCTTTGGCCATGTCTGTTTATCATCTGCTGAGAACTCTGTCTGGATTAGCAGGCATGCCCTTGCGGTGGCTAATGAGAGCTAGACTGATCCCATTAGTAAAAATCGCGAAGGACCAGGAGTCTTTGGCAAGAAGTGACTGCACCCCATCCCCGCCCCCCACCCCACCCCCACTACACCCCAGCTACCTTCATCTCTCAGCAGCAGCTATCTGGCTATAAAGCCACCCAAATAGTAATGTAGTATGTCAGATAGCCATTTAATTATTATGATCTTTTGATCTTTGTTGTAGCAATTATGATTTGCTTTAGGGCAGATAAAAGCCCCTCAATGGCCAATGGTTTGGGCTTTTAGGATGATGAGCACATGATGAGCACAAACTACCCTCATGGTGTTTGTGTGTGGGCATGAATTAACATCGACAAATGAGTTGTAAGCTCTGCTTTAAAAATGTAATTGAAATGCAATTGCAGAGAAATATATTTTTGAGAGAATAATAAAAATATTTTATGATATCTAGTATTCACACCCAAAACTAGGCATATTTTACTGAGCTTATTCCATTCGTGTGTCACTGATTACCTAGTGTATTTGGTGTTAGTATACACCAGCTGTCTTCCTTTCTTCAGCTGGTAGGTGTGTACCAAGGGCAGCCACGTGAGCCTCGCCCTGAGTGTTCCTGGAGCTCCTATGCACTCCTGTGTTTCTGTGTATGATTAATAGAGACTTAGAGGTTAAAGTAAAAGGATTATTATTGAATGATCACCATTTATTTTTCAATCTTTATTCAAAAAACACAAGAAGGGGAGCTTTAGCAAGGTTGAGAAATAAACTCAGTAGCATGGATCCTCCCCAGGTTGGTGCAATGCACATTTGTTGTTTTCTCACTTCCCAGCATTCATTTCTTTTTCTCAATAGCACTTCCAAGTGGAGGGTATTACCACTGGATACAGTCTGTGTACATTAATAACTGTGGACAGATGCCCAGGCAAAGACTCCTCATGATCTGCTTTAGGCTGTTGGAGACTCCTTGAACAGAGAGGCAAAGAGACTGAAATGTAACAGAGTCCAGACTGAAATGTCACAGAGTCCAGTTCATCCCATTTGTCAGCCTCTGACAACCTTTCCTGCAACAAGACCTGGTGGTTGGTGGTTCCTGGTTCCTATCTCCATTGCCCAGATTTGCCTTGCTGCCCACCTGTGTCTGAGTCTAGCTCTGCATTCTCTTGCCAAGTCTATAAGGGCCAGTATCCTTCCAATATATTCCTTTGTTAGAATGTCAGTTACTATTGCTTACACCAAAGAATCCTAATTGATATACCCAGGTAACAGTCTGGCTCTGCCACTTACTACCTTTGTGATGAAGGATAAATTTACCTCTTTGAGGTTCTATGTCCTTCTCTGTAAAATGGGACTAATCTTACAACCTATTTCATAGTGGCCATATAGATTAAATATGATGTTTCAAGTAGAACATTTAGCAGTTTGGAAAATAGTAATGCTCACTAGATAGTGGCTGCTACTGTTACTGTTATAATCAAATGAAGGTCTTCTTATTATTCCTAAGAATGCATGGCACATAGTAGATATTCAAAAAAATACTAATTTCATTTCTCTGTCCCCTCTTCTGAAAACAAACTGAAACCTTCCTGAGCTGGGAAGGAGAGAGAATGTCAGCAGTCCCTACTCTACACATGAACTTGACCAGCAGAATTTTGTCTTGACTGAAGAGCAAAAGTGGAGGCATTAGGAGGATAAAGTGTTTGTCTCTTGGCCCCTCCTAGTGACCAGAAAGTGGGATATTTCCCTGTTTTTCCTTGCTCAACTTGGCCCTTTGGAGTGTGTTTGGGCAGCCATGTGACCCACTCGCCCACTGATGTGATTCCGGCACCAGCCGTCACGGCGGAGGCTGAAACCACGCATGAGTCTGGTTGCCTGGGTAGCACCCTGTCTAACAATACTGCATTAGACACCGTGATCACAGACTGCGTTAAGAAACAGCAAAGCCAGTGTGTTCTCTGTAGGCCTGACAGCTCAGATCAAACTGCAGGATCCAAAGGTGTGTCTGCAGAGTGGATCCTGAACCACAATCACTTTCTCTTCTCTTCTCAAGCTTGGCAGCAAATTCCACCCACACTGTACTGTCCAATATAATTTACACCACAGGATGTCAGGATGAAAGTTTCTTTCTAAGATGATTCTTAATGACACTCCCCCATTCAAAGCCCCTCGGAGCTCCTGACTGCTGGAAGAATACAATCTGAACTCCTCAGCACCACATCCGGGCCCTTTCTGACCTGGCCACCCGTCTGTCTTTCTGGCTTTATCTGGGCACAGCTTGTACTCCCACCCTCCACCACAGCCAGCCCAGGGCGTCGCTCACTGTTCTGAACACACATCTTCTGGCCTCTCACCTTTGTGCTTTGCTATGGCTGTTTCCCAGCCAGGAGTAACATTTTCCCTGTCACTGCCACTTGTCACAGCTCCGTCTATCCCCAACCAAGATGTATCCCTCTACCCCTCCCTCCCGATCGATTTCAAATACCACATTGTCCTCCAACTCCTTGAGCACCTTCTTTGCTAAGCTGTGTCACTCTCTCCTCCATGATAACAATAGTAGTAATGATCATTAACATGCATACAACACACTGTTTTAAATGTTTTACATATACTAACTCTTAATTCTCATACCAACCCTCCGAAGATGCTGTAAATATCTTCATTTAAAAATGGAGAAACTGAGGCACAGAGAGGCTAGGTAATTGATCATGTCGCTAGTGAGTGACAAAGCCAAGATTTGAATTCAGGCATTTTCAGCTCCTCCTGCCGTGTTCCCAACCATTAGTCTAAACTGCTTTTCTTTCTTTTCTGGGAGTTTTGTGTCTCTTTTAAAGTGTTTAGTGTACTGTAGTTAGCCACTATTAGTGAATGATAATCAGCTACTTATTACCATCTATTAGCTATACCCATGCATTGCTTAATGACAGGGATATGTCCTGAGAAATGCTTTGTTATGCAATTTCATCATTGTGCGACTGTACTAGAGTGTACTGACACAAACCTACATGGTATAGTCCGCTGCATCCCGAGGCTACATGGTATGGCTTGTTACTTCTGGGCTACAAACCTGTACAGCATATGCCTGTACTGAATACTCTAGGCAATTGTAACACAGTGGTAAATGTTTGTGTATTTAAACATATCTAAATATAGAAAAGGTGCAGTGAAAATATGGCCACATAATCTTACGGGACCACCGTTGTACATGCCGTTTGTTGTTGACACTGTCAATCTATAGGTGGCCTCTTAGACCTAAGCATTCCCTGTGGAATTCAACTTAGGGCCCCAGGAGAGCTGCCTGTCTCCCAAACAGGACCTGGAAATGAGTTACAATGTATTCTCTGAGCTATGCGGTTACCTCTAGGAGTGTCTTGTTGAAAATACGGTTTTGCTCAACACAGGTAATGTGTTGAACCACTTATAACTAATTTGGTGCCAATGTAGAATAGTAAAAAGAACCTGGAATGTGTAATGGAAAGTTCTGGTTTGAGCTGACAGTTGTTAGTTACGTGTCTCTAGGAAAGACACTAACCTCTCTGAATCTCAGCTATTTTGCCCATAAAATGGGGAAAGCGGTTCTTGTCCCACCTGTCAGAGTGTTGACTGTCAAATGGGAACGTGTCTGCAAAAGTGTTCTGGATGCTTTAAATGCTGTAAAAATCATGTGTTCAATCTTTTTTAAGTTTATAAAGCCTTTAACATAGCACATTTCCTTTCAGGCTCACAATAACCTCAATGTAGGGGGCAGCAGGCGGTGGGCAGAGCAGGGATTAAATCCTCAGAGCTGTGACTCAATTCCAGAGAACAAGTGAATGATTTCCAAGACATAATGGTCTCTATTCAGATGCCTTTTACACCTACTCACTCTCAAAATTCACATCAAACATAATCTCTCAAGCTTTCCTCCCTGCCCCACCCCCACCCACCTGTGCCTCTCTTCGTTCCTTTCACCAAGTATTTGTTGAATGAATGGGTAAGTGTCCAGAGTGGCTTATTAGAGAACAGTAGTTTTCAGACTTTTAAAATGGCGGCTTGTAAGAAGTATGTGCAAATAGGCATATGTGTGTGTTTATTCCTATAGACTTTTCAAATAGAAAAGCTTCAGGAAACAATAATTACCCTTACTGCAGGGGATACACCCTGATATTTTCTGCTCTGTTCTGTACCTTTAAAAAAAAAAAAAAGAAAAGAAAACAAGGGTTGCAACTAATATATCATGACCCACAATTTGGAAAACACTGTCATGGAATATGCTGGAAGTCAGGAGCCTTGTTCTTTGCAACTGGGCAGGTCACTTGGGTTATCCGTGAGGTTTATCCCAGCTCCAGCATTCAGTGCTGACTCTAAAGGATAAGGAAGTTAGGAGGCTGGGGGGACAGGCACGTAAGCATATGGAAGCTTGAAGATTTACTGCATTTAATGCATTTTTAGTTTTTCTTGGCCTATGTGAGGAAGTAGAAATCTAATGAATGCTTAGCTATTTGGGCAATTACTGTTGGAGAAAGGTTTGATTTTAGTCACACATTCATCATCGAGACTGTAGAGATTTGTAAGGGTGAGTTTCCAATAAAAAATTCCATATCTAAAGTCCTTGGAGCCCATATGTGTTTCTCATGCAGGAGTTTTGGGAATCTGAAATGAAATGCAGTACACACACTGTATATTATATGTCATCCCTGGCAGAGTCTCAGGCAGCAGCCAGGGATCAAACACACTGATTTTTCTTCAGCAAATACATGAATATTCACACTCCATGGATAAAGGCCATAGACACCCTCTCATCAGCTTAGGTCACTGACGAGATAGGAACACATTTTCAGTTTTCAGAACCTTCAGGATTCCAGATAGCAGGAAATAACGTTTTGTTATCCAGGTATCATGCCTTTCTTTCCTTTTCAAAATTCAACGATATCATTTATCCCATGAGGGTCCCAATACTTAGCTCAGTGTCCAGTACATAGAAGGCACCCAGAAAATATTTGACTGAATAATGAGGCCAACTATAGCTTACAGAAAACTCCTGTTGCGATCAAACTGCTTTTGAGAAAAGAACCTTCTAGTTCCTTTCTGAGGCCCTTTAGTTTGTCCCATTTCTTAGAAGTGAATGGAAACCTTACTGTTTCCACTTGGCTCCCTCATAAAGAGGAGAGAGTAGTGAGGCTTGTGGATTTTTAAACTTTTTTTTTCCATCTTCCTTCAGGCTTTGCATCTGAGGAAATAAGTGGCAGACCCACTAGTTTTAGAAAAAGTTGTTTGAATCAATAAAACCTTTATTACTATTTGTTCTAGGTCCAGAAAAGTAGCCAAATTCAAATTGTCTCTTTTTTTGTTTCCTTGTACTAGGAATACCAACTAGATGTGGTAACCAACTCCATGAATATTCTGATTTTTGGGGGTGGGGCACAGAATGTTTAGTTTTTCAGGAGCTGGGGTTCCACAGGCTTGGCTCTGTAATGAGCTGGGTTCCAATTCTGGCTTCGCAATCCCTTGGCACATTATGCAAACACTTTCATTTAAGCCTCACTTCCTCATTTATAAAATGCAGATGATAGCACAGTAACTTCATTGCATTGTCCTGAGGATTAAAGGAGATTATACAGGTAAAGCATGTGTTACAAAACCTTGCTTTTTGTCATCAATAGCACTACTAATAGAGATCACATGAACCCTCGTCCTCAGTGTGGTGACTCAGTGGACACACAGCCCAGGGGCAAGTATAACTTTTCTCCCCCCCAGACAGTCCCATTCTTTGATGCAGACCATATGAGTCAGGATGGGTTGAGTTATGCTTCAGTAACAAACCCTCAAATCTCAGTACTTTGACACACCAATAATTTTTTTCTGGATCACACAAAGTTCTCTGTGGACCCGAATGGCTCTCCAGGCAGTTGTCTGCTGTGCTTGCCCCTCCAAGCTCTGTTATCCTGTGGCAACCCTATAGCAACCTGTGCTTCCACCATTGTTGCTGCAGGGAAGGAGAAAGCCCAGCAATTCTCACCTCCCCTCTCAAGTGCCTTCCTTCTGAAGCAACTCACATCCCTTCCAATCCCATTTTATCGGGCAAAGCAGGGTCCATGTTTCTGCTTTACCCAAAAGCAATGGGGATGGACCGTCCTGCCACATGCCTGGAAGGAAAGGAGAACTAGAAATATTAGCAAGAGCCATGAATATTGACCCAATAGACGTTTGGCCTTTTCTCACTCTATGATAAATTGCTGCTACAAACGCAGCTTCAGTCCCAGCACCCTGTCCCACCAAGTGACTGTCCAGAGATTCTGGAAATACTCTGGCCACAGACAGTCTTTGGAAATCATCGAGCCAGCTCTGTCTTAGACAAGGCAGAGAAAGCAAGTTTTGGGTGCTCAAAGTGAGTCGTACCTTCTGGACTGGAGCCCTTACCCCGTGCTTTCTCCTGCACTTTTTACATCCAGTGATATTCGACAGTGGTGTTGAAATCGTGGGTTCCTCAAGGTGGTGAGTGCCCTGGGAACCCCCTCATCTTCCAGGTGTGGAAACGAGTCCTGGGGAGTGTGCGTTCTTTTGGTCCTTTTGTATTATGGCTTTCCCAAGGTACCTGCAGTTCATGATGAGCCCATTGCTGGATCTGCTATCTATAGTTACTGATCTTCCTCTGGGAGCCTAAATAGCCTGAGCACAGTGACTTAGCTTGTCTGGTTTTCCATTCTAATTTGGGTTCCTTCTAATGCCCCAGCCTTATATTTGCTGGTTATTCAAAGCTGCCCACTAAGAAGGATCTTCATGACCTTTTTCTCTCTAGTTTTTTGTTGTTTGTTTCCAATCACAGGGATAAAAAATGGGACATTTTAACAGCTGTCATTACAGGGAATACACTTTTACTTTTTTAGAATGAGGCCAAGAAATTTCACCTCATTCTCCAACACTCCCTTCTCCCCACTTCCTAGAGTTTTCTATTGTTGTTTTGATGAGACATGCATATACAGTCATGTGTCACTTAATGACGGGGTTGCTTTCTGAGAAGTGTGCCGCTAGGCGATTTCGTCATTGTGTGAACATCATAGAGTGTACTTACACAAACCTAGATGGCACAGCGTACTGCATGCCTAGCGTATGTGGTACAGCCTGTTGCTCCTAGGCTACAAATGTATGCAGCACGTTACTGTACTGAATACAAGGCAATTGTAACACAATGATACATATTTGTGTATCTAAACGTATCTAAACATAGAAAAGGTACCACCACCTTTCTATGGTAGGACCACTATCATATATGCAGTCTGCCATTGACTAAAGTGTTGTTATGTACTACATGACTGTATAAGATTTTTGGCTAGAGGCAGTAAAATGTAGTCCATGTTTGTACTTGTTTAGAATCCCAAAAGCTACAAAAGATGGCACAGACACTCACCGGAATGGCTCTGAGACTGTTCCTTGCTTCTGAACTTGTGGGCTATCTGTGGCCTCTCAGTCCCTCCAGACCATTTTAGTTGGTTCTAACTTTTGAGACTGTGCAGCTTGAGGCTTCCAGAGCTTGAGTTTTTAAAGTATGGGCTGGATAAGAATCATCTGGACCATGGGCTAAGAATGCAGATTCCTGAGCCAGGCACCAGAGATTCTGATTTAGTGGGCCTAGGCTGGAGCCCAGGAGTCTGCATTTTAACAAGCATCCCAGGTGATAGCAGTGTTTTCTTTTTCTTTTCTTTTTCTTTCTTTTTTTTTTTTTTGAGATGGAGTCTTATGCTGTCACCCAGGCTGCAGTGCAGTGGCATGATCTTGGCTCACTGCAACCTCCGCCTCCCGAGTTCAAGCGATTATCCTGCCTCAGCCTCCCAAGTAGCTGGGATTACAGGCGCCTGCCACCATGCCCAGCTAATTTTTTTTTTTTTTTTTTGAGACAAGAGTTTCGCTCTTTTTGCCCAGCTGGTGTGCAATGGTGCGATCTCGGCTCACTGCAGCCTCTGCCTCCCGGGTTCAAGTGATTCTCCTGCCTCAGCTTCCTCAGTAGCTGGGACTACAGGCACATGCCACCATGCCTGGCTAATTTTGTATTTTTAGTAGAGAGGGGGTTTTGCCATCTTGTCCAGGCTAGTCTTGAACTCCTGAGACCTCAGGTGTTCTGCCCACCTCGGCCTCCCAAAGTGCTGGGATTACAGGCATGAGCCACCGTGCCTGGCAGAGAGCAGTGTTTTCTAGGGTTCCTTATAGATGCCAAAGACTTGTGCCAGGGTATGGCAGAACTACAGGGAAGATGTCTCACCTTCAGCCAGAGCTCTGCTTCGAGCTACTTTACAAATGAGGCTTCAGCCTAAGGTTTGTCCTGCTGATAAAAATAAATAACATGGCGTAAAATTATTGGGACCTACAGAGCTTCTGCTCTTCAAATCCCGGGCCAGTGGGTCTCAGCAGAGGCCTCTGTGCCTGTTTTCTACCAGGTATCTCAGACCCAGAAGCAAGGGAGGCGTTTTACTGCCCTTCACAGCTTTCATGGCCCTATTTGGACCGTGCCTTGTGAGTGAAATGGCTTTTCTCTTGGACCCTAACAGAGAGCTGTTCAAGGTCAAGGAACTTGAATTTCCACTTTGACAGTCAGCAGCGGCCCTTACCTGTTACCCTTCAATAGGCGGGATGTTCCCGCGGAGCTTACCTACTGCAGCTTCCAATGTCTTCATGCATGAGGATTTTTGTCCCCTAAGTCGGAAGGCACGAGTGTCTTTGGGGCCTCAGGTTTGAATCTGATAAATTGAAGGGATAAAGGTGACTGTCTTTGGGTCACCGATACTCACAGTGCTGACAACCAAGGGTGCTGATTACGGGAAAAGAACTGGAGGAACAAGGGCAGATGTGTTAAATTGTGTGTAAATGGTATTTTTCCTGTGAAATCTCAATACGCCCCTGAGGACACTGCAGTTTGGGTTTCTGAGCCACTCTCCTCTGATATTTACTCATTGGGGATTTTACTCTTGAGAAATCACTGTGGCAACAGAACCATTTTGCCTCCATGAAGACGATGTCAACGTCTCAAAATCCAGGACATTTTAAGGCAGGATTCCAACCTCATTACTGCCAGGAATAAAATTCATCCAAGGTGGAAGTGTCCTTTTTTAGAACTCAAATCCGTCTCAGAATGCCTTTTCTTTCCCCTTTGTTTTTGAAGCTAAGCAATTACTTTCTTTTTTTTTTTTTTTTTTTTTTAGGAAAAAAAATTGTGCAAATGCACAAAACTCTCTTTTTCTCCCTTTCATTTATTTGAAATTGAACTTAACAAAGTCAGTTCCTAGCAAGCACTATATATGAGTAATGCTTTTTGTCCATAAAAGAGCATTGACTCCAGTGGAATGGGAGTGCTGATTCTCGCTCTGCTTTGTGTGAGCGTCCATAATGACAAAGTACTCATGTCAGAGTGTATAATGAAACTATAAATTGTTTTCATGAATGCTCTGAATTTGGTCTTTTACAGGGCAAATTCCAAAGGTATTTAGTGCCACATTTCACATATGTGAATAATACTAGACGGTGCAATATATCCAGTAAAAAGTGAAGAGTCCTGTTCGGGCCCATGCTGGCCAGTATGGTGGGTCAGACTTAGGTGAGGGTGGTTCGTGGTGCAGGAGAGTGAGCAGAGGGAAGGATGAAGAAATCTCATAACTCTGAGGCAAGAATTCCAACCAGGTGTACTCAACTTGTTTGGGAGAATTCAAAATGTGGCTAAAATACTTAGCTCCTAAGATTGGTCTCTGGATGGGGAGTGCCTGCATTTGAATCATAGGAAAAGTTAAACGCATCAGGGCCATGTTAGTGGATGAATTTGCAAGTGAGAAAATAGCTGCTGGGTTTGGTGGGCAGGTGCAATCTATTGTGGTAATTTATGGTTCAATTATTTTTAATAACTTTTTGGGCATTTTTTTTTTACAATAAAAACTACATGGGCCAGGCATGGTGGCTCACACCTGTAATCCCACTACTTTGTAAGGCCAAGGTGGGCAGATCACCTGAGGTCAGGAATTCAAGACCAGCCTGGCCAACAGAGCCTGACCATCTCTACTAAAAATACAAAAATTAGCCGGGCATGGTGGTACGCGTCTGTATTCCCAGCTACTTGGGAAGCTAAGGTGAAAGAATTACTTGAACCCGGGAGGTGGAGGTTGCAGTAAGCCGAGATCACATCACTGCACTCCAGCCTGGATGACAGAGCAAGACTCCGTCTCAAAAAACAAACAAACAAACAAACAAACAGACAAAAAACCATATAGGTTTACTCTGGAAACTTAGAAAACACAGAAAAGCATCAAGAAAAATTTTGAAACCTGGGTAAATAATTTTACTACCAAGAGTTTATCGTTAGTAACATTTTAATAAAATTTTTATTAAATATCTTAATAAAATTTTACATAATCTTATCTGGATATATAAATCCTTTTTAAACAAAATTGGAGTCCAGCTGTCTACCTGTTTACCCATTTATGCAACTTTTTAAAACGTTCTGCTTTTTAACTTACTTGTCCAAGGTTTAGGTTCTGTCATGAGGGCACTGCATGTTAGCGCTGTAGAAGCCTGAAGTACATGTCATTTGCTGAAAAATGTCTCTCTCGGCACATGAGCTCTAAAAATGAGAATGGCAAAAATTCCCCACAGGGTGTGTGAAGTACGGTGTGTGTTTAATGGAGGCCCATGGATGTTTTTGACCCATTGCCTGGATTTGTTTGCTTTGCAGTACCTGGTGTGTAAGAGGAAGCTGGAGAGTAAGAAGGAAGCCCTGCTGATCCTCTCCAAGGAGCTGGACACCTGTCAACAGGAAAGGGACCAGTACAAACTCATGGCCAATCAGCTCCGGGAGCGCCACCAGTCACTGAAGAAGAAGTACCGAGAGCTGATTGTAAGTGTTAGGCTGCCCTGTTCAGCGACTTTCCTGTTCCCTGAATTAAGATATAAAGAGATTTTCACATGCTGTTTCTTTAGAAATGGTTAAATGCAAACAGTTCAAAGTGGAAAAATTTAGAAGTAAAAGTCACCACCTCTATTTCCTCAACAACCCAGTCCCACTCACAAGTTAATCTCTCTCTCTCTCTCTGTGTGTGTGTGTGTGTGTGTGTGTGTGTGTGTGTGTGTGTGTGTGTGTACGTGTGTATGTATATGCTTCTTGCTCTGGCATCTGTGAACATATTCATGTGTGTTTGCAGTAGGCTCCTGGCTTATCCAAGGGAGACAAGTTTCAAGATCCCCAGTGGATGCCTGAAACCACAGATAGTAGGAAACCCTACATATACTGTTGTTTTTTTGATCTCATAGCCAAACCAGCTCCTAAGTGACTAGCGAGTGCACCACGTAGGCATCGTGGATACCCTGGATGAAGGGGTGATTCACATCCCAGGTGGGATGGAGGGGAATGGTGCAAGATTTCATCACACGACTCAGAACAGCATGCAATTCAAAATTTATAAATTATTTATTGTTGAAATTTTCTATTTAACATGTTTGGACCATGGTTGATCTCAGGTACCTGAAACTGAGGACAGGTGGGGACTACTGTATGTGTGACTGTTTACTTGTTAATTTAATTATATAGAGTTCTTTAAAAAGAGGATTCATAAGTCTACAGTAATACAGAGGCCACTAGCTACAGGTGGCTACTTAGTTTTAAATTAATTAGAATTAAGTAAAATAGGAGACTCTATTGCTCAGTCTCAATGTCACATTTCATGGGCTCATGTGACTGATGGCTACTGTATTGGACAGTGTATACAGACAGCATTGCCATCCTTGCAGAGAGTTACATTAAGCCAAATGCAGTGACACACCTGTAATCCCAATTACTTTGAGAGGTTGAGATGAGAGGATTGCTTGAGCCCAGGAGTTTGAGACCAAGCTGAGCAACATAGAGAGAACCCTTCTCAAAAAAAAAAAAAAATTCATGGAGAAATAAAATAAATTCCAAATTTATTTTTAAAAATAATAAAACATGCTGTTTTCCCTCAGCACTTTATTTTGGACATCTTTCTAGGCCTACAGATCTAACTCATCCAGATTTGAATCATCCAGATTTCTAGGCATACAGATTTAACTCAGTCTTTTTTTTTTTTTTGAGACGGATTCTCGCTCTGTGGCCCAGGCTGGAGTGCAGTGGCGGGATCTTGGCTCACTGCAAGCTCCGCCTCCCAGGTTCATGCCCTTCTCCTGCCTCAGCCTCCCGAGTAGCTGGGACTACAGGCGCCTGCCACCATGCTCGGCTAATTTTTTGTATTTTTAGTAGAGACGGGGTTTCACCTTAGTAGAGATGGGGTTTCACCTTGTTAGCCAGGATGGTCTCAATCTCCTGACCTCGTGATCTGCCCGCCTCGCCCTCCCAAGGTGCTGGGATTACAGGCATGAGCCACCGTGCCCAGCCTTTAACTCAGTCTTTTAAACAGTTGCATGGTAATACACGGTGTGGACATATCCATAATTTTTGTAACCTTTCTCGTATCCTGCGCTTTTTTATTTTCTCTAGGTTTTTATATGGCAAAACGTTTAAGATGCAAATGATACTGAAATGGAGAATGCCAACTGCATAATGCTAGTTTTCATTCTTGCTGCTTTTGAGGCGATCTCTTTTTTAAGTGGGACACTATTACTGACATTTAACTATCTGTGCTGGCATTATTAAACTGCCCTGGAGTAGAAATAGAATAGAATAGATTCCTCAGGTTAAAATCGTGTTGACTTATATGTGGACAGCATCAGATATTAGAGTGCTCATTTAATGAGCATTCACTTATTCACCTGAGATATTTGTATTCCCTGATGTGGCACAAAAGGGAGAGGAATCGGATCCTTTTTTTGTGTGTGTGTGTGAGACAGAGTCTCACTCTGTTGCCCAGGCTGGAGTGCAGTGGTGCAATCTCTGCTCGCTGCAACCTCTGCCTCCTGGGTACAAGCAATTCTCCTGCCTCAGCCTCCCTAGTAGCTGGGATTACAGGCACCCGCCGCCACATCTGGCTAATTTTTGTATTTTTTTAGTAAAGACATGTTTCAGCATGTTGGCCCAGCTGGTCTTGAACTCCTGGCCTCAAGTGACCTGCCCACCTTGGCCTCCCAAAGTGCTGAGATTACAGGCCTGAGCCACCACGCCTGGCCAGAATCCTTTTAAGGCAAAAAAACAAAAAAAAACAAAACAAAAAAAAAAAAAAACAAATCTAATAGGACTAGAAGTTCTCAATGTCTTCTTAACTTTGAGCAAATACTGTCCCTCCCAACACTGATTGTTCTGCCCACAGAGAAAACTCTCTCTTTCTCTGTCTCTCTCTTTCTCTCTCTTTTCCTCTCTCTCTATATGTGTATGTGTGTCCCCATCACTGTTCCTTTGGTTCTAACTATTTAAAAGAGGAACTCAAACCAAATGAAATATTATTTCAGTTTAGGCTGTGATCAAAAAGAATTTTGACAAATCCAGTTTTTGTGTTCAAACAATTTTAGGAAATATATAGATTTGGTCCTAATGGGAACTGATTCCCTAGAGGTTTTTCCAAAATAACTCTGGTTCAGTTTGTAGTTATTTTTTTAAAGTATATTTGAGCTTGCTTCAGCACATTACTGGCTGCAGGGTGGGGAGGGTGGGGAGAGTCTACATTTAGGTTCATAATTTAGTTCAACTTCTTGTTTCTAAGTACATCTATTTTTCTAAAAGAGTAAAATGCAGCATTTGTTTCTTTGTAGGATGGAGATCCATCACTTCCTCCTGAAAAAAGGAAACAGGTAAGACTTATTTCTGATCTCAGATTTTTTTATTGATACCTAGCAGCAATTGGGAGGATCAGGGAATCTCAAAATGTAGAGAACTTCCTTTAATTTCCTGGAATTCTTTCTGTTATTGGGAGGAGTAGGTAGAGATTCCAACTGCAAAGAGAAATTCGGAGTGGAGTGAAGGAAACCCAGTGAAGTCTGGTTGGGGGAGGTACACCAGTTGACTGCATTCCCTTTCATGTTGGGAATCCTGATGGGAGATAGAGTTGAGGGCACATGGTTACAGGACTTGAGCTACCTACTGTTCAGTGGGCACGTGCTGTGGGCATATAACATTTGTTGGGTGCATACTGTTCTGTGGGTGCATACTGTTCAGTGGATATATACTGTTTAGTGGGTGCATACCATTCAGTGGACACATACCACTTGGTAGGTGCATATCATTCTGTGGCTGTATACTCTCCTATGGGTACATACCATTTGGTGGGTGCATACTGTTCTGTGGGTGCATACCATTCTGTGGGTGCATACTGTTCTGTGGGTACATACCATTCTGTGGATGCATACCATTCAGTGGGTGCATACCATTTGTTGGGTGCATACCATTCTGTGGGTGCCTGCTGTTCTGTGGGTGCACACCATTTGGTGGGTGCATACCATTTGGTGGGTGCATACCACTTGGTGGGTGCATACTGTTCAGTGGGTGCATACCATTCTGCGGGTGCATACCATTCAGTGGGTCATACTGTTCTATGGGTGCATACTGTTCAGTGGTTACATACTGTTCAGTGGGTGCATACCATTCAATGGACACATACCACTTGGTAGGTGCCTATCATTCTGTGGCTGTATAGTCTTCTATGGGTGCATACCATTTGGTGAGTGCATACTGTTCTGTGGGTGCATACCATTCTGTGGGTGCATACCATTCTGTGGGTGCCTGCTGTTCTGTGGGTGCTTACCATTTGGCGGGTGCATGCTGTTTTGTGGGTACATACCATTTAGTGGGTGCATACTGTTCAGTGGGTTCATACCATTCTGTGGGTGCATACCATTCAGTGGGTCATACTGTTTTCTGGGTGCATACTGTTCAGTGGGTACATACCATTCTGCAGGTGCATACCATTCAGTGGGTGCATGTCATTCTATGGGTGCATGCTCTTCTGTGGGTGCATACCATTTGGTGGGTGCATACCATTCTGTGGGTGCATAATATTCAGGGGGTGATAGATACCATTTGGCGGGTAAATGCCATTCCGTGGGTACATAATGTTTAGTGGGTGTATACCATTTGGTAGGTACATAATATTTGGTGGCTGCATGCCATTCTGTGGGTGCATACTGTTCTGTTTAGGTTCTGCCACTTCACACTCTTAAAAGCCATCTTCCATTAAAATTCACATGCCTTTACTTTCTTTTCTCCTGCACGGTGGCCAACACTGTTTATTGACCAAACCAATGGTTTTACATGCACATTTTTATCATCAAATCCTTATATATATGTGGATCTGCTTCTTAACTCTCTGTTCTGTTCCTTTGAGCTCCCTGAAAAGTCCTGTGGCTCTACCACATTATTCTTATTGTTTTGCTTTATAATACTTCTAATATCTTTTTGGGCTAACCTTCTTCACTTTGCTCTTCCTTTTCAGAGGTTTCTTATATGTTACTTTTCTCAGATAAAACCTAGAAACATTTCATCAAGTTCTTCTCCGATCCTTCTCACACAAATCCTATTGGTATTTTGATAGGGGTTTTGTTAAATTTATAGATTAACTTGGTGTCTCTCTCTCTCATAGATAGATATGTTCTGTGGCTTTATAATAAAAAAAATTTACATTGACTAAGGAGAATCTGATGAATTCCAGTAAGTCTGTTAAGCTGCATTCTTACAGCTCTAAAAATACAAGTTCAATGACATAAACATTGGCTTTGTAGCATTTAAAATGGCATTAAGTTTCTGTCCCTTTAGGATTGAGAGTGTGGTGGTGGGAGCTTGGGCTCTGCAGCCTTTCTGCCTGGGTTGGAACCACTGAGTCACTCTCTCTTATACATGTATTTATGAGAGAGAGAGAGAGAGAATGAGAGAGCAAGCTATTTTCATATATAACTTTGTTAGAACTTTCCTTAACTTTATAGTTGTTCTGTACTGACATGCCCTAAATGACGGCTTTTTATGGACTTGAAGGGAGTCCAGATGATGGTGATGTTAATGCTGTGTGTTTCCCGTTATAGGGAAGCCTCTGTGCCTGAGCAGGACTTTGAAATGGGTGGATGCAGATAGCAACCCAGGAATGATTTGCTCTCTTCCCAGCTGTCGTGGCTAACCCAGCATCCTGCTTGTGCTCATTGATGCTGTACCAGCACCACATGTAAATTCCTTGATTCCATGGGGTCATTGCCTTGAGACTTTTTTATGCTGGTGAACAGTTTGCCCAACACACACACATTTATCCTCAGAGACCAACTCAGTCCTATGGTTACCCATTCATTCATTCATTCATTCAGCACGCTTACTTATACGCTCCCTTCCTTTCTTACAGGATTATTTTATAATGCTCCAGGTTTGATCTAAAGTCACATTTTTCTGTGATGCTCATTGACTTTTTTTCTAAACAAAATGTAGAAATTTATCTTTTTTTTTTTTTTTTTTGAGGGAGTCTCACTCTGTCCCTCAGGCTGGAGTGCGGTGGCGCTATCTCAGCTCACTGCAAGCTGTGCCTCCTGGGTTCATGACATTCTCCTGCCTTAGCCCCCCGAGTTGCTGGGACTACAGGCACCCGCCACCATGCCCGGCTAATTTTTTGTATTTTTAGTAGAGATGGGGTTTCACCGTGTTAGCCAGGATGGGGAAATTTATCTTTAATGTTTAAAAATTGGAGTTCTTAATCTTGAATTGCCAGGTGTTTTGGGTTTTGAGGTTTTGGAGGTTATAAGCAGCACCTTTGCTGCTATTTTAGAGTTAGTTAGTATTCATGAAGGAGTTTTATAGTTTTAGGGGAATTCACATTCCACAACTTTATAATAAAAAATTTATATCAACTGAAGAGAATCTGATCAATCCCAGTAAGTCTGTTAAGCTGCATTCTTACAGCTCTAAAAATATAAGTTCAACGTCCTAAACATTGGCTTTGTAGCTTTTCATACGGCATTAAGTTTCTGTCCCTTTAGGACTGAGTGTAGTGGTGGAAGCTTGGGCTCTGCAGCCTCCCTGCCTGGGTTGGAACCAGTGATTGCTGCACGAGATAGGATGCTTCAGGGTGCAAGTGACAAATTCTAAACTGCTTGAACAATAAACGAATTAATTACCTTACATAGCGAGAAGTTCAGAGGTAATGTGGGCTTTAAGTACTTGATGGTTTATGGCTTCATGAAGTTGTCATGTACTCATTCTCTCCACTGTGCCAAATTTAGCAAGTAAAAATACAGGGCACCCGGTACATTTGAATTTCAGATAGGAATGTAGAAAATTGTATTGTTTTTTAAGTACAAAAGTGTGTGCCATGTGATTTTGGGGATAGGCTTATATTAAATTATTATTCATTATTAATCTAAAATTCAAATGTAACTGGACATTCTGTAGTTTACCTGACAACTCTACCACTTTGCCGACTTAAGCACATCAGCTTCCTCTTACATTTAGTATCAGCTTCCTTCTGTGTCTGGTTCCCCTCAAGAGAAGCAGAAAATGCAGCCATGGAAAATAAGTCCTCCTTTCCAGTCTGGCTGGGCCAGTGTAGGACTTGCTCCCATTCCTGGTCTAATAGCACGCACCAGGGGGCTGCTATACACTCATCGACTTTGATTCATCACTTGGGATGGAAGAGCTGTTAGGAGTTAGCAGTGATGTCCACTAAACTAATTGTGAGGCTTTGGGAAGGCTCCTTTGAGTGTCTTGAGTCTCAATGTTCTCATCCATAAAATGGGGATAAATATGTACCCACTGCATAGTGTAGCTGTCAGGATCAAATGAGACAATGCAAGTAGAGGCCTCAGTATGGTGCCTGGCGTAAGGTGAGCATCCATCAATGTGCAGTGCCTGGCACAAGGTGAGCATCCATCAATGTTTCTCGCCTGCTGCTCCTCCTTGTCATCTCTTTTTTAAACAATTGTATGTTAGCAGGTTGATTCTGTCCAGCACAGCTCTTGGCTGTCAACAGGACACACTGCCCTTGTTGGGACCCTTTTGGTTGCAGTTGCCACTCAAAGTAGCTTGCTCCAAAGACAGGTTCCAGCTCATAGATTATGGGAAGAGTTGGTTGAGCAGCCCTCGTGGGAGACAGAAGTGCAGCTGGGCCCCAGGAATAGCCACAGCAGGGCCCAGGAGCCCAGGCCTCTCCTCAGCTCTCATCTCCTTTTCTGCGCCTGCTTCCTCCTCAGAAGCGGAAGCGTGACTGCCAACTGCAGCTGGGATGGAGCCCCTACACCTTTGGCCGCTGGAAGAAGGCTGCTCCCAAGTTCCAGGCTCAGGCCAATGGCCTGTTTCAGGGTCAGATGGGCATGATCAGGCATGCCACTGATGAAAGGCAGCTCCTCCCACCACCATGTAGAGGGGTGCGGGGTAGACAGTGTCATAGCCATCTGCCTTACATGCCTTCTTAAAACAGTCGCAGGAGGACAGATCATAGCAATCGCAGCCGGTGTCATTGAGTGCTCACTCTTACCAAGTGCCGGCTGCTGTGCTGGACATTTTGCTGTAGATGACCTCATTTAACTCTCACATAGCCGTGTGCGGTAGATACTATTCTTGTTATTGCCATCTGATAAAGGAGAAAATTAAAGCATATAGAGCTCAAGGAAACTACCCAAGGAAGTAACATAACGAACTGGTGATGGAGCCAGAGCTTTGACCCTCTGCAGTCCACTCAGAGCTCACGCTGGTAACTACCATGACTCAGGGAGCACCCATGGGTGTGTCCGTAAGTATCTGGACAGGAGGGGCACGGGGTGAAAAAAGGCAGACCCAGATCCCTGAGCTTGGAACTTGCATTGTAGCAAAAGTGACCGTCCCTTCATCTTACCCAGGACCATTTCCATTGACACCTCTTGTCTTGGGATCATTTCTATTAGTGCCCCCTTTCACTCCCCAAGGTGTCTGGGTTTGGACCAATAATATAGTTATTGTACTAGAGATGCTACGAACAGACAACATACAAAGTAATTAAAATATATAGGTTGTTAAATGGTAATCAGTGCTAAGGAGAGAAACATATAGTCCAAAATTAGGGAGGGAATTCTGACTTATTAATGGGTAAACAAGTGGGGAAATAGCTCTAGGAGTTGGAAAAAAGAAGACTCTTGTCCCTTAAACATATTTTACATTTTTATTTACTGTTAGTTTATTTAAGCATGTGATTGGTTTTAGGGTAGGTGGTAAGGTGTCCTCTTCATAGTTCAGCATGGGGAGGAAAATGCAGCATTAAATTTTTTAGGGGCTGGTTGTCTTGAAACTTTCCGTTTAGCCAGAAGCAGAAAGCTTTGGTTTACATGGGCAAGTATGGAAAGGGAGAGGCACAATTACTTTCTAAACTGCGTCACCAGCAGGAAGGGGATCGAGGCACACACCCTGAGATGGGGTCTCCTGTGTTATGCTAAATATTTATACCAAAGGCAGAACAGCAGGGGAAGTATTTACCTCTCCAGCTGCAAAGCAAAGATACCTTGTATAAGCGGAAGGCACTGGAACAAGAACCAGCTGCCGAGTTAACAGGTGGAGTTAACAGATGTGACCAGAGGTCACGAGATGTATGTATAGGAAAAGGAGAAGACACCACAATGTGCGTATTATTGCCCACTGGCCTTGAAGCTGTGACTTTCGTTTCTTGACCCAGAAGGTTGAATTTCTGTGATCTGAGCTTACTGGGCTCTTCTCCTGTTTGTTTCAGAAGGAAAGATTGCAATGATCGCCCCTTGTTGGATTTTCTCCTTGATTCAGTTCCGTTTCTCTGGACCAGTGGTTCTTATTCTCTTGTGAATCAGTGATACCTTTGAGGATCTGTTGAAAGCCATGGGCCTTTGCTGTAGAACATGCCTGCAAAAAAATTTGCATTCAATTTCATGGAGTCACAGACCTACAGCCATTCTATAGATCCTTGGTGTTCCATGGACCACATTTAAGAGCCGCTGCTCTAAATGTATTGATGGTTCTTCTCAAGTATAGATAGAAAACAATACCACATTCTTAGTCTTTGAAACACTTTGTATTTTTCAGAGACCATGCATATATGCATGCCTGCATGTAATCTCCCAGCATTCTTCTGAGGTCACACTGGGAGGTATGTCTTTCATAAAGGCACAGGGCAGCATCACAGTTAGCAATAAATAAAAAGAACTTAGATTCTGGCATTTAATTGCATGGATTCAAGTTTAACCTTTCCACTTGCTGACTGGGCAAACTGTGTCACCTTTCAAGACTCAATTTCCTCCTGTTCATAGTGGACATGATATTGAGATGTGTTTGTAAAGCTCTTATGAGGCACTGATGTGGCGGTGTTTGTGATGCTCATTGTCTGTTAGTTGGAGAGTGCTCAATGAATACTGGATATTTTTAATTTTTCCTGTGACTTATCCAAGGACACATAGCAGGTTAATGGAGGAGGCTTAGATTCCAGACCCCTCTAGCTTGTAGTTCGGTGCTGTAGTTCAGGCTTTTTGTTCTATATTCGATTCTTAGACTGTTTGAGCTGGGAAAAACCGTAGTCAACATTCAGTCCAGCCCATTTTGGAAGTCTAAAGATTAAGTGTCTTGTTCAAAGCTCTCTGCTTAGGAGTGGTAGAGAACCAGAAATTGAGCTAGGAATTTTTACCTGCTAAGCCAGTCTTCTTTCCTGTAGCAATCAATATATATGCACGTGTGTGTGTGTGTGTGTGTGGGTGTGTGTGTGTGTATATTTTTTTTTTTTTTTTGCTTTTTGGGTCTTCGCGTTAAAGGACAGATGAGAACTTTTACATTTGTAGTTCTAGAAATGTAGTTGTTGAGGCTTTCTTTTGGAACTCAGAATCCTTTTTAAAACAACGAATTTCCGATGGCAAATCATCCGTTAAAGAAGCTGTGAAGAAATTGAGACAACAGTGATTGCACTAATAGCTTCTCGTGGGATATTGAAATGAAAATTTCTTCTTGTGACTTCAGGCAGAAGTGTACACAGAGCGCCCCTTTGCACTGCAGTGAGAGATCACCAAAAGATCTCCAATGACCCTTTAAATATTTTTCTTTTGCTAAACAAGCAGTTCCTGCAAAGCAGACAAAGGGGCAATTAAATTATCTCGGGTTAATTTTCTTATAAGATGGGATTCTTTGAGGTCACAGAGGTACATTTTCCCGGTGAAAACTCCTTGAATAAACAGTCAAACACATCTTTAAGATCTTTGTCTTTTCCTATTTTGATTTCAAGCAGACGTACCACGAAAGGTATCTCTCATGGTCCAGGAGGGAGCTGTTGCCTTCTTGCTTCTAAAAAGTGATGGCTTATTTAGACAGTGACACGCACCAAGATGACAACCCTGGAAAAATCAGAGCATAGAGTGGCCCTTTGTGGGATGGGAAGGAACCTTTCATTTCCATAAAAAGTCTCCTTGGTCAAGCTTATTTTAGTCTCCTGTGACTGCAAATCACAGTGACTTTGTATATATGTCCTGGTTTGTTGCTCAGAACCTAAAACTTCCTTCAAAGATCTCAAGTGCTTTGAGATGTTTCTTTTTATATCACTTTGAATGGTATGATTTTTTCATTACACCAGGGAAACTAGGAAGAAATCCCAGGTCCTGTCCCTAGGAGCACTCCCAAATCATAACAACAGCAACTTTATTGTGAGGACTAATGCACCTTCCCATAAGCCCTTTCAATCCTTGAAACCATTTTGTAAGGAAGGTGGAAGCACCCCCCGATTTATAGATGAGGAAATTTAGGCTCAATGAGTCTAAAGAACTTGGGAGCTATTAATGGAGTCACTAAGTGGCAGATGCAGAATCATAATGGCCAAGATGAAGCAAACATTTATTTAAATAGCAACCTCCCAAGCCTATTCAAAAGCATTTGCCTGTGGGGCCTGGAAATGCATTCATTCACAAGTGTGTATTTTGAGATTACGAGGTGGCAGTAGGCTGCTAAGGTCTCCTTGCACAGCCAAAAAATATGTACGAATAAGCTCTCGGGTGGTTGTTCTTTTTGTAACTAAGAAAGCTGTCGCTATAGCAAAGGTCATCACTTTGGCAGTTGCTGTGAATAGGGGGCCCTTGCTAAGCAAAGCAAGTTTCACTCTATTACTGTTAACACAGGAGTCACCATCAGACCAAAGCAGCAGAGTAGAAATTGCAATTAAATTTGCTGTCAATCACACCTCTCAAGAACCCCTGATGTTTCATCAAACATTTTTTAAATGTATTCTTGCTTAATCTAGTACTTTCCTATATTGAAGGTATGGATTTAAGGGTCTCAGAGTATCAAACTTTTTAATACCATGTAAAAATCTGGTCTCTTTTTCTCATTCTCTTTTTCCTTACTTTTCTTGAGAAAGTGCCTAGGTCAAGGGCTTGCATGTCTGTCTGCGTGTCTGTCTCTCTCTTGTTTTCTTCTAATTTTTGAGTTCCAGTTCTGATTTATATGTCTTCAGATTGAGAGGTATGTTACCAGACTTTCTGGAATACATCATTTTTATATTATGGTGTAGAATAACTTTTCCATGGCGAGGTTACATATACAGTCATTCCTCAGTATACAGAGGGGATTGGTTCCAGGAACCCCGTGTACACCAAAATTCTCACATACTCAAGTTCCCCAGTCAGCCCTGCAGAACCTGTGAATACAAGAAGTTGGGCCTCCATATCCATGGGTTTTACATTCTGTGAATACTGTATTTTTGATCTGTATTTGGTTGAAAAAAATGCACACATAAGTGGATCTGTGTGGTTCAAGCCTGTGTTGTTCAAGGATCAACTGTATTTAGTAAATTCTGAAGATTTGGGATGACTTTGTAACTGTCCAGTAGGTTCATTTTGCTCACTGCCTAGATAGAGCCAATTTATCAAGACAAGGAAATTGCAATAGAGAAAGAGTTTAATTCACGCAGGGCCAGCTGAACGGGAGACCGGAGTTTTTTTATCACTCAAATCAGTCTCCTTGAAAATTTGAAGACTAGGGGTTTTCAAGGATAATTTGGCAGGTAGGGGGCCAGGGAGTGGGGAGTGCTGTTGGATCTGAGATGAAATCACAGGGAGTCGAAGCCGTCTTCTTGGGCTGAGTTGGTTCCTGGGTGAGGGTCACAGGACCAGTTGGTTAGTCCCAGTGAGGTTATCCAGTTGTCAGAAATGTGAAAACCTAGAAAGACATCTCAAAAGGCCAATCTTAGTTTCTACAATAGTGGCATTATTAGCAGGAATAATTAGGGAAACTGCAAATCTTGTGATCTCTGGAATAATGGCTGGTGATTATTTAATGATACCTAACCTTTCAGTAGAATTCAGGCCCCTCTCTTCCTTCTAACTTGGTGGATTTTCATTAGTTTTACAAGAGCAGTTTAATTTTTGAGAAGGGCTATTATTTAAACAATAAACTAAATTTCTCCCAAAGTTAGCCCGGCCCACGCCGGGTGTTAGAAATACCAAAATAGTTAGAAATAGATAATCGGTCCCATGAAGAAAAGTCAGCACCGAGACAAAAGATCTCTCAGCAAGGCACTCTTTACTTTCTGCAGAAAGGGTGCCCCTCGCAGATGGAACAATGGCGAGAGCACACCTGAACAAATGAAAAGCAGATATATTTGTCCCTTATGCATTTGGGTCATCCTTACCGCTGTGTCCTGCATCCATTGGCTGGAGCTGAACCTCACAATCTTAAACTGATACCTGATTTGCTAATAGCCTAAAACTTTCCTAAATAGGTAAGTGCAGGGAAGAACAAAGAAGGAAAGGAAGTTGCTTATGAAAGGTTTAAGGAAGCAATAACATTTCCAAATAAGGAAGGGGCATAACCTATGAGCAAAGACTAGGCTGGGCCTGTCCAGACATGCCTGGGCTAAAGTGTAAGAACTAATAGTTGATAGGAGGCTTTAGAGTAAGGAGCTATTATTCCTAGTGTCTACTATTTTATTTTTAAACCAAGATGAGCTTTGAAGAGGAACTTTTCTACTTTCTGCACTGGGGAATGAGTGAAGACAGCCAGCCTGTGAGGTTAGAAGCCATGTCAGATTTCTCTTACTGTCATAATTTTGCAAAGGCAGTTTCAACTTGCAGGATTGTTCCTGAAATATTGGCCTTTTCCTCTACTGGCTACTGGTCTGAAATATTTAAGGACACAGGTGAAAACATGTGGCCTACCTCTTTGATTCCTATTTCCAGTGTCTGGAATAGCACACGGTTAAAAGGTTTTTCTTAAACTTTTTTGTTTTTGTTTTGTTTTGTGTTTTTGAGGTGACGTCTTGCTCTGTCGCCCAGGCTGGAGTGCAGTGGTGTGATCTCGGCTCACTGCAGCCTCCACCTCTGGGTTCAAGCAATTCTTCTGCCTCAGCCTCCTGAGTAGCTGGGACTACGGGTGCATACCGCCACGCCCGGCTAATTTTTATATTTTTAATAGAGATGGGGTTTTGCCATGTTGGTCAGGCTGGTCTCAAACTCCTGACCTCAGGTGATCCTCCCGCCTCAGCCCCCCAAAGTGCTGGGATTACAGGCCTGAGCCATTGCCCCCAGCCTCTCTTAAACTTTTATCACTTTGTTTTTTGTTTTGTCTGTGGGAGAAATAAAGGTTTTCCTTTCTCCTGTTAGGTTCAGTGACGGGCCTGCAAACTTAAATGACAAAAGACAAAAGCATACAATTTTATTAACATTTTACATGCAATGGGAATTCACAGAAAAAAATAAAACTCAGGAAGCAGTTAGACTCAGGGGCTTATATGCCATTTTAACAAAGGAAAGGGGATTTGGGCTTTGAGTGATGACGAATTGTGGGAAAGCAACCAGGAAATATATGGGAGAAATTAATGAAAGATAAGGGTTATTTTGGTAAGATTTGTTTATGAAGAATATTGTGTCAGGTTTGAATCAGCCTAGTTATGTTAACTCCAACAGGGCCCAAGAGGTTTCACAATGAATCAGTGACCAATTAAATGTTTTCAAATTCACGATTTATTGTGAGGCTTTCACACACCAGCAATCATGTAAGTATATTCAGCGCATAGGCAGTGATGAGAGAGAAGGGGACAAACCACAGCGAGTAGCCAGGGAGACCCACACACCCACAGACAAACTAGAGAGGGCCAGAATTTTCTAAAAATGCTGACCAGCAGGGGATTAACTGCTCTTTTTGGGCAGAACTTCTGGCCGCCACGGCTGGTATCCAGAGGCGGCCTCAAAGTTACCACAGACAGAAGTTCTACAGATGCTTCTCCATGGTCAGTTGCTTTGCTGTTTTTATGGCCCTCCACGGAGTGTGCACACTTACTATCTCAGCTGCCATGTGACTTCAATTTCTCGTCAGGTCTTAGGGTGCCTAGCCACAGCAGGTATTATCACCTCAGACCATTATGCATATGTTTATCACTTTGAGGGGTCAACAGTTTCACTGTCACTTGTCATCAGTGACTTCATTTTGAGACAATTAGCATCACAAAACATTATTATCTATCAAGATTCATCTTGGTGCCGACTGTCTCTGGTGATAGGAGTCTCTCTCTTCTTCCTGGTACTGAAGTGGGTGACACCATCTCAAAGGGAAATGTATGTCTGCTTTTAGACAGAAAAGGGAGTGTAGAGAACTCTTCTTCCTGCGTTTGTTGATTCTCAGTTGCCTTCAGCTCAAAAGATTCCTGATGCCAAAGTGGCATCATTTAGGGTGGTGTATCCTGATTCCCTTCATGTCCATCTTCCCATTTCTTATTACAGCGAGAGAAATGGTATAGAATGGAAACTTTTCTCCCAAATCTGAAAGATTTAGGGCTGTCAGATTTGACCACTGTCAAATATTCGATCATTGAAAATAGGTTCCCTTAACATCATGGTCATTGCCAAATATGATCCATGGTTACACAGATGCTCCTCAGCTTACAAGGGGGTTACATTTTTTTTTTAATTTCAGTAGTTTAGGGGGAACAAGTTGTGTTTGGTTACATGAGTAAGTTCTTCAGTGGTGATTTCTTAGATTTTGGTGCACCCATCACCTGAGCAGTGTGCACTGTACCCAATATGTAGTCTTTTATTCTTCACCTGCATCCCGCCCTTCCCTTCGAGTCCCCAGAGTCCATTGTTTCATTCTTATGCCTTTGTGTCCTCATAGCTTAACTCCCACATATCAGTGAGAACTTAAAATGTTTGTTTTTTCATTCCTGAGTTACTTCATTTAGAATAATAGTCTCCAACTCCATCCAGATTGCTGAAAATGCCATTATTTTGTTCCTCTTTATGGCTGAGCAGTACTCCATGGTGTGTGTGTGTGTGTGTGTGCATATATATATATCACATATTATTTATTCGCTCATTGATTGATGGGCATTTGGGCTAGTTCTATATTTTTGCAATTGTGAATTGTGCTGCTACAAACATGCATGTGCAAGTGTGTTTTTCATATAGTGACTTCTTTTCCTTTGAGTAGATACCCAATAGTGGGATTGCTGGATCAAATGGAAGATGTACTTTTAGATCTTTAAGGAATCTCCATACTGTTTTCCATAGTGGTTATAATAGTTTACATTCCCACCAGCAGTGTAAAAGTGTTCCCTTTTTACCACATCCATGCCAACATCTATTATTTTTTGATTTTTAAATTATGGCCTTACAGGAGTAATAACACCTTATAGGAGTAAGGTGTTATTGCATTGTGATTTTGATTTGCATTTTCCTGATAATTAGTGATGTTGAGCATTTTTTCATATGTTTGTCGGCCATTTATATATCTTCTTTTGAGAATTGTCTCTTCATGTTCTTATCTACCTTTTCTAATGGGAATATTTGTTTTTTTCTTGCAGATTTGCTTGAGTTCCTTGTAGATTCTGGATATTAGTCCTTTGTTGGATGCATAGTTTGCAAAGATTTTTCTCCCACTCTGTGGGTTGTCTGTTTACTCTGCTGATAATTTCTTTTGCTCTGCAGAAGCTTTTTAGTTTAATTAAGTCCCATCTATTTATCTTTGTTTTTGTTGCATATGCTTTTGTATTCCTGGTCATGATGTATTTGCCTAAGCCAATGTCTAGAAGGGTTTTTCTGATGCTATCTTATAGAATTTTTGTGGTTTCAGGTCTTAGATTTAAGTCCTTCATCCATCTTGAGTTGGCTTTTGTATAAGGTGAGAGATGAGGATCCAATTTCATTCCTCTACGTGCGCCTTTCCAATTATCACAGCACCGTTTGTTGAATAGGGTGTCCTTTCCGTACCTTATGTTTTTGTTTTCTTTGTTGAAGATCAGTTAGCTGTAAGTATTTGACTTTATTTCTGGCTTCTCTATTCTGCTCCATTGATCTATGTTGCTGTTTTTGTGTCAGTACCATGCTGTTTTGGTGACTATGGCCTAATGGTATAGTTTGAAGTCAGGTAGTGTGATGCCTCCAGAGTTGTCCTTTTTGCTTAGTTTTGCTTTGGCTATGCGGGCTCTTTTTTGGTTCCATATGAATGTTAGGATTGTCTTTTCTAGTTCTGTGAAGAATGATGATGGTACTTTAATGGGAATTGTGTTGAATTTATAGATTGCTTTTGGCAGTATGGTCATTTTCACAATAGTGATTCTACCTATCTAAAAGCACGGGGTGTGTTTCTATTTGGTTGTGTTGTCTTTGATTTCTTTCAGTAGTACTTTGTAGTTTTCCTTATAGAGGTCTTTCATCTCCTTGGTTCGGCATATTTCAAAGTACTTTATTTTTTTGCAGTTTGTAAAAGGGTTGAGTTCTTGATTTGATTCTCAGCTTGACCACTGTTGGTATATAGCAGTGCTACTGATTTGTGTACATTGATTTTGTATCCTGAAACTTTACTGAATTCATGTATAAGATCTAGGAGCTTTTTGGAGGAGTCTTTAGGGTTTTCTAGGTATATGATCATATCATCAGCAAACAGCAACAGTTTGACTTCCTCCTTACTGATTTGGATGCCTTTTATTTCTTTCTCTTGTCTGATTGCTCTTGCTAGGACTTCCAGTACTATGTTAAATAGAAGTGGTGAAAGTGAGTATCTTTGTCTTGTTCCAGTTCTCAGGGGGAATGCTTTCAACTTTTCCCTGTTCAGCATAATGTTGGCTGTGGGTTTGTTATAGATAGCTTTTATTACCTTAAGGTATGTCCCTTCCATGCAGATTTTGCTGAGGGTTTTAATCATAAAGGGATGCTCAAGGGGGTTACATTCTGATAAACCCATCATAAATTGAAAACATTAAAAGTTGAAAATGCGTTTAGTACATCCACCCTACATCATAGCTTAGCTTAGCCTAGCCTACCTCAAATATGCTCAGAACACTTATATTAGTGTACGGTTGGGCAAAATCATCTAATATAAGACCTATTTTATAAAGTGTAATTTATTCCATACCGTACTGAAACCAAAAAACAGAATGGCTATGTACTCAAACTACAGTTTCTACTGTATGCCTATCTTTTTCACACCATTGTAAAGTTGAAAGATCATAAGTTGAAGCATCATTAAATCAGGGACTGTCCGTATTTTAAAATCTCCCATTGGTTCTTATAAGTTTAAAAAACATGTCACATCTGTAGTGTAAACCATTCTGACATATTTTGCGGCATTTGTAGGGGAATTGGAACGGTGATAGAGGCAAGAGCTAGAGTTCAGAGTGCAGCAGGGCTTAAAGAAATGCTGCAAGATAGCTGCCCTCTCCCATGTGGCTAACCTACCTCGGTGAGGATTCCTGCAAACAGTTGGGAAGAGGTTGGGGGTGAGATCCGACAGCTCTATCAATTTCCTGGTCTTTGCCTTCACAACAGCTGTCAGTATTTGTAGTCATCATCCCTGTCCAGAGAGAATTTCCAGGGCCTCCCAGTTCCCACACCCAGGGCTGGCTTTGGTGAATTGCTTCTGCAGGCATCATTTATAATTGGGGATTGAGTTGTTCCTTGACAAAGGAAGGTGTTTCAGAATGGAAAGCTGTCATATCCTTTCGGCCTTGAATCTCTCCGCTATGTTTTCATCAAATCTCTCTTCCCTCCCTTTCCCATCACAATTTTAATAAACTCCTAGCTAGAAAGAGTGACTTAAATATATGGATTCTACACGTATCCCACTATATTCAACATTCCACTATTATCAGAGCAAAAATGTCAACCTTTAATGTTGGCTCTCGCTTGATCTGAATATTTAAAAGAGGCTTCTTTTTAAACCGTTTTATGTTTTGCTATTTATGCTGCCTCTTGCCCCAAGAGATTTAGAGGAAAGAATCTCTTGGTTTTGTTTTCCTTCCCTGTGAAACCCAGTCTTAGGCAGGCTGCCACTTTTCCCTGACATTTCCTTTACATAGTGCTGTTATTCTAAACTGATGGTCACAGAGTCCTTCTCAGTAACAGTTAGACAAAGTGCTCTGCATAGCTGATAAATTATAAGCAGGCACCGTGTGTTAGCTTGATGGATTGTTATAGTGAATGTGTGTGAGTCATGGGTGTTATTTTTGGTCAAAAGAATCCTGTGAACTTTTCTCCTCTATTTTGAGCACTTTGAAATGTACTACTTTCTTTTTTTTTTGCTGTTCTTTAAGGTGTATGTCAAGGAATTAGGCACCATATCAGAATAGTCATTTTCTAGTTTTCAAAGTTATTGTTTTGGAGTTGAGGAGGTGGAGGGACTGAATAGAAAAGAATTGTATGTTGACAAGGAATCTAGCCTGTTAAAGGTAAAAGAAAATTACAGTCACCTGCTTTGAAGCAGTGGTGCCACCCCCACCCCACTGTACTCCAGGGGCCAAGTTTAAAGCTGGGGTAGATTTACAGTGAACTCACTTGGAGGATTGCGATTTTAATAAACCACTGTTTTGCAGCTAATGTAGAAATGCTGGCTCTTAGTAGATTTCTTTTCAGCCAGGCTCCAGAGTAAATAATTTTCAATAATCACATCACTAGGTCTCTAAATAACTGTTTCCTAAAGCAGCCCTGCCCTCCGTCCTGGCCATCACTGGAATTATTGACTGATTTTTATAAAGTGTCTTCTTTACTCTAGTTTCCATATCCCTAGGAAAACCATTTGAGCTCAGTGCTTTTTAAAGTGAGGCCCAAGGACCAGGGCCAGGCTGCAACCTAATTGTTTCTGGTCCATGACAAGATACATACAGAAATTGAGAGTAAGTGTTCAGAAACTTTTATAGCAATTTGACAGCATGGTTTTATGTCTGTTGAATCTAATGATACACACTTGGGGTTTTATCTTCTTGTCTTCTTAAATTTATTTGCCTAGTAACTCATTTTTATTAGATTTTACAAAAGTATTGATCTAGTATGGATTGAGAAAAGAGAACTCTTTTCCCACCAACAGATTGAGTTGTACTGGTTTACCCATACAGTAGCTACCAATGTAGCCACTGCAGTTACATTGGTCAGTGAATGTCAGGGTCTTCCTGCCCACCAGAGACTAAGGAAATATTGATTTAAAAAGGGAAGCTTAGGGAGGTTGGAGATTTTTTTCCCTTGTCTTTTTTTACGTTTTCATTGTTGCCCTTACAGACATTTCTTTGGACCTCTCTTCCGCTAAATGAAGGTTTAGGTGAATTTTGCTGCATCTTCTCCAGATGGGGATGCTGAGATTCACCTGAATGTGCAGTTGGCAGCCAGCTCCCAGACCGAGCAAGCGCTGGGCTGCTCCTCCCGCTGCTCCCCAGGGACAGTCACTGCTGCCCAATGGCCTGGCCCTCCATCTGGTAGGGAGGGATTATGTTTGCTGCCAGGGAAAAGGATCAATGAGCTAATGTCTGGGGAATGTTCTGGAGTTCCGTGGAGGAAAGGCAGAGGCCGCCCACATGTGACACCTTGAGCTAAGGAAGGAGAGCTGTGGATGGAGAGGGGGAACCAGGAAACGAAAATCAAGAATTGAGTCATCTCTCGACTTCGCTGTAGTCCTTGTGGTCAGCCTGCTCTTGTGGCCTTGAGCTGCGCTTTCAAATGGAAGTTTTGAGATGTGATGGGGTGAG
The DNA here is from genome assembly GCF_000001405.40 of Homo sapiens. Lineage (NCBI taxonomy): Eukaryota > Metazoa > Chordata > Mammalia > Primates > Hominidae > Homo > Homo sapiens. The sequence continues at coordinate 24,856,593 of NC_000004.12, read as the reverse complement.
GGAGAGAGGGAAGCCTGTTTGCCTTTTCCCCTGTCTGGGACTTTTTCTCCAAGATATCTACAAGGCTCTCTCTCTCCTTTTTCAAGTCTTGATGTAAATGTGGCCTTCTCAGTGAAACCTTCTGCGGCCCTTTCTTCCAACACATTCTATTCCCTTTGCCTGCTTTATTTTTCTCTGCAGCATGTTATCATCTAGCACACGGATTCATTATATATTCTATTGTAATATAATGTAGTTAATGTAATGTCACCCATTCGATGTCAGTTTCTAAGGGCAAGGGTTTTGTCTGTATTGTTTGCTGCTGTATCTCCAGGTCTAAAACAGTGCCAGGCAGATGCCAGGTGCCCAATAAATATTTGTCAGATAAATGAATGAACAAATAATCAACAATAAAGGGGCAGGATTGCAAAGGAGTCAGCTGTGTCCAAGGAGAGGCCTTCGCTGCATTTACACAGCTCTGTTCACTGAGCGTTGGAGTAGCAACCACGGAGTGGGCACAGTTGAGGGAGGTAACCCACCTTTAGTGAGCCCACACATGATGCCAGGCACTGTGGTAGGCATTCTTTGTTCATTATTTAAAGATCAAATAACTATGTGTTGCTAGCTCTGTCTTACAGATGGGAGACCCAAGAGATTAAGAAACTCCTGTCATGTCACCCAACCCAGGAAGTGGCATGATCAGAATGCAGCCTCTTCTCTCTGATTCCTCCCATTTAGGGAAATTTCCAAAGGCAGTCATTTGTTCACAGTGTCTCATGTTTCTTTGCTTTCCTACCTACAAAATAGGTTTTGATTTTCCTCATCCATCACTAAATTTTTGTCTTAGGAGAACAGAAATCTGGGAAAATTAGAACTCAAATATTACAAGATGGGAGCTTTGCAAATAGGGGGCTGAAAAATTCGATGGAGTTACTGAGTAATGTTCTCAAATAAGTGAGTAGAGATCAGGGCTTGATTAAATCCAGCCAAAGGGGATGAATGTTTTTCTTTTTTTTCTTTTTTCTTCCTTTTTTTTTTTTGAGACAGAGTCTCTCTTTGTTGCCCAGGCTGGAGTTCAGTGGCATGATCTCAGCTCACTGAAACCTCCACCATCTCCACCATCCCAGTTCAAGGGATTCTCCCACCTCAGCCTCCACTGTAGCTGGGACTATAGGCATGTGCTACTATGCCTGGCTAATTTCTGTATTTTTTAGTAGAGACAGAGTTTCACCATGTTGGCTAGGCTGGTCTTGAACTCCTGACCTCAGGTGATCCACCCGTGTCGGCCTCCCGAAGGGCTGGGATTACAGGTGTGAGCCACGGCAGCTAGCCAGGGATGAATGATTTTCTATGCAAGTCTCCATGCCAGGCATTGGTTTCAGTCTTGGTACACTCTTATTATTCCTGATCTCTCCTAGGGAGAGTGCAACCTCCACACTCAGCTTATTGCCTCTTATTTTAAAAATAGTTATGGAGCATCTACTAGGTGCTTGGGAGAGGTCAGTAGAGACAACGAAGTTCCTTGCCCTTCATGGAACTTATGTTTTAGTAAGGAGAGGGAGACAAGGAGTCAACAGTAAGCAATGAACCATGAAGTAAATGATAACAGATGGCAAGTGCTCCAGAAAAAAAGGTAAGGTAGCACCGGGGAAGGTTTCAGTATTAAATCGATCGGTTAAGATGGACCCTGTTGAGACGGTGACCTTTGAGCAAGACTGAAGGAGGTGAGGAAGTGAACCAAGAGGCTCTCTGGAGGGAGAGCATTCTAAACAGAGAGAATAGGGCCCTGGCACTGAAATAGGATCATGCCTGGTCTGTGTGGGGGACCACAGGGAGGTGAGCATGAGGTGGGGAGACCTAGTAGGTAAGACAACAGGATATCCCAACAAATGGGATACGGGAGGTCAGCCAACATGTAATCGTTATCTTCTTTTCCCTTTAATTCTGTTTTTAGTACCCACCATAGTTACATATTCCCCAAAGTATTAGCATTGAAGTCTTTGGAAATTTAGCCATTCCAGTCGGGTTAGTTCCCTAACCTCTCTGGATTTGGGTTTCTTCAGCTGCAGCAGGAAGGGATTCTTTCATATTAAGATCATCTCTAATATCCCTCGTTTGACTCTCCTTGAATGATCCCCCCTTCCAGGAGGCCTGTTTGGATTGCTTACTTGCTTCCTTCCCTCCTTTCTTCATTTATTCATTATGAGCTTTTAAAACACTTGTCGGTACCTGAGCACTGTCTGGAACAACGCACATGGAAGCAGAGGAAGCAGAAAGCAGAGTCTCTGCCTTTCAGTAGTTTGCAGTCTCTTCCTGCTAAGGTTCAGTAAGAATGTGATAAGTCAGGTGAGAATTAGGGCAAGTCCATTAGCAAAGTAAGAATAGTATGGGAGAACAAGAAGCCATGTGAGCGAGGACTGTGAGTAAAAGACTGGAATAGGTAGCTAGATGGGCGGCCAGGAATCCCAGGTTCAGGAAATGTGGGTAAGGGGTGAGGATATGGTAAAAGGTGTCTGCATGCTCTGGGGAAAGGGACCATGAGGCTGTGAGATGGAGCCACACCAAAAGGGGAGGCTGGCTGATGGACTGGCCATGGAGACCGGAGGGACCTGGATCCCAACAGGAGGCAAATCTTAAGGAAAGGATGATGTCATGAAGATGGGAATGAAGGGCGATTATCCTGGCTATTTAGTACTATGTGAGGTAGAATAAGGAAATAAAGAAGGGGAAAACCAGCCCAGGAAACTGTTGCATTTCTTCTGGATCCTGATTTCAGAGATTGTTGCTCGTCACTGACTTCTTCTCTGGCCGCCCCCTAGAATTGTAATCAAAATTCTAGGCATTGAGGTCACACACGAAAGCTCATGAGACAACATATATTTGAAGAATAAGAAGCTATCCAAACAAGAAAATGAAACTTTTTCTATGTTGTTGGCCTGGCCCAAATTTTACAATTGAACTCTATGTCCTTTTTCCAGATTTTTAGTGATAAATTCTCTCTCTCTCTCTTTTTTTTTTTTTTTTTTTGAAATGGAGTCTTGCTCTGTCACCCAGGCTGGAGTGCAGTGGCACAATCTCAGCTTACTGCAACCTCCGCCTCCCGGGCTCAAGCAATTCTCCTGCCTCAGCCTCACAATTTTTTTTTGTTTAAGGCAAATAAGACTGACTCTTCCATTGCTTGTTCAAGTACCCTCTGTGAGCCATTCTGTAAACAAAGAATATCTCCAAATTGAGGTTCATGGCCAACTTCATTTTCCTGCGTGCCATTGTAGTGGTGTGATTCACACACTGGCTGCATTCATATATGTGTTTACTATAACGGGCTTTGTGTGGTTCAACTGGGGTTAGACACCAGCATCCACAAGCCCAATGAAGCCCTGCATTCATCCACTCCTCCATTTCTGATTGTATTTCATAATGTGTTGATATTTCTAGGCTAATCTTGCACAACTATTGAGAGATTCTCAGGACCGAAATAAACATCTGGGAGAAGAAATTAAAGAACTTCAGCAAAGGCTTGGAGAAGTCCAGGGCGACAACAAGGTACTGTGAGTATTTACAGGGAAGAAGCTCTGCTGCAACATTGTGCGTTCGAGGTTTATATATTGCACATCGGAAAAATGTAATGCAGCATTTGTTGAAAAGTTTGTTATAGATTTTTAAATTTATAATGAAAATTCGCAGTTTAGCGTATCTTACCTTTTTACATTCCCTTTGTGTGTGTGCATGCATGTATATGTGTGTTTCTCAGTGGCTCTAAAATATTGCCACAACCCATTGTGGAAGTTTCATTATGTTCAACTTAGTGGTGAATAACACTGTGGTTGAGGGCAAAATAAAACCCAAATGTTATACTTTCGCCCTTATATACAAATAATGGATTTGTGGCTCAGATGATTTGGAATTATTCACATTCGGTTTTGAATTTTAAGTAGTCATCCTACTAATTATGTTCTCATAACCAATTTATTTTATTGCTAAATTTGGCAATTTGTATGGAACATTGCTCAAAATCCACTGCTTGGTATTAATCAAACTCCCCTGTTGGCAACGTTAATTATAAAATATGAACTCATAAACTCCCAACTAAATGTGTGCACTCTCTCTCCCAGCTGAAGCTATGAACAAAAGTACAACTGAGAAAGGAAAGAAAAACTACCCAAGTTTAATTCTGTCCTCCCAAATCATTTCCTGTTTTGCCAAGATTGATTCATTTCCAACTCCTTGCCAGAGGTGGCTTTTGCAACAGAGATGGCTTTGAAAGTGGACTCAAGAAGACTATAGTGTGTGTGTGTGTGTGTGTGTGTGTGTGTGTGTGTGTGTGTGTATGGTGTGTTGGAGGGGAGCAGTTCTTGGGGAAATGTTTTTAGATGTTACCAAATTGCTTGACAAATGATGGTGACTTTCATCATTGCTGGGAGTTGTTGGTTATTAGAAGGAGCCATTATGAAAAATGCTCACTCTTTAAAATATGCATAGAATTGCCTGGGTCATCCAGAGAGCTCTTCCATAATAAGACTTCAGAGAGGATGCTGCATACTGCTGGCTTGAGAGTCCTGACTTGAGGGCATATAAACATCTAGTAAGCCTTCCTTACACAGCTTCTTCTCCACTTAACTGGCCTTAAATTTTTTTAACCTCTTGGATTTAACATAAATTTGAAAACTTAGGCTTTACTATTCCTAGTCATGAAATAGAAGGTGGGAAAGAATGTCCAGGAAAGGCTCTGATTAACACTGGACAAGCTAATCCAGCCGCTCGTGGTTTTATTCATCATTAAAAGGATTTAAACTCCGTAACCTAGGTGTTTGGTCAATAATTAAAGGACAGACCTTCTTACTCACTTCCTCAAGTGATAGCAGGAGGGCAAGATTTTCTAGAGAATAAAACAAAATGTATGCAATAGTTTTCTTTAAGCCCATGAAAATACTAGAGGAGTTTATAAACCCATGAAATACTGAAACATATTTAAGATGTGACTTTTGGATCTGTGACTCTTCTTGACTGACTGATAACATATTTTTTCTATTTTATTTCTTTTTTTTTCCTGAGCTGCTCCTCCCCTCAACTTTCCTAAATATGCTCCTGTCTCATCTTTTGGTCACTTTCAATTCTTTTGCCTTTTAGGTATGAGAATTTTAGGAATTGACGTTTGCAACTGACAGTTCATGGAAACAAAGAGAGAGCAGCCAGGCGTGGTGGCACGCGCTTGTAGTCCCAGCTACTCAGGAGGCTGAGGCCGGAGGATTGTTTGAGCCCAGAAGGTTGAGGCTACAGAGAACCATGATCATGCCAGTGCACTCTAGCATGGATGACAGAATGAGACCCCATCTCTTTCAAAAAGAAAGAAAAGAAAAGGAGGGCATGTGTGTGAGTGTGTTAGTGTGTGTGAGAGAGCATGTTTATGTGTGTAACACTGAGCACAGGTGGTCACAGTCTGAACTTTCTGATCTGCATGCTCTCTGAGTCTTTATTCCAGTACCTGGGCACATTTATCAAACTTTGTCTTCTCACCTTAGGTTTAGAATTTAGTGACTGCTATTCATGGCCTGTAAAGAAATTTGCCTGCCAAAAGGGGCAGGGGAAGATGTTCTATTGTTCAGCAAACCTCCCCATTTCAGTATCTGGCCTCTCTCCCTAAAAAAAAAAAAGTCTAACTGCAGTAAGCCCCAGAGATTCCATTTATTCTCATTTGCCTCTAAAGTTACAGGGCTGGTTTATTTTCAGGCTCATGTGAGTCATGATCATCCTTCCCCCAACCCCCACCAGAGGCCAGATTACTCATTCCATAATGGCACCAGGCTTTCTTGAGAACCTCAGAAGCCCCCGTTCCCAGGTAACTGTGACTGTGTGGTAGAGAATGAGTTAAACCTTCAATTTTTTTTGAATTAATTATGGCACTTTCTACTCCAACTCTTCCATCACTTTCTGCATTCAGTTCTACCTCCTGGTGCCTAGGCCTCCATGATCATGGTGTGCTAGGCCCCCATGATCTGACCCCTACTCATTTCTGCAGCCACATCCTTGCTCCTGGTCACCCTTACTTGAGCCCTGGAGCACTAATTTCAGCCCCTTTGCTGTGCTACACTGCCTGTGGCCACAGGACCTTTGTGCCTGCTGTTTGCTCAATCTGGAATACTCTTCCCCTTTACTTCCCCTGCAAGCTCTGCTCCTCTCCCAGGTCATAAGTCAAATGCAGCCTTCTCCAGCTCTTAGGTGTCAGTCCTGTGCAACCTGCAATGTCCTGCTCTGCCCCTCTGCTTCTCACTTGCGTGGCACCGACAGCCCCAAGGGGAAGCTCTTTGAGGGCCGAATTTCCATCTGTATCCTATAAATTAGCATTCTTAGTTCTTGATAGGTAGGTATTATATAATCTCTATTGAAGGAATGGAATGGAATAAATGAATGAATGAAATGAATGAATAAAGGGAACAAAAAGAAGAGCAAAATGATTCAAGGAAGAGTAAGAGAAAAAGAAAAAAAAAGTATGCAAGAAATAAACAGACCAACTACCATCTGGTTGTCATCAGTACTTTGTGGAGTAAGAAGTAGTTTAGAAATTTGGAGAAAGGAACCAGAAAAGCAAACTGTCCCAACAGAGGGGGGACTAACCCCAGATACATGTATTTGAGAAGCTTCTGTGGAGAGAGCAGAGGGTCAGTTGCTGAGCCTTGGGGGACAAGGGATAAGTGTCCTGCTCCTTGACTGGTTGAAGTCTGTTAAATTCAAGAATACTTAATAATTGCTGTTTTTGGACGCCTAACTCTGAGGCCAAACAGCAGGGCTGATGGCGTCATTTTATGAGTGACTGTTAAAGTGGAAGATTTTTATCTCTGAGTTGCCATTTTAACTGATGACCCTTATCTATATTTTGGGAAGCCCAGATTCTAGATGTTAAGTACGTTTGAAAAACAAGGTGATAGGAAATTACTTGCCTTGGATATTTTAGGGTAGACTAATTTTTCCATTTGTTCAGCTAGAGCCTTGTAACCCTATGGGCCATAAAGCATTTCCAAATAGCCTCCTGAAAGATTTGTTGCCACCCTGGCTTCCAAGCAGCTTAGCTCTCACATGGGGCAGGGGGCAGCGTTCTTGTGCCAACATGGGCGTCCTGTGATGGGGGGAGCCTGTGTGATTGATTACCTCCTGCTATCTCTGTCCAGTGCGCAGGAATTTCTTAGGCTCCCAAACTAACACAAACTTCCAAGCCAAACCAGATGAGAGATGTGAAAAGGGAAACCTACTGGATACCATCCCCTTCCTTAAAAATTACAGTTCTTAAAGATTAACAAGGTTAGAGGAGCCCTCTGGGAAAAGGAGGGCTCACAAAGCCACGCATTACCCTCGAAAAGCTTTGCACGTTGCCCAGGGCTCTCAGAGTGTCAGTCTATAAGGAATGAGGAAAGACTCAGGCAGTGCTGGGGCCACAGAGACAGTGGCAGCTCCCCTTGGTCTGCCGCAGAGGTTGGCCTGCTTCCTCTTCTGGGCGTTAAGAAAAGAGTGGATTCAGGGAAAGGGGATCAGGAGGAAAAAAGGGGTCTCGGAGAATTTAAGGATTAGTAGGTCAAACAGCAGAACTAGCAGAGGACATTGGAATCACAAAGACAGCAGTCCTTTCTTATCTGGGGGATACTTCCCAAGACCCCCAGTGGATGCCTGAAACCTGGGTTAGTGCAGCTCTCGGTTGCCATCAATCAGAGCCCATTTCTCTTCATGTCTTCTACCTACGAATGTAATGCCTTTTCCATCTTCACTGAGCACTTATGCACTGTGGCTGTAGCTTTTGTAGTTTGAGGTGCGGCAGCAAAACTAGCACAGATTTCTCTTTCCTTCTTGACAATTTCATGGATAGAAGATTGGTTCTTATTGCAGATCTTAGCAACCTCAGCATATGATTTTTTTTTTCCTTAAGTCGAGAACTTTCACCTTTTCACTTAAAAGAAGCAGTATGTGGCTTCTCTTTGGCATGTCCAAGTTGCCAGCATCACTGCTCTTGTGTTTGGGGTCATTATTTATTGTATTTATTTATTTATTTATTTATTTATTTGAGATGGAGTCTCACTCTGTCACCAGGCTGGAGCACAGTGGTGCAATCTCAGCTCACTGCAACCTCCGCCTCCCGGGTTCAAGCGATTCTCCTGCCTCAGCCTCCTGAGTAGCTGGGACTACAGGCACGCGCCACCACGCCCAGCTAATTTTTGTAGTTTTAGTAGAGACGGAGATTTACCATGTTAGCCAGGATGGTCTCGATCTCTTGACCTCATGATCCACCCACCTCGGCATCCCAAAGTGCTGGGATTACAGATGTTAGCACCGTGCCTGGCCGAGGCATTATTAAGTAAAATAAGGGTTCCTTAAACACAAGCACTGCAATACTGTGACAGTTGACCTGATACCTGAAATGGCTACTCAGTGACTAAGGGGTGGGTAGCGTAGACAGCATGGACCCTGGACAAAGGAAGGATTTGTATCTCTCCAGCAGGGCCAGGTGGGACAGACTGGGACACGAGATTTCATCATGCTACTCAGAATGGCATACGATATAAATCTTATGAATTTTTTATTTCTGGGATTTTCCATTTAATATTTCCAGACCACGGTTGACCTCAGGTAACTGATACCAAGGATTAGGGGGACTACTATACCCTGAGGTGTGCTCCTGAACCAGCTATTTGAAAGAAGCCTGACTTGTAACATTTTGCCAATGTCTGTGTGATAAATACTGGTACCATGACAAATGTCAGGTTACCAAAGTGAAGTCACTGAACTTGGAAATATTTGGACTCTAGGAAAAGATAGCTCCAGCCTGTCTCTGTGAAGTGGAGCAGTGTAGTGCAGCCCAAGAGGTCCACCTTTTAAGATTGTCAGACCCAGGTTTATGTTCTCGTTCTGCCAGTTATTGTCTGTGGCCTTTGGCAAGTCAGTTTTCTCTCCAGGCCTCAGTTTCCTCATCTGTAAAGTGGCAATAATAATGCCTCTCATCGAATTGTTTAATCATTTATTCACCACATCATTTAGTCCCCACATAATTGGGGACTTCCTACATGCTAATTAACTTTCTAGCATCTGAGGACACATCAAAGCAGCTGAGGACACATCAAAGGATAAGAAAGACAGGGTACTAGCTCCCATGGTACTGATATTCTAGTTGGGGAGTAGATAATAAGAAAATAAAATACGTAAGTAATTTCATCAGACAGTGCTTAGTCTGAGAAGAAAAGAGAACAGGACAATGAGATTTAATGATTTAGGGATGGACTTGCATGCAATATCGTTTGTAAAGGGTGTTGCATGGTGCATACCACCTAGCAAGCACTTAACAGAGGGTAAGTGTTGCTGTTGTCTTTAGCATAACATGCGCCCATATTGACTTAGAATCCACTTGTGCAAGAATTCCACCAGAAATCTTAAGATCTTCCTCTCTATTGATCAGCTATTTCCAGTGAACTAGATGTGTCCCCCCAAGTAGAGACAATGATCCTGGTGAGACACCTGGCATGTGGCAGATGGATCCCCAAAAGTCAGCCCTCCTGATCACCAGCCTCGACTTCGCCAGCATCAAGCATTATTGCTTTGGTGCCAAGCTCCTGGGAACTTTCTTGCATTTTGTGTGCTCCTTGTGGAATAAGCACCTAATAGGATATGCCAGAAGCGGCAATTCATGTTCCCACTGGGACAGATGGCAGTTGGTCTTCTTGTCTGTTTACTTTAAAGATTATGGTACTTTCATGCAGAGGACCAATAATACAGTGCGATGTATTCAAAAGCAAGGAAGTTTGCGGTAGGCAAATGCTCCTACCAATGTCACACATTTACACTTCCTGGGCCCCTGCTGGCAAATTTAAATTTAGCTGTTGTGATATTGCATAAACACAGGGTTTTGCCCTTAATAATGAGCTTTATGTTATACCAGCTGAAGGTCTTTAGGTACCTCTGTTTTATCTGTCATTGGTGCCGTGAAATGATAGAGACCTTCTGTGAACATACCTCTATTGACGTGGGACTTTTGGATGAATTTGGTGAGCAAACCAATTAAGATACAGCTACAGGCCAATAAAGACAGACCAATGAGTGTGCAAGTGACTAATTAAGGTACACTTCGTTAAAAAGGAGTGCTCAGCTGTGGATGTTTGTCATGGTCCAGGATGAGGGATCAGAGAGCTCTTTGGAAGCTGTTTCACTTTATGCTTCAAAAGGAGCAGAGAGATGTCCTAGCCTGCAAGAAACTGAAGTAAAGATGGCACTCTAATGAAAAGCTCTCGCCTTGGGGCACTATAGAAATTAATTATGAGGAATTACAATGAGTGAGAAGGGCCCTTCACCGCACCCCACCTCCCTGCCCTATCATGTCTTGCTCTACCTGGGATCTTGATTATGAACTATAGGCAATGCTCAGCGAGTCCAGCAAGCGGCCAGTCTAGTTCAGCAGTGTCTAATGTTTTATTCATAAGTGAATTGGATACACTTGGTCTTCCGATACCTCATTTGAGCCTGTCATGGCTTACATGAGCTCATAGTCTGGGTAGACCACGTGACCAAAACAGCATGGTTTTCAGATATTCATCCCATAGACTGTGGACATAATTACACTTCCTAGTGGAGAACTGATTCTGAAAGATATCTCTGCCCAAGACTTATTTTATCATACACCATATCCAAATTACACACTAAAATGAAAATAAATCAGAGCTTCTTTAAAACTGCTTGATGGGACACTAAAGATTTTGGCTCTGGGAGCAACATGTGCTGAACTATCTGACAGTGATTCAGGGGCTTCTTAGCTGTGTAATCTTGGGACAATTGCTTGACTTCTTCGTGCCTTAGTTGTTCTCATCTGTACAATGGGGATAGCAGTAGTACTTGCCTCATGGAGGCTGGTTCGGTCAATTCATTTCAACATGTATTTGTTGAGGACAGACTGGTCTAGGGCTAACAGCAAACAATATCAATGAGTCCCTGCTCCCATGGGAGTTTCGTTCTAGTGGAGGCAGATGGACAGTAAGCAAATAAATCATATTTCACAGATTCCAAGATGCACAGTTTTTCACATTTGGACATCTCTGGTACAGTCGGTATTGTGTAGTTACGACTGGCACTTTTTATTCTTTTTAGAGGTGCACAGTGGTGGCTCTTAAAGTTGATGGAGTCTTATATTTGATGAACTGCGGTATAATATGTCAGGAGGTGATACGTGCTAAGTAAAAAACTAAAGCAGGATAAGGGGCTAGAGAGTGCAGCCCAGGTGGGGCAGGGATGCTGTTTGTATCAGGTGGTCAGGGAAGGCCCTCTGCGCATGTGCGTGACACAGAGCCCTGAAGGAAGTGTGGTGGGAAGGGTCAGATATAGGGACATGGGGTGTGAAGTCCAAAGACCCTGTGAGGGGAGCGAGCTTAGGGTGTCAGGGGCTTGGTGCGGGAAGGCATGCCGTTTGCCTTTTGTGAGGATTAAATAAAGAAAGTTCTATAAAGCACTTGACATAGAGCACATTCTCCAGGGGAGCTGCTGTGCAGGTATTGTTGCCACGGTTGTGAAGAGAGGCAACGCAGCATAGACTTCAGAGCCCTGAACTGCCGGGCTCAATTCCTGACTGCCATTTATAAGATTTGTGACATAGGCAAGTTCCTCCACTTCTCTATGTCTCAGCTTCTCATGTGCAAATAAGGATAGCAACAATACCTGCCAAGGGTGCTTGGTGGACTTAAATGGGTGAATGGGGATCAGCACCTAGGATAGTGCATGGCATGGCACATTAGTGCTAAGTGTTACCTGGCCAAAAGCTTTGGGCCCAGGGCACTGTGGGCCACTGATTTTTATTTTTATTTTATTTTATTTTATTTTATTTTGAGATGGAGTCTCGCCCTGTCATCCAGGCTGGAGTGCAGTATGTGATCTCGGCTCACTGCAACCTCCGCCTCCCGGGTTCAAGCAATTCAACTGCCTCAGCCTCCTGCGTAGCTGGGACTACAGGTGTGCACCACCATGCCCAGTTAGTTTTTGTATTTTTAGTTGAGACGGAGTTTCACCATGTTGACCAGGCTGTCCTCGAACTCCTGACCTCAAGTGATCCACCTGTCTCAGCCTCCCAAAGTGCTGGGATTACAGGTGTCAGCCACCATGCCTGGCCCGGCCCATTGATTTGTACATGGTTCCCAGTGGGCCACAGTGCCCTCAACCTGAAGCTTTTGGCCAGTTAACACTGGCCTCAGAGCCATGTGCCAACCTCTCAGGGGGTTCTCGCTACTGTAAAGAGGAGATGACAATGTCTGCCTCTGAGAGTTGTGGGGAGCACAGAATGAAGGCTTCCTATTTAATAGATCTAAGAAGCATTTGAGGACGGGCTATGGTTAGCCAGACACGGTTGTGGAGGACAAGGTGTTTCAGTGCATATGACAAGCAAGGTTCATGCCATGATGGAGCTGAAGTGGGGTAGACACAAGCAGATGAACGCGATTATTTCTGGTAAGTATGATGAAGACAGAGAGGCAGGGCAGTGTGGATTGAGAGTGGCTTGGGGATGAATGCCTCTAGTGATAATGTGCAGAGAAGGCTTCTCAGAGAGGGGAGATTTGATCTGACCTGAATGAGACAAAAGAAGCGGGTTCTGGACAGACCTGTGAGTGGGCTCTTCCAAAGGCAGAGGAAGTGCAAAGGCCCAGGGACAGACATGAGAGTGGCATGTTTCGGACAAGGGAGGGAAGCCGGCATGGCTGGAGCACAGACATAGGGGGATGGTTAGAAATGGGGTCAGGAGGCAGGTAGGAGCAGGTCATATTGTGCCTCTTCAGCCCTAGTAGAGGCTCTATGCGGATCTCAGTGCTGTGAAGTGCCACTTGGGGGTATCTGTCAGTGGTCTAAGGAAAGCTGCTAGCACACTGCTCGCTTGGACTGCATTGGGAGCTTGTTAACTGGGAGACATCCGTATACACACTATTGAGTGTGTGCGTGTTGATCTCCAGGGTAGGAGGATGAAAACTACTGTTTTGATTTGCTTTGTTTTAAGTGACAAATTATTTTGTTTGAAACTAAAACTGGAATGTCATATAAATCTAGGAATTTGGACTCTGGTGTACACAATAGGTGGCCCACTTGGAGCCTTTTTAATCTCTCATGTCCAGTTTTTTTGAAGGTATTTGCAAAAGGTCAGGGGGCATTTGGAGAGGATGTGGAGGAAACTAACAGGAAAAGTAAAGAAATAATAGGCAGGGTCTTGTTTTTGAGTTGCCCAGTACAGTGCCACTCCGGATGAATGTTTAATAAATGCCTTTTGGTGCTGACCTCTCCCCAGGTGTGCTATCTGCAGCAGTACACGGGGACTGGGGGCAAGAAAGGGCTAGCATCCACTTCCTGTTAATGATTCTTTCATCTGACCCTCTCGATAGCTCTGGCAAATTGACAGCTACTGTGTAAGAATTGTAACTATACCAACTGTAACTGGGGATTGCACTTTGAAAGCTCATGAAGTTACATGGACAGTGATCATTGCATTGTATCTTCCTATTGTGGTAAAGTGATCTCCACAGATGGAATTGTGCAGTGCACAGCCTGGGCAGCCATACATGGCTGTCCTGTCTGCAAGATAGATTTTATCCATTTTTTTTTTTTAAACAAGTCACATGTAGCCCACCAGGGTTAGAAGCTTGCCAAGGGCACATAGCTAGGATTAGCAGAAGCTGGATCTGAACGGAGATGACACCCGGAAAATAGCTGCTCCTGCAACTGGCTGCCTCTCACTGTTGGGTAAAACAGATTCAGGTAAATGAAAATAGGATGAGGTAGAGAATGTTGAGGACTGTGAGAGACGAAGGCTAAGAAGAGATCAAGGAAGGAGCAAGTCATTCTGACTTGGGAGGCCTGGACAGGCTTCATGGAGGACAGACTGAGCAGGCCCTTGGCAGAGTTGGGGGCAGGACACCCAGAAGCCGTTTTACCACTTTGTTTTGCAGCCATGTCCCTCAGCCACTTCCCAGCTGCAGCTGCACCTCATCCGCAAGCTGACGACTCACACCCATAATTCATTCATAAACATTTATTTCTATCTAAATCAGCAACTGAATGCGTCTATTGGTGGCGGCGCGGGTGCTGTGCAAGGCACTGATCCACTTTGTGGGTTGGCACAGGGAGGCTGGCTGTGCAGTTTTGATGGCCCTGTTTGAGGAAATTAAGTGTCCTGAGCGGTTGCTTCATAGCCATTTTCCAAGGTGGAAAATCAACATCATTTGCCTGCACTACATAGATAAGGTTGGCTCGGGAGCTCTGCTTTCTCCAGCTTAGAAGAAAGGTGGGACTTCCCTCGTGGGCTTCTGTGTGGGGAAACATACATGGAGGAGGAGGAGGATGATAATTACAATAATCACAAGAGTCCCTAACATTTATTATTTACTTATTAAACACATTATATGCTCCAGGGCCTGTGCTAAGTATCAAAGAGAAGTCCCATCTTTTCTTACTTAGGGTTAGGTTCTGAAGTCAGCATGTAAGAGGCAGAAACTTGTATGTAGCCAGAATTCCCCCTGATGGTCCTTTGAAATTGTCCAAAACTTGCATGGTGTATGTATGCTTTGGAATAGCGGTATTATGTAAAAATAGAATAGTGTGACTTTGCATAAATATATTATCAGTCACTGTCACCCCTCACTCTCCAGCAGGGATATTGAGCATAGGAATTGGGAGAATCACCCAATGTTTTGGTTTATTTCTCTCTCATCCTCTCTTTCCTCCTCTTTTTAATCCCCAGACTCATATATATGACTATTTGAACTCCCCTGAGTTCAGTGTTCATTTAACTCAACCCCACTCTCTCACTTCATGCCTACACTTTTACTGCTGTGTTTTTGCAGAGAAGGATACTGAGACTCCAAGAAGTTCAGACAAGTCCTGAGGTTGCACAGCTCACAGACTGTGGGGCCAGGATGCAGGCCCTAGGTGGGCCAACTCCAGTGCACACCAGCTGTCAGCTCGGAAGGCAGGAGCCTTCTCCCTGGGGCTCTGCCATCTCCTCTGCGGTGACGTCCTTAGACCCCCTCAGCTGACTGCACTTAAGCTTCAGACACAACTAATGATCCAGCTATTACCAACTTGGGCCTCACTTTTAAAAATAAGTGTTTCAACCAGTCCAGCCCTGAGATTTAACAGCCGATATTGTATGCACATTAAACACCAAATGATTGTTAACATATTTATTGAAGCTTAACAGGCATCCAATATATAAAAGATGACTCTTATATGGCTGTCAGACCTCAATAAACATGTTTAATAATTAATTGGCATTAAGCAAACATAATTGTGCAATTCTAAATTAAGTGCTCAGTGAAGCATATTGGGAATGGAAAACCACAGTGTTTTATAACTTAAAGTTCAGGCTGTCAGTATGGCTTTTTATAGACCAAGAAAAATACCCTGCTTTTGAAGACACGACCTGAGCCTCCTGTTGGCCTCATACTGAAAGGCAGGAGTTTTCTTGTTCCTAGACCCTCAGATCTGATAGACATTGTTTTGTTTGGCTTGTCGTTTGCCTTCCTGTGTATCCACTTTTGGAGTTCTGATGTCCCAAGCCAAGAGTTGTGTGATGTGATAGAGTTTTTGCATATCAGCTTTCAGTGGAATGACCAGTTTTGCTACAAATTTGTTCTGTGAAGTCACTGCCAACTACTGGATTAGTGAATACTGAACCATTGCTCCTAGAAGAAATGCAGGGTTAGGTTCCTGGAAGCCTCTGGTCACAACATTTTTGTCAACTGATCAATCATAACCTTGTTTTATGTGTGTCTCTGTTTAACATCACCTTATTTGACATATACAGTTAATTCATGAACATTGAACTGAGTTCAACAGCACTGTCACTCATGCCTGGAGGAAGTTTCTCTAACACTCATATTGTCTCCATAAGGCACTTCACAGCCTTCTTGCACTGATAACACTAAGTGCAAGCACTTCCAGCACTTTGGCACTATGCGTGGGGGCCACATGAAACAGCAAAGTCACCAGTGAAAAGCACAAAAATGTGACAAATGTGGGACGCTCACTAGATCATGAAAAGGACATTTGTTTACAATCCAAGGGCTGAAACAAGAAGGCAGAATGTGGCCTTGTTTGACCTCCGTGGGAACGTGTGTGTCGGGTGACTGTAATTTTTTGCCACTCTCTGCATGTCTGACAATGACCATGAAAGCACTGCAAATATTGATTTTGGGGTTAAAAATAAATTTCAGCAAGTAGGCAGATTCACAAATACAGAATCCATGGATAATGAGGATCGCTTATAACCAGATTCCAGCAAGTGCAGCCATCTGCACATCTAAGCGTCCTGCATCTTCTGCCTGCCTTTGCACGGTCTGTTCCACCTGCCTGGGACACTGTCCACCCAGTCCCAATGGTGCTTTTGCTCTTGGTAGGGACACAGTAAATATTTGTTGAGTTCAACTGAGTAGTTTTCAAATAAGGACCCAAAGTAAGTGTCATTTGAAAATGCACTTTACTTTTCTTTAGTCATCATTTCTTTCAAAGTTCCTTGCTGTTATTTATTATTTCAATTTAGTTAATATTCTCCCTTGGCTTAAATTAACTTCCTATCTCTCACCTGCCCATAAATCCTTCAGAGACTCTGAAAATTAAGCCATTTTCTCGACTGGCAACGAATCCCTTAAGATTCATGCAGGAACAAGGAAGAGATTGTCCCCCACGGGCACTCCTGGCTGGGTCGGATCTGTGTGACAGTGAAAAACTGTCCCCAGGATCCCATTCATATATGAAACCCATCCACATCTGCCCTACGGGGAGGTGTGGAATCAGACTTAAAACCTCCATAAAAGAAACACTGGAAAGTGCTGCCATAACTTTTGAAAGTCACTCTTCAGTGGCAATCCTTGGAGTTGTGATGGGCAGATAGGGGATGCTCTGAGACCACTGGGGCCTTCTTGGGCCTCTCACACAGTTTCCATTGCAGCCCCACCTGGAAGGTTTGGAGCTGCAGGTGGGTCTTGGCTCTGGAGTCCAGGAAAGCTATGGGTTCTTCAGGGATCTTTTGGAAAATTATGTTTTGGAAGACTGCAATTTTATTCCTGAGGATATTAAAACATAAATAAAGGCATATTATGAAATTCATGCAGTGAATGAAGATTTTAAAAGTTAGAAAGTAAAGGCCGGGCACGGTGGCTTATGCCTGTAATCCCAGCACTTTGGGAGGCTGAGGCAGGCGGATCACAAGGTCAGGAGATCGAGACCATCCTGGCTAACATGGTGAAACCCCGTCTCTACTAAAAATACAAAAAATTAACTGGGCATGGTGGTGGGCGCCTGTAGTCCCAGCTACTCGGGAGGCTGAGGCAGGAGGATGGCGTGAACCCAGGAGGCGGAGCTTACAGTGAGCCAAGATCGTGCCACTGCACTCCAGCCTGGGCGACAGAGCGAGACTCCGTCTCAAAAAAAAAAAAAAAGTTAGAAAGTAAAAAGCAGATAGCAGCAGTCTCACCATCACCGAAATACACACATTTTTAATATTTGGGTGCATTTGGTCATTTTCTCTCTTTCTCTCTCTCTCTTTCTCTCTCTCTCTCTGTGTGTGTGTGTGTGTGTGTGTGTGTGTGTGTGAGAGAGAGAGAGAGAGAGAGAGAGAGAGTTCTTAGTATAATTTTAGTCATACTGCATAGAAACGTTAGTATTCTTTTTTCCCCCACTTAACATGGCATCATAGACTTGTTATCTGGTGTTACCTAGTTCACATAAGCCTCATTTCAGACAGCTGCAAATTAGCCACTTGGTTGGTTGCACTGTAGTTTGCTAAACATTCCACTATTGTTAGACATTGTTTCTAGTTGGTTTTTTTTTGTTTTTTTTTTTTAAACTCTTTAAATAACAGTGCAATCTATTTTTTCATTTTTTCCTAAAGTTAGCAGTCTGGGATTATTCTTAGCCCAGATTTTCAAAAGTAGAGTTACTGGATCATTGGGTAGGGACACTTTTAAGGCTCTTGATAATGTCAC
This sequence comes from Homo sapiens, assembly GCF_000001405.40. Classification (NCBI taxonomy): domain Eukaryota; kingdom Metazoa; phylum Chordata; class Mammalia; order Primates; family Hominidae; genus Homo; species Homo sapiens. The sequence goes on along the minus strand of NC_000004.12, from coordinate 24,838,636 downwards.
CTCATTGTTACGAGTGTGGGAGAGTTCCCATCTCAGCAGATCTTCCAGCATTGGGTTATCATTTTTGAATCTTCGCTAAATTTTAATGGGAACCAGAGTTTGTTTCCTCCCAGTGGCAGTGCTCCACCAGACATCCAGCCTAGAGTGCCCAGGCCTTAAACAGTGTGTGCATGTGTACACTAACTACAATCTATATTTTTAATTTTTTAAAAAATGGATGATACTGGCAAGTAATTGTTTTGTGCTTTCTCCAGTATTTCTTGAAAGTATCTTATCTTCCAAAAGTTTCTTAGTGTCCTTTGGTTTTTATTTGGATCTGTTTATTCTCTGTGCCTTTTTCTTTTTCTACCAATGGAAAATGCAGCTCTTGAGGATGACGATTGCCAAACAAAGGCTCGGAGACGAAGCAATCGGCGTGCGACACTTTGCAGCCCATGAGCGTGAAGACTTGGTGCAGCAGCTAGAGCGAGCTAAGGAACAGGTTCTCACTAACATCTATTCAGAGTGGGGGATGCATTTGCACAGCTGGACACAACACAAACAAGAGTGGACTGTGCCCCTCGTTTCTCAGAGTATGGGGTGCCTGGGATGCACGTTGAATGCTTTTACTTCCTCAGCACTGCACTAGGGTCCCAAGCTGACTCTTGGGTTTCTGGCCTCCAGCAGGCAGGTCTGCTCCCTGCTATTGGGTACCATTGTTCTGAACACAACAAGAAACGTTCCTCCTAGCCAGGATAGACAGGGAGAGAACAACACGTGACAAACTGGCCTTACTTTGCAAGTTTCTGCTAAAATGCTGAGCAGTGCCTCTTAGGCAAAATCTCAACAAGTGCAGAGCCCTAGTTAGGTAACAACTAAGAGAGCCTAAAGTTCATTTTCTTCCTCTTACTAACTGAAGAGCAGAACAAGATTTCTGGGTCTAGAGTGGATTTGAAAAAGTATGGATTTGTAAGACACTGGCAGCTGCAGGGCATCCTGAAGTTGGCGAGGGTTCAGTTCTGGTTTTCTAAGCTGCTGCACCTCTCCTGTCTTAAATATAATGAATGTCTGGCAGGAAGTCATCCCTCGCTTTTAGCTGTTATTGTATTTCAGTGTGTGGCGCTTATGGCTTTAGGGCATGCGGGTAGTGTTAATAAACTCTCTAAAAATCAGTCAACCAAGTGGGAGGCTCCATCTCTGGCCATAAAGCTGGAGCCTGAGGAACATCTTGAGTAAGGGCTCTCCCTGTGGTTTTAGATTGAGTCTCTGGAGCACGACCTGCAGGCTTCTGTGGACGAGCTTCAGGATGTTAAAGAAGAACGGTCTTCCTACCAGGACAAAGTGGAGAGGCTCAACCAGGAGCTGAACCATATCCTGAGTGGGCACGAGAACCGCATCATTGACGTGGACGCCCTGTGTATGGAGAACAGGCAAGTGGCCAGGCCCAGGCCTGTGCGTGGGAGGAAGGCTGGCTCTGCACAGGCCTGCAGGCTGGGAGTTATTTGCAGCCCTATTTATTTTGGAGAAAATTGCCTTACAAGTGAAAAGAAACTCACTCCCCCGAAATGATGACATCAATGCCATGTATTAGTTGCAAAAGTGAAAAAGGAAAGCAGCCCACACCTACACAGTGCACACATCTCCCTTCTCTTTCCCTACACCTTCCTTGGTAGGTTGAGAAGGGCGAGGAACCCATGAGAGTTGCTTGTTATTGCCATCAAGGAGAAAGAAAAGAATAAGAAAATGAATTGAGAAATTCCCTTAGCCGTTTCTTTTCCCTGAGGCAAATTTCAGTGTGTGTGTGTCTAACTTAATGTTATGTCTGGTGTCGCCTCTTCCTGCCTCTCTTCCCAGTGGAATCATCTTAATGAGAATTATGTGAAAACTGTGTTGATATCCCTTAGGGAATCTCTGCGAGGGCTGTTTTAAAGTGGGTTGTCTGTGATTTGGGCATGTTTGACCTTGATTGCATTCATTTAAGGAAAGGTCACAAAGATGCACATGTTTCTCCTCTCTGGTGAGCAGGCAAGGTGTTATGTGTAAAAGATAGCTCTTCTGGCAAGTGGTTTTTGTTTTTTCCCCTTATACTTCAGTGTGTGTTTTTTATTTAGCCCTTAAACACCTCCTAGTTTTATGTATTCTTTTTCAGGTACCTTCAAGAGAGATTAAAGCAACTCCATGAAGAGGTCAACCTCTTGAAATCAAACATTGCCAAATACAAGGTAGCAAAATCATGATGACAGTGATGGTGATTGACTATTGTGCATCTAAACGTCATTCTATTTTAATTCCCTTCTATGTGCCAAAGATATTTTAGTACTTGCCTGCCCTCCCAGATAGAGTCTAATAAGAGCTTTAACTGGGGTAACCAGTACAAATTAAAATCCCAAACAACAAACAAAACCAAAGCAGCTTTTCGCAAGAGCTCCTTCTGTGGCTGTTATCTGAGCAAGGCATGCCCACTCAGGATGTGTTAGCGCCTGGTATAGCCTCTCCACTAGAATCTGGACTTGCATATTGCATAGCCTTGGTCCATTTGCAATTAGGTTTCTTACCCGTTTTCTCTATAACATGTTCACTCATCAGATGCTATTTCTGTCGTAATCACCCATAAGAAAATGGTTTCCGAGTGATGAAGAAACAAAGATTGGGAAGGCACAGTCTAAACCATCATGTTCATGTCACCCTGCAAGGACAGAATGTTTAAATTCTCCCCACTGTTAGTTAGTCTAATTCCAGCACCATTAGTTTGATAATATCTATTTCTGCAGATGTTAGTTGTAAGTGTTATAATTAGAAAAATCTCCTGGGTTTCTCTGCTTGGAAAGTAGATTGATTTCTCTTCCTGAGGGTGAAGTTTTACAGCCGTCTAGATGCTTGGAAGAACCTTATTTTCCTGGCTTTTGACATTAGCATTTGTTCTCACAAGTCTCCGTGCTGTTCTTCCTTTCCATTTTGTGGGAGCCACACATTATACCAGTCTATCTATATGCATTCAGCCAAAGAAGGATATAGCTCTTAAAGTTGTATAATTAATACATAATTTTTAAAAATGTGTGGATGCATTCATTTAACAACATTTATTCAGTTCTATGTGCCAAGCACTGGCTAGATGCTACATATCAATTTTAATGTAAGTCTGTTCTAGGAATGACATGTAGGTGGCACATATGTACTTCCTTAATCTGTATCCACGGCAGACATCACTAATTGATCATGGCTCTCTTTTCTTCCAGAAATCACCATTGGTGCATGGAAATAAACCTAGTCACCATCTCATGTCTATTCAGAAGGAATTTTCATTACTAGTGACTTCACATGTTAGGCTGCATTCTTGTTTCAGATTTGATTTAATTTAACATGTATTAAGTGCTTTTTGTATACAGGGGACTGTAATTGCTATCATTCTGCCATGCACCACCTTTATTTAAAAACAAACAAACAAACTTCTTACCAGGCCGTAAAAATTATAACTCTTGGGCGTAGACTTGGAATTCTAAATATTAGGCTAGCACTTGGAGTTTGCAAGGGGTTCTTGTGGGCCGATGAGAGAAGGCATCTGCTAGGTACTTTTCCATTGTTGGCTTTTCTGACGGGTTTTTATTCTCTCCCAATCCTGTTTTAGAATGCTCTGGAGAGACGGAAAAACTCGAAGGGCCAGGGTAAATCCAGCAGCAGTGCTCTGACAGGAGTCCTGTCTGCAAAGCAAGGTAGGATATCATGCTCCAGGAGAGACCGCTCATGAGCGTAAAATACTAGAGCTGCAAGCCCACATCCCATCCAGGCTGCTGCTTTTGTGGTCTGGGAACTGAGGCGATCCATAGAACAGTGGCTCCCCGACTTCCACGTGCATCAGAGTTGCCGGGAGGGCCTGTTAAAACACAGATTACTGGTTCCACTCCAGAGTTTCTGATTCAGTAGGTCTGGAGTACGACTTGAAAATTATGTATTTCTAAAAAGTTCCCAGGTGATACTGACGCTGGATTAGGGACCCCACTTTGGGAAGCACTGCATTCGAGGTTTTTCTAATCACTAGACCCCATTTGGGCATATTCCCCTAGACTGTGTTCTCCTTTCCAGAATGTTCCCCGTTTCCTAATCACCAATTCAGCATCTCCAAGGGTGCGTTTTGACCTCCTTGAATTTCTTCTTTTCCCGGCCTCTACGATCAGAAAAGTCTCCTAGCTGCTGAAATCATTTTCTCACATAACATGTGCCTTTTTCGAAGAAGCTTTTATTGATTGCAATTTTTTTCCTCCTTCTTGTCGATTCCAATGAAAAATAATGATCTTCCAGGAACAGTCCAGGGGAATAAATAGCAGCACGCTGGCTTCTGACACTTAATATTCAGAATTCAATGCTAAACATAAGTCTCGAGTCGAATATGCTCAGCTGGCCCACTTTTTGGTTGTTGATAGTGCAGACCAGCAACTATCATATGGCAGTCTTAATCAGCACTACAGTGGCTTAAAAAAAAAGTGCTGAGTCTCCAGCCTACATAACAACCAAGGCTCTTTTCCAAGCAACTTCTTTTTTCCACTCAACCAGAAAAGAACACCCTAGAATTGTTTTTCAAAAGAAAACTACAATACTCTATAAAAATGTGAAGTAGCCCATCTAAGTTTAGCTCTGGATACCATATATAGCAAACCATCTTTGAATGTTGATACCCAGTGTTATCACTGATGTGGGGAATGCCAGCCACACTCAAACACTGTGGCAGAACCATAAATCTGGCACAGCCTTTCTAGAAAACCTATGATGAAAAGCATTCTATCAACAATCTGTTGGTATTAGTAAACAAAATCTATGACTCTCTGACAACCTGCTATGAAAAGCCTTAAACTGGCCCCCTTTGAACCAACAAAAAACAATTACAGACATATGCAAACATTTTGCTACAAAACAGTTCTTCATACATTACTTATAATAAAAAATATTGAAAACACAATAAATGTCCAGCAGTAGTTAAATAATTCTACATGAAAACACAGTAAATGTCCAGCAGTGTTAAATAATTCTATATCTTTTTTTTTGAGACAGTCTCACTCTGTTGCCCAGGCTGGAGTGCAGTGGCGTGATCGTGGTTCACTGCAACCCCTGCCTCCCAGATTCAAGCGATTCTCCTGCCTCAGCTTCCTGAGTAGCTGGGACTACAGGCGTGTGCTACCATGCCCAGCTAATTTTTGTGTTGTTAGTAGAGACGGGGTTCCACTGTGTTGGCCAGGCTGAGCTCAAACTCCTGACCTCAGGTGATCTGCCCGCCTTGGCTTCCCAGAGTACTAGGATTATAGGCATGAGCCACCACACCTGGCCAAATAATTCTGTATCTATACACAGACTACAAAGCAGCCATCCAATTTTATGTTTTAAGGGATATTAATGATGAATAATATTGTTAAGTGAAAAAAGCCGGGTTTTTTTTTTCATTTTTGAAAATAAAATAAAATTGTGAGATTTATACTGTTTCCTTTTTTTTTTAATGTCTGGTAGGAATATCAGTGGTTGTTGTCCTTTTATTTAACTCTTAGTTTATCTTCCTTTGAAGAGTGCTTTTAAAAAACCCAAAGCAGACTTGAAGAACAGCCACTCGGTGTCAGAAAGGACACATACGCAGGAGCACCTGAGTGACCCTAGGGTAGAAAAAGACGGCGGGAGAAGCAGCAGAAGTTGCAGATGTAGAATGGGGCCATGCTGTGGATGGGGCTGATGGCTTCTGAGAGCAATTTAAGCCATTTCAAGCCCAGCCAAGCATAACTGGGAAAACATAGTTGTAACAGCATCACATGTGAAAAAGTCACAGATGTTTTAATAGATAGTATTGTCATATTATTCATTAATAGTGTTTTATTGCCAAAGAAGCTAAGGAAATCTTACAATCTATTTGCAGAAGTATGGAATTTGGGATAAAGGAGATGATAGTCCTACTATATGCTAAGCTAGTATACCACACTGTAATATTCCTTTATATATTTGTAAGTGACATGCAGACAAATTAGGAATTTTTTGAAAGTGTACACTTTGGAAACCAGAAAAAAAAATAATTTTCTATCAGAGCCATCCATAGATGACTAGAGACTTGTTAAAGACTCATCCAGGGCAGGATATATGCACAAGGGGCAGGTCTCTCTCATATGGGTCTCAGTCCTTCAATGACATGGAACTGTGTGTGTTGTTTGGCTTTCATTTTGAACTTGGCCGTGAATGGGATTTGGCAGTTTGTGGAGTAACAAATATCCAAGAACAGCTAGTTTTTGCATAATGTACTCTTTCCCAATATTTAGATATTTGCAGTCTGCTCTATACCTTTTTGCCCTATCTTTGTGCCACCTTGCTATTGTTTGCTTAATGTTTTTCTTTAAGTCGATTTTAAAGTGACTCATTTTACTTGACCTTATCCTAAGTGGTAGCACCTGTGAAATCATTGGTTTTGTTATGCCATACATAACCTTTTCTATAATACCTTCAAACAAATGCATAGCTACTAAAATACAAAATATATTTTGCACTTTAAATAATCTCCTAAATTATCTTACCACCTGCCAGGGGTATCACACAGTGGGAAACTGACGTAAAGCAAGGTGCTTGGAGCTAGGAGTGATTGTCATTTGCATGGCTGTGTGACCTTCAGCCAATGTTCTTAACCCATCTGTGCCTTGCTTTGTCCATGAAATGGAAAAAAATCAATATTTCATAGAGTTTCTTTTCCCTCAATTTTAAGACTTTATGCGTTAGTCATTATGAAAGTGTTTAAAATAGTAGACAAATGCAAATATTATTATCTTCTTAAAAATTGCTGATGAAAGTCCTGAGAACTTCCTCCTTTCTGTTTAGTTCTCACACTGGATTTTACTTTGTTTTGTTGACACTTGAGGTGGACTCTCAATACAACATAGTAGCATTTTGAAGCTGGGGACATATCATTATCCAAGAAGGATTGACATTGGTTTGCATTCCAGCGTTTCAGAAGAATGACGACTGAGTTATACATTTTGTATCCTATCTAGTTCAGGATCTGCTATCTGAGGATCATGGATGCAGCCTCCCAGCTACTCCGCAGTCCATTTCTGACCTGAAATCTCTGGCAACAGCCCTGTTGGAAACAATCCACGAGAAAAACATGGTCATTCAGCACCAGAGGCAAACCAACAAGTAGGTGGCCAAACTCTTGTGTTGGGGGGTGGGCGCGAAGGAAGTGGGACGAGGCTACCAGAAGTGAATGTCAACCAGCTGGAACGACGGACCTGCAGGGAAGGTGAGACCCCTCAAATCAAGAAGGAAACTTATTAAACTAGAATGGTGCTTCTGCTTTATATCAGCATCTTGGCTATCAGCTGGAGCCAAGCAAGGAAAGGGTACCAGCCATACTGAATGCTTACTCTGAGCTACACACTGAGTAGTATGTATTTCATGGATGAGTTCCATAAAATAATCGCCTGGGTGACTTGACCCACCTCTCCTCCAGCTCTTCTTTTAGGGGAGAAACTGCCTCAGTGCCATTTAAAACTCCCAGCATGACTTTGAGGGTCTTTTAATGGCAGAAATCACCCAAGCATCAACTTCCACAGGCTGCGGGGCCTAGAAAAGAATCTCATGTCACTCTTCCAGATCCACAAAAAAGATGGTGAAAAGGAAGGGTAATTAAAATGGAATGTCTTATCTGGTTTTTATAGCATGTTGACTATGTTGTGTAAAACCAAGCAGGTTAACGTAGCCATTAGAGATGACAGAGGTAATATCAAGAGTGTTCAGAGAATGGTGAATAAACAATAAATTAAAGTAGCAAATACTACACATGGGGTTGGCTTTGTGGGCATGCAACCTGTGCTCAGAAGGACCCCACATTAGGTCTGATCTTCCACTGTCACCATCTTGGAATTCTTAGTCATTGTTTTAACAAGAGGGTCCCACATTTTTATTTTGCACTGGACCCTGCAATTTATGTAGCTGGTCCTGCTTGCAAGACAGACGTACACCTGGAACCAAAATGCAAGTGTGAGAGAACTGAGCGGGGCCTGGAAAGCTAGGCTTCAAGTGACAAAGGGAGGGACCAGAGAATCCGGGGCCTGACGAACGCAGGGGCATGGGAGAGAGGCAAGTGGAAAATGATTGAAAGTATTATAAAAACAAAATAGAAAAAGAGAAGCTGGAGTGAAGGGAAGATTGCACCAGAGATGAAGATGTATGTGGAAGAAAGCGGAGAGCAGCAAAGGGAAGCAGGGCAATCTCGAAGGGATGACACGGGTAATTTATTGACAGGAGAAGGTTTAAATGTTCTTGAAAAGTGAAATCTTAACCAAGGAATGAAAAGTCAGATGCTGAAATGCAGTTGCTTCTCAGGGGAGGAAGAAGGAATGGGCATCCCCTGCAGCACGAAATGTCCTCCATGAGCTGGCTTCGTCCTTCCCTCTCTACAGAACACCTCATCTTTCAAGCCTTCTCACATCTTCTAAACCCTGGTCCATTCTCAGCAGGTCACCACAGTTCCTCATTCACTGAGAAAGTGGGGCTTCTCACCATGAGCCTCTCAACTTGCGGCTGCCCTGAAACCAGTCTCCCCATGTTCTGCTCACTCCTGTCTCCAGGAAGTACACCAGCTGCCATCTTGTTGGTCCATGGGATCTTTCCTCTTCTGGGCCTCTGCTCCCCTGGGACCTCCTGTCTCACCCTCTTCAACCTCCTCCCTTCTTCTGGCTTTTGCCTCTTTGCCCTGAACTCCCAAAGCCTTTCCTAAACCCTGCTGCCTTCCCAAAAATACCACCCAGCCTGGAATGTTTTTGAAGAAGGCCTCCTCTCCTTCCTCAACAGCCACCCTGTCTAAATGTATTCCGGGAGGTCACTTATGTTGGAATTGCTTGGGTGCAGCGGCTGGGGGGTGGGGACACTTGTTTATAAATGCAGAATCAAAGATTTGTGGGAGGGAAGGTTAGGATTCTGGATTTCAGTAAGTCCCGGGTGAGTCCATGCACAGGAAAGAAAGATAACCTTGGCTTTAATGCCTCCCAAGACCTCTTCCTACATTTCCCACGGTATTCTTTCTTTGCAGGTCACCAGTATCCCCAAACTCCACCTTTGAGTCTCTTCCTTCTTTAATTTCTTCACATTGAGATTTTCATCTTGAAATCCAAGTAAGATGGATTTCAAGGGGGAAACTCCAGCCTTCTCCACTGTCTCATTTCCTTTTCCCACCTCTCCCCTGACCCCCACCCCAGACCCACTCCATCTTTTTTCTCCATCTTCTGTGCTTTTTCCCCTACCTGGGAGACCTCATTCCCTGTCTCTGTCTTTGCTTCTCATTCTCTGCAGACTCTTCTCAGATCTCTTGTACCCACCACCCCATCAAGAGCAAGACCAAGACCCACATTTCCAACTTCTGGTTGATGGTTTCTCCAGATATCCTTTCAGCTCCTCAAATTCCATCAGTCAACATCCATCCTAGTATGTTTCAAAAATGGTTATGCCCTTTGACCATCACTTCTTCCTTGGGGAGACCGTCCCACAGCTCCATCCTCAGACCCCAGTCCTACCTCCCCCGCCTAACCCACCTGCCAGCTACAGTTCTGAGCATGACACTAGCCTTCTCTGCAAAGCAGACTGAGTCCCCATTGCCTGCCAAAGACAGCATCCACAGGCTGTCGGCCTGACATGCCTCTGCAGAGGATCCCAGCCTCCTCTGACAGATTGATTCACTAATGTGTTCCTAACCATACCCACTGCAAACACACCCATGCCCCAGGTTCACAGCACTCCCTCCCTCCATTGTGAAAGACTGACATTTTCATTTGACCATGTTTATTTTTGTTTCTATGTACTTTTTCATGTTTATTTTTTAATAATTTTTGAGCCATCCTCTGGGTTTTTTGTTTGTTTGTTTGTTTTGACGGGGTCTTGCTATGTCTCCCAGGCTGGAGTGCAGTGGCACAGTCTTGGATCACTACAACCTCCACCTCCCGGGTTCAAGTGATTCATGTGCCTCAGCCTCCCTTGTAGCTGGGACCACAGGTGCATGCCACCACGCCTGACTAATTTTTTGTATTTTTTTAGTAGAGATAGGGTTTTACCATATTGCCCAGGCTGGTCTCAAACTCTTGACCTGAAGTCATCCGCCCACCTCGACCTCCCAAAGTGCTGAGATTACAGGCATGAGCCACCATGCCTGGCCTCTGTGGTTTTAATTTAATATTAATTTAAGGTTAAATAACAATGTCTTTCCAAACTACTCCCAGCTACCTTAATCCCCTTCCTGGAAGAAACGTCCATTCCTCATTTCTTATATATCCTTCCAAAGGATGCATAGACAGTATAAGCAAATGCACAATATATTTATGTATATACACATACTCATATATTTACATAGATATACTGTCTTTTTTTTTTTTTTACAAACGGTAACTGGTATTCATTTTTTAAAAAGGTTTCTTTTTTCATTATTCTGCATCTTGATTTTTCCCCCTGTAATAATGGATCTTGGAGATTGCTTCGCATCAGTACATAAGTTGCCTAATGTGCCATCTTTAATACTTAGGGGGTCCTCTGTTTCATACTTTTAATAAATGTTTTATTTGGGGGCATGTAAAGAAACTAATTATACTACAAATGGAATGAGGGCTGAGAATAGAATGTGACTTTGGTCTATGTGTGTTCTCCCCCTTGATTTAGCCTTGTGTAACTGAAATAATAAAATAGCTTTTGGAATGCACTGGAAACTACCCTGGTCTCTGTGTGCATGACCCAATTGCAATCTTAGAAAAAAATAATAATTAATTAATTTTAAAAAGAAAAGAAATGGCTTTATTTTGCTGGAGCGTTATACATAGCAGTAAAGGTGTTCCTTCCTGGCAGCGTATGCTCCTATGCTGGTTTTCCACTGCCTGACAGTTACCACCCTTGAGAGGCTCCAACGGAAGCCATCTCGAAGAATTGATGAAGAAACCTAGGACTTTACATCTTGAGCAACATTCAATTAATAGGCAATTTGCTTGAGCTACTTCTTGCCAGCAAGTTGGCAGTTGCCTGGTGATCGAGAAAGAACGGATATGAGGTTCATTTATCTTTCAAACCGGGTGGCAAAGCATTCGTGGACGAGGTGGTTGTTCAAGGGCCATTTCACTGTGCACCACATTTCGTTCTCCAGACCTTCCCCCCAGGCCCATGCCTTACCATGGCGGGGAGGTGGTGGTGAATATATGAGGACATATTGGCCTTTTGCTATCCTTCCTGCTATGCCTGAAACCGTTTCCTCTTCTCTTTCCCTGGCCAATGGTAAATGAGCTTGGAAATTCAGCATCTTGGGGAGCAGCAGCAAGAGGGTGTATGGATCAGAGCAGAGACGTGAAAGGAGGCCACCTGGGGTAGAAGCAAGCAGGGGCGTCTTCAGGCATGTAGAGACACAGTTACCTGCTTCCCCTTTAGAGCCAGGCTTTCCTTAAAGACCTTCACTCTGGTATTCCTGCTGTCTGTGTTGTCCAGAGAGCGAGCACGGTAGTGCAGTTCCTGTGTGAGTTCTGTCTTCACAGACTCCTCATCACAGACTCCTTTGATGATGTCATTACTATCTAAAACCACTGCAGGGAAGCCATCTGGAGACTGGGCATCCTGAGAGATTTTCCTAGACTACTAGGTAGATACATGCTGAAATCTCCCCCAAAGCAACCCATAACTAAATAAAAACTTTAAAACTTTAAAATCTCCCTCATCCTGCAAAAACAAAAAACAAAAAAACCCCAAACCTCTCTCAAGTTTGAGTTTGCCTCGAGCTACTGCTGTTTATCTCCTTCTCTTCCCTGCTAAGCTACTTGAAGAGCCGGCTATATTCACTTCTCCCAGAGTCTGCTTCTGTCTCAGCCCAGTCCCTTGGACTCTGAATTTCATCCCCTCTACTGTCCTGAAACATCCTTCCTTCAAGGGTCAGGCACATCTTCTAAGTTGCCTCTTCTCAACTCCCATCCTGTGTGACCACTTTCTAGAATAAGACAATATTGACCAACCCCTTCTCATCTGCACCCCTCTCAACTTGGCTTCCAAGGTGGCACATTGTCCTGGCTCTCCTCTGCCTCTTCCACGGTTCCTTCTGACTTCGCATCCTCTGGTGGTGAGCTGCTGGCTCTGCTCCCCCAGCCTGCACTCTCAGATCTTTGCCTTTCTTCCTGCATCCGTTGTGTCTGCACAGATCTCCCACAGGCATCTCAAGCTCATCTCCCTCCTCATTGCCCCATTCCTGTAGCACCCCTGCATCCCCACTGGCTTGGTTTGGACCATATCAACGCCACCTGGACGATGCCCTTCTAACTGATCTTTCTGCTTCTACTCACACTCCTTCCACTCCATTCTCAACTAGGCATGAAGAATACTTTGCCTAAACTTCCTCATCCTGCTTCCTTGCTTAAAACCCTTCACTGGGCTGGGCACGGTGGCTCACACCTGTAATCCTAGCACTTTGGGATGCTGAGGTGGGCAGGTTGCCTGAGCTCAGGAGTTAGAACCAGCCTGGGCAACATGGTGAAACCCCGTCTCTACTAAAATACAAAAAAAAAAATTAGCCAGGCGTGGCAGCAGACACCTGTAGTCCCAGCTACTCGGGAGGCTGAGGCAGGAGAATTGCTTGAACCCAGGAGGCAGAGGTTGCCGTGAGCTGAGATCATGCCACTGCACTCCAGCCTGAGCAACAGAGTAAGACTACGTCTCTTAAAAAACAAAACAAAACAACAACAAAAAACCTCTTCACTCTTTCCCCATTGCCAATACAGAAAAGTCTGAATGTTCTCAATATGGCAGGTAGGTCATTCATGGTCTGGGTTCCTACTGGTCTCTGTAGATTCGTCTTCCACTTAGCTCTTCATTTCTGCTCTACAGTTTTAATAAGCATGTGTGTGTTTTTTTTTTTTTGAGACGGAGTCTTGCTCTGTCGCCCAGGTCGGAGTGCAGTGGCGCTATCTCGGCTCACTACAAGCTCTGCCTCCTGGGTTCACGCCATTCTCCTGCCTCAGCCTCCCGAGTAGCTGGGACTACAGGCGCCTGCCACCACACCCAGCTAATTTTTTGTATTTTTAGTAGAGACGGGGTTTCACCATGTTAGCCAGGATGGTCTCGATCTCCTGACCTCGTGATCCGCCTGCCTCGTCCTCCCAAAGTGCTGGGATTACAGGCGTGAACCCCCATGCCCGGCCTGTATTTTCAAGCCTGTGTTTTTGCCTGGCCCCTCTGCTCGCCAGCTGTGTAAGCCTGGGTGAGTTAAGTGACCTTTCTGAGTCTCAGTTTTCTCACCTACAAAATAAGGCTAACAAGAGCTGACGCATCAGTTGTTGCAGGACACCAAGGGAGCATCTGTGCATGCCTAGTATAGAGCAAGTGATTAATAAATGCCAGCTGTTATTAAAGCCTTCCACTGCACCGTCCATGTATGTTTTTGTGTGTATGCATCGGTCTGTCTCCCACCAGACGTTTAGTCTCTCAAATGCAGGGACAGGGTCTCCTTCTCCTCATTATCCCCTGCAGCCTGTAGCATAGTGCTTTACAGAGCTGGATCTCAGGAACTGTTTGTTGAATTGGTCAAACTAAATTTAACGGACTCGGCTCCTGCTCTTCTCTCCACCTATCCGTGCTGCTGGCTGCTAAAATGTAAATAGCCCCTCTTCTCTCCCTGGGCTGCGTCATACCAGGTTCAGTGGGCTCCCTGCCACGTTCTTTCAGTGTGAAGCTAACAGAGATCCTCTTTGCCATTTGAAGCATTGTGGCTTGTATTTTGCAAAGCAACTGCGGGCACATCCATGTTTCAACATGAACAGTTTTTAAGGAGCACTTCAGGCAGACATGAGAAAGAATGTGACAAGGTTGGTTTTAAAGTGCCATTATGGGGTATTGGTTAAGAGCATGTGCTTCAGAAGCAAGTCCAGGCTTACATTCCGATACAGCCTCACCACCAGCTGAGTCTTGCCTATGGTTTTGGTCAAGTTAACTAACTTCTGTTCCTCAGCTTCCTAATGGGAAGAGGGGAGTATGGTGGATGAGATTGCTGGGGGCTGGGGAAAGACAGAACTTTGAGATAAACTGTGCATGCTTGGGCAAGTTGCTTAACCTCTCTGTTTCTTACAGTCCACATGTAAAAGGAGGATAACAATACCATGTACACCACAGGGTTTTTGCCAAGTTAGATGAGATAACACAAATGAGGCGAGTGTTCAGCATGGCCTCTGATGTGTATTACGGACTCCGGAAAGATTAGTTGACTGTTTGTGTTAACAGTAATGCAGTTGCTATTGTTGTTGGTGGTACTATTGTTATTATTTCTACTGTCATAACTTCTACTGAGTCCATTTTACTACCTCCAGCCCTGCATCAGATGCTGATAAGTGTCAAGTCAGAGAAGAAAGCACTGACAAACTTAGGCAGGGGCCCTGAAAGTAGATTGCTGGGGACACCAGGAAATTCACTTCGTTCCATTTCTGAGAGAGATGGCTGTGTTATCCCGAAACATCAGAAAAAATATAACCCAATATCTCTTCAGCACACCTTCGAATGCTGCTCAGACGGCATCCCTCCACCTCCACGGAAGAGTTAAGCCTTATCTTTTGTTTCCAAGAAGCAGCCACCTACAGATGATCTGATCTCGTTAAGAAACAGGCATCAACTTGAACAGTTGTGATTGCATCTCAAACTCATCAGCTGGTGAAAAGGGAGCTTGGATCAGAAGGTCTGAGCAAAATATGGAAAGCGAGATTACAAAGGATAGTGTCTATTGAAGGGTCAGGGACATGAAAGCAAAAGAGACCCAACAAATGGAATGAAAATGGAAAGTAATTGATAAAGACTGCATAATTTTAAGACTTAGGGAAAAGAAGAAAAGAAAAGCTCTAAGTACCTAGATGGAAGAAAACCACATAGAGTAATTCCAGAGTTTTCTGTGAACTCAAAGGGAATATTAATTAAGATGGTACAAGTCAATTCAGGTAAAACAAGGATAAATCCACAGCCATATATATGTGTAGAAATATACATATTCATGCCTCTGTGTGTATGTGGGTGTGTGTAGCTATCTCTGGAATATAAAGAGAGATAGGAGAATAATTCTAGTGTTCTGATTTATCTTGCTGAAAGGAATTGAAACTTTGCTATTAAGGTGATTTCCACATAATTTTAGCACAGCAGTGCCAAGAAAATCCCCCAAATAAAATAAAGACTGGTTTTTCAATTTCCAGCCCAATGGAAAGTGATTCAAGTTTTAGAGGACTATTAAATTATTTCCCAACTATATTATTTTATAGAGTGATGTGGGAGTATGTATGCCCACATGTCTATCCATGCATGTAGTGAAAGTTTGGCTTCCAAGTAAACAGTATGGTCTTTTCAAATACACACTTTCTAGAACTTGTATATCTTAGTGACTCAGAATGGTCACCTTGGAGAACAATGTAATTATTCTAATGATTCTGCAATTACTGAAAACTCTTTTGAAATATCTCTTTTCATTCTTCCCATAGCTAATTATGAGTCATGAAAAAAGAAAGGCATTTATTTAATCAAATATATTTATCAAATACTTCCCATGTATCAGGCATTGTGCTAAATATCAAGAATGTGGACATCAGTAAGACATGGGTCTAAGAAGGCTGATGGTATTATGTATTGACTTAAAACAACATTACCAAGCATGTCCATCCATCTTATTTTTTAGACCTGGTTATTTCCAAAAATCAGATCCACCCTCCAAGAATCAAGATGTGATATTATTAAGGGTATTCAAAATTTATTGTCATCTTTGCAGTGAGCATTTCTCAAATAGAAATTCCATCAAATGATTTGGGCAGCGGTGGAGTCATCATTTAGCTTCCCAGGAAAACTACCTTTTGGGAGAGGACTCACTTTCATGGCATTTTAGTATTGTTTTTAATCATTCACTGTACTTTCTATTTGTATATGCACTTTCAATAGAGCACATATTATTTACACACACATACATACAAATACTCCATTTTTTGCATATATCATAAATCTCAACACTTTTCTACTAGGGCACCAGTGGGATTCCCAGGGCTGGGGGCTGACAGGATGCTCAGTAATTGATTGTCATTTTCTCCCCTTTTTTCAGAATCCTAGGGAATCGGGTGGCTGAGCTGGAAAAAAAATTAAGAACTCTGGAAGTTTCTGGTTTGTGGAGTCTTCCAGGTAAACAGAACCTCATGAAAACAATTTTCCTTTTTTTTTTTTCTTTTTTTTAAGAAATGAAGCTCCCACGTAATTTACAAGAGTCTTCTACCTCTTTAATGTCCTTTTATTCTACCTTATTTAAAGTAGATCATTGCTGAAAAAATCTACAAGTGTTCTAAATTTAGAAACTACATGGCAGGGTGGGGGTAGAATCAGAAAAATGCAGTAAATATTCAGGGTTTCATCTGTGGAACTATGAAGTTTAGCAAACCTGAATTCTGAAATTGTCACTGTGTCTGTATTTTTTTTTAACTTTTGTGAATGTAGTGAATTGTTTCTTTTCTTTTAATCTGTAGATATCCTATAAAGATCCATTCAATTTGTTCAATTTCATTATCAGCCCTAAAAGTTAATATGAGAACTTAATAAAGATTTGTGCAATTTAATCACCAGTCCTAAAATTGAATCTAAGAACATACAAAGATTTGTCCAATTTAATCACCAGTACTAAAAATAAAGATAAAAACCAACAATTGTTCTAACCCAAAATGTACTCCACCACCTCCTTCTCTTCCCTTCCCCCATCCCGTTTTTACTTAGCCTGAGAATCTGAATTTCCTGTGATTTTTTTTCCAGTTGTACACTGTGTTTGGAAGCTCTGGTATTCTACTTTAATTAGCTGTATTTACCCCACTTGTCTTGGTAAAATACTCCTTTTGTGATACCCCAGCCAGCCATTCCCCATTGACTTTTTACTCTTCAGAAACTTGTATTTACCATTTCCACCATCTCCCCTTTCCCTGGAAACCATGTTGTACCTATAGTTTTATTTACTGCACAAACCAGTCTCCTTCATCCTTGAATCATATGGATGCTTCCCTGGAATGGACGATAAGTAAAAGTCAGCACAGTGAGGCAGGTGGACAACAACACATTTTCTGAAATGTAAACTTGAATCGCTGCCTTAGGTTGCCTGGATGTGTGTTTCATAAATTGGAATTTTTAGCAGTGATTCCTTGAACTTGTTGTCAAAAGACCTGACAGAACTAATAACTGCCAGGTACAGTCCTGGGGATTTGAATGATCCATGTCTGCACAAGAATCTTTTGATGCTGTTAAAACCTCATCTTCTAGGAAGGCCTTTCTTTTATTGCATTGAATTTCAACACAGTTCGGCAAATTGATCGTGTATTTGTACAGTGAGATTGCCATTTCCATGCATGAACGGGGGTTTTTATTTTTTTTTTTCTCAAATGAGTTGGTGAAATTTCTCCCTGTTTCATTTCTACAGTTTATATTAAAAGATGGAAGTTACTCGAGTGAACAAATGCCGAGAATTTTCTATGGTTTTGTTTGGTCTAGGTGCAACTTCAAATGGCTATTATGCAATAACAATTATTTCCTTTTTTTCTTTTTGCTGCCTGAAGGCCTGAGCTACAATGTTTCAGTAGGATTTGGGAGTATGTTCTGTTTAAAATATCCGTTTTTGTGGCTAATATCAGCAGTGTATTATGTCATCCCTGCATGTAAATAAGTAGAAATGCATTATCTACCTTTCCTTGAACTTCTCTGATTAGAATAGTCAATTGAAATAGAGAATTCAATTAGTACAAAACAAATATTAAAGGATGACATTAGCTTTGGGGACCTGGCTGAATGAATTTTATGCTGTGGCCCTGTTTGTTCTTATCTCTGGTCTCCACATAGATACAAAGTGGGAGGACAGGAAAGAGTGGCAGCTCCCCAGATCTGATACAGTTTATGTCATGGCAATAGCACTGACCTCCTGCAGTGATGAAGGATGTTATGATGAAGAATCATGTTATGATGTTTTCAGACCATGGTGAAAGTAAAAGGAAAAAGAGCCTCTTCTAGTATAAATCAGATCAGTCTGTTCTGTCTGCTCATTGTTTTTTGTGTCTCCATTTAAACTACTGAATGGTGAAATAAGACACAATACATTATTTTTCTCCTCCTCATCCTCCTCCTCCTCCTCTTCCTCTTCTTTCTTTCCCAAAGTAGGAGTCAAATCACAGTGTTTAGCCAACTCTCCAGTTGCAGAGTTCCAGTGACATCAAAGAATTGCCAACTCTCTCTCATTTACCAACACCTGGGAAGAATCAATGTCTCTTTCAGTTATCAGCCCATCGATGTGTTGGTACCCTTTTGAGCACTGACTTTGTGAATTCAGTTCTGTACCAGGCATTCTAGACATGCTTATCACCCCCTCCAAGAATCTGCGGTCCACTTAGGGAAGCAAGATGAATATACATCAAGCAGTGAGAGGAAAGAAAAAAATGGCCTATAATTCAATACTAAATTAGTGATAAGGATTTTGTGTGTGTGTGTGTGCAAGGGTTAGGGCTAGGGTGGTGCAATAGTGTAAGGAAGTATGGAGCATGTCAGCAGTCGTAGCAGGCTTCCCTTCAATGGTAGTGTCTGTGGGTAGCCAGCCCTGTGCCGATTAAGTGTGTGGGACTAAATGCAACCCAACTCCACTGATGATATAAGACATCCATTTTCCTCTTTTCTGCAACAGGGGGCAAGGACACCATACTGTTCAGCGACCCCACTCTTCCTAGTGGACAGAGGTCGAGATCCCCACTGCTGAAGTTTGTCGAGCAGCCCACTGAGAACAAAGCAGATCCCAAGGATGGTAAGCACGCCTCGATTTCTCCATCTTTACCTGGACTGTGCCTGCCACAGAGGAGTGGCTCAATGGACATCGGTCTCTTCCCCTTCCCCTTTGTGCTGCTGCTTTGGCATCATTGGGACATTCCTCAGATTTCCTCTTGTTGCTTATGTGGGTTCATCTTGTTGGGAGGTTTTAAATGCAGCATGCAGGCCCCTGCTCTCTAGGCATGGTGGCAGAGAGGTTAAGAGTGAGGACCCTGTGCCAGGTGCAGTGGCTCACACCTGTAATCCTAGCACTTTGGGAGGTGGATGTGGGTGTTTCACCTGAGCTCAGGAGTTCAAGACCAGCCTGGCCAACATGGTGAAAACCCGTCTCTACTAAAAATACAAAAATTAGCCGGGTGTGGTGGGGCGTGCCTGTAGTCCCAGCTACTCAGGAGGCTGAGGCAGGAGAATCACTTGAACTGGGAGGCAGAGGTTGCAGTGAGCCAAGATTGTGCCACCACACTCCAGCCTGGGGAATACAGCAAGACTCCGTCTCAAAAAATAAATAAAGAGTGAGGACCCTGGAGTTGGACAACCTGGGTTCGTGGCCAGGTCCACATCACATTGGCTATGAGAACTTGGGCTGGAGACTTCAGCCTCAGTTTCCTTTCCTTTAAAACAGTGACATGATCATGTCTACCTCAGGGAAATCTTGGCACATTGCCTGGTATATGGGAAGTCTGCGAAGCAGTAGAATAGAGAGAAAAGCTCCTGCTTTACCAGATAGACAGTTCTGGAGGCAGGGTGTTCTGGAAGGGATCAAAGACCCATATAGAGACCCAGATAAGCCAACAGGTTTGAGAACCTGATCTCTTCCCATGTGGGAGTCTTGTCTTCCCAACAAACTTCATGTCTTTTGAAGTTTTGCTTATCTTGTTCTGCCACCCCTAGTGTAGCAGCCAGCTTCTGAGAATGCACCAAATGTTCCCTACCCCTTGGTATTCATGCCCCCGTGTAACCGTCTTCCATGTTGTATCAGGATCAGTCTGTTTGATTAGTAGAATACAGAAGTGAGGGTATGTGACTTCTACAGCAAGGTCATAAAAGACATGAGACTTGTCCCTTGTGCTCTCTCTCGGGTTGTTTACTCTGGAGGAAGCTGACAACCATATCATGAGGACGCTCAAGCAGCTATCCACGCTGTTCATGTGGTGTGGAGCTGAGGCCTCCAGCCATCAGCCACTGGAGTGAGCCATCCTGGAAGGTGATTCTCCAGCCCTAGTCAAGCCTTCAGATGCCAACAGCCCTGGTCAGCTTTTCATGGGCGCCTCATGAGAGACCGTTAGCCAGAACCACCCAGCTCAACTGTTTTCAGACTTCTGAGTTAAGCTGCTAGGTTTGATGTAATTCGTTACACAGCAATAGATAAACAATATACATCCATATTTCCATCTTCTCTTGCTCAGACTCATGCCTTTAATCATTACCTCCATAAAAATACACTCAAAGTGTTTTTCCCCCACAAGGTTCCATCTGCAGAGTTACACCCACATTTCCCAGAGCCCCAACTTCCCTTGCCCTGAATACTCTGTGGACTTCTCAAGCATGACATCACCAACTCTTCCTGCTTTCTTCCTTCTTTTTTTGTCACCCTCTCAGCTTCTCAGGCTCAAAACCTTGGAGCCATCAACCACTGTCAACCTTCCATCTCCATCTACATGTGGCCTTTCACTCAACTCTTTCTGCAGAGTTTTTACACCTTGGGACCTATCACTTCTGGCATGGTTCAGGCCCTCATTTTTTTGTCAGGAGGGCTTCTCCTGGTTTTCCATCCTCCTTGACTCTCCTTGCTTTATTCCCATCTTCATCCTGCTACCATAGAATAAAGTTTTTGGAGTACCGTTTCATCACATTTGTGCCATGCTCAAAAATCCAAAGTGGCTCTCCACTGTCTTGCACTTAACATCTCAACTCTGCAGCCTGGCCTAGCCTACCTTTCCAACCTCATGATTGTCTGCCCTAAAAACTGTGCCCTCAGCTAAATGGACTAACCAGCTGTATCAGTTAGCTATTATTGGGTAACAAACCAACTCAAAATTTAGAACTTAAAGCAACAACTATGTATTGTTTTTCATGAGTCTTTGGGTCAGATGGGTGGTTCTGCTAATCTAAGCTAGGCTCTGCAAGCTCTCTCTTGCATACGGATGAGGGAGCCTTGCTGAGCTGAGCTTAGATTAGCAGAACCGGAACCGCCCATCTGACCCAAAGACTCGTGAAAAATAATGCATAGTTGTTGCTTTAAATCACTCATAATAGTGCATGGAGTGGTAAGAAGACCACTTCTTATCACTGGGTAAGAAGACCCAGATGAGCCAACAGGTTTGAGAGCCTGATCATAGGACCATAATACTGCATGGAGTGGTAGAAGCCAGGACATATCTGGGATTTGAACAGAAAGGTTACCCCCCAGGTACCTGTGGGGAGAATTTCAAGAGAGAGACCCTGACTTTAATTGGTTCCACACCAGCCAGAAAGCAAGGCTGGGTCTTTGCAGCCAGCCTCATGTGGCTGCTTGTAAGGCTGGCCTGGAACACCATGGCCCCCTGTGTGGTTTGGAGCATGTCTTGGCTGGTGGTTTTGCCATGCCAGGATCCAATGTCCACATGGAGATCCAAAGCCTTCTGTCTGTTCTAGGCTTGCTGAGCCTCGGGGTGGACCTGGGCCTGCTAACCTGAAACGGAGCATGAGCCTGGCTTGATTTTCACAAGGGCGTTGTAAGTCGTGGACTGATTCAAAATGATAGCTTCCAGAGTTGCATCATTAGCTCTCATTGTTCCTACCCCGTCCTCTGACAGCGCTGGGTGGGAATAAGGAAGTGTTTACGCCGTGGCTGTCAGCGTCCGGGATGGCCTCATCACTGTCGCATCTGTGATCAATTCCAACTGAAAGCAGCGCGCGCTTGGGAGGACAAAGCCTATCAGAGAGCAACTAACAAAGGAAGATGAATCGCCTTTTCGGGCCAGTGGCAGTGGGGAGCGGGGGACACGTTTTTGGGTGATTAGCAATTTTTTTAACAAAGAGATACTGTTTCTTTATCTTTTAGAGGAAATATTTTTTTCTTTCCACACTATTTGTGTCATAATGCGTTTGTAGCCGTTGATTGCATCCTCATCATTGATATGTGTATCATTATTAATAATAAGTGTTAATGATAATTGTTTGCTAAAACACTGAATAATTACTATTATTTTTAATATTTTCCCACTCTTGGCTGGTTCAGAAATCTTTTATAGAAATAGCAATGCTATGTGTCTATCCTTAAAAATAAAACACCCACAGCTTAGGAGTTAAGATTCTAGAATCTTTAAAGGAGGATTTTGCTCCCACAGCAAGTAACCAGAGGTCCCAGTGATAGCTCAACGCTTGTGACATTTTTAGTAACCTTTTTTTGTCTCCTGATAATGACTTGAGTATAATTTTGGGGTATCTTTTGGATTTAAAAAAAAAGTCTAAGGGTGGCTCATACTTGTAATCCCAGCACTTTGGGAGGCTGAGGTGAGAGGATCGCTTGAGGCCAGGAATTTGAGACCAGCCTGGGCAACAATAGTGAGACCCCATTTCTAAAAAAGAAAATTAAAACATTAGCTGCACATGGTGGCACATGCCTGTAGTCCCAGATACTCGGAAGGCTGAGGCGGAAGGATCCCTTGAACCCAGGAGGTTGTGGCTGCTGTGAGCTGTGATCGCGGCACTGCACTCCAGCCTGGGACAGTGTGAGATCCTGTCTCAAAGAAAAAAAAATTAAATTAAAAATTTAAATTTAAATTTGAAAAAAATGGGAGAGTGGGTTGGTAAATCCTGCTGTTGACTTACAGTCCTGTCCTAGACCCTGGCTCCTGTAGCTCTGTGGTCCTGAGGCTCTGAAAATCTAGCCTTTCTCAGAAAAAGTAAACAGAGTAGGATTACAGCCTGAGTTCATTCCTCTTATCGTGGCTGTGTTTTAATCTCTAATGAGGACAGCAGTGTTGGCCCCACACGCACCCCCCTGCACCCACTGCTTAAAAAGTTAAAAAGTTCTCCCTGCTAATCTCAGAGGTTTCCCATATTAAAAGAGACTCATACCTTTGGACATGAGCAGAATGTCATCTAACGAAATGGCACAAGGCAAAATACCAGCAACTGAAAGTCCCCTGTGTAATTTAGACCACCCTCACTGAGGTGTAAATTAAGGTAGAGAAGATTAACCTGACCTACAGTAAAAACACACCACAGATGGTTTAGGGGTTAGGTTGTTACGAGTAAGGTTAATTAATTTTTCAGGGGGACTAGAATATACTATTAAGTGTCCTGGAAGAAGTAATTTCATAAGAGTAATTTCCAGAAGGAGTGTACTCGTCTCACGTTGGTGAAAAATTTAGCTGCTGAAAGTACCGTAATTTACTCCTTTTAAATAAAGCCTCCCCACCATGCTGGAAACCTGCTCATTTTGACCCGCTGTTTCTCATGTCCCCTGTACAACCACTATAAAAATTTTCATCTGTGAGTATGAAAATTATGTGATTGCTTCCCTGAGCTACCTTAGATGCAGATAAATGTTTGTGCAAGTCAGAAATCTTTATCTTTCCTTTTCAAAAGTACCATTTTAAGAACTTTTAGAGTAGCAACCTGAATACAACCTTAAATGAATACCATAAATTCAAGGATTGCTTTCATATATTAACGAATGGTATTTAAAGAGATGTACTAATATATTCATGGATTCATGCATTCATGTATATCGTTCATATATTCAAACATTTAATAAGCTATTTATTATTAAGTCCCCACTATGGAACAAGGTTAAAAAATTAATCAGGCAAGTTTCTACATTTAAGGTAGGAATATTACTTCTGGCCAGATTTAATCACATAGGCATCATGAAAGTTGTGGAGGTGGAGCTGACTCTTGAAGTTCATCCCTGGGACATACAAGAGAGAATGATAGTCATGGAGGAATCAACTTTCTAAGTATAGGTGCTGGGGACAGGGGTGGATGACATGAAGGGGCTCAGTGTGGCTGGAGTAGAGGGAATAAGGAGAGGAGTTGGTTTGCCAGGTAGAAATGTAGATGGATGTTGAGTCGTGGAAGGCCTTGAATGCCAGGTTATGAGCTTAGGCTTTGCTGCCGAGACACTGGCAGCCTTTCAATGATGTATAGCTGGGGAAAGACATGGTGAGATTTGTGCTTCAAGCCTGCAGTGCTGCTCAAACTGAAGTGTGCACCCACATCACCCAGGATCTTATTGAAGTAAAGATTCAGAACCAGTAATTCTGGAGTAGGGCCTGAGACCCTGCATGTTTAATAAGTCCCCAGGTGATGCTGCCACTGCTGGTCCATGAACCACACTTTGGGTAGCGAAGCTTTAGGGACGGTTTCTGTCTCCCAGCAGGTTGGATTAGTGTAGGAGGAGACTAGAATCAAAGGAACCTATTAGAAACCAACATACCTCATCCTGGCTAAACAGATCTGAATAGTTGTTTTTTTCAAAATCAAGGCTTGATTTATTCACACATCTATACATTTGCGCATCAAGAACTAACACATACCTTATCCTGGCTGAACAGATCTGAAGAGCTATTTTTTTAAAAAGCAAGGCTTGCTTTATTACATTCATGTATTTCATTGTGAGCACAAGTAATGGTCTCCTTTGCAGATACAATGCTTACTGAGGCCAGTGAATTCTTAGGAGAATAAACATAGTTGTCTGTGACTAAATGCAGGCTTCAGAAATCATAAAGTAGATTTGGTCAAAATTCTGTCCCTGGAATTTGTCTATGGTCATCAAAAAGGCTAAAGGAAATGGAAACTTATTTTGAATGTGAAAAGCAAATTTATATCAGGAGAATTAGAGCTATAGGGTGTGGCAACAGTAGCCAAGACCCACCTTACTCAGCTGAAACCCACAGTCCTCTTCCCTGTTGATACTGATGTTTGTTATCACATCGCTGCTTCTGTCTATGATCATTTTCTCTTCCTTGTGCTCCACCCTTCGTCTTGGTAGTTTCATTTTAGTCTTAAAGTCCCTCTGATTTCACTCTTTCATTTCTTCTAGAGCTTCTCAGAGTTTTTACCAATGTTCAGTCATTTTAAAACTTTTAAACATTTGATTAAGTAAATAAATGCTCAGAAGTTTATTCAATTATGTAATTAAGAAATGCTCAACACCACATACCATGCATATCAATCAATACTTTTATATCGTATCAATACTTTTATGTTGTATTAAAATTAGAATGGATCACAGATGTAGGAACATTGTTACACGTTGCAGAAATTCTAAGCTCCATTTTAATTCAAACTTGTTAGATTATATTTCCTTTTTAGGTTTTATATATATATATATATATATATATATATATATATATATTCCCCAAGCTGAACCTTGGGGATATATGCCTCAGCAATTTATCTAGAAACCTTAGAAATCCAAGCCATGTTTGGTATTGGGCAAGGAGAAGAGTGGGCAGATGCAAGGAACATTTCTGAATGTCTTAGTCAGTTCAGGCTGCTGTAACAGACTACCATAGACTGAGTGTTTTCAACAAGAAGCAGACATTTATTTCTCTTAGTTCCAGAGGCTGGGAAGTCCAAGATCAAGGTGCTAAGAGATTCTGTGACTCAGGAGGGCCTTCTTCCTGTTTTGCAGATGGTGGCCTTCTTGCTGTATTGCCATCCTCAAATGGCAGAGAAAGAGGGGGTTCTGGTCCCTTCCTCTTCATATAAGGGTACAAATCCCATTATGAGGGACCCATTTCATGACTCATCTAACCCTGAGTACCTCCCAAAGGCCTCACCTCCAAATACCATCACACTGGGGATTAGGGCCTCAATATGAATGTGGGGAGGACACAAGCATTCAGTCTACAGCACTGAGGGTGATATGGTTTGGCTGTGTCCTCACCCAACTCTCACCTTAAATGGTAATCATCTCCACATGTCAAGGGTGGGGCCAGGTGGAGATAATTGAATCATGGGGGTGGTTTCCCCCATACTGTTCTCTTGGTAGCGAATAAGTCTCACAAAATCTGATGGTTTCATAAATGAGAGTTCCTCTGCACACTTTCTCTTGCCTGCTGCCATATAAGATGTTCCTTTGCTCTTCTTTCGTCTTCTACCATGATTGTGAGGCCTCCCCAGCCATGTGGAACTGTGAGTCCATTAAACCTGTTTCCTTTATAAATTACCCAGTCTTGGGTATGTCTTTATTGGCAGCATGAAAACAGACTAATACAGAGGGACAAAGACAGGACTTGGCATTGACTGGTCTTCAAGGTCTTAAGCCCATGTGACTACGAAGCATTACCGAAACTGCAAACAGGAGGGACTCTATGGGGGAAAACTGTCTTCTGGAAAGTGCCAGCAGATTTTCCAGGTAGAGGATCCTATTGGCAGCCAGAAACGTGGGTCTGTATCTTCTACAAGAAGCGAGCAGAGCCATCGATATAGATCTGGGAGCTGTACTCAGAGGCAGGAATTAAGGTCATGTGATAGCTAATGAGTGAGAATGAATGAAGAGAAACAGATGGCAGATCACTGGGGGAAGTGCCCTCAGAGGGGCCAGAAGGAAATATCAGAATCAACAAAGGGAACTGGGAAGGCATATGTAGGAGGTTGAATATTGGCCCTCAAAGATTTCAGGTCCAATTCCCTGAAACCTGTAAATGTTACCTTATATGGCAAAATGACTTTGCCGATATGATTGATTTATGGATCTTGAGATTAGGAGATTATCCTGGATTATCCAGGTGGGCCAAAAATGCAATATCATGTATCCTTTCAAGAGGGAGGCAAGAGAGAGATTGTGCACACACAGAAAAAAAGGCAGTGTGACCATGGCAGCAGAGATTGGAAGGATGCAGCCACAAACCAAGGAATCCTGGCAGCCATCAGAAGCTGGGAGAGGCGGAAAATGGATTCTGCCCCAGAGCCTCCAAGGGAGCACAACCCTGGTTTTGGCCCAGTGAAATTTTTTTTTTTTTTTTTTGAGTCGGAGTCTCACTCTGTAGCCCAGGCTGGAGTGCATTGACACAATCTCAGCTCACTGCAACCTCTGCCTCCCGGGTTCAATTGATTCTCCTGCCTCAGCTTCCTGAGTAGCTGGGATTACAGGCACGCGCTACCACACTTGGCTAATTTTTGTATTTTTAGTAGAGACAGGGTTTCGCCATGTTGGCCAGAATGGTCTTGAACTCCTGACCTCAGGTGATCCGCCCGCCTCAGCTTCCCAAAGTGCTGGGATTAGAGGCATGAGCCACTGTGCCTGGCCCCAGTGAAATTTTTTTGGACTTCTGATTCCAGAGCTATAAGGGAATGAATGTGTTTTGTTTTAAGCCACTACGTTTGTGGTTGTTACAGGAGCCATAGGGAACGAATACAGCATGCTCACAGAACTAGATTGAAGGAGAGACTACAGGGAGAAACAGCTTGCGAGGAGCATGTGGCCAATGGGAAAGTATGCTACAGGGTGGGGAGGGGGATGTAGACCTCACAAGCAGGGGGGACGCAGGATAGACTGAAGGATCGAAGATATGAATCAGCTCTGGGAAGTGAAAGCAGTGGATATGGGTTCCTAGCTCTACAGATCAGTGTAGCAAAGGAAAGATGAGGTGATATTGGATGGTAGAATCTTGGAGGTTGCATATCTTGTTTTATAAAATAGGAATACAGCACATGTTAAAAAATATAAATAGCACAGAAAAGTGGAAAATTAAGCTTAAAGTCTTCCTCCACCCTTGCTTCTTGCTGTGGTCCTCAGTCTGCTTTCCAGAGACAACCTACAATTTTTAGTGCATATTATCAGAAAGAATCTCGCAACTTGGCAAGTAAATCTGTATACATAATCCCCTGTTGATGAGCACTTGGAGTTTTCCAGACTTCTGTTTTTAAAAACAGTGTTGTAGTGAGTATCTAAGAACAATGTGTCTTGAAATATCTGGCCTATAAAAGAGTCTTACTAATTTTTATTTTCTTTATTAATGTATGATTGTACCTGTTTCCCTGCATCCTTCTCAACACTGAGCTTTGTCAAACCTTTTCATTTTTGTCATTCTGATAGAGGAAAAACTACATTTCATTGGGACTTAGATTTCTGCAATTTTGAGTGATGGTGTGAATCGTTTAATATGTCTGCTCTCAATTTCTATCTCTTTTTCTGTTTCTGGCTTGCCCATTTTCATTCAACATTTACATACCTGTTGGAAATTGTGGTGCATTCAAATGAACAAATTCTGTACTCATAAACATGGGTAAATCTCACAAACATCATGGGAAGCGAAAGGAACCAGCACAGTAAGATTCCTGGATATAAAGTTCAAGGACCAGGCAGATCTCATTTCAGCATTTTAAATAGGCTAATGGTTATCCCTGGCAGCAGAAAAGGGACTGGAAAGGGGGTCCAGGAGTCCTGGACTTGGAAGTGTTTGCAGGGGTTGGTAATATTTTGTTTCTCATCCTGGTTATATGGGTGAGTTCACTTTGTGAAAATTCATTGAGCTGGATACATAAGTTCTGTGCACTTCTCTTTGTGTATATTATACTTCCATTTATAAAAGAAAGGGAACTATTTTTTAAATATTTTTGAATGCTTAGAATGTGTCAGACACTGGATGAGTCAGATGAGGCTCCTGTTCTCATGGACTTAAATTTAGAATGAGATAAACACGTCAAATGTTTAGTGCAGTGCCTAGTGTGGAAAAGCACCCAATAAGCGTTAGCTGGGAGGATTTATTTAACAGAGGGGAGAAACTGATCAGTGCATGTGGAGACCTAATGGGTGCGTGACATGGCTGGGAGGACACGTGTGATGAAACTGTGTGAAATGAGGCTGCAGAGTGAAACAGGAGCACATCAGCAGGACCTTGTAAGGGCCTAAGCGAAAGGAAATTTATCCTGAAAGTGACAAGGCTCCAGCAGAAGGTTTTAAGCAGGAAAATGGCATGGCCAGATGATGCTCAACATCCTTTCTAACCTGCTGCAGTTCTCCAGCTCCCCAAGTTCCAACTTACAGCCTGAAAACATACCTGCGCATATATGATAGCAAGCCCCACTACAGCAGGGTTCTGCTGTGGTTCCATTCAGGGGTACCAGAAAGTGTTCCTGGGGGCCCCTCATTCCTGGTCCAGGACATGTGTCCAGGCTAAACCCAGTCCCACTGTGGCTCTGTCATACCTTTCTTCACTGTTTAGCCTGAGGGCTGGGAAGAGATTGGCTTCTGGGGAAACTCAGTGTCTGTTATTGAATGCACATGCCCGGGTACTAAGAGCTGGCTCCGCCATGCTGCTCCCCACTCATGCAGAGCAAGCATTGCTGGTTAGGTCCAGAAGGGGCATCAGAGAGTCCTATCCTGATCACAAAGCAAGTGAGTAGGGAAATGAGGGCTGGATGTCAGCACTTTAAGGGCTCCCCCTTCTCTCCCATGTCCTTCCTGTTGCAGTGCTAGAATTTCCATCCTATAGAGAAGGGGTTTAGGGACAACAACTCAACAGGGGAGGGAGCTTGAAGGTGTATTTGCATATAATTTATTTGATATTGAGGAACACTAGGTGTCCGCATTAAGGAATGAGATGCTGATGGAGAATCGTGGAGAAGGGGTGGCACTAAATCCTTCCCGAACTATCCTTCTTCTTCCCACCCTCAATGCAGCCGGAACCTTTTTTCATTACTAACAAGCCCTGGCTCTCAGCTGCAGAACCAACAAAACCTTTGTCCTCAATTTAAATATTTAATGGGCACAAGGAGCGGCCATTAGAGAATGGAACAGAAGCTAACCAGGTGCCTGGAAAGGATGGATTATGACATGGCCCAAGTGCTCCCTTGCCCTCTGTTAATAATGCAGGAATCACTAGAATGCATGCTCGCTGGTTTCACCTGGGTCCTGTGTTCCCCTTTGGCTCCATTGCCCTGCACAGGGAGCCAAAAAAGTCTTGCTCCTTTTTCAGAGGCCCTGTGCTGGTAGGCTGGGCAGGAGGTTGGCAGAAGAGGGGCGGTGAGGGCTGATTTGCTGCCAGAGGTTTAATGTTGTCCTCGTTCTGTTTTCAGGGGAGGCTCAGAAGCAAGAAGAAGATGAAAGTTGTGCCGCTGCTGAGGCGTTGACAGCGCCTGAGGATGCTGGGAGGCCCGCTGTCAACTCCCCAGCAAATCAGAGCCGCGGGAACCAATGCAAGCTCTTTCATCCTTCATTACCCCAGTTACCTTCTGAGGAAGAAGTAAACAGCCTTGGGAGGGAAATAATTAAACTGACAAAGGAACAGGCAGCTGCAGAACTGGAAGAGGTCAGAAGAGAGAGTCCCATAGAAGGTCAGAGGAGTGAGACGGGGCCAGCCCCGCCAGGCCTGGCCATCCAGGGGGAGCTCCCTAAATCTCACCTGGACTCCTTCGAGGCCAGCCGGCCAGCAGCCAAAGCTTCCACACCGGAAGACGGCAAAGGGATCCCAGAGGGCGGAGGCATGAGGAGCACCGTGAAAACCTGAAGGGGAGAGGGATCTGACACAATGACACATTGAAAGCCCCAGAGAGGGTCAAGAATGAAGCATCGGAATGGTGCGCTCACGTCGCCTTCTCCTGAAATACCTCCGAGTCTGCAAGTGAGAAAACGCACTGATCCTGTTGCAAACTGTGAATATTCTGATGATGCCAGTACAGTTTGATTTATTAAATGTAGGTCCTCAAGCTTCTCAGTGTCATCTCTTTTCTGCCAGAGAGTGCTACTGTGAACAGGGCCAGGCCCAGGAATCGTGTCCACCATATGGCTGGTTTTCAGCATCCGTCTTTCTGTCAGCTTTTGTTTTATCAGAGATAAGATGTTTTTGTATTAGCATTTAATGTTGTCAATCAAAATTATGGGAAGAGCTAGAAACTGATGGGGTTTTTAATCAGGTCCCCATCTTGGTCAAGGTTAGGCAGCTGGAGAGGAAGGTATAATTGAGCAAAACGTGTCCAGAGGACCCATGGCTGCACCCCATCAAGTCAGGGCCCAGGAGGACTGCCTGGCATGGGTGTGCTTGGCATTGTGCCCACAGCACTGCTGTCGTGGTACAGACTGGCAGTTGGAAGGGGCCTTAAGCCGGCTGAGAAGTTTGGGCTTCTGGGTTGAAATCCACAGCCCCGGTTGAGGCCTGTGTGCTGAGTGCCAGAGCTGGAGTTTTCTAGCTTGTAAATCTGGAGAATTAAC
This sequence comes from Homo sapiens, assembly GCF_000001405.40. Classification (NCBI taxonomy): domain Eukaryota; kingdom Metazoa; phylum Chordata; class Mammalia; order Primates; family Hominidae; genus Homo; species Homo sapiens. Next base: position 24,807,687 of record NC_000004.12, on the reverse strand, counting down.
TGATCTGAAGTGACTGGGAGGGGTGAGCATAAAAGCCGGGGAACAGGACTCCCAGTGGTGGTCTGGTTTTTTTTGTGAGATGAGATGAGAGCTACCACCTGGAAATGCTCATTCTCTGCATTCAGCCTGTCTCACATACAGGATTGTATGGCCATTTCAGGTTTGGGAAAGATCTACCTGCTGGGAGCCAGTCTAGTTTCCTGCACCACCTGGAACTTCCAAACCCTTCACTCCTTCAACAGAATGTTGAGGCTGCCTCATTTGTGCCACCAAGTACGGGAATCTTAAAGACAGAAACAGAGCTCATGACCTTTTATGGGAAAGAGAGAGGAAAACAAAACAACTTCACAACAGCATGGCAAGGGGGGATGTGGAACCAAGGACATGATACAGGGATGGGAAAGGAGGGCATGCTCAATTCTAGCTGGTTCTTTCCTTTCAGATAAAAATGAGCTTTTCTAGTTGGCATCCGGCACTGCAGAAAACTAAAAGTCATCCAGCCATAGCTTTTTCCTTCCCTGGAAAGCCTGAGACTAGATCCCAAAGCTCAGAATGCCTCTGAGAACCAGAATCACTCCTTTGAGAGGCGCTCCTTGCAGGAAAAAGAGAGGCTCCCAGAGTGGTAGCCTCTCAGTGAAAATGCATCCTAAAAATTCAATGTTTATACCAGGCTCATGACACTAAGATGTGACATCTGGACACGAGGGGTCAGCCACGTGGATACATCCCTCCCAGATTGCATCTCCAGGAATCACTCTGCTAGCAGAATGGGCGCCCCATCCCTTACTATGCTGCTCCTCCTCAAAGTGCAGCCCAGAAGGACCCAGGCCTTTGATGCACATTGGGTGGGTCTCCCACTACTTTAGTTGAAATGGGAGCATGCTGGAGTCGGCGTTCTGTTGCTTCTGGTGAGAAGGACATCCCATTGACCCCTGGCCACCAGGTCCAGTATTCCATCCTTCCTTCTGTCCCAGCCTATCGCCCTCCCCACCAGGCCCACCCCCACAACTTCTCCTCAAGGGAGGTTGCTCCCGCAGCTGGAGGGCTTGCACAGACCAGCAGTCACAGAAATCATTCTTCCTGCTGTACTGGGCCTTAACTGCCTGCAAATGTCCAGCACTACTGCATAGGATGCCAGAGCCACCGAAGGAAAACACAGCCAAGTTTAATAATAATAAAAGGAAAAATCTCAGCCTGCAGAACTCTGGTTTTGACCCACCATCGGCCAGATGCACATCTTCAGGGCCTGTTGAGCACCTTCTGAAAAGCAGGGCTCGTAATAGACTCCAGCACATTCCATCAGAGTCAGGAAAACTGCAGTGAGTCCCAGAGAATCTAGGGTGCAGGGCAGGGAGCAGGAGTCATAAGGAGTGATAACCTAAACTGTGTGTAGTCAGCGGGGAGGGTCTTATGTTATCAGGTGAAATGAGAGCCAGTAAGTTAGTTGATCCTGTCACAGATATAACCCTGATAACACCCCATAGATACGCGACACGTGTGTCCTGCCCCTGCTTTCCCCATCCAACATGGTTCTTCTGTTCCACAGACATTAAAGGGGCTTTCTGCAATTACTTACAGCTGTCTTTTGTCTTTTTTAGGATCAAAGTTTAAGGTTGTGGCATTCTGTCCCCTACTTCACTAGATAACCCTGCATCAGTCATGGTCCTCTCAGCTTCAAGCCACACTTAACAGAAACTTAAGCGGTAGGGAAATGAATTATGTTGTATAACAGGAACTTCGAAAGTAAGGCATTCCAGGGCTATACATTCAAGAAAGTTGTCAAGGTTCTAGGTTTCCATCTTCCTGCTCTTCCTGCTGTGTCAGCTGCTTTCTCATGATAACGAGGTGGCTGCAACAGCTCCAGATAACACCTGTTCAAAGGCAGAAGGAAGTTTCTTCCCACATACGTGTGTGTGTGTGTTTCAAGAGCGAGAAACCCAGTTCCTATCACATTTTATTGGTCAGAATGATCACCTGGGGCTTGTGGTCGCATGAGACCTTGTCACATGATGATGTCACATGGCAATGTCTTAACCATTTCTTAGCAAGGGAGATGGTATTACCATGATCTGTTTAGGTTCACCAAGATTCACCCTTAAGAACTGAAGAAGGGCCCTGTCGCTAGACATTCAGACTCTAAAAGGCTGAACACCAAAACAGAATCATATCTTGGGATGTGTAAGAGAGTTGGGAATAGACAACCAATGGTGCTGTCTCTGAACCCCATGTCTTTTTGTTGCTGCATAAAAAGCCAGAAAATCATGTTTCCGATGAGTTTGGAGTTAAGGGGAGGGGCTATGGTTGTTTGCTCAGAAAAAAGCCATCTCATCCCCCCTCCCTGGCATCTTTCTGATCTGTCCTGTTCTGTAGGTGGAATGTTCCCACCTTTGTTTGCCTGTTCAGACGTGTTTGTCCTTCCATTATTTTTCCGGCTGGATTGCCAGCAGAATGCAGAGCAGCCTGGAGAAATGAAACAGAGCTGACAGGTCTCTTAATGAAAGCTTGTTTGCACACTCTGCCTCTCCTGTGATCGCTCTGTGCCTGAGAGCCTCTAGGTGTGGATTTTTACATGAGCGTTTGTCTTTCTTTTGATTAAGGCCTGTAGAAGTGGATTGGTTTTTGTAAACCAGGCATTTCTCATCCCTCACTCTTGCTCTTCCTCCTTCCACACCTTCTCTGCCCACCTTCTTCTCCCCTCCCCGTTCCTTCTCTTGCTCCCACAGCTATTCCCAAAGCCTCTCTAGCTGGGAGGCTCCTGATGGCCTCAGCTCAATGCCGGCTGGACCCTCCCAGCTTTTGGCAATCTTAAGCAAGCTAAATTAGTTTGCCCATCGTTGCTCCTCTTCTGTGACCTCCCTCCCAAACATGCACCACCATCACGATGCAAAGTGCTAGAAAAGGGCTCTGCTATCAATTATTCACATGTTGGAGTAAATTTTTTGATGTGTTATTCCTACCGGGAGCCTTTGCACCCCGGTTCACGATATGGCATGAAAAGTTCTGTCTCCTCTTTAAGGAATGACAAAGACCAGCTGCTTACTCACTGAGGTGATCTTCTCTGTCTCTTTAAAATTACAGCATGCCTTTGCCCCTGTTGGTTTTCACTCCAAAAAAATGGGGTGCCCTCTTGGCTTTGTTGTTTTCCCACAGCCTTGTGGATGACTTGGTACCCTACTTCTTTTTTTTTTTTTTTTTTTTTTTGAGAGTCTCACTCTGTCACCCAGGGTGGAGTGCAGTGGCATGATCTCGGCTCACTGCAACCTCCACTTCCCGAGTTCAAGCGATTCTCCTGCCTCAGCCTCCCGAGTAACTGGGACTACAGGCATGCACCACCATGCCTGGCTAATTTTTGTATTTTTAGTAGAGACGGGGTTTCACTATGTTGACCAGGCTGGTCTCAAACTCCCAACCTCGTGATCTGCCTTCCTCGGCCTCCCAAAGTGCTGGGATTGCAGGCGTGAGCCACTGCGCCCGGCCTGTACCCTCCTTCTTTTTGAAAAAGAGAGTACCTTCTTCCTCTGCTTTCATTCTGAAGCCTCCATTTAAAACACTCCTCCTCCTTAGCAATAGTGAGGGTCCCTTCAGACTAGATAGGATGTCAAAAGGCCAAAGCATTGCCCCCAACACACTCCTTTAATGTAGTCCCTTCTTTCCAGGTGTCTTCCTGAAGAGAGAAAAATTTGTAGATCAGAGAGATGCAATTGGGAGCTCCGTAGTGAATCTAGTTAGAAATGAGTAGCAGAAAAAATAGGAAAGACCCGTCTCTCAATATTATGGTTGCTTCCCAAAACAAAACCAGTTGATACAGCATGAAGGCAATTTAAAATGATAGATATGGACATGCTGCCTTACATTTCATATCACCTCTTTACTAAATGAGAATTTTTTGGATGCATAGGGAAAGTTTGCATAATATTGAAAAGTTTGACTTTCTGGAATCTATGTGAGCTCAGGAATATATTTGGGGATCTTAGCAGAGGCCAGTGGTAGCCTATTAAATCTAAAACAATTGGCTTTGTTTTTAAAACCAGCTGCTATTTTGTAGTTTCATTTAAAGAAAAAGTACCTTCTATTCATTTGCAGAAGTTGCTTTATTGGATTCTATGGTCATTGTATATCATAACTATATCTTTTTTGTTACCTGAAATAAACATGTGGCAATTTTCCTGATAGAGATGATGAATTATCTTTATTGTTTGCTTCATATTCCACCCTCACCACCGGGCAAGCGGAGGCTGAGCATGACTTCTGCCATATTGCAGCAACTTATCAGTTGCAATCTGTCACCTAAAACTATTTGATCATATGGTAGTCATGAAAAATATGGAGAATGTAAAGATTTTATGCATTCAGTCAAAAAAAGGCAGATCTAAAATCAGTTGGTTTATTTCCTGCAGTCTTTCAAGTTGACCAAAGCACTCACTGATTTGCTCTATTTTCTTACGTTTTTAGTATTTCTGTATATATGCACTAAAAAGCCCCACTCAGAAAAAAAAAATCAGTGCAATTCTGAGAAAAAGCTTATCCTAAACATCTAAAGATAGCATTTCTAATTATTGTCTACATTGTGTTTAAACTGTGCAAACTTGAGCATTATTCTCACTTTACCAGCTGTGTCTAGGTAGAGTCATTACATCAAACGCTTCTAATTTTACAAAAAGAAATCAAAACAAGCGTGTGTTTCAGTCCCCGTGACAAATGCAAACCCTGTGAGTCAAATAGGCAAACTGATTAGCAAGCTGGCTGGGAAGTCAAAACAGCAAATATAAGGAGATTAACAAAATAGATCTGTAAGATGAGAGGAGTAAAAATAGACTCCAGGGGCCAAGTGGGGTCCGGTGGGTGGCTTTGGTGGCACACATATGGTTCTGTGCCAGGAACCAGATGTCTGCCTTTATGGCCCACAATCTTCCCTTCATTCTAGGTTCCCTCCCCACAAGAGATGGGATCGCAGAGTTCATGTCATTCAGTCTCTCAATGGATGCAGAAATCCTTCTCGGGAACCTCAGAGGTAGCAACTGTCCTTCATTTGAATCCTGGTTGCATGATGCTCACTGCCTTACAAGGCAGCTCCATCTATTTATTAGTAGGTAGCTGTTTTTTGGATCTTAGCCATTGTTATTAATTAGATACTTACCAGGTCCTTATTTGTTGTGCATGCTATGCTGTGCACCTCTCGTGAATAACACTTGATTTAATCTTCAAAACAATCTGGTATGATGATCTTATTTTACCTATGCTCAGAGAGGTTAAGTGACTTGTTCGGGTCACACAGTTTCTGAGTGTGGCAGAGCTGGGGTTCAAATGGGCCTTTCTACCTGAGTCTGACCTGTTAACCATCATGCTATATGCATATCTTTGCCCTTACAATGAACTGTAAATTGTCTGCCTATTATTTCCTCTTTTTTTTTTTTTCTTGTTTGCTTTTTGCTTTTTTGTTTTGGGGTTTTTTGTTTTGTTTCGTTTTGGTTTTTTGGCTCTGGAGGCCCATGGGATAGTTTATCCATCCCATTCCCAAAACAGAAATAGAGTGAGTCGGCCAGGGTGCCTCTTCAGCCCCCATCTACGGGGTCAAGGGTTGTGAAGAGCAAAACTAAGAACACAATGCAATTGACAAGAAGTGTCAGCCTCCTTCTGAAAAAAAAGGTCCACACCTCCCTTGATGGTCCTGAATTCACCATAACCGAGGCAGCAGAGTAGACGATGGGTGTTTGGCACCCATCCTCTCCATCCTGTGTCCCCGTGTAATAGCTGCCTTGTTGCAACTTGTAATTAGGGGGATATTTGAGATCAGGATCAGGAGATTTAGAGACACTGTTTGCTCATCCCCTTTCAGTGTCGATGAGTACAGTTCAAGTTAGTATTCAAACCAGTGAGAACCAACTGGTGGAGCAAAATCACCAGGCAATAGCCTTTCTCTTCAGTTGTCACTTGGGCTCAAGGAAAGATTTTAAAATAAGTTAGTCCTAGTTAGAGGTAAAAATAACCCCTGGAGACAGGTTTCTGGCTGCGGTTCAGTTGGACGCACTGCCTAGCTAGTCTGGGAGAAATGGAAGCTGCCTCCCAGTAACCAGGGTGGAAAAGTCACAGCTAGGAAGTGAGGCTACCCTGGGAGGCTAAAAAGTTATTGCAAGTACGTTTATTCCATGAATGAAGGTGTATACACAAGACTGTTCTAGCCTGGGTATAGATTATAAGTTTCAAAAGAAAGCTGAACTCCCAACAAGCCTTCATCAAAATCAACTGCCTTTCCATCCCACTGCCTCCGTTTGCCTCTGGTTTTGGTCCTGCCAAATGCTAACAACGTCACATTCCAACCCTACTCTTCTGTGCCTAGGCAAGATGCAGTCACCTGGCTTCCCTGGCACTGTCTCTGATATCTGGGAAATGGACCTAAGGCTGTACTCGGAGGCAGATGTGACAAGCTACCAGCCCAGGTGAGATGGAAGGCCTCTTCCCCTCTCAGGCCAGAGGGTCCAGTGCCAGAATCATCCCGACGCTTGTCGCAAATTCACTTTCTCTTCTCCCTTTGGATTCCACAGCTCTGGGATGTAGCCCAGGAAGCTGTATTTTTTTTTTTTAACTTCCCTGAGTGATTCTGGTGATCTTCCTCTTGGAGCCACACTGAAGGGCAAGACAAGCAGTGGCTGAACGTTGTTGCCAGCAGGGTTAGGGAGGTGGGGGCAGAGGATAAGGAGAAGTCCTGTAGGGATTTGGGAAGCATGTTTGCCACTCCCAAAAAAAAGAAAAAAAAGGAAAACGAAAACAAAACAAAAAAAAGCTCAGCTTGGGAGAGAAGCCTAAAACAAACAAACAAAAAAGTAACCAAGACCTCGACGCAGTACTGAATTGCTGAATTTTTAATCTGTAACACAAAGGTTGCCAAACATTCCCCCAAAGGAGCAGCTCTCAGTGGGGTGGCGGTGGATGCGAAACAGCTGAAGACGCGGGGCAGTTGGCCTGGCTTCCGTTGCACGGGCTGGCTTCCCGCGGGAGCGGTGGTGGGTGGGGAGGGGTGGGGGGACTCGAGGCAACCCCCCAGAGCGGCCTCTGAGCGCCTAGGAGGAACCTGAAGGCGGGAAGGGGGAAGATCGTCAGGTCAAAGGCGGGAGTCTCAGGGCTTATGGGGTGGGGAAGGAGGGTCTGGGTGGAAAGGTACCTCAGGGAGCCTAGGAGGCTGTCAGCGTGAGCGGGGTGTTTCGGTACAAATGGAGGCCTTCAGACCTACTGAGTGGGGGGCTCCGAGGGTTGGGGCGGTCCTCAGGATGGAAGGATGGTGGGTCTCGGTATAGGGAGACCTCTGGGTGGAGAGGGCTGCGGGGAGACTTCAGCAAAGGCGAAGGTGAGACCTCAGAGTGGAGGGTGTCTGTTGGAGCAGAGGAGAAGCTCAAAGGCAGAGGGGGGCCTCGGGGGTCCCTGGCCGCCGCCGGGTGGGGGCCGCGCTCAGGCGGCCTTGCACTCGCTCTCGCGCCGCCGCTTCTTGCGCTCTGAGTGCTCCCGCGCCTGGCGCTCCCAGAGCCCGGGCCCGCACACGCCCACCACGCAGCAGGCCAGCCGCCGGCCCGCGTTCCCGTTCTCCACGCTGGCCTGGTTGCCGCCGCGGCCCAGGTCGTCCTCGCCAGCGTGGACGACCACGGCCCGGCCCACGATGGAGTGCGGGCCCGCGAGCGAGGCGGCCAGGCCGGCGCGGTACCTCCAGAGGCTGCCGTCGCGGACCGCGAAGTTGCCGAAGTCGCCCGGGTGCTGCGGGTGCGGCACGGCCAGCGGGTTGTAGTGGGGCCCGGTGGACTCGCAGCCCTGGCTCAGGTCCCCGAACTGGTGCACGTGGATGGCGCGGCTGGAGCTGTTCGGCTCGGTCGGGAAGCCCTCCAGGGCGAAGAAGGCGTCGAGCTTGGCGCGGGGCGCAAGCTGCCGGAAGAGGACGACGCCGGTCACCCGGGGCTGCGCGGCGTCCAGCGTGGCCGACGGCTGCACCTGGCAGGCGGCGTGGAGCGCGCCGTCGTCGTCCCGCCGCTGCATGACCTCCTGCCAGATCTCCGTGACCTTGGCGTACATGTCTCGGATCCACTCCGCCGAGTCAGAGTTGGGCTCCGCCGAGTCCTCGCCCGTCCAGGCGTCCGAGGCACCGGCTGCCAGGAGCAGGCAGGAACACAGTAGCGCCAGCATGGCTGGAGTCGGGCACCTGCGGGACGCCCCCGCGGAGGTGGGGGCAGAGTGAGGCTTAGTCACGTGAAACATAGAATCTCAGGGACCCCATTATCGCAGAACCAACCCCCCAGTCCCCAGTGGGCTTCCTGGCCCAGTGGGCATGACTTCATGTGGCAAACGTTTGTCTAGGGCCTGCTGTGTGCCGGGCACTGTGTTAGGTGCTGTGGCTGTAAAGATGGGTGAGACCCAATCTGAAGAAACCCACAGGGATCTGAGTCACAAATGATCATCGTCCTCTCCAGTCCCATCTCTATAGCGTGGAGGGGGTCTCAGGGAGCGTGAGGGGTGTCTCATGGCCCTTCCAGACCACCTCCCTCATCTCCCCACCTGGTCTCCTGTTACCCTCTTCCTCCATCCTCCCCCACAGACATCCCTAAGGCTTCTGTCCCTGCCTTCTGGGGCTTTGCATGTGCTACGCCTTCTCCCTGAAGTGCCTTCTCCCTGTTCTCTGCTACACTCAGTAGACTTGGAGCTTCTTGAAGACAGAAACTCAGTTTTATTCATCGGTATCCCCAGCACCTGGGCCCACACCTGGCAAAAGGAAACATATAATATGGATTTTGCATAAGGAGTTCAGTGAGGGACAGACTTGGCATCCAATCATTCCAGCACAATCCTGTGATTGAAGATGGGGCCTGTGCTGGAGAAGGACAGAGGAGGCAGTACCCATCTCCCTAGGAGCCTCAGGGAAGGCTTCTCAGAGGTGGTGACTTTTGAACTGGGTTCCACAAGATGGGTAGGAGTTTTCCAGCCAAGTTGGGTAGGAAGGCCATCTCAGCAGGCAGTGCAGTGGAAGTTTTTAAGAAGAAAAGTGGGTGATGAGATAGTCTTTAGTTCCTTAAGTCCTACTGGTAAAAGGATATGGGTTGGACTTTGGGATGAAGAGGAAAGGGGAGGAAGAATGGGAGTAGCCTAGGGAGAGACAGAGAAGCAGAAATAGAGACAGTGAGATGAGTTAGGGGGCGTTGTAGTAACCCAAGCAGGAAATGAAGGCTTTTACCAAAGTGCAGGTGGTGCACACAGAGGAGGCATGGGTTTAAGAGACACACCGGGCAGCACTGGCAGGATGGAAGATGAAGGCACAGTGCAGATGACCAGGGTTCCCAGCAGGAGAGACTGAGTGGAGGGAGGGTGGGACCTGTTCTGGAAAAGCAGGGAGAGAGGATTAGTTCAGCTGGAGTCTCCTGAGGGTGAGACGCTGGCGGGTGCCCAGGTGGGAAGACAGGTGGGCAGACAGTCGGAAACTTGGGTCTGGCACTTAGAAGAGGAGATGAAGCTGGCAGGGGTTCTCAGTGTTGACTGCACATCAGATGTCTGGTTTTTAAAAATCAGATGCCCAGGCCCCACCCCAAGAGATTTTGATTCTGTGAGAAAGAAAGGAGAGAAGAAAGACAGAGAGAGAGGAAGGAAGGGAAAGAAAGAGGAAAGAAAGAAAAGAAAAGAAAGAAGACACCTCTATCAAAGATTCTGGGGCCCAGCTAGGAATTATAAAGTCAGGTACAGATTTGAATCCCAATTCCAACCTATACTAACTGTGACTTCACGGGGTTACTGATGCTTAGCTTCAAGTTCCTTACCTGTAGAATAAGGCCAGCCATGCCACCGAGGTATTTCCAGAGGGATTGATGCTGCCTCCAAAGAATTGCTTTGAAGGTCAACTGCATTTCCAGCACCAAACTAGGTGCCATTTAAAAAACTCCAAGATTGGGTAGATATGCTTTATATAACCATTTCAGAAAGGCAATTTAGTGTGGTTATTAAAGGGATGGATTCCAGAACTCACCTCATGAATCTAAAGCCTGACTCTGCCACTTAGTCTAAGGGTTAGCTGTTACTATTTTTATTGCTGAGTAGCAGAGTAATTGCTGGACTGCAGACTGTACACTGTCTCATCCCCTGTGAACCTCAGTTTTCTCATCTGTAAATAGGGATACTAATACAGACTTACCTTAGAGGCTTGCTGCGAGGCTTAAAAGAGATGATTAGAATTGCTAAAACTTATCGAACACAGGCGCCAGACACTATTATAAGTACTGTGCGTGGGTTAATTCCCTGCATCCTCACAAGAACATTATTCAGTGTTATCCCCATTCTAAAGTGTAGGAAACTGAGGCACAGAGAGGCGTGTGTCCCGCCCAAGGTGACATGTTCACTAAGGAGCTGAAGGCAGGATTTGAAAGTGTGTGTCTGCTCCAAGCCCAAGGTTTAGGCACCACACTGCACATCTCTCATCTAGGGCACTTAGCACAGAGCCCAGTACATAGAAAGTTCCCAGTAAATGGCAGCTCTTAGCTATCAGAGAGAGCTGCTGGTAGAGATTTTAAGGACCATTAGCTAAGAGATGCTATGGACACTGTGAGAGGAGGTCCCCTTGAAAGGCTCCAAGAAGGAGGATCCAGAAAGAGGGAGAAGCAGAGAAAGTGATGTTGAAGGACTCACCTAAATGACATGGCCCAATGTGGTACTACTACCCCAAAGCCCCAGGGAGTAGGCAGGAAAGTGGGGTAACTCTCCTGCCAGACCTGGACATGAAGTTCCCCATCATCAAAGACACCTTCCTCCTAAGACAGCCCTGCCACTCAGAAGGGCTCTGCTGCTTAGAAAGTTCTCCCTAAAAGCACAGAGCAAAACCAGATTGTTTTGGGTGTGTCAGTGAGCTTTCTTTTTCAAGAATCCTTGGGAAATAAACATTTTAAGGAGATGTTTTTCTCTGAAACCAAAAGAAGAGCCAGGCATGGTGGCTTATGCCTGTAATCCCACCCCTTTGGGAGGATGAGACAGGAGAATCATTTGAGTACAAGAGTATGAGACCAACCTGGTAGAGACCCCCATCTCTAGCAAAAAAAAAAAAAAAAAATAGCTGGGTGTGGTGGCATGTGCCTGTAGTCCCAGTTACTCAGGAGGTTGAGGTAGGAGGATCGCTTGAGCCCGGGAGGTAGAGGCTGTAGTGAGCCGTGATAGTGATCGTGCCACTACATTCCAGCCTGGGTGCTGGGTGACAGAATGAGACCATGTCTCAAAAAAAAAAAAAAAAAAAAAAAAAAGAGAAGAAGGAGGAGGAGGAGGAAAAGGGGGAAAGAAAATTCTCCCTCAAACCCAGGTAAACTCTGACTTCTTGTTTCTTAAGCCTTTGACACCTCTTCCCCTCGGGACCAACTTGATTCTTCTCCCACAGCCTCTTGCTCAGTTTGAGCTGTGAATGACCAAGTGCCTTTTTAAGGGCCTCCTTTGTACGTGGATCTGGAAGGGAGGACGGTGTTATCAGAGAAAGAGGACAGTGTTATCAGAGAAAGAGGACAGGGGCCCTTATCCTGAACCAAATAGAGGCACCAAGCCTTTATCTCCTTCCTGGGTCTGTATCTGGGAAGAACCTGCCCCTCTTGAGCCTTGGGTGTGTTTCATCCCTCAGCTGTCTCCTAGAAGGAGCTCTTGCTGGGAGCCTGAGCTGGCCAGGGCCTCTCTGCTTTCCTAAGGAGGTGGCTTTTTAGAGTACCTGCTGTCCCATAAGTGGCTCCCGACACCAAAGCCATGCAACATCTAGAAAGGCCCCCTTTCTCGTCACTCCAGATTCCTTTTCCTAACACTAAAATCCTCTTGGACTGGTCTTTGCAGATCCACAGGAGGAACGGTTTCTTCCTCCCCTCCTTGCCTTCCTCCCCGCTCACTCCACCTCCCCACTAACCCCTCAGAGCAGCCAGGGAAAGTACATTTCCTTCCCAAGAAGATGATCCAATTTGTTCCCAAGAAGAGGCCCGTTGCCCCAACCCAGCTTCAGACTCAATAAGCACACTCCGAGAAGAACAAAATGAACCTCAACTTAGCACCCACCTTTCCAGCTCCTCCAAGAGAGCTTTCTCTCCTGAAAAGAGAGCTGCACCCAGCCAGCCCAGGAACGCAGGCTGTCCCTGGAGCCTGGGCTGTTAGCGCGAGTGCAGGAGGCCAGCCCAGAGGAGTGGTCAGCGTGAGGGAGCCAGTCATTGGGCCAGTTCAGGGAGGAAAAGCAGGCCAGACCTCCCCGGGTTGTAGAATTGCTTCGCCTCCACCTCCTCCCGCTCTGTCCCCACCTCCTCTGCCCCTCCCATTTTTGGGTTTTCGGGCCAAGGATTCCATTCCGCGACTTCACCGGCTTGTAGCCAGTGACCTTCAGCACACAGCAGGGGAATAAAAATGAGAAAGAAAATCGCCTGTTTGGAGAGGTGTACAATGACCTCTTTATTGAGAGGCCCTTTGCTTTTCTGTAAGTCAATAACTTATTGACTTATTTTTGCTGCATGGAAATGGGCACCTTGCAAATGTGCGTGGCATTTGCTCCAGAGCTGTGCTGTCATACCTATGAGAGCAGAGCAGCGGGTGGGTCGTGATGACACACTCAGGCTGCAGAGTCCCAGCCTTGTCACTTCCTATCTGTGTACGCCTGAAGCAGCTGCACCACTCCCTGCACCTCCTTTTCATCATCTGTAAAATGGGGGTGTGAGGCTGTCCACCCCGCACGCCCACCGTGAAGATCCAATGAGATCATTACTCGCCCAGTGACAACACAGTGGCTGGCACTAGCCGCACTCATAAGTAATCATCATTGTCATTGTCGTTACCGTTATTATTAAAGAGATGAAGGAGTCTTTTTAAAAAATGTGTTGTCTGGGAGAACTAGGAGTGTTTCCCTCCCGACGTCTGTCCTTTTTTTGCTGCCATGAACTTTTCTCAATCATAGCAGCCCTTTCCAAAAATAGAAGCTCTTCTTTCCCAGAAAAGCCCATGTGGGAAAAACCAGGCAGCCTGCTTGCTGGCCTGCCCGTCCTCCTGCATTCCTGCAACAAATGTTTATTGGGTGCTCATCCATTCCAGTCACCATGCTGTATGCCGGGCACCCACAGCTGCATGAGTCACCTTGGGGGTTCATACTCTGGGGACGGAGACAACAACGTCAGTAAATGCATCCAGTACAGAGTGGGGAGCGCAGCGACGAAGAATGAACAGGGCCTCGTGAGGTCCCAAACACCCGTTTCGGTGGCAGGAAAGCTTATAAAAAATCTAAATCTCTGGATCCCACCCCAGGATGGGTGACTTAGTTACCAGCAGGAGCTTCCTAGAATCATCTTGGAAAAACTCAAACTAATGATCTTTATCCAGGGACAGGCATTCTGCGAGATAAGAGGGAGACTTCCCAGAACTGAGACTCCAGCCCTTCCACCCTACCGTCCTTCCTTCTGGCCCGCTGAGAACTCAGGCACCAGTAGCTCAGTCTTGCACCTCTGCATTCTGTTGGTAGGCGTAGTTATCCTCAACTAATGAGTTTTCAGAGTTCCCCATGCCACCCACCACCCCACCCCCACCCTGCAACAGTCTAGTTCCTTATTGTGAATCTTTCTTCCCATTTTTAAAACATTTATATTTTCATTCAGTTCTTGAAATCCTAATTATATACATTCATAGCTACTATTTTAAATGGCACTTGCTTCACTTGGCCTAATTTTATTTCGTTTAAGGTCCAAGAAAGCACGTCTCCGTTCTGGTATTCTAGGACTTGTGCTAAAGCCTAGATTTACTTTCATTTTGATGGCATTCTAGAGGAAATCTGCCTTTTTCTCGCCACCGCCCCCAACCTCCCCACCATGGCAACATTCATTCCCTCTTCCTTTGGTAACAACATCCCAATTTCCTTTCTGAGAAACCACTATACTTTCAGTCCAGCAGGTGGTGTTGACTTCATCTCCTGCTCCAGAGGTAGCTTGTGGCTTAGGTATGATAAATCGTACTATTGCACTGGTTCAGGGATGATCCACCTTCAGAGCCAATGAGATGCAATGCCACTTTTCACTGGGACTGTTGAAAGAGATGCATCCTCTCTTTCTTACTGGACTTGAAACTGGAGAAAAAAGGCTGGAGTTATTGCAGCCATCATGCTCCACTAAGGGAGAAGCTGTCTGAGGATAAGGCCAATGCAGAAGGCTGTGGAATAAAAGTAGAGTGAGAGCTCAGTGCAGTGGTATACGCATGTGTAGTCCCAGCTACTAGGAAGGCTAAGGCAGGAAGGTTGCTTGAGCCCAGGAATTCAAGGCTATAGTGTGCTATGATCACTTCTGTGAATATTCCACTGCACTCCAGCCTGGGCAATGTAGCAAGACCCTGTCTCTAAAAAAAAAAAATGGTAGAGTGAAATCTGAACCCACTGGCATGGGTTCAGATGCTCTATTTTCATTATATGAGTCGATACATTCTCATTTTGCTTAAGGTGTTTAGGTTGAGTTTTCTGAAGTTGCAGCTGAACACTTTATGAAGCACTTTCTCATATAGTATCGTATTTAATGCTTGCAATACTTTTTGTGGGGTGGATATTAATTTGGCAACTTTGTTTATAAGAAAATAAAGTCCAGTAAGAAAAGGTAATGGACCCCAGGTTGGAGAGGTAGAAAATGGCAAAGTCAAGATTCAACCCTAGGACTTTGATTCCTAAGCTTGGATTCTTAATCATTATGCTTTACTACCACCTAACCTAATGAGAAGATGAAAACAAAGTTAGAAACAAGTAACAGAGGAGTCAGAGGAGTTCACATTTCACAGTGATCTCTGTAACATCAGTGACTGCCATGCAAGCGAGACATTGAACAATTGACCTCTTATTCTTTTCACATTTGTTAATGTATAATACACTGGAAAGTCAAATGAGCATTGTCAAGCACCAGTTTTAGGAAGTGCGTTGAAAAGCACTCTTCCCACGTGGAAGAGCTCTCTGCTAGAGAACTTTGTACATTTCGTACAGGAATGCCAGTTGTAAATAGCTTCCTTTTCATGTGTACAGAAAACTGATAGACTTAAATTCCACCAGGAAATAGAGTGGTTACCCTGAGAAAATTTTTGAAAACAATTAAGGTTTCAGGTTAACCTCCCTAGAAAGCCAGGTTTTGTGTGATCACTATTTACCCAACCAGATTACTTCAAACACATCTGAAAAACTAACAGTATGTTTCGCCTGCCCAGGGTTCTCCCAGAAGCCCCCCGGGGAATTAAAGTAAAACCAGGGAACTGCATAGTACAATCTTGAATCTTATAATTTTATCTAGAAACATCTGGTTAACAGGAAAAAGTGGATCCTCACTGGCAGGGTGCGCAGGAAGAAAAGAAGCATCATTCTTATTATGAATAGGAATAAAATAATGGGCCAGACACAGTGGCTCACACCTGCAATCGCAGCAATTTGGGAGGCTGAAGCAGGAAGATTACTTGAGGCAAGACCAGCCTAGGCACCATGCGAGACCCCCATCTCTACAAAACATTTTAAAAAATCAACCAGGTGTGGTGGCACATGCTTGTGGTCCAAACTACTGAGGAGGCTGAGGTGGGAGGATAGCTTGAGCTCAGGAGGTTGAGGTGGCCGTAAGCTATGATTGTACCACTGCGCTCCAGCCTGGGTGACAGAGCAAAACCCTGTCTCAAATAAAGGAAAGAAAATAATCACGTCTAATATTTACTAAGAGCCTCTGCTGTACCAGGAATGGGCACCCTTCATGTGCACCTCTTCATTTGTATTATTAGTGCTGTTCCTCAGTGAAGAGGGGACATTGCATGCTGTTCTATGCCCCATTCTGGCACGTTTGCTTTCACTGTCGACATGTCAACCCTCCTCTTTAAATGTTGGCACAATGTGTATGAAGGAGAAGGTAATGAACACCAGTAAGAACCAGTAATTTTTCAACTAATTACACATGAGGCCACATGAAGAGAATAACCAATAGCAGAATACAGAAGAAATGCCTTTCCTGATCCGAAGGTGAGTGTGTGTAAAATATTCACTTAGGAAAACACCAGAGTTAAATCCCTCCACACTGAGTTCTTCATGAACTCTGACTCTCCCTCCAGTTCTACTCCCTGCCCCATGCCTGTGAGAAAACTTGGGCCAATTCTGGTTTGCCAGAGGGAAACAAGATAGCCTGGCTCAGGCACACCCAGGGATGCCGATAATAATAATAATAAAAGAGCAGTGTCATAACTTAAAAGCAAATCCAATTTAATGCTTATTTCCTCAAAATAATGTCATGGTACACTCTACTTGGGGGAAAAAAAGGAGACTTTTCCAGCTTATTTTCTAATTATATTTATTTACCAAACATTCAGTGGGCTCAACAGCCATATGTGCCCCAGTTCTTACTCTCTCCTTCCCAAGAAGCCAAAAAGCTTGACATTTGCTTTCCCAGAATCCCTTTCATCTGGCATTGGTCATGTGACCCAGCACATAGTCCATGAGACATAACCTGATGTGCCTTTGGGAAAAGCTTTTTCTTTCTTTATAAAAGGCAGAAATGGCTAGTGTTTTTCCCTTTCCTTTGCCTAAAATGTGGGTGTGATGTCTGGCAACATGGTAGCTACTTTGGATCCATGCAATGACAAGAATGAGAACATAAGGCCAACATGCCCAGGATGGTAAAAGGGAAAGATGGAAAGAACCTTGGTCCTCAAAGACCTCACTGAACACCTTAACCAACACCTGCACAGCTCTAATCTTCTTGTAATAGAAGAAAATCAGCCTCAACACATTCTACTATTAGTGGGTTTCTGTTACTAGCAGCCAAATTTATGCCTAGCTGATGCAATTATGTGTCAGACCCTATACTGGGCACCATGACTATGAAGATATGGAAATCACAGCCTTAATTCAAGGGGCTCATAGTCTATTTGGAGAGACATATGTGCAAGGGACCACAGAATCTTCCCAGTGTCATACTCTTATTTTGCAGGTGGAAACCAAGATCTAATTGATTATTCCAGTGTCATCCCCATTAGATGTAGAGGAAGAATTTGAAGCCTTCAGGCTGCTGACCTTCAATCTCACCAGTTCCAAGGCTCCATTGACCATCTCTTCACCTGTCCCCCTGCTTACCCCGTCACACACACACCCTGCAATTTCACCATGAGAAAGAAGTACTCTCCCCACTCTGAAAGCCAGCTTGGCCCAGCCCCTTTCCTCCATACTCCCAGAATGAACAAACTAATAGAAAAGATGGGCGGAAGTTCTCCAAGGAGCTGTGTAAAATGCACAGACATTGCCATTGCCACATGTAGAAAACAGAATCTGAGGACAGAGGTGAGACAGACTACTCTTGGAATTTTAGAAAATTGATGTTAGAAGGAAATGTAGAGGGAAGAGAGATCCTCTTGACTCAGAGTTTATTTTAGAAAAATAATTAGGAATTCTAAATGCTGACAGGGCTGACAGGATTCAAAAAGAGGCCTCAGATCCAAGGCCTAGGGAAGAAAATAGGGCAGCCGCCATGTGTCTCACTCAGAAATGAATCCAGAATGGTTCTGGCCAATCTTCAGGGATGATTTTAAATGAAGTGGGTCATAGCTTCCATCATAGTCCCCAAACCACCATCACTCACCAGGGTCACCTAAAGAGGAGCAGCTACAGGAGAACCAGCATCTGGAAGATTAGAAGATTCTGTGTTATAGCTGTAGTAGTATATTTTGAATTTCACTTCACAGAATATTGGAGCAATCATACAAAGCAGCCCACCTCCTCATAGTGTTCCTGGGTCATGGCCCAGCTGTGCAGACTCCATCTTGCCCTTCTAGAGAAAACAGAGGGAATGCGGTTGAGTCTTAAGACATCCTCTGCACAGTGGGGATGTACTACAGATTTAGCATCCTTCCATTTAAAAGCTCCAAAATCTAAAATTTTTTGAGCACCAACATGAGACAATGACACCTTTGCTTTCTGATGGTTCAATGTATATAAACTTTGTTTCATGCACAAAATTATTTTTTAAATTGTATAAAATTAGCTTCATGCTATGTGTTTTAAATATACACAAAGCACAAATAAATTTCACATTTAGACTTGTGTTCCATTCCCAAGATATCTCATTATGTATGTGAAAATATCCCCAAATCTGAAAAAATCCAAAATCCGAAACAATTCTGGTCCCAAGCATTTTGGGTAAGGGATACTCAACCTGTACGAGCTGTTGGCAGCCTTAGCCTGGGACCAAGGCATGAACTTCTAGAATATCTCTCCCAACTTCTGTCCACTTTAGCAGAAGAAACTTATCATACTGGCCATTCTCCCCCAAACTGTTACACCAAAGCAGGAATTTATAGCTCATTGGCCAAGCCATTGCAGAAAAGATGGAATCTAACTACTGACTCAACTACGTGATTTCACTTAGGAAGACAAGTTTTAATAGATCAGAACATTCCTCTGGTTGGGCACTAGTGACCAAAATGAAGTTATCTTTTCATTCGTGAATATATTCATCATTTAAACACAAGTATAGATTTGCAACCTCTTTAAAAATGTATTTTCAGAGAGAGAACAGCAATTTCTATAAGAAAATGACTATGCATAGGCTGAATCTATCATCTCCTTTTTACATTCTTTCCCTCAAAGCTAGAAAATCTCAAATTTACTACCACAGGAATTAAAAACTCAGTGCCTTTGGAGGCCATACAGGTCACATAATGAGTAAAGTTGGCTGGATATAGATCTCTTATTTGTTGATGTGATTTGGATATTTGTTCCCTCCAAATCTCATGTTGCAATGTCATCCCCAGTGTTGGAGGTGGGTCTGGTGGGAGGTGTTTGGATCATGAGGGTGAATCCCTCATGAATGGCTTAGCACAATTCCCTTGGTGATGAGTGAGTTCATGCAAGATCTGGTTATTTAAAAGTGTGTGACCCCTCACCTATCTCTCTCTTCCTCTCATCATGTGACATGTTGCTCCTACTTTCATTTCTGCCAAAAGTTCCCTGAGACCTCACCAGAAGCCAAGCAGATGCCAGCACCATGCTTCCTGTACAGCCTGCAAAAAGATGAACCAATTAAACCTCTTTTCTTTATTAATTACCCAGCTTCAAGTATTTCTTTATCGCAATGCAAAAATGGTCTAATACATTTGTCTTTAAACTCACAAACTGCTTATCTACATTTTATCTTTCTATTTTAGTGGAGATACTAACCTGAAAAATATTTCTCTTCCATGAGAAGAAACAGCAGTTCATTGAAAAATGGCAACTCAGCCATTCTCAGATTGGATAAAAAAACAAAACCCAGCTATTTGCTGCTTCTCAGAGATGCATGTCAAATATAAAGACACAGACAGACTGGCAGTAAAAGCATGAAAAGAAGATTTACCATGGAAACAGTAAGCAGAAGAAGGGCATAGTTATATTAACATCAGCCAAAAATTGACATCAAAACAAAAGCTACTGCTGTAGATAGTCACAGCAATTGGACAGTTCACAATGACAAAAGGTACATTTATCAAGAAAACATAATAATCCTAAATTTTATCTATCCAACAACAAAACTCCAGAATGAATGAAACAAAACTTTTAAAAACTAAGGCCGAGGTGGGCGGATCACGAGGTCAGATCGAGGTCATCCTGGCTAACACGGTGAAACACCGTCTCTACTAAAAACACAAAAAATTAGCCAGGCGTGGTGGCAGGTGCCTGTAGTCCCAGCTACTGGGGAGGCTGAGGCAGGAGAATGGTGTGAACCCAGGAGGCGGAGCTTGCAGTGAGCTGAGATCACGCCACTGCACTCCAGCCTGGGCGACAGATTGAGACTCTGTCTCAAAAAAAAAAAAAAAAAAAAATTTAAAAACTAAAGACAGAAATAAACAAATTCACAGTCATAACTGGACACTTTTAACATGCCTTCTCATTAATTGATAGAAGAAATAGACAAGACAATTAGTTATTTGAACAACATTATTAACTGACATAACTGAACTTGTATTTTCCCAGTGGTTCCATAATAAATATTATTTTCAAATTTACATGGAATGTTTACCAAGATAGATCATATCTTAGGCCAAAAATAAGTTTTTATTAAATTTAAAGAGGTTAAAACATTTCAGAGTATGTTATATGAGTACAATGAAGCTAAAATACAAATCAAGGAGATATGTATAAAATCCTCAAATATTTAAAAATTAAATAATTCATTTCTCAATAACTTATGAGCCAAAGAATAAACCACAGGGATATTAGAAAATATTACACATGAATTGTAATGAAAACAACATATCAAGCTATAGAGGATGGAGCCAAAGCAGTTCTTAGAGGAAAACACATAACTTTCAATGCATATATTAGAAAAGTACAAAGGTTGAAACATTAAGAAGCTAAAGAAAGGAGCAAATTAACCCAATGTAAGTAGAAGGAAATAAGTAATAAAGAACATAAATTTATAAAATAGAAAACGGATAAACAATAGAGAAAAAATTTAAAAATGAAATGTGGATTATTTGTAAAGATTAATAAAGTTGATAAAGTTCTAGCAAGACTAATAAAAAAGAAATCAAAATTACCAATATGAGAAATAAAAGAGGGTACATTATTTCATATCCTGTAGCTATCAAAAGGATAAGTCTTGTGAACAAATTTATGCTAATAAGGTCAATAACTGAGATGCAATGGGAAAATCTTTGAAAAACACAACTTACAGAATTTACACAAGAAAAACAGGGTGCATTGTCCCATGTATATTTAAAAAATTTATTTTGTTATTTAAAACATCCTTCCCACAAAAGAAAGTCTAGGCCAGATGGGTTTGCTGGTGAATTCTATAAAATGCTTATAAAATATTTAAGAAATAAGTAATACCAAATTTACACAAACTTTTCTAGAAAATAGAGAAGGGTAACGTTCTTCTAAATTTCTCTTCTGAGACTAACATAACCATGAAATTAAAAGCCTGACAAATAAGTATCTCTAATGAACATAAATAAAAAATTCCTGAACAAAATTTTAACAAAACAAATTCAGAAAATATACAATATGGAAAATATATTGTGACCAATTAGAGTTTACCGCAGAAATGCAAGTTTGGTTTAACATTTGAAAGTTAGTTTATATAATTAACCACATTAACAGAATGCAGTGAAAAAAAATCACATGATCATCTGGATAGATGAAGGAAAAGTAGTTCACAAAATCTAACCCCGTTCATGATAAAAAAAAAAGAAACTCTTAGCAAACTAATAATAAAAGGCAACTTCCTCAGTTTGATTAAAGGCAGTTATGAAAAACCTACAAGTAGCAGGCAACTTAATGGAGAAATATTGAATGTTTTCCATCTAAGATTGAGAACAAGGTAAGGATATCTGCTCTCCTCATCTCTAGTCAATATTGTACTGGAAATCCTAGCCAGTGTAATAGGATAAGAAAAAATAACAATAAAAAGCCTGGAGGCCAGGCGTTGTGGCTCATGCCTGTAATCCCAGCAGTTTGGGAGGCCGAGGTGGGTAGATCACCTGAGGCAGGAGTTCGAGACTAGCCTGGCCAGCATGGTGAAACCCCATCTCTACTAAAAATACAAAAAAATTTAGCCAGGCATGGTGGCTGTAATCCCAGCTACTGGGGAGGCTAAGGCAAGATAATTGCTTGAACTCACGAGGCAGAGGTTGCAGTGAGCTGAGATCATGCCACTGCACTCCAGCCTGAGCAACAGAGCAGGACTCCATCTCAAAATAAATAAATAAATAAATAAATAAATAAATAAATAAATAAATAGCATGGATATTGAGGGGCATATGTAAACTTTATGCAAACATGAATGTCTACATAGAAAAGTCTGGGCCAAGTGCAATGGTACATGCCTGTAATCTCAACACTTTGGGAGGCTGAGGTGGGCAGACTGCTTGAGCTCAGGAGTTTGAGAGCAGCCTGGGGAACAGTGGTGAAACGCTGTCTCTATAAAAAATAAAAAAATTAGCCGGGCATGGTGTTGTGCACCTGTAGTCCCAGGTATTCTGGAGGCTGAGGTGGGAGGATAGCTTGAGCCTGGGGGGAGTCAAGGCTGTGGTAAGCTGTGATCATGTCACTGCATTCCAGCCTGGGTGACAGAGTGAGACCCTGTCTCAACAAGAAAGAAAGAAGAGAAAATAAAAGAAAAGAAAAGAAAAGAAAAAAGGAAGGAGAGAGAAAGAAAAGAAAAGAGAAAAGAAAAGAAAATTCTAAGGATATTTTTTAAACACTACTGGAAATAATCAGGGAATTTACCAGGGTCACAAGATACAAAGTCGGTAAATAAAAGTAAATTGGGTTTCTAGATACTAGCAACAAACAATTTGAAAATGAAATAATTACCATTGATAAGAACACCAAAATGAATGAAATATTTAGTAATAAATTCAGAAAAAAGATTTTTAAAATTCTACACTTAAAATGTGCAAGATATACAAAAACACAAAATGTTTCTGAGAGATATTAAAGCAGATCTAAACAAATCGAAAGATATGCCATATTTGTGGATTAGAAGACTCAGTATTAAGATGTCAGTTACCTCAAATTTAACACAATGCCAATCATAATCCCAGCAGGCTTTTGTGTAGAAATTGAAAAGATTATTCTGCAGTGTGTGTGGAAAAGTAAATGACCTAGAACTGCTAAAACAATTTTGAAATACATACACACAGTTAGAAGACTGGCACTACCTGACTTTAAGACCTATTATAAAAATTTAATAATCAACTCGGTGTGGTATTGGCATGAGGACAGACATATCGATCAATGGAACAAAATAGAAAATTCAAAAATAGACCTATACATACATGGTCAATTGACTTTTGCAAACAGTGCCAAGGTAATTTAATGGGGCAAAGGGTAGACTATTCAACAAATGGTACTGGAACAACTGCATATCAATATGGAAGTAAAACGAACTTCTACCTTTATCTTAAACACATAAAAAAACTTTTTCAAAATGGAGCACAAACCTAAGTGTAAAAGTGAAACTGTAAAACTTCTGGGATGTAAATATTGCTTACTGGAACACCAAAAGCATAAACCATACAAGAAAAAATTAACAAACTGGACTTCATCACTAGTAAGAATGTTTGCTCTTCAAAAGAAACATTTAAGAAACTGAAAAGACAAATCACAGATTGGGAGAAAATATTCCTAATACACATAACTTTCAAAGGACTTGTATCTAGACTATATAAAGAACTCTTATAACTCAATAAGAAGAAAGACAATCCAGTTGAAAAACTGGATGAACATTTTTAACCAATGTTTCACAAAAGAAGATATACAGATAACCAATAAGCATATTCATTGGTTATCAGGAAAATGCAAAACAAAACCACAGTTTAACATTGCTCTATGTCAATTTGCTTGGCTAAAAATAAAAACACTGACAATGGCAATGTGGGCAAGGATATGGAGTGACTAGAACTTTCATACATTAATAGTGAGACTGTGAAATGCTACAACTACTTGGAAAAACTCTTTAGAAGTTTTTTATAGGCTTAAACATGCCTTTAACATATGATTCAATATTTTCATTCCTAGAAAAATGAAAATGCATGTCCACAGACATATACATGAAAATATATAAGAGCATTATTCATAATGGGTCCACTGGGAACATTGCAAATATCCATCAGCAGGTGAACAGATATATTATTTGCGTTATATTTCCACAATGGAACACTATTCAGAAATAAGATGGAATAAACTGCTGGTACATAGACCTTGCCTAGAAAGGATTTGAACTTGAGGTGATCCTCACACCAAGGATGTTTGGGGACAGTGAGGCTTCAAACATGAAGGAATCTCAGAAATATTAGTCTAAGTGAAAGCAGCAAGATGCAGATTAGTATATACCGTGTGATTCCATTCATATGAACTTCTAGAATAGGTAACCTAATCCTATTGTCATGGAAATCGGAAAAATGGCTTCCTGGGATGGAGGTAGAGGAACACTGAGAGAGGCAGAGGCAGAGAAAAAGAGAGAGAGAAAAAGAGAGAGAGAGAAAGAGAGAGAGTGTGTGTTTGTGTGTGTGTGCATGTGTGTGTGTGCGTGTGTGCATGTGTGTGTGTGCCTGCATGCATGTGTGTTGGAATTAGCTGCAAAGGGGCATGAGAAATCTCTCTGGAGTGATGGAAGTGTTCTATATCTTGAATGTGGGATGCTTACATGAGTGTTTACATGTCAAAGAGCATGCATTTTATTGCTTGTAAATTATCCCTTAATAAATTTGAAAAGCACAGACATCTTGTAAGCATTAGCAAAGTAAGAAAGCTGGCAACTCTTGGGCTCACCTCGTTGGTGTGAGGATGACCTCAAGTTCAAATCCTTTCTAGGCAAGGTCATCCAAATTAAATTTTGTATTATGTTGTTGGTCCTTCAGATTTAGTCTTGCAAAGTTTGAGGTCAGAACTCTAATGAGTAAGCATTGGAGAGTAAAAAGAGAAAGCTTTCTTATTCATTAGTGGGACAGTTGTCCTGTTGAGACCCTCCTCTGACGTCTCTTGGGAGAGCACTGCTCCTGACCTCAGGCTAACTAAATTGACAGTTTCTACACAGCACTGATCCACTCCAAGCCTCACTGTCCTCACATGTAAAAACAAGGTAGGATTTTGTGAGGATTTTTTTGACAATTAAATGAGATAATTATGTAAGGAAACCAACTAGGTGCTTGGCATGTAGCAATCATTGAATTCTGTAATTGCATTACCTGTTTTTTGAGGAGTAAACCTTTTGAGGTTTTTTTGAGGTCCTTCATTTTATAAATTGGACTGGAGAACACAAAGGTATCAGGGTGGAAGTGGAAAGACTTGTGAATGTAGAATCAATTTCTTTATATTGTCATGGATTTCTGTTTCTTCTTTTTAGGACTCAAGATACTGGTACCTTTGTTTTTGTGTTAGCTAGATCTCCTTAAGTTTCAAGTGACAGAAATGCAATTCATGCCAATTTCAGCAAGAGGGAATTTTACTGGCTCATATGACTGAAAAATCCAGGATCTTCTATTTTCATAGCTCTAAAACTTCTAATAGTTCCAACAAAATTGCCCAATTGAATCTCATGGAACCTACGTGAGTCCTGTTTCCATATCTGAACCCATAACTATGTTGATGAGGATGGAATACAGTTTTCATCATAGGCTTACTCTGTCAGCCAGAAGTAGGGTCAGCACCACCAGAACAGCATGGGGAGAGAGGGAAAGACACTGTTTCCCAAAGAAAAATACAAGTGCTGCTCTGTTTTGTCCTAGTTTTGTATGTTTGACAAGTCGTTTCTCTGGCACTACAGATTGTTCTCCCTGTGTTTGCAATACCATGGTGGATTATGCACAAGCAGCTTAGTGTTCTGGGGGGAAATTCACTCCTGTGAAATTGCCTACGCATCACATGATCCTGCTATGCAGTTTTCACATCTATTCCCAGTGAGGCACCCGTTCTAAAAAAAGAACGTTAGCTCCACAAAGGAGGGGAAAGAAGCTATTCCTACTAAGAATCTATGACTTGGTCTTGTTGTTAAACAGACTTTGGAATCTCTTTTTTTCCATTTACACAGAGTTTGAGTTCATTTCCGCACCACCCTTTTGTACACTGAAGGTGCCTTAGGAGGAAGAGAAGGATGGAATTGTTTGTTTTTCCAAGTATTCAGTTTTTACAAGCAGGCTAGTTGGTCACTTGGAACACTTTAATTTCTTCCTGTTATGAGACCAGTCAAATTGGATGAATGAATTAGACCATTCATTTAGAAGCCATAAATGCCAACTGAATGGAAAGAAACTAAACTCCCCTTTTCCAAATGGCAGTCAGAAAGTGTCCAAACCAATGCTGATGGTAAGCTGGCATCATCCTCACCATCATTTTGTGTTTTGGGACTTTGCACATTTTGCAAAGTGTTTATGTAACATGTGGGTAGTAGACACTGATGGTTTCCTGTGATAATTGATCCCTGCTTTTCTTTTCTATCAGGTATCTGTTTTGTTCAGGTATAGAACTCTACTAAAATGCAGGGAGTCACCAACAAAGTTCCTGATTAATCTTGTTCGATCAGCACATGGTATTCCCTGAGGATGGCCAAGAAGTGAGATGAAATGATCTGGGTCCTTGAGGCCCTGATGGCTCTGCATCTGCATCTTTTTTAACCTCTGGACTTCCCACTCTGTGACTCTGTTGTGTAAGTTAGTGCAAGCCAAGACTTTCTTTTACTTGCAGCCCATACTAATACAGTGTGCCCGTCATCATCATCATCCATCCATTCATTTATTCATTCAATCTAACATTTCCAAATTCAGTCAAAGTACAGTCTTGTCAACAATACCTCCAGCACTTTAGCTTTGCTAGTGCCAAGGCTACAAAGCAGGTCTATGTAAATATTCCTGTAAATACTCTGTGAGGAATTGGCCTTTAGTCAGGCAATGTGCAATAAAGAAGGCATATTCCTTCCCCCTTCCAGACACTGGAACCAAGAGAGTAGTTTTCAATTGGATCAACCCAAGACTATCTGCCAGGAATGCTTTTGGCTACAAATAAGGAAAGTATGACAAAAAACCTTGCTGGAACACTCAGGCATTTGTTGCATGGAACAAAAAGTCCAGAGCTGGTAGGGTGGCTCCGTGATACCTGCAGGGCTTGCGATTTTCCCATCTTTGCTTGCCATCATTGTCAGTGTTCAGGCTTCTGACCTCATGAATGTTGCCTCAAGGCTGCAAGGTGGCTTATACACCTCCAGATATGGCACCTCACTTCAGGCAGGAAGAAAGAAAAGGGAAGTAGAAACACCCTCTTTCCCAGACAATTTCAGTTTATGTCTCATGGTCAGAAATGTGTCACAGGCATCCCTAGGGTCACAGGAGTCTGGCAGAGTAAATGTTCTTTCATTGAACGTTTTGCTACCCTAGCAAAATCAAATTTTCCTTACTATGAAGGAGGGAAGGATTTTATTGGCTAGGCAGCCAACAATACCTGCCACACTGGTTCAGATATTTACCTTTAGTTCTTTAAGGAACTACGGACATTATTTAATTTGGGATTTTATAAAGAAAGCAAGAAAATTAGTTGGGAAGGACCAAACTCATTCCATGGAATTAACTGCTTACAGTTAACTTGAGCATGAATAAAGAGGCTCCAAACTACAAGCAATGACAATAATAAGGTCTCATATAATCCTTATCTAGAGCAAGTGATGTAACTCATAACTGGGTTCAGCACAGGAAAATGTTTCTGCCTGGATCTTCATCTCCCATCGTCTTGGTTCTGAGCCATTCACAGATCTTCGGGTCCCAAAATGATTTCCAGTTGTTTCCCTCTAGCAGAGCTGGTGGATAAATTGTACTCTCTCTGCCCATCATCATCATCCATCCATCCATTTATTCATTCAATCCGACGTTTCTAAATTCGGTCAAAGTACAGTCTTGTCAACAATACTTCTAGCACTTTAACTTTGCTGGTGCCAAGGCTATAGAGCAGGTCTATGTAAATGTTCCTTCAATGTGGTCTCAAAATGCTTTGTTTTTCTTTCTCTCCTTCAGGGCTGCACAGATACTTTATGTTGCTCTCTGTTATGAGCAAGCTGTGAGCTTCACTACAAAAGTAGAAGCAGTTTTGTTATCTGCCCTGATTTTTGACAGAAATGCAAAGCTTTCTGCTTGAAAAAAAGTATCTTTTTCAGAGCCATCACTCACTCTCTAAAACTTAGGGAGATACTCAGTGCAGCATAATCAAGCAATGACTCTCATCCGTCCCCCAACCAGCACCACTAGCCCACAAGCACAGGGTTTTGCTGTTTAACTCCGTGGTGGAGAATAGGTGGAGTTCCTGTTTTTACACAGAGAGAAAACAAGAGCAAGAAAGTAATGGAAAAATTTAATATTTTTCCCTTGGCTTGCACAAGGAAGTTAGGAGTCTCATCTCTGAGAATCACAGTGAATATGATAATTTTTCTAAGAAACAGAGGGAGACTTTCTTCCATGAACACACGTGAACACACATGGATGATTTTTCCTAAAGGTGCAAGGAGATATCTTGGAAATGCACAGACAGATGGTTTCTTAGTCAGCTCGGGCTGCTGTAACAAAATGCCACAGGGTGATGTAGACCATAGACATTTGATTCTCGCAATTCTGGAGGCTAGGAAATCCAAGATCAAGGTGTCCACAGATTTGGTTCCTGGCAAGGTCTCTCTTCCTGGCTTGCAAACAGCCACCTTCTTGCTATGTTCACATATGGTGAAGAGAGCGAGCTCTGGTTTCTCTTCCTCTTCTTGCAAGGACATTTGTCCCATCATGGTGGCCCCCACCCTCATGACCTCATCTAAACCTAATTACCTTCCAAAGGCCCCACCCCAAAATACCATCCATTGGGGTTTGGAGCTTCAACATACGAATTTTGGGGAGACACAATCCTTCAGTCCATAACCAATGGTCAAGGGTGGGTGAAAAGGGCATCCTAACAGGGATAATGCAAAGAGGCATTTTGGTTATTTATTGTTTTGCAATATGCATCCCAAATTTAGTGGCTTAAAACAACAACCATTTTATCATATCTCATGATTCTGTGGGTTACCTAGGGATGGGCAGGCAGTTCCTCTACTGGCCTTGCTTAAGTTCTTTCTTGCAGTTGTAGCCAGTTGGCAGCTGAGGCTGCCACTGGGCTGAATGTCTAGGCCTCAGGTGCTTAGAGGCCATATGGCCTATCTCCAGGTGATGGCTCAACCTCCAAGGCCTCTCCCTGTGGTCTGGCTCTACAGCAGGGGAAATTGGACTTCCTCTGTAGTGGCTCAAGGCATGGCCAAAGATTTCAGGTCTTTGCAATGCCCGGGCTCAGAAATCCAGAAACATCACTTTCTCCAAATTCTATTGGTCAAAATAGTCATAGGTCAAACCCAGATTAGGTGGCAGTGAATGTATAAACATGTAAGAGGAGTTTTAATGCTTACAGTGTGAAAAAAGAGAAGAAAAGGCACCAGACCAAACTTGGCTATTTCGCAGCTTGATGTGTAGCCAGCACCAATGCCCCACAGCACATCATTTATGAGACAATCCTGATGTTGGGGATCTGGGTTGTGAAATGGAGTTGTGTAAGATTTTGGAGTCAGGCTCAGAGCCAGAGAGACTCTAACTAATACACTCATTTCCTCTCCGCAACTCCACATATGTTTTTAATAATCCTTTCCTTGGAATGAAGATAAGGCCTACTTTAAAGCATCTGAAAAAAATGTGGAAAAATGGCCTCATTCTGCTATGAAGTAAGCCTTTATTACCACCTGTAACAGCGCCTTATTTAAACAAAATGTGTTGATTATTTTTAGCATAATTTAAGCCCCGGGAGACTAATGAGGTGGTAACAGTGTGTGTTAATTATGTGGTTTTTGTTGTCTTCATTAAAGTTAAGATTCTCAATCCTATTTGCCACCTGAAGTCCCAGTGGAGCCACATTTTACTCTTCTGACCCTGGCATCTTTTAGTTTCCTGCAGTTCACACAATCACGTAAACATATTCTGCTTCCCCCGCAGAGAACCAGATGAGCGCAGCTCACACACTCAGAGGACCTTGGATTCCCCTTTTTAATTCTTATCCATTTTTAATCTCCATTATTAGTTGTTAGTTCTTACAGTAAGTTCATGGTGTGGGAAGCTAGTGACACGAGCTCATATTTCATCATTTAGACCTGACTGTCCTTCACTCAACAGAAAACTGCCGAAGAAGCTGAAAACCAGGAAGAAGGAGAAGCACAAAAATCAGCTTTCACTGCTTTTTGCAAGCATTTTAATTAACCAGGGAATTGTGTTGCATACACACGACTCTGATTATTTTAAACTTCTGCAGTATATGCTATACCTCTGTCCCGAGTGACAATACATCCCATCCAGCATAACCTTTCCTTAGAAATAGATAATCACCTATCCCAGACTCATTTGAAGTTGTAATCAACATCCCTCTCGTGACTTTGTCTGCAACGCTGATGTTCTGGAGTAACTTTATTTGGCAATGGTGTTAGGGGCCTTATTGCAAGTCCAGGAGGTAATGGAGTTCAGGATTTCAGCCAAGGATGTCTTAATAATGGCCTCATCAGGGTGTATGAAGTTGTAATGAAAATAGCAGGTGAATCTGTCTGGCAAATAGCACATTATGAGTCTTTCTAGTAATTAGAGTTGTCTAAAAATGGAATGGGCTGTCACATGAGGTGATGAGCTTTCCATCAAAGAGTCAGGATGTTGAAGTAGGGGTTTCTTATGAGGTGAGGGTTAGACTCAATAATTTTCTGGGCCCCTTCCACTTTTCATCTAGATTCTACAATTGTTTTAGGTCCACACAGTCCAGTAGTCTTGACTTTGGCAATTTGCAAGCCGGGTTCCATGATGGAATATGATCGAGTAGAAAGCCAGGCAGTCCTGGGTTCAAATCCCTGCTCTAGCACAATGTAATGGTGAGCAGGTTACTTAAGCTCTCTCTTCCCTATAAATGAGGATTGAAATATATTGCTTCTGGGGCTGTTGTAAGTGTTAGAAATAATGCATTTAAAATATGAGGCCCAAGGTAAGCACTCAATAAATCACAGCTCTAGTTACCCTTAAGAATCTAATTCTCTTACTTTTCTATTGACTCTCCACTTCAATGATACAGTCTTGGTTTATAAAACAGAAGAAAAGAAGGGCTCATAAAGACACAGGAACAAGGTTATGCTAGTGCTGGGCCAGTTGAACAAAGCAGGCTGAGGAAATCTTCAGGAGTCACCAGGGAGAGTCTCCTGAGCAGGCAGAATCCCTCAGCATCATCCCCTTCCCAGGAAACGATATCAGCGTTGCTCAGTGCCTACAGTGTGTTGGGCACACGCATGTGTTATCTTAATTCTCCATACCATTGTCATACCAGTTCCGAGAGGTGGACCTGATCATCTCCGTTTTACAGAAGAGAAAACTCATGTTTAGACAGGTTACGTGCCTAACCCAAGGCCATATGGCTGTTCCCAGATCCACCTCACCCACTCTACGACCAAGTATCCCCAGCATCACGCTGCATCCTCCATTCGCAGGGCAGAGTAAATACAGGTGTCCAAGTGCTGCCTGGTAGAGATACTCCTACCTGATGGGATATGGTGATGGAAGACCAACCAATGAGAGTCTCTGGAAAGAGAGTGCTTTCAGTTTGTAGATTCTAAATTAATTGTGATTTGCCATTAATTCGTTATTTATCCATTTACCTTGGGTTTTACAGAGGGGATGTATGTGTCTCTTAGACCTTCCTATCCCCTCTTGTCCATATGGTTCAAACAATAAGGCATACAATGAAGTTACTCCCACACCCAGTCTCCCAGACAACCAGTTCTCCTCTTTAGAGACAGCTTACCAGTTTCTCTGTGCAGCCTGCCAGAGATTTATGTTTTTGTTTTCTTTCTTTTTTCTTTCTTTTTCTTTCTTTTTTTTTTTTGAGATGGTGTCTCACTCTGTCACCCAGGCTAGAGTGTGGTGGTGCAATCTCAGCTCACTGCGACCTCCACCTTCCAGGCTTAAGTGATCCTCCCACCTTAGCATCCTGAGTAGCTGGGACCGCAGGTGCACGCCACCACGCCTGGCTAATTTTTTGTATTTTTGGTAGAGACGGGGTTTCACCATGTTGCCCAGGCTGGTCTCGAACTCCCATGCTCAAGCATCTGCCCTCCTGGCCTTCCAGAGTGTTAGGATTACAGGTGTGAGCCTGTACGATTCAGTGGCATTTAATGTGTGCATAATGTTGTGCAACCACTACCACTCTTTAGTTTCAAAACTTTTTCATCACTCCAGAAACACACACACAAAAATTACCCATTAAATAATCATTCCTCATTCCCTTTCCTCCATTCCCTGGTAACCACTAATCTGTTTTCTGTCTCTATAGATTTGACTATTCTGCCTGTATCATATAAAAGGAATCATATAATATGTGACCTTTTGTGTCTGGCTGCTTTCACTTAGCATAATGTTTTTGAGGTTCATCCAAGTTGTGGCATTCATCAATACTTCATTCCTTTTCATGGCTGAATATTATTCTAGTGTATGCCCACACCGCCATTAATTTATTCATTCATCCGCTGATGGACAGTTAGGTTGTTTTTACCTGTTGGTTCCTATAAATAATGCTGCTACAAACATTTGTTTTCATGTTTCTGTGTGGACATATGTTTCCACTTCTCTTGGGAATACATATGGTAATTCTATGTTTAAGTTTTAAAGAATCTAGAGGTTTTTTAATGCACAATAATTTCCCCTGTTTTTACACAGTTGCTTGCATACTGTGCAGATTGTGCAACACCTTGCTTTATTCACTTTAAAGTGGGTCTTAGAGATCTTTTCAGTGGCGTGCTAGTAAATATTCAGCAACTGCCTCTTATGGAGTGAGCTATGCTCTGATTCATACCATTTATAGATTTTCATAATGTAACTCCCACCATGGCAAATTTCAAGTTGTTGCTGACTGCAAAATTAAGAAGAGACGCTAACAATCTGCCCTCCTGAACTGGTCCAAACTGGCTGTAGCACTGTACTGGATCATTCTATATCAGAGCATGAAGGGCTGCCTCATTCTCCTTTATGTGTGCATACTGTGCCATCTTTAGAAGTGCTATAATTTTTTAACCTGTCCCTGATGGCAGACACTTAGGATGTTTCCAGTCTTTTACTTCCACAAACCAGGCTTTAATGGATAACCTTGTGTGCATGTCACTTTGCTCATGTGCAAATATAGAAGTAGGCATGGTTCCATGACTTCATAAGAATCACTATGGGAGGAAAATCTTAAAAGGCAATTTA
Source organism: Homo sapiens (assembly GCF_000001405.40). NCBI lineage: Eukaryota > Metazoa > Chordata > Mammalia > Primates > Hominidae > Homo > Homo sapiens. The sequence continues at coordinate 24,774,945 of NC_000004.12, read as the reverse complement.
TTACTTCATTGGACAGTTGTGACTGATAGGAAGAATTCCATGCAAAGAAATAATCATTTTTGCCCCAGCTTCCTTGCAAATAAAATGGATGCAAATTAACTAGCCACTTGCCAACGTCAAAGTGTTGTCATAAGACTTTGAAATGAAATTGAAAAGCATGCTTTTCTTTTAAAGATAGGAATTTCTGTAAATACAAAGTAGCATGGTTCACATTTAGTAACCTGAAGAACTTTCATAAGTAGGTTGGTGAGGAAAACGTACCTGTTCCTAGGACCTTGTGATTCTACTCTAGAGTCTCATAAAGGTAAGATTCACAGCAAAGGAATTCAACAGCTGATTATGAAATAGTATACTTGAAGAGCTTTAGCCCAGTTCTTATTTAGATTTTTTTTTAACCAAGGAACTCTAAGACAATGTTTCTCAACTGTGCTTGTACAGATGCTCCTCAACTTATGAGGGGTTATGCCCCAGGAAACACAACATAAATTGAAAATATAGTAGGTCAAAATGCATCAGATTACATTCTTATAAACCCATGGTAAAGTCAAAATACTGTAAGTTGAACCATTGTAACTAAGATGGTCCGCAATGTACAATGGAATGATATCTCTATAAACCCATCGTAAAATCAAAAAACTATAAGTCAAAACAACATAAGTTTGAGATCGTCTGTACTTTAGAATCATCTGGGAAGCTTTTAAAATCTTAGTACCTAGGCCACAGCCCAGATTAATCAAACTGGACTGTCTGAAGATGGGGACCCAGGCATTTGTTTTTTGTTTGTTTGTTGGTTTGTTTGTTTTTCTGAGATGGAGTTTTGCTCTCGTTGCCCAGGCTGGAGGGCAATGGCACAATCTCAGCTCACTGCAAACTCCACCTCCCAGGTTCAAGCAATTCCCCTGCCTCAGCCTCGCGAATAGCTGGGATTACAGGCATGTGCCACTATGCCCAGATAATTTTGTATTTTTAGTAGAGATGGGGTTTCTCCATGTTGGTCAGCCTGGTCTTGAACTCCCGACCTCAGGTGATCTGCCCACCTCGGCCTCCCAAAGTGCTGGGATTACAGGTGTGAGCCACTGTGCCCAGCTGTATCTGTATTTTTTAAAGCTACCCTGGTGATTCCACTGTTCAGCCAAGGTTGGGAAGAGAATATAAGAAAGGAATCAAATTAGGGAAGCAGGGAAACACATTTGTCAGGATTCTCTGGAGAAATGGAACCAGTAGAATGTGTGTGTGTGTTTATGTGTGTGTATATATGTACACACGCAATACAATTTACATATATGTATATATACATACATATGTGCATGTATACATATATGCATGTATGCACATATGCATGTATACATGTATACATATATGTATATGTATGTACATATATACGTGTATACATATATGTATATGTATGTACATATATACATGTATACATATATGTATATGTATGTACATATATACATGTATACATATATGTATGTGTATGTACATATATGCATGTATACATATATGTATGTGTATGTACATGTATACATGTATGTAAATTGTATATGGCTTACATATAAATGTAATTGGCTTACATGATTATGGAGGCTGGAAAGTCCAAAATCTGTAGGGTGGGCCAGGAGGCAGGAGACCTGGAGGCAGGAAAAATTAATACTACAGTTCAAGTCCTGAGGCCATCAGGTGGGGACCCAGGGAGGAGCTGATGCTGCACTTCAATCTTAAAGAGTGTCTGCTGCTGAATTCTCTCTTGTTCAGGGAGGTCAGTTCTATTCGGGCCTTCAACTGATTAGATAAAGCCCACCCATTTTATGGAAGGAAAACTGCTTTACTCAGAGTCTCCTGATTTCAGTGTTAATCTCATAGAAAAACATTCTCACAGAAATATCCAGAATAATGTTTTGTTTCTTTGTGTGTTTGTTTTAAAAAGACATATTTGGCCGAGGCGGGTGGATCACGAGGTCAGGATATCGAGACCATCCTGGCTAACACGGTGAAACCCCGTCTCTACTAAAAATACAGAAAATTAGCCGGGCCTGGTGGCGGGCGCCTGTAGTCCCAGCTACTCGGGAGGCTGAGGCAGGAGAATGGTGTGAACCTGGGAGGCGGAGCTTGCAGTGAGCTGAGATTGCGCCACTGCACTCCAGCCTGGGCGACAGACAGACCGAGACTCAGTCTCAAAAAAAAAAAAAAAAAGACATATTTATTCAGCATCATGATCAGACTATTACATTTAGGAATTAACAGCATGGGTGCAACAAAAAAGTCTACATTTAATGCTTTTTGTTGGAATGCTTTATACTTACCACAGAACAGAAACAAAAATAACCTATTATGCAATTAATTACAAATACAGTCCTTGAGTTTTTTGCCCATACACATGAGTATTGTCTAACACATGTCTTCTTTGTGGCAGCTAGGCCCTGCCACCACAGTGCTTGGCTGAGTTCACACATCTGTTGTAACCTGTAGCTTCCCTGTCACTTCTCTGGCTCGCTCTCCTGCCGAGCTTTGTTTCCTGGCAGTAATTAAAATCTTCCCCCACTGCCATAGCTACTGCTGCTACTGAAACCTTGGTTTCATGGTTTGGCAAAGTATTGGCCTCCACCACCACAGGGGCCAGAGCTTTCTGCCTCCAAAGTTTCCTCCCTTCATGGATTCAAAATTTGAAGGCTAATCGTTTTAATTGCCAAAATCATTGTAGCTTCCACCACCTCCAAAATTGCTTTCATCATTACCAAATTCCTTATAGCCATCCCCGCTGCCACCACATCCACCACCATCATGGGTGCCACCAAAGCCAGCACAACCACTGAAGTTTCCTCTATGACTAAAGTTGTCATTCCCATCAAAACCACCTCTACGACCACCACCAAAGTTTCCAGAACCATTTTGACCTCTTTGGCTGGATGAAGCACTAGCCATCTCTTGTGTGACAAGGCTTTCCTAACTTCACAGTTGTAGCCATTCACGGGATGGCGTTTCCAAATGACAGTCTTATCCTTGGAGTCATGGTCTTCAAAGCTTACAAAAGCAAAGCCCCTTTTCTTGCTACTGCCTCATTCAGTTATGATTTCAATCACTTCGGTTTTCCCAAATTGTCTGAAATCATCTCTTTGGTGATGTTCTTCAGTGTCTTCTTTAATGCCACCAACAAATACCTTTTTCACAGTTAAGTGGACACCTGCTCTTTGAGAATCTTCTCTTGAGACAGCTCTCTTTGGTTTCACAACTCTTCCATTCACCTTGTGTGGCCTTGCATTCATGGCTGCCTCCACCTCCTCCACAGTGGCATTGGTGACAAACCCAAAGCCCCTGGAGCTGTTGGTGTTTGGATCTCTCAGACCACACAGTCTGTGAGAGTGAGCCTTCCCCATTGCTCAAAATGGCCCATCAGACTCTCATCAGTTGTTTCAAAGCTCAAGCCCCTGATGTAGAGCTTCCGCACCTGTTCAGGATCTTTAGGAGACTGGCTTAGACATGACGCCCATGGGAAGAGAGACTTTAATGATGCTTTCTTGGCAGCATCCCCAGGCAGAAAGCCAGAATAATGTTTGACCGCATATCTGAGCACCACGGCCCCACCAAGTTGACACATAAAATTAACTATCACAATTTAAGTTGTTTGGAAATACTCAAAAACCTCATGTTTAGGGAGTGAAGACAGAAGTTTGGTGGTTATTTGAAGTTGTGCTTCTCTGGTTTGGTTACAAACAGATTCTCTCTGAAATTCCCCTGTGGCTCCCCCAAGATGAAACTTCTACTTGTCATTTGTAAGCCCTGTTGCCAGAGCCCATAGATTTTATTAAAATTGAGGATTATGAGAAGATACAGTTTTTTTTTAGTTTTCATTATCTCTGAATTGGATGTTTTTATTAGAAGAATATCAACTTTTTTGTCAGTGGTAGCGAGTGTTGTAAAATGTGCAAAGAGATTCATTTTAAGTCATTAATATATCCTCTTAAGAAAATCTGATTCTTTCTGTCCTCTTGAAAGAACCCCAGTGTCCAAACCCAGAACTCACAAAGATTGGTGGCAAGAGTTCTGTTGATCTCAGTAGGAAGGAATCCATGATTTATTGGGAAAATCCTGGACAACCAAATTATCCCTTCTCTCCTTTATAAAAGAGCTTTGGAGACTTTCCATGTCACCAGCAATAGGATTTGCTTTCTTCTATAAATGATTGGAAAGTGTATTTAGAATCGCTTTTTATAAGCAGCTGGTCATCAGGTTGCCTGGATTTCCTGAGGTGTTTCATCTCGGGTAACGGGTGAGAACTTGGGGGCCTTTGGCTAAGCAGCAATCTCAGCTCTGCACGTCCAGCTGGCCTTGTATCCTCTACCCTTCTTCAGGCTCCAGGTTCAGAGTGCACACTTGAAACATTCAGTCCAGTGAGAAGGCCCAGGCCATGTGGAAACAGCAGGGGGTCTGAGGACTCATGCTAAGCCTCTTACAGTGGCCACATGCAACACTCTGGTTCCCAGGGATCTTGGGTTCTGCCTGGAGCCACTTTTAACCTGGGGAACCAGCTGACTGGTAAAGCTGGGACTGCTGTGAGTCAGCAGGAAATTGAGTCAGCCTCATTGATTTGGAATAGGAGGGTGTGGGCTGAGTTTGTGGGGACCCTGAATGGGTTTTTGTGGTCATGGAAATAGCTTCATTTTGCCAGTTATGAATTGACTAGCATTCATGCAGGCCCAGAAGCAGAAGAGTTCGTTAAAGATAAGTCAACCTTTTGGCAGATTGCAGCTCTAAAACAGGAACTATGACATATAGATCTGCCTTGTTTCAGAGACTCAAGGGGAAGGGACAATAGCATAGGGTCTCTCCCACATGGCTTCTCTGCTTACACAAGAGGGTACGTGGGAAGAGCTATCCAAGTATGAGAGACAGCCTGAAAGCGCAGTGTTGTGCTCCTATCCTATTCCCCGCTAAAGTTCAGCAGAGCCTCAGTTTTCTGTGTAAAACCTCTCAGGAATGACACGAGTGTGAGAAGACTTCTGCTGTGTGTGGTCCTGGTTGTGTAGGCAGGACTGGGGTGCACCAGTCCCAGATGCTCCGGTTGTTAAAACATTGGAATATTTTCATACAGCCTGGTAAATAGACATTGACTCAAGCTCTCTGTTTGCTTCCCCACTGTCAGCTACCCAGCCCCTCTTCTGGAACCTCAGGAACTTCCCCAGGATCCAGAAACTAAAGGGTTAATTCCTGGCACAGTGGGACATCCAGAAAATCTGATTCACTCTTTTGAAAGAAAAAAAAACCCAGTAACAAAACCCAGAATTCAGAAAGATTGGTGGCAAAAGTTCTACCAATCTCAATAGATAGAAATTACAGTTTGCTGGGGAAATGATGGAAAACCCAAATACCCCTTCTCTCCTTTATAAAGGGGCTTTGGAGATCTTCCATGTCACCAGCAATAGGATTTGCTTTCTTCCATAAATGATTGTAAGCTTCAGCACCAGGATCAGTTACATCCTTTTGGAATGGTCTTTGACAACACAGCAGTGGTTAAATACAGCGACCATCCCCACTGACTGTAGACACGTGTGTGTTCTGTTAAATGAAGGTGTTGGGCTAGTAACCCAAGGGACTACATCTATGGCCCTGCCCACATAGTTAGCAGGAAATATCCCATGATTCCATCCAGTGAATTCCAGCTATTTCAGTGTTTTGGGCATCTCTCTCATGTACTCGGGCACAGACTCGTGTGTTCTGCCACTTGAATCTCTTCACCATACCACCATATGGTGCCTCTGCCACCAATGATCCTCTTCTGGTGGCCTCAATGCTACCTCCAGCCTGACCTCAGGGAGGGATTGCTACCTCCTTGTGTCCACTTCATCTCACACATGGGCAGGCCCATCTGCTTGTTTACCACAGCAAATCAGAGGCCAGGGTGTCATTCTTATTAAAAACTAGCCTAGGTGTGGGAATAATGGCAGGAAAGTAAAAGCCAGATAAAAACTCACAGATTTGATGGACCCAGGTCTATCCCTGCATTTTTACAGGTCAGTTTCCTAGATTGCAAACTGATGGCCACTTTGGGGCTGGGCTGGGCTTCCCTGAGCAACTGTCAGAAGCACCCCAGATGTCCCCACACCTTACAGCCCAGACCAAGCTCCAAAAAGAGGAAGTGCTTTTCTCACCTACATCTAGGCCCAAGACCAAGAGCTTGGTCAAAATGAAATAACACCAAACTCACCAGTCTCTCTTCAGTGGTTCAAACATTTTGCAAAGGAGTCAGACCTGGAGTCAACCAGGTATAGAATAGTCTTCAATTCCCATTTACCATAAGGATGTTTTATTATTATTTCCATTTTGTGGAAGAGAAACTGAAGCCCAGAAATGTTTAATAACTCAACTAAACTCACACAGCTTGTAAAGCTTCTCAGGCCTTGTACCTGGATGATCACTCCAAAATCCACGCTTTTAACCACTACACAAAGCACTTTTCTCGTGGGGATGAGGAAAGTTCTTTAAAGTCTTTAATCATCAACAAGTTGCAAAAGTGTGAAAGGCATATGGAGCTTTTGAGTTAGGCATGAAGGCAAGCTTGAAGAGCTTTACTGGGTTTCATATGAAACAGAAGCCAATAACGAAAAGCTTAGAAGAGGATACATCAGTGGAACGATTTTGAAATTTCCCAGTTAACTTTTTCACCATCTTACCTGTGATGCCAGGACAGGTGGCTTCAATCACAGCACTAGCGTTCTCAAGTTCCTCAATTGCCCTGTTCCTGCTAACATTATCCACACGCAGCTGTTTAAGATCAGCAAACACAGGTGCAGTGACTTCAACCAGCTCAGTGTTTTCACAACACCTTGATCTGCCATGTTCTGTTGTTTCTTTTGTATCAGGCATCATTCCATTGTGATAAAGCTGCATTTGGGATGAGTATGATCGTCCCAGCTGATCTTTTCCAATCAAATTTGTCATTGCTATATTTCTTCCTTCTATCCTTAAAATCTACACATCAGTTGAATCAGTACATCAGTTGAATCAGTACATCAGCCTTCTGATTTACTTGCTAGCACCACAAAAATGCCCTTATTCTAGGTAATCTCTTTGGTTTCCCATGTAGGTGAGAAACTATCCCCAGATTGAATCCTTTGAGGACAGGGACCATGTCTTAAGCATCTTTGTCTTTTTCTTAGCCCCTGGCACTGCACCTGATGTAGACACATTGGAATTTCCTTACCACCCACTTCAAGTCCATCCCATGGCAACTCTAAACCATTTCTGTGTATCTCTGCTGTGCAGAGAAGGTAAGAAGCAAACCATTCTCATCCCCCAAACAGCCTTTTATTTTCTTAAATTTCAATTAACCTTCTTTTCAACATTTCTCTCATTAGGCAAAGTGACAAATGTGATTTTCCAAAAATTTTTTCTTGCTACTCATGGAAGCCGATTTTACATGGTGGCATATGCACTGGGCCAAACACCTTTAAGGCAACTTATTCACAGGTGTAGAGGATTCCTATGTGGACCTTTTTGGGAGGCCATTGTGCGGCCTACCACAGGCAGAAAAGGTACTAAATGACACAGAACATCCTATTGTGCTAGAAAGTAAAGAAATGCTCAATAAATGATCAGGGCATGCCAAAAGGATACCAGGAATCAGCTTGAAGGACTTTTTATTAGTTTTCTAGGGCTGCCATAACAAAGTACCACAGTCTCGGTGACTTAAACAACAGAAACTTGTTTGAGCACCGTTGAGAAAGCTGGAAGTCCAAGATCAAGGTGTCAGCAGGATTGACCACTCCTGCAGCCTCTCTCTGCAGCTTGCAGATGGCTGCCTTCTCTCTGTATCTTCACATGGCCTGCCTATGTGCGTGCATTTAGAGAAAGAGGAGAGCTATTTGGTGTCTGTCTTCTTATAAGGACACCAATCCTGTTAGATTAGGGCCTCACCCTTATGGCCGTATTTAACCATAATTACCTCTTTAAAGGCCCTATCTTCAAATGCAGTTACATTGGGACTTCAGGTTTCAAGATACACATTTTGGGGGAACACAATTCAGTCCATAACAGGACTCTGGATCTGTACTGGGATCCAGGTCCTGCTGTGTGAGCAAAACTAGGTTAAGAAAGTTCTCTGGACATCAGCAGGTAGAGGGAAGTCTGGGTGTGTAGTGTAGAGCATCTAATAATAACACATAGCTTTTAATTCCACATTGCTTGAGTGATTGAATGCAAGAACATTCTGTTTGGACAGATCTGTACCACTTTTCAGTTTCAACATTTGACCTATGTCTCCTTACTTGTTTCATGGGGCAAACAGAATTTAATGGCCATGAAATGTGTGAACCTACTTGGGTGTCTTGATCCTGCACATAAGAGATAACACTTTTGGGCTTCCTCCTGGCCCTAATTAGTCCTTGAAGTGTCACATAATAGCCCTGTGCATTACTGCTCAATCCGACTTCACCACAGCCAAGGCTACCTTCATATCCAACTGGTCATGTTGTCAATGCTCCCTCTCATCCTCAAACCCAACTTAAAGTGATTCTCATGGCTATCCCAAAGATAAACTGTAAGATAAAAGGAGCAGAGGTTATAAAGAAAAAGTATTGAATCTCTTAGAAATATGTTTTCTTTTCTTTCATTCATTCTTTCTTTCCTACTATAAAATAAATGGAAAAAAATCATCTACAATAATGAAAAAATACAATATTTTTTGCATTTCTTTCCAGTGTTTTTCATATGTCCATTCCTGGATACTGCTTTCAATCCCAGGTCATATGCAATTATATATTCTGCTTTTTTATCCCTAACCTTAGAGAATTTAATATGTTGTGTGGCAGTTTTAAAACATATCTGCAAATTGTTTGTCACTCATCTCATGGAGGGGTGGTACCTATGTCCCCTACCCATGAATCTGGGATGACTTAGTGAGCACCTTATAACCAATAGAATGCAGCAGATGTGATGTTGTTTTTAACTTTCAAAACTGGGTCAGAAAAGACCATACAACTTCTGCCTGGTTCTTTTGGGATGTTAGCTCCAGGGAAAACCAGCACCATGAAGAAGGCCAAGTATCCTGAGAGTGCTGTGCTAGAAAGCCCACATGTAGACACCGAAGACAGCCCAGCTGAGCTCAGAGCTGACAGCAGAGCCAGCTCTTAACCGCACACGTGAGCCATCTTGGACATCCAGGCTGGTCAAGTCATCAGATGTTTGCAGCCCCAGCTGACATCTTACTGCAACTGCGTGAGTAACCTCAAATGAGAACTGCTCAGCTGAGCCCTCTTCAAATTTCTGATGCACAAAATTATGAGCAAAATGAAATGGTTGTTGTAGGCCACTACATTTAAAGACAAATTTTCACACAGCAATAGTAAACAGAAAGAATTGTGGTATGTGGAAATGAGGGTCTGCAATAATAGAAATCTAAACCACATGCCATTGGTTTTGAGACTAGGCAGCAGGCAAGGGCTGGAATGTAAACTGAAACCTGATGGGCCTTGAGAAGTGCAATATGTCAGGGAGGGCTTAAAGGAAGGTGAGGGAGATTTACAAGAAGCTGAAGGAGAGGAGACCATGGTTATGTAGTGGTGGAAAGTTTTGCAAAACTATCACCTGCAGTAATGTGGAAAATAGAAAATGTACTAAAGGAATGCGATGATCTAGCTAAGAAAATTCCCAAGCAGAGTGTTTAAGATGCCATCTGGCTTCTTCTAATTGCCTATGATAAAATGAAAGTAAAGAGAATAAACAAATAAACTTTAAAAAACCAACTATTTTATTTTCAAGGGAAATTTGAAAGAAATACAAAGGGCTCAAGAGAATATTTTCAGTCAGCAAAGGATTCTTAAAGTAAGAAAGGACCTTAGGGAAAAGATCAAACTCAGGGCTCTTTCGGGAAAATGCCACCAAAGGGTAAAAATAAAGCCAGAGGGGCAACTTTACAACACTTTTTTTATGATTTCAGAAAGATTTAAAATGGTATCTCCTAGACATGGTCTGCTAGATAAAATGTATCTAAAGATCTTAAGATCATGCTTTGTAGTAGATCACCCCTCTTAAATCATAGAGCTTCTAGGCTCTGAAAGATGTTGCAGCCTTATAGAGAATCAAAGATAGAGAAGAGGCTATCCCAAAGACCCTTTGTGGTATTTGTCCAATGAAGGGACTCTAGTAAGATTCATAAAAGCTAACAAATATTTCAAGGGAATTATATTGGCAGAAGCAATATCATCTTGGTCTGAAAGAGACAGAAGCAGCACAAAATGAAAGTGGTTCTGATCCACAACCTTCTGTGGGAAGGAAGCCAAATGAGAGAGCCACCCCGCCGCACTCACAGGCTGCTTATTATTAAAAGGGAAGGACGACTCAGAGGGAAAAACCAGGAGCCCAGATGGAGGAGCTGAGAACCTAGAGGAGGAATTCCCTAGCACAATCAGTACAAATCAGTACTGATGAACAATCCCCTAGTACAATTAGTACAAATCAGTATTAGTACAATCCACAGTACTGGATGACATGAACAAAGAACTGGTGACAGGTACCCAGTTGAATTTCAAGTTTCTCTGGACTAGTGACTGCTCTGTGCTTGCCATCCCTTCCTTTTGGAATAGGAGTGTCTATTTTATTTATTCTAACCCTTGATCTCTTTAGTCCTGAGGTCTTCAGAAACTTGAGCAGATGAATTTACACCTGGACCTGACTGAGATGATGTGATCCTGAACGTCCAGCCTGAGTCTGATGCTGTAATAGTTGAGCCTTTGGGAGATCTTGATAAGGGAGAGAGTATGTTGCATGTGGGAGGTATGCAAATAAGACTGTAGCAATTTTAAAACATGTCTGTAATTCCTCTGACATTCCTCCCATTGATGGGTGGAGTGTGTATCCCCTCCCCTTGAGTTTGGGCCAGCATTAATGTCTCACTTTTAACCAGAAGAATACAGGAGACATGACACAGCATAACTTTCAAGATCAGATTAGAAAAAGCTACGAAGCTTACACCTGGTGTTCTTGGGATTTTACCTCTGGGAGAAACAAAAACCCTGTAAAGAAATCTGATTATCCTGAGGCTGCTATGCTGGAGAGGCTGCTATGCTGGAGAGGCTGCGTGTAGGTGCTCTGGCTGACAGCCCAGCTAAGCTTTCAGCTGAAACCAACTGCCTGTCATGTGAGTGATCCATCTCGGATGACAAGCCTAGTCATGCCATTGGAGGACTACAGCCCCAACAGAGATCTGAATGCAGTCCACGACAGACTCCAAGTAAGAACTTCCCAACCTTTTTGAATTTCTGACTCATAAAACTGTGAGCAAATGGACCATCCTGGCTAACACAGTGAAACCCCATCTCCACTAAAAATACTAAAAATTAGCCGGGCATGGTGGCGGGCACCTGTAGTCCCAGCTACTCGGGAGGCTGAGTCAGGAGAATGGCATGAACCCGGGAGGCAGAGCTTGAGCACTCCAGCCTGGGCGACAGAGTGAGACTCCGTCTCCAAAGAAAAAAAAATGTGAGCAAATGAACATGACTGGTTTAAACTGCTATTTTTTATTGTTTTTGTTTTGAGACAGCATCTCATTAGGGTCTCATTCTGTTAGCCAGGCTGGAGTGTAGGGGTGCAATCACGGCTCACTGCAGCCTCGTCCTCCCCAAGCTCAGGTGGTCCTCCCACCTCTACCTCCCAAGTAGCTGGGACTGCAGTCACATGCCACCATGCCTGGCTAATTGTTGTATTTTTTTTTGTAAAGAGGGGGTTTTGCCATGTTGCCTACAGTGGTCTCAAACTCCTAGGCCTGAGTGATCTTCCCATCTTGGCTGCCCAAAGTGCTGGGATTACAGGCATGACCCACATTGCCCGGCCTAAACCGCTACGTTTTCAAGTAATTTTGATATGCCCCAATTATAACTAGATTATATTGTTACATAAATATCCTTTGAATTACATAGCTGCTTTCTGTTTTTTTCTTCTTCTTCAATATAGGTAATGAAAACAATCATCTTCCTTGTTTTCCTTCGTTTGGATTATTTCCTTAGAATAACTTTCCAAAGAAGAACAATCAAGTGACAGAGGATGAATATTTTCATAATTTCTAATTCATACTGCCAAATTACTTTCCTAAAAGATAGTACCAATTTGCCACCAGCAACTTATGATATAGAAGTTTTATTGTAACTTCACCAGATTGGGTGTTGTCATCTTAAAGCATATTTAAAAGCATCATAAATTCAAAAGCTGTTCTGGTGGACCTGGTGTGAAATTTCAGTACTCTGATCTTAGGAGGGAATTTACACTCGTTGTAGCCATAGAATCCTCTCCTGCTCAGTCTAACTCAGCCCTTTACTATCTAGTTAGTGCTTTTTTTTTTTTTTTCTCAATAAAATTCTTCTACTGTGTTCTCAGCCTCCTTCTGGAAAGTTGGCCCAGGAGAACATTTGTAGCCTGAGCTAGATCTACTCCTCTGCATTGCTTACATGTATGTCAAAAATAGCCCTGAACTATGCTGACATTCTGGTCTATGTCCAGCTTGATACCAAGTTATCATTGATTGAGAGTTAAGCATGAGTCATGCATATATTCATTTCATTCATTCTCTCAACCAACTTGCAAGATAGACTTTATCCCCCCTTTTAAGATGAAGATACTAGACATCAAAGACATTCAATAACTTGCCAAGGTCACACAATTTGTAACCGATGGAGACAGGATTTGAACCCATGCTTTTGGCCACTACATTTCACTGCCTCACCTAGTCTGCTGATCTATTGGGTGTTTCCTTCCCACTTTCCCAGACTTCCTGGGAGGAACCTAGAAGGCAGTGGAAAATCACCCTTGGCTCCCTTAAAATACTGTCTATTCCCTCTAAACACTGTCTTGATCCATATTTTTGAACCACCCCAATTTAAAAGTCAATATTCATGTCATGCCTCTGTCTATATCCCCATATGGCAAGAACATTATAATGTGTCTTGATGTATATTTTGTTAGAAATTATTTGGAGGAAGTATAAATGAATATGCCTGTATAAATATATGAACATCTTTTCTGAAAAATTTATTTATGAGTCTAAGAAATGTTCAGACTTCTTAAATAAAATGGAAGAAAAAAGTATTTTGAGTTATTCTACTTTTCTCTAGTCCTTTATCTTTCTCCTTCTTCAGGATAAGCTGTGATATGAAAAATTGAAGCCAAAAAAAGAATCCTCTGAGAGATTGAAGAGTGCGCTATAAACATGATTTTGCTTCTCAGGAATGGGAATTCCATGAAAGCAAGGACTTTGTTTCATTCCCTGCAGTGTCCCAGCATTTTAACAGCACCTGGCACACAGTAGGTGCTCTGCTCATATCTGCGGAGTCAATGAGTGTGCTACCTGGGTCCCTGCCCAACAATGTCTAGTCTCTACAGTTGCAGTAATCTGTCATGCAACTTCAAGCCGTGCATCTGCCACTGAACCAACCCTAGGCCCTTGATGCTCAAAGCCTGGTCCCTGGGCCAGTATCTGGAAGCTTGCTCAGCAATGCAGAATCTCAGGCCCCACCCCAGACTCACTGAATCAGAATCTGCATTTTAACAAGATCTCCAGCTGATTTGTGCCTACATTAAAGTTTGCAAATTGACTGTCTAAGCCAATCTCAAGATGTGGTCTCTGGCCTAGCAGCATCAATATCACCTGGGAACCTGTTAGAACACCTATGAAATCAGAGACTCTGGGACCAGGGCCCAGCTCTATGTACTTGTAAGCTTTAGGAGATTCTGATGCATGCTGCTGTTTGCAAACCACATTCCCAAGCTCAGCTTCACCAACTTTGCTCCTAATTCCACCTGGACCTTAAATCTCAGTTGCAGTAACTGGGCTATTTTCTTACATCCTATAACCAAAACTTTGCTTAAACTCTTTTAATTATGGGGAATAACTTCCTCCTAATAAGCTTTGCATTTCAAATCTGGATAGTTTTGAAAGTTCTTCTTTGCCATTTGTATGGAGTTTGATATACTCCATTCCATTCCAAACAAAATGAATAATCTCATCCCTCTGACCCAACCCTTAGAGTCTAGATAGAAAATTCCAAAAATGAGTTTCAGAAAATATGAATAGATGATGTGGAGACTATTCATAGCCATGGGTACAGCTATTCCCTGCATGAAGGTGCTCAGCAGACGGCCATGTACGAAAGCTGAAATCCAGCCTATACTTTATTCCCTAAGCAATTCACCTACAGGGCTACATCCGCCCAGTGTGTGCCTTTTTCTAATTGACCCAAAGTTATTGGACAAGCTAGCTGTGGTCCTGAGTCTTATGCCTGTGGCTTGGGGACCATGATTTAAATGGCTGTATACAGTATAGTACCACTGTCCAAGAGTGATGTAGTGCACACCATTCTAACAGCATTTTCTATGCTATGCCCATCCACCTTGATTACAGTGATCGATTATTCTCCTCTACTCCTTCTAACAGTCATAGACTGTTTGCTCTTCTTCTAATTCCCACTCTTTCCTCCAGGTTCACTGTTAGTCTCTCACTTGTCAACTATTTGATCTCTCTTCTAAGGCTTTATTCGTGTATCTTGCTTCATTTGTCAGAGCTCCTACACATGGTTCTGCAAATTTTTACAAAACTCCTAAAATAAATAAATGCTAAAAATATACATAGCCGTTTTATAAATAGGGTTTGTATTATATCAATTTCAAAATAGAAAATGCATATTTATTACTACAGGTTACAACTTGTGAAAGAATCACTACATTTAATTTTTAAAAGAGTAGGTGAACAAAACCTTAACCAAACACAAAATTCTTACAGCTTTCACCTGCCTGTCACTCGTCAGTGTCAGTATTTATAAACGAACAGTGTTAGTCCTCACAATTATACATACTTTGACTAAAATTACAAAATGAAAGCCCACTTCTAGGTGACATTATAGAAAACGAATTTAAGTATTTTATATAGAGTCATATGGAATTAAAATATATCTGCTTGTAGCTTCTGCCTGTTGATCCTTGATCTGTCACTGGAGATAGAGAGAACAAATGCTATCCTTCTTCCACATCTCGTTTCTGTAGATTTTGAAAATAGCTATGTTACTTCCCATTCTCTATTATTTCTACCCCCTTATTTTGTCCTCTGCAAATTAAATGCTCCTTCCAGTGTTCATTACATGGCAGCTGAAGTCAATTCACCATCTTTATTGTTCTCCTCTAAATGTGTTCTTGATAGTCTCTAGCACAAAAAATGTGTGATGTCTAAAATGAAGATATAACTTTGAGTGCTCTAAGAAGGGTGAAACAGAGGAGAACTATCAACTTGCCTGTTTAATATAATATACCTCTATTACTGCTATTTAATAATACAGATTGCTTGTTTATCAGCCACATTCTGCTGCTGGCCCACATCAAACAAAACCCAAAATTGTTTTTACATCTGATGTTGATAAGCAAGCCATTGCTACCCAATACTCCCTTGAATAGTTCTTTCAACGATGGCCTTCTAGAGACATTCCCCCCAACTTCCTGTCCCTCCAGAAAAGACTATCAGTAGCCAGTTCTCACCATGCCATGTTCTCAGGACCAGTCCAAATCCCGTGTCATACAGGCCAGGTCAGCCTTCGTAACCACTGCTGACTATTTACCAGCAGACTTGAAAACTTGATGTTTAACAAGAGTGACAACAACAAAAAAAGTGTGCCGTCTATGTGGAAATCTGGTGACAATGATTTGTTATTATTACTGCTATTCCCAGCCCAGATGGTTCTCCAGATGAAATGGATAAAAATTGGATCCTCTTTGTGACTGGTGACAGGTGCAGACTTGGCCCCTCCAGTGGGATTTCATCAGGCACACAACATACCGCCGGCATAGGAGCGTCCCACAGGTGCACGTGTGTTGCAGCAATCCCAAAAACTGTCAAGTGAATAATTGGCCTCTTATCTGGAGTCTTTAGAAGATTCCCTTCTGCACATCCTTTGAAAAGCTGTATCAGTCAGATTCTTTGTTTGCCAGCAACAGAAACAGGCTCTGGCTAACTTGAGAAGGAAAGGTATTTATTGGACAGACATGGGGGTCCTTCTAGAATTGATGAAAGGCCACAGAACCAGGCTTTGTACATGATGAGAACCAGAGGAGCCCTAGAAGCAGAGGTAGCTGAGATAATTTAGAATCCAGTCAGGGTACTGCTAAAATGAATGAAGTATAACACTTTATTTTCAGTTTTTGTATCACTCCTATCAAGATTTAAAATTTGGGACAAGAGTGTTTGATGGCTCAGCTATGTCTTAGGTGTATTTCCTGGCAAAAAGAAAAAGGGTGGGGTCTCTGGTTGGCAGTCCTAGCAAAGCAGCACACAAAAGAGCAATAACAACAAAATTATATTGAAGAGATGAAACTTTGACAAAGGTAGAGAAAGGAACTCAGCAAATTCTTCACTGAAGAAACAACTGAACAAAATTGTCAAAAAACAACTTTGAGACACTGAAAATTGACCAAAGGCATGCAAAAAATTTAGAATAGTTTATTCAAATAAACCTACTGACACTGGGCCAATGACACTGGGACTCTGATGTTTTAACCTGGGGCTGCACCCCTCATCCCCTCAATTCCATCAGTGTAGTAGATCTACCAGGTCAGGGTATACTGTGAAAACCAATAGCTTTTCTGCCAGAGAAGACTGACTTGATTTGAAATGAATATGGAAAATATCCCATGCCCTCAGACATCATGGAAAAGAGTAGTTGATTCACAATAGTGATTTCATTAGCAAACAAATGGGGAAGGCCAATGTTGCAGTTAGTCTGTGGTTATAATATTGGTTAGGATAAGCAACAGATCAGAAGCATAGCCAGAAATTTGACAGGGAGCTCTAAGTAACTAGACAGCCACAGTGAGACTTGTTAAGCTCCAAAATATCCCTAAAGGTCTGAAAGGCTGTGGTTATGTGCAAGGCTGACTGCATGTGCAGAAAAGACTGAAGAGGACACTAGCTATGTACACATGGCTGGCTGAATGTGAGATCTTGTGTACATGCAAAGAAAGCACAAAGTCTCCATAGAAGGTAAGAGCAGGGACAGAACTGTAAACTGCCTGAAATTTAAATGTGTTCTGCAATCCATATAGTGATCCATCAGCAAAGAGTAGAAGCTTTACTGACTTGATGTGTTTGAGCACAACCTCTGATCAGTTAGTAAGCTATGCTGAATCAAGGGTTAACAATAGTAATTAAAATTTAGGAAAAAAGTAAGAACAAAAAAGAAACTTTAGCAGAGATATCACAGCCACATATTATAGTAGAGAGACTTTATAGAGTAAGTCCAGGAAAGTCAATACACAATCAAAATCAGCAGTAACAACTCCTAGAGAGAGGGTGAGAATTTACAGTTGCTAAAATATACTATTTAAAATTTCTGATTTCCAAAAAGAATGTTGTAAGACATCAAAAGAAACAGGAAAGTAGAAAAAGCTCAGGGGAAAAGTCAATAGAAATTGTCTCTTAGAAGTCTTCTAAGATGTCAGACTTCACAGAAAAAAATTTCAAAGCAGCTAGTAAAATTATGTTCAAAAGCTAAAGAAAATTATATTTTATAAGTTAAGGGAAATTATAATGACAATGACTCATCAAATAGAGAATATCAACACACAGGGTTTATATTTTAAGAAGAACCAAATGGAAAACTAGAGTTGAAAAATAAAGTAAGTAAAATGGAAAGTACACTAAAGGGGCTCAACACCAGATCTGAGATGCCATAATAAAAAATCAGTGAACTTGAAGATAAATCAATAAAAATTATCCAATCTGAAAAAAGAAAAAAATGAAGAAAATTGAACAGATTCTCAAACAGCTGTGGAACTCCATCAAGCATAACAACATTCATGTAATGGGAATCCTGGAACAAGAGAAGTGGGGAAAAGGGCATAAAAATATTTGAAAAAATAATTGCCAAAAACTTTCCAAATTTGATAAGAGACATTAATCTACACATTTAAGAAGCTCCATTAACTCCAAGTATGATAAGAACAAATAGATCTACATTTAGATACACAATATATAAACTGTTGAAAGCTAAAGACAAGCTTGAAAACAGCAAGAGAAAAATAACTCGTCATGTACAGCGGGACAATACAATTAACAGCTGACTCCTTATCAGAAACAGAGGAGGCCAGAAGACAGTGGGAGGACATACTGAAGGTGCTGGGGGAGAAACATCTGACCACAAGAAATTAAATTAGATGTCCTCAACAGAGAAAATTGGGAAATTCACAAATATTTGAAAATTAACAATCCACTTCAAAATAACCAATGAGTCAAAGAAAAAATCACAAAGGAAGTTGAAAAATGTGTTTAAGTAAATGAAAATGAAAACACAACATATCAAAAATTTATTAAGTACAGCTAAAGCAGTACCAACAGGAAAATTTATAGCTTTAAATGCCTATGTTAGTAGAAAAAGAAAGATCTCAGATCAATACTTAAGCTTTCATCTTAAGAAACAAGAATGAAGGATGAAAGTAAACCCAAAGCATGCAAAGAAAGGAAATAATAAAAATTACAGTAAAAATCAGTGAAATAGAAACAAAATAATCCTGAAAAATCAATGAAACGAAAAATTTGCTCCATGGAAAAAATCAGTAGAATTGGCAAATTGTTAACTAGACTGACTAGGGGAAAAAAGAGACAGACACAAATGACAAAAATCAGGACTGAAAGAGGGGAATATCACTACCTATCCTACAGAAATTAAAATAATTAGAAGGGATTAGTGTCAACAATGTTATGGAAACAAATTAGGTAACTTAAATGTAACTTAAATGAAACTAAAGGATGCACATTATCAAATGGACTCAAGAAGAAATAAAAACATATGAATAGACCTATAACAAGAAAAGAAATTGAATTTAAAATCTCTTCACAAAGAAAACCCCAGAGACAGATAGCTTTATTGGTGAATTCTATCAAATATTTAAATAATAAAAATACAAATCCTTCCAGAAAATGTAGAATGGAAACACTTTCCAAAGAATTCTATGAAGCAAGCATTACCCTGATGCTAGTCAAACATATTACAGGGAAATAAAACTACAGACTAATAGTCACATGAATATAGATAAAAAACTCCTCAACAAAATATTAGTAAAATGAATCCAGAAACATATAAAAAGAATTATATACCATGACTGAGTGGGGTTTATCTCAGTATTGCAAGACTGGTTTAATATCTGAACATTAATTAGTGTAATGCACTATATTAATAGAATAAAGGACAAAAGCTACACAATTATCTCAACACATACATAAAAAGCATTTAACAAAATCCGGCACTCATTCAAGTAAAACATTTTCAACAAACTAGGAATAGAAAGGAACTTTTCAACCTGATAAAGGGCATCTATAAAAATCTTACAGCTAATATCATATTTAATAGTGAAAGATCTAGTGCTCTCCCCTCAAGATCAGGAACAAAGCAAGATGTCTCTCACCACTTTCTACTTAACATTGTGGCTAGAGGTTCTAGCTAGTAAAGTAAGAAAAATATTTTTCATTGAAATGGTTCCGATTAGAAAGGAAGAATAAAATGGTCTTTATTTAAAAATTACATGATCGTATGGGGAGAAAATCCTAAGGAATCCACTCCAATTATTTTTAAACTACTAGAATGAATATATGAGTACAGCAAGTTGCAGGACAGAAGATCAATATATAAAAATCAATTGTATTTCTACATAATAATACACATAACAATCTACAAAATGAAAATAAAATTTCCTTCACAATAGCATCAAAAAGACTAGAGTATTTTGAAATAAGCTTACCAATAAAGTGCAAGACTTGCACACTGAAAATTACAAAGCATTGCTGAGAGAAAATAAGAAAGATTTTAATACATGAAGAGACATTCTATGTTCTTGGATCAGAAGACCCAATATTGTTAAGGAGTCACACATCTCCATGCAAATCTACAGATTCAACACAATCCCTATAAAAATGCCAGAGTACTTTTCAGAAATTGACACGCTTATCTTAAAATGTATATGAAAAAGCAAAGGTCCCAGAATGGCCAGAACAATTTCAAAAAAGAACAATGTGGGAGAACTTTCACTTCAAAACTTATTACAAGCCTCTCTCTGTTGCTGCTTCTCTTCAGGAATTCCCTTGCTCTACTTCCTTCCTAGATGATGACCTCAGAGCCATAAACTTCGGGTTTCATCCTGTAAGGGACTCCCTTCTTAGGCCACCCTGTCTAGACACCACCCAATAAAGCTTGTTATGTATTACTGCATCTCGTGGTCATATCTTTTTCCTTGATCAGCCTCCAAAACCTTTGAAACTCTTATGATAACACAAATGACCCTTTAAAACATCATCAGAAGCAGGAAGCCAGACACAAAAGATTATGTATCGCATGATTTCATTTGTATGAAATGTTCAGAAAAGATATATATGTACAGACAGAAAACAGATTAACACTTGCATGATGTTGGGTGTGTGAGTGGGGATTGACTTCAGATAAACATGAGGAACATTTCTGGGGTGCTGGAAATGCTGAATTTTGGTGACGGTCCCACAACTCTAACATTTACAAAAATCATTGAATCGTACCTTTAAAACAGGTGAAGTTTCTGGCATATAAATTTTATCTCATGAAGTGGTTTAAACATTATAGTTGAGTGATGATTCCAAAAGAAAGAGGCCAGGCATGGCGGCTCACACCTGTAATCCCAGCACTTTGGGAGGCCAAGGCAGGCAGATTATTTGAGGTCAGGAGTTCGAGACCAGCCTGGACAACATGATGAAACCCTGTCTCTACTAAAAAACACAAAAATTAGCCATGTGTGGTGGTGCATATCTATAATCCCAGCTACTAGGGAGGCTGAGGCAGGAGACTCGCTTGAACCCAGGAGGCAGATGTTGCAGTCATCCGAGATCGTGCCACTGCACTCCAGCCTGGGTGACAGAGCGAGACTCTGTCCCAAAAAAAAAAAAAAAGAAAGAAAGAAAGAAAGAAAAAGAAAGAGAAAAAGAAGAATTAATAATGGGTATCAAAACACAGTAAATGCCCAAAGCACTTTGTGCCTCAAGCTGTTGTTGATTCCTGCTGTCATTGTTGGAAGTTAAGTGTATATAGAGTCATGCATGACTTCTATAGAGCTACGGTGCTATCTTTCTCATTGCTCATCAATGTAAGTTTCAGTTCTCTGCCTTCTGGGCATAGTGTGATTGTACTTGCTGGGTCCCAGTGGTTGATGCAACCATGTGACTGCTTCTGACTAATCAGTTGTGGGTCACTTCTGGGATCAGACTTGCCAGTGGAAGGAGCTCCAGGGTATTCCTTTTGACTGTCATGGTGACTGGCAATGTTCCATATGACTGAGACTCTGACAACCCCTAGTCAACCTTGATGGACAAGTAATGCAGGTAAAATAAATATTTGCTGTGTTATGCCCCTGAGACTTGGAGGATATTTGTCATCAGAGAATAATTTAGTCTCCTGACTGATACAAGGCAGCCTTATTGGAACCCAGTATTTTTTGGTCTGAATCTTAGTCATATCAATTGTCACTAATGGTTGTAGCACCATTTACAGAGCAACTGCTATGTCTCATATGCTCTGCAAGGTACCTGACTTATCCCTAATTCTCATAGCACCACTTCTGAGTAGAAATTACTTTTTCATTTTACAGATGAAAAAACTGAGCCTCAGGAAGTCTCAGTAATCTGAGTAAGAAGATATAAGCCTGTCAGTTGCTAATATGAAATGCGCTTATTTATTCAACAAATATTTGCTGTTACTTATTACCTACTGATCGTATATGCTGGGCACCAGGACTATGATGGTGAGCAAGACAATCACAGTTCCTCCTTTGCAGGGTTCAGATGCCACAGCCCTCCCCTAGAGATTCATTCAGTTATTTGAGGAGTGGACTCTGGAATCAATGCTTTCCAAAAGCTCCCGGGTAATTACACTGAGCATCAAGGGTATAAGTCACTGGTTTGGAGTCCAGCAGGCCCAGTTCTTTTGACTCCAAACCCAAAATGTCCAGTCTCATCGCAAAACCTCTCACTTTTATAGATCCTGTGCCAGGTTTGACTGGGCCGAAGCCATCAGCTCATGTCCTCTCCTCATGTCCTCTCATAGACTTCGTCATAATCATCTTTGTACCCTCAGCTGTCTCCCTCTCTTTCTCTGCTGGAGGTGTCTGTGTTACAACAGAATGTTTGAGCTGGGCAAGATCCTAGTTATAAAGATCAGTGGTTTTCTAATGTTTTCAAGCTATTAATGCCTCTTTTTTCCAAAACAAATTCTTATAAAAGCACAATATATGATGCAGATATTGAAAAAGACCTGAATAGAATTAGGAGTGGGATCCAAAGGTTGTTTTTGCTCTTTTTCCTTCTCACCTGCGCAGCTTTCTCCAGAATTCCTAGAGCTCTGAAGGACATAGTTTGAAAACTACCAACATAGCCCTATGATCCCATGGAAGCCACTGGCATAGCCCTACTCCCCCATGAAAACCTCTAGTGTAGCCCTGCTATCCCATGAGAACCACTGGCGTAGCCCTACTCCCCCATGAAAACCACTGGTGTAGCCCTACTCCCCCATGAAAACCACTGACATAGCCCTACTCCCCCATGAGAACCACTGGCGTAGCCCTACTCCCTCATGAAAACCACTGACATAGCCCTACTTCCCCATGAGAACCACTGGCATAGCCCTACTCCCTCATGAAAACCACTGACATAGCCCTACTCCCCCATGAAAATCACTGGTGTAGCCCTACTCCCCCGTGAGAATGACTGGCATAGCTCTACTCCCTCATGAGAATGACTGGCATAGCCCTACTCCCCCATGGACACCATTGGCATAGCCCTACTACCCCATGAAAATCACTGGTGTAGCCCTACTGTCTCATGAGAATGACTAGCATAGCCCTACTCCCTCATGAGAATGACTGGCATAGCCCTACTCCCTCATCCTGTGGGCAGAGCAACTGAGCCCAAGAGAAAGAAGGACTTCCCCAGGACTCCACTACTTCATCAGTGTCAGACACTGGGGCATCTTCTCACTCCCTATCTAGTGCTTATGCCACTACAACACAGAGCCTCCCACACCATGTTCCTCGTAGCACCAATGTTCTTCTAGAATCTGAAAATATCCAACCAAGCAATAGCAGGACCAATCAGAAAAGGCCCTTTGGAGGAAGGAGTGGCTGAGCTGAGGCCTGGAGAATGAGTTGGTGTTAGGCAGGCCAAGGGAGGCAGCTTGTATTCTAGCTCAAGGAAGCTGTCTGTGCAAAGGCCCTGAGGTGAGACAGACAGTGGTAACTTTAGCAGCTGACAAGTCTAACCAAGTCTTAAGAGATGAAGCTGAAATTACTACCAGGGGCCAGATCATGAATGACATGCTACGGAGTTTGAACTTGGCCTTTGTCCTAAAAGCAATGAGAATAACCTGGAGAAATTATATATTACAGAGTCTCACTCTGGGTCTGGTGAGGAGGGTAGTTTAAGTTAACAAAGAGTTGACACAGACAGCACAGTTCAGCTGCTGTGATAACACATAAGGGGAAGCTTAGTACCAGGGCAGTGAAGGCATGGGCAGACTGAATAGGGAGGCAATATTGGCGGGGCCTGATGAATGATCAAGTCGGGAGGATGACAGAAAGGAAAACACCAAGGATGGAGGCTGGGTTTATCTCGTGGGCATTTGGGTTGATCATGATGCCTTTCACTGTGACAAGGAACAGAGGAGCAGGAGCCTGGAGTGAAGAAGGTATGAGAGCCATCCATCAATCAGACGCACTTGTCTCTAAAAATCAGGAAACTCAATCCCAAATGGCTGAGACGATAAGGGTTTGCACTATCTCATATTACAAGAAGTTTAGAGGAAGGGGAGTTTCCAAGCTGGTTAATTCAGGAGCTCAACAAATGTATCAAACACCCAGGTTCTCCTGACTCTGTGCTGTCACCCTCAGTGTATCTGTGGGCACACCTCATGGTAGCAGGATGGCACAGCAGCCCAAGGAGTGACACTGTCACACATTGAATCAATTTCCTAGGGCTGCCCTAACAAAGTGCCACAAACTGGGAGCTTAAGACAATAGAAATGCATAGTCTCACAGTTCTGGAAGCCAGAAATCCAAAATCAAGGTGTTGGCAGGGTTGGTTTCTTCTAAAGGTTCTGAGGGAGGATCTGTTCCATGCCTTTCCCTTAGCGTCCAGTGTAGTGTAACACTTGGTGTTCGTTCCTTGTCTTACAGCTGCAGAATTCCAATCTCTTCTTCCATCATCAAATGACACTCTCTCCATGTCCGTATCTTATAAGGGCACCAGTCATATTCGATTAAGGGCCCACTCTACGCCAGTACGACCTCATCTTAACTAATTACATCTACAATGAAGTCATTCCCAAACAAGGGCACATTCTGAGGCACCAGGGTTAGAATCACAGTATATCTTTTTGGGGGGACATGATTCAATCCACAAGCCACACCAAGTTAGAATGGGGATATGATGGTTCATTTTCTGTGTCAACTTGACTGGGCCACAGGGTGATATTTGGTCAAAGGTTATTCTGGGTGTTTCTGTGTGGGTATTTTTGGATGAGATTAACATGTGATTCAGTAGACTGAGTAAAGCATATTGCCCTTCTTAATGTGGGTGGGCCTCGGCCAATCAGTTGAAGGCCAGAATAGAGCAAAAAGGCTGCCCTTCCCATCGAGTAAGAGAGCATTCTTCCTGCCTGACTGCCTTCCAACTGGGACATTGGCTTTTGTCCTGCCTTCAGGAAACACGAGTTCTTCCTGGGTCTACAGCCTATCAACCTTTCAACTGGAATTTACACTGTCAGTTTTCCTCACTCTCAGATCTTTGTGTTTGGGCAGGAATTAAATCATTGGCTCTCCTGGGTCTCCAGCTTGTAGATCTTTCGACCTGCCAGCCTGCTTAATACATAATAGCATGAGCCAATTCCTTATGATAACTTTCTCTCTGGCTCTCTCTCTCTCTCTCTCTCTCTCCACACACAGACACACACACACACACAGAGTGATGGTTAATACTGAATGTGAACTTGATTGGATTGAAAGATGCAGAGTATTAATCCTCAGTGTGTCCATGAGGGTGTTGCCAAAGGAGATTAACATTTGAGTCAGTGGGCTGGGAAAGGCAGACCCACCCTTAATCTGGATGGGCACCACCTAATCAGCTGCCAGCAAATAATAAAGCAGCCAGAAAAGCATGAAAAAGTTAGACTGACCTAGCCTCCCAGACTACATCTTTCTCCTGTGCTGGATGCTTCCTGCCCTTGAACATCAGACTCCAGGTTCTTCAGTTTTGGAACTCTCTCTGACTCTTCTTGTTCCTCAGACTACAGATGGTGTATTTGTGGGACCTTGTGATCGTGTGAGTTATTATTTAATAAACTCTCCTTTATATATATCTATATATCTATTCCATTAATTCTGTTCCTCTAGAGAACCCTAATACACACACACACACACACACACACACACACACACACACACCCCTCTTATTGGTTTTATTTCTCTGGAGAACCCTGACTGATACAGGGGTACTAGCTCTTCTTATTATCACTTTTACCCTTTTTTTTTTAGAGCTAAGAAGCCTTACTCAGAAGCTCTATTCTCATTGGCCAAATTTGGTGAATGAGGCTAAAATGATTGCCTTAGACCAACCTGAATTAATCCAAGCGACTCAGGGGAGACGTGGCTACTGGAACAAAATTAAGAATCCAGCATGGAAGAATGAGGAAAGGCCTGCCAGTGTCAGCTGCAGCAGAGGGCAGAGGAGTTCACGGCCAAGCACGCCTAGGTCAGGACCCAAGCATACAGGCACAGCAGATAGGAGTTGGCCAGAGACCAACAAACTCAAGTCGAGGATCCAGTCCAGCGAAACATTTCCTGGTGTATCTTTCTCAAGGCCAGGACTCATCCCAGCAAATGAGTCTGCTGGAATCTCTAAGTGTGTGGAAATGGGAAGGTGCTGAAGGCAGACCCTGTCATCCAATCTTAACAGGAAGAAATATTTCCCCGGCTACGGAAATGTAGAGATGTTGGAGATTTTGCCCACTTGTGTCCCATGACTCATTCTTACCCTTCAGATGAATCTGAAGATGCTGCTGCCCTTCAGCGAGTCCTCAGTGGCAGACACATCATCCGTCCCTGAGAGGCAGGCTGTGAACATCCATTATCACAGAAAGTAAGTCCATCTCCACACACTGGGTGTGGCAAAGAACTGCAAACATGGGGTCCCTTCTCTTCCGGCACTTATACTCTACTCCAAATCCCAAAACATAAGCCTATAATTAACATCGCTCCTCTCTATAAGGAATACCTTCTAAATGCAGGATGACCTGACACGTCCGTTGCCATTTCTTTCTCACAACAACATAGCGGGTTATCTTTATAGTTATTCCCATTTTGCAGGTGAGGAAATGGAAGCTCAAAAATATTCCCTCCGTGTTCAATTTACATGAGTGGCAGAGTTGGGACTCACACTCAGCTGTGATACCAAAGCCTGTATTCTCACCCACAGTATCTGTGGGGACAAATAATGTCTATTGGAGTTTCAGAAAGAGAGAAATGTTTGCAGATGGGATAGGGGTAAAGAGCACAGATTTCCTGAAAGGACAGTAGTTTAATGAAGCTCACCTTGAACGATGAATTGAATTTATTCTACACTTGCTTTCCTTTCTCAGTGTGAGACAGTGAGACACAGTAGGAGCAATGAATCTCCCAAGGTCATGCCACAAGTCACTGGCCAAGCCTGGCCTGTCACTCAAAGCTCTGAATTCCCAGCTCACTGAACTCAGCGGTTGAAGCCACCATGGTGGGGCTGCGTCAAAATAAGTCTGGAATAAAACACCCACCTACAATGTTTCCCCTTCTTCGACTTTTCCCCACTGTGTCCCCTGTCTTCTCCACAAACAACCTTCTTATGACCCTTCCCACTGATCCATAAACTGTCCCAGGAAATGCCAGGATCTGAACATCATATTGGCCATGAGGGACTCGGTCAACTTCTTTGCCTTCTGGCTGTTTTAAATAAACAAAGGGCAGTTCACAAGTTATTAGTAAATACCAAGGCTTAGTTTATTGTATAAAACTTCAATCCAACAAATAAATGAGCCATCAAGTTTGAATTTATGTAGCATTCAAAACACATTAAAGCCATTTGACCATGACAAAGGCCTTTCCTGCTTTGAATGATGAAGCCAGTACTGCAAATACCCTTTGGATGAGACATTAAGTGAGGTCCTTTCAGTTGGTCTCTGGGGACTGTCAAGGTGGAAAGTAAAGATTCTGAAACTCTGCTAAAGAATTATTTGGGGAAAATCCCATCCTGGCTGATATCGCCTTTCTCAAAAAACAAACCTACAAACAAAAACAAATTTAAAAAAGGGTTTGTAAACCTATAACAGTCAGAAGAATTAGTCACTCATCTAGCTGACCACTCTTATGCCCTTATTTCCCTTAAGATATCCCGGAGAGACACCAGGGAACACATGGGTTCTCACGAAGGGATGCTGGTAGCTTATTCTATGAGGCTCCAGCTTCTATTGTGGCCTGTCTGTGAGCAGTTTCTCCATCTGCAAATTGGCTGTAATACCTCAAAGGGCATGATGAGCAATGAAGAGATAATACAGGAAAAAGCATTTTTTTAATTCCAAAGTGCTGTTCAAATAAAAACTGTCATTATTAATAATATGTAAAGATAAGGCTGGGCCTGGTGGCTCAAGTCTGTAATCCCAGCACTTTGGGAGGCTGAGGCAGGCAGATCACCAGGTCACAAGTTCGAGACCACCCTGGCCAACATGGCGAAATCCCATCTCTACTAAAAATTCAAACAGTAGCCGGGCGTGGTGGTGGGTGCCTGTAATCCCAGCTACTTGGGAGGCTGAGGCAGGAGAATCACTTGAACCTGGGAGGCAGAGGTTGCAGTGAACTGAGATTGTGCCATTGCACTCCAGCCTAGGCAACAAGAGCAAGATTCCGTCTCAAAAAAGAAAAAAAAAGTAAGGATAATAGTCAGTCTCACCTTCTCCATTTTAGTTTGCTTTCTTTTGCTATAGGCAATAGAAAGTTTCTCATTTCTGTGGCTGTTTCTACTTTTGCAAGGAGCCCTTGGGGCTTGCAGCTGCTATTAATGATTATGGGAGTCTTGGGATTTGACACATTGGAGTTAAGCTCCCTCTGCAAGGCCTGAGCCTCTGCATAAGCAGGCAAGTTTTAGGCAGGCATCCCCTGGAGATGTAGAGTGCCTAGAAGGAATTCTATTTGTGTGGCCTCCTTCCCAATGCACCCCCCAAGCCCAACCCAAATGAAGATCAAAGACAACATTGAAAGTATCCCCTCCACAAAACACCAAAAAAGTAGAAATCCAATTAGTCTTAGTAGGAGGGGTTGAGAAGGGAATATGTATTCAACAAACAGTAGCTGTAATCCCAGCTAGTAGGGAGGATGAGGCAGGAGAATTGCTTGAACCCAGGAGGTGGAGGTTGCAGTGAGACAAGATCCTGCCACTGCACTCCAGCCTGGGTGACAGAGTGAGACTTCATCTCAAAAAAAAAGGTTGCTTTGAAGGTTAAAGTTCAAGTGAGATGATGAGGGTAAAGCCTCCAGTATAACATCTGGAAACTACTAAGTATTTGCTACAGACTGAATATTTGTGTCCCATCCAAAATTCATATACCAAAACTTAACCCCCAATGTGATGGTATTAGGATGTAGGGCCTCTGGGAATGATAAGGTCATAAGGTGACTAAGCCCCTGAATGGGATTAGTACCTGTATTAGTCCATTTTCACACTGCTGATAAAGACATAACCAAGACTGGGCAATTTACAAAAGAAAGAGGTTTAATGGACTCACAGTTTCACATGACTAGGAGGCCTCACAATCATGGCAGAAGGTGAAAGACACATCTCACATAGCGGCAGACAAGAGAAGAGTACTTGTGCAGGGAAACTCCCCTTTACAAAGCTATCAGATCCCATGAGACTTATTCACTATCACAAGAATAGCATGGGAAAGACCCAGCCCCCCATGATTCAGTTATCTCCCACTCTGTCCCTCCCACAACATGTGGGAATTGTGGGAGCTACAATTCAAGATGAGATTTGGATGGGGACACAGCCGAACCATATTAGTACCCTTATAAAAGGGACCCCAGAGAGCTCCCTCACTTTTCTCACCATGGGAGGACACAGGGACAAGACAGCCACCTATGAACCTCCTTCAAAAGGAAGCCAGCCCTCATCAGACACTGAATCTGCTGGCATCTTGATCTTGGACTTTGCAGCCTCCAGAAATGTGAGAACAATTTCTGGTGTTTATAAGCCACCTAGTCAATGGTATTCTGTTGTAGCAACCCCAAGAGACTGAGACAGAATTGAATATATGATAGCTATTTCTCCTACTACTATTATTATACCATGGTGGGATCTCAGAGAACAGAATCCTGCTCTGGCAGAAGGCACTGAGGAAAGCCATGCAGATTATCAGTATATTCAGGGAAGGTCCCACGTCCTAATGGAAAGACACAGCTGAGCAAGTTCCTGAGGCTGCCTATGAAAAGACAGGCAGATCTTTCGGCTAAACCACAAGATTCCTGGGTGTGTGTGTCCATCCAACCAACAACATATTTTTAAACACATCACGTGTACCTGGCACTGAGTATAAAGTGGTGAACAGATGTAGCTCTGCTCCTGTGAAGCTATAGGTGAGGAGGATGGAAAAAGTTAACACAAACACATAAGCAAATAAATATGTAATCACAAATTGAGAAAAGCTGAATGAGCGTAATGTATAGAGTGCTGTGCTACAGAATAATCTAGGAGGTAACCTATTTAGAATAGATGATCAAGGAAGACCTGTCTGAGGAGGTGACATTTAAAACAGACTTGAAGGATAAGAAGCCAGTCAGCAGAAAAGATTGGGGCAAAGTGACTTGAGACTTGCCCAGGAGGCTTCTTAATAGCAAATCTTGTTGGCAAAATGGCTCACCTGCAATGTTTCAACCAATGTTGCAGCAAAAGCTGGTGAGTGACCCCTCTTCATCATTAGTGCAGAGATGAGATCATCTGGCTTTAAAGGTGACCCTAGAGAGATCCCACCACAGGGAGCTGGGATATACTAAACAAAGACACCCGTAGGGGCTGATGAGTTGTCGTTCAAATTCTCTCCCAATTCTTCATAAGATGCATTGAATGAAGGGGTTGGAAGTGAATTGGAGGAAGCAGTGGAGACTGGCCTCCCAGTGACCTCGGGTCAGTTTTCCCAAGCCCCGAAAGGAGCACTATTGCTATTTATATTTCAATGTAAATCAAGCCTACTTCAACTAGCAAGGCTGTGTAAACTTGTGTTTAATGTCAGGTTTATATTAATATTTGCATTAACAACATTGATCGTTTACATAACAATGCATACGTAAAGTCTGGGCTAGGTTTGGGTTTACACACATTTGCATAATGTTTACAGATTGATTGATTAGACAGACTGTGCATAAATCCAAGTAAACTGCTAGTTGTTTATTTTTTCTATTGGGGCTTGGTAGCTTATATCTTAATAAATGGCTAAACTGAACCTAAGTCCTCTATTATAACCTTCACAGAAGATTTAATAGTTCTGAAAAGTAATTTTCACTGAAAAAGAGTGAGATGAAATCACTGGGCCTATTTTTTCCCTTAATCTCCAGCACTGAGTGGTTAAAAAGGAGGACACTGGCTTAAACTGTGCTCTAATAGAGATAAAACCAGGCCGGAGGGGGAGTATCTGGACTCAAGACTCCTGCGTGAGCCATTGCTAAGAGTTTCTTAGAGAGGCTCAGGTTTGGCAGGGACCTTTGTGGGCCCTGGGAATCTTCACTACCAGCTGGTCAGAGAAGCGAGGTGGAGCGTGGCTTCCTTTCATTCCCTGAATGCCTCTGCCTGGGGAGTAATGATCTGGATACTTAATCCCCAAGCAGAGGGAAGCTTGAAAAAGGACAGGAAGAGTAGAAGAGATTTCGGAAGAGAAAAATACCATTCAAAAAGCAATAAAAACAGCAAATTTTTTTTTTTTTTTTTTGAGATGGAGTTTTGCTCTTGTTGCCCAGGCTGGAGTGCGGTGGTGCAATCTCAAGTGCAACCCCACCTCCCAGGTTCAAGCGATTCTCCTGCCTCAGCTTCCCAAGTAGCTGGGATTACAGACATGCACCACCACACCCGGCTAATTTTTTTTTGTATTTAGTAGAGACGGGGTTTCACCATATTGGTCAGGCTGGTCTCGAACTCCTAACTTTGGGTGAGCCACCCGCCTCGGCCTCCCAGAGTGCTGGGATTACAAGCATGAGCCATCATGCCCAGCCCAAAAACGAACTAATTTTAAAAATGCTTTTTTGTATTTTGTGTGGACCTCCAAGAGTTTGGTAAATCACTTCCTCAGCTCACGGCACATGGTCTGTAGGTCCATGCAAGGCCCTGAGCTCCATTCTCCAATCCAGTTCATTCCCACCCCTCAAAAGGCAGCACTCGTGTGCCCTGCAGGTCTCTTTGGAGACTGTAGGAATAAACAAAGACCTACCAAATGAGAACAGGCAAGGGCTCTTTATTCAGAGCTTGTTGTATAGCAACAGACAGCCATCGCCACTTGCATTTGGCAGAGACTCAAAGGCAGGCAGAGGAGTGAGGAAGATTTATGGGGGAAAGCGAAAGCTTTGGGTGTGCCCTGATGGGAGGCTGTTGGCCTGAAGAAGCTGGAGGAGACTAACTAAAAGTGGGGCATCTTATGCGATTGGTTAGGGGTGCATATTTGACTTTCTCTAATTGGCCTCGAGTTGGAAGTGGGAACAAAAATTATGGAAGTTGCGAGTTGTTAATCAAGTCCTGGCTATTTGAGATCAATTGTTACAAAAGTTACTGTTTAGCTTCTTGAATTGTTACTAGAGATAGCATCTGACTTTCTAGATGTCTGACTTGCAACAGGCTGGCTTCCCGGGCTGGCTATTGCAGATAAAGATTTGGTTTCCTGGGCAGGTTGCTGCAGGTCGTGAGTCCCAGTTCTATTTTCAAATATGGTCCTACCACTGTTCACGTGTACATTCAGTTTCTCAAGATACAGATATCTTACAAAATATGTAGTGTTGTTTTCTGTGGGTATGTTATTAAATGGCATTGTGCTAAAGATCTCTTGATGTTCTTAACCTTTTTTCTTACTCAATAGTATGAGTTAAAGATATATCTGGGTTGCTGTCAATACACACATAGCTCCTTGGACCTTATGGTTGCAGCTGCTACATACTGTGCACCCACCAGGACACACCTTCCACATTTTATAACAAGTTGCCTCCGGTATCCACCATCACTAACAACACTGAGATGAATATTTTCATATTTGTTCAATTAAAGGATGGTTTGCCAGAGTTCCCTGTTTATATACTCAGGATAGGAGGGTTGAGTCATAATATATGTGTTTCTTTAGTGTCAGTATATAGCACCAGATTGTTCTCAGAATGGTTATAAAAGTTGATATCCTATCAACAGTGCATGAGAGTTCTCATTTTCCCACATCGTTGCCAATGCTTTGTAGTAACAGGCTTTCTTTCTTTCTTTTTTGAGACAGGGTCTCCCTTTGTTATCCAGGCTGGAGTGCAATGGCACAATCTTAGCTCACTGCAGTCTCGACTTCCCAGGCTCAAGCGATACTTCCACCTCAGTTTTCTAAGTAGCTGGGACTACAGGCACACGCCACCATGCCCAGCTAATTTTTTGTATTTTTCTTAGAAACGGGGTTTTGCCATGTTATGCAGGCTAGTCTCAAACTTCCTGAGCTCAGACAATCTGCCTGCCTCGGCCTTCCAAAGTGCTGGAATTACAGCCACCACGCCCAACCACTGGTGACAGGCTTTCTATTTATGGAAAATAGGATGGTATTCAGTATCTACTTCATTGATGTTTTAATTTTCCACTCATTTATTACAAGTGAGTGAACATCTCATCACATAGTTATTACACATACAAGATTTTCACTTCTGTGAAGTGTCTATTCATACATTTTTACTTGGTTTTCTTGTTCTTCCCTTGTTGATTTGCAGAAACTCCTCATTTATTCTAGATGTGAATCCTTTGTTGGTTTTGAAGGTTGCAAATGTTTTCTCCTAGTCTGTCATCTTATTAAACAAAATTTCTGAATTTTAAAAGAAACAAATCCATCAATTCTTTGTGCATTTTGGGGCCACTATCTTAGAAGTTCTTCCCTAGCGTTAAGGAATCAAAAATAATCTCTTCTACTTCTATCAGCTTTATTGAAGGAGTTTTTAACTAGATTGGCGTTAACCTGGAATTCAAGATGTCAGTGAACTTGGATGGGAAAAAATACATTTTTATTTTCAGTAACCTCTAATAGACATTTAATATTTCTTCTGATTATGAATGTGGGCAACAAGCCACAGTGGTAGTAGTAGGCTTTCAATTTTGTCTCCAAAAAAAGTATATTTTTAGCTTACATTACCATTGTTGCATATATTTCAAAATTGTTTTTTAGTGCCACATTTCAAAATTGCTCTAGCTGTTAGATTTGCTGCCAGATCTGAGTAATGCTTGTATTAGTCCATTTTCTCAGATATTAGTCCGTTTTCATGCTTCCCAACACTGGGAAGAAAAAGAGGTTTAATTGGACTTACAGTTCCATGACTGAGCGTCCTCAGAATCATAGCGGGAGGCAAAAGGCACTTCCTACATGGCAGTGGCGAGAGAAAAATGAGAAGGATGCAAAGCAGAAACCCCTAATAAAACCACCAGATCTCGTGAGACTTATTCACTACCATGAGAACAATATGGGAGAAACCACCCCCATGATTCAAATTCTCTCCCATCGGGTCCCTCCCACAACATGTGGGAATTAAGGGAGTACAATTCAAGATGAGATTTGGGTGGGGACACAGAGCCAAACCATATCAATGCTTTAATACAGAAGCATGTATTTTACTTCACAAGTTTTAAAATTTCTACATAATTGTTTCTTTTGATAATCCTATTTTATTTTATGCATTTAAAAATATTATGCTGAGGAGTCTATAGGCTTCCTCAGATTACCAAAAAGATATATATTAACAACACTGTTTTATAGCTGTACCTTTCACAATTAGGAGTTAATCTGAAGTTCATCTTTGTATATGGTTTGAGTCAAATTCCTGATTCACACCATATGCCAATACCATATGCAGAGTAATCCTTTCCTTCCCCATGGACTGATTTCTGGTGCCATCTTTATTATGACAAACTTCCCATTCATACCCAAGTCTTCCCCTGAGTTGCTGTTCTATTCTATCAATCATTGCCTGGTCCAGGCTAAAATTTTAAGATGTAGAGCAGGAGGGATGGAGAGTGGAACTGGGCACACCCATGATGTCTGCATTTGGAGGTTTATTTTATTTTAGTTTTTTATTAAATGTTAATTTTTTCTGTATTTGTTTTTAATATAAAAATTAAAGACAGACTTTTAAAAATATTAGTAAAAATGTATGATTTAGGATTCTTGGATTTTGGATAAGATTACTGAGTTCTCTCACAGTCTGTATCAGGAAATCACAAACTGTTTTTTGTAAAGGGCCGGACCATAAGTATCTTAGGGTTTACAAACCCAGGCTGCTTAATTCTGCCCTTGCAGCATGAAAGCAGTCACAGACAATGTGGGAGCAAATGAACTTAGCTGTTTCAGTAAAACTTTATTTACAAAAACCTGCTGGCTGGATTTGGCTTACAGGCTATAGTTTTCCAACCCCTGTCCTGTATCACTTGAAGTATTTTCTTCCCCATATAAGGTATCAATGTTCTTTACTGTGAAAGTCATCAAAGAAATTATTATCTTTGATTAAAGACCCATGTCTGTGGAGCTGGGCGTTAGATGTCCACATATGCTATCCCAGCACTATTCATAATAGATAACATAATAGAAAATTGTATCATAAAAGATAACCCAAATAGCCAGAAGTAAGAAAACTATTAAGACAATTCTGATAAATCCAAATAATAGACTATTATGTAGCCATTTAAAATGTTTATGGAATTTTTAAATAAGATGCACATGTTTATAATATGTCAACTTTTACATGAGAATAAAAATAATACATATAAAATATAAACTATGTTTTAAAATTCATAGAGAAAAGCCTAAAAGGAAAAACATTAGTGACAGATCTGGGTGAAATTATGAATGATTTTTATTATCTTCTGAATATGTGTCTGTATTTTCTACAATTTCTACAGCAGACCTGTATTAATTTTAAAACAAATGCTGTATTGTTTTAGTGTAAAGAAAGTTTAAAAGATGGCATCCACAAAACAATCTGCATAAATCCACTTAACATCAAGGAACACTGAGCAGATGGACAATGGAAATGCTCGTTTAGTAACAGCACAATAATTCAGAATATCAAGTCAAACCAAAGCCATTTGTAACTTTAATTGGGGTATTGAAAAAACAAGTAATTAATAGTAAACAATATTTTAGAAAATATTTATTAACACTGGGGACTCTTATCAGAGTCACACGTAGTATGCTAGAGTTTTTCAGGGATTGTCTCAATTAATCTTTCCAAAAGCCCTCTAAGATAGGTACTGCTAATATAATCATCATCATCATCATCCCCATTTTATAGAGGAGAAAACTGAGGCTTATACTCTTAAGAACTTGGTTCAAGCTCTGTGTACCTAGAAAGTAATGGAGATTGGGTGCAAATCCAGGGAGATATGATGCCCAACTGAAGAAATTGAACTCTTATAGAACTTTAAAAATAACTATTAGAGGCATGGCATTTCAGGCCAGGCACAGTGGCTCACACCTGTAATCCCAGCACTTTGGGAGGCTGAGGCAGGTGGATCACCTGAGGTCAGGAATTCGAGACCAGCCCAACCAACATGGAGAAACCCTGTCTCTATTAAAAATACAAAATTAGCCAGGCATGGTGGCACATGCCTTTGATCCCATCTACTTGGGAGGCTGAAGCAGGAGAACCACTTGAACCCAGGAGGCGGAGGTTGCAGTGAGCTGAGATTGCGCCACTTCACTCCAGCCTGGGCAACAAGAGCAAAACTCCATCTCAAAAAAAAAAAAGAAGAAGAAGAAGCATGGTATTTCCATCAGGTGAGGTAGTAGTTTCAAGTGGGATTATTAATTAGTCACAGCAACAGTTCCCAACAGGATCTCTGTTTGCCAAAATTTGATCTAGCTGTCTTTATGTTCTAATCTCTGGAAAAGCAGCATTTCTTTAAAAATGCTCTCCAGTCAGACCTTTCACTGGTTTAGACACTGGTTCAGCCAAGAAATCATCATGCCTTCCTTCCAGCTCACCCCTTTGCATCCCTTCTGCTTCAGAATTACAGAGCTTGTATTTTCCAGCAATGCACTGCAGTAGTTGCAGTGGGAGGGCTTTGACTTTGGATGGCTTCCTCAGGAAGGCACACACTGGGCCCTATGAGCCATACTCCTTGTATTAGTCCATACTCACACTACTATAAATAATAACCCGAGACTAGATAATTTATGAAGAAAAGAGATTTAATTGACTCACAGTCCCACAGGCTGTACAGGAAGCATGGCTGGGAGGCCTCAGGAAACTTACAATCATGGCAGAAGGGTGAATGGGAAGCAAGGACATCCTCACATGGCAGCAGGAGAGAGAGAGCAAAGGGGGAAGCGCTACACACTTTTAAACAATGAGATCTCATGAGAACTCACTTACTATTGTGAGAATAGAAAGGGGGAAATCCACCCCCATGATCCAATCACC
The DNA here is from genome assembly GCF_000001405.40 of Homo sapiens. Classification (NCBI taxonomy): domain Eukaryota; kingdom Metazoa; phylum Chordata; class Mammalia; order Primates; family Hominidae; genus Homo; species Homo sapiens. Next base: position 24,738,213 of record NC_000004.12, on the reverse strand, counting down.
TTCCACTAGGTCCCTCCCTCAACACTGGGGATTACAATTCACCATGTGATTTGGGTAGGGGCACAGAGTCAAACCGTATCATTCCAGTCATTCCACCCCAGCCTCTCCCAAATCTCATGTCCTTCTGACATTTCAAAATGTGGCCGTCTTTTCACAGCATCACTAGGCAATACCCTAGTGAGGACTCTGGGCAGGGGCTCCAACCCCACATTTCCCCTATGCCTGCCTGAGTAGAGATTCTCCATGAGGGCTCTATCTCTACAGCAGACTTCTGCCTGGACATCCAGGCATTTCCATATATCCTCCGAAATCTAGGTGGAGGCTCTCAAATCTCAACTCTTGCCTTCTGTGCACCTGCAGGTCCAACACCACATGGAAGCCACCAAGCCTTGGGGCTTGTGCCCTCTGAAACAACAGCCCAAGCTGTACCTTGGCCCCTTCCAGCCATGACTGGAGCTGGAGCAGGTGGGATGCAGAGCACCATGTCCTGAGAGTATACAGAGCCATGAGTCCCTGGCCCTGGCCCACTAAACCACTTTTTACTCCTAGGTCTCCAGGCCTGTGAAAGGAGGGGCTGCCACAAAGGTCTCTGAAATGCCCTGGAGGCATTTTCCCCATTTTCTTGGCTATTAACATTCAGCTCTTTTTTACTTATGCAAATTTCTACAGCCTTAAATTCCTCCCTAGAAAGTGGGTTTTTCTTTTCTACCACATGGTTGGGCTGCGAATTTTCCAAACTTTTACGTTCTGCTTCCTTTTTAAATACAAGTTCTGGTTTCAGGTCATTTCTTTGTTTATGCAAATGAGCATAGGCTTTTAGAAGCAGCCAGACCACATCTTGAATGCTTTGCTGCTTAGTAATTTTTTCTGCGAGATACCCTAAATCATCTCCCTCAACTTCAAAGTTCCACAGACCTCTAGAGCAGGGTCACAATGCCGCCAGTCTCTTTGCTAATGCATAGCAAGAGTGAACTTTACTCCACTTCTCGATAAGTTTCTTGTCTCCACCTGAGACCACCTCAGCCTGGACTTCCCTGTCCTTATCACCATCAGCATTTTGGTCACAACCATTCAACAAGTCTAGGAAGTTCAAAACATTCCCTCATCTTCCTATCTTCTTTTGAGCCTTCCAAACTATTCCAACCTCTGCCCATTACCCAGTTCCAACATCACTTCCACATTTTCACATATCTTTATAGCAATACCCCACTTCTGTGGTACCAATTTTCTGTATTAGTCCATTCTTGCACTGCTATAAAGAAGTACCTGAAACTGGGTAACGTATAGATAAAAGAGGTTTAATTGACTCACAGTTCCACAGGCCATACAGAAGGCATGGCTACGGAGGCCTCAGGAAACTTACAATCATGGAAGATGGTGAAGGGGAAGCCAGCATGTCCTACATGGCTGGAGCAGGAGGAAGAGAAAGTGAAGAGGGAAGTGCCACACACTTTTTTTTTTTTTGAGATGCAGTCTCACTCTGTCACCCAGGTTGGAGTGCAGTGGTGCTATCTCTGCGCACTGCAACCTCTGCCTCCTAGGTTCACACCATTCTTCTGCCTCAGCAGCCTCCTGAGCAGCTGGGACTACAGGCGTCTGCCACCATGTCTGGCTAATTTTTTTGTATTTTTAGTGGAGACGGGGTTTCACCATGTTAGCCAGGGTGGTCTCGATCTCCTGACCTCGTGATCTGCCCATTTGGGCCTCCCAAAGTGCTGGGATTACAGGCGCCACACACTTTTAAACAACCAGATCTCATGAGAACTCACTATCTCAAGAACAGCAAGAGGGTAATCTGCCCCATGATCCAATCACCTCCCACAAGGTCCCTCCCCCAACACTGGGGATTACAATTCAACATTAGATTTGGGTTTGACACAGAGCCAAACCATATCACTCTTCACGTGTACTTGTCACGCTGACTTCTCTCGCCTTGCTCCAACAGGCCCTGCTGCCTCCTACTGGAGGCATTTGCATTTGCTGTTCCTTCAGCCTACAATAGCTGTTTCCAAAATCTTCTAATGGCTGACTCTTCATCATTCAGGTCTCAGCTCTAACGTTACCATCCAGAGAGCCCTCCATGCTATCCGTATCTAAAATTGCCCCCCATCCTCCACCCAGCATGAGCAATTCCATTCTTGTTATTTGATGCATTTTTTTCTTCATAGCACTGCACCTGTTTGTAACCCTCTCGTTAATTTTTAAATGTGTGTTGTTTATGCCCTCCATTAGAATATTAGTTCTTTGTGGACAAAAACCCAGCATGCAGTTTTTGCTACAGTCCCTGTTCCTGGCACCTAGGAAGGCCTCAGTAAAGATTTACTGAGTAAGGCCAGGCTTGGTGGCTCATGCCTGTAATCCTAGAACTTTGGGAGGCTGAGGTGGGCAGATCACTTGAGGTAAGGAGTTCGAAACCAGCCTAGCCAACATAGTGAAACCCCATCTCTACTAAAAATACAAAAATTAGCTGGGTATGGTGGTGTGTGCCTGTAATCCCAGCTACTCAGGAGGCTGAGGCAGGAGAATCTCTTGAACCCAGGAGGCGGAGGTTGCAATGAACTGAGATCACACCACTGTACTCCAGCCTGGGCAACAAGAGCAAAACTCCATCTCAAACAAACAAACAAAAAAAGATTAACTGAGTAAATGATCCCATTTAATTTTCCCAAAAAACTCATAAAGCAAATGCTGCTCTACAGTTGAGGGAACTCAAGCTGAGAGAAGTTAAACAATTTCCCAGGTCACACAGCTAAAACCTGGGAAGGACAGGGGTTTGAAGCCAGGGTTTGTCTACCTCCCATTATTTTAACCACCTTCTATTTAGCCCATTGATGACAAGGAGATTCTCTCCCTAGGGCTATAGGAATAGCTGAACATGAGACGCCTAACACTGGACAGCTGAGATCAGCAGCAGTTTACTAGTGACATATACTCACACCCAAAGAGAAGAATTGCTGCACCATGCAGGGCCACACGGGGGGGTGCAATTGAGAGCAGAGTGAACCATAAGAGGTTGTGGAAGGCAGGTTGTGTAGTATCAAGAGGGTGGGGTCCTCCTTGGTTCCCACGAGAGGATAGATTGGCTTGTTTAGATAATTCTGCAGACTAGCAGAGAACTGAAACTGGCTACTCAGGGATAAGCAAGAGCTACACCTGGCTCATTTAACAAGAAGGGTCCTTTGGCCACGGGACTCTGTGGGACTCTAGAGTGGGAATGGGAACTTGTGATTAGGCATTTGAGACCCTCCCAATATTACCGGATGTCAAGGTACAGATAATATTAGACCTTAATTTTAAGTTTTACACCACCCCATATTAGAAACCACATGAATACTAAAAGAGAAAACAGGAGGACTTGTAGTAAGGAGATGAAGTAGAAGTGGCCTTTCAATAAGGCAGCCTAAAAATAGACTCAGCCAGCATCCCTCAAGAAAATGCATGGTTCTTTCCAAATGCCTTGCAATCTTCCAGAAATTCTTTCTTATTTCAACAATACTGCAAAATTGGCAAGGCTGGTCTCTCTGGGAAGAACCTCAAGGGCAATATTTTAGGGCATTTGAGCTCACGAGGATGATAGAAGATGGCTGACTTGCATCCTGCAACTGGTTCAACACCTACCCATAATACCAATGGGTTTTGCTAGTATGGTTTTAAACACCCATAAAAATCAAGCTTTATTGATGGGGAAAACATAATATCTTCCTGGAAGTGGGCCCTGCTTTGTGCAAAGAGAGTACACACAATGTTCCAAATATAGATAACTGACCCAGGAGTCCTCTGGGGCTACTGTGGCCTCAGACATAAACACAATGGAAGAACTCGTTAAAAGCAGCGTGATTGGCATCTAAGTCATGTCACTCTTGCCTGCATTTTAGATACTTAGTTGTGTCAAATATCGAATTACTTTCATCTGTGTGGGATGAAGAGCTGTTTGAAGCTCTTGCTCATTTTGCTTTGGGCATGCGTGTGTTGTTGTTATTGTGATGTTCTCTTCATCTCTTTGAGATTGAATTCTTTCTGCACTTTTACACATCCATGCAAAAGAGAGGAAGTGAGCATTGAGGCCGACAGTCCTCTGACTGGCTGGGGAGATGTGCAACCTTTTTAAATGCATTGCTTGGAGATGTATCTCCTATGTGCCTTTCCTCCCCACCTAAGTGTGCACATGTGCACACACCACACATACACACACACGCACACAGCTGTGCACTAATGCCACAGACAGTCTGGGTCGAACCTACCTTTGCCACTTGCCACCTCCCTCTTTCACCCCTGCCGTAGAGAATATTTGCAGACATTTCAGTGTCTTCACCTCCTGACAGTCTTCTGTTTGGAATGCTTTTCCCCGCCACTCTCCTCTCTCCTTCACCTGCCATCTCACCCTCTTTCACTGGTTGACTCACACTCACCCTTCAGAGCTCACTTCCACACAGAGGTACACATTTTAGTTAGAACCCTGCATTTCCCCTTTGTCATCCTCTGTGTTTGGAGGCTGCCCTGGGCCTGCACACAGCAGCCCCTTCAGCTACAATATGGAACGTTGTCAGACGACAGGGGCAAGACCACTGCACCAGCCAGGAGGGTTGCACCTGTTCATTTCTTTCTTTTTTTTTTTTTTTTTTTGAAGCAGAGTCCAGCTCTGTTGCCCAGGCTGGAGTGCAGTGGCACAATCTCGGCTCACTGCAACCTCTACCTCCTGGCTTCAAGCAATTCTCTGCCTCAGCCTCCAGAGTAGCTGGGATTACAGGTGCCCACGACCACGCCCGGCTAATTTTTTGTATTTTTAGTAGAGACGGGATTTCACCATCTTGGCCAGGCTCGTCTTGAACTCCTGACCTCGTGATCCACCCACCTCGGCCTCCCAAAGTGCTGGGACCACAGGCATGAGTCACTGCGCCCGGCTGCACCTGTCCATTTCTTTCCCTGAATTGTTCTCAAATTGGTCTTCTTCCTTTCAACGCTGTTTCCTGCCCATTTCAGATCACCATTGATATCCCATAAAATACGTTAGCCGCCTTTTAACTGGCCCTGCCTCAAGGGATCTGATGAGGCAAGCGGCACAATCTTTTGCCTTGGGCTTCATTCCTGGATTCTGTACTATAGAGGGCCCAGCTCTGGCTCTCAGAGCTCTTGGGTCTCAGCTGCACCCCTCCCTATGGAACAAGGAGTCTGCAGGCTAAAGGAACGTTCCCAACAAAGCCCTATCTGGTCCTCCACCTGCAGACGGTTCCAGATTAGAATGCAGACACCCAGGACCCTGCATTACTGATATTCCAGCCCTGAGCCAATTCTGGGCCTGCACAGGACTCCTCCCCTGAAGGTGGAGCCACTGCTAGTGTCCACACTACCAGGCCTTGAAGTGTGGTCAAGGGGTAGCAGTTTCCCTGGGAGTGGGATGTGGAGGGAGACTGGACATAGGATGGTGGAAACACACACCTGCCCAAGTCGGGAGAATCTGGGGAGGGAAGAGACAAGAAGCAGGCAGCAGGCTGTAGGCCCTGCAGATGTGAGGACAGGCTGAGGTTGCTCCCTGTCTTGAATCCTCAAGGACTCCCTAGTCCTTTCAGGAAATAATGCAAACCCCTTAGCATTGATATAAGGCCCCGAGGGAGCTTTCCCCTTCTGTACTTCTCCAACTTCAACCATGTCTCACAGTTTTCTTTCAAATTCTCATTCCAGACCCACTGAACAATTTGCATGCCCTTAGCAAATAATTGATCCTATTTTATCGTGACTCCTTTACTTTCTGGGCCCACTTTTCCCCACTAGACTGTGTGCTTCTTATCATGTCTTGTCCTCCGCAGATGTCTCCCCAGCATCCAGGATTGGGCTTGGCACGCAGTAGACTTCTGGGAAATACGGTATATTGGGGGAGGGGAGAAAGCAGGAAAGGGCCAAAAGAGCTGTGTTTCTGCCTGTAGGATTTGTACCTCTGAACCTCTGAGAGCAACCCCAGGCCACTTGGCAACACTTTGGGATGCTTCTAAGAGCCCTTAGACTTAGTTGAGTTCAGGAAGAGGGGAAAATGTGAGCGAGAAGAACATAGAATAAGTAACAAGAAATATTTGTATGGAGATAATGATGAGAAACAAGCCTTCATGAGAAATTATTCCAGAATCAGAAGCTGCAGTTCCCACCCTGGCTCTGCCAGGAGCTTGATGTGTGGACTCTAGTTCAGGGCATTGCCTGGGGGCCCAAGTTCTGAACTACCTTAAGCTCTGGATGTGGGACACTGCTGTGCACACTATATTAAGAGATGCAGAAATATATTTTAGGTAGATTAAAAACATACAAAAACAATTTCAGAATTATTTTGCTGTCTGCTGCCACCATTGCTTTTTTCATTTAGAGAAGGCATGTTCCTGATATAACCCTAGATTGAGGCATCCATAGACAGGTGCATTATTTCACTCCTGGTTCCACCACTTATCATCTATGTCAGAGGTCAGCAAACATTTTCTGTAAAGAGTCAGATAGGAAATACGTTAAGTTTTGCAAGCCTATGCTTCTCAACTCTGCCTTTGCAGTGCAAAGGTGGCCACAGACAATGCAGAACTGAATGGACATGGTTGTGTTTCAATAAAACTTTATTTACACAAACAGACAGTGGGTCGGATTTGGTCCACTGGCCATAGTATGCAAACCCCTGATCTCTATGATCTCCAGCATCTCAAACCTTATCTGAAAAATAAAATGGGATATGATATCTGCCTCTGCAGAAGATAAAGAAATGTTATATGAAATTATTTTGAAAACTAGAATGAACTAAAGCACTAGCAAAGTATACATTATTAGTAATAGCAGTAATGTTACTATGCTATAGTTAGTCTCATTAATAAATCACATTTGTTAAGTACCCACTATATACTAGCTGCATTGTATTGATGATATTACTCAATCTTCACAAAGATCTTGCAAAAGAAAATGGTTACAAACATACAGATGAGGAAACTGAGGCTCAGAGGCTGTGACTCAAGGGTTACATAGGAAGTCAGAGGTAGGACTGAATTCTAATAACAGTTCCTGGATCCAAAATAGTGACCTCAAAAAAAATATATAATGTGTTAAGGATGTAAATAACAGATATATATAGATGAGTACATGGCTGCCAACAGATGGGCCGCTGTTGCATTTAGTCAGTGGGATAAGATCAGGTAACTTTCTTGTTGCTATCAAGTGACAGACACCCCATGCTTGCCATGGTATTTGGGTGCTGGACACTCTTCCCTGGTGGAAAAAGGCCTTTCCTGGCAGGGTCCCAGATTGAAATCCTAAACGAAGCAAGCTACCCGTGATGGGCTGTGTCAGTGTTGGAGGGCTGGCCATCTCTGCAAGGGATTGTCTGAGTCACAAGGCAGCCCTCCAGAACTTTCTGGGCCTGCCCAAAGCCAGGCCTGCCTCGGCCCCACAGGGAGGCGTGAGCAGCCGGCGCCACTTGAACGCCGAGTCTCCTGCTTCGAGGAGGCCAGATTTAGCAATCTGTCACACACAGCCCGCCTCATTGTGGCACTGGGCTCCAAGAGGCTGGCAGCGCGGGCAAGCAGAAAAGCATCTGTCGGCATGCCACACAGACAGGGATTAGAGAGGATGGGGGAGGATAATTATGGCATTTGCTTTCCTGTAAAGTGTATGTCAGGAGGAAAGGATTAAGCTAATTGAAGAAATCTCCAGCACTTACGTCAAAGGTGGTTGAAAAGCGATTGCTTTATCTTGCATCTCACCTGCTTCTGAGAGCCTGGCTCAAGGAGGCCTACCCACATCTCCACTTTGTCCCCAGCAACTCTTTGCAGAAATAGTTTGAGTTGGCGTTAGCCATTCTGCAAAGGAGAGAGGAGCTAAAAATAAGAGCATGTGAAGGATGCTCCCCACCTTTTTTTTTTTTAATTTCCAAAGCTCACACCAAGTTTCTCAGAGAAAGATGGAAAGCTGATTTTCCTGAGGTTTACATATTTGTGTACGTGTGACAGGTGAAATAAATGGCACCTGTATTGCACGTACTACACGGGGACAGGTGGCAGCCGCCCTCAAACTCTATCTCTTTTTCATCTCTCTGGAACATTAGCTTATGCTCCTGAGGGCCAGGCTGCATGCAAAGAGAAAGCTCGGGCTTCAGGATCATTTATCATCACTCTCCCCCGTGCAAAACCCAAACATCTCCAAACCCAAAACCAACGGAAAAAGGCAGGAATAGTCTTTTGTCTTCTGTCATCCAGATGGAACTTGGTTTTTGAGTTCCAGGTGACAGGTATTGGAGTTGCTGTGGTAATGAATTTGGAAAGGAAGTAAATAGATTTCCTCTTTCTTTTAATTCCAAATATTATACTACATTTACACAAATATGACTTGCCCAGTGGACTATCGTTTTTCAAAGAATAAGATACCACATCTGGAAAACATAGTTGGCTGCCTAATTTTTGCCATAATGCATCTTTAGACTGCTTAGAAAACGGATTGCCAGAGAAATCTTAGAAATATTTGTTCTAGTGATTAGGACCAGAAAGCTGGCTCCATTCTCTGTCGCTTTCTAGCTCTCTGACTTTGGGTGAGTTATTTCAACTCACTTTGATTTCTTCATTTGTGATAGCTCAAGAAAAGCATCTGGCATATAGTAGGGACTAAAAAATGGGCACCGTCATTGTCATTATCATCATCTTATTCATCTACCAGAAAGGCATAAGGTATTATATTAGTCAGAGGTCTCCAGAGAAACCGAACAAATAGAGTGTGTGCATATATCCTATTATACACGATAGAGATACAGACTTAAACATAGAAAGAGATTTATTTTTAAGGAATTGGCTCACACGATTATGAGGGCTGGCAAGTCTGAGATATGTAAGGCTGGCCAGCAGGCTGGAAATTCTGCCAGGAATTGATGTTGCAGTCTTCAGTGCAAAGGCAGTGTGGAGGCAGAATTCCTTCTTCTTTGGAGGATCTCAGTCTTTTTTCTTAAGGCCTTCAACTGATTGGATGAGGCCCACCCCCGCTATGAAGCATCATCTGCTTTACTCAGAGTCTACTGATTTAAATGTTAATCACAGCTAAAAAAAAATATCTTCCCAGCCACATCTAGACTGGTGTTTGATGAAGCAGCTGGGCACCATAGCCTAGCCAAGTTGACACATAAAATTCACCATCACAGGTATGTCATCTTATTTCAGGTTTTCATCTTATACAGGTTTTCAGGGAAAACCTAACCCAACTATGCAGTAAACATTGAATAAGCCAGGCGTGGTGGCTCATGCCTGTAATCCCAGCACTTTGGGAGGCCGAGGTGAGTGGATCACTTGAGGTCAGGAGTTCGAGACCAGCCTGACCAAAATGGTGAAACACCGACTCTATTAAAAATACAAAAATTAGCCAGGCATGGTGGCAGGCACCTGTAATCCCAGCTACTTGGGAGGGCGAGGCAGGACAATTGGTTGAACCTGGGAGGTGGAGGCTGCAGTGAGCCAAGATCACACCACTGCACTCCAGACTGGGCGACAGAGCAAGACTCTGTCTCAAAAAACAAAATGAAACAAAACGAATAAATCTTAGATTTACAACATGCTATCTTAAAAGGAACAGCAACAACAACACAAAAGGTACAACAATCACCTGCTTAGCCCCCTTGGAACCTACCAGAAATCACAGCTGGCGTCCCAGGTTCCAGACCCCTCTGCCTTTGGGTTAGTGTGTGGTTTTAGGTAGGTTCCTGAGAATCTCTAAACTTCCGCAGCTGCAACTCATACTGAACATATCCGCCCTGCCTTCACAGGGGAAAGGTAAGAATAAAATTAAGCAACTCTTGGGAAGGGCTTTGTAAATAAACTTTTAAATGTCTTAACATAAGACATTTTCCTACGCGAAATGTAGTGCTCTGGACAGACTGAGTCCGATTATTTGTACTAAAGCCAATAAAAGGCAACTCTAAAATGTCATAAGTTTGACCTAACTCTAATATGTTAGCTAACAAAATCATTAATGTTTTCAGTTAGAATTAATTTCCTCGCCTTCTCGTTAATCACATCTAATTCACATCCAAACGCCGTTCTTGGGATTTAGAATGGCTTTTGGATGTGAATTAGATGACCAAGTTGTCTGAACACTAGCCTTTTTCCTCTCCTCTCAATAAATTTTCACATAGAAAACATTTCATTGCCTTTGAGCAGGGCTCAAAGCAGCAGGTCCAGCAAATGTTTGTTGTAGGATAATTCATTCATTACAGAGATATTTATGGAGCCCTCGCCTTGCAACAGGCAGCTTGCCGGGGTCTGGATGAAGAGGGTGGCGACTTTAAGTGCTGAGAGCCCAGTCATGGGATAGCATAAGAATTTGATAGATGTCACTATTTATCATTGGTTCATATATTATTATGTGACCATTTTTATAAAAGTAAGACAGGATTAATGATTTTAAATAAAGGCATGGCTGAGCCCAACATTCTTTCCAACCTCGGCAGCTTTTTCAAAGTTCCCAGGCTTGCGCTCAGCATCAGTATAATATCACAGCAAAGCCAAGGCACCAACAGATCAGAAGAGTGAGGCAATTGTTCTTTGGAAAACTTCACCATCAAAGGAAATTGTCTTGTGTCGTCTCTCAGACCACTTCACACTTCTTTGGGAAGCAATAAAAACAATTACCAGGTCATTAGTAAAGGTTATTGTTTTTTTAAGATTCAAACACCCGCTCTCAGAATGACCTTAGCATGCATTTCAGTGGCAGGCAGTTGCTGTAGTGGAAAGAGTGAAAGCTTGGGAGCAGAAACCAAACGGCCCTGCAGCAGGTGTTTAACCTTTCCCGGGCCTCAGTTTCCTCAGCCCTACACTGAAGCTAGGAGTCCCTGCCTATCTCTTTGACTGTAAAGAGGTTGAAATAAAATGACTTGGAACTGGATGCAGAGGTACAAGTCAAGCCTGGGCAACATAGCGAGACCCTGTCTCTTAAAAAGAAAAAAATGGCCCGAGAATGACTGCCACCACTAGCCTGGCACTTGGAAAGTGTTCTGTAAATGCAATTCCTTCCATTCCCAGGCTCCAAGTTACCTGTGTTTGGGGCTAAAGATATGAATCAATAAAGCAGAAAAGATGGAAGTGAGCTCTGGATTCATCGGAATAGGCTAGGTTGTGCTACAATAACAATCTGAAAACCTCAGCAGCTGAAAACAACCAAGTTCATTTCTCACCACACCTCACGACCATCCATCATGGGTTGACAAGCGAGCTATACCCACCTTAGCCACTCAGAAACCCAGGCTGGCAAAAGCTCCATCTGGACTCATGACTCCAAGATCAGAGGAAGAGAAAAGGAGTATAGCAAACAATACACTAGCTCTCAAAGTTTCTGCCTGGACGTGATACACGTTACTTGCACTCACATTTCATAGACTGAAGCAAGTCATATTGCTGCACTGAGTAAATGGCATGGGGGTGTATTGTCTTACCACAGTCATAAAGACTGGAGGTGTAGGAAGGGACCATGGTACAGGAACTTGGCTCAAGCCAATTTCCATATATAATTAAAAAGTATGTGGAATTCTAGCAAAAGTTTAGGCTTTGAATCGTGTCACATCAATAAAAATTATTTTCTATAGGGGCTGGGTGTGGTGGCTCACGCTTGTAATCTCAGCACTTTGGGAGGCCGAGGCAGGAGGAACATTTGAGGCCAGGAGTTCAAGACCAGCTTGGGCAACATGGGAAGACCTGATCTCTACAAAAGATTTTAAAAATTAGCCAGGTGTGGTGGTGTGCACCTGTGGTCCCAGCTACTCAGGAGGCTGAGGTGGGAGGATCACTAGAGCCCAGGAGGTCGAGGCTGCAATGAGCCATGATCATGTTACTGCATTCCAGCCTGAGCAACAGAGCAAGACCTCATCTCAAAAAAAAAAAAAAAAAAAGAATTTCCTATAACCCATAGTTTGCTTTAAACATTTGGACCTGTATTTATTCAATAATCTGGTTACATATCTTCAATGCTCCAAGCACTGTTCTAGGCTCAGTGAACATGATCTAGTCCCTGCCATTATGAAACTTACCTTCTAGAAGGAAGGCAGACGACAAACAAGTAGAACATATATACTTACATTTCAAGGCTTACGTGCTAAAAAATAAATAAATAAAGTGGGTAAGGGTACAAAGGATGGCTAAACTGAAGTGAGGGACTCAAGAGGATGTTGAATGAGTTGAATGTTATTCCCTTCAAATTTTCGTTTATTGCCTCCCCCAGTTCTCTAAAGCTTTCTGGAAGGCAATGTGACTGCCTCAAAATAACAACAACAATAACAATTTTCACAAACACAAGCACTAACACCTTTCTCCCACCACCACCACCTTGATCCAACTCCTTCCTTCCAATGTGAACCTCAGATACTGGGCAGTGCCCCCAGGCTCCTGCTGCACCATCGCCCCATGGGACACAGAGTGGGGCAGGTCAGCCCAAGGCAGGACAAGAATGGCCTCCACCAGGGCCTGGGGTTACGCTATAACCACTGTCGAGGCCTCAACTTCCCTGTGCATCTGTACTGATGGGACTATTCCATGTATTCACCCACACCTGTGCATGGATATTCAGGTCACCTGTTAAGAGCAAAGACAGAACTGAGATGGGGGGAGGTGGACGGAAGGAGGGAGGGATAGCTCATTTCCTGAACACCCCACTGGGCCAGGTGCTGTCCACACACACCTTTTCTTATCTAACCTTCTCAATATCCTCATGAGGTGAACATTATTATCTCTAGTTTGAAGATAAGGACATTGAGGCTCAGAGAAAGGAGGTCATTTGTTCTAGGTCACAGGGGAGTAAGTGCCAAAGGTGTGCTCTGTTCATCTGTGCTAACTCGCACCTCTTGACCCTCACCTATGCTTTCTTCCTATCTTTTGCCTTAGGTGCCTCCATTGGCATCAATAGTTTAGCCCTGCAGGTGATTCTCAAGGTGATTGGTTATGACCTTGAGATGCTAATGACTATGCTAATGCACTATACACGATAAAATCATTTTCTATTCAGTGAATTACTATACATCACATTAAACCTATGAGATGAATCCCTATGCTCCCATCTTTTACATTAGAAAACAGAGGCTCTCAGAGGCGATGTCCAACTCTAGAAGCTACACTCGCACCTATGGTGCCATGTTGCCTCCATTAACCCAAATTTCTTTTCCAATAAAGCTACAAGCTACTGTAACTGTCTCACACAACAGCCCTTCAGGTAGACTTTCCAGAAGAGAACTTTTTCTTTCTGTCCCAAGCTTTTTTGAGGATCCGATGAAGGGTATAAAACCCTTCTCCAGAAAAATGCTCATTAAAAACATAAGAGGGAAAATTTACTACACTAGAAATGGACTTACTTTGTAAATATTCAACCTTATTCTTTAATATATCATGTCTCTCACTTTTATTCAATGATGTAACAATTAATGGTTCATTCCAGAAAGAAAAAAATGCACAATAAAAGTTTTTCCTAGGCCGGGTGCGGTGGCTCATTCCTGTAATCCCAGCACTTTGGGAGGCCAAGGCGGACAGATCACCTGAGGTCAGGAGTTCGAGACCAGCCTGGCCAACATGGTGAAACCCCCTCTCTACTAAAAGTACAAAAATTAGCCAGGCGTGATGGCTGATGCCTGTAATCCCAGCTACTCGGGAGGCTGAAGTAGGATAATCACTTGAACCCGGGAGGTGGAGGTTGCAGTGAGCCAAGTTCATGCCATTGTACTCTAGCCTGGCTGACAAGAGTGAAACTCCGTCTCAAAAAGAAAAAAAAAAAAAGAAAAAGAAAAGAAAAGAAAAAAAGTCCATCTTAAATCTGCTAAAAAAATCAATTTTAAAGACACGATGGTGCTTGCTTTGAAATAGAAGTTGAAATGGTAGTAGGCAGCTTGACATGGTCCATGCATATCATCTTTGATATCCTTTCAGTCTGCCTTTTCCTTTTGAAGATATTAAATGCTGACTCACAAAAGAATCAGTGTTCCCAAAGTCTCTGCTGAGAGACTTGTGCCAAGGAGCACCAGCATTCACCAAAAGAGGATGAAAAATCAAGGATCCTATCCACATTTGTTAAGCTGTGATGGAGAATAAGCAATAAAATATATGTAAATTGATTTAAATTTAAATTGATTTAAACCCTAAGAATGTGTTTTTCCCCAGGTAATAAGTCTGAAAATAAGTCTGAAAATTGCACTATTAACTCAGCAGCTCAACAACATCAAAGTTCTGAGCAAGCTTCTCTGTAATTCTCTTCATGTCCCCTTCACGGTCACAAGAAGCTGCAGCAACCCCAAGCAACACATCTTCATAGGCCATCACGTTAAAAGAAATAGTGATAATTCCAGACGGCCGGTTCCATCTGACAGAACTGTTGCTTCCATTTTCTTTATCTACCTCAATTCCCAAATAAGCTACGTCAGCTCCATAGAACAAGGATTTCCCCAAATCTCTTCAACTGTATATGGCTGATTTTATTTGAAGGGTAAAGAAATAACTGTGTAAGATGTTTCAATCAAAGGATTTTGTATTGAGACAAATACAAGTTTAAATACAGGTCCAGGCTTTTAAAATTAAGCTTTCTCATGAAAAAATGTCTGCATTGTTCAATGTCAGGATGGACAAACATTAACTTTGCCACACAAGAAGCACTGGGGTTTGGGAAGGTGGGGAATCCTTATCATGTTCAGTCATATAAATGGAAACAATGGATACAGGTAAATTTGGACCTCATCTCTTTTCACTGATATTTTTCCACTCAAGCTAGACCTGATATGAGCAAAGGCAGGTGTGCCCATTCACAATGATAGGGTGTGATGTCATGCATTCCTATCAATAGGAATCTCCTCTCATCAATGGGATGTCAGGGTAATTACTACTATATCTGTTACTAACCACGTACAGAAACATCTTTTCCATCCTACATTTATTTGCGGTGAAACTACACAGCAACAATATTTTTACATTTAAAAAGCTCATTTCACAAAGATAATTTAGTATACAAAAAAAATTAAAGAAAATACCTATCTTCCCACCAGGAGGCTATTTATGGACTGCAGGCTAAGAAACTGTTTGCAAACAATTCTCCTCTTCTCCTGGTGTGACAGAATGGTAGATGATACTTTTCGTGTGATCTCAGAGTTCTGTCTCTAAGAACATCACCCACTCAGGACATGCTAAAAGGACGGGATGCAACTGGCTGGCAACCTTTCACTCATCACTTGCTCAGGGGTTGATACAACAGGTGCGGGAGAAAGGTGAGAGAGTCAGGGTGTCTCTTTGGAGGCACCTGGTAGAGAGGGGGAAGTATGGCCTGCGAGTGAGACGGACATGGGTTTAAATGCTGGCTTTCCCACTTCTTGGACCTTTGTTAAGTCAATTACTGTCTCTCAATTTTCATTTTCTTACCTGAACAAATGAAGCTAATCATTACCTCCAATGAGAGTGAACTTTTTTTTTTGAGGTGGAGTCTCGCTCTGTTGCCCAGGCTGGAGTGCAGTGGCATGATCTCAGCTCCCTGCAACCTCCACCTCCCAAGTTCAAGCGATTCTCCTGCCTGCCGAGTAGCTGGGACTACAGGCACCTGCCACCTCGCCCGGCTAGCTTTTGTATTATTAGTAGAGTGGGATTTTGCTATGTTGGCCAGGGTGGCCTTGAACACCTGACCTCAGGTGATCTGCCTCAGCCTCTCAAAGTGCTGGGATTACAGACATGAGCCACTGCGGCCAGCCAGGAGTGAACATTTTTAAATTACCCAAGTTGATCTGTGTCTGTGATTAAAGGTGACCAAAGAAAGTTTCATTGTCCAAGAGTCACCAGTGAGCTAATGGGACCAGCCTGGGTTTCTACTAGGAAGGTGAGAGAAAGACAAGGTTGGTTGCGTAATTCTACGCCCATCACATAAATATAAATACACATGAGAGGTCACTTGAGGCCACCCTGCCATCCATCCTGCATGCTCTACCCCTCTTTGGAGGCAGCAGGGTAAGGGAGAGTAGTCTAGGCTTACATGTGTAGGCCATTCACACCAGGCCTCCAAACCCACCAGGATGAGACGTTCTGCCACCCTGTGGTCCAGGGACACTTCAACAGGTAGGATGGGCAAGACAATGTGGGAGGCACCAACTTTTGATTTCTTTACCTTGGTCTTGATCAGGCTAGAAGGAGAAACAGTAGCCATGTAAATCCAGGCTCATACCTATATGTCTTGGGTTAGTCACTCAACCACTTGTTCTCTCTCATCCTTTCCATTTACTTTATTTGGATGTGTTTTTGCTCACGATAAAGTCATTAGCATGACATACTATTAGGGGAGCTAAGAGGGCTGAGACCACTAGCCTACAAGATCACAGTCTTCATCTGTGTTCTTAACTCACTTCATTCTGTGGGCTGCCAGATTGTAAAGTCTTACATTTTTACTACATCATTCATATATCTTACTAACCAAACATATTCATCTAAATCCACATATTGTATATATTCATTTCCACATTCATAAGCACATGATTCTTTGCATGTAGAAATGAATGTTTTATGTGTGCCATCTTATGCATACAAAACACACTTTATAAATGCATTATTTAACCTAATAAATTGTCCTTCTTACTGAAAAAAAGATTAAATTCTTGACCACTCACCATCAATCTCTCTGTTGTACTAAGGGTCCTGACAAATGTGTATCTTCATATAAAAGAAATCCATTTCTGCCCTTTTCTATATTCTGAGCAAGACTGCACATCTCTCAAAATGTTAAAGAAATTGGATCACATTTCCTACATTTCCAAGAACTGATGGAAGTCAAAAGGTGCGGAGGATTCTGTGAATTCCTATGTGACTACAGGTTCTTGAGGTCACCTGCAGAGTCCATGTTTTCTCATGCTGCCTCAGATCTGCTGCTTGGTGTGAAACTCAGGTCCATCCTCCGATTCTCCCTCTACAGTAACTCACATCCAATATAACCAGAAAATGTTATCCAAAAATGCCAATTCACAGCTCTTCTACCGCCCCCTCATCCTGAGTTAAAGGGAAAATTTGGATGTGGTATACTCTGCATTTTTCTTTCTTATTCCTCTCTCACCCCACTGTGGGCTCTTATTATGCAAATGTGGGTACTATAGAGCTGGAGAATCAAAGTTTGGGGACTGCATTGGAAAATGCAGAGATTCCAAAGAGATAGTAAAAGAAAGGAGTAGAAAACTGATTAGAGAGAGAGAGAGGAAAACTAGAAATGGTCTTTTAGGTCAAGTGTTAGAGAAAATATATCTTAAGATGTATTATTTATTTAGCAACCATTTATGTAGCTCTTCCTATGTGCCTAGTACTATCTTGAGGGTACAACAATTATTAATGCAATTACCTCTCATCACTACCCTATGAAGTAGGTACTATTATTATCCTCATTTTACAGATGAGAAAACCAAAGCATTGAGAGGTTAAGCGACTTGTCCAAGATTCCACAGCTTGTAAGTGAGAGAGCCAAAACTCAAACTTAGGCTGCCTGGCCCAGATTCCATACTTGGGAATCCTTGCTCTATCCTCCTTCCCATGTGATTTGTGATCTGCATTTCCTTTTATGATATTACAGATATTCAAGTAAACTTTGGAATGAGCAATGCACTGGATGACATTATTTTGCCCATTACATCAACTTGAGACTAACCCATGGGGCCCCAAAATGTATTTGGCTTTTGTAAGAGCATCTGAGTTGATAGGTTTTGCTGAAAATGCAGGATGTAGCTCACAGAGAGGAATCATAACATAACATTACAGATTTCTGCCTCCCTGGCATCCTCCTCCTTCCTTTTCTCCTCCCTAGTCTTCTTATCTCTTTCCTCTGGGATTGCCTTGGGAACTCCAAATTCTTCTCCCTTTATTATATAGCTTTTATCTAGCTGCTTCTTTCAAATATGCATGCCCCAATCCATCACTGGACCACTCTCCTTTAGACAGTGTTAAAAGTTTGCCTTTGGTTGAATTCCTTTGTTTCTCTAGTTTCTGAGAAGATGAATTAAAACTCAATATTACTAGGGTGTTATCCGTAGGGTGCTGATAAAGTGCGAATACCCAGAATTATAAAGAAGAGGCATTTAGAGTCACCCTCAAGAGTCTCCATGGAAAAATACTGTCATCTGTAGCACACTTGGCTTTCCTACATTATCCGGTTTACCTTCACTTCACTCTTATGATGAGCAGAATCTAGAGGTTGGTGCTTCTTAGATATAATTGCTTATTGCCAAAAACTTGAAAAGCCAAGGAAGAGATACTTTTCAAAAATCTGGCCACTTTGATATCCACAGTGACTTGAGCCCAGTAGAGAATGTTACTTCCTATTGCCAAATTGCAAAAACGTCCTCTTGAGTTTTCAAAAATACCTCTTTGCTGAAGAGTTCTTTGCCACAAAGAAGGGTGACAGGTTGCAACAGTCACTGAGTAGAAGGCAGCAGGCATTAGTCACACAGGGGAAAAGTTGCAGATAAATTTTAAGAGCTGCCACAAACACGGGACCATATGGTGTCCAGGGGCATTTTTGTTTTAGCAGATATATCTTGGGATCTTTGAAGGAACGGTTGCACTGCCAGCTCATCAATTAATCAAGCCTCCCAAGGTCACCTGGGACGTTCTGGATTGGGTTCGGGCAACAGGGGCCTGGAGGAACTGGCTTTAATTAAAGGATTTGTGCAGTAATGGAATCCTCAAATCCTTTGAGCAATGTTGCATGACCTGGGCCTTTCAATCCCTGTGTGCATTTTCCATGGCTGCAAAAAAGTGACAAATATCCTGACCAAGCACTTCTTCGGGAGGGTGTTATTGTTAAACCATTTAGGAACCCCACTGAAGGACACATGGTTGGGAAACAAGCCCAAGCAAATGAAAAAGAAAAAAGAAAACTGCACTCTGCAGCATTGAGGATATTTATCCTCTAAACTCTTGTGACAAAGTCCTGACATGGTCATTACTACTTAAAGGAATAATTGCTTTGAGGGACCTTAAGTATTTTGACATTACATGAAGTCCAAATTCTCAGCAGCCATCTTCGTTTTAATTATTACTTAGGATTTGGATGGGATAATTAATATCTGAGAGTTAATAGTCTTGCAGTTTGTGTGACCCATTGACTGGGGATCCTCTTGCAGAATTCTGCCCTTAGATGGCTTTTGATATGCACAATATTCTTGGAGGACATCTTTTAGCTTCTGAAAGATCAGCTACTCCATTTTGACCAGGTGTACACTCTCTGGGCCACTCCATACATGGCCTCACTTGTCTGGCTCTAGAACATTTTTTGAGTTTGTGACTGATATGATTTGGATCTGTGTCCCCACCCAAATCTCATGTTTAATTGTAATCCCCATTGTTGGAGGTGGGGCCTGGTGGGAAGTGATTGGATCATGTAGGTGGATCCATTGATAGTTTAACACTATCTTTTTGGTGCTGTTCTCATGATAGAGTTCTCACGAGATCTGGTTGTTTAAAAGTGTGTAGCACCTGCACCCCTCTTGCTTCTGCTTCAACTGCGTAAGACGTGCCTGCTTCCCCTTCCCCTTCTACCATATTTGTAAGTTTCCTGAGGCCTCCCTAGAAGCTGAGCAGATGCCAGCATCATGCTTCCTGTACACCCTGTGGAATGATGAGCCAATTAAACCTCTTTTCTTTATATATCACCCATCTCAGGTATTTCTTTTTTCTTTTTTTTTTTTTTTTTTTTTTTGAGATGGAGTCTCACTCTATTCCCCAGGCTGTAGGGCAATGGCATGATCTTGGCTCACTGCAACCTCCGCCTCCCGGGTTCAAGTAATTCTCCTGCCTCAGCCTTCCAAGTAGCTGGTACTACAGGCACGCACCACCATGCCCAGCTAATTTTTGGATTTTTAGTAGAGTTTCACCATGTTGGCCAGGCTGGTCTCAAACTCCTGACCTCGTGATCCACCTGCCTCAGCCTCCCAAAGTGCTGGGATTACAGGCATGAGACACTGTGCCTGGCCCCTCAGGTATTTCTTTATAGCAATGTGAGAATGGACTAATACAGAGACCCTGATCAGACATTTCTCCAAAGCCACGTTTATCCCCTTTCTGTCATTTGGCACTTGTGAAATTCACACATATGCCATCCTCGTACTCTCATGCCTGTCCCATATTATGGGTTATAGGACAGAAAATATGGGCTAAGAATAATGCCAATTCCCAGTAACTAACAGGAAGTCTACCTCACTGCTGATTGCTACACATCTTTTATCAAGTCCCATCACCAAAAAGCTTGGAGCCTGTGTGACACTACTCAGTTCTCTAAATCTTTTCAAAGAACTATGACTTAACTTTTAGGCACCCGCTTTTTATCAGGAACTGTTATAAGGTCATCTTTATGTGTTTTGAGAAACTGCTATCAAATTCTAATATATTGTTCAATGTCTCTTATCAAAGCAACCTGCAGGTTGGGTTACTTGCAGAGCTCAGAACTGGATAACAGTTTGCTTTCTTGATAACTGGAGATATACAGTACACATGTCATCATCTACTCAGGCTGCCATAATGAAATACCATAGAGTGGTGGCTGAAAAATCACATTTATTTTTCATAGTTCTGAAGACTGGAAGTCTAAGATTAGGATGCCAGCGTGGTCAGTTACTAGCAAGGGCTAACTGCCTGGCTTGCCAATGGCCTCCTTCTCTCTGTGTCCTCACATGGTGGACAGGGAAGGAGAGTGCTTTCTGGTGTCTCTTCTTATAAGGATACTAATCCTGTAGGATCAAGGCCTTACCCTTGTGACTTGAATTAACCTTAATTACTTCTAAAAAGTCTCTATCTCTAAAGTCAGTCACATTAGGGACTAATGTTTCAACATGTAAATTTTGAGGGGACACAATTTAGTTTATAGCAATATAAGTTTCTGTCTGGTTTCTTTCTCCCTGGGAATATCATAGCAAATTTTGGGCTCAATTCCATTTGCTTTTTAAATATAGGTCTTCACTTATAATATTTCCATATCCCCTTACCAGGCCCATCCCAGCACCAGGCCCCTACTGCCCCAGCAATAGACCAGTGCCCATGGCCCCAGGGTCAGGACTGGCACCTACAGACCCAGGCTCCTTGTTGGACCCCCACAGCCCTAGGCTCCCAACTCATTCCTAAAGACCCATGCTCCAGGCCCACTCCAGTACTATCTTCCACCACCCTAGGCCAGCACTCATGGCCTCAGACTCCAGGCTGGCCCCTGTAGACTGGGTACCGAGCTTTCCCAAGTACCAGGCTGGACCCATGGCCATGGGCTCCAGGCTCAACCCATGGAGCCAAGCTCCAGGCCCACCCCAGTGCCAGGTCAACCCTTGAACCCCCAGTCCTTGCAGACCTGGGCCCTAGGCCCACCCTTGCAGGCTCAGTCTCAAGGCCCACCCCAGAATTATGTTAATCTCCATGGACCCAAACTCCAGGGCAGCCTCTGGATCCAGGCTCTAGGCCCAACCTGTGGACCCAGGTTCCATTCCTGGCTATGTGGATCCAAGCTCCAAGTTGACTCTTGTGAACCCAGACATCAGGCCCATCCACTCAAGTGGGTCCAGGCACCAGACCAACCAGCCCAAGCACTCTAACAGCAAATTGGCCCATCCAGAATCTCTGGATGGGCTGACTGGTAAAGGGCTTTCCCTGCTGAAGCCAATCTGTAAAAGCTAAAATAATTCCCTACTTCTTCAAATACACAGATACCTATGCAAAGCCACAAATATCATGAATAATAATAATAGTAATAAAATGACACCACAAAAGAAACAAAATAAAGCACCAGTAATCAACCCTAAAGAAATGGAAATTTACAAACTGCCTTGCAAAGAATTCAAAATAACTGTCTTCAAATACAGTGAAAAACAAAAGAAAATAAATAGACAACTAAACAAAATCAGGAAAACAATACATGAACAAAATGAGAAGTTTAACAAAAAGATAGAAAACATAAAAATGAACCAAGGATGCTGGGCGTGGTGGGTCAAGCCTGTAATTCCAGCACTTTGGGAGGCTGAGACAGGTGGATCACCTGAGGTCAGGAGTTTGAGACCAGCCTGGCCAACCTGGTGAAATCCTGTCTCTACTGAAAGCACAAAAAAATTAGCTGGACATGGTGGCAGGCACCTGTAATCCCAGCTGATTCCAGGAGGCGGAGGCAGAAGAATTGTTTGAACCCAGGAGGTGGAGGTTACAGTGAGCCGAGATTGTGCCATTGTACTCCAGCCTGGACAACAAGAGTGAAACTCCTTCTCAAACAAAAAATAAAATAATAAAATAAATAAATAAAAATTAAAATTAAAAAAATGAATCAAGGAAATTCTAGAGGTAAAGAACACAATTACTGAACTGAAAAATTCCATAGAGATCTTCAATAGCAGGCCTGATCAAGCAGGAGAAAAATCAGCAAGCTAAAAGATAGGCATTTGAAATTACCCAAAGAAGCACAAAGGAAAAAAAATTAAAAAGAGTAAAAAAAGGCATATAGAACTTACAGGACACTATCAAGTGAACCAATATATACATTATGGCAATTCCAGAGGAGCAGAAAAAGAGAAAGGGGAAGAAAACTTATTTAAAGAAATAATGACAGAAAACTTTCCAAATCTGTAGAGGAAAAAGAACATCTAGTTTCATAAATCCTAAAGAACCTCAAATAGATTAAACATGAAGAGATCTTCACCACAACACATTATAATTAAGTTCCCAAGAGTCAAAACAAGAGAATTTTGAAAATAGTAAGAGAAAACAATTGTCATTTAAAAGGAACCATCATAAGATATCAGCAGATTTCTCAACAGAAAACTTGCAGGCCAGGAGAAATTCGGGTGATATATTCAAAGCGCTAAAAGAAGAAGAAAAACAATCTTTCAACTGAGAATACTATAGCCAGAAAAGCTGTCCTTTGGAAATGAAAGAAATATAAAGATGTCCCCAAACAAATAAAAGCTGAAAGAGTTCATCACCACTAGGCCCACTTTATAAGAAATGGTAAAGGGAGTTCTCCAGGTTAAAGTAAAAGAATGCTAACAATATGGAAACATGTGAAATGATAAAACTCACTGAAAAGGTAAGAATACAGTCAAATGCAGAATACTATAATACTATATTGGCTGTGTGTAAATCTCATCTAATTCTAGTATAAAAGTTCAGAGACAAAATATTAAAAACAACTATAGCTATAATATTGTTAATAAATATACAACATAAAAATGTAAACTGTGACATTCATAATATAAAGTGTGGGGGGAGGGAAAGTTAAGAGTGTAGAGTTTTTGTATATGGTAAAAGTTAAGTTGTTATCAGCTTAGAATAAACAGTCATAACCTTAAGATGTTTTATATCAGCTTCATGGTAACCACAGAGCAAAAACCTGTAATAGATATACAAAGATAAAAAGAAAGGAATCAAAGAATGCCAATATTTTAAAAAATTATTCATATCAGAAAGACAGCAAGAGAGGAAGAAAGGAAGAATGGAACTACAGAACAGTCAGAAACAATGAACAAAATGGCAATGCTAAGTTCTTACCTATCAATAATTAGTTTAAATGTAAATGGATTAAATTCCTCATTCAAAATGCATAGATTATCTGAATGGAATATTTTTAACAAATAGGATCTAATTGTATACTGCCTACAAGAAACTCATTTCAGTTTTAAGGACACACATAGGCTAAAAGTGAAGAAATGGGGAAAATATTCTAAGCAAATGGTAATCAAAAAAGAGGAGGAGTAGCTATACTCACAATAAACAAAATGGACTTTAAGCCAAAAACTGTCACAAGAGACCAAGAAGGTCATTAGATAATGACAAGGAACCAATTCATCAAGAGGATATAACAATTGTAAACATATATGTAACCAACATTGGAGCATCTAAATACATAAGGCAAATATTAACAAAGCTGAAGGGAGAAATAGATAACAATGCAATGCTATGAGGGGACCTCAGTACCCCACTTTTAATGATGAATAGATTATTAAGACAGAAATTAATTAAGATTATAATTAAGATTATTAAGACAGAAAATTGATAAGTAAACGGAGGACTTGAACATTATTGACCAAATGGACCTAACAGACATCTATAGAACATTCTAACCAACAGCATCAGAACACACATCCTTCTCAATTGACCACAGAACATTCTCCAGGATATTAGGATATTCTCCAGGATATTAGGTCACAAAACAAATCTTAGTAAATTTAAGAAGATTGAGATTATATCAAGTATCCTAAACCCTAAAGACTCCACCAGAAAAAAAACTCTTAGAACTAATAAACTAATACAGGGACATTGCAATAATAATAGAACTTATACTATAAGTTCCATCACATAAATGCGGAATATCATTTAGCTTTTTTCAAAAAAGCAAATCCCATCATTTGCAACAATGTGGATAAACCAGGAGGACATTATACTAAGTGAAGTAAGCCAGACACAGAAAGACAAATATTGCACGATATCACTTGTGTATGAAGTCTAAGTCAAACTCATAGAAGCAGAGAGTAGAACAGTGGTTTCCAGGGTCTGGAGATTGGGGAAAATGAGAAAATATTGGTCAAAGGGTACAAAGTTTCAGTTATTTGGGATAAATAAGTTCTGGAGATCTAATGTACATCACAGTAACTATAGTTAATCATACTGTATTGTATATTTTAAATTTGCTAAGAAAGTATATCTTAAATGTTCTCAACACACACACAAAAACACACCCACACACACAAAGGTAACTATGTGAGGTAATAAATGTGTTAATTAGCTTGATTGTGGTAATCATTTCACAATGTATATCTGTATAAAAACACCACTTTGTACACCTTAAATATATACAATTTTTACTTGTCAATTTTGCCTCAGTAAAGCTGGAAAAAATATCAAGAAATTCTAGGGCTTGCCTGCTATCCTCTAATAAGTTGTGCTCTACTAAAACTACTGCGAGTGGTTTTCCGTTACTAAAAACTCTATGTCAGACAGGAGCTTAGTTGTAAACAACAGAAGCTGACTTTGATTGATTAAGCTGAAAATAGTTGAGTTAAAGGATGATGAATTGCCTCCACTTTCAGTAAGATAGACATACTTTCCCCTATTCCTCCCATCAAGTATGACTAAAAACCCTGAACATTATATGAATAAACATAAGAAGTCTCCAAAAGGTGAAAAAAAAGAAGGTAGACTGTCTAGGAAACCTGAGATCCAAGGAATGACATGGTGATAAGGGTTTTATTTTGACATGGGCTTTATTTTGCCTCATATACCCTAGATTGGATACTGGAGAAATTGGAAACACAGAAATGTCAATGAGTATAGACAAAACATCCCCAAGGAAACCTGCTATCTCTTGCCAAATGACCAGAACAGGGAAAGCCAAACATACCAGAAAATGTTAGACAATAACTGCCCTAGTTAAACACCACACACACACACACACACACACACACACACGAAAAGCCCTGCAGCCCCACTCATACCCTTCCAGCAAAAGCCTATAGCCTAGACTCGCACTCTTGCCAGACAGTAGTGAGGTACCCCAATTTCCCTCCTGGGGTAGTATCAGAGAAAGCCAAGTACAGAGCCAAGATGTGTATCTCCCTCAGCATCAGGCAGTAATGACTCCTCTCCTGCAGTATTAGTGGAGGCCATTCAGGAGGCTGAATATTCACTCCCACCAGCCATAATGAGGTACCCTTCCCCATCCTTTCACCATCACCCAGTAGAAACAAGGTCACTCTCCCACAGTGTCAGTGAAAGTCACAATGTGCCCCTCCCCCTCCCAGGTATCAAGGGCCTAGTGAGGAGCCCCAAAACCCCTTCCACCCAACAGTACCATGGAGCCCCTCAAAGAAAAACCCAGACTCCCACCCCCAGCTGGTAATAATGAGGTCTGCTCCCCCTTCACTCGGCAGAGTAGTGTCAGAGGAGGCCTGCCAAGTTCCAATATTTATTATAAATAGATCCAGAGTTGTATAATATAAAAATAAAAATATTGAGACTTCAATATTAAATCACTCTTCATACTGAAGACCAGGAAGACTGCAGAGTAAATTTAAAAAGGCAATCAATAGACATCAACACCAAGGTGGCATGTGTTAGAATTATTAGATAAGGAATTTAAAGCAAAAATGTTTCAATGAGCAATTGTGAGTCTTTAAAAAATAATTTTTTAAGACTTGGCAAAAAAAAAAGTCTCAGAAATAGAAGACATGCAGAACCGAATAAAAATTTTATAACTAAAAAATGCAATGACTAAAATTTTAAAACTCAGTTTGTGGGCTCAACAACAGAATGGAGAGGACTGAGAAAAGAATCAGTGAACTTGAAGAAAGAACAATAGAAATTACCCAATCTGATAAATAGAGAAGAAAATCACTAAATAACGAATGAGGAAAGCCTTGCTTTTCTGTGGGACTATAACAAAAGATCTAATATTTTGGTCATCAGAGTTTCAGGAGGAGAAGAAAAAGATTGTGGGGCTGAAAAAATATTCAAAAAAATAATGGCTTAAGATTTCCTAAATTTGGCAAAAGACATAAACCTACATTTAAAAGGGCAAGTGAACCACAACCAAAATTTAAAAACTCACTGTAAGATATGCTATAGTAAAGTTCTGAAAACTAAAGACAAAAAGCAATTTTGAAGGCAGCCAGAGAGAAATGACATTACCTACAGTAGAAAAACAATTCAAATGTCATTGGATTTCTCATCAGAAACCATGCAGGCCAGAAGGAAGTGGCAAATTTTCCTTTTTAAAAAATTTATCATTTTTTACTTTAAAGAGACAGGACCAGCTCAGGCTGATCTCAAACTCATGCGCTCAAGCAATCCCCTTCCTTGCCTTGACTTCCCAAATTGCTGGGATTACAGGCATGAGCCACTGCACCTGCCCCACATCTTTCAAGTGTTGTTGAAAGAAAATAACTGTCAACCCAGAATTCTACATCCAGTGAAAATATCTTTCAGGAATAATGGGGAACTTAATACACTCCCAGATGAAATAAAACTGAGAATTGGTCACTAGCCGATCTACCCTTAAAAAGATGGCTAAAGGAAGTTCTGTAAACAGAAAGGAAATGACAAAAGAAGGACTTTAGAACATAAGAAAGAAGAAAGAACATAGTAAGAGCACAAATATGTGTGAATACAATAGACTTTCCTTAAGTTGTCTAAATTATGTTTGAAGTTTAATGCAAAAATTGTAACAGACTAGTGTGGTTCTCAATGTATGTAGAGGAAATATTTAAGAATTATTAGTAATGGAGGAAAGTAAAGAGACATAAAGGTAAGTAAGGATTTTATACTTCATGCAACTGGTAAAACGTCAACACCAGTACATTTTGATAAGTTATGTTTATATAATGTAGTCCCTAGAGCAACTTTTATAAAGCTACTCAAAAGATATACTCAAAATATTATAGATAAATCAAAATAAAATTCTAAAATGTTTAAGTAATCCAAAAGAAGGCAAGAAAAATAAAATAGACAAACAAGAAAAAAAAACAGAGAAAACAAACAGAAAACAAAAATCAAATGGCAGACTTAAGCCTTAAAATGTCAATAATTACATTAAATGTAAGTGTTCTAAATATACCAGTTAAAAGACAGAGAATGAAAGAGTGGATAATAAAGTAACAGAACTGTCCAGGCACAGTGGCTCATGCCTGTAATCCCAGCACTGTGGGAGGCTGAGGCAGGCGGATCACGAGAGCAAGAGATCGAGACCACCCTGTCTAACATGGTGAAGCCTCATATCTATTAAAAATACAAAAATTAGCTGGGCGTGGTGTCACATGCCTGTAATCCCAGCTACTTGAGAGGCTGGGGCAGAAGAATTGCTTGAACCAGGGAGTCGGAGGTTGCAGTGAGCCAAGATCGCACCACTGCACTCCAGCCTGGTGACAGAGTGAGACTCCTCAAAAAAAAAAAAAAAAAAAAAAAGTAACAGAGATATATGGATACATTACATATACACACAAGAATCCCACTTCAACTATACTGATATAAATAAATTGGCAGTACAACATGGAAAAAGTGTTCCATGTGAGTATTAATCCAAAGAATGCAGGAGTGGCTATCAGATAAAGTATACTTTAGGGCAAATAAATTTTCCAAGGACAGAGAAGGGCATTACATAGTAATAAAAGTGTCAGTCTACCAGAAATACATAGCAATCCTAAATGTGTATGTACCAAACAATATAGCTGCAAAGTATGTGATACTGATATATTGAACTGGTAGCACTGAAAAGAGAAATGGACACATCCACAACTATAATTGAGAACTTCAACACATTTCTCTCAAAAATTAATAAGAATAAAACACAAAATCAGCAAGTTTGTAACAGAACTCAATAACACCATCGAGCCATCAAGTCTAATTAATATTTATAGAATATTCAACTCAAAATAGCAGAATATGTGTTATTTTCAAGTTTTCACAGAAAGTATCTCAAGGTAGACCATAACCTGAGCCATAAAAAAAAAAACCCTCAACACTTTTAAAATAATTGACACCATTATGTTCTCCGTCTGCAATGAAATAAAACTAGAAATCAATAACAGAAAGATATAAAGGAAATCTTTTTTTTTTTTTTTGATAGGTTCTTGCTCTGTCTCCCAGGCTGGAGTGCAATGGTGCAATCTCAGCTCACTGCAACCTCTGCCTCCCAGGTTCCAGCAATTCTCCTGCCTTAACCTCCATAGTAGCTGAGATTACAGGTGCATGCCACCATGCCCAGCTAATTTTTGTATTTTTAGTAGAGATGGGGTTTCACCGTGTTGGCCAGGCCGGGTGTGATGGCTCATGCCCGTAATCCCAGCACTTTGGGAGGCCGAGGCAGGCCGATCACGAGGAAAAAGGAAATCTTAAAGCATGGTTATATTAGTTTGCTAGGGCTGTCACAACAAAGTGCCAGAAACTGGATGGCTTAAATAACAGAAATTTATTTTCTAACCATTCTGGAAGCTAGAAGTCTGAAATCAAGGTGTTGGCATGGTTGATTTCTTTTGCAGCCGTCTCTTTGGCTTATAGATAGCCACCATCTCCCTGTGCTTCTCATGGTCCTCCCTCTGTATTTATGTGTCTTCTGATATTTTCTTCTTATAAGTGCCTCAGTATTGGTTTGGGGCCCACATTAATAAGTTCCTTGTAACTTTATTTTCTCTTTAAAGACCATATGTCCAAATATAGTCGTAGTCTGAGGTACTGAGAATTAGGACTTTAACGTATGAATTTTGTTCATATGTTGAACAAATAGTCTGTGGGACATAGCTGAAGCAGTGCTGAGAAGGAAATTTATAACACTGGATGCTTAGTGTTATACAAAGAAAAAGCCTCAAATCAATAACCCGAGCTCCCACTTCAAGAAACTAGAACAATGAAAGAACAAAATAAACCAAAAGCAAACAGAAAGAAAGAAATAGTGAACAGAAATCAATGAAATTGAAAACAGAAAAACAATACAGAAAATCAATGAAACAAAAAGCTGATTGTTTGGAAAGATCAATAACACTAACAAATCTCAAGCAAGACTGCCAAAGAAAAAGAGAAGACACAAGTTAATAAGTCAGAAATGAGGCCTGGTATATTACAACAGATCCTGCAGTCATCAAAACGACAATAATGGAATACTATGAACAATTCTACACATGTAAATATGATTTTTGACAAAGATGCAAAAGCAATTTAATTGAGGCAGCATATAGTCTTTTTAACAAATGGTAGTAGGGCAATCAGATATTCATAGGTTAAAAAAAAAATTGCACTTTGGGAGGCCAAGGTGGGAGGATCACGAGGTCAAGAGATCAAGACCATCCCAGCCAACATGGTGAAACCCCGTCTCTACTAAAAATACAAAAATTAGCTGGGCGTGGTGGTGCACACCTGTAGTCCCAGCTACTCAGGAGGCTGAGGCAGGAGAATCGCTTGAACCTGGGAGGCGAAGGTTTCAGTGAGCCAAGATCGTGCCACTGCACTTCAGCCTGGCAACAGAGCGAGACTCCATCTCAAGAAAAAAAAAAAAAAAAAAGAACTTTGACTTAAACCTCACACCTTATACAAAGTTAACTCAGTGAATCATACATTTACTTAAGTGTAAAATGTGAAACTATACAACTTTTAGAAAATATTATAGGAAAAAACGTTTGATATCTAGGACTTTGTGGAGAGTTCTTAGCTATTATACCAAAAGAACAACCCATAAAATAAAAAATCGATAAATTGAACTTCATCAAAATTTAGAGATTTTGCCCTACAAATGACCTTATTAAGAAGTAAAAGACAAGCTACTGACTGGGAGAAAATATTTGTACACCACATATCTGACAGAGATCTCATTTCTACAATATATAAAGAACTATCAATACTCATCATTAAAAGAAAGACAATTCAATTAGACAATGGGCAAAAGCCATGAAGAGAATATATGGATGGCAAATAAGCACATGAGAAGATGTTCAACCTCACTAGCTGTTAGAAAAATGCAAATGAAGACCACAATGAGCTATCACTCTGCACCTATTTAGAAGAGATAAAATAAAAGACACTGACAATACCAAATGCAGGGAAAGATGCAGAGAAACTGGATTTCTAATGCATTGCAGATGGGTATGTAAAATTCCACATCCACTCTAGAAAATAGTTCAGCAGTTTCTAAAAACAAAAAAATAGGAAAAATGAAACCTATACTTACCATATGACCAGTAATTGCACACTTGGACATTTACCCTAGAGTTATGAAAACCTATATCTATACAAAAGCCTGAACATGATTGTTCATAGCAGCACTATTTGCAATAGCCAAAAACTGGAGACAACAAAAGTGTCCCTCCAGAGCAGAGGGGAATGGTTAAAGAAACTGTGGTACATCTATACAATAGAATACTACTGAGTAATGAAAGGAATAAAGTATTGTTATAGACAACACTTAGGATGGATCTTAAGAGCATTACTCAAAGTAAAAAGTAAAGTCAGTCTCCAAAGAACACATACTGTATGATGGCAACTGAAAAAACATCCTCAAAATGATAAAATAGTAGAAATGGAAAACAGATTAGTGGTTGTCATGAGCTGGGAATGGAGGGTTGGGACCGGAAGAATGACTATTTAGGAGTAAGAAGAGCTCAGAAGAGTTAGGTGTCTTAATTGTGGTGGTGAATACATGGATGTACACATGTAATAATATGACATAAAACTATGCACGCATATTTACCAATGTCAATTTTCTAGTTTTTACTATAGTCATTTGAAATGTAGCCATTGGGGGAAACTGGGTGAGGGGTACATTGAACCTCCCTGTATTATCTTTATGACTTCCTATAAATGTATACAGAATTAAATTAAAAGTCTAAAACCAAGATTATTGAGGAGGCGCAGTAGCTCAGGCCTGTTGTCCTGGCACATAAGGAGGTGAGGCTAGGCGCTCGAGACCAGCCTGGGCAAAATAGCAAGCCCTCATCTTTAGAAATAAATAAATAAATAAGATTATTGACTATTTCACAGTTGACACTGGAGTGCTGGAGAATGAGCTTGAGGATAAGATTTGGTAAAGGATGACCAACTCCAAGGTGAAGGCCTGATCAGAAACAGAAGAAACAGCAGCCACCACCATGTGCATGGATACTACAGTCTGCACTGCTGCATTTTCAGGGTCTGCAGCCTCCACTGCATGAAAGAGAGAGAGAGAAAGGGAAACACAGGGAGGAAGAGGGAGCTGGAGTGCAAGGGAAGGAGGGAAAGAGAAAGAGGAAGAGGGAGAAAGAGAGAGAAGAAGAAGGAGAAGGGGGAGGAGGAGGAAGTGGAGGGGAAGAGGTAGGGTAAGAGAAAGAAGAAGGGCAAAAGGAGGAGAAGAAGAAGGAAGAGGAGGAGGAAGAGGAAAGAGAAGAAGAGGAGAAGAGAGAGAGGAATAAAAACATCACATGGGACCTTCTGATTGGCCAAGCTAAGATTACATGGCTGTGTCCCAGCTATGAGGGAGGCTGGGAAAGTGAATGTCTATCTTTTCAGCTTCTAGTAGGGGAGGCCGTCTTTGTCTCACATCATTACTCATAAAGTGAGAAATCTCCCCAAATAAACAAAAAGTGCATCCAGATGCCAGGTGGCCCAAACAAATAGCAGATGCTCATCTCAAACCCTGATGGAGAAGGGCCTCTTCCTGGGTCTCCCTGCGTCCAGCCGCCCTTCGTCCTCCACATGCAATCTTCACCAGATTATTTCATTTTCCTCCACAGACTCTTAACCTTCAGGGCCAATGGAAAACACCTCAGCTGAGCACACAGACATTTTATGATGTGGCCCCTGCTAACCTTCCTGCAGCTTCACTCCACTATCACCTGCTTCCTCTGCTTATTACACAGGCATCCTAGACTCCAGCTCAACAGCCACGCTAAGTTCTTAGAGTTGCCACACAGGGTCCTGTTGCCTTGACTCTTCCCGTAGGCTGCCACCCAGGCCTAGATGGCTCCCCATCAGCACCAGGTTACTCCTATTCCTACTCAAAATGCAGTTGGTCATATCACTTCCAGAGGGAGAAGGGGAGAAGCCACTCATTTCCCAGTCCACTCCCTGTGAGCTCTAGCCATGCTTTCTACCCACGGATTCTAGCAAATCTCCTCCCTCCCCTTTTTAACAAACCTCCTTTTCAGTTTAAGCCTGTTTGAATAGGTCTCTGATTCTCACATCCAACTGTACGCTGACTCAGACAAAATTCAAGACACCTGGTACATGCCCCAAGCACATACTTCAGGCACTCCCATGCCTCCAACTCCACTTTCCTTTCTCCAGGTAAATGCCACTTCCTCTGAGAGGGCTTCTCTATCCTGACGGTACAAATTGTGCCCCTCGTATCCCCGTCTGGCACCTCTTTGGAGTCCTAAGCCTGGTGTGTAATTGCACATTCACTTATGACTGTCTTCACATTAGCTGCAGTTCTCTGGGAAGAGACACCATGTTTTTGTTCAACTTCACGTACCCAGCAAGACAAAAAACACAAGAAGCCTAGCAGGCGCTCAATAAATAGCACTTGAAGGAATGAGCTCTGCAACATCAATCATTCCCCGCATGCCTAACAGGCTTCTCAGGTGATGAGCGTAATGATGTGCAATGCGGAGGGTCAGGCTATTATAATAATGTGTCTCCTACCTTTCTCTCTCTTGCTGCTGCCAACCCTGCTCTCCTCAGTGGGCAAACTCCCAAAAAGGAGAGAGCTGATTGAGACCTCCTGTCTCCACTTATTCCATCTTCCAGCTGTGAAGAGAGGAGACAGGAGAGGAAGAGAAAAGGCAAGGAGGAGGCAACACCTACAAACCGGTCCTCCCCAGAGGAGGCACGTGGTTCACATTTGTGCTCAGTGATGTTTTGGCAGCTCCTTCAATCATGCCCATGCCAGAATGCCAGACAATGAACTCTTGATGACCCGCAGTCATAAACTTCACGCCATTGTCAAAACAACCCTTTCTGTCCTCCAGAACTCAAAATATCTGAGGTTTTTGTTGTTGATTCCCATCATTTTAAATTGGTCACATAAGGAGTACGCTGTGGTGGCTGTTGCTTTTAAGTAGGTGGAAGGTGCTTTTGAGCTAAGACCTCTCCTTGGCCCGTTGCTGCCTGGAACAAATGTTACAATCAAATAATCATTCCCTGGAAATAGCAGCCTAAGTGGGAAATGCTGACAACTTCTAACCTGAGCGGTGCAAATGGCGTTGATGGACTATCTAAAATAAATGAATACAGCAAAAAGAAGAAAAAAAAACTCCTGAGGTATGGATTTCCTTAACACAGCAGAACCATGTGGCTCCGAGCCTTCTGTGAACAGGCAAGGGAAAGGAAAGGCAAGAAAATACCCAGCATGCGTTGGGAACGCCTCTGCTGACCTTTGCATAGTATTGTGTTCTGCCGGCATTGTTCTAAGGAGCACAGCTGGCTCTGTAATGAGGCCTGGTCATCAGAGAGGTGTCAGAAACCACCCCTACCCCGCCCCCTGGCTCTCCTGCATGATGGAGAATACCAGCCTCAAAGCACCGGACTGTGCCTCTCAGATCTGGAGGAGCAATTCTTATGTTCATGAGGTCTTGGATTTACACAGCTTTCTCTTTTTCACAGTTCTTTTTAAAAGAGACAAGACAGGTATTTAACACTCCACTTTATAGGTAAGGACACTAGCAACAAGTACGTGGCTCACCAGGTCTAGAGATCAACTGTTCATACACATATATATGGAAGAGAAGAGACAAGGTCTTGCTCTGTTGCCCAGGCTGGAGTACAGTGATGTGATCTCAGCTCACTGCAGCCTTGACCTCCCAGGCTAAAGCAATTCTCCCACCTCAGCCTCCCAAGTAGCTGGAACTACAGGCAGAAACCACCACACCTGGCTAATTTTTTCATATTATTTGTAGGGGTATGGTTCCACCGTGTTGCCCAGGGCTGGTCTCAAACTCCTGAGCTCAAGTGATCCACCGGCCTTGGCCTCCCAAAGTGCTGGGATTACAGGTGTGAGGCACCAAGCCTGGCCAAGCTCAACCTTTTGGATTTCTAATTCAGTGCTCATTCCACCAAAATCATGCTTGGAAGTACATGGAAGTTTAAACAATAATAATGATGATTATAATAGCAATGATGGCTGACTTTCATTAAGCGTTCATAATGTGACAGCTCTGCAGTATTCAGTGCACATTATCCCATTCCATTGAGTAAGCACCGCCATTATCCATATGGTGTAGGTGAAGAAACTAAAGCTCAGAGAGGTTAAGTAACTTGTCCAAAGTCACACAGCTAGCAAGTAGCAGAACTGAGATTTAAGTCAAGTCAGACTCCAGAGACAGAACTCTCAACTCCCAGATAGGAGGCCTTGCCAAGGGTTCAATGTTAGGGGAAAGAGTAACATTATTTAATTTACATATTTTACTTTATTTATTCATTTCCTTGTTCTAAAAGTGATTTAGTTACACAGTTTAGAAATTAAGGTATGTTCACTTAATGGACTCTCCCAGCAAAATGTGGAAGATATAGAAAGGTGTGACTGATAAACATTTACATATAAAAGCAGGATACAAAATTGTGAATACACTATAATTACAACTATGTAAGTAAGTATAGGGGTAAAAATCTATAAAGAAACACATCAAGATAATCAGTAGTTGTGTGGTGGAATTATGTGAGATTATCTGTGTGTTTCTTCAATGTTCTCTATTTCTAAATTTTCTGGGTTTTGTTTTTTAAAAATCTTAAGAAAACATGAAAAACTTTCCAAAAATATGGCTTGACTTGTTGCTTTGAATCTTTGGCATTTGGGATCTGTGGTGAAAAAAAAAAAATGTTACATAAAGCTAAAAAGGTAGAAACAGCTCATGTTTTAAATTTTCATTGTACCAAAACTTCAAGGAATTTGTCTCAATTACACCAGGAAAAAATTGGCCCCACTGCCCTCCCCCATCATTCCACCAAAAGAAAGAAAGAAGGAGGTAAGTTTTGTTGCACAGCAAAACCGTTAAATTTCATTGCTTTGTTTGGGAACTACTTAACAAGTCCACAAACACCAATCTTGCTGGGTAATTAAAACAGTGTAAATGTCACTATTCCAATCTTTGACATTTGGTTTGGGTCCTGACAGGGAGCAATGAATTATAGAGAAGGAATCGTGCTGTTGCAAGCACATGTGTTAGTAATCCTGGCACAAGGTTTTACTATTCCTCTGGATGTTTGAAATGATCTGTATAGCTAGATATATATGTTTCTTCTGCACTTCATCACACACTGCCTTGTGGCATCTCTTCTATGGCTTCTTTGTATTGCTGTGTGTTTGTCTTGAATCATTTGAACTTCCATGAGTGTGGGTCTGGACTTGCCAGAGACATGGCATTTTCCCTGAGAGAATTCATTGT
The DNA here is from genome assembly GCF_000001405.40 of Homo sapiens. Lineage (NCBI taxonomy): Eukaryota > Metazoa > Chordata > Mammalia > Primates > Hominidae > Homo > Homo sapiens. The sequence goes on along the minus strand of NC_000004.12, from coordinate 24,702,380 downwards.
GTTCTATTTCTTAGTAACACAATATCACATACACCAGAGAAGGTCAACCACATTTGGATAGTAACAATATTAATAATAACAGCTACCATTAATTAATCACCTACTATGCACTGGGCGCTGTTCTTCATTGACACCTGCTCGTTTCATAAGAAGCAGTGTGTACAGCGAGCATGGAGCCAGTCAGCCTGAATTCCAAGTCCCAATTTACTAGCTCTGTCACCTCTGATGATTTTTTTAGCCTCTCTGCTTCTTAGTTCCATCTTCAGTACAATGAGGAAATAACAGTACCTTACTTCTTAGGGCCATCACAAAATTAAATGAGTTGGTATATGCAGCATGCTTGGTCATGGTAGGCACAGAGTAAATATTAATAAACATCAGTGCATCCCTGTTATTGTTCATTCTTACATTCATTGTTCATTATGATGTGTTCATTCTTATAATTCTTGCCTCTCCCTGACCCTGTCTCTCCCGTAGACATCCCCATCTCAATAGATGGCACCACCTCCCTCCTAATCGTCCATGTCAGACTTCGAGGTATCGTTCTTTCTTCAAATTGACAAATGATGATTGCACATATTTATGGAATACATAGTGATGTTTCCATACATATAATGTGATCAGATCAGGATAATTAGCATGTCCATCATCTCAAACGTTTACCATTTCTTCCTGTTGGGAAGATTCAATATCAAGGTATCATTCTCGATGTCTTTCTTTGCCCTTCTCCAAATCCAATTACTTAGCAAGAACTGGCCTCTCCAGAATACCCTGAATTATCCCACTGGATTCCATCCAGTGAAGAAGCACACTGTGGGGGCCCTGCCTGGATTAGGAGTCTTTCTGTACCACTTACTAAATATGTGGTACTGGGCAAGGTACTTGAACTCTCATCTGGTACAATAATGGAACATACATCATAGGGTCATTGTGAGGATAAAATCATATAATCTATGTAATGCACTTTAAACAATGCCTGAACATAGAAACCACTTAGGCAATGGTAGTTACTGTTGTTTTTGTCATTATAGTACATCCACCGATTCCAATGCCAGTCCAAGCCGCCTTCCGTTCTCACTTGGACTCGGGCCATCATCTCTGAATTACCCTCTCTACTTCAGTTCTTACCCTTCAATCCCTTCACCACGCAATAGCCAAAGAGATCTTGTAAATGGAACCATATCTCTTCACTGCTAAGAATCTTTCAGTGGCTTCCCATCACACTTAAATAAAAATCCAAAGCCTTGATCTGGCCTACAACTCCCCATATGAGGCGAACCTGTCTGCTCTGACCTCAGCTTGGGATGTTATTCTTCCCTCTCTGTAATCCAGGGGCACCAGCTATTTTCTAATTCCTCTAATGGGCACAGCTGCAGGCTTCCCTGGGCCATTGCATTCACTGTTACCTCTGTCCCCAGAACATTCAATCTGGCCCTTCTTTTTATATTTTCAAGTCGATGCAGCTCAAATGTTTTCTCTTCTGCCAGGATTTCTATGGGGAAAATCTTCTAGCAGGAGTTGCCTCTCCTTCCCTCTCCTCAGTCGCATCACCCTATTTTTAGTTCTTTGTGGTCATGTTTGACAATATCTTGTTGTTTACTGGCTTAGCATCTTTCTGCCCAACTAGCATACAGCTTTTTTCAGTTATAAGGGTGCCATAACAAATTACCCCAAAACTTGTGGCATAAAACCACTGCTTATTATGCTCATACATTGTATAGCATGAAGTTCAGATGGGACACAGTAGGGATGCATTATCTCTCAGGGCCTTCACCAAAGATCAAAGGCTGGGGCCTGGAACAGCTGGGATGCTATGGGTATCTTTCTCTGTCTCTGTGTGGTCTCTCCTTATGACCTTTCCATCTTAGCAGCTACAGGGTAGCTAAATTTCTTATATAACAACGTAGGGATTTCAAGGCATGTGTACCAAGAGAGAAGGCCAGGAGAATTCTGCCTCACCTTTTATGATGAGCTTGAATAGTTATGCAGTATCACTTCCCTGATAGCCACAGGCCTGCTCTGATCCAAGGGGAGGGAACACAGACCACACCTCTCTGTGGAGGTGTGTCAATGTCACCCTGTAAGGAGAGAGTGTGGGATGGAATACACTGGTGCAGCCATCTTTGAAAATATGGTCTTGCAGAGAGCTCTGTGAGAGCAGCAACTTTGTTTAGTTGCCATTGCCCCTATATTCTAGAGCAATGTCTGGCACATAGTAGGTGCTCAATAAATACTTGTTGCATCAAGGAATGAAATGCTGTATGATTTAAGTATCTCATCTTCAATTTGCAGATGAAAAATAATTGGGCCGGGTGTAGTGGCTCACGTCTATAATCCCAACACTTTGGGAGACCAAGGCAGGCAGATCACTTGAGGTCAGGAGTTCGAGACCATCCTGACTAACATGGCGAAACCTTGTTCCTACTAAAAATACAAAAATTAGCCGGGCATGGTGGCACAGGCCTGTAATCCCAGCTACTCAGGAGGCTGAGGCAGGAGAATTGCTTGAACCCAGGATACAGAGGTTGTAGTGAGTCGAGATCACCCACTGTACTCCAGCCTGGGTGACAGTGCAAGACTCCCTCTCAAAAAGGAAGAAAGAAAGAGAGAAAGAGAGACAGAGAGAGAGAGAGAGGAAGGAAGGACGTAAGGAAGGAAGGAAAGAAGGAAGGAAGGAAGGAAAGAAGGAAGGAAGGAAGCAAGGAAGGAAAAAAAAAATTGGAGTTCAGTGAGTGGCTCAGGTAGAAATCCAGGTGTGACTCCAACACCCATTTCTGAATAAATTATATACTGCATTCATTTCCTCCTCCATGTTGAATACCAACTAAATGAATAAAATAAAGGACTGAATGATTCTATTTCCTACCCTAGTGAAATTACTCTGATATCAGTAATGAACGTTCAGATTCTATCAAATCTTCCAATTTCATTCTTATATTTTTCTTTCCCAAACTTTTTAGTACTGATTCTTAACACTCATATGTACCAAGCATCTTTTTGTTCAATCAGGTCATATAACATGTGGTGTTAGGATACCTAAAACTACTGTTTCCAGGTAAAAGGCCCTAGGAATGGCTACACATGGTTCTCAGTGGACTCCAGCCAAGGGCTGTCTAAGGAGCCTTCATAACTGAAAGCACCTGAAGGCTCCTTTCCTGTCCCTTTCAGAAGGCAGGCTCTTCCTGTAGACCAATTCCCAGTTTTAACCCCGGGTAGGGCAGGGTGACTGGATCGTGGTTCAGGGGCAGAGCGCCACCTTTGTATGACCGACTCCACCTCCATCACCCTACAGCTGGGCTTGGACCATCCTGCTCAGGACCCAAAGGATGTGCAGAGGTCTTCTGAGCAGAACAGTGGAATCTTAGTCTTGACCTGCAACCCAAGTATTTGAAGTAATGCTAAGACAAATGGAATTATAGTACATTCAATGTAGTGCAGGCCAGTGTGGTTCTGTGAGGCAGGGAGGTAACTCAAATAGGAAAAGACTCTTTCTAAAATACCACATGCATTTTTCTGGCAAGTCTCTGCGCTAAATTTTGCTTTATTAAGGAGAATAATCCCATAGCATATTTAATAGCATTCTAGCCAGACATTAACTGGGTTATTATTTCCAGAACGGTGCTTTCATTTCTATTTTCACATGTTTCTGAGAAATTCCAGTTTATAACATAAGGCGGGAAAGACCAATCTCAAATGGGTCTTGTTTTAACTAGAAGGCTCATTGCTACAAGTAACAGAAAGCCCATCACAACCTGAATTAGCCATAAGAAACCATAAGCTCCTGTTAGAGAAAGTTTGGAGTTGGGATGGGGTTTAGGGTTAGTTAATCTAATGTTCAAAGATGCCATCAAGTATCAAGGTTACTCTGCAGCAAGAAAAAGAAAAAGTACTGATAGATGCAATGGCATTGTGCTGAGCAAGAAGAGAGGTACATGAAGTATTTCATACCATATGAATCCATTTACATGAAGTTTTAGAACAGGCAAAACTAATATGTAGTCACAGAAATTAGCTCCATTATTGCCTGGGGCAAAGGATGGTAAGAAATGAATTGCAAAAGGGCACTAAGGAAGTTTCTGTGGTGATGAAGATGTTTTGTATTTTGATGGAATTTGAGTTACTCGGGTACCCAAATTAGTCAAAACCCATTGAGTGGTACAGTTGAGATGTATATTTTACTTATATAAATTGTATCAGAAAAAGAAAAAATGTAGTTAATGACATGTATGCTGAAGTGTTTAACAATGAAGTTTATTGATGTCTGCAACTTAGTTTGAAATGCATTTAAAAATAAGATGGATTGAGAGATGGATTGATAAAATATCAAGCAAATAGGGCAAAATGATAACCATTGTAGGATTATGACGTTATGCATTTGAGTGTACACAGTATGATTCTTTCAACTTTTCTGAATGTTTGAAAATATTCATAATAAGAAAAAAGGAAATTAAAAAAAAAAGAAGCCTAATGAAAATGATACATGTACCCACCATCAGGTTGAAATGACATAAGAAAATATCAAGTTTGGTCTGCTTTGGAATGGAATTATCTCAACTTACTAAATTATCTCATCTTAGTAAGAAGGGCAGATTAGGGAGTTACCGATGGCATCAATTAATTTAAATAGGAAATTTTAAAAATTTGAGGTGCCCCTGAGCTTCCTGGCACATCCCTGTGGTAAAGATGAGCCTTAAATTAAGTTAATTAAGCCAAGTTAAAGAGATTGCTTTCCCAACTCTGTGTACCTTTCTGCAACCTCTTGACTAGTAAGAATGTTTTAATGAATGCCTGGGAGCCTGCCCTTCCCCAAGTCCATCACCTTCCTAAATTTCTACTTTTTTTCAATGAGAATCCTCCCTCCTCAGCTTCCTGCCTCTGGAAAAAAAAGGCTGCACAAAAAATTCTCATTTAAAAGAGCCAACAACACTATTTGAGCCAACAAGTGAGTTAAGTGAAGATGAAGCAGAAGTATATGAATTAAATTTCCCCTCAAGTCCCATAGAAATCCAATAAATAAGTTAAGTGCATGTAGATTTAAAAATTAAAGGCCGAGAAGGCTTGAGGCAAAGTGCATTTGACATTTGAAATAATAGAAATGAGAGGAGGCATGTAGCAGGATGTGCACTTACCTGATGTAATAGGGGCCCGTGGTCACTGCGTCTGCCTGACTCTGTGTTTACGGAGCATAATAGCATTGCAAGGAAATTCAATAAAACTCTCTGCGAGCCAGGTGTGACTTGAGTGCCATCATTTAGAGGTCAATGTCAATGAGCCCCAGTTCAGTCCTCAGCCCAGGAGGGCCATGATTGCTGCAGTCCATAGTTCCTGCAGTTACCATTCCCATTTGGAAGAGTTTGCCTAAAGCTCCAAAGCAGGCCTGCAAAAGGGTCTGGTTCTCTCTGGCAATATGTTGCAAGAAGATAAAAGACGTTCTCTCATTTTGACCCAGTTCCACTTTTAAGAATTTAACGTAAGCAGGGAATTCTGGGATGTGGCCAAAACTGTGTGTGCAAGGATAATCATCACAGTGGTATTTAAGATGGCAAAAATTTTCAAGCAGTCTTATGTCCAGCAATAGTGGATTGGGTAAATAATTGTTTCAGGGGTGATTCTACTGTGTTTAACTTAAGAGTAGCTAAAACAATAGATGTGTGTTTGAGACCTGGCTTAGCCACGTGCTAACTTTGGGATCTTGGGCCACTTACAAACATAGCTCGCTGAGCCTCTCCTTCCTCATCTATAAAATGGGAATTACAACATTATCTCATGGGTGTGTTGGAAGGATGAAAGGAGACAATAGAAGTTAAACCCTTAGGCACAACTTGATACACTGTATCACAATTGTGACTATCTACTGTAAATGTATATATATATAGGCTATTATGTATCCATTGCAAATTACATTGTTTGAAGAATATTTAATGGCAAAGAAAATGCTTATAATATCTTATTAAGTAAAGGAAACAGTACAAAACTGAACACAAAATATCACTCGATTTTATTAAAGTACACATTTTATAGACAGAGAAAAAAAGAATGAAGGAAACTTCACTAAAATGTTGATAATGATTATTGTATCTGATAGGGAGAATACAGATGATTTCAGTTGTGTTTTTTATGCAAAACTTATACCAGCATCTATCCATGCAAACAGACCTATCTCATTCTTTTAATTTTTATCAAATTTGGTTTACATCCTCTTCTGGAAAGACTGTTGCATTGAAATCCCTTCAGTGAGCCAGGAGCGGTGGCTCACGCCTGTAATCCCAGCACTTTGGGAGGCCAAGGCAGGCGGGTCACCTGAGGTCAGGAGTTCTAGACTAGACTGACCAACATGGTGAAACCCCATCTCTACTAAAAATACAAAATTAGCTGGACATGGTGGTGCATGCCTGTAATCCTAGCTACTCGGGGGCCTGAGAGAGGAGAATGGCTTGAACCCGGGAGGCAGAGGTTGCAGTGAGCCAAGATTGCCCCATTGCACTCCAGCCTGGGCAACAAGAGGGAAACTCCATCAAGAAAGAAAAAGAAAGAAAAGAAAAGAAAAGAAAGAAGGAAGGAAGGAAGGAAAGAAGGAAGGAAGAAAGGAAGGAATAAATAAAGAAATCCCTTTAGCAATCACTCTAATCCATGTCACCACCCCCTCCTTCTTCTCCCAGCTCAGCCATAGTTATCAGTCCATAAACTTCTTTCTCTGCATTTATATATTATATGCATTATATAACTACATCCTCAGACTCAGCATATGGCATTGTTGTGGGGATTTTCTTTTTGAGTAAATGTTTTTACACTGTACACATGAGTTAAACTATGGCATACTTTTCTCTAGTATAAGAAACTCTAGTATATCACTAGTATATTTAGCATTTCTCTAGTATATCATTGTATATTTAGCATTTCCCTGATGAATAGTTTACCTTGTTTCATTTTAGATATTTTACCTTGTTTCATTTTTTATTATTTGTTTAGCAAGGATGAAATATTAATTATTTTTGTTTCCTCTTCACTGAACCTAAAATACATACACAAATTTTAAATGGGATGTTGGAAGCTGAGAAACCAAAGCTTATGTGGCTTACTCAAGTATTCAGATTCATGAACCGTCTCGGGGTTTTCATGGTGTTCATACCACTCTGGCCCTTTTGAACGAACTTGGTCTGTGCAATCTCACCCACACCAAACCCCAGAAATCAGCAGGCCATTCCAGGAGCTCCCCCAGGCTACCTCCAGTTTCACCTCCTCTGCCACTGTGAGCTTTTTCCCTCTCCAGACATCCATTCTTCTCTGACCTCCACATAGCTCCAAAACTCAGCTCCCGCTTCTCTTCCAAGCCAAGAGGTAGCTAATCCAGCACTGAACAAGCTATTGCAGCTACTCATTGAGAAACAAGAAGAAAAGGGGGCCAGGAAAAAAGACCTTTGGCCTAATTTTATACCTTACCAATAGGAAAATCTATACTCTGTAGCGGACCAGTTCTGTAACAGTCCTTTAACTAATGTAGAAGTTTATACTTAAAGTGGTATGCTGTTGTAACATAAATCTAAAATTTGTGGCCTTGTTTAGTGGTCTTCCTTTTAAGCCATCGCAGGTGTTTGGTCACTACGCGAGTCTTTCCAGTCTCCAGAATCAGCTTCCTTGTACCCACTGCTCAATTAGTGGTGAGTGACAAGTGATTTAAAAAAATGATTTTTGAAGCTATAAAGATGAAGATCATGTTATGTGGTAGCAAAACATTTGGAGGCAAAGAAATAAATTAGACGAGAACATTCTTGTTTAGAAAACAATTTTGACCATGGTTACTGGTCATGGAACTGACTGGAAGCATATAGATCAGAAGCCTAATAAGATTTTGAGGGAATGGTATTGCCAAAGAAACCATGAGCCAAGATTTGTTTAAGCTTTAACCCAGTAGTTCTCAACTGGAAGTGCTTTTGCCCTCCAAGGGACATTTGGCAATGGTTGGTGACATTTTTTGATGTCATAACTGCAACAGAAATGCCTCTACCCATGGCATCTTGTAAGTAGAGGCCCTTGGTGAGAGATGATGGGATCACAGAGTGGATTTTTCCCTTGCTATTCTCCTAATAGTGAGTGAGTTCTCACAAGGGCTGATGGTTTTAAAGTGTGGTACTTCCTCCCTTCATCTCTCTCTCTCTCCTGCTACCATGTAAGATGTGCCTTGCTTCCACTTCACCTTCTGCCATGATTGTAAGTTTCCTGAGGCCTCCTCAGCCATGTAGAACCATGAGTCAATTAAACTTCTTTTCTTTATAAATTTTTTAAAAATTAAGTAGAGGCCCTGAATGTTGCTAAACATCCTACAATACATAGGACAGACTCCCCACAACAAAAAATTATCTAGGTAAAAATGTCCATAGGAGTGAGGTTGGAAAATCCTACTTTAAACCAATCTCAAAACCCCCAAATTGCAAAAGCTTTACAACTCCCACAGTACAAGGGGCCAAGAAAAATAACAGACCACAGAGAGCAATAGACAAGGAAGTTCAATTTCTGTCTAATCAACAAAATTCCCTAACTGACCAGCCAACTTTAGCATTCCTGTTTGGCAGGAGTGTACAATTGCTATGAACCTGTGACAAACATGTGACTCCCATTCTGCCCTTTTCTGAATGGGAGTTCTTGTTGCCTTGTGCCATCTATATTCCACCATAGCTTATGGGAGACATGTAGGATGGTGGCAGATAACTTGTCTTTTTAGATCACAGGTCAATGAACATGAAATACTGCATCTGGACTTGGATATATTACATATCACCCAGAGATTCAAGGCACTGGGCTGGACACAGTGACTAAATTGGGATTTGAGTTACCTCTCTTAAGGATAAGGGTCAGTGTGTTCTATGAATGGGAAGAAGGGGACGAAGGGGATTTAATGATCAGAAGGGCATATTGCAGCAGAGATCCTCAAGCCCTGGCCTAGACTACATTTCCCAGTCTCCCTTGTGTTCTGGTTTGGCTGTGGCCTGACTTCTGACCTACAGAATGGAAGCACATGTCATGCTCACCACTGCCTGGCCTGGTCCATAAAAACCTTTTGCCAAGCCCTCTCCTCTACCCCTGCTACCACCAAGTTGATGCAGAGAAACACAGGGGACTTGGAAGTCAAGTGTGGAAGAGGACAGAGCCACGACAGGGAAGGAACCTGGGTCCCTGAAACACTGCCTGGAGGAGAATGGCTGGCTGATCAGAGGCAACTGTTTAGGCTTCATGTGAGCAGGAAATAAACTTCTCTTGTATTAATCACTGCTAGTTAAGGTGTATCTGTTACAGTGACTAGCATTACCTTAACTAATACACCAACGGAAGGGACTGTAGTCCAAATGAAGTCTGTGTAGTCCAACTAAAGTCTGGTACCCAGTTCAAATTTTTTAGTATAGTCAACCTCATTTTATTCCACTAACTATGTGAGGTCAGCACATTGATTAACACTCATTTGCTTATTCAACACCTGTCTCCTTCATTAGACTATAAACTCCATCAGCAAATGTGTTTCTTATTCCCTGCTGTCTCCCCTGAACCTAACAGAGCACCTGGTACACACCAGCCAATGAACAAATATGTTTTGACTGAACAAATAAAATATTCTTTATGCTCTCTCTTTTTTTTTTTTTTTTTTTTGTTTTTGTTTTTGATACAGAGTCTCCTCTGTCACCCAGGCTGGAGTACAGTGGTATAATCACGGCTGACTGCAGCCTCAACCTCCCAGGCTCAAGTGATCCTCCTGCCTCAGTGTCCCACCTCCACCAAGTAGTTGGCACTACAGGCATGCGCCACCACGCCTGGCTATTTTTTGTATTTTTTGTAGAGACAGGGTTTCATCATGCTGCCCAGGCTGGTCTTGAACTCCTGGGCTCAAGTGATCTGCCCACCTCAGCCTCCCAAAGTGCTGTGATTACAGGCATGGGCCACCCTGCCTGGCCTCTTTATGCTCTCTTAAACACTTTTTGAGGAAGCTTCTAAACCACTCATAATAGCATGAACTAGCATTAACTATGTTTATGCAGATATTGTACTAAGCACTTTGCATGGGTGATTGTATTTTAAACATTCAACAAATGTTTGCTGTGTGCCTAAAATATGCTATTGTCTACCCCAGGCTCTGGGGATTCATGAGATATATAAACAGATGAAAATCTCTGTCCTCAGGGAGCTTATATTCTGAAGGATTTAAACACTTGCAGTTCTTCCCTTGTGTACACGAAAAACTAGGTACCTTGTCTGACCACTTACAGTGGGGAATGGGGAACCATGTCATCCCAGAGCCCAAGTATTAACAGCAAGAATGCAGGCGGGCAGCCCTGGCACCTCTCCTGTGCTGCTCTTTATAATGCACCCGCTGCCCACACAGGAACTCCTTTGGAGGGACTATCAATCCACAGACCCCAATCTGGGGAAGATAATGCAGAAGAGGAGGGAAGCAGAGAGTGCTGGGCAGAGACTGTGAAAACTGCTTTGTGAGACTGTTGGGTCCGATGTGGGATTCAGGTCCGCAAGACCCACCCGCTGACCTGTTCCCCAGAATGAATAGTTAAGACTCACTATCCCACAAGCCTGGGTGTAAGGGAGGGGCAGCTCTGGACTGACACAGCTGCAGATGTTTTCAGGCAAGCCTAGGAGGCCTGGGCCATCAACACAGCTTCATTTATTGGGGGACAACTCTCTAACGTGGCCTCTTTAGAAAAAATATGGAGCTGCCTTGAAAAGGGGAGAGGTTTGCCATATAAAAGTAGCCATGGGCCTTAGCCCCTCTGATGGCCTTGGCCTGCTCCAGGGCACCCGACCCTCATTCCTCTAGCCCAGGCCCACATCTGGTCCCTTGGTCCATGTCAGAGCTCTTGGCTGCCAAGACTCTGTGCTCCTCCTGTCCACTCTTACATGAGGCCGGGTGTTTCATACTCCTTGCCCATCGCTGCCTGAATTCCCTGCCTAATCCCTCTGATCCAGCACTTGCAGCTCTAGATGACTTGCTCTCCCTGACACCCTACTTTCCCCATGCACACACTCACACTCACAGATGCACACACATCCCAACACTCATCACCACCCCCTGGCTCTTCTTAGAGCACTCACCTCTGAGAGTCTTCATCTCACATTTGCCCCGAAACTGACATTATAGAAAGCCCAACGCCAACCCAGGCCCTCAGTGAGGACTGTGTCTCATACACATAAACCCATTCTCTTTTTCCCACAGCCAAGTTCATTCACAAGACAGGTCTGTCAATCACATGAGACCAATTCCAATAGGGTTGAATTTTCACGTCTTTCAGAGGCGAATGTATCACCAGCCCACCTTGCAAAACAAATCTACTTCGGTCTCAGAATGTTAACTCACATTATCCCCAAACCAGTACATGATACAAGAGATCAGTTCCGCTGCAAGGATCTCTCCCTCTGCCGCAATAACGTGTTTTCTAAATAATACACATCTCTTTTTTTCAAAAGGGAGGAGATTGCTCTGAGAGGTTTAAGGACCCCTTTGAGAAATAACTAGAAATCCTTTTCCCATTAGGATGCCCCAGAGGGTCTGGAGAGTGAGGCTGACTCACTGAGATCTCTGGCCCACTTGTCTAGGAGACCTCCAGACCAGAGGCAACCCCGGCTGACCTCAGACCTGAGTGGAGCAGCACTCACTCACTCACTCACTCACTCACTCACTCACTCACTCACTCCAACTGAGAGTCCTGCTGGTCTGGGGCTCTCTGACTTAATCCTGGCCTAGGCTGGTAAAGATGAGGAGTAGCAGAGGCTAGCTCAGTCAGGAGGATTACGACATCTTCCAGGATGCCAGAGTTTGGCAGGGTTCAGAGAAGCCCTTTCTGGCAAAGCAGATTTCCTGTCCTCAAGAATATTCTCTTTGGAAGGAAACTTAGAGAACATCTAAGCCAGCCTCATTGCAGCAGCCTCCCCACAGATGCCAAATTAATTCACCCTTGGCAATGAAAGAAAAAGAGAACTAACTCGACTACATTGCATTTTGAAAAATATTTATCAGTAAAATTACTCTGCATTTTTTTCTCAATTGTAAGCTCTTTGAGAACAGAGTATTGTACCCAACTCTCTATCCTCTAGGGACCAACCACCCTGCCTTATACACAGTCCGTGCTCAATATACTTGTTGAATTGAGTCTAATTGTCCTGATTAGACATTTAGGAAGATGGAGACCACCCCATTTGGAAGTGGGGGGATCTCTAAAAAGCAGAGTTCTCATTGTAGGGATCCCTCTGTCTGCTACAATAAGAATGTGTTTTCTAAATACGATAATATGCATTTCTTTTTTTCAATATGCTTTTCTGTTTTTAACTACTCTTTCTGTGTGTTTCTGGAGCTCTGGACTTTGAAGACCTGCATCCGGATTTTACAACCTTGGGCTAGACACATATGGGATGTTGTAGTTTCAACACCCCTTAAAAAAATGATAAAGATGCCTCATTTGCCTGCCTTCCTGGTATGTTGTCAAATCGAAGAGGCGATGTTTGTGACAGCATCTTATAAACTGTAAAGCTCTGCATAAAGTCTTCTTCCTGTCCCACTTCTGTTTCTCTTCTTGCTAATATTCACTGAACATTATTTTGTGACAAACACTGTGCTTGGCTCCTTACATTCATCTTCTCATGTAACCTCACGAAAAGCCCATGTTCTCTCCATTTTGTAAGTGAGGAAACCCAAGCTTAGACAAGCTCAGGGATAAGCCAAGAACAGGCAGCTAGAAAACAACCAAGCTAGGATTGAAACCAAAGTCTGTTTGATTCCAAAGCTGCAATTCCACCTTCTCTTCCTCTCTGCTTTTCTCCTTCCCCCCTTTTTCCTCTACCCTTTCTCTCCTTCCTTCCTTCCTCACCAATCTTACAGTGGGAGTGGAGGGATGGTGGAGAGCCACAGTTAGTGGTCTTCCTGACAGCTGTGTTTCCTGCCTTTCTTCCTGGAACTCAGAATCCTAATTTTGCTCAGATACAAGGTTTCCTGCACCTCATGGGGGAGGCAGAGCCTTTCCCTTCTCTAGCATGAATCTGCATTGTTTGGCTCTAAACCAACCAAAGTAATTACATTCTTTTGCTAATGATTGTTTTAGGCATGAGCGTGTGACTCATTTCTGGCCATTAAGGAGGTCTTTTGAGGGGCTTACTGGAAAATTAGCACACTGGAAAAAAAGGTACACATGAAAGAAAAGTGTGCAAAGACATGATGCCTGGAACAGTGGCAGCAATTTCATTACAAGGAGGAGAATTGGCCTATAACGAAGTAGAGAAACAGAAGGGATACGGGTCTTTGAAGACATCAATAAGCTGTTGACCATTTCTAGAGCTGCTGGAATAACTCTGGGCTTCTCGTGACATTAAAGTATCCCCTTATTTAAGATTAAGCTGGTTTGAGTTGCTTTTCTGTTATTCGTGTCCAAATTCTGATTTCCATACAATTTTCCTCTTCTTTTTCTCCTTTGTGCTTTGTGGTTTCCTTACAGGTTGAGACGTGTTGATCAAGGAACCTGATTATGTGACCCCCTTGTGCACTGTTGAACTGTACCAGAAATGGCAGAGGGGAGAAAGGCAAGGGACCCTCTGTGCCAGGATTACATGGGATCTATAGATGCCTCAAGGTCCACCTTACGTTCACATGACAGGTTAGACCAGAATCTCTTCCAGCTGCTCAAGGTGGTGTCCATAGAAATCCATGGTCATCGACATGCCTAGACACTAGACCAGTGAGTTGCTATCCATGGTCTGTAGCAAAAACAATGTTAAGGGAGAGAACAAGAGTGGTTCCCCTTGCCTGCCTCGTGGGGAATGAAAGATCATGAAGATTGTCAGTGCTAGAGGGGACCTAAGACATCCAAGTTCATTCCCATTATTTCACAGATAAGAACCCAAGGCTTGAAGAGGGGAAATAATTGTCCAAGCTCCCACAATTAGTTAATACTATAGGAAGGTCTGTGTATCCAGCTTTCGGGTACCTCACTGAGGGCTTCTCCATGACCCAAAGTTGCTGCGATCAGGTGAGACACCTGGTCCCCGATTGCTAAGCATTCTCCACATTGTCCGTGGATATGTGTAAAGGAACCCTTTTTTATTTGGATATGGTTCAAATTTAAAAACAGTAAACTGAATCAGCCATCAGGGAAGAGGCAAGGGTGTGTGTGTGTGTGTGTGTGTGTGTGTGTGTGTGTAGTGCATGCAAAGAGGAGATGTGAGTGTTGGAGAAGGGAGCTGCTGCCACACTGGCTTTCCTGTTATGATACTACCACTGGGCTTGTTGGTCACACCAGCTGCGCTTCCCAAAGCTCATTCCTTCCCGGCCTGTACCGACAAATTGCATTGATTTGCAAAACAGACAACTCTGCAATTGCCTGAGTACATTTAATCTTTTCAAATTAAGCCAACTTCACATTCGGCATACCATATGGAATTCTTCAGGGTGTTTATAAACACAGTTACTCTTAAGCCCTGGTCCACCCTGCTTAAACTGTAGCAAAAATAGTCCAGAGAGCCAAAAACATCCAGATTGAAGGGATGATCTGCCACCAGGCCAAATCCTTTCAAAGGTGGAAAAGATGTTAGGCATCATCTGGTCTAAAGGCTGTATCCTGGAGGCCATGGGCTGAATTCGGCACACAGATGTGTTGAGTTTGGCTCACGCTGCGTTTCTGAAAAATTTTGTGTCAACATTTAAGAATTGAAAGATTTCACATAAAAATCCAGACTTCCCGCATCTTACCAAAAAAAAAAAAAACTGGAAATGTGACCACACTGAGCGCTCATTCCTACGTAATAACAGGTAAAGATGGGTAGTAGCTTCTCTCTCTGCCAGGGGGCGCCCTTTCCCGCCTGCTTTTCCGTTTTCCCCACTCCCTATCGTCTTAGGCGATCTGCATCGCTCATTTTCAATATTTGCCTGATCCTTGTAGGCATTTGGGTTTGCCATCCTTATCTAAGTCAAGGCACTTATTTTACAGAGGATGAAACTGAATCCCAGAATCCAAAATTGACTTACCTAAGGTCACATAACTGGCAAGTGACAGAGTCAGGATTTGATTCATGGGCGTAGTGGGAACAGCGGGACAGACACCAGGGTCAGGAGGCTAAGGGGGGTAATGAGAGCACAAGGCTGTTCCTAAACCCAGGAATTTCCAGAGGTTCCAGACAAGACCTTGGACTTACTTCCCGGGCCATAGAATTGGGTGTGTGGAGGATGGAGGAAGACAAACCAGTTCCCTAGATTTTGAGAGCCAGAGAGATGACAGATGACTTCAGGGTTAGAGAAGGCAAGATATTTGACCCTTGGCCTTGGGCTCGTTGCAGATGTTCATTTGCTTGTTCATGCATCAAACTTTTATTGTCTGTTGCCTTTCAAGAACTACTTTAGGCTCTGGGGAGACAAAGGATTAAATCTTGATTCTGATACTCAAGGAGATTACAACACAGCAGAGGAAAACAGACAAGTAAGCAGATGAATAAGCAGATGAATAATTTTTTTCTTTTTTTTTTTTGAGACAGGGCCTAGCTCTGTCGCCCAGGCTGGAGTACAGTGGTGAGATTTCAGCTCACTGCAGCCTCGACCTTCCTGGATCAAGCAGTCCTCCTGCCTCAGCCTCCCGAGTAGCTGGGACTGCAGGTGTGCCCCACCACCCCCAGCCAATTCTTGTATTTTTTGTAGAAACGGGGTCTCACCATGCTGCCCAGGCTGGTCTACCAAGCCTTCTCAAGCCATCTGCCCACCTCCCAAAGTGCTGGGATTACAGGCGTGAGCCACCACGCCTGGCCTGTAAGCAGATGCATTTTTAACACCCCTTCCTTCCCGCTCTCTTCTGGTCAGATCTATAGGCAGAAGGCAGTACCAGGCCGTGGTTAAGGCTGACTTAACAGACTTGGACTCAAATGCTGGTCCTGCCCCTTCCTAGCTTGGGAAAAGCCTCACCCCTCTAAGCCTCAGTTTTTACATCCATTTAAAGTCATCAAATGCCTACCTCGTGGAATTCTTATGAGGAAACATTTGAAAAGCTCCTTGCACAGAGCAAGCATTCAATAATTAGTAGTTACTCTTTTTCTAGAATGCTTTCCTCCCCTCCTGTTACTACTTTTTCTTTTCTTCTTTTCTCTCTTTCATTTTTTTCTCTCTCTGATCTTTTCCAGACATTTGTTTATATTTTGAGATTTCCAAATATTTTCTAGTATCACAGGTAACTGCACTGGGTGATGGCCACGCCTCATAAGGAAAAGTGCCGGTGCTTATTAAAATAAACCCACACGGCCTTGACTCACCAGGGGCGCATTGTTTGCATTACCTTTTTGAAGGACAGAAAATTACTAAAGAGCGAAGCATTAATTATCTGGTCCCTTATTTGCATACAGCATCTCGGTTGAGAGTCCTGCTTTGGGATTCTCACTTCTGGGCCTTGAGCATTCCAGATTCAAAGGTAAAACCAAGGACCAAGAGCCAGAAAATCTTAGATTTTAATCCCAGGACAAATGCTGTTTCCCTTGTTGGCCACAGGCAAATTACCTCCCCCTCCTCACTTTCCCCACCAGCAATGTGGAAATCAATTATTTCCTTGACTCACTCGAGGGCTGAGAGACTTAATTAAGCTTTTGGAAGCTGGTTGTTAGTTAACCTAATTCTCTTTGTAAACTAACCATTCTTTGCTCTCCTGATCACATCTCCCAAACTTTTCATAAATTGGTCCCCCTTTCCTAAAGCTAGAATCCAAGATGACTCTTATTTTTCACTCATCCACTCCTATATATTTTTAAATTATACTGTTATCCCTTTCTCATAAACAGATCCAGGGTAGAAAAATTCTCATAAAGACAGAGCACCTCAGGGATGACCAAGATCCCAGAGGTGCTGGAGAGAGGACTTCCCTTTCCAGGAAGAAAGTGTTATCTTTGACCTTGAAGATGGGGAACCGTCTTGGGCCCTCTGGTCCTTGTGGGAGCCTTAAGGAGAATTGTAGAGTAGGTTAAACTTGCTTATTTTGCAGTGTGATATCTTGGAAGGAGCAAGAGCTTATCAGACATGGGTTCAAATTCTGGCTCCACTACCTCTTACCTGAGCAACCTTGAACACTTAACCTTGAAATCTCTTCTTCTGTAAAATGATGATGATAATGTTTGCAAAGCTCTCCTTTATAGGCTTGTCATAAGGCTGAAGTGAAGTGAAGTGATATGAGATTCCCCCTTCACATTCCCTTGCAGAGAAGTGTGTACATCTGTCCAATTTCCACAACTAGATTATCATAAACCTTTTGAGAATGGAGATTGTGCGAGTATAGTCAGCTTTTCTAACGGGGGTTCCACAAGAGAATTAAACTCCATGGAAAACCACGTGAGTGACTCTTTTCTCAATTCTCTGAAAATACAAATAATATATAACTTATAGCATTTCAGATGCACAGAAGAGAAGTTAATTCATTACCTACATTGGATGCCTTAGGGCATTAGGTCTTTTTTTTTTTTTTTTTGAGACAAGTCTGCAGCTATCGCCCAGGCTGGAGTGTAATGGTGCAATCTCGGCTCACTGCAACCTCCACCTCTCAGGTTCAAGCAATTCTCCTGCCTCAGCCTCCCGAGTAGCTGGGATTACAGGCACGCACCACCATGCCTGCGCCTGTAATTTTTTGTGTTTTTATAGAGACGGGATTTCACCATGTTTGCCAGGCTGTTCTCGAACTCCTGACCCAGGTGATCTGCCCTCCTTGACTTCCCAAAGTGCTGGGGTTACAGGCATGAGCCACTGCGCCCAGACAGGGCATTAAGTCTTAGTTTCTTCCTACAATCTCGTTAAGAAGCCCAGGAAGGTAACACTAATCACCATAAAAGATAAACTCCAAACTTTCAATAGTTTCATATAATAGAAGTTTCTGTCTCACGGTGTGCCAAATTGACAAGAACAATCATTCAAAGATTCCAAGGTCTCCATGCTCATCTGCTTCAAGGGGAAACAGCTGGGAGGAGCAAGGTTTTCAGTTCACTTTCTGTTCTCTAAACTCAGGCCCAAGGAAAGTTGGGAAAGGTAGTCCATCTGTGGAACTAGGAAAAAGAAGAAAAATGCAAGCAGTTTTCTGCCGTAAATAAGCATGATCCATCCCCTTGGTGATATAGACTATCATGGAGTATCATACTGTGAGTGATGGTGTTTAATAAATGTGTATTAAGGCTGGACGCGGTGGCTCATGCCTATAATCCCAGCACTTTCGGAGGCCGAGGCGGGCGGATCACAAGGTCAGGAGATCGAAACCATCCTGGCTAACATGGTGAAACCTCATCTCTACTAAAAATACAAAAAATTAGCCGGGCGTGGTAGGAGGCGCCTGTAGTCCCAGCTACTCAGGAGGCTGAGGCAGAAGAATGGCGTGAACCCGGGAGGCGGAGTTTGCAGTGAGCCAAGATCGCACTACTGCACTCCAGCCTGGGTGACAGAGCGAGACTCTGTCTCAGAAATAAAAATAAAAATAAAAATAAATAAATAAATAAATGTTTATTAAATGGATGAATGAGTGAATTTTTCATTTATTCAATCAATCCTCATACCCTGACTTTCTCTGTTTATCTTTTGTTCCATTTCCCCAAACCCTTTCTCCCAGCCAACTGCCACAGTTAGTAAAGGCCTCATGTGTCGATCTTGAAACAGCCTTTGCAAAATTATGACTGTAAGAGAAATGTAACACCATTGACTCCATCTTGCTTCTAACCTCCATGCTGTCCTTGGTCATTGCTAGGCATAGGCTAAGCTAATGTGGGGAGGAATTTAGTTTATAGTTTAAACTTAAAGCAAGGATGGTAATATCCCTTCTCAAAACTAAACCACCTTTGTAAAACTAATGAAAGGCCACAAGGTTAGGATTATGAGAGGGGCCTAAATAATAACCAGCCCCTCTCAAGAGTTAAATGATAACCAGCCATTGTTCCAGAGTTCACAAGATTTGTAACTTCCCCAATTACTCGAGTAGATAACATCATTATCGTAGAACCTGAAATTGGCCTTTTGAGACGTTTTTCAGACTTCTGCATTTTTGATAGCCAATTGACTTCACCGGGACCTGCAATTTGTGGGACCGGCAGCTTGTGACTCAACCAGTCTTGTGGTCCCACCTAGAGGCTGACTTAGTACACGAGATTTTCCACACCCCTATGATTTCATCCCCAACCAATCAACATTTGTCATTCCCTCGCCCCCTGCCCACCAAACTATGCCTGAAAAATGCAAACCTCTGAGCCCTCCAGGGAGACTCATTTGACTGATAACTCCAATTTTCCCATATGGCCAGCCTCACATTAATTAAACTCTTGCTTTACTGCAATAAAACAGTCTCCATGAATTGGTTTTGTCTGTGCAGTGGGCAGGCAGAACCTGTTGGGCAATTACAATCCATAGAGTCAAACGGAATGTTTGGAAAGAGCCCTTGGCCTCAACTTCCAGAGCCTTGGGTTTGAGTCCCAGCTGGTTCAGTTACTAGCTGGGTACCCTGGAGCCAGTCGTTATAGGCATGTATTTCATGCTCCTTTGTCTATACTGAAAATAGTGGTCCATGGCCATCTCTTGGTTTTTAGGAAGACCACAAGACTTAATATGAATTAAAGTTCTTTGGGAAGTACCATACAAATATAACTGCTATTGATATTAATCCTTCTTAAATTATTGACAAAAAATACTCACGGCGTTTCTCCTCTATGGGCATCTGTATCATAAGAGAAAACCCTGAACGGATTACTGTTGTGAAATATCAGGCACTTTCTGGCTAAGCTGTGCTTTCTGCTCAATGCTCCTGTGTCCTAGTAGCTTTGTGTCAATAATGTCCATAAAGGCCATCACAGGGGACCAGAGTGTGGGGTTTTGTTTGAATCTGTAATGATGATAGGCTCCAGGATCAGAAGGAATTTGCAAACATGGACTGTTTATGTCAATGAGATTCAAGCCAATTCAGAGATATGGGCAGAATGAAAAGAGAGAGGGAGGAGCAGAGTCTGAGAGGGGTAGCAGGGAGGAGGCAAGGATAGGCTGCCACCCCACACCAGGTGTTGTGTGTCTCTGGCAACACAACTGCACATCAACTAATCCAACTGGATTATTTCCTCCAAAGGGAACGGTTATAGTGAATTAGGGGAAAATGAAATGAAGAAAGGAAGTAATTCAAGGTTTGCAGATTCCTGTAAAGGGGGTTGGGGGGCGTGCCTTTGTCATTTGCAGGGAACCTAGGTGAATTCTAAATTAAACTATTTACCCTTTGTGGAACAAGGGTTTGCAGGGTATCGTGTTATCACAGACAGAATTCTTACCTCTTAGAAAGAGAAGTGATGTGGGATAGAAAAGGCACTGGTTGTACAGTCAAGTAGACCCAGGTTCAAATTTTTGCTCTGCCATTTCTTTCTAATATGACTTTGGGAAAACCTCTCTGAGCTTTTTTGGAGATAATTCCTACATCAAAGGTTTGTTGTAAAGACTAGCTACAGCGACATGCCTATAGCCTGTACCTATAGACCCCTATAGACAAGGACGTGCCTATAGCCTGCCTAGCACATCATAGACATTCAGTAAGTGTAAGTTATTCTCATTACACAGACCAAAGCGTTTATCTCCTGTAATGATGTAGTGACTGACATGCCCATTTCCGGACAAGAAAGAAAGTTTGTAAATCTCAAAAACAATCTGATCAACTGCATCTGACTTTTCTAAAAACCTCACCCTGTACCATCAAGGTCATGTTCTTAAAAAGTGCGCTAACAGCTCAGATCTGCTGTTGTCCTGGCTTTTCACATGGCCAACTCATTTCTTTAAGGTTGTGGAATAAGTAGTATCACCAACTCTTGGAAAAGGGGTATTTTTTTCCTGACCATCCAATCCAGAGTAGATCCTCCTGATAACCTCATCATAAGGGGTGCATTTGCGTACTTGGTACTCGGTCTTTTCAACCGAAATGTATGCCCAAGAGGGCAAAGAGCTTGTCTGTCTTGTGCATGGTGGTTGTGGTGTGTGATACCACACACATGATGTGTTCAATAAATGGCTGTTGGAAGGAAGGACATGGAAGGAAGTGGGGCTCCCTTAATGATTAGTATACAGTTTAACACTGGCAACCCTCACACCCCACAGGCAGAGCTGCATCCTGAAATGCAGATGGCCCTCCAGTGGCAGCAGTTGACTGAAATGTGTTCTGGCATGTAAGGAACCCCTAGGAGATCCCAGCAAGGGAAAGCGTCTCCGGAGAAAGTGAACTGGGAAATGAGGGCCAGGAAAGAGCTTGTCTGGCTGTCCCCTGGGCACTCGGGTACAGGTATGAGTATGGA
This sequence comes from Homo sapiens, assembly GCF_000001405.40. Classification (NCBI taxonomy): domain Eukaryota; kingdom Metazoa; phylum Chordata; class Mammalia; order Primates; family Hominidae; genus Homo; species Homo sapiens. The sequence continues at coordinate 24,681,083 of NC_000004.12, read as the reverse complement.
TTGGGAAGACGCTCTCCCCAACCCAGCCGGCCCACACACAACCCAATCTGCAGGCATCATCTGCGTCCTTGGCGTAGTCTATCTTCTTTTCCATCAGTGGCTGTGGGGCAAGGGAGGAAATGCCTTTCAAGACCAGACGTGAGTGTTGCAGTAAACAAACTGTACTCTGCCCTGTTGGGTGGGGTTTAACCCTTCTTAATACCCAAAGGGCAGAGGGAAATGCTGAAGTATCCTGCTGTAGAGCTTCTCTTCTGTGCTGGGCTGGGGAAACTCTCGCCAAGAGATAAACAACTTAAAAAGCATGAAAAGCATTTAAGAGCCCTTTTCTCCTAAGCAGCAGCATGTTAAGCCCATGTTGTTTGTTTGCCAAACCTCCTTCTCCATTCCCTTAACACCTCCTTCCCTCCCTCACTCCTTTTGTCTCTCCCTGCTCCTTCTCTCCCTCCCATCTTCCTCCTTCCTTCTCCCTTTCTCTCTGTCTCTTTCTCCTCTCGGTCTCCTTCCCTCCTCCCTCCTTTCCTCCTTCCCTCTTCTTCTCTTCCTTCTTCTTCCTCCCTCTCTCTGCACCTGCCTCCCCTTCTCCCTCTTTTTCAGCAGAATCAGTGACAATCTAAAACGAGCCATTCTGACACAAGAGCGTGGTGGAGGAGAAATAGGTTTCATACTAGGTGGGGACTCAGGAAGAAAGGGACCTGAAATTGATGAAGCACCTATTGTGTGCCAGGCACTGTACCCAGGACACCTACATATGCACATACGTATTCATTTAACTGCCCCAACAAGCCACACAGCGGTCATTATTCTCTTGTCTACAGATTCAGTGTGGAACTCAACAGTTTACTTGCCTGGGATCACAGAGCTAACTAACCAGATATCTGTCAGATTCCACCACCCATACTGTCACTATTTTAAATTTTACTCAATGTAAGGAGTATTTTCTTTCCTTTTTTTGAGACAGAGTCTTGCTCTGTCACCCAGGCTGGAGTGCAGTAGCATGATCTCAGCTCACTGCAAGCTCCGCCTCCCGGGTTCACACCATTCTCCTGCCTCAGCCTCCCAAGTAGCTGGGACTACAGGTGCCCGCCACCACGCCTGGCTAATTTTTTGTATTTTTAGTAGAGATGGGGTTTCGCCATGTTGGTTAGGATGGTGTCAATCTCCTGACCTTGTGATCCACCCGCATCGGCCTCCCCAAGTGCTAGGATTACAGGCGTGAGCCACCGCGCCCCACCAATGTGAGGACTATGTTTTTACAAATGTACTTGCCATGTTCTTTCACCCATTAATGTCATTTCCTGTGGAAATCAAGATATAAACAAAGATTCAAAAATGAGACTGTTGGTTACTGCTTTGTTTCTGATAGAGGAAATAAAATAACTTAAATGTCCAATAACAGCAGTTGGTTAAATAAATTTTGGAATACCCACGCAGTAGAATACTCGTAGACATTAAAAATATTATGGTGTTTGTTTATTGCCATAAAAACATGTTGATGATTTATTATCAAGTGAGAAAAATAAACAGGTTTCAAGCAATATGTAAAATGTTATTTTGGCAAATAAAAACACAGGCAAATACAAGCATATAAAAATTCAAGAGAACATAAAAGTATATCTTGGAGGAGTAGGATTATAGGTAATTTTTTTATCTTCTTTTGCTTCTCTGTATTTTTTAATATTTTTCTATAATGAGCCTCCATCTCTTGAGCACTTTGTTTTAGTTTTTTCTTTATAAGAGTAAATTTCAGAATGATTAGAAAGGTGCTTTCTGGAACATTTTGCTTGAGGGCCCAGAATTTGGGAACGTCTCTATTCTTTTCTAGCCACAACTGAACAGAGAAATAAAAATCCTAGCCAAAAACTCACATTTGGCCGATATTGTTTCTTTTTATAATTACGTTGTCAATCGCTGATTAAAATGTAAGTGCCTGAAAATGGAAAATGTATCCTTTTTTTCCCTCTTTAATCTACGTCGATATGTGGTACTCAACAAATATTCATGATTGTTTGATTTCTTTCCTCTACCCCTTTGAGTGTTTTTTCTTTTCTTTTCCCCGCTATTTTATACCAGAAGCTTTTTATCTGAACTCTTTTTAGTTATAGTTTGTGAGAATTTGGAGAATTTAGACAATATTAAAACTTACTTTTTTTCTTTGAATAAAATTAGAGTTTGTGGAGTGAAATGTCCATGTAAGCAAGATGAGGTAGGAAGGGTATGTTTAACCTACTTGGGAAAATACTTTTGAACTCTGTACAACATCCTTTTGTGCCCAGTTAATTAATGGACTGGTTAGAAATAATTATAATTCATTGACTTGATTTGGCAGAATTTCTTCCTGGCAGCATTCTGTTTTCTATTAGTTTGTGTTACTCTCAGTATTGAAAGTCACATATCTTTTCCTTACAAATGGCACAAAAGCCAGGCATGGTGGCACATGCCTGCAGCTACTTGGGTGGCTCAGGTGGGAGGATCACTTGAGCCCACGAGTTCAAGGCTGCAGTAAGCCATGATTGTGCCACTGTACCACTCCAGCCTGGGCAACAGAGACCCAGTGTCTCAAAAAACAGCAACAATAAAACTTTTAAAATTACACTTAAAAAAAAGCCACAGATATCTATTAACTCAGAACTTCTTCAATAATTTGAGTAGATCTTTCATACTCTTACTTCTAATTTTCAGATTTTTACTGTTTTGTAACTCACAATATCCCTCTTTAAAATAAAAACATGCTTTTAAAAATGCAAAAGTTTTTCCTTCACTAAAATACACAGCTGTAAAATACAGGACATAAATTGAGAAATTAATTATTCTCTCTGAGTAAAAAAAAAAACAAACGTGACCAAAGTGTATGAAATTAAAAAGTGGAAGTCCACACTGCAGCCCGCCGTGCCTGTCTCCATGCACAGGTGGAATTGATTTCTGCTTGTGCATTCCAAGAGCCATGTCTACAGGGCTGGGGTGGGGCTTCCTTTCTCATTGAGTTGATGGCTGAATGCGTTCTGACCTCTAATAACCCAGCTTCAGAGTCTTCATGGCCACTTGGTACCAAAATGCTAATTTGATAGAGTTGGTGATTTTCCAGTTTTGCAAAGTGCTTTTGGTTTTCTGTTTTGTTTTGTTTGCCAAAAGCAAAGTCTTCAATTATTCTGTAACAGTATGCCTATCAGGTATTTTTTCCCCTTCACTTAATAAAACAGGTATAGCATGGAGGTAAGAATTGATATATGAGTACCTGAAATCTAAAATAGTCCTGCCAAAGCTGCGTTATCTAGTAAAGCAGCCAGTAACACATGAGGCTATTTAAATTTAAATAATATTTAAAGTCCAGCTCCTCCTTTGCACTAGCCACATTTCAAGGGCTCAATAACCACATGCAGCCAGTGGGTACCAGATGGAAAATGCAGATGGAGACCATTTCTGTTACTGCAGAAAGTTCTATGGGACAGCACTGCTCTAGAGCCTAATATGAGACAAAAAAATGCAAAACCATTATTATAACAACTCCTTCCCAATATAGATATAGATTTCATGTTTGGGCTACAGACATCTTACACTTCGTACATTAGCTATAGTGCAAAAAAATAGAGTATCGCTGGAAGAAGAACAAAAATATACCCCAGGCAATATGCAAATGAAAACCACAATGAGATATCATCTTACCCCAGTTACAATAGCTATTATCAAAAAGACAAAAATAACAAATGCTGGCAAGGATGCAGAGGAAAGGAAACTCTTATACAATGTTTGTGAGGATGTAAATTAGTACAGCCATTATGGAAAACAGTATGGAGGTCTCTCCAAAAACTGAAGTTAGGACTACCATCCCATCTAGAAATTTCACTACTGGGCATTTTTCCAAAGGAAAAGAAATCAGTGTATCCAGGGGATACCTGCACCCCAATACTTACTTCAGCACTAATCTCAATAGCCAACATGTGGACTCAACCTAAGTGTCCATCAATAGATGAATGGATTAAAAATGTGGTGTATATATACACAATGTAATACTATTCAGCCATACAAAAGAATAAAATTCTGTCATTTACAGCAACATGGATGGAGCTGGAGGTAATTATGTTAAGTGAAATCAGTCAGGCACAGAAAGACAAATGTCACATGTTTTCATTCATATGTGGGAGCTAAAAAAGTGAATCACTTGGAGGTAGAGAGTACAATATAGTTACTAGAGGCTGGAAAAGGTGTGGGTGGGAGATGGGGAGGAAGAGAGGTTGACTAGTAGGTGTAAACACACAGGTAGAATGAATAAGTTCTAGTGTTTGAGAGCACAGTAGGGTGACTACAATTAACAGTAATACATTATTTATTTCAAAATAGCTAGAAGAGAAAATTCGAAACAGTCCCAGTATGAAGAAATGATCAATGTTTAAGGTGATGGATATCCTAAATACTAAATACACTGGTTTGATTATTACGCATTGTATGTTTCAAAACATCACATGTACCCCATCAAAATGTACAAATATTATATATTAATAAAAATAATTAAATTAAAAATATATATTATTCTAGACCCCTTCTATTCTGGTTACTATTGTTATGAAACAAGTCACCCCAAAACTTAGCACCTTAAAGCAACAACAATTATTTTATTATCTCTCCTGGTTCTGGGGAGTGGACTTTGAGACAGTCTTATGATCTTATTATACTCCCCAGAGCCAGGAGTCTTATTATCTTTCCTGGTTCTGGGGAGTAGACATTGAGATAGTCTTAGGCTATGTCCCCACCTAAATTTCATCTTGAATTGCAGCTCTCATAATCCCCACATGTCATGGTAGGGATCCAGTGGGAGGTAACTGAATCAAGGGAGTAGGTCTTTCCCATCCTGTTCTTGTGATAGTGAATCAGTCTCACGAAATCTGATGGTTTTATAGAGGGAAGTTCCCCTGCACATGCTCTCTCTTGCCTGCTGCCATGTAAGACATGCCTTTGCTCCTCCTTTGCCATCTGCAATGATTGTGAAGCATCCCTAGCCATGTGAAACTGTGAGTCCATTAAACCTCTTTTTCTTTATAAATTGCCCAGTCTTGGGTATTTCTTCATAGCAGTATGAAAATGGACTAATACACAGTCATTGCCAAGGATTTCTGCAGTTGCAAGTTGCAGCTTGTGGCTGGGCTGAGGGTGGCAGGAAGGCTTCCCCTTTCTAGCGTCTGGCAGCTTATGTGGCTGTAACCTGGGACCTCAGCTGGGGCTTGTCCTGGAGGAAGTGGTGACATCTCTCATGACCTGGCTTGGGAAGTTACATTCTGCATCACACACAGAAGTCCTGGGCCTCCCATATTCAAGGGGAGCAACACAAGCTCTCCATAGTGGAGAGCTTGGGGACTACCACTGCATGTTCTCAGGAACAAACTGCCCTCCTGGTCACCGACCCTTAGTGCAGATGGAGCTCCAGCTAGGAATCGATCACATTAAAGAAAAACTCTAATTGCACAGATTCTGCAGTGCTTTTTCCAGCCAAAGCAAGAATTCTAAGTATTTCATACTGTGGATCCCCTTGGCATTATCATATAATAGAATCTATGGATTCTTCAGAATACTATTTTCAAGTGCATGAAATAAAAACATAGGATTACAAAGAAAACCAGTTGTACAGAAACACAGTCATCAAACTATTTAGTTACATTATAATTTAGTCAGCTCTAGCAGCAGGTATCACAAATTCTGTAATTTCTATTTTTTTTTTTTTTTAGATGGAGTCTCACTCTGTCACCCAGTCTGGAGTGCAGTGGTGCGATCTTGGCTCACTGCAACCTCCGCCTCCCAGGTTCAAGTGATTCTCCTGCCTCAGCCTCCTGAGTAGCTGGGACTACAGGTGCGTTACCACATCCAGCTAATTTTTGTATTTTTAGTAGAGATGGGTTTTCACCATGTTGGCCAGGCTGGTCTCAAACTCCTGACCTCAGGTGATCCACCCACCTCAGCCTCCCAAAGTGTTGGGATTACAGGTGTGAGCCACTGTGCCCAGACAAATTCTGTAATTTCAAAGTTGTGATGAACATAAATGATATTTCAAAATACCTGTAACAATGACAATGCAATATGAAATGATTGGTGATTTCTAATGATGACAAGTTCGCAAATACTGCCAATACCACTGTGGTTTGTTGCCTACATTCATATTTAAAGGAAATGTTGAGTTTCAGCTGAAGGCTAATGAAACTAAAGATGTGATTTTTTTCCTCTCACCTAGGTGTGCATTTCTCTGAATGGGCGCTGCTTAGGTGCCCCAGACCTAGAGGTGCAGGTGCTCTTTGGACAGCAGAGCAACCAGGAGAGCTTCGGGAAGAATAAGGTGAGGTCAGGCCTGGGTACAGGATGGGCAGAGGGCAGGAAGGCAGGAGCTCAACTGGGCAGCATGAGAAAGTAACAGGGATATGGATGGGGAGAAGGTTCTAGAAGGCAGAAATCTGGAGACCATGGTTAAAGGTGAGGCCTGAGGGGAAAATTCCCTAGTGAGAAAATTCCCTCTGGCTAGAATGGCCAAGGAAACTTTAGGCCCTATTGAGATTCCTTACACTTGATCTTGTCTCTCCACCCCCAGCCAATGGCCTGAAATTACTTATAGCTGCCGCACATGAACCACTTCCCTTTTTCTGCCAGTCTAGGGTCTTCCAGCAGATACAAACAGAATTTCTGCTGCAGCAACTTTCCTGAGCCAGTTGGTCCAGCCCCTTCTGTGGGGGCTTGAAGGAACTAATTAACTATAGCTGTCTCCTCTGTGCCAAAAAGGGAGTACCAGGAATGAATTGGAGATGAATGTCCAAACATCCGCTTTATTGTTACTGAAATCTGGATTGGAAGGTACGACTCAGAGGTGGGCTTCCAACTTCTCCCTGCCTCTCCCGCCACCTACACACCCCATTCTGAAGCCAGGAACCTGTAGGGGAAAGTTTGAGTCTGTGGAGCACACGACTTACTCAGGACTGCTCCCTGGCACTGGCCCAGGGAAGGAGGGTGGAGGGGAAGAGGGCAGAGAGAGACAACACACACACATTTACCTTTAGGATTCTTGACAGGTTTGTTCCTTCCAATCTAGAAGCATGGATCGATGGCCATCACTCACCAAGAAGGTGACTCCCTCCACCTCCAAGGGGAGGAGTAAGAAGTGTAGCAGGAGGCCAGGAGCGCTTTGGGAAAACTAATAGGGGGTCCCCCTTCAACACCCACATTCTGAACTCTCCTACGCAGGTATAAATAATCATCATTATGATTATTATTATTATGAAGAGGAGAATCAAAAGGGCTTTTTACCTTGTGATAGGGACTAGATTAAAATTTTAATACATAATCTCCTTTAATTTTCACAACAACCCTCTATCGTAGGAGGTTGAACCACATGAAACTGTAGATGCTGGACCATTTTGACTCACAAAAATGGTAATTTTGTATCCTTCAACCTAATGATTCCCCTGTTTCACAGGTGAGGTCACTGAGACTTACAGAAGGTAAGCAACTTGCCAAGGACCTCATAGCTGATAAGTGATCCATCTGGAGCTTGCACTGAGACCTGACTCCAAGGCCTGTGGTTGGAACCATGGCAGTAATTACGATGGAGGTGCGGTGGCACCGCCCAGAACACACCTGGAGGATTGTGGGGCTCATTTCACAGCACAACAAACACCCACCTTTTCTCTTTCGGTCCTGTGCCTGTGCCACGGATTAAGAATAATGAGATAAATAATATACAGGATCTGCCTCCAGAGCCACCTTGCACATAGTATAGTAGGTGTTCAATAAACATATTTTTGACAGGTTTGTCACTGAGGCTCACCTTCTAGGGCACAAAGCACAAGGAAGGCCTGCTTGCTTGGGAGATGACTGCAACCTTGCAGTGTCCAGCCCTTTACCATTAACAAAGTTAATGCACACGCATTCCCGGAGCTGGCCTCCTTCCTTGTTAAGCGCCTGATTAAGGACTGAAATGATTGCTTAGCCTGCTTCCTGAGGGCGATGACTCTCTGCTGCTCAGAATCCTGCCGCTTACAGTAGAAATCAGGGCCAGAGTGGAAGCAGCCTCGGGCCAAGTTGGAGAAATGCTAGAGATTCAGAGGCGGGGCAATTTCTGATTCCTTTTTGCATTTTCCCTGAATGTAAATCAACCATGGGGTTCTCACCCATATCCCAAATCACTCCTGGAAAACAGATCTTACTTCAGGTACAACCTGACCCATGGCGGCAGTAGTACCCTCAGGCGGTGAAATCTTGCACCCCAGGCTGGGAAGGCGATATGTTCAGCCTATCAGCGCTTCATTCCCCAATTCCCCAGTACTAGGGTCTGGCGAGGGGATCACCCCAGCCTGACAGTTCTGCCTCCTAAACACTTCTAATTGCTGCTGCCACCACCCAAGCTCAGAGAGAGCAATAATCTCTTCCCCAGATTATTGATCTTTTAAACTCTGTGCTGGGCGCAGTGGCTCACGCCTGTAATCCCAGCACTTCAGGAGGCTGAGGAGGGCTGATCACTTGAGGCCAGGAGTTCGAGGCCAGCCTGGCCAACATGGTGAAACCCCGCCTCTACTAAACATACAAAAATTCACCTGGCATGATGGCACGCGCCTGTATTCCCAGCCGCTTGGGAGGCTGAGGCACGAGAGTCACTTGAATCCGGGAGGCAGAGGTTGCAGTGAGCTGAGGTCACACCACAGCACTCTAGCCTGGGCAACAGTGAGACCCTGTCTCAAAAAGAAAAGAAAAGAAAAGAAAAGAAAAGAAAAGAAAAGAAAAGAAAAGAAATAAAAGAAAAACACAACTCTGATTACATGGCTTCAGACTCTTCAAAGTGGTGTCATGATGACCTTAGAACAAAGTCCAGCCTCCCTCACTGGGCCTGTGAAGCTGCCCCCCTCCTGGCCCCTACCTAACTCCCTTCCGCCTCTCCTTCCCACACACCCAAGGCTCCAGCCACACCGCACTTCTCTCGCTCCTCAAGCATGTCATTCTCAGAGAACTTCCATACACACTGTTCATCCACCCACAGCATCCTCCCCGTCTCCACTCATCTTCGCCCTTATTTCCTGGGAGACTTTCTCCGTTCCTCCTCGAGCTCCCATACAACCCTGCACTTCCTCTTTCCTAATACTTTTCCCACACCATTGTACTTCCTTTTTCAATTATCTGCCTCTCCCACTACATCTGGTTGAGTTGCAATCTAGTTTCAGTAAATACCTGTCAAATGCATAGATGAACAAATGAACAAATAAAAGAGGAAATTAAAGTTCCATGCTCCAGAATATGTAGCCAGTTTTGGATCTGAGAGATCTTTAGTTCTGGAAGACAGACATACAGACCCCAGGCTCCAATTGGCACACATGTATCTGGGCAGTTCCAAAACCCTGTGGAAGTCTCAGCACCCGAGGCCACAGTGTGTCAGGGGTGGACTCCATAAGTCCAGTATAGGGCAGTGGCTGTGAATCAGGATTCATTCTTCATCCCACAGATCTAATCCCATTCAACAACACCAGGTCTAAGTCCAATAAAAGATGCCATCCGACTTCTGGATTTGCTTTTATTATTCATCTCAAATATGATAAAAATAAGTTTTCCCCCAAACTTGAAATGGACCGAGGATTTCTCGATTTCTGGGCTGCCCAAATGAACACTGCATGGGAGCAGCCTTCCTTATGGACAGTTTTGCTTTACCAATGGCTTGCTGCTGTGTCCTCAAGGACAGGGGCCCGGGTTACCTGCAAACCCCTGGTGTTCTTGTATTGCCATAAAGAAATACCTGAGACTGGGTAATTTATAAAGAAAGGAGGTTGAATTGGCTCATGGTTCTGCAGGCTGTACCAGAAGCATGGCGCCAACATCGCTCAGCTTCTGAGGAGGCTCCAGGGAGCTTTTAGTCCTGGCAGAAGGCAAAGGGATCATGCGAGTCCCATGGCAAAAGCAGGAACAAGAAAGAGTGGGGGTGGGGAGAGGTGCCATACACGTTTAAACCACCAGATCTTGTGAACACTCAGAGTGAGTGTTCCCTCATCACCAAGAGGATGGCCCAAGCCATTCATGAGGGATCTGCTCCCACGACCCGAACACCTCCCACCAGGGCTTACCTCCAACATTGGGGACTACAATTCAGCATGAAATTGTGGTGGGGATACAGATCTAAACCATATCACCTGTCCACAATATGTGGTGGACGCTGTGCTGTGCTGCTTAAGATGGCTTTTAGCACAAAAGACTCTCCTTCAGCTGCTGACAGTACCTCTGGCATGCAGCCGTCAGCTGTCAGCTCGCTTCAGGAACCACCTGAGCGAGGGGAGCTGCCTCAACTAGGGTGGCCCACATCTAATGACTGATCAACGTGGGGGTATGATATATTTTGGATCTGTGTCCTCTACCCAAATCTCACGTGGAATTATAAATCCCCAGTGTTGGAGGTGAGGCCTGGTGGGAGGTGATTGGATCGTGGAGGTGGTTTCTCATGGTTTAACACCATCTCCCTTGGTGGTGTTGTGACGAGAGTGAGTTATCAGGAGATCTGGTTGTTTAAAGGCGTGTAGCATCTCCTGCCTCTCTCTCTCCTCCTGCACCGGCCCTGTGAACTGCCTGCTCCCGCGTCACCTTCTGCCATGATTGTACATTTCCTGAGGCCTCCCAAGAAGCTGAGCAGATGCCAGCATCATGCTTTTTGTATAGCATGAGGAACTGTGAGCCAATTAAACCTCTTCTTTATAAATTACCAGTCTCAGTTATTTCCTTCTTTCCTTTTTTTTTTTTTTTTTGACAGACTTTCGCTTTATTCCCTAGGCTGGAGTGCAGAGGCACAATCTCAGCTCACTGCAACCTCCACTTCCTGGGTTCAAGCAATTCTCCTGCCTCAGCCTCCCGAGTAGCTGAGATTACAGACATGTGCCACCACGCCTGGCTAATTTTCGTATTTTTAGTAGAATTGGGGTTTCACCATATTGGCCAGGCTGGTGTCAAACTCTGACCTCGTGATCTGCTCGCCTCGGCCTCCCAAAGTGCTAGGATTAAGGACGTGAGCCACGGCGCCAGGCCATAGTTATTTCTTTATAGCAGTGCAAGAATGGCCTAATACAGGGCTAAATGCCCAGCTCCCTCATCTCAGCTTGGGATAATTTAGAGGACATATTCTAGCTTCAGGACATGACTCAGAATTGGCTGAGGTCTCCATTGAGGCTTCAACACAGCTCAACTTCTCCTTCTGGCCAATCCTGATTCCTTCCCTTCCTTATTACAGGCATTGATCCCAAGAGCTCTTCCTAATGAACCACAGGCACAATCTCTCCATCTCAGAGCAAACTTATAGGAGAAGAGAAGTTCCACATGGCCAGCAGTTGTAACTCTGCTATGCCTCCAGGAAGTCGCAGCAGAAGAGAAGAAGGAGGAAGGATGCTCTGGTGTCCTGGTGTTGGAGAGCCTGGGTGGTCCAGCTCACACAGTGTTTCACCTGTTTCCCCTATTGTCCTCCCGGCCAGGGGTCCAGGATCGTTGGGCTCTCTCATTATCAAAATCTAATCTTCGGCTGTTTTCTTATGCTTAAAATGAGAGAAATAGACTCAATGGTTTGTAAGCGCTACAATTATGATGCTTTGAACATTTAAAAACATAGTCATGTGCTTTTAAATCTCAAACCCACATATTTCAGAGAGTCCCAATTTATGCAAACGCCAACTCAAGAACATTACAATATACTATTTACTTTTTCAATACACTCTATTTTAGTAAATAGATTTATGTCACATCATTGAAGAACATTCAATGAGTGCCCGCCAGATGCATCGTATAGCACTTGAAAAATCAGCAATTGTTGAGATGTTGACATGTTTAAATTTGGCTCATATTACATGAAGCAAATGGGAGTGCATAACTTAGATTAGGAATTACATTCATGCTACATGGCTGTTGTTTCTTCTCCCTCTTCATCTTTTTCTTCTTCTTTCAAGCTGCCAGATGGTGTGGATCAAATTATTCCAGAATGCAGAGAGCCTGGATTTCTGCAGATGAGCCTAACAGTCGGTGCCGACTTGTGCTTCTATCACTGCTGCTCACGGTGGTGTAATCGGCTCCCACCCCAGGAGCCCCCAGCCAGCCGTACAGCGGAGGCATAAGCGTGGTTCCAGCAACAATCCTCAGTACGCTTTGAGAATTCTGAAATAAAACTTGTATCTCTTTCATTTATTTTCTTAAACTCTTAAAATTTCAGTTTTTAAAAATGAACTGGCCAGGGCCGGGCATGGTGGCTCATGCCTGTAATCCCAGCACTTTGGGAGGCCGAGGCAGGTGGATCACCTGAGGTCAGGAGTTCAAGACCAGCCTGGCCAACATGGCGAAACCCCGTGTCTACTAAAAATACAAAAATTAGCCAGGTGTGGTGGTGCACATCTGTAATCCCAGCTACTCAGGAAGCTGAGGCACGAGAATCGCTTGAACCCGGGAGGCAGAGGTTACAGTGAGCCGAGATTGGGCCACTGTACTCCAGCATGGGTGACAGAGCGAGACACTCTCAAAATAAATAAATAAATAAATAATAAAATAAATTAAAAAAATGAACTGGACTGCTGGGATACTGTAAAATACAGTGAATAAATTCCAGTTTCAAGAGTCATATAGACAATGATTAGATAGCCCATTTTTTCTGAGCATTTTCTATCTATTAACTTATTTCACCTTCATAGCAATGTCTCCATTTTACAGAGGAGAAAATAGAAGCACCAAAGAGAAGAAGGGCATCTTGCCTAAGGTTACCCAACTCATAAGAGAAACAGCCAGGATTTTAACCCTGGCAGTTTGGGTTAGGCTTTCAATAGTTTCCATCTGCTAAGTGGTCAATTAATATATTTATCATCCAGTAACCTCATTAAAAGACAGGAATAAGAACATCATCTTCAATATAGGGTTGCTATGAGATGATAAGAAGATGCAAGGAATGCATTTGGCTCTCAGCCAGGCACACAGTGAGCACTCAGAATGTATTAATATTTGCCCCTACTCAATTGCAAGGGGCCTATCAAGGGAAGTGCATATATCCCTTCAATATCTCACTATTGAATCTGATTTGGAAACTTCATCTTTGAGGTGTTCACCACTTTGTTCCTCCATAACGTTTAACCAACAAGGATTCCAACTATCTGGAGAGCAAGTGGGTTTGCTGTGTGTATGTGTGTCCACACCTTCAGGAACACCACCGGGTGCCTCCTGGCTGCACTCATTCACCTGGTATTCCACAGCCTGGGAGTTCCATGCTCATGTCCACTTCCAAGGTACAGAAGAGAGGACATGCTTTGAGCAGAGACCAAAGCAGGGACAAAAGGCAACCTAAACATTTGGCTTCATCTTTTCAGCACCAAGTTTCAACTCATATGTTGCTGGTGAGAAGCTATAAATTGGTGTAGGCTTTATAAAGAATTGGCAATGTCTATCAAAATTTTAAACATGCATATCTCATGACTCTGGAAGAAATTATATCAAATGTATAAGAGCACTGATAAACTGTTTCAAGGGCACTGTTTCAAGGGCACTGATAAACACAGATGAAAATCTATCTAGATGCCCATAAGTTATGGGATATCTATATAATGAAATAGAATGTTGCAAGAAATAATAAGATATTAGTAGCTCACTATACTGATAAGGAACACCACCAAGATATATAATTAAGTGAAAAAGCAAGATGTAGAACGTTATCACTTGTGTAAAAACTGTATCTATATATACACATATATACTACACATACACATATACACATATGAATATATGTGTGTGTATATATACATGTATACCTATGTATGTATACATAGGTATGTATATATAGATAGATAGATATAGATCTAGATCTAGATATAGATAGATATAGATCTAGATCTAGATATAGATAGATATAGATAGCCCTCTCTTAGTTTGGGTTCCTCCAGAATCACACTCTGAGATGTTCGCTTGCAATCCCAGGAAATTCCGATAGGAGAGTGGAGAAGTAAGGCAAGGAAGAAAAGGTAGTCAATTAAGGGAAAATATCAAGAACGTTACCACTGAGAGCAACTGGACGGCAATCCTGCAGGGTGAAACAAGCCAACAGTGTAGAACTCCCTTCAGAGTTATCTCACCTAAGATAAGCTGAGGTATTTATCCACCAACTTTCCACCTGTCTTTGGTTGTGGGCTACTTCCAGGAGCATTAACTCTTGGGCAATTCCAGTTTGCCAAAGGTGCTCCCAGGGCCAGAACAAAAAGCCCCCAGGCAGAAAAATTTGGATAGTCACAAAAAGCAGCCTTTGGTGTGTTGAGGTGAGAGACGATAAGATATTAGGTGGGGCACTAACAGGCAGAGTATGTTTGGAAGGAGATGCACAAGGTAGTAGGGGTGGGGAAGAGGAAGGAGAGCTATTAATAAGACTGAAAGAGAGGCATTTTCACTATGACCTCTATTGTTCTTTTGGAATGTTGTGATGTGCATATATCACCCATTCTCAAAGTAAATAAAATAATATAGAGAAATTAAATTGAGCCCCTGCACAGATGCACGAGGGGTGGGTGGCTAACAAGCATGGCTCCAGGGCACCCGGGCACTACTGACATTGTGAGCCAGATAATTCTGCCTTGTGCATTGTGGCATGTTTGGCAGCATCCCTGGCCTCTGCCCACTAAATGCCAGTGTACTCCCTCCCGAGTTGTGATCATCAAAAATGTTTCCAGACATTGCCAAATGTCCCCTGATATGGGTATGGCAGGGCAAAATCACTTCTTACCCTGTTGAGAATCTCTGCTCTAGGGAACCTGATGAGGTTAGTTATATCCCTCCAGTAAACTGAGGCACAAGGTGGTCTAATGCAGCATATCCAGAGCTCTGCATGAAGCCTGTGTACATGGAGGGACCACCCAGTTTATCCCATAAAAGGAGTGGAGAAGCTGTTGGTGGCTCTCTCCCCTGCCCTTCGCTATGGGCTCCCCCTCCAAGTACATACCACCCCTCACCTCCCATGCACGTGATTAACACAACCGACAGGACACTTGGAGGCAGCAGGTCTTGCTCACATAGACACCATGCAGGTATTTCAAGACACTGTGGTATAATCTGCTGCCCAACAGCGTTTGGGGAAGCTTTGCGTCTGACCTTGGACACAGCTGAATCAAATATGGCTCCTGCCTGAAGTAGCTCCCAGCTTCAGGGAGAAGCCAAGCGTGAAAGGTGAGCCTTCACAGCAAAGGGCTAGTCAGGCACTAAGAGGCTGGGCCCTTTCTCCTCCACCCTCCTTCCCTTTCTTTGCTCCCCTCTCCATTCTGTCTGCCCTTGGGAGCACTTCTCACTCTCCCAAATTATGCTTTTCATTTTATTTACTTGTTTGTTATTTGCCAGCCTCTACTAGAAGTAGCTCAGATGGAAATTGGGATGGGTTCAGTCCTGTTCTTGCTGTTACCACAGCATCAAGAACAGCAATTGGCACAAAGGAGGTGGTCAATAAATGCCTATTCATTGAATGGATGAATGAATATTCTGGAATATTGGAGAAGGAGGAGTGAAAACATAAATGAGGATGAGGGAAAAGAGAAAGAACAAGGCAGGAACCAGGACAGGAGACACCTGGAAGTCTCCAGGCATAGCTTCTACTGCTGAGAACTGGAATAAGATGAAAGCTCCTCCCCAACAAGGAGAGGGGCTACCTTCCCACCATCTCTTCCTTACCTCTTGCCAGTTGCCTTCCAGAAGCTAGAGCTGGACTGCCATTTCCAGGGTGTAACACCATCAGAAGCTGGTGGTATCTCTGAAATGAACTGACTTCAGATGGATTTGCATGGCTTTGTGCCCCACTTACCAGGTCCTTGCAGCATCTGCCATTTTTGCAAACAGGCAGTGGGGAAAAAAGGAGTCTTTGTTTCATCGGAATGAAAGCCAGCTTTTCCTGAGGCTGTGTAGAATAGTTGTGATTGTTTGGATCACTGTTGAGCAATGCTCATGCTCCCTCCTTCTGTGGGCCAAGTATATCTCCCTGCTCCACAGATGTTGGGCTCAGCATCATAGCTTCTTTTGACCAATGGAATGCTAGCAGACACAATATGACTAGAGACCTTAAATGCACTCACCGATGAGGGCTTGGTTCTTACATTCTGGTATTCTCCCAAGGGAAGAGCATACCCTGCACAGCTACTGCCCTTTCAGAGTGAAAACACATGGAGTGGACTTGAACCCAACTCCCAGCCTAGACCCTATCCCACGGGAATCACAGCTTGAAGCAGAGGCATGCAACTGAGCCCAACTGGGATCACCCATACCACAGTCATCCTACAGAACCATAAGCATGAGAGTAAATTCTGGTTGTAAGCCACTGAGTTTCTACGTGGATTGTCAAGCAGCATTATGTGGCAATAGAGGATTGACTCCATATTATTCACATTATTAGCAATGCCTGGTCCAAAGTCAGGCATGAGCTGTAATAATGGCTCTTTCTCTATAGCTACACAGCTTTGGGCAAGTTAGCTAAACTTTTGAGCCTCAGTTTCTTAAACTATATATAAAAAAGTAATAATAGCATGACTTTCAGCACTGTTGTCAGGATTAAATGTGATCATCTATATAAAATGCTTAGCATAGCCTCTGGCCCAGAGTAAAGATTCTATAAATCAGAGATCACAAATTGGAAGTGTGTCTTCAAAAAATTCAATTAATTGTCTCTATTGGGATCAATTACCAACTGCCAACTGGGAAATTCTGTATTTTAAAAAATCCAGATTTATATCTTCTCTTGAAAAATCAGAAAATCTTGTGACACCGAGCCAGCATTCCTATACAGCAACAATGGATAGAGCCGGGGGTAGCATATCACTGTGTGTAGAGTAGAAAACCTGACCACAGGGGCTTAAATAAGTAAGGGGTTAATTTTCTTCTTGCAGCTAGATGTCCAGGGCTGGCAGTGAGGCTGAGCAATGCCAGCAGGGACCTAGGCTCCTCAGCCTTGCTGCTCTGCTGTCTTTAAGCATGAAGTGTTTGGTCCTCATGATCTCAAGATGGCTCCTGCACAGCAAGCTATGGCATCTGTGTTTCAGGCAGGAAAAGGAGGAGGGAATGGCAAAGGAGCAAAGGACAAAATCTCTCCTAGCAAGACTTTGCTTTTTTATACAAGAAAGGAAGACTTTCCAGGGACTTCCACTTATGTCTTACAGGTTAGAAGTGAGGCAGCCTGGGCAACATGGTGAAACCCCTTCTCTACAAAAAATTAAAAAATTAGCCAGGCCTGGTGACATGCACCTGTAATCTCACTCAGGAGGCTGAGGTGGAAGGATCGTTTGAGCTTGGGAGGCAGAGGTTGCAGTGAGCTGAGGTCGCACCACTGCACTCCAGCCTAGGAAACATAGCGAGACCTGGACACACACACACACACACACACACACACACACACACACAAAAGAAATAAGGGAGGGAGGAGGGAGAGCATCAGGAAAAATAGCTAATGCATACTGGGCTTAGTACTTAGGTGATGGGTGGATAGTTGCAGCAAACCACCATGGCACATGTTTACCTATGCAATAAACCTGCACATCCTTCACATGTGCCCCAGAACGCAATAAAATAATAAAATAAAATAAAATAAAATGAAACAAAATAAAATAAAATAAAATAAGGAAAGAAAAAACAGGAGAACAAAAAAGAAAGAAGGAGTTAGAAAGATGTTGAGTAACTCAAGCTAGAGTCTCTCAGTTTAGCAACTCTCCCAAGCCATTTACCTTCCCTCCATGGCCCCTGAGTTTGCCTGTGTTTGCAGCTCCTGCCATATGTGGTATCTGTTTTGATTACTCTCAGCTGAATCGGGCACAGTTTTGGAGTGCACTCTTCAGTCTCCCTTCTGGCTTAGCCCTTCTAAGCTCATGACAGAACTGAATGTCCAAGGTCCCCCACACCCCAGCTACTTTGCCACATTCTTTGCCTTTAGCCTCTCGTCTAGGGCAGGGGCAATAGACAGTGTGCTCAAAGAAGAAATGGGAAGTTTCTGGGCCACCTCTTAAAGATAGCTTTGAGCATACTAGCCATATTCTTGATGCAGCCTTGGCTAAAACTGAGAAAATACTTTTCCCTTCCACTCTCTTTGTCCTGTTTTTTTCCTTTAGATGGACATTGATAGTTTCATGCCATTTTTCAAGGCAGGCGACTGAAGTTCCAGGAGGTGACCTCTATTTACTACAATAAAATTAGTGATTTATAGAAAGTCAGAATTCTGCAATTCCCCAAACTCCCCTTTTATCCCTAACTACTGTGTCAACAAAGCACCCAGCATCCAGCCTGGTTCAAAGGTCTGAACTGTGTAGCAAAATAAATCATTTTAAAAATCCCAATAGTAGTGTATGGTGTGAGCATTCTTAACTTGAATTGAGTAAGGAGGAAGAGAGCAGATGCAGCCAACCTTGGCTGTGGTTTATTACTCAAGTTGATGTGGGGCAGAGAAGATTGGATATTTAATGTCAATGATACCGTGAGAGGGGGTGAAAAATTCCAAGTTCCACTAGAAAATAACAAGGTAAAATTTAGGTCCCATAAGCCCTAGCCTATTTTTTCTTTCCTCCCCCTCCCCGACTGTCACTCTCCCAGTTTTTTAACCTTCTTCCTTTCCTCTCTTCCTCCCTCCCTGCCTGCTGGTCTATTTCTGAGTCCACTGTTGAAGGCCTAGCAAATTTTTTAGTAGGGCCCTAATTTAAGTTCCTCATTGACATTCTAATATATGCAGAATGCCGATCCCAAACTCACTTATTCAAATGCACTGGATGTTGTGCTTTACATCACAATGTTCAAACCTAAATCTCTGGAGTGCACAGAGCTGCCCAGGGTCTGTGTGTGTGGGGGCGGGGGGGGGGGGGCGGGGAGGTGGGGTTTGCCTTGTTTTGACAAATTTGTGCATTAAAGGTGGTCACTGCTCCAGGCAGCTCAGGAATCCTGGAGAGGAAAGTCCTGTCCACGAGATAGGGGAGTAAGCTTGACGAGTCTGGCTGTTCAGTTACATCAGCTCACTGCAGTTTAGCAAATTAGTTTTGAGCTCCTATTACATTTAGGCGCAGTGCTTGGTGCTGGGGATACAAAGACTCACAAGGTATCATCCTCCCCTCAAGAACTCACCACCTAGAGGTGGGGATGGACCCCAAATAAATGATATGCCCTTCCAGAGGAGCTCTACATCTCCTAAGACCTGTGCTCCTTGAACTTTAATGTGCACACAAATTCCCTGTGGTTCCAGTGAAATGTCAGTTTAGATTCATTAGGTGAGGGTGGGCTCTGAGATTCTGCAGGTCTGATGAGCTCCTGGGTGATGCCCAGGCTGCTGGCCAGGGGCCACACTTTGCCCATTCTAAGGTTGGGTGTCCGCTGTGAAGAGGCAGCCTAGAGGGCTGCTGAGTAAGAAAAGCCCCAGGGGCCAGGCATGGTGGCTCACACCTGTAATCCCAGCACTTTGGAAGGCCAAGGCGGGCAGATCACTTGAGGTCAGGAGTTCAAGACCAGCCTGACCAACATGGTGGAACCCTGTCTCTACTAAAAATACAAAAATTAGCCGGGCATGGTGGCGCATGCCTGTAATCTCAGCTACTCAGGAGGCTGAGGCAGGATTCAACCACTCGAACCTGGGAGGCGGAGGCTGCAGTGAGCTGAGATTGCTGTACTCCAGCCTGGGCAGCAGAGCCAGACTCGGTCTCCAGAAAAAGAAAGAAAAAAAAAAGCCCCAAGGAGCAAGTAGAGGCTGTGTCTTCAGAAGCTTGTGCACTTAAGAAGCATGTGCCTCCACTCAGAGTAAGGAGTGCAAACTCCTTTTCCAGGCTTTACCCATCTTCGTAAGGCCACCTGTCTCAGTGTCTGTGGCGTGTGAACCAGAGCAACTCCATCTTGAATAGGAGCTGGGTAAAATGAGGCTAAGGCCTACTGGGCTGCATTCCCAGATGGTTAAGGGATTCTAAGTTACGGGATGAGACAGGAGATACAAGACACAGGTCATAAAGACCTTGGTAATAAAACAAGTTGCAGTAAGAAACCACTGAAAACCCATCAAAACCAAGATGGTCATGAGAGTGACCGCTGGTCATCCTCACTACTACACTTCCACCAGCGCCATGACAGTTTATGGATGCCATGGCAATGTCAGGAACTTACCCTATATAGTCTAGAAAGGGGAGGCATGAATAATCCACTCATTGTTTAGCATATGATGGAAAAATAACCATAAAAATAGACAACCAGCAGCCCTCTGGGTGTTCTGTCTATAAAGCAGCCATTATTTTATTCCTTTATTTTCTTAATAAACTTGCTTTCACTTTTTTGTATGGCTCACCCTGAATTCTTTCTTGCACAAGATCCAAGAACCCTCTTTTAGGGTCTGGATCGGAACCCCTTTCCTGTAACAATGGCGTTGCCATAAACCAAAGGAGCATTTTTCGGCTGTAGCCTGAGTGATTTGACTGTTTCCGGAGGCAAATATTTGAAAATGAAACAGCAAACCAGTGCCTAGGGTTAGGGGAGAGTCAGTGCATTCTAATTATTAGGTCACCCTTCATTTCTCTTTTCTGTCTTCATTGGAAAAAGAAGGCCAGGTGCAGTGGCTCACGCCTATAATCCTACCACTTTGGGAGACCAAGGTCGGAAGATCACTTGAGCCCAGGAATTTGAAACCAACCTGGGCAGTACAGTGAGACCTTGTTTTACTTAAAAGAGAGAGAGAAAGAGAAAGGAAAAAGGAGTTTTTTTAGTGCCCTGCATATTCTGGAAGTCTCCATGGAGGCTCTTTTCTCCCTTGCTCCTTGTCTCTTAAAGGTTACTGTAGATGCTAGAGCCTGTTTTGTCCTTCTGAATCTCTATTTAGAAAACTTTTCCTTCTCATTTCTTGTAAAGGATCGTGTCAGGGACCCACCATGTGGAAAATCTTTGGAAGATCAATGAGTTCCCAGTCCACAAAGCTCCAAATGTGTGCTATTGTATCAGCTATCTATTGCCATAGCTGAGGCTGTATAACAAACAAGACCTCATAAGCAGTATACTTATTGCTCATGCATCTGGTGGTGGTCAGCTTGCAAATTCTGCTGGTTTCACTCACATATCTGAAGGTCATCCAGTTGTCAGAAGATCTAGGCTGGTCCTGGCTAGTCAACTGGAGAGACTGGGGCGCTGCTCTGGGTACTGTCTTCCAGCAGGCTCTCCCAGGCATGTTTTCACAGCAATGGTGGAGGCTCAGGAGTGCAAGCAGACACGTAGTGCTTTTTTCCAAGCTTACACTTGCATTATGTCTGCTAAAATCCCATTTGTCAAAGAAAGTCACATGGCTTGGCAGAGTCAGAGTTGGGAGTGTACTGCAAAGTTACTTCAGTAAAGGGCATGGATATGGGGAGGAGAGAAAAACTAGAGCCATGAATGCAATCCATCTACCACATCTTTCACATGCAACAGTGTAACTTTACACTTGTAGTTAAGCTGATCCAAGCAATATCTTTGCATACAGCAAACAGCTACCCTTCTCTGCTCCCAGAAAGACAACAGCTGCAGAAAGTCAAGAGCAAACAAAGGCATCTGAGAGGAGGGAGAGCAACAGTATTTACTGACAATGCTCTATTCATAATCCACATTTAATTCAAACTCAAAAGGATGCATTTACAATCTGCCAGGTTTTAACAGCCCCACCCTTTAAGTGGCATCTATGCAGCAGTAGAAATAGTAAGCTTTCTGCCTCCTTCAAAAGCAAGGGCCTGAGCTCACAAGGTAAACAAAGGGTAATGAAACAGCAAATGGCAGAGTGTCAAGTTGTTGGAAGGTGTCTAGCGGAATGCCATGGGGACACGGTTTCATTCTGGTCTCATTTAACATCCTCATTAATGATCTGGAAGAGGGAGTAAACAGCACCTTAATTATAATCACAAGTGATGCTAAATTAGGATTTCTTGCCTGCATCAAAAGAAGGGACTCTGAAAGGACCAAGTGGGAGATGGAATTCCAGCTTAAGAAAGGGAACTAGCACCAAGGAAAAACTATCACAGCATGGCTGGGCGCAGGAGCTCACACCTGTAATCCCAGCACTTTGGGAGGCCAAAGCAGGTGGATCAATTGAGGTCAGGAGTTTGAGACCAGCCTGGCCAACACAGTGAAAACCTGTCTCTACCAAAAAATACAAAAATTAGCTGGACATAGTGGCGCATGCCTGCAGTCCCAGCTACTTGGGAGGTTGAGGTGGGAGGATCACTTTAGCCTGGGAGGTGGAGATTGCAGTGAACCGAGATTGTGTGCCACTGCACTCCAGCCTGGGCGACAGAATGAGACCCTGAAAAAAAATAAAGAGAGAGAGAGAAAGAAAGAAGGAAAGAAAGAAAGAAAGAAAAAAGGAAAGAAAGAAAGGAAGGAAGGAAGGAAAAAAGAAAGAAAGAAAGAGAAAGAAAGAAAGAAAGAAAGAAAGAAAGAAAGAAAGAAAGAGAAAGAAAGAAAGAAAGAAAAAGAGAAAAAGAAAAAGGGAGACAGAAAGAGAAAAATATCACAGCACATGCAGCAAAGGAAAAAGTCACTTGTAAGCAATGAGGCCAAAGGGCAAGGAAGCTGCCTGAAATTCTTTCTGGGAAAACCCAGGGTATTTGCAAATAAACCTTTTGGTTTCAACCTTGTTTTCCCTTGGAAAAACCTTGTTTTTAAGGGAAAAGTTTACAGCAAGCAGGTGGTATCAAGAAGTTACAGGTAGACATTCAGCCGGCTGTTCGGGGTGACGAACTTTCCATTCCAGAACCATAGCCCAATTTGTCTGTAACTTTGCAGAAAAGGCCCGGGCACTGGTGAACGCTGCTGTGACTTATGCAAAGCCTGGATTGGCCACATTTTGGTACTACGCCAAGGTTGAGCTGGTTCCTCCCACCCCTGTTGAGATTCCCTAGAGCTAGTCAGAGCCTGAAAACAATAGTCAATAGTGCTCAGACTGGTAGCTTCAAACAGCTCACAGTTAAGGAAGCTGTGCTGAATGGTTTCGTGGTCGCTGAGGTGTGGATGTGGTTTTGTGTTTAGCCAAGTGAGGCGTGAATGGTTATAATGTTTAAAGACCAATCTTTTTTTTTTTTTTTTTTTTTTGACGGAGTCACTCTGTTGCCCAGGCTGGAGTGCAGTGTTGCAATCTTGGCTCATTGCAACTTCTGCCTCCCAGGTTCAAGCGATTATCCTGCCTCAGCCTCCCGAGCAGCTGGGACTACAGGCATGCGTGACCACGCCCAGCCAAATTTTGTATTTTTAGTGGAGACAGGGTTTCACCATATTGGCCAGGCTGATCTTGAACTCCTGTCCTCGTGATCCACCCACCTCAGCCTCTCAAAGTGCTGGGATTACAGGTGTGAGCCACCACACCTGGCTGAAAACCAGTCTTTAACATCTGATTATATGTGATTTATTATTTGAGCGTTCTTTGACCATGTGTGATCAGACAGCTATCTGAATAAAATAAGATTTGTCCAAAAAAAAAATATATATATAAAGGGCCAGGCGCCGTGGCTCACGCCTGTAATCCCAGCACTTTGGGAGGCCTAGGCGGGCAGATCATGAGGTCAGGAGATCGAGACCATCCTGGCTAACACAGTGAAACCCTGTCTTTACTAAAAATATAAAAAAATTGGCCAGGCGTGGTGGCGGGTGCCTGTAGTCCCAGCTACTCGGGAGGCTGAGGCAGGAGGATGGCGTGAACCCAGGAGGCGGAGTTTGCATTGAGTGGAGATCGCACCACTGTGCTCCAATCTGGGTGACAGAGCGAGACTCCGTCTCAAAAAAAAAAAAAAAAAAAAAGTAATAAATAAGCGTAAGCTGCAGCAGGAGAAGGGGAGAAACACAATGTAATTTGAAGTATAAGCCGGGGAGCAGGAGACGCTTGACATTTTTTCCTTCATATTTCCCTTCTCCCATGGGGACATAAGACCACAAGGGCGGGGATTTGTGTCGATTTGTTTTCTGCTACATCTGAAGCACCTTGAATTATGCCTGGCCCATAGGAGTTACTTAATAAATATTTGTTGAATGAGTGATAATGGAGTGTGACTTCTGAAGAAGGAATCAAAAGCAGCTTTCTAGCCAGGTATAGAGGTGTGAGCCTGTGGTCCCAGCTACTCAGGAGGCTGAGATGGGAAGATTGCCTTGAGCCCAGGAGTTCGAGTCCAGCCTGGTCCACATAGTGATACCCTGTCTCAAAACAAAACAAACAAAAACAAGATATTTCTCTTCATAAGGTGCAAACCAGTCAGAAGGCTGACTAAAAACCAAAGAAACAAAACAAAAACTGGGGGTGAGGAGAAAACACAGAAAATGAAAACCAGGCTGGGCGTGGTGGCTCACCCCCATAATCCCAGCACTTTGGGAGGCCGAGGCGGGTGGATCACCTGAGGCCAGGAGTTCCAGACCAGTCTGGCCAACATTGTGAAACTCCATCCCTACTAAATATACAAAAATTAGCCGGGCGTGGTGGTGCATGTCTGTAGTCCCAGCTACTCGGGAGGCTGATGAAGGAGGATTGCTTGAACCTAGGAGACGGAGGTTGCAGTGAGATGAGATCTCTGCACTCCAGCCTGGACAACAGAGCTAGACTCCATCTCAAAAAAAAAAAAAAAGAAAGAAAAAAAGAAAACCAATAAAATAAAACTCCCCAGAGAGCAGAGGCCCTATTGGTTTTATTACAGTGCAAACAGTTGTAGCAGTCATGGTGCTTAAAGATGCCTGGTACTGTTCTAAATACATTGCTTGTATTATTCTACTTTATCATCACAATAAAACTATGAGGTATGTTCTATCATTCCCTCATTTTATATTTGAGGTACAGAAAGGTTAAGTCTGTTTTTCCAAGATTCTATAGTGAGAGTGATGGAATTTAGAGAATTGAGAGGAAATCAACAAACACAGTCAAAACAGCACAGGCAACTCTTCCCAGCCTTCCCTTCAGTGAGACACGCCCCAGTGAGAACATGACACTGAAGAATTAACACTGCCCTTCGCCCTGACTGTGGCTAGGAGAAACCATCTGCAGTCTTCCTTTTTATTCTTTCATCCACCCCCCTCCTTTTTTTTTTTTTTTTTTTTTTTTGGAGACAAGAGTCTTGCTCTGTCGCTCAAGCTGGAGTGCAGTGGTGTGATCTTGGCTCACTGCAACCTCTGCCTCACGGGTTCAAGAGATTCTCCTGCCTCAGCCCCCTGAATACTTGGGATTACAGGCACGTGCCACCACACCCAGCTAATTTCTATATTTTTTATTAGAGACAGGGTTTCACCATGTTGACCAGTCTGGTCTCAAACTCCTGGCCTCAGGTGACCCACCCGCCTTGGCCTCCCAAAGTGCTGGGATTACAGGCGAGAGCCATTGTGCCCAGCCTCATCTCTTTTTCATGTAAGTAAAGATCTGGAAATGTATGTTTTGCATGTGCATCCTTCATTATGTTCTGTATATTACCGCATACCTCTGTCATTTGAATGTATTCAGAGTTGAATACATCAAACCACATATATTGTACTTCACAAGTGATTTAAGGAACTTTCAAGGAAAACGTTTTATAAGAATCATTTTTTTGTCCCATAGTTTGACTTTAGAACAAAAATTTCATTGTCCTATTTCCTCCTCCCATGAAACCACTCTCTGTTGCTTGGTGGGAAGGACTGAAGCTAAAGCGGAGAAAAGCTGTGGTTGGAGAGAAAATCCTGGAAGCATCAGGGAACTGTGGTTCCTGAAGCTGGTCCCCTGATTCTAAGTTTCTTGCCCAAATTACTAGCTTTTTTTTTTTTTGGCCTGTTAAGGTTTAGCTTCTGTCTTTTAACAACCAAAAAAAAAAACAAACAAACAAAAAAAAACAACTTTAATAATGTAATCAGCTTAGGGTCTGTTTAATTTTAAACAATCTGTGCTTTGGTTTTGGGATTCTAATGCTGATATTAATGGGGGATCAATTTAGTAGTATTCCGGGGACAATAGGAAACCATTGTTTCACCAACATGGTGAAACCCCGTCTCTACTAAAAATACAAAAAATGAGCCAGGTGTGGTGGAATGTGCCTGTAATCCCAGCTACTCAGGAGGCTGGGGCAGGAGAATCACTTGAACCCGAGAGATGGACCAGGTTGCAGTGAGCCGAGATGGCGCCACTGCACTGCAGCCTGGGTGACAGAGCGAGACTCCATCTCAAAAAAAAAAAAAAAAAAAAAGTTGCTCTCCAGAAATCCAGGTAACAACAGAAAAGCATTTTCCAAAGTTTGCTCCTGTTACAATAAGGTGACCATAAAATTTATCCTCCAAACTGATATACTTTGGGGAACAAAGGAGAATGCCTTTAGCAATTATGCAAGGACAAAGGACAAAACAGGACTGGAAGTCCTATGTAAAATGCGCCTCAGCAAAGGGGCTCCTAGGCCCAATAAGTTGGGAAGTCTACACATTATTCTTCCTTCGTTGAGAGTCACGACACCCATTCTATTAAGAGCCCTGAGTCCTATAGTAAAAAACTGTACTAAATGTCATCTAAACCAGCATTTCCCTAATGGATTTTATTATGAAATCTTTATTTTCAGTAACAATTACTAGCATCCAGGGACTCCCTGTTTCGAAGAACATACTTCAGAAAATGCTGGCCTTGCAATAGACACTGGGGAATACTAGATGGGGGAGGAAGGGACGGAGGGAAAGGGATAAGAATTGAAAACCTAACTGTTGCCTTTAACTATGTAACAAACCTGCACATCCTGCACATGTACCCTGGAACTTAAAATAATTTTTTTAAAAAAAAGACAAAACAGCCGGGCGCGGTGGCTCACGCCTGTAATCCCAGCACTTTGGGAGGCTGAGGTGGGCAGATCACGAGGTCAGGAGATGGAGACCATCCTGGCTAACACAGTGAAACCCCGTCTCTACTAAAAATACAAAAAAAATTAGCCGGGCGTGGTGGCGGGCGCCTGTAGTCCCAGCTACTCGGGAGGCTGAGGCAGGAGAATGGCGTGAACCCAGGAGGCGGAGCTTGCAGTGAGCCGAGATCGCGCCACTGCACTCCAACTTGGGCGACAAAGCGAGACTCCGTCTCAAAAAAAAAAAAAAAAAAAAAAAAAAAAAAGGCAAAACAAACAAACAGAAAGAAAACCTAATTGTTTGGTATTATGCTCAGTACTTGGGTGATGAGATTATTTGTACCCTAAACCTTAGCAACACACAATATACCCAGTTAATAAACCTGCACATGTACCCCGTGAATCCAACATAAGAGTTGAAAAAAAAAAAAAAGCAAATGTTAACCTTGAACCTGTCTTATTCAGACACAGCGTAACTTGCTACCTGCATTAATGACTTGAATGGAAGGCCGCCACAACAAAAAAATTTTCCCAGCAAGCTCCTACTTGATTGGAAGTTCTACTACTATTTCCTCCTTTAGAGACCTTTGAAAGAATATGCACATTATAACGGGGTTAGGCATTATGTCATCTGGAAGGAATAACTCATTAGCTAGCTAACATTAGCAGTAATTAGTTTATCTAAATAGCCATTTACCACCCAAGGATTCTGAGTGGAGAACAGGTCCCCCAGGAATTGCCTTCATAAGAAGAGTGGGGGCTGGGCACGATGGCTCATGCCTGTAATCGCAGCACTTTGGGAGGTCAGGAGTTCGAGACCAGCCTGGTCCAACATGGTGACACCCCATCTCTACTAAAAATACAAAAATTAGCCGGGTGTAGTGGTGGGTGCCTGTAATCCCAGATACTTGGGAGGCTGAGGCAGGAGAATCGCTTGAACCTGGGAGACAGAGATTGCAGTGAGCCGAGATTGCGCCACTGCACTCCAGCCTGGGCAAGAGAGAGAGACTCTGTCTCAAAAAAACTAACTAAATAAATAAATAAAAATAAGAGTGGGGAATAAAGAGTATGGAGTATGGGACACTGGCCTGGCCTGTGCAGTATCTTAGTGGTGGGTTCTCGATTAATATGGTTCCCAGAATTTGCTCCTTTGAGGGTCACTTCTCTTTGCCTGCTGCCTCATATCTCTACTTCTAAAAGATGTTGCCTCCCAGACAAACTAAAATTACTCACTAGGAGCTTTCGTGGCCTGACTGTCATCTATTTTCTGGCCTGCCCTTTACCCTTCTCATTCTGAGAATATTTCTTCCCAACTCCAAACATGAGGCCCTGGAAAGGGGTTCCCTGACCTTCTAACATTCAACTTTTGGACGTAGTGATTAGTCTAGGGATGTGTCGCTGGATGAAGTTGGACCAATCGGAGACATTCCCTGATATTTTTGACATTTGGATCAGGGTGAGTGAATCTCAGTCCCCCTTAGGTCACCAAAGCCATTAGATATGGGTATGAGAGCTGCCAGCAGCTATGTTTCCAGGAGAAAGCTGGCTGCTAAAGTTTGTATGTATCCCCCAAAGTTCATCTGTTGGAACTTGGTCCCCAGTGTGGTGGTACTGAGAGATAGGACCTCTAACAGGTGATTAGGTAGAGCCCTCATGAATGATTAATACTGTTGTAGAAGGAATGGGTTCTGCATAATAGTACAAATTTGGCTCCCTTTTTTCTCCCTTTCTGGCCCTCTCTTGCCCTTCTACTGTGTGATGCCTTCTAGCATGAGAAAATGCAACAAGAAGGCCCACACCAGATGCAGCCCCTCGATCATGGACTTCCCAGCCTCCAGAACTATGAGCCAAATACATTTCTTTTTCTTTTCCTTTCTTTCTTTTCTGAGACTGAGTCTTGCTCTGTCACCCAGGCTGGAGTGCAGCGGCGCAATCTCAGCTCACTGCAACCTCCACCTCCTGGGTTCAAGTGATTCCTCTGCCTCAGCCTCCCGAGTACCTGGGACTATGGGCACCCGCCACCACTCCAGGCTAATTTTTGTATCTTTGGTAGAGAGGGGGTTTCACCATGTTGGTCAGGCTGGTCTCGAACTCCTGACCTCAGGTGATCTGCCTGCCTCAGCCTCCCAAAGTGCTGGGATTAGAGGCATGAGCCACTGCGCCCAGCCATATGAGCCAAATAAATTAATGTTCATTATAAATTACCCAGTTTGTGGTATTCTGTTGTAGCAGCAAAGAACAAACTAAAACACTAGTCTTAGAGCAGGCTTTCTCAACTACTATTGACATTTTTAGTGAGATAATTCTTTGTTTTGGGAGGCTGTTCTATACATTGTGGGATAATTAGCAGCAGTTTTGGCCTCTACCTACTGAATGTCAGTAAGCACCTTTCCCCAAGTTGTGACAATCAAAAATGTCCCCCAGATATTGCCAAATGTCCCACGGGAGGTAAAATAGCTCTCCCTCTCTGGTTGAGAACCACTGGCCTGCAGCATGGAGCCCACACTCGGAGAAGAGCACAGGTGAGAAATGGGGAATAAGAGAATGCCCCAGTGACATTTAGGGCCCGGCTTCAGCTGTCGCTGAGACTCAGCACACCCCACTTATTTCTGTGGATTGATTTCATGAGCCAATTAACTCCAATTTTTCCCCTAAGCTAGCTCAAGTTGAATTTCTCTAGTTGCACACAAGAGTGTTAATCTATATTTTCTATTAGGATTTTTGACAAACTGAAAATAGCTCACTTCCTTGTTCTCCTCCTGTGCCCACCCCCTCCAAGTCCATGATTATATTCAAAGACCTTATGAGTCAGAGCTCTCTACTCCTGTACTAGACAGAGAAGTTGGAGGCATGAATGAGGGCAGAGGGAGTAAAAATGAGCCCACCATCCCCACCTCCACCAATGCATACAATAAAAACAGTTCCTCTCCTCTCCCCAGGAAGTAGCAGAAATTTGTTCGCCAAAAGATAAGCTGTTTTGGGGTTGTTTTTTGTGTGTGTGGTTGCGGGGAGACATGGAGACAGTAGAAATGGGGGAAGGTATTTTTTTCTTCAATAGTGGTAATAGGCTAAGCAAAAAAAAAAAAAAAACAGATAGAATAGAAAGCTTGTGTCTCAATGTCAGAAGAAGGCTTTTCCCAGAGAAACACATCTATATTAGGGAATTTCCTGGGTGTCAAAGCCAGTGACTACACCTCTGTATCTGAGGAGAGGCTGTAACCTGTCCTGACAGCCCAGCTCAGAGCTACACAGACATTGCTTTCTTGGGCCACCAGGCCTTGGACCATTCTCTACAACCTCCATGCCTGCCCCAGGATTGAGCTCAGTGACCTTCCCCCATCAAAGTATCCAGGCCCCATGCAAAGAGAGCTTGCCTAGGCCCAGCTTCAGCACACAATTGGAGATTAGAACTAGGTGCCTGGAACTGGGTAGGCTGGCACTCAGGCAAGAAAGCACCAGGAATGTTGGAATACTTCTACACTGCTGGGTGAGCAGATGCTATCCTGAGCCCGCTGGGTGTGCCTTTGCAAACCCAGCAAATTCCGGGGGAATTAAAGGGTTAATGCTGCA
Organism: Homo sapiens; assembly: GCF_000001405.40. Lineage (NCBI taxonomy): Eukaryota > Metazoa > Chordata > Mammalia > Primates > Hominidae > Homo > Homo sapiens. The sequence goes on along the minus strand of NC_000004.12, from coordinate 24,650,742 downwards.
CAATGGGCAGCCCCAGAGCCCCATGGATTGATTTCATGGGCAAGCCCTGTTCTTTTCTGATTAATTAGTACTGATGCCTTCCTGGTTGTTAAATATTTTGAATTACACACCTGCAAAGGGAAAACAGACCTGGGCAAAAGGGGTGAGAGGGTGGCAAAGACTGCACTTATTTTTACAACACTGCTTTGGAATGATCCTGCATTGCCATTTCTTCTTTATGGATGCATTTTTTCTGAAAGCATTTTGGACTTGCCCCCAGTGACGGAGTAGCCTTGGCTCCCGTCAAAGACGAGGGCACTCACAGTCCAGCAGGGGAGAGAAGACATACGTGTGAGAGCTACGGGTGACGGAGAAGGTGCTCTGGCTGGAAGGCTGGGACTCAGCTGACGGATACCTTCATTTCCCGTGGAGGTCACGCTGCATCTCTGCAGTTTTCCAGGGAGTTCGGATATATTGGCAGTGTGCATCCATGCTCTGTTTTGGTCCCTCCTGAGGGGCACACAATTGCTAAGTCTGCTGGTATGTATTCCACTTTTTCCTACCACAGACAAAATGCACCCACCACCCTGGCCACATCCAGGCTTTGCTGTGACCCACTGAGCCACCAAAAGACACGTGTGTACCACGACACTGATGTGATTAAATGGGAGCTAAATTTAGAGCAGAGAAGGGTTCTGTAGCAATTTCCTTAGATTACTTTTAGTCTTTCTAATTTAGGCAAAGCAGAGATGCTCCAGCATTCCTCCTTAATTCAACTTATACTCAGGTCAAAGGTATTTAAAACCAACCCTTTAAAAATGACTGCTGTTGAGAAAGCAAAGGAAACAGCTGTGGATAATGGTGAGCAAAGTTCATTCTGGTCAAAATACAAGAAAGATCCCAAAATGACCCCTTTAATAAATACCCGCTCTCTTTCTTCCTGAATTTATTTGTCCTTCCACGGTACGGTCCCATCCCTCTGCCATTCTGTGCCCCATTACAGCAGGATCTTAATGCTCCTGCAACAGTCAGCTATTAGCTGATAAGGCTTAACAACTCCCAGTAGGGATTTGCATTTTAATAGAGAATTATTGAAGACCAAAAAGCTTTCAGGGTCCAAAAGAACAAAGCACAGAATTAGAGGCTGTGAGGTGGATATTCTAGGGGGCAGAAAATTGTCCAGATTATTCTCAAGTTGTACCACATTTATTTTGTCCCCTCTGCAAGGGCCACTAAGTCTCTGAACCCTCTTCTGATGTTCTCCCCTCCCTTCCCTTCCCACCCCATCTCCACAAACACATTAGCTGGCAGTGGCTTGTTTTGTGGGGGTCCCTGAGGGAGAGAACAGCCGTTTGTTCAGTGAAAATTCTAATGAGCCATTCTGGTCATGGAAAATGAGCCTACAGGTGTGGAAAGCCTGTCTGGATGGAAGGCAATAGAAAAGTGAATTGCTGGGCTTAGGAAAATATTATGAAGGGAGGGTGGTTGGATTGAGAACTGTCAGCTAAAATTGTGACAGTTCAGAAGAGATGAGAGGAAAAAAAGGACAAGAATATGGAGAATATGGGGATAGATTATGGTTTTATATGGAAGACTGGCCAGTAAGAAGTTCCTGGTACCGGAAAGGCCAACAGAGTTTTAGAATAGGGATGTTTAATGTTTAATTTTAAATTGGGACATATGTGCTATGCTTAGTTAATAGCAACGCCCCATACCCTCAAAATTTCAGTAATTAGGCCGGGCATGGTGGCTCATGCCTGTAATCCCAGCACTTTAGGAGGCTGAGGCAGGCGGATCACTTGAGGTCAGGAGTTCAAGACCAGCTGGGCCAATATGGTGAAACCCAGTCTCTACTAAAAATACAAAAATTAGGGTGTGTTGGCAGGCTCCTGTAATCCCAGCTACTTGGGAGGCTGAGGTGGGAGAATCACTTGAACTCAGGAGGTGGAGGTTGCAGTGAGCCAAGATGGTGCCACTGTACCCCAGCCTGGGTGACAGAGTGAGACTCTGTCTCAAAAAAAAAAAATTCAGTAATTAAAAACTTCTTCAGTTAATAAGAAGAGAGATATCTGCTGGGCAAATCCTTAATGTTAAAGGTTAGATTTCAGTGGCTAAAAGCCTGTGAAATGTTTAAAATCTATAACCACTAACTCTATTTCTGGGAGTCAATCTTAAAAGGAATTATCTGAAATTAAAATAAAATGTTATTATGCAAATATAGTATCATTTGCACAAAGAAAATTTAAAAACAATGTCCAAAAGTGTTCAAAAGAGCTTCTACCTAGAACACTCACCAGCCTCCCTCTATCTGTCAATATCTTAGCCATCCTTCAAGGTTTCTTAGTTTGATTTCCTATAAAAGCAGATCCTGAATCAAGGGCTGGGGTGTAGGTGGCTTATTTGAAGGAGAAAGACAATAAAGTGTGTGTTAATTAGCAGGTTACCGCCCAGAGTAATCTGGGGCTCAATCCCTACAGGGATCTTCCAAGGAACTTTGTAAAATGTGTCACAGAATTGCTCCACTGTGGAATGGGGAGGCTGGGGTACTGATTCACCAGCTCCTATTCCCCTTAAGTGGAGGGTTACCACTGGGCACTTTAAGTCTGACACAGGCAGGCTGCCCTGTGAGTAGACTCAGCAAACCTCGATGGTACTGGGGAGAAAGCCCCAGGCAGAAGAGCAGAGAGTCCCTTGAAATAAGCAGCGGTCAGGCCGGGCGCGGAGGCTCACTCCTGTAATCCCAGCACTTTGGGAGGCCCAGGTGCTTGGATCATCTGAGGTCAGGAGTTCGAGGCCAGCCTGGCCAACATGGTGAAATCCGGTCTCTACTAAAAATACAAAAATTACTCAGGCGTGTTTGCGGGCACCTGGATTCCCAGCTACTCAGGAGGCTGAGGCAGGAGAATCACTTGAACCCAGAAGGCGGGGGTTTGCAGTGAGCTGAGATCACGCCACTGCACTCTAGCCTGGGTGACAGAGTGAGACTCGGTCTCATAAATAAATAAATAAATAAATAAATGATAAAATGAAATGAGCAGCGTGCAGCATGCGGGAACCACCCACTACAGCTACCAGTGATCTCAGAGGTGGTCCTGGCATGATGCAGGACATCAACAGCATCTCTAGAGTGCTAAGGTTCAAATTCGTCCCCATTCTTCTTCCACACAAGGTAGTCTTTTATAAAAGCACCAGTGTCTCCCTTTGCCAACAATTCTATGGTCTTTTGTCTATTAATATACATTGCCATTACTTTCTACATGAGCTTAGATATCTCTTTATGCCTCAGTTTCCTTATCTGTGAAATGGGAGCGATAATAGTACCCATGGTGGATTGCAAAACATGGCTGCAATTCTTCATCCTTCCGGTATCCAGGCCCTTTACAGCATAATTTTGCAGCTCCTCTCATCAAAAAGCAAAGTATATTGCCCCATTTCCTGAATCTGGGTTACCCTTTTAAATGTGCTTAGGCCAAATACAAATGTTCAGCAGAAATGGCAGTGTGCCCATTTTGAGTCTCGGCCTCAAGAGGCTTGTGTACTTTGTGCCCTTAGGGATCCTGCCTCTGCCAAAAGAATAAGCCAGAGCTAGCCTGCTGGAGGAGAAGACATCTCCTAAAACAGAGGCAAACTGTTTCATCTGAGACCCTCCTAGCACCAGCCAGCCCCCAGCTGCCCAGATGCACAAGAGAACGCAGCTGAGGTGCCTCAGCCCACAGCCAGCTGCCCCAGAAGCAGAAGCTGCCAGCCAGCGCATAGACTTGTGAGCAAAAATAAATGTTGTGTGCCACTGAAGTTTTATGGTTGTTACACAGCATTATTATGATACTAGATAACTGATACAGCCTCAATTTCACTGGGGATTAAAGAAGCATAGAAACACATTCAGGACTTGGCACAGTACCAGGACTGTGATACATTTTCCTTAAATGGTAACTATTACTGTTATAGTCATTATGGCATTATCATAGTGTGCCATGTATTCAGATTATTTATATATATGTCGGTTTCTCCTACTAAACTAGGGGCTCCTGGATGATAGAAAACCAGATCCAATTCATCCTTAATGACACATTTCCCTATATTCAGGAGCCCATCATTTATGAAGGAGACAGACATGTACATAAAGTCTGTTGTGAGCACGGGAGATAGCAAACGTCCAAAAGTGCTGAACACAGAACTAGCACACAGAAGATGCCCAATAATGATAAAACAAATAAAACCAAAGCACCCTGCACGTCAGGGCATTTGCATGGGAGGTAAGATTGATAAGGGCAAGGCTGGCCTTCACGTTTGCCACACAGAGCACAGTCAAGGGAGTGAATGATGGGCTTATTTGGCATTTTTATAACCATAGCTGTTGCTCATGTTTCCAGGCTCCCTCTCACTCCAGAGACCAACAACCATTGCATGATGCAAAAACTAATTAGAGCAAGTGTGGAGCCCAGAATAAGCAGCCTATTAAGGAAATTTGAGTCAAATGAATGCAAAAGGACATCTATTGTAAATATACCCTTAACCAGTATTTATTTTTTGTTCTCTCCCAACTTCCCTAAAGGGAGTTTATTGTTTGAGAAAAGTCATAGTAAAAATCAGAAGGCTTTTACCATACACCTCCTGGTCCCCAGAGAGGTCCTATCTGGGGCCAGCAGGCTGCATGGAGCAAGCTCCCAGCAGAAACACTCAGGCAGCATGTGCTGAGCCTGGGCAGCAAGGTTAACAGAGACTCAGACAAATTCATCTTCATTTCATGTTTTCGACAGCCTCTTAACTTAGGTCAACTCCAAGGCAAACCAAGTGATTTTATTAGAGGCAGGGAGAGGTGATAGAGAGCACGTGGACTAACTTGGATTCCATTCCCAACTCCATGACCCACCAGCTGGAGGACCTTGACCTAGTTACTTAATTTCTCTGAGTCTCAATTCCCTCATCTGTAGAATAGGGATAATAAGAAGTCACCTTGTCAGGCTAGGATGAAGATAAAAAAGAGATGTCAAGTGTCTGGCTTATAATGGCCTGAGTTTTTTATTCCAACTTTGCCCCTTGCTGTCTATACGTAACCTCTCTGTGCCTCAAATTCTGTAAAATCTGTAAAGTAGGAAAAATCACTAGCCTTAAGGCTGTCGTGAGTATTAAATGAGTCAGCATATATAAAGTCCTTCGAACAGTATCTGGCACACAGCAGGCACTTCGTAAGTGTTGCTATTGCAGTTATTCAAACAGAATTAATAGAAATCTCTGATGACCAGAGACCTCCTAATCAACTCATTTGAGTCCAGATATCAGCTGCAATACATCAGCTCATATGCACAAATGGTAAGAGTGGATTTAAGCAAATCGTAATTCAGTGAGTCATGATTCCAGTTTATAAGCAGAGAAGCACAATTCAATTTTATAGGCAGCTGGGCTGCTAATTAAGAAGAAGCCCTTAATTACAGCACCTGATGTAGAAGCCCTGTCTCATGCTTACTGGCCTTGTTTTTCCTCACTTCTCCCTCAGTCTATCACCCATCTATTTACCTGCTTATTATTTATTTCTCTATCTCCACAGAGGGTATATATGTCTGCTGTCCAGAAACCTAAAAGTGAAACTGCTTCTTGGCACCAGAACTCACACCTCTCTGCTGGAAGTAAAAACAGTACTCAGTTCCCCAGGGTGGTGATTTCTGAGGACGATGGGGGAGCCACAGGAGTTTGGGTGGGGGCAAAGAAGATGGTCCATAGAATTTACTTCCAGTAAATGAAAGGCTATGTTCATACAGAAATCTGTATGCAGATATTTATTATAGTGGCTTTATTCATAATCACCAAAAACTTGAAACAACCCAAATGCCTTTCTACTGGTGAATGGATAAACAAAATGTGGTACATTCATACAATGAAACACTATTCAGCAATTTTAAAAAAACAACTACTAGTACCAGTATACCATCAATACGTCTATATTATTCCATTCTTGCATTGCTATAAAGAACTACCTGAAGGCCGGGTGAGGTGGCTCACGCCAGTAATCCCAGCATTTTGGGAGGCCGAGGCAGATGGATCACCTGAGGTCAGGAGTTCGAGACCAGCCTGACCAATATGGTGAAACCCCGTCTCTACTAAAAATACAAAAATTAGCTGGGAGTGGTGGTGGGCACCTGTAGTCCCAGCTACTCGGGAGGCTGAGACAGGAGGATTGCTTGAACCTGGGAGGCGGAGATTGCAGTGAGCTAAGATCATGCCACTGCACTCTAGCCTGGGCGACAGAACAAGACTCCGTCTCAAAAAAAAAAAAAAAAAAAAAGGGTTTCATTGGCTCACAGTTATACAGGAAGGCTATACAGGAAGCATGGCTGGGGAGGACTCAGGAAACTTACCATCATGATGGAAGGCGAAAGGGAACCAAGTACGTACATCTTCACGTGGTGGAGCAGGAGAGAGAGAGAGGGAAGGGGGAGGTGCTACACACTTCTAAACAACCAGATCTCGTGAGAACTCACTCACTATCATGAGAACAGAAAAGGGGAAATCCGCTCCCGTGATCCAATCACCTCCCTCCAGGCCCCTTCCCCAACACTGGGGATTACAATTCAACATGATATTTGTGCAGAGACACAAATCCAAACCATATCAACATCTCAAATGTATTAGTTAAGTAAAAAAAAAGCCAGACTCAAAATATTGTCTGACTACATATTGTATGATTCCTATTAGTATGACTTCCCAGAAAAAGGCAAAGCTATAGGTACAGAAAAACAGATCAGTGGTTGCCAGGGCCTGTTGTTGGCAGAAGGGGACTGGCTACAAAAAGCCTTAGGGAATTTGGGGAAGGAATGGAAATGTTTCATCTCCTCATTATGGTGGTGGTTACACAACACATGTGTTTGGAAAGACTCATAAACTCTACACTAAAATAAATTTTATAGTGTGTGAATTATACCTCGGTAAACCTAACTTTAAAATAAAATGATCCATAGGAACCATGGAGCAGCAATAAAAGAACTTTGGCACTTCCCAAAGTCAAACAAATAACCTCTATTTTTTTCTGACTTTTATTTTTACTTTATGTATTTCTTGAGATCTTTGTTAGCCATTAAAATATGCATATTTTAAAGTAGAGGGCAATTAATCTCATCAAATATAGTAGCACTAGTATAGGAAAATATTTCTTTTTCCAAGTAAAATCACTGTTGCAGAGAGAATCAGATATGAATTCCATTGGGCAAAACACATTAACAGCCTTTATCCATGTCAGATGATGCATAGGAGGGAATGCACTGTTTCAGACTCTGGAGAAGGGGAGATAAGGGCTGTTGCCCAGCCTATTCATGACTGACCTCAATGCACAATGACCTCAACACATAGGAAAGCTGGTCCTACATAACTAAGGCAAAGTTGAATAGAGATAAATGCCAGGTGGGTGCTCTCAGAAGAATAACTTTGGCCAAGTAAAATAAGTCCAGCATGGATAACAGTGTAAGAATTTAATTCAGAATACTCTCTGACTTCTCAGGGTATAGCTTTGCAGAAAGAGACCTGGTTTTCATAGTTCATCACAGATGTAGAAGAGTGTGCACTGATTGTTGTGAGCATTTTCCTACTGAAAACACACTTCACTGATGAGTCATTAGTGTCAGCTATTCAAAGAATGCGAGCTCCAAAACGTGTCGGTTGATAAATAAGTAACCCAAGGCTGGGTGCATGCAGAGAATGAGACCAGTGATATGGCCAGAGAGTATTGAGTATTTGCTGAGACCAGATGTATATGACATCACCTCATCCCACCACAACCTATGAGGAAGATGTTGCTATCACCACTTTACGGACAGGAGACGAAAACTTAGAAAGATGAGACCACTTGCTCTTGACCATTTTATATTTTCAAATGCAAATGTTCTATGTTTCTACCACAAGTGGAAATAGTGATTCTGAATTAAATTTAGACAGGTGGTGGGGGAGGCAAGAGGAGAGAAAATAAAATCATAAAGACATGAACAGTGGTGTGCTGGTAAGTGCCTAACATCCAGCTCTGGGACAGGGGTGCTAATTTATACCATAAATAGTCTGCTATGACCAAGTTCAAGCTATCCTCATGAAGTCAACCAGCTTGCAAACTTCCTGACAATTTAACAATTGGCTGTCCTGAGAGTTGTTTGTAGGGAAGTTTTTGGTAAAAAATACAATTCAGAGAAAGGCTTACGAGAACCCTGTGTAAAGTAGAAGGCAGGCCATCCACACTACAACAAAACTTTGGGACCTTGAAATTTGGGTTCATGATCTCACAACTGAGAAGAGTCCCTCCACACTCTTGGAGCTAGCTGTGCACCCATTGGAATCTTTTTTTTTTGAGGCAGAGTATCGCTCTGTCCCCCAGGCTGGAGTGCAGTGGTGCATCTCGGCTCACTGCAAGCTCCGCCTCTCGGGTTCACACCATTCTCCTGCCTCAGCCTCCCGAGTAGCTGGGACTACAGGCGCCTCCTACCACGCCCGGCTAATTTTTTGTATTTTTAGTAGAGATGGGGCTTCACTGTGTTAGCCAGGATGGTCTCGATCTCCTGACCTCATGATCCGCCTGCCTCGGTCTCCAGAAGAGCTGGGATTACAGGCGTGAGCCACTGCACCCGGCCGGAATCTTTAAGGTAAAACAAACCGGGGAAATTTCTCCCAAGAAGAGGATGGCATCCTTGATGTGAACTGCTTTTCCCAAGTTCACAAATTAAGACCTCTGCCATGATGAAACTCTTATCTTTGAATATTTTTCCTTGCTTATGCCTCTATGAACAATAGAAGTGGAAAAGGGGTCTGTTGTGTGCACTAATGGAGTAGACTTTTATTTGTGAAGGAGTTTGCAGCCAGCCTTATACATGGGTAAACTTCTACTTTGACAGATAAAAGATGAAGGCCCAATGTAGGTGAGAAATTTTAATGGTATATGTGTTGCCTCATAATCAGTCAAAAACAAAACATTGGTTCACTCCTCTTAACCCACATCATGGGTTAAAGAGAACATTGCCAGAAGGTCTTCATTCTTCTAAAAGGGATTCACTTGTTAGGTCCTTTTTCCATGGTTTAAGTAAAAGAAGCAATGATTAGAAATGTATCCCTCATGATAGGTTCTATAGCAAATTCTAGTTTAAAGGCTACAGTTACACAACAGACTTTAAATTCTCTTGTGAAAAATATGCTAAACAATAGAATTGGCTAAACAGAAATGTATCTGTGCAGCTGCTGGCACTTGTGGCCTATGGGGAAATACATCAAATGAAGATTATATAAATTCAGTGGTAGGGGATTGACGAAGAAATTGCTTAGTCAAGTGAGCAAACTCTTTATCTAGCTCATTCTTTGATCTGTTTGATTTTAGGAGGTTTGATTTATGGAGACCTTGTGTAAGGAACATACTCCAAACTCTTGGTATTATCCTCCCAATAGTCATAATAATAGTCTCCCTGGCATGCTGTATTCCCTCAAAGGTTTTAAATACTTGCATGCAGCCATCTCTAGAATGTCATATGGTCTCTCTTCAACTGGAATAACAGGAGCTGAATGAAATGTGCAACCATGAGGACATCATAACCTAAGAATGATATGCTGAGACCGGAAACCCAAAAAGGTGGTAACAGAGAGTGGCACTAAGGCCCTAAGTTTTGGTTACACTCTCATCTAAGTGAGAGCCTGACCAAAAACAGGGAATTTTTTTAAACACAATTATGGGAGGCCATTGTTTTGGACTGAGCTCATGCACTAGTCCCCCACAAACCAAACCAAACAAAACCAAAATGGAGTTGCTCATGCTAAGACTTTAAGGAAACACATAGATTCTAGAACAGACCAGGTTTTGTTTTTTCTCCTGCAAATCTCTATAACAAACATTTCTGACAGCATGGGTATCCACCCTCTGAAGTTCCCATTAAATCTTTTAACCAAATTCATTTCCTCTCACCTAGAGACTGTCAAGCTTTAGATGATCAGACAACAAAGGTTCCAGCCAGTTCCAGGTGAAGGCACCACCCCTGGACATCAAGAAGCTACCCTGCCTCCACTAGACAGAACAGGGTGAGAGTTCCGTGATCCCCAAGAGGTAGGGACTACGCCCCAAGGCAGCATGAAGCAGTTACAGAAAAAAAAAAAAAGACCATCTGTCTCTCTACCTTCCATAAAGATTTATGGGGATCACATCTCTGAGCGGGGAGATAAGGCAGGAAAATAGGGTCTGCCTTGGAGGCAGGGAACATAAGGCCGATTCACACTTCAGCTATAACAGGAAATATCCTCCCCACAGGGCGTATGCCATAAATGACTTTGTAACTTTACTTCATCCTCTCCGTTTACATAAGGAGAACCCGAAGTAAGCAGTGGAATCCTCTAGGGGGTATTTGAACTCCCAAAAATTCTGTAATGGGGCCTTTGAGCTCCTATGCCCGGGCCCGCTCCCACACTGTGGAGTGTACACTATCTTTTTCTATAAAACCATTCCCTCCTTGCTTTGTTTGTGCGTTTTGACCAATTCTTTTTTTAAGACGCCAAGAACCCGGACACCCTCCACTGGAAACAGGTACAGCAGAATGACTGAAAGAGGGAAGAGAGCTGAAGGGTGTGGAGGGATAATGGAGGAAGACAGAATGCAGGTGACGGATTTGAGACCTGCTGATGAAAATGGAGGCTCCATTGAGAGTTCAGAAAAACCAAAGAACCCCAGGTCACCCCCTGTGTCTCATGGCCCCTGAAGTTTAAGGCTATGGGTGGGTCTGGGGACGGAACAGAAGCCTCTGCTTAAGGAAAGGCCAATAACACAATAATCACTGGTTGGGGTTTAGAAAAGTGATCCATGGAACAGGAAACAGACTGAATCACTGAGAAGGGAAATGGTTATTTCTGGTGACCACATTGTCAAACTTACTCTGATGTCCAAGCATAAAGAAGCAACCATCTAGCCATCTGAGCCCCTCCGATAGTAAATAGCACCCCGTGTCCTCCATGCCAGCCTGGCCCCGCACCACTGGCAAAGGGAAGCCTCCAGCGTCACATGCTGTTCATAGATCTTACTTCTGAGTGCCTGATGCCAGCATTTTCTCCTGTCACATAGTTTTTGACACTTGCTGCTTAGCTTCTGACCTTATTTCTCATTCTCCTACTTGCAGCCTCATCATCAAGCCTGAAGGGCGCACAGTCCTTCCTCTATAAATTTGGCTTTCCTTTGAATTCTCCCCACTCCCACACTCATGGCAGTTTTTAAACAAAGCTGCGAATTCCTTGACACTCCTTCCTTCTAGAGGTGCCACTATGCAATTCTGAGATTGGGTCATAAATGGCCATTCAGCCCTGAGCTGCTCTGTTAGGAGACTAATTACCCTGAGGCCACCATGATGGAAAATCCACAAGTTGGCTCTGGGGGTGGTTGTGGGGGGGAAGTTCCAGCTGATCCCAGCTTTTCTTTCAACTTGCCAAGGTACCACATATGACTAAAGTGATCTTGGACCCTCCTAGACAGCTCAGCCTCCATCTGAACACAGCAAATGACTTCAGTAGATGCTATATGGAGCTCTTCTACTGACCTCTGCCTAAAATCCTTACACACAAAGTCCTGAGATAAAATAAAATGGTTGCTGATTAAAGTCAGTAAGTTTGGGGGGTAGTTTGTTATACAAAAATGGATAACACAGCACTCTTCTCACAGGCTGCTCTTTTGAAAAGCCTGTGGGCTGACAGTGTATCTAGTCCTAACCCCAGAACTGCTAAGGTCCTTTGATGAGCACAATGAAACATTGGTTTATTTAATCCCATCGTATAAACCAAGAACAATTTTACTAGCCTATATACTACAAGTGTGCAATAAAGAATCACAACCTTCAACACACATTTTCTTTAAATATCAGTCTCCGGACCTAAGGACCATCAGCCGTTTCTAAGATGACCTGTTAATATTTGTTTGCTACTTGTTCACTCACTTGTTTATGAACTACTCCCTATCACAGAGGTAGGAGCAGGTTCCCAAGATTCATAGACAATTTAAATGAGAAGATTTTATTCATTTATGTATAAGTGTTCCCCCTTGCATTTGAGGAAAACATTCTTCCAACTGAGCAGCAAAACACCTCCATCACAATTCACGGAACAAGGAAGAATAAATTGGGAACTATCCCTTCAAACCTGTCATTCCAACTGAATTACTTGAACATGTATTGTCAGTTACCTGTCTAACTTATAGCTTGCCTTTACTCATTCATGCCACTTTATTTACTGAGCATGTAAATATACCAAGTGCCTTACTGGATTCTAGAACCACAGAGATGAGGGAGAAACAATAGTGGAACTGAGGAGCTTATAGTCTTGCAAAGGAAACAAACACATAGCAAGTATGTTAATTTTGTGATTGTAAATGCAAACATTCATTAAATCTTGATATTTCTGGGATTGGAGTGTGTCTTCGCAATGTCAAATCTTACTTTCATACCAGCTGCATAAAAATACAGCTGCACAGAAATACATCATACAGCCCCTTTTTCTCACCTCAGCAAATTATTTGCATTGGTAACAGTATTTTAACTAAACTTTGGATCTCTAATTTGTTGCTTAAAATGTCTTCCAGAAGATTATGTTATGATGAAACATTAAAACAAAAACATATGTGCATACAGAAAAAAATACCTCTCTTCAATAGGCAATGCAATTAAAGGGGGTCTCTCATGAATAGCTAATAGAGCTTTCAAACCAGGGAGAGACAGGTGTAACCGATGCGCGCGCCACGAAGGGTTATCACTCAGGCTCTAGAAGTCTCTCTGTTCAAAGCTTCCTGTTTCTTAAAGAGCAGCCATTTAACTTCTAGCAATATGTCATTTGCTACTCATGATCTTATCATGGTGGATATATGTCATTATAGAGTTTTTCAAACCCATAAAATGTAGAACACCACGAGTGAACCCTAATGTAAATTATGGGTGGGCTGGGCACCGTGGCTCACGCCTGTAATCTCAGCACTTTGGGAGGCCGAGGCGGGCAGATCATGAGGTCAAGAGATTGAGACCATCCTGGCCAACACGGTGAAATCCCGTCTCTACTAAAAATACAAAAATTAGCTGGGCGTGGTGGCATGGGCCTGGAGTCCCAGCTACTCCGGAGGCTGAGGCAGGCGAATCGCTTGAACCCAGGAGGTGGAGGTTGCAGTGAGCCGAGACTGCGCCACTGCACTCCAGCCTGGCAACAGAGTGAGACTCCATCTCAAAACAACAACAAACAAATAAAAAACTATGCGTGATAATGATGTGTCAATGTAGGTTCATCAGGTGTAAGATGTACACCAGTGGTCCCCAACCTTAGTAGTTTCGGGATGAAACCATTCCACCTCAGATCCTCAGGCATAAATTAGAGTCTCATAAGCAGAGCGCAATCTAGATCCCTCGCATGCGCAGTTCACCATAGGGTTCGTGCTCCTACGAGAGTCTGCTGCTGCTGCCCGTCTGACAGAAGGCAGAGCTCCGGCAGTAATGTTCACTTGCGCTCACCTCCTGTTGTGCAGCCCAGCTCCTAACAGGCCACAGCCAGGTACGGGTCCACGGCCACGGGGTTGGGGACCCCTGATGTATACCACTGGTGAGGGATGCTGGTAATGGGGGAGGCTATGCATGTATGAGGGCAAAGAGCATATGGGGTATCTCTGCACCTTCCTCTCAATTTTGCTGTGAAAATAAAAGTGCTGTAACAAATTAAGGTCTTAAAAATATATATATTATTCATCTTTATTACTGATGCCTTTGATAACCCCTTAAATTTTGTAACCAAGGCCAATGCCTCAGCAACTGCAACCCAGTCCCAGCCCTGTGTCTCATCACATGCTGCCAAATCATCAAAGGGTTTTGCTTCCAGTGACTCTTACGTAAATACAAGCATTATTTTACAATGGTTTTAAATTTAATTACAAAAATACTGCATGCTCATAAAAAATAAAAAGTAGAAAACAGCAGATGGGATGCGATGGCTCACACCTGTAATCCCAGTACTTTGGGAGGCCGAGGTGGGCAGATCTCTTGAGGTCGGGAGTTCGACACCAGCCTGGCCAACATGGTGAAACCCTGTCTGTACTGAAAATACAAAAATTGGCCAGGTGTGGTGGCATGCACCTGTAATCCTAGCTACTCAGGAGGCTGAGGCAGGAGAATAATTTGAACCCGGGATGCGGAAGTCTTAGTGAGCCAAGATTGCACCACTGCACCCCAGCCTGGGTGACAGAGCGAGACTCCATCTCAAAAAAAATAAAAAATAAAAAAAAGGGAAAACAGCATAAAGTAAAAAGTAAGTTTCTTATATTGTGCTCCTCTCAATCCCATTTCCAGAATAAATTGTTTATTTATTCGGTTAATAAATTACATATCCATCCAGGTAGTTTTTTATATAAATATATGCAAAGTATGCATGTGATACATACCCTTTAAAAAATAAACACGATAATTTATACCACTGTTCTGAACCTGATGGGTTTTTTTTTTCCATTTAAGGACATAATAGATACTTTTCCATATCCTTCTCTTCTAGCTTGTTCTGTCTGAGCTGCTGCATAGAAATCCATTGCAATGTGTCTTAGTTCATTCAGGTTGCTATAATACCATAAACTGGCAAATAACAGAATTGCATTTCCTACTGTTCTGGAGGCTGGGAACGCCAAGATCAAGGTGCTGGCAGTTTTGGTGTCTGGTAAAGGGCCACTTCCTGGTTCATAGATGATGCTTTCTAGCTGTGTCCTCACATCATGAAAGGATCTAATTAGCTCCCTTTAGCCTCTTTTATTAGGACACTAATCCCACTTCTAAGAATTCTTTCCTCATGACTTACTAATTTCCCAAAAGGCCTCACCTCCTAATATCATTGCCTTGGGGGTTTCAGTTTCAATATACGAATTTTGAGGGGACATCAATATTCAGACCAGAGGATAAGCCATATCATAATTTAATCCATTCCCTGTTGATAGACATCCAGGTTGTTTCTAGCATTTGTTGTTTCAAACAATGTTACAACAACAAAAATCCCCAATCGTATTTTTGCTTGTTTGTTCTAATTTAAATTTTTGATTAATATTGCCAAATTGCTTTTCCAAATATTTTATGTATTTTTTTTCACCCTCCATCAACACTTTAGTGAGTATCTACTTCCCCTCTCCATGGTGAAGGCTGTATGTCATTAAATTTATATAAGTGCTAATCTGATAGGTAATTTTATTGTTTTATTTTGATTTTTTAATTATCTTTTTATAGATTTGTTAGCCACTCACTGCTCTGCCATGAATTTTGTGTTCATATCCTTTGTCCATATTTCTACTGGGTCACTGATCTTTTCCATGCAGATTGGTAAGAACTCCTTTCATATTAAAGAGATTAGTCCTTTTTGTGTCACATATTGCAAACAATTTTCTTCTGTTTCTTGTTTATCTTCTGATTTTGTCTACACAAGGTTTTTTTTGCTAGTTTTTTGGGAGCTTTTTCTTTTTTCTGTATGGAAGTTTCAGGTTTTTTTGTTTTCTGTTTTTTGTTTTTGAGATGAAGTTTCACTCTCGTTGCCCAGGCTTAAGTGCAGTGGTGCAGTCTCAGCTCACTGCAACCTCTGCCTCCCAGGTTCAAGCAATTCTCCAGCCTCAGCCTCCTAAGTAGCTGGGATTACAGGCATGCACCACCAAACCCGGCTAATTTTTCATATTTTTAGTAGAGACAGGGTTTCACCATGTTGGCCAGGCTGATTTCGAACTCCTGACCTCAGGTGATCCACCCGCCTCGGCCTCCCAACGTGCTAGGATTACAGGTGTGAGCCACCGTGCCCAGCCACAGTTTCAGAGTTTTTTAAAAAAATTTTTAAATAATCAGCATTATCATTAGTAGTGTCTCAATTTCATGTCATTATTTAGTGTGCCCTTCCCCATTCAAACTTTTAAAAAATCCAATTCTAGGATTGTTGTTGCTGTTATGGCATTTCTTTGAGAGGTCGAGCCATTGAATTTCCTTTGGTTGAAAGAAGCGATGTAGAGATCCAGGTGACCTTTGTCAAATGGCTTTCTATTTTCACAACGTACCTTATTGATGAAGTATGAAAAAGGGTGAAAAGGCCATCTTTTACCACCATTTGAGAAGCCAGCTTTATCTTAAAATAATGTTCATGTGTACTTTTGTTTCTTTCTGAATTTTCCATTCAGTTTATTTAATAGAATATTTCTGTCTCCATACTGGTCTACAGCATGTTAATTACTGTAATATAATGATACATTTAAACATTTGATAGAGATATTTCCCCTCATGGTTGCTTTTTATTTGAAGATTTTTTTTTCTGGCTCTTCATCCATGTTTGCTTTTCTATATGAACTTCAGAACAGCTTCATCAAGTTTTTAAAAGCCCTGTATTCTGACTGGCCTTATATAGAATTCATAAATTAATTTCAGGAGAATTTATATTGTTAATATCTTTAAAATGATACTTATAACTTTTTAATTCATAGAAAAAGGAATGCACGTCTGTCGATGGTATTAAAGTCTTCTTGAGCAAAATAATATTGCATCACGTGGCATGTCTTTGGAAGTTTAAGGAGGGAGATCTTTTCCATATTCTGTAATTACTGTTTACATTTGTTTTAACATAAACTCATTCATTCTATAAGCAGTGTTGGAGCATCTACTGCATGTAGTAGGCGTCATGTTAGACCATGAAAAAAAGAATGAAGCGACTACATGGTCCCTGATCTGCCACCTCCTGATAAAGATGATCATTTCTACTAGGGAAGACAGTCATAAAAAATTTCAGTGTAATGTAATGACTGCTATAACAGGGACAGTACAGTGTGAGATTGTAGAATCATACAGACTGGAATTCCTTGTAGAATTCTGGAATATAGAATAATGGGGTTTGAAGAGGAGCTTATTTTCCTAAGGATTTGTCCAGTGCTTTCAAGACATGACATGTCCACTAGATTTTGAGGAAAAGTGGACGTTGGCCAGTAAGAGTATTGTCCATTCATGTATGTGCTAGAATCATGATGTTACTAAAAAAAATTGTTTTATTTTATTTATTTATTTTTCCAAGACGGACTCTTTCTCTGTTACCCAGGCTGGAGTGCAGTGGCGTGATCTTGGCTCACTGCAACCTCCACCTCCTGGGTTCAAGCAATTCTTCTGCCTCCCGAGTAGCTGGGATTACAGGCATCCACCACCACACCCGGCTAATTTTTGTATTTTTAGTAGAGATGGGGTTTCACCATGTTGGTCAGGCTGATCTCAAACTCCTGACCTCGTGATTCGCCTGCCTCGGCCTCCCAAAGTGCTGGGATTACAGGCGTGAGCCACAACGCCCAGCCAAAAAATTGTTTTAATTGAAAATAACATCTTATGAGCTGGCACAGTGGCTCATGCCTGTAGTCCCAGCTACTTGGGTGGCTGAGGTGAAGGATCACTTGAGCCCAGAGGTTCTAGTCTCCAGTGAGCTATGATCATGCCACTAGCCTGGCCCACAGTGCAAGACCCCTCTAAAAAAATAAATAACATCTTATTGCAAAAGTATTCATTAATAATTGAATATTATATATAGGCAACTTTTCGTATACATATGAGTGAATTTTTTAGATAGTATAGATATGAATTTTTTTTTTTTTTTTTTTGAGACGGAGTCTTGCTTTGTCGCCCAGGCTGGA
Organism: Homo sapiens; assembly: GCF_000001405.40. Taxonomy (NCBI): domain Eukaryota; kingdom Metazoa; phylum Chordata; class Mammalia; order Primates; family Hominidae; genus Homo; species Homo sapiens. The sequence continues at coordinate 24,633,125 of NC_000004.12, read as the reverse complement.
GTGCAATGGTGCAATCTCGGCTCACTGCAACCTCGGCTTCCCAGGTTCAAGTGACTCTACTGCCTCGGCCTCCCTAGTAGCTGGGATTACAGGTGTCCGCCACTATGCCTGGCTAATTTTTGTATTTTTAGTAGAGACTGGGTTTCACCATGCTAGTCAGGCCGGTCTCAAACTCGTGAGCTCAGGTGATCCACCCGCCTCAGCCTCCCAAAGTGCTGGGATTACAGGCGTGAGACACCGCACCCAGTCAGATATGAATTTTTAACTGTTATACTTTCCCAGCCAACTTTATTGATTTCCATGGTACAAAAGTTCAAAAATGTTAGTTAAATCCGTCACTTCCAGTTTAATTTCTCTTATTGTTTCAATCTTTCAAGTGCCACCATCTCTACAAAGATCAAGTAAATGGGATCCCATTTTGGCCACCACATTTCAGTTGTCATGTGGAACATCTCAATAGGATCCAAAAATAATGAGAAATGAAAAGTAAGTTTCCATTTTTTCACAAGTAAAACTTAAAATAGAACAGACCAAAGACAGAACTTATGTATTATCCCCAAGAATAATACAGAGGATAATGAGCAATGATTTTCCTTGTTCAATAATTTTGATTAAGAGAAAATGTGTTTACTGCAAAGTTGAAGAGTTTGGAGGAACATAAGGAAAAACTTATTTACTATCAGGGTGTTAGAACAATGAGATAAACTCCAAAATAAGAAAAGAATCTCCTGCCCCATAGGTTTTCCAAAGATAATGGAAACCATGTATCCTTAAAGGTTTATATCAATAATTTACAAATTAGAGTTCTTATTTGGAGTAACTTGTGGAAGGTGAGAGAAAGGGATAGGACTGTTAGCAGCAGACTAGGGCTAGGGTCTATTGGTGAAACCTTAGATTTGGAAAAACTGGTTTATCCTGTCCTGTGTTGACAGGTGGGTGCTGACTCTGATGATAACTCAAGGTTTCTTCTCAACATTGTTTGATAGCTGTCAAAGTGCAAGTCACATTCTTAGAAATAATAATATTAGTCACAGCTCTGTATCAATACATGTATGACTGTGGAAAATGGGCTCACAATGAACGCTTTTCCCTCCGATTCAACATAGGCACAAAATTACTTTATAGTAAAGAACCAAAAGCATTGATTCTTTAAGCATATAATTTTTTTTTTAAGCAAGGAATAAGAATGCGTGTTTTTCTGTGGCTTAGAAATGCTATGCTGGGACTGGGAGCAGTGGCTCCTGCCTATAATCTCAGCATTTTAGGAGGCCAAGGCAGGCAGATCACTTGAGGACAGGAGTTCAAGACCAGCCTGGCCAAGATGGCAAAACCCCGTCTCTACTAAAAATACAAAAATTAGCTGGGCACGATGGAGCACAGATGTAATCCCAGCTACTTGGGAGGCTGAGGTTGCAGTGAGCTGAGATCAAGCCATGGTACTCCAGCCTGGGCAACAGAGTGAGACTGTCTCAAGAAAAAAAGAAAAAGAAATGCTATGCTGGTAGGAAAGTTAGATAAAAATAGTTTAGCACACTCCTAAATTAACCAAATTTCTTTTTGTAGGGCAGGCATATTCAGCATATACATCGACGGTCAAAATCTGGTCTTTAGTGACTTTGAAAACAGACATAAAAATGCATATTTTACATTTTGAAAAGTCTTTAATTGACTACTAGAGCCATGGTAAAAAGATTAGAAATTTTTTCAGCTGCATAAGATTTTCAATGAGTTCCCTAAGGATGTGGGTGGATATCTTTGATTTTAAGATTGAGTCGATTAGTGGGAAGGAAATGTCGTGTCAGGCATTAGAACCTCATTTTTATTATCTAGCATTTATGCAATTCATTTCCTCTCTGAATTGAAAAATACTTTATAATATCATGGTTAATGTAGGCAGTGTTATTCTCAAGGGGCTGGAGCTGGAGATATTAGAGAATTGCAGCTAGTGGCCAAGCCAGGATTCGTAAGTTCATCATATTTACCCAGACTCGGAAAGACTGACTCACACCAACAAACTCAGTTCTCTGAGGTCAAGGCTGCATGATAATAGTCGAGTGAGACACGCATCTGCCTTTCCTTACTCTCCCAATCCTATGAAATAATGGAATTTTTTTTTTTTTTTGGTGGAGAGGTATAGTCATTTATTATTATTTATTTCATTCTATTCTATTAATTGACAAATAATAGTTGTATATATTCAAGGAGTACATAGTAATGTTTCAATATATATATAATGTATGGCGATCACATCAAGGTAGTTTACATGTCCATCACCTCAAACATTTGTCATTTCTTCGTGTGAGAACGTTCAATATCCTCTTTCTAGCTCTTTGAAACTATATACTATATTATTGTTAACTATAGTCATCGTGCAGTATTATAGAACACTAGAACTTGTTCCTCTTAGCTGTAATGTTGTACCTTTTAACAAATTAAAAAAAACAAATCTATAACAGTGTGAGGAAATAATAAAAAGCTTCATTAATGAACCAGAAACTTGGAATTATTCCTAAAGAGAGAAAGCAACAGGGGTCATATTTAAGAGAAAAAACAATTCTAAAGAACATCGTAGCTTAAAACAAATATTAAGAGAGGAATTGTAGGGGAGTGGGGGAACTGGTTTAGGGAAGCATCACACTCAGAGCCAATGCAATGCACAAATTCATTTTTTTATTCAACAAATATTTGTTAAGCGTCTTTTATGTGCCAGGCACCGTTCGAGGCATTCAGGTAACATGTGTGAACAAAACAGGATTCTTGTCCTCTTGGAGCTGATGTCCTAATGAGATAAGACAGAAAACAGAAGATAAACTTAATATAATAAACACCTTTGTATGCCAGAAAGGGATGTGAGTGCAATGGAAAATGATAAAGTGGGTCAGGGCAAGGAGATTTGTTGTACCAGGGAAGGACGGAGGATACTGAATAAGGTGGTCAGGGTAGGCCCTGTTGAGAAGGAGAGTTAGCCAAACAGATTATTAGGGAAAGGGTATTCTAAGCAGAAAGTAGCGAGTGTGAAAGCACCAGGGTGGGAGGGAGTATGCCCAGCATGTTCAAGGGACTTCAGGGAAGCCAGAATGGTTGTGGGAGAGTAAGTTAGAAGAGTGGAAGGAGATGAGATGGAGAAGTCACAGGACACTGTTTTTTTGTTTGTTTGTTTGTTTGTTTGTTTGTTTTTAACAGAGTTTTGCTCTTGTTGTCCAGGCTGGAGTGCAATGGTTCAATCTCGGCCCACTGCAACCTTGGCCTCCAGGGTTCAAGCGATTCTCCTGCCTCAGCCTCCCGAGTAGCTGGGATTACAGGTGCCCACCACCACGCCCAGCTAATTTTGTATTTTTATTAGAGACGAGGTTTCTCCATGTTGGTCAGGCTGGTCTCGAACTCCCAACCTCAGGTGATCCGCCCGCCTCGACCCCTCAAAGTGTTGGGATTACAGGCATGAGCCACGGCGCCTGGCCTAGGACGTTGGTTTTCACTCTAAATAAAATGGGGCAATGTCAGGAGAGGTGTGTAGGGAGAAGCGGGGAAGTGCAGGGCTTTGAGCAAAGGAGGGATATGATCTAAGGTATCTATGAAAAGGCTTGATTCTGGGTGCCTTATTGAGAATAACTTTAGGAGGAGTGAGAATAGAGCCAGGGAGATCAGTGATCTAGGCAAGAGAGGATAGATGGTGACCATGATGGAAGCAGTCGAGATGATTAAAGCTGTCCATTCTGAATGTATTTTGAAGGTAGAAGGAGCAGGATTTCCCTGATGCATTGAGTATAGAGTGTGAGAGAAGGAGGAAAGTCACAGATGATCCATGTTTTCTGGCCTGAGCAACTAGTTGGATGAAGTGCCCTCAACTAAGATAGTGCAGCTGCAGTTTCCTGCATGAGCTGCGCTCATGTCATGTAAGGTCATGTAAGGTTTGGTGGGATTTGGGACGGAGGAACGTGGTCAAGAGTTCCTTTTTGGACATGTTGAGTCCAAGATGTCAATTACACATTCAAGCAGAGATGGTAGTAGACAGTTACCCGGAGTCTGGAGTTGGGAAGAGAGGCCTGGGCTGGAGATACATGTTTGGGAATTGTTGGCATATGTATCTTGTTCAAAGCCATGAGACAAGGTGAGATTATCACATGGGAGAATATAGATAAGGAGAAAAATCACATTAATTGATTAAAAGAGAAAAATCAGAGTATCATCTCAACAGATGCCAAAAAAGATGTGATAAACCTCAAACACTGGTTATTGATTAATAAACAACAACAGTCCAGGCACAGTGGCTCACGCCTGTAATTCCAGCACTTTGTGAGGCTGAGGTGGGTGGAACACAAGGTCGGGAGATAGAGACCATCCTGGCCAACACAGTGAAACCGCGTCTCTACTAAAAATACAAAAGATTAGCCGGGCATGCCTGTAGTCCCAGCTACTGGGGAGGCTGAGGCAGGAGAATCACCTGAACCCAGGAAGCAGAGGTTGCAGTGAGCCGAGGTCAAACCATTGCACTCCAGCCTGGTGACAGAGTGAGACTCCATCTCAAAAAAAAAAAAAAAGAAAGAAACAACAACAAAAAGAAAGATAAAGAAACTTTTAAGGAAAAAAGGAAGACCTGAATAGACATTGAAAGATATCACATCCTAAGATGGAATACGCATATTTTTTTCCTTTTTTTTCTCAAATTACAAAGCAATACAGGCTTATTGAAGAAGTAAAATGGTACAATGATGTGCAAAGAAAAAGTTAATCATCATTTCATCCTCACCTCAATCCCCTTTGAGTTAACACACATTAACACCCTGGCATTTATTCCTTCACACCTTTTTTCATAGCTAATTCAATATTACAAGCATTTATGGAGACCACAACTATAGAAGTTTGTTTGTATGTGTTTGCTTTGACAAAATAGAATCATACTTACACATTACTACTTTTTTAAATTTAACACCTTATCATGTGCATCTCTACAAATATGCAGATATGGATTCAACTCTAGCTTTTTCTCCTCTCATGTATATTATATCATATATATACACACACATTATACGTGTGTATTATATTTTAGGTATATATGCATATAATGTATTATATACATATTAATATGTAAATATATTAACAGAATATCATTATGGTAGCTAAAAAAATTAGATCCAATTTTTCTTCTACCCTTCTCCTTTCAGATTTTACCCAAATCTCACACCCTCACACACAACTCGACAAAATTCCTGTTAACAATCCAATGTAGAGCATTCCAAACTTTTTTCCCAAACTCATGTAATTATAAGTAGAAGTTTGTACACAAATATACATGTTTACACATACATACACACACACACACACTCATCCATACACAGTCATGTGCTGCATAACCACATTTCGGTCAATGACAAACCACATATACAACACTGGCCCCAAAGAAACAAAGAATTATAATGCCATATTTTTGCTGTACGTTTTGTATGTTTAGGTACACAGTTGTGTTACAATTATCTATAGTTTTCAGTACAATAACATGTTATACAAGTTTGTAGCCTAGGAGCCACAGACCACACCATATAGCCTAAGTGTGCAGTAGTAGCCTCTACCACCTAGGTTGATGTAAGTACACTCTATGATATTCACGTAACAACAAAATTGCTTAACAATGCATTTTGAGAAAGCATCCCCATCCTTAAGTGATGCATGACTGAATACTGTTTATTACTGGAAACCATAATATACACCATTCTTGGCATCTTGCCTTTCTCACTCAACACCTTGTAGCAATCCTTCTAATTCATATGCAGTAGTTCTAATTCCTTCTTCTTAGTAACTGCATAGTATTTTTTTTTTTGAGACAGGGTCCCACTCAGTTACCCAGGCTGTAGTGCAATGATGTGTTCATGGCTCTCTGCAGCCCCAACCTCCTGGGCTCAAGTGATCCTCCCACCTCAGCCTCCCTAGTAGCTGGAACTATAGGCATGCACCACCATGCCTAGCTAATTTTTATATTTTTGGTAGAGACGAGGTCTTGCTATGTTGCCCAGGCTGGTTTTGAACTCCTGGGCTCAAATGATCCACCTACCTCAGCCTCCCAAAGAGCTGGGTTTCCAGGCATGAGCCACCACACCCGGCCAACTGCATAGTATTTTATGATGCAAATACACACACATTTATTCAGCCATTCCCTTATGGATGTATATTGACTTTGTTTTTAGGTTTTTGTTACTATAATTCTGCAATAAACAACTTTACATATAGCTCTCCATATTGATTATTTTATTTTTACTGACTACAATCCCAGGAGTGCAATCATTGGGTTAAAGGGTATGAGGATTCTTTATTATAATGGATGCTGCTTGGCATTTGTTTTTCTCAAAATGTGACAATTCACATTTTCACAAGTAATGCATGAGATTGGAATAGATAATATCATTCTTTTTAACTTCTGCCAATCTGTTGCATGTAGAGTAATATCTCATTATTATTTTAATTTGCAATTCCCTGGCTGCCACTGAGTTGGGTACCTTTTCATATGTTTACCAGCCATTTGGATTTGCTATTCGGTTTATTTCCTTTTTCATACTTATTGACCTTTTTAAAAATTGGAATGGTTTATCTTTTTCTTATCAATTTGCAAGAATTTGTTATATATAAGAAATATTAACCCAATATCTGTTATCTACATTGTACATATTTTTCTAAATGCATTTTGACTCTTGACTTTGTTTGGGTACCTTTCACCATATAAAGGTTTGAAATTTTTATGTAATCAAATATGTCTACCTTTTATACTTTCCAGGTTTCTGGTTTTAGTTTAAAAGATGTTCTCTGTCCCCTAGATTTGCATGTAGTCACCTAAATATTTTTTTTAAACTTATTGTTTACATTTATGTTTTTAATCCATTTGGAATTTATTTTTGGATTTGTTGTGAAATTGAGATACAAGTTCATTTTGCTCCAGAAGAATAGGCAGTTATGCCAGCAATACTTATTAAGTAAGCCATTCTTTCCCACAGAATTGAAATACTACCTTTGTCACATATTAAATTATGATATATACTGAGATCTATTTTTGGATCCACTCTTCTGTTCCACTGATTTGTCTACTCTTATGCCAATACCACGTTGATTGTATTCCAGTGATTTTTATTACAGTGGCTTTCAGTTGAAGGCAAGTCTCTCATTATTTATCTTCTGCATATTTTCTTTGTTATTCAGGCACTTACATTTCCATGTGGCTTTTAAAATAATTTTATCCAACGCATTCTACCCCCCAAAAAGAGAACTATTAGGATAATACATGGAATTTTGCTATATTTATTTAGGGGAATATTATTAGTTTTTCAATCTGTAAAAATTTTAGTCTTTCTTTCTTAACATTTATTATATCTTAAAAATTAGCAATAATTTCTTGATATGATTAAATATCTAGTCACTGCTTAAATTTCCCCAATTGTCTCAGGATAGTTTAATTTATTTTTTAGACTTAGGATCTAAATAGGCTATAAATTTCAGTTGGTAGTGATAGGTGTTTAAATCTTTTTTAATCTGTTGACACCTCCTTCGTTATGTGTTTTCTTGCAATTTACTGAAGAAAACAGGTTGTCCGGCAGCATTTTCCTAACCTGAATTTTGATAATTGTACCTCTGTGGTGTCATTTAATGTATTCTTTTGTCTCCTGTAGTTCCTGGATGTTGGTGGTTAGATCTAGAGCTTTGATCAGACTCAGGTTCAATTTTCAGGCAAATATTTGTCATAGAAGGTGACATGGAAAGTCTGATCATCTCTCTTTGTTGTTTAGCACACCTATATCCACTGATTTGTCAAGACTTGCACAGTGGTGATATTTTGACTCCATCATTCCTTCTCATTGTTAATGACGCAGCTTTAGAAGTTTCTTACACAATGGTGCAGTGTCCTCTTCAATCATCTCGTACCTAGAGGTGCAGGTTATGCAGGGAAATGAGATAAGGAACTGATTGCAGATGAGCTGGTTTCCCAGAATCCTGTAACACTGACTACTGTGTTTTATTGGTTTGTTTCATTATAAACTAGTGGATATCAACATACATATTTGCTTTTTGTCTATGATAGTTATTATTTTTTGTTTCACTGGTCTATGGGAGAAAATTTCTTCAGATTGGATCTTGGAATTTTTGGACACACCCCTGGGACTTCTGGGGTCAAAACAGAGAAAAGAAAGCTCAGGTACTTAGGGTAGGCTGTGTGTTTCCTGCCCTAGATCTGTCAAGGCTGTAATGCAAGGGACCCTGCTGTCTTCCAGGGAATATGGTATTTGGGAACACCATTTATGCATTTGGTATTATGGGCTTAGTTATTGTTTCTGAGCTTTTTCAGTAGACAGAATAGAAAATGGTATTTGTTTGTAAGATTACATATGTCATGACTTCATACTAATAGTTGCAGTTCAACTACAAGGTTTTTGTCTAACCCATTGATATCTTTTCTCCCACACTGAAAAATTACATAATGGCCTGTTAACTTTAAGCCTCTCTGTATACACTACAGTCTCAAAATAATGGTTTTCACACTACTTCTGAAACATGAGATTTCTGAGCAGCTTAAGATATTTTTTGCAATTCTTTTCGCCCTTAGGGAATATCCCACTAGGGATGGGCTATCAAATTACTGTGCTTTCAAGCTGCTCTAAATAGGTTCTCTCTGTGTGACTGTGCCACCAACCTAATTCCAGTTGTGTTGGGTTCATTTGCTTTATTTTACTTTCCATTTTAAGGGATTGCTTTTTTTTTTTTTTTTTTTGAGACGGCTTCTTACTCTGTCACCCAGGCTGGAGTGCAGTGGTGCCATCTCGGCTCACTGCAAGCTCCGCCTCCCGGGTTCATGCCATTCTCCTGCCTCAGCCTCCCGAGTAGCTGGGACTACAGGTGCCCGCCACCACGCCTGGCTAATCTTTTGTATTTTTAGTAGAAACGGGGTTTCACAGTGTTAGCCAGGATCGTCTTGATCTGACCTCGTGATCCGCCCGCCTCGGCCTCCCAAAGTGCTGGGATTACAGGGGTGAGCCACTGTGCCTGGCCTATTTTTTATACTAACTTTTCCCATCCAAGGACAAGGTATATGAAAATGTAAGCCTATCAGTCATGTTTCATGTTAGTATATAATTTAATTCAATTTCAATCCAAATCCTAACAGGACTTTTTAAGGAAATTTAGTAAGCTGGCTAGACAATGACGGGAAAGAGAAATGGACTCAGATGGCCAAGAAAATTTTGAAATAATAAGAAAAATGAGGGAAGACTTTCCCTACCAGATATTGAAGCATATCCTGAGAGTCCATAATGTAGGAAAACTTTACTAACATGTTATAAGACATCTGCTCCTGGCTATGAGGAAGCACTAGACCCCAGATTCAGCCTCCTCCCTAAACAACCATATTACTAGACAAAATATATGAAATAACAATTTTCAGGCATTGGACAACGGGCAACGTAGAGAAGGAAAAGAAATAAGGGGAACTCTAATGTTGCCAGCTTACTGCCAGGACAGAATTTCTCAGCTATAGCTTATGGAAGGAGCACCCAGAGTACAGAGTCTGAAGAGGTCAAAGGAGCTAGGATTTGTGGGGCAGGGCCAAAGAGTAATGAGCCACACTGGGAGGACCCTGAAGATCTGCAAAGGGCTCCCCTTGAGAGTTTAGCTTAGTATCAATCAGTTTATGTGTGCCTTAGTCAGCTTGGGCTGCTGTAATATACACTGGGAGGCTTAAACAACAAACATTTATTTCCCACAATTCTAGAGGCTGGAAGTTTGAGATCAGGGTGCTGGCATGGTCAGGATCTTGATGAGGGCCCTCTTCCTGTTTATGTCCTCACATGGCCTTCCTTGTTACTTGCATGTAGAGAGACAGAAGTAACAATTCCTCTCTTTTTATAAAGGCATTAATTTCATGATGAGGGCCCCACTCTCACAACCTAATCTGACCCTAATTACCTCCCAAAGGCCTAATCAATGAATACCATTACATTAAGGTTTAGGTTTTCACTATATGAATTTTGAGGGGGACACAAGCATTCAGTCCATAGCAATATGTATGAGAAAATTAGATGAAGTGTGGGGAAGATCACCAGAATGGATCGGGTAGAACAATAGCCAGAACTAGCTCTAGGCTAAAGATTGCTCTGGATCCAACTAACAAAGCCTAAAGGCAAGCTTTGAAAGGATTGAATTCATTCAACATGCCAGGATAGGTGTTTTCTGCCATCATCTTGACACAGAAGCATTGATTTTGACAACTACCTCCACATGACAGTACCTTTGTGGGAGTCTGAGAGTTCAGCAGAGAAGTTCTAGTACACTGTGGAGCAAAAAGTCTGAGAATAGATGCATTGAAGAGGGTAAGAAGAACAATTTCACTATAACTGTGTCACCTTTCCCCTAAGACAGCACAGTTCAGTGCCAAGACAGACTCCTTCAGCCTGCAATTTCTCCCATAGGGGAAAGTGAATGCATAGCAAGCAAGTACCTGGCTTATCCAGTCATGAAGAGTGCTACTTGAGAGGTCCACCTCTTTCTTAACTCACACAGAATACTGAGGTGACTGGCACAACGAAAAAGTTCAGAAAGTTGGGAGCAAGGAAGAGAGCTGGGGAGTCACATTAACCCAGGCTCAGAACTCAATAAAGGGCCATGGATCTTACTAACTGCTTTGTTTTGCAGATTCCATCAGGAAGCCCTCCTATGAGTTACTGGAAACTTTGTTCACAGAATCTCTCAGCTTGCTCACAGGCACCCTAAATGCTTTGCATGTCCCACCCTTCTCCACCCCATGGCCCCTATGCATGTCACCACAAATGCAAGTACAAGCCTCTGCAGATGGCTCATGAGCATGTGCAGAAAGCCATCCTAACTCTGTGCGATTGGGACAAGGCACATAAACTTGACCATTTCAGGGAACAGCCTTTAAAAAAAAAAAAAGATCAAGAGAAGGCATACAGTCTTAGGAATCTCCCCCTCCGCAAGTGGTAACAAGAGGTGTGAATCAGACACATTAATAGGAAAGGACTGAGAAAACCTCAGAATCCCTAGTCAGGCCGAATAGTGCAGGTATTTCTCTCCCAAAGTTAGTCAGCAGAGACTGGAGAGGGTGATTGCTTCTTCAAATGAAAAACAAAAACAAAACAAAACAAAACAACAATGCAAGCTCCCCATGTAATTGAAAAATCAAGGAAACATGATACTAAGGGAAGAGACAACCCCTCATATTGTCTTATGCCCAATTTCTGCCTCCAAAGAAAGAAGTCTTCCTGAAGACTCAGCTGCCTTGGGCAAAAACTGTATAATAGTACTACAAAAACAGTAACCTGGTAAACTTCAAACCACACTAAAAGAAATCCGTTTAGTAAATTTCCAAAGTTGCAAACTGTGTGGACCCACCGGGAGTCCCATCTGGACTGGACAGCCCCCACTGGATTATACCAGATATGTGGGCATAAAGCCTATGCCAAAGAAAGAAGAAGTAAAAACTAAAAGGCAGAAATGAAATCCACAGGCAGACAGCCTGGCACCATGCCCTGGGCCTAGTAGTTAAAGATCGACCCCTGATCTAACCAGTTATGTTATCTATAGATTCCAGACATTGTGTGGAAAAGCACTGTGAAAATCCCTGTCCTGTTCTGTTCCTTTCTGATTACCGGTGCATGTAGCCCCCAGTCACATACCCCCTGCTTGCTCAATCAATCACAACCCTCTCACACGGACTCCCTTAGAGTTGTAAGCCCTTAAAAGGGACAGGAATTGCTCACTTGGGGAGCTCGGCTTTTGAGACGCAAGTCTGCCCAAGTTCCTGGCCGAATGAAGCAGCTTCCTTCTTCAACCCGGTGTCTGAGGAGTTTTGTTTGCAGCTCATCCTGCTACAATACTACTAAAGGAATATAATAATTTTCCAATAGCTAACTCAAAGCAATAGAGATCTATGAATTACCTGATAAAGAATTCAAAGCAACTGTTTGAAGGAAATTCAGCTAGCTACAAAGAAAACATACACAACTCAACAAAATTGGAAAACAATACATGAACAAAACAGGAAGTTCAACAAAGAGATGGAAATCAAAAGAGTACCAAACAGAAATTCTGGAGCAGAAGAATGTAACGGATAAAGTGACAAATACAGTAAATTATGTCAATGGCAGTCCTAAGCAAAAGAAATAATCTGTGAACTCAAAGACAGATTATTTGAAATTTTCCAGTTAGAGGAAAAGAATTGAAAAAGAATGAAAAGGAATGAAGAAAGAATTTATAGGACACAATCAAGAAAACTAACATATGCATTATGAGAGTTTTAGAAGAAGAAAGAAAGGAAAAGAAAGATTATTTTAAGAAATAATAGCAGAACACTTCCCAAATCTAGAGAGAGATATGATCATCCAGGTAAAAGCTACACTCATTTTTAATATTGTGGTCTTTTAACTTTCATACTAGAATTACAAGTGATTTACACACTGCCATAATAATATTAGAATATTCCAATTTGACTATATACTTACCTTTACTGGTGAGTTTTATACTATAAGATGTTTTTGAGTTACTAATCAGCATCCTTTCAACTCAACTTGAAGAACTCCATTTAGCATTTCTTGTAAGACAGGTCTAGTGATGATAAACTCCCTCGGTTTTTATTGTCTAAGAAAGTTTTTATCTCCCTTTCATTCCTGAGGGATATCTTTGCTGGGCAAAGCATTCTTCTTTGCCAGTTTTACCTATTAAAAAGCTTTAATAACTTTTTAATAGGTAAACAATATAAAAACATGTAAGTTGTGACATTAAAAAAAAGTGGAGGGGGAATCCAAATTGTAGAGTTTTTATATGTTATTGCAGTTGTTTCTATCAGCTTAAAACATACTGTTATAACTATAAGATATGTTATGTCAATTTCGTGGTAACCACAAAGCAGAAATCTATAGCAGATACACAAAAAGATAAACAGAAAGGAATCAAAACACCACTACAGAAAATTATCAAATCACAAAGGAAGATAGCAAGAGAGGAAGAAAGATACAAAGAAATTACAAAACAGCCAGAAAATAATTAACGAAATGGTGATAGCAAGTCTTTACCTATCAATAAGTACTTGAAATGTAAATAAATTATATTTCTCAATCAAAAAACATAGAATGGCTGAATGGATAAAAATACAACACTCAACTATATGCTGCTTACAAGAGGCTCATCATAGCTTTAAGGACATACATACACTGAAACTGTGAAGGACGGTAAAAAAATATTCCATGCAAATGGGAACCAAAAGAGAACAGCGTTGATACTATACTTGTATCAGACAAAACAGACTTTTAGTCAAAAACTGATAAATAACTCAGTAAAGTTGCAGGATACAAAATCAACATACAAAAATCAGTAGCATATTCATATACTGACAATAAAGGATCAAAAAAGAGATAAAGTCCTTAAAATGTCCTATTAGAAAAAGAGATATTAAGAAAACAATCCCATTTATAATAGTAACAAAAAGGACAAAATAATTAAGTACAAATTTAACCAAGGAAGTGAACTGTTTATACTACTGAACCATTTATGAAAACATTAAAACACTAGTGAAAGAAATTGAAGACAAATAAATGAAAATATATCCCATATCAATGAATTGGAAGAATTAATATTATTAAAATACCCATAGTCCCCAAAGCAATTATATTAGTCATTTTCTCACTGCTATAAAGAACTACCTAAGATTGGATAATTTATAAAGAAAAGAGGTTTAATTGACTCACAGTTCTGCATGACTGCGGAGGCCTCAGGAAATTTAAAATCATGGTGGAAGGGAAAGGGGAAGCAAGGCATGTCTTACATGGTAGCAGGAGAGAGACTGAGCAAGGGGAGAAGTGCCACACTTTTAAACCATCAGATCTTGTGAGAACTCACTATCACAAGAACAGCGTGGGGGAAACTGCCCCCATGATCGAATCACCAACCACCAGGTCCCTCCCTAACACATGTGGAATACAATTTGAGATGAGATTTGGGTGGGGACACACAGTCAAATCATATCAGCAATCTACAGATTCAGTGCAATTCCTATCAAAATTCCAAAGGTACTTTTCACAGAAAAAGAAAAAATGATCCTAAAATTAATATGGAATGGGAAAAGATCCTGAGTAGCTCAAGCAATCTTGAGCAAGAACAGAGCTGGATGCATCACACTTCTTGATTTCAAAGCTATCTTAATCAAAACAATATGATTCTGGCATAAAATCATACATCAATAGAACAGAGAGCCCAAAAATAAACCCACACATATATAGTCAACTGTTTGACAAAGGTGCTGAGAATATGCAATGGACAAAGGATAGTCCCTTCAATAAACGGTGTTGAGAAACTGGATATCCACATGCAGAAGAATGAAATTGGCCCTTTATCTAACACAAAAATGAAGTAAAAATATATTAAAGACTTAAACCTAACACCTGAAGCCATAAAACTCCTGGAAGAAAACACAGGAAAAAGTTCCATGACATTTATCTTGGCAATTTTTGTTGAATATCAGGATACCAAAAGCAAAGGAAACAAAAGCAAAAACAGAAGTAAGTAAGTGAAACTACATCAAACTAAAAAGTTTCTGTATAAGTTTCTGCAAATGAAATAATCAAAAAATGAAAAGACAACCTCCAAAATGAGAGAAAATATTTGCAAACCATATATACCAGGGATCTCCAACCCCGCAGTACAGGTCTGTGGCCTGTTAAGAACCAGGCCACACAGCAGGAGGTGAGCGGCAGGTGGATTAGCTTTACTGCCTGAGCTCCACCTCCTGTCAGATCAGTAGTGGCATTAGATTCTCATAGGAGTGCAAACCCTATTGTGAACTGTGAACATGCAAGGGATCTAAGTTGCATGCTCCTTATGAAAATCTAATGCCTAATAATCTGAGGTGGAACAGTTTCATCCTGAAAAAATTTGAGAAAAAGTTTTCATGGCCCAGTCCATGAAAAAATGGTCTTCCACAAAACTGATCCCTGGTGCCAAAAAGGTTGGGGACTGCTGATGTATATGATGAGGGGTTACTACCCAAAAAATATAAGGAACTCATACAACTCATTAGCAAAAACCAAAAACAAACCCAAATAATTCAGTTTTAAAATGAATAAACGATCTTAAGAGATATTTTTCCAAAGAAGACATATCAATGGCCAACAGGTATATGAAAAGGTATTCAACATCACTAATAATCGGAAAACTCAAATGCAAAAACATAAGATATTACCTCACACCTGTTAGTATGGCTATTCCCAAAAAGACAAAAGATAACAAGTGTTGGTGAGGATACGGACAAAAGGGAACATTTGTCGGCTGATGGTGGAAAGGTAAGTTAGTAGAGCCATTATGGAAAAGAATGTGGTGTTTTCTCAAACAATTAAAAATAGAACTACCATATGATCTAGCAATCTCTTTTCTGGGTATACAGCCAAGGAAATAAAATACTCCAATGTTAGCTGCAGCACTATTTATAATAGCCAAGACACAGAATCAACCTAAGTGTCCATCAACAGTTGAATGGATTAAAAAAATGTGGTGCACATATATGCAATGGAACATTATTCAACCTTAAAAAAGAAAGAACTCCTGTCACTTGCAACAAAATGGATGATACTGAGGGACATTATGTTAACTGAGATAAGCCAGGCACAGAAAAACAAATACTGCATCATCTTACTTATATATGGAATCTAAAAAAGTCAAACTCATAGAAGCAGACTATAGAATGGTGGTTGCCAGGAGCTGTGGGTGGGGGAAATATGGGAGATGTTGGTCAAGGGGTACAACCATAAGTTATAAGATGAATAAATTCTGGAGACCTAATGTACAGTATGGTGACTGTAGTTAATAATAATATATCATATATTTGAAATTTGCTAAGAGAGTAGATCTCAAGTCTTCTACCACACACAGAACTATCTGAAGTGATTTATATATTAATTAGCTTGTGGTAATCCTTGTACCATATATACATATATCAAAACATTATGTTGTGCACTTTAAATACATACAATTTTTATTTATATATCATACCTCCACAAAACTGGAAAATAAAATTGCCAGGCATGAAAGATGCAGAATAATATAACTCATAATGAGGATTTAAATAATCAACCTGTAAATGGACCTGGAAATGACACAGATTATTAAATTAGTAGGCAATGATACTAAAGTATTACAGTAATCACAAATATGTCCAGGAAGGTAGGAAGAAAGCATGAACAGTTAAGGAGAGACATAGAAGTTGTAGAAAAGACTCAAATCAGACTTCTAAGGGCTTGGAGACTGGGCCATTCAGTGCATCAGACTTTGGTGTATTGGTTTTTTAGAAATTGGCTTTTAGAGAACTCATCAAGAACTATAGCTTGGGCTGGTTGCAGTGGCTCACACCTGTAATCCTAGCACTTTGGGAGGCAGAGACGGGCAGATCACTTGAGGTCAGGAATTCGAGACCACCCTGGCCAACATGGCAAAATGCCATCTTTGCTAAAAACACAAAAAATTAGCCAGGCATGGTGACACACGCCTGTAATCCCAGTTACTCAGGAGGCAGGCAGGAGAATTGCTTGAACTGGGGAAGCGGAGGTTGCAGTGAGCTGAAATCATGCCACTGCACTCCAGCCTGGGTGACAGAGTGAGACCCTGTCTTAAAAAAAAAAAAAAAAGAACTATAGCTTGGACCTGAGACTGATAGTGGGGCTAATATTTCTTCCCTCTTGTGGGAACAGGAGGTGGGAATAAGATAGATGCTCTACTTTGCCAAGCTTACCCTGAGAAGTAGGAAAAAGACAATGGACTCCATTTGTGGCTGTGCAGATCCAACAGAACAAGAGCCAGAAGACCAGGCCACAGAGAGACTCATTAATCCTATCCAACTGAGAAACATGGACCGATGAATGTCAGGCTCTCACTGAGTTTGCAGAAATAGTGATATCTTCCTTCCTGGTACTTCCCGCAAGAGGAAGGTGTGTCTGCAAAGTGCATAAAGCTGGGAATGGAAAGAGAAGCTGTCCCATACACTTAAGAAGGCATTTTGCTGAGAATTCAAATGTGGATATCATACAGTCCCTCTTCTGTCTCTCACAGTCTAATGGGCTTGCCTTCCTCATTTTCTGTTCCTTTCTGTTTTCTTTGTAGATTTCCATTCTTCTTACTTTTCTCCCAGTTAACGTAGCACCTGTATGGCACTGGTAACAAGATGCTTCCCTGAGTTTCCTACTGCACACTATACACAACTATCATCAGAGGGGAAGAAATGGACACAAATTACCAGAGCCTGGAGCAGGACCTCCCTTAGACCCAGGTGACCAGGGCTCCTGCCATGAGATCTGGGCTGTAGGGCTCCACTACAGCTCTCCTCAGGCGTGAAGCTCTACTCACTCACATGGCAAGGTGTCTTTAGGGCCAAGGAAATGTGGCCACTTGGAGTCTCTGCCTGTAGGATCCTGAACCACAACCATTACAATTGTGCTGGCGTGCCCATACAGGGAAGTATGCACAGGCCTTGAGCATTCATTTATATCCTTCCCCAGATCCCTCAAATATTAGCAGTAGACCTGTCTGGCAATCCACAGGTGGCCTAAGAATGTTCCATATTAATACACATCCCTTCTTACTAAGGGAGCCCAATCTTATTTTTCACCAATGTGAACACTGTCTTTAGGGCCTAGACTGTGTATCAGAACCCACGGTTTAAACTGATGCTCTGTGTCATGTCTCTGCCTCCCTTGAAATAATTGTCTATGTGTACAGTTGTGCACCTCATAACATTTTGCTAAACAATGGATGGCATATACAAGGGAGGTCTTGTAAGATTATGCTATCATAACTTGAGTGTACCTTTTCTATGTTTAGATTTGTTTATATACACAAATCCTTACCATTGTGTTACAGTTGCCTACGTTATTCAGTACAGCAACATGCTGTATAGGTTTGTAGCTTAGAAGCAATAAGCCCTACCCTATAGCCTAGGTGTGCACTAGGCTATATATCTAGGTTTGTGTAAATACATTCAATGATGGTCACACAAGGAAATCACCCAACAATATATTTCTTAGAAAGTATCCTCATTGTTAAGTGACTCAACTGTTTTCGTTTCTAATTTACTCAACCCACTTCATTTGAGTTTTCAGTGCCATCACTCCTCTGAAACAGCTCATATAAAGATCACCCGTGGCCTCCATTTTTCCAAATCCATTTCTGTATTAGTTTTGTATTGTTGCTGTAACATATTACTACACATTAGCAGCTTACAACAATAAGAATTTAATAACTTACAGTTCTGTGAGGCAGAAGACTGACAGGGGACTCACCAAGCTAAAACCAATGTGTTTGCAGAGCTATGTTGCTTTCTGGAAATTCCAGGGAAGAATCTTGTTTTTTTGCTCATTCAGATTGTGGACAAAATTTGATTTCTTGTGGTTCTAGAACTGTTTCTTTGTTTGCTATCAGCTAAAGGTCATTCCCAGTTTCTAAAGGCCGTACTCATTTCTTTGTTCATGGCTCCTTCCTTGATCTTCAAAGCCAGCAATGCCGGGTTGGGTCCATCTCTTGCTTTGAATCTTTCCCACCTCCTCATCCATCACATCTCTCTGACTGACTATTCTGCCGTCTTCCATTTTTCTAGGTCCATGTGATTACATTTGCCCACCAGCATAATCTGGGAAAACCTCTCTGTCTTAGAGTTTGTGACATGTGACATCAATTTCTTTTTTTTTTTTTTTTTTTTTTGAGATGAAGTCTCACTCTGTTGCCCAGGCTGGAGCATGGTGACACAATCTCAGCTCACTGCAACCTCTGTCTCCTAGGCTCAAGTGATCCTCCCACCACAGCCTCCTGAGTAGCTTGGACTATAGGCATGCACCACCATGCCCAATTTTTTTTTTTTTGGTAGAGACAGAGTTTCACCATGTTGCCCAGGCTGGTCTCTAGCTCCTGGACTCAAGTGATCCTCCCAGAGTGCTGAGATTACAGGTGTGAGCCACTGCGTCGGCCCTGCGACATCAATTTCATCAATTTCATCTGCAATTATAATATAGTATTACAGGTAAAACACTAGGGAATGAAGATCATGGGCCAAAATCTTGCCTAACACACCTGCCTTCTTAGAAACATTTAAGATTTTTTTCTTGAGATATTAATTTTTCTTGACTTAAAGGACGTGGTTTGGATAGTTGATTCTTCTGTCATTTTTGCTGGTTTTGGTGGTTAATACTTCCCAGCTATCTGTAACGGCAAATGAAAGAATACAAGAACACCAGGGTTGGTTCTCACTCTACTTCTCTATGTGGATAAAGTCATCTCAGCTACTTCCATTTCTTAAATATATCTTTATGCTGATGACTCCCAAATTTACATTTCCAGCCCTAAGATCAAACACAGCTGAGTCCTTGATATCTACTTCTGGATGTCTAATAAGCATCTCAAATTCAGTATGACTGAAGTAGAGTCATGATTCATTCACTTCAACTCCACTCACCACAATCCTCCCCATCTCAGTAAGTAGTTACATGATCCACCCCGTTGATCAGACATCCTATATTCT
Organism: Homo sapiens; assembly: GCF_000001405.40. Classification (NCBI taxonomy): domain Eukaryota; kingdom Metazoa; phylum Chordata; class Mammalia; order Primates; family Hominidae; genus Homo; species Homo sapiens. The sequence goes on along the minus strand of NC_000004.12, from coordinate 24,613,588 downwards.
TCTCCTTTCCTTCTATTCTCGAACCTTCTGCTGTGACAATACATTGCCATGTCCTATTGTCTCTTCCTCTAAAGTATATCCCAAGTGCAACCACATCTTACCTGTTTAATTGCCACCATCTTAGGTTTAGTCACTGATTTAGTCTACTCAGGCTGCTATAACAAAATATCATAGACTGAATAGCTTGTAAACAACAGAAATTTATTTCTCACGGTTCTGGAGGCTGAAAAGATTAAGATTAAGGCATTGGCAGATTCAATATCTGGTGAGAGCTTGCTTTCCGGTTTATAGATGATGCCTTCTTCCCATGTTGTCACATGGTAGAAAAGGTGATGAATCTCTCTCAGGCTTTTCTATAAGGGCATTCATGTAGCCTCCATCTGCATGACCTAATCACCTCCCGAAGGCCCTACCTCCTAACACTGTCTCGTTGGGGATTAGGTTTCAACAAAGGAATTTTGGGGGCACAGAAACATTCAGACCATAGTTATCACCATCATTTCTCATCTGGATACTTCAATAGTTTCCACTTTTTCCTTCTTTCCCCGTAGTTGACTCTCCAGTGGCAGCTGAAGTGACTTATGGAAAAGTAAAACAGATAATATTGCTCCCTTATTTTAAATCCTCCAATGGATTCCAATTGAAATTAGAATAAATCTGAAATCTTTACAATGATCCATGAAACCCAACACTATCTGGCTCCTGTCTCCCTCACTGACCTCTCAGTTTACTTCGTCTTGTTCACTACCTCCATTCATTACAACCTCTTTCATATATTATTTCATAGGTAGAGATGGGGTTTTGCCATGTTGTCCAGGCTGGTCTTGAACTCCTGACCTTAAGTGATCCTCTCATCTTTGCCTCCTAAAGTGCTGGAATTACAGGAATAAGCCACTGTATCCCACCTATATTTTACACACTCACACTCCTTTCCCTCCTTTTACTTGCTTTTTTGTCTGCCTGGAGTTTCTTCCCCAGTTTTTTAAAACACCTGATTTCATTTTGTCTTAGCTCAATGCCATCTTCTAAGAGAATCCTTCCCCAACCCACTTTTGATGTAGTCCTTCATACCTCCAGCACCTCCAATCACTTTCTATCATACTGCCCTATATTATTTTTATAGCCCTCATCAATCTATTAAATTACCCTATTTGTTTATTTACTTGCTTATTGTTTGTTACCCTCCACTAGAATTTAAATGCCATGAGCCCAGGAATTTTCTTTATCTTTTTTATCACTATAGCCTTAGCACCTCGAACTGTGCTTAATATATAATAGGTGCAAAGTAAGTATTTCTTGAATGAATGACTGAAAACAAGCCTTTCTTTTTTTTTACTTTTTTATTTTTGAAACAGAGTCTCACTCTGTCACCCAGGTTGGAGTGCAGTGGTGCAATTTCGGCTCACTGCAACCTCTGCCTCCGAGGTTCAAGCGATTCTCCTGCCTCAGCCTGCCAAGTAGCTGGGATTACAGGCATGCTTCACCATGCCTGGCTAAATTTTGTATTTTCAGTAGAGACGGTTTTGCCATGTTGGCCAAGCTGGTCTCAAACTTCTGATCTCAAGTGATCCGCCCGCCCCTGCCTCCCAAATTGCTGGGATTACAGGCGTGAACCACCACGCCCAGCCAAAAACTTAAACCTTTCAAAGTCTCTGACAATTCATCTAGAATTTTTTAGGAGGTTATTCAAATTGAAAACGAAACCAACCCTAGTATTTTAAGTTGGGCTTCTTGGGAAGCAGTCTTGGAAACTGAGATTAGCATGCAGAAAGTTTATTGTGAAAGACTCCTGGGATTCACACCAGTGGAGAAAAAGGCAATAAAGCGGTATTGGGCAGAGGATAAAGTTTGGATGTGACGCAGAGTCTCACTCTGTCACGCCAGGAGTGCAATGGCGTGATCTTGGCTCACCGCAACCTCCACCTCCCAGGTTCAAGCGATTCTTCCGCCTTAGCCTCCTGAGTAGTTGGGATTACAGGCATGCGCCACCACGCCCAGCTAATTTTGTATTTTAAGTAGAGAGAGGGTCTCTTCCATGTTGGTCTGGCTGGTCTCAAACTCCCGACCTCAGGTGATCCGCCCGCCTCAGCCTCCCAAAATCCTGGGATTACAGGCGTGAGCCACCGCACCTGGCCAGTGAGGTTATTTTTAAAAAGCCTAAGCTGACTCCAAAGGGAACTCTGAAGCTGGGATACAGCCCTCTCAATTTGGCCCAGATTATGGTATACATTCCCATAATGATCAGTCATTAGACACAGGCTATCCTGGGGGAGGGAATGTGCCCTAGAGTGAGGTAGCTCTCCAGATGAGGAAATTCTTGGAGAGGCTGACAACTGAGGGCTATCTGCTGACAGCACTCCTTGCAAATGCTGAGGAAATCAGTCCTTCATTCTTGAAGGAGGTCTGGGTGGCACGTTCCAGGATCTATTACAGTCCAATCTTTGCATTGCCTAGAGCTGCTTCTGCTTCTGCTGCTTCTTCTTCTTCTTCTTCTTCTTCTTCTTCTTCTTCTTCTTCTTCTTCTTCTTCCTCTTCCTCTTCCTCTTCTTCTTCTTCTTCTTTTTTTGAGACAGAGTTTCACTCTTGATGCCCAGGCTGGGCTGGAGTGCAATGATGCCATCTCAGCTCACGGCAACCTCCGCCTCTCAGGTTCAAGTGATGTCTCAGCCTCCTGAGCAGCTGGGATTACAGGCACGTGCCACGACGGCCAACTAATTTTGTATTTTTAGTAGAGACGGGGTTTCACCATAGTCAGGCTGGTCTGGAACTCCTGACCTCAGGTGATCCACCCACCTTGGCCTCCCAAAGTGCTGGGATTACAGGTGTGAGCCACCATGCCTGGCCTAGAGCCACTTCTTTGTATAAGTTTTAGGAACAGCTTCTTCAGAATTCTGGAGCACCTTTTCCCTGGGGAAAGCTAAGAGGATGAAGGTGAGTGGGATCATCCACAGATAGCACCACTACAGTAGATTTCAGTGCTGCAGTTAATACTCATTGTCTCCCTGAACTACCAGCTGTCTATTTGACCCTTAAGCCTGGCTAGCACCTCTGCTGTCCTGGTGGCTTGTATGTAAGTATGACCCAGACCATCAACTCCTAAGGATCTGAGTCCCTGGTCACCTATGTCTTTGTCAGGGTGTCACTGCTACACTTGTCTACTTACTATCAACATTGCTCAACAGAATACCAAGGTACTGAAATGGATCACCTGGTGGAAAACATATTTTTCCTTCTTGCCCTTATTGTGTAACAGCAGCCTTACCTCCTCCTGGTGATGGGGGCCATTTACTTCTGCCAGAATGGTAATTCTTCTTCTTGTCCTGGCCTCTTGGTGTGAGAAACTTCAAGAACTCAGGTCACAACCTTTGTGGATGTATTCCTTCTTAGGAACTCGGACTCTTAAGTGTTAAAAACTCAGAGTTTTGACCAGGCACAGTGGCTCATGCCTATAATCCCAGCACATTGGGAGGCTGAGGCGGGTAGATCACAAGGTCAAGAGATAGAGACCATCCTGACCAACATGGTGAAATCCCATTTCTATGAAAAATACAAAAATTATCTGGGCATAGTGGCATGCACCTGCAGTCCCAGCTACTCAGGAGGCTGAGGCAAGAGAATCACTTGAACCCAGGAGGTGGAGGTTGCAGTGAGCCAAGATTGCATCATTGCACTCCAACCTGGCAACAGAGCAGGACTGAGTCTCAAACAAACAAACAAACAAAAACAAAACAAAACAAAAAAAACTCCAAAAAACAAGCAAACAAAAATACAAACTCAGAGTTTCAAGAATGGAAAGCACAAATTCCCGAAATGAATCACTGGGAGTGAAGGAAAATAAGGGTACTCTCACTTTTACTTCTTGATTCCTAGACGTATGTGTTCTACCTACGGGGGAAATAGCACCATGTAAAGGTCATTCCTTTAGAAAGTGCACTGCATTCTGAGTGATGGCAAGCCATCTTCATAAGGCACTATCTCTGATTTGGTGTTTCTGTCAGGACCAGCTTCTTGCTATGTGATACGAACATTGAATCTCGTGGTCATGTGCCTGTTTCTGTGCTTCCTTTAATATTCAATGAATCCCTTTGTCTGACACAATAGTATGTGGGATCTCATATCGATGATAGAGACTGGCTGCTACCAGTTGAATGACATGTAGTTTTTTTGGTTTGATTTTGTTTTTGTTTTTTTTTTTAGTGCCTCTTATGTCATGGATGCTCTGATGGGCATTAACATCTGAATAAAGATCTTTACACTTTGTGCTCACTTCCATAAGTTCATTTATTTCCATATGTTCATAGCCCTTGTTGCTCACCAATCTTCCAAGTGTTCACCTTCGAAGACCCTGGCCAAGATATATCACACTGCCCATGAGTCCCTGTGTGTCTATCTAACTGCAGGCCACTTCTCTTTCCACACAAAATGGCTGACCATGTGGACTTCCTGGAATACTACTTGCTGGGAGGATTTCCCCTTGCCACTACCTTTCAAGACTATCCTGAGTGGGGCTTCCCCCACTCAGTTGTACAGCCTGAGTTGTATCCTGAGTTGTACAGCCATCATCTATATCTAGCTTGCACCAACATACCAAGTTGAGCCATTTGTGAATCAAGCTCAGGCTTCTTCCTCTTACATCAACTAGTCATTATAGACCCCCATGCAGTCATGGATGTGAGCTGAGCAGTGATGTGGTGGTAAATATTTAGCAACTAGCTTTCTGAAAAGGAGAAGAAAAGACCCAATTTGTAGTATTAACTAATTTCCATGCTGTAAGTACTTACGGTGAATTTCAACCTACCGACGTGGCATCAATGGGCTTGCAAGATTCCTGAAAATTTAACAAGAAACTATTATGAGCTGGTACAAACTTGCTTCCGCATATCCCCAGAGCTGGGGAAGACGTGCTGTGTAACAGTGGTAGATGACATGAGCTACCCGCATGCTACCTGCTCACTCGGCTTGCATGTGCCCTCTGGTTTTATTGATGTTGAATCCTAGATGTTCCTCTTCCATCTAGATACATCCTAATTTATCGCTTGGTGAGTGTGATGGAGCCTAGCTCATGAGAGGTAGTTTTGGTGTCTCCACAGTGAGGCACTTGTCTTTATTAGGGCCCAGTCTTATTCCAACATTTATTTTTTGGAAGGCGTATAATTCTCTGTTGCCATGGTATGGCTTTTGTGCAGGATCTATGTTGTGATTCTTCCATTAGGGCTTGTCATAAAATCCACATGTCATCTTTTCACAACACTGATATTCGTCATACCATAGGGTCTGCTGGATTGTGTGGTCCAAGAGGCCAGCTGCTTGCCCTGAAGCATGGGACTTGATGCGGAATCCTTTCCTGCCATGGGCCCCATTGAAAAATAGCAACCATTGCTGGGCACGGTGGCTCACGCCTGTAATCCCAGAACTTTGGGAGGCCGAGGCGGGTGGATCACGAGGTCAGGAGATCGAGACCATCCTGGCTAACACCGTGAAACCGCATCTCTACTAAAAATACAAAAAATTAGCCAGGCATGGTGGTGGGCGCCTGTAGTCCCGGCTACTCAGGAGGCTGAGGCAGGAGAATGGCATGAACCCGGGAGGCGGAGCTTGCAGTGAGCTGAGATCGAGCCACTGCACTCCAGCCTGGGCGACAGAGCGAGACTCCATCTCAAAAAAAAAAAGAAAGAAAGAAAGAAAGAAAAAAAGAAAAATAGCAACCATTGTGTCAACCAGTATGTGAGCTGGAAGTGTACTTCTGGGAATACCTTGCCTACAGAACCTGAAAAGGGCTGCCTAGCATGCAATGTGCTTCCATTCTTGTGATGGGAACTACAAGATGCAGTCAATTCTCCTTTACTTAAGCGATGTCCTAGCATACCCCAGACCACCAGACTTTTCAAAATTTACCTATGCAGTGTGCTCCTGAATCTTTAAGGTTTATTTCCCTCAAGAGTGCATGTGAATTATCAAGGCCTTCAACCTCCCAGCTACTCTTGTTTATTTGGTCCAACTAACATTATGTCATCAGTTAGTGGACCAGTGTGCTATTCTGCAGCACCTCCAGCTGGTCCATGTCTCTTCAGATTATGTTATGACAGAGGACAGCAGAGTTAACATAGCTCTGGGACAAAGCTGTAAAGGAACATTGTTGTGCATTCCAAAGAAACATGGATCATTTCTGATTCTATTTTGTATAGGAACAGAGAAAGAATGGATTTGCCAAATCATTGGTCACATATCATGTACCTGAGTCCTTGCTTATCTGTTCTAACAAAGATATATCTGGAACAGAAACTGTAATTGGAGATACTGTTAAAATAATAGGTCAGGTCTGTGATAATCCACTGCCATTCTCCATGATCTGCCTGAATTTTGCAGAGGCCAGATGTTTATTCTAAATGGAGATATAATGGGAACCACAGCCTATTTGTCTTTTAGGTCTTTAAGGAGGCAAGCATTTTAATCTTTTTTCCCAAGATGCTTTATCATGGTAAAGTATACACAAATAATAAAATGACCATTTTAACCATTTTTAGGTGTACAGTTCAGTGGCATCGAGTACATTCACATTGTTGTGTAACCATCACCACCATCCATCTCCAAAACTTTTTCACTCTTCCCAAACTGAAAATCTGTGCCCATTAAATAGTAATGCCCCATTCCCCCTTTCTCCTCAGCCCCTGCCAACCACCATTCTACTTTCTGCCTATGAATTTGACTACTTTAAGTAGTTCAATGAAGTGAGCTCATACAATATTTGTTCTTTTGTGTGTAGTTTATTTCACTCACCATAATGTTTTCAGGATTCATGTATGTTGTAGCACAAGCTTAATCAACCTGCAGTCCCTGGCCCACATGAGGCCCAGGACAGCTTTGAATGCGGCCCAATACAAATTCGTAAACTTTCTTAAAACATTACGAGATTTGTGCATGAACCTTTTTTTTTTTTTTTCCAGCTCACCAGCTATCGTTAGTGTTAGTGCATTTTATGTGAGTCCCAAGGCAATTCTTCTTCTTCCAATGCAGCCCAGGAAAGCCAAAAGATTGGACACTCCTGTTGCAGCATGTGTCAGAATTTCATTCCTAAGGCTAAATAATATTCCATTTATTCATATATGACATTTGGTTTATTCATTCACCTGCTAATGGACATTTTGATTGTTTCCACCTTTTGGCTGCTGTAAATAATGCTGCTATAAACATTCTTGTACAAATATCTGTTTTTTGAGTCCTTGCTTTCAATTATCTTGCATATATACCCAAACATAGAATTTCTGGATCACATGGTGCTATGGTTTGAATGCCTCCTCCAAAATTCATGTTGAAATTTAATTGCCATTGTAACAGTATTTGGAGGTGGAGCATTTAAGAGGTGTTTAGGTCACGAGGGCATTACTCTCATGAATAAACTAATGCTGTTATTGCCAAAGTGAGTTATTGTGGGAGTTCAGCCTCTTTTTCTCTCTGTCTCATGCCCTTGCTTCTGCCTTTAGTCTTCCAACTGACCCTTGCCAGATGATGATGCCATGTTCTTCAACTTTCCAGCCTCCAAAACTGTAAGTCAAATAAACTTCTGTTCTTTGTAAATTACCCAATCTGTGATATTCTGTTCTAGCAGCAGAAAATGGACTAAGACATAAGGTAATTCTATTTTTAATATTTGAGGAATCTCTATACTTTATATATTTCCACAGTGGCCAGACCAATTTACATTGCCCCCAGCAATGCACAGGTTTCCAATTTCTCTACACCCCTCACAACAGTTGCTGATTTCTTTCTTAAAAGAATAATAGGCATCCTAATGGGTGTGAAGTGGTTTCTCATTGTGGTTTTGATTTGCATTTCCCTACTGATTAGTGATGTTGAGCATCTTTTTATGTATTTATGGGCCGTTTGGATATCTTCTCTGCAGAAATGTTTGTTCAAGTCCTTTGTTCATTTTTAAATCAGGTTTTTTGTTATTTTGTTGCTGAATTGTAGGGGTTCCCTATATATTCTGGATATTAATCCCCTATCAGAACTATGATTTGTGAATATTTACTCCCATTCTGTAGGCTGCCTTTTTACTCTGTTGAGAATGTCTTTTGATGAAGACATTCTCATGAAGTACAGTTTGGGAAGTTTACAGACATTATTCCTTGAAATATTCTCACTTCCCTTTTCTTGCTCTCTTCTCCTTCTAGAACTCCCATAATGTGTATATTGGTCCACTTGATGGTGTGGCAGGCAGACCAGGTTTCCATCAGCAGCAAGAAGAGTAAGTTTCCACTAACCCTTTACTAGAGTTTTGATGAATGCATAAATTAAACATTAAAGAACTAGAGAAACTGGTGCCTCAGTATGAGGCTGGAATGAGAAAACAAACCCATTAAGACCCTGCCTGGGTTTTCTCAGACCCTAAATAATAATAATAGCATTCTTACACATACATCTCACATCAGGACTCACTTAAAATTAAGAAACTTTCCAAGACTCTAGAGAAAGCTTTCCAGACCCGAGACCCTAAAGATTAGATATAGATTGAATGAAACACTCCTGTTTGTAGGCGCAATTCCACACATAGTATGGAGGAAGTTAATATTAAGATAAGTTAATGTTTAACTTGTGCACTCATCAAAATTATAGTAAAGGTTGCTAATGGAAACCTAGCTCACCACAATCCCCACTGTCAATTTTTACATGATTTCTATCATGTTAGTTAATTTTCCCAAGCACTGATTTGTTAAAAGATTAGTACAAGAGTACAAACTATGATGTGGCAAACTAAGAGGAAGTGAGCAATGTATTCTCTCTGGCTACTTCCTGCTGGAGAGGGTCATCGTCAGGGGGCACTGGAATGGAAGTTGTTTATTTGGCATTGGTAATGTTCTCAACTTTGGGGACTCAAAGGCAGTGCTTGTTGAAACATGATCTTATGAGCTCAAGGAATGTTTGGGAACAGCATACAACAATAATATAGTCCACAGCATAGTGTTATACTTACGCCCAGGAGGATAGCTAAGACAACAACAATTTTCTGCCACAGGAAGGTGGCCCATCAAAGCAAGGTGCTGTCAATTCATGGAGAGACAGTGCAGGACTAGAGATTGCCTTGATCTGTTGGTGCATATCCTTTAAAGCTAAACCAATGTTTCCTGAGTTATCAGGAACATACATACAACATTCAGTTTTAACTGCAGCTCAAGGAGGAATCGGTGATCATTTAAAGTTTTCTTTATAGGCCATTCTGAAATATTTTTTCTAGTTACCCCAGTCATCTGCAACCTTGTCCATTGTTTAAGATCTATAAAGAAACCTAATCTTTTCATTGTATAGGGGAGGCCCACCAAAGCAGTGCCTTGGTGATAGAGAGGGGTAATAGACCACAGACCCAGCACGAGTCTTGTTGTAATCTATCTGCATAATCTTGTGCCCATTTGATATGGTTTGGCTCAATGCCCTCACCCAAATCTCATCTCCAGTTGAAATCACCATGTGTCGAGAGAGGGACCTGATGGGAGGTGATTAGATGATGGGGGTGATTTTCTCCATGCTGTTCTCATGATGGTGAGTGAGTTCTCACAGGAGCTGATGGTTTTAAAGTGTGGGAATTGCTTGCTCTCTTTCTCCTGCCACCTTGTGAAGAACACGCTTGCTTGCCCTTCACCTTCTGCCATGATTGTAAGTTTCCCGAGGCCTCCCCAGCCATACAGAACTGTGAGTCAATTAAACATCTTTCCTTTTACCTAGTCTCAGGTAGTATCTTTAAAGCAGTGTGAATCTGAACTAATACACCATCATAGGAAAAGGTTAGGAGTATAGAAAGAAACAACAAAAGATGTAGTAAGAAAAAATATTATTTAAAAAATCCTATCTTTTTTGTACAGAAATCTTAGGACTTTGAGGGGTTCTGCCTCCTATTTGGCTATCTTGGGGACCTCTGTTATGAACATTTATTTTGGCAGGAACTTTTTTACAATGTGTAGTGGATCCATGGCTTGATGCCCGCCAGTTTCAGTGCTGAAATTGGCAGTTAGCAGCACCAGTAGGGCCCTTTCCATTTCTCCTGTAGCTGCTGAGTTGGGCCCGTTCCCATCTACTCTTTAGCAGTACTTGATCACGGGACTGGAAAGAGTGGCGTGGCTCTGCTGAGTTCACAATGCTGTTGTTGAAAGCAAGCTTATGCAAAACGTTACGAATTTGTCCCAAGTGAGTAACACAATGTTTAATAGTTGACTTCTTATTAAGGGGCACCCTAGTAACCCAAAAGGGTCTCTCATGTATCATTTCACAGGACTTAACCTAATCCCACATCTGGGGAGGTCATTCTTACCCAGAGCAATGCAATGCCAAGTACCTGAATTCATTTTGGTTGAGTTTCCTGGCACAGTTTGGCAATAACTGTTTTTAGTGCTGGATTTTCCTTTCAGTCTGTCCAGAAGACTGTGGTCTCCATGCTGAGTATAGTCTGCAATTTATTCCAAGTGCCTTGTTTACCTGGAACAACTGCAGGCTCTTGTAAGGGCAATCAGTTCTGCCTTCTGTGCAGAGGTTCCTAGTGGTAAAGTCCTGGCTTCTGTGACCTCTGAAAACGTTACCATTACATATATAGCATTTCTTTTTCTGTCGGTTACCAGGCTGCTCCCATCCATGAACAATGTCCAGTATGCATATGGCAGGGCTGTGTCCTTTAAATTAGGGTGACTGGAAAACACCTTAGTCAATAATTGGTAAACATTATGCATAAGTTCTTTTGGCTCTTCGGTAGAGGGAAGTAAAGTAGCTGGGTTCAAGGCTCTGGTAACCTGCACTTTTACTGTGGGTTCATCTAGGAGTGTGGCCTGGTATTTGCTCAATCTGCCCACTGTCAGCCAGTAGCCTCCCTTTTGTTCTAGTAACACTAGTACTTGGTGAGGCACGTAGACAGTAACAGGCTGTCCCAAAGTCAACTTTTCAGCCTCCTTTAATAGTAGGCAGGTGGCAGTGACCGCCCTTGAACAGGAGACAGCCTTTGGCCACATTATCCAGTTGTTTAGGAAAGTAAGCCTAGTGGCTGCAAGATTTCTCCTAATTTCTGTGTTAAGGATCCCCAGTGCTAGACCCAGTCTCTCATGCATGTACAATTGAAAAGGCTTATGAGGATTTGGGAGCCCCAGGAATAGGGTGGAGGTTAACTTACATTTCAGTTGTCCAAATGAGTGCTGGTGTTTTGCTCCCAATCGAAGGCATCATTGTTAGGTCCCTTAACAGACTGTATAGCGGCTTCATTGGTAGTTCATAGTTAGGAATCCAGATCTAACAAAACCCTGCCTTGCCTAGAAATCCTCTCAACTACCTTCTGGTAGTGGGTGCTGCAATGGAAGCGATTGCATTTTGTCTTTCCACTATTAGAGCTCTAGCTCCCTCCTGCAAGAGAAAATCTAAGTATGCCACAGTTTGTTGGCATATCTAAGCTTTTTTACTTGAAACCTTATACCCACGGGTGGCTAGGTGGTTAAGAGTTTTAATGGTGTTATTCTGACATTCCCATTCAGAGAGGCTAGGTATTAGTAAATCACCCACATATTGTAACAATACCCCATTTTCCAATTTTAAACTCTTTAAATTTCAAGCCAAGGCTTCCCCAAATATATGTGGAGAGTTTTTAAATCCTAGTGGGAGTGCAGTCCAATGATACTGAAACCACGTTGCGGCTTCAAGATCTATCCATTCAAAGGCAAACAACAGTTGACTTTCTGTGTCTATGGGTATGCAAAAGAAAGCATCTTTTAAATCCAATACTGTCAGCCATTTATAATCTCCAGGAAGAGAAATGAACTTAGTATATGGGTTAGCTACAGTGGGATGTATGTCCTCTACAATATCCCAATTAGGGTCCCTGTGGGGAATTGCCGCCCCCGGATCTGTGTTGTCTGAATTTTCATGATGAAGTCATTGCGCCTCTTCCTTCACTTTATTGAAAACCAGCTGCCGCTCATCTGCAGTGAGCATAATGCTTAGGAGAGCCTGCACATCTGCCCAGGTGGGCACTGTGTAGCAAATACAGTGGTATTATAGGCCCAATAATGTTGGCTGGAGCTCCTTGCTAATTGACTCCTACTGAATATTGTTACAGTGGGAACTTCCCTGCTCCAGACTCAGTGACTCCCTGGCCAAAATTAGTACCTTGCCTAGTCCTAGAGGGAGACAGTAGCCCTGCTGCCTTCCTGTACTCTATGGGTAGCATTCCCTCTCTTTCCTGAGCTGCGGCAGTAGCCACTATGGGGTTTAGGGTATTCATTAACTATTCATTAAATTGGGTTTCAAAGGCTTTCTCTTCCTCCCCTTGTGAGTCAGGACAGACTTGGCAGTGCATTGCCAAGTTAGCTTATTTCCTTTTTCCTTAGCAACATTAATGCCCAGATGTAAGGTATTTCACCTCATTTACCTGACCTCTGGTAGAACAATTCTAATTGATAAATGGTATGAAAATTTAAAGATCCAAAAACTGGCTACCATTTCTCAGACCCCAAAACATACATTGGCCAAGATGTGTTACAACAGAAGATTAACTCTTCTTGTCATTAGCAGATAACCAACGTGCTTCCAATCTGACAAAGCTTTTCCCAGAGGACTATTTGTAGGGATAGATGCCCTGTTGCCCATACTGACTACTCTAAACTTAATATCAGACCAACAGAACAAATGAATTTTCACAAACAAATGCAAATAGGTCCTCTAACTTTGTAAAGTGGGTGTATTAATCAGGGTTCTCTAGAGGGACAGAACTCATGGAATATATAAACGGGAGTTTATTAAGTATTAACTCACACGATCACAAGATCCCACAATAGGCCGTCTGCAGGCTGAGGAGCAAGGAGAGCCAGTCCGAGTTCCAAAACTGAAGAACTTAAAGTCCAATGTTCAAGGGCAGGAAGGATCCAGCACAGGACAAAGATGTAGGCTGGGAGGCTAGGCCAGTTTCTCTTTTCACTTTTTTCTGCCTGCTTGTATTCTAGCCACGCTGGCAGCTGTTTAGATTGTGCCCACCCAGATTAAGGGTGGGTCTGCCTTTCCCAGCCCACTGACTCAAATGCTAATCTCCTTTGGCAACATCCTCATAGACACACACAGAATCAATACTTTGTATCGTTCAATCCAATCAAGTTGATACTCAGTATTAACCGTGACCGGGTATACAAAGGAGTCCTATTGTTTCCTCAACAGTACTGAAAAAAATGGCTACATGAGCTCTAATAGAGAAAACAATAGACCCCCAGCTTTCCATCAGGTTTTACTTAACCCTTTGAGCAGCTCCATTCCCAGCCTCTGTTGTTCCCCAGTAATAGAGAGACAGGGGGTCTTTGCATCCGGGAAGGTCCTTGGGAGACTCCCCAGGACAAACCGTACCTGGCAGCTGTTGGGAGTCTCCCGATGACTGTCGACTTAGAAGCCACTGGCCACTGAGCACAGATCCATCCCTGAGGAGTCACCAGAATTGTTCCTGGACAGAACAAGGTCTGGCTGCTCATTTCTGTGATCCAATAACAAGATGCAGACAGACTGGGAAAGAAGGGAGTTTATTTCTGCAACCGGTTACAGAGAGAAGGTCGAAGTAACTCACCATACCAACTCAAAGTTACAAGTTTTTTGCTAGTGCTGACATACATTTTAAGCTCCATGCTACATGTAGAATTGCATCTACAAGCAGGAGTGTTTCATTCACTCTATATCTAATCTTTAACTAGGGTCTAGGGTCTGGAAAGCTTTCTCTGGAGTCTTGGAAAGTTTCTTAATCAGTTTTTTTAAATTTATTTTTTATTTTTATTTTCTTGAGATGGCGTTATGCTCTTGTCTCTCAGACTAGAGTGCAATGGTGCGATCTCAGCTCACCGCAACCTCTGCCTCCCGGGTTCAAGTGATTCTCCTGCCTCAGCCTCTCAAGTAGCTGGGATTACAGGTACGTGCCACTGAGAGGTGACAACGTGCTAGCAGCCCTCACTTGCTCTCGGTGCCTCCTTGGCCTCGGCGTCCCTCCTGGCCGTGCTTGAGGAGCCTTTCAGCCCGCCACTGCACTGTGGTAGCCCCATTCTGGGCTTCGCCAAGGCCGGAGCCGGCTCCCTCTGCTTGGAGTAGGTGTGGAGGTAGAGGTGCGGGCGGGAACAGGGGCTGCGCACAGGGCTCGGAGGCCAGCGCGAGTTCCTGGTAGGTGCGGACTCGGCATGCCCCATACTTGGAGCAGCCAGCTGGCGTCGCTGGCCCCGGGCAGTGAGGGGCTAAGCACCTGGGCCAGTACCTGCGGAGGGTGTGCCAGGTACCCCAGCACTGCCAGCCCTCCCAAGCCACGCTTGAATTTTCACCAGGGCTCAGGACCTAGGCGAAGCCAGCTGGGCTCCTGGGACTTGGAGAACTTTTATGTCTAGCTGGAGGATTGTATTTGCACCAATCAGCACTCTGAGTCTAGCTTGGGGTTTGTGGATGCACCAATCACTACTCTGTATCTAGCAGGGACTTGGAGAACTTTTATGTCTAGCTAGAGGATTGTAAATGCACCAATCAGCACTCAGTGTCTAGCTCAGGGATTGTAAATGCACCAATCAGAACTCTGTCAAAAATGGACCAATCAGCTCTCTGTAAAACAGACCAATCAGCTCTCTGTGAAATGGACCAATCAGCAGGATGTGAGTGGTGGTGGGGGATTGGGGGTGGTCAGATAAGGGAATAAAAGCAGACTGCCCAAGCTAGCAGTGGCAAACCGGTTGGGTCCTTTTGCACTCCGTGGAAGCTTTGTTCTTTAGCCCTTTGCGATAAATCTTGCTGCTCCTCACTTTTTGGGTCCGTGCTGCCTTTATGAGCTGTAACACTCACTGCGAGGGGACGCAGCTTCACACCTGAAGCCAGCGAGACCACGAACCCACCAGAAGGAATGAACAACTGCTGACGGTCCACCTTTAAGAGCTGTAACACTTACCGCAAAGGTCTGCAGCTTCATTCCTGAAGTCAGCAAGACCATGAACCCACCGGAAGGAAGAAACTCCAGACACATCTGAACATCTGAAAGAACAAACTCTGGACACACCATCTTTAAGAGCTGTAATACTCACCCTGAAGGTCTGCGGCTTTATTCTTGAAGGCAGCGAGACCAAGAACCCACTCATTCCGGACACACCACAACACTTGGCTAATTTTTGTATTTTTGGTAGAGATGGGGTTTCTCTACTACAGCGGGGCTGGTCTTGAATTCCTGACCTCAGGTGATCTGCCTGCCCGCCTTGGCCTTCCAACGTGCTAGGACTACGGGTGTGAGCCACCACGCCCAGCTGAAAGTTTCTTAATCTTAAGTGAGCCCTGGTATGAGGTGTAGGTGTAAGAATGCTTTTATTGTTCGATCAGACTTTAGGGTTTGAGAAAACCCAGGCGGGATCTTAATGGGTTTGTTTTCTCATTCCAGCCCTCATACTCAGGCACCGGTTTCTCCAGTTCTCTAATGTTTAACTTATGACTTCATAATTATAGTAAAGGGTTAGTGGAAACTGTTCTGGTTGCTAATGGAAACCTGGCCTGCTACAATGGTGTCCCATAAGTCTCTTAGGATCTGTTTACTTTTCTTAAATTGTTTTTCTATTTCTCAGATTCAAAAATTTCCATTATTTTGCCTTCAAATTTGTTAATTCATTCTTCTACTTGCTCAAATCTCCCTTTGAATACTTCCAGTGAAGTTTTCATTTTAGTTACTGCGTTTTTCAGCTCCAGACTTTGTTTTAGGTTTCTTTTTAGCTCTTCTACCTTTTTATTGGTATTTCCGTTTTGACTTTCTTCATCTTTTTTTAGTTCTTTTGGCATCTTTAAGACAGTTTAGTAGATCCGCCATCAAGTCTGTTTCAGGGACAGTTTCTGTTTACTGTTTTTCCTTTGACTAGGCCATATTTTCCTGTTTCCTTATATGCTTTATGATTTTTTTTTGTCATTGAAAAGCAAACATTTGAATACAATAATGTGATAACTCTGGAAATAAGATTCTCCTTCTTCCCAAGGTTTGCTGGTTTTGTTATTGTTTTTCTTTATTTATTTTTAATTGTTGTAGTTTGTCTCTGGGCCAAGAGCCAGACTGACGTGTAAACTTAAGGTCTTCTCAGGTTTTTTTCTGGGCCTTACTCTGGTCATGTTTAGTCACTTTATAAGTTTTCCTATATGTGTTGTTTTTAATGTCATTGTTTTTTATCTCTGGGTCCAGAAAAGAGAAAAAGAAAAAATGAAGCAGGGAGCGAAAGGTGCTGGCTTTTTAAATCCCGCAAAGTCACTTGAGCTGGAGGAGTTTGCAACAACTGAGGGTAGGTGCAACAATAATGGCCACTCACCCCTTTGTATCTCTCTGATCTTTTGTGTTCAGAAGTGACATTCAGGGCCAGGCGTGGTGGCTGACGCATGTAATCCTGGCACTTTCTAGACGTATCACTTGAGGCCAGCAGTTCAAGACCAGCCTGGGCCAACATGGTGAAACCCCATCTCTACTAAAAATACAAAAATCAGCCAGGTGTGGTGGCAGGTGCCTGTAATCCCAGGTACTCGGGAGGCTGAGGCAGGAGAATTGCTTGAACCCAGGAGGCAGAGGCTGCAGTGAGTTGAGATTGCACCAATGCACTCCAGCCTGGATGAGAGAGTGAGACTCTGTAAAAAAAAAAAAAAAATTCAGCGATCAAGCACAGAGTACTAATATTTGAAGGACAGAGTCCTTTTTGCTCAACCCCCCAAAATGTTTGTAAGCTGCTTCAGGAACCTATGCACTGCTGCCTGCCTTGTAGATGTGTGGTGAGGGATGGGTAGTTGCTACTATGCTAAGTGCTGAAATTGACAGAAATTAACCACAACTTATATTCCAAACCTTCCTCTAGAAGTTGCAAGCCTTCTATAGACTCCAGAAGGAGTTAAGTAAGACAGATTCTGCCAGTATTACCTGCATGGAGAGACAGATTATTCCTGCTTCCTGCTCCACCATTTTCCCCAACCTGACCTCCTAGAGTTTTCAATATCTATTTTAACCTAATCTATGTCCATCCTCAAATAACATTATACTGCTCCAGGTGTAGTGTAGGTAACTTACAACAGAATAACTCCACTTCCTCCCATCCCTCATTACATTGGTGCCATTCATTTCACTTGTCTCTATGCTCTAATCTCCCAAGACATTGTTACTCTTACTTTAAACAGTTATCTGTCAGATCAATTAAGAATGAAAAAAATAAAAGATTTTATTTTACCTTCATTTATTCCTTCAATGCTCTCCCTTTATGTAGGTCTAAGTTTCTGACTTAAATAATTTCTTTTTCCTTGAAGAACTTATTTTAATATTTTTTGCATGCAGTTCTGCTTGCCATGAATTCTCTCATTTTTTGTTGACTAAAAATTTACTTCTCTTTCACTTTTAAAGGATAATTTTTCTGTACCTAAAATTATAGCTTGATGCATTTTAAATAGTTTACTCCATTCTTTTCTTGCTTGGTTGGTTTCTTTTTTTTTTTTCTTTTCTTTTCTTTCTTTTTTTTTTTTTTTCCAGATAGAAACTGGGTCTTGCTATGTTGCCCAAGCTGCTCTTGAACTACCGTGGAGGGCCCAAGTGGTCCCCAACCCTCGGCCTCCAAAAGTGCTGGAATTATAGGCATGAGTCACTATGCCTGGCAGTTTTCTGATGAGAAGTCCACTGTGATTATTATCATTGTTTCTATGTAGGTAAAAAAAATTTTTCTTTCACTTCTTTAAATATTTTCTCTTTATCTTTGCTTTGTTGCAGTTTGAGTATGATATGCCTAGTTGTATGCATATCCTGTTTGCATATCCTGTTGCATAGTTGTATGCAAATATCCTTTTGGTATTTATCCTGTTTGATCCATCCTCAGCTTCCTGGATTGTGGTTGTATGTCTGTCATTAATTTTGAAAATTTTTTTACCATTATTATTTCAAATATTTCTTCTGATCTTTTTTGTCTGTCTTCTTCTTCTGGTACGAATTACACATAGTTACACTTTTGAAATGTCCCAAAGTTCTTGTATGTTCTGTTCTGGTCTCAATTATTTTTTCTGTTTGCATATCAGTTTGGGAAGTTTCTGTTGAACTATTTTCAAGCTCATGGTTTCTTTCCTTGGTCATGTCCAATCTATTAATGAGCCCATCACAGGCAATCTTCATTTATGTTATAATATTTTTTATTCCTAGGATTTCTTTTTTATTTTTTCATCTATCTTATATTACCTATTTGCTCTTGCATGCTGTCTACTTTTTTCATCAGAGTCCTTTACACATTAATCATAGTTATTTTAAATTTCCTGTCTGATAACTCCAAAATCTATGTCGTATCTCAGCCTGATTCGAATGCTTGCTTTGTCTCTTCAGACTATGTTTTCTCTTGTCTTTTAGTATGCCTTGCAATTTTCTGTTGAAATCTACTGTGATGCATTGGGTAATAGGAACCGAAGTAAATAGGCATTTAGTGTGAGGTTTTATGTTAATCTGGCTAGAAGTTGAACTGTGTTTAATGTTTGCTATAGCTAGAGGGGCTAGAGGTTTCAAATTCCATTAGTGTTCTCTAGTCTCCCCTGTTGACTTTGGGATTCTCTAAGAATGAAGCATTAGTTAGAGTCTGTGTCTTGGACCTTTTCCAGCTGTAATCCACTGCTGTTATACTAGAGTTATGTTGGTGTGGTAGAAAGGAGTGGGAAGGGAAAGTGTTTTGTAATTTTTTTTTTTTTTTTTGAGACAGGGTCTCACTGTCACCCAGGCTGGAGTGCCGCGGTGCAATCTCAGCTGACTGCATCCTCTGCATCCCAGGCTTAAGCAATTCTCCTGCCTCAGTGCTCACACCCACCCCTGCTTCTCTGCTGAGTAGCTGGAACTATAGGCGCCTGCCACCATGCTGGCTAATTTTTGTATTTTTCATAGAGATAGGGTTTCACCATGTTGCCCAGGCTGCTCTTGAACTCCTGGGCTCAAGTGATCTGCCCACCTTGGCTTTCCAAAGTGCTGGAATTACAGGTGTGAGGCACTGTGCCTGGCCTCTTTTGTAATCCTGTAATTAAATCTTAGTCTTTTAATAGGCCTATGTCCCTGAGCTGTGACCTTCATGAATGTTTGTTAGCTTTTTAAAATTTCCTTAGGTAGACAATAAGGCTAGTGGGCTGGGTGCAGGTGAAATGCCCATTTCCAAGTTGGGATAAGGCTCCCATAAAGTCTTTTCCCTGAAAAGTAGGACTTCTATATGGACAATGTTCTGGGCATGCTTTACAATGGTTACTCTTCTCTTTCTCTGCCTGAGCCACGGGGACATCTTTCTTAGCTTTTCATTGTGCAAACTGAGTGGGTTTCTGGAGGAAAACCCATTAAAGTCTGGGGGTCTCCCTAACATCAAAATACCCAGGAGTTTCTCATCATCGACAGTTCATACTCAGACTCTAGAAATTTGTCAAAGTAACCACTTAAGTGTTTCTACCAATTTATGGTTCTGGTTGCTTCTGCTCAAAGTAAGCAGACCTCTGCTGTGACTCTTTGAACTTGCACATCTCTTCAGATTTCAGCATGGCAATTTACCCTGCAACCTGGTTCTCTAATGGCTCTAAGAAAAGCCATTGGTTTTCAGTTTGTTCAGCTATTCTTCTTGTAAGAAAGGGAGCAGTAACTTCCAAGCTCTTTACACGCCAGAGCTGAAACTGATAATTCCACCCTGGGCTGTTTTTTGTTTAGTATCTTGGCTGAGTTTTCAGGGGATGGGAAGTGTGTGCAACTTCCTAAACTTCCACTTGGAATTCCCCAGTATGATAGCTCTTACCCCTTACAGATCCAGAATTTAATATGGGGGTCGCACAAACTACTAATGATGTTTATTCTATGTGTATGTTTGTATACTGGGGGCATAGCAAGTAGTTTGAGAACGCTGTAGACTTACCATGAGCTGGACCTGGGCCAGACATCCAGTCTCGATTTCCATATATCTCCATGCTAAGAAAGGGCCAATAATGAAACTCTGAGTCTCTTGGTATCAATGTCATTTTACACACTGTGTCCATGATGTCCTTGAAATCGTTAGATATTCCCTTTTCTCCAGTGTATGGCCACCTAAGTAAATGGCTATAGATCACTTGAGGGAAGGACTTGGGGAATTATTACTGTGTACACTTGTGCTGGTGCTGCAGAGTTCTTTCTTCTAGGGACATGCCCTCTCCCTCCAATTAAATATATTCTAGGTCCAAAAACTGGTTCAAGTCCAGAAACTGGGCAAGTGATCATGACTTTGTATCAGAGCATCAGCCTTTAACCTCTTGATCATCCATTGTTGGCTTAATTTGGTTGTTCAGATTGAAGACTTTCTTTGATGGTTGCCCATTTCTTTTGCTCCAGATGGCTTATTTGTCATCTCCAAAACATCTGTGGGTAAAGCCCCCTGGACTGCCGCTCTTGCCTTGCAGTGTCCATTTGGCTGTTGAAGTTTGAGTGCCATCATGTCACTTCAGTGTTACAAGGTTCCATCATCTCTACTGTTCTCAGTGAACCCAGTTCTGAAATGGTATCTTCTGTCTTCACCCTGGACTACAGGGAGAACCACTGCTGAGTCTTAGAGTGATGCTGATTCCTCTCTAACCAGATAATGCCTTATTGATTTGGTAAGTGGTGTATACTCTGAACTTTCCTTTGAAATATATTCATCTGTTGGGTTTTCCATTTTTATATAAGTATATTCACTCTAGCAAGCTCACTTCTTTGAGCCATTTAGTCCCTCCTTACAATGTAAACCAAAGCAGTTTTGGCATCTCTATGTAACCAGGTGTACTGTGAGCCATTGATTTCTCTGTGCTTCTAGATGACATCCTAAGTGTGTTCACACTATCACCCAGGATCCTTGCATGAGTGTTAAATCTTGTATGCTAGGAGAGTATTACCAACTTGATAAATTCTCCCTTATCTAACTGTATGCTCCACCTCCCCACCCTGACATTCATAACCTTCAGAATTCGGTCCTTGGCCAGACGTGGTGGCTCACGCCTGTAATCTCAGCACTTTGGGAGGCTGAGGCGGGCAGATCACCTGAGGTTGGGAGTTCAAGACCAGCCTGACCAACATGGAGAAACCCCATCTCTACTAAAAATACAAAATTAGCTGGGCGTGGTGGCACATGCCTGTAATCCCAGCTACTCAGGAGGCTGAGGCAGGAGAATCACTTGAATCCAGGAGGTGGAGGTTGCAGTGAGCCAAGATCACGCCATTGCACTCCAGTCTGGGCAACAAGAGCGAAACTCTGTCTCAAAAAAAAAAAAAAAAAAAAGAATTTGGTCCTGTGCCAACTCCTCTGGTTCCTGCTGGTACCTGTTGGCTGGGTCCTACAGCTTCTTTGAGTAGGATTGTATGCCAATATTATGTGTCCTCTGATGTATTAGTCTGTTCCCACGCTGCTAATAAAGACATACCCAAGACTTGGTAATTTATAAAGGAAAGAGGTTTAATGGACTCACAGTTCCACATGGCTGGGGAGGCCTCACAATCATGGCAGAAGGCAAAGGAGGAGCAAAGGCACATCTTACATGGTGGCAGGCAAGAGAGCATGTGCAGGGGACTCCCCTTTATAAAACCATCAGATCTCCTGAGACTTACTCACTATCAGTAGAACAGAATGGGAAAGACTCATCCCCATGATTCAATTACCCCCCGACCAGGTTTCTCCCAAGACACATGGAAATTATGGGAACACCAATTCAAGATGAGATTTGGGTTAGGACACAGCCACACCGTATCAGATGTTCTTGGAATATCATATGTAGTGATATGACCTTGTATCATGTGATACTTATATCATATACTTTTTTCTGCCTTCCCACTGTAAGAAATGGCAGTCAAAGGAACTTTACTTACAGAAGTTTTGGAGACAATAAATTAAATAAGGCATCTGGAGGAAAATAAATGGACAAACGTCAAAGGAAGTTCTCAATCTGAACAACCAAATTAAGCCAAAGATGGATGCTTATGATATACTTATATCATATGTAGTGATGTCCCTGGAATATCATATGCAGTGACTTCCTGGTTTATGTATCCTGAAAAGGGTGGTAGACGTTATTCTGCAGAGAGGAAACCTCTGCATCATTTTACAAGAGAGGAACACGAGCTTTTAATACAGAAAAGTAGAGTACTTTGGCAGACTCAGTGGGTTGAGGGGAATCTAGGGATTCAAAATTTTTCAAGTACATCAACCCAGATGTCCCCACCCATGTGTCAGAGTCCCACTATTTCCCATCCAGGGTCCTAACCTTGGTATATCACAATTGCCTAAGTGGAGAGTTTAATCTTCTTTGGAAGTTTCCACTTAATTTTCTGCTACTATTATGTTTAAGTCCTGGAACTGCCTTTCAGTTTTCTCTGCCTTTCCACTGCAAGAAATGAAAACCTTTTTATATGCTCCCTCATAGGATTTCTGGTTTTCATGCTTAGTTTTGAATTGCAGATAAATAACTTCCAGCCTTTCATTATCTCTCCCCAAAATATTAATTCTACTTAGCAATAGCCATCAAATTCTAGGGAGCTTATAGTTACCAGTTCCCCCATATGTGAGAACTGCATGCCTTTTGCAGTACACCACATGCTTTTTTCCCAGTAAGCTACAGGTGAAAGTTTTAACAATTGCCCTGCTTCCTTGTGTCCTACCTCCACCACAGATTCATTGCCAGCCAGCAATGGGTGACCAACTCCAAAATCCAATCATAATGTCTGCTTTCTTTCTGGCACCACTTCTGGCACCAAATCTTTTAGGTCGGCTTCCATGAAAACTAGACTCTGAGGCAAAGATTAGCATTTAGAATGTTTATTAAGAAGTACATTTAGGATCAATATCAGTGGAAAGAAAAGATAAAAGTAGAATCAGATAAGGAAAAGTTGACTGTGATGCTGTTGCATGACAATGAATTTGACTGGCCTTTATCCCTGGTTCACGGGATTGGTTCATTTTAAATCCTTGGGGTCTCCCAAGTCATAAGAGTATCTTTGTTGCTCTCTTTAGTGAATATGCAGTGACTTCCTGGTTTGTGTATCCTGGTTTATATATTCCCTTTATTCTCTTTATGTATTCCCTTTATTCTCTTTAGGTTTATGTATTCCCTTTATTCCCTAAAGAGTTACTCTCTTTATGTTGGGCCCTTGGACGACATCTGAATTAGTGCTAAGGAGATAACTCAGGATGGGAACTGGTCATCCCAGAAAGACCAACCATGTGATTAAAGGGTTGAAGCTTTGAGCCACATGTTATCAGCCCAATCTCTTGACCTTTAAGCAGGGAAAGGAGGCTGGAAATTGAGTTGAATCATGGAGCCAATGATTCAGTCAATCAATCATGGCTACATAATGAAACCCCAATAAAAACTGCAGACACTGAAGCTCAGTGGAACATCCTAGTTTGTAAGGACATGGATGTGAGGGAGGGTCACATGTTCTAATTCCATGGGGAGAGGACACAGACGCTCTGATTTGTTTCCTTTATAATAAAACAGCAACCATAAGTATAGTGCTTTCCTGAGTTTTATAAGTTATTCTAGTAAATTATCAAATATGATGGAATTGTGAGAAACTCTGAATTTGTAGCCAGTTGGGCCGGAGTGCTGGTGGCCTGCAGACCCCTGAACTTATGGATGGTGTCTGGAGTGGGGACATCTTCAGTCTTGCTTGGGACTGTGGCCTTAACTTGTGGGATTGGAGGTAACTCTGGATTGTTACTGGCCAAATTGCATTGGGGTACATCAGATGCCATTATAACAAAGACTTCAGCTGATCCCACAGAGGGTTCAGATGCTCTGAAGCTCACAGTTGTCCTAAGTTGGTAGACAGGCCAAGCCTTTATACCTGTAGAATGTATTCAGGCTGCCCCTGGGCATGGCAGCTTTCTTTAGCCATGGAAGTTTCTGAAGAGGGCTGACACGAGGATCGTGTGCAGGTGGCAAGCACTCCCAGAGCTGAGGGATGTCTCATTATGAAAGTGAGATTTTGATGGCAAGCCATAGCACCACTATAGTTTGTAACTATTTCTGTCTCTTACTAGAGAGAGGATAAGGTGATTAAAAATAGTACTGAAAATTCTTTCAAATTTGTAAGCATTTTGTTGCTAAAGAGGATTCAAAGAGGGAGACTGGTGGATTGATCCTGGCAAATCCTCATGAGTGATCATGTTGTTTTCCCACTTAAATCTCATTTCTGTTTTCCTCTTGTTTTAGGAAGGATAAAGGCTTACCTCCTCAGCAGGACTCCTCAGATGGGGCATGATATGCCCTGTTCTTGCATCTGCAGGATCACAGATGACAAATTCCTCATCTCAACACATCCATGTTGTTTTCTCTGTCTGTGGGTCGCACCTGACTTTTTAAAGCTTCAGGGCCTTTGCACAGGCTGTTTCCTCTGCTTGGAATGCTTTCTGCCCTCTCTGCCTGGACAATTTGCATTCTTTTTTTTTTTTTTTTTGAGATGGAGTTTTGCTCCTGTTGCCCAGGCTGGAGGGCAATGATGTGACCTTGGCTCACCGCAACCTCCGCCTCCTGGGTTCAAGCAATTCTCCCACCTTAGCCTCCCGAGTAGCTGGGATTACAGGTATGCACCACTATGCCCGGCTAATTTTGTATTTTTAGTAGAGATGGGGTTTCTCCATGTTGGTCAGGCTGGTCTTGAACTCCTGACCTCAGGTGATCTGCCTGCCTTGGCCTCCCAAAGTGCTGGGATTGCATTTATTTTTAAGGTTTTTGTCTAAATGTTTCTTTCTCAGAGAGGCATTCCCTAACCCTCAATGTAGATCAAGGCCACTTGTTATATGCTCTCACAATGCCTGTCGTCTGTAGCTGGCCTTTTCAGCACTTATCATCGTGATAACAACATAGTTATTTATGTGTTTAGCTGTTCAGTGCCTGTCTCTCTCCCTCTGCCACGTTTTATGAAGGCAAGAACTATGGCTATTTTCTTCTTTCCTCTTTCCCCAGCACTTAATGCCTGACATGGGAGCTTAATACATATTTGTTGATTGAATAAATAAATGGTAATAGTGATACTGTACAATGGTCAATAGTGCGGCTCTAGAGTTGGACTGGGTTCAAATAATCCAAATCCCCACTTGTCCACTGAGAGTTCTGTAAACTAGTTCTCTACATGGACAATGCAGAAGTTTTATCAGTTCATGTTCATCTTGTCAGACTGGGAGAACTTATCTTCAGTAACCACACCTTAGACGAATAAAGTGGAACGAGAATATCTATTTATCAGCCGCAGCAGAACATAGCAATTAAGCACACACACTGTCTGGGCTGAATCTCAGAACTGTCATCTTGGCCAAAATACTTGCCTCTTTGAGTAACAGTTTCCTCAGCTGTAAATAAGAGTAATTCATTGGACTAAACTTGAAGTTGCTGTAAGTCTCAAATAGGCTCAAATGTGTAAGGAACAGCATCTGGCTCATAGTGCTTTGTATGTGTTTGCTATTAGCAATTATTTTTTATTAATTTAGGTTGACTTGAGACCCTGCAGCTGGTTAGCTGCATAAGACATTTCCTCCAGGTGAGAAAGTCCATGTCATAGGCCAGAGGGTTGTCTAGTAGAGAAAGAGTAACAGTAAGGGAAAATAGGATATTATCTGGAAATATTTCCAGCCAAGTTTGTGGAGGGCCTGGTGGGTGCCTTTTCTCTACTCCAGGGATAATGATGTCTGAAAATCCAGGGTGGATCATTTAGACCTAGAATTCTACCCTTCTTCCCAAGGAGTGTGCACATCCTGGCAGCCTCTGGCCACTTGTTCCCCTTATTCTAGATTCCAGAGAGGTCACTATCCTTCAATAAGTAGGGCCTTTCTCTTTCCTCCTTTCCTTCTTTTCTTCCTTTCTTCTTTCCTTCCTTTCTTCCTTTCTTTCTTTCCTTCTTTCCTTCCTTTCTGTCTTTCTCTCTTTCTTTCTTTCTGATGGCGTCTTGCTCTGTTGCCCAGGCTGGAGTGCAGTGGCACAATCTTGGCTCACTGCGACCTCAACCTCCCGGGTTCAAGTGATTCTCCTGCCTCAGCCTCCTGAGTAGCTGGGATTACAGGCATGTGCCACTATGCCTGGCTCATTTTTGTATTTTTAGTAGAGACGGGGTTTCACCATGTTGGTCAGCCTGGTCTCGAACTCCTGACCTCATGATCCACCTGCCTCGGCCTCCCAAAGTGCTGGAATTACAGGTGTGAACCACCACGCCTGCCCAGGGCCTTTCTTTAATTGTTCAGGTCACAACACAACTGATGAGGTTATGGTTTTCTTTAGCTGTAACCTAGGCCCAAGGGAAAAGTCTCATCACCTTGATTTCAGTTCCTCTTTCATCATTTATGAGAGGCTGACATCTGAGTGGAGCACTTCTGCAGGTAGAATTCTAACTTTTTTCCCTGATTATTTCTCCAAAATTTTAGAGCACTTTATAGCAGTCATCAAACTGGAAACCTGAAGACTGAGATTTTAATACTTCAAGTGAAATCTGTATTTTATTCTGACTTTGATACCAACTGATTGTGTGAACTTCAATAAGACCTAGGGGTTCAGTTTCCCTCATTTGTAAAATTAAGCAAAAAGAGAAAAATCAGATGGAATCCAGTGATTATACATCATGATCTGAAAAAAGTCAACACAATTGTCCCTCAGTATCCACTAGGGATTGGTTCCAGGAGAAACTGCCGACACTAAAGTCCGTGGAGGTTCAAGTGTCTGATATAAAATAGTACAGTATTTGCATATAACCTATGCACATTCTTCTGTATACTTAATCATCACTAGATCACTTATAATACCTAATACAATGTAATTGCTATGGAAATAGCTGTTATACTGTATTGTTTAAGAAATAAGAGCAAGAAAAAGTCTGTACATGTTCAATACAGATGCAACCATCCATTTTTAAAGAAAAATATATTTTTGATTTGCAGTTGATTGAATCCAGGGATAAGGAACCCACAGATAATAGAAGGCCAACTCATCATTTTAATTTCAGTTTTTTCCTATACATATGTAATTATGATAAAGTGTAACTTATAAATTAGGCACAGTAAGATATTAACAACTAATAATAAAACATTTATAACAACATACAGACAGTCTTGACTTACAATTGTTTGACCAGATTTTTTGACTTCACGATGGGTTTATCGGTATATTAACTGCATGTTCAACTTACAACATTTTCAGTTTACGATGGCTTTGCGATGGCCATCACCCCATCATAAGTCAAGGAGAATCTATACTGTAATAGAAGCTATGTGAATGTGGTCTTTCTCTCAGAATATCTTACTGTACTGTGAAAGCAAAACCAGGGACAAAGTAGGGACTATGGTACATTTAGGATAGAAAGTTGTACTGAATATTTCACAAGTGAAAAATATACTCATTTTTCTTTGTGTTGACTTTCCAATGTGGATTTGGTACAAAAAAATAAAAACCCTCCTTACCAATTGCTGGCTGGGTGCAGTGGCTCACGCCTGTAATCCCAGCACTTTGGGAGGCCGAGGTGGGCAGATCACTTGAGGTCCGGAGTTCAAGACCAGCCTGGCCAGCATGGCGACACCTCGTCTCTACGTCTCTACTAAAAATACCAAAATTAGCCGGGCGCGTAGCCGGGCGTGGTGGCGGGCGCTTATAATCCCAGCTAGGAGGGAGGCTGAGGCAGGAGAATGGCTTAAACCCGGGAGGCGGAGGTTGCAGTGAGCTGAGATTGCACCACTGTCCTCCAGCCTGGGCGACAGAGCAAGACTGTCTCAAAACAAACACACAAACCCCTCATCAGTTGCAATATTTAAGTTGCATTTAATCCTAGCAATTGCAGTCCTGAGATTTGGATAAGAACCAGAGTATGGTCTTCCAGGGCAGCCAAACCAAGCCATTCCATGAACAACAGAGATCACCCTGCTGCAGATGGTCCACAGATCTTTTCTTGTGCATTTCTTCTGGGAACAAATGCAACTGAGGAAGCAGACATATTCTAGGGGGAGAGATCCACAAAAATCCTTAGAGTCATCTTGCCCCACCTCCTTGTTATGGCTTTAGGTACAGCCCTTATGGCTAGGAGATGTAACCTTCCTCAGCCTTTGCGTCTACGTCTACAAAATAACAACTACCTTGCAGGGTGTTATTTAACACTGCGAAAGTGCATTAATAGGCACAGAAAAACAAAAAACAAAAAAGCAAATTGTGCCCTCACTGCGAATTCTCTGTATTCTAGTTAAAAACATCTATAGCTTGGGTGCATGGTGTCCGTGCTGGGCAAGAAAAGGGCAAAATAGATCATGACAAGCCTTAACATTTTCTCACTTCAGTTTCCTCACTGCAATTGATTTTTTTTTTTCTTTCAAGTCGGAGTCTTGTTCTGTCGTCCAGGCTGGAGTGCACTGGTGTGATCTCGTCTCACCGCAACCTCCGCCTCCCAGGTTCAAGCGATTCTCCTGCCTCAGCCTACCGAGTAGCTGGGATTACAGGCGTACGCCACCACGCCCAGCTAATTTTTGTATTTTTAGTAGAGACGGGGTTTCACCGTGTTGGCCAGGCTGGTCTCGAACTCCTGACCTCGTGATCCACCCGCCTCGGTCTCCCAAAGCGTTGGGATTACAGGCGTGAACCATCGCGCGGCCCCTCACTGCAACTGAGGGTAGCGCAGTGGCCGCAAGTTCCAGATCTGGAGTTACTAAATAGCTGGGTTCCAATCCCGGCTCTGCCACTTATTAGCTGTACGATCTTCATTCGTTTCTCAACCTCTCTGGGTCTGAGATTCCCTTAAAGCCGGGGTAATAGAAATGAATAGGATTTCCTAACTAGGACTAGACTTTCTCAATTTCTTGACTCAGAGGGGCAAGGATAGCCTGAAATGGAAAGTGAAGGCCTTCAGGTTCTTCCTAACAGCCGCTCCGAGGAGGGGAAAGCTACAGGAAGAGGGAGGAGACCCAAGAAAGGTCGGACCAATGAGGCAGCGGGCGGGACAGGAGTTCCCGCCTTTGGGCGTCGTGCGCGCGCACCTCGCTCACACGCACACTCGCACGCACGCACGCTGCGGAAGCGCGCGCGCGCGCAGGCCCAGCCCTCGTCGCCGCCGCCATTTTAGCTGTTGGTTCCGGCCGCACCGTGTGGGCTGTAGTAGCGGGAGGGGTGGGGGTCCTCCAGAGTTAAGTGGCTGTCCTCGACTGTGCCCATACAGCAGCCAGCTTTCTTCCTTAATAACTGCCCGTTCGAAGAGTGCGAGGATGTCCAAGCGGCACCGGTTGGACCTAGGGGAGGATTACCCCTCTGGCAAGAAGCGTGCGGGGACCGATGGGTAAGCCAGGCCGGGGGCGCGAGGCGGCAGCTCGGGCTTTGTTGGGGTCCTGGCAGGGAGCGGGCCGGGGCTGGCCTGGCCGAGCGGGTCCTGGAGCCCGAGCCTTTGTTTCTCTCTGGGCTGGGTTCACTAGCGGCGGGTAGGAGAAGCGCGGCGCCCGTTCGGCCCGGCAAGGGCGCGGGGGGTTGCGTGCGACGGGGCCGCTGCCCAGCCCAGTCCGGAGGGTGGAGAGGCCTGCAGTAGCCATGAGGGCGCCTCCTCCCCCAGGCCGAACCGAGCGGGAGTCATTTGCGAGGGCGTCGGGCGGGAGTGAACCGCGGACCTCGTGGCCTCGGTTCCCGAGGAAGGCCTGGAGCCGGAGGAGAGGGTGGGGGAGGGCGCGGTGGGAGTATTCGCTTCCAAGGGCAGCAGGCACTTCCCAGCCAGAGGGGCCGTGGGGAGGGCCTGGGTGGGGGCGCGGCCAGGCACTCCAGACGGGAAAGGCGGAGGGCGGAAAGTGAGAGCAGCGCGTGGATCATAATGTAGGCTGGGATGGGGGTGGCGGGAGTTGAGAGAAGCCAGCAAATAGGGAGTTCTCGGGGGAGGTGGGAGTAGAGGACCTGCCGGGAGAAAGGAAAACGTGGAGTAATATACCTGATGGGCTGGAAGGCTGGTGTTTTGGGGCGACTGAGTTTATAGTTTGGCGGGAGAGAGCGTGCCTTGGTCCATTCAAACACTTCAAAGTAGATACTAGCAAACTTCCGCTCTCTGCCTACGCTCCCGCCATCTCCTGTATTTCCTGCTTTGGTTAAAACTGGTTACTGAACATCGTCCCATGGGGAGGGATTAGAAGGCATTGTTTTTTTTTTTCATCATTTATTTTCTATGCATGTCCCACTTTTCTTCATAAGTAGCTTTTGAAATACAGGGATCATGTTCAAAACGTGTTTTTAGTATTTATGGCGAAACACCGCCCATGTGGAGGTTGAGAGTTGAAATACTTACACAAACTCTTGGTGTTCCAGATTCCTTTCCTTAAAGGTACAGAGGAATTTAGCAGTTAATTTAAGCAATTTCGTGAAAATCATTTCTTGTCCCTTGTGTGTTTTCATTGATGAAGTACAAAGACCTGTTTGGATAATTCAGGCAAAACCCACAAAAGCCCGAGTAGCCAAATACTTTGCATAATTGTATCATTTTATTGTGTACTTGTGATACAGAATCACTGTGTCAAGTCACCTGTATAGCTGTTTTGAATTTTTCAGCTAAAGTTCTTCATTGAAATTGATTTCCAGGGATATGTTTAGTGTCATTGTAGAGTATAAGCCAGGATAGGGTGTACTTTTTGAGGCTTTGCCATATGTTGAATTATTCAATAGAAAGCAAAAGCATGTCACATTTTAATTTTGTGAGTTATTTAGTTTACGATATTAGGCATTGTAAAAAAGACAATGACATTGTAAGACAGACTCTCTTTAGGCTATCACCCTCCCCCACCATTACGCCCCACAAAACGTTAATACCTCTGAGCTGTATGTCACAGACTCAGAGCTGGAAGCAACTTAAAAAAGACTATACGCGGCTCCAATCAAGGAATGAGAAGTGGAGAACAGAGTTAAGGTGGCTTGTGCAAGTTTACAGCAGGATCTGGAACCCTGCCTTTGTCATTTTCACTCAGCAGCACACAGTTCAGTACTGTAGTTAAGAGTCATTACAGCCTATTTTAATGACATTTATAATGCGTTGGTAAAGTAGGGAACACTTAGTTCTTGATTTCTCTAAGGCAAAAATAAATTGCTGTCATCTGGAACTGATGTCTCTCACAGGAGGTCAGATTGGAACAAAATATTCTGGGAGGGAATGAATGAATTCATTTGTATTTGTGCATATGTGCACCATTTAAAATGTTCCCCTTGGGATTAGTGGTCCCACCATATGTATGTGCGATTGTTTACTTTCTCTTGCAAAAACAGATATCCTTAGTAAAAAGGTTGACTTTTGGAGTCTAATGGTAGCTTTATGATTCCCTTGTATATTATTTAGAATTTGCCTATGGATAAAGGAGAGTTCATCTTTGGAATAATGCCCAAGTTATAAGAAATAGTAGAGGGAAGTTTTTATACTCATTTCTATGTCATTTGAGTGCCATTTATCCTTGAACTGGTTTTATTTAACAGTGGACTTAAGGTGTTTATCGGCCTCAGAATTTTTTCATACTCGATAATTTTAAGTCACTTGTTGACTGCCATGCAATCCTGCAGATTTTTTTTTTCCCTGATAAGCAAGTGGTTTTATTGGAGAGCATAAGCTTGTCAGTCTTACAAACTCCACTGCCAGATAGGGTTTCTGCAGTACTGAGAAGGGAAGGTAATTCAGTGGGAGATTTCACTTATATTAATGCTCCCAAACTATATAAGGCTTTATTTACTCCTGGCATATTTTAACTTTGAAATCAGGTGAAGTTATTATAGGTTTCTGTTGCATATTCTGGCCTCATTTCTTCTTTTTGTCAACCCACAGAATCTTCACTATACAATTACCGAAAGTAATAATTTTCCATACTTACTGTTGAAGTATGGAAAAAAGTTTTCGATGTTAGGGGCGTTTTTCATTTTGATGTTGGTTTTTGATATTACCACCTGATAAGAGTTTTTTCTGTTAATTATGGGAAAGTAAAGCTAATGTATTAATACTGTGATAACATTTGTGGAGCATGCACATTTTCACTACAATCCTGTATGGTAGATGAGGTTAAATGAACTTGCCACAGGGAACATAAGAAATGTTTATACTCAAAGGTTTAAAGAAGGCATTCCCTAAAATCTTCATCTCCATCTTTGGATAACAGTTTTTGGTGAACATTTTCTAAGATCTCTGCATATTGACTCAAAAATATGAACTATAAAATTTAATATCAGTGGGATCAACGCGTGTTATTTTGTACTTTGATTTTTTTTTCCACTCAGAAATGTCATTAACTGTAGGTACACATTACGCTTTTAAATTGGCTGCCATAGGCCGGGCGCAATGGCTCACGCCTGTAATCCCAGCACTTTGGGAGGCCGAGGCGGGTGGATCACGAGGTCAGGAGATCAAGACCATCCTGGCTAACACGGTGAAACCCTGTCTCTACTAAAAATACAAAAAATTAGCCGGGTGTGGTGGCGGGCACCTGTAGTCCCAGCTACTCTGGGAGGCTGAGGAAGAATGGTATGAACCCGGGAGGCGGAGCTTGCAGTGAGCCGAGATTGTGCCACTGCACTCCAGCCTGGGCAACAGAGCGAGCCTCCATCTCAAAAAAAAAAAAATAATAAAAAATAAATAGATTGACTGCCATAGTACTCCAGTTGTAAAGGTATGACATCACTTATTTAACCAATATCCTGTTCATTGATATTTAGGTAGTTTTCCACTTGTTGCTATTTTATAAATGAGAAGTTTGATGAACATCCTTATACATACGTATTTGCACACATCCTTGAGAGGTTCCTGGAAATAAGATTGACGGATAAAAAGCAGTGCTTATTGCCGGGTGTGATGGCTCACACCTGTAATCACAGCACTTTGGGAGGCCTAGGCGAATGGATCACCTGAGGTCAGGAGTTCAAGACCAGCCTGGCCAAGGTAATAAAACCTATTTTTGTCTCTGTTAAAAATACAAAAATACACTGGGCATGGTGGCGCACTGCTGTAATCCCAGCTACTTACTCCGGAGGCTGAGGCAGGAGAATTGCTTGAACCTGGGAGGCAGAGGTTGCAGTGAGTCGAGATTGCACCACTACACTCCAGCCTGGGTAACAGAGGTAGACTGTCTTTAAAAAAAAAAAAAAAAAGCAATGCTTATTTAAAATATCATGATTTTGATGACCAGTTAATGTCTTCCTTAGCAGTACTTCAGTGCCTGTTATTATTCCATGTAGAATTTTTTTATTTTTTAGAGACAGGGTCTTCCTCTGTTTCCCAGGCTGGAGTGCACTGGTGTGATCATGGCTCACTGCAGTCTCAAATTCCAGGGCTCAAGTGATCTTCCCGTCTCAGCCTCCCAGGTAGCTGGGACTACAGGCGTGCCACCCCACCTAGCTAAGTTTAAAATTTTTTTGTAGAGATGGGGTCTCACTGTATTGCTCAGGCTGGTCTCAAACTTTTGGCCTCTGGTGATCCTCCCACTTGGGCCTCCCAAAGCACTGGGATTACATGCGTGAGTCACTAGGTCTTGCCCTCCATGTAGAATTTTAACATGGTATTAGAACTTAAAAAGATCTTTAATAATAACCAATATTGGTGGGGCGCGGTGGCTCATGCC
This sequence comes from Homo sapiens, assembly GCF_000001405.40. Classification (NCBI taxonomy): domain Eukaryota; kingdom Metazoa; phylum Chordata; class Mammalia; order Primates; family Hominidae; genus Homo; species Homo sapiens. The sequence continues at coordinate 24,580,040 of NC_000004.12, read as the reverse complement.
AGTAATCCCAGCACTTTGGGAGGCCGAGGCAGTCAGATCATGAGGTCAAGAGATTGAAACCATCCTGGCCAACATGGTGAAACCTCGTCTCTACTAAAAATACAAAAATTAACTGGGTGTGGCAGCATGTGCCTGTAGTCCCAGCTACTCTGGAGGCTGAGGCAGGAGAATCGCTTGAAACAGGGAGGCAGAGGTTGCAGTGAGCTGAGATTGCACCACTGCACTCCAGCCTGGTGACAGAGCAAGACTCCGTCTCAAAATAATAGTAATAATAACAACAACAACCGATATTGGGCATTTGCAATGTGCCAGACAACACTTAAAGCACATCACATATATTAACTCATTTAATCCTATCTATACTCTACAAAACATATTGATAGCCACATCTTATAGGTGAGGGAAGAAATAACTGTGATCCTATAGTTGGCTTAAGTCTTGAGCCAAGATTGAACTGAGACACAGTACAGAGCAGTATGTTCAACAACTGTGTCATGTCATACCTCCCTCCCTGCTCGTGGTGTGGCTGTGTCTGAAGCACTGACTTGATACCAGTTTTTAAAAACCCTTATACTTCAACTAGTAAACTTTTAAGAACAAAACTCCTTTATAATAAAAAGTATCTTTTAAAAAAGAAAACACGCATGTGCACAATAGTTGACAAATATTTATGAAGTGGAGGGTTTGATTTTCCCCTTTTACTCACCTTTCATTTGTACTCCCTCTCTCATCGAAGGAAGGTAGTTTGAGCCATAAGCAACATTTCCAGGTGTCTGAATTTGCCTCCTGCATCCTCCCTGTTTTCTTACTTTAATCTGAGACTAAAAGTATCTGAAAATGCTCTTCATTTTGCAGATCAGTAAATTGAGGCAGTGTCTTGCAATGGTGATTCCAGCATTCCTTTTATCTTAATACCACAGCTGTCGCCATTGCTTGATCAGCAGCTAACCTTTTATCTTTAGAATGTATTTTATACATCCTTTGTTTGGTTTGGTAATGAAGCATCTGATGAAGTGGGCCCCTGAAAAAATCTTTGTTAGTATAGGTATTACTTTAACAAACTAAGGCAATATATAATACATGATTTACTTTGTCACCTCTCTTCCCCCAAATTTTGTAACTCTTGACCATGTCTTAATTGCCTGGTACTATGCTAGAAGTATAGAAATCATTAAACTAGGCTGGGCATGGTAGCTCATCGGTAATCCCAGCACGTTGGGAGGCTGAAGCAAGAGATTGCTTGATCCCAGGAGTTGAAAACCATCCTGGGCAACATGGTGAGACCCTTATCTCTACAAAAATAAGAAATTAGCGAGGCGTGGTGGTGCATGCCTGTAGTCCCAGTTACTCGGGAGGCTGAGGTGAGAGGACCACTTGAACCCAGAAGTTTGATATTGCAGTGAGCCATGATCCAGTGAGCCACTGCACTCCAACCCGGGTAATGGAGCAAGATCCTATCTCAAAAAAAAGGAAGTTGTTTCAATTATATTTTTTGTCATCTCCTCCTTCCCCCATGGTTGAGTGAATACTAGAAACATGAATCCTTTTTGTTCAGACCAGATGTTCTTTAAGAGTTCTTTTCTAGCTGTATGATCCATGATCTTTAAGGTGTCAAGTATTTGAACCATTTGTGAGTACAGTGCTTCTTACTTTGCTGGGCACATTTCTGTGTACTCTTATTATAAACTACACCTCGTTGGCATTTTGGAGCAATGTAAACACTTAATTAACAGTCACCTTAGGCCAGAAGCAGGAGAAGCAAAGATAGTTGATGGCATATTTCAGAAGATAGGTCCAGACTCTCAAGTATTGAATTGTGAGACTTCATTTTATGTTTATTAAGTTATCCTTTGACTTTTCTTTCCCATTGATTTTCTTTCTGTTTATGCCAGGTGAAATGAGAGGCTTCATACAGTTCTGGCTTGTATGCTCTGTGATTTTTGTAGAAGGTGAACATTGGGATGGAAGAGGGGAAAATCACTTTTCATGTTTATATATGCATATATATGGCTTTTCCCCTTTTTGAGTAAATTTGTACATGTCACACAACTGCACTTGGAGCACAGGGAATTTGTACTTTTGTGTATTGTGGGTAAGGAACAATGACATGTTTCGGGGCTTGTGTCATAGCTCCGTCATGTCTCATTATTTCAAGTCTGGGTTTAAAGATCTTGAGGCAAATTTCTCTGCTGATGGACTTGGTCTGAAGTAAACTGGATTAGTAAAATGAACAAGCATAGATTATTTTATTTTATTCCCACCACCAGTCTCCCAGAGGCTGCTTTCAGCCACAACGCATATGAACAACCTGCAGCCATTCTGCTTGTGAAGTTCTTAGCATAGATACTTTTAAAATGACTTATTAAGGTCAATCTCTAGTAACTGGAAGTAGATACCAGCATTGACTACTTAAAATTGACCCAGGTTTAATAGAGTGGCTACCTGCATAATTTTAACATGTTAAACAACTTAATAGTGTTTAGCAAAGCTTATTTTTAATTTGGCTATGTTTCATTTTATGGTAGACCAAGGTACATAGATTTATAGAGTGCTTTCAGTGTTTTGCTGTTGCTGTTTAGGTTAAAATGCAAGAGTAAACAAGCAAGAAGGAATAAAAGTTTTAATTTCAGTTTTTTTAATAAAGCAATATACATTTACTGAACAAAATTGGGAAAGTGCTGGAAAGTATAACTAAGAAAACAAATTCTGCAGTCCTGTAATTCGTATTTGTATTAGTTGAGATATTGACAGGTATAACATTGTACTATGCTCTTTTCACTTTGCATTACAACCGAACATCGTCCTATGGCAAAGAAAGGAATATTAAAGTAATTTATTAGAAGTGGATTATAAAAGTATTGAGCAAAACCCACCACTGTTGACTGTAATGATGTGAGGTGGAGTTGTCTTTATCTCCAGTAGCAGTGTTTGTGCTAACTTCTGAATATACTTTTAGTGCACAAAATACCTCTTCACAAATTGAAGGAGAATTTGAGAAAGATTGAGATGCCATCTTCTTTTACTCAATTTGGACCTATCCTTTCTTCATCCTACCCTCAGTATCTGATTTCTGTTGTCTAAGTAGGAGGGGTTTTACTTGCAGCAGACTGAGTTCTTGTGTTACCTCACCTAATGTTAAAAGTTAAGGAAGGTGGGGCATCAGCAAGGAAGGGAAAGATGTTTGTGGTGGAGAATGGGAAACCCTTGATTGTAGGGTATTTTTTATTATTTCTGATAGTTACATAATCCATTGGACTTTTTATTCATTTGAACGTTGGACATTTACTCTCTTTGTGATTATAACGCTACCGTGAACATTCTGCATAAAATTCAGAATCTGAATTCTAAATTTTTGTTTTTAGGAAGGATCGAGATCGAGACCGGGATCGTGAAGATCGGTCTAAAGATCGAGACCGAGAACGTGATAGAGGAGATAGAGAGCGAGAGAGGGAGAAAGAAAAGGAGAAGGAGTTGCGAGCTTCAACAAATGCTATGCTTATCAGTGCTGGATTACCACCTTTGAAAGCTTCCCATTCAGCTCACTCAACCCACTCAGCACATTCAACGCATTCAACACATTCTGCTCATTCAACGCATGCCGGACATGCAGGTCACACGTCACTTCCACAGTGCATTAATCCGTTCACCAACTTACCCCATACTCCTCGATACTATGATATTCTAAAGAAACGTCTTCAGCTCCCTGTTTGGGAATACAAGGATAGGTTTACAGATATTCTGGTTAGACATCAGTCCTTTGTACTGGTTGGTGAGACTGGGTCTGGTAAAACAACACAGGTGAGTTATTGTATACCATGGTACATATTTCATTTATGTTTAAGTTTACCAAATGTTGCATATTTGATTCTGGTGGTCATTTCCCTTGTCTGTCCTATAGAACATCTTGAAGAATAGCTGATTTGATGTTTAATTGGCACTCTGAATTTCAGAGTGGAAATCCTATAGAGAATACCTCTCCCCTGAATCTAGGGGAAAATAGTGGTGCTCGCTTTTCAAATTTTGTTACCTTATGTATGGCAGAGGTATTTTGACTCCCGGACAGTACAGATTTAGGGACCCACAGTTTGTTTTCTGGTACTTGGGTGGAGAAATCACTGGGGTAGATTTTTGTCGTTTGTATTTAATATGGTATTTTGAACCATGCAAAAAATGAAATGCCAAAGTAATATAAAGTCTATACCGGTGACTTTTGTCCATCTAGTCGTCCTCCCTCCCATAGAACTAAACACTGTTACTAGTGTGTTATTTGTAATATAGCTAGGATATTTTTTAAACATGGATGGGCTATTATTAACTAGACCCCTGTTGATAGACATTTAGACTGTTTCCCATGGTTGTTTTGCATGGGTCAAGTGTTTCTGTAGGAAGCAGAAATTGCTGGGTCAGAAGATCATTTGTAATTGTGATACAGAAAGCTGGATAGCCTTCCAGAGGGAGCGTATCAATTTACCTTTCCATGAGCATGTAGGAGAACACGTGGGAAACTATTAAAACGTGAATTTTTACAAATCCAATAGGTGAAAAATTGCATTCTAATGTACTTTTTAATTTGCATTTTCTTGCTGTGGGTGAGAAGTAACTGTCTTTATACACTTAAGCCTGAACCATCAATTAAAAATTTCTGGTTTCAAAAGTAGCAGTCCCTGATCATTGTAGAAACTTTGAAAAATTCAGGAAAGTATTGAAGTGAATTACCTGTCTTACCATGCAGAGATTGAACATACCGCATACACAATTTATCTTTTTCTAAAGTTACATGTGCATGGAGACATTTTGAAGGTACTGTAGCAACCAAAATAGGAAGCTTTTATTATAGACTGAGCCTTAGTACCATTCTTCTTTTCTTTTCTTTTTTTTTTTTTTAATTTTTGTGTTGTTGTTGAGACAGTCTTTCACCCATGCTGGAGTGCAGTGGTATGAACACAGCGTCAACCTCCTGAGCTGAAGCGATCCTCCTGCCTCAGCCTCCCAAGTAGCTGGGATCACAGGCATATGCCACCAGTGCCTGGCTAATTTTTAAATAAAATTTTTGTAGAGTTGAGGTTTTGAACTCCTGAGCTAAAGCAATCCTCCTGCCTTAGCCTTGCCAATTTTTCTTTTTTAATGAAGGAAAACTTAGAATTGATGTTAGGGTATTCAAAAATCACCTTACGGAAATTTTAAGAATTTTCAAACTACAAGAAAGACTGTAACTCTGAACTTACTATTTAATTGATATTTGGGTAAAGCCAGACACTGTATACTTTACATGTATTAGCTCATTTACGTTTTTCTATAACCCTGCAGGAAGATATTCATCACCACTTTACAGATGAGCAAAATGAGGTTTAAGTTTATGAGAAACTTAGGTTTAGTGGATTGTCCTGGGTTACATGGATTATGGATTTTGGTGGGCTCAATATTTAAAACTTTGTACCTTTTGTCTTTATATCTAAAGTTTTATATTTCATACTGCTATTCTGTGGTCTGATTATGGGTAGCCTCATTTCAGAGATGAGTTTATTAATGGTTAGTGTAGAAGGAGGTCAGGTCAACTCAAGATGAGGTTTGTGATTATTTGGATTAATATTTAACTTTTAGAGGGGTAATTAAGATACTTGGATACTGAGGATTGCAGCACATCTGGGGGATTTGAAGGGAAACCAAACAGTTTAAAAAGTGAATTTCATTCAAATGTTTCCTAGCATGCTCTTATTAAACTTTGACTCAAACCATTAAAGCCAGTCTTTTTTTGGTGATTTGTTCTTGTCAGAAAAATTCTCTAAACAAAATCTAAAGTAATGACTTTAACTTTTTTTTTTTTTTTTTTTTTTTGAGACAAAGTCTCGCTCTGTCACCCAAGCTGGAGTGCAGTGGTATGATCTTGGCTTTCTGCAACCTCCTCCTCCTGGGTTCAAGTGATTCTCCTGCCTCAGCCTCCTGAGTAGCTGGGACTACAAGCGCGCACCACCATGCCTGGCTATTTTTTTTTTTTTTTTGTATTTTTAATAGAGACAGGGTTTCACCCTGTTGGCCAGGCTGGTCTCTAAATCCTGACCTCAAGTTATTGGCCTGTCTGGGCCTCCCAAAGTGCTGGGATTACAGGCCCAAGCCACTGCACCGGGCCATGACTTTAGCTTTTGACAGACCTACAATAAAGACATTTCACATTGCTGCTTAGTAGACACATAACTGCACATGAGGAAGGAATTGAAGCTAGGTCAACCAAAGGGACAGTGTGAGCAAGGACGCATGTTGAGCTAAGGGAATGCAGGTATGCTCTGGCTAGAATACAGAGGGTTTGGGAAGGTGGAGGTGGGGCAGGTGAGACTGGAACTGTAAGTTGAGCCTTAATATATCTTGTATAGACTGGAAGCCATCAGAGCTCTTGAATTGAAGAGGAATGATGAGGATTTTTTTTTAAAAAAACTCCTGTCTAGTGAACATATTGATGATACACCATGTAAGAGCTCATAACAAAAGTTTCGATTCTGTGAAGGGCCTTGGGAATAGAAAATAAAGAATGGATTGGAGTCAGGATATTAGGAATTACAAGTATTTTGGAGGAAGGTGAGAAATGGCTTTGCTTTTGAATGTGTGAATTTGGGATACCAACTAGGTGGAAATGACCGTTAGCTCTAAGATGAAAGCTGGAGTTAGGATTGGCATTGATGTATTATAGGTAGTATTAGAAGTTAGAACATATAAGACTTCACAGGATATTATGTAAAACAAGAAGACTAGAACACCGAGGATCAGTTTTAAGATGCCCTCAAGTGGAGGAAGCAAAGAGCTGAAAAGGAGGAATGGCTTTAGAATAACTTAGACCTGGCTGGGTACAGTGGCCCATGCCTGTAATCCTGGCACTTTGGGATGCTGAGGCGGGCAGATTACCTGAGGTCAGGGGTTTGAGACCAGCCTGGCCAATATGGTGAAACCCCATCTCTACTAAAAATACAGAAATCAGCTGGGCGTGGTGGCGCACACCTGTAATCCCAGCTACTTGGGAGGCTGAGGCAGGAGAATCACTTGAACCCTGGAGGTGGAGGTTGCAGTAAGCCTAGATTGCGCCCCTGCACTCCAGCCTGGGCAACAGAGTGAAACTCCGTCTTAAAAGAAAAAAACAAAAAAGCCGGATCCCTGGCTTGAATACACCAGTAGCCTACATATTTCAGGACCTCTTTCTTTTCCTAATGCTGTTTTCCTTAGAAATGTGAACAGATGCATTAACTGACTGGTTCTCCAGCTATTGCCTGGGAGTTCTTGAAAGTCCTTGAAACCATTTCAGGGATCCTAGAATTTGTAAAAATACAAGGAAACGCACTCTTCTAGCTAAGTTTTTTTGTTTGAAAAGTAGTCATTTTTATAGAAAGCGTTATTTTGTGTTAAAACAGAATGAGTTTTATTGTTAGGAATTAATATTTTAGCAATTTTTCAGTTTTAATTTCTTAACAGTAAATTTATTAGTAGCTTGGCATCCTCGGTCATTTTCAGAGTGAGTGCACAGGGGTCCTGAGAGCTGCTAATTGACTTGTTGGTCTTGTTTTTAAAGTGGAGGTAAGCTGTTGATTTTAGCGGAGTGAATTAAAAAATCTGAACATTCTTGGCCAGGCATGGTGGCTCACGCCTATAATCCCAGCACTTTGGAAGGCTGAGGCGGGTGCATCACCTGAGGTCAGGAGTTCGACACCAGCTTGCCCAACGTGGTGAAACCCTGTCTCTACTAAAAATACAAAAAATTAGCCAGGCGTGGTGGCACGTGCCTGTAGTCCCAGCTACTTGGGAGGCTGAAGTAGGAGAATCGCTTGAACCTTGGTGGTTACAGTGAGCCAAGATTATGCCACTGCACTCCAGCCTGGTCAACAGAGTGAGATTCCATCTCAAAAAACAAACAAAAAAACAAAAGATCTGAACATTCTTGCCTTGAGAATTTTGAATTAATTTTAAATATCTTTGGTTCACCAGTGAGTGAATTTCACTTTCTAGATCTTTGAAAGTACATTTTGCCTTTGTAAAAGGGTTGCCGAATTGAGGATATATCAGTAAGTAAGGCTTTATAGCCTGACTAGAAAACCACTTAAACCTAGGTCTGTGGATTTACAGAACCCGATAGATACTACTTCTTTAGTTATTTTTGTTCATTTAAAGTGTTTTAAAGATATATATGATTTTAGAGAATCAGCATAATTACCCTCCCTTTCAGATATTTGTTAGTGACAAGTTACCCCCAATTGCAGAAGCAACCTAACTAAAATGTAATAATAGTGCAGCCACCAATATTCCTTATCAGTTTTACTGTACTGATACTGTGCAGAAAACTCCATGTTTCCTGTAGCATTAGAGTTTGATAGGCGTTTGGAAGCTTTGATGTAAACCAGTTATGCTCTTCTAGCAGTGGATTTCCATATAATATGGTGAGCACTTACATTTTTCCCATGGTTCTTTTCCAGTTAAGTGACTGGAAAACTGTAAAATTGGGGAATCCATTAGCTTATATTGATAATGGAACTGGGGGAAAATGTACTGCCGTCATGGCAACCAATTTAACTTGTGCTTGGGGGTCCCCCAACCCTTTGGCTGCCCTTAACGAAGTGGTGCTGCTCTAGGTCCTGTTAAATTTGAGACTGGCAGTTCTTAAAATTGATTTTAAGATGGTACCTAAGGTGCTACCATTGTGCATACTGCTCCTGAGGGGGAAAGGATAGGATTACAAAAGAGTTGGGTGCTAAGAGTTAGGTTCTGCTGGCTTATAAACCAAATTTGAATTGAATTAAATAAAAGTACAGCTTCAGAGTTACAAGGGGGTATGATTTCCACTTGATTTTGCAACTCAAATTATGTAAGAATTTAAAAGTTACACTTTCTTAGAAACGTTTGTTATAAAGTAGAATTTGTTGTAAGTTGGATTTTTTAAAATTGCATAGAGAAATACTTCATGATGGGATAGTCACACTGTCGAGTGTATTCCTGATTGTGTCTACCCAACTTGGGTGTGTGTCATATCAGTATTACACATAACTGTTCCTTGGTTTAGAGAGCTTGTGTTGTTACAAGTTTTGAATCACAAGTCTTATAGTCATTTGCCTAATTGGATTTGGTTTTAAATCATTAGAATGAGATAAAGTGCTTTATGTTACATATACTTGATATGCAGGCAGAATAGAATTAATTTAAATGTGAAATTATTTGATAGATTCCACAGTGGTGTGTGGAGTACATGCGATCATTACCAGGACCCAAGAGAGGAGTTGCCTGTACCCAACCCAGGAGAGTGGCTGCAATGAGTGTGGCTCAGAGAGTTGCTGATGAGATGGATGTGATGTTGGGCCAGGAAGTTGGTTACTCCATTCGATTTGAAGACTGCAGTAGTGCAAAAACCATTCTTAAGTAAGTACTATATCTTTAATGACGCTTTTAGTCCTCTGCTTGCCATTTTCTGCTATTAGATAGAAGACTTTGCTAGTGCAGGCTTATGTCATCCAAATTTAGAATTATCCAAAGTAGGCCTTCTTAGACTTACCACATGACCTTAGTTTAATTATATATTATTGGTAATCTATAGTTACTTGGTAGAAATTGAAGTTCAAAGGTCAGATTTTAGTTACTTGGTTCTGCATTTTAGGTGAAATGTTACTGATACTGTAAAATGTGTGGTTTTAGTAGACACAATGGTGTATGACTTAATTGTGAAAGAAAAGGAAAGTGATATGTCTTACTTAGTAAAAGATAACTACTTTTAGAAAGAAGAATGTATAGGATGGGATGTGATTTATTTAGGGGAGAGGGGACTTTTAATGTTAATTATGCAGCTATTACCGTGCATCTGTTATAAGCTAAAAAGAGGAATCTTTTGTTCTGTAATACACTGTTAGAGCTGCCTCTAGGTCCTTGTTCCTCTATAGCTATGGTGCAGATAATTGACTACTGTATTGAGCTTTCTAATGTTTTAACTCTACCAACTTTTTATTGTCTTATACTTGCATTCTGCATAAGTTATGATGTATGCTACCTGATGATGATTCTTTCTCAAGTCTTCCCTCTGGTTGCTTCTGCTTATTCTGTATTTATGTGATATTTAAGTCCTTTTAAATGTGACTTGTTTGAGTGGGGCTCAGTGGCATATGCCTGTTTATTCCCAGCCACTTCGTAGGCTGAAGCAGGATTATTGCTTGAGGCCAGGAGTTCAAGGCTACAGTGTGCTCTGATCATGCCTGTGATAGCTACTGCATTTGAACCTGAGCAACATAGCAAGACCACATTTCTTTTAAAAAAAAAGAAAAATCATATCTATGTGATCTTCTCCCTGAGGTTTTTAAAAACCATTTTGGAGCGTTGTGTAGGCAGTGATATGAGTCTTTGTTGTCAGAGTCTTTGTTGTCAGAGAGATATATAGTGTTAATGGGATAAATGAAACAAGAGTCTCTCTTTTTTTTTTTTTTTTTTTTTTTTGAGATGGAGTCTCACTCTGTTGCCCAGGCTGGAGTGCAGTGGCGCCATCTCGGCTCTCTGCAACCTCCGCCTCCCGGGTTCAAGCGATTCTCCTGCCTCAGCCTCTCAGGTAGCTGGGACTATAGGTGTGCGCCACCATGCCTGGCTAACTTTTTGTATCTTTAGTAGAGTTGTGGTTTCACTATGTTGGCCAGGCTGGTCTCTAACTCCTGACCTCATGATCCGCCCGCCTCAGCCTCCCACAGTGCTGGGATTACAGGCGTGAGCCACTACACCCAGCCGCAGAAATTGAATAGAATAATGAACTGCATGTGTTTATCATCGACTTTTAACTATTTCAGTCTTATTTATTTCATATCCAATCTTAATTTATTTCCCTGTCCCATGTTATTTCGAAGCAGTCTTAGATACCAAATAATTATATATATAAATATTTCAGTGTGTATCTCTGAGATAGTTTCTTAAAATAGAGCTATCATAACTTAAAACAATTTATTGGATCAAAATATCCAGTTTTCATTCAACATTTGTGTCAGTTTTTTCTAATTCTTTGATTTATCTCATTTTATTAGAACTTTTTATTCAGCGTGATATTTAATAGCAGTTGAACTTTAAAATATTTAAATAAGCTTATCCTTATGACTTTATGGGACATATTTTTGGCTTAAACCTTAATCTTCACTGAATAAATTCTTGTAGTTGTTCAGTGATACGTTATTGATCACTGGTAATTACAGTATAATTGACAATAATTGCATAAGCAAAATCATAGCTCATTATGTTGTATTACTTTAAAATGCAGGTAATGTCAAGGACTTGAGGATAATAAGGGGGAGATTTTACTCATCTTTAGGAGGAATATCATTATTCTGACTTGATTCACATTGCATTGAATTTTTTTGGTAAGCCACAGTTGAGAACAGAATTTGGAAATTGGGATACAAGAAAGTTATGCAATATTGGTGCTGTGTGTATGTGTAGTAGGAAGTGGGTGGAGGATAGGCTTTCAAAAGATGAGTACCTCTGAAAGATTTTGGTTCACTTCATAGGGAATGACAAGTAACAGATTTTATAGTTCAAATGAAGTATTTTTGGCATTGTGATTTTTTTAATGGAGCATTTTCTAGAGGTTATAACTACTTGTAAAAGCTTACTTAAGACAGGGTAAGCTTATTGGGGTTTCTTCTAGGAGCTAACCTGGTGTTGCCTTTAAGTAATATAAGTAAAGGAGTGTATTATTACAATAAGTTAGCTTAAAATTTAAAAATTTCAAATGTAACTTTGCTATTTGATAGGAAGAACTTAACTAATGGGAATGCTTCATTAAATGTAGCTCTTATCATATATAGATATAAAATGCTTATATATCCATTGTGTAGCCAGGGCGAACTTTAATTTTCACTCTAGGGTGGTAAAGAGGCTAACTTAGGCAGATTATGTTTGAGGAGCACAGAATTTAACCATAGTTTGAGAGCATTTTAGCTAAATAAAGTATCTTTAAATTGTCCGCATATAGATTAAGGGTCTATAAGATAGTTTCTTCAGTGTTTGGGATACCTATTCATAAATTTTAGGTTATAGATCTGACACTGTGCTCTTTTCGGAAGATTGGATCTGGTATAACTTAGTGCACACTCTGTTAGTCTAGCCTTAAATGGCTACCCCATCCCAGTGAACAAGTAAGTTTACAAAGCTGCCACTCCTAAATGGTTTTTATATTTCCTTTTTTATGTGTTTGCTTGTCCCCATCCTTTTCTTCTGAAGCATTCTTTTTGCAACATACTTACTTTCCTGTTTTCTTGGAGTGGAAATTATGAAGAAAAAACCCAAAGAGATACCTAAAGAGCTTACCAGTCAGGGAACAATATATTGCTGTATTTGTGACTAGTCAGTGTAAAATACCTTGATTCATTTTGATGTAAGGAAGGAGAGGTTGTTGGCTTCTGGTGTAGCCCTTTTGCAGTGGATTTTAAGAAGCATTTGTCTGTGGTTGTAACTTTTTTTTTTTTTTTTTGGAGACGGAGTCTTGCTCTGTCGCCCAGGCTGGAGTGCAGTGGCACGATCTCGGCTCACTGCAGCCTCCACCTCGCGGGTTCAAGCCATTCTCCTGCCTCAGCCTCCCAAGTAGCTGAGATTACAGGCCCCCGCCACCACGCCCAGCTAATTTTTGTATTTTTAGTAGAGACGGGGTTTCACCACATTGGCCAGGCTGGTCTCAAACTCCTGACCTTGTGATCCGCCCGCCTCTGCCTCCCAAAGTGCTGGGATTACAGGCAGCCGCCACCACGCCCAGCCTGGTTGTAACATATTTTAATTCAGGAAATCACCTTCAGTTTTTTGAAGGAGCTGATAATTTTTTAGGGAAGAAAACAATTTGATAATCTTGTAAGCGTAGAAAAACGTAATAATTGAAGTTGTTAATTTGGTAGGTAATTTTACTGTTATTTTAGGTGATATGCTTCCTTTTTATTTTTTCGTAAGCTGTAAAATTAGAGATTTTTGTGTTGAAGGAATCTAATAATTTGTACACATAATGATTAGTCATTCAGTCAGCTAATAGTTAAGTACCTTCTATGTGTTGGGCAGTACTAGGTATAATGAAAAGTGAATCTAGTCCCTGTTCTTGTTAAAGCAAATAAAAATGTAAATAAAAAGTTTGACATTGTGATTAACCTTCTGAAGTAGAATATGGGTGTTTATATGAAAGAATGATTTGAGAATAAGTTTAGGTGGGAAGATGTTGGATTTATTTATTTATTTTTGAGATAGAGTCTCATCTCATCTGTCACTCAGGCTGGAGTGCAGTGGTGCCATCTCGGCTCACTGCAACCTCCACCCGCCGGGTTCAAGCGATTCTCATGCCTCACCCTCCCGAGTAGCTGAGATTACAGGCGTGTGCCACCATGCCCAGCTACTTTTTGTATTTTTAGTAGAGACAGAGTTTCACCGTGTTGGCCAGGCTGGTCTCAAACTCCTGACGTCAAGTGATCCACCCACCTCAGCCTCCCAAAGTGCTGGGATTACAGGCGTGAGCCACTGCTCCCGGCCAGGAAGTTGGAATTTAAGTCAAGGGTTGAATTTAAAGTAGTGGTTAGCCAGAACAGGGGTTATGGGATAGGGAATTACAGGGCATTGCCATAGCGGATTCTTTGGTGCCTCTGGAAACAGCTGACTGAAGCACCAACTGTATAAAGACTACTTATGCAGATTCCAGAGTGGGTTTCCAACAAGACAACTTCGTTTAAAAATACCTTGAGGCCAGGAGCAGAGGCTCACACATGTAGTCCCAACACTTTGGGAGGCTGAGGCAGGAGGATCACTTGAGTCCAGGGTGGGTAACATAGTGAGACCCTGGCTCTCCAAAAAGATTTATATATTAAAAAAATGAGCCAGGTGTGGTGGTATGTACCTGTAGTCCCAGCTACTTGGATGAGGTGAGTGGATCACTTGGACCCAAGAGTTTGAGACTGAGGTGAGCTAGGATTGTGTCACTGCGCTCCAGCCTGGGTGACAGAGCAAGACTCCATCTCTCTTAAAAAAAAAAAAAAATGGTGGTTTGTGAAGAGAATCAAAAGGAAATAGATCCTAGAGCATAGCCTCTAGGGTCAGTGTCTGAGTTGTCCTAGCTCTGCCCACGTATTAGCTGTGACATTAACTATGTGTTAAGTAGCCCTCATGTGCTTGTTTCTTTTTCAAAAGATGGAGCTGGTACTAACTACCTGATAGGGTTGTTCTGAGATCAGGTATAGTTGTCTGTGTACAACTCTTCGTCATTTATGGCACTCTGTTTAGGGGTGCATCAGTCAGCATTGCTGATTCTTGCTGCTGTTGGTGATGATGGTAGATATCCAGTTGGAGAAATTATTGGATCTTTTTAACCAGTTAACCCAGTTAGAGAGGGACTCAATAAAACCAATTTAATAAAGTTCCTTTTGGCACAATAATTGAATTACAATTGGGGATGTAAACTTAAACCTTGACGTGACTTGTCACCGGAATGAATCAATTCAAGTATTCTTTTAGGGCTGGAGGTAAAGGTGAAACAGATGTGGCACTTTAAGGACCATTAATTATACAAACAATTATAAACTAATTTATTGAACATCTGTTATGTGGCAGTCTTGGTTCTAGTTCATGTGTAGCACATAAGTTAGGTAAGGGTAATTTTATTGGACTCTTAAAAAGAGGTGGGAATAAAGGATAAATGTGGTTATTTAACACTGAGGCAGTTTCTGCCAGAGGACTAAAAAGTTACTGTGGTCACCCTAGAAGTAGAATTCTATTGGCTTTTGCTAATTCCTAGAAAGCTAACTTGGTTTGCTGAGGCTCTACATGTTTTGTTAAATTTGACCTTTGTACTTAAGTATTTGTGAGGATTAGATAGAGAAGGCTCTCTTTGTTTATACAGTGCCAATATCTTAAAAAATATTAAGTAGAACCTACACCCTACACATTCATTCTAGCTTTCTGTGAGTTCTGTTGAGGATGAAAGAATATTCCCTTTAAAACTTGTGAAAATTTGAGGAATAGGCAATATATTTTTAGTTGTCTTTATTTTCTATTGTTAACTTAGGCATTTTTTCGTGATTAGGTATCTAACTCTGAAATACATACCAAATGTATTTTAGCTGTTTACACTAACAAAGCTGTATGGTTTGATTGTGGTCTTAAACATTTCAGCTCTCTTTAAGAGTCCAGGGTTTGATGTTTCCTTTTTGCCCTGTTTGATGTATTGAACATTGAAACACTGTAGATTCTAAATTATTCAAAATATGTTCCCTTTCCTTGTGAGCATTTACATCTAGTAGTTTGTTGTCATTGTAACCAGTATTTTGCTATATGTAGTGCTATTGTGATTACAGTAAGTTAGTGTTGCTCATGTTGTGTAATATGGTTGCTAAGAACATACCAGGTTGAACTAGAGCCTGTCTTTGTTTATTCCTTCACCAATAAAAGAAACATTATGTAAGGACTCGGCTAATATCACTGGCTCTTCACTGACTTGGTTGGGGAGGGGAAAACTGTCAAGCCAATAAAAGGTGATTTGAATGTATAGAGATTTCACAGAGGAGGAGGTATTTCATCTGAGTTGAGAAGGACGGAGAGACTTTGATAGGCAGATGGACTAGCCAGTAGCAAATAGTATCAATCCTTTCCTGATACTATAGGTAGATGAGCTGGTTTCTATTAAGGTTGAAGTTCTCACACTGTCTTAATTGACAGCACACGTAATATCTCAATAATTTCTTCGTAGTACCCCAGACCTAAAGAAATATTTCAGAATTCCATTTACTAAGTAGTTGGGTCCTAATAACCTAAGTATTTATGTTTCTTTTAAAAAATACTACACATACGTTGAAAGAAAAATTATTTCATTCATAAATAACCACCATTATTTATTAAGTGTGTTAATGCTATTTGATCACTCACAGTTTCTCAAACCTTGATAACAGATTGAACACTACCTCTTTTATTTCCTGTTCTATACTGATGTTTGCCTCATGCTTTTTTTTTTTTTTTTTTTTGAGACGGAGTCTTGCTCTGTTCCCTAGGCTGGAGTGCAGTGGTGCAGTCTTGGCTCACTGCAAGCTCCGCCTCCCAGGTTCACACCATTCTCCTGCCTCAGCCTCCCAAGTAGCTGGGACTACAGCTGCCCACCACCACGCCCGGCTAATTTTTTTTTGTATTTTTAGTAGAAACGGGTTTCACTGTGTTAGCCAGGATGGTCTTGATCTCCTGACCTCGTGATCCACCCACCTCGGCCTCCCAAAGTGCTGGGATTACAGGCGTGAGCCACCGTGCCCAGCCTTGCCTCATACTTTTTGAAACAGCAACTATCAAAAGTCTAGCTTCCACAAATACGACATCAAAAGGATTTACGGTCTACTTTTGAAACTCTCAGCTACCTTAAACTTGTAGTTCCTGGGATGTCCTACATGTTGAACATGGAAAATAGTAAAAAAATTATGTTTTAAATCATTAAAATGAGAACATACATATTCTAGGTGATCATTTAATGCATTTACAGATGGAATCAACAACTTACTCTACCATTTGAGTGATCTGTTTATACCCAAAAAAAGTAGTTTAATCTTCTTTTGGCTGCATGGACATTAAGGTTGTAAACAAGTCCAGGTGCAGTGGCTTATGCCTGTAATCCCAATACTTTGGGAGGCTGAGGAAGGAGGATTGCATGAGTCCAAGAGTTCCGGGATGTAGTGTGCTAGTTTGGCATCCATATGGTAACTCCTTGGAGAGCGGGGGACTATCAGGTTGCCCCAGGAGGTGTGAACCGGCCCAGGTTGGAAAATGAGCAGGTCAAAGCTGATCAGTGGTGGGATTGTATCTGTGAGTAGCCACTGCCTTCCAGCCTGGGCAACATAGCAAGGCCTTGTCTCTTTAAAATATATACATACATATATATGTATTTCTTATATATAGATTATATATATTTCTTTATATGTATATAAAGATAAACCTGAAAGATCAGTTGTAAATAGAAAAATTATACCTGGACATTTAAATATAAGACCTATAGGTTCATTTATTGTTAACATTAATCAACACCATTTTGTTGAGTATGGGTTCATTTGTTTGGAATTCCATTTAATTCTAAAGCTGGAATTTAAACTCAAACATTTAGAAAATACACAAGTTGTTTTTCTGGAATTTAAGACAGTTCAATCTTTTGGAATGCTTGGTTTCTAGGCTCTTTTAAATCTTTCAGAATTGTCTCACAGATTTGATAGTTCTGTGTGTGTGAAAGATTCATCTTGTTCTAAACTTCTGAAACATATGACTTGGTGTTCATATATATGACTCTTTTCTATGCTTGGGGTTTATCATTTCATGTCAACTGTAATTCTCTTGACCCAACTGATGGAGACAGGATTATGTGTATATTACACTATGTTTTATAAAGTGTATGGCTATCCCAAGGATTTATGAGTTACATGGAGGCTAGTTAAGAGTGTGGTATAGAACCGTTTATTGAATATTTCCCAAGTGCCAGGCAGTTAGTGTACTGAGGACTTTATATATGTACATTGTTTTATTTTAAACAATTTTTACCCTGTTCACATTTTTACAAGGGGACCATTACGGAAGAAATTGTCCAAGATCAGACAATAATAGGAAAACAGGGACTTAAACCCAGTTTTGTCTTGCAGCAAGTATGTATTCTTAACCTCTGTGTTTTATTTCCTTCATCATTGTTCCTCATCGCTCCATGTAATTCTCTGAGTGTATTGTAAAGCTTTCCTAGGTAATATGGAGAACAGTAAATCTAATTACTCAGATTAAACAGTGCCATTCATTTATAATAGATGCCTTTTTCAGGTTGCTTTATTTATGCTTTTTTAACTTTTAGGTTCAAGGGTATATGTGCAGGTTTGCTGTATAGGTAAATTGCATGTTGTAGGAGTTTGGTGTACAGATTTTTTTTTTTTTTTTTTTTTTTTGAGACAGTGTCTCACTCTTCCAGGCTGGAGTGCAGTGACCCAATCTCAGCTCGCTGCAGCCTGTGCCTCCTGGGTTCAAGCGATTCG
Source organism: Homo sapiens (assembly GCF_000001405.40). Classification (NCBI taxonomy): domain Eukaryota; kingdom Metazoa; phylum Chordata; class Mammalia; order Primates; family Hominidae; genus Homo; species Homo sapiens. The sequence goes on along the minus strand of NC_000004.12, from coordinate 24,562,044 downwards.
ATTCTCTTGCCTCAGCCTCCCAAGTAGCTGGGGCTACAGGTGCACGCCACCACGCCTGGTGAATTTTTGTATTTTTTGGTAGAGATGGGATTTCCACATGTTGGCCAGGCTGGTCTTGAACTTTGACCTCAAGTGATTGACCTGCTTCGGCCTCCCAAAGTGCTGGGATTACGGGCTGGTGTACAGATTACTTTGTTACTCGGGTAATAAGCATAGTTACCTGACAGGTAGTTTTTCTGATTCTCTTTCTCTTCCCACCCTCCATCCTCTGGTTTGTTGTTCCTTTCTTTGTGTGCATATTTACTCAAAGTTGAGCTCCCAACTGAGAACATGAGGTATTTGGTTTTCTGTTCTTGTGTTAGTTTGCTTAGGATGATGGCCTTTAGCTTCATATATGTTGTCACAAGAACATGATCTCTTTTTTATGGCTGCATAGTATTCCATTGTGTATATGTGCTACTTTTAAAAATGAATTCTACTTTTAATGGACATTTAAGTTGATTCTATGTCTTTGCTATTGTGGATAGTACTGCAGTGAATATACACAGGCCTGTGTCATTATGGTAGAAGGGTTTATATTCTGTATACCCAATAATGGGATTGCTGGGTCAACTGGTAATTCTATTATAAATCTTTGAGAAGTTGCCAAACTGCTTTCCACAATGGCTGAACTAATACAATCCCACCAGCAGTGGATAAGCATTCCCTTTTCTCTACAACCTTGTTATTTTTTGACTTTTTAGTAGCCATGCTGACTGGTATAAGATGGTATCTCATTGTGGTTTTAAGTTGCTTTATTTTTAATGGCTGCATAGCATTTGTGATTGTACCTTAGTTTACTTAACAAATTCTATTGATGGAACCTCATTTGCAGTTTTTGCTATTAGAAACATTTGCTGTCCTCCGTATCCTCTTACAAACTTGTACACACATTTTTTTCACGCATACACATCTGTGAAATAAATTCCCTACAAGTGAAATTGTTCGGGTCATAGAGTATACTTGAATTTTATCAGCTTTTGGCAGATTGCCCTCCATAGAGATTTTTATATACTCTCACCAGTAAGGAATCAGTAAATGAGCATCTGTTTCTTTACCCTTGCCAACTCAGCATTATAAAACTTTTTATCTTTGTCAATCTTGTTAAGTGAAAAATGGGATTACTTTATGGTTTTAATTTGCATTTATTTTCTGTGAAATTGAACATTTTTGTATATTAGCCATTTGTATTTCTTTTTGGAATCTGAGACTGGTGCTTTTTTCATCTTCTCAGGATTTCTACCTAGTTGATAGCTGTTTTTAAGGTGCTATTTTAAAATGCATCTTAGTTTCAGAGAATTTAAATTTGACCAAATATGCGGTATTATAAAATTGATAGAATTAGATGTTTCATCATATGCTTTGCCCATATTTCTATAGTGGATTGGCCTTTTTCTTATAGATTTGTAGGAGCTTATAACAGAATTAGCACCTTGGATATAAGTTGCAATTTTTGCTCAGTTTGTCATACATTTCTTTGCTTTATGACACTTCATGCTACATAGAGACTTGAATTTTGTACACGTATTGAATTAACCACTTTTATGATGTCCAGGTTTTGCATCATACCCTGCCCAGTGTTGGTTTAAATAATTTAATCCATGTATTTTACTATTTTGTTTTTGTTTTAAACATTTAACCAAGCTGGAATTTTACTGGGGAGGGATCATAAGCTTTGAGGTAGGGATTTCTGGTTTTCATTTTATAAAAATGATTTTTTGCCTTTCTTAGGCTTAGTTTGTAATTTTTTGGAATGTTTCATAAAATATATATACATATATATAAATACAAAAATATAAATAAGTAATATATTTGCAGGATGTAATGTTTTACCATGGTTTGTTCAAATCAGAATTAGTGATGTGTTAGGTGTCGTCATCTTGCTGAGATCATAGTTGGCAGTTGGCTTGTAGTTATACTACGCCATCTACATGTGCCTGTTGCAAAAAAATACTTAAGCTAGGTTGATACTGTTCAGTACATGGGGTTTTTGGTATATTTTATTAAGCAGTCACAGTTGAAAAGCTGAACTGTTACTTACTCCAAGGATGTTTTTGCTACTTTAGACATCTTTAGGTAATCTGCTTCTTGTTTAATTTGATTAATTTAGACTAGTGTTTCTTAAACTTTAGCAATCATCAGAATCACTTGAAAACTTGTTAGAGCAGATTGCTATGCCTCACCTTCAAAATTTCTGATTAAGTAGATCTGAGATGAGACTCAAGTTTTGTAGTTCTTACTAGTTCCAAGGTGATGCTAATAAATTTTTAAGAGCATCTCTGCCCTAAAACAGTTGGAAAACACTGTAGATAGTAAGGCACCCAGTAAAGTGTGGAGTTTGGCTATCCTGTGGCACTTTTATTAATTCATCATTGAAACTTCAAACTTAAAATTTTACTATTGTGACTCATTCCTTAGCCTGGATAAATATTTCATTACTACTAAGAAAGTTAGTAAAACTTGACTCTTACATAAAGGAAAATGGACTGTAGTTTTTATCTCCAGTGCCTGATTCTGCCTTTCCTGAGTTCTGTGTCAAGTTAGTTTTTTGTTGTTAAGCAAAGGGTTTCATACATTTAACAGTATAGCAAATCGTCAAGTACTGTTTCTTTTTTTTTTTTTTTTTTTTTAGTGGCTTAAAATTGACAAATTCATTCTCTCACAATTCTGAAGGTCAGAAGTTCAAAAACAGTATGTTGGCAGGTTAGTTCCAACTGGAGGCTCTAAGTGGCAATAGTCTTTCATGATTCTCTCCTAGCTTTTGGTGGTGGCTAACAGTCCTTAGCATTCCTTGGCTTGTAGCTTTGTAACCACAGTCTCTGCCTTCATCTTCACGTGGCTTTCCTTTTGTGTTCAAATCTCCCTCTCTTTACATTTTGTAAGGATACTGGTCATTGGATTTAGGGCCCACTCTTAAATTCAGGGCGATCTTGTCTGAAATTTATAACTTAATTACTTCTGCAAAGACCCTATTTCTGAGTAATGTCACGTTGATAGGTACCAGAGGTTAGGACCTGGGCATATCTTTCGAATAGCTTTTTGCTATGAAATTTGTACGTACAATGGGTTCCTTTATCTGGGACTTTGTGAAGAGTGTGTTAATGTAGGAGAGACTTAGGACTGGGAATCAGTACAGTGATACCTAGTCTTAGTAACTGGTTTTGAGAGTCTGGAAAAGTTGACTACGGTTTTTTTCGTTTTCTTCACTGGAAAAGAAGTAAATTTGACTATATCCTTGAGACCTTTGAAATTTTGAAATTTCATTTTTCTTGAAATTATTCATTGTACAAACAGCAGTATCCCATATTAACTGGTGATGCAAGAAGTAATTAAGTGCAGCACCTCATGGAATGGGATCACTGGGTGATGATCAGTATTGAGGAACCATTGGGAATTGTCTGGATGATAGAAGTTTTGGCCATTTAACTAAGTACTTGCAATATGCATAGTTAATAAAGCACAATAAAATATTTCCATTAATCTAATTTATAATATTTATAGTCTGCCATCTGTAACATTTCTTCCCTTAGAAAAATAAAAAGGAATGTCTGTTGGTTAGCTCTGCTCCATATTGTGATTGATTAAAGCTTGAGGAATGTGAGGAGAAAAAAGATCAAAATAAAGAAGGTGACTTTTAAAACTAGTTTTAAGAAGTTTTCAACTTAAAGTCATATTTTATCATTTCTGTGACTTTTTTCTCAAGTTTTTATTGTCTGAAGTTACAATGTGTCTCACAATCTACTGAGGTCTTGTAGTTGGTGGCAGTTTGGTTATTATTGCCTGTGAATGCTTGAACTCGATCTAGCTGTACATATTTTCACCTCAAATAATGTGAATTGTTGGGTCTGTATATACTGAGAGTATTTGCTAATTTAAATGCCTTCAGAAATATTAAATATTACACTATGATTCCATGTTGAAATGAGCACTGAGTATCAAGAGGCTGGGAAATGGAGCAATAGGGTGTAAATATGCTAGTATTTGAGCAAATGTTGGAAGAGTAACCAATCCTTTTTTTTTTTTTTTGCCTTGCAAATCAACAGACCGCTCTATTGAAGCTAAGAGAGGTAACTCACAAATAGAGGAAGCTGTATGTTATGTTCTGCTACTGAGATCATGTACAAGAGTATTGCCTCTCTCGTGTCTGTGATATATCGGAAGACAGGAAAAATTACCAAACGTCCTCAGATCAAAGAAATTTCAAAGCAGCTAAGGGCTATAGTGTTGCTGATTCTTGCACTATGCTTTACTGTCTTTAAGGCACTGAGTCATAATTTAATTGGCAGTGTTTTTTCTTTCCTGGTCTTACATAAAATAACCTTATAGCTAATGCTGTTTGTCCCTCCCAGGAATGTGGTAGTTTATTTTTAAAAATATGACCAAGGACAAGAAGCATAAAGCATATAAATGAGTTAAGATGGATTTGTTTGCCAATAGTTTATGAAATTTAGAATTAAGTTTAGGTGAAATAAAGAGAATTCACTTCTTTTTGTTGTACACTATCAATTTGCTGAACTTAATGCTCCAGCAGATGGCATGAGCTAAAAATATCCAGTTGGTCCATGAAAGATTAGGTTAGACTAATCATAAAAAGAGCCAAAATGGTGAATTCATAAATGATGGCTTCAGATTTTTTAATACCACTTTTAAATCCGTAAATAAAATAATGGGTTTTTATCTAACTGGATGAGCTGTGACTTAAGCATCTAAAGGCATCCTGTGTTTTGTCCAGGTGCCAAAAGGAAGATAGTTGTTTTTCATAGTGACATCAGTAACCAGTGTGGAATGGACAGGAGATAGCTGACCCCTGCAAAGTTATACAATCTTGACCCTTGATCTCATTGCCTTCATTCTTACGTGGCGCCTGTCTTGTGATAACTGGAGTCCATATTAGCAGCCTTCACTTGAGCCATCCCTAACTAAGCCTGGTTTCCCTTTTTGGTTCATTGATCAATCTGACGTCATTTGTTTTTATCTTCCATTTATGTATCAGCATTTGTTTAGTGTTGATGCTGCCCCTCAGTCCCACTTCTTTTATTATTGAATTCCTTTTGTGCTTTAAGATTATTTCTTTGGGGTGGGAGGACTCACGCTTTCAGCCCTTTTGAACCAAGAGCCTGTTGTTAGCTTATTAAGTAAGGAATTGTTAAGGCTTAACAAAAAATGTTTATTTGCATGTGGTAACATTTTAGTGGTGTGACATGAAGCAACTTAAAATGGTTTATTAGATTTTGCGTGTTGAATATTTGTATGTTTTTAAAAGGTTTAAGAAATTGAAAATGACGAATTTTGCCTTGGCATTCATGTGAAACCATGTGATCATTATGTTCCATAATTGGTCATATCATGTCTTCCCAGTACATTTCAGTATTACATTTTTCAAGAATTGATGAAGCATATCTTGTTTCATTGTATACTCTTAAAAGATTTTCTTGAAACTTAATTTTGCAATTGATCATGAAACAGTAGCACATTTGTTTGGGGCAGAAGTTTATTTTTAATTTACCTTATGTCTTTGCATTTCATTTTTGTCACGAAGTTTGGTTTTAAAATGACCTAACGGAACCTTTAACCAACATGTTCTTTGGAATATAGGTATATGACTGATGGGATGTTACTTCGTGAAGCTATGAATGATCCCCTCCTGGAGCGTTATGGTGTAATAATTCTTGATGAGGCTCATGAGAGGACACTGGCTACAGATATTCTAATGGGTGTTCTGAAGGAAGTTGTAAGACAGAGATCAGATTTAAAGGTGAAGTAATTTCTTCTCTCCATTTAACTATATATGTGTGTATGTGGGCATAAAAATGGGGAATACATACTGATCAATAACCAACTGTAAGAAATCACCTGTAAAAGAAGGAACTAGTAAGTACCTTCTTGTTTTGTTTCTGCTTTGCTGTGCTTTCATTTTAGACTTTATTTCTCCCCCTTTATAGTAATGCATTTTTAAGCCCAATCTTCTCAATTTGTAACCCACCTAGTTCTTTTATAATCTAATAACATATATGTGTAACTGTGCTACTCACTGTACCCTTCATTAAGTACAGAGGCTTATTTTACTTAAGGATCAAATCTTTCTCCCTCAGATCCATGTCCTTGTCTCATCACAAACACCCATTGTAACTTATAATGCTGGAGAGTGGAAATAACTATACACAGGACAGGCAGCTCCTTAGAAATGTAGTCACTTACCCTCGTGTATTACTTCTTTCCTCCATACCACATGTACCTTGGCCCCTGTTACTGTATTGATTAAGGGCCTAAAACTATTTTCTGACATTTTTGTCCCCCAAAGTCTATGATGTTCCCCTTTTTGCTGTGTTGTGTGTGTATACTATTCATTGGAATGTAGACTCATCCCTTGTTGATACAAGTGTTATAGAAGGGTTCATAGCCTGGTGACAGAGTGAGACTCTTAGCAGAAACAAACAAACAAACAAGGGTTCAACACTGGCAAGAAAGATTCTGGGTCTTTAGAAAAAAAACTGAGGCCTGAGCATGTTTTTGTTTATACAAATTAGATCAATGCTTTAAAAAATATATTTAAAGAATAATGTGAGTACTATCATTATTTATTAAATTTATTGTGCTACCAAGGTTTTAGTGAGAACCTGAAAGTAGAAATTAAGAACTCTTATGAAACTTTTTATGGAGGAACCTTTTTATATCTGGTCCACTTATTTTTTTTTTTTGCATTTTCTGTTTTTTCCTATTTGCAAAGTTTTGTTTTAATAATGGTAGCAATAATTATACTGCATATTAATGTTTTCTTTTAGCAATCTGAATTACATATAATTTTATAAAATCTGATTTTAAGGTATTTTATGAAGAAATGCTGTAGTTTGTGCATTTATTTTTTTTCTAAATTTTTAAAAATGTAAATAACTTTTACTATAGTTCAGCCATTATGTATTTGATTTTTCATTTACAGTTTATTTGAAGGTTTTCATGGGCATTTTTATAGCTGATATATGTAGAATAGTAAATATTGCTATACTGTAAGACCATGTAAGAATCCTTGAAGACAGCTTCAAATAATTTACTGTTTTCTTTCAGGTTATAGTTATGAGCGCTACTCTAGATGCAGGAAAATTCCAGATTTACTTTGATAACTGTCCTCTCCTAACTATTCCTGGGCGTACACATCCTGTTGAGATCTTCTATACTCCAGAACCAGAGAGAGATTATCTTGAAGCAGCAATTCGAACAGTTATCCAGATTCATATGTGTGAAGAGGAAGAGGGAGATCTTCTTCTTTTCTTAACTGGTCAAGAGGTATTGTTTTAATTTTCTTCATTATTTAGCTTTTGACATACTGTTTCTAATATGCAGCAACCTTAATCATAAGAACATGTTAATCATATTTTTTATTTCAATGTTCTTCAACCTGATTGTATTAATATGTAAAATATATAACCCCTTTTATCTGCATACTGTAGGAATACTTCTGTATACCACTAGAGTTTGTGTTATAATTATTTTAAGAGTGTTAAATGCTTTTGGAATTTCAAGATTTTGCAATTGTAGTTTAAGAGATCCCTGGGATATAAGTGCTATTATGCTGAAGCATGAATGTGCATCACAGCTGCTTTGAAATCAGGTTATCTTCATCAGTATTTAGCTTGTGAGTGAACTTGGGTGCCTATTCATCATCAAAACACTTCAGTTTGGTTTTGTCTTCCCATATGCTCATGAAATTTGGGAAGGATTACTAAAAGTTCTTAGTTAGAATTTACTTCATTTAAAATTTTATTCTCAGATGTAGCATTTCTTTTTTTTTTCGAGACGGAGTCTTGCGCTGTCGCCCAGGCTGTAGTGCAGTGGTGCAGTCTTGGCTCACCGCAAGCTCCGCCTTCTGGGTTCACGCCATTCTCCTGCCTCAGCCTCCCAAGTAGCTGGGACTACAGGTGCCCGCCACCACACCCGGCTAATTTTTTGTATTTTTAGTAGAGACAGGGTTTCACCGTTTTAGCCAGGATGGTCTCAATCTCCTGACCTCGTGATCCACTCTCCTCGGCCTCCCAAAGTGCTGGGATTACAGGCGTGAGCCATCGCACCCGGCCAGATGTAGCGTTTCTAAGCTTCTTTTCAATAGGGTGTTTATAGGTGTGCTGTGGAATACCTGAGTGGCTAAATAAATTCAGAAGCTATTTGGATAATACAAAGTTTTAAAAAGCCTTTTACGAAAGGGTTTTTCTTTTTCTTTTTGGGGGTGGGGAGGGAAGACAGAGTCGCGCTCTGTCAACCAGGCTGGAGCGCAGTGGCATGATTATCGGCTCACTGCAACCTCTGCCTCCCGGGTTCAAGCGATTCTCTTGCCTCAGCCTCCCAAGTAGCTGGGATCACAGGTGCCCACCATCACACCTGGCTAATTTTTTTTTAATTTTTAGTAGAGACGGGGTTTCACTATGTTGGCCAGGCTAGTCTCGAACTCCTGACCTCAGGTGATCTGCCCTTCTCGGGTTCCCAAAGTGCTGGGATTATAGGCGCGAGCCACCACACCTGGCCCCAAAATGCTTTTTTGATGGCATATAAACAGCATTTGTGCTGTAATGTAGTATTGAGGCTGTTGGGATAATCGTTTTGTCCTCTTGTGTCTGGTCTCTAGTTTCTCATTTCCTCCAAAGTGCATAGTATATTTTTATTTTTATTTATTTTGTTTTATTATTTATTTATTTGAGATGGAGTTTTGCTCTTGTTGCCCAGGCTGGAGTGCAGTGGCGCGATCTCGGCTCACCGCAACCTCTGCCTCCCAGGTTCAGGTGATTCTCCTGCCTCAGCCTTCCGAGTAGCTGGGATTACAGGCATGCGCCACCATGCCCAACTAATTGGTATTTTTGGTAGAGATGGGGTTTCTCCGTGTTGGTCAGGCTGGTCTTGAACTCCCAACTTCAGGTGATCCACCCGCCTCGGCCTCCCAAAGTGCTGGGATTACAGGCGTGAGCCACTGCACCTGGCCATATTTTTATTTTTTAAATCACTATTTAAAATTGTCATCATTCTCAGATAACATAAGCGTATTGAGATTCTATCAGAAATATCAAATGGCCTCATGGTTAAGGACCCGAAAGGTTTTTCTCTGAGACAACTTTGTGCGGTATTTTCTGTGAATCCCACAGCTGGGGAAAGGAAGGGAGTAAGCCGAAGGGTTTTCAGATGTATGCTAGAGTGTCTTTCATGAAATAAAATGCTGCTCTAGTTGTCAGCTGTTTTTTTGCATACCATTGCTTCTTTAAGTTATCTTTAGATTCCCAGTCTTGAATTTGAAGAGTTTTGGGGAGAAGGTAGCAGAAAACCTAACGTTTTGTTTACATTTCATTTGTTGTATTTAGTAGTAGAGCTGGTCTAAAGTAAATATTACCTTCTCATTTTTGTGAACCTTCATTATTTTTACTTGGTAAGTTAAATGCAACTGCGAAATCAGTACTCCTTTCTTCATAAATTTGAATAGCCTCCATGAAATTGAGTAATCTCATAAAAATTTAAAACTGGTTTTTAAGAACATATTCTGACCACTAAATAAAAGTGCTTCTGTAGTCACATGAGTTAATTTGGGAGGGAGAGAGAACAGTTTAAAGTGTTGCCTAGATAGTAATTAGATAAGAGTGATTGTAATTAAATAATTTTATTTTTAATTTTGCTTAGTAAATTTTTTTTTCAACATGCAGTGAGTTAATTGGTAAGGTCCAGATTAATTTACTAACATATTGCTGCTTTTGGAGTTAAAAATCTTTTCTCAAATCAAAAACTCCTGAACTGTCTGTCTTTATTCTCAGTATTGCTAATGACTAAGCAGATGGCTGCTGTTGAAACTTCTTTTCCTCCACTACCTGTTTCTGTTTATATTCTGATGAATGCAGATAAGTTTTGTGGCATTCTCAGCTGATAGTGTTGACTTCTTGGAAGTTTGGCAAACCTCAGGGAAAATTTTTATTGCAAGTTTTAAAGCTGTTTAGGACTTTATCTAAAAACTTAAGTGTTACGGGATTTCTTCCACATTTTAGAGATGCCTTTATATCCTACATAGTCATCATTTTGTTTTAGCTCCTTGCATACTTAGCAGATTGGGTAGTCTAATCTCCAGTAAAGTTGGAATTGTCATTTTAAAATACTGGAATCACAAAGCAAATGTCTAATTTAAGCACTTAATTTTTAATGTGTGAAATCTGGATATTTTGTGATTTCTGAGCATTTATTTTTCATTTATGTACAGTAAAATTAACAAAATTGCAGATACTCTTAAATGTTGGAATCCTAGTTTTATATTATGTTCAAATGTTTTTTAAGTTGGAGAGCTCTTAATTTTTTATTTGCATGCCAGCAGGGGGCATTCTAATCTAGATACAACATTTGAAAGCAGTATTTTCAAAAAATATTTGTTCGCTTTGTTATATTTTTTATTTAGATGAATAGCATCTACTTTCATTTTCTTTTAGAAACTTGAGATTTCAAAGGAGGATCTAGTAACATTGAATCTTTAATAGTTTTCTGTGTCACAATTTTTGAGACAGATAACCTTTAAAAAAAACTGATGTGTTTGAAATAAGTGAAAAGTAATTTATTTGTTCTTACTGTGTTTAAGAACGTTGTGTTTTTTGATATAGAGACACAGTTGGACATTAAAAAAATATAAAGTAAATGTCCTAAAATTCTTCCTCACCGTTTAGTATCATTGTCCTTTGAAAAAAACACGCACTTTGTTGACAAGGGTAGCTTCTGATTGGGTCATTTATTGGACAGGCTGCCTAGTGTATAATAAGCGTTTTACATACTTCTGGGTTTAATTGAATTAATACTTCAATAAAATTTAGAATACATTTGTCCGCAGTGCTGCCTTCCATTTTTAAGTTCCTTTGCCTCTCCCAGAGCTATCATACATAATCTGTCTCTCTCTTTTTTTCCGTCTTGATATTCATTATGTCTCCTCTTGAATGCACATGTGTTAGAATATAGTCATGTGCCACATAACAACGTTTTGGTCAAGACAAACTTCTCAGATAGCTGTGGTGCTGCTCCCGTAAGATTATAGTGGAGCTGAACGTAACCTTGCAGCATCACAGCACAACACATTACTCACTGCTTTGTGATGATGCTAGTTCAAACAAACCTACTTTGCTGCCAGTTGTTTTAAAAGTACTATATAGTATGTACAATTATGTCCAGTACATAATAATAATGATAATAGGACATTGTTAGTGGTTTTTGTATTTACTATACTACATGTTTTATCATTATTTTAGAGTGTTCTCCTTCGACTTAAAAATGTTAACTGTAAAACAGGCTTAGGCAGGTCCTTCAGGAGGTGTTCTAGGAGAAGGCATTGTTATCACAGGAGATGACAGCTCCATGTGTGTTACTGGCCTTTGGAGACCTTCCAGTGGGTTAATACGTTAAGGTGGAAGATAGTGATATTGATGATCCTGACCCTGTGGGGGCCTAGGTTAAGTGTGTGTTTGTGTCTTTTAACCAAAAAGTTTAATAAGTTGAAAAAGTAAAAAATTTTAAATTGGAATGAAGCTTATAGAATAAGGATATAAAGAGAAAATACTTTTGCACAGCCATACGGTGTGTTTGTGTTTTAAGCTAAGTGTTACTACACAAGAGTCAGAGTTAAAATTTAGAAGTTTATAAAGTTAAAAAGTTGTAGTAAGCTAAGGTTAATTTAATGAAGAAAGAAAAATATATCAAAAAAAAGAAAATACATTTTTTTATAAATTTTGTATCGCCAAAATGTACAGTGTTTATGAAGTCTACAGTTCTGTACAGAATGTCCTAGGCCATCACATTCACTAAGTACTCACTCACTCACAGCAACTTTCAGTCCTGCAGACTTCTTTCATGGCAGATGCCCTATATGAGTGTACTGATTTTTACCGTTTTTTTTTTTTTTTTTTTTTTTTTTTTTGAGACGGAGTTTCCCTCTTTTTGCCCAGGCTGGAGTGCAATGGTGCAATCTCGGCTTATTGCAACCTCCTGCGTCCCGGGTTCAAGCGATTCTCCCGCCTCAGCCTCCCGAGTAGCTGGGATTACAGGCATGTGCCACCACGCCCAGCTAATTTTGTATTTTTAGTAGAGACGGGGTTTCTCCATGTTGGTCAGGGTGGTCTCGAACTCCCAACCTCAGGTGATCCGCCCACCTCGGCCTCCCAAAGTGCTGGGATTACAGGTGTGAGCCACTGTGCCTGGCGGTTTTTATCTTTTATACCATATTTTTGCCATGCCTTTTGTTTAGATGAACAAACACTTCCCATTGTGTTACAGTTGCCTACTGTTATTCACTTCAATAACATGCTCCTCAGGTTTGTAGCCTAGGGAGCAATAGGCTATACAGTTTAGGTTCGTGAATACACTAGAATGTTTACACAACAACAGAATCGCCTAACAAATTTCTCAGAACATATTCCTGTCAGTAAGCAACGTGTGACTGTAGTTTTCTGAGAAAAAAATTTGTAGCTGCCTAAGACATTTGGGTTAGCCTAGTTCTTAAATATCTGTGTTGATACTGTAAAGGTGTTTGTTCTCATTAGGCACAATGAAGCAAATCTTCCATATAATTGCATTAGTGATACGTGACATTAAAGCCTAATTGGCTTATTTAAAATGTCTAGCACATCAATTTCTTTTAGATTGTGAAAATTGAAAAGGTCGTGAGTGCATTTAAATATTCCTGAGTGAGAAATTTCAATTTTAGTACAATTTGTTGAGAATTAATTAGGAAATCTGACTCTAAGAAAAGGGGTGTGGAATGCAAATAAGGCAGTTATATATTCATTTGAATACAAAAATGAAAGTTTCTTGGATTGTTTTGGAAATCCCATTGAAATTTGCTAAATTAGTTTTGGTTACTAAATTGAAAACAGGGTATCCATGAAGTGAAAGAAGATGGCATACATAAAACAGACTGCATAGAACTAGGATTATAATAAATACTTTAAAATGTTTCAGTATTCGTTTTTAGACTCACTTTTATTTTGTAGGAAATTGATGAAGCCTGTAAGAGAATAAAGCGTGAAGTTGATGATTTGGGCCCTGAAGTTGGTGACATTAAAATCATTCCATTGTATTCTACACTTCCACCTCAGCAGCAGCAACGCATTTTTGAGCCTCCACCTCCCAAAAAACAGAATGGAGCAATTGGAAGAAAGGTAACATTAGAAATGCTCTTTATAAATATTTCACTAATAATGATTTATGAGATATAAACTGTATTCAGTTATAAAGGACTAAGTTATGGGTGATTGTGATCTAGGTTTTATACAACAAAATAATATCCATTTGTAGGGTTCCGCATATCTCTTGACCCTAAAGTAAGAATGAGTACTGCTTCTTCTAGGTAGTGCCTCCTTAGCAAATGGAAGATTAGTTAGGATGGGTTAAGAAAGGATGTTGGCCAAGTACTGTCTTTTCTCCTATTAAATCACTTGTTATAAAGTAAGCACTTTTTCTTTGGTGCCTTGGCCTTCTGCCCATAATTTTGTTTAAGGCTTCCCAAATGTAATGTCTATAGGTGTGAAATGTTGACCCTGTGCAGACCTCTAATAACAGTAGCACTGATCTGGCCGGGCGTGGCGGCTCAGGCCTGTAATCCCAGCACTTTGGGAGGCCGAAGTGGGTGGATCACGAGGTCAGGAGTTTGAGACCAGCCTGACCAACATGGTGAAACCCTGTCTGTATTGAAAATACAAAAAAATTAGCCGGGCGTGGTAGCGCGTGCCTGTAATTCCAGCTACTCAGGAGGCAGAGGCAGGAGAATCGCTTGAACCCTAGAGGCGGAGGTTGCAGTGAGCTGAGACCGCAACACTGCACTCCAGCCTGGGCGACAGCGCGACTCCATCTCAAAAAAAAAAAAAAAAAAAAAAGTAGCACTGATCACACTGCATAAGTATGTGAGTTCCTGGAATGCAGAAGCTTCATCTAGATCCTGTCAAACGGACAGGAACAAGATTATTTCAGCCCTATTTCTGAGATACTTTGTTGAGGGGCTGGGAAGACATCTTTGATTCCCCATCAGCAGATATATAGTCCCCATCAGCAGATAGATATAGATATAGATATAGATATATATATATATATATATATATATATATATATATATACACATACATACATAGAGAGAGAGAGAGAGAGAGAGAGAGAGACATATATGTCTTAAATATTTATATAATAAGTTAATGCATCCTCCAGGCAAAGCTTTAATTTTTTTTTTTTTTTAAACAACATGGGGTCTCACTATGTTGCCAGGGCTGGTCTTAAACTCCTGGGTTCAATCAGTCCCCCCTCCTGGGCCTCCCAAAGTGCTAGGACTACAGGCATTAGCCACTACGCCCAGCCCTCAGCCTGCCTAGTTTTCATTTGTCTTGAAATCATGTGTACTTTGTATATCTGTATTTGTTTTATTTTTAAAACGTTGTGTTTGTTTACCATTGAGTGAAACTGGTGTACAACAAAGATGTCCTGTTTGTGCATCCTTTTGTGTACTTCTCGTTTCATTGAGTTCTTCTTTGAGATATATGGGCCCATATTTACTACAGTTACACATCTGAGCTCTTGCTGTCGTTGAAGTAAATTAAAGTTTTTGTTTCTGTTTTGCTTTTTGTGTTTTAAATCCTTAGGATGCTGAGGAGAATTTTGTCTTACTGAAAAGAGTGACTCAGCAGTGGCTGGATATGTGATGATGGCCACAGCTGGTGATGGGCTCACTCTGAGGACTGATCATGAGCTTATAATTCAAAACTAGGGGCTATATTGCCACTTTGCCATCCAGTGATGGTGTTTCAGCCGAAACTGTAGGACCTCTTGCTGGGAAATCATGTTATCCTTGCCTTGAGTCAATTTCATCTTAGAGGTTGAGAAAAGCACTGATGTAGCTTCCCTGGACAGTCCTAGGGAGAGTAAAGGAAGACTTCCTTGGCAGTTGCTGCATCATTTTCATTATGAGGAAGAACATTCTGAGGCGCAGCATGTTAAGCACAAATTTAAAGTTTTCATACAAGCCTGGCTTATAGAGGAGGGATCTATACAAGTTTTACTGTTCATATGTAATTTTAAACTTACTGTTTGTGTCTAATTGTGAAAAAATATTTGATTTTTTTGTTAAACTGTTCTAATATAAGGATAGTAGCTAGCATAAAGCAAATATATAAAAGTTGAAAGTTTTTGAACAAATATAATACTTAATACAAATTTTAATTTCCATCAAATTAATTGTGATTCTGTATAACTTTATATTTGAGTCCCTTTTATAAGGCAGTGCCATTTCTTATTTCTCTATTAGTTTATGAAAAATAGATTTTATAACTTGATTGTGGTACTAATAAAAAACAGCCTTTTAAACATGTTACAGCACTAATGGTGAACGATTTCAAGTTTTTAGCAATCAAGAAAGGTTGAGAATGCAACATATATTTATATGAGGGTAAATATTTTTACCTCTTGATAATTTTTGAAGTTTATTCAAGTATTTGACTAAGTTAAAAGTTACAGTAATTCTTTACATGCATTCAAGTTTACTCTTCAGTAGATAACTTCTGCATTTTTTGACTGAGACTTAAAATTGCTATTTTGTGGATTTGGTTGTTATTAAAATACAACTATAATTATTTTTTAAATATTTAGTGTTCATTAATTTTGTTCATACAAATAGCTGACTTTTCTATAGTTGATCCTACATTTCGCTGATTAATATGGTTCAGAGCATACATTGCTCAGTGAAAAAGAGAAATGGCCCTTGTGGAGATGGTCCTGTAGTTTTAAAGAAAGACTTAATGATCCAGGATCTGAAGATAGCTTACTGTGGTGCTGCTGGGATGTTTATAAGCAAATAAGTTGATGTCCTTGTGTTGGAGACCACCACAGAGTTCCCTGGGGACTAAAAGTCCAAATTAGTTTAAATGCATTATTGTGTCCAGACAGTATTCAGGTAGGGCAAATGAAGTACTGCGAGTTCTACTTTGAAGTGGAGTTATTGGGGGCGGAGTGGGGGGAAGTGGTTCTATTAGAAAAAAAGTGAGTTCTATTAGAAGGCAGGTTATTGAGGGAGGAAAATTTACTCTTAGCATGTCCTGACAGTGATGCCAAGCTTTTCACCATAGGGTCTGTTCCATATTAGTCAATGCGGTTTGAACACTTTTTAAGGCTCTTTGAACGCTTACTGCAGTGTTGCAGTCTAGAAAGCATGTAACAATTATATTGATTCTTACTGGTCATAATGTAAATCCCTTGACAAATTCAAGGTCATTTTGTCTCCTGATGGGTTCCTGGTTGTATGGTGTGCCATTTACAATTAGAACATGGTTAGGGCTTGCCTCACTCAACTGCTGAAGTACCAAAGAAGCTTTTATCTTGTCATTTATTAGTTCGCTTTTGCATTGTGTGTGTGTGTATTTAGCCTTAGCTATTTTTAGTCCTTGAGAAAGGCCTAAAACTTGTGCTTTTTTGTTAAGGACTCAATTTAACACTTGTATTTTAGGGTTTGACTTTTGGCTGGCAATAGGCTCTTACTAATATCAATAATGACGAGGGTTTGCCAAGTTGGCATAAATCATTTGATTCTTAAACACTTGCAGAATCATGTATCCGCGAATTGTTAAGTATTACAGAATTTAATACACTCACCCAGACAAAAAACATACACACAGGATGAAATTATTTTGTGGAGAAAAATTAACTTTTTATAATGGTAACTAAAGAGTTGGTCACATGAGAAATTTTTATCACATTGTATTATGTTATAGAAGAAATATGTGAAATGTATTTTTTCCCAGAACAACTTTTTTAAAAGTGATTTTCTTCATAAATATTTTCAGAACTATGGTTTTCACCCCAGAATTCCAGAAAGCCAGAAGACGTCTTCTGTATTTACAGGCATGTAGTTGGTTCTGTATAGATTTGAGATAGGGTCTCAGTCTGTTGCCTAGGGTGGAGTTCTGTGCCATGATCATAGCTCACTGCAACCTGAACCTCCTGGACTCAAGCAGTCCTCCCACCTTAGCCTCCTCGGTAGCTGGGACTACAAGCATGTGCCACCATGCCTGGCTAATTTCTTTTATTTTTTTGTAGAGGTGGGGTTTTACTATGTTGTCCAGGCTTGTCTCAAACTCCTGGACTCAAATAATCCTCCTTGGCCTTTTTAAGTGCTGGGATTACGGATGTGAGCCACCATGCCTGGCCTATTCTGTATAGTTTATAGAGCATTTCCACATCCTTACATAATTTATTCCCTACAACCCTGTGTTATGTAGACTAAGTAATATGCAAGTTATAAAAGGAATACAAGCTTGGGGGTGTTAAAACCTTTCCAGTTACTTTAGCCACTCAGGTTTGATTGCTAGGTCTGCCAGTTACCTCTAAATTCATCGCTTCTTTAACTACAAGAAACTGACTTTCTAGAATATTAAATGCCGGTTATGCTTATTCAAGTTTCACCTGTTAACCTTATGTATGTCGTTGTTTGCTTCAGTTCTAGTTGCTGATTATTTTTCTAAATGTCCTGAAGAATGTATTTCAGCAACATCATCAAACCACATGTGGTTTCTTATTCCTTTGCTAGTTGTCAGTCTTTTCAACTGACAAAAGGAAACATTTTGGTTTTTGACTTGTAAATTATTCTGAAATACCCTCTTGGTAGATTGCTATTATGTTTTTAAATCCCTGAGGTTTCCTGTTAGTATTTTGGGAAGTCTACTACTTAGTAAATATGAAATCAGAAAATGAAAGTGTTAATATTAAGTAAAATAGTTAATGCAGCAAAAGCCTATGATTTTTAAAGCTATTTGATTTATAAAATTAAGTGTTTTTAAAATAAAATAGGGATAAATATAAATCTTTTCATTTTTTGTATGTGCCCATAGGCATTTCTCCCACATGTGTTTTTTTAAGATGGAACTTTAGTGCTAGTGCTGTTTCCTTCTCTCATGAGTAGGTCTTAACCTTACCGTCAAGGACTGTCCTAAATGCTATTATTTTTCAGTAAAGCTTTTCTTGACTTTGCTATGGAAGTAAACCTTTTTAAATTTCACAGTGTGTCTTTGGTGCCACTCACACTTTCTATCCATGTCTAATCATCCCTTACAAATGGTAAAAGCAGACTCTGTTTGATTCATCTTCTGTATCAATTGCTTGCATATACAGACATCTTCAACTTAATATCAGTAACCTGTTCCTGAAAATCATGTCCTGAGTTAAAATACTAATGAGGAATCCCCATTTCCCATTGTTTAAAAAAAAATTATATGTAACATGTATTTCCCAAGTCCTTAACTAATTTTCTAAAACATATGTAATATATAGTAAAACATGCACGTATACCAAACAAGCTATCATATTAGTATGTAAATGCTTTAAACATTTTCCGTCAATAAAGAATTATAGTTCTTAACAGTTGCTTTGTATGTAGTAACGTATTACATGTCATCCCGTTGAGACCATGCACTTACCGAAATATTTACATTTGATTCTGCTGATCTGTCCATTCTTACTGGATTATAACTTGAGTTTTTTTCCATGTGGCATTTTGTTTAAAATGTTGAGTTGAATTTTGGTGATATAAATAACGAAGTTTTCATTTGTAAATATTGCCCAAAAACATTGAAATATACACTTGTGGAAATTTGAATACTAATTATAAGGGCTGTTTTATCAGACGTTTTGTAAGGCACGTTATATTGCTTCATCAGTATTTTTCTTTTTATGCTGTCCATTAATTTGATTAAGCAAAATGTAATGCGGTTGAGTGATAACCTGAAGTAATAGCTTTGTTGAGAAAGAAGTTGCTGTTGTGGTGTAAACAAAATTTTGGTTCCTTAAATATTAATTTACCTTTTTAAAGCATTGGCCATTGAAGATCAAATGATATTTCTAGTTTATTTGCTGGCTTGAAATTCCTTGTGTCAGTGAAAGTTAGTGGCTGATCTTTAACAGTCCTGTTAATTTTATTTGATATGTAATATAATTTATATACTCTATTTCTTAACAGGTAGTTGTGTCAACTAACATAGCAGAGACGTCTTTGACAATAGATGGTGTGGTGTTTGTGATTGATCCTGGATTTGCGAAACAGAAGGTACATATTTAGTGGATACTTTATAAATTAGAGTTGGTTTAACAGTACTTACAACCAATTCATTTAATGGCTAAAATTTACCTTTCAGAATTATTTTCCTATCTTTTTTTTTATTTGCAAATTTCTGCTGTATGAACCCTTTATGTTTTGGCTGGCTCTCAGAAATTAAGACAGTATTTAATATGTAATTCTAGGCTTTTTTTTCTTTTAGAGTTGCTTTGCTTTCTTTGTTTCAGTGTAGTGACGGTGGGTGTTTTGGCTTGTATATTCATTTAACAGTATGGGTTTAGTAATAAAGTACAGGATTTCTATCCCTGCAGTTCAGTCACTTCTCCCAACATTATTAGAGTTACTGCTGTCAACTAGGCACACTATTTGAAAACAGTACTATGTTACTCCTCTAGTTTAACAGTGCTGTATACTAAATGAAGTGAAATGCAGGTGAAGTGGCTATTCAATAAATACGTTTTATTTTTCAAATATCTTTTGGATAAATTGATTACATTTTGTTATTGATGGAAATTTTTTCATTAAACAGTAACAGAGTAATAGTACTCAGACCGTCGAGTTTTGAAAGTGAAGGTTTCTTTTCGGGCAGAATCCTTGACTGCCCAGCATATAAAAAGCAAGGAACAAGGTCAGCCTGATAGAACTGAAATTAGGAGGAGTAAGGATTATATAAGCTGTGTGTTTGACAAGAAGTTTTTCATGTTAGAGTCTTTCAGATGATCGAATTAGAATGTCTGAAAGAACTTTAAGGTTCAGGATGGTGGGTTGTCTATTGTAGCAGCATGATTTATGGCTATCGATATTTCTTTATTTATTTTGGAATTAACTGTGGGCTTTGGATACTTCTGTTGCATCACAATTTTGTGTTTGACTGAAGAAAGACTCTTGTGTTATTTCAATTCCAATAGGTCTACAATCCTCGAATCAGAGTTGAGTCCCTTTTGGTGACAGCTATTAGTAAAGCTTCAGCTCAGCAAAGGGCTGGTCGAGCTGGACGTACCAGACCTGGAAAATGCTTCAGACTTTACACAGAGAAAGCTTATAAAACAGAAATGCAGGTATGGGGTATTGTCGTTTCCTGCCGATATGTTTAAAATGTTAGGTTGAATTATCTTACCAGAAGAACATTGCCTTATTTACTTAATCTTGCCTTTTAGGATTAAAAGCTCCTTAGCTTTTCCAGGAGTGAAATGTATGGTGTAATTAACTTAGATAGTCGTACACCCCCTTATTCCAGGCTGATACATTCCAAGACCCTCCCCCTCCCACGCCTAAAAACTGGAATATGCTGAACCTTACTTACATATACTATGTATAAATATCTTTCTTTACAATTTCACTGATAGAAGATGCATTCTTTCTTTAGATGTGATTTTTTTGCTCTTTTGTTACTAGGTTTCAACTTTTTTTCTTTCCTTACTAACTTTCAGCGTTTCACTTAAAGGAAGCACTTCAGGGCCTCTCATTGGCATATCCAAATTGCCAGCATCAATATTCTTGGCGCTTTGGGGCCATTATTAAGTAAAAGGTTACTTGAGCACAAGCACTGTGATACTGCAAAAGTTGATCTAATAACAGATGGTTGCTAAGTGACAAATGGGTGTATAGTGTATATAGCATACTACTAAGAATGGTGCACAATTTAAACTTGATGAATTTTTTCTGGAATCTTTAAAATTTTTTCTGTTGACACTGCTTAACTGAAACCATGGAAATTGCGAGTTCAGATGAGTGAAGACTACTATACGAATTTCTTTCTGCAGTTGCGAGTTTTATGGACAGTAGCAAACACTGAATACTATAAAGATAGTTGGAGAAAAATGGTTTCTCTCTAGTCTAGCCTACAAGTATTTATCTCTACTGAGACAGTGTAGAAGTAATGCCAAAACAAATAGCTCAGGAGGCAGCAGATTTTTGTTTTCTGGAACGAGGAGACTGAGGCATTTTTAACATAACCAATAAATGTTTTTGTTCTTTGCTAGGATAACACCTATCCTGAGATTTTGCGTTCTAATTTAGGATCAGTTGTGTTACAATTGAAGAAACTTGGTATTGATGACTTGGTACATTTTGATTTTATGGATCCACCAGGTATGACTTATCAAAACACATTTTTATCAGATCTTTTAACCAAAATTGACTCTTAGTGTTTTTCTCCATCCTATTTAATATATGTATTAAATACATTTTGCTTTTTCCATCCAGTATGCATCAAGATTAAGTCTTACATGATAGCATTAAAACTAAAAAAGGTGACAGTTATATGAGCACATTTTTTTTTTTTCTTCAAAAGTTATTATGGGGGGGTTTGGGTAAATTGAATTATCCTCTGGGCATGAAAATGTGAGAATTCCTAAGTTTTCTTTGGGGAAAAACAGTTTGATAAACACATTGATGAATTAGCAATTATTTAATGTATTTCGG
Organism: Homo sapiens; assembly: GCF_000001405.40. Lineage (NCBI taxonomy): Eukaryota > Metazoa > Chordata > Mammalia > Primates > Hominidae > Homo > Homo sapiens. The sequence continues at coordinate 24,540,506 of NC_000004.12, read as the reverse complement.
AAGAAGACAGTTTTGCCTACAGGAAAATTTTGCAATGTTTTTATGATTCATTGTTTGCTAGATCTGTATAATTGAATTGGATGACAGTTTGAGTTTGAGTTTGGTCCACTGCAAAATGAAAAATGAGATTGCTTATAATAGTTTGTACTTTGTCACATTTTTGCTTGCTTAAGGCACCGTGTCTAATAGATTGTCTTTTACCACTAGCTCCTGAAACTCTGATGAGAGCCCTGGAACTTTTGAATTACCTGGCTGCTTTAAATGATGATGGAGATCTGACTGAATTGGGATCCATGATGGCAGAGTTTCCTCTAGATCCACAGCTCGCAAAAATGGTTATTGCAAGTTGTGACTACAACTGTTCTAATGAGGTCCTATCTATTACTGCTATGTTGTCAGGTAATAGAGGGAAAGGAACAAAAAAAAGCCCAGCTCTTCAAAGTTTGGGTGGACTTCACTTTTGTTTTTGTTTTTTAATTTTTAGTATGATAGTGGATTTTATAGATGGTTTTAAGGAATTAATTTTGTTTTCTAAATACCTTGTAAATAGCTTCGTAATGACATAGTGCTTACAAAAGTAAAGTAAGTCATTGTGCACAAAAGATAAGTAAAGCATTGGCTCTCTTGAGTGCTAATAAAAATTGCAGTAAGTTTGAGCACAGTTGTAACTGAATTCTTTGGTTAAAGGTCCATCACTGCTATCTTTGTGGTTTTTTTGTTTTTTGTTTTTTACTGCAAGTACAGGAAGAACTTTGCTCTAGTACTTAGCTCTATTAAGTGTGCCTGTGACAAACTGAAAGCTATACATTAAGTTGAGCCTTTTCTATATATGTACTCCAATGGCACCCGAACAAACATGAATTTCAAACTTCATATCAAGTAAATAGAAATAGTAATGTATAATTTTAGGCTTAAAATCTAATCTGATAATGGTATTCTTTTACAATGGTAGAAAAACTTGGTAAAAGAAACATACCTAATATATAAAATCGCTAATTTTGTAAAATTGGACCATTAAGCTAAGGAAATAATGCTGTTTTTAGTAACAATAAAATGTAATCCACAAATGAATAGTAACTTGGAAATTAGATTTTCCCTAAAGGAGAAGAAATATTGTTAAGAAACAAATGAATAGCTATTCTTACAGCTAAAAATAGAAAATAAGTTCTTACTGACGATTAAAATATTCTCTGCTACTAGTTTTAGCACGGGAGAGAACTGACTCCCTATTGCTGAGTGGTTTATTGAACTTAATGCTGCAAATATTTCAAAATATTCTGTGGAATTAAAGGATAAATTGAAAAAAATTTAAATGTAAAATTATGGCTTAGTTTAGACGTATGGTATATTCTAATGGTGTGAATTTTTTATTTAAGAAGTAGCTAAAATGTTTTCTTGCAGAGTTATGACTGATCAGACTCAGAGCAGATGGGCAGGGCAGTATTGAGTCACTTTAATTAAATTGTAGCTTCATTTGCGGAGGTGGTGGTAGGTTGTTGTCTGCCTTTCTTATATGTTGTTTTATAGATTCTCCCAGTTGTACTTCTCCCAAGATTTTAGTTTTTAGAGAAAGTGTGGGGCAAGAACTAATGGATTGTGTACTTACTTGTCTATCTGCCTAGTTTTTATTTCTCTAGGTTCTCTTATCAGATATACTTACATGATTACTGTTGTTTGAGTTTAGAATATTAGCTCTTTAAGAAGTTTGTTGTTGTGATGTAGTTGTAATCTTCCAACTACATCTCAGTTTTATTTGTAATTAAAAAAAACTTATTTTTATTTATTACAAATAAAAACCTTTAGTTTGTCAGGAGAATGAGCATTTATGTGCAGCAATGTAAATGGACTGTTTTTAAATGGTCCATTTATAGGAAAAGTGTTGAAATAAGAGGCAAGTAAGAAGTCAGGGAATAAAAAATAGTTTGCTGAGCTTGTAATGCTTTGTTTGACATTAAAATAGTTTTTGAAGTTTTGAGGTCCTGATACTAACAGTGCAAATCTAGAGGCCTTTGAGAGCACTACTTATTTATTCCCACTTAACTCTAGTGGCTAGTTCACATTAAAATTCACAGCTGTGAGAAGTTTGTGTGCTTTTATGAATTACCTTGCTTCAATTAAATTAAGCAAGAGTTTTAATATTTATTATGATCATGTTTTGTTGTCACTATTTGGCTATTTTGGCATCTTTTTAAAGGGGAAACTGTATGGGAAAGAGTAATATGATACTGTATTTTATCTTGTTGTTGATTATTCCCATTATCTTCTATCCGAACCGATAATTTATGAATTTTTTCATTGACAAGGTTTTAAGAGCTTTTAAAATGTGTTGAAAAAGTCCCAAGCTGTTAAGTATTTTTATTTTCATACTGCTTTTATGACTATGGAATTGCTAAACTGAATTAAGGAAAGTTGTATTTCAAAAAATGTAGTACATGCTTTGTAACAATTTAAAGTTTTATGTGAATTAATATTGAGGCTCTAAACAAATAACTGTAGTTACATATCTTGATGACCCTTGATATGATTGTTTCAGACTAATTGTCAACTTTTGAAATATTGGACTTTGCTTTTATATTGAGGTTTTGATTCAAATAAGTTTGTTTTTTTTCTTTTTTAAATTTGGGACTTTATTTTCTAATCCTTTTGTTAAAATGCTGAAACACTAGGCTGAATATCCCAGCCTTTTTGAATTTTCTTAATTCAAAGGCGGTTTAACCTTCCACCACTACTGCTATCATCCAAACCCAAGAATTCTTGATATTTTTATGTTTACATATGCTTCTGCTCACCGGTGCTAATAGTGATACCCACCAGTTGGTAATAGCCACAGTATTAGGGAAAAAATTCTGATAGAAACATGGCAGTAGACTGGTTTCAAAGTTGTTGTTAGCTCTGCAGTGGGCAAGCATAGCTTCCTAACTTTCACAGCCATTCAGTAGATTTAGTGGATGCCCTTTTGAAAAATTACAGTTAGCTAAAAGGCAATTGACACCGTTATTCTGGTTATTGGTAGAGCTATCAGCACTGGTTTTTTTAAATAAGTTGAGCTTTTTAGTATCCTGATGGCCTTCAGAATAGCTGTTTTGATGCCTACTTTTAGATCTAGTTAAAATAATCAGGTACTCTGTAGCTTTGAAACCCTCTTGTCTTACAGATGTGGTTAGGTGTTGATGTACCAAATCAAGGTAGTAAACAATCCAAGATGCAGTTGGAGGCCATCCTGCCCTGCCCTATGCTCTGTGAACTGACCTAGCTAGGCCTTGTTCCTCTATCTGTGAATGCGTGACTCATCGATATGGGCGTTTGTGTTGGGCCCATACCAACCTTGTTTAGTCCCACAGTGTTTTGTTCGCCCCACGGAGGCCAAGAAAGCCGCAGATGAGGCCAAGATGAGATTTGCCCACATAGATGGAGATCATCTGACACTGCTGAACGTCTACCATGCTTTTAAACAAAGTAAGTGTAAATTTGATTGGAGACACTCTTGTCTAAATGTCACTTGCAGTGTATAAGATGTTTCTTTGTCCCACTTTGATTTATTATCCGTGACAACTTATATTAGAAACCCAGAGGTACTTTTGAAAAACTCCTGACGAGCATTTAAAATAGAAATTGCCAATCTTTTTCAAAGTTGTTTATGTTTATAATCAGGGGATAAAGCACCAATTGTAGAAAACCTGAAAAATAACAGTGATAAAAATGACAGACTTGTATAACATGTATCACTAACATACACGTTTTTATATACTTTTATTTCTGTGCATTTTACATTTTTAAGAATAGTTTTATATTGTTTATACAATCATTACTCTAACATTTTTACTAATAAAGAACTTTTTACACCAAAATAAAACTAATAGAAAAAAATGGACAAGTATGAATGATGGTTCTTAGGCTACCAGTGGTCTCTAAACATGATATGGAAAAGTTCAGCTCTACTGTTAGCCCAAGAAGTGCATTATTATTTTGGCATTATTATTGATAATGAAAGGCATTACCATTTTCTCACATAAAATTTGCAGATATTGAAAAATATTCCTTAGCTGTATGGGAGTGGGGTTAGTTGTGGTCTTTATGAAAAGTTGATTTTATGTTACCAGGAACTTTAGCAACTGTATACTCTTTGACCCAGAAATAATTTAGAAAGTTATTTTTTGGTATTCTGTGGACACTGATTTGATTAAATAATTTCACCAGAATTATTTATGGTGGTAAAAAAAAAATTGGCTACCTAAATGCCCACCAGTGGAAAAATTGTGAGTTATGCTGTAGACATATGAAGTAATTGTTCTAGCTTTAAATCATCTTATCATAGAATATTTAGTGACCTGAAAAACATTTGTCAGTGACTTGTAAATGAGGAAACATAATAACAATGAAGTTATTGCTAGCTGCTGCTGTTGGAATGTACCATTTGCAAAAATTGAGAGGAAACCTTAATAAATTTAAAGGAGAAAAAAAATACAGAAATTGCAACTGGATCTGACATTTTTTTTTTAACTGATAGCCCTACATCATCACCCTGTGCCAAAAATGTGGAATTCTGTCACTAAGTTTGTAGTTTCTTCTCATGAGAAATTGGTTTCTTAATTTATAAAGTTGACGTTCCAATTTTGTATGTCTGGTTTTATTTGTAACTCATTTTTATTATCTCATAAACATCTCAGTTATACTCTTAAAATGGGGAGCCTGTTGACTTTGGCACATCTCTGTAGGGGTGATGGTGAATTTATTTGTCTTGGGGTCCAGAAGTGCTAGAGGGCCAGTGTGTGCACCAGACGTAGTACCTAACTTGATTTACATCTGTTCCTTACTCCAGAACCCTGATATGAGTTGAAAAGAATTGATGACTAGCAGTGAGAAAGAATGGAGCCCTTCTCTGCCCAGGCCCAGAAAACTTGGGGGCAGATATGAGAGTTAAGGGAAATGTGGTTATGAAACCACAGGCTGAAGACCAGCACATGGTTTACCTTAGAACAGTTATTTAATCTTTCTTGTATCCAAATACTGGTATTACCTAGCGTTAAAGACTTACCCCTGATTAGACAGATCTACTCAAAAAACCTACTGTATTCCTCTTCTATGCGAAACATGCTGGGTGACCAAGAGATACATAACCTATTAAAGCCTTGAGAAGGAACAGATTCAGTCAGAGGGGATGTAGTAAGTTAAAATGGTGTTATCCACTCACTAGATGTATGACCTATTTCTGATAAATACATCAAAATACTACTTTCTACATCAAAATACAACTAATAAAATAGAAAAACGGACAAGTATGAATGATGGTTCTTAGGCTACAAGTGGCCTGTAAACAAGAGGTGGAAAAGTTCAAGTCTATTGTTTGCCCAAGAAATGCATTATTAGTGAGAGGTACTATGATCTCTCACTGCCAAAGGGATGATTAGCCATTGGTGGTTTTTAGGGGTTTGCAGTATGTGATGACTTGACATTTGGTAGAGCTGTCCTTATTAGTTAAAGGTGAGGATTTAGCCTTTAATCACTGATTGCCACCTTTTCAAATAAGAGAAGCTCTTAAAAAAAAAAAAAGCAAAAAACTTTGCCAGATCCCCACGTGTTATTATTTCGATATATCCATATATATATGGATATGAAAATATTTGGAATATTTTCACGAAAGCTTTTTAAATGGTTGTATGTTATTAATTGAAACATTGAGTATATTTGAAAAAAGCGTGTTTCAGATACTGGTCAAGATGTTTTGCATTAGAGACAATAGTTGATTACATAGTGAAGCTAAAATGTCATGTCAATTAAAATGTTGTCTTAATACTATTTATGTAAATAACCCTTTGAAATCGAAAACTAGATTCAAGTTATTTTGCAGTACCTTGATCTGTCTAGGGAGGGGAGATTTCTCTCTAAAAATCAGACAAATGGTTTGGCTTTAGATCTTAGGGGTGGTTTACTGTATTGGTGAGAGATAAACAGCTAGAATTATATTAATGTTTCCAGTTTTAGATTTAATTTTCCCATTTACCCAATTATTTCTCACAAGTTTAGAAATACAGTAGAACCATCAGATGTTAGTTACTAGTCATTTGTTCTTAACAAATAACTTAGATTTGCAATTTTTCCATCTGTAGTACATGAATTCTAAAAATTGAGAACCACACAAAAAAGCTACATTTCAAGCCATAGTCTGCAAATCAACAACCTTTTCAAAAATTTGCCTTTTTATTGTCCAGCTTGGGCATTTTTCTGCCTTTCAGCTTGTTACAGAGCATCAGCATAAGTAAAATTACCTCTAAGGTGTGCTGTTTCAGCTCCCAAAGATATTCAGTGCTTTGATTTAAATGTCAATGGCTTCAGATGGTTAACTTTTATTTCTCATTCCAGATGGATTAATTAATGGGTGTTCTAATATGTTATTGTATTCTTTAATTCAAAAATCTATTTCCTATCTCCACCTCACCCATCCTTAATTTCTGAAATGGGGATGCATTTTGTAATGGATAAAAATGTACTTATATATTTGTTATGTCTAAAAAACATTAAGGCAGAGTTATACACTATAACTGGTAGAATCCTAGAACCAAAGAGAAAAGAGTATGCTGAAGATAAGCATACATCACAGTAGCAAGAGAAGGATCAACAGTTTTAATTTTTGTTTTCTCTCTCCCATTTCACAATAACCCTGTTAGTTTTATTTATCAAAGGTCCTCTGAAATAAATAATGCAATTCTTTGCCATGACTGTCTTTGGCACATGAAAGATGTCACTGTAAAATTTCTTTCATGATGCTACAGGTTGAGCTCTTTAAGTGAGCAACACTAGGCTAGTTGGAAGCTTATCAAGGATTCATCAGTGGAGAAATATCCTTTTGATAATACATGTAATAAAATTACTTGAAGTGCTTAGACTTAGGTCTTGTTTATTAAACATGAGTGGAGGTTTCGGGCATCCTTGTAAACTTTCTTCTGTTTCAGGACTTGCTCATAAATTGCTGAGAGACACGTGTGTCGCAATAAAACTTTGCCGTCTTTAAGTCTGAGGTGCTCTGTGTCAGGCATAAAGAACAATACACAACAATTGTTTGCAGTTATCTTAATCTAAAGCTGTAGTTTCATTGAAAATGAACAGGCCATGACTTTTACCAAATACTTCCAGCCTTCCCTTATCTGATAGACCATCTTTTGGAAACAACCAGGTGGATGTTAATGGGAGAAGTAATTCACTAAAAACAGTTAATTCAAAAGCATTGTTTTGGCATCCAAATCCAAAAGCCTTGTTACTGTTTCTAATGTTGAATCACACTACAGATCTTTGAGAAAGTTGGTAACATTGCAGTTCATTTAAAGAAAATGTTGTGGGTAAATCTCCTTTCTGGTTTATTTAGCTTATTCTTTATAACAATTTTTTTAATTAGAGAACATTCCTGTGTGGGTGATTCATGGTGCCTTCTTTTCTCCCCGCCTTCTACCTTTTTAGATCATGAATCGGTTCAGTGGTGTTATGACAACTTCATTAACTACAGGTCCCTGATGTCCGCAGACAATGTACGCCAGCAGCTATCTCGAATTATGGACAGATTTAATTTGCCTCGTCGAAGTACTGACTTTACAAGCAGGGACTATTATATTAATATAAGAAAAGCTTTGGTTACTGGGTATTTTATGCAGGTATGTAGATAATATGGGAATGAATAACTAAGTATTCATATGACACTGATTTCTATTAACAGTCCTTTGAATCCACTCAAAAGCAAAAGTGAGTTTGTGCATGCTCATAAAAATTTATCTTAAATGTTGGTACATCCAGTTTCTTTGAGTGAATTAATATACTAAGAAATTTTAAGTATTTAATGAGTAACAAATTAATGTACTAAATGGCTAAGGTAGTCTAGTTATACAGGAATCGTTTTTAGAATTATTTTATTAATAGAGCCTTTGTTATACAAAATGGAAACTTTGGCTACTTTCAGATGTGATTAGGCACCTGTTTCTTCAGGAATGTGAATATTGATCAGTGCATTAAAGTTTCTCTGAATCTAGGGCTTAATTGGAAATACATTGTCATAACAGAGTACTAAAAGGAAGCAATTGAGCGGATCCAAAAGTACATACAGTTGGCTTTAGTCTTTATCTAAAAACTAAGCACCTCCAAATTCAAATATTCAAATACGTGGATTTCATTTACAGTCCTCTACAGAGTGATCATTGGTAATTATGACCAAGACCCTTGCGTACTGCAAAAGCCAAAAACGTCTGTTGAGTAGCAATAAAGATGAAACATAATTTAAAAGGTTTTATTTAGTTTAAGTATGCTGTGTTAACGGCTATAAGAACAGAAGTAAAACTTGTCAAGTAAATACTGTGAACAGTTATTTTAAGGTGTTTATAAAATAAGAGAAACTTTGAGAAAAATGCAAGAAAATTTTGTGGTGATAAAATTGAAAACAAATCACCTGATTTGGGATAAGTCTCTTCTATCTCTTTTCTGTTTGTTCATTCTCTCTTTGGCTGTGTCTTTTAAGCACGATGTGGCTTACCCTTAAGGCCAGATGGGCTCAGTAGCTAGAATATGAGCCTGAGGACACTCAGTTTCAGAATCAAAAATCAAAGGAGATTGGTGAGATGTCTGTATTTGAATCTAAGTAACACAGTGTTTATTGTGGCATCTTATTATATAATAGGCTTATTAGAGTTTGGTGAATGATAGGTATGAGCATTCTTTCTTGAAACTCTTAACTATATTCTTAATATTTGATATGTTGTACTGGCTTCTCTTTGACATGTTCTGTTCTTTTTTAGGGGGAGGGGATGGGGTGAGGGAGGCAATGTCTCACTCCCAGGCTGGAGTGCAGTGGTGCAATCACGGCTCACTGCAGCTTTTACCTCCCTGGGCTCTGGTGATCCTCCCACCTCAGACTCCTGAGTTCCTGGGACTACAGGCACGCACCACTATGCCTAGCTAATTTTTGCCTTTTTGTGTGTGTAGAGAGAGGGCCTCGCCACGTTGCCCAGGCTGATCTTGAACTTCTGGCTTCAAATGATCCTCCTACCTCGACCTCCCAAAGTGCTGAGATTACAGACGTGAGCCACCAGGCCTGGGTTGACATGTTCTTAAATTTGCTTTTTATATTTCAGAAAAAAACTGGCCGGGCGCTGTGGCTCACGCCTGTAATCCCAGCACTTTGGGAGGCCGAGGCGGGTGGATCACGAGGTCAAGAGATCGAGACCATCCTGGCTAACATGGTGAAACCCCGTCTCTACTAAAAATACAAAAAATTAGCCGGGCGCGGTGGCGGGTGCCTGTAGTCCCAGCTACTCGGGAGGCTGAGGCAGGAGAACGGCGTAAACCTGGGAGGCAGAGCTTGCAGTGAGCCGAGATAGCGCCACTGCACTCCAGCCTGGGCGACAGAGCGAGACTCCGTCTCAAAAAAAAAAAAAAAATTGATGAAACTATATTCAAGCATTATACTTCTTAATTATGTAGATTAAAATTTGTTACAAACAGCTAGGCACCACAGAGTGTGCTTGTAGTCCTAGCTACTAGAGAAGTTGAGTGGAGAGCAAGGAGCGTTGAAGCCAGCCCAGGCAACATAGGAAAACCCTATCTCTTTTTAAAAACAAACAAAAAATTTATTAGAAACAGCATGCATTATAGTACCTGACACCTAATAGGTGTTTAGTAAATATTTCGAATGAAATTGAGTTTCTTTTCTATTATTCATGCTCATTCTTTAAGCACAGAATATTAGAATTGGAAAGGGAGAACTGTCCATTTTGATGAGTATCACCAGTCAAGGTGTTACCAAAAAAAGAAATGAGAGGGAAGCACGTGCAAGCTCTTTTTTTTTTCCCATTTTTATTTTCCTGTCTTTGTAGGTTACCTTTTTCTTTTCCTCTTTGCCCTCTTTAGTTTTCTACCTTATTTTTTATTCTATTTCTTTATTTTCTTTTTTGAAATGGAGCCTCTCGGTCTGTCGCCCAGGCTGGAGTGCAGTGACTTGATCTCAGCTCACTGCAACCTCCGCCTCCTGGGTTCAGGCAATTCTCCTGCCTCAGCCTCCTGAGTAGCTGGGATACAGACACCCGCCACCACGCTTGTCTAATTTTTGTACTTTTAGTAGAGATGAGGTTTCACCGTGTTGGCCAGGCTGGTCTCGAACTCCTGACCTCAGGTGATCTGCCTGTCTCAGCCTCCCAAAGTGCTGGGATTACTGCACCTGGCTTTAGTTTTCTACCTTAGACATGAATGTTCTGGTAATTGTCTGCTCATAGTTGGCGCCCAGTGCTGAAGAGCCTGCTCTAGATGGTCTCAGGCAGGAAAGATCAGATAGTAAATGTTGGGCTCTGTGGACCCATGAAGTCCTTGTCAAAACTACCTAACACTGCCTGCTCTTGGAGCATAATAGGTATAGACAAATGGGCATGCCTGTGTTCTAATAAAACTTTCCTTATGGATACTGAAGTTTGAATTTTACATGCTACTCATGCTTCACGGAATGTTTTTTGTATGATATTTTTTCTTTCTAATTAAAGATAAATAAACCATTTTGGATTCACAGACCTTACAAATAGAGGCTATGAGTTGGATTTGGCCCACAGGCAGCAGTTTGCTTATCTCTGCTTTTATCAGACAGTGATAAATAAGTATAGCCATAGAATGAAAAGTAAAAGGGAGGCCTGCCTCTTCCTAATTATGTAGGTAGCTTTACAACTAGCAAGTCAGAAGCATTGTATTAATAATATACTGGGTTTTGGTTTCAGGTGGCACATTTAGAACGAACAGGGCATTACTTAACTGTGAAAGATAACCAGGTGGTTCAGTTGCATCCCTCTACTGTTCTTGACCACAAACCTGAATGGGTGCTTTATAATGAGTTTGTTCTAACAACAAAGAATTACATCCGGACATGTACAGATATCAAGCCAGAATGGTAAGTACACCTTTTGTTCTAACAGTTTTTTGTTAGTACTTTGCTCAAAATGGAACCTGACTGTTGCTAGAGTCATGGCCTTGCATTCACTCATTGAGAATTTATATTTCAGTGTGTAGGTATGAGGGAATTGACTGGATGGTGTGATTAATCTTTCACACCCTTCCTTTGTTAAGTGGACAGTGGGATTGTTGATATTTATGGGCAGGATTTGAAGCCAAATGTGAAGTTACATTTGAATAGCATGAAAAGTTTCTTCAGGGGCTGGGCATGGTGGCTCACACCTGTAATCCCAGGACTCTGGGAGGCCAGGATGGGAGGATCACTTGAAGCCAGGGGTTCAAGACCAGCCTGTGCAATATAGCCAGAATCCATCTCTACTAAAAGATATATAGGTGTGTACAAAAATTAGCTGGGCATGGTGGTGCTGCACGTCTATAGTCCCAGCTACTGGGGAAGCTGGGCAGGAGGATTGCTTGAGCCCAGGAGTTTGAGGTTGCAGTGAGCTATGATCATGCCACTGTACTCCAGCCTGGGTGACAGTGAGACCCTGTCTCTCAGACATACTTTTAAAAAAGGGTTTTTTTTTAATTTTTTTAATTTTTAGAGTTTCTTTGGAGCCATTCTCTTGCTGTTGTGATTCTCAAGTCAGTACTGTTTCTTGCTTGCAGAAATCTGTTTTTTTTTGTTTTGTTTTGTTTTTTAACATTTTTTTTGTCCCATTACAATTAGCCCTCAACTATTTATTATTTATATATTGGTTTTTAGGAACTGTGCAGGCATAAAAATGATAGCTCTTTGTGTTTTAACATACTAGCTTCTACAAAATGTAGAGTAAGAACGGATTGTTTTATTTTAAGCAAAATAACCCTCACCTTCATGGTTTTTTGTTTTATTTATGCCAGAATCTATTCTATAACCTATGACAGGAAATGTCAGCCAAGAGTAGTGGGACTGAAGGCACATATTCTAGGTGCTGTCACCGCTTTATATTGTGCAGCTGCTTTCTTATACGGATTTGGGACTTTTGACACTTAAATTGTGTAGGACATTACCATTTTATCTTAAACGCTTTGTTGAGAAAAAAATTATATAGCTAAACTTTATAAAAGATTTCAGTCAAGTGTATTTTGGGGGTATAGAGTTACAGTTATTAAAACATTGAAAATGAAAAGATCCAATCATTTGAATACCACGATGTTTCCTACACAGAACCTGTTATATATTACTATATCCTTGGAGTGGCAAATTAATAGTGTGCCAGAGTAAAGAAATCAGTGACTTTATCTGTTATCTTTACATTAATGTATCTTGAGGGGTTTGTTATTAAGTTTATGGTAAGTCCAACATCAGAAAATTCACATCTTACTAAATAAAATACTTAACACATTTCTAAAAGTGCTATTTGTAAGGATTAGTTATTTGTATTTTTCTGAGACTTGAATTCATAGATTTGCCTTGGTTCATCAGTATATTAATGAATAATGCCTATCCTATTAACAACTCCAGTACTTCAATTAAATGTTAATTTGGAAATTTTTCTGCCCACTTCTAAACAGGTTGGTGAAAATTGCCCCTCAATATTATGACATGAGCAATTTCCCACAGTGTGAAGCAAAGAGACAGTTGGACCGCATCATTGCCAAACTTCAATCCAAGGAATATTCACAGTACTGAATTCAGTGCTTAGAACTGAAGTTATTGAGAGGACAGCTTTAAAAGATGAATGAACTCAAAAGTTCGAGTTGTGCTCTTCACGTTGGTTCGATAATGGCCTTTATTTGAAAGCTTTTTAATTTTTCTTTACAGTAAATATTCCATTCTGATTTCATAAATTAAACATTTATGCCTCCCTTTTGTGTTGACACTGTAGCTCATACTGGAAAAGTCGATCAATGTTTTGCAGTTTATTGAAAGTAGTTCTATATATAACAATGTTATAAGCATTTCTTTAGAAATGGTTGAAAATGCTTCTAAAATGTGATTATCGACCATGGTATGCATGATCGTTGTAATTGTTGACATTCCTTTTAGAAGTTGTGAAATGTTACAACTTGTGCTTATGTAGACACAATCTTCTGTCTCAGTACAGAGGCACTGACTTCAATAAAGTCTATTTATACTAATTTTGGCCAAAGCCCTTTGGTATCTTTGTTCTAGTCTCTAAGTATAGTTGTTTTTCAAGTGTGGAGCTTTTTTATTATTATAATTATACTGTTACTACATATTTAGTATCTTTCTACCAGGAGTACTCCTTAGGAAAAGTAGCTGTTAAAGCAGTATTTTTAAGAGCATGGCTTAGCGCTTTGTTAGGTTAATCAGGATGTGATCGATCTAAAAGGGGTAAAATGTGTGTAGTGATCATTTGAAACTGGACCCCAAAAGAGAGAATAATGAAAGGAGAGCTCTCTACTTGTCTTTCTTAGAGTTCCTTTCATAAGGCTCATAATTTATTAACTACATTTTTGTCAGATGTTTTTATTATACTTCTAGCTTCTCAAACACGTTTATTAGTATTAGGTAAGAGGAAAGCATATTTTAGATCTCAGTTTAACAAAATTCTTAGTGATGGAAGTTTTATGCAGTATACAAAATAATTTGTATAGTGTGTTAAAATGTACATTTGACCTTCCATTTTCTATGACAGGCAGTAGACAAGTTGAAAACTTGTCTACATTCATTTTGGAATGAAAATTGAGGTGTTTTATGTGGCCCATAAAATGTTTTTTAATCAGTTATTTTCATATGAAGACTAAATACTGTACTCATTAGTCTGGACTTCCCTCTTCTTCCCCTCCTACCTTTATAAGTTTTTAAGTGTTAAAGGAAATATATAGGTGTGTGCCTGGCATTTAAATATACTTGGTAACTAGCATGTGACTTAGGGAGTTGGGCAAGTTAACTCTTTGAAGCTAACTAGTATGCTTTTTAGTGTAGGTAGGTGTTACTAAATGATGCCTAGTGGCTTGAAAAAGTTAATGTGCCTTCTATAAGTGCCTCATTTTGTTCCCATGGAATAATTTACATGGTGGAATAATACTTCAGGTTACATTTAAATATTGGTTAGATATTCATGCAACATTAAGCATTGGCAACATTGCCAGAATGTCTTAAAGTTATGTTGAAAAAGTCTAAGTACTTGGTCAGACTGTTCTCACTGAAATGGCAGCTCTCACCAGAGGAATATTTTGCTTGTTAATTTAAGCTGCAAGTGTAGTTTGTAAGTTGTTGTGTATCTTTATAATCTGACCATCCAATTTTAAGTAGGTCTCAGAGTGGTGTAACGTATTATTTAATCTTGGGCTGTGTAAAATGTGAAGTTAGACCATTAGGTTTTCTTACAGAGAAACTGTTACGTGTTAGAGTTTTCAGATATCTAGAATAAAGTTTGGTATTTGGCAGAGCTTCTAGGAATCATGGGTGTGCATTGAGAATGGCCACATAGAAAGAGCAAGTTGAGTTTTTATCATGATGTCTATCCCCCACCATCTCCAGTTGTTCTAGCCTGCCTACATCTGACCAAAGCTGAAAATTCTTTTTTTTTTTTTTTTCTTTTTTAAAGACGGAATCTCGCTCTGCTGCCCAGGCTGGAGTGCAGTGGTGCAAACTCGGCTCACTGCAAGCTCTGCCTCCTGGGCTCACGCCATTCTCCTGCCTCAGCCTCCCGAGTTAGCTGGGACTACAGGCACCCACCACCACGCCTGGCTAATTTTTTTGTATTTTTAGTAGAGACGGGGTTTCACCATGTTAGCAAAGATGGTCTCGATCTCCTGACCTCGTGATCCGCCCGTCTCGGCCTCCCAAAGTCCTGGGATTACAGGCGTGAGCCACCTTGCTCAGCCTAAAGCTGAAGATTCTTACCATTGATGTTATTGACAAAGTTGTGGCTTTTAAAAATGGTCTTCTCTCAACCTCCTTATCTTACAAATTTGGCAGCTGAACAGCAAAGTTGTTAGTTTCCTTTGTTCACATAGAGCTATGACTATCAAATAATTTATTTGTGCTATACAACAAGAAAATTAAAAAGTTTTTTGGAGATTACCTGAAGAGGTCACCTTCCTTATCTCTCAACTTGGAATAGGTGAACTGCTTGTTGCATTATGGTATAAGGAAAGAAAGCCATCAGTAAGTAGAACCATTGACCCTGCAAATGTCAGGAAATTAACACAACTTGTGAGAAATGGGACAAAAGATGCCCTACAATAAACCAATTTAGCTAGAATCCAAAAGCATTCTATACTCAAGTTTTTTATACGGCATATGACTTAATTCTAGAATTTTAGGTTTATAAGGTACTCGCATATACTTAGAAGTAATTTTAATGGCTATCCTCCCTAACCAGATACATCAAGCAAAACAGTTCATTACCCTTGAAGGCTGCCTAATAGCTCTTAGAAATGCTAAGCTAAAGCCCTTTCTGTGTAACACCTGATTCCAGTTTTTCCTTCTAGAACATAATTAAACAAGGCCATTCTGCTACTTGATGGCCATTTAGATATTTGGAGTTAACTGTCATCTTCCCTTATTTTTAATTTAGACTGAATACCCTGGTTTTGTTTGTTTGTTTGTTTTCTTTCCTGTCAACATTTGTCTTTAACATGGTTTCCAGCTATTCTGTACATTCCTGGTTAACATCTGCCAAATACTCTGTGGATTGCAGTCAGTACTATGGTCTAAGCTGGACAGACTGCAGTTGAACTTGCTATTTCCCAAAGGACCAGGCCTACCATCACTTCTGTTACTACAATTTCAGATTACATTAACCTTTCAAGCAACCACAGCATACTTTTGTTTCATATTAATCTTAGTATAAATTTAAGGCACGTAATTATTACTTGAGAATGTTAATCTCTGTGGCTCAGGGCTGAGAAGGGACCTTCACAGACCTTGGGTCGTGTTAATCTTCGGAGACTTCACCCCACATGTTCAAATATATCCATAGCTCACATGTTCAAATATGTCCATAGCTCATTAATGACATTTAAAAAAATTAAAGGCAGGATAGGAATATCTTAATTTTAAATGTTTTCTAACAGTCTCAGAATTCTTCTAGTATGAAACCACATTATTTCAAACGCAGTTTTTATCAATGTTACATTTAAAAATGAAGTTGACAGATTTTAGTAAATGATTGCATGTAAACATTAATTTGAATTTTGCAGTTTCTTTAATATTAGAGAACATGATGAGGTGGTTTTCTGGTCTTGTGCATTTTTAGTGGTCCCTAAAAAATGGGCTATAAGGATTTCTTAGATGATTAACAGCATTTCAGAGCACGAGTCATGGTTCAGAGACAGTTTTTAAAGTTCTGCTTTATTGAGGTATAATTAACATCAACTATATAGTTTGATAAAGTTTGACAAATGTATACAGTTGTGTAATTGTCACCACAATCAATACGCAACGTTTTCATCACCCTAAAAAGTTCCCCATGTCTCTCTGTAGCTAATACCCTTCCTCCTATTCCAAGTGTTTGGCTACTTGGAATCATACTGTGCGTAGTGTTTTGTGTCTAGATTCTCTCATTTGGCATAATCCTTTCAAGAGTCATCTATTTCACATATATCAGTGAGTTCTTTTTTTATTGCTGGGTGGTATTCCATTGTATATGTACCATATTTGTTTATGCGTTTTCCACTTGTTAGAAAATCAGCTTTTGACTGTTAAGAGTAAAGCTATTTGCATGTAGATTTTTATATAGGCATGGGTAAGTTTTTCTATTGGGTAAGTAACTAGGAATCAAGGTTGCTGGGTTGTGATAAATATATGTTAAATTTTGTGAGAAACTGCTAGTTTTTCAAAATACTGTATCATTTTGCTCCCCCACCATCAGCATATAGGTGTTTTGATTGCCCTGTATCCTTGCCAACATTTCATAGTATCTATTTTACTTTAAATTTTAGTCATTTTAGTAGGTGTTGTACCTCGTGGTTTGTTTGTATTTCTCTAATGACTAATCAGTAATGGTGTGGAATATTGGGATATCTTTTCATGTCCCTATTTGCCATTTATATCTCTTAGGTGAAGTGACTGCTCATAACTTTTGTCCTTTTTATAATTAGTTTTTTTAATTATTGAGTTTAAGAGTTCTTTGTGTATACTGGATCTAACTTCTTTATGAGATAATGTGTTTTGCAAATGTTTCTCTAACCCATTAGCTTGTACTGTTGTTTGCTTAAGAGTGTCTGTTGCAGAGTAGAACTTTTTTTTTTTGAGACGGAGTTTCGCTCTTGTTGCCCAGGCTGGAGTGCAATGGTGTGATCCCAGCTCACCGCAACCTCTACCTCCCATGTTCAACTGATTCTCCTGAGTCCTCAGCCTCCAGAGTAGCTGGGATTAGAGGCATGCGCCACCACGCCCAGCTAATTTTGTATTTTTAGTAGAGACAGGGTTTCTCCATGTTGGTCAGGCTGGTCTTGAACTCCTGACCTCAGGTGATCCATCCACCTCGGCCTCCCAAAGTGCTGGGATTACAGGAGGGAGCCACCGCGCCTGACCCCGAAGAGTAGAACTTTTTAAAATATTGATCAAGTCCAGTATTTGGTTTTGGGTTGGTTTTTGTTTGTTTTCTTAAATGGTTTAATGGTTTGTGCTTTTTGGTCAGGGTCAGTTTTGGTGGTATGCTAAGAGGACAGCAAAGAACAGTCTGGTTTGAGTGGAGCATGATCTCTTTATTTAGATAAAAACAGGAGACTATGAATTTAGGTTGGGGTTGAGTTGTGGAGGAACTTGAAGGTTAGGCTAGGTGTGCATCTGAGTTCAATATAGAGGATAGATTGTCGGAAGAGGGTTCACTGAAGTCATTTAGAAAAAATACCACACAATAACCCAGGTAATGAGATTGAACCAGAAAAGAAGAATCAGAATGAAAGGGTCAGAGATGAAGTGGTGGTGTAAAGCAGAAGAGTCATCAGAGATAGCTTGTGTAGGCTATATGAGATGCATGGCTTGGGGTGCCAATCGTGAATCTAGGCTGCAGATCAGTTTGAGATCCTAGTTGCTGCTGAGAGAGAAAAAAATGGTGAAGATTAAAAAGCACAGAACCTTTAATAAGAGAAGGGGAGGGGCGAAGGAGCAGCCAGAAAGTAAAATAATTTATTTAGATAGTGGAGTTTCATGCTTCAGAGAGGTGTGTAGTGGAAGGGAATTGTGAATCCTGAAAGCTATGGGAATTGGTAATTTAGTCTTTAGCCAGCTTATGTAAGTTTAAGGTAGAGGATACAAGCAGGTAGTCAAAAGGGCCCAGATGCAGCCTGCCCTGATGTGATCCTCATGAAGTGTTTCAAAGAAATAGAGCACCTTTCTGTAAAAATAGATCCACGTAAAGTTTTCAAAATATTCCTGAGTCTGGCAAGGGTGGGCCTACCTGAAGTTTCTCCTGACACACTGTTAATTAGCTGCTTTGTAGGTAGGCATGTATTCTTCAGTTTGCCAGAACCCCTTGCATGCCTTCATTTAGTCTACCTGTAGGCATTGTTGGGTGAGAAAGGGTTTTGAAGTGGGAAAGCTTGCAAAGACTGCTTTTAACGGAAAGTTTTCATGGGCAGGATTGAGACCAAGAGGAAAGAAACTTCAAGTTAATGGACTACCTTGAAATTTTAGGCAAAACCTGTACCTGTGTCATGGGAGAGACTGGGATTATGGCCACACTTGATCTGAAGTTGAGGTCAAACTTGGTGATGTTGCCTTGAAAATAGAGATTTTCATAGACCAGGACGAAGATAGAAGGGAAAGTTACAAGGGACTTCAGCTTAAATTTAGTCTCTCTTATCTTGGCACAGAGGGATGTATCTGTTAATCTGAGGTGGATCAAGTTCAGGCTTGAGAGAGGGAGTAATGCATGAGACTTTGAAAGTAGTTTGATTGTGAGTAAGCAAGAGATGGTGAAAGAGATGCCTTAGATCATGGGCATACTTAGATCTTACAATTTTGATGATGAATTCACGCTAGCCTGAGAACTGAAGTGGAAGGCTACCCCTGGTTGATGATGGGTAGCAGGGATGTAGAAAAGTGCTAAAGTCTTTAAGATCTTGCCCTTTAAAAGAATCATCAGGTGGGGCAGATGATTAAAGATCATTACTTAGGGTTTAATGCGTTCAGTGTGTTTAGATTTGCGTGGCAGTTATACCCATAAACTCATCAAGAACCAGTGGATTTTCTGTATGTCATGTTCTGTGGTTTTTGGTTAGTAGCATTGATGAACATACTCTACACTCAATAATAAACATGAAGACTTTGCTGAGAGGTTTCTTCATTTCAGCTCATAGATTTGCAACTTATGTAAAGAATTGTTAGGCAGTTTAAACTAGAAAATTTGGCTCAGCCAAATCTGAGGTAAGATTAAAATAAGGCATGCTATCAGTTTGAGGGACTGAGTTACTTAAAACCATGAATAGATAGAAATTCATTCTAATGATTACACAGGTGTGTGTTTTTTATTTTAGATTATATTAAAAAGTACAGTTGCTAAGATGCTGGGAAATATTTCAACTGTGGCACTAGCACTGTTAGCTTTAGCAGAGAAGCTAGTTTTTTTTTTTTTTTTTTTTTTTTAATAGGAGACAGGGTCTCACTCTGTCTCTCAGGCTAGAGTGCAGTGGTGCCATCTCGGCTCACTGCAGCCTCTGCCTCACAGGTTCAAGCGAGTCTCATGCCTCAGCCTACCGAGTAATTGGGATTACAGGCACCCGCCACCACGCCCAGCTAATTTTTGTATTTTTAGTAGAGATGGGGTTTCACCATGTTGGTCAGGTTGGTCTTGAACTCCTAACCTCAAGTGGTCTGCCCTCCTCAGCCACCTTAAGTGTTGGGATTACAGGCGTGAGCCACCATGCCCAGCTGGTATTGAGTTCTTAAGAAGGGAAATACATTGATTTTTAAGGAAGATAGATAAAACTTGTGCAGTAGATTATAAAAGAAATGATTAGAATTTCATCTCTGACTGATTTGTGATAACGAGTATGTTATTATTTTAGATTATTTGCTTTTTAGTGTACTGTCTCAGTTCTGCTTACACAAAAACATGCTGAAGACTTTTTTGTAAGATATTTACTTAAAAAATTTTAAAGTTTTATATTTGGGTGTTTTGTTGAATCACTGTTTCCCAAGATTATATTAATGAAATACAGCTTACAACTCATTTTCTTTTTTCTTATTATTTCCCTTTTTACACTTAAGGAGGGCTGAATGGATAACTTTTAAGGTATTGTCTTAAGTGTTAAATGTCTGAGTATGCTTTCCTTGCCTCTCCAGAAATATTTTAATAACCTTAGAGAAACATGTAGGATTTTCTACAAAAAGTGTCGGCTGCTTTAGCGGTTTCTCCCTGAAGTGATGTGTAACTGATCAGGATCTACTCATGTCGTCTTTGGTAAAGTTATGTCGCTTGTCAGGGTGAGGAGAGTTTTTGAGATGCAAATTTTCCCGTTTTTGTTTTATTACCATGGAGAAATGTAATAGTTGGTGTCTTTTGGTATAGCTAACTTTTAAACAGTACAGGTGGCTCTTGGACAGTCACTGTTTTAAACAAGCAGCAGTAAGGCAGACTGAAGACAGTAGGAAAAATGATCAACATGGTGGAAGGAAAGAAAGCAGTCAGTAACAACTTATATAATAATTTGCAGGAACTCTTAGAACTGAACCTTACAGTTAAGTTGTGATATCTGGGGTAGATTGTATTATTTCCTTATTTCAGAAGAACTGAGGCCCCAGGTCACATGGCTGTTTATCTGCAGAGCTGGCATTCCACTCTGCTTAGCTAAGTGCTCCCTCAACCTTGATGCTATTTTTCCTGAGCTGGGTGCCAGGGGAGCTTGGATATGTAAAGCTTGGTTGATGTCCTTGATAGGTGCATGGTTCTAAGATTGTGATTTTCATCCTAAGTTTAGGAAGTTACACACCTGCGTGGACAAGGTGGGTCTAATTATTTTTCATTCTGGTTTAATGTTGACAAGAAAACAGACATGGAAGAGGACTTTCCTGCACTCCTGGTCTTCCTTTTCCTTAAGTAGTGCTACAAGGGTCTGACCGGAAGATCTTTTTACTGGTGGCTTGCTGCTTAATATAATACAGGTTTTGAGTACAATCATTTCTTCGTATTGTTTTTAAAGTAGAGCAATGATATGACTAGTCTGAAGTGAACATAGTCTAGAAGTCACTTGCTTGGTTTGGGGATTAGAAGTATTTGCAAGGTGAACCACCCATTCTCTTCTGCTTATTTACACTACACTGCTTTTATCCATAACTTGGAGCCATCATTAAGATAGACTGTTTTTTCTATCTCTGTCCTTGGAACCTGTTCAGGTATTTAAAGCTGTTTTCCTCTGCTAGGCTTTGAGTTTCTTAAGGGTTGGAGCCATATCATTATGTCCCTTGCACCTGGTTGTGGTATACAATATCATTCTTTCAGCAAATACTTTTATTTATTTATTTATTTGAGGCAGAATCTCGCTCTGTTGCTCAGGCTGGAGTGCAGTGGCACGATCTGGCTCACTGCAACCTCTGCCTCCCAGGTACAAGTGTTTCTCCTGTCTCAGCCTCCCGAGTAGCTGGGATTACAGGCGCCCACCATCACATCCGGCTAATTTTTGTATTTTTAGTGGAGATGGGGTTTCGCCATGTTGGCCAGGCTTGTCTTGAACTCCTGACCTCAAGTGATCCACCCACCTCGGCCTCCCAAAGTGCTGGGATTACAGGCGTGAGCCACCGCGCCCGGCCAAGCTTCTTTCTTTATATGGACTTTGAAACATTTACTGTGACTCTTGGGATTTCTAGTTGAAGTCACCTGCAAAGGGATTCCCCCTGTAAATGTCCATATTGCATATTGCTGTGAATATGACTGGAGGTTGTAACTTACCTGAATGTTTCCCTTTCCTGATTACATGCCAGGTAATACTGAAAGGGAAATGTCCAGAAAGGTTGTATTGGATGCTTTCAGAAGAATCACAACCTTTTCATGAATAAACCTCCTTTATTTATGAATGGACATTGTGCGGTCTGTGACAATGTTTATAAGTGCTGTAATCTGCTAAAATCAGTATCTGATTACAAATAAATGACCAAAGTATTTGTCTACAAGGGAAACTCCAGGACATTATGTACTTTCTAAGGATCCTGTTTCAGTTTCCAGGGGAAGATTTTGAACTATTTGGCATGTAACAGTTATTTTTCTCCTCTAACATCTTTTTTCCCCAGTCTCATAAGGAAGAGAGAAAAGTCAGAAAATAATATTTAAATTGTGTAACTAGCTTATTATTTTCATACTAAAAAGTAATCACTGATAGTTTTTCTATAGGTATGAGATCAAGGGAATCATTTTTAGAAATCATTTTCATTGTAAAAAGTATATTAGATGTCTTTTGCCAAATTTTATCTAGTTAGTAATTATAAACAGTATCAGTCTTATTTTCCTATTGTTTATGAACAATATAAAGACCTCTTAATAGTGATCTAAAAGTTTTCTATTGTCACTGGGTTACCTTCAGAATTTCTAGGCCTGTTAGATTTATTTTTGTCGTTAGCATTTAAAGTTTTGCTCTGTATTAGAAAATAGAAAACTTAGAAAAACAGGTAGTGGCAGTTCATCACTTCCCCCACTTTTATTTCCAAGTCATTATCTAGTTTCTCAATGTGGCATTGCAACTCTGATTTTTTACTGTTCGTGCACTAAAGCATTTGAGATAAGCCCTTAGTGTTGAGGAAATCCTAAATCCTACTGCTGGGGGGTTAAAAGAAATATAGTGACAGGCTATGAAATAGTGTTGTCATAACTTATCAGTGGCTAGTAAATAGGGTAGTTGCCTTCTGACACCATTTTGAGTGAAGGCAGTTTAATTGCGTTGCCTCTGTTTAGATAAGCATTTGGAATCCACAGTCAAATGTGTGAATGCTGTGGTTAAAGTATTTCCATTATATGAGATTTGATTTCTTAAGTGATTTTTTTGTCTCAGGTTCCATTCTACATCAAAAGGTATTTGGAAAATGTCTTTCACTGTATGTGTACATGGAGAACCATAACCTATAATTGTATGTAAATCTAGTGATTGTGAAAAACAAGAAACTTGCAGACACATATTAACAGTTGGTGACTTATCGCCAGTTGGTGACTTACTTACCTACCCCTGCCTCTCAAATCTTGTTATAACAATTAAACAGTTCGTATTAAGACTTTGTAATTTTTTAGTTGTGTTATTTTTACTTGAAGAAGACTCTTTCCCTATTGAATTAAGATTCCAGTTTCTGGGCATAACACATCCATGCTTTCAACCTCATATGCTTCTTGCAGCATAAACAATACACACTTAAACTCCTAAGCATTTACCAGGATACTTATAGAAGAAGGTTGCAGCTACTTGAGCTAATTTTTGCATGCTTTGTCAATTCACATTTTCTACTAGGTTGAAAATCCACTTTGGTTTGCAGTGGTGATGGGTTTTATCCTCTGATGATTCAACCTTTTTGATTTTTGAAAGAAAGGAGTTTTAACCTTAGCAGTCATGTAGCACTTTAAATTCAAAACAAGAATCTGACTCTGACTCTTGAAATGATACTGTGTGTTTTGTTTTTGTGGAATGGGAGGGCCAAATGGGTAGTTAGTTTCTTTTGCAATTGGAATAACTGTCATAAAATCAGGAAGTGCTGGAAGAGACCCCAGAAGTAATTGATTTCAAATCCTCATACTCAAAGAAAACCAAGACCCAAAGATAACCAAGTTCTGTTCAAGGTCATTCAGTTTGTTATTTTGTCTCATCCTAAGCGAGAGCATTTCCTCTCTATGGAGTATATCCTGTACCTGTGTTTTGTTTTGTTTTGTTTGTTTGTTTGAGACAGAGTCTCGCTCTGTCCACCAGGCTAGAGTGCAGTGGCAAGATCTCGGCTCACTGCAACCTCCGCCTCCCAGGTTCGAGTAATTCTGCCTCAGCCTCCCCAGTAGCTGGCACTACGGGCATGCACATCCATGCCTGGCTGACTTTTGTATTTTTAGTAGAGACAGGGTTTCACCACGTTGGCCAGGCTGGTCTCGAACTCCTGACCTCAGGTGATCCACCTGCCTCAGCCTCCCACAGTGCTGGGATTACAGGCGTGAGCCACCGCGCCCGGCTGTACCTGTGGTATTTTATAATCCTATTTGGTTTCTTGCTTTCCCCAAATAAAAACCGTTTTTGAACTCTGCCAGTGGCATTAAGGAAAGGATATAAAACTTGATAGTTATCAAAAGAACATTTCCCCCCATTATTTTAGTGATATAACTATGGAGGAAATTTTAAGCGTTTTGCTAATTTTAAACTTTTTTTTCTCATTTCATTAGCATTTGATAAGGCTATGAAATCCTGGTCCTTTATAACTAAAGATGTTTATTTTTCATTAAATAGGCAGATAATGCATAACCATATCTTGACTTTCTTAAGGAAAAATCTTGATCTCTGGGAGAAAAACATATTTCCACTTTTGATTTGCCCCTTCCATGCTTTTGTACACTTAGCACTTAATATGCACGAGGTTTATCGGCTCTTCACAATACCACAACCAAGGCAAACGGGGTACCATAAGGTTATGTAACCTGCCCAAGGTTTAGGACTAGTGAGAACGGTGAACCCCAGGCAGAGGGATGGGAAAGGTCCACAGAGCCCATTAACTTAATCTGTAGAGCTGGTTATTTTCCTCGGTATACCTTACACCACCTGCAGCCAGTGCAGAGAACTTCATTGTCCTATGCCTGTGTCCCTTTAAAGGCCCAGACTTTATGTAGAAATCTCAGTTCTACAGCACTTGACTCATTCCTCCTCTTCCTGTCTCCAATGCATACCCAGTCACATCACTCTTACTGTTTGAATTTTTCCAGTCCCTTCTTCCCATCCCAGAATAAACTCAGCTGTGTATTTAAAAATACGTATTTATGCCAGGCGCGGTGGCTCACGCCTGTAATCCCAGCACTTTGGGAGGCCGAGGCAGGCGGATCACGAGGTCAGGAGATCGAGACCATCCTGGCAAACACGGTGAAACCCCGTCTCTACTAAAAATACAAAAAAAAAAAAAAATTAGCCGGGCGCGGTGGCCGGCGCCTGTAGTCTCAGCTACTCGCGAGGCTGAGGCAGGAGAATGGCGTGAACCCGGGAGGCGGAGCTTGCAGTGAGCCGAGATCGTGCCACTGCACTCCAGCCTGGGCGACAGAGCGAGACTCCGTCTCAAAAAAAAAAAAAAAAAAAAAAAAAAAGTATTTATTCCCTAAGCATATTCATTATATGCATTTCTAGGTATTTTGTTGCAGGGACGCTTTCAGATTATCTGTCTTCAGAATTGCTAGATACAGAAGTTGACCACTCCCTTTTAATCTTTAAATCAAGGACAGGATTGAGGTCAATATCGCTGTGTGCTGTCTAATGAATTATTTGTACAGATTTAGAAAAGATAAATATTTATTGGTGTAGTCAGATGAGTGAAAGTTTAGTAAGCTTCTTCAGACATATTGACAGACTTAAGCCAGCTGATTTTCTGTCCTTTAGCAAATCTCACCTGCATTCTCTGGCATAATTAAGTGGGGTTGATAAACCATCTCTATTTTCTTTCCCCCGAAGCCTGACACCCAGTGGTCAGACTTTGAAACCAAAACCTCCCTGAGGGGGTTAACAAAAGTGAGGACTATTTGCTACCCTCCTGCTTCACACTTTTCATCTTCATTGTGGAATAGGTAGGTGAAATACTGAGCTGGATGGGGAGAGCCACATCTAAGCTATTCCCTTACAGGAGACTTGCCTTAAAGAAATGGGAATTTTGAGCCACTTCCTTGCTCAGTGTCCTTGTTGACTGCTGAAACTTTGTTCATTTCTTCATCTTTTAGAGAATGATGAAGTGATGTCTCAGCTCTCATCCAGGGGCAGACTCTAAAGTCAGTCCTTAAGGCAGAAATCATGATATAGTCCAAATTGAGTCTCCCTAAGAAGGTGGTGTGACAGGGAAGCATGCTTGATTACTTTGCAGGGGGAAAATGGCCTTTTTTCCCCTCCAACATTGAAAGATTACAGCTTTTGAGCTGAGAATCTTGGTTGGCCTTCATTCAGAGGCCACATACAAAAAAAGAAATATCTTTATCAAAAGCAGAATCCCACTCATAGATGACACACACATGGAGAGGTTGGAGAGGTGGATAAGGCTTGAGCACGTAGCAGATTCATACCTCGTATCTCATGCACTCCAGACACTTTCACTCACTAGTGGGCAGAGTTGCCTGAACTGTTTATATTGGGTTTTCTGTTTTGGTTGGTGCTTGCTGATGCCTTATAATTAAATGATCACATTTAATGATTAATTACCATCTTGGAATTGTGAGGATTAAGTTGGGTAATCATTGTGACAGATGCTTTGTAAACTAAGATCGCTGTGGTAGTCATTAATGCTGTTCTCCAAATATTTCTAATTTCAGGCATGTGGTAGGTTTGCACTGCCCCCTTGAAGTTACATATAGCCAGGTGAGACTTGCTTAGGTCAACAGGATTGAGCAGAAGTGATGGGGTCACATCTGGGTGGCAGCTGTACAAGCACAATGTCATTTCACCGTGCTCCCTCTCCCCCTGCTGTGGCAACGTTCCAGCATGAGGCATCATAGAGCAAAGCTCCCAACAGACCCAAGATGGAGATGAGCAAGAAATCAATTGATGTTGTAGGAGCCACTCAGATTTGGAGCTGTTTGTTACTACTGTGTAACTTAGCCTATCCTGTCTGATGGGCAACATGCACAGGTCTCATGTGGTTTTGTGCCATTTGACCTAACCCCAGTGAATGGGCAAGGAAATAAGGATAAGACCTATTAGAAGGCTGGGAGAATACAATGAGGCTTATGGTGAAGGTACAGTTGTGAATTGTATTTAAAATGAAATCTTTTTAACTCTTAGCAGAAGAAGATGGCACCAAGATCCTTTAAGGGTATGTCTGAGTCAAGCCCCATTTCCATTAACCGAACGTAAGCATGACTAGAAAAAGGTGGAGATCTGATATTTAGTGAGCCTCTTCTCTGGCATTCTGCTAGACCTACTGGCACAATGAGCTCATTTAATTCTAATGGCAACCCTAGGAAGAACCCAGGGTGTTATTCCTATTGCATTAAATATATGAAGTAAGGCTAAGAGATATTAACTGTCCCGGGTCACTTAGGCAGTAAGAAGATGAGAAGATTATAAAGCACTAAGTGCCACAAAATGGTACTTCAATATACAGTGCCAGTTTCTGCTTAAACCTACACATTTTTAGGAATACCTACTGGCAGAAGCTTAGTTCCCCAATTTAAGGATTAATTCATCTTATTATGGGTATAAGAGAGAAGGTGCAGGTCACTCCGGTGTAACTTGACCTTTCAAAAAGTCACCCTGGTGTAAACCTCAGCCTAACAAAGCTCTAACTGCCGGTGGGCCATCCTTAGCAATTTGGAAGTTAACTTACTCCTGTTTTGGTGGGAGTGCTGGCTGGACTCTGTTTTACCAGAGCTCTTTATTGCTTGATTGATTTTTCCTGATTTATGTCTTCACTAAAAACAGAAAGAAAAAAACCCAGCATTCTAAAGTGATGTGCATTATCAGAATGCTACACCTTTCAAATTCAGATTTTTTTAAAATTGCAAAGCCAAATATATTCATTTGCATTTATTATAAATTAATATAATAGCTGAGAGTTAGCAACAGTTAATTGCTTAAGAATATAATTTGCCACATATTATGAAGCCGTCTTAGTTTATTATACAGCTGTATTCCCTTTTGTGCATTTCTGTGCGTGGACATGAGATGAGAGAGGAACTGCTAGTTTTAAGGGTGCTGCTTTGTAACGTGGTTAAAACAGTGGTTCCTAACTCAGCCCCCACCTCAGATTAGTTAAATCAAGTCTGGGGCCCAAGCATCAGCATTTTTTTCATGAGTCCTCATTTGCTTTTAATACAAATCCAGGGTTGAGAACCACTGGGCTAAAATGGGCTCTGGTATCGGAGTTGGATTCAAATCCTGGGTCCACTGAGGAAATTAACCCTTTTTCAGTTTTGTCATCTGTAAAATGGGGATAGCCATCTATTTCCTATATTTCTATTAAGTATAAAATTATGTCATGTATGCAAAACCAGCATAGTCCCCAGCTAAGTTCAAGTATTCAATAAATTATTAAGAGGTCTGGGCTGGGTGCGGTGGCTCAAGCCTGTAATCCCAGCACTTTGGGAGGCCAAGGTGGGCGTATCACCTGAGGTCAGGAGTTCAAGACCAGCCTGGCCAACACGGTGAAACCCCGTCTCTACAAAAATAGAAAAAGTAGCCAGACATGATGGCGGGTGCCTGTAATCCCAGCTATTGGAGAGGCTGAGACAGGAGAATCATTTGAACCTGGGAGGCGGAGGTTGCAATGAGCAGAGATCACGCCATTGCTCTCCAGCCTGGGCGACAGAGACCCTGTCTCAAAAAAAAAAAAAAAAAAAAAGAGGCCTGTTTTTAAATGAGTGGGAAGTATATATCATTGTGGGAGTGGAAAGGATGTCTCCATTTTCAGTGAAGCAAACCCAACCTTTACAAGGTTTGAGAAATGACTTGCCCAAGTTGTCACAGGCAGACCTACGATCCTGTTTTCCTCCTCCAAACCTAATCTCATCATCATTCCATGCCGCCTCCCCTTTTCAATTTCAGCTTCTTAGCTACAGCAGACAGCATTCCCTCAAATAAGCCAACAGAAATGAGCTGGATGTCTTTACCAAGGGAATGTAAACACAGAGCTGCCGAAGCACCCACACAGTGATGCCTCCAGCTGCACCCAATCTGCATTTCCTTTCTAGGAATACTGTGCTGGATGACAAGGCTCGGGGCTTGGAGAGGTGAAGGGGCTTTTCTAGGAAATGATCCTTTGGGCTCAGGGACGCATTATGATGCAGTAGTGAAAGGGTAGGACAATTGGAGTCAGCCAGTTTTTGATTCAGGCCCTGGCTCCACACTCCCAGCTGAGTAACTTCACATCTCTGAGACAGTTTCTCCCTCTGTTCACTGGTGATGGTAATACCTGTCATTTAGGGTTGTGAGTAGGGCTGACTCTACTGATTCTGCCACTTCCCACTCAGGTTACCTGGGGATAATTACTTAATCTTTGATGCTTCCTATTACAATATTTGATACCTCAATATGATTATCTGTAAGATGGGATAATAATAGTAATACCTACCTCATAGGGTACTTTGATGATTAAATAAGACAATTGTGAGAAGTTGGGCATATGCCTGGTACCTGCTCAACACCTAAGCCATGGCAGCTATGCTTGCTGTATCCTGTTAGAGGAAATCGCCCATTTTTCCATCCCTCTATCAGATGTGATGAGGTGACATTACCCTGATGAAGCCTGCTTCCTCTTCTGAGGGCTGACGGGCAGTGGGCACAAGGTCGGACCCATTCCACATTTACCTTCATGGAAAAACCCATTCCCATTTGCCCTTGGTGGCTCCTCTGTGGCATTTCCAAGCTTGCCCCGGTTTGCTTCCCATTTGTGGATCCTGTTGGTCTGCGGTTTCCCTTGTCTTTGTTTTGCCTTCTAATTACTTCCTTACCATTAGTTTCACCATAGAAAGTGGGCAAGGAACTAATGGATAAGACATTCTATTAGAAGGCTGGGAGAACACATTGTGAAACCATTGCTGTTTCCTTGTTACCCTGATAATAAGAAACCTTTGCATT
This sequence comes from Homo sapiens, assembly GCF_000001405.40. Lineage (NCBI taxonomy): Eukaryota > Metazoa > Chordata > Mammalia > Primates > Hominidae > Homo > Homo sapiens. Next base: position 24,510,920 of record NC_000004.12, on the reverse strand, counting down.
TGAAAGTGTGATTCTAATTCACAAGGCACTTGCAGGTATATTATCTCTGAGATGGACGGTACCCTGTTTTTGTAATTGTGAAGACTGTAAAGACTGCAGCTCAAGCAGGAAAAGCGCCTTCCCAAGGCTCTCCTAGTTATTGAATCTCAGCCTAAATTTTACCTTCTTTTTTTAAAGCTCGGGTGCAGAGGTTTGAGTGAATACTATGTACCCTTTAGTATATGACACATTATCATCGCTTGTTCATGTAATGTGTCTCTGACAATACATAAACAAATGGGCATGGCGGTGTTCCAATAAAATGTTACAAAAACAGGCTAAGGGTGGATTTCACCTGAGAGTCACAGTTTGCTGATCTCTGCTTTCAGGTAACTCTGTGTTTCATGTGAATTTTCTTGTTTATGTATGTCCTTCCAAATGAATATGTTGTTTTGTGGGGCTGTATTTTGAATTTACATTTTTGATATCATTTTGTTGCTTATTTTTGTTTGTTTGTTTTTCTCTCAGCTTGATGGCTTAAGGCCCATTCTTGCTATGGGGACATTTAATTGGTCGCTTCTGGTTATTCCATACTGTTTGCAGGTACAACCCCGACATCTTCCCAGCCTACCCTCCCGGTGACTGACTCACAGCTTTGCACTGCAGTAAATGAAGCTGCAGTGAGCCATTCTTGCACATTTTCCCTATGAGACTCTCTGTGCTATATGCCAGATCATAGAATGGGCTTATTCAAGCAAGTAGGGCCATATTCTTCACTATGCCTGTCCCGTGGACACGTCCACCTACATCTCTGCCAGCAATTGGTATTATTCTACTTGCTCATTTTTGCCAAGTTAATATCTCTTTGTTTTAATTTGCATCTCTTTTGATTACTGGTGAGTTTGAACATGTCATCATGCGCATATACATTTTCTAATTCAAAAGCCAGATTTCTTCCCTTAACCCTCATTTGCTTCTTCCCAAAAGACTTCAGGTTTTTTAATGAGATTTTTCAAACATGCATAAATATATAGATGTTTTATAATGAACTCCCGTGTATCCACCCCCTGCATCAACTGTTAACATTTCGCCAACCTTGTTTCAGCTATTCCCCCGCATTTTTTTTTTTTTTAGTGGTTGTCAGTGGAATGTTTTAAAGCCAATTCCAGACCAAATGCTATCTCACTCTAAAGTTAGTTTGCAGCTCTGCCTAATCAGGATTTTTTTTTTTTAAAAAAACATCACTTATGCCATTATGCCAACTAATAAAATGGACAATTCTGCAATATCCATATTCAGGTTTTCTCAGTTGTCTGGATCCGGCCGATTATTTCCTCATGCTGTCACTTAGCTTGTTCCTCTGCCTTCATGCCTGGCTTCTCACCTGGAGAGACATCTGTGGCCATCCTGCCTTTGGGAGCCCCACCTATAGGCCCCCAATGGACCAAAGCTGCCTGAACCTCACTCTGATTATCTGTGCCCAGCCTCCCCAGAGCTTCACATGCCAGTCACCTGCTTCTGGGTCCTTTCCTGTTCACCCACCCCAGGCCAGCAGGCCCTGAAGACTGAAGGTCCCAGCATTCTGATTAGCCAAATGTTAGCCGAACACTGGTGTGGTAGGCTGAATAATGGCCCCCCAAAGTGGTACACATCCTAATCCCAGGAACCTTTGAATATATTACCTTCTGTTCCAAAAAGGACTTTGCAGATATGGTTAGATAAAGGATCTTAAAATGGGAAGGTTGTTCTAGATTTTACAGTAGGACAAATGTCATCATAGGATCTTTACAAGAGGGAGCAGGAGGGTCACCAAGTAGGAGGTATGATGACAGCAGAGGTTAGAGTGATGCCAGGAAGGGGCCATGAGCCAAGAAATGCCGGCGACTTCTGGAAGCTGGAAAAGGTGAGAGGACAGGTTCTCCCCAAGAACCTATGGAAGGAATGCAGATCTATTGACACCTTGATTTTGGCCTGGAAGACCCACTTTAGACCGTTGACCTCCAGAAATGTAAGCTTGTAAGTTTGTGGCATTTTAAGCCAATGAGTTTGTAGTAATTTGTTACAGCAGCCGTAGGTAACTAAAGCAACCAGTATCACATGTTTATGCAAAAGCTATACATCATTATGGTAATGCCTTCTGCTTCCCTCTTTCTAGAATACCCTTCTCCCCAGGTAGCCGCATGGCCTCCATTCACACCTCTTTCACCTTCTTGGGTGTCTCTAGTCAGATGCCATGTGCTCAGAGAGGCCTACTTCAAATAAAACACACCCTGTCACAGGGTTCCCCCTTGCCCTGCTTTGCTTTACTTTTCTTCATAGAAAAGTCTATATCTTTATTTATATATGAAAGCCAGGGCCTTGTTTTGCTCCCTTCACCTGTTGAAAGATTGAGGAAAGGAAAGTTCTTGCTTGTGGTAAGAACCCTCTAACTTAAGGGCTTCCTTAGTGAATAAATATTCCCACTTCACCAATATTCTTCATGTGGTTTGTCTATTTCTTCCTCGAATCCTTTTCCATAAAACGAGGACAGTGCTTAAATCACGGACTGCTTCAAGTGCACCGCAGGTTGTCAACAAGAAATCGGCATTTATTTTGCACTGCAAATGAGAAAAACAAAAGTGCCTGGTCCTAGGCCAACAGCTTTTTTAAAACCATAATTGTAGGGATTTGAGCTACTGTGCTGGGCCGAGGGCAAAGGTGAACCCGATGGCTCTGAGCGAATGGCTCACCTGGGCTTCCCAGGAGGAGCAGAGTCATTTGGGGGCAGCACTGAAACCTAATTCACCAACTGAGGTCAGCAGAGCTGGGAATGAGTTGGGCGATTCTCTGGATTCACTCCTTGCCTTTGGAGCATGACTGTTGAAACATTCCTGGGCTCCAGGGTTAAAAAAAAAAAAAGTCCCCACTCCTGGGTGTTCCCTCTCCATTCCCCTGCCTGGCCCCAAACTCCCCAGGCTGAGACTTGATGGGTTTTGGGGATACTGCTGTGGATGGAGAAATCCTTGCTCTCTTGGCTCCATGCAGAGGCCTTCCGGCAATTGGTGACAGTTGCACCCACTGTGTGGCTAACACTTCAGCCTGGCTGCCTGGGGCCCTTCCTGGTTTTCCAGCAGTGGGCAGGCTGGAAGGGTAAATGGCACCAGGAGTAGCCTTGAGTCAGTGAGGAGACAAGGTTGTGTAGCCTCCTCCCTTTCAGGTTGGGACGATTTTCAGGCACGATCCACACAGGGTCCTCCAGCAGGATAGAGCTCCAGTTGCCTTCCCAGGAATGGGCTTGATAAAGTCCCTTTTATTGGCTTTCTTCCCTTCCCTGTCCACACTTCCCTACCGGGACTTCCAGGGATCATCTCAAGTTAAATACCTGCACTGAATCCTTGACTGTGGGTCCGCTTCCGGGGGAACCCAGATTGAGAAGCAGCCCGCGGCTCCTTCACTAAATGGTTCACTCCATGGAAGCTACCCAGGCCTCTGAGCATCTGCCCATGCCACTCCCACCTCCAGCAAGCCACCTCTCTTTCCTCTGCCTGCCTCAGTCCTCCTCAGCCTTCAGTGGCATCTTACCCATCCTCCGAAACCCCTCCTTCCCTTCCTCAGCAGTGAAGTGAGCATCCCTCTTCAAACTGGCACCTATTCACTGCCTGTGGTAATTCTAAAATTGTTCAACTTTTGGTAGAATCAGAGTGGGTGGGGTGGACGTGTCACTCCCGAACACTATAAATTCATAGTGACCATGACTTAGACTTTTTAATCTCCCTTAGAACCTACGGTTTTGGACCCGATGCCTAATAGTGAGCTGTGATCACGCCATTGCACTCCAGCCTGGGTGACAGAATGAGACCCTGCCAAAAACAGAAAAAAAGAAAATCTTTAGTTCTGAACAACAGAAAACCCAGCACAAAATAGGGTTATGCAAAAATGGGAATGCATTGATTTATATAGCAGAAAAGTTCGGGGGTAAATTGGCTTCAGGCAAGACTCATCAGGCTGGGCGCGGTGGCTCACGCTTTTAATCCCAGCACTTTGGGAGGTCGAGGTGGGCGGATCAAGAGGTCAGGAGTTCGAGACAAGCCTGGCCAACATGGTGAAAACCCATCTCTACTAAAAATACAAAAATTAGCTGGGTGTGGTGGCCGGCACCTGTAATCCCAACTACTCGGGAGGCTGAGACAGGAGAAACACTTGAACCTGGCTTCATGCGCGTCCGTGTGAAGAGCCCACCAAACAGGCTTTGTGTGAGCAACATGGCTGTTTATTTCACCTGAGTGCAGGCCGGCTGAGCCTGAAAAGAGAGTCAGCGAAGGGAGATAAGGGTGGGGCCATTTTATAGGATTTGGGAAGGTAAAGGAAAATTACAGTCAAAGGGGGTTTGTTCTCTGGCGGGCAGGAGTGGGGGTGGCAAGGTGCTCAGTGGGGGTGCTTTTTGAGCCAGGATGAGCCAGGAAAAGGACTTTCACAAGGTAATGTCATCACTTGAGGCAAGGACCGGTCATTTACACTTCTTTTGTGGTGGAATGTCATCAGTTAAGGTGGGGCAGGGCATATTCACTTCTTTTGTGATTCTTCAGTTATTTCAGGCCATCTGGGCATATACGTGCAAGTCACAGGGGATGCGATGGCTTGGCTTGGGCTCAGAGGCCTGACATTCCTGCCTTCTTATATTAATAAGAAAAATAAAAATAGTGTTGAAGTGTTGGGGTGGCGAAAATTTTTGGGGGTGGTATGGAGAGAGAATGGGCGATGTTTCTCAGGGCTGCTTCAAGTGGGATTAGGGGCGGTGTGGGAACCTAGAGTGGGAGAGATTAAGCTGAAGGGAGATCTTGTGGTAAGGGGTGATATTGTGGGGATGTTAGAAGAAACATTTGTCGTATAGAATGATTGGAGATGGCCTGGATACGGTTTTGGATGAATTGAGAAACTAAATGGAATAACAGAAGGAGAAAAACAGGTATAAAAGGTCTAAGAATTGGGATGACTCAGGATATCTGATTAGAGAGTGCCTAAGGAGATTCAGCATAGTGCTGCCAGCAAAGATTATTTATTTACTTCAAGAGTTAAGAGTGGCAGTTTGGGGATAGCACCAGGAGATATCAGTTGTGATGGCTTGGAAAAACAGTGTAAACCAGCAGTGTAAACAAGAGCAGGGCATGTATGAGTAGTTGAGAACGGTGAATAGGAGTATGAGTAGACAGAAGATAGTAGGGACGACAAGTTTTTTGGGGCACAGTCTAAGTTGGTCTGGTGTCTGGAATGAGACTGGGGCCTAATAAAAAGGAGTGTCCATACAGGAGCTCAAATGGGCTGTAACCTGTAGCATTCTGAGGACAATCCTGAATTCTGAGAAGGGAAAGTGGTAAAAATATCGTCCAGTCCTTTTAAAGTTGGTGGCTGAGCTTGGTGAGGTGTGTTTTTAAAAGACCTTTAGTCCATTCTACTTTTCTTGAAGACAGAGGACCGTAAGGGATATAAAGGTTTCACTGAATACTAAGAGCCTGAAAAACTGCTTGGCTGATTTGACTAATAAAGGCTCATCTGTTATCAGACTGTATTGAGGTGGGAAGGCTAAACTGAGGAATTATGTCTGACAGAAGGGAAGAAATGACTGCGGTGGCCTTCTCAGACCCTGTAGGAAAGGCCAGTACCTATCCAGTAACTAAAATACCTCCAGACTAAGAGGTATTTTAGTTATCTGACTCAGGGCATGTTGAGTAAAGCTAATTTGCCAGTCCTGGGTGGGGCAAATCCTCCAGCTTGATGTGTAGGGAAGGGAGGGGGCCTGAATAATCCCTGAGGAGTAGTAGAATAGCAGATGGAACACTGAGAAGCTATTTCCTTTAAGATAGATTTCCACAATGGAAAGGAAATGAGAGGTTCTAAGAGGCGGGCTAGTGCCTTGTACTATAGCATAACCTGCCTTTGCTAGTGTGTGGCGATTAGGCCTGGTGGAACCGCCATCAATAAATCAAGCGTGATCAGGGTGAGGAACAGGAAAGAAGGAAATTTGGGGAAATGGGGTGAATGTCAGGTGGATCAGAGAGATACAGTCATGGGGGTCAGGTGTGGTATCAGGAATAATGTGGGAGGCCGGATTGAAGTCTGGGCCAGGAACAACGGTAATTGTGGGAGACTCAACAGAGTACAGCTGAAGGAGCCGGGAAGCAGAAAGTATATGCATCAGGTATGAGGAAGAAAATAGATTTTGGAAGTTATGAGAACTGTAGAGAGTGAGTTGAGCACAGTTTGTGATTTTGAGGGCCTCTAAAATCATCAAAGCAGCGGCAGCCACTGCACGCAGACATGAGGGCTAGGCTAAAACAGTAAGGTCAAGCTGTTTGGACAGAAAGGCTACATGGTGTGGTCCTGGCTCTTGTGTAAGAATTCTGACTGCGCTAACCATGCCTAGGAAGGAAAGGAGTTGTTTTCTAGAAGGTGCTTGGGTTTGAGAGATCAGTCGGACACGATTGGCAGGGAGAGCATGTGTGTTTTTATGAGAATTATGCCGAGATAGGTAACAGATGAGGAAGAAATTTGGGCTTGACTGAAGTAATGGGGGCTGTCTGTGAAGCTTTGCAGCAGTACAGCCTAGGTAATTTGCTGAGCTTGATGGGTGTCAGGGTCAGTCCAAGTGAAAGCGAAGAGAGGCTGGGATTAAGGGTGCAAAGGAATAGTAAAGAAAGCATGTTTGAGATCTAGAACAGAATAATGGGTTGTAGAGGCAGGTATTGAGGATAGGAGAGTATATGGGTTTGGCACCATGGGGTGGATAGGCAAAACAATTTGGTTGATAAGGCGCAGATCCTGAACTAAATTGTAAGGCTTGTCTGGTTTTAGGACAGGTAAAATGGGGGAATTGTAAGGAGAGTTTATAGGTTTTAAAAGGCCATGCTGTAGCAGGCGAGTGATAACAGGCTTTAATCTTTTTAAAGCGTGCTGCGGGATGGGATATTGGCGTTGAGTGGGGTAAGGGTGATTAGGTTTTAATGAGATGGTAAGGGGTGCATGATCGGTCACCAAGGAGGGAGTAGAGGTATCTTATACTTGTGGGTTAAGGTGGGGGGATACAAGAGGAGGACGCAAAGGAGGCTTTGGATTGGGAAGAAGGGCGGCAATGAGATATAGCTGTAGTCCAGGAGTAGTCAGGGAAGCAGATAATTTAGTTAAAGTGTCTCAGCCTAATAAGGGAACTGGGCAGGTGGGGATAACTAAAAAGGAGTGCTTAAAAGAGTATTGTCTAAGTTGGCACCAGAGTTGGGGAGTTTTAAGAGGTTTAGAAGCCTGGCCGTCAATACCCACAACAGTTATGGAGGCAAGGGAAACAGGCCCTTGAAAAGAAGGTAACATGGAGTGGGTAGCCTCCGTATTGATTAAGAAGGGGACGGACTTACCTTCCACTGTGAGAGTTACCCAAAGCTCGGCATCCGTGATGGTCTACGGGGCTTCCGACGCGATCGGGCAGCGTCAGTCTTCAGCCGCTAAGCCGAGAAGATCTGGGAAGGAGTCAGTCAGACAGCTTTGGGCCAGAGTTCCAGGGGCTCTGGGAGTGGCTGCCAGGTGAGTTGAACAGTCCAATTTCCAGTGGCGTCCCGCACAGATGGGACACGGCTTAGGAGGAATCCTGGGCTGCAGGCATTCCTTGGCTTGGTGGTCAGATTTCTGGCACTTGTAGCAAGCTCCTGTGGGAGGAGGTTCTAGAGGAACGCCTGGCCCCTGCGGTTCAGGTGTTTGGAATTTCTTGTGTGCTGGAGATGTGGCTGGCGTTTGTCTCACAGTGGAGGCAAGGAATTGCAACTTTTTCTATTATTGTACACCTTGAAGGCGAGGTTAATTAAATCCTGTTGTGGGGTTTGAGGGCCAGAATTTAATTTTTGGAGTTTTATTTAATGTCGGGAGCAGATTGGGAAATAAAATGTATATTGAGAATAAGATGGCCTTTTGACCTTTTAGGGTCTAGGGCTGTAAAACGTCTCAGGGTTGCTGGGGAACGAGCCATGAACTGGGCTGGGTTTTTATATTTGATGAAAAAGAACCTAAACGCTATCTGATTTGGGATAAAGGAAAAGGAGCATTAACCTTGACTATGCCTTTGGCTCCAGCCACCTTTTTAAGAGTAAATTGCTGGGCAGGAGGGGGAGGGCTAGTCACGGAACGAAACTGTAAGTCGGACCAGGTGTGAGGAGGGGAGGTGATAAAAAGATTACAGGGTGGAGGAGCAGAGGCTGAGGAGGAATTGGGACCTAGCTTGGGCTGGGGAGGAAGGGAGAGGTCAGATGGGTCTGTAGAAAAGGAAGATTAGAAAGACTCAGTGACGCTTGGGGTTGGGACTGAGGGGACAGGAGGGAGGGAAAGAAGGAAGATTTGGGACGAGTTGCACTGGGCACAGAGACTTTTAGACTGATGTGTAAAAGAATGCCTGGACGTCAGGCACCTCAGACCATTTGCCCATTTTACGACAAGAATTATTTAGATCTTGTAGGATGGAAAAATTGGAAGTGCCATTTTCTGGCTATTTGGAACTACTGTCAAGTTTGTATTGGGGTCAAGCAGCATTGCAGAAGAAAATAAGGCATTTAGGTTTTAGGTCAGGTGTGAGTTGAAGAGGTTTTAAGTTTTTGAGAACACAGGCTAAGGGAGAAGAAGGAGGAATGGAAGGTGGAAGCTTACCCATAGTGAAGGAGGCAAGCCCAGAGAAAAGAGAGCATAGAGACACGGAGGGAAGGGGTTTGGGGGTTCTTGCCCCCTAGAAAAGCGGGACTTGCCATTAAGGGTGAAGGAGAAGGGGTTGAGGGGTACTTGCCCCTGCCCCAGGAAAGGCAGAGAAGGGGTAGAGACAAGGAGAGAAGGGGTTGGGGTGCTTGCCCTTTCCCCAGAAAAGCAGAGAAGGGGTAGAGACAAGGAGAGAAGGGGTTGGGGTACTTGTCCTGTCCCCGGAAAGGCAGAGAAGGGGTAGAGACAAGGAGAGAAGGGGTTGGGGTACTTGTCCTGTCCCCGGAAAGGCAGAGAAGGGGTAGAGACAAGGAGAGAAGGGGTTGGGGTACTTGCACCTTCCCCAGAAAAGTGGGACTTGCCGCTAAGGGTGAAGGACCAAGGCAGGCGTCCCTGCATGGTCTGACACCCTTGAAACGTGGGTGTATAATCAGAGAGGCGTCCCTGAAATGATTAAACACCAAGGGAAGGCTGCCTTCCCAGTCCGTGACCGGCGCCGGAGTTTTGCGTCCACGGATAAAACGTGTCTCCTTTGTCTCTACCAGAAAATGAAAGGAATTGAAATTAAGAGAAGGGAGAGATTGAAGTATGGTGCCAAGATTGAAAGGAGAAAGAGGTTGAGGGATAGTGAGGGAGGTTGGAGAAGAGAGTAAAAAGAGGCCGCTCACCGGATTTGAAATTGGTGAGATGTTTCTTGGGTTGGTCGGTCTGAGGACCTGAGGTCGTAGGTGGATCTTTCTCACGGAGCAAAGAGCAGGAGGACGGGGGATTGATCTCCCAAGGGAGGTCCCCCGATCCGAGTCACGACACCAAACTTCATGCACGTCCGTGTGAAGAGACCACCAAACAGGCTTTGTGTGAGCAACATGGCTGTTTATTTCACCTGGGTGCAGGCGGGCTGAGTCCGAAAAGAGAGTCAGGGAAGGGAGATAGGGGTGGGGCCGTTTTATAGGATTTGGGTAGGTAAAGGAAAATTACAGTCAAAGGGGGTTTGTTCTCTGGCGGGCAGGAGTGGGGGTCGCAAAGTGCTCAGTGGGGGTAATTTTTGAGCCAGGATGAGCTAGGAAAAGGACTTTCACAAGGTAATGTCATCACTTAAGGCAAGGACCGGCCATTTACACTTCTTTTGTGGTGGAATGTCATCAGTCAAGGTGGGGCAGGGCATATTCACTTCTTTTGTGATTCTTCAGTCATTTCAGGCCATCTGGGCGTATACATGCAAGTCACAGGGGATGCGATGGCTTGGCTTGGGCTCAGAGGCCTGACACCTGGGAGGCAGAGGTTGCAGTGAGCCAAGATTGCACCACTGCACTCCAGCCTGGGCGACAGAGCTAGACTCCGTCTCAAAAAAAAAAAAAAAAAGAAAGACTCATCCAGGACTTCAACAAGGGCACTGAGACATAGTCCTTCTCCTCCTCTTGCCTCTGCTTTCCTCTGTGTTGGCTTTGTTTTCAGGCTCCTCTTAGGGACACCAGTAATCATCTACTTCATTGCCAGCTGTCTCAGCTGAAAAGACAGAGGCTCTTCCTGGGAGCCCCGGTCCTGGGATGCATCAGCTGAGGTCTGCACTTGCCCCTGAGCCAAGCACTTCAGCCAGGGAGCTGGAACTTTGCTGACTGCCAGGCTGGGTCCTGCACCTCACTCTGGACAGGGGTAGAGCCCCACATGACTCATATGACCTGAGAGGAAGGGAGAAGGGGTTCCTTAAAGGAATATGGAGTGCCGCTGTTTCTGGCTCTGGAGCCAGGCAGTGGGATTTTGGGCAATTCATCTCACAATGCCTGTTTCCTCATGCATAAAATAGGAAGAACAATAATAATAGTATTCAACACACAGCGATGTTCTGAGTGCTGGAAGTATCTTAGCCCATTCAGGCTGCTATAATAAGACACCATAAACAGGTGGCTGATAAACAACAGAAATGTGTCCTAGTTCTGGAGGCTGGGAAGTCCAAGATTGAGGCACTGGCAGATTCAGTGCCTGCTTTCTGGTTTTTGCATGGCACCTTCTCACTGTGTCCTCATGTGGTGGAAGTGGCAAGCTAGCCCTCTGAGGCCACTTTTATTAGGGCACTAATCCCATGAATGTGGGCTCCCCTGTCACGATCTAATTCACCTCCCAAAGGCCCCACCTACCTCCTAATATTTAATATTAACACCTTGGGGGTTAGACTTTCAACATGTAAATTTTGGCAGGGGACACAAACATTCAGACCATAGCATAGAGTTAACACAATGTACTTAGAACATTCACCAATCCATGTAAAGTACTCCATAAATGCTTGCTATTAGTACAGCAAGCTCAATTTTTTTTTTTTTTTTTGAGACAGAATCTCAGTCTCACTCTGTCTCACAGGGTGGAGTCCAGTGGCGTGATCTCAGCTCACTGCAACCTCCATCCCCCTGGTTCAAGCAATCCTCCCACCTTGGCCTCCCCGGTAGCTGGGATTACAGGCATGTGCCACCACACCTGGCTAATTTTTATATTTTTTGTGGAGACTGGGGTTTCCCCATGTTGGCCAGGCTGGTCTCGAACTCCTGACCTCAAGTGATCTCCCTGCCTTGGCCTCCCAAATTGTTGGGACTGCAGGCGTGAGCCACCGCGCCCAGCCTCGATATTTTTGATACTGTAGAAGCTTTCCCTCCAACAGATTGGAACTGGTTGGTTAGTTAATAAAATGATGAATCTTTAAAAGTGTTACGCTCCTTCCATATTTAAGTTTAAAAGCATAAATAGGCCTGAGGCCATCTGGCAGGGCTGGGAGGAGGGCGAGGCAGGTCAGAAATAAGAGCACAACATTTAATGAGGCGCTTGCTCTCAGGTGCTGACCCTGCACTTGCATGGTCCTGAGGGCAGTGCCTTCTTAACCTTTGCACTCTAGGTGCCTCTCTTCTTGCCTTTCTGCTTTGCCATCTAGGTCTGTTGAGTAGCATTCCTTGTCTATCTTGTCTAAACCACACCCTGAAATAATTCATCTATAACCTCCAGTTTCAGTTTTTTAAAATTCCAGGAAGAACTTACAGACATTTGCAAAGCAGAATCCCGTATTCGTACCATTTTCTCCAATAGTTGATGGTTGTCTGGCCCATGCCAAATTCAACAGCATTTGTTTGAAGCAACTTGCATCTATTCAGTCATGCCAAAACATTCAACTTGGTTTTCATAGGAGCAAGAACTTCTTTTCCCATTCTTTTTTTTTTTTTTTTTCCTTTTCTGAGATAGAGTTTTGTTCTTGTCGCCCAGGCAACACTCCATGCATGTCACTCCATGCAATGGTGCAGTCGAGGCTCACTGCAACCTCCGCCTACCCAGTTCAAGCAATTCTTCTGCCTCAGCCTCCTGAATAGCTGGGATTACAGGCAATCACCACCACACCTGGCTAATTTTATATTTTTAGTAGAGACGGGGTTTCACCATGTTGGCCAGGCTAGTTTTGAACTCCTGACCTCAGGTAATCCACCTGCCTCAGCCTCCCGAAGTGATGGGATTACAGGCATGAACCACCATGCCCAGCTTCCCATTCATTTTTAAATAGGTTTTACAACATGTAATTAAACCGTAGAAGCAAATAAGTATAACTAGCATAGAAGCTCCTTGAGGACAGGACTTCTCTGTTCTTTATCACTGCAGTGTCTCCAGAGCTTAAAACAGTGTGTACACATCATAGGCGCTCAGATGTCTGTGCATGAATGAATAAACTGGCTTTGACAGGTTTGGGGAGCAAAGGGTTAATTCAATATGTGGGAATCCATGGACAAAGTCAGGTGGAGCCTGCCAGCTTCAGGTGTTTCAGGGGTCATGGGAATCATCATCATTTACAGAAGTCTACATGGTTTACAGTGAATCCAGCAGGGTAGTTAAGAGACGGTCAGTTGTGAAAGCTACTACCACATCATAAGTAAATATTTAAGGGAAGGATCCAGAAACATCTGTTTGTCTCTTTTGGGGAACAGGTGTGTCTTGGAGGGAGGGTATGGTAAGGGGGATGGCATTTGCATTTCAGCAGGTGAACATGCATCATTTGAAAAAACCTATTTAACATAATTATCATATTTTAAAAATACGATAAATGAAAAATACCTACTGCTTTCATAACACATTATAGAAAGTGAAGCTCAAGAAAATATAGTAGTGGGAACAGGCAGAAGCAGCAGCAATTCTAGACAGTAAGTCCCATGAAGGCAGCATATTATTGATGCCTGGCAAATTGTCCTGACTTAATCAATATTGTGGGAGAAAACAGATTCTCAATAAGAAGTGTACCTCTTAAGGGCAATGTAACTATGAAGGTGTAGGCTTGGAAAATGTCATTTCCCAATCAATATTTTAAAAGGCATCTTTTTAAAATATTGAAAAACCGTGTTTTAAAAACATAGCAATGTTTTTGGCTAGGCGCAGTGTCTCATGCCTATAGTCTCAGCACTTTGGGAGGCTAAGGCAGGTGGATCTCCTGAGGTCAGGGGTTCAAGACCAGCCTGGCCAACATGGCAAAAACCCATCTTTACTAAAAACACAAAAATTAGCCAGGTGTGGTGGTAGGTGCCTGTAATCTTAGCTAATTGGGAGGCTGAGGCAGGAGAATCCCTTGAACCTGGGAGGCGGAGGTTGCAGTGAGCTGAGATCGCACCACTGTACTCCAGCCTGGGCGACAAGAGGAAGACTCTGTCTCAAAATAAATAAATAAATAAAAATAAAAATAAAAACATAGCAATGGTTGTTCCAAATAAATCACAACAGGATTCTTTTTGGGTGCTTTCCCAATGTTATTTCCTCAGTGGGATTTTGTGGTCAGTTGATTCACCGGGTGAGTAAAGCTGATTTTTAGACTAACCACGGGGAATAGTTCCACGGGATGGAATTGCATTAGCATTTTGGCTCATGGAAATAGATGCGTATGGTAAGGTTCATAGAGACTGCAGCCTTTCACTGACCAAACAATTGATTGTATTTGTAGCCAATTTAAACTGGAGTATTTTCTGGAAGAGTCGGAGACTATGATGCTACACCATCCATTGCACAAACATTAGCCACAAAATGGTGGAAGTCACTTGGTCTGGCCTCCGCAAGGAGTCAGTCCTGGTCATTTCCTCCCGGCTGCCTCCGGTGGAAGGATATTCCACACACAGCTCCGTGGTATTTGTAGCACAAGCCCAAGTTTGATTATCCTAGTGGTAATTTCAAGTTCTTTGTTTCCTACCCTCCTTTTTAAACCTATTTCTTCCTAATCAGTTTCCTGAGGATATGAAACCTATTCCTTACACAAACCAGTTGAGCTCAATTTTTCCTTATCTAGGCTAAACCCCATTTTTGTGACTTTTCCAGAGATATTAAAATAAGCAATAACCACAAAACCAACAGCACCAAAACTAGCTGCATCTTTAGGACGGCACTGTGTTCTTCCTTGTTTTTCTTCTTTGCACGTGCTGTTCCCTCTGCTGCTGGGTGTGCACCCTTTAAACCTGCATCTCCCTGGGCTAATCACCGTGCCAACTCAACTCCTGCTCGTGCCTAAAGACTTACCTCAGTTAAAGAGCGATGCTCCAGACAACCGCCCTTGCTCCCCACACCAACAGAGGAAATTATTTTTATTTATTTATTTATTTTTGAGACAGAGTCTCACTCTGTCACCCAGACTTAAGTGCAGTAGGGTGATCTCGGCTCACTACAACCCCTGCCTCCCAGGTTCGAGCGATTCTGGTGCCTTAGCCTCCTGAGTAGCTGGGATTTCAAGTGCATGCCACCGCGCCCATTTAATTTTTGTATTTTTAGTAGAGATGGGGTTTTGCCATGTTGGGCAGGCTGGTCTTGAACTCCTGAACTCAGGTGATTCACCCTCCTCGGCCTCCCAAAGTGCTGGGATTACAGGTGTGAGCCACCATGACTGGCCATGTACTTTCGAAATATATAAAAAATGTTGATAAGATGCAGAGAAGAAAAATAAAATGCTGTCAAAAAACTGGACAATAAGACCTACCACTTACCCAGCCATCCAAACACCCATCTCTGAAACACACGTCAAGTCTTTGTGCCAGGTGCTGTGTGAAGTTCAGAGACATACAGGGACAAAAACAGTGTTTTGTAAAATGAGAATCTCAACTTGTCAAATAATTACATCAATAATTATGTACATCAACCTCTATCAAATAATTACATTGCTTGGTACGGGTCCTGTGATGGTTAATTTTTATATGTAAGCTTGGCTAGGCCCCAGTGCTCAGATATATAGTCAAACATTATTCCAGATGTTTCTGTGAAGGTATATGTTAGTTGAGATTTAACATTTAAATCAGTAGACTGTGAATAAGGAGATTACCCTCCATAATGTAGGTGAGCCTCATCTAACCAGGTGAAGGCCTTAAGAGAAAAAGACTGACCTCTCTGAGGGAGAAGGAATCCTGCTGGCTGATGGTCTTTGGACTTGAACTGCAATTCTTCCCTGGATCTCCAGGCTGCTGGCCTACCCTGCAGATTTTGGATTTCGCACTTGTCAGCTTCCACAATCATGTGAGCCAGTTCCTTAAAATCAATGTTTCTCTCAATCTCTTTCTTTTCTCCTTCCTTCCTTCTATTCTCCTTCTCCTCCTCCTCCTCCTTCTTCTTCTCCCTTCCTCTCTTCCTTTTTCTTTCCTTTTTTCCTTCCCTCCCTCCCTTCTCTCTCTTTTCTTCTCTTCCCCTTTCTTTTTTCCTTCTTTCTTTCTCTTTCTCTTTCTGTCTGTCTGTCTGTCTGTCTGTCTCTCTCTCTCTCTCCTTCCTTCCTTCCTTCCTTCCCTGCTTCCTTCTTCCTTTCCTGTTTTTCTCCCTTGTTGGTTCTGTCTGCCTGAAGAACCCTGACTAATATGCCCCTAACAGGTCTTGCCTTCAAGTTTTCAGAGCCATTTCACCAGTGTGTTAAAGTCACTAGAAATTGCCTCTCCAGCTGATTGACAAAAATTCTCTAGACTCTGGAATCAGCCCTTGACAGGGATAAGAGGTGTTTGTGTCCAACTCTGCACAGTATAGAAATTCCCTCTGGGCGCTTGTCTTGGTCAGCGTTCTACATGGTGAGCAACAGAAGTGGCCCCCAGCCCATTAGGCTGGAGAGGAGTTTATTGAGAGCACACTGGGGGCTTGTCAATCTGCTAGGGTGCAGCAGAATAGGGCTCAAAATTCAGGAGCCAAACTTGAAAGCATCAATCTAGTCTGATGAGGAATCCACTACTGATGCTGCCACTAAGCAGCTAGTTTGCCTCTATCAGGAGCCTGATTTCACCAAAGTCACCACTGTCACCAGCTCCAATGCCAGCTCTGTGCCAGAAAGTAGGCTTTGTGGCCACCACCACCCTCAAAAAAACAGCCTCTTTAGCAAAATGGACTCCATGTCCCTCTTCTTGAATCACAGTCTGGACACTCCAGTTGCTGAAGCCTGGTCTCATGTCTGTGCGCTAGCTGCAAGAGAGGCTGGGAAAACATGCTTTCAGGCTGTGGCTTAGGGAAGAGAGTCACCTAATATGGAAATTGTGTTGCTTGGTATAGAAAGGGTGTTCTAAAGGGCTGGGCATTGAGGAAACATGACAAATGTCCATACCATGCTCTTACCAGATGCTTCTCCCCATCAGCTACCTCCACTTCCATTTCTTAAGTGCTGCAGGTTACTTTCTGGCTCAGCTCTAATTCTGAGAGAAATGTTTCTGCTGAGCCCTGTAATTGTGCCCCTGTAACTTCTACCCTCTGCTCATTTTGAACAGCACAGGAAATGGATTGGGTACTCTGTTCCATCCTACTGTTTCAGAGTTGGGAAAAACAGGATTCAAGTCCTAGCTCCATCACTTATGAGTCATGTGATCTTCAACAATGTACTTGGCGTCTCAATTCTGTTTTCTCATCTATAAAATGGGGATAATAGTACACACCAGGGGCCTGGTGTGTGGTGGCTCACACCTGTAATCCCAGCACTTTTGGAAGCCGAAGCAGGTGGATCATCTGAGGTCAGGAGTTCGAGACCAGCCTGGCCAACATGGTGAATCCCTGTCTCTACAAATATATAAAAATCAGCCCGGCATGATGATGGGTGCCTGTAATCCCAGCTACTCGGGAGGCTGAGGCAGAAGGATTCGGGAGGTGGAGGTTGCGGTGAGCTGAGATCGTGCCATTGCGCTCCAGCCTGGGCGACAGAGCAAGACTTCGTCTCAAAATAATAATAATAATAGTATGCACCAGAGAACGTTGGGGTGAGGACTGAATGAGCTCATGCATGTCATGATTTAGCAGACCACTTGGCACATTAATAGTAGCTATTGTCATGGGATGCTTCCTAATCCTTCTGCACACAACAGCCATTAAAAAACTGGGAGACCACTGCTGTGATGCTCTCCTACCACTCCAACCCCTGTGTTTTCTTTTTCAAATGTACATCTATGCCTGCCAGGAGAACTTCTGCTTCCTTAGTCTGCATGAGGTCTGCACAACTGGCCTGGCCTGTCTCTTCTTTCAACCTCCCATGTGCACTCCGCAGTGACACAACGCCTGATTCCCCAAACACACTGCCCCTGAAGGAACCTCTCACTTAGTGTCCTCACCTAGTTGTCTAATAATGGGCTCCTTCCTTTTCCACTGCAGTCCCCCAGCCTCCACCCTCCCCAGCAGGTCACATCCTGCCCGTCTTCCCTCCATTTTAAAACCTTCCCTTACTGCTCTGTCTGTTAGTGTCTGTGCCAACACTTGGCACTTGATTATTATTTTTTGAGACAGAGTCTCACTCTGTCACCCAGGCTGGAGTGCAGTGGCATGATCATGGTTCACTGCAGCCTTGACATCCTGGGCTCAAGCTAGCCTCCCACTTCAGCCTCCCCAGTAGCTGGGATTACAGGCATGTGCCACCACACTTAACTAATTTTGTGTGTGTGTGTGTGTGTGTGTGTGTACAGGCATGTGCCACCACACTCGACTAATTTTGTGTGTATGTGTGTGTGTGTGTGTGTGTGTGTGTGTGTGTGTGTATATATATATATTATTTTTTATTTTTTATTTTTTCTGTAGAGACAGAGTTTCACCATGTTGCCCAGGGTGGTCTTGAACTCCTGGGCTCAAGTGATCCACCCCCTTCGGCCGCCTTGAGGAATGGATAATACTTTAAATACATCTTTTCCCTTCCTTAGTACCTGTTTTGATGACTTTCCCTGAACTGTCTTCTTCATCCTCATTTTCTTCCATCTCTTCATTCCCTTCACTATTCTTTTCCTCCTCTTCGAAAAACTGGTAGCTTTTGTAATAAGAGCGAGGTGCAGTGGCTCACACCTATAATTTCAGAGCTTTGGGAGGCTGAGGTGGCGGGATACTCAAGCCCAGGACTTTGAGGTCAGCCTGGACAACATAGTGAAACCCCGTCTCCACAAAAAATTTAAAAATTAGCTGGGAATGGTGGTGCATGCCTGTACTACCAGCTATTTGGGAGGCTGAGGTGGGAGGATCCCTTGAGCCCAGGAGTTGGAGGGTGTAGTGGGCCATGATTAGGCTGCAGCACTCCAACCTGGGTGACAGAGAAAGACTCTGCCTCTTAAAAAAAAGAGTGCAATAAAGAGTGGGTGATTCCGTAAGTCTTAACCACTCTTAACTACTTAATTATTCATATAGTCCTTTCATTCACACCCACCCGTCCAGGTATCCATCTACCCACCCACCGACCTATCCACTCATCCATCAATCCAGTCCCCACCTATCCATCCATCCACCCATTCATCCATCCATCCAAAGAGTTACCTACCTACTCACACACCCATCCATCCATCCATCCAGTCCCCACTCATCCATCCACCCAACCAGTCCCCATCCATCCATCCATCCATCTGTCCATCCAGTCATCCATCCATCCATCCATCCATTCATCCATCTGTCCATCCATCTGTCCATCCAGTCATCCATCCATCCATCCAACCAGTTACCCACACACCTATATCTATCTATCCATTCATCCATCCATCATTCCATCCACCCATGCATCCATCCAGTCACCAACTCAGCTATCCATCCATTTGTCCATTTAGTCACCTACTCATTAACCCATCTACCCATTCATCCAGTCACCCACCCATCCATTCATCCACCCATCTATTCATTCAGTCACCCACCCACCCATCTACCCATCCATCCAGTCACTCACACACCCACCCACCTATGCATCCATCCAGTCACCTACCCATCCATCCATCCATCCATCCATCCATCCAACCATTCACCTACCCACTCACACACCCATCCATCCATCCAGTCCCCACTCATCCATCCATCCATCCGTTTGTCCATCCATCCATCCATCCATCCATCCATCCATCCATCCATCCAAGTCACCCACCCACTAACATCCACCCATCCATCCTGTCATCCATCCATGCATGCATCCGGTCACCAATCTACCTATCCATTCATTTGTCCATTTAGTCACCCACCCATTCATCCATCCACCCATTAATCTAGTCACCCACCCATCCACCCTTTCATCTATTCATCCAGTTACCCACCCACCCATCTACCCATCCATCTATTCACCCATCCATCCAGTCACCCACCCACCTATGCACCCATCCAGTCACCTACCCATCCATCCCTCCCTCCCTCCCTCCCTCCCTCCCTCCCTCCCTCCCTCCCTCCCTCCCTCCCTCCATTTCACTAGCAGACCTTCCCTATTTTGCCCCAGGCACTGTACATAGGTTTTTGCTATGCAAGAGAATCTTATAGAGTCATGAGGGAAACAGGTATAAACCATACAATACAAACCGTTAAGTAAGAAAGCAAAGGGGAATAAACCAGCCAGTGGGGAGAGGGAGGCAGGGAATGATCTTATGTGTCAGGCATATAGGTGGTGCCTGCTAAATGTTGATCATTTGTTGATTAATTTGGCTCCTTTTGCTCCCCAGGAAAAGCATCTGCTCCCATGATGAAATGAGACCATGTGGGTAAATATATTATGTCAACTCTAAAGCTCTTACAAATGTAAGGAAATGTGCCTGTGGTTATCTGACAGGTGAAACACCTGAGGCAATGCCTAACACATAGTAGGTGCTAAGTCCATAAGTGCTTTTAGTAAAGACAACTGTCAAGGACCCAGCTGGTGCGCTGGCCTTGCTAATTTAAAGGAAAAAATCTTTAACATTATGAAAACATTCCCTCTTTCCTATTCAGTCTCATAGCAGTGATATAACTGAAGCCAGAGGGAGGACATATTTTCATGAGAATTCTCCATTGTCTACAACTTTTGTTTTATTTTAGGCTAGAATCAGAGGTGCTTTCTTTTGCACCCATGCAAACTCACCATTCATTCTACTTTTCTACTACCTATTTTCTCTATAGCATATTTTGTGGATTTTTTTCCCTAATACATTTTCTAATAATTAAAGATACTGGAGACAGGAAAACAGGGTTGCTGTGTGACTTGGGATGAGTTTCTTAATGTGTCCAAGGTCAAAGTCTTAATTCTCACATTTGTACAATTAAAGAAAATTGTGACGATTATAGGAGATAACATATTCAAAGTACCTACTTTGGTGCCATCACTTATAGTGGCTCAATAAAATTGTGTTCCAGTTATCTATTGCTGTTTAACAAATAATCTCACATTTAGTGGCTTAAAGCAACCATTTTACTGTATTTCATGAATGTAGGATCAGATCATTTAGGGGTGAGAAGCGTAGGGCGTGGCTGGATGACTTGTTGGTTTTCCAACTACTTCTAAGATGGCTTATTTACATGGCTGGCAAGATGGTGCTGGCTGTTGGCTGGAGCTCAACCAGGGCTCCATGTGGCCTCTCCATGGGGCTGCTTGGTCTTCCTCACAGAAAGGTAGCTGGGTCCCAGGACTGAGTGTTCTAGGAGACTGACAGAAGCTGCAAGCTTCTTAAGATTTAGCCTCAAAAGTCCCAGAAGAGTACGGTTGCCGCATTTTCTTGGTCAAGTGAGCCATTATGACCAGCTCAGATTCAAGGGGAGGGAAATTAGACCCCACCTATTGAAAGGGGAAGTATCAAAGGATTTGTGGCCATCTTTAACCCATCAGGAACAGTAGATGTTCTTTTTCATTGTACTCCATTCTGAGGCATGAAGTCAGCATGAGCCACCAGGTTCGTGTGCTGACTGCAGGGTCTCTCAAGGTCAATCCCTGCAGCTGTTCCAGCTGTGGAAAGCAGCTGGTTCCTCACTTGTCTCTGCTGGCCTCTCACTGAACTGGAGAATGCAGCTTTGGGAGCCAGCCATGGGTCTAACCATCTGTCTCTGTGGACTGTACTCTCTAAGCCATTCAGTACAATCGTAGCAAAACTTTTTTCCATTGTGTGTGTGTGTGTGTTGATGAATACAGCAAGTTCATGATTAAACTCACATTCCATGCTAAGATCCAGCTCTGAGCATGCTTTGGAGATTAAGGACTCAAAATGTAAAATTTTTACCCCATGGTGTGAAACATCTTGGTTACCATGATAGTTTGTCTTCTGGATTACATTTTGGAGTCATCCTGAATGCTGAAATGGTTCTTCATATCCTAAAGACTTTAGGTTTCTGTATGGTTCTGGGTCTGTTTTTGTTTCATAACTCAGACTTTCCATAAATACCCTACTTGGACGCACTTTCCTCTGTCTTTGAGACATCTATGTCAATCCCTTATTTGAATGTGTGAATTCCCATTCCTTCACTTTCAGTATGTTCCTAATGTTCTGAAGCAAGCTTATTTTTAAAAAATGAATAGATGTCATATGTATGTAACAACCCTGATGTCCAATAGGCTGGCCAAGTGCTCAACTAGATTAAACAAAGTCAAGCAAACAGGTTTCTTTACTGCAGGACTTCCCACGACCTTTAACATATTCACCAGTATTTTGTATTTCAGAAAGAACAGTAAATGCCACATTTCAAATACTTCTATGACCTCAGAGACCTTTTTTACAGAGGACCTTTCAGGATTTATGTTCTGTGGGACACACTTTGGGAAACACAGGCTTAAACTTACGCCCCTTTTTGGGGGAAGGTGTATGTGACCCACCATTTTGTCAGTGTCCACATGTCTGGTGTCTGCACACCTTCCTTTCCAACAGTCAAAGCTGAGTATTGCCCTTTACAGGGACCCTTTAGGTGGCCTGCTAGAGTAGGAGAAGCCTCGTTTCCATCACAATTTCCACTTTCAGCTCTGGGATCCTGGGCCGATTAACTAACCCCCCTAAGCCTCAGAATACCTAGGTTTAATATGGAGAAATACAACCTCCTCAGCCGGGGCAATGTTAGATTACATGTGGTAGTGCATCCAGAGATGGGCCTGGGAGAGTGCCTGGAACGTGTTAGCCCCCTCTTCCCTTCCTAGTAGTTCCAGGACTGAACCACCACGGGGATCGATGAGTGAGCACGCTCGCCCCCTAGTGGGCATTTCTGCCTTGACCTCCTGAGCCAACCCATCCTTAAAGAGGACTGGATGGCCTCTATCGTCCTAGTTGGTTTATTTACCAGCTGTTTTGAACTGGTGTGAGGGCAATTCATGTTAGGGTAACAAGGCAATAGATCATTTAAATGAAGGCGACAGGTTTGAGAATAGGGATGGTGAATTCTTTCTCCAGTAAGGGGCAAAGTACCATCCCCTTTTTACAGATGCTGGCCTTGAGGTCTCAGAAGGGACAGCAGGAGACTGGGACTCATGGATGGGCCGTTTGCACACATCTAAATGCTTGTGTGGACAACCGAGAGCGAGATCTTCCTAGTGCCTTTATCACACGTGGTTCTTAATTTGGAAGTGCGGGGAGAGGTGTGAATTGCCTTGTTCTGTCTGTGATTCAAGGTAATCTCTATCATGTAAGTGTCTTGCAAAGAGGAGGCAGTAGGCAAGAAACCAAAGTTATTGTTTATCGACAGCTTGCTCTGTCAGGTATCTTCCTTAGTGTTTTATGTATTTAATCCTTGCAGTAAGCCTTGGAAGATGGTAGAAAAGACTCTCATTCCCATTTTACAGCTGAGGAAATGGAAGCCTAGAGCATTTGAGTGGCTTGCTTAAGGTCACAGAGCCACATGTGGAATAAAACCAGCACTGAAACCCACATGTCCCGATTTCACACCCATGTACTTAAGCAGGACTCCAATCTGCCTCTCTGAAAATCACTTGTTGGCCACCTGGTCAACCAACAAGTATTTATTGGGTCACTGCTGTGTGCCCACTCCTGTGCCAGAGCTGGGGAGGAGACAAAGGATTCAGGAGACTGTTTGGTATCCAGGATTGCTCCAAAATTGGTTCTGACTTCTTAATAAAGGGTAAAATCCCTGAGGAAATACTGAATGATGAAATTTAAAAGAGTGAGTTTTTCAAAGTAGGAAGAAACTGGTTAATAGCAGGCTGAAGGGCAAACATGTTTAAAAAAAGAACCAACCCAGGAAAAATCAACACTGTATTAGTGACACATATGATTTGTATGCCTGTGAGCAGGAAAATGTGAAAGAGGGAGAGAGAGATGTCTTCTTGAGTAAATGAAGCATAGAAGTTCATTAGGACTATAAAAAAGTGTTAAAAGAGGAAACCCTGCCTTTGGAGAATCAAGGGATTGTAATATAAACTATGTCAGGTAGGTGCAAATTGGAAACTAGAGATGCAAAGGCAAGATCTGAGGAATACATTTACAAAAACACTAGATAAATAATAAATTATTAAATATGTTAAAAGCTAAAAGGATCTTCGTGTCTGCAAGGCTCTTAAATTCAAGAGAAAAAAATGCCAGGCTGGTCTGGTCCGAGAGGGTAAAGGGAGGGGAATGGAGACGGTCTGGCTGGATTAGTCCTTCCTCTGAAGACACAGGAATACACCCCGGGTAGAATGTTCACAGGAAATCATTAGGCCCAGAGCACACACAAGTCCCCCAGGAAAATGCAGGAACAAGTTAAACACACCAGGGCATTTGAGAGATGGGAGGTCTCCTATCCCTGTCCTCGTTCTGTGCCCAGGAGACCAAGGCTGGTGTGAGAACCCACTGCCTGGTGCTGGGAGATCTGGGCCCACCAAGACCCCTCTCTCCCTACTCTGGAGTGACCTTCAGCCCTTCGGCTGTCATCTTTGTTTCTGGCGGCTCAGACAGAAAATCTGCAGGCAGTCGGGCTTGGGAGACTGTATGAAGGTGCGCCTACTTTGGCGTGCTTCCTCCCTAAGCTTCTGCAACCCCCTGTTCCCTGTCCTGCCTGGACTCTGGGTTTTATCCACAGTAGACCAGAAGACCCTATGGCCAGCAGAATAGCCAGGTGGGATGAGCAATAGGATTTAAGGTGAGTCTCAGCTCAGTGTCTTAACTAGTCATGTGACCTTGGGCAAGCGACTTGAACGCTCTCTTGTAAAATGAGAATGATAATGAGGATGATGATGATAGTACTTCATTGAATTCTACAGATATTTGTGGAATACCTGCTTTGCCAAGCGCAACACCATCCTGCCTGTATGGAGGTTGCAGTGTGGCTCGGTGTGGCCTAGGAGATGGCCTTCTGGCCCCTCTCTACGTGTATCGCAGGCTGTCTGTTGGGCATTTTCCCCAAGAACTTTAGCAACATGAGTTGATTTCACATCATTGCCATTCTATGAGGTAGTTATTATTATGATTCTCATTTTACACCCCAGGAAACTGAGATGGGCAGGGGCTAAATAACTAGCCCAAAGACACTCAGCTGGAAAGAGGTGGCACTCATTTCTAAACCCACGTCCCTGATGTCTGAGCTTGGGCTCTTTACTCCTACTTTATACATGGATCCAACAGTCACATGGACAATTGTGCAATTGTAGCTTTGATAGGCAGGACGCAGGAGGAAGATACAGAGCTTGGTGAGCCCATAATATGGGCTTTTCACTGAGGAAGTGACACAAGCTGAGATCTGAGGACGAGGTCAGAGCTGACCAGGGGAAAATGGAAGAAAGAGTGGTTCCTGAGGCAAAAAGGCTTGAAGACTGTTGTGGGGACTGAGTACATGAACGAGAAAAGGACCCAGCCCAGAGCGAGCTGCCTACCTGGCTGTGTGACCTCTCGGAACCTCGGTCCCCTCGTCTGTAAAATGGGGAGAACAGGAGGTAGGAAGATGAAGGTAGGCAATGGATATAAATGTAGTCAGAGCCATTGTTAACACAATTTACTTCCATGGACAAAGAAAGTTGAGAGAGAAAGAATTTTTCCCCAAGGGCCTCTACCACAACAGTGACATCAACTGAGAGTTGAGAAAGGTCAAAGATGGTCATGGGTGACCCAGTTAGCCTTCTCCCTCAGTCTATCAGAGTAAACAGACCAACTGAGAAGCCAAAGGTCATTCCTCTGAATTTTCCAAGTTGCTCTTGTGGAGAGACTTAGTAAATGATGTGCCAAGTATTATCTAGATCTTAATCATAATATGGTGACAATACCCAACAGGCTCACAAATATGTGTCGTTTGTGAAATCTCAGGAATCTCCTTATTCTCCTGTTGATTAATGCTGATGTCTTTTTTTTTTTTTTTTTTTGTGGGACGGAGTCTTGCTCCGTCGCCCAGGCTGGAGAGCAATGGCGCAATCTCGGCTCACTGCAGCCTCCGCCTCCCAGGTTCAAGTGTTTCTCCTGCCTCAGCCTCCTGAGTAGCTGGGATTACAGGGGCGTGCCTCCATGCCTGGCTGATTTTTGTATTTTTAGTAGAGGCAGCGTTTTGCCATGTTGGCTAGGCTTGAACTAACCTTGAACTCCTGACCTTAAGTGATCTGCCTGCCTTAGCCTCCCAAAATACTGGGATTACAGGCATAAGCCACCACACCCGGACACTGATGTCTTAATATTCCAGACTGGATGCTTCAAAGGGCAGGCCAATCAAACCCTGAGAGCTGATGTCAACAGTAGAGATTACAGTATCCTCCAGGTGCTTTCCATAGTTATTCCATTTCATGTTGACAGCAGCCCTGCTCTAAGCAATTGCAAGCCCATTTTACAGATGAGGTGACTGGGACTCTGTCAAAGGCCACACGCGGGACAGAGCCAGGCTCACCCCCGCCAGCCCTGGCTCACAAGCCTTGCTGTTTCCACTCTGCCTGCACTGTCTCATGCTCTTTATGAGACTTCTAAAAATAAAAAATGCTTCTGCTCACCATTCCCTCAGGTTAGCACTAAGCTTTTGTTTGATGTTAAGAGCTTTAGATAAATCTGACTCTAGATTACTGTGTGATGACTTCCTCTTGTCATCTGGGTATCACTTCAAATCTTACCTCCTCAAACAGTTTTCCAGAATAATCACTGCCACTCACACTCATCACACCACAGAGTGGAATTGTTTTTCTAGCACTTGCCAATATCTCAAATCATCTTGGTCATGTATTTGCTTACTTATTTCATTGCGAGTCTCAACCCACTGGACTGTAAGTTGCACAGCAGTGAGAATCGTATGGGTCTGCCATTCTTCACTGAGACCAGCAAATACCCTGATTGCAGTAGGTGCTCAGTGTGTGTACTTCTGAGAGCACTGTGGGGCGGACAGCGCCTAGGGCTTGAAGGCAGGTTGTGGTCATTCCAACTACCCTCCGCCAGCCTACTGAGCACCCAAGCCTCGATTTTCTCATCTGTAAAATGGAGATAATAATAGACAACAAATACTATGCAGCCACCAAAAGTGATGTTGTGCAAAACTATGGAATGGCGAGGACAGATATTCATGATGTGGTAAATGGAAAATAATCAGGCAGTGAAACAGCACGTCAGGATGAACCATGAAGAACACAGAACATGGGTTTTTTAGGCAGGGGCTGTGCTGTGGGCTGCCTGGTTTCCACCCTGAATTCCCCATTTACTAGTTGTGAGACCTTGGGTATATTACACTTTTTGTGCCTCAGTTTCCTCATTTATAAAATGCAGATGATAAGCGTCTATGTCAAAGGGTTGTGAAAATTCATGAGTTAAGAGTGTGTTAGAGGGGTGTTTAACACATAGTAAGAGGCTAAAAAAGACTAGCTATTGTTATTGTCATCACTACTATTGTTCTATTATTATTGGCGTGCATCGAGGGAAAATAAAAAGATTGCAAAATGGTATGTTCAATAGAATTCTATTATTTAAAGTATATGTGTTTATAACTAGAAGTACATAGACTAAAATGTCACATGATCTCTTTGGCAGTTTTTTTCTTATTTTATTTTATTTTTATTATTTATTTATTTATTTTGAGACAGAGTCTTGTTCTGTCGCCCGGGCTGGAGTGCAGTGGCGTGATCTCAGCTCACTGCAAGCTCTGCCTCCTGGGTTCACACCATTCTCCTGCCTCAGCCTCCCAAGTAGCTGGGACTACAGGCGCCCGCCACCACGCCTGGCTAATTTTTTGTCTTTTTAATAGAGATGGGTTTCACCGTGTTAGCCAGGATGGTCTCAATCTCCTGACCTCGTGATCCTCCCATCTTGGCCTCCCAAAGTGCTGGGATTACAGGTGTGAGCCACCGCGTCCGGCATTTATTTTTTGAGGATGAAGTCTTGCTCTGTCACCCAGGCTGGAGTGCAGTGGCATGATCTTGGCACACTGCAACCTCTGCTTCCTGGGTTCAAGTGATTCTCATGTCTCAGCCTCCCTAGTAGTTGGGATTACAAGTGCCCACCACCATGCCCAGCTAATTTTTTATTTATTTTTTATTTTTAGTGGAGACGCAGTTTTACCATATTGGCCAGGTTGATCTTGAATATCCTGACCTCAGGTGATCCACCTGCCTTGGCCTCCCAAAATTCTGGGATTACAGGCATGAGATACAGCATCTGGCCTTTTTCTAATTTAATTCTTTTCCTTCTTTTCTCTCTCCCTCTGTCTTAACCTCCCTATCTTCCTCCTTTTCTTTCTTTTCACAAATCTGTATTATTATGTGTAATGAGAAAATACAACCAAGAGAAATCTAAATATTAAAAATAATAAAATAATGAAATAGGCAAGGCGTACTTCCCAGGAAGTTGGGGAGTTAGGCTCTGGTCCTCATTCTGTCACCTTTAACATGCCTCACTCCAAGAAGTCTCTGAATCAGGTAACAATAAGCAACGCTAACCAGATGGCTTTCTGGCACGCCAGACATTACACTGAACCCCTCATGTGCAGACCTGCTCAGTGGGTACTATCATTGCTGTTACACTGATAAGGAATCCAGGGTCTAGAGAATTAAGAAATTTGCCCAAGAGTGCCCAGCTACCCAGGGGGTGATTCCCAGCCAGGCCTGTCTGACTCAGAGCCTGAGGTTTAAAGATCCTGAACACTCATATTGCAGGTCCCAGCCAGCAGCAGCAGCAGCCTCCAGGAGCTTGCTAGTAAATGCAGAATCTCAGGCCCCTGTCCAACCCTAACAAGCCAGAATCTTCACTGTGATGAATTCCCCCAGGTGATTTGTGCCCAAGGAGCCCTCGCGTGAACATGGCTTGTGGAGCCTCTCAGGTTGCTTCCGGCTGCACAAAGTCCCCAACTCATCCTCGCCTTTCCTCACTGTCTTCCTTCTCTCTGTCTGACCCCGATGCCATCTCACTGGGGTCTCACCCTCCAGATCTCAGCAGGAGAAGCGAGCAGAGGGGAATCCAAACCACTCCCTTTCGTGACTACTCAGCATCTCCGAGACAAAGGTTTGAAGAAAAACAGATGTTTGAATCTGTAGACGAGATGCAGGGATTATCTATGGAGTGTCTGTATCCATGTTATCCCTTTCCAAATAGTGGACTGTAAATAGGATATTTTTGTGATTTAAGGAAAAATAAATATTGCAGGCTTCGTAACCAGAGGCCTCTCTGATATGCTTAAATGCGGTCAGGATGCCCTGATATAAGGGTCTAGCGATAGAACAGCAAAGGTAAATTCCCCTGGCCCGTGGGTGTTGATATATGATGATGGAATGCAAACAAGCGTTGTTTGGCTCTGAAAGCAGAACCAGAGAAAACTTCATCTAGGTATTTAATTATACAGGGCAGAGTGGAAATGATCTTTTGTTTCCTCGCTGGCCCATGGTTGAAACCCATAGGTCACTCCAAATCAAAAGACATTAAAATGTGTAAGATGGAACTGGAACATAACATTTAGCAGAAGTTTTAAGCATTTCTGGTTGTGTTTTTGTCACTAAGGCTGTTTGCACTGTAGTTTGCAGCTGTAGCCACGTATGGAGTTAAATAACCTGGTTGGCACGCACACGCACACGCATGCGCGCGCGCGCGCACACACACACACACACACACACACACACACACACACACAGGTTCCTTAGGGTGTGTGTGAGAAAACAAAATGATCAAATATGGTAATCTGGCATTTAATTCCACCTAGGTAAAAGAAGCATTGGAAATGAATGTTTTTCTCCTGACACATGTATATATCGGTTGCACCACCAGATAAAGTCAAGGTACCAGGCCGTAGCTCTTGCTTTTGCCAGTTTCTTATGAAATATCAGGGCTTTTTCACTAGTGTTAGAACCAAGGCAGAGACCTAGAAAGATAAATGATTTAATTCGGCCTGTCAGATTCTATTTGCTTGGAAGCAAGGATTCACGAGGAGAAAAGCACATTAATTGAGGTCTTAAGGTGGTAGTAGAACACATTTTATTTATTACTGCTTTCTGTGTAGAGGGATTTTTTTTTCTTCTTCCTTTTAACGTTTATTTGGTCTTGTTCAGTCAACTTGTATTGAGTGGGTTCTGTGCTAGGTGAGGAAAACCACAGTGAATAAGACCAGCTGGTGGGAGATGGAACAGAGGTGTGGCAGAAACCAGGAGAAGAGATGAAAGGGCTTTCCTCTGGGACTGTGACAAGAGACTTTCCTCAAAATGATGACCTCTACTCTAGAGTTTGAGAAGGTCTTAGGCAGGCAGGAAGGGTAGGAAAGCTTCTCCAGGCAGAGGGAAGAGTAGGGGCAAAGCCACACTGAGGTGGAAGAATCTGACGTCTCTGAGAGCTTAAGTGAGCTGGCCACACTGAGGCCTTGTGTGAGTTGGGAGGCCTTTGAGAAGGAGCAAAGGAAAAAGTCACTTGAGATGAGCTGGAGAGGTCCGTGGAAGAATCTGGTCACAAGGGGCCTTGTAACTCCTTAGAAAGCCCTGTGGGATTATGGAAAATTGTGTCAGACTTGGGGTTGGGGTAGGTGTCTAGATTAGAGGAACTGAAAGGGGTCATTTTTAGGATTTGGGTTTTGATCCAAAGAGCAATGAAAGCCACTGAAGCGCGCTATGATTAGATTTGCGCTTTGAAGACATTATTCTTTTTGCAGGATGAAGAATGGCTGGGTCACAATGGATGCAAAAAGACCTGTTAGGAATCTACCATAGGGTCCTGACAGAAGAGAAAGGTAGCCCAGCATAGGTGACTGAGTGGAAGTAGACAGAAGGGGAAGCATTTAAGGAGAGACATTGGATATTGATATTGAAGGGGAGGGAGGTGTCAAGATGGTTCATACAACATAGCCCAGACTTCTTCTTGATCTTCTGCCCATGGACAAACACAACTTGCCATCATCTGTCTTCAAATGGCATCCAGAACTTGGAGGTATGGACCAGGTGTGGCTTCTGTGGACATTTTATCCCCGGCATCTATAGCCTCTGATTTTTAAGCAAATGTCAGACAACCAATGTGACAGACGATTGGATCTTGGCCTTTTTATTCTTCTCTCCCCTGAACTCCTGTCACCTGCTCTGTGGCAGATATCGTAAATTAACTCATTCGGTTTCCATTGCAACATTCTCCTACTAACTCTGTGGTTCATAGAGGCCAGAGAGCCAAAAGCAACATTTCCCAGAACCTTTTGCAGGTCACCCATGTGACCAAGGTGCCTCCAGGCAAACACACCTTCTCCAGTCTTACAGGCAGAAGTGCACAATGTATGGCAACTGCTAAGTACAGGGAGATCAGATGTTCTGGCAAATGAGGTTACCAAGCTTCCTGTTCTTCCAAGACTGTGGGTGGTAGAGTTTCTGGTGTCCAGTCTATTGTCATATAGCTTTTTTTCCTGGCAGCTTTGTTCCTATTTGTAGCATCCAAACCCAATTCTCTAACCCTCCTGGAAATTATATGAGTTACCTAAGACTTTCTGCCTAAAGTATCTGAAGTGAATTCTGTTGCCTGCAAATAACAACCTGTGATATGCTCATCAGTGAACTTCATTTATTATTATATATTTTATTTGTTGTTCTACAGGTAGTGACACCTTTTTTCTGAACATAGCGTCTGCTCCTTAAAGACAAAAAAGTGGTCACGTACCCTCTATCATGTTAGCCACAGTGCAGAGAACATAGTAGGTGCAATGTGGATGACTGCCATTTTTGCCTGCTTGACATCCAATCATCATTCTCCCAAAAGTACCAGATACACAGACTGTCCTCGAATTTTCCTCTGGGAAGCTACGTCTTCTTCAGTCTGTTTATTTGCTTTGGTGTTATGGACTTCTAGAGCCAAGGATGGGCATGAGACTCAAGCCTGGCCAATCACAGAGCATTGCATCCCACTGATTACCATAATTAATGTAAAGATGGGAACATGACCCAATCAGAGCCAATGTTTTAGGATCTAAGGATTTTTGACTGGACTGTTGAGAGAGAGAGAGGGAGGGAGGGAGGGAGGGAGGGAGAGAGAGAGAGAGAGATGCACATCTATCTCATCTGTCTACTCTCTTTCTGTTAGGACCACTGATACAAAGGAAGAGGTGAGCCAGTTATGTTGGAGGCTCCATGTGGAATGGAAAATGAAGTCAACCCAAAGGCAAGCAAAGCCAAGAAATTGGGTTGTTGACACTGTTTGAGATTTGCATAGACCAGCCTTGCCTGAAAACACCCCTACTCCTGGGCTGTTCAGTCAGGAAAACCATTAAAGTTCTTAAAAATTTTTTTGTTTTGTTTTAGCCAGTGAAGTTGGGTTTTTGTCACTTGCAACTGAGTCCTGACTAATACAGAGGTTGTCCAGAAATATCTCCTGATTGGGTCATCAGAAAAAGGGCAAGAGTTGAAGGTCTTAATTCCCTATTTTCTCCCTTCCTTTCCTTTCCTTTCCCTTCCCGTCCCTTCCCTTCCCTTCCCTTCCCTTCCCTTCCCTTCCCTTCCCTTCCCTTCCATTCCCTTCCCTTCCCCTTCTTCCTTCTTCCTTCTTCTTCCTTCTCCTTCTCCTTCTTCTCCTTCTTCTCCTTCTCCTCCTTCTCCTTCTTCTCCTTCTTCTCCTTCTTCTTCTTCTTCTTCTTCTTTTTCTTCCTCTTCTTCTCTTTTTTTTTTTTGATAGAATCTTGTTCTGTCACCCAGGTTGGAGTGCAGTGGCACAATCTGGGCTCACTGCAACCTCCACCTCCCAAGTTCAAGCGATTCTCTTGCCTCAACCTCCTGAGTAGCTGGGATTACAGGCACCCACCACCATGCCTGGCTAATTTTTTTTTTTTTTTTTGGTATTTTTAGTAGAGATGGGGTTTTACCACGTTGACCAGGCTGGTCTCGAACTCCTGACCTCAAGTGATCCACCTGCCTCAGCCTCCCAAAGGGCTGAGATTACAGGCGTGAGCCACCGTGCCTGGCCTTAATTCCCTATTTTCTTTTTACACTTTCTCTCACCTCCACTCCAGCCTTTCACCAAGTGATCGAGACATGTCCAGACATTTAATGATTTGATGCAACAAACAATTCAAATACAGCTGAGATGTTTGCCTCCATGAGAGTCAAAAACAAACAAACAAAGAAAATCAAGATGTACCCTGATCAATTACTCTGTTAAACAAATTGGCAGCTGCTTCTGGAAGGGAAGAGACTCCCAGTGAGGGCCAGGCAATGAAAGGATGTGGCTCTGAGCTCTGTCCAGCCATAGATGCTATTTGCCACTGTACAGCATGGTGGTTAAGAACCCTAGCACATATGGAATTAGGGTTGTATGGATCTGAATATTACTCCACACTTGTTAGATGTGCGATCTTGGCCAAAATGCTTAACTTCTATAAATCAGCCTCAGACTGGCTTATAATGAGGAGACGTTTATTGGCTTACACACTTAGAAAGTCCAGGGAGGTGTCTAGCTTCAGGTTGGGCTGGATCCAGTTACTCAAAGGATCTAAGTCAGGAATCTGCAGTGCTTCCTCTCAGGCTCTCTTTCCTTCTGAGCTGGCTTCATTCTTAAGCAGCTGGGTTCATTCCGGTGGGAGTCAAATGGCCTGGAAGAGCGCCAGGCTTACACATTCTCCCAGCCTTGCTCTCCCAGCAGAGAGAGCACGCCTCTCTATGGCTCTGGTGAAAATCTCTATGGCTCTGGAGAGGCAGAGCTCTCATCCGGTCACCTGGGGTCCCCTGCACATCCCTGGAGTGAGAAAGTGAGGTCAGATCACTGAGACGGGGAAGGGAATGTTTCTCAAAGGAAGAGCAGGGGGCTGTTCCCAGAAGAGGGAACCGACACTAGCTGGGTAAAAACAACAGATGCCACTCCTCACTCTCAGACTGTGTTCTCCTGGGAGAAACTGGAAATGTAATCGTTCCCACTTCATAAGGTTTTGGTAAAATTAAATGAGTTAATGTTTGTGTCGCAGATGCTGTTGGTCCCAACTCAGATCCGCACAACCCTGACCATTTCCACGCATGACCATTTCCATGAATTTCCCAGATTCCATCAGCAGCAGCACCCCGTTGCCCGAGGACTTACTCTGGCTGCTAGACCCCACTTTGCCTGTGCTGGCCACAGGTGGGATGTGCCCGGGAGTGACCAACACCTAGGAGTAGCCTTCCACTGAGGAGCTGGAAGATCAGCAAATACCCCAGCCCCTCACACTTCCAGGAGGGTCAGTCTAGACTGTGCATTCCACACTGCCTCCCAGAGGGTCCCAAGCAGAACTAAACTCTTCTTACCCAGAGTTGCACTCCTTACAGCCTCCTCCACTTCTTTCTCTCATTTCTCCTACTTCCTTACCTGTGTTTCCTAGGGTTACCTCCCAAATAAACAACTTGCACTCCAATCCTTTTCTCAAGGAAGCCCAAAGCAAAAGAGATTGTTATGTGCTGTATATCATGCCTGGCACGTTAGAAGCATTCACTAAGTTATTTGTTATTATTACTGCTGTAGCTGTTTTGAGGTTCATTTCTTCTTCAGTTTCTTTTCTTGATTTTTTTTTTTTTTTTGAGACAGTGTCTCACTCTGTCTCTCAGGCTGGAGTGCAGTGGCATCTCAGCTCACTGCAACCTCCACCTTCTGGATCTAAGCGATCCTCCCTCCTTAGCCTCCCAGGTAGCTGGGATTGCAAGTGTGCACCACCATGGCTAATTTTTGTATTTTTAGTAGAGACAGGGTTTTACCACGTTGGTCAGGCTGGTCTCAAACTCCTGACCTCAAGTGGTCCGCCTGCCTCGGCCTCCCAAAGTGCTGGGATTACAGGCGTGAGCCACTGCGCCCGGCCCTGCCTCAGTTTCTTTTTGCATTAACTGTTGCACCCTCCTCCCTGGCCTTGGCATCACGTGTTTTCCACAAAAGGTAACTTCCTCTTCTGTTATACATTCCTTTTGCCCTCCTGACATTTCCGTGTCTCACAATTTCTTAATTTTAATCTTTCCCCAGGGTAATTATGATTTCGATGAGATGTAAACTTTTAAACAGTTTCAAAGTAATAGTGGCAACCCCAAATCCTAATAGACCAAACACTTGTTGAGACTGTAAACTTCTTGAAGGCAGGAATGATATTGGTTTTCACTTTGCCTCAAGTTAACACGTGTTTGCATTCAGAATGCTTTTTTAAATAAGACAAATTAACAGACTTAATAAAGGAAAGAGATGGAATGAAATCGACTTCCTCTGTACATTACATCTGCTTCCCATCTGCAGTTTTAGCCAAAATGATCATTTTTTATTCACATCTACAAGAATTTGGCCTCTTGCATCTGCAGAGCTGAGCAGTCATTCACTAAATGACACCCTAGTGGTACGAGAGTGTTAATGCACCTCATTTATAAACAAGGAAAACACCCCACATCATCTGGACTATTAACTAATTTCCAATACAATATTAATACAAAACTTATTTCTTGGGCGGAAAGTATTTATGAATAAAGATGGATTTGTCACTAATAGGATGATATCAGTTCAACAAATTCCATATTTTCAAAGTGACAAATTGTGACTTGGCAATATGATAGGGGAATACATGCAGAAGAAAGTTTGGTTTGTCTTGAGAGAAACAACCACAGCGGATCTGGAAATCAAAAGCTTTCTGTTTTGGGTTTCCATCTTCAGACTTCTGAATACTGCACAGCAAGGAGTTGGCAAGGTGGCTGGAGTGATCTTTTCTCAATGAGCTTATGGCTCCCTCTGCTTCCCAAGGGGCTGTCTCCATCTGTTCTGGGCCCCGGTGAGGGTAGGGGGTGGGGTGGCAGCTTGTTTTATGTTGCTGAGAACTAGCAAACAAACCTCCAGGTTACTGTGGTGATGCCAGGTGAGCAAATCTATCAAGGAAGGCAGAATTCTTTTGGGGTGACAGAGCTGCCAGGGAGAGGGGTAAGCAGGGAAGGAGGCATTTTATCAGAAAACTATTCAGGTGGCCGTCTTTGGGGGCTTTCCTGTTGAAAAAAGAAAGAGCTGGAGACTTGAGGGGAAACAAACGTTTGAGGCTGGAGGTGAGACTTTTATACAGTGTTCCCCTGTTTGTGCCCAGAGGAGGTTCTTTTAAACCTGTTCCTGCCTCTTTATCCCTGGATGCCTCTGCAGGCCCTGGGCCTGCTAGGTGGATCCATGTATCTGTTTTCCTGTGTGTTTGTTCAGGGAAAGAGAGGCATGAGCCAGAAGTCTTTGGTTCAAGACCCAGCTCTTCCACTTACTAGCTGTAGGAAGGAGGGGGAGTTGGGGAGGGGGGTCTTTCCTTAAGCCTCAGTTTCCTGGTCTATTAAAAAAAAAACTAATAATTGCTGCCTAACAGGGCTCTTGTGGACAGTGATGAGCACATGCAATCAATTTTTAAATTAAGACATTTCACAAATGTACACTTGACATCAACTGGGGGGAAAGGGTTGGAATCACTTACTCCATCTGGTATGCAGGGGGGAAATGTTCATAGAAGAGCAGGCCTGTGATGGGCTCAGTTAGATCTGGAAGAAAGAGGTAGGTGGGGTCACAAAGTTTAGGTTCAATTTCTATCACTTTGTAGCTGCAGGACCTGGGTTAGGTTATTTAGCATCTCTGAGCCTCTTTCCACATCTGTAAAATGGAGATAAAGAGTCCTGATTCTCCCAAAATTGTTGTGAGAAATGAATCCATTTATCCAACAAATAGATGATGGGATAACACAGACAGAATGAACTTCCATTGGTGTGAATGTGGGACCTGAGCTAAAATCAGGGAATCAGTGAGTGGCTGCAGGAACAGAATGTTAACTTGGGCTAACGTATGTATGAAAAGCAGTTTACAAAGTGGACATTTCTATAATGCTCTGTATAAATGTTATTTAGATAGGAAGCCTAAGAAAACACAGGCATTGGGCCTAATTTAATATTTTCTGGTCTCTTTACATTTAATGTTTATAGGGGTGGGACTGCAAGGGGATTGAATTAGGGGCAGTATGAAGAATTCCTCCCTTCTTTTTCTCAGCCAGGAGACACAGGAAACAATAGAGGGAACAATGGAGAAGCCCCTTTATTCAATATTGGTGAGATCAGCACCAATTTCGATAACTGAATAGAACTTCTGTGTGCCTAATACTTTAAAAAAACTATTGTAAGTTTGAAGCCAGGTCAGTCAGCATTATTTGGGCCTGAAGTTAGTACGTAAAATTTCATCTTTCAATGTTCTCTCCAACATCAATTTTTAGAAAAAATATATCCCCCCCTTATAAAAATCTACAGTGGCCAGTGTGGTTAGGCACCACTGATTTGAAACAGCATTCTTCACCAATCCAGAAAAGAGGATGGTGACCTATTTTTTTTTTAAAGATCATTTGACATGCCTTTGAAAAATAAGTCAATCTCAGAAAAAGAAAACAGGTATTTAGCCAGAAATGTTTTCTGAATTTCTACCAGGAGGCATGCTATTCGCAAGGATGAAGGAACTGTCTTTCTAGAGCCATTCTTTGCTCCTGTTTTATTTCCCCTCTGAAATCACTAGCCGACGTTTCTGACATCACTGGGTTGCTGTGGAAATGTTTATTTCACAGAGGATTTCGACCTCCAGTGGGGAATTTACAAGTGGAAGTGTGAACTCTTGGAAAAACACAATTGGTTTGAATAAAAATAGGCAGCATTTGGAAACGGGATTCAGAAAGAAAACAATATAAACTGCCTTTAAGAGGTTGTTTCAAGTCTTCCTGCAAGGATTCAAATACTTTTAAGAGCATCTTACACAGATATGCTGGTTTTTATTTAAATTTTACTTTCTATAAATATCTGTATAAAGAGTAAGGGGAAGCAAGTAAAGAATGTCTTCTTGCAGAAAAAAAAAAAACACACCTTTCAGCCACCCAATTATTAAGACTGAAAGATTTGGTTCTAAAATACCATTTTGTGAGGAGAGAGAGAAAGACGACATTATATCCGTTTACATTTTTATATCATATAATGGACTTTAGAGAATAGCTCCCTTTAAATAATTGTGACTCAAGGGGCCTGAGTTTTAGTGCAGAAGCTACAAAATCCATTTTCGTTTTAAACTGTTAAATCAACAGAACGCCAAACTAGAGCCTTTCTTCCTGCTGGGGCAGTATTGTCCCCTAAATCCACTTTCCAGTCCTCTCAGCCTAGCCTAGTTTGATGTAGCATTGACTTAGCTTAACTACAGCAACCGGCAAAAGGAAGTGGGTTTGCATTTGGAATGGGAGGAGGCAGGCACCGGTGTGTCTGTGCCTGCGTGGACACGCGCGCGGGGGGGCTGGAGGGATCGCGAAAGCAAGAAAAGCGGGACATAGCAACTATGTGAAAATAATTTTCCAGTGGCTGGAAGAGGGGTCTCTGCATGGAAAAGCAATTTTAGGAATAAAAAAAAAAATCTTCAAACAGGGCGGAAGGAAGGCTTGCCAGGAGGTTGCCGGACGTAGCGGGGGGGTGGGCGCCTGTGTTTTTCCTCGAGCATTTTTCCTCTTCCCGGGCTCAGGGCGGCCCACTCCCCACCCATCCATCCACCTGCCCGCGGCCTCACCCGCGCCCCCTGCCGTCCCGGGACGCGCATGGCCCGGCGGCTATGGCGAGGAGGTCGGAGAAGGCGGCCGGCCGGCCGCGGGCTGCAAAAGGTCTGGCGGCGTGGTCTGATTTAGTGGCCGGGGCTGTAGTACAGGCTGTCCCCGGCAGCCGGCGGAGTCAGCGCGCCCACGTGACGGCCCCGGCTCTCCGGTGAGCTCCCCAAACAGACGCACACCCAGCCACACGCGCGCGCTCGCGCGCGCGCACACACAACACACACACACACACACACACGCACGCACCCCCGCGCGCACACGCCCGCCCGCTCGCGCTGCCTCTGCGCCTCCATCCCGGCTCGCTCATTATCTCGCCCTCTCGCTTCCCCTGCGGTCTCTCGCTCTGCGCGCACACACCACACACACGCACACGCACACACACGCGCGCACACACGCAGCCGGCACAGGCGGCGGCGGCGGCTGCCCAAGTCAGGACGAACCTATCTAGGTACCGTCTTGAGAAGGCGGCAGCGGCGGCGGCGGCGGCGGCGGCGGCAGCCCGAGCATCCCTCCTCTCCCGGAGAGGGAGCACCGCCGAGAGTTTCCGTTCCCTTTGCCATTCCCTTCCCCCTCCTTTTCTTTTATTTTCGAGAGAATTTCTTCTTGGCTTATTGG
Source organism: Homo sapiens (assembly GCF_000001405.40). Lineage (NCBI taxonomy): Eukaryota > Metazoa > Chordata > Mammalia > Primates > Hominidae > Homo > Homo sapiens. The sequence goes on along the minus strand of NC_000004.12, from coordinate 24,472,544 downwards.
TTTAATTTGATTTTTAAAATTTTGGGTTGCTTTTGTGTATGTGTGCTTTTTTTTTCTTTCCTCATTTTATTTGCATCCAGAGCATGGCGGGCTGCGGGCTGTCGGAAGACACCCTCTTCTCTTCCTTCTTTTACAACTACGGCTCCTCCTGGGAAACCCCTTCCAACCAGGTAAGGGGTGGCTCGGTGCCGGGCGGCGTCGCGCCCCTTGCCCCCTGCCGCGCGCTCACTTGGTACTTGGTGGGGAGGCAGAGGCTCGGGAGGGGGTGGGGAGGATGGGGGGCCAAGTGGGTCGCACTGTCTGGGTCAGCGCCAACCGGCGAGAGGAGATACCCCCCCTTCCCCCATCGCTAGCTTTCCAGTCTCCAGGTTCTGTCGCGTTCCTCCCGTGCCCAATCTGCCATCGACACCTTCCCCCACCACCTCCCAGCCCAGCGGGAACCCGAGAAAGAGGCAGGAGCCGGCGCGTTACCCCGAACAACTCCAGGCAGAACCAGGGAACTCGAGCGCAACCTTCCCCAAGTCGCCGCGGGCGCCGCGCCCCTGTGCGCCCGGCGCCTACCCGCCTTCCAGTTGCGCCGAGGGGCTGCAGAGCCGCAAGCCCCCCGCGACGTGCTGTCCCCCCTCCACTCCCCTCGGGGCCCGAGCCGCCTCTTTCCCTAAAATGGCTGCAATCTCAAGTAGAGGCGTCCCCTGACCCGCGGAGGTGGGGGGGGTGGGGTGCAGAGTGGAGCCTCCGCTCCTCCTGACCCCGCGCCTCCCCTGGGGCACAGAAGCACCCCACAAACACACTTAACTTTGATGACTGTGCAATGCAGTCCGGCTGCATCGTGCCCTAGACGCTCCACGCCGCCGGCCTGTAGGTGTGCGTGTCGGTGTGACTCGGGGGGCCCAGGGACGCTGGGGGTAGACGCCGGAAGGGGGGCGTGGAAGGAGATGGATGTCAGCGGGCCACTGGTAACCTGGAGAGACAGGCATGTGCTCAGGGTCTAGGGGTGAAAAAGCTATTCTGGGAGCTGGAGCGAGAAATAGAGAGAGGAAAAATGCCTTTTAATTAAATAACTGTTGTAGTCTGCTGCCCCCACCGCTTGTTGGTGAAAGTCTACAGGCATCTGTCATCTCCAAACTACGCGGGGAAGTAGAGCTGGGGTCGAGGGAGGGGAGGCATGTGTGTACGTGTATGCGTGTGTGTGTGTGTGCACGCGGGTGTGTGTCTGTGTGTGGGTGTGCGCGCGCGCTCGCGTGTCTGGGCTGGGGAAAGTTGGGGCCAGAGGAGCGGTGGAGGAGCAATGGTGAAAGGCATTAGCTACTCGGTGGGCGGTCCAGGGCGCCGGGGATTCCCGGGCCCCGCGGAGCGCGCACCGCGGGGGGAGCTGGCCCGCTAGGGGTGGGGGGTGTCGAGGAAAAGAGCTCCGTTCAGCCCGGCTCGCCTGGCCTCCGCGGCGCCTCTCCTCCGGAGCCCGCCAGCCAGCCTCGGCCGCTTGCGGGGCTGCCCGCCGCGCTCGCCGGCGCTGGCGCGCTCCCTCCCGGGCCCGGGGCGCAGCGCGTTCCTGCGAGCTCCCGGCAGAGAAGACAAACCCCGAAAGCAACCGAAAAATGTTCGCCGCCGCCGCCTCCGCATCACCCCAAGTTTCCAAGAAACAAATCGCCAAACTACTAGCTGCCAGGTGAAGACCTCTCCGGCGTGGGCTCTCCAGAAAGCGCTGCGGCCATCCGAGTGAATAATACATAAGGGCCGCCCGGAGCCTTGGAGAGGCTCCCGCCGCCGCGGCAGCAGCAGCGGGAGGCGGCGGCGAGCTCTGGGCAGACCGTCGGGCCGCCGCCGCGGGTGGGGGCGTCTGGGCTGCCCCCGGGAAGTACGCCGGCCGTTCGGGCGGGGCGGGAGGGCAGCCCAGGCGCGCGGAGTGAGGATTCGCGGTGAGGCAGCCGGGAGACACGAGGCCTCGCTGCGAGTAGAAACTTGCAGGAGCTACTGAGGTGGTCGGGCCGGCGCTGGAGCTGGGGGCCTGGAGAAGCACGATCGGGGCCCGGAGGGTGCCCGGCTGCCCGTGGCCGGCGCCGGTGGCTTCCTTCAGGCTATCCTGCCCCGCCTGGCGGGCCTTGGGTGCTCTCCACGCTTCCTTGCATCCGCCCAGGATTGCCGAGAGCCAACGACCACTCCGGCTCCGCAAACTCCAGCTCTCCAGGAGCGGGCGTCCGCGTGCCTGCCTGTGTGAGAGAGTGTGTGTGTGTGTGTGTGTGTGTGTGTGTGTGTGTGTGTGTGTGTGTCTGTGTCTGTCGATGAGTCAGAAACCAAGCCCTGCTCGTCTTTGAGGACTGAGGCGGGTACGAAAGGCTTGAACCACGCACCCGGTACAAGCCCGGCCGGCATTCGGGCATCCTCGGCAGCGCCGCGCCCCCCAGTCCTGGAGTCAGAGGCGTTAGGACAAGTTTCCAGGCGCGTGCCTCCGACCTGCACCCCGGGGCCGTGAAACTCAGGCACTTTGTATTCCTCCAAAGGAAGAGAGGAAGGAGACTTGGGTCTAAGGAAGCAGTGATACAGCTTTGCAGAGATGGGAGGTTTCGCAGCATCTTTAACGAGATAGAAACAAGTCATTTGAGAGCGTTTAAAAGCGAAGGGCTGCGGCTGGATTTCACAAGACAGGCAATCACGTGCAAACTCCTAGGAAACCAGAGGAGGTGGGAGAGAGGGACTGGATGGGGGCAGGTTTGGAGTAAAGGAAAGAGAGAACCATTTGCGGAGGGGGGCGTTTTAAAAAGAGGAAAACTACCGGCTTCTTCAGGTAAAGTTAGTTTAACTTGAGGTGGAAAAGCGTTTCCCCAAGAGGCAACATCTTTCTTCTAGAAGGGGATACTCATGTTGCTAAGAAAATCGAAAGAATTTCTGATAAAGCAGCTGGCTCTGCTCTCTGGAGAATGATTGGCTCTCGGGCTGGTATTGGGTACTGTGCTACTCTTAGTGCAGTGAAATTGTATGGTGGGGAGAGGAGATTATTTGAAGTATTGATTTCTTCTTCCAGTGGTGTGGTATGAACTTTAAGATAAAGTACAGAAACAAATGAGAGATGTACATCATTAGGGGAAGGTGCGTCAGATGCTACCGAAGCTTTAATCTCTGGTGGTAAATGCAGCCGGGGCAGTGAATCTTACCAGGATTTGCGGTTTCCAACACTGCCACAATCTCCATTTTCAGAGATGAAGAATACATGTGCATAACGGGCCTTACTGATCTCCAGTTTGCATTTTCAGCATTTGAGCATGGGCACATGTTTGAGAAACCTGCTCCTAACTGTTCCTAAGAAGAAAAAGAATACAACAAAGGCGATACTTTAAATCTCATCTTGGACTCGGGCAGAGCTGCTATAGGAAGGCCTGGGCCAAATTTGCAAGAGTGAGACTTGTTCATGATTTTACCCTGATTGCTGCCAAAATGCTTACATATCCTGCGTTTCCTAAAAATGGCAATGTTCTTCAGATATAATTTGTTTACTCTACCTCAATTAAAAATCCTTTTCCTAGTGTTATATAGTGCTTATGAAGGTAAGCGTTGACTGTACTAAAAAAAAATCAAGCTTTTTATTTCTAGATCAATATGATGTGCTCTCAACATCTAATACCATGTAAAAGGAACCTTTCTGCAACATCAGTAGCAGGCAGGCATGTCTCCCTAAGAAGCTCTTTTCCTGGAATCACAAGGCATTTTGATTACTTTCATTTTCACAAGAAACATGATTATGACGCCTCTCGTTATAAACAAGCAAGTAAAAAAAAAATAATGAAGATGGAGCTTCTTGATATATAGACCTGGAAAATTGGAAACAATGAGGGTGTTTATTCATTACTGAAAAACAGAAACACAAACAAACAACAAAAACCCAGCCACAAATCATCACTGACCAGGTTTTTACTTGTTCTGTGACATTTTATTCTTGAAGCTGGGGAGGGAGGGGTGATTTTTTTGGAGAGAGCCCAATGTGTATTAGAGCCGAAACTACATCTGTTACCATTTAAAAACTGGGAAATTTCGTCCTATATCTGAGAGGACCATGTTGCAGATATTTTGCACCCACTTGCCAATGTGCAAAACATATCATAGCAAGTGTGTGTGTGCGGGGGGGAGCATCTGCTTAGGTGGAATTCATTTCTTCAATTAGAATGAAACCCCCAGTTAAAGTGTATATGTGAAATGTCTCTGATTTGGCTCAGTGCAGCAGACAGCAGACCATTCTTTAATTTACAGTTTCACGCCTAGGGATGGCAGTAGTGCAAGCTTCCAAAACCGAGCTTTATCTTTTGATGTTGTGCTTTTCAACCTGTGATTCTCTCCTGTAGTTGTTTCGGCTTCCTGTCTCCATCAGAAAGCTGACTGTGGAGTGGTTATTACTGCTTGCAGTTTGGACCCAGGTCACCTTATTAGCTGTCACTATGTAAGCCCAAATCGAAGCAGGCCAGGTCTGTATGATATTGAATCAATCAATTGAAAGTGAAAAATGGAGCCAATTAGCTGACTGCTCGAGTGTCCATGAGGCCAGACATCTGACTTTACTCACCTGATTGACCAGCTTTTTGGTTACTGGGTAGCTTAACCTGAGGCTACGTAAAAGACATTACCACGAGGCTTGACCCTGCTTTTTAAACTTTTCTTTATCTGCTCCCTGCCCCCACCACTTCCCAAATTTTCCAGACTAGAAATATAAAAATGGCATCTTCATAAGGGAACTATCTTCTCAGAGTAGGCAGTGACTGTTTTGAATTAGCCAGTACCCATAATTCTGTATACTCACTGTGTCTTCTCCAGCAAGGTAGAAGTTTCAGTGCAGAATCATTAATGGACGTGGGTAAGTTGTCGAAAGCTTGTGCTGACTGCCCATTTTTTTTTTTTTTGGCTTGGCATTACCTCCATGAATATGGATAGCCAAAGCAGAAAGCAGCCCACTGAGGAACACTTCTTTTCCATTCAGTCCAAATACCATAAAGAATTCAGTGTTTTTTTTTCTTTCTTTCTGGACATTTCATAATTCTTAAAGTGGTGACAATGTTGGCATCCCCGGAGATGAGCCAAGACTTGGGAATGTCCTCCATTTACAAAGTTGTTAGATAGCCAATACCTCAAAGTTCAAAAAATATCAACTGGGCTTCTATACCTTTTCAACATTTTTATTTCCCTGAAGATGTAGTATGAACTGCAAAAGAGTTTTAAGTGCATTTCTACGTTCTTACCTTAAATAAATTTTAGAAATCCTCCTGTAAATCCAGCTCACAGAACCCCACTTTTCACATAACTCCAATTTTTCTGACTTTGGGTTTCTCCTAGGGGTATAGGAGAGGAAAAGAGTTTGTTGCAGGTCTTCCAATAAGGCTGGCTTACTTAATGCATCAGCTGGAAAACATTGTTCGCTTTTCTTTCCTTCCTTCCTTCCTCCATCCCTCCCTCCCTCCCTCCTTCTCTCTCTCTCTCTCTCTCCCTTTCTTTCTTTCTTTCTCTTTCTTTCTTTTTCTCTCTCTCTCTCTTTCTCTTTCTTTCTTTCTTTCTTTCTCCCCTTCCTTCCTCCCTCCCTCCTTTCTTTCTTTCTCTTTCTTTCTTTCTTTCTTTTTTTCTTTTTCTTTCTCTCCCTCCCTTCCTTCCCTTCCTTCCTTCCTTCCTCTTTTTTTTTTTTTTGCTGGTGTGCAGTGGTGCAATCTTAGCTCACTGCAACCTCCACCTCCTGGGTACAAGCAATTCTCCTGTCTCAGCCTCCTGAGTAGCTGGGACAACAGGCGCACGCCACAACGCCTGGCTAATTTTTGTATTTTAGTAGAGATGAGGTTTCACCATGTTGGCCAGGCTGGTCTCGAACTCCTGACCTCGGCCTCCCAAAGTGCTGTTTTTCGCTTTTCTTTGTAATATATGTAAACCTTAAACTTGGTAATTAAAGAGCAGTGACAATGACTAACATTTATCAATTGTTGTTCCATATACTTTATAAATATTTGACTCATTTAATCTCCATAACAACATATGAGGTAGGTACTTTTACTGTTATTCCCATTTTATAGATGAGGCAAACAAAGCACAGAGAATTAAGTGACTTGCCTAAGGTCTCAGCGCTAGTCAGGGAAAGCTGGGCCCTCCACCAGACAGACTTGTGCCAGCTTCCTCTTCTTATCCCCACTGTACTCACTTTCTGCTACAACACAGAAGAAATTGTGTGGCCACATGTACATTTCTGGCAAGTTTGGCAATGGTGTCATTTATTTGCCAGCTTTGTGAAATAGTGAATATCTCCTTTGTTTGCCCAAGTTTACCCACTTTCTTTTATATAACCAGATAGAATTCTTTTTGATGAACGAGGTGAAGTTGTCTCTTTTGGTGGAATCAACCATAACTACCTGATGCTTTTTGGACTAGATGTTTGAGTTGACCATTCTTTTTGGTTTGAATGGTAGATCTAGCCTGAGAGATAGACAGGGCCTTCTAAAACAGAATAATTATGGTTTAGTGGGGCACTCATTCCAAATGTACATGAATATCAATAAAATATTCGACAGAAGAAATATAACTGTGAGATACATGAATAGAATAATTTTATAATCATTCAGATGTATCAAAACCCTATCATATATATAGTGAGGGATACACTGTCATGAGCTAATCCGTGTCACTTTCCGCTTGTGCTACATATAGTTACATTTGAGATTTAGGCTGAAATTTACCTTTCTCATCCCGGCCATGTTATAACAGGTATCTTCTGTACTGAATCATGCGCCTAACATTTATGTCCATCATGAACTAATGCCTTTTAGTGGTTCAGCCCTTATTTTGTGATCTTCCAAAATACAGTTGTGGGAAGCGGAGGGAAAACATTAAATGTCAGTAGTTACAGCAAGACAGTCTCTATGAAGAGGGCAAGGAGTTTCTCACTGCTTTCACGTTCCTGTAGCCCTAGCGGAAATGTAAAAGTGCAAGGCTTGCATTGGAATGAGAATGGGGTCACCTACCCCTTGTATTCATCATCAAGGAAGCAGAACTTCCTTCCAGAGAGACCATAGGAAATCAATGATCACACTTTGCCAGCGAAGAGGTAAATGTGTACAGCAGACGGCATTAAATAAAAGGGCAGCAGAAAAGTGATTTACTCTAGAAGGCAGTGTGACTTTTTGGTCCTTTTGAAAAATTCACCTTTTTGATATAATAATTATATTAAAATGTTTCTTTCTTTCGGATTCTATGTTTTAAAAAAAGAAGAAAGGAGAAAATGCCATTAGGTGGTATTACATTATTTTCACATGAAGATCGTTATTTCAACAAAGCAGTGTCTAGAATATGGTACCAGATCCACCCCCACCCTTTTTGTGTGTGTTAATAAGGGTTGACTATATTTATTGAAATTTACTGATTTTGCCAGAGCACGGTTTTTCGCACCTGTAATCCCAACTGCTCAGGAGGCTGCGGCAGGAGGATTCCTTGAGTCCAGGCGTTCAAGACCAGCCTGAGCAACACAGGGAGACCCCCATCTCTAAAGAACAATAAAAATAACCAGGTGTGATGGCGTGTGCCTGTAATCGTAGCTACTGACCCCATCTTTAAAAAAAGTTACTGGGTTTATGTGCATTTATGCATTTGTTCGGTGTAGTTGCTGAAGCAGAGGGGAAGCTTGCTACTGGGGGAGGCTCACCTTGACCAGAAGAGGTTACGCTGGGGTCTTCATACAGGAGAAACATGCGGTGGAGGGGAGGAGGGAAGCGGGCAGGGGAGGAGATGGTTGATGCAAAGGGAAATGTAGATGTGGAAACTTAATGGAATGTGGAAGAGCAGGTGTGTAGTTCTAATCTGCTTCCCCTCTGTAGTGTGCACGTCTGATTGCTTTGTGAGCACGTCTTCTATAGATTTCAAATAGAGAGCTGCAGGTAATAGCTAAAAGCCCAGTGAACGTCTGGCTTCTTTGTGGAAGAAGACAAGACATCCATGTAATCTCTTGCCTGAAAGAGTATTAGAAAGTGTGTTGGTTGTGTAATAACAAGCAAAAAAGATGCAAAGAAAAAGAAAAAGCTAACCAACAACCCCTACACATTCTGCTCCAATTTATTATTTCCAGTAGCAGTTTAGTCCCTAATGTTAACAATGAGTGATTATGATTCTGTAGTTTCATTTACAGCATAAATTAGCATTTTGTTTTCTGTTACAGCTTTTGAATGAGGAATTATAATGTATAATTTGCTGAAAATAGATGTTATCATCTCTTAGGATGAGAACAACCACATAAACTTGAACAAATGATAAAAATGGAATCAATTACATTTCAAATGGAAGTAGTTTACAAACCTCCAAATACAAAGTGGCAGTAGTAGCTGGTTATTGTAACAAATAATTAGTTTTTTTAAACAACATTTATTGAATTCCACTGACAATTTGGTAATTGTTCACAGTTGGCTGTAGGCCTCCCTCTCCTAAAATGAAATGTGGCATGGAACAACTGCATTTTATAAACTGTAGTTTGCCTCATTATTTAATGTTGCAACCAGAATGTATATTTATTTGCATATATAACCCTTTCTGAATAATAGGGAAATATCAAATTGAATAAAACAATGTCACCAAGCCTAGGTGACAGGTAAACACCCAAGGGCTGGTGATTGAGAGTATTGTCAGGTTCCAAAGAAAGAAAAGAAGCAAACAGTCAAAATGGATATGCGTGCATGTATGTTGAAGGGAAAACATTTTAAATGTTCTATCAAATAGGCAGATCATATTTTTATTTCAGCAGGAATTGACTTTTTTTTCCCACTCCCATTGCTCTCCTTTCCATAAAGCTTTCTGTCTCTTGCTGTCATATTTATTTGGAAGTCTTGCCTCCCATTCTACTGAGGAAGCTGATTTTGAGAAAGAACCACACCCTCTTCAATTCTAGATCCTCATCCTGCCCAGCCTGTAGTGGACAGACAGAGCATATGTGTTGGATAAATGGCTGAAATGTCAGAAAACAACTTTTATACCAACACATGTGTCACTTTATTTATCATTCTTTGTTCCATCTCTTAGGATGATGACGGCAGTTCCGCAATGTCATTTTTGAAAATGAGAATTTGACTTGGAGAATAAATGAATCCTGCTTCCATTTAAATGTCCCCAGGGAAAAACAAGATTGGGTTACCATAGGCTTGCTAAACCTCTTAATTTTTCAAATGAAAAAATTATGAAGGATATGCTTACATTAACAAATCCAGAAGCAGTAAAAAAGGAAAAGTGGGAATCTGAAGAGTTTTTGCTTTTTGTTATTTTTGGTAACTGCTCCATGCTGAGTGGATCATTTAATTTTGATTATTTCTAAAAGATTAATCCATTTCTTTAAAGTTAATATGCAAAGAAATATGTTCAACATCACTTTATTTTTAGATCCCACGATTTAGTCCTGAAACAAATCAGTGATGCATTATAAACACATAAGAATGTATCTAATGATGGGAGTCAGGCTGAACAGATGCTAAAAAAGATGCTTCGTGTGAAGTCGAGGGAGCTGCAGGAGGGAATGGAAAAAAATCTCTAGAAGTTGGCGGGCTTGTGAGGTGAACGCTATGGAGACTTTTCACCTGCTAAGTATGTGCTTGTGCAGTGCAGAAGGGACTCTGCTCCTGGGTGAAGGTGGAGGGGGTGACATCCATCCCCTGCAATTGTTGTGAGGATTAAATGAGACCTTGGACCTGAAAGACGTTTGTTACTGACTTAATAAAGGGCTGAGTCAATGTTGCTCTCACCAGTCATTCCTCAAATATTTATGGAGTTCCTACTGATGTGACAGCTGAGCAGACCGCCCGGTCCATACTAGATTCTCAGCAAATTATATTGAGTCCATCATAATAGAATCCACTTACAGACCACTTACTGTAACATTCCAGAGACATTTTAAAGTGCTTTACATGGATTCACTCATTTCATCATCAAATTACCCTATGAGGTGGGTACTATTATTAGTATTCCATGAGGAAACTGAGGCCCAGAGAGATGAAGTAACGTAGCCAAGGTCACACAGCTAGTAAGTGGTAGAGCCAGGATTTATATGAAGCATGTCTGGTGTCTGAGCCCATGTTTTAACTATCCTGTTAGGCTGCATTCAGATGGATGAACTGATGGAGGAGTGGAGAGAGGAGCATCAAGGACAAATAAAACATGCTGGCCAGGCGCGGTGGCTCACACCTGTAATCCCAGCACTTTGGGAGGCTGAGGTGGGTGGATCACCTGAGGTCAGGAGTTCGAGACCAGCCTGACTAACAAGGTGAAACCCTGCCTCTACTAAAAATACAAAAAAAAAAAAAAATTTAGCCGGGTGCGGTGGTGTGCACCTGTAATCCCAGCTACTTGGGAGGCTGAGACAGGAGAATTGCTTCAACTGGGGAGACAGAGGTTGCAGTGAGCCGAGATCCCGCCACTGCACTCCAGCCTGTGCGTTGGAGCGAGACTCCATCTCAAAAACAAACAAACAAACAAAAAACATGCTGCTCTGCATGTCTAAAAATGAAAGAAAAAGAAAAAAAATGCTGCCTTCAACATGAATGTGTGTTACAAGTGGAGCCCCACCCACCTGGATGCAAAGAAGATAGAAAACAGTTAGTGCTTTAGGGAGGAGATAGCGGTGCTGTGGTCATTTGGAGAAGAGGGAGTTTACTTTTGGCTGGAAAAATCACAGAAAGTTTCAAGAAGGCAGCGACATTTGTTCTGGGCTTTAAGAAATGGAGAGCATCTGGGAGATGAGAATGGGGGATGAGAGTGGGGACATTTGAGGCAGAAGGAAAGTGTAGAAGGAATTAGTCAAGGAATACCTGCCGAGAGTTTTTTTAAATTGTGTTAAATTTTTTTCATTCAATGAAATTTATTGAGCACCTACAATGAGCTTGCCCTACCCCCTAAGAGAGCTTTCATTTAGTAAGAGAGACACAAAAGTCACACACACACACACACACGATAGACACGATAGAGACATAGACGGATGATATGTGCGTGCATATGAATAGATATACACAAAATAGTACAGCTCTGTCCATCCATATCCATACACACGTCATCTTCACCCTCTCTTTCTCTGTCTCTCCCTCTTTCTTTCTCTCTCTTTTTCCCTTCCTATCATCTAGCTATCATTATCTCTTTTAAACTGTGTGAAGTACCAAGAAGGAAAAATAATGTGCCTAGAAAGAAGAACAGGTGAAAGGAGGCAGAGTCTTTCCTGCTCATTGTTTTGACTTTAGAAATTTAGAAGTAGGAACTCCTCTCCAGTTGTTCTGTCACAAGCAAGAAAGCTTTCAAACTTGGTTGATAATAATTAAGATCTTTGCATCATTTAAAATCCGCCCTAGGCAGGCCATTGTGGCTTACGCTGCAATCCTAGCGTTTGGGAGGCTGAAGCAGAGGGATTGCTTGAGGCCGGGAGTTTGAGACCAGCTTGGACAACATAGCAAGACCCACCTCTACAACAAATAAAAACATTTAGCCAGGTGTGATGGCATGCACCTGTAGTCTCAGCTACTAGGGAGGCTGAGGCGGGAGGATGGCTTGAGCCCAGCAGTTCTAGGCTGCAGTGAGCTAGGATTACATGACTGCATTCCAGCCTGGAGGATAGAGTGAGACCCAGTTTCTAAAAAAATTAAAATCTGTTCTGTTGACAATGTCAGAAGAACAGTTTAATTAGTAAATCAAAGATGAAGTTTTATTTGGATTTATTATACTTCAATAAATTACCAAACTTTTTGTGGATTAAAATTAGCCACTCGAGCTGGAGAGTGAAATAGCGTCAGAAATTGAGGACACACTGTGAGGCCCAGGAAGCAGTGCTAATGAAATCCTTTAGGTCTTTCTTTGTGTGATGTCAAACGAAGAGGGTTACATAGCTTTGATGAAAGAGCCAAACAAATGGTAAAAGAGAATGGAATCATCTTTACCATGTTTATCAAACCCTTGTTGTTTCAGAAAATAGGACTTATTGCTAATTGATTTTTTTGACCCTGATAGTAACAGTTTCATTAGAAAGAATTTAAAAATTATTTCTCCCAATTAAACTAGTCCTAGAGAACAGGCTGCTGAAAAACAATGGTTGCTTCATTGTTTATCTCTATTAACATACATACCGGTTTATTTTCCCAGAATTTTGGCCATATTCATTCTTTCACTGTGCTAGTATAATCAAGTATGATGATGTTTTGGGGAGTGTTTGTAAACCGTAAAGTGTCCTCTTAGTCATTATCATTATGGTGGAAGAACAGTTCGCCGGCTGAAAAGAGAAGCCATTAGCATTGAATACAGACCCAGAATAAAGTAGATGTTAAATAAATATACATTAGATTCACTTAGGGAGTTATGTTAAAATGCTTGTTTACAATGATATTAAACATTTGTACTGTGGCACCTTACTCCAGGAATAATGACTAAATCTGTATTAAATCTCTTTGCATCCACTGTAACCAATTCTGTCAAGTGACCTCTCTAAACATCCCAAAGCTTTGTCTGAGGTCATTTCAGGCTATTGAGTCTTCTTCAAGCATCACTTAGTTGTTTAAATAAAGTAACTAGAGAATGTCCTATGATATGTCAGTCTTTAAAAATACACAAATATCTCTTATTTCCAGAGAGTTTTGGGAAACTACCTCATCTTATATTTGGGCATATACAGTATTTAAGAAGGCTTCGGAAAAAGCACTGCTTGAATGCTAATTGTTGTTATTAGTTATTTTATGCCTATTGTATTTAAAGTAAATATCTACAGTTTTTTTTGTTGTTGTTTGTTTATTTTTAGACAGGGTCTCGCTCTGTCGCTCATGCTGGATTTCAGCGGCGCAATCTTGGCTAACTGCAGATTGAATCTCTTGGGGCTCAAGCAAGTCTCCCACTTCAGCCTCCTGAGTGGCTTGGACTACAGGTGTGCAACACCATGCCTGGCTAATTTTTGTATTTTTTGTAGAGGCAGGGTTTCACCATGCTTCCCAGGCTGGTCTCGAACTCCTGAGCTCAAGCTATTGCCTGCCTCAGCCTCCCAAAGTGCTGGGATTACAGGAGTGAACCACTGCACCTGGCCCAGTTTTTTTTTCCTTAATTGATTTCTGAATACCTTGAGTTTTTTTTTTTTTCATTATTTACACCATCCATAACATTAAATACAGTGTAGGGAATGAAATAGGCACTAACTAAACATCTTTATTAATCATGTGACCAGAGAAATAATCTTTAACTCATTCTTGGAATTTAAAGACATCAGCCCCTAATAGCCACGTGATTATTAGCAAAACAGAAAGGGTCAGAACTTAGATGGGCAGAGCCATTTCCTTTAAGACCCTCCCCAAAAGACCTTTTTGCTAAAAAGGGAGTTTCCCCTTGAAATTAGGATATTTTCACATATAGGGAATATTGTCTTCCTTTATATTTTACCTTTTAATTAAAAAAATTTAAACTTGGCTTCTTAGAGCATTATTTTTGCAAGTAATATACCCAGGAAACTGATAAAAGCATATTATTAATTTTTCTTATTGTAGATATATATTTTTGTTTTGGATTTTTTTTCTTAGAAAAGTTGAAAAAAGAAGAAAAATCGAATCAAAACCATACATCGTCTAAATACCTAGAGATAATCACAGATATTTTGATTTATATATTTCCCGTCTTCTTTCTAGGTGTATGCATTTCATATTTAAGTTGGTATCACATGTAAATATTTGTGTAACCTTATTTTAGTCCAATAAATCATAACTGACCTGCCATATAATATTTCATATGCCTCCATATAATTTTTAGTGGCCCTGTAGTATCCCATTGTATGTTAATAGAACCATTTATTTAACCATCCTGTATCATTGGGTATTTAGGTTGTCACCAATTATGACTAAATCACGTACATATCTATGAGTATTTCTTTAGGGTAATACCCAGTAGTAGAGCTACTGGGTTAAAGGCCGTACAAATGTAATTGCCTCTCTGAAAAGATGCACCAACTTACACTCCAGACAGGTACATGTAAGGGTACCAGATGGAGAATATCATAAAATAAATCCTCATATTACAGTATTTTCTTATCTTTTCCTTTTCTTTTGAGACAGGGTCTCGCTCTCTCACAAAGGATGGAGCGCAGTGGCACGATCTTGGCTCACTGCAACCTCTGCCTCCTGGGCTAAAGCCATCCTCCCACCTCAGCCTCCCAAGTAGCTGGGACTACAGGCGTGTGCCACTACACTCAGCTACTTTTTGTATTTTTTTGTGGAGATGGGGTTTCGCCATGTTCCCCAGGCTGCTCTTAAACTCCTGAGGTCAAGAAATCCACCTGCCTCAGCCTCCAAAAGTGCTGGGATTACAGATGTGAGCCACTATGCCCAGCCCAATATTTTCTTTGTGCATTTGAAAACCCCAAAATAACCCTTTTTAACAACCATACATATTAGTCAAGAGGTCATTCTTACAACTCTGATGACCTTCCTTCATCTTTAGTTTTTGCAAATTCTTTTGGCTGCTAGAACCAAATGTTGGTCAAGGGATCCAAGCAAATAGTTTACATCAAGAGTTTAACTCCAGTTATCAGAGCCTTTTTTTCTTTCCTTCCAGGGTATAATATCTCTGCAAATACCTACTGGCCTATGTTCTGTTGAGATCTACAGAGAAAAATCTTTCTTGTTCTATTTACTGAACTACCTAACTTCAAAACAAGGAATAAACCTGGACTCTAAACAGTATCTCGGTCAGGCACGGTGGCTCACGCCTGTAATCCCAGCACTTTGGGAGGCCAAGGCGGGTGGATCACGAGGTCAAGAGATCGAGACCATCCTGGCTAACATGGTTAAACCCCATCTCTACTAAAAAATAAATAAATAAATAAATAAATAATAAATTAGCCAGGCGTGGTGTCGGGTGCCTGTAGTCCCAGCTACTCGGGAGGCTGAGGCAGGAGAATGGCGTGAACCTGGGAGCGGAGGTTGCAGTGACCCGAGTTTGCGCCACTGCACTCTAGCCTGGGGGACAGAGCAAGACTCCATCTTAAAACAAACAAACAAACAAACAAACAAACAAACAAAAAACAGTATCTTTTGTTATTCCTGAGATAATTCCAAGAGAAGAGGAATGTTGACTATATCCTATGGCATCATTATTGTTTGTCTGATTGGACCCAGGCTAGAAATCTTAAAGATATTTGTGAAAAATAAAGCTCATATTCAAGATGAAACATTAAACCCCACAGTGAAGGTCATTCTCATTCTCTCTGGCTTGCCCCTCTTTCTTTCTCACTTGACTTTCTCATAATTTTTTTCAACAACGTCTTTGGACCCCGGTTCATTAAACTCTCCCTCCCCACATCTGATTTTTCCCCAAGAAAGTGCATTCTGGAGAGGGCAGGGGGAGTGACTATTCATTTGTCTACACTTCCCAGGCTCAAAGGAGCTGTGGTCACTATTGCTTCCAAAACATTCCTTTGCCATAATCCTGCAAAACTGTATGATCCCATACCTCCCAGTGAAATTCCCATAGACCATATTCTACCCTTTTTCCTGGCTGTCTTATTGTATCCCTGTTACTTCCTCTGGTCCCATGAAGGCTCAGTCCCTTGGCTCATGTCCTCTTTGCTATCTGAACTGCCACCATCAGGGTGGTCTTCAGCATCTGCGTGTGCAGGAAATATCCAGTGACTTAGCTTCAGAGTTGCAAGACTTCATCCCCACCATACTTTGCCAGCTCAGTCACATTGCCCACACTCTGGCCTTGTCTTCTGTAATGTCTCTGCTTCCAGAACATTAAACTCCAGTGTAACCATATCTGGTTATACCCTCATAGCCTCTCTGCTTGCTCCCCTACTCTCCCTTTTTCCAAGTTCATTAACCATGCTTTTCCCCTGACTCCTTTTAGCCAGCTGAGAGATCCCATGATATATTATGTTAACCACTGTCTTGCTAAAACCTCAAAGCTCTTAATCTCTCACCCTTCTATATCTGTCCACAAAAATCCTAGTCTTGGATTGGTGCAACCAACTGTTCTGTTTGCTTCTGCATGCAAGCTATTTCCTGCTGTTGGAAAAAACCAGCCATACCAAAGAATGCCAGTATAATTTTATTATCCTCAACTTCAGCGTCATCTAGCAAATATCGTATGGAATATCAAGCTCACTCACTGTTCATATCTGCAGCTCTGAACATTTCCCACTGTCCCCAACTCCCCTGCCCACCAATGGGCTTCCTTCCAGGTAAGGATTCATGGTCACCCAATGTGAATTCCCTCAACCTCTTGTCTCATATCTGGAAATCTCTTATCTTTCCACCCCTAGCTTTTCTTCCACCTGTGCTGTGGATATCATCCCTTGCCATCCTCTCCAGGACTTCAATGCATCAGTTACAGCTTTATGACTCAATAAAATTAGGAATAAATGTACCAAAATCTCTCCCATCTTGAAAAATTCTCCCATCAATCTTTCACTTCCCTTTAGGGGTTATTTGTCTCTTTTTTTCCCTTTGTTGCATGGCATGAAAGGCCCAGCTAATGCTGGGTACTATACCTTTTAATGGCATTAATCAGCATGAGTGTGACATTGGCTGCCACCAGTAGCTCACAGATTCTTTGAGCAAAGAGGCAGATAGTGTCTAAAGCAGCCTATCTGCCAAGCTCAGCTAGATAATTATCTTAGTTCATTTTGTGTTGCTATAACAGAATACCACAGACTGGGTAATTTATAAAAAACAGAGATTTATTTCTTACAGTTCTGGAGGTTGGTAAGTCCAAGAGCATGGTGCTGATGTTTGGTGAGGGCCTTCGTGTTGCATCATTTCATGGCAGAAGGTAGAAGGGCAGGAACGCATGAGAGCAAGAGGGCAAGAGGAGGTGAGCTCCCTCTTATAATAAGCTCACTCTTGGAACAACTAACCAACTCTGGAGATAATGACAGTAATCCATTCATGAGAGCAGGGCCTTCATCACATAATTAACTCTTAAACACTCAACACTGTTGCATTGGGGATTAAGTTTCCAACACTTGAACTTTGGGGGACACATTCAAACCATAGTAGTTATACTCATTGTTTCCAATTCATCCCCTTCCAGGCACTTTTGTAAACAAAATTTATTTTAATTTTTTTCAGAGACTTGCTTTTGCTATGTTGTCCAGGCTGGAGTGCAGTGGCACAATGATGGCTATTGCAGCCTTAAACTCCAAGACTCAAGTGATCCTTCCATCTCAGCCTCTCGAATATCTAGGACTGCAGGCGCAAGCCACAAAGCCCAGCTAATTTTTTATTTTTTTGTAGTGACAGAGTCTTGCTATGTTGCCCAGGCTGGTCTCAAACTTCTGGCCTCAAGTGATCCTCCCACTTCAGCCTCTCAAGGCACTGGGATTACAGGCTTGAGCCACTGCCCCGGCCCCATTCATTCTTTAATGATGGCTGGTAAGAGTCAGCCTTCAATGCTTTGCTAAAACTCTTCTGGCAATGACTTTATAATTCCCAAATGTTTGGGACTCTTATCAGCCCTATTTGTTTTTTTAGACATTACTATGACTTTGACTCTGTTGAGAATTTCCTTTGACTTCTCTCGTGTATTTCATCGGTTTCCTCTTCTCCCTAATTGACTTTCCTGCTTTGCCTGATGTTAGATGTTGATGTTCGTGGGGTCCTAACTTGGATCTCTTGTTCCTTTATTCTATTCTTGTTTTTTTTTTTGTGACAATCTACTCATGGATGGAAATCAGTCACATGACTATCTTTCAGATTTGTATTTCAAAATAAGACCTCTTGCCTGAGACTCGGAACTATTTAACTAACTGGCTTCTTGACAGTCTCAGATATTTCAAACACAATATGTCAAATACAGATTTTTTTTTTTTTGAGACAAGGTCTCTTTCTATCACCCAGCTAGGAGTGCAGTGGTGCAATCCTGGCTCACTGCAGCCTCAACCTCTCAGGTTCAAGTGATCCTCTCACCTCAGCCTCCTGAGTAGGTGGGGCTATAGGCATGCACCACCACACTCAGCTATTTAAAAAATTTTTTTTGTAGAAACAAGGTCTTGTCATGTTGTCCAGGCTGGAGTGCAACTCCTGGGCTCAAGTGATCCTCCCATCTCAGCTTCTCAAAGTGCTGGAATTACAGGTGTGAACCACTGCACTGGGCCCAAGGCAGAATTTCTTATCCGGATTGCTTTGCTCTTGAATTTCTTATCCAGGCAAAAGGAAACAATATTTATCCCACATACCAAGTAACTTTTTCAGTGTACCAAAAACTACCCCAAAACTTTGTGTCTTAAAACTGAAACCATATACTATGTTAAAAAAAAAAACCAGCAACCATGTATAAGTGCACAATTATATGGGTCAGGAATATGGGCTAAGGTCAGCTGGGTGGGTCTTCTGCTTGACTCAGCTGGGTTCACTTATGTCTTCAGTCAGCTGGCAGTTGATTGCTCATCAATCTGGCAGATGGCTGACTGCTGGCTGGGGAATTGGGGCTAACACAGCCATGTATCCACGTTTCCATCATCCAGTAAGCTAGCCCAGGCTTATTCAATAGTAGTGATCAAGAAGATTACCAAGAAGAGTAAGGGAGAAGAAGCTTGCAAGGCGTCTTGAGGCCTAGGCTTGTTACTAATAAAGCATCACTTCTATTTTGTTCTATTGGTCAGAGAAAGTTACAAGGCCAGCCCATATTTAGGAGTTGAGAAATAGACACTACCTTTTGATTGGAGTATCTTCAAGACCACATCATAAGGACAGGTATGTGGAGGTGGGGTGGAGGAGGGGTGAAGGGATGGGAGTGGGGAGGGAATTAGCGACCACTTTTTTTTTTTTGAGACAGAGTTTCACTCTTGTTGCCCAGGCTGGAGTGCAATGGCATGATCTCGGCTCACTGCAACCTTCACCTCCCAGGTAGAAGTGATTCTCCTGTCTCAGCCTCCCAGGTAGCTCAGATTACAGGCATGTGCCACCACGCCCAGCTAATTTTTTTGTATTTAGTAGAGATGGGGTTTTACCACGTTAGTCAGGCTGGTTGCCAACTCCTGACCTCAGGTGATCCACCCACTTGGCCTCCCAAAGTGCTGGAATTACAGGCGTGTGCCACTGCACCCAGCCTAGTGGCCACTTTTATAATTTACTACACCCATAACTCAAGTCGACCTGCATCTCTTGCTTTCCTTCTCCTTTTGCTTCTAGTCAGTCATTAGGTCAGGTTGATGAAGCCTTTATGAGAACTCCCTTACTTGTTCTTATCTTCAGCCATTGCTGTACATCATTATTAAGCTTAGCCTCTGTATTAGTTTGCAAGAGCTGCTGTAACAAGTACCACGGGCTCGGTGTCTTAAACAACAGAAATTATTTCCTCACAGTTCCGAAGGTTGAAAGTCTGAGATCAAGGTGTTGGCAGATTTGGTTCCTTCTCAGGCCCATGAGGGAAAGGCTCTGTTCTAGGCCCCCATCCTTGCCTTGTAGTTGGCCATCTTCTCCCTGTATCTTCACATGGTCTTCCTTCTGTGCCTGCCTGTGTTCAAATTTCCCCCTTTTATAATGACAGCTGTCATACTGGGTTAGGATTCACCCTAAAGACCAGAGTTTAAATGCAGTCACGTCTGTGAAGGTCCATGTCTCCAAATGCAGTCACATTCTAAGGCACTGGGTGTTAAGACTTCAACATGAATTTCCTTAGGGGGTAGGAGGAACACAGTTCAGCCAGTAACAACCTCCTTACACCCCCGTCATTTGCCTCATTCTAAAATATCATTATTATAGTAATAGAGTTGAAATCCCAGGCCCTTTGTTGGGGATGTTAATGCCAAGAGATATTATTTTTTGCCGCTATTTTTTATGTCTCCCCACTAGACTGTAAACTCCACAAAGGCAGCATATTTATTTATCCTTGTGTTTCCAGCACATGGAACAGTATTCCACGCCACACGTGATTGAATAGAGTATGAAAAAATTTCACTTATGAAAAAATAAGTAAAATGAACAACCCAGGGCAGGTGGTCATTCAGAAATACAGTGATCTCAAGATTTATAGTTTAGAAAAGAGTGGTGAATGTGTGGCCTAGTGTCTTTTAGCTGGCTGTCAACAAGGAAGCGAATGGATCCTAACCTTTGCCTATTCAAAGTCATATTATAACTAGTGCACAATGATGGAAGGAATGAGGTCGAGAGAGTAGAACTTCTTAGACCTCCCTATGCAATTAGAACACATTTTGTTAACTAAAGGAAGCAGCTGAAGCTTCACTGGAAATGACAACAATGTTAGATAGTCTGTATTAGAATTCTCCAGGAAAACAAAACCAACAAGAATAGGGTGCATGTGTGCGTGTGTGTGTGTGTGTGTTTGTGTGTGGGGGGGTGGGGCAGGCAGAGAGAGATGATTTATTTTAAGGAATTGGTTCATGCAATTATAGAGGCTTGGTAAGTCCAAAATCTGCATGGCAGGCTGGCAGGTTGGAGATCCAGGGGAGAGTTTCAGTTTGAGTTGTAATTCTTCTGCTAGAAGTATTCCTTCTTGCTCAGGGGAGGTCAGTCTTTGTTCTATTCATGCCTTCAACTAATTAGATGAGGCCCACCCACACTTGGGAGGGTAATCTGTTTTACTCAAAGTCCAATAGTTTAAATGTTAAATCTCGTACAAAAAACACCTTCACAGAAACATCTAGAATAATGTTTGACCAAATATCTGGGCACCATGGCCCAGTCAAATTGACACATAAAATTAACCATCACAGCCGGGCACAGTGGCTCATGCCTGTAATCCGAGCACTTTGGGAGGCTGAGGCGGGCAGATTGCGAGGTCAAGAGATCGAGATCATCCTGGCCAACGTGGTGAAACCCCATCTCTACTAAAAATACAAAAATTAGTTGGGTGTGGTGGCGTGTGCCTGTAATCCCAGCTACTCGGGAGGCTGAAGCAGGAGAATGGCTTGAACCTGGGAGGCAGAGGTTGCAGTAAGCCGAGATGGTGCCAGTGCACTCCAGCCTGGCGACAGAGCAAGACACCATCTCAAAAAACAAACAACAACAACAACAACAAAAGACAACCCAAAAAAACCCAAACCATCACACAGTCTAGCTCTCTTGGTCCCATGAGGCACTTCATGGCATAGAATGTAATGACTGTAATGTAGGTAGAAGAACTGGACTAAAATAAATCAGCAACTGACCTATGTACATATGTAGAAGAGACTCTCATTGAAAGTGCCATTAGGGTCGTGCTTGTTTTAGAAGTCAGCCAGCTTTTAAAAGAGATATTTAGTAGCCTAAAAAGGGATAGTCAGAGGATTTTCTGTAGCCAGGGTAGAAAATATGACAAGCCCTGAATGTTTAAGAAAATGTTAAAATTCTTATTTGATGGTGAACTTAATTCCAGTCAATAAGACACAGTACAAATATAGAAACAATATCCATTTTTATGCAGACATCAAAGCAAAGTTTATGGTATATGCTGGCAAGGGGTATTTCAGATTAAACAAAATAATGAAAATCAAAGATTTATTTGATTAGGAACCCAAGCTGAAGTGCTGATTATCTCAGCTTTGTTAACTTCCTTTACTATTACTCTTAGATCTATTTGTGATTCTAATCAAATTCCCTGTAGTTTCTTGTCTTTGAGCAGACTCAGAAGAGTTCTGAAAAGAAATGATAATTTTCTTAGACAGCTTTTGGTTTCTGAGACAGTCTTTCATAACAGAAGAGGCATCTGTGGGTGGTCATTTGAGGGACAACAAGAGGCAGAGAGGTACATTTCCACTGAGCCTTGAAAACATGTATAAAGGCAGGAATTTGGAACAGCTATTTTTTTTTCCTTCAAATGGTCAAATATTCAGATGATGAAATACTGTTTTCAAAGATGTCTGTAGGCATCTGGCCCAGACTGAATATGCAGTGTTTATGAAGTCAAAGGAAGAAAGAAAGATTACTTGTAATGATGAATTCAACAAGGTGGTTATTAATACTGCCATCATTTTTACTGGTGAGAAAAATATAGACTTTAGATCCCCCCACCTTTTTTTTAACTGGGAAGAGAAGGATCTTTGAAACAGTTATATTTTCCTAGGCAGCTTTGTGTAAGAATTCTATATTGCTTTAAAGTTTTGACCCTTCTAAATAAAAATCTTGCCATATGAAAGTTCTAGAAAGAAATGTAAGTATAATGTGATGGCGAAGGTCTTGTGTCTTGCAGTCAGCTCTGCACATTACTAATCCTCAGCTTTCTGATCTGTAAAATGGACATTTTAACATTCACCTTCTGAGGTTAAGAGTTAAAGGAGTTCGTACATGTGAATACAAGACAAAGCTTAGGACAATGTGTGGCATGTGGGAAGCAAACAGAGGCCATCATGATAATGTTGGTATAAAAGGAGGGAGAGAGAGAGACAGGTGTGGCACATATGAACAGAGGCTAACCATGTTTACGAGAGACCATTTTTGGGGAACGATAATGTCCACTTGACCCAGTCATTTGTTTCTTCATCCTCTTCTAGACTTGTTCCCACAGACCATGTTGGTGATGGGGTAAGTTTCAATAAAATATTTTCTAGGAACAACACATTTATTTCTTTGTTGAGAAGCCCTATGCTCTAATATATACCAGTTAGGTCATTTCTAGAAAGCTGTTGTCTGGTTTAAATATTTCTTTCCTGATTTGCACACAAAATGGAAAAAAACTGCCCATTTATTTGCAGGGAATAAAAACATATAATACAAAAGAAAATTAGAAGGTAAAACTCCAGAATAACATGATTCTTCAGAAAATACAATCCAATTATAGGAGAGAGGTAATATCCGGTTCTTTTTTGTTGACCTATAATAGATGCAGATTACTTAGGTATTTAATATAGAGTGGTATTTCAAAATCACATGATGACTATTATTTCTATTATCAGTGGAAAAAGTAATATTAAAGTAGAAATTAGTACTTCAGACTTATAAATGGAGGACAAAAGTCTTTTGTGCAAAACTACCTGAAAAATTATAACTCTTTCAATCACAAGTCAGAGGATTGTTCTTCCAATAAATATTTTTGGAGGCTCTATCATGTGCCAGGCATTGTTTTAGAACCTAGAGCCTTGGCTTTGATGGAATTTATAATCTTGCAGGTAGAGACAGAATAAAACAACAAAATTGAATGCAGTTACAAGATAATTTCTGAAAGTGAGAAGTGCTATAAAGATTCCAAAAAGATCATGTGATGGGATAGACAATGATCAGCAACAGGAAGTGTTATAGGACCAACAGTTTCCTATGCCCGTTGCACAGGAACAGACCAATTACACTGAGGCAGCAGGGTTTGCATCAGAGAAAGAGTTTAATGGCTGCAGGGGGCCGAGTGAGCAGATGGTAGAAGACCCTCAAATCCATCTCCCCAAGGAGTTCTGGGCTGGGTTTTTAAGCAGTTCATGGAGAGTGAGGGGCTAGAAAATTGGGGTCGTTGATTGGTTAGGATAAGGGGCAGGAAATCATTGAGACATGGAAACTGCCTTCGTTGGTGAGTCAGCTCTTGTGGGGTCCTGCAGACCAGCTGACGTCAGTAGTTTCACTGGTATGTGGGACCTGAAAGAACATCTCAAAGGGAAAACAACGTTTTATGATGTTCAAATTTTTATTTGTAGAGCAGTTAAGGGGAACTATAATCTTGTAACAGGGTCTATGTGTTCTATGTGATTCTGAGGCAATAGGCACCAACAACTATGAGGAAGCAGATCCAAGAGCAGGCAGATCTCATGATTCATGTTGCATGTGCTGCAAGCTTGATTTATCTTTGTTTCCCCGCCTCCCTTCTTCCCTAATTTTATAAAGTTGATAGGCATGGTTTCAATGGGGTGTGTGTGAGACATGCAGGGAGGGGTATTCAGACTAGGGGTGGTCACAGGAGGTCTCCCTGGAAAGGTCGTGATTAACCTTCGATCTTCTGGGTAGTGTTCCAGGCAGAGGCCAGGTGGGAAGCAACTCCCTATGTGGCCACAGCTGGGAGAGTTCGAGGCTGTGGTCTAAGATAAGGTCAGAGATGATAAGACCCCAGGTCCCTCCATACTGTGGGTGATGTGAGGAGTTTAGACTTTATTTTCAGTGATGTGGGAATCCAGTGGAGATTTTAAAGCATGGGAGGGACATGGCCTGATTTATGTTTTTCAAAGATCACTCTGACAGCTTCAAAGAAGATGGGCTGTAACAAGAACAAGAATGAATCAGGAGGAAAGTGAGGGGCTCTTGCATAAAGCAGCAGAGATGGATGGTAGGGCAGGGACTAAAGATGGAGAGGCATTCACCTAAACAAAGAAGAGTGTGGGCCGCTGCCTCTGCTTACCAGCATTCTAGGGACATCTGTGTATTTGGTAGGAAGTGCAACTGATCAATCTGACGTGGGCTCCTCAAACGTTAAACAGCCTCCTGGGCCAAGGCTGTTTCATCAAGTTAGATTACTGTAAAGTGTGGAGCAATGATACATTCAGTTATATAGGAAAATAATGTTTGCTTGGGTTAAAGGGGAGATTTAAAAAAATCTAGCGTGATAAAAGTTTAGTAGCTCGTTAAGGGCAGATGTCCACGGTTCTTTGTGAGGAGCTGGAATTCAGTGGTAGATGAGAAGGGTGCACTGCAGCAGACACGCTCTGTGTACTCTTGGGAACCCTCTGGTGTTTTTAAAAATGCGTGTTTTAATGTCTAAATAAGCAAACCTGTGTTTTGTTAGTTATGGAGCAGAACGATTGCCTGGCTTGAAGGGCTTGGTGATGAAGTCTCTAGATGCTGCAGGCCATTGCCTCCTGTTGTTCTGTGGGAAAGGATGTCTTCTGGGACTGTTTCATGCCGATGTTTTCTCCTAACGTTTAGGACCTAAATGGGGCAGAGGTGGGTTGAGTGTATATGTGGGGGAAGTGAGACAACTGGGGAAACTGAGGAGCCCAGGGACGTGGTCCCTGTCCTTTGCTTTTGTTCAGGTTCCTTTGTTTGCAAGGAGGAAACCCACTCAACTGGACAGCAGATGCATGACGAGGATTCAGACACATCATGGACTCCAAGGTGAGAAAGTGAGGTGAAGCCACATCTCCTGTGAAGTGGGACTGGGCTCTGCAGAGGCAAGGTCGAGACTGCTGACCTTCCTAGGAGCCCCTTTATGCACTGACTCACCTGGCCTGAGTTTCAGCCCAATGGCTGCCAGCCCTGTTTCCACATCATCACTTTTTCAGCTCCAGTGCCGCATCCCTGGGCTCCTCAGCTTCCCTGATTGTCTCACTTCTCCTGTGTCCCTTCTCTGGTTGACTTAGTTCCATTTTTCCAGAGGGCAGCTCTGTTTGGCTCAGCCCCTGGTTGGTGATGATGGTCCCTTGTGTACTCAGCAGAGCTGGGCAGGGCAATGATGGAAGTGTCAATTGTTGTTGTTTTGTGAAGAGCCATCTTCTGTTTCTCCAGAGCCTTGGGATCACTTGGCAGGGGAGGGAGGAGAGTGTTAACAGTTACTTCTTGGAGAAGGCTCTGTTGGGGCTCAGTAGCTGGCCTGGCCTGTGGAGAATTCTAGAGAATTCCAGGGTGTCTCTAAGGGAGGGCTGGAGCAAGGCCGTCTTGGAGTAGCAGCAGTCAGATAGACGATGCTGCCAGAGGCTGAGGACCTTCTCTAGAAAGGGGTGTCTTTGATTCAGTGGGTGGGTTTTAACTTGTAAAATAAGGCAAAGTTGTGAGATAGTTCTCTAGCATTAATAAATTCAATCTGGGAGTGGTGGCTCACGCCTGTAATCTCAGCACTTTTGGAGGCCGAGGCGGGTGGATCACCTGAGGTCAGGAGTTTGAGACCAGCCTGGCCAACATGGCAAAACATCCGTCTCTACTGAAAAATACAAAAAATTAGCCAGGCGTGGTAGCAGGCACCTGTAATCCCAGCTACTCAGGAAGCTGAGGCAGGAGAATTGCTTGAACCTAGGGGGCGGAGGTTGCAGTCAGCCAAGATCGCACCACTGCACTCCAGCCTGGATGACAGAGCAAGACTCCATCAAGAAAAAAAAAAAAAAAAAAAAAATTCAGTGTTTTCCACTTCACCTGCTCTGTGAGAGACCTTTTCTTTTCCTCTGGCCGTTAGCACACCTCTGTACTGTTACTTCGCTAAAATAGTCTTTGTCTCCTCTTTCCCCTTGAAGGAATTAAAATATATAGAAACTCCTACAACTCAATGGCAAAAGACCCAATAATCCTATTAAAAAACAGGCTAAAGACTTGAATAGACATTTCTCCGAAGAAGACACACAAATGGCCAACAGGTATATGAAAAGGTGCTCAAAGGCACTAATCATCAGGGAAATGCACATCAAAACAATGAGATACCACCTCACATCTGTTAGGAGGGCTATTATAAAAAAGTAAAAAACAAAATATAACAGACAGCTGTTGGTGAAGATGTGGGGAAATTCAACCGTCCTTCTTATCTTGGCTTTGGAGTATGCCAAGTTCCAGAATGAGGTCCTGTTGAGAGAAAGCTGCCTTACCACTCAGAATTTCAATTATATTGAATGGATGAATGTCTTTTTTATTTTTATTTTTATTTTTTTGAGACAGAGTCTTGCTCTGATGTGCAGGCTGGAGTGCAATGACGTGATCTCCGCTCACTGCAATCTCTGCCTCCCAGGTTCAAGTGATTCTCCTGCCTCACCCTCCCAAGTAGCTGGGACTACAGCACATGCCCCCACACCAGGCTAGTTTTGTATTTTTAGTAGAGACAGGGTTTCACCATGTTGGTCAGGCTGGTCCCGAACTCCTGGCCTCAAGCGATCCGCCCGCCTCAGCCTCCCAAAGTGCAGAGATTAGAGGCGTGAACCACTGCGCCTGGCCTGAATAAGTATCTTTTAACCAGCAATGTTCTCCAGATTCTCAGAACACATTTGGCAAATGAAGGCATCCCCTTCCTGCCCACTAGACCCAGAAATGTATAATGGTGGGATTTTCTGATGCTTTTCATGTCCTGTCTTGCCCCACCCAGATTAAAGGAGCTACAGATGTGATCTTGACTTACCCTCTGAAATACTTTCAGTGCGAAGCTTCACATATACCAACATGTTTCCTGAGAGGTTTGGAAGAATCTAATCCACTGCATGAAAATTGTTATTATTTTATAATAATCAGAAAACCCACTGTGTGTATTCCAAACAGGGCCTGTGTAAAATATACGAATCCAGTACTGACAATCTGGTTGTGTCATCAGAATAGACAAAAAGGAATTGTCAAGATATCGATTTTGTATCCACACAGCCTTACGGACACATGGTTTAGGAAACGTTTAAATGAAAGACCAGTCAGAGCAGAGGCATTAGATAAGTCTTCAGTATAGAAAAACAATCAGTCTTGAGATCTTATTCACACCTGTGAATGCCAGTGACCACAGACGGTTTGTTCCTTGTTGACTGGGGTGATGGTCTTAACATTTTGGGAGACTCTAAGAGGGATTAGCCATAGAGGATTTGCTGAGATGACTACTTCAATGTGAAGCACTGTTCAGGATTGTCAGGTCAGTGTAGGGATGCTCAAGTAGCTGTGGTTTTCTCTCTCTCTCTCTCTCTTTTTTTTTGAGACAGGGTCTTGCTCTGTTGCCCAGGCTGGAGTGCAAGTGGCGCAATCACAGCTCACTGCAACCTCCACCTCCTGGGCTTAGCAATCCTCCCACTTCAGCCTCCCGAGTAGCTGGGACTACAGGTGTGCGCCACCACGTCCAGCTAATTTTTACAACTTTTCTAGAGACAGGGTTCACCATGTTGCTCAGGCTGGTCTCAAACCCCTGTGCTCAAGCCATCTGCCTGTCTCCCAAATTGCTGAGATTACAGGCTGGAGCCACTGCACCTGGCTTTTGTCTCTTTGTTCTTTCAAGCAGATACAGACTCACTTGCTCGTCTAATATTCACTCAGGCTACTATCCCAGAATCAGTTCTTCCCAAGTTTAAGGTGGTCTTTGCTAGGAGGCCAATCCTGACTTTCTAAGTTACATCAATCTCTCACCTTCTGTGATGTTCATATAGCAATGGCTCATGCATGACCCTGTACTGTTCTCTGTTTCACTGTGTTGCTTCATTTTCCAGTCCAGACTGTAGGCTCTTTGGGTGTAGAAATGATTCTCAAAGCTGACTTGTTCTCTTTGTGACAACTTTACCCCTAGCTTTTATTTTTTTTTTAAATTTTTAAATTTTTTTTGCTTGGATAAGTGCAGTAGACTCCTAATTGAACCACTTAAAAACAAAGTTTTTAAAACACAGGTCTGACTGTGGCAATTCCTTGTTTAAAAAGCCTCTGATGGGGCAGGGTGCAGTGGCTCACACCTGTAATCCCAGCACTTTGGAAGGCCGATGGGGGCGGATCACCTGAGGTCAGGAGTTTGAGACCAGTCTGGCCAATGTGGCGAAACCCTGTCACTATTAAAAATACAAAAATTAACCGATGTGGTGGTGTGTGCCTGTGTAGTCCCACCTACTTGGGAGGCTGAGGCAGGAGAATCGCTTGAACCCTGGGAGGCGGAGGCTGCCTATATTGTGTCACTGCACTCCAGTCTGGGCAACATAATGAGACTCTTTCTCTACAACAACAACAATAACAACAACAACGACGAAATTACTCTCAAAGCTGACTTGTCCTTTTTGCAACAACTTTACTCCTTGCTTTCATTGTTTGTTTTTTGCTTGGGCAAGTGTAGTAGACTCTTAATTGAACCACCTGAAAACAAAGTTTCTAAAACAAATCTGGCTGTGGTAATTCCTTGTTTAAAAGCCCTCTGGTGGGGGCCAGGCGCGGTGGCTCAAGCCTGTAACCCCAGCACTTTGGGAGGCTGAGGCAGGCGGATCACGAGGTCAGGAGTTCGAGACCAGCCTGGCCAACATAGTAAAACCCCATATTTACAAAAAAAAAAAAAATTAGCCGGGCATGGTGGCAGGCGCCTGTAATCCCAGCTACTCAGGGAGCTGAGGCAGGAGAATCACTTGAACCCAGGAGGCAGAAGTTGCAGTGAGCCGAGATTTTGACACTGCACTTCAGCCTAGGTGACAGAGCAAGACTCTGTCTCAATAAATATATAAAAACAAAAACAAACAAAAACCAAAAGCCCTCTGGTGGGTACCATTGCCTTTGGTGTGGTTTCCGACACTCTGCACAGCCTCCATGACCTGGTCATTCTTGCCTGTGCTTTCAGTTCCCACCTTTATGTTTCCACATTCTCCCTTCCCCAGTGCCAGAGCCAGATGAGCTGTTTCCTGGTGTTCAGGTGTGACGTCATCTCTCATTCTGCTGATCCTGGGCTTTCACTGGTCACTGGACTGGACCTTCCTTCCCTACTCTTTACGGTTCTGAAGTTTGTGGTATATTATTTAAAAAAAAAAAAAAAACCCATACATTTTTCAAACTAAAATAGTGACGTTAAAACTGAAGGAAGAGAGGTAAGGAATGTGTGTAATGATGAACGTTATTTGACCAACCAGACAAATATATAATTTGTGCAGGTTAAAAAAGCATATTAATAACTTCATGAGGTTAACCAATTTAGGACTCAATTAGAAATGTGATCCCAGGAACTACATACAAATTATTATAATTATGGTGACAGGAAATGGCGCTCCTAGGAAATGGCAGAAGGCAGAAATTTAAAAGGGGAATATATTATTTAAAAGTCAGGCAGCTTGTCTTTGCGTCCCTAAGAGTTGAATTGGGAAAATTAAAGATCTCAGATCATAAAACTACCAGCAGAATGAAGTACTAAGCTAATCCACTCAGCAGAAAGCAGTTCACCACCATAATTGGAAATACAGGCTCGTGGTTACTTAATAGAAGTGAACATTTAATCATGTCAGGGCCACTGTGTGCCGTAGATTTAGCATACCATCTCTAACATATTTTGCAACTTGGACAATTAATTCCACACCTTTACTGTCCCATATTCAGCTTTATAAAACATGTCCTCCCCATAAAAATAAATGTATGTGGCAGATAGCCCCCTCTCTTGTTTGCCAAAAAACAGATTACTATCAGGAAGGCCGAATTATCACCTGCTGTCAACAAATGGATTACCCAAGTTAAGGTCATTATTGTTGCTGTCATTCTCTTACATATTAAAACTGTTATTTATGAACATAGGAATGAAATGGATGATCTTAAATTTATCTGGGGTTTCTATGAGACCTTTTTGAACTTCATTTTGCATGCTTGTAAGATTACGAATTAAAACTATCCATGCAGCCCCACATTTTTTAAAAAATAAATTGCCTCTTTAAATGAAGATTTTTTTTCCCCTTACTGCTAAAGGTTTTAGATTAGCTCAGCAACCCATGAACCTTTTCATGTTGTCATCTACTGACATTTTTCTTTTTGAGTTTTTAGAAATATAATACAAGATAAAAATACACTTGGAGGTGAAACAGCAAGAGGTAGAGATAACAAGAATATTTAGTTTACTCATCTGCTTTTATTTTTCCATTATTATTTATGTAATTTATATTTCTACTTTTTTTTGAACTCTAAAGTCTATTTCAGTTAACTTTGATTTCCACGATTCTGATTTATTTAATTAAACTTTTTGAAGACTTTTTGCCACTCTATTTAAATGAAACACGACCAAGGAGAAAATGAATATAAACATCTTTGCATAACTGATACGTTGAAAAATGCATGACCACTTAAATGTCACAACTCGGCCTAGCATTTCTTTTTCATTCTGATGCTACTGAATTTTAAGGACAAGCTGCATTTTGCATTTGTAGCTTTGCTTAAATCAGGGAGCAGCATGCTCTTGAGCTAAGAACCATCTCTCTGAGGAGCATGTTGTTGAGAGCTCAGAGTTTCTGCCTCCCTTCTCCTCCCCTCCTTTCTCTTCTTTCTCCTTCCTTTCTTCCACCCTTTTCCTCCCCTCCTCCTTTCCTCCTTTCTTCCTTCCCTCCTCTTCCTTCTTCCCTCCTTCCTTCTGTTTCTTCCTCCCTCCCTATTTCCTTCTTTCCTTTTTTTTGGACAATAGCCAGGGCTGTAGGGGTGACAGATGTGAGGCCAACCTTGGGCTGGGGCAGCAACAGGACATTCAGGGTGGCTGTCCCTCCTCCTATGTCCTGTAACATGCCTCAGGAATGAATTTTGTTCCGGGTGGTACCTCTTCCCTACTTCTGGCCCTGATGGTCCTGCTTATTTACTTGCTCTTCAGCAGTCAGACTGCAGTAGCTTAGACTCTGAGAATGAGGTAAGGTCTGATTCTGATGTCCTCCCAGCAGCACCCCACGGGCACAAGGGGGCAGGGGAATACAAATCAGAAGGGGAAATGAAAGGACAGAAACAATTAGGTTATTACAAGACAGAATAAATCAAAGCTAGAAGAAGAAGTGGTCAGGAAGCTATCATTTCGTAAGCACCTGCTAGGGTGGAATACTTCTGTGACTACAGGAGCCAGGCAGCATGACATTCTGGGTGGGTGATGACTGGAGCTTGTATTTGTCCCTTTGTCACAGTCCCCACCATTCCACAGTATCTCTCTAACAAACAACTGATGAACTGAAGACTGTTTTTAAGAAACAAGAGTTTTTATGTTATTGCAAATCTTAGCTTAATGTTGTGTTAGATTGCTTGGGAATGGTGGGGAACCTGTGAGCCAGAAAAACCTATGCTTTTCTGGGGGAAGCAGCTGCTTCTCCGTCAATCGTTGCTAGGTAGACATGCTGCATCAGTGATGAGTGCTGAGTTTTCAACAGAAGCAGATTCCAGGTTGGCTGATTTGATTTTGTGTGTGTATGAAATTTCCTGATTTTTAAATGTTGGCAATTAAATAAGAGTTGTTTTTTTTTGTTTGTTTGTTTGTGTTTTTTTGACAGAGTCTTACTCTGTCACCCAGGCTGGAATGCAGTGGTGCAATCTCTGCTCACTGCAGCTTTGACCTCCTCAGCTCAAACTATCCTCCTGCCTCAGCCTCCCGAGTAACTGGGACTACAGGCATGTGCCACCATGCCCAGCTAATTTTTTTATTTTTATTGGAGACAGGGTTTTACCATGTTGGCCAGGCTGGTCTCAAACTCCTGACCTCAAGTGATCCGCCCATCCCGGCCTCCCAAAGTGCTGGGATTACAAGCGTGAGCCACTGCGGCCGGCCAAGAAATCTGAAAAGTAATGAACACTCTGAAATAAATATGTCGGTGGGAGGCATGTGTCAGTTTCCAACTGTGGCCTGCCATGTGCCATGTTCTGTACTTTGCGTGAACTGGCTGAACCTCAGCCCAGCTCCATGGGGTCGGTATTGCTCTTCCCTTCCATGGGAATTAAAGGAAAAAACCGATGAGGAGCTTGAAAGAAAAATTCAACAAATGTCTCCTGAGGACCTACTATGTGCCAGAACCCATGTGGTCCCCTGTAGGAAGATGTAGAAGAGTTTCCTGCCCTGCAGATATTTCTGGTCCACCTCTGAACACTGGAGGGATGTATGAAAAGTTCACCATCACCACCACAATATTGAGATAACAGTTCAGAACAACAATACATAGACCTTCTAGGATTAATTGTGAAACAAATTGCACACATAATTATTGTTATAGGGACTCAGAGAAAAGAAGGAGACCTCTTTTTGTGCTTAATATAGGGCAAGGGATTTGAACAGGGATTAAAAGATTAGGAAGATTCTCCAAAACAGTTTGAATAATGAGGAGAGAAATTAGAGCAAAGCACTGAATTGGCTTCTCTTTTGGAAGAATTCCTTTTGGAGAAAAAGTCTCCTTCTTGGACCTTAAGGGATTTGGCTCTGAGGGTTGAGTCATGTTCCCATGAATGCACAGTAAAATCATGGTAAATCCAAGCCTAGAACCCCAGAGCCTATTTGTATAACCATCAACTGGTCATTTTATCAGGATTTATCTTGGATTTTTGATGTGCAAAGATCAGAGTGGTTATAACAGAAGTCTCTACAGAGCTACCGCAGAATCCCTATGCCTACTGTTGAGACGCTTTCTAATGCTGTCTTGGAATTCTTCCCGTTTCTTCTGGAAATCTTTTTTTCACGTGAAAGCAGTTGCTGGTAGTACCCAGATGGTGGCCATATAGTCCCTAGGTATGACAGTCTGCCCAATACCAGTTAAACATTATAAATAGTCAGTGGGTACTCCTTGAATGACTTTTAACCTTGAACCTGGAAGAAGTGAAGATTACAGGAAAAAAATTATAGCAAGTGCAGAGAATGGAAGGGAGCATACCAATGACTTCTAACTGGCAAGCATAAGTCCTAGCTGCTCAGTAGAGCAGTGGTTTTCAGACTTGGTCTTATTAACTACAAAGCTGTTTGTTCATTTGAACTCATTCAAAGCCCCCAAGTTTAAAACAGATGAAAATGGTTCTCTTACCTCCTCTCACCTGAGCCTTTCCTTAGGGTGCTGCGTTTAGCCTTAGGGGTTGGAAAGCCATTATTGCATCAGTTCTTCTCTTAAAGAAGGAGAAGGATGGAGAAGAATCAGAGATGGGTGTGGAAATGCAGGGAGGACAATATTCTAGGGCTGTGCTTTCCAAACTGCAGAACGTTTACCCAGGGGGTCGCAAAGCTGTGGGGGAGAGGGAAGGAGATACTGGAATTTTTATGTCAATTTATTTTGTATCTCATCCTTTTCCAGTTCCTTTTCGTTTGTGTTATAATGTGCATAATATATTAGTGCAGTCTAATTTATAATAAATTATATAATAGATTCCATTCCATTATATGATAAATTAAAAAATACATTCTGGGGGTATGTGCTCCACTTTATTTTTTTATTTGACTAATGAGACACAGGGTCAAAAATATTTGGAGGCCAGTATACTAGATGATGAATTTCAACCTTTTGTATTTCAAATCCCTTTCACTAACGGACTCAGATCCCACCATGATAGCAATGAGAAGCCCAGCTTTTCCAAGAAGAGAGTTTAACTGCTCAAAGGCATTCTGTAATTTGTCATTTATGGCAGGTTTTGAGAACATAAACATTGCAGTGGTATTTTTGAGAGGAAATGTTTATCATTATAGCGCCAAAACACATCGCAAACAGAAACAATAATTTCATTAGTAGCCGAAAATTGTAATAATGCTGTTGCATATAAATTTCACTGCTATGGTAATTCTAAAACACAAGGATGATGAATAAAATATTGCAATATTATTATTGGGAATAAACTTTATTGCCATGAGTGAGACACAAGTGGGAGGATTGATGGAGACTCAAATTTTGGATAATTGTTTTCAGCCAGTGGTATGGGTATTATCCACAGAAATGTATTCTCTTCTCTAGTATCATACCCTCGCCTCTGGTGGAAAATCCCTGCTCTGGAGAGAATGGGATAATGGTCCCTTCATTCCAGCCCCAACTCTCACATCTGTTTCTTACTCAGGCTTTTATTACCCCAGCAATTCCATCCTGTTGTGTGAGGTGAAACCCAAGGATCATCCTCCCTTTTCCTGTTCCTCCACATCAAATCTATCCCCAAGGGCTGTCATCAGTGCTACCTCTGGATTAGGTCTTGAGTCAGGTTATCTTTCTCCATCTCCCTGGCGACCCCTGGTCCAATCCTGGACTCTGCTGTGTCCTCTTGCTGGATCTGTCCCTCCTGTGCTGCTCCTTGCAGTTATTCATCACCAGAATGAGCATGGGCCTGCCACTCTCCAGCTGAAACCCTGCTGTAGGCCGGGCACAGTGGGTCAGGCCTGTAATCCCAGCACTTTGGGAGGCTGAGGAGGGTGGATCACCTGTGGTCAGGAGTTCGAGACCAGCCTGGCCAACATGGTGAAACCCCTTCTCTACTTAAAAACCAAAACCAAAACCAAAAGAAACAAAAAAACTAGAAACAAAGAATTAGCTGGATGTGGTGGTGGGTGCCTGTAATCCCACTTGAACCTGGGAGGTGGAGGTTGCAGTGAGCTGAGATCGCACCATTGCACTCAAGCCTTGGCAACGAGAACAAAACTCCATCTCGAAAAGAAAAAAAAAGAAAGAAAAAAACCCCCAAAAAACCAAAACTAAAACAACAACAACAACAACAACAACAACAACAACAACAACAACAAAAAACCTGTGCCTTTCCCTTACTTACAGAATTAACTCAAAGTCCTTCACAAAGTCTTCAGAGCCCCGAGGGGTTGCCAGCCTCATCTCCTGCACCTCTCTACCTGGGTCACTGTGTCCGGCTACTCATGTCTCCCTTCTAAATCTTGGATACCAAGCCTATGGCAGCCCTAGGACCCCCCGTTCCCTCAGCACTGAGCTGGCTCATGTCTGCCCTTCAGGTGTTCAGCTATCTGTCTTTTCCTTGGAGAGCACCTCCCTGACCACCCCAGCTAACGTGGCCACTGGGAACCTCCATTTCTGTCCATCTGTACCCTAGAGCTGTGGCCTCTTCACCTCCAGGGGCTGCTGTTCCCACAGAACACAGGGCTAGAGGTGGTCCCTGAGGCTGTGCCATGAAGCAGTCCTTCATCATCCCTTGTCTTTCCTTCAAAGATCGTATCCCAATCTGACATTGCCATGCGTATTTGCTTATTATTGAGTAAACAAAAGCCCAGTCTTGAAAGAAAGGGAGAACTTGTGACTTTCAGGTTTGGAGTTTCACATCTAATGGGGAGGAACAAACACGATCACATGTTGGCAAAGAAAATACCCATGTGTTCCCCCTGCTCAGCTGAGGTCTCCCTAGAGCCAGCCCGCCAGACACTCCTGGGTGCGACCTGGGCTCTGGGGTGGCCAATCGCTGTCAGCTCTACGACCTGGGCTCTGGGGTGGCCAATAGATATTAGCTCTGTGACCTGGGCTCTGGGGTGGCCAATCGATGTCAGCTCTGTGACCCGGGCTCTGGGGTGGCCAACCGATGTCAGCTCTGTGACCCGGGCTCTGGGGTGGCCAATCGATGTCAGCTCTGTGACCCGGGCTCTGGGGTGGCCAATCGATGTCAGCTCTGTGACCCGGGCTCTGGGGTGGCCAATCGATGTCAGCTCTGTGACCTGGGCTCTGGGGTGGCCAATCGATGTCAGCAATGTGACCCGGGCTCTGGGGTGGCCAATCGATGTCAGCTCTGTGACCCGGGCTCTGGGGTGGCCAATCGATGTCAGCTGTGTGACCCGGGCTCTGGGGTGGCCAATCGATGTCAGCTTTGTGACCTGGGCTCTGGGGTGGCCAATTGATGTCAGCTGTGTGACCAGGGCTATGGGATGGCCAATCGATGTCAGCTCTGTGACCAGGGCTATGGGATGGCTCATAGATGTCAACTCGTTGGCCACCTCTGCTCACCTGTGAGAGCTGCACAGAGCGGTGCTGTGTCGAGCCACATTGGAGCCTGAGGCAGTGGAAAAATCAGTCACACCCATCCTGTCTTTATTTCAAATTTTGACATTTTGCTCATCATCAATTTTTTGGTGTCAAATTTATACATTGCATTAAAATACTATCTTGCTTATTGAGATTTTGGTGACCCATTAAGTTTTGTATCCAAGGCCAGTATCTCACCGGCTTCACTTTTATCCTGGCTGGGAACATTATATTGATCGGGAATATCTAAGGAATATGCAATATAAGGAATTAGAGGCTTAATTTGGCTCAGTGGAATAGTGGTTGAGGAGTGACAGTGGCTCATGTGTATAGAGTTGGGTGGATGCAACCTAGCAGCCCATGCTACTAAACTGACAAACAAGAGTGGTACACATCAGGGGCTAGGACATTTCACAGTTATTTTTTTAACAGCTCAGTATTAGCGACTGAGGCCCGGTAGCAGGGTCATAACTAAATTGCAGAAAAAGCAGGGCTTGGGCATCTCTTGGTCTCAAGTTCAAATCTTGCTTTTGCCTACTTATATGCTGTGTGGTTTAGGGCAAGTGATTTGTCTTCCTTGAACCTCAGTATCTTTGTTAGTAAAATGGAAATTTTAAAAAATCACCTCTTAGTGGGGTGGTTGTAAACGTTAAATGAAATGATTGGTTCATTCCAATCCTATCTACAGGGTGCTGAAAATGTGCCAGCTGTGGGCTTAGCTCTGGGATTCAAAGGTGAGGCAGTGAAATGAGGAGAGGTTGTCTCACCTTTCTGGAGCTTGCAATCTAGTGGAGGAGGTAGACATTTGTCTGAGTCACAAACATGTTAAGTCCCCAATCTGTGAGAGCCTTGGGGAGAGCTTCCTCCAGGGAGCCATGATCTAGGTGAGATCTGATGAGAAAACAGGAGTTTACTAGGCACAGCAAGTAGGAAGGGCTTCCATGCAGGGGAAACAGCTTGTGCAAAGACCCAGTGTGGGCAAAGGCATGGCCTGTCTGCAGAAGTGAGCAAATGCCAGTGCAACTGGAGGGCAGAGCATTAATTTATGTAATTTATGATGTCATTGTGCCATTATCAGACTTCTTGCTGGGCCCTCGGTGATACAGGGAGGATGAGTTCCAGGTGCTTCACTGTCCTTCTAATACTACCTGAGGGAAGAACAGTTCTGCCTTCAAAGGCAGGAACTGAAGTCTAGGTATAGGGCTGTATTTCTAGAGAAGGTCCCAGAAAGGGGCAGGAGAAGCCCAACAGCGTGAAGAAAGAGGAAAAAGAGTTAAAGCAAAGACAGCCAACCTTACGACAGACAGTGAATAAACAAGAAGGGACGTTTCTGTGTCACCTGCCGTATTTCTTTGGAAATAAAAGTTATTTTTCCAGAAATAACTTAAGTATTCAGCAAGAAAAGGTCCTGAGCTGTAAAGTGCCAGGGCTGAGAAAATTCCCTGGTGTGTTAACATTTCTGAACAAAATGTACGGGCAGCTGTCATTGACAGCACCCATTCTCCCCACGAGGTGGATGAGTTTTGGAGGAATCTGAAAGGTTTCCATGGGCCTGTCATGAATGGACAAAAGAATTAGGTGAGAGCAAGAGTGAAGCTGTTGAACTTTTAAAGTAATCCCAACAATGCATCGAGGGGCAATCTGCGTTTATGAACAATCTGATGTTGGCAAAATCCATTCCCCATGGAGATCACAGAACAGGTGGAAAGGGGCCACTTATTCTGTCTGAGCCTTTTGCTTTCCCAAGCCGACCATGACCTTAGAGAGCATGAGTTTCCAGGGGCCCCACCCTGAGACCCTGTGCACCGAGCATTTGTCACGCGAGCGCCATTTGTGGCAGCTGATATCGCCTGGAAACTTTCACTGAGTCCGCCAGAAGATAACAGCTTTTTATGGCCTTTTGCATTTGAACTAGTGATCCAGAGGTGAGAAATTCTATATACCATTACTGACTCTCTCAGCTCTCCCGGGCACCCTGATATAGCTGTGACACTCAGAGTCACATGTGGCATGCTGCATCAGCTCATGATGAAAAGCTACCTCAGTCTGAAAGCAAATCCTCCGTGAAAAATCTCATGATTCT
Organism: Homo sapiens; assembly: GCF_000001405.40. Lineage (NCBI taxonomy): Eukaryota > Metazoa > Chordata > Mammalia > Primates > Hominidae > Homo > Homo sapiens. The sequence continues at coordinate 24,434,277 of NC_000004.12, read as the reverse complement.
AGCTTAGCAATGAACAGATCCGACTTTCCTGAGGGGGCCTCATCACTGCCAAACTGTTAAAAATCCGTATGAGAGGTGGTGAGTTCATAGCAAAGCCCCCTCTGTCATCTGTTGTTTATATCTCTCATTAGTTTAAATGCTTCCTTCTTTCCTTTCTTTCTTTCCTCTTTTGGGTAGAGAGAGCAGTTCTAATCAGTACCCTGCAAAGGATCAGAAAAGAATTCAGGGCAACGTGGAGATGGCAAGATGTTTTGACAATGATGACAAGAATAGCAATCAACAGGTTGTCCTCCCCAGCTAGGGTCTTCCGTGGGTGGGAAAAGCAGTCATTATGGCGGCCAGCGAGGCTTGTGGTGTCCTTTTGTTAATAAAGGCTTTATAAGAACCAGGAGAACACCATCTGGTCCTGGGGCCCTGCCAGGTTGAGGAGACTTAATAGCTTCTTGAGTTTCAGCAATAAAAATCGGGCTGTCCAGGGAACAGAACATGTGCTCAGGAATGATGAGGAGTTAGAGCTTATTTAAAAAGTATAGGGGGCCTAAGATGACCCTCTGCATTGGCAGAGGAGAGAGATGATGAAAAAGGAGTAATTTATGGCTGCAACATAGCATCCCACATTACCCCGTCATGTGGGATCTGAGAATCAACAAGGAGAGGAAAGTCGTTATCTAAAAGGCTGTCAAATAATCCTTTAGGCAAGAGGCATCATTCATAAACTCAAAGCCTGTAGAAAGGAGCTTTCAAAATGAGAGTTTATATGCCCCTCCTGCAGATAATGATAATTAGCATGGGTTAAAAGAGATGGGGATTTTCCTAGTTTATGAAACTTGTAGGCCGGAATAAAACCCAGTAACCTATTTCATGAAGTAAACTGCTGAGGAGTTGACAGTCTCCCTCCCGAGAATTGCCTGTCCCCCCCAGAGCGAAGTAAGGTAATATTTATTCATGGTATTAAAAAATTTAAATGAAGTCATCCAATAGCAGCCTCCTGAGAAAGAAATAAAACATACAGGGACAGTGGTTGGAAATGTTGCTATAGACTAAGACTATGGAGGCAATTAATATTGAGAAAAAGTCAATCTGGCAGGGAAGGAAACTGAAATATTTATATAAAAAGTTTAAAAAACCCATTAGCTATTACCCAGGTGGACATATCTCCATCTAATTATGGAGTCCGCTAACAAAAGCAAATTTCTCTCTCCCTGGTTCCATCTCTAAGGCATTAGAGTCGGCAGAAGTTCTTTTCATGGGGAAGTAATTTAAATAGATACTGAACGAGTTTAGGGTCTCGTCTGAAAATTGTTCTTGTTTTATAGGTCAAAAATGTGACACCCATGGGGCAAAAAGAGAGATTGCCAGGTGCCTGGTAGAGGCTGGTGTGTCTTCCCAGAGCTGCATTATGAAAGATGGCAGAAGTTTGGTTCAGGGGAACCGCAAGGCGGCCACCTGAGCAGCATTTAGGAGTTGGTAACAGTTATTCAAATCAATTATCTGATTGGAGCCCCACCACAAGCCAGTGAGACTAGAAAGATATTACAGTCCCCAGTTGTAGACAAGACACTCACAGAGGTATGGTGACACACTCAGGATCACACAACCCCATCCAGTGGGGCTAAGACTGGAGCTAACTGTGCTTATGGGCAGAGAAGAAAGGGAGGCTTTCTTCCAGGGCACCTCTCATTAGACCACGCTCTGGATGCTGGGTGAGTCCAATTTGTTTTTCTCTGCATCTGCTCTGGCGCTCTATGCATCGCTAAATGGAGTTCCATGACCATGCTGATTGACACCATATGAAGTCAGTCTATCTGATTTGCGCTAAGTCTTTGGTGCTTCATGAAATCCCTCTGCTCTCCTCGGTTAGCTACCTTCCAATCCCTGATGGCAGCACATCCAAAATGAGCTCTCCCTCACCCTGTGCAGGTTGTGCAGAAAATCTTCCCTCATCTTTCACAGAGAGAGAAAAAAAGATCCTTATCACCCATGGCAGGCACATCTTCTCCTCCTCTTCTTTTCTGTCACAGACAAAGCTTATTAAGGTCAACGTCTTCACCTGTATACTGGACTTCCTAACCCCTTCCACCTTTACCGCTACCTTACAATTTTGCTTTCCCCCTCTTTTAACTTCACTTTCTTTCCTCTGTCTTATTCACCTGAGTCTATACATGATCTCTGATTGCTTTCATCTCTCTTCCTCCAAATTAACCTTCTCTTGACATTTCTTCCTACTCCCTTGCAACTTGTGACCTCACCCCCATTTTCCCTGAAGCCATAACCATTTAGCTTTTATCCTAACATGTTATTGAAATGGATCTTTCTAAGGTTCCCAACAACCTAATTTTCAAATCTAATGACCTATTTTCAGCCCTCTTTCTTGATTCTTTAAAGCAATTGCCTTGGTTGACAACTCCCATATTTTGAAATACTTTCCTTCCCTGGCTTGATTTTATGTACTTATCCATTCACTTACTCAATAAATATTTATTGATCCCTACCATGTGCTAGGGGCCCTATTCTAGCTTCTGGAGATTCAGCGGCATATTTTATTCTAGTGGAGGAAACAGGACACAAATATGTATGGAGATGAATGGAAAGTATTGTGTTGGAAAATGATGAGGCCACAAAGTACCTTCTGCCACTTGCCACTACACTTTCTTCCAGCACATTCGACGGTCTTTCTGGTTCTTCTCTCTGGTCCTTGAATGTTGGCGATCCCAGGGTGACTGGTCTATTCTCCCTGCTTTTTCTAACACCTGACCCTCTAAGAGATTTTATCCACTTGGAGGCTTTAATGATGATGTTTCAGCTAATTTCATCTGTATCCATGTTTCTATCTCAGTTATATTTTGCAGAGTTTGCATTCTTCTATCCAGTCATTTACTGGACATTTCTGTTGGGGTTTCCTGTATACATCTCATATTTACCAAGTACAAACAGGGAACCTCCTATCACCCAAACATGTTCTATTCTCTGTGTTCTCTATCCTAGTTAATGTTGACATCATCCCATCAATCTTTCCATCTAGAAATCTCTCCTGCATCCCCACTGTAGCAAGTCACCAATGGCAGTCAATTCTGTGACTTAATGGCCAGGACTTGGTCCTACTTTCTTGTCTTTTCTTTTTCTTTTTTTTTTCTCTTTTTTTTTTTTTTTTTTGAGATGGAGTCTTGCTCTGTCTCCCAGGCTGGAGTGCAGCGGTGTGATCTCAGCTTACCACAACCTCCACCTCCCGGGTTCAAGTGATTCTCCCACGTCAACCTCCCGAGTAGCTGGGATTACCAGGCACCCGCCACCACACCTGGCTACTTTTTTGGTATTTTTTTTTAGTAGAGAAAGGGTTTCACCATGTTGGTCAGGCTGGTCTTGAACTCCTGACCTCAGGCGATCCGCCTGCCTCAGCCTCCCAGAGTGCTGGGATGACAGGCTTGAGCCCCCGCGCCCGGCCCCTACTTTCTGTCTCAGGGTCTGTGCCTTACTTCAGACTCATACCATGTCTCTTCTGGACTCTTGCCTTGTAGCAGGCTTCCCTGGCTCCAGGGTTTCCTAGTTCAGTTCCCCTTTCACCTTGTTACTGAAATTATCACACTAAATATACCTGATTTTGTCACTTCCCAGTTAAAAAAACACCCTGCTTGCCTCCCTGTGGCCCATAGCAGGGTTTGAAGAACTGTGGGATACAACTGATTTGTTGCTCATGAGATCATTTTAGGGGGTTGCAACAAAAATAAAAAAATAGGAAATACTGTAATCCTAGCCCTTTGGGAGGCCGAGGCAGGGGGATCACGAGGTCAGGAGATCGAGACCATCCTGGCTAACACGGTGAAACCCCGTCTCTACTAAAAATACAAAAAAAAAATTAGCCGGGCGTGGTGGCGGGCGCCTGCAGTCCCAGCTACTCGGGAGGCTGAGGCAGGAGAATGGCGTGAACCCAGGAGCGGAGGTTGCAGTGAGCTGAGATCGCGCCACTGCACTCCAGCCTGGGAGACAGAGTGGGACTCAATCTCAAAAAAAAAAAAAAAAAAAAAGAAATACAAAATATCGGGGTGAATTTCACATAGAAAGGGCTAGTGTTGTTATGTGAACTTTTTATTTCTGTTATAGATACTTGCGTGTATGTGCTAGGTTGTGATGTAAAATGTGTGTCTTTGGGCAGCATCAGAAAAGTTTTAAAAAGTGCTGGGTCCTAGGGGATAATCTAAATTCTTTCACTTGGCATGTAAGGCTTTTTCCAGTTCCACCTCAATCTTCCTCATCAGGTTCTTACATAGGACCAGGACTGGATCTCAAGAAAACTCTTCTGAAGTCACATGCAGATAAATTCTCACTGTCAGACCAGGTGCGGTGTCTCACACCTGTAATCCCAGCACTTTGGGAGGCCGAGGTGGGTGGATCACCTGAGGTCAGGAGTTTGAGACCAGCCTGACCAACATGGTGAAACCCCATCTCTACAAAAATATAAAAAGTAGCCAGGCCTGGTGGCGGGTGCCTGTGATCTCAGCTACTTGGGAGGCTGAGGCAGGTGAATCACTTGAACCTGGGATGCAGAGATTACAGTGAGCCAAGATCATGCCACTGCACTCCAGCCTGGGTGACAGAGCGAGATTGTCTCAAAAAAAAAAAAAAAAAAAATTCTCACTGTCCCTGCACATGGCTCTGCCTGCTCCATGCCTTTCCCCTCCTGCCCTCAGGCTGCTTTGCTTTTCTGTTGGCAAACCCCTTCTTGTTTTTCATGTCCTAGCTTCAATGTCCCTTCTCTGGCCCTTTTTAGGCAGAGTTATTTGTTTCCCTTCCCCTGTGGGTGTCAAGCTTCCTGATCTCCCATTGAACACTGGCCTTTTTGTAATGTGATTCACCTGCTAATATGCCTTTGTCTCCCTCATTAGGCCTTGTAGGGGGTGACGCAGGAGACCAACTCATCTTTGTGTCTTTGGCATCTAGCAAAGGGCCTGATATACCAAAGAACTCAGGAAATATAAAAAACTGTGTGAGTGTGTGTGTGTTGCATGTGTGTGAAACAGAGGGAGAGAGAGAGAGAGTGTGAGCAAGTGTATACACAGCACAGAAAAATAGACACGAGTTCTTTGGACGTTATAAATATGTGTACACACGCACACAGCTCACGTCTGAGTTTTCTTTTTTTACCACTTTTGTGTATTTACTACCTCGCCCAGTGCCTGCTCAGGCCAGCTACTGACCACAAGGGTGTACTCTGCCACTGTTCCAGGCCAAATAGATGGGAATTTGCAGAGAAATTTCACATGTATTTTGTCATGTGCCGGCAGCAATCTGACACCAGTTTCTGACCTTTTGTTGGGTCTCTCATCACTTCCAGAGGTCAATGGCTTGTGGTACTGGGTCCAATGTCAACTGTACTCTGTCCTCATAATGCCTGAGATTATCCCATGGCCTGAGGCTTTTAAAATAAGACATTTGTATGCCTAATGATAAGAAAGATACAATTTCATTTTTTCAGTCTGGGAATGTTGGGCTTCCAATCACCACAGGAAAGAGAGGAGGGGTGTCAGCCTGAATATCTTCCTATTATGTTATTCTTGCTACCCAACTACTTATGAATAGTTTTGAATCATTTTAGAAGATGTACCAGCCACTCCTTGCAACAAGACCAAGTACTGTCAAAGGGTGTCCTTTACTTGGAGAGAACACTTGTTTCTGAAGGTAGACATGCATCCAGCTTCCCCTTTATAACTTAGTCACTTAGGTAATCTTTGAGAAATTCCTTATATTTTGTGAACTTTTGTTTTGCTCTGTGTAGAGTAAGGTATAATATTACCCCTACAGGATTGTTTTGAAGATCACATAAGCTGAGCTGCTTTGGAAACTGTGAACCATTCTCCAAATGTAGCATTTTGAGCAAAGAGAAAGAATAGAGAGTAAAATAAGAGAGAGGGAGTAGGCAGGGGGAAAAGAGAGAGAGAGGGAAAGAAGAAATCTTGGCTCTCTTGCCATTGACTGCCTTTGGCCATTCTCTCTGCCAGCACTGATGGAGGGTCTTCTATACACTAGACACCAGGAGAGGCGCTGGGATGCGTGCGAATATCAGGAAGACGCCTGTTCTAAACAGCAAGGAATCTAGACCAGAGCTTCTCAGTCTTGGCACTATGGTCATTTGGGCTGGATAATTCTTTTTTTTTTTTTGGAGACAGGGTCTCTCTCACTCTGTCACCCATGCTGGAGTGCAGTGGTGTGGTGCCATCATGGCTCACTGCAACCTTAAACTCCTGGGCTCCAGTGATCCTCACCCCTCAGCCTCCCGAGTAGCTGGGACTAAAGACATATGCCACCATGGCTGGCTAATTAAAAAAATTTTTTTTTATAGAAAAGAGGTCTTGCTATGTGACCCAGGCTGGTCTCCAACTCCTGGCCTCAAGTGATCCTCCCACCTCAGGCTCCCAAAGCACTGGGAATATAGGTGTGAGCCAGTGCACCTGGCCAGCGCTGGATAATTCTTTATTGTGGGAGACTTTCTTGTGGATCTCCTGACCTTTACATTCATTAGATGCCAGTAACCACCCCTCCTGCCACACCTCCAGTTATGACAACCCGAAATGTCTCCAGAATGACTCCAAGGGACAAAAATCACAGCCCCTTGAGAACCCCTGTTCTAGACAGATATTGGCCCACCCACCTATGGCACGCTGCAGCTGTGAGGCAGATCCAGCACCGTTGGGCAGGTCTCCACTGGCTCTGCAGACTCTTGAGTGTTTCACCTGAAAAAACAAACTGGATAGGTCACGGGTGGATCGCCTGAGTCCAGGAGTTCAAGATCAGCCTGGGGAACATGGTGGAACCCCTCTCTACCAAAAATACATTACCTAACTGGACATGGTAGCACTTGCCTGTAGTCCCACCTACTTGGGAGGCTGAGTTGGGAGGATGGCTTGAGCCCAGGAGGTGGAGGTTGCAGTGAGCTGAGATTACATCACTGCACTCTAGCCTGGGTAGCAGAGCCAGACCCTGTCTCAAAAAAAAAAAAAAAATAAATAAAGAATAGATGCAGCATTTTCTGTACATTTGAAAAAAATATTTTAAGTATGCAAAAATCTCTCAGTTTACAGGAGGCAGAAAAGAAATACAAGTGAATTTGTAATGAGGACATTAGAAAATTGTAAAAAAATTGACCTTACTATGGGAACCTAAGCCTGCCCTACAAAGCAGTTAATTCTCAGCATCATTGCCTTGCTTCCTCCCCAACAGGTTATCTGGTTTACCTGTGCCTCAGTGTTTTGATCTGCAGAATGGGAATATTGATATGTCATTTCACGGAGGTGAAGAACATATTAACTGAGATTCTTGCAGCTTTCCTGACAGCTGAAACTTAAAAAAGGTCAAAATGTACCCGAGTCTCTGTTGTAAAAACATTCACCTGCCTTACTGGAGCCCGCTCTCTGTGTATGTTTTAGATTGCCTTGGCCCGAGTATTTATCTTTTCAGTATAGAACTATTGCCCTAAGGTACATATTTTTCAGATCATTATAAGATTCCTGGTGTGATAACACTAGAGAGGGAAAAATCCATGCACGCAAGCCAGACTTGGAACAGTTTGAGCTTTTATGGCAAGATTGTATTGCTTATTTCTAAGCTACACATCTGCAATGAGCACTAGCCCATACTTAAGCCATAATGCATGGTTTTAAGGTCACTGCCGGTTATTATCTGACCAGTAATGACCACAAAACTATACATTATTGCTATTAGGAACCATTTTTGTACTATTTTCACTTTTCCTTTTTATTGAGTAGCTGCTGACACCCCCAGAGTTTCACATAGTTGGATTACAGTAGCTGAAATTCTCAGTAATTTCACTGGGTTTTGTTTTGGGAAGAAGCTGGTATATCGCTGCTGTTTTTGTTCGTATGCTGTCAAGGAGATTGAAGTTTATTTGAAATGTTCCTTTTATTTTTAAATGGCACTTGGGACTTTTCATCCTTAGAAGCCCTGTTTTTCTTCCCCTTTAAATTAGGGACTAAGGTTAGAGGAGGAGTTGGATTTATTTTCTGACACTTTCTGAATAATTAGTTATTATGTCTCAGAAAGAATCACAATATCAATAGTATATGTTCTGGAATTACGAAGTATTATATTAGAGGGCTTTACCTCTCTACCTTCTTCTGTAAGAAGAAATAAGGACAAGGTCTAAACTTAACTGATTGCAAGTGTTCCCTCCCCGTTGTAATTTTAAACCATATTTATGATTGCTTGTGTTACTTATCTTACTGAGAAAACAGTAGGGCTGGAATTTGAATTAGTCAGATCTTTATTTTTTCAAATGTGTAAGCATTCCTTTTTGAAATATTTATTGTTAAATAAAACACCATAGAGTAATTTCTTTGTGTGTAAAAGCTTGTTATTTCGTTGTTAGCTTTAGTCAACTTTCATTTCCTGTGGAGATTCAAATAATTATTCAGAAAGTAACACAAGGGGAAAAAATCAGGAATTCGGCACCATGACAATTTGATCCTAGATGTGAATTCTCTCCCTGAAAGTGCAGAAGTGATATGAATGATTTTATTCAGCCCAACGGTTGGATATCAAGGTCTTAATAATGAAACCTCATTCTGACAGCTTTTACTGTTGGACAGCAGGCTTCGTTATATTGGCCATGTTGATTTATTACTTTTAACTTCTTTTACATATGTATGCATGCTATGTAGCTATTTTCCTTGTATCTTCTGTTTTCATCACTATCTGGACTTATGAAGGAGCATATTAACATTTTTAATGGGAAATTTTATGTAGGAATAAGAAACGACTAACATTAATTATTATACTTGTCTAAAGTAGAGAAGAATCTCCACCATATATCTTTGTCTATTTATGTAACTGTCTAATGGTGGATAAATTATACCCTGGGTGCTGCAGTAAATTAAAAAATAATAATAATCCAAGCTAGAGAAGCAGTTTTATAAATATATGATTCTACAGAAATATTTCAGGAGATGACAAAGTTTCCCCAAGACTTGGCTATTATGTTATAATGTGTGTCCTTGTGGTCCAGTTATTGAGACAATAATTATGGCCCGTGATATTTTAAGGTATCCTCTGTAATCTGTTACCATCACAGATTTTTTTCTTCCATAAGAGAAATCAGATGGGTGGGAAGTTGCATTCCATGTGATTCTTTGCCAAACTGGAGAGGCATTGAGCGTTTGGATGATCTCTTTTATACTCTGAAATACATAATCCCAAGAAGGTTTAAATCAATGTGTTAATTGGTAAGTGATACTGTAATTATATGCATAATCAGGGAAAATTTGAATCCAGATTATTTGCTTGCTCTCAGAAAATTAATCTGCAGAGGTCATATATTAGATTGCTTGTTTATTAAGTGGAACCCCTGTAGTTTCAAAGTGCCGACTGGCTCTGCCCTCTACGAAGCATTCTTCTAGATGTTCCCAGCAGGTGTCAACGGCACAGAGCCTCGAGTGCTTATTGATCCAGATTCAAACAGTTCATTAATCTAAGCACACATTATATAGATTTTTCAATGTAATTTTGAAAGGGTTGAAAAACTATATTGAATGATGAGAGATGATGCTCAAATTATGCTTTTTATAGTGCATCTCGCTTGGGACTATGGCATTCTAACTGGGATGGATACTGGAACCTAAAGTACATAGTTCCTTCTGGATTTAGCATTTGCTTCACTCTCCGATTTCCAGATGTTTACTTAAAAAGTGTGTATAGCGGCTGGGCGCGGTGGCTCACGCCTGTAATCCCAGCACTTTGGGAGGCAGAGGTGGGAGGATAATGAGGTCAGGAGATCGAGGCCATCCTGGCTAACACGGTGAAACCCCGTCTCTACTAAAAATACAAAAAATTAGCCGGGCATGGTGGCGGGCGCCTGTAGTCCCAGCTACTCGGGAGGCTGAGGCAGGAGAATGGCGTGAACCCGGGAGGTGGAGCTTGCAGTGAGCCGAGATCGCTCCAGGGCACTCGAGCCTGGGCGACAGAGCGAGACTCTGTCTCAAAAAAAAAAAAAAAAAAAAAAAAAAAAAAAAAAAGTGTGTGTATAGCATTGCTCTTTCATACAATTTTTTTTTTCCTTTTCCTAATTGGCATAACCACAGAGGCTCCTCAAATAATGCCAAAATTAGAAAGTCAGCTCTAGAAGTGTAAAGGGTGAAAACAATCACGTACTCTACAAAACATTTTTTAGAATATTTTTGTCTTTCTTATGGATACAGTAAAAGTTTCCCCCAAGTTTTCCATTTCTTCTCAAGATCTTTACTTTTATACATGTACCAGTTAGTTTTAAATACTGTATTATCATGTTTTAAAATCAATGAAGTGAGACTCAGATCTAGAAAAGGTGCCAAAAAGAATTGTCACTGGTATTTCGATCTCCACCATCATGGCCGCCATTTTGTATGTGTCTAGTTGAGCCAAGGTCACAGTCCATCCAGATGGGCCTGACTTGTAGGCAGCGTTGGTAGTGTTTGACTTTTCCCTGGTCTGTTGCTTTTGTTGTCAGTTCCTTTAATTTGAAATAATGCTTTTACAGCCTCAGTTGGAATTGAGGCTGAGACAGGTAATGAATTGTCTTATTCATACTAATGTGCAAATAACTGACAATGACATATTTCCTAAGAGAAAAAGCAGTAGCATTAGGCAGATGATAAAAACTCAACCAATGACAAAAACTCAACTCAAACTTTTTATATGATAGCATACAAAAAGGGAAAGACTAGAGGTCATGGGACACCCCCCCAGCCCCCCAACACAGCTCATGTATCTTGCTTTGATAGTCATAACTTGTCAACCAAGCTGGATTACAAATAGAATACTTCTTTGATTAGTGAGAAATAGTTATTTAGTTTTGTTTTATTCTGCTAGTTTAACAGAACTGAATGGTCATATTCTCCTTGGATCTAATTTGGAATGACTTTAGAGGGTTTCATCTCATCTTTTAGCAAAAACATATCAAGCCCTATCACGTGTTAGGCACTGGAGAAAGCAAGTCAAACATGGGTCTTAATTTGGAGGCAACCGGGTCACTGATTTGTCACCACATACATGATTATGGCAAGTTGGTGAATACTGGACTTGTGAGAGCAACCAGTATCTACAGACCTCCAGAGGGAGGAGCAATGATTTTTGTCTATGCCAGTGTGGGAAGGCTCATTTAGGAGGTGACACTGAGCTGGAATTCAAATGTTTTTGTGTCTGTGTGTGTGTGTATTATATCTATAAACACCATGTATATATATGGTGTTTTCCAAGGTTGGGAAAATCTCTACAACTGTTCAATATCTGTAACAGCATAATAGGGGCTGTATTTTAATTTTATTTTAAATCCAAGGTGTCTATGTCTTCCCACCTTAGTGAATCGGCATGGGATGCTGCAATACTGCTGACCTGTGGATTAGAACGCTATCATGCTTAAGGATGCTTAACTAGTGGGGTGCAATTATGCTTACTCAGGCATTTGCAACTGATTAAAGCTTTATTTCCAGAGCCTACCCATTGTTTCAGAAGTAATTTGTGCATGATTATGGAAGTTACTGTGTTACCTATTTATGCTAACTTTAACAAATTCTGTACTAAATTATTGTGTTGTTGGGTTATTAAGAAGGGCTTGCCTTATATGGTCATAGTTCTCTATGTGAGCAAATAGCTTTTTTTTTTTTTTTTCATTTTTAAAGAGAACACAATAAAAGGCATATTCACTTACTACTATGTAGCTCAGGGTGTAGGTGGGTCTGAGTTAATAAGGGAAGGCTTACTGGAAAAAGCAGATTTTATTCCGAATCTTAAAACATGAGAATGAAAGATGGAAAGCTTAGGCAGATCTGGTCATGGGAAAGAGGTTAATAAAAAGAATCTGAAATGGAAATGGAGGCCCCTGTCAGCTTTAGACTGTATTGTGCCATATATCTGCTCTGTCCAAAAATATCTCCATCATGAGGACTTTCAACGTTCTAGCTTTTCCTTTGACAATCTAGGATGAGTGATGCTTTAGGTCAAAGATCAGCAAACTTTTCTTTTGTAAAGGGCCAGAAGGTTAATATTATAGGCTTCATGAGCCACATGGTCTCTATTGCAACTATGTGACTCTGCTGTATGCTCTGCTGTGGCATGAAAACAGCCATGGATGATACAATAAATGAATGGTGGGCTGTGTCCCAATAAAACTTTATTTACAAAAACAGACAGTGGGCCGGATTTGGCCTATGGGCCATAGTTTGCTGACCCCTGCTTTAGGTAATTGTTTCCTGAACTTCAATCCTTTTAGTACGACTCATTATATTGTTTAATCTGAGTAGCATCTGCAATATTGTTTACTTAATTTTTCCCCTTAAACTGACTTACGTTATTTTTTTTTTAACCAACAACTTAAGTTTAATTTATAAGGAGCTCTCTATCACTACCATGGAAAAGCAGTATTATATGTCCTTAATAAGGAATCACCAAAAAATAAACATAACAAGAACAAAATGATAAAGGCATGTACTACTAATTGTATGCACACCACAAGACAGCTTAAAATTTGACTCTCAGATTTCAGTACTGCTTACTTAGATGTCTTGAAAGAATGCTGACAGGTACGCATCATGGAGGCAGTGGCTGAGGAAGGACTCACAGCAGGGGCTGTTGCGTGGAAGACCAGGGCTCCTCTGGGCTAGAGTTGTTGGATCAAATGTAAACTGTTGGCCCGGCGCGGTGGCTCACGCCTGTAATCCCAGCACTTTGGGAGGCGGAGGCGGGTGGATCACGAGGTCAGGAGAGCGATATCATCCTGGCTAACACGGTGAAACCCCGTCTCTACTAAAAATGCAAAAAAATTAGCCGGACTTGATGGCGGGCGCCTGTAGTCCCAGCTACTCGGGAGGCTGAGGCAGGAGAAGGGCGTGAACCCGGGAGGCGGAGCTTGCAGTGAGCTGAAATCGCGCCACTGCACTCCAGCCTGGGCGACAGAGCGAGACTCCATTAAAAAAAAAAAAAAAAAGTGAACTGTTCATTAAACTTGAATTCTAGATAAACAATAAATAATGTTTTGATTTAAGTATATCCCATACAATATTTGGGACATACTCCTGCTAAAAAATTTTCTGTTTATCTGAAATTCAAATACAACTGGATGTCTCATCTTGATTTTTTGTTTGTTTGTTGTTTTTTCTAAATCTAGTGTTATGATCTGAGTGTGCATGTCGCTCCAAAATGTATATGTTGAAACCTAAATCCCCAATGCAATAGTGTGAGAGGATGGGGTCATTGGGAGGTGATTAGATCATGAGGGCTCTGCCCTCAAGAATGGAATTAGTGACCTTATGAAAGAGGCTTGAGGGAATGCTTTTAACATTTTCTGCCATATGAGGACATGTAGAAGGCACCATCTATGAGGAGCAGGCCCTCACCAGACACCATATCTGCTGGTGCTTTGATCATGGACTTCCCAGGCTCCAGAATTGTGAGCAGTAAATTTCTGTTGTTTATGAATTACCCAGTCTAAGGTTTTCTGTGATAGCAACCCAAGCAGACCAAGACATCTGGGAACGCTACCCCGGTTCAACAGCAAGAATCGGTTGGAGAATGTGCCAAGTGGTAGGGGAGGGCTGCTGGCTTGTGTGGAAAGTGTGGGCAGGAAAGAATCAACTTGGCCTGCTTAAAATTTAGTCTAGGGTGGATCTCAGCAGGGGACAGTGAGTAAGTCAACCAGGAGGTATGGATCAGAAATTAAGAAAGACTTTTGTGACTTGGAATCCCAGCCGGGAGTGTGGACATGATCCATTCTGCATTAAAAACCCACTAGAGAGTTATAAAAACGGGCATACGATCGGACAGACACTAATCTTCCAAAGAACCAGAGTGTTAGCCTATTTATGTAGCTATATCATGCCTTCAACGCGCCGGAAAAATAATCAAAGGAGAATTTAGAACTGTTCTCAGATTGTCAGTTTTTCATCTAAAAATGTTAATGTACATTAAACTTTAAATTAAAAAAAGCACATCCCATCACAAACTATTTTTAATATGGAATACTTAGCAGCGGTGCACACTTTCTGTTCTGAGATTTACCAGGCTATTAACCAGAATAATTTGGGTTTAAAATGAACTGAATTAGGTTGTGTATCCCCACGTTAAGTCTCAAACAAATTACATTATTTAAGCTGTCATCTGTAAAAGGTGCATACGCTTTTGGTTATTCTATGCAGATAAAGTTGCAGTCCAGTTATAAGTGTCTGATGGCATCAGAAATGTCAGCAACTGACAGAACTGTTTATGGAAAAGAGAAAAGAAGAATCTCATTACTGGTTCTTTAGAGCCTATTTTTCACTTTTCTTTTTGTTTGAAAATAATTTAATGTATATAATTGCATGCCTTGAAGACTTTAAAATACACAAGGTTGCCTGGATTTAGACTCAATATTTGTGCTAGTTTGTGAGTTTGTATGAGGATGCATTTGGACATGAAAACCTAAAGTTGGCAGGAATTTTTCTATCCTCTTTTGTCTCTTCTGGGTGATTTGGATGTGATTATAATCAGGAAATAGTTTGAATGTGATAGAACCCTGATGATTCCTAATTCTGGCCGTCATGTGCACCAGCCACTTCTGTTCCTCTCTGGAAAGAATTGAAGAGTCAGCAGATAAAAGTTGCTTTTTCAGACTGAGAATGAGTGCGCCCCTAGCTCACCTGGCCGCTAGGTGGCACTGCAGCCATAAGGAAGTGTGGTCACAATTACATAGTTCGGCTGTGGCATTAAGGAAGTTCTCCAAGGCTGAAATTGGGAGAGGGCAGCCTTTTCATCTCTGTGTTTTTCGGGATTGTAGGGTTCTTTGGATTCTATTGCATACTTTGTGTATCTAGGATGCTGCTAAGGGGAAGGGGATTATTTGTTTAGGGTGTGATGTTTCCTGGGTTTGTGTTGTTGCATAAGACACACACACACACACACACACACACACACTTGAAGATTTGTTAGGAATTGTGTTGGTCAGGGAGTGGGAAGTGAAGGGCAATATCACACTTCCGTGGTTTCTGAGCAGAATGGTCTGTTCCAACTGAGCAACAGATGGCGTCCTGACCTGTGTGCCTTTTTCTTTGGTGTTCATCTGCTGGAAATGTTCTCAGTAGAGACGACCAAAATTCTGGAAGATGCTAAGTGTCATAGCATCTCTCTTTGTGCCAGCCCCCTCTCCTGCTTCTTTTCCCTCTGTTTTTAACCACTAAGGAAACAATCATTATCCAAAAGTATTTTTTTTCCTTTTTGAATAGAAGCTAAGTATTTGAAACCTAGACACCTTACTATTGTCCCAGAGAAGAAAAGAAACCAACAAAGAATCTACTAAGAGTGTCAAAGAGTGAAAACTGAATAACAGCTACACAAGTTACTCTGAAAATAACAAGAATTCTGGCAGATGATTAGCAAAAATATTTCCTAAATAGTGAAAGATGAGGAATTGACTGACATTGAGGTGTGTCTGGTGAAATTAAATTTGCTGTTAAGTGACTTGAAAAGAAATGTGTGGAGGGTATGTTGGTAATTAAATCAGCAAACAATGGGATTCATAATGAAAATGGTAATAGCTATGTTTATAGAGGTCCTGCTATGTTCCAGGCATTTTTGTATAATTACTTAATCTTTAGAATAGATCTTTGAAATGGGTATGATCAAACTCTTTGGCACATAAGTAAATGATAGTGTAGCTAGGTTCATACCTGGCCTGGGTTCTAACACCTTTAAAAGCTCTAATTAGAATTAGGTCTGTTAGAGTCTAACACTTGTGTCTCGGTGTTTAGAAAATGACTTGATAATGGAACATAAAGGCAAAGAGAATGTCTGTGTTGCTTCTCATTGCATCTCCAGGACCTGCCATAGTGCTTGGCTGGCTCATGTAGGACTTCAGTATACATTTGTTCTACCCATAGATAAATGCCAGAGAGCTGGAAGATTCCATGGTGTTTAATTAGAACACTAGTTAACGCTTGATGTAGCGAATGTAATAACAGCTTTAGATGTGGATGGCCCTCTGTTGCTTAGAAGAACTGGAATACACTTTATTTCAGCTCACTCAACCTCAGACGCCAAGTTCTATGGGGTGGGGAATATCATTGAATTTTACGAAACAAAGAAGCTGGAACTCTGGAGTTAAGGAAGCTTCCCATGGTGGCTGCACTTGTTGAGTTCAGGTTTTCTCACTTTAGATTTAAGGGTTTTTAAGGCAGCTCCAAGTTCACAAAAGCCCACACAATTTTTTATTAATTAAAATGACATATAATGAATAATATTCTTATTATTTTTATGTATATATAATAAATATTCTTACAGAAAAAACAAAATAAATAGTCTGATGGTGGAGGGTTAGTCTTATAGCCATATAGAAGTCATTTCACTTTAAAAAGTATGTTTTTGAACTTTTACCTGCAGTTTTTATTTGAGAAAAATTAGAAGGTACAGATGAGCAAAATGAAATATGCAACCACTCATCTTTCCTTTTAGAAATTTATATCATCTATAAATTTTTTCTATACATATATGTTATAAAAAGATCATGTTTTATAATTTGCTTCTGAACTCAATATAATGTATACATCTTTATGTGTCGACAAATTATTTCTACATTGTAACCTTTAATGGC
This sequence comes from Homo sapiens, assembly GCF_000001405.40. Taxonomy (NCBI): domain Eukaryota; kingdom Metazoa; phylum Chordata; class Mammalia; order Primates; family Hominidae; genus Homo; species Homo sapiens. The sequence continues at coordinate 24,417,680 of NC_000004.12, read as the reverse complement.
TGCAAAGTGACCTGCTAGATGAACATATCAATTTATGTAACCAATACCTTGTTGCTGGACATTTGGGTTGTTTCCAGACTTTTGCTATAATAAAGCAATATTACAACAAGCATCCTTCAATGTGTATCTTTGTGCAATTAATCTTGACCCATTGTTTTATAGGGGAATTTACATACACCCAGAGAGGTTGTGAAATTTACTTGCTAGGCAGAACTTGGACCAGATTTCAGGGCTCTCAAATCACTGACAACTGTTTTTCTGCTTCATCAGTGAGGTTTCAAAACCTATCTGGTGGCTGTGGCCATTTCTTCCCAGGGGAAGGAAGGGATTCTTGGCATGTGCTGGGAGTTGTTCCTCAACAGAACTGAGTTACCCCTACAAAAGAAAAGTCAAGTTTAAGAAAAACAAACTGGAGAAGGTGATTTGACTGCTTTAATACTGTTAATAGAACTCCCTCTTTAAACTCTTTTCTTCCTTTTCCTCTGTAACTTTACATTCTGTTTCCTCCCTGCTTCTCTGATCTTCCTTTCTTCTTTCACTTCCTCCCTAACTCCCTTCCAACTCTCCTTCCTTTCCTACCAGTTGTCACTGTTACTTGAGTTCCTATCCCCAAATTTCTCCTTTTCCACTCTTTCCCTTTTTTTTTTTTTTGAGATGGAATCTCGCTCTGTTGCCTAGGCTGGAGTGCAATGGTGTGATCTCGGCTCACTGCAACCTCCGCCTCCTGGTTTAAGCGATTCTCCTGCCTCAGCCTCCCGAGTAGCTGGGATTACAGGCAGACGCCACCATGCCTGGCTAATTTTTGTATTTTTAGTAGAGACGGGGTTTGGCCATGTTGGCCAGGCTGGTCTCAAACTCCTCACCTCAGGTGATCCAAATGCCTCAGCCTCCAAAAGTGCCGGGATTACAGGCGTGAGCCACTGTGCCAAGCCATGTTTCCCTGTTTTTAATGGCTTCATCTATCACTTCCAGACACATGACTCCCAAATCTAAAACTTCAATCCTGATGCCTCTCCCACGGGCCAGTTCCATGCTTCCTATCGACAGTTAGATATTTGCGTTCCTGGGCCCAGGACTTCTAATTAAAGCTTCTCATTTCCACAGCCAGAGTCTTGAGTCACCTGATCCCTTCGCCTAGTCTCACACATCTTGCCAAGTGCAGTCAGGTCTTTGTCTCTGGCCCTCAGCCCTTCTCTCCCATTCCCACTGCCTATGCCCTAATTCTGGCACTCCTGACCTCTTGCCTGGACTATTGCAGTAGCCTCTCACATGGTCCCGTGCCTCTCTTTTCTCCCTGGCAAATTCATTTTGCACAGGCTTGGCACATTTATCTTTTGAGGTCACTGCTTTGATTGATCCACACTGTATACTAAATAGATTACAAAGCTGTTAGCCTGGCCTTCAAGAGTCTTTGTAATTTGACCTTAAGCTACCTTCTTAGTCCCATCTACCCTGGTTCTCTAGCATAAGACATTGTGCTTCCGTGTGTCTGGACTTCTTGAAACTTCTTTAACACACTTGCCTCGTAACTGGCTCTGAGCCTTTCTTGGATCACTTCCTGGGCCTGAATTGCCTGTATCCATCTGCATTTTAAGGTCTTAAAACACGATTACCACCTCTTCCATGAAGCCTTTCCTGATTCCTTAAGCCCAAGGTAATTTTTAAAAAATTAATCACGACCCCTTGCTGGCAGTACAAAACATCCATTGTAGCTATTCATGTACATGTTTTATGTCCCACTGTACATTTTAATCTCCTCATGGGTAGGAGCTTGTATCTTTCTCAAATCCCTGCAATCTCACTCCTCAACCTTAGTATAAGTGTTATCCCCATACCAGATTCTCCAAAAACTATTTGTGAATAAATAATTTTAGATTTAAAACATTTTACATAAATTTATAACTAATACAGAATATTTGCAGTATACAGCAAAATTACGACGAACATCTCTGAATATGTAATTAAGAACTCTCTGTTCTTCAAGCAAAACAAACTTTATATGTATTCGTAATTGCCATTACTTATCAAACCCTCTTCTTTCTCAGTGTTCTGGCAACACATACAAATGGGATTCAGAAATAACTTCTCAGAAGGTCAGTAGAGTTGGCTGGAAAGGTCTGCTTTTGTAAGTGGGAACCCTTTTCTTGTCCTTAAAATATACTCTGCCCCATCCCCTCTAGAAGAAAGGTCACAAGACTAGAATCAAAACCTTTGGCCTCTGCTACTTATAAACTGGTATTACCCTGGGCCACTTCTCTCATTTGTAACATAAGGTTGCCTACTATGTTACTTAAGAATTGCTGTGTGGCTATTGGTAATAGACATTTGATATGGTGGCTTGAAAATGGAATGATTTATTTTTCTTTCTTATAAATAAAGTCTGGAGATAGTCCCTAGCTCCACAACTATCGATGACCCCAGCTCCTCTTCTCTGTTTTGCCCCTTAGTGTGTGGCTTTCTTTTCTTTTCTTTCTTTCTTTCCTTTTTTTTTTTGACAGAGTCTCACTCTGTCACCCAGGCTGGAGTGCAGTGGTGCGATCTTGGCTCACTGCAACCTCTACCTCTGGAGTTCAAGTGATTCTCATGCCTCAGCTTCCCAAGTAGCTGGGATTACAGGTGCATGCCACTGCACTCAGCTAATTTTTCTATTTTTAGTAGAGACGGGGTTTCACCATATTGGCCAGGCTGGTCTTGAGCTCCTGGCCTCAAGTGATCCACCTGCCTCGGCCTCCCAAAGTGTTGGGATTACAGGCATGAGCCACCATGTCCGGCCATGGTTTTCATCATCAAGGTCAGCCTCATAGACCAATATGGCTGCTTGTGCTCTAGCCATCATGTCAGCATTCCAGCAAGAAGGAAGAAGGGTGCAAGGCCACCCCCTCCTCCTGAATAATCTCTCTTCAAGCAGTTTTAAAACAAATTATCCAGAAGTTGTACCTAACAACTTTGGCTTAGAGCTGGTGCACAGTGCTTCTCAGCACCAGCTGCATACTTGAAACACAAGGGGGCTTTAAAAAAGTACCTATATTGGGCCTCACTGCAAACAAATTAAATCAGAATGTCTATGGTTGGGGTCAGGACTCAGTATTTTTAAATGACCCCAGGGGATCCAATTGGATTGTCGAGACTGGGGACCACTGAACTAGGGTGATCATATAATTTATCATCTAAATGGGGCTGTTCAGAGTGAAAGGAGCATAAACCAGGCTTATCCCAGGTGAACCTAGAGGTACGGTGACTCTAATTATAGTTCATCCTTTGCCCCTATCTATCAGGTGGCTGGACACATAATTTTCTACTGCTACTGCTCTGGAAGGAGAAAAAGAAGAGAATAAAAGATATTGGTTAGGCACCCACTATTCCTTTCCATTTCATTCTCATTTAATTCTGCCCAAAAGCAAATGTACCCAGGCTTTTGGGCAAAATTAAATGAGATAAATGTACATGAAATCGCTTTGTAATCTGCAATGTTTCAAAGCTATGTTTATAAATAATATCATCATAATTTAGCACAAATAAGTACATGTGATGGCTAGAAGGAACCCAGTTTGGATCCTGTAGCTTGTGTTTGATTAATTTAGTGCTTTATGGTAATTAACAAATGCTTACTGGGAGACAGTGTCTCATGGTGGTTTCAGAGCATGGGCTTTGGAGACCGACAACCGTGGGTTCGAGTCTCACTTTTGCTTTTTACCAGCCTTGTCATTTGACTTCTCAAAATCTCCTTTTCAAAATCCCGGTAGTATTTCTTGACTCAAGGGGTTGTTGTAAGGATTAAAGACATTTAACATATGGGAAGGATCTAATCTGGGGCCTGGCATATCGCAAGCATTCAGTGACTGGCCTCTCATTATCATTTATAAGATTACTTTGGGGGATGCTGAGAAAAGGTCATCTTTTCTGCTTTTCAAGAGCTTAAAATATCAGGGTCTTCTCAGGCTGATGTTGGGCAAGAGATCTTTCTCCTCTCCTCTCCAGCTGCGAAGCCAGCAGCGGAAAGAAGGAATTGCAGATTCAAACGGTCTTCTTGTTTCCCATGGCTCCTTTCCTAAATGATCCCTACCCCCCCACAAGGATCTGGGTTAAAATACCAGTGGGGATCCCAGCCGGCTAAAGAAGCTAATAGCCAGAATTAAATTAATTATTTCGGCGACTTGATCCACACTTTGGGAGATTTGTGCATTGAAATAACCTTTGCCTGTGGCGATTTTGTCTCTGGGATTCTTCCTTCTGGCCACTGTGTTCCTGGCATAATCTCCCTTTCCATCTACTCAGTTGGTAACCTGTAAACTTTCTTCCCTGGGGCTTGCTCCTCTAATCTTGCCTTCCCCGTGTTTGGCTGTAGTCTTGTCTTCCTTTATTCATTCTGCGTTGCTTTTATCTCCTTACCTTTCCTCCTGCTGAGTATAAACAAACCTTAAGGCAAAAAAAAAAAAAAAATGAAGCCAGGCAGGATGCTGCTTAGCTCCCTTGAAGGGGAAAACACAGTCTGAATCTTAGCGACAGTACTCTTTACTGTTGGCGGAGTCAAAATTCAATACTTCCTATGTGTAGCATCACTGCCTATACAATGCTAAAATGTCTGGGAAAGTAAGAAAGAGAATTCTATGGGGAGGAGGGCCATACAAGAAACTGCCTTTGAATATATTTTCTCATTTGTTGGTTGAAAACCATTACGAAGCCTAGGATTTTCTTCATTGAGAGGATGCTTCTAATCGGGTCTGATTCTTCTGTGCAGGGTTGGCAAACTATTTCTGAAAAGTGCCAGATAGTAAATATTTTATGCTTTGCAGGCTATACTGTTCTAGTGGCAACCACTCAACCCAACTGGCACAGCAAAAAAGCAGCCATAGATAATGGGTAAATGGTGGGTGTGGCTGTGTACCCATAAAACTTCACCAGCTGGGCGCGGTGGCTCAGGCCCTGTAATCCCAACGCTTTGGGAGGCCAAGGCTGGTGGATCATGAGGTCAGGGGTTCAAGATCAGCCTGGGCAACATAGTGAAACCCCGTCTCCACTAAAAATACAAAAAATTAGCTGGCCATGATGGTGGTCGCCTGTAATCCCAGCTACTCGGGAGGCTGAGGCAGGAGAATCGCTTGAACCCGGGAGGTGGAGGTTGCAGTGAGCGGAGATTGAGCCATTGCACTCCAGCATGGGCAACAAGAGTGAGACTCCATCTCAAAACAAAGCAAAACAACAAAAAAATTTTATTTACCAACAATGGAATTTGAATTCCATGTAATTTTCACATCATTAAATTTATTCTTCTTTTGTTTTTTTTCCCCCTAACCATTAAAAAATATGAACATTGTTTTTAGTTCATGGGTTGTGGAACAATAGGTGGTGGGTGAAATTTGACCTCTGGGTAGGAGTTTGCTGACCTCTGCCCTGGTGAAATGGAAGGAGCATACTGATTGCAGTTAGAAAACCTTGGTTCCAGTCATTTCACTCGGAGGCTGGACTGTTTCTTCATTTTGAATATCAGATTAAATGACAACACCAAATTCTGGCAAGGATGTAGAGCAACAGGAACTTTCATTCATTGCTGGTGGGAATGCAAAATGGTACAGCCACTTTGAAAGACTGTTTGGCAGTTTCCTACCAAACTAAACATACTCTTAACATATGATCCAGCAATCACGCTCCTTGATATTTACCCAAACGGAGATGAAAACTTATGTCCACACAAAAATGTGCATATGGATATTTATAGCAGCTTTATTCACTATTGTCAAAACTTGGAAGCAACCAAGATGTCCTTAGTAGGTAAATGGATAAACTGTGATATATCCAGGCAATGGAATATTATTCAGTGCTAAAAACAAATGAGCTATCAAGCATGAAAAGACATGGAGGAAACTTAAATGCATGTAACTAAGTGAAAGAAACCCATGTAAAAAGGCTGCATACTCTGTGATTCCAACTATATGACATTCTGGAAAAGGCAATGTGATGGAGACACTAAAAAGATCAGAGGTTGCTAGGAGTTACTGGGGAGGGAGAGATGAAGAGATGGAACACAGGATTTTTAAAGCAGAGAGACTATTCCGTATGATACTACAGTGGTGGTTGCATGTCCTAAAGCATTTGTCAAAACCCAGAGAATGTGTAATAGCAACCGTGAACCCTAATGTGAACTATGGATTTTGGGTGATGATGTGTCAATGTAGGTTCACAGATTGTAACAAATGCACCACTTTGGCCTGGGATGTTGATAGTAGGGCAGGCTGCACCTGTGTGAGGGCAGAGGGTATATGAGATCTCTCTGTACTTGCCACTCTATTTTGCTGTGACCCTAAAACATCTCTAAAATTATAAAACCTATTGAAAAATAATGTTAGTGATACCTGCTCAACTCACAGCAGTGCTGCAGAGCTTATGAGTTAATTGTAAAGCACTGAGTAAATGGGAAGCTGCTATCCAAATGTTAGTTACCCAGGACAGTCGGCTTCTCTTCTTCCTCCTGGGGTGTCCTGAGGAAGAAGAGTCTGGAGGAAGAGCTCTTGAGTAAATCATTTCTGGGTACCTCTTGGAGATTCACAATGTGCACATTAACATTTCTGAGAAGAGTTGTCATTAAAAACAGCCGCCACCAAATGCAAAAACCTCATTAAGCTTGTTTAACCTAACATTTCCCAAACATATATATGATTTCAGGATAGATGTATATATGAGAGGGAGTTTATTAAGGAGAAGTGACTCACACAATTACAAGATGAAGTCCCACAATAGGCAGTCTGCAAGGTGAGGAGCAAGGAAGCCAGTGGTGGATCAGAGTCCCAAAACCTCAAAAGTAGGGAAGCCGACAGTGCAGCCTTCAGTCTGTGGCCAAAGGCCTGGGAGCCCCTGGCGAACCACTGGTGTAAGTCCAAAAGTCCAAAAGCTGAAGAACTTGGAGTCTGATGTTCGAGGGCAGGAAGCATCTAGCACAGGAGAAAGATGGAGGCTGGAAGACTCAGCAGGTCTAGTCCTTCTGTGTTCTTCTGCCTGCTTTATTCTAGCTGTGCTGGCAGCTGATTAGATTGTGCCCACCCAGATTGAGGGTGGGTCAGCCTCACCCCGACCACTGATTCAAATGTTAATCTCCTTTGGCAACATCCTAACAGACACATCCAGGAACAATACTTTGCATCCTTCAATCCAATCAAGTTGACGCTCAGTATTGAACATCACAAGCATTAATAAATATAAATTTTTAAAATTAGTTGGTGGGGGCAGGAGTCTGCGGGCACTCTTTGGGAAATGCTAGCCTAAGGCATTTCAATTAATACCATAGAAAAGATGAACACACGCAAAACTTTTTGTATTCTATTTTTCCATTTGTTATATATATTTGTATATGTAGGAAAATACGTGTATGTGTATCCATACACATATGTGTATGTGTATATATAATATTCTATTGTTATTTAATGTTACCTTTTATGTTGTTATGTTTTATTACAAAACTATGAGCCATTGGCAAATGTGTGAATGTAAGCTGACTTCTTAGATTATTTTATTAATTATTTTCACAATTTTTTCAATAGTAACAGACCATTGAAATGTAAAGACAAGTTAATGGAGGAATCTGCTTCAGTTACGGATACTTGGCTTTTTCCAAACTCACTACATAGAGCTGTACGTAGAATTGTAGTTCTTGATACAGCAGTACACATTTGAGTGGATTAATTTATTAGTGAAGTTAATGGCTTGCTAACCTCTTTGGTTGTTGTTTGGGAGAATTATCAATTATCCCACAATAGATGCACATTTTGCTGTCCCCTCTGTGGAGTTGACCACAGCAAAGGGCAGGTTTGTTTACCTCCCATTGGAGCACACATGGTTTTCTGGTCCAAACATATACTCTCTGGATTAACAATCACATGCAGTCATGTAAAACCCCATTTTTGATGACCTGGGTGGTGAGCAAATATCTTCTCAAGATGCCCCACACCCCAAAAATGAGCCATGCACACCCTACATGTCTTATAGTTTAGTCAGGCCACCCCAGCACATCCTCCCTGGTGAAGAAACATCTGTCCAGCTCCTGAATGTAATTGAGAAAAGAACAGAAATTTAACATCATTTACATGGTAGGTAGATGATCTATAGTGATATAATATTGTCAGGGCCTTAAGAGTAAATAATTTCTTTTTCATTACAGCTTGCAACACTAGTATCTGTGATTTTGTAGCACTTTCCGGTGTACACTGTCCCTTTAAGTATTTAGGAATTGGGCAACTTCATCAGGAAAAAAAATTCTTTGCACATAAAGCAGTGAAACCCAGAGATGTTGAAGAATGTGCCAAAGGAATCTCAGCTAGGAGAAGGCAGAGCTGGGATTTGAATTTTACTCTTGACTGCAGGTTCTTTTAACTCCATTTACTGTCTTCTTAAAGATGGACATGCTGAGGTTGGACAGGTAATAATGAATTACCAATTCTGCACATTAAAATAACATCTGTGATGCCTACCACATACACTAACCTAACAGCTAGTATTCTTTTCTCTGTAGTCTTCAAACTTTGTCTTGACAAATCCAGAGATCTTAAAAAAACAACTTTTTATTATAAAACATTTAAAAAATATTCAAGATTATAGAGAAGAATATAATGACTTTCTATGATCCAGCTTCCCAGTGTTAGCCTTAGCAGCACGTGGGCAAGCTTGTTTTAACTCTACCCCCCTCCTCAACTGGATTAATTTGAATATCCCAACTATCATATCATTTCTTCTATAAATCTTTAAGAACACATCTTTAAGAGAAAGTTTTCTGATTACCTTTTCTGCATAACAAATTACCTCCAAACTTGATGGCTTAAAACAGTAGTTTGTTGTTATGTTTCGTGTTTCCGTGGGCTGGCTGGGCTCGGCAGGGCAGTTTTCGTCTGGGGTCTCTAATGTGACTATAATCAGATTTTAGCTGGGGCTAGAGTCATCTAAAGATACCAGTGGGCTGGATCTCCAGAGTGGCCTACTGATGTGACTGTCAGCTGGGGACTCAGGTGGAGGTGTCAGCTCTTTAGGTCCCACAGATGGTCTTTCCATGCTTTTGGGCTTCTCCCAGCATGGCTGCTGGGTCCCAAGAAGAAATATTCTAGGAGCAAGAGTTTCAAGACACTTGTGTAGAAGCTGCAAGGTTCTCATGACCTAGGCTTAGAGGTCGTAGAGAAGCAAGTCACTAAGGCCACCTCAGATCCAATGGAGGGGAATCAGATTGCCCCTCAATGGGAGAAGCAGCAAAAAAATTTAAGAACAATTATTTGCGATCACAATATTCAATTAGTGTTTGAACTGACCCAATTTGAACTGTTGCTATTTTATAGGTTTTTTTTTTTTCAAAGCAGTATCAAAATGAAAATCTACACATGGCATTTGGTAGATATGCCTTTTGTGTTTTCTTTTATTCTAAGATATTTCCTGTCTTTTTTTTTTCTTTGTTTGAAATCTACGTGTTGAAGCAGCAGAGTAGTTTGTCTTGTTGAAATTTCCATGGCCTGGATTTTGCTGTATGTATCCATGATGTTCCTCGGTCCCTTTTATCTTCCTCTTGTAAACTGTTGGGTCCAGAAGCTCACTCAAGTTCAGGTCCAAGATTTTGGTAGAAACACTTTGTGGGTGGTGGTGTGTATGTCTAATTGCATCACACCAGGAAGTACAAAATCAGTTTGTCTCTCTTTGGTGATATTAAAATTGATTTTTAGATTCAAGTGTTGAATCCAGAGCTCCTTACTCCAAACGAGGCCTTTTAAGAAGAAGATTTTAAGTAGCTGTCTCCCATTTTGCAGGATCAGGAAATGAGTTTGGAATGAGTCTATATTTATGTATCTATATCTGCATTTACTGTGTGCTAACTATGTGTCAGGCAGCATTTCAGATACTTTACATGAATTAATGGATTTATTTTTCATAACAACCCAATAAAAGAGGTACTACAATTATCCCTATTTTATAGAGGAAGAGACTGAGGCTCAGACCCCCTATGTCCAACATTCAAACAGCAGATGCCTTCTGTTTAATTCTCATTTCCAAAAGGGATTAGTTCTTGTTTCCAGGATTCCTGGGGGAAACCAACTTAGGTCTGAGCGAAAGAGAGCAAGGTCAATGGGAGGGTGAAATGAAGCAGTCACAAATTTAGTTGCCTCCTCTTAAAATCGATGTCACTGGACTGGATCTGGGAGAATGCAGATGCTTGTGCAGCAAATTCTGCCCCAGCTTCCCAATGTTGGAGAATGATTGATTTTACCAGAACATTCTCCCACTCATTGCATTATTCATTGTGTAGTGGGGTCAGCAGGGTGTGGCCTGCTACCTCTGTAAAGGAGGCAGGGATGACGCCCTCGTTTCATGTTAGTGCTACTTGTTTTACCCAGACACTGGGTGCCTGCAGGAGGCTCAGAAATGACAATTTTATTTTAAAGAAAATATTTTCAAATGCAATTTGCAGTTTATACATGAAGAGTAATGAGCAAAATGGATGCAGCTGTCTTTTAAATTAACCCTGCAGTGCCACCCTGTTTTGCTTTCCTACCAAAGTGATAATGTAGGCAGCTTTTGTGCCTTTCGTGAAGACTTTGGAGGCCTCCGGAGCTTCAGAGAGAGTGGAGGTGGTTCAAGAAATACATGCATGTCTGGTGGTGCCTGGTATGTATCTATGGCCACCATAGCTGAAAAAGAAAAGGCTCAAAAGAACAGAACCCAAGAAGAGCACAGAGAAAGGTTCCTGCCTGAGAATGAGCAGCAAGAGGATACTGATCCCTGAGGGGCCCTGGTAGCAGGAACAATTCCCTTTCTCCAGGGAACATGTTTGAAAGACAGCATTTCTGGCCTCTCTGAGAGCTATTTCAAGCCATCTTGGTGCTGGATGGCCAGGCTCAATGTGGTCTCAAACAGATTCACTGCTTGTCAATCTCATTAGGTTGTTCTCTGCCTTTTCATGCAGATATGCCCACACTGCTGGAGCTGCTAGCTCTAACCTCAGTAGAAGACTCAACATTTTGGAGACCTTGACCTTCCACTGTGGGCATGTGTATGCTCAGCTCTGTGGGTCTCTAGGACGTGGCATGTTGGACAAAGGCCATTTCTTAACAATGTTTGAAAGGGAGAGATGACTAGTTCCAATTCCGAAGTGCAATTTCTTGGCATTTCTAGCATTGACGTTTAGTTATTTTAAAAGACACTGAGTGACTTAAATCAGCATAATTCCAAATCCCTTTACACAGACAGAGATATGCAGACACACTCACACAGTTTAATTTGATATCCAGTACTCCAAACAGACACAATAATGGTGCACTCGACTTAAGGAAAGAAGACACCTCGCCAGAAGCACAGGGACACAGGTTCCCAGGAAAATTCCATGTCCAATGAAGGAGATAGGATTCACTTGGGGGTAGGTGATGGCTTTATTTACATGCAGCCTAACTTCTTGTGGGAAGATGGCTGTGGCTGCCACATGCAGTGTCCAAGTTAACTTCAACATACTAACCACCCAGGGCGAGAGTATTTTTACTGACCAAGCAATTGCCTCATTAAGAACATGATGACATTTTACGTGCAGCACTGCAGTCATTGCTGGCTTCTTAAAATACTTTTCTGTAGCGTGTGCCTTTCCCATGGACAAAGAGCCCTTGTGTAGCATTTCTTTGCCTGGCATCTTGTGATTTAGGAATCGAACCTTAGATTCTGTATCAGAATAGCAGGGAGGAAAACGAAGAAATGAAGGAAGGGAAAGAGAGAAGTGAGAGTGGGGAGGAAGAAAAGAAGGCAAGAAGGAGGGAAGGAAGGAGGGAAAGAAGAAAGGAAAGGAGGAAGACAGAAATGGAAGAAGGAAGAAAAAAGAAAGGGGAGAGTGAAGAAAACATGTAGAAGCCTTATAATAACCCTAAGACTGGGCAGTTCGAGTTGAGTTGAATAAATCATTGTTGGAAGATTTTTTTTTGTCCTCTAATGTGTTCTTTCCTAACTTAAGGGGATTGGCCATACTGGCTGGTTGGAGGCTACCATTGGATCCATTCTCACCTTGGGATAGCAGTTCAATGTCTCAGGCAGGACAGAATCCCCAGCCGTGATGTAATGGGAGTTTCTACCTCATGCTTGTATGTCATTCACAGGCGTGGAGCACCATGGGAGCTGCGCTAGATTGATGTCCTCTCCAAGAATAGCACTGATTATAGAACAGATTTTCCCATATACAGAGCCATTTTTAATTCACTGCCTACCACAGCTGCCAGCCTGCGGAGATAATTCCTTCTAGCAGAATAGCTCTAGATTATTATAGGGAAATCAAATTTGCATAAAAGCTCTCGCTCTTCTCTCTCTCAAGTTACTAAACAGATACTGTCAATTACTTTTGTTGGAAAAACTTTTTGGGGGGAGGGGAAAATACTTTTTCTTTTCTTGAAAAAAAAAACCACCTTTTCATACAACTTAGAAAGATTTTGAGGACTAGCAGTTTGTGTGACATTTTGCATTTAATACCTGCTTGACCGTTTTCAAAGTGCTTTTCAGTTCAACAAACTTTTAATTTCTATTTTATTTTGATTGACTATTTTATTTTTATTTTATTTTTCATCCCTGGGGACATAAAGCCCTTGTTTTTGAATAACTTATTTTATTTGATTCATGCAAAAATTGTATGAAATTAATTAGGCAGGCATCATTAAGTCCATTATGCAGATGAGGAAACTGAAGCCCAGGGAAGTGTAAGTGACCTTTTGAAAGTGTGCGTAAGTGATCATTGAAGGATTCAGAACTGGAACTTAGGTCTTCAGAGTCTTATTTGGGCTTGTTGTGTAGTACCGTGATATTACTCAGGAGGGAAAAAGCTGCAGTCACAAATTGGCAGTTTGAAGTTGCTTGAATTTGACAATATTTAGAAATAAGAAGGTCTTCTTTCCTCAATCCCAACTCTGCCAAAGAAAAGGACTTTTGGCTTCTCTTGAAAAATATAAAATCTGGCAACATCGAGCCTGTATTCTATCTAGGTAAGACTGAGTTGCCAGTGGCCACCATTTGCCACGTCCTAATGCCTGAGAAGTCACTCATTTAGTTTGCCAACTTTGGATCAAGAAGGCCTTGAGTTGCCCCCTCTGCTGAGAGAGAATAAGGATGTTAGTACCTTATACTGGGGACAGCATTCTTGCACTGTTTTTAATATATATCTTTCAGTTTCTCCATGCCTTCGCTTATCAGCTTTTAAAAAGAAGTTGGCAAGATCCTCCCTTGTGAGTTCCCAATCCTGATGAGTCAGGATTTGAAGACTCACTAAAGATTTTTACTTTATTAGCCACTGTACGCTGATATTCTGCTTGTGTTTTTAAGAAGGCTTTCATGGCTATTGTTCCCTTAAATTGCTTTCTGTTTTCTGATCTGTTCTCAGCCACCCTTTGTTTTATTTATTTATTTTTAATTTATTTATATATATATTTTTTGAGATGGAGTCTCACTCTGTCACCCAGGCTGGAGTGCGGTGGCGCGATCTCGGCTCACTGCAACCTCTGCCTCCCAGATTCAAACAATTCTCCTGCCTCAGCCTCCTGAGTAGCTGGGATTACAGGTGTGTGCCACCATGCCCGGCTAATTTTTTTTATTTTTAGTAGAGACAGGGTTTCACCATGTTAGCCAGGATGGTCTCAATCTCCTGACCTCATGATCCACCCACCTTAGCCTCCCAAAGTGCTGGGATTACAGGCGTGAGCCACCTCACCTGGCCTCAGTCACCTTTTAAAGGGATGAAGAGTTTGAAGGTAGAATTCTACCTAGCCTTCACTTTTGCATTTGAGCCTTAATTTCCTGATTTTGTGGGCAAATTTTTGTGCTGTGTCTAGATTCTTCTTATTCGGAAAATGAGGATAAGATTATTATAAGAAAGAGAGAGAGAGAGATGATCAAGGTTTTAAAAATTCCTTAGATATAAAGTGTTGCTAAATTCTAATTTACTGCAGAAGCTTAATTAAATCATTTGATTTAACCATGGAAGTTACAGGTTAGACAGATCACCCAGGAATGGAAAAACAACATGAGCCTAAGAGATCTTCTGGGGAAGTGATTGTATCCAGCGGGTATTTTGTTTTGAGACCTACATTTCTGGTATCTCTTTCTGGTCTTATGCTGTCACATTTCTGTTCAATCAGAGATGAGGTGACAATCTGTCCAGGGTGCCGCACTGGGTGGAATGCTGTGCTGGGTGGCCTTTGCATAATTCTGCAATTCTGCAATTCTAAATCTGGGGATTCTGTTCCTCACCCACATCCTGAGAAGGTGGCTGCGAGTACGCAGTGTGATTTGATTTCAAAGCTAGCAAAAACCTTCTTGGCCCCAAATACTCCTATTTCTTCTCAGAGCTTAACGTTCCACTGAAGTTGTGCTGTTTTGACTTTAGGCTTTGATTTTGTGTTAAAAATCACAGTTACCAACCTTTCCAAGTACAGTGATTACAAAACCCATTCAACCACCTTATCTCATTTCATCTTCATGATAGCCGTGGGAGGTGGGAGAGTGGCATTGTGTCCTTTTGGGGAAGAGAAATAGAGAGGAAAAAGTAGGATTTGGGAGCCAGATAGGCTAGGTTTGAATCCCGCTGTAGCACTCATTAACTATGTGACCTTGAACAGGGGATTTGGCTGCTCTGAACTTAATTTCTTCTCCTACATACAGAGGATTCAAATTTTACTTTACAGCAGTTGTAAGGATCAGAGCGAATATTTTCACTCGTTCATTCATTAATTCTCCAAGTATTCATTCAGCCCCTAATGAGAGCCAGGCATCATACTAGGCTGTGGGGATACATTAGCAAATGAGACAGATGCTGTTCCTGCCCAAGTAGGGCGTACAATCTAGCACCAAGCATAGAGCTGAGCACATAGTAGGTCCTCAATAAATGATGCTTGCTATTTGTGGGCAGCCTCAAGGTGCTTGGTGAGTAGGGAGCAGAGTGAGGAGCCAAGCTCAGATTTGGAACCTCTGTCTCCCAAGTGTTTGGCTGGTGGGCTCTGTCCACTAGGCCTCTGGGGAAAGGAAGCTCATTGTTGCTACATTTGCCGTTTTATTCCAGTCCTCATCTCTGGTGTGTACTGTCTTAGGACAAACTGTGACCCAGCTCTGGGCTGAGCCCTGGCTCTGGTGTTTAATTATCTGTCCTCGGGCAATGTACCTGACCTCACTAATTCTCAGGTTCCTCATCTGCAGAGAGGACATAGTGACAAACCCATGCCTCATCGGATTGTCATGGGGATCAGATTAAGACGTTCCTGTCACATGCCTAGCACCACCTGGCCAATGGAAGTGTTTGTTAAATGGCGGCTGTTGTTGCCGTTTGGGCTCTCAAACAGCTCGCATGTTGGTTGGGGAAGACACGGCAGCTCCCCCTTCTGTCTTGGCGATCCTTTCCTGTCGCTGGGGAGACAGCTGTAGCAGCCGCTGCAGAGTCCAAGAACCCTGAGGAGTATCTCTCTCCACCGCTCAACCATTGGTCCACGTCCGCCATTCTGCAACAGTGCTGTGCTGTGGCAGGTTACGGAGTGGGGTAGGATGGAGTCAAGCAGGCCAGAAGGCCAGGCCTTTCCTGTATTCTGCTGCCACCTCAACCAAATAGAGTTCTATTCAGCAGCGCTTCCCTTGACTGGGGTGGGGCGAGAGCACTTACGTGTGCAGATGAAGCTTCAGAGCAGCCGCGGAGTGGGTGCTGTATTTCCATTTCCCTCTTTATGTCAAGGGTCTGAAGCCAGACTGCCTGGATTTGAGTCCCAGCACTGCTTTTTACAAGCTAAGTAATTTGACTTCTTTAAACCCCAGTTTCTTCATCTGTAAAGTAAATAATAGCCAAGACTTACATGTTTACTGATATTTACTATGTTCCAGGCACTTCACATGTACCAACCCACTCACCTCTCATCAGCCTTGAGTTACCTTCTATTGTCATGCCTATTTGTAGATTAGGAAATTGAGGCATAGAGAGATTAAGTAGCTTGGTTCAAGGCAAATGACAGCTGCGATTCTATCTGTGCTTTTAACGACTCTGCCATGCTCTTTCCCCAATAGGATGGGATATTAAGAATTTATCTTAAAGGGTTTTTGTGAGGATTGGATGAGATAAGAGGGAAAAACTGAGCATCAAACTTGGCACATAGTACATGCTCAGTAAACATTAACCATCATCCTCAGCTCTGAAGGTGGGTGCGGTTCTTTCTCTCTGGAGCAGTAAGCAAGCTAGAACATGAAGTGTGGAGAATTCTTCGTGGACCTTGGACTCATGGGCAAACGTGTTCATTGGCCCGATAATGGAAGTTTGAAACCTAATGTTTGTGAGTGGCACCATCATAATAATTACTGTCATACCCTCATGACAATGCTAATATTTTTTGAAAATATCAGGTATGGCCGGGCGCAGTGGCTCACGCCTGTAATCCCAGCACTTTGGGAGGCTGAGGCAGGCAGATCATGAGGTCAGGAGATCGAGACCATCCTGGCTAACACGGTGAAACCCTGTCTCTACTAAAAATACAAAAAATTAGCCGGGCGTAGTGGTGGGCGCCTGTAGCCCCAGCTACTCGGGAGGCTGAAGCAGGAGAATGGCGTGAACCCGGGAGGCGGAGCTTGAAGTGAGCCAAGATCGCGCCACTGCACTCCAACCTGGGCGACAGAGCGAGACTCTGTCTCAAAAAAAAAAAAAAAAAAAAAGAAAATTCAGGTATATTTAAAGTACCTACTTAGACCTGATACAGGTTCATATGTTCCAGATACAAGTAAACAACTTTGAATCATGCCTCTTTGGAGTTTTAAGTTTAAAACAAAGAATGCTCCATTTGTCCTTCATTGATTTTAGTTTCAGTCACTTGGCATATCTGCCTCACATTTTACATAGGTGCTTTTAAAAATCATCACCATCTTCGTCACCATTTTCATCATCCTCCCCACCATCATCCTGACAGTCTTACGATGAGCTAGGTGCTAAGCGCTTTGACTGGGCCAGCTCATTAAATTCTCACATTAGAACATAAAATGAAGGTTTCTGCAAATTAGACACCTACAGATTAAAGCAAGTGTGTCAATGTCATTGCTGGCAATAGTTACAACACAGGGAAGGGGAGAGGAGTGTTGTATTAGTCAGGGTTCTCTTAGAAGGACAGAACTAATAAGATATATATAGATATATCTCCTATATATGGGAGTTTATTAAGTATTAACTTAGACAATTACAAGATCCCACAACTGGCTTTCTGCAAGCTGAGGAGCAAGGAGAGCCAGTCTGAGTCCCAAAACTGAAGAACCTGGAGTCCAATGTTTGAGAGTGGGAAGCATCTAGCACAGGAGAAAGATGTAGCCTGGCAGGCTAGGCCCATCTCTCTCCTTTTCACATTTTCCTGCTTGCTTTATATTCGATGGAAGCTGATTAGATTGTGCCCACCAGGTTAAGGGTGGGTCTGCCTTCCCCAGCCCTCTGACTCCAATGTTAATCTCTTTTGGCGACACCCATCCAGACACACCCAGGACTAATACTTTGTATCCCCCAATCCAATCAAGTTGACATTCAGTATTAACCATCACAAGTGTATTTCAGCTCTTTGAATACTTAAGAATTACTCCATAGAATATTTAAAGAGATTCCTCCCCCAGGTGTGGTGGCTCACACCTGTAATTCTAGCATTTTGGGAGGCTGAGGCGGGGTGGATCACTTGAGATCAGGAGTTCGGACCAGCCTGGCCAACATGGTGAAACCCTGTCTCCACTAAAATTACAAAAATTAGCCAGGTGTGGTGGTGTGTGCCTGTAATTCCAGCTGCTCAGGAGGCTGAGGCAGAATTGCTTGAATCCGGAAGGCAGAGGTTGCAGTGAGCCAAGATCGTGCCACTGCACTCCAGCCTGGGTGACAGAGTAAGACTCTGTCTCAAAAAAAAAAAAAAAGGAGATTCCTTTGGTGTAAATGTTCATATGCTTCAGATAATAAGATATGATGAACATCAAAATATTGGCACTCTACTGGTACCCATTTCCAAAATATTGTCTGGTGGAAATGAGTGTTCGTATTTTGTTAATATAAATATTTAATAAAAACCTACAATGTTCTGGCCCCTGGATGTTATCCCACATCCCACTTTCTCTGCTCACCTGTGGAAGTTCTTGACTTACACATAATGTCCTTTTGCTGTGGTGATAAATTAGTTAACTTCAGTCCCAGTGAAGTGTAAGGTTTTTCCTGGAGCTGCCTCTCCATGCTGAATAATTTTTAGTTATGGAAAAAGCAACCTGTCAGAGAAATTTTCAGAACAGTTAATAGGTGAAATTTCTCCCATTGTGTAGGGATAGGTTCATTTGTACTTAATATACTTTTTTCTCATTATAAAAGTAACATCAGCCTAAATTTCCAATTGTGGCTATATAGTGGGTTGCCCAGGTATTCTGGTAAATGACCTCACTCAAAGGACCTAAGAATGCTAGATAAAATATAACTAACATATTTTCATGACATCTGCAAAAAAAGTGAGTGAAATTTCCAGGGACTAAAAACAGATAGGAAGGTGGAAGCTTGGCGGGAAGCATAAGCTGAGTTTTCGCTGAGAGCATTTGCTGAGAACAGGGTTAGATTCTTGTGCTTTGACTGGGGACCGGAAACCAGGCTTTGGGCCCTTGCAGTGTGGGAAGTTGAAATCCTAAAATACAGCTGGGACCCTTGCAGGGCTACATTCTCTATAAAAAAGTATATTAGTAAAAATAAATCCTCCTGTTGGCCAAGAGAGTTATTTTAGCTTTACCTCTGGGTGGGGAAAATATCTTCTTCCTAATATTTTCACAACAGCCCTGCCCTCATTTGGCTTTGGAGGTTGAAATTCTCCTGCCTGAGAGATCTGGAAGAAATCTTGATTTTAGAGGTCCTGGATTGGGGTGCTCAGAGTGCCTAGAAGATGTGGAGAAATGCACATTAACCCCTGGAGAAATGCACTTTAACCCCAGGCCCTCTGGCATCCCACAGTTTCAGATCAGCCTCATGTGATCTTACAATCCAGGATTACAGACACATGAAGAATGTAGTCATCTTGTATTTAAGAATCAAGGGAAACACAAATAGCAGAATGAGAGCTGCAAGTACTTCATGTATTGGAGTTGTGATGCTACAGAAAAGAGGACATGGTAAATAAATTTAGAATGTTCAATGAAAGAAGAGAACTGAAAACATGAACAAAATTACAGACTAATCCCAAATAATGTATGTATCAAAAATATATCAGAAAAACTAGTAAGATTTAAAAGAAGACCAAGTATAACATCTAGAAATAAAAATAGAATTATTAAAATTGAAAGTAAAACATTCTGTTTGTAAGAAATT
Source organism: Homo sapiens (assembly GCF_000001405.40). Lineage (NCBI taxonomy): Eukaryota > Metazoa > Chordata > Mammalia > Primates > Hominidae > Homo > Homo sapiens. Next base: position 24,398,371 of record NC_000004.12, on the reverse strand, counting down.
TGAAAAGAATAATGGAGCCACCATAAATTAACTATTATTCTCTCACTCAGAGGCCAGAAATGTTAATTTTTAAATATAATCTATTCTGTTACATATAAAGTATTTCTGTGTATTTTATAGATCTGCTTTACAGGTTAGACATAGTCTTCCATATGAGTATGATTTTATATGCTATCTTTTTTTCTATATAATAATCATTTCCCATCATTGTGCTATATATGTTAATAAAGAAATTCCACAGTGTAAATGTTCTTATAAAGTTGGATTTATTTATTTGCTATTATAAACAATTCTGCAAAGAGCATCTTGACAGAAGCGGCTAGGTCTTGTTAAGGCTTAGGCTAGGAATTGGCAGTGTCACTTTTTTCAGAGTTTACTGGTTTAGATGAGACACATGGCAAGCTCATATTCAGTGTAGGAAGGGACTATATAAGGATGTGAACACAGGGAGGCCTGAGTCAGTATAGACCTAGTTACCACATAGCCTTTTAGTTTTCCTCTTTTTATGTAAGTACTAGCATTTTATACACTGTTTTGCATCTCGCTGTTTTAAGCAAAATATTTTGCACTATATTTGCTATTAATACTTATGTTGTCTGCAGTTAGATTTGGCTGCAAGTAAAACTTCAAATTACTGTGACTCAAAAAGGTTGGAGGTTGTAGGTGCAGATCTTTCTACCTTGTTGCTCCACCACATCTGACTTTCATTTTAAAACCACCTCAACAACCAAGATGGCTGCTGGAGCGCTAGTCATCCGTTCCAGCCAGAAGGAAAGAGTGAGCAAGAGGGAGAAGAAAGTATGTCTCTTTTTAAGGATATCACTTGGAATTTGCACCCCTCATTCCCACTTACATTCCTTAGGATGGAACACATTTACAGAGCCACAGCTAGGTACAAGAGAGACTAGAAAATGTAATCTTTATTACAAATGGCCATGTACCCAGTTAAAAAATTGGGGATTTATTCCTAAAGAGGAAGGGGAGAGTGGATATTGGAGGATCATAGTACATTATAAATCCTCCTCCTCATGTTTGCATCTCAGTGCAAGCATAGGACTTTTAATGTATTCTTCTACATTGTTTTCAGGAAAATTGGCCGGTTCCAGTAGACTCAGAGGCCTCATTTATGTCACTCTTATCAACGCTGGGTATAATAAGTTTTGTAATATTGTCAGTCATTTAAGATTGCGTCATATTTTAATTTACTCTTCTTTGATTACTAGTGTGTGCTGAAATTTTATTCTATAATTTATTAGCCATTTATTTTTTATCTTTTGTGTAATTTTGGTTCACGTCTCATGTGCATGGAGTCATTTGGCTTAGTTGTTTTTCTTAACTGTTTGCTAATCACTTTATTCTAAAGTTATTGACACTTTATCATGTTAATTGTAAAGCAGAAAAATTGTGTTTCTGAGAGTCTTGGAATAGAGGATGCATGAGAGTACCATTTTGTAACTGGAGAGTGATGAAAAGCTCTCCTCATCACACCAAAAGGGACCAGGATTTGTGCAAGTTCTGTTTGAGTCTATAGACTTCTTTAGTGTTTTAGTTGCAGAAATTAGAGGACCTTTTTATGAAGGAATCAAAAAAGCCGAAAGGGAATAGAGAAGGGGTACCAGGGAGAGGGTTAGATGCTGTGTGTTTGAAGTGTGAGCTGTGGGGAGCAATGCGGTGCTCTTTGCCCCCTAAACTGATAGCTAGGGTTCTCTGAATCCTGCTTGCTCAGGTCTCAGAAGAAAAAAAAAATGGGAGACATCCTAAAATAGGAATTCTTCTTTAGCTGGAGAAGATTTTGATGATACCATCTATCTATTAGAGGATGCTTCACAGACAGCCATGTCGGCATTCTTTCAGTTGTGAGCATTTTGTGAACGTTGTGGCATTTGATCTGCCCAGGGAGGTCACCCACAGGAAGGATGCTATGGGAGTACTTTAGTGCTGGACTATAAAGGTCACGAGTCAACAACTCTTAGAGACCTTCTCTTAGAGACTGGGGGAAGCGATTTGCCTAGCACTCCCCAGCTCGTCAGCTGCAGAAGCAAATCTAGAATGAGCATGTGTAAGTCATATACTGAACTACCATATTCCTTGACGCGCTGCTGCCTCTGAGCCGCCCCCATCGTCCTGCACTTGCTCTAAGGGTTTGGACTGCACACCTGCTCTGGAGCAGGTTGGCTGCACACTGAGTCACCCTGCTCCCTGGTGGCTCTACCTGAGAACAGCACTGTCCCCGGCACCCTGATGACCAAGGACCCAGTGTCTGCCCGGCTCTGCCCCAGGAGATGTGGGATCAGTAACAGGTTGAGTCTCTCGGACACCTGTTGCATCTTCAGAGCACTAGAAGGAGGTGAGCAATGGATTGAAGGCCAGTGTGAAGGCTTGGAAGACTGATCAAGAGTGAGTTACCAACCAAAAATGAGAAGGTAGAATGCAGGTGGAGAGAAAAATAATGTAATTATTTTTTAAAGAATATTGTTTTTTAGTCATGTGGAAGCATGGAGGGGCAAGGTGAGCACCACATTTGGAGCCATACTTGAGCTTCCTTCCAGGCCCTGCCACTTACAATGGTGTGACATTGGACAAGCTCCACTGTGTCCTCCCTGAACCTCAACTTCCTCTTCCGTGAGTTGGAACAGCAATGCCTGTCTTAACTCCCTGGCTTGGTGTGAGGCTCAGATCGTGTCCCAGCTTGAAAACACCTGGTGTGGTAATCCACAAATTAAAGAGATGCTGCTCTGTCCGTTGGAAGAACAGCTTCCTATTTCCACAGTAGCATGGAGATAGATAATTCCACATTTTGTCTTCAGAATGATTCACATTTACAGACTTATTAATGTCCAGGAGGAGCCTTGGAACAGAAAATCTCATGGAGCTTGAATCTGGGGTTGTACATTGACCAACCCAAATGAATCCAACCATATGGACCCCAACTTATTTGTCAGTGATCAGTCCTCATATACTATATTATTTAAGTGAGCATCAATCCACTGATGTGATGATGATAACCTAAGACCTGTGGGCACTGTGGCTCTTTGGGTATAATAAGGAAAAGAGGACAAACTATTTTACTAACTGTATTACCACTGATAATATTAGTTACACATAATAATTAGCTTTCATTAAAAATCAGTTTGGATTAATCTAGGCGGGGAAATGCTCAGGGTCCTTACTTTGAGTTTTCCTTTGGGAGGGTTTTTACATATTGAAAAATACAAAGAAGATGCTACAGATAAACCAACAGAAGTTTTGGAAGTTTGTTATTCGTCTAAGGTGCCACAGCTGGTGAGTGGCAGAAGTAGGACTTGAACCCAGGTATTTCTAGCTCAGGTCTGAACCACTGTTTTATGTTGTCTTATCTCAAGAGGCTGACAATTTATAGCTCTAGTTATATCAGGAAGGACATTGTACAAGATATGCTTTTTCATTGTTTTTGAAAACCAATTAACTCCCAAGCTCTATATTATTTGCTTTTAAGCAATAGTGATTAATAATGTGTCTCACTGATTCCAAGCCAAGCATTTTTTCCCCCACATTTTAGCATCTCTGAAATTGGATGCTTCTTACAAGTGATGGTGTATCATCATTTAATTGGCAGCATTTTTCTTTCTTAGTGGCATATAAAATAATGGTGCATCTCACAATTGATAGCATCTTAGATTTGATAAAATGCAGTCATAATGACTTGGTTCATGTAAAGGACGGAGCAGTATGGAAAACATACAGCGTGCAAGCGTGGTACCATTGGGGAGGAACATTTACCTATTCTCCATCCCTTCTCCTATTACTTTAGTTAAGATGCTTGGCTTATCTCAAATGAGCTGATCTCTTAGCTTTTCTTCTCTTCTCTGTTCAATTATCTTTAGTACCACAACCAGCGTTTTCTTCTTAAAGATCTGTCTACCTGAAATGACTTCTTAGCACCTCAAGTGAAGGTCGTGAAGTGCTAAGCATGAACTTCAGGGTCCCTAGACGTGAACTTCAGGGTCCATACAAGTTACAAATCTGCTTTCTGCCTTCTCTCTCCTTGTATCCTTCTCTCAGCCAGCTCCTTGGATCTCATGGTTTCCCAGAGTGTGGGATAATGACTCAAAATGACCTTAGGTGGTACACTAACATGGCCGTGAGTAAACCCGAGTTACCACATGAGTAATTTATGCAGTTTAGAATTCTCTCTCACCCCTTTGGAATCCCTTGAGGAAGAATTCTTAGTTGCATATGGGGGAGTCATTAACATATTGACATTCTCACTTTCTTTTGTAGCAAAGAGAAAGCAGGCTCAGACAAAGTATTTAGCTGGAGGGCCATGGTTTTGTTCTCATTTATTATCTTTACAGTTACTTCTTACTTGGGGGAAGTGACACTGGGCTTTTATTTAAATTAGTGCCATAAAATTTCTCTTTAACATATATATTTTTTGTAGAAACAGGGTCTTGCTATGTTGCCCAGGCTGGTCTCAAACTCCTGGCCTCACGCCATCCTCCTGCCTTGGCCTCCCAAAACATTGAGATGACAGATGTGAGCCACTATGCCCGGCGAAAATTTTCTTTTTTATGCCATAAATTATTCTTTAAAAAAACTATTTCAGTAAAAATGGAGTCACTTAAAAAGAACGTTAAGCAAATACTAGTACAGATGACACAAGGACGTGGCAAGAATTGTGCATGTGGTACTGACGACAGAAATGGGGCAGCAGGAATCTGTTCCAAGTGTTTTCACTTCTCTGTGTGTTTGCCCATGCTGTTCCTTAATCCTAAGTGCCCTTTTCCCTACTCACTAATAATGGAACTCCTTTGCATCCTCCTTTATGAAGTCTTCCCTGATCCCTCTAGTGAGAGTTAATCACGCATGCCCATAGGACATTGCTTAACAATTGATTTAATACTATTACCATGCAGTGTGCAAGGGTGCGTATGTTATGTTATTCTTGTCTTAGTTATCACAGGGCTATATTCATATGCCTGTGTCTATTTTGATTGGAAGCCTTTTACAGGAAGGGGCCGTTTCTCAATCTATCTCCGTGGCTTCTTCAATGGCTTCTATGTGGCTATAGAAAAGAATGAATGGATGGAATTGAAATTCATGTTCACAATTATTTCATGCAATTTCCCCTCCTCCTGCAGATCTCTAGCTTGGTTTTCAACAGCTCATTTGCTTGACTCCCATTTCAGCTGCAGCATAAGTAGTAGTTACTGAGGCCTTTGTAGCACCTGCATTGTTCTTCAGCATAAATATTTTGCCAGGAAGTTTGTAGAATCATCAGAAACCATTCATGAGCAAGTTAACCCTAAGGTAAGGTAAAGCCAAAGAAAGGCCAGAAAAAGGGGTGTGTGTGTGTGTGTGTGTGTGTGTGTGTGTGTGCTGATGGAGCAGTAATCCATGGGGTTTAGAGCTGTACCATCTGGTTGACTTCGCTCTTCATTTGAAGCCTAAGAGACAAAATTCAGTGACCAAAGATAATGGTAATCTAAGCAGAAAGAAAGAGAGATAAATAAAATACTTGCAGTTTTTATACTCGAGCAGTCCTGTTATCCTTTTCAGAGTCTTAGATAAGGAGCTTTGCTCAGCCTGTGCGCGCTGAGGCAACGGGAAAGTGTGCAGAATTCCAAAGATAGATGCTGTTTCTGGAAAGAAGTCTGATTCTGCTACCCATGTTGTCTTCCAGAAAGAGAAAGGACAAAAAGATCTGGTACCACTACACCATCAATTAAATTGGATTAATGATGTTCTAAGTAGCTCCTAATAAAGCCCACTGTTTACTAATCTTATCTCTGTTAAGGAGGAATGATGTCAGAGTGCGCCTACAGAAGGGAAGGTGATAAAAATGGGAGGCAGCTTTATGGGAACATACCTTTTATCGCCTGATGAGACTTTCAAAGCATATCTGGCTGCTTTCTATAAAAAATAGCTCTGCTCATTTCACAGTATATTTTTCAAGAATATGAGGAGGGGCAACAGGCATGAGGCATCATGGTTAGCCATCTGGCTTTTCTTTTCCTCTTTTCAGGATTCTACTGCACTGAGGTGCAATCAACATGATAGTTTAATTGTACTCCAAGGAATGCTCCAGTACAATCAAGACTGACACATGGTGGTCTATGAAGTGAGAATCTTTATTTTTTTTAAAAAAAGCCTCCACCTAGTTGTCAGTCATTTACAAAAGACATTCAAGTTTTAATGACTGACGGCAATTGGACACATGTAACTGTCCTTCCCATGATAATTTTTTTCATTGGGTTTTAGCTGGCAGATCCAGGAAAAAAGCGAATGACAATAAAATTCTTACTATCAGGTTTTCTATAGGAAAACTATCAGGTTTCTCCTAAGGCTCCCCTGGTGCTCTGGCAAAGTGAATTGAAATAATTAATTATTTTGATCAATTTTACATTAAAAACTAATTTCTGCTTGTACCTTCTGTATCCTTTGTCAGGGCATAACCCTGTGGTTGGCTGATCTTTAAAAGAATATACAGCGTATCTGTTTCGGAGTTCATTGAAAGCAATTTACTACTCACATGTTAAATATGTGGGACAGTTGGTCTTGCTACAGCAATACAATTATTCTGGAAAAGAATTTTCAATGATGAAAATGAAAAAAGTTAAAATAGTTATAATTTACTGCTCTGGAGGGCTGGGCAGCTGTTTTCTGCCTCGATCTGTATTCTAATAAGTCTTTTAAATGAAGAGATTTATGAGATTATTTTAATTTTGATGTCTTTTTAATGCTTCATGCATTTTAAATACAACCTTTTAATAGTTTTTGAGATTGAAGAATTTAATTTTGTTTTATACTGCAGAAACAAATGTATTCTCAAGGGACCACACCACCATTATTGTAGTTCTTTCTTTCTTTTTTAAAATCAGCATATCCACTACATATAGCTCAATTTCCAACCAGAACCAATAAAGTTAGATTTCAACAAAGCCTTTTTCAGTTGGGGAGCTAGCAAATTAGAAGAAAGTGTACCTTGCTATGTTACAGAGTAACTGGTGCTAAGTAGACTTTTTGTAGGTTTAGATGTGTATTTACCCCAGTGGGGAAAAGATTTCTTGATGAAAAGGAGCCAACTTTATTTGGATGAATAGTCAGAGATATATGTGGATTGAATATGTATGTAACACGTGGCTTGAGAGCAAGAAATAGCCAAGTCAAACTCAAATTTTGCGGAGATCACTCTTGTGTGTATATAAAACTACAAAATGATTTCAAAATACAATATTATGGACAATATTCACCCAGGAACATATTTTTAAAAAGTAATAACTGATGCAATTAGATTTTTTGTAAGAATTTCATAATAATATTTTACTTTTACCTTTACTTTTTAGGCAGGGAAACCCATAAAGCTAAGGAAAGCTTTTATCGCCAAAGGATTTGAAGTACTCAAAACAGGCCTTTAAAAATGCAAACAGAAGGAATTACTCTTAACTAAAAGCTTTCCTCTGATATTTTAAGGCAATATTAATTACATTCCTAAGTTGCTTGAGACAATTTTACATGTGCTAATTGGTGTTATCAGGGGGTCATGAAACTTAGATCTCCATATTGTATCAGAGAGATTTGAAAGGCAGAACATTCTTGAATCCACTTACTATTTAAAAAAGGTGAGAGAGCAACATAGAAAGGCCACTAAAAATACCGCTTCAAACAATACTTCGTAACCTGGGAAATGCTCCCGATATAATATTGAATATAAAAATGAAAAGCAAGCAGGACAAAGCAGCGTACACAGTATCCCAGTGGTGAGAGAAAGCAGTTTATGATGACGTAAAAAATATTGTTAAAAAATAATTTGCAGAAAGTCAAATGACATTGTAAGTAGAGGTAATGTACATAAGTATACGTGCACATGTGCATAACATGCATATAAAAAACATTACAGTATTGACTTTATTTTGGGGTTGTGGAATTTAGGGTGGTTTTTCATTTTCTTTTTCATAATTTTCCACAATAAAAATGTTTTTATATAGTTCCAAAAAACTAATAAAAATATAACTATTTAATAATATTTCTGTATAGTAATGCATAAAAGGGGCCAGGATTTATTATATAAATTGCTACAAATTCTACCATTTTTGTTACAAGCATAGTATTTTCAAATAGTGATCTTCTCTTCATTTGTATTTGAGGGGCAAAAAAGTGCTAACTTCCTGTCTTGGGACTCTAATATGATTTTGAAGCTGGAAACCTAGACTTGTCTGGGGAATAATCATATTTCATGAACTCTTAGGATATGGCTGCTAAAACAGTTTTCACAGTGCTGCTTTTTGGAATTTTCTTTCAGTCATTTTCTCTGAAAAAAAAATAAGTTACTTACAATTCATGCCTTGATTAATGATTACTCAAGTTTTACTATACCATTAAAAACTCCAAACCCGTCCAAATTACTTTGTCAACTAAAAAGGAGGTCACAAACTCTCAACTAGTTTTTCCCCATTGGATCATATTGTGAGGACTGATGCTATTTAGACCTTTTTCTCTAATTTGTACCTTTAGAACAAAGCCTCCCTTAGCCCTTAGCTAAAATCTCTATAGTGGGGAATCCTGTCATTTGAATTGTTCTCCTGGACCTCAGTTTCTTGAGCTATCTAATGGGTCTGAGCTCTGTCTCACAGAGTTGTAGCACAATCAGAAAAGTTAATGCATGCAAATAATGCTATGCATGCAAAAGGCATAATACTATCCTTATTTATGTTATCATTATTAATAGTCATAAAGCCAGCCTCCCTCAGGGCCAGAACTCTGATTCTTCGTGTATCCTTGCAACATCTAATATTAATAATGGCTAACATTAGCTATGTGCTTATTATGATCCAGGTCTATTTCTAAGTACTCCACATACATTAATCTCACTTAATATTCGTAAGACCTCATGGGATAAATACTGTTATATCCATGTTGCAAATGAGGAACCAGAAGCACAGAGCTTTTCTGTAACTCATTGAGGGTCTCTAAGCTAATAATGTGGAGCTTGAATTTGAACCCCTCTGACTCTGGAGCCTCCTTCTAACCATTATAGGCCTTTATAGTATAAGCAAAATAAATTATTGTTATATGAGGGGACACATTATTATAGGTGCTAAGAAGTTCAGTTTCCATGGAAATGTTGGGGAAACAGTCTTTGTTAAACTTAAAATGAAACCAAGGCCTGTTAACAACAGACTGATCCAACTCTACCTCAGGGGTAGTGTTATTTGAGCATATTCAAAATTTTACTGAAAATGTTTTAAAAATAAAATTGTTTATTTTATTTTATTTACTACTGTAAATAGTATTCAACTAAAAATGCAGGGAAACTTGCTAATTTAGCACTTCAATAACACTTCATACTAGAACTGTCTGCCATCTTTATTTCTTTGTTTTCAGGAAAATTGGAGAGAAAAGTATTTCTTTTTTAAAAATGATTATTATACTTTAAGTTCTGGGATACATGTGCAGAACGTGCACGTTTGTTACATAAGTATACACGTGCCATGGTGGTTTGCTGCACCCATCAACCCGTCATCTACATTAGGTATTTCTCCTAATGCTATCCCTCCCCTAGCCCCCCACCCTCCAACAGGCTCCAGTGTGTGATGTTCCCCTCCCTGTGTCCATGTGTTCTCATTGTTCAACTCCCACTTATGAGTGAGGACATGCAGTGTTTGATTTTCTGTTCCTGTGTTACTTTGCCGAGAATGATGGCTTCCAGATTCATCCATGTCCTTGCAAAGGACATGAACTCATCCTTTTTATGGCTGCATAGTATTCCATGGTGTATATGTGTCACATTTTCTTTATCCAGTCTATCAATGATGGGCATTTGGGTTGGTTCCAAGTTTTTGCTATTGTGAAGTGTGCTGCAATAAACATACATGTGCATGTGTCTTTATAGTAGAATGGTTTATAATCCTTTGGGTATATACCCAGTAATGGGATGGCTGGGTCAAATGGTATTTCTGGTTCTAGATCCTTGAGGAACCGCCACATTGTCTTCCACAATGGTTCAACTAATTTACGCTCCCACCAACGATGTAAAAGTGTTCCTATTACTCCACATCCTCTCCAGCATCTGTTGTTTCCTGACTTTTTAATGATTGCCATTCTAACTGGTGTGAGATGGTATCTTATTATGGTTTTGATTTACATTTCTCTAATGAGCTTTTTTTCATATGTTTGTTGGCCACATAATTGTCTTCTTTTGAGAAGTGTCTGTTCATATCCTTTGCCCACTTTTTGATGTTTTTTTTTTCTTGTAGATTTGTTTAAGTTCCTTGTAGATTCTGGATATTATCCCTTTGTCAGATGGATAGATTGCAAAAATTTTCTTCCATTCTGTAATTTGCCTGTTCACTCTGATGATAGTTTCTTTCTTTCTTTCTTTCCTTCCTTCCTTCATCCCTCCCTCTCTCCCTCCCTCCCTTTCTCCCTCTCCCTTTCTTTCTTTCTTTCTTTCTTTCTCTTTCTTTCTTTCTTTCTTTCTTTCTTTCTCTTTCTTTTTCTTTCTTTCTTTCTTTCTCTTTCTTCCTTTCTCTCTTTCTCTCTTTCTCTCTCTCTTTCTCTCTTTCTCTCTTTCTTTCTTTCTTTCTTTCTTTCTTTCTTTCTTTCTTTCTTTCTTTCTTTCTTTCTCTCTCTCTCTCTCTCTCTCTTTCTTTCTTTCTTGATGGAATCTCACTCTTTTGCCAGGCTGGAGTGCAGTGGCATGATCTCAGCTCACTACAATCTCCACCTCCTGGGTTCAAGCAATTCTCCTGCCTCAGCCTCCTGTGTAGCTGGGCCTACCAGCATGCGCTACCAGCATGAGCTACCATGCTCAGCTAATTTTTGTATTTTTAGTAGAGATGGGGTTTCACCATGTTGGCCAGGATGGTCTCGATCACTTGACCTCATGATCCACCCGCCTCAGCCTAACAAAGTGCTGGGATTACAGGCATGAGCCACCACGCCCAACCTGATGATAGTTTCTTTTGCTGTGCAGAAGCTCTTTAGTTTAATTACATTCCATTGGTCAATTTTGGCTTTTGTTGCCATTGCTTTTGGTGTTTTAGTCATGAAGTCTTTGCCCATGTCTATGTCCTGAATGGTATTGTCTAGGTTTTCTTCTAGGGTTTTTTATGGTTTTAGGTCTTACATTTAAGTCTTTAATCCATCTTGAGTTAATTTTTGTATAAAGGTATAAGAAAAGGGTCCAGCTTCAGTTTTCTGCATATGGCTAGCCAGTTTTCCCAACACCATTTATTAAATAGGGAATCCTTTCCCCGTTGCTTGTTTTTGTCAGATTTGTCAAAGATCAAATTTTGTCAGATGTGTGGCGTTGTTTCTGAGGCCTCTGTTCTGTTCCATTGGTCTATGTATCTGTTTTGGAACCAGTACCATGCTGTTTTGGTTACTGTAGCCTTGTAGTATAGTTTGAAGTCGGGTAGCATGATGCCTCCAGCTTTGTTCTTTTTGCTTAGGATTGTCTTTGCTATACGGGCTCTGTTTGGTTCCATATGAAATTTAAAGTAGTTTTTTCTAATTTTGTGAAGAAAGTCAATGGTAGCTTGATGGGAATAGCATTAAATCTATAAATTACTTTAGGCAGTATGGCCATTTTCACAATATTGATTCATCCTATCCATGAGCATGGAATGTTTTTCCATTTGTTTGTGTCCTCTCTTATTTCCTTGAGCAGTGGTTTGTAGTACTCCTTGAAGAGGTCTTCACATCCCTTGTAAATTGGATTCCTAGGTATTTTATTCTCTTTGTAGCAATTGTGAATGGGAGTTCATTCATGATTTGGCTCTCTGTTTGTCTATTATTGGTGTATAGGAATGCTTGTGATTTGTGCACATTGACTTTGTAGCCTGAGAATTTGCTGAAGTTGCTTATTAGCTTAAGGAGATTTTGGGCTGAGACGATGGAGTTTTCTAAATATGCAATCATGTCATCTGCAAACAGAGACAATTTGACTTCCTTTCTTCCTATTTGAATACCCTTTATTTCTTTCTCTTGCCTTATTGCCCTGTCCAGAACTTCGAATACTATGTTGAATAAGAGTGGTGAGAGAGGGCATCCTTGTCTTGTGCCGGTTTTCAAAGAGAATGCTTCCAGCTTTTGCCCATTCAGTATGATATTGACTGTGGGTTTGTCATAAATAGTTCTTATTATTTTGAGATACATTCTGTCAATACCTAGTGTATTGAGAGTTTTTAGCATGAAGGGGTGTTGAATTTTATCGAAGGCCTTTTCTGCATCTATTGAGATAATCATGTGGTTTTTTCATTGGTTCTGTTTATGTGATGGATTATGTTTATTGATTTGCATATGTTGAACCAGCCTTGCATCCCAGGGATGAAGCTGACTTGATCATGGTTGATAAGCTTTTTGATGTGCTTCTGGATCCAATTTGCCAGCATTTTATTGAGAATTTTCGCACTGATGTTCATCAGGGGTATTGGCCTGAAATTTTCTTTTTTTGTTGTGTCTCTGCCAGGTTTTGGTGTCAGGATGATGCTTGCCTCATAAAATGTGTTAGGGAGGAGTCCTTCTTTTTCTGTTGTTTGGAATAGTTTCAGAAGTAATGGTACCAGCTCCTCTGTGTACCTCTGGTACAATTTGGCTGTAAATCCTTCTGGTCCTGGGCTTTTTTTGGTTGGTAGGCTATCAATTTCTGCCTCAATTTCAGAACATGTTATTGGTCTATTCAGGGATTCGGCTTCTTCCTGGTTTAGTCTTGCGAGGGTGTATGTGTCCCAGAATTTATCCATTTTTTCCAGATTTTCTAGTCTATTTGCGTAGAGGTGTTTATAGTATTCTCTGATGGTAGTTTGTATTTCTGTGGGATCAGTGGTGATATCCTCTTTATCATTTTTATTGTGTCTATTTGAGTCTTCTCTCTTTTCTTCTTTATTAGTCTGGCTAGTGGTCTATCTATTTTGTCAATCTTTTCAAAAAACCAGCTCCTGGATTCATTGAGTTTTTGAAGGGGTTTTTGTGTCTCTGTCTCCTTCAGTTTTGCTCTGATCTTAGTTATTTCTTGCCTTTTGCTAGCTTTTGAATTTGTTTGCTCTTGCTTCTCTAGTTCTTTCAATTGTGATATTAGGGTGTCGATTTTAGATCTTTCCTGCTTTCTCCTGTGGGCATTTAGTGCTATAAATTTCCCTCTAAACACTGCTTTAGCGGTGCCCCAGAGATTCTGGTACGTTGTGTCTCTGTTCTCATTGGTTTCAAATAACGTATTTATTTCTTCCTTAATTTTGTTATTTACCCCCCAGTAGTCATTTGGGAGCAGGTTGTTCAGTTTCCATGTAGTTGTGCAGTTTTCGGTGAGTTTCTTAATCCTGAGTTCTAATTTGATTGCACTGTGGTCTGAGAGACTGTTTGTTATGATTTCTGTTTGCATTTGCTGAGGCATGTTGTACTTCCAATTATGTGGTCAATTGTAGAATAAGTGCTATGTGGTGCTGAGAAGAATGTATATTCTGTTGATTTAGGGTGGAGAATTCTGTAAATGTCTATTAGGTCTGCTTGGTCCAGAGCTGAGTTCAAGTCCTGAATATCCTTGTTAATTTTCTGTCTCGTTGATCTGTCTAATATTGACAATGGGGTGTTAAAGTCTCCCACTATTATTGTGTGGGAGTCTAAGTCTCTTTATAGCTCTCTAAGAGCTTGCTTTGTGAATCTGGGTGCTCCTGTATTGGGTGCATATATATTTAGGATAGTTAGCTCTTCTTGTTGCATTGATCCCTTTACCATTATGTAATGCTCTTCTTTGTCTTTTTTGACCTTTTTTGGTTTAAAGTCTGTTTTATCAGAGACTAGGATTGCAACCCTTGCTTTTTTTTTTTTTTTTTTTGCTTTCCATTTGCTTGGTAAATATTCCTCCATCCGTTTATTTTGAGCCTATGTGTGTCTTTGCATGTGAGATGGGTCTCCTGAATACAGCACATTGATAGGTCTTGACTCCATCCAATTTGCCAGTCTGTGTCTTTTAATTGGGGCATTTAGCCCATTTACATTTAAGGTTAATATTGTTATGTGTGAATTTGATCCTGTCATTATGATGTTAGCTGGTTATTTTGCCTGTTAGTTGATGCAGTTTTTTCCTAGCATCAATGGTCTTTACAATTTGGTATGTTTTTGCAGTGGCTGGTATCGGTTTTTCCTCTCCATATTTAGTGCTTCCTTCATGAGCTCTTGTAAGGCAGACCTGGTGGTGACAAAATCTCTCAGCATTTGCTTGTCTGTAAAGGATTTTATTTCTCCTTCACTTATGAAGCTTAGTTTGGCTGGATATGAAATTCTGGGTTGAAAATTCTTTTCTTTAAGAATGTTGAATATTGGCCCCCACTCTCTTCTGGTTTGTAGGGTTTCTGCAACTAACAGAGGGATCCACTGTTAGTCTGATGGGCTTCTATTTGTGGGTAACCTGACCTTTTCCTCTGGCTGCCCTTAACATTTTTTCCTTCATTTCAACCTTGGTGAATCTGAAGATTATGTGGCTTGGGGTTGCTCTTCTCGAGAAGTATCTTTGTGGCGTTCTCTATATTTCCTGAATTTGAATGTTGGCTTGTCTTGCTAGTTTGGGAAGTTCCCCTGGATAATATCTGGAAGAGTGTTTTCCAACTTGGTTGCATTCTCCCCATCACTTTCAGGTACAACAATCAAATGTAGGTTTGGTCTTTTCACATAGTCCCATATTTCTTGGAGGCTTTGTACATTCTTTTTCATTGTTTTTTCTCTAGTCTTGTCTTCACACTTTATTTCATTAAGTTAATCTTCAATCTCTGATATCCTTTCTTCTGCCTGATTGATTCGGCTATTGATACTTGTGTATGCTTCACAAAGTTCTCGTGATGTGTTTTTCAGCTCCATCAGGTCATTTATGTTCTTCTCTAAACTGGTTATTCTAGTTAGTGATTCCTCTATCCTTTTTTCAAGGTTCTTAGCTTCCTTGCATTGGGTTAGAACATGCTCCTTTAGCTCGGAGGAGTTTGTTATTACCTACCTTCTGAAACCTACTTCTGTCAATTGGTCAAACTCATTCTCCGTCCAGCTTTTTTCCCTTGCTGGCGAGGAGTTTTGATCCTTCGAAGGAGAAGAGGCATTTTGGTTTCCGGAATTGTCAGCCTTTTTGTGCTGGTTTTTCCTCACCTTTGTGGATTTATCTACCTTTGGTCTTTGATATTGGTGATGTTCAGATGGGCTTTCTATGTGGATGTTCTTTCTGTTGATGTTGATGCTATTCCTTTCTGTTTGCTAGTTTTCCTTCTAATAGGCCCCTCTGCTGCAGGTCTGCTGAAGTTTGCTGGAGGTCCACTCCAGACCCTGTTTGCGTGGGTATCACCAGCTGAGGCTGCAGAATAGCAAAGATTGCTGCCCGTTCCTTCCTCTGGAAGCTTCTTCCCAGAGAGTCAGCCAGCTGGAGCTCTCCTGTATGAGGTGTCTATCAACCCCTGCTGGGAGGTATCTCCCTGTCAGGAGGCATGGGGGTCAGGGACCCACTTGAGGAGGCAGTCTGTCCCTTAGCAGAGCTCAAGCACTGTGCTGGGAGATCTGCTGCTCTCTTCAGAGCCAGCAGCAGGAACGTTTAAGTCTGCCGAAGCTGCGTCCACAACCACCCCTTCCCCCAGGTGCTCTGTCCCAGGGAGATGGGAGTTTTATCTATAAGCCCCTGACTGGTGCTGCTGCCTTTGGAAAAAAGTATTTCTTAAAAAATATTTACAGACACTGACTGTATAGAGAACAAGGTACCTGTCAGTATCATTTTAATGAGTCATACTTGCAAATGGATAACTACATTTAACCTTGTATCAGTTCTAAACAGGGCTTCCGAGCCTACAGATGAGTCACAGTCTACAAATAGTCTACAAACATGTCTAGATACATTTCAGAATTCTTTTTTTCTTACGTAGCAGTTTCCTTTCCATTGGTTTTGGTCCCCAGTTGTTCTCCCTCCTCCCTCCCTTACTTCCTGCCTTTTAAGTTCTGAAAGTTCTTATAAGAACATTAAGGGAAAATTTGAAATAAGAAACCCAAACAATTCTTATTCCTTCATTCTTGCAACACAGCTTTATTTTCCCCCAAGTTTGAGTTATCTTTAAGAGTTTTTTGGTTTGTACGTATAATTTATAATTAAATGATTGCAGTCAAAGTGAACAATTTTATTCAGCTTTGTTTCATGCAATTAGTGACTGTACATTATTTCATTAAGTTAATGTCTACAATTCATGTAGTTTTTTTCTCCATTGTTGAATTTTTAGGTTTTCTCTAAGTTTTTGTTCTTATAATGTCCGACTGAATATTTTTGTTCATATAGCATTTTCTCCTATTATGTAATAAATTCCTAAAAGCAGATTTATTGGGTTAGAAATAATAAATGTTTTTGTGGATTCCAATACATATAATGAATTTGATATTTCTAGGTGAGTGGAAGGAAAGAATGATATAGACTTTTATCTCAATATGGATTGAAGTTCCTAACATTAAGTTGGGTAGTCCAATGAGAACCACAACACAAATGAAGTTTCTTAAATTTCTTTCTAAACTTCTTCAACTACTTTGTACTATAAAAGTGGATTTTTATCTAATCAACCTCAGGTCTACCTAATGATGAAAGAGTTGTATAGCTAATTTAAAACATCTTGGCTATTCAGCAGATAATCTAGACAACAATTAATTCATTCCTGGTACCACGTTATTTGTAGCTATAAACTTTATTCTTTATATTGGTCAACTCTTTCAATTACTTGAGTAACACCACAGTTTAAGGTGAGACTTTGGAAATGAGATTGTAGGATTTTTTTGTGCTAGCAAAACACTTTGTGAACATGAGTTTTAGCTAGATAATGCTGATGTCTTAAGAGCAAGCATTTGGACATGTATTGTCATATCTTGGTTTTGTAGCTGGACGACTATATTTTTATTAGGTGAAAAACAATGACTTCATTTCTTGGGTAATCATTACTGCAGTTGCAGCTAGTTACCTTTTAATAAACAATCAGTGCCTTTCTTTTGTGGTCCTGTGTTTACTTCTAATTTTGGTGCTTTCTTTCCCAGTTCATGGTTAAGTTTGTGGAAAGAGTTGCCACACTCTCCTTAAATCTGAATTATCCATAAGCTCCTGTTCATGCTACCCACTGAAACTGCTCCAGCAATGGTCAATGAGGATTTGTACTGTGAAGCCTAAATGACACATTTTGGCCCGTATCTTACCTGATCTCTGTAGTATTTCACAACTGAGATCACTCCCTTCTTGAAAGCCTCTGCTCCTCAGCTCCCATGACCTCTCTGGCTGACCATTCTGTCTCTGTTTCCTCTTCAGGCTCTGTGTGTCTGCCTCCAAATGTTGATGTCTCCCAATTGTCAGAGCTCCTTCCTCATTTAGCCCAATCTTCTATGGTGATTCCATCCATTCCTTTTTTTTTTTTTTTTAAATCACACAGCTACATGCTGAGTGTTTTCAAATCTCTTCTTCTACCCTTCACTTATGACTTGCTTACTAATCCATGCAGCCTGCTGTTTATTTATAATCATCTTTAATTCTACACATCTCAAATCACTGGCTTTTTGCCCAGATCCACTTGATTTAGGTAACGACACCACTGTCCAGTCAATTACCCAGTCTAGAAACCTGGGAAGGGCTTTAGACGCTCTTCTCATTCACCTCTGTGTAACTGGCCATTAAGACATGTCGATTCTGTTTCTTAACTATCTCTGGAACTTTTTTTCTTTCTGTTTCCATGGATCCTCCCTGGGTTAAACCCGTCAGAATCTCCTAACTGGTATCACTGACTCTCGTCTTGTCTTCCCTCCAATCCTCTGCTTGTTGAAGTCAGAGCAAGCTAAATGACTCCGCTAATTTTACTACTTTCTTGATCTAACCTCTCCATGCCTCCTTTCCCAGTATCATCTACACATCATCCAAAAAGGATGAGGCTGGACTCTTTCCTACAGTAATCAAGGTCTTCCATAATCTGGCATGTGCCATCTCCATGATCATCTTCTTTGATTCCTGATCGTATTCTTTGCTCCAGTGAAGCTCTTCAAGCTCTCTGTTGTTTCTCGTGCCTCCTGCTTCTGTGCCTCTGCATATGTGATTCCCTCTGTCTAGACTGCTCTCTTTATTAGTGAATACTGCCTTTCTTTAAGACACACTTAAAGGTTTTCTTCCTTCTACCCTGAATTTCCACCTTGAGTTACTCCCATGTACTGTGCTCTCAGCTCTCAAAGAGATCTTAAAGGGCAAGATTTATGATTTTGTTTCCCTTTAAATAACATTAATGTCCCATGATTAAAAAAAAAACTATATATTTTATTGTTAAGGATTTAAATAATAGGCCAGGCACGGTGGCTCAGGCCTGTAATCCTAGCACTTCTGGAGGCCGAACAGGCGGATCACCTGAGGTCAGGAGTTCGAGACCAGCCTGGCCAACATGGTGAAACCCTGTCTTTACTAAAAATACAAAATTAGCCAGGTGTGGTGGGGCGCGTCTGTAATCCCAGCTACTTGGGAGGCTGAGGCAGAAGAGTCACTTGAACCCGGGAGGTGGAGATAGCAGTGAGCCGAATCGTGCCATTGCACTCCAGCCTGGGCAAAAAGAGCAAAACTCTTTCTCAAAAAAAAAAAAAAAGAATTTAAATAATAAAGTTCAAAGAAAGAAATAAAACCACACATATGCCCACCACTCACATTTATTTCATCCAGTTTGCTTAAATGTTTATAGATAATTATTTCTTTTTCATAATGGACATCACAGGGCATAGATAAATTTGTGACCTTTTCCAAAGTTAATATATTGTGAAAATTTTCCTGTATTTTCCAAAAACCTAATTATTATTTTATTTTTATATTGATATATAATATTTTACATATTTATGAGGTACATGTGATATTTTGTTACATGCATAGAATGTATAATGATCAGTATTTGACTTATTTGCCTGTTTATCTAATTTCTATGTGTTGGGAACATTTCATGTTCTCTCTTTTAGCTACTTTGAAATATACAATGCATTGTTGCTAACTATAGTCACCCTACTCTGCTATCCAACGTTAGAACTTATACCATCTGTCTAATTGTATGTTTCTACCTATTAACCAACCTCTCTTTATCACCTCCTCCAACCCATACACCCTTTCCAGCCTCTGGTATTTGTTATTCTACTCTCTACATCCATGGTATCAACTTCAAAAACATAATTATTAATGGCTGTATTATATTTGATATTATTATATCATATAGACATGCGATAATTTATTTAATCATGTCTTATTGATGCGTATGTAAGTTTTCTTTTCAATTTTAATATGATAAAGCTTTGTTGAATAACCTTTTTCTTGATATTTAACAGATTTCATGAAATAGAAGGGGACAAAGAAGATTTACCACAATACAAGTCTAATTTTTCTCAAACTTAACAAATTGCATCAAAAGCAGATTTTTATGAATAGTAAGGACTGCCTGGTATAATAAAACTCCATTAACCCTTTAGATGTTTTTGTAAAAGCAGTATTGATAATTAAACATGTTTTTAAGAAACCTAATCTTTGCTATAGATTAGTCATATAGAATGTGTGAGAGTGAGGGTTGCTAAGAGAACTTCAGCTTTCCCATTTTCTGATTTTGCAGTAATATAGCTTTTTATGTAACTAGTTCATATTTGTGAAGTGCTTTGAAGATGAAAGCTATTATGTAAGGGCAAAATCACTTCATAAAAATGTTACATATAAAATACAAAAATCCATAGACAGACTCTAAGATTTTCAAAGTAACATCAACTCTTTCATGAAATCATTTATAACCACCATCTTTTGACTAGTAATCCAGGATTCATTTATAGATTATTCTTGGAGTATTTTAGTGTTATCCGTTACGGTGAAATTGTTTTTACAGTCAAAGGCAGTGTGGTTAGGAATGATGTTTTTTTTTTAACCATGGTTATTGAAGTTGTAGCACAGTTTATAAATAGGTAAAGATAAGTAAAAATTGGCTATAAATATAAATCTTTCTTTCTGCTATCCTACATTACAACTACACAGATTGGTATTTTATTTATTTGTTTATTTATTTATTTTGAGATGAATTCTAACTCTGCTGCCCAGGCTGGAGTGCAGTGGCATGATCTCTGCTCACTGTAGCCTCTGCCTCCCAAGTTCAAGTGATTCTCCTGCCTCAGCCTCCTGAGTAGCTGGGACTACAGGCATGCGCAGCCATGCCCAGCTAATTTTTGTATTTTTAGTAGAAATGGGGTTTTACCATGTTGGCCAGGCTGGTCTCAAACTCCTGACCTCAGGTGATCTACCCACCTCAGCCTCCCAAAGTGCTGGTATTACAGGTGTGAGCCACTGCGCCCAGCCCAGATTAGTATTTTAAAGAACAAGATTTCATCATGTGTTGTTTAGGTTGTAAAGCTGAAGCAATCGTAAATTACAGATTATCTTATTTCTGTGGCATATTCAAAGAAAGATTGTACATTCTGTGTGAGTAATGGACCTGGAGAGTTAGCTAGGTATTAAAATAAAGGTTTTCCCTGCATGCAACTGTGAACAATATTCCACAGAAACAATATGTCATCCCCAAATTCAAGGTGTCCTGATGTCAGCATTTGACCCTTTTAGTCACACAATAATTTTCAGTTTAAAATATTGCTTTTAAAGTTTCTCTGGATCCCCCACTTATTACATACCTATTACTGACATGAAGTTTCACTGCTGTATCCTGAAATCGACGCTACATTTTTTCAGTGATTTCTTGTAATGACAGTAACACTTTTCACACAGACACATCTCAACTCACGGACTCCAAATGCCCACGAAACCATCCTATGATATGTGCTCTCTTTGGCCAGGATTGAAACTCAATTATAGTGAATTTAAAAACAGGAACCGAGAATCAGGCTGAACTTCAGTATAACTGACACACCGTAGTTGGAGTCCAGGAATTTTGCTTTTATGCCTTTCTGCTGGGGTTGATGCATATTTATGCAATACAACGTCAACTTTGGAAATTGAAAACAAGTGAAATATTTTCTATTTATTTATTTATGTATTACTTTTGGCTTCTACTTGTGCCTATTTCTGGGCACCTCCTTTCTAGCTTCCTCCCTGATCCCCTACCCCGCTGCCCCACTCTGGGCTGGGTTGGCTTTTAGGGGTATTTAAGCCTAGGCATACTCAAAGTGTGATAAAATTAATGTTGTTCTAGAAATCTTTCTTTTTTTCCCCTTGGCTTCTGACCTTTTTGTGCACTTGAAATTGCATTTAATATTTCATTACTACAGGTCTTTCCATTTAATTTCCTAGATTTTTTTTTCACGTGAAAAAAAATCTACAAATTTGGCTTTGCAGTACAGAATTATGGGGTCTAATAATTCTCCAGTCCATGACAGTTCAGTAACTGGTGCCCTCCAGCATTTTTATTGCACACGATTTTATTGCTAAAAGGTTAGGCCATTTGACCATTTTATTTTAGACTTATCCATCAAACATTACTTGCAGAGAATTAAAATCATGCACAATGTAAAATATAACCAACATTTAGTCATTTTCCTTGAAAGGGGTATCCTTAACCTCACCATGAGAAGGACCCCTAACCTACAAATACAACACATAACAAATGGATACGTGATCACGGAAAGGTAGGTAAGTTCATCGTGTAGGTATGTCTGGTACTTCGTGCAGCTAACCATATAGTAATGAAGGTAATGAATAAGTATTTCCCTAATAGTCTTCCTTTTTTAGGCACCCATAAATATTTCTAGAACATTGACCTTTAGTCAAATGGTGAATTCTTTTATCCTGACATGACAACGGAAAGATCAGTGAGCTAGTTAGGGAAACTCTCTTGCAATTCGTTTTATTTTCCAAATGGCTCAAAAACGGCTTAAAACTTTAGGACTGGAATTTCATAAAATTTACAACTTTTCGGGTGACTGGGAAATGGAAGGATGCTTTATTCAGTTGGGCATATTCTTTTGACTGCCTGAAGATTGACCTATCAATGGAACTGATTGGATTTGTCCTTGACGTGACAGGCTTTCATGAAGAGCTGACCGCTTTGGCAAGCCCTCCTCTTCACCCCCTACAGGGCTGAATTGCCGAAGTATCATTTGCTCCATAGGACTTGCGGTAAATACCTGATTGTTTTCGGAGTTCACTTGTTTGATGGAAGGCTCTTGTCCTGCCTGTGGTGGGAACCGTATATGCTTATGTGTGCTAAATGCATTAGAAACTATGCATCACACTTCAAAGTTCCTTAATGATGTTGATGATAATCTTTAATGATAATTTCCCAAAGGAAAGTAAAATGTATGGGCTGTTAGGTGTTCTTTAATGTGTGAATGGAAAGGCATGACAGGAAATAAAAGTGTGCAGTATTTTTTTTTTTCTTGGTGCAATGTCTGCCATCTTGCACAATCCACGCAAATGATTTCTGACAATGTTACCCACAATATCACTAGTAACCATTTGGTATGGCAAGTCACTGTGGGCCTGTTCTGCCTTTCCTCTTCACCCTTGGACCCCCTGTTTGTCCAAGACCATGACAGTTCCCACTTAGGAGTTTGGGTTTGCTCTCTTTATAGGGCTGCTTTTATCTCACTCTTCCACCTGAACCTAAATACCTCCGTTCAGAGAAAGCATCCCTGTGAGCCCTGTCTAAAGTGGGCTATCTCCATTTTTGTCTATCGCGACCCCCTTTTTATTCCCATGCTGGCTCTAGTCTCTGTTTTTGCTAGCTTTAATTATTCCCCTCACACCTCCTCCCACCATAATATAAGCTCTATCGTCTGCCTTGTGATTTACCGTATCCCCAGCTTGTACTGCGCTGCCTGGTATAGAGTAGTTGCTTAATAAATATTTGTTGAATGAATTGATGCACAAATGATGGATCTGAGCATGATTCTTGCTTCAACTAGTTAATGTGACATTTTCCTTTTAACTGCCTTTTTGGTCTATGCCCTGTTCGACTCTTAAAGAAGCTGACTGATTTTGATAAAATTTGGTACACTGCACCGTGTAAGTCCCACCTTGAATTGGATTTATAACTCAGTCTGTCATCTTGAATCCAAATGGTGGCCGATAAACTTGACAAATCGGACTTTGAGCAGATTTCAGTACAGTTTGGGACATGGATCAATGTATCATTTAACTGAAATGTGTGGTGTCTAAATTTCACAAACCTTAACCCTAACCTTCACCCAACTCAACCTGATTTTCCTTTTTAATAATACTGTTTTCTTCAAAACTTCACATTTGGGGCCTGATTAAAAATGGCTTAGGAAAAGAAAATCAACCTGGAGTTTTAATGGTGGATATTTGGTTATTTTCTCTGAAAGTCCCCACGTATCCCAACCTGACAGGGATGATAGTGGACACAGGTTTCTTTTTTTTTTTTTTTTAGGGTGGGGGGTTGGTGGATGTTTGGATCATTTCTACTTTTTGACTATTACTAATAATGCCGCTATAAACATGCAGGTGCAGGTTTTCATGTGGACACGTTTTCATTTCTCTTGAGCATATACTTAGGAGTGGAATTGTTGGGTCATATAGTAACACCATGTTTAATTTTTTCCAAATAGTCTGGCAATTCCTCAAATTAATAGTGCACATTTTTACAGTTGCATCATCATGGTATGAGGGTTTCAATTTATTCACATCCTTGCCAACACTTGTTAGTATCTGACTTGTTGATTCTAGCAATCCTAGTGGGTGTGAAGTGGCATCTCGTGTTTTTGATTTCCATTTCCCTGATGACTCAGTGATACTGAGCATCTTTTCTTGTGCTTACTGGCTGTTCGTATACCTCATTTAGAGAAATGTCTCTTCAGATCCTTGGCCCTTTTTTTTTTAACATTTATTTTAAGTTCAGGGGTACACGTGCAGGTTTGTTACATAGGTAAACTTGTGTCATGGGGGTTTGCTATACAGATTATTCCATCACTCAGGTATTAAGCCTAGAACTCCTTAGTTGCTTTCCCTGATCCTCTCCCTCCTTCCACCCCCACCCTCTGATAGACCCCAATGTGCGATGTTCCCCACTATGAGGACACAAGGTTTCTTCGTGATTCCTGGCAACCAGGCCACATGGAAAGGTTTCAAAATATAGAGTGACAGGGTAGGACTGTTCGTTAACTTTCCCTGAGTGAGTCTAGACCAGCAGCCAGGGATAGAGGCAGATAGAAGAAAAGAAATACCAACTTGGGTCAATGAAATGGAGGCTTTTCTAAATGGAAAAATCTGTCCCTCCCAGGGGTGTTAACCATCATCTTTTGGCCACAGGAAGCAGTTTGAATGTTGTAGGAAAATTTTAACTCTGATATCTGGGATCACCTCTTAGAAATCTATGACATCCTGTATGAGGTTTCATGTATTTTTGGATTGGAAAAATACTGACAAGTGGTGTTTTAAGAAACGTCAGTGCCTCCTTGGTTTTGTTTTGATTTCTGTGTGTCTGTGCTCAGTGCTAGGTCCTTTTGCTAGAGAATTTGCATCGTTGTTCCTCAGTGATTTATTTGTGTTTGCTATCACATAGCAATTGCCAGGTTCCAAAACACTGGAAAAGCCAGTGTCAACACAGAAAGTGAAAAAGGTGAAAATAAAGACAGCAGATTACTTGCTATTTGCAGTGGCAAATTCTGACCTCAGTACTGTAGATATATAGTCTCATGAATGGGCAACCTATCAATTTTTTATTTGATCTATTCTTAAAAACACAGCTGTCTTTTGATATCTTAATCCTGTGCTCTCCTTTTTCCCACCCACAACCTTGTTCCTTGTCTCTCGTTTATAAATTTGTATAACATGCCTCATTTCTTCCTTTCAATTTGTTTTCTGATAGTAAGAGACATTTTTATTCATTATAGATTTGCAGTCTGCAGAAATATACAGGGAAGAGCCTAGAAATGACCCAGAAATTCAATATTTAGAGACAAACGATATTAACATTTTAGCGTGTTCCCTTCCAGCTTTATTCCTATGCCTAAATATGCACTGATAGGGAAAAGCTAATTTTGAACAGCAGTCTTACTCACAGCTTTGTGCTGAACATTTTCCTTGCCGCTTAATCTCAGTGGTCTGAGAAATTCTTTCCATGGCCCTGCCAAAGCTGGAAAGGGCAAATATCTTCTATTTTGCTCATCTTTTTCCTCCTCCATCTGCTGCAGACACCTCTTTGCCCCAGTATCGCCAGACCCGACTGTTTCCTCATTAGGTCCCTTTGACCATTAGCCTCTCTTTTCCTGCTGCTCACGCCGCAGGAGTCCGGGACTGGCCTACTTATCTCATGGCCTGCAGTTTTGTGAGTTCACACTTGTAGCTTCTCCCTTCCAGAATGTAGAACTGGACTGTGTTTCTGCTTCTGTGCAGCCGATGGGAGGGAAGACGATGCTCATGGCAGGGAGTCAGAGCTCTGAAGCTCTAAGTGTCCCCCGGGCTGGTGTTGATCTGCTTAGCCAAAGACTGCTCTTAAGGATTCTAGAAATTCAGCCTGACTTTCCGCCAGCTCTCTCCTCTGTGAGCACAGAACCTCCTTCACTTCCAAGTTGTAGGAAGGAAGTAGTAACATTTATTCAGCATTTGTACTTTGTATACATTCACTCTTCACAAGGATCCATGAAATAGCTATTATTATCCCCATTTTGGAGATGAGAATGTTGAGGCTTAGAGAGATTAATAAAGTAGCTTGCTCAAGACTACACACAGTGAGATTCAAAACCAGGCCTGTGTAGCTACAAAGCCTATATTTTTCACCAAACTCAAAAGTTCTTTTCGGTAGAAAAATAAACTTCAGATCTTTGGTGTGGGCCGTTCTCTGGATAAGACTAAGAACTGCAAGTGTAGCCAAGGCAAAAGCGTTTACTGATAAGGGCTGTGTAGAACAAATAGAAACGAGAAAAGGCCACCAGCCCCTGAGTTAGCATTAAGGACTCAAAGACTGTCAGGGCTAGAAAGAAGCTTAGAGTTGATTTAAGCTGGAGATCCTCAACCCTAGCTGCATAGCAGAACCACAGGGGAAGCTTAAAAAACTACAAATGCCTAGCACACAGGAACCTAGCCAACAATTTCTAGGTGTGAGCCCTGGTGTGGGCGTTTTTATAAAGCTCTTCAGGTGATTCTTACGTGGAACCAACTTTGAGAACCACTGATTTAGGTAAACTCCCTTATTTGGCATTTAAGTTAACTCAAAGCCAATGAGTTAAATGACGTGCTCAAGGTCGCAAAGTTGGTTAGGGTAAGACTGGGAAGTAGAATGTAGCTCATGTGCCTTAGTTTAGTGGCTGTCTGGGGTGAATGGAATGAGCTGGAGCTTGAACAAATTGGAAACACATATGCTTCTCCCAAACTCTGGAGGCAAGAGAGAGAGATGAAACTTTATCAGTGTCCCTTCCATAAGTAGCACTAGGGAGTTTCAGAAGAGAGGCAACCTTATTTCATTCTACTGACTTTTTTTTTTCTTTTATTTTGAGACAGAGTCTTGGTCTGTTACCCAGGCTGGAGTGCAGTGGCATGATCTGGTCTCACTGCAACCTCTACCTCCCAGGTTCAAACGATTCTCTTGCCTCAGTCTCCTGAGTAGCTGAGACTACAGGCACGCACCACCATGCCTGCCCAATTTTTTTTTTTTTTTGTATTTTTTGTGGAGATGGGGTTTCATCATGTTGGCCAGGCTAGTCTTGAACTCCTGACCTCAGGTGATCCTCCCGCCTCGGCCTCTCAAAGTGCTGGGATTACAGGCATGAGCCACCGCGCCCTGCCCCTACTGACTTTCCATGTTGCATTTATGAAGGGAGAAGGTTCCTATCTTCATATCTGACTCAGGGACTCTCCCCTCACCCCCACCTTTTCCTTTTCCTCTTAGACTTCTTGGAGGTTTTTCAGGAGATATTCTGTCAGCTCTTTGGAGAAGACAGTGGCTGGGGGTTAGGGATGATACAGTTGAAGGATAGGTAGCTACCACCACTCAGACCTTTTGCAAAGCTCTAAGCAACTCGATTGTTTTGTAGGAAGTGTATTGGGGACAGAAAGTTGTGTAAAGCTTGAAGGTGGGATAAAATGGTTCCTGATAGATCAAAGAGGGTCTGTGTATTTCATGTATGGTTTAACATAAGTTATATAAGGTATGGGAACCCAAAGGATTATAAATCATTCTACTATAAAGACACATGCACATGTATGTTTATTGCAGCACTATTTACAATAGCAAAGACTTGGAACCAATCCAAATGCCCATCAATGATAGACTGGATAAAGAAAATGTGGCACATATACACCATGGAATACAATGCAGCCATAAAAAAGAAAGTGTTCATGTCCTTTGTGGGGGACATAGATGAAGCTGGAAACCATCATCCTCAGCAAACTAACACAGGAACGGAAAACCAAACACCATGTGTTCTCACTCGTAAGTGGGAGTTGAACAATGAGAACACATGGACACACAGAGGGGAACATCACACACCAGGGACTTTCGGGAGTGAGGGGCAAGGGGAGGGAGAGCATTAGGACAAATAACTAATGCATACGGGGCTTAAAACCTAGATGACGGGTTGATAGGTGCAGCAAACCACCATGGTGCATGTATACCTGTGTAACAAACCTGCATGTTCTGCACATGGATCCCAGAACTTAAAGTAAAAAAAAAAAAAAAAAAAAAAAAAAAAAAAAGAGAGAGACAGGAGAAACTGAGAGGAAGATGAGAAGAGAATGGAGTGGGATGTCTTGTGGTCTTGTTTCTGCTCTCTGGCTGATCTGTTTAGGAGTCTGGAGCATGTAATTCTCCCTTGTGGCTGGCCTTGGGCCAGAGTGAGATCCAATCTACAATGAAGCCAGATGCCTTTGCCTGGATTGAGTGGAGAGTCAAATTGTTATAGCTTAAGGGTATTGTTCTGAAGAATGGGACTCCAACTTAATACTATGATCATCCTAATAACAAGGCTTTTCAATTCGAAGTCATTCATCTACTCTTTTTTTGTGTTATTTGTATGTGTCTCCTTATGTGTCATATCTATCTATGTAAATATATTCTGTCTTGTCTATACACCGTCGCTATTATTTACTACCTATTATTCATCCATTAGGCCAAACCATATGAAAGTGCCCATTTTTGACCATTTCTGATTTAAAATAAATACTAGTAGTTTCATGTGGCTTAATCTATTTATTTCACTTTTTTTTAACCTCTGGAAATTTATTTGTAGAAAAAATTTTGTTACCATTTTAAATGGAAAACCAGTATCACTTGCTATAGATAGAAGAATATTGAAAAAAAATGTTAAAAGAACACCAAAAAGTTAACATCTTTAACTAGACGCTGTTGCCTGCTGAAGGCTGTGAGCCTGAAGCTTGTTTTTCCTTTGTTAAAAGAGTCTTAAGTCTTAGAAGTTTAATGTAGAGGCTTATTATCCCCAAGCCAAGCCTTTCTCTTTGATGGAATCACAGTGATTGAAAAGGAGATAGCACATTGCTTACTGCTGTGGGAGCCCACCTACTAGCCTCCACTTTCTGCTGGTGGAGTCATCTCACACTGCAGGTGACATAGAGCCATAGGATGTGATCGTGACTTGCCCAGCCCCTGCTAACTCGGAGGGTTGGCGGGCACGAAAGTCTTGGCTGCCTTTCTTCATTGTGACTTAGTCAAATGTGTTGATGGGGCAGTTGTGCCTTCTTGAATAATTATGCAACAGCAAATATGCCAAAATTCTTCTTGCTGCATTTATAGCTACAGCTTTGCAGGGTGTTAAAAAAGCATGGCACGCTCCCAGCTCTCATGTTTTTAAAAAGTGAATGAGTTTGATGTTTTATATTTCTTTCTCTGTGTGACCCTGAGCATTTTTTTTTTCTGTTCTCTCTGAGCTTCAATTTTCTCATGTAGAAATTGGGGATTGTACTGCTTCTCTTAACTACTTCATAGGGTTATAATAAGGACAAATGAGATAGTGATTGGAAAGTGCATTTAGGGTGTAAAGCATTGTTATTATTCTAATTCAAATTAATTTACTTGTAACTTCCATGTCTCGGATGCCATTCCTCCAACTCCTTGGCCTTATCGGTGAAAATGATCTGAGAAAATGTTTCCTTATCCCTCATCAAGCAACTATTCTCAGACTTGAACATGAGGTGGGAAGCTGTTAGACTAGTTTTAAAAAATAATTGTGATGGCTTCTTAGCTATGTAAGAGTGATGTACGTGTTCAATTAAAACACTGACCAAAGAGAAATACACAAAAAGAAGGAGGTGACCGTTATCCATGTTCTCACCCTGCTCTTCCAGTCTTTTTTCTCCAGTAATGCTGATCTCAAATTTGCTGATATCTTTAAATTCAGTGGCCTTGGGAAGAGATAATTAGTGGGCCAGGCTTCAGTCCCCTTCTGAAATGGTGGCTGTCAGAGCCAGATGGGGTGCTCGTGGGAGGTTGGAGATAGGGCAGAGTGAGCCTTGGGATCTCTGACTTGTCTCCATTCCATTGTCAGGAGACTCTGTGTGTCTGCTCATTTCAAAGGAGAGAATAAGATGGTTTGAAAGAAACTGAGTTAACAGGCCACAAGAAAATTGCCATCTCCCTCCCGTTCACTCTCCGTTTCTTCCGCGTCTCCTGATGGATGTGTCTCTTCGTTTTTGTTCCGAGGAAAGTCCTGTCTTTCATGCATGCTAGGTTTCAACTACCTCCCTTTAGTGTAGCACTTAAGAAATTAATTAAAATATTAATCAGTTTATTGCACAGCCCATTGGAAACAGGCCACTTAAAGGTCTTTTTCATATTTTGTGTGGTATAAATTATATGGTACAAATGTATAGAATAATGTATTGCCATTTTAAAAGCCCTTGTTCAGGGAATGTACCCTAAAATTTTGAAGTCCACCTTGAAGAGAGAACCCCCCAAATTTGATTCCATTATTGCTGGAATCTTAGGTACCCAGCTTCAGACAAGGATCTATAGAAAAGAGAAAACTATAAATGATATCAGGGGAAAGGGGAGATAATTTTTTTTAATGTTTTAAATTTGCATGCAGGTTACCATGACTACAAAATATCTTTATCACTTATTGAAAGTATCTGTTAACCTTCTGCGGCTGTCCCATCCACAGCTATATTTCACGATTGCTACCCTAAAATTGTATGGTACTTCAAAATTGCTCCTTTACCAGATTGCTGAGTCTGAGTTGAAGGAGTCCAGTTTTGATGCAAATAGAGTTCAGAATTCATTCCTTCTTACTGTAGTTTTCAGTTCACATTTGACCCAGTTGGTTAAGACGATTCACGTCTCACCTCTTAACATACAGCAAAGCACTGAGGTTTCTGTGACTTGAGAGTGAATTAGATCTCAGTCATTTTGGCAAGTTGTAGGAAGGTATTTTTAGAAAACCTTACTTACATAATGTTGATATCTTTTCCTTTCTCTCTTCATGTAGCAACCATAGGTTAGTGTATAGATAAAGGGTGTGTTGGAGAGTGATGATATTGTGTCTTTCGAATAAAAGGCTGGATTTCCTAGCTGCACCCTGGGAGGGCCTGGCATATGATTGCAGCGATTGTCCCTGTTTATTGGAGTGTTTTACAATTTCTGGTAACACTGTCTTGTTACAAAACACCACCTACCTCATCAAGCACCAAAGGAGCTTGAAAATGGGCAGGTTTGCCTTATTATTATTTTTTCTCTAGCGACAAAGAAACAACAACAATATGTTCATTAAGGCAGCAGTTTAGATAGTAATACATGCCCACTCCATAAGAATGTTTATAGAAATTAACTTCTATTTCTAAGCAAGCAAAAAAGAAAAAGACATTTTTAGGCATTTTAAGATGTCCCTGATATCTTCCCACTGTTCCTCCTAAATTACTTATTATTATTTGCATTAATTTGGAATGACTTTCATTTTTCATAATTGCAAACAGGTTGGCTTAGCTTAGTTAACCAGATTCTTCACATATCAGAGCTCATTGCAAAGCCCATTTCATTTGGAATTTTCTAGTATGTGAGCCCGTTATACTTAAGCTTTTAAATAAATGCCTTTTAAGTCAAGATGAGTGTTGAGGATCAGAAGTTTTCTTTCTGTGTCTGCTCTTTCAACCTTGATTCTAGACTAAACAATATAGTTCTTGGGAATAATTTGGCCTAGTTATGGCTATTTAGTGTACATTTCTCTGATGGTGGAAATGCAGGGTTAGCCTCTTCCTCTGTGATTTTCCTGAGGAGTCTCCTCCCCCATTTCTTCCTGGGATGCCCACTTTTCCTTCCACAGTAGTGGTTGCTCACCTTTAGGCTCTTACTAGTGATTACGAATCATTAACCCAAATGCTTCTCTTGACAGCAATTGCTTTTCAAAAGGAGGGAAGTCACATTTGAACAATTTTATCCATTATGATCTATTTTGAACGTACACACCAGAAAAGAGCAGGAGTTTAAAAACATACAGCTTTGTGTTTTTTCCACAAGTGTGTATATAAAATAACAATCCTGAAGTCACTTATTTCTCCCTTCATAAATGTCCCTGGAAGGAATCTCAGCATAATTGTCACCTTGCAAGCATCATCAGATTTGGAAGTTGCAGAAAAGGGTGGAAAATACTCGTTTCTATTTCAGAAAACAAAGTCATCTCTATGGCGTTTTATCAATGGGAACCTCTAAGAAGGGCTGCCCGTGTTAGGTTTTGTTGGTTTCTAATTCATTACAATGGGGGTGATGACGGAAAATAGCCTCAGAATTTAGGTCTTGGGGAGAGCAGGATAGAAAGCTTTGAACCAGGCTCAAGTTTTTTGAGTAGCATCTGTTTGGGTAGGCATGGACTTTGGAACGTCCCAAACATTTTATGCTACTAGTTTAATTGGTATAAGGTTTGTGTCACCCAATTCTCTTGAAACAGAGGAAAATATGCTTGTTGTTGGTTGTGTTGTGGGGAGGTTTAATATAGAAGATAAAGGAAGTGAAACAAACAGACAGCAAACTTCTTTTCTTTGCTCGATCACTGGTAGTTGAGTCAAATATAGCAGGAAAAAAGTCACCAATCAATTCTTTCCAGAATAGAAAGGCTTCAGGTAAATTTCAGCTCCCACATAAATTGAACAAAGTCAATAAAAATTGGCTTAATCATTTCAATAAACATGACATGACTTCTTTTCTCATTAAAGATTTAAGGAGCAAGCTACATAAACGATAACTCTCTTCAGTGAATGAAACGGAATAAAATTTGTGAAAAGCACATTTTGGCTGGCTCTGGGAAGGAGATGATGGTGTTTTGGTTTAAGTGCCAACGAATCATATTTTTGACTTAATATTTTGATGGCGTGCATTTCAACTCTTGGCTGGATAATTTCTGACTGATGACTCTTTCAGGCTGGTTCAAGCCTGGTGGTTTTCATCCAGTAGGCTAGAGAGTGAGGGAATGTTTAGCTCCTTGCTTTCCCTTACTTCCTCTCCACAAGTTGATGATTAGGAGAAAAGCCAAAACTGGAAGCCTAGCATACTAAGTGATCTGGCTGTTCTAAAATTTTCATTTTATATTCTCTAATTTTGAAGCTGTCAAGTATTATCTGTCAATCATCTGCCTATAGCTTGTTAAGATTACAGAGTCGTGAATGTGCATAGGAGGCTGACTAAATCCTGTGATTAGCAACAAAATGTATAAGAAGAAAAGTTGAAGCATATATTAAAAAAAAACTATTGCTAATAAAGACCTCAGTGTTTACTTATGAAAAAATAGAAAATATGTGATTGGGAAAAAAGGCATTTTGGAGAATGCAGCCCAACTGGAATTTATCTGATGTACATTTAATAATCTAATAACAATACAGCTGCACCTGTGATGCTTAAGAACAAGAAGGATTATTAGATTTGTGCATGGAAGGTAAAATTACTGCAAAGAATTGCTTTGGGGAATATACAAGATACAGGAAATGAAGTGAAATAAAATAAATACAGGGGCAGATGACTGGTTTCTGTATATTGCTGGGTAGATTTAATTAATTGCTAATATAGCACTGAGGAATGAATTACTCAATCATTGCCATTGTTTCAATTTTGGAATTTTCCTCTTAAATACAAATTCATTAGAAAAGAAGAAAATGTCACCGGGCAGAGAATAAATTTGTGATTTTGGATGTTAACTTTTTAGAGTCAGCTGTAAAATATTGAGCAATCTTGGGAACATATTTTTAAATAACTTGGAAGGTTTTTTCCCCTTTATTTTCATGATAGGCTTTATAGTCTTTCAAAGTCCCATTGCAACTTGAAATCAATCCATTAATTTTTCTTTTTTTTTTTTTTCAATGCCATCTCTGCATTAGCTTGTTATGGTAGGATCTGCAGAGAGTACTGAGAAGGGCCAGGGTTTCTGACTCAAACAGATCTGGTTGAAATCCTATATTTAGCATTTGGTAGAAGTGTCATGCTGGGTAAGTTACAAAAGGCGCCTTCTCTGTGCCTTAGTCTCCTTGCATATGTGGGTATATGGTGAGAGTTAGTAATAATTCATTCATCTGCTATTTATTGAGTATCGATACGTGTCAAGCACCATGCCAGATGCTGTGATATAATTCAACCATGATAGTAATAGTAGCTATCATTTATTGAGAGCTTACTAGCTGTTGGGTATTATTCTGTTCATTTCATGTGCAGTGTCTAATTCAACCTTTACAACTCTCTAATGCATACATATATATGGGTCTACATGTATATGGGTCCACACGTATACACAAATACATATGTATATTCACACAGAAATATATAAATGAATAATCACATAATAGAAGTGGAATTATTTGCTCTCAGGAAAGCTCAGTTTCCTCATCAGAGGTAAGTTTTAAAGTTTTCTTTGGTTTTTCTTTCTTTTTTTCTTATTATTCTTAGAAAAAAGGCTTGGCTATTACTAACCTGAGGAACTAGAGAAAAACTGCGTAAGAACATGATGTCATGAGAGGCGAGGAGAAGTGCAAGACCTTTGCCTCTTGCAAGATTGGAGGTGGGCCCAGGGCAACCTCCCTGGAAGCAGCTTGACAGGAAGATAAGGTTTCAGTGCTTGCACCTTTAAACGTAGCACTTTGTGTCTGCACCTCATTTCTGCTAAGGGTTTTCTCATCCGAAATGTCATACAAACCAATGTTTGCCATGTATTAATTCATAGAGAAAAGGGTCGGCATAATTGCCCACAGAAAATCCCTTTATATGGTTTGAACGTCTTTATTATGAATAAGCCTCAAGCATCTTAACTGAAAACACTTTAGAGTCATTGGAATGGCTGGCTTCTCTTTCCATTCCTGTGAGCTAGGAATGCTGGATCATCCACAGTGGATAGTTGCTAGCTGTTGATTTTGCAGTTGTGGCAGTTGTTAAAATGGGTGGACTTATTTGGGTGATTTTGGGCAAGCTTAATCTCATAGGAAAATCTTTAGCCTAGTCAGGTTTTTAATCGCTATGTTAGTCATCCTACTGATTACATAAGGAACACGGTAGGAGCATTTCAAATGCCATCAGCTCTTGGCAGCGGAATGACAATGAGGATGAAGTATTAAAAACTAGGTACTCATAAAGGCAGTCATGGAGAGGGGCCTACAACTCCCTGCTCCTGAATATGCCTCGACATTAATTCTGCTCCTTATAAGAGAACTCAGTGGAAGAAAGGCATAATTTGAATTAATTATTTGCACATATGGTGTGTTCCTGATGTCAACTAATGCTACATTAAGGACAGACATGCTGGGCACCCATTAAATAATCAAGTAAATATTTGTATTGTTTATGATAAACTGATTCCTTCTGTGGGCATTTTCTGTGCCTTTGTAAACATTCCTGTAGTAGGCAGATTTTGTTTGTTAGGGCTTTATACCAAGCTTAACTGTGACAAAGAGTGCTGTTTAAATTCCAAATCCGACAAAGAAACCTTACACCCACTGTGTTTTTTGGCACTAAGTGAATATTTAGTAACACTTTAATATAATAGCCGGATCATTATGGTATATTACCGAGCTGAATGTTACGTTAATAACATTAATCACATGGACTCATTCTTGTCCTAGTCTGAATGTTAAAAGTACTTCTATATGATTTCCACTATAATTCAATAGTAATTAGTGATACAATTACTTCAAGCTGGCACCAAATGTTTATATTGAGCCAACATGAGTGTTAGATCGACATATAAGTGAGCCTGATCTCTGAATAAAAGATTGAGGCTCAGGTAAGTTAGCCCAATTTTTCTCTGATGAAATGTGTTCTATAACCGGAACAAATACAATGTTTATAAATGCTCTGAATACATGAATGAGGTTGACTTTTCACACTATTCACTGAAGGTCACATTGTCATAGGGAAATATGAAAAGGAATAATCTCCAGACACATTTTCCTGTAAAGAATCCCATGTTTGAGAAAAGCCTGAAGTGAGTGCAAGAGAAAGACATCAAGTTGGGGAATTGCCTTAGGATCTGTTCTTGAAGTCGTCTAAATATAAATTCCTAATAATTGTTAAGTTCTTACGATGTTTCTGTTTCAACGAGTTTTAGGAAATCTTGATGCCTCTTGCACGCTTGATATTTGAAAGGAGCTTCCGAATGTGCTTGAATGCCTCTCCTGTCTCATGAAAGGAAGGTTTTCATATGCTCTTGGTCCTTCTGCCTAAATTCAAGTGTGGAAGTGAGTGGTGGTGCTTAACCGGGATTCTTGTGAAATGGGAAGAAACTGTGTCTGATGATGTCAGCTAATGGAGATTAATGGAACTCTTTGGATGACTAGACTTGCAAACAACCTCTAGACATTTCTTGAAAAGTTAGAGGTAAATATCTCATTCATTTTCTGAAAGCGGGGAGAGAAGGCCAATAAATACTTCTATCTACTGCAAGGCAATGTGGCCTGTCATTGGCTCCTTCTTGGCTGTGGAACTTAGTTTTTGGAGGAAAAAAAAACTAGTCCTTTGATGCCACCTGCACCTACTTTAGAAAAAACCAAACCAAGCCAAAACAAAAGTAAAAAACTGTAAAAGCATTTACTTCTTCTTTAATCCTAAGTGTAGATCTCTGATCTCTCAATAAATCCATCCATCCATCCATCCATCCATCCATCCATCCATCCATCCAGTCATGTGTTCAAGAAGCTCATATTTGATTGCCTGCTTTCAGAAATTGTGCTCAATACTGGAATTGATACAGGAATCTGGAACCTCTATTTTAGGGCAGCAAAATGATGTGGTGAGAGACATACATTCAGAAAAAGGAAGATGATCACAGCCTGTATCTGAAGTGGGTGAACTTCTGAAGGGCAGGCACTGGGAATGAACCCATGACTATAGTCTCTTCATAACAGGATACCAGGGACAACAATGTGAAGAATATTCGGATAAATGGCGACACTGAATGAATATAAGTTTTGCATAGGATTTTGTCTTGCTCTTCTTAAGGTTTTATTTTGATAGAAAAACCCTGAGAATGTCAGTATGGGGCTAAAGTCCAGTTTATCTTTTTGTCTTTATTTCCCATATGGGAAACTCTTTCAGACAATGGATTTGTATTTGAGGAGACTGTTTAGGTTAGGGAAGCAATCAGACTGTATGTTTCTCCTGCCTGGAGCCTCTGAGGCCGTCTTCACTTCCCAGATGTCAGAACAAGCTTTCTGTAGCTGATCATGCAGGCTTTACCCGCTCAACAACAGAAAGTGGACATTGTAACGTGGGATACGAATGCTGCTGCTTTCTTTGTGTTAAGGTCCTGAATATAAATTTCTCTGGTCTTCACCTGGATATCTTGCCTTTAAAAATAACACTAGATTTTTCCTGTTGAGTTTTAGATTTGGATTGTTTTAAGCTAAAAAGCTAAAATGGAGGCATTCCAACAGTGGATTATCAAATTCAGGGTGTTACGTACACATCCCATCTATAGACAAGGATATATAAAGCAATGTGGCTGGAGAGAGAGAGAGAAAGAGGCAGAGAGAGTCAAACAGAAGGATAGAGAGAGTGAATCAGCCTCCCTTAGGGGAATGTTCATGAAATTCTTGCTAATGCTGCATTTGAAAGAAAACAAAGTCTTCATTTCAGGTCTTGTTGACTATATTGTTATAGGAACTTTGCAGTTTGACTCTAAGAGGTAAATTGGGGAGTTGTAGGTTCTCACTGAATCTGTGATGTGCTTTATCATCTATGCTGCTTTCCTGCTTGTCATTTGAATCAGATGATGATGTCTTTCCCTTTTCCCTGTGAAGCTTTTGAGATCTGTCTCCTACTAAACCTCTCGCCCTGTCCTCCGCTGACTCCTTCCCTGTCCTCTGCTGGCTCCTTCTTCCTTCTTGTCCCTGCCCCTCTGCTGTTGCCGCAGTTCCTTCTTGTCCCAGCCACACTGGAGCAAGTGGTCACCTGAATGCCTTATGCAGGCCCTTGCCTCGTTATCTCCTCTCATCTGCCTGCAACCCCTGCCTTCTTGTAATCCACCAGGAGCTAGTTCAAGGGGCATCTCCTTTGTGAAGTCTGTTCTGTGCCTAAATGAGCACTAGCTAATATTTTATTGAATTCTTACCATGAACTAGACACTGTGTACTCGATGCTCCTTGTCTATATTTAAGCTATATATAAGGTACAAATCTATATATCCATATTTAAGCCACATCATATAGATGAGCAAAACTATGCTATAGCTTATGCTATATCCAAGCATTGCATTACCTATGGGTTAGATGCTATTCTTCCTATTCCCCTTTTAGAGATGAAAAGACAATACTGAGCTCTCAGGCAGAATCAGGCACTGCTCTGCAACACCTCAACTGCTGTGCATTTGCTTTCTCCCAGCACTGCATTGCTTCAACAGATGTACTGAACATCTTTGATGAGCCAGGTACTGTTCTAAGTGCCTAGCAAACAGTGGTGGTTCACACTATGGCCTGTCATGGGGCTCCTTTTTTAGGCAGGGAGGCAGACAACACACAAACACATATAATATGCCAAGCAGTGATGGTGATGAAGGTTGAAAAGATAAATAAGCAGAATGAAAGACAGGATGAGGGAGTGGTGCTATCTGGGCAGCCTCTGCTTAGATGGGAGGGGCTTGTGGCTGGTGCAGAGTGAAGGATGAGAGTTCCAAGGAAGGATGAGGTCAGGGAAAGTAGCCATAGTGTGGAGTTTGGATTTTATTCTGCAGTCATAAAATGGTTGAGTGAGAAGTGAAATAATTTGATATATGTTTTTAAAGCCACATTTCCCCAGTTTTGTGGAAAATGGACCGTGGTGGGCTACGGGTGGTGGTAGGGAGACCCATTAGGAGCCTTTTGCTCCAATTCAGGGGAGAGTTGATGTGGCTGAAATGAGTGGCAGCTATAGAAGTGGTGAGAAGTTGTGAGATTCTGGATGTATTTCAACATTGAGCCAGTGACATATCTTCATGGACTGAGTGTGAACTGTATGAGTAAAAGAAGCAAAAAAGTGGCCCAATCCACAGAGAGATTGGATTTACCTTCTACTCAGATGGGAGGTGCTGGTCTTGAGGGATGTATTAGTTTCCTCGGGCTGCTGTAACAAGTTGCCACAAACTTGAATGGCTTAAAACCACAGAAATGTATTGTCTCAGTTCTAGAGGCTGAGAACTGTTCCAAACTAAGGTATTGGCAGGGTCATTTTCTATGAAAATTCCAGGGAAGAATTCATTTTTGCTCTTCCAGTGGTTGCAATCTTTGGTGTTCCTTGGCTTGTAGAAGAATCCTTCCAATTTTTGTTTCCAAAGTCACTTGGTGTTCTCCCTGTGTCTGTATCCAAATTTCCCTCTTCTGATAAGGACACCAGTCATTGGATTAGGGCCCATCTTGAACCAGTATGACCACATCTTTACTTGATTCTATCTGCAAAGACACTATTTCCAAATAAGGTCCCATTCATAGGTATCAGGGAATAGGACTTGAATATATCTTTTTGAGGGGACACAGTTCAATCTACACCAGTGGGGATCAAGAATTTGGTGATTTAGGTTAAGTTTCAGATGCCATGAGATATCCAGGAAGAGATGGCATGTGGGCAATTGGACATGGGGTATGGAGTTCAGGGTAGAGACCGGGATAAAGGTATAAATGGTGGAGGCATCTTTACAGAGACAGCAGTCAAGCCACAGGAGCAAATGGGATCTCTAGAGAAGTGTGTATGTTCTGAAGAGAAGTTTAAGGACTGAGCCTGGGATGCTCTAGTGTTTGGAGGTCAGGAGAGGGAGAGGAAGAAGATCTGGATGGAAGTTATTTGATTTTGTATATCTCTTGCTTACTAGGCTCTAAACTCGCAGAGATCAGCAGCCATTGTTCTATTCCCAGCCCTCAACATTGACACTGGCATAGAGAGGCTCTCCACAAATGATTGCTAAATAAAGACGGTGAACTTTCTTTAAGTTTTAAACCATAAATAAAGGTACAGCAACAGTGGCAAGTCAATACCAACAGAAATGGGAGTGCTGGCCTGTATGTAGCCAGCCTGAAGTGTTTGTAATCGCCCCTGCTGGTCTGTGCTGTCCTCCTGGCATGGAAGAAACACATAGGTGGGAAAATGGGTGTGGAACATGAGGAAAATGTCTCTTCTTTGTTGAGCTTCTTCACACAACCTACCTGCTAGAAAAGGCCATGCCACGCTCAGGGTTCACTGGCCAAAGTCCTGCATCAGGGCAGGGGAGGTCATCTTCACATTATGCAGTGATCTGGCCACACCTGGTGGGCCTCAGTTCTGAGAAACTGGGAACTGGGGTGGAGGTTTTTCACAAGGCATGGGCGGTATAGCAAAGGATTTAGATGTCAAGGGATTGCTAGTGACCATGTAAGACCACGTGAAAAGACCATCTTTGAATATTTACAGTTTTATCAAGGGGAAAGAGATAAGGCTAGTTTTGGATTTTGGAAGGCAAACCTAAGAATATTGGGTAGAAGTGATACTGAGGACATTTCAATGTAGCATCAGAACTTGGGTCAATACAGAGCACTGTGGTTAAGAGAGTTAACAAAAAGTAGTGTTTAGGAGCATGGGCTGGGGCCAGAACACCTGGGTCTGAATCTGGCCCTCTGCCGTTTTCTGTGGGCCCTTCACAAGTTACTTATCTTCCTGTTGCCTCAGTTATCACATCTATAAAATGGAGATAGTGATAGTACCTAATTCAGAGGGTTATTTTAAAGATTAAATAAATTAGGATTTAAAAATCTTGGACCTGGCACATGCAAGCACTATTTGTTATACAAAAAGAGCTTAGACTTTGGGGTCAGAGGGGCCTGGCTTTCAATTCTGAATCTGCCACATACTAACTGCATGACCTTGAACAGGTTACCAGCCTCAGTTTCCTCATCTGTAAAATGGAGATAATAACACCTGCTTGAAAGGGCTGTTGTGAGGGTTAGTGGAGTAATATGTATGATATCCCTGGAACATTGCCTGATATATTGTGGATGCTCCTAAATGTTAGCTCTTTTCTAACAGGAAGGACTCAACCACCTTTAGAGATAGATTAAGCAACAGTATATTAGTCTGTTTTCACGCTGCTGACAAAGACATATCTGAGACTGGGTAATTTATAAAGAAAAAGAGGTTTAATGAACTCACAGTTCCATGTGGTTGGAGAGGCTTCACAGTCATGGTGGAAGACAAAAGACATGTCTTATGTGGCGGCAGACAAGAGAGAAAATGAGAACCAGGCAAAAGGGGTTTCCCCTTAAAAAACCATCAGATATCATGAGACTTATTCACTACTATGAGAATGGTATGGAGGAAACTGCCCCCATGATTCAATTATCTCCCACCGGGTCTCTCCCACAACCTGTGGGAATTATGGGAGCTACAATTCAAGATGAGATTTGGGTGGGGACACAGCAAAACCATATCGAACAGGCATGATGGCCATCTATCAAGAATGTAGTTGAAGTAAGATCAGCGTAAATGCCTTGTAGAGCCTTCAACCCAGACTATTTTAGCAAGTGAAGCTGCTAGAAGCAAAACAGGCAGGAAAAAGTATAGCAAAAATATGGAAAAGTCTAATTCCAATGTATTACTTGAATGCTTTGATTAAATATTATGCCAGATAACGGATGACAAAGAGATAGTATAATCTGGGGAGTAAGAGTATGGACTTTGGCATTAGCCAACCTGGGTTTGGCTCTAGCTGTGCCATTTGTTGGTCATCTGGCCTTGGACAAGTACTGTGTGTGACCTCCCCCAGAAGCTGACCTTAAGTTAGCTTAGACTTGAGTTGCAGTTATTTATTTGGGTGCAAATGTATTTGGATTTTCCCAGGTTAGCATCCTGGAGGAGAGAGTAAGGAAACCAGTGTAAGGTGTGTTGATGAGCAAGTCCCTGCTATGGCACCTGAACGCTCAGGCTGGGAACCTCTGGATGATGGTGCAGACCTGTCTCAGCATAGTCCCATACAAGAGAAGAAGCTCTAGTATTACCCGACTCCCATTAGTTGTTATCTGAGGGCTGTTCCCAGGATGGGGAACATTAATTCCTTTGCACTTCAATACTTCCCTTATCTCAAGCAGAGAGTGTCTTAGCTTTTAGAAGAAGCTAAGTATGCTAACCCCAGGGTATGGAGGGGAATTGGGTGAGCACTAGTAATATCTGC
This sequence comes from Homo sapiens, assembly GCF_000001405.40. Lineage (NCBI taxonomy): Eukaryota > Metazoa > Chordata > Mammalia > Primates > Hominidae > Homo > Homo sapiens. The sequence goes on along the minus strand of NC_000004.12, from coordinate 24,356,863 downwards.
TAAGACAGTCATTTGAATCTAAATCTCAGTTTTCTCCTCCATCATATAGGAATAATATAATGTATATTTTATGACTCTTTGTAGAGATTAAGGGAGAGAATGAATATACAGTGTTTAGCTTAGACTGCTTGGCCTGTGGGAAGCCAGCCAGAGTAGCTATTACTGTGATAAAAGAGGATGGTATGAACAAGGAGACTGTGCCTTCCAAAGGACAGGGCCCAGAGACATTGCTCAGGAAATAAATTATTAGAGGGAGTTTGTGTCCATTTAATTTGCTTGGAGAAGTGCCCATAATAGAATCTTATACACTTGGTCACTTAAAAGTATTATGTGTGGCCGACACATTGAAGTCACATTTATTCACTTGGACAGAAGGTTCATCTTGAGTATACAGCCTGTAATTTACTTACAGGTGTATATAGTGGGATAACTCAGGTTAATGTCCGTGAACAGAGACCAACAATTAGCAAGTTAATTAGGGTCCTGATTTTAGTAGCGAGGGATAATCATTTATTAGCTTAGGTCAGACCCTGGGCCTTCCCGTGAAGTGACTGTCTATGAAAATATTGACTGAAAGGGAATCCCTGTAGCTTCCCCTGTGCAATTCACACATGCTTGGTAAACTCATTATCTCTCCCTCTCTCTCTTTTTTTTTTTTTTTTTGTTTGAGACGGAGTCTTGCTCTGTCGCCCAGGCTGGAGTACAGTGGTGTGATCTCAGCTCACTGCAACCTCTGCTTCCTGGGTTCAAGCGATTCTCCTGTCTCAGCCTCCTGAGTAGCTGGGATTACAGGCACGCGCCACCACGCCTGGCTAATGTTTATATTTTTAGTAGAGACAGGGTTTCTCTATGTTGGCCAGGCTGGTCTTGAACTTCTGACCTCAGGTGATCTGCCCTCCTCAGCCTCCCAAAGTACCGGGATTACAGGCATGAGCCATCGTGCCCCGCCGTAAACTCATTATCTCTTATAGAGATAGGCATGAGGACTACAATAAGTTTAGGAGGCTTGGCTTCAGCTAACCTGTTTTAAATTGATGGCAAAATATAAATGGATTCTAATATAACAATAATAATACCAGTTCTTCCTCCCCCTCGCACTTCCACGTTCTTTTGTGTGTCGCTTGTCTCTCGGCGGGTTTGTGACTGGTGTGTGCTGGCACTTTGCTCTTTTCCAGCCAATAATCTCAGCTACATTAACATGGTCATTTCAATCAAGGCATTTGTTGAAACAATAACAACAATGAAGTGTCTCATTGTGCCTTGGGGCTAAAAAGCGTTAGAAAGTGGTAAGCTTTTCTTCTTTCTCATTTTTTTCACAGTGACAGCCATTGACCCACACCTGGGATTTTGTAGAAGGGGCTGGAGATTATAAATCCAATTTACAGAAGGGGAGAGGGCATAAATTGAAGAGGCATCTTGCAATACAAGAAGATATGAGCAGCAGCTCCTCTTCTTGACAATAAAAGGCATGGAGTTTCTTGTGTCTGTTTTGTCTTCTCTCTCCAGCCATTCTTGCCTTTTTTGTTTGTTTGTTTTTGTTTTGTTTCCTGGCACTGCTGCCTGCTTAGCTCGGTTTGAAAGTTGCTTAGCATGTCCCTTGACTAATAAGGTGGATGCTGGGCCATGCCTCATAAGCTATAGAAAGGATGATGGACAAGGCTTTTAAAATCGGTTTGGTTCCTGTTTCCTACTCCATCAGTCGTGAATTCTGAGTTAGTTGTTTCTGTTTGTAAAATAGGAGAGAGATAATGTCGTGACAAACATAGCTGCGGTAAGTCCCTTCAACTTTCTGATGGAAGCTGACCCTAGGCTTTGAAAACATTCCCTGGTCTCTCTTGGCTAGCGGCAGATCACCTAAACAATTTTTTCCATTTTGGTTTAAGCTGAATTGGCAAAAAGAAAGGCAGAGTGGTAAAAGTCCAAGCCAACGACAAAAGGGTGTTTTTTTTCTGTTTTTTGTTTGTTTGTTTTTGTTTTTTTTGACAGTCTTGCTCTGTCGCCCATGCTGGAGTGCAGTCGCGTGATCTTGGCTCACTACAAGCTCCGCCTCCCGGGTTCATGCCATTCTCCTGCCTCAGCCTCCCGAGTAGCTGGGACTACAGGCGCCTGCCACCATGCCCGGCTAATTTTTTTGTATTTTTAGTAGAGACGGGGTTTTACCATGTTAGCCAGTATGGTCTTGATCTCCTGACCTCATGATCCACACGCCTTGGCCTCCCAAAGTGCTGGGATTACAGGTGTGAGCCACCGCACCCAGCCAAAAGGGTGGTTTTACATGATATGTGTCTCAGCTGTTTTGTCTTAACACTATCTTGGTAAACCCAATTTTAGTGAGTAAAAGAAAACTAAATGATAGAACTACTCCAAAAATCATTTTCCATGATTTCCAGGTTCCAGCATTCTGGGTGTAAATTGGTGAACATTTATGAATTGTTAATGTTCAGCAAGTGCTCTTGTGTGGTAGTCAGAATAATGCCCACACCCTACTTCCTAAATTTGTCTAGGTTCTGATCCCTAGAGCCTGGGAATGTTACCTTACATGGCAGAAGAGACTTTGCAGATATGATTAAGATTACAGACCTTATGAGATGGGGAGATTATCTTGGATTATCCCGGTGGGCCCAATGTAATCACATGAGTCCTTAAAATTGGAGCATATTTCCTAGCTGTGACTAGAGAGAGGGCAGCATGAGAAGCATCTGACGTCCCATTGCTGGTTCTGAGGTATAGCAGGCTGTGTGCAAGGAACTGAATTCTGCCAACAACTTGAGTGAGTGAAGGACTACTCTCCATTAGAGCCTCCAGGAAGGATCAGCCCTGCCTTGATAGGAGGCTGGTGAGACCGCGGCAGACTTCTGACCTACAGAGCTGTAAGAAAATAAATTTGTATTGGTGTAAGGCCACAAAATTTGTGATAATTTGTTCCAGGGGCAAGAGCAAACCAATGCATTGCAGTTTCCCTGGTCCAAAGTTTTCCTAATGCTAAAGGGATTTCTGAACCTAGTGTGTGTACCCTGCAATCAGGAAGGGCTCAGTCGTTTCCTATCAAAATCAAGAGCTCTGACTCTGATGTGTTTCAAAGAATTCCCACCTGTGGTACTGGGTTGCTAGAATGTCAGAAGACTTGGATGATGGAGAACCAAGAAGAAATTAATGAACATTAATGGTGCTTCCTTGTGTTCCTGAGTCTGTGCTGGATATTAATGATCTTACTTAACTCTCACAACAATCTGCAGGGGAGATATTATATTTTACAGGTGGGAAACAGAATAAGAATATGTTCTTTCTCTTATGACCCATTTTTGCATCCTTCTTAGCAAGGCTTAGGAATCGGGAAATCTGAAGTTTAGTGGCCGAGTCTTTCGCTACAGTAAACAAGAAAATAGAATCCCTTGCCAGTCTCGCCTTAATGTTTCTTCAGTTGATAAAACATTGATGAAGATGGAGAACATTGTCCCTGTCTTTTTTTTTTTTTTAAGCCCACAGAGGGAGGGCGGGGGACCCAGATGAAATGGCTCATCTCTCAATCTCCACTTCAGTTCCCTTCTATGCTCGGCTTCCCTGATTACTAATCAGCAATGCTTTGTGGCTTGCAGAATAAGCACCTAGTTTGTTAGTAAAGGAATCAGGTTGGTATTTAAGACGAAAGAGGATTTGAAAAAAAAAAAAAAGATTGATTATTTAAAAGGGTCACTTGGGACTGGCTTTGCAGATTCTACTGCATTAAGCCAGATTTTGGTTCGATTGCTGGCAATACCAGTCAGATCAGATGGATGCAACATGCCCCTGAAATCCCAGGATCCTCCACCCGCCATTCAATAGTCCCACATGTCACCCAGAGAGAACGTTGGCGGTGATCAGCTAACGAACTCCAGCCCCCTCCCATGCCACGGGAGAGAGATGGGCTTCTTTGAATTCAGCTGTAATACTTACTGGTAGGGAACTCCAGACAGGATTTATTTAATAGGTGGTTTTAAAGCACTCCCTCTACAGCATTAAGTTCCATGAGAGCAGGGAAGAAGCATATAAAATGCTACCTGCTTCTAAGGAGCCTCTAGTCTAGTGAGAGAGGAGGCTGATAACAAACACCAGCAGGTTTTGGTAAACAATAGTTCTGTGCTCCACAGGAGGGGAGGAAACTCAAAGATAGCCTGGGCACATGCCAAGGCTGGGGCAGGCAGTGGGACGTTTGGGGATATAAGTTTGCTCATGGGTTGGTTTGGAGAATGCCTACAGCAGCCCCAGCTTCCTTTCCAGCTTTTGAACCGAGTCCTCAGACCTTGGCCAGGCCTTTGTTGCTGGGCCTCATTGTTAAAGTCCCCGTGGCCAGTTGGACCCCATCCCTGAGATGTGGGGATGAACTGGGTGCCATTCTCTGGGCACCCTCACCTATGGGATGTTGAATGACAGCTAGCTCATTAGCTCCTCCTAATTACCTCTTTGGAGCTGGATTGTGCTTCTAGAACCTTCTTTTCTGGCAGCTAGAGTTCTGCTCACTTGTGTTGGCTGTTCCTATCCTAGCTGCACTCTCACCTGGCTTCTGACAGGGGAGGGCGCCTTACATCCCTGTGCTTTCTGTTGGAGTGATGCCTTTGAGCTGTGTGCCCCAGCTTGCACCTTGTTCTTCAGACTCAAAGCCCTCTTCCCCTCCCTATCTCTGTATTTGGGTCAGTTGCCATTCCCCTCCTGTCCCTCCGATCCCAGGCTTCTCCTGGCCTCTCGCCTCCCACTCCCGGGTGGCTCTGTATAGTTCAAGTCCCAGCATGCCTTGTTTTGGAGTGGGAATAGCAACAGAATGAACCCCAAATCAATCCCCCTGGCGCCTCCTTGATCTAGGCCCATCAGGTTTTAAACTCCCCTTTGAGGCTTTTGCAGTGACCCCAGAACCCAAAGAACATAGTATCCAGTTCTGCAACTTTTCACAGAAACTGCCACACGGGATAGCATTAAAATTCTTACTGAAATAAAAAAAGAACACCCTTTCTCTTCTTTGTTGACTGTAGGAGGCCTTTTTTGAAAAGACCATATTAAAAAAAAACAAAAAAACAAACCCTGTGATTTTTAGGTTAGAAAATAGTGTCAGAGTACACTATGCCCCAAATCAGGATGCTGTATGTTTCTGTACCATGACGGCTTTTTATTTTTTCCTTAGCTCAACTCTTAAAGTAATTTTAAATATTTAAGACTAAACACTTCTTACATTAGATAGTGTCTTTTTGGAGAGGGTCTTAGGTTATATTTGGCCTTATTTTTGTGAATTTTTTTGGTAAATGGAGTCCTTTAATGTGCATTGTGATTTTTTTTATAAGCACCCTGCTTTAAGCAGAACACGTGTAGTCAAAATATCTCTTTAAACCTGCTTTCAACAAATCACTCTTCTGCTCGGAAATTTTGAGTTGTTTTGTAATCGCATTTTTCCTCTAATCTAAATTTTACCTTCTTTCTTTTTCTTTTCTTTTTTTTTTTTTTTGAGACAGGATCTCACCTGTTGTCCAAGCTGGAACAGTGGTGTGATCACAGCTCACTGCAGCCTCAACCTCTCAGGCTCAAGTGATCCTCTCGCTTCAGTAAACCAAGTAGCTACGACTACAGGTGTGCACCACCATGCCTGGTTAACTTTTTTTTTTTTTTTAAATACAAGGGTTTGCTCTGTCACTCAGGCTGGAGTGCAGTGGCGTGATCTCAGCTCCCTGAAACCTTTGGCTCCTGGGCTCAAGCCATTCTCCCACCTCAGCCTCGCAAGTAGCTGGGACTATAGGCATGAGCCACCGCTCCCAGCTAATTCTTGTGTTTTTGGTAGAGACGGGGTTTCACCAAGTTGCCCAGGCTGATCTTGAAATCCTGTGCTCAAAGTGATCCACCCCCCAGGTAATTAAAAAAAAAAAATTGTTCTTTTTCTAGAGATTAGATCTCACTATGTTATCCAGGCTGGTCTCTAACTCTTGGCCTCAAGTGATCCTCCTGCCCCCACCTCCCAAAGTGCTGGGATTACAAGTGTGAGCCATGATGCCCAGCCATGGAGTCTGACTTCCTAGGTCTTCTTGCACTCAACTCCACCCCACCTGCCCTTTCCTTTTCCATTAGGCTTTTATAATTTTACCCTCTCCATGTTCTGCCGGTAGTGAATGAGAGACCATGTTATAGTTTGTGATAAAGACCTTGAAGCCACAGTTCCTTGGTTCAAGTCATCTATTAGCTGTGTGACTGGTAAATTGCACAGTTTGTTTTGTTTTCATCTTTTGGGGTTGATATGACTACTAAATACATTCTTTCATGTGAAATGCTTTCTGTCACACAGTTTTATGCGTTCAGTAGGTGTAAGCTATCATACCACTCCCTCATGAGAGGATTGGTGATTTGGATAAGGGAAGTATTTATGTCTTGCTCTTCCTTTTTCTCCTATATCCCAGGTGTATGTATCCTTGTACTAGGTTTAACCTGAAATCTGCATACCATTTGGAATATCAAAAAAAAAGTTTTTTTCAGATGCTATTTGTGTAAGTGTACCCAGCCACAGGGCAGCTTTACTGGTTCAAAATGTACCAACTAAAGCATTTCCCAGGGGGCGCCGTGGCTCATGCCTGTAATCCCAGCACTTTGGGAGGCCAAGACGGACAGATCACCTGAGCTCTAGATCGACTGCAAGAACAAACCAGCAATCCTGACAGGACCCACAGACCCTCTGAAGGAAGCAGACTGCTCCTGGGAGACACCCAAATATTGTGAGTGCCCCAACTGCAGAAGTGGGAAAGGGAGACCCTCCTCTCCCGAACACACCCCCCACTGGAGAAGCTGAAGGTCTGTTTGCTGGAGACGTTTCCAACTTCACCTGGAGCTGAGTCAAGTTTGAGAGCTGAGCAAAATACAGGGGTAGAGGAAGCAGCCAAAAGGCCCTGGGAGCTCGCTGGGTCCCCAAGCAGCCCATTCCTGCCTGGCACCACAGGGATCCATCGGGAGGGTGGCCAGAGGGGCAGGGGGTAAAACTCCACAGGGAGAAGGAATTCTCTAGCTGAACTTTGTAACAATTTGAACGGGGTGAGAAACCTCCTGGCCAGAACTTGAGGGATGGTGTGAATTGGGCGTGCAGACTTCACAGGACGGGGAAGAACTAAAGCCCTTTTCTCTCGCAGTTGGGAGGCAGATAGCTTCGGGTAAGTTTTCACGCCCCTCTTGCCCTCTACCTGGAAACAGACTTGGGGCTGTTGGTGGGGGCACGGTGGGAGTGAGACTGGCCCTTCAGTTTGCATGGGAGCTGGGTGAGGCCTGTGACTACCCGCTTTTCCCCACTTCCCTGACAACCTGCATGACTCAGCAGAGGCAGCCATAATCCTCCTAGGTACACAACTCCAGTGACCTGGTAATCTCATCCCCATTCCCCACAGCAGCTGCAGCAAAATCTGCCCAAGGAGAGTTTGAGCTCAGACACGCCTAGTCATGCCCCCACCTGATGGCCCTTCCCTATCCACCCTGGTAGCAGAAGACAAAGGGCACATAATCCTGGGAGTTCTAGGGCCCCGCCCACTGCTGGTCCCTCTCCACACTACTACTGCAGCTGATGCTTTCTGGAAAGCGCCACCTCCTGGCAGGAGGCCAACCAGCACAAAAATAGAGCATCAAACCACCAAAGCTAAGGACCCTCATGGAGTCCATTGCACCCTCTGCTACCTCCACCAGAACAGGCACCGGTATCCACGGCTGAGGGACCCATAGAGGGTTCACATCACAGGACTCTGCAGACAACCCCCAGTACCAGCCTGGAGCTGGATAGACTCGCTGGATGGCTAGACCCAGAAGAGAGAAAACAATCACTGCAGCTTGGCTCACAGGAAGCCACATCCATAGGAAAAGGGGGAGAGTACTACATCAAGGGAACACCTTGTGGGACAAAAGAATCTGAACAACAGCCTTCAGTCCTAGGCCTTCCCTCTGACAGAGCCTACCCAAATGACAAGGAACCAGAAAACCAACCTTGGTAATATGATAAAACAAGGCTCTTCAGCACCCCCCAAAAATCACACAAGCAATAGATCCAAACCAAGAAGAAATCCCTGATTTCCTGAAAAAGAATTTAGGAGGTTAGTTATTTAGCTAATAAGGGAAAGATCAGAGAAAGGTGAAGCACAATGCAAGAAAATCCAAAAAATGATATAAGAAGTGAAGGGAGAAATATTCATGGAAATAGACAGCTTAAAGAAAAAAACAATGAAAAATTCAGGAAACTTTGGACACACTTCTAGAAATGCAAAATGCTCTGGAAAGTCTCAGCAATAGAATTGAACAACCAGAAGAAAGAAATTCAGAGCTCCAAGACAAGGTATTTGAATTAACCTAATTCAACAAAGACAAAGAAAAAAGAACAAGAAAATATGAACAAAGCCTCCAAGAAGTCTGGGATTATGTTAAACGACCAAACCTAAGAATAATCAGTGTACCTGAGGAAGAAGAGAATTCTAAAAGCCTGGAAAATATGTCTGGGGGAATAATCAAGGAAAACTTCCCTGGGTTGTGAGAGACCTAGACATCCAAATATAAGAAGGACAAAGAACACCTGGGAAATTCATTGCAAAAAGATCTTTGCCTAGGCACATTGTGATCCGGTTATACAAAGTTACGAAGGAGGAAAGAATCTTAAGAGCTGTGAGACAGAAGCACCAGGTAACCTATGAGGAAAACCTGTCAGATTAATGGCAGATTTCTCAGCAGAAACCTTACAAGCTAGAAGGGATTGGGGACCTATCTTCAGCCTCCTCAAACAAAGCAATTATCAGCCAAGAATTTTGTATCCAGCGAAACTAAGCATCATATATGACAGAAAGATACAGTTGTTTTCAGACAAACACATGCTGAAAGAATTTGCCATTACCAATGGCAAACTACTAAAAGGAGCTGTAAGTCTTGTGGTGGCTCTAAATTTTGAAACAAATCCTGGAAACACATCAAAACACATCAAAACAGAACCTCTTTAAAGCATAAATCACATAGGACCTATAAAACAAAATACAAGTTAAAAAGCAAAAACAAACAAACAAAATAACAAAAAAACCGAAGCACAGAAGCAACAAAGAGCAGGATGAAAGCAACAGTACCTCACATTTCAATACTAACATTGAATATAAATAGCCTAAATGCTCCACTTAAAAGATACAGAACTGCAGGATGGGTAAGAACTCATCAACCAACTATCTGCTGTCTTCAGGAGAATCACCTAACACATAAGGACTCACATACACTTAAAGTAAAGGGGTGGAAAAAGGCATTTCATACAAATGGACAACAAAAGCGAGCAGGGGTAGCTATTCTTATATCAAACAAAATAAACTTTAAAGCAACAGCAGTTAAAAGAGACAAAGAGGGACAGTATATAATGGTAAAAGGCCTTGTCCAACAGGAAAATGTCACAATCCTAAAATATATGCACCTAACACTGGAGCTCCCAAATTTATAAAACAATTACTAATAGACTTAAGAAATGAGACACAATAATAGTGGTGGACTTCAATACTCCACTGACAGCACTAGACAGGTCATGAAGACAGAAAGTCAACAAAGAAACAATGGATTTAAACTATATCTTGGAACAAATGGCCTTCACAGATATATACAGACCATTTCATCCAGCAACCACAGAATACACATTCTATTCAACAGCACATGGAACTTTCTCCAAAATAGAACATAAGATAGGCCATAAAACAAGCCTCAGTAAATTTAAGAAAATTGAAATTATATCAAGCACTCTCTCAGACCACAGTGGAATAAAACTGGAAATCAACTCCAAAAGGAACCTTCAAAACCATGCAAATACATGGAAATTAAATAACCTACTCTGGACTGAGCATTGAAGAATATCAAGATGGAAATTAAAAAATTCTTTGAACTGAATGACAATAATGATAGAACCTGTCGAAACCTCTGGGATAGAGCAAAGTTGGTGCTAAGAGGAAAGTTCATAGCCCTAAATAGCTACATCAAAAAGTCTGAAAGAGCACAAGCAAACAATCTAAGGTCATACCTCAAGGAACTAGAGAAACAAGAACAAACCAAACCCAAACCCAGCAGAAGAAAGGAAATAACCAACATCAAAGAAGAACTAAATGAAATTGAAACAAACAAAAAATACAAAAGATAAATGAAACAAAAAGCTGGTTCTTTGAAAAGATAAAATTGATAGACCATTAGCAAGATTAACCAGGAAAAGAAGAGAGAAAATCCAAATAACCTCACTGAGAAATGAAACAGGAGATATTACAACTGACACCACTGAAATACAAAAGATGATTCAAGGCTACTATGAACACCTTTATGCACATAGAAAGTGTAGAAGAGATGGATAAATTCCTGGAAAAATACAACTTTCCTAGCTCAAAGCAGGAAGAATTAGATACCCTGAACAGACCAAAAACAAGCAGCGAGATTGAAACGGTAATTAAAAATTTACTAACAAAAAAAGTCCAGGACCAGAAGGATTCACAGTAGAATTCTACCAGATATTCAAGGAAGAATTGTTACCAATCCTTTTGACACTATTCCACAAGATAGAGAAAGAAAAAACCCTCCCTAACTCATTCTATGAAGCCAGCATTACCCTAATACCAAAACCAGGAAAGGACACAACCAAAAAAGAAAACTACAAACTGATATCCCTGATGAACATAGATGCTAAAATCCTTAACAAAATACTAGCTAACAGAATCTGACAACATATCAAAAAGATAATCCACCATGATCAAGTGGGTTTCATACCAGGGACGCAGGGATGGTTTAACATATGCAAGTCAATAGATGTGGTACACCACATAAACAGAATTAAAAACAAAAATCACATGATCATCTCAGTAGATGCAGAAAAAGCATTAGACAAAATCCAGCATCACTTTATGATTAAAACTCTCAGCAAAATCAGCATACAAGGCATATACCTTAATGTAATAAAAGCCATCTATGACAGATCCACAGCCACCGTAATACTGAATGGGGAAAAGTTGAAAGCATTCCCTCTAAGAACTGGAACAAGACAAGGATGCCCATTCTCACCACTCCTCTTCAACATAGTACTGGAAGTCCAACCAGAGCAATCAGGCAAGAGAAAGAAATAAAGGACATCCGAATCGGTAAAGAGGAAGTCAAACTGTCACTGTTTGCTGACGATATGATTGTTTACCTTGAAAACCCTAAGGACTCCTCTAGAAAGCTCCTAGAACTAATAAAAGAATTCAGCAAAGTTTCCGGATACAAGATTAATGTGCACAAATCAGTAGCTCTTCTATACACCAAAAGCGACCAAGCAGAGAATGAAATCAAGAACTCACTTCTTTTACAATAGCTGCAAAAAACAAAACAAAACTAAACTAAACTAAAAAACTTTTTAGGAATATACCTAACAAAAGAGTTGAAAGACATCTACAAGGAAAACTATGAAACACTGCTGAAAGAAATCGTGGATGACACAAACAAATAGGAACACATCCCATGGTCATGGACGGGTAGAATCAATATTGTGAAAATGACCATACTGCCAAAAGCAATCTACAAATTCAACACAATCCCCATCAGAATACTACCATCATTCTTCACAGAATTACAAAAAAAAAAAAATTCTAAAATTCGTATGGAACCAAAAGAGAACCCACATAGCCGAAGCAAGCCTAAGCAAAAAGAACAAATCTGGAGGTATCACACTACCTGATCTCAAACTATCCTATAAGGCTATAGTCACCGAAACAGTGTGGTACTGGTATAAAAATAGGCACATAGACAAACGGAACAGAATGGAGAACCCAGAAATAAATGGAAATACTTGCAGCCAACCAATCTTTGACAAAGCAAACAAAAACATAAAGTGAAGGAAAGGACCCCCTTTTCAACAAATGGTGCTGGGATAATTGGCTAGCCACATGTAGGAGAATGAAACTGGATCCTTACCTCTCATTTTATACAAAAATCAACTCAAGATGGATTAACAACTTAAACCTAAAACCTGAAATTATAAAAATTCTAGAAGACAACCTTGGAAAAACCCTTCTAGACATTGGCTTAGGCAAGGATTTAATGACCAAGAACCCAAAAGCAAATGCAACAAAAACAAAGATAAATAGCTAGGACCTAATTAAACTAAAGGGCTTTTGCATGGCAAAAGGAAGAGTCAGCAGAGTAAAGAGACAACTCACAGAGTAGGAGAAAATCTTCACAATCTATACATCTGACAAAGGACTAATATCCATAATCTACAACAAACTCAAACAAATCAGTAAGAAAAAAAAAACAAACAATCCCATCAAAAAGTGGTCTAAGGACATGAATAAATAATTTTCAAAAGAAGATATACAAATGGCCAACGAATATATGAAAAAATGCTCAACAACACTAATGATCAGGGAAATGCAAATCAAAACCACAGTGCAATACCACCTTACTCCTACAAGAAGGCCATAATCAAAAAATAAAAAAAAAAGTAGATGTTGGCATGGATGTAGTGAACAGGGAACACTTCTACACTTCCGGTGGGAATGTAAACTAGTACAGCCACTATGGAAAACACTGTGGAGATTCCTTAAAGAACTAAAAGTAGAACTACCATTTGATCCAGCAATCCCACTACTGGGTATCTACCCAGAGGAAAAGAAGTCATTATTCAAAAAAGATACTTGTGCACACATTTTTATAGCAGCACAATTCACAATTGCAAAATTGTAGAATGAACCCAAATGCCCACCAATCAATGAGTGGATTAAAAAAACTGTGATATATATATATATATATAATGGAATACTACACAGACATAAAAAGGAATGAATTAACAGCATTTGCAGCGACCTGGATGAGATTGGAGACTATTATTCTAAGTGAGGTAACTCAGAAATGGAAAACCAAACATTGTGTGTTCTCACTGATATGTGGGAGCTAAGCTATGAGGACGCAAAGGCATAAAAATGATACAATGGACTTTGTGGACTTGGGGGGAAGAGTGGGAGGGGGGTGAGGGATAAAAGACTACAAATAGGGTGCAATGTATACTGCTCGGGTGATGGGTGCACCACAATCTCACAAATCACCACTAAAGAACTTACTCATGTAACCAAATACCCCAATAACTTATGGAAATTAAAAAAAAAAAGCATTTCCCCAAAGTAAGACACACACCACATCTCCACTCTCAGCCCTAATCATTTGCATATGCCTACAAGATATTATCTTTAATCCAGAAAGTCAAATAAGTTTCAGGTTTGGATGACTGCCATAGTCCATTCCTGCTGCTATAACAAAATATCATAGACTGTACAATTTATAAACAATAGAAATTTCTTTCTGATAGTTCTGGAGCCTCAGAAATCTAGGATCAATGTGCTGGCAGGTTCGATGTTTAGTAAAGGATTGCTCTGTGCCTCAAAATGATGCCTTGTTGCTGCGTCCTGTGGATGGGACAAATGCTGTGTCTTCTTGTGGCCAAAGAGATGAAAGGGAAGAAGGAAACTCACTCCTACTCAAGCCGTTTATAAGGCACTAATCTCATCCATGGGTAGGTTCCTTATGGCCCAATCGCCTTCTAAAGGCACCACCTTTTAATACTGTTGCATTAGAGATGAAGTTTCCACATGAGTTTTAGAAGGGACACACACATTCCAACCATAAAATTACTTTTCCTGAATTGATTGCCATGTCATTGACACTAACGTGGGAAGTATGGGCACAGAACAATCCATTTATGATTAAGGGTTTGGTTTGAACCAGGGCACTTGAGAAGCAGAGTGTTTCAGTGGTGGTTTTTGCTATTTTGAAACGTTCTATTCTGGTTCCTTGGCCCCCTCCCTCCTGATGAATCCCACAAGCTGACTGACCTTCAGAGCTTAGTTTGAAACTCATTAAGAACATCATAACATGAGGATGGCACAGTGGGTCAGATTTCTAGTCTCTCTAGCCCAGTTTTCTGTCACCAATATTGGAGGAAGTGTTGTCTTGTGGGGAAACATGGCAGGGACTGACCATAAAATTATCTTCAGGAAGTCAGGAGCTTACCTGATCAGCTAGCAGAGCAAGGTATCCCAGGACTCAAACTGGCTTGGGTGCCCATGATAGAACCCAACAGGGAAGTCAATCCAGGCTCAAGGTCAGAGTCTGTCCAATTTTTCAGTTGTCCTGAAACTTAGTTTAATTAAAAGAAAGTAGTTTTGTTTTTAATCACTTTGCCCATTTGCTCTGAAGAACAAGTCCTTCAATTTTACCATAGCTTAATGAAGGAAATACATTTTGCATCATGAATTTTAGTCTTGGTACTGTAATAATATGAACGACTTCCTTATATGTCATGTGATATCCATGATACATATTTCTCTCTGAAAGAAAAATCAATGGGGTTCTTATTTTTATATTTTAGTTGTGGGAGGCTGGTTAGTGTAATAGATAAGGGAACACATTCTAAGGATAATAGATTTGGTAATTGTCAGCAACGTGATCTTGGGCAAATTCCCTAACCTCTATTAGCCTCAGTTTTCTCATTTGTAATTGGAGACAAAAATAATGAAGATTACACACCAACACACACACACTCACCCACACATATACGTATGCTTCTTGCAGATTTTTTTTTGAAACTTGAATTAGCCAATGTATGCAAAGTGCTTTGGACACTACCTGGCACATAGTAAGGTCTCAATAAGCAGAAGTTCAGTCAATAAGTATTTATCAAGTGCCTGTTTATTCACGGCACATAAAAGAAACAGGAGCCACAAAAATGAGTAAGAAATAGCCCCTGCCTTTGAAACATCTTACAATAAAGATAAACGTGTGGGAAGTCTTTGAGTTTCAGTACTAAAAGAGGAAACAAGTTGGGCATGGATGTTTTGGGTCCTGTGGTGAGATGATGGAGTTATCTTCAAAATGGTGGCAAGACCCTCCATGATCTGGCTCCTGGCTGCATGAGCAGACCCGTCGTAGGCTGCTCCCCTGCTTGTTCACTGAACTCCAGCTACATTGACCACAGTCATGTACTCAACAACCACTTAATAGATATTTAGTGAGCACCTTCTGTGAGCGAGACACTTTCTCTGTGCTGTGGTGAGCAAAACAGATTGGGACCCTGCTTTCATGGAATGTGTGTGTTGCATGTCTCAAACATGTTAAGCTCTTTCTCATCTCAAGGCCTTTAATCTGTGTCTCCTCTGCCTAGAGTGTTCTTTCTTGTATGTCTTCTTCACAGTAACTTCCATTTATCCTTCATTTCTTAAATTTTGCTTCCTCAGACAAGCCTTGCTGACCTCTTATCCCAAACCGAATCCAAATTGAATTCCGTCATTATCTTTTCTTAAAGTATCCTTAACTTTTACTCAAAACATTTGCACAGTTTGTTCATATTGTTGTTTGTTTACTGCCTCACCCGCTAGACTGCAGGCTCCATGAGTCACAGACTGTGTTGATTTTGTTTATTGTTGTACCCATCACATCTAGGACTTAGCTGACTCCCAATAGGTTCTTAAAATATATGTGCCAATTTAATAAAAGGATCAACTTAGTATTGAAATATATTTTCATTTTACAAGCACTGAAGGAAAATATGTGCAGATTTTTAGTGGTGATAATGCATTCAGATCAGTTGGTTTATTTTGGTTCTGCTAGCTCATTTTATATACGTGTGTGTATATATATATATATAATTATATATATAAGTTTTTAATTGCTAAAGTATGATCCTGGGGAGCTATTCTTTATATTTGAAAAGCTTCCAAATAGTTTTCTTTTCCTTCCCGTAGGATTAGCTTTTAGAGTTATATTTTCTTGAGATTTTTGTCATGTTCTTTAATCTTTGTAATAGCACGGATTGCACAGAATGAAAGTTCTTGGGTGTTTCAGAAGCTCATTCCTATGATGGAAAATGAAAATCTGCTTCCTTGATTGCCTGTGCCATCAATATAACCCAAAATCTCTGGAGATGACTTTCAGAAGAAAATGAAGAAATGGATAATTTACTAAACCACTGTTCCCCATTGGCTTGTCAGTGGGAGTGGCGGGTGGATGAGAAAGGGAGTTCGGTGGTCAGCGGGTTTAAATGTATACAGCAGATCATAGCTTGGAGCACGGTTCAAACAGAACTGTCTTCTTTTTGGCTAAGTTGACCAAGCCAGCCCACTGCGTTCCCATCTTTTTGAAAAGTGTTAGTTTCCAGTTTCAATACAGCTATGAAAAAAAATCTGCCATCATGGCAAATGATACTGTTAGATGTGGACGGAAACCCCATAAAATTGTATGGGTGATATTAATTTAGTCACCTACGGCTTAATAGTCATTTTATGGACATTAAAAAAAAAGTTTTGTAGCCATAATGTTTTATCTATCTTTATGGTCTCTTATGCTGTGTTTAATCAGTGTAATTATGGGAGAAGATAATTAAATAGAGTACTATACAGTTCTTAAGATTTTAATGCTGTTATTACTAATTTAACCACAAAAAGGATGTATAAAATCTAAGGCACTGCAAATCTTACAGAGAAATAGCCAGTCAGAATTTTCAATAAGCCGTTTAAGTAGCAAAGTTGTGCGTTCTTTTTTGTCAGTTTATTTATGCCATTTAATATATTTCTTGTTTATAACTGGGAAAGAAAATCGAGTGGAGATGAATATTTGTATTATTTTCTGAATAAAGTGCTATATCTCTATAGTTCAAAATGTTTACATTAGAAATAGTCCAGTGCCCCCAAAGGCTATTCATGACTACATTTTAAAACTGAGATTATACATGCAATATTTTTATTTTATGTGTGTTCTCAATACACATTAGTCACGTTATTTTTTTTCCTGGCTTTAAATAAAAAGAAATTTCTATTTTTTAAAAACCTAGGCCGGGCACGGTGGCTCACGCCTGTAATCTCAGCACTTTGGGAGACTGAGGCAGGCGGATCACGAGGTCAGGAGATGGAAACCATCCTGGCTAACACGGTGAAACCCTGCCTCTACTAAAAATACAAAAATTAGCCGGGGGTGGTGGTGGGCGCCTGTAGTCCCAGCTACTCGGGAGGCTGAGGCAGGAGAATGGAGTGAACCCGGCAGGTGGACGTTGCAGTGAGCCGAGATCGCACCACTGCACTCCAGCCTGGACGACAGAGCTAGACTCCGTCTGAAAAAAACAAAGCAAAATAAAACAAACCTAAAACAGGGCTTGCCAAATAATTGAAAACTGTATTTTAAACTGTCTTGTTTCAGAGAAGGTGACTTTGAGCGCCATTGGCTGTGATGAAAGCACACATTTTACAGCTGGTCCGACTGTAATTGGAGGGTGCTCCATAGTATGCATGGATCCACATGGTGGAACGGGCATTAATTGAGCGCAGGGAACAACTAGGATTTTGATTAGAGAAAGCACGATGGAGGATGTGCTGGGTTAAGGGACCAGTGTGAACAAAGGTAAAAAGGCTTAAAATCTCTGG
This sequence comes from Homo sapiens, assembly GCF_000001405.40. NCBI lineage: Eukaryota > Metazoa > Chordata > Mammalia > Primates > Hominidae > Homo > Homo sapiens. The sequence goes on along the minus strand of NC_000004.12, from coordinate 24,339,449 downwards.
GAAAAAGGTGATGAATTCCTGACTCATCTTCTCTGCCCTAGGCATGTAGGTCTCTGAAATGGGAAATAAGATAAAGAAAAAAAAAATCAGGCCAGAATGTGGAAGGCTTAAAACATCATGCAAAGAGTACTGAACTGAATACAATGGAATATTATTCAGCCTTAAACAGGAATGGAATTCTGATGTGTGTGTGTGTGTGTGTGTGTGTGTGTATATATATATATATATATATATATACACACACACACACACACACATGGATGAACCTTGAAGACAGTGTGCTAAGGGAAATAGGCCAGACACACAAGGAACAAATATGTGATTCCACTTACATGAGGGACCTAGTCAAATTCATGCGGACAGAAAATAGAATGGAGGTTACCAGGACATGACGGGAGGGAGGGATAGCAATTTATTTTTTAGTGGGTACAGGATAGCAGTGATGGTTGAAAGCAATATGAATGGACTTAATGCCACTGAACTATACATTTAAAAGTGGTTAAAATGGCTAATTTCATGTCATGGATATTTTACCACAATAATAAAGATTTTTAAAAGTGTACTGAACTGATTGTAAACAATGAGACATTGGAGGTTCTTATGGAAGGGAGGCTAACATCCCAGTGGGGCCTTTGGAATTAAGCCATTTTTTTTTCAAGCTTTGTGCTTTTGTTGGAAAGCTGTGTTTGAGACCATCTTTGTTGCTATTACATAGCAAGATGAGTCTTCAGTCCCTATAACTTCATGATGAAACCAACAGGATTGATGGGTGAACGTTTTTAATGGAGAATGCATAGTTGAGGTTGGAATTTGGGCAGTGAAAAGGACTTGAAACGGGGGTTGGTATCCCATATTTGAAAGACTTCTTGGCAACCCCAAATGAATTTTGATTTGTTTGTGTGCTTCTAGGAAACTTGAGTTGGATGAAGCACGGAGGCTTAATGTTGAAAGTTATCAGCCTGGATGGAATTAATGAAAAATGTGAGAATAGATCCTTAGGTTTTAGAGTAGTTTTGTGCACTGAATTGATGTTGTGTTCTTTTTCATTCCCCAGCAAATATATTCTCATTGTGTGCTCTGAGGAAATGATTAAAAAACATCATTAAAATACTTCTTTTCCTTTCTTCTTCATTGGAAGAGGCCACAAGTGTCTGCCTTTTCAGTTTGAACCAAACCTTTGCTTTTGTATTCTAATAGCAACTCTAAATGCGCTCGGTGTGGTTCAGTGGCTCGCAGGATTTTATACCGTGAGAATTACACAGGGGCTCACAAATCATCATTTCTGATCGCATTGCTTTAGAGACAAAGAAGGCAGGGCCCCGAGAATCATCATGGATCTTTTATAATTCCATCAGTTTCCTGGCAGTTAAAACAAATTTTATAGCCAAATGGCAAGGCTAGGCAGGGTGAAGTGCTGAGGGTCACCGTGCTCAAGAGAAGAGGGGAGTTCAGACCGGATGACAAGGAGCAGAAGGTAGGAAAGCCACCCCTGCAGGACAAAGCAAGGGAGGCTGCTGGGAAGATGCGGGCTTGAGAAGGGGTTGCACCTCTCTTTGTCATTAATGGATGGAATGGGGTCGTCGGAGCTCAAGTCTTGGGGGAACCTTATTTGGGCTGATGGAGCCTTTTTGGTAGACCCTTGATGAGTCCAATGTGAAGTTTTGAATTTATAGTTACATTTGGTTTCGCCCTTTCTTAGCTGTGTGATCTGGGACAAGTTATTTAATTTGCTCAACCTCATTTTTTTTTTTTTTTTCATTTGTAAAAGAGCAATAAGATCTCCTTAGTGGAGGTGTTCTGAGGGTAAATGAGGCAATGCTTGTAAGTACAGAGGAAAGAGTAACTGTTATGTTATGATGTCACCTAGGGACTGGTCAGACATCATCTCCCCACGCTCAGTAGGGGCTCCTCTCGGAGGACCTGGAGCGCTCCACGCCTGCCTCCATGAGCTCTGGTCGCCCCACCAGACTTATTTTCATGTCTTATTTTCATGTCTGTCTGTCCCACCACACCATTGTTCATGTAAGTTAGGGATAATGTTCTATTCATCTTTATATCCTCAGCACTGGCACAGGGCCTGGCAAATAACTACTCCGTAGCTGTTCACGAGTGGTTGAATGAATGAATAAGAGAATGGCTTTATTTGGCTTGTCTTGCAAAAAGGTGAGACAAAACCTAGAGGTCATAAGCTGGTGACCCTCCACAGGTGGAATTGGGTGGGGCGGTGAGAGTCAGAGGAAAGATGGGCTCCCAATTTTTTGCCTGTTTCACAAAGGACAAATCAGAGGGTGGTTATTTGCTTTATAACATTTCTTTACCCAATTTATAAGAACGATTCTTAGTGTGGTAAGGGATTTGGAGAGAGCACGAACTTTTTGGAATGCAATTTACAGAGCCTTAAAAGCATTCATAACCTTTGATTCCACAATTTTACTTTTGGAATTATTTCCCAAGGAAACCATTGAAAATTGCAGAAATAACTTTTTGCACAAAGTCATCCATGGTAACATTATTTATTTATTATTATTTTAAATTAAATTTTATTTTTTAGAGATGGGTGGATCTTGCTATGTTGCCCAGGATGGCCTCCAACTCTTGGCCTCAAGCAGTCCTCCTTCCTTAGCCTCCCAAGTAGCTGGGATTACAGGTGCAAGCCACTGTGTTTGCCTCATGGCAGCGTTATTTATAACGCAAAAAATGGAAAAAAAACAAAAAGCCAGCTATCTACCAAAAGAAGTATGACTCAGTGTATTTTGGTATGTTCACACATTGGAATAAGATGCAGCCATAATGATGTTGATGAGAATTAGAATAATGTGAACAGTGCATGCATGTATGTAAAATTAGTGATACATGAATGTGTGATATATCATTAGTGATATATATGAACAAACGTGATGTTTGTTAAAATACAGGGATAAAAGGCATACACATTTAATAGTGATTGCTTTCATATTACAGTAAGAATGGGTGATTACTCTCTTTATATTTTTCTGTATTTTCAGTAAGTATTTATTACTTTTATAGTAAGAAAAAGCCGTGAAAAAAATCCAGTTCTGTAATCCATTTAAAATTAGATGCTGGGTGCAATTTTTAGGGTACATTTTAGGAGAAAATATCCCAGCTCGAGATGTACCTTCACCATCCCTGTCTCTTCTCAGCAGCAGAAGAGACCTATAGATCAGTGTGTCCTAAGTGACAGTGTGACACAAAGCACTTGCCAACAGGGAGGTGAAAACTCTACTGCTCTGCTATTTCCTCTTGGAACCAGACACAAAATACTAGAGAGGAGGTGCTCAGGAGATGAAGGGGAACGGTTCTTGAAGAGAGGGACAGAAAGATAGAGAAAGGATGTGGAAAACAGAAAAAATTAAAAGAGGCATGAGGCATAAAAACGGGGGAAAAAAAGTGAAGAAATAGAAGAGAAAGACAACTGGTGTTTAGGGGAAAATGCAAAGAAAGCCCTCAATTAACCCTTTTTATTGCTCTAGGCCTTTATTTATGTATTTATTCTGAATAATAAATCAGTAGGTGCTTTACTTTTATTTATTTATTTTTATTTAGCTATTGTAGCACTAGGCAATAAATAAATGGGCATATCCGCCTGACTTCTGTCTCCAGGAAGCATTTGCAATTCAAATTGGAAGCAAGACCAGTTTTTCCTCCCATGTATCTCAGCCACCTTGGGCAGCTGGGAGCCTTGGCCCTGGGTGATGGACTGTCATGGGCCTGTTGTCTAGACCCAAACACTTTGTTTTCCTAAATAAAGGATCCTCTGTAACGTACCCTCGCGCTTATAGTTGAGGGCTGAGGAATAGGATTCAGAAAGAAGTTACGTATTTTATACTGAAACTTTTCGGGGGTGGCTTTGAGGTATCACTTTTTTCTACTATGAACCAATCCATAAAATGGGAATACCTTGCTGACAGTGGTTGTTGGCTGGCATTCACAAAGACTTCTGATATTTGTGGAAGGAACCCTATAGAGGAGGGAAGACAAAAAGGAAAGAGGCAAGGAAGGAAATAGCCTAGTGTAGTGGAAAGAAAATTGCTTTTGACATCAAGCACCTATGGGCTGGCATCATAAATTCAGCCCTCACCTACTTCCCTAAGGACCTGATAAACATCGCCTAACTTCCATGAATCTCAGTTTCCTCATCTATAAATGAACAGCCATACCTAAATCAGGGGACATTATAAAGACTCAATGACATGCTATGTGTAAAATCCTAACACATACTATGTGCTCATTTGGGTGAATCTCTGTTCCATGTATTGACTGCTTACCTTATGCCAAGAATTATGCTAAGTGATTTCCAGGGCCCCTGCCTAGCAATTTAGACAGACAACTCCCATTATTTCCTCCGAATGCGATAGTTGTTTTGAGTATACCCTGATAAGTAATTGCTTCCCTTAATGATACTCCAGTGGAATACAATATGGAAACCTCTGAAGGTTCTTATTCTTGAAACTAATATTTAAGTACAAGTGCTTACAATTAGTCTTGCCTCGATGTGTTCATAGCATACCAAAAAGCCTTGGGTTTCTAAATATAGAAATCAAAATACACTGAATCCTCTGAAAGCCAAATCAGAGAACCTTATACCAAAGGAGGCTATGCTCGCACTAATCTCCAACATAACTATGTATCACATCATAGGGAACACTGTCTATCCAGTCGAGCATTGTCTTAGAAATGGAAATGTTCAATGTGTTTGAAACAGCTCCCCACCTTCACATGCCCCCCAACATCCTCCACTTATAGCACATAAGGGAAGTTCTTGGAAAAACAAACTCAGTAATTAACAAACAAAACAAAACCTCGGAAAACAGAATCTGTGGATACTGATGTTTGGACAATGGGATGGAGTACTTTGCCAAGACTGTGGTTAAAAATTTCCCATGCAAATAAAAAAGTGACAAAAACACAACCATGTGCTAAGTGAGATTCCTAGAATTCTGCCTTGTCTTTGACTTTGCGGAGCACTTCTTAGACACCACTGTCCTTTTAATCCTCACGAAGTACCTGACAATATTTTTTCAGTAGATGAAGAAAATGAGCCACAGAAAAGTTAATTCACTTTCTGAAGATTATAGTGATTTGGTTAATCATCAAGCTGGAATGCGAGTAGAGCTTATTCTTTGGGCTTCAGTTTTCTCATCTATAAAATGGGAAAGGATTGTTGGGGAGAATCAAAGGAGTTAGTGTATGAAAAGGCGAGGTACTTGGTTCTCACGGTGTGACTGGCAGACCAGTAGCATTGGCATTACATGGGAATGTAGTGCCAATTTTCCTGTTAGAAATACAAAATTCCTGTTAGAAATACAGGATCCCAGACACTACCCCAGAACTCCTAAAACTTTGGGGTGGGGTGTGAGGATGCAACAGTCTGTGTTTTAACAAGGCTTCCAAGTGATTCTGATGCCACCCTGAATTTGAGAGCCAATGGACTAGTTTCTATGTTCTGACTTTTCTCTTAGTGCCTTTTTTTTTTTTTTTTTTTTTTTTTGTTGTTGTTGTTGGAGTCTTCCTCTGTTGCACAGGCTGGAGTGCAGTGGCACTAACTCAGCTCACTGCAACCAGCACCTCCCAGGTTTAAGAGATTCTCCTGCCTCAACCTCCTGAGTAGATGGGGTTACAGGCACCCGCCACTACACCTGGCTAATTTCTGTACTTTTAGTAGAATCAGGGTTTTACCATGTTGACCAGGCTGGTCTTGAACTCATGACCTCAGGTGATCCTCCCTCCTTGGCCTCCCAAAGTGCTGGGATTACAGGTGTGAGCCACCGCACACCGCCACTAGTGACAATTTTATAGGCCCAGTTGTTTGGGCTCTATACTATAAACCACAGACTAGAGGCTCAAGAGTTTGATTTTTTCTTTGCTGTTTCTAACTTGCTCTCTGCCTCTGGTAAGATGGAGAAGCTCTCTATACCATGAGATCCTTTGCTGAAAAGCAGAGAGAACAGAATAAAAACGAGTGAAGAATTATAAAATGATTAGGAAAAACTTTGCAGATTGAGTATTTGGAACAAACAGGTAATAGTCATTTGTGAATGAATCATGAAACTCAGAAATAGTAAAAAATATATTACATTGATTAAAAAATTTTTAAAAGTATTTTTAAGTATTTGAAATGTCAGAAAGAGAGGAAGATGGAAACTGTCGATTAGCTCATATTCCTATTACACTTTTTTTTTTCTTTTGAGATGGAGTCTTGCTCTGTTGCCCAGGCTGGAGTGCAGCAGCACAATCTCAGCTCAGTGTAACCACCACCTCCTGGGTTCAAGTGATTCTCATGCCTCTCAGCCTCCTGAGTAGCTGGGATTACAGGCGCGTGTCACCACGCCCAGCTAATTTTTGTAGTTTTTGTAGAGACAGGGTTTTGCCATGTTGGCCAGTCTGGTCTCGAACTCCTGACCTCAAATGATCTGCCCGCCTTGGCCTCCCGAAGTGCTGGGATTACAGGTGTGAGCCACAACGCCTGGCCTCTTATTACACTTTTAAAGTATTTACTCATCTGTTCTTCCATCTTAGACTCACTATGAATATTTCAGGTTGGTAAATAAAGAAATTGTCTTCAGTATACAGTTGAGGAAACTGAGACTCAGCGAGGCTGAGCAAATTTCTGAAATATACACTTCAGAAAATTAATGTTAATAGACTATCGCATCTGTTAACTCCCTCAGCCTGTGGCCTTTCCTTTCTAGATTTCTCTACTTGCCTATTATGTATTTCGGGGAGCACAGATGTTCATTTACATTTCAACTTTGTTGTTGAAAACTTGTAAGTTTTACAACTTTTTAGCTACTATTTTGTTGGTAAGTTTCACATACACAAAATGAAAAATGTACTCTGAGTTCTTGCACATATTGAAATGATAAGTGATAAGAAATGAGACACAAGGTAAAGATGTTTCATTAATTCATTGGTTTGTTCCTTTGTTCATTCAACAAGTGTTTATTGAGGATTTACTCTGTTCTAGATACCAGGATGAATTTCTGTGTTTACCATAGTGAGCAAAATGGACCTCCATTGGATTTAATATTCTCATTTCATCATCCCTGCAATGTGGCCTTTATTAATGCATGTCGTACTAAGCCTGCTTGGCCACCCTCTCTTCTTGGGGTCATCCTAGAGGCTCCTCGACCAGCTTTAAATGCACTCTTCTAGGCCAGGCATGGTGGTTCATGCCTGTAATCCCAGCACTTTGAGAGGCCGAGGTGAATGGATTGCTTGAGCCCAGGAGTTTGAGATCAGCCTGGGCAACACAATGAGCCCCTGTCTCTATAAAAGAAAAATGAAAACAAAACAAAACAATAACAAAAACAAAAAAAAACCCACTGTTCTTCTGAGAACTCAGTTGTGAAAAATGGTTTGGACAACCAAAGCAGCATGTAGACTACTGCCCGACGTCAACAACTGGCTAAATAAACACAGAATTTACCTCAGTGACAACACATGGACACAGGGAGGGGAACGTCACACACCGGGGCCTGTCAAGGGGTTGGGGGCAAGGGGAGGGAGAGCATTAGGACAAATACCTAATGCATGTGGGGCTTAAAACCTATATGATGGGTTGACAGGTGCAGCAAACCACCATGGCCCATGTATACTTATGTAACAAACCTGCACGTTCTGCACATGTATCCCAGAACTTAAAATATATATATATATATATAAAATAAACACAGAGTTCACCTTAGAGGCAAGTATAGTCTTTCTGCATGAGAAGTGGAAGGTTGCACATTATGCTGAAGATGCAACTGACATGATAGGGGAAAATGTTTTGTGTACATGAGCACAACTGCTCCATGGTGGCAGATCTTATGAAGTGAAGATTCAATCAACAAATATGCATTCATTTATTTAACAATATTTTTTGAGATGTTACTATAGGCCAGAAACTGTCCTGGGGATTGAGACTATAGCAATAAACAAGATGGGCATGTTCTGTCCTTCTGGAACTTGTTTGCTACCTAAGGGAATTAAGAAACTGACAACTAATTAATACAATGCAGGATAAGGAGATGGTGAGTGGCTGACTAGGGGTGGGGAGGCGTGGCTCCTTTAGACAGGGTGGTCAGGATAGGCCTGTTGGTGGAGGGGAGATATTTTCTGAGATCTGAGTGCTGTGAAGGAGCAGCTCAGGTTGAAAGCTAAGAAAGCGTATTCCAGGGAAAGGGAACTGCAAACATAAAGGCTCTGAAAAGGGAATGAGCTTGGCCAGTATGGCTGGAGGGTGCATTTATTGAGTGCACAGCATTGTGCTGGGCAAAGTGGGGATGGGCAAGGTTTTCTGGAGAGGTGGGCAAAATCAAAATAGGAGATTTAGTCTTGACCTTTAAGGAGATAACGTATAGTTGTGAAGCAAAAAACAGCATGAAGAATATTACTAGAACAATGAATGGTAAGGCTAGATGCCTATCTTTAAATGTACCCAGGAATTTGGAGGAAGGGCATATCAGTAGAGGATTCAGAGAGGGGATCATGATAGAGGTAGGGGATTAGGCACATGGGCAGAAGGAAAGAGAAGGGGACCCTTTTAGAGGCACAACAGCAGTAGAGACTATGTCTTGGAGGAGTCAAATGGAAAAAGTTGCCTGCCAAAGAGTGGTGTGGCTGCATGGATGATGAAAGCCTGGGTTCTGAAGCCAGCCTTCCTGGATTGGGCTCCCAGCTCCACCCCTTCCCAGCTGTGTGGTTTTGAGTGTGCTGGGTCTCAGTTTCTCATTTATAAAGCCAGGGTCATAATAGTGCCTATGTGTTTTGGCTATTTATTGCTGCCTAATAATCCTCCCCACAATCTAGTGGCTTAAAATACTAATTTGTTATTCTCTCTTACAATTTTGGGGGTTAACTGGGGTCAGCTGAGTGGTCTGTCATGGAGCTTCTCCTGTGGCTGGGGCTGGAGTCAGCTGAAGGCTCCACTGGGCTGGATGTGCAAGATAGTGCCTTCATGTACGTGCCTGGCACCCGGGCTGGCATGGTTGCAACAGCTGGGGGCTGGAAGGGCATTCTTTCCCCAGGACCTCTCCCTGCAACCAGCTCGAGTTTCCTCCCTGCAGTCTCAGGGGAGTCAGACTTCTTACATTCTTTGTGCCAATTAGGTGTTAGTCATTAGTTGTAAGCAGTCTTCCCCCAGAGTGACCATTCCGACACAGAAACTGGAAAAGGCATGACATGATTTCCTGTGCACTCTATTGGTCAAAGCAGTCACATGATAGCTCAGATTCAAGGGGAGGGGACAAAGACCCCACCTCTCAATGAGAGAAATGTCAAAGAATTTATGCATCTGTGCCCATCTTTAATACACTGCACTATTTTATGGATTGCAGTGAGGATCAAAATAGATCAGTAGAGAATACTGAGTAATGCACATGGAACATATTACATGTTCAATAATGTTCATGATGATGATAATGATAAGGGAGGGTCCTGAAAGCCAGGCAGTAGATTTGATGGTACAGCCCTGATGGGAAGGCAGGACCATCTGAAATCCTTGTGCCAGAATGATTGGAGAGGAGAGGTAGGAGAGAATACTCACTCCCTAGTTTGTGCACATTTAAGATGAAGATTTTGTTTTACTGGGTTTGCTTTGTTAGATTCTCTCATAGGCAGTCAATATCTTTTGTGCACCTACTTCATTCATTTGTGCATTTGACCTACGAAATATTCAGCATTGCACTAAGTGCTAGGTGTATATGATAGACAAAGTCCCTGCCAGTGGGGGAGCACAATTTTAAAGCAATAGTAATTATTCACGCTTGTGCTAAGACCTGTAATGAAGTTCTTAATGATCTTATGATCCCAGAAGATCATAATGGAGGAGCTTGCCTGATCTTTGCCGATGACATTCAACCTGGAACAAGGATAAGGAGGATTGCCAGGTAAAGAGAGAGGAAGAGCCCCAGGGGGAGGGCGCAGCACAAGCAAAGGCTGAAGGTGGAGAGGAAATTGGGGCAGTCAGAAACCAGAGTGGTGGCCATTGTGGTTGAGTGCAGGAGGTTTGGGGGCCAGTGGCAGGAGCCGGAGCTGGAGAGGCAGGTAGGACCCCATCACGCAGGGCCTCAAAGGCTTGTGAAGGATTGCAGATTTTATCCTAAGGGCAATGGGGTTCACTGGAATGGTGGTATTTGAAGAGTTCCCAAAATTGCTAAGTCTTTTTGCTTGAAGAGGAAAAAAAAAAAAGCTTAAAGAGATGGGAGATGGTGTTGAGGGATGAACTTGGCTGGTTTCACTTGAACAAATAAATCACCGGTTGCCATTTATCCCCAATCAGCAATAATCCCAGCATTCTCACCCTGGGTCAGTCTGGACAAAAGCTGCCCACTCTGCTCCGTTCCACATTTGTCAGCCCGTAATAGCATCCTTATCTCAGGAAATCTCTAGATTGCTCCCCAACATAAACTGTTTGCTGGGCAGCCAGGGTCAGCTGTGCCTGCTAAGCTCTCAGACTGACACAGGTGCCCTGTTTGAACTGTGGAAGGTTCAACGGAATTGAAGTGGCCAGTCCGAGGCAGTGTGTTTACTGATACAAGTTTGGTTCCGAGACTATAATTTTCCAGCACCCGTGAAAGCCACCTGCACTAACCAGTTCATGGACTGAATGGCCAAGCAGTGCATGCAGCCAAAAAGGACATTGCTTCCCCTCCACTGCCCTCAAAGAATCAGACCGTTTAAAGCAAACTCCATTCATGCAAGGAGTGGGATTTCTTAGAGATTGGGATGGGGTGGGGTGGAAAAAAAACCCCTCAAGTTGCAAAATAAAACAAAAATACACACGGCCTTCACTGTTTAGTGCCAGTGTTGAATCAAAAGTAGCCTATGCTGGGAAGGGAGATGATGTTAGTTAGGTAAACCCCTTTAACTATCTGCTGGATGGGCTGGTTGTGATTAAATACTTCAAATATTTCCTAGGAGCAGTTTGAGCTGGAAAAATCCTCCCTGCCTAAAGGGTTAAAAATGTGGAACATGTCTTTGAGTGCCTCTTTTCTTTTGTTAATGGGAACTGACATTCCCTACAATCAAATGGGACTGAACCTAATCATATTGTCCATGACAGAAGAAATTAAGGTCTGTGGTAGAAGACATTATAATGCTGACAGAATTTTCATGCTCTCCAAAAGCCCAAATTACTCTGTTTACTAAAATGACGGGTTGGTTGATCTTTGTTTTAATGCTGATTGGGGGGGGGGCTGCTAATTTCTGTTTTGTGGGGAGGGGGTGGCCTTCAGTTTCATGCGCGTCCGTGTGAAGAGACCACCAAATAGGCTTTGTATTAGCAACATGGCTGTTTATTTCACCTGGGTGCAGGCGGGCTGAGTCTGAAAAGAGAGTCAGCGAAGGGAGATAGGGGTGGGGCCGTTTTATAGGATTTGGGAAAGTAATGGAAAATTACAGTCAAAGGGGGTTGTTCTCTGGTGGGCAGGGGCAGGGGTCACAAGGTGCTCAGTGGGGGAGCTTCTGAGCCAGGAGAAGGAAATTCATGGGGTTAATCACTCAGTTAAGGTGGGGCAGGGCCTTTTCACTTCTTTTGTGATTCTTCAGTTACTTCAGGCCATCTGGGCATACACGTGCAAGTCACAGGGGATGCGATGGCTTGGCTTGGGCTCAGAGGCCTGACATTCCTGCCTTCTTATATTAATAAGAAAAATAAAACAAAATAGTGTTGAAGTGTTGGGGCGGCAAAAATTTTTGGGGGTGGTATGGAGAGAGACTGGGTGATGTTTCTCAGGGCTGCTTCAAGCGGGATTAGGGGCGGTATGGGAACGTAGAGTGGGACAGATTAAGCTGAAGGGAGATCTTGTGGTAAGAGGTGATATTGTGGGGTTGTTAGAAGAAACATTTGTCGCATAGGATGATTGGTGATGGCCTGGATACGGTTTTGTATGAATTGAAAAACTAAATGGAATAAGAGAAGGAGAAAAACAGGTATAAAAGGACCAAGAATTGGGAGGACCTAGGACATCTAATTAGAGAGTGCCTAAGGAGATTCAGCATAGTCCTGCCAGCAAAGATTATTTATTTACTTCAAGAGTTAAGAGTGGCAGTTTGGGGATAGCACGAGGAGATATCAGCTGTGAAGGCTTGGAGAAACAGTGTAAACAAGAGCAGGGCATATATGAGTAGTTGAGAACAGTGAATAGGAGTATGACTAGACAGAAGATAGTAGGGATGACAAATTATTTGGGGGCACAGTCTAAGTTGGTCTGGTGTCTGGAATGAGACTGGGGCCTAATAAAAAGGAGCGTCTATACAGGAGCTCAAATGGGCTGTCCCTTGTAGCATTCTGAGGACAGGTCTGACTTCTGAGAAGGGAAAGTGGTAAAAGTATTGTCCAGTCCTTTTTAAGTTGGTGGCTGAGCTTGGTGAGGTGTGTTTTTAATAGACCATTAGTCTGTCACTGAATACTAAGAGCCTGAAAAAATGCTTGGCTGATTTGACTAATAAAGGTTGGTCTGTTATCAGACTGTATAGAGGTGGGAAGCCTAAACTGAGGAATTATGTCTGACAGAAGGGAAGAAATGACTGCGGTGGCCTTCTCAGACCTTGTAGGAAAGGCCTCTAAAAGTATTAAAGCAGCGGCAGCCGCTGCACGCAGACATGAGGGCTAGGCTAAAACAGTAAGGTCAAGTTGTTTGGACAGAAAGGCTACAGGGTGCGGTCCTGGCTCTTGTGTAAGAATTCTGACCGCACTAAACATGCCTAGGAAGGAAAGGAGTTGTTTTGTAAGGGATTGAGGTTTGGGAGATCAGCTGGACACGATCAGTAGGGAGAGCACGTGTGTTTTTACGAGAATTATGCCGAGATAGGTAACAGATGGGGATGAAATTTGGGCTTGACTGAAGTAATGGGGGCTGTCTGTGAAGCCTTGCGGCAGTGCAGCCCAGGTAATTTGCTGAGCCTGATGGGTGTCAGGGTCAGTCCAAGTGAAAGCGAAGAGAGGCTGGGATGACGGGTGCAAAGGAATAGTAAAGAAAGCATGTTTGAGATCCAGAACAGAATAATGGATTGTGGAGGGAGGTATTGAGGATAGGAGAGTATATGGGTTTGGCACCATGGGGTGGATAGGCAAAACAATTTGGTTGATAAGGCGCAGATCCTGAACTAACTTGTAAGGCTTGTCTGGTTTTAAGACAGGTAAAATGGGGGAATTGTAAGGAGAGTTTATAGGCTTCAAAAGGCCATGCTGTAGCAGGCGAGTGATAACAGGCTTTAATCCTTTCAAAGCATGCTGTGGGATGGGATATTGGCATTCAGCGGGGTAAGGGTGATTAGGTTTTAATGAGATGGTAAGGGGTGCATGATCAGTCGCCAAGGAGGGAGTAGAGGTATCTTATACTTGTGGGTTAAGGTGGGAGAATACAAGAGGAGGATGCAAAGGAGGCTTTGGATTGGGAAGAAGGGCATCAATGAGATCAGCGGCTATAGTCCAGGAATAGTCAGGTAAGCAGATAATTTGGTTAAAATATCTCGGCCTAATAAGGGAACTGGGCAGGTGGAGATAACTGAAAAAGAGTGCATAAAAGAGTGTTGTCTAAGTTGGTGCCACCAGAGTTGGGGAGTTTTAAGAGGTTTAGAAGCCTGGCTGTCAATACCCACAATAGTTATGGAGGCAAGGGAAACAGGCCCTTGAAAAGAAGGTAATGTGGAGTGGGTAGCCTCTGTATTGATTAAGAAGGGGACGGACTTACCTTCCACTGTGAGAGTTACTCAAAGCTCGGCATCTGTGGTGGTCTACGGGGCTTCCGAGGCGATCGGGCAGCGTCAGTCTTCAGCCGCTAAGCCGAGAAGGAGTCGGTCAGACAGCTTTAGGCCAGAGTTCCAGGGGCTCTGGGAGTGGCTGCCAGGTGAGTTGAACAGTCCGATTTCCAGTGGGGTCCCGCACAGATGGGACAAGGCTTAGGAGGAATCCTGGGCTGCAGGCATTCCTTGGCCTGGTGGTCAGATTTCTGACACTTGTAGCAAGCTCCTGGGGGAGGAGGTTCTAGAGGAACACCTGGCCCCTGCGGTTCAGGCGTTTGGAAGTTCTTGTGTGCTGGAGATGTGGCTGGGGTTTGTCTCACAGTGGAGGCAAGGAATTGCAACTTTTTTCTATTATTGTACACCTTGAAGGCGAGGTTAATTAAATCCTGTTGTGGGGTTTGAGGGCCGGAATTTAATTTTTGGAGTTTTATTTAATGTCGGGAGCAGATTGGGTAATAAAATGTATATTGAGAATAAGATGGCCTTTTGACCTTTTAGGGTCTAGGGCTGTAAAGCGTCTCAGGGTTGCTGGGGAACGAGCCATGAACTGGGCTGGGTTTTTATATTTGATGAAAAAGAGCCTAAACGCTATCTGATTTGGGATAAAGGAAAAGGAGCATTAACCCTGACTATGCCTTTGGCTCCAGCCACCTTTTTAAGAGTAAATTGCTGGGCAGGTGGGGGAGGGCTAGTCAGAGAATGAAACTGTAAGTCGGACCAGGTGTGAGGAGGGGAGGTGATAAAAAGATTACAGGGTGGAGGAGCGGAGGCTGAGGAATTATTGGGACCTAGCTTGGGCTGGCGAGGAGGGGAGAGGTCAGATGGGTCTGTAGAAAAGGAAGATTATAAAGACTCAGCGACGCTTGGGGTTGGGACTGAGGGGACAGGCGGGAGGGAAAGAAGGATGATTTGGGACGAGTTTCACTGGGCACAGAGACTAGGAAGGGACTGATGTGTAAAAGAATGCCTGGACGTCAGGAACCTCAGACCATTTGCCCATTTTACGACAAGAATTATTTAAATCTTGTAGGATGGAAAAATTGAAAGTGCCATTTTCCGGCTATTTGGAACTACTGTCGAGTTTGTATTGGGGTCAAGCGGCATTGCAGAAGAAAATAAGGCATTTAGGTTTTAGGTCAGGTGTGAGTTGAAGAGGTTTTAAGTTTTTGAGAACACAGGCTAAGGGAGAAGGAGGAGGAATGGAAGGTGGAAGCTTATCCATAGTGAAGGGGCAAGCCCAGAGAAAAGAGTAGAGACACGGAGAAGGGGTGGGGGGTTCTTGCCCTCCAGAAAAGCAGAGAAGGGGTTGGGGCATGGAAATAAGGGATTGGGCACAGAGATAAGAGGTTGTGGTGCGGAAATAAGCGACTGGGGGGTTCTTGCCCCCTAGGGAAGCGGGACTTGCCGCTAAGGGTGAAGGAGAAGGGGTTGAGGGGTACTTGCCCCTGCCCCAGGAAAGGCAGAGAAGGGGTAGAGACAAGGAGAGAAGGGGTTGGGGTACTTGCCTCTTCCCCAGAAAAGCAGGACTTGCCGCTAAGGGTGAAGGACCAAGGCAGGCGTCCCTGCGTGGTTTGACACCCTTGAAACGTGGGTGTATAATCACAGAGGCGTCTCTGCAATGATTAAACACCAAGGGAAAGCTGCCTTCCCAGTCCGTGACCGGCGCCAGAGTTTTGGGTCCACGGACAAAACGTGTCTCTTTTGTCTCTACCAGAAAATGAAAGGAATTGAAATTAAGAGAAGAGAGAGATTGAAGTGTAGCGCCAAGATTGAAAGGAGAAAGAGGTTGAGGGATAGTGAGGGAAGCTGGAGAAGAGAGTAAAAAGAGGCCGCTTACCGGATTTGAAATTGGTGAGATGTTTCTTGGGCTGGTCGGTCTGAGGACCTGAGGTCGTAGGTGGATCTTTCTCACAGAGCAAAGAGCAGGAGGATGGGGGATTGATCTCCCAAGGGAGGTCCCCCGATCCGAGTCACGACACCAAACTTCATGCACGTCCGTGTGAAGAGACCACCAAACAGGCTTTGTGTGAGCAACATGGCTGTTTATTTCACCTGGGTGCAGGCGGGCTGAGTCCGAAAAGAGAGTCAGTGAAGGGAGATAGGGGTGGGGCCATTTTATAGGATTTGGGAAGGTAATGGAAAATTACAGTCAAAGGGGGTTGTTCTCTGGTGGGCAGGGGCAGGGGTCACAAGGTGCTCAGTGGGGGAGCTTCTGAGCCAGGAGAAGGAAACTCATGGGGTTAATCACTCAGTTAAGGTGGGGCAGGAACAAATCACAATGGTGGAATGTCATCAGTTAAGGCGGGGCAGGGCCTTTTCACTTCTTTTGTGATTCTTCAGTTACTTCAGGCCATCTGGGCGTATATGTGCAAGTCACAGGGGATGCGATGGCTTGGCTTGGGCTCAGAGGCCTGACATTCAGTGTTCCCAGAAGCTTCTCATCATTTATCTTCAGATGTGCTTGGACAGATAAATGACTTTTTTGACTAGAAAATCTCCCCCATGCTGTATGACTTCAGGGTTTGGTCTGGCCAAAGGCAGCAGAGAGAACTGACTCATTTTGTTTTTCTCTAAGGCCCGGCATGGTTTCTTCCTTCCCAAATGATCTATTTGGGATCCACCAGCAGTTGAGCCACCCAGAATTTATTCAGCAGAGTACCTGAGGTCCAAACCCATGCTCAAAAAAATTGTTTTTTGATGATGGATGATGTGATAGTATATGCTGCTTTTCCGTTATTATACCGAAGACAATGTAGATAATACAATGATATAATTTGACTACAC